>NC_000007.14:7740242-10240242 GCF_000001405.40 Homo sapiens | reverse complement strand
TAAGTCCTTATAGTAGTTGGCATTTTAAAGGAATTAAAACTTCTAAAAATAAAATATGCTGACAGTCACATTTTGCATGTGGTAGTGATCTCACTGAAAAGCTATTTAATTTGGCACACAGAACTCCTCAGCATAGTCACAATCAGGCTTTTTTGGGGTTATCAATTTCCTGGTGAAATAATTATAGTAACAGCTTAACAGTCTTTTCTTATCCTTTCTTTTAGAAGAAGTAAGCATGTTTTACTAAAGTCATGTACACAGCTGTGATTTGAATGGCAATATTTATCTTACATCTGTGAAGGCTGATTTTCCTGACCTTTGCTTCAGCATAATTGAGTTAAACACTCAGGGGACTGTGTTACTATATTTAAGACAATATGCATAACGGGTGTTATTTAGCTAAGTGGTGCCTGCCCAGTAGGTGCTCAGGATCCAGGGAGAGAGGCAGACTCAACATGCAAACAACTCTTCTATGAGGGTAAGTGTAATTGAGGGCCCTAGGAGAACTTTAGTAGTGGAGGGTTTCTTGTGTTTCTCCCTTTGGACTGCCTAACTCAAGCAGTGTTCTTGACCCATATAAGCTATGTAGTGTTTCCCCTCTCTTATCTACTGTACTAATTTCTGTGTCTCTCTTGGAAATTACTGCCCTGATCTCGAAACTTAACTTCACCCATTGCTTGGTGAGTGGTGTGGAAAACTTCTCTCGGGTCTATGTCTTATCCCTGAAAAATCTTGCCACAGCTGCTCAGGAAGAGTGTACAAACTCATTTCCCCAACATGAAAGTCACAAAAATTTTGAAAAAGTTTTCCCTAAAATTGCTGTGAGAAGGTCTTGCTGATTATTTTTGTTCTCAATTATATATTCTTTGGGGGGAAAGCCTGTAGCTTGCTCACTCATGGGACAGATCTTTCGTGGGTTACATGAAGAGCAGATCTGTGAATGTTGTCATCCCCTGCTTGTTCCTGCTTTCTTGTGGTTACCATCTTTGTCTTTAACCTTTAGTTTTTGGCTGAGTGAAAAATTTCCAGACTCCTGAAATCACCACAATCAGATACAGGAGACATAGTAGAGCTCACTTGTAGAAAGTGTCTTTTTTCTGGTACAGAGAAGAATGGTTTAGAGACACCCTTCTCTAGTATATGCCATAAAATAGCCTATCTAAACCTTGGAATATTATTGTGTTAAAGTACATGTAGCATGTGTAGCATGTTTAAATGTCCTTTTATGAAGAATTTAAAGCAAAAAGGAAAGAAAGAAAGAAATTTACATGCAATGACTAGGATTAAAATTATTGCTGTAATTGATTAACAAAATTTACTGTATATTCTGGAAGTCAGTACTCAAAACAAAATTATAGAAAGTAATAAATATGTTAAGTACCAAAGAGATATATTGTAGTCCTGGCCATATGTTAAATTCTTTCCCATGTGAAACATTACATAGGGGACAAGGGTCATTCACAATTTTATTACAAATATAAAAACAGTTTACACGTGGCAATTTCTGGATAAAAGTTTATGGCAGCAAGAATAACACATTCAAAGTGCTCTTAGAACAAAAGTAAAATTATCAGAACCATGAAATCCCACAGTTTTTGCTAAATTCGTTTCTCAAGAAAGACTATTTGAAAACAAAATAAAGAATGCATTTGTATAATCTTCTTTCACCATCAAACACACATACTTCTAAAATACAAAAACTTTCAAATTATCATCTGTGATCATTGGATAATTCACCTGTCTTAAAGTTTCTAAATCAATAAATTTAGTGAATCATTGTTATTCTGAAGAGTAAGGAAACTGAGTAATTATCCTCAATCATTGTGCATTTGCTACTGTTACAATGATTCCTTTAGTGCTTTTAAACTTTACATCAAAACCCAATTGCTCACAGTGGATACCTGCCCATTTGCACACCATATACTGACTTATTTTCTTTTCCTGTCTTAAGTTCCCATTCTCCCACCAGTGATTCTTGGGTTCGTCTCCCAAATAAACTACTCACTCAAATCCTACTCATAGGGTCTGCTTTTGGGACAAACAACCCTAACAATATTTAAAGAAAGTTTAAATATTATTTGTCAAAATATGTTCTGTGCAAGGAAGGATATGTGGAATAATCTTATTGAGAACAATTATTTTTCACAATAAAATTCAAAAGGAATTTGAGGTATCAACTAATTGAGATTTATTTTCTATGTATATCAAGCTGTCATATATTATGTCTTGGTTTTGATATTTTACTTTTGAAGCTGGCTTCTGTGTATTTTCTCTCTCTAGTTATCTCAGCTGTGGTAAAAGTAGTCTGCATTGCTATCACCATTGCTTAGAGCAAGGTGGCTGGATAAAGTGATGTGACTATCAAAGGGTAGGATAAAAATTTCATCTTAAATATTCCTTCTCATAATCACATAATCCTTTAAACCAAGGATAGCCTGAAAGAAAAAATAATGATCCTAATTTGAAGAAGTCTCAAGAATCCAAACTTTAACATTAGAATGTATGAGATTTAGAAAAGAAGGCATCATCAACTATGAGAATACCAAAAGGAAAACATGGTCCCATAACTACCACATATCAGTCAGCAAACAGAATTTCTCCCAAGCAAACACAGTTGGAATTGCCCATGGGGCAGGTCAGCAAAGAGTGGGGCTCTTTGTTTTTTTTTTTTTTTCCTGTGGGTTCCGCTATGTCAGTAATGGAAATTGTGAGTCATCTCTGTGTCCATTGGGAAAGCATGTCATCTCTTGTGCCTGGCAAGCAGCTCATCGCATGAGAGAGCCTACCAGGCTCAACCATGAATTACATAATCTGCCTTCAAAGGAATCAGAGGATTAACCAGGTGTTCCTAAGATATTACATAACTTGTGTATCTTGGAGAGATACACAGATAGTTTCAACAGCTGCCTTGATAAGGAGCATAATTTCTCAGGAGAGTAAAAATATATGTTCTTTTTTCTCTAAAATTGAAATATATATATTTTTTCACTAAATGCTAAATGTGGTTTTGATTTGGTTGGTTAGAAATTAACTTGTTTTGGTATTTTTCCTATTTAAACCATCAAAATTGTTTTTAAATAATTTTAATTCTTTTGCTGGCAGGTGAAATGGAATAACAGGGATTGGGCTTACCCCTTTACTGAACAACAAAGAAAAGTGAAATTATAAGAGAAATATTATTTATGATATTGAGTATTGGGCAATAAACAGGGGTAATTTTGATGAGACAGAAAACAAATGAGGTGAGACCCTGTGATTGCCTGTTGGGAAGATTTTCAGAGAAAATAAAATTGAGGGTCTGGGGAGACCAAAGCAGTTAGAGTTAGACCAAAGTCAGTTAATATTAGCAGATAGAAAAAAAGCAGCATGAAGAGAGATTTCTAGAGAAATGAGGAGACTCGTCGTCAAGTATGCAGCTAAATACTGATCAGCGCATGCCTGTGAGAAAACTACCTAGAAAAACTATCTGAAAAGATTGGCATAACAATGCCCAGAAGTCATACCTATTCCAGGACCAGGAATACTGCCTATTAGCACCAGCCAGACTGGAAGACTTCAAGACTTATAAGGCATTGGATAGAATAGAATAGATAGAACAGTTTTCCTTCAGTAGATAAAGCAAGTTTTAAGTTGTTTTAACTTAAGCAAAAGCACAAAGGAAGAAACTGTTTCTAAGTAACTTGCCTGCATATAAGAATAATGCTCAAGAATATTTATAGTAATATAACAATATCCATTATTCAGCAAGGTGGAATTCACAATGTCTGGTATTCAACAAAAATTAACAAACATACAAAGAAGCAAGAAAGCATGACTGATAATTACAAGAAAAATTAATTAAAACCAACCCAGACTTAACACATATGTTAGAATTAGTAGACAGGGACATTGAAACAATCATCATTTTATATTTCATATGTTAAAAAAAGTTAGTAGTATTAAAAATGCACCCCTCCAAACTTCTAAAGATGAAAACTGCAATGTATGAGATGGAAAAGAAACTGCATAGGATTAGTGGTAGAGTACATATTTCAGAATGAAGAATAGTGAACTTGATGCTATAGCAATAGAAACTATTCAGAAAGTTACATAGAGAGAAAAGAAAATTAAAACAAATAGAGCATAAATGAGCTGCAGCACAACTTTGAGAGGCCCACTTATATATGTAATTGTAGTCCCCAAAGGAGATAGGGCTAAAAATTATTTGAAGAAGCAATGGCTGAACATTTTCTGAATATGATAACAAATTCAAGAAACTCAACAAATACCAAGCATAAGAAATATGGAAACAATATGCCAAGAAACATGACAATCAAATTGCTAACATCTAGTGATAAAGAGAACATTTTAAAGCAGCCACATGGAGAATATTTCACAGATGAGAACAAAGATAAGTTTGGCAGCATATTTCTCATCAGAAGAGATATGTTTTAAGTATTGTATTAATATACTTAATAAAAAGTGCCATAAGAGCTTACATACACTTAAGTACCTTAAGGTGCTTAATTAGAAAATCTTAACTGAAAATTTTAGACCAGTAAAAATATCTTGCAAAAATATAAGTGAAATAATGACTTTTTTGAAATTACAAAAGCTAAAATCATTTATTATTAGCAGACCTGTACTGTAAATAAGCCTTTCAGACAGAAGAAAAGTGACATCAGATGGAAATAAAGTTCTCCACAAAGAAATGAAGAGCACAAGAAATGATATAACACCAGAAAATACAAAACATGTATCTTATTATTTAAATATCTTTGAAAAAAATTGACCATAAACAAAAAAAATGTAATGTGGAGTTTATAATCAATGTGCAATTGAAATGTAAGACAGTGATAGCACAATGATTGGAAAGAGAAATTGGAAATATATTACTTTAAATGTCTTATACTTTATGTAAAGTGATATAATCATTTTAAGGCACATTGTAATTATTTTAAAATATATACTACAAGCCACTCAACTAATAGAACAAAAATTTGTAATTAATAGCTCCTCAATGCAGATAAAATGAAATCATAGAAACTATTCAATTAATCCAAAAGAAGGAAGGAAAAAGAAGAAAAAAATCAAGAAAAACAAATGGTAAATAAAGAAAACAGTTAAAGTTGTTAGACTAAAACATAATAAAATCACTAATCACACTAAATTTAAATAATTCATGTATCTTTATAAAAAGGCAAAAAATTGGCAGATTGAATTTAAAAAATCAAGACAACAAATGTGCTACATACAAAAACTCATTTCATATACAAAAACACAAATATGTAAAAGTAATGCTGAAGGAAAGAATACTGCATTAACATAATATATCAAAAAAACTATATTAATGTTAGAGTTGATTTCAAAGCAAATAATATTAAAAGGGATAAGTACAGTAATTATAAAACTATAATGAGGTCAATTTATCAAAAAATAGTAGCTTGTAAACATTCATGCACCCAATAATAGTTTCAAAATACATGAATTAAAAATCTCACAGAATTATTAAAAGAAAAGTAAAAGTTCACCATTGTAGTAGGATTTTTAACTTTCTTCTATAAATAAGTTATAGAAAATTAGAAAATCAGTAAGAATATAAAACATTTGAACAACACTACCAAGTAGCTTGATGTAGTAGACATTTATAGAATACTCCATCCAGCATTATTATAATGACCATTATTTTCGAAGGCACACCAAATATTTACCAAAAATTATTGTGGGCTACAAGTCAGACCTTAAGAATTTTAAAATAATTCCAGTTAAAGTGTTTTCTCTGACCATAATACAATTAAATTAGAAAGAATAACAAAAATTCTTGGGTAATTCCCAAGTACTTGGAAACTAAATAATATAATTCTAAATAACATATAGGCCAAAGCAAAATGAAAGGAAACACTGAATAAAAATGAAAATATATCAAAATTTATGAGATGCCAATTAAATATTATTTAGAGGAAAATTTATACACTAAACCTTTATATTAGAAAAAAATTGACTCAATAACTTCAACTTCCACTCTAAAACTGGAAGAAAGAAAAAATTAAACCCAAAGTAATTACACAAAAGGAAACAACAAGAATCAGAGTGGATAGCAATGAAATAGAAAAGAGTGAGATGATAGCTACATCAGTGAAGCAAAAATCTGATTATTTGAGAAGATCCATAAAATTGATATACTTCCAGCATGACTGATCAGAAAAAGAAAGTTAAAAATTAACAATACCAGAACTAAGAAAACTGACAACATTACAAAAGTTACAGACATTAGAATACTGTTAAATAAATATTATAGAGAACTTTTTCCAATAATTTGACACCTTATTAGGCTGGTGCAAAATAATTGCATTTTTGACATTACTTTTAATGAATTAAATAGATGAACAGATTTCTTAAAACTTACAAGTTATCAAAGCACACACCCAAGAAGAAACAGAAATTCTGAATATCTTTGTAAATGTTTAAGACCTGGAATGTGTAGTTAAGAATTAAAAACAAAAACAAACAAACAAACAAAAACTCAAGTCCTAAATGGCCTCACTGATGAATTCTACCAAACATTTAAGAGAGAAGTGTTAATAATTTTATTCAGATATTCTTGGAAAATTGAAGAAGTGGAAATGTTTTCCAAAAGCATTTCCCTGATAACAAACCAGAAAAAAACATAAGAAAAGAAAACTTAAGACCAACATTCCTTGTGAACATAAATGCAAAAATTATAAATGAAATTTTGGCAAGTCAAATCTAATTAGATATAAAACATTATGATATCATAGCCAAGTATAGTTTTTCCCAAGGATGCTAGGTTAAATGTTTAAAAAATTTTCAACATAAATTACTAAATTAACAAAACAAAAAAGAAAACCATATGATTATCTCAATAAATTAAGAAAAAGATTTTGATAAAGACCAATATTTATTACTAATAAAAGTGTTCAGCCAAGTAGAAATAGAAAGGATCTTCCTCAGCCTGGTAAAGCACATCTATTAAAAAGTGGCAGTTAAAACAGTACTTAATCTGGAATTATCAGACTTAAGACAAAAATATTCACTCTCACTACTTCTATTAAATATGGTATTACATATTCCAGACAACTTAATAGTTAAAATAATTTTAAAGTATTCAGAATGGAAATAAATAAAACACTATTTACAGATGCCATCATTGCTATGTAGAAAATCCAATGACATTTACACAAAAGATACTAGAATTCATACAGTACATGCATTCATTAAGGCTACAGAATACAAGGTAAATGTACAGAAGCAAATCGGGCTTTATGTACTAGTAATGACAATTTGGAAATTAAATTTAAAATACCTCCAATAATAGCATCGTTATAAAATATATACAGATAAATTTGATAAAATAAATAAAAGTCATATACTGAAAATTACAGCATTACCTAGAGAATGAGAGAGGACCTAAATAATAGAGAGATAAGCCATCTTCATGGGTCACAAGATGATATTATTAAATTATCAATTCTATAAGTCAAACCCTGGAATAAATTTTTGGTGAAAATTATAAATTGATTATAAAATTCGTATGGAAACTCAATGAACCTAGAAAACTTAGAACCTGTGAAAACAATTTTGAGAAAAAAAAAGAACGAAGTTGAGGATTAACAATTTGGGGCTCTTATACTGATTTAGGGGCATTATAAAACTACAGTAATCAAAACAATGTATATTTGAATCATGATAGAAAAATAGATCAATAAATCAGAATGGAGAGTTCAAAAATAGAATATTATATATGTGGACGATTTATTTTTCATCAATGTGAAATAAGCAATTCAGTGGAGAAAGAAAGTCTTCCATCAAACAGTACTGGAACATTCAGATAGCCATAGGAAATGATGTGAACTTTGTTTCATATCTCACAACATATATAAAAAAGACTCAAAATTCATCATAGATCTAAATGTAAAATCTAAAATTATAAAATTTCTAGAAGAAAACATAGGATGAGCTTTGCAACCTTGGGTTAGGCAACGATTTTTTAAATATGAAATCAAAAGCACGATCATTTAAACAACTTGATAAAATGAACTTCATCAAAATTAAAAACATCTCCTCTGTGGGAGATATCATTAAGGAAATGGAAAGAGAAGTTACCAACTGGGAGAAATCATTTGCAAATGATGTACCTAATAGTGGACTGGTATTCAGAATATACAAAGAACTCTTAAAACACAACAATAAGAAATTAAACAAACCA
The DNA here is from genome assembly GCF_000001405.40 of Homo sapiens. Classification (NCBI taxonomy): domain Eukaryota; kingdom Metazoa; phylum Chordata; class Mammalia; order Primates; family Hominidae; genus Homo; species Homo sapiens. Next base: position 10,232,036 of record NC_000007.14, on the reverse strand, counting down.
ATAAAAAACAGGCAACAGACTTTAGCAAATAATTCATAAAAATACAAAAAGTGATCTATAGGTACAAGAAAAGATGCACTCAGCATCATTAATCATTAGAAAGATGAAAATTAAAATCACAATTAGCACTACATGCCAACTAGAATAGCTAAAATTTGTTAAAAGATATACCATACTAGGTCTTTGTGAGGATATGGAAGACTGGAATGGTCATACACTGTTAGTGGAATGTTAAATGAAACAACCACTTTAAAAAGCAGATGACTTTTTTAAAAAGTTGATACACTGACTATATTATCTAACTATTTCATTCCTATTTTAAAAAAAAACGAATGTTTATGTCCTCAGATGTTACACAAATGTTTTTATATATATATAATATTATTATTCATAATAGCCAAAAACTGGAAACAATGGCCATCAACATGTGGATGGATAAACTAACTATGGTGTATTCATATAATGGGATGGGATGCTTCTCAGCAACAAAAAAATGAATTGCTGACCCATGCTTTACTCAGATAAGCCTCAATATAATTATGTTGAATAAAAGAATTTCGACAAAAAAAACCCCACATACTGAGTGGTCTCCATTTATATAAAATTTTAGGAAATGCAAATTTACATGTGGTGACAGCAGATCAGTGGCTGAATGGGGATAGAGGAACACGGGAAACATCACAAACTTTTTAGAGCAATGGATATATTCATTGTCTTGATAAAAAGTGGCAGCACATCAGAAACTTCCTTTTTGTCTCTCTGGGTAATGAGTACTATTTGCATAATTTGCTTCACTCTGTTTCATTGGTTCCCCAAAATGGATGTTGCTAAAGAAAGAAATATTGTTACATTTGCTAATGGCTGGACCCTACCCACTTATATTTTGAGTTTCTTCATGACACAATTGTCAACTAAACTTTGTAGTAGATATTGGTCACAGGATTTGAGGTTTGTCTCTTTTCATGAAGGAAAAAAGGAAGATTCAAAAAGCTATGCTGTCACTGCTTCTATTTTTTTCAAATTATCTTAGCAATATTTTGTAGTTTTCAGTGTAAAGGACTTGTACATCTCTAATAGATGTGCATATTCTAATGAAAAGTATTCTAAATACTTTTCCATTAGTTATTTGATTTATAAATGCTCTTTTGATATCACTTTAGGATGTCATTTTCTAATATTCCTTTATAAACATAGAAAATAAACACATTTGATTTTCATATGTTAATTATGCATCCAGAGTTGTATTTATCAACTAGTAATTTATCTAGTTTTCTATGTGCACAAGTCTAGCATCATCGTGGGACTGCAGTATTTCTTCTTTTAAATCCTTAAAGCTTTTACTTATTTTGTGTGACTCATTACAATGACTATGCCCTCTAGCACAATGGTGAATAAATTAATGTAGTAGGCACTCTTTTTGTGTTCCTAATGGTACCACAACAATGATGTTTGCTGTAGGTAGAATGTACCCTTTCAATACTAATTTTCTGAGGATTTATCATCTTGAAAAAATTTTGTATTGTATGTTGGTTTTTATTGTTTATCACTAAATGGACACACTTGTTTATTGTGTTTATGTGCTGAATTAAGACTGATATTAAACAGCTTTTATGTCCTGAAATAAATGCAAAATATATATTGCTGGATTTGATTTCCAGTTCATGATGTGTTTAGAGTTTTTGTGACTAGGTTCATGTGAAAGATTATTCTGTAATATTATTTTATTAATAATCTTGTACCATTTTGATTTCAAGATAATGATTGTCTCATCAAATAAATATGGTGGGTAGTGTTTTTTATATCCTATAATTATTTTTTGGTTGGGGGGATAGAGTCTGACCTTGTCTCCCAGGCTGGAGTGCAGGGTTATGATCTCGGCTCACTGCAATCTCCACCTCCCAGGTTCAAGCAATTCTGCCTCTGCCTGTAATGTAGCTAGGATTACAGGTGTGCACCAGGATGCTTGACTGATTTTTTTGTATTTTCAGTAGAGACAGGGTTTGCTTTCACCATGTTGGCCAGGCTGATCTTGAACTCCAAACCTCAAGTGATCTTCCTGCCTTGGCCTCCCAAAGTGCTGGGATTACAGGCGTGAGCAACTGTACCCTTTTGTATGATTTTTTTTTAACACGCACATTTATCAATTAAGTGGGCACAGTTTGTGGTCCACCAAAACAATTACAACAGTAACATAAAAAATCACACTGAACACAGATCACTATAACAGATAAAATAGTAATAAAAAATTTTTTAATATTGCAAGAATTATCAAAATGTGACAAAAAGACTATTGACATCATTTTTCCACATCATGTTTTGTCTGAAAATTTTAATATAAGTTTGGTTTTATTCCTTATGTATTTGGTAAAGTAGTATAGGCTTACTTGTTGGGTATTTTGAATGATAAATTTAATTTCTTTAATAGATTTAAGATGATTCATATTTCTTTTTGTGTCCATTTTACAAATCTGTTTTTTCTTGAAATGCATACATTTCGTCTGAAATTTTTGATTGATGTGCACAAATACATTGGTATTTGATGGATAACTTGATTGATGTATTAGTCCGTTTTCATGCTGCTGATAAAGACATACCCGAGACTGGGAAGAAATAGATGTTTAATGGACATACAGTTCCACATGGCTACGGAGGCCTCACAATCATGGTGGAAGGCAAGGAGGAGCAAGTCACATCTTATATGGATGGCAGCAGACAAAGAGAGAACTTGTGCAGGGAAATTTCTCTTTTTAAAACCATCAGATCTTATGTGATTTATTCACTATCATGAGAAAGTCCCATCCCATGATTCAATTACCTCCCACTGGGTCCCTCCCACGACACATGGGAATTGTGGGAGTTACAATTCAAGATGAGATTTGGGTGGGGACATAGTCAATCCGTATCAATTGGCATTGTTTAATTTCCTCTTAACTTTTAAATATCTATAACAATGACCCTTTTAAAAATTTATGTCGTTGGTTTTTGTACCTCCTTCCTATCCTCTCTCTTCTTTCTCTCTTCCTCCTTTTCTTTCTTTCTCTGCTCTCTGTCTCTTTGTCTCTCTCTGTCTTGCAAGGGGTTTATCAATAGTATCAATCTGGGGTTTTCAGGTTTTTCTCCTTTGTATTTCTTCTTTCTATTTCACTATTTTATACCTTCTATAATTTTAGGGCTTAATGTGCTGCTATTTTTGTTTCTTCTTAAGATTGATACTATTAATACTCTTTCATTATTATGAAATTACCCTTTTTATCTTTTGGAGTATATTTTTTCTTTCAGTGTGCCCTCACCATAGCTGTACCAGAGTATCTTTTAACCTTATTTTGCTTTTTAAACTTCCACTATCTATTTTTATATTTAAAATATGTCTCCTTTAAGTAGAAATGGGTTTCTGTATGTAGCCCAACAATCTTTTTCTGACAACTAAAGTATTTAAATATATATAGCAATTACTTATATTTTGGGGTTTATGTAATCTTGCCATTTATTTTCTGTTTCGTCTGTTCTTTGCTCCATATTACATTATTTAGTTTTTAAATAACATTATTATTATTTGTTTTTTAGACAGGTTCTCACTCTGTCACTCAAGCTGGAGTTCAGTGGTGTGATCACTGCTCACTGCAGCCTCAACCTCCTGGACTCAAGCAATCCTCCTGCTTCAGCCTCCCAAGTAACTAAAACTACAGAAGTGTTTCACCACACTCAGCTAATTTTTTAATTCTTTTGCAGCAATGGGGTCCCACTATGTTGCCCAGTATGGTCTTCAACCTCTGGGCTCAGGCAATTCTCCACCTAGGCCTGTCAAAGTGTTGGGATTACAGGTGTGAGCCCCTCTGCCTGGCCTTTTAGTCTTTTATTGTTTTTAATGTTTACCATATATATTATAATATGCATCCTTCACTGATTAGAATATACTTTTATTACTTTCACACTTCCTGATCAATGAAAGTGCCTGAAAAGTTCCACTCTGATTTCTTGCACTATCAATAATATGGATATTAATTTTACATATAATTTGAACATGTATTATTATTGTTGTTATTATTATGTTCTAACATTTAATATTTGGTTTTGATATGCTCTGATGTTTCTCCTTCCTTGTGCTTTGTATCCTTCCTTTATTATTATGCTTTGTTCAGGGATTATTTTCTTTCTGCCTAGATAATTATCTTTGGCATTTTATTTAGAAAAAGTATTATGACCTCAGCTTCTCTGAACTTCTTGTTTCACCCCCCAAAAAGAAAAACAAATAAAAAAAGGCCTTTATTTAGCCTTCATTTTTGAAGGAGATCATTTTCTAAATATAGATTCAGGCATTTTCTTTCAGCGCTGTAAGTGTTCTCTGTCTCCCATTGTTTTATTTCAAAAGTCAGCTCTTAATCATATTATTACTCATTTGAAACTAATGTGTCTTTTATTTGCATGCTTTTAAGATTGTCATTTGGCTTTAGTTTTTAGCAGTTTTATATAATAGGTGTTATTATTTTGTTTTTAGCTGGGCTGTGATTCATAGAGCTTCTTGAATGGCTCCAAAGACTTGATGCTTTTCATTAGTTTTGGGAAATTCTTAGCCAACATTTCTTCTCATACTTCTATTTTTTTCCTCTGTCATTTCTCCTTTTTGGAATCCAGTTACAAATACATGAACCTTTTTTTCAATTATGTTCCACATAGCTCTTATTTTATATTTCATTTAATTTACTTGCTTGCTTCAAACTGTATATTTTGTATGTGTATAAGTATGTGAATCTATTGGTAAATACTTTATTTCTTCTACTGTGGTTAATCATTAATCTACTATTAAAGTCATCTATATCTTAATTTCAGTATTTTGTAAGATCCCTGATTTCTATTTGATTTTTAAATTAAATTCCAATTCTCTGATGAAAATATTCCATCTTTGTATTTATTTTTGGAACATATTAAGTTTAGTCCTGATACCTCAGATATTTTGATTTTCTGCTGCTCTACTTTTAAGTTTTTCTCTTACATTTCTCAGTCATTTGGTTCTATTCTCTGGCATATCTGATAAATTTTGACTGAATCCCAAATGTATATGAAAAATTGCTGGCATTCTCAATGATATCTTTCTTCTTGGGGGCTACTAAAATACATGCAGATTACCTTGTTTCAGCAGAGGATATTCTGTTTCTAGTTTGCTTCTCACTCTATAGTTGTTGCCTTTTCAGGGATCCAACTAAAGGCCTGAGATTTTTGTAAGTCCATCTTTTTCCTCTTTTTTTTTTTTTTTTTTGTAGAAATGGGGTTTCACTATGTTGCTATGTTGCCCAGGCTGGTTTTAAACTCCTGGGCTCCAGCAATCCTCCCGCTTTGGCCTCCCAAAGTGCTAGGATCTCAGGCATGAGCCACTGCACCCTAAGTCCCTTGTTTTGTAATGATCCTACATTCTAATTTTCATCTTCCCCGCACCAAAATACTGCCAAACTATCTGCCTAAACTTTTAGTATCTCAGCAGTTGATTTCTGCTTGAATTCTTAGACATATGTTCTTCAAATGCAAATTTTAGCATTCAGCTAGTGCCTCAAGGGGAAATTTTCCACAGAATGTTATGCCCATTTCTCTAAAGTTCCCTTTTACTTTGGAGATCTTGATCCTTCAAACTCTTACTGATTTGCTTGCCATGCCTGCCAATAATTGTTTTCTTAGCCTACTCAGATAGTCCTAAACTCCAGAGACTCTCTTTTTGATATCTATGCACTGTTTTTATTTTTTTACTTATTAGACATTTTTCCCTATTTCACAGCTGTACCCTCTTCCACAATTTGTTTAGACAAAAATAATATTTTTTTCAAGATAAGACTATCAAATGGAGTTTATGTAAGGTAACATTAAAAGTGGACCAACGATCTTATTTTCTTTTTACTCATTAATTTATCTTATCCATGAACAAATACATTTAGGCTATAGATTGGCTCTATCAATTATTTTCTTTAACTTTTGTAGTAGATTTTCTTTCTCTTTTCTAGTTTCATGCTTAGAGAGCCTTAGTGCATAAAGGTCTCTAAAAGGAATTAAGACCTTCTGGAAATATGATTAAAAGGTCTTCCTTTTGTTTTACACCATGTATCATTCCCAATATAACATAATGTTCGCTCTGCTTAGACCTTGTGCTTTACATTTCTCAGAATGAGATAATCCACAGCCTAAATGCATATAGCTATAAAGTATTATGTGAATTGTCAAAGGAGGTATGCATTTTTTCATGATATTCTGAATTAATCACCAAATACGTTTATAAAAGGCTATGGGAATTACAGTTACCCTAATGCTTCTGAATTGCAAATATTCCTTATTTCTGTTTTGATTACTGTTGTCTTTAATTGAGTATGACTATTTTATGTGTACGGTTTAGTAACATAGCTGTTTGGGCTCTCTTTGTCTCTTTTGCAATGAACATTGCAAAGCAGCTGTTACAAGCATATATTTAGAGCCAAAGGGTACTCTGGCTTACATATGGGAGGGGTGAGGGAAGGATAATTGAATCACAAAATGCTTGTGTTAAAATATGCTCTGAGAAACAATGGAAACAGGAAAACAATGCCAGAATGGTGTCCACAGTGAAGAGAACAAAGCCTGACTCTAAACAGAGGTTGCTAAACAAATCAGTCCCTATGCAATTAGATGGAAAAGCACTTAGCAACAATATAAAAATGACAGACTAGCTGAAAATCAGCACAATAGAAGATGACTCAGACTCTCTAAAGTTTACATACTTTAGAACATTACTTTCAATTCCACATAGAGTTAGTTCACTTGCGACTTCATGATATGGAAATGAAAGTGATGATAAAAAAGAAATAATTTCTGCATTACAAACATAAAGTCAATACTAATTTGACTTTTATTAAAGAAACTCAAATCCTTCATAATTAATTCCTACTGAAATTTTGCCCAAAATCATACAGACTTTATAGTTTAGCTTTTTTTGTAGGTATAAAATTGACATATTAAGATTTCTGAACTTTTGCCCAGCATTTCTAGTTCTCTTATTCTTTTTAAAACTTCATATTTTAGATAGCAGGCCTCCCTGGCATCTGAAACAGCATGATTAAGTATGAATATACATGTCTTTACCTCCCTATAAAAGACTATTCTGTATGACCTGTACATTTCTCTTGGTGTAACACTATTGCTTCAATTTTATAGGCTCACACCTATGAGTTTTCAGTCTGCCAAACCCTCCTGGTGTGTGTGTGTGTGTGTGTGCGCGCGTGTGTGTGTGTACTGTCATACTCTAAGGAGAATGTGTCTTAACAACTGGAGGGTTTGTTTAATCTGACCTCTTTGAAGATTTGAATATGAAAGTTTGGGATCAAAGTTTAAAGTGGAGCAAATTACTCTGCATAAAATTGGAAGTTAATGAATTGGGGGTAAGAGTCAGTGAGAGAGATTGAGAGAAGCCATTAAGGCTGGATGCTACATAAGAGAACTTGTATGTGAGCTCTGGGTTACACTAAAGAAAAATACAGAAGTATATCAAGGAAATAGAAGTAACATAAAATCACAGATTGCAATCTTCATATCAGCCAAGTAAAATTCAATTAAAAAATGATGAAACCTAAAATTTAGGCCATGTTTAAACACTAAAAGTCATAATTTACAATAAAGACATAAAGATTTAATAATTATGTATATGTAAGTTATTTGTCTCTTTATCTCTATTTATTATCTATCTATCTATCTATCTATCTATCATCTATCATCGATCTATGCCAAGTAGCAAAATACCCACTTTTATAAAGTGGAAACTACAGAGGATAAAGAAGACATAGACAGGGACAAAGAAATGCAAGGGAGTGCAATAATCACTGAAAGTCAATTTTTTCAGATACGTGGTAGGACTTTTCAATATAGAAATTAAAGTTCTCTGTTATTTTTTACATTTTCTTTGTTTGGGTTAAAGGAGACTTTCATTCATTGCTCTATGTACAAGTCACATCAAGAGGAAAAGAAAATAAAGTTATAGGGGGAAAAATCACCTTTTCAGTACTCTCTAAACTCTTAAAATGTACTGTCTGCTATGGTTTGAATGTTTTCCCCAATGCAACAGTGTTGGGAGGTGGAGCCTCATGGGAGGTGTTTAGGTCATGAGGTCTCTGATCTTATAGATGAATTTATGCCCCTATAAAAAGGGCTTGCTGGAGTGGATTTGCTCTCTCTTGCTCTTCTGCCACGTGAGGACACAAAGTTCCTCTCTTCCAGAGAATTCAGGGTTAAAGGCACCACTTTGGAAGTGGAGACCAGGCCCTCACCAGACACCAAAATCTGCTGGTGCTTTGTTCTTAGACTTCCCAGCTCCAGAACTGTTAGAAATAAATTTCTGGCCCGGTGTGGTGGCTCATGCCTGTAATCCCAGCACTTTGGGAGGCTGAGGCGGGTGGATCACGAGGTCAGGAGTTCGAGATCAGGCTGGCCAACATGGTGAAACCCCGTCTCTACTAAATACAAAAAAAATTAGCTGGGCGTGGTGGTGCACCCCTGTAATCCTAGCTACTCAGGAGGCTGAGGCAGGATAATTGCTTGAACCCAGAAGGCGGAGGTTGCAGTGAGCTGAGATCGCGCCACTACACTCCAGCCTGGGGGAGGGAGTAAGACTCTGTCTCAGGAAAAAAAAAAAAAGAAAGAAATTCCTATTCGGTATAATTTACCAGTCTGTGATAGTCTGTTATAGCTGCGAGAATAGACTAAAACAGTGTCTTTCCATAATCTAGTACTTATTGTTTCTTGCCTGTCTTTCCCTCCTAACAACATGTACTTCCTGCCATATCCCTAGCACTTACAACAGCATCTGGCATACAATATTTGCTGAATAAACATCTGTTGAGAGACTGAACAACTGAAGGAATGAATCCTGTCTGGCACTCAAGTTTTAGTCTCCATCCAAAATAAATATGTTTTTTGATTTATTATTTCTTCAATTCTTGTTTATTTTCCATAAGTTTTTTTCTTTCTCAAAACTTCTTTTAAAAAAACTTCTTTTTTAAAAAAAAAATTGGAAAAAAGAACCATTCGTGCTGCATCTTCTCTCTCTTACTTCCCAGGAGGAAGAGAAGAATGATCATCAATGGCAAAAAGCAGTTGCAGCAAAGCAAAACCAAGAGCCAGCTTTAAGCTCAGGAGAGAGCGCTACATCTCCTCCTCTTGGTTTCTGGTGCTCTCCAGGTTCAGAGACACTTTTCTAGTAATAAACTGAAAAAAGATCACTGAAAGTATCATCTTTCTGAGACTTCTTTAATCAGATATTTTGTCTGGTCATTCTATTCCCAAATTATCTTCCATTTCTCATAATTTAAAACTTTGTTTTATTTTTTACTCTATATTATAATACCCAGATTATATTTCATCTTCTAAAGCTCTAATTACCTTTTTTATTCTTGTACAATTTAAATTCATAAAGTATAATTTGTTTGGTTTATTTATGTGCTTGACTCTACCTAGTTGCTGTGTATGTGTAGTTTATCTCCTACATATTCTATGACAGTTTTATTAAAAGTTTCTTCATATTATTTCATTAGCTGTGCATCTGTGGGATAACATATCCTGGTAATTTTATTTTGTTAATTTTCTTTAAAACATAAAATATTATGCATTACACACTGATTTATTTAAAAGAAAAAGATTAAGATCAGTTTGACAATTTTAGGAAGATCATTTTGGCAATCTAGAATTTTTGTTTATTATTAGTTTTTTTAAAATTTAGTAATAATTTATTACAAAGCACTTTGCTACTACCGGGGTGACACTACAACAGTAAATAAAAAGTTTGACTTCTACTAGAGGATGTACATCATACATTACATGGAAATCAGTTCCCACTATGTCTGGTCCATGCAGGGTGAGCCTCAACAAGAATTAGCAATTGCAGAATTTATAATTGCAGAATTTATAATGTTCAGCAATAACAAATTAAAAGGTGTTGTGTTTGAGGGCAAAGACTTAAGCATTTAGATTTAGTAAAGCTGAATTCCCAAATTAGGAAAAAAAATCTGATTTTAAGAGTTTGGACTCCTGAAGAGATTTGTCCCACTTCCGGTCACACTGATTTGCTCACTTTATTTTGTGACTTACTGGCTTAGCTTGTTTTCTTCTATATTGCTTTCCTTATAACAACAATAGAGAGAAAATGGGATACATTCCATATTTGTTATTGTCAGAACCCCAGTGGTTTAGATGTGATTGATGAATAAGATACACGAAGTTACAACAAAGCATTGAATAATGTGTAGTTAAAATCCAGCAGGCTTTATAAACAGGCACATGTAAATCATTTCAGCAATTTTCCCTCTTGTTTATGCCAATTAGTTCCCACATAAATGTCTACATGTTTGAAGCTATTTTAAATTGATTCAGCATTTTTCTCTCAAAATTGCAGATATCAAATATCTAGCATTTAAATGCTGCTTTAGCCTGAGACTAGAAGTGAGCTGCAATGCAACTGTAAACACATTTTGAATGAGTGGTTTTGATTTTATCTACCTTCATAGTTTATTAGTTTTATAATGACATGAAGACACAGAATACTTATCAAAATAAGGATTATTTTTTCTGTTAACCAAAATGTAAACAATTAGGTGAGTTAAGTTCTGGGTGCACTAGCTGTGCTTCTGCTTTACTAGTGTCTTTAAAAAGACAGAATACTGATAATTTTGTACCTGTGCTACTATTACAGCCTGCTAAAGAAGAATAGTGGACATGATGTTCTGAAATCACTTTCTGGTCATTAGGTTACTGAGATTATATCACTCAGTGAGAGCCTTTTCTTAACAAGGAGAAAGAACTATGTCCAGAGTTTATAGTGTCTTCCAACCATGCACTGAGACAATTTTCAATGACTAATTATAGCTTGAGGGAGCAGGAAAAGGCTACCAGAAAAAAAAAAAAAATCCATCAGAGGAGTTAATTTGTAGAAAGAAGGAGGAGTGCAGTTTCAAAGCAATTTTGTAAATTCCAAGTGTAACTACTTGCATTCTTCAAAACAATTTCCATCCTACTGACTTTAATGATAGGTCATTGGTATAGAAGAGATAAAACGTTCATTTCATAACTGCAGTGCCTATGTTTGTATAAGGTGTGCCCAGGAAAAAGTCAACTAGTTTTTTTAGAAATTTATTGGAGGAATATTTGAAATATTAAAGGCTATAGTCTATATAGTCAATTCATATTATAACTAAAGTCTCACTCCCTAGTTAGGCTTCAGTGTTCTCACATTGGCAATCTTTTATTGATTATTCTGAAACTTTGAAAAAAAAAAAACAACTAGATAGCCCCCACTCTAATTTTTAAATACTTTCTTGAAATTATAAAATTTTGCTGCATGTTTCTTGTAGTAAAATACATTTTATAGATTTGTTTAACTTACAGATTTTAGTGGCACCAAAAATTTAAAAATATAAAGTAGACTTAATCTTGCCAAATGATGACTGAGGAATGGAATGAAAACAAGTGTATACCTAAATCCTTTGGCTACATTTAAGTTACTTTTAGTAATAAAGATGTAATGAAAATGAAGCAACAGCCAGGCACAGTGGCTCATGCCTGCAATACCAGAACTTTGGGAGGCTGAGGCGGGTGGATCACCTGAGGTCAGGAGTTCGAGACCATCTTGACCAACATGGAGATACCCCATCTCTACTAAAAACACAAAATTAGCCATGTATGGTGACGCATGCCTGTAATCCCGGCTACTCAGGAGGCTGAGGCAGAAGAATCGCTTGAACCTGGGAGGCGGAGGTTGCGGTGAGCTGAGATCATGCCATTGCACTCCAGCCTGGGCAACAAGAGCGAAACTCCATCTCAAAACAAATACATAAATAAGAAAATGAAGCAACATATATATCATTCCAAAGCTGAAGCCAAAATCTTATCCTGAAATTAGATAATTATTGTCAGCAAAATTAGCCATAATGATCTCATCTAATAACTTACCTGATTTACATGCAAAGCCAGAATAATATCAAGAATTCAGTCACCTATCACACAGAGCACTTCATGTGTTTTACTTGAATAGCTTGGTCTTTCTCTTTCAGCCATGAGTGCCAGAGTGATATTTTATGCTTGTATGAAAGAAATACTTCAAAAATAAGAAAAAAACTATAGGATAATATGAACACTTATGGAATAGAAAGAAGGATGACATCACAACAAAATAAAGCAAAATAAATGGAGGAACACATTTGGGGCAGTGAAAAATTAGAATTTTCTGTGGTTGAGGAAGCAGGAGCTGTAGAGTAAAGTTGGGTTGCCCAGTGAGATTAAAAAATAAAAGGGCTCAAAAAACTGGTGAAGACTTGAAGAAGAACCATCCAGGGATTTTAAGAGTGAATAAAGAGATAAAATCAATATTTAAAAACAGTTGGTGTGATAAACAGATGGAAAGGTTAGAATTAAACCTGGAAAATTAAATGGCTCTTAAAGAATTCAAAGTAAATAGTGGTGGGGCTTCTATCCAGAGTGATGGCATAACTAATTGGAAATAAGCTAGAGAAAAAAAACTTTAAAAGAAAAAAAAGGTAAATATTTGATGTCTACTGCCTCAGAAACGACTGTGATATCCATGGCACTGAAGCCTGGAGGGAGTATGATACCATGATAACCACAGGAAAATGTAGGGGTTAGGAGGAATGGCTTAGGCTGAAGTCATGTTAAGGACAATGAGCAGTTGTTAAGTCAGAGATGTGGGATTCATTTATAGAGAATATACACAAGAGCAGAAAGGTAAAAAGGTGGATATTCTATACTGCATTCAATTGTTTATTGATTATCAATCTATTAACCAGGCATAGTCTGAAATACTGATACATGTTTTTTTTTCAAAACACATATTGCAAAAGTTAGTTTTCTATTCCAAGATCTCTCAGTTCTTTTCTCTAATAATAACACATTTATGTAGCCAATACCGATTTTTTAAAAGGACAAACATTCAAATTTTAACCTAGTCCAATTTTTCTAATTCATGTGTGAAGATTTTATGAAGCTCTGAGTTAAAATTTTCAAAAACTAGATTATTTATATAAAAATTGAAAAACTGCCTAATGGTTATCATTTTACCTGTAACTCAATCAAAGTGTTAACCAAATTTGGACTGTGGTGAAGAATTGCCAGTGAACAGTGGGTGGGATGAGAAAGGTAGCTAATTTGTTTTCAAATCACTTAGATTAAAATTAATATTGCTTTGCCAGCATAGGCCTAAACATATGAGAATTCATTTAGGAATTCAGCAATTGCAAATAAGTATAATTTGCTGAACAGTTCTATTTACCCCTGAATTCTAATAAGACCCATTATCATAATTTATCATTTAGGAAAGCATAGTGAAGTTAAAAAAAAAAAACCTTTCTGACTAGTCAGTGACTTTACAGAAAGAAGTGTTAGAATGATTATATGTGGGAGAAGGTATCCTTGCATCAGTGCATGGTTCCCTTTAAGGGAGTAATCATTAATTATTTATATAAGACAAGAAGTTACTCTAATAGCTTGTCAAAGTGTTGCTGGTCAGAATCATAGTGTCTTGAAATAGCAGTTTAAAAACAATTATTATTATTGTTATTACTATTTTTACCTCTGGGAGCCTTTATTGAATCAAAGTGCATTTTGAAACAGACAACATTCTTGCTGCTGTTAAGACAACATTCTGGTGTGCTTATAGCTTGGTTTCTTTGATGCTCCCACCCATTTTTCCCTCCCCCTCTTCTTTTAGGACTCAGTTACTTCTGGACTTTCTAACAGAAGGACCATTCTAATATGAAAACATTTCATTTTAGGAATACCCACATTGTAGGAGTGACACTTTTTTGTGTCCATTGATTGATAGACCAATTATCAAGAGGTTTCAGGCTAGAAACCTCTTACTACTCTAGGGAAAGGCCCTGCTGGTGAATGTTTTCATGAACAGTAACTAGCTGCATCCATCTGATTTCTTATCCATGAAGATACTTGGCTACACGTGATCGTCCTGTAATAATTGTGGTAGACTGAATAATGGCCCCAAAGACATCTACAGGCATACCCTGTTTCATTGCACTTCACTTTTTTGTGCTTTGCAGGTACTGTGATTTTTACAAACTGAAGGTTTGTGGCAACCCTACATTGTGCAAGTCTATTGATGCACTTTTTCCAACAGCAAGTGCTCCCTTTGTGTCTTTGTGTCACTTGGTAATTATTACAATATATCAACTTTGAAAATTATTATTATTATATTTGCTATGGTGATATGTGATCAGTGATCTTTGTTGTTACCACTGAAATCATTCTGGGGAACCACAAACAATGCTGATATAAGATGGCAGACTCGATCAACAAGTGGTGTGTGTGTTCTGACAGCTCCACTGACTGGTCATTTCTCCATCTCTCTCCCTCTGCTTGGGTCTCTCTATTTCCTGAGGCACAGCAATATTGAAATTAGGCCAATTTATAATACTACAATGGCTTTTAAGTGTTTCAGTAAAAGAAAGGGTTTCACATCTCTCACTTTAAATCGAAAGCTAGAAATGATTAAACTTAGTGAGGAAGGCATGTCAAAAGCTGAGATAGGCAGAAATCTAAGCCTCTTGTGCCAGTTAGCCAAGATGTGAATGCAAAGGTAAGTCCTTGAAAAAAATGCAAAGTGCTACTCCAGTGGACACACGAATGGTAAGAAGGTGAAAGACCCTCATTGCTGACATGGAGAAAGTTTCAGTGGTCTGGATAGAAGATTAAACCAACTGCAACATTGCCTTAAGCCAAAGCTTCATCTAGAGAATGGCCTTAATGCTCTTCTATTCTATGAAGAGAGGGAAGGAAGCTGCGAAGAAAAGTTTAAAGCTAGAAGAGGTTGGATCATGAGGTTTAAGGAAAGAAGTCTTTTCTATAAAGTCTTCTTTCACTTTGCACATAAAATTGCAAGGTGAAGCACCAAGTGCTGATGTAGATGTTGCAGCAAGATCTAGCTAAGATGATTAATGAATGTGGCTACACTCAATAACAAATTTTCAACGTAGATTAAACAGCCTTCTACTGTGTTGGAAGAAAATGCCATCTAGAACTTTCATAGCTAAAGAGGAGGCACCAATTCCTGGTTTCAGAGCTTAAAATGTAAGCTGATTCTCTTGTGAGGGGCTAATACAGCTGGTGACTTTAGGTTGAAGCCAATGCTCATTTACCGTTCTAAAAATATTAAGATGCTTAAGGTTTATCTTAAATCTACTCTGCCTGTGCTATATAAATGAAACAACAAAGCCTGATGACAGCACATCTGTTTACAGCAGGGTTTACTGAATATTTTAAGCTCCCTGTGGAGAGCTACTGCTCAGAAAAGAGGTTTCTTTCAAAATATACTGCTCATTGACAATGCACCTAGTCACCCAAGAGCTTTGATGGAGATGTGCAAGATTACTCTTGTTGTCATGCTTGCTGACACAACATACATTAGGTAGCCCGTGGATGAAGGAGTCATTCTGACTTTCAAGTCTTATATTTAAAAAATACATTTTGTAAGGCTACAGCTGCCATAGATAGTTATTTCTCTCATGGATCTGGCAAAGTAAATTGAGGAAAGGAGTCGCTCTTCTAGGTGCCATTAAGAGCATTCATAATTCATGAAAGGAGATCAAAATATTAACATTAACAGGAGTTTGGAAGAAATTGATTCTAACCCTCATGGATGACTTCGAGGAGTTCAAGACTTCAGCAGAAGAAGTAACTGCTAATAAACATTAGCAGAATGGAAACAGCAAGAGAACTAGAATTAGAAGCAGAGGCTGAAGATGTGACTGAATTGCTACGATTACATGAGAAAAAAATTAATGTAAAAGGAGTTGCTTTTTATGAATGAGAGTAAAAAAGTGTTTTTTTGAGATGGAGTCTACTCCTGGTGAAGATAATTTAAGCATTGTTGAAATGACAAAAAAAATTATAATATTACATAAACTTAGTTGATAAAGTAGTGGTGGGGTTTGAAAGGATTGACTCTAATTTTGAAAGAAGTTCCACTGTGGGTGAAATTCTATCAAACAGCATGGTATGCTACAGAGAAATATTTTGTGAAAGGAAGAGTCAATTGATGTGGTAATCTCCATTGAAGTCTTATTTTAAGAAATTGCCACAGCCACCTTAGCCTTCATCAACCACCACCCTGATCAGTCATCAGCCATCAACATCTGAGGCAGGACTCTCCACCAGCAAAAACGCTACAACCTGCTGAAGACTCAGAAGATTTTTGGCATTTTTTTGCAATAAAGTATTTTTAATTAAGATATGTACATTGTTCTTTTAGACATAATGCTATTACACATTTAATAGACTACAATATATTGTATATATGTTTTATAATTACTGGGAAACAAAAATATATGTGATTTGCTTTGTTGTGACGTTATTGTTATTGTCTGGAAGCTAACCCAAAATATATTTGGGGTATGCCTGTACAATCCTATTCTCTGGAACCTGTAAATGTTGACTTACATGACAAAAGGGATTTTTTCAGATGTGATTAAGTTGAAGATCTTGAGAGAAAGAGATTATCATGGATAATCAGGGAAGGACCTAAATATAATGACTGTCTTCTATGAAAAGGGAGACAGTAAAATACATGATTAGAGAGAGGAGAGAGAGGCAATGTAATTATAGAAGCAAAAGGTTGCACAGGTGCAAAAAAGGCGTCATGGGCGATGGAATGTAGGTAGCCTCCAGAAGCTAAAAAAAGGCAAGGGGAGAAATCTTCTCTTAGTTCCTCCAGAAGGAGCTAACCTCTCAAACACCTTCACATTAGCTCAATGAAGATAATTTCAGCCTCCTGAACTGAAAGAGAATACATTTATGTTGTTCTAAGCCATGAAGGTGTTGGTAGCTGGTTATAGCAGCCATAGGAAACTAATGCATATGCTAATCATGTAATGATAAAACTAGTAAGCATGCAATGTTTATACAGGAAAAAGCCTTCCTATAAGGAATGGTAGTATATTTCACTAGTAGAGTACTTTACAGATTTTAGAGTTCTTTTAAATTATTACTCCCATTTGATTCTCAAAACAATTCTATAAGTAAGCAGGAAAGATATTATTATAATACCTATTTTACTAATGAAGAAATTGAAGCTAAGGGAGCTTACATGTCTTGTGGTAAAAAAAAGTTATTTGACTCTTTGCCTAGTAATTTCTTCTCTATAGGGTCCTGTTTCTTTAAAAAGGAGCTCAGAAAAGCATCTGTAACCAGCTATATAGACCACATTTCTTTAAGGAAGGCAAATACTTTTCTGGTCCATAGTCAGACGCATTATCCATTGCAACACTGGCCTGTGCTTGCAAATGTTTTCTTAAACTGGATAAATAGAAAATTCATCATGG
The DNA here is from genome assembly GCF_000001405.40 of Homo sapiens. Classification (NCBI taxonomy): domain Eukaryota; kingdom Metazoa; phylum Chordata; class Mammalia; order Primates; family Hominidae; genus Homo; species Homo sapiens. The sequence continues at coordinate 10,214,697 of NC_000007.14, read as the reverse complement.
AAAGACAACCTTCTACCTTAAATTCATGTTAAGCAGAAGTTTATTGATTGGTAGATGCAAGATCCTCTCTACACAAGAAAGAATTAAGCAGAATATTCATATGAATTTATATTACTTAATATGGGGTATGCCATTGAAAGGAGTTAGCAAGCTTGCTTTAGGCAAACAGTAAGGAAAGGGTCCTGGAGAGCCTTTGACCTGCCCTGTAGGTGCTTGCACCAGATGTTTTGTGCAGATAAAGGAACTTGCAAAGGGGGCTTGCCTAAACGTACAGACTAAGGGCCCACATACAACTAGGGGAATGGGATGGAGCCACCAGCAATTCATGCCTTATATAAATAGGGAACCCACCTTCATCAGCTTGTATGTAAAGGCCCTTGTATTCAACTCTGAAGGGGGCAACCAGCAACCTGCTATTAGAACCCCTCTTTTTGCTGAGAGCTTTCCTTTTCACTTAATAAATTCTACTCCACTCATTTTTTCAATGTCCGCATGCTTATTCTTCCTGGTCATGAGACAAGAACCTGGACGTAGCTGAGCTAAGGCACAAAAAACCTGCATCATTTTGGGGGCTCATCTGGGATACCTGGTGGGTGAGTAAATGCAGTCCCACAGCCTTTCACTTTCATTTCTGAGCCTTCTTGTCCTCAGACTTTTCCTGAAGGCAGATGCAGCACTGAACCTCTGGTGAGCCAATTAGGAATGAATGGCACAGCTACAGAGGACAGGATGCAGGAGAGGACCATGACACGCCCACCCCCGTCATCCTCTGGGGTTGGGAATGTCGGTCTCGTCCCAATCCAGTCTTTTCTATGGCGTTTTACTTCTTTTTTTCAGTACTGTCACGGCACCTATCTCTTCTTTTGTAATGTTAAGGGTGTTGCTGCAAACTGCGGAGATATTACTAGGTAGAATGAGCCTTTGACCCAGCCATCAGACATGCAATTCAGAATAATGCGATTTCCTTCTGTTCTTAGAGGTGTCGCCCACCCCCATCCTGATGGACATGTGGGGTGGGAATGAGCTGTGGCTGCCACCTGGGCCCGGGCCCCAGGACAGCCTCGGTAGCCAAGGGCCCCATGTGGCCAGCTGGCCAGTGTTTCCTGCTTACCATCCCCCCGACGCCATGCACCAACAGAGTCTTTCCTCCCGTGGCCAAGCCAGGAAGAGGGTACAATGATTGAAAGTTTCTCTCCCTGTTGGAGGAACCCATTTGCATAGAGCTAGAGGATTTTCCCTCAGGCATCTTCCCTGCCCTGCCCTTAAGCTGTTTTTTTTTTTTTTCTTTTCCCCACACTGTCAGGAGTTACCTTTTATGCAAGAGGTTTTTTTTTTTCCTTTGGAAGACATCTTATTAGGCCAGTACCCCAATTCACAAGACATCCTTTTCTCTCCCTTGTTTGAGGAGGACTCAGCTCCATAGCTTTACCTTAGCATGACTAAGTCCTGCTGAATTTCATGGATAGAGGAGGTCATGGTAGCATTCATGGATAGAGGATGCTCCCACTTCATGGATAGAGGTCATGCTAGCATTCATGGCATAGACAAGGTCTAGGGAACTCAAAGGCTACTGACAGCATTGGGAAAAGGCCACATGTGGATAAGTGTGGATAATTCCCACCCCCTCGGCCCCCTGTTAATGTGGGTGAAAACCTCTGTTTTCCTTATGAAACCCCAGGAATTGAAAGCAGAAAGATCCCTCTCAAAACCTTTAGGGTTCCTAACCTGTGGTAAGTAAAGAATGTTACTTTCTAATAGGCCCAGGAGACCCATGTTCTTGAGACCTCAAGAAAAGAGGAATTTACTCAACTCATAGGTATTTGAGGCTACCAACCCATGGCTGGCCTCAGCTGTAAAAGGTCTTATCTGAGATTCCGTGGGGAACAGGGTGTCATTAAAGCCGATTTAAAGGCCTGTGTGAAAAACAATTACTCATGCTGCACTTTACGCAAATAATCAGGCCAAGTATAAGACTAAGGTTTATTTTACAAGCAACTTAGTCCTATCATGATTTGTTTTTGACAAAAATGGGGACTAGAGAGAGAAAAATTATGTTTCAATGCTTACCATATACTTGTTATTAAATTCTCGTCTCATCTGTTGTTTTTAGGTTTTTGCCTACATTCTAGACTAACCCTGTTTATCCCCGTGAACCAACCAGTGATCTCTGGCTGTATCTCAGAAGAAACAGACAGATGGGTAATATAAAGATCTAGATCAATAGTCTAGTTCTGGACAATTATCCTGCAAAGCCTGCAAGGTGGTAAGAATAAATGGGGTGCCCATAACCCAGAAGTTTCTTTGTTATGGAAAATAAGACCAAGGGAGCTAACCAGAGCCAAGCCCCATGCCCCCACATCTTGGCAGGCATAACTATAGCCACCAGTTTTCTGGGCATTTCAGCAGCCTTGGGGTTTTTTTGAGCTGCCCTTACCCCCTTGTTTCATTTTGATGTGCATCTTCTAATAACCCTAATTGTTTATTCTTGCTTAGCGGCCATTAAACTTCAAATGGTGTTGCTAATGGAACCAGGTATGAATGTGTCATTTTTCTGGAGACCCTTAAAGTGACCTCAAGAGGAGCCCTAACTGCCGCTTTCCTAAAACAGTGCCCCCTGTCAGCAGGAAGCAGTTAAGAGCTGTCATTGACCACTTTCCCCACCAGCAGTTGGGGTATCCACTCCTCAAGCGGGGAATGAAAGGCATTAGCCACCTTGCTTTAGGTAGACAGTAAGGGAAGGGTCCCGGAGAGCCTCTGACCCACCCCACAGGTGCTTGTACCAGATGTTTTGTGCAGATAAGGGAACTTGCAAAGGGGGCTTGATTAAACATGCCAGCAGCCGACTAAGGGCCCACATGCACACTGGGGGAATAGGGTGGAGGCACCAGGAATTTTCACCTTATACAAATAAAGAAGTCAGCCCCATCAGTCCGTATGTAAAAGCCCCTGTATTCAGCTGTGAACAGGGCACCAGCAACCTGCTTTTAGGGCCCCTCTTTTTGCTGAGAGCTTTCCTTTCCTAATAAATTTCACTCCACTCACTCTTCGACATCTGCATGCCTATTTCTTCCTGGTTGTGAGAGAAGAACCTGGAACTAGCTGAGCTAAGGAGCAAAAATCCTGCATCACAACTTAGCATAGAACATAGTGAATCCTAAAATGAAACCAGAAATATTTTAGAAAATAATAATCTTAAATATATAGACAGCTAAATAGAATAAAAAACTAAAATAAAAAGTATACCACAAATGTGAAAGTGATGGTTTCATATTTCTAAAGATCACCCAAGGAGACAGTTTAGAAATTAAAATGAAAAGTACATTTTTAGAATGTATTAAAGATATTATAACTATGTCCAGCTTTATTTTCATGCTGTGTCTGCAATCTCCACTAGGATGACAATATGCCTATAACCAAGAATTTTCTCATTTTCCATGGTCAACATTATAATTACTGTAAAGGCAAACAGCATGGCTGAGTACAAAGTACATTCAACAGGTAAAGCATACAGTATAAAGTCTATACTGTAGCTATGCAAATGCCATCATCCTCAAAAGCACAAGTAAATATTGATTAAGAACTTTAAGCACTTTGAAGGTTGCTGGAGCAAAATGAATACGTTTAGAAGTTTTTAGAGATTGTTTTGACTCTATTGGGTTCCTGGAACTGAGTTATTCAATACTTCTGAAAGAAGGGGGCAACATATTAGATAGCAGAAAGTGGTTCAAGACCACACCTCAGAGAAACTTTAAAAAAATGAAGGATTAAGAAAGTCATTATTTGATATTTTTAAAAATAAATAACCTCAGTAGAAATCCATTTTAATTTTAACCTTTATATTACTAACTAGAACTCATCTTTTATTCTATTTCCTTTCATATAATTCAGATCTGCCCTAGTACGTCACTGAAGAGAGACTAAAGAAAAAATTGTCTAATTTCATAGGACATTATAGGTAAGCTGATTTTTACAGAAATCCTTTACAAATTGGTTAGGGCCAATGTTGTTAGACCTGAAGACAACATTAGAAATTAACTCTGGCGTTTCATAGCATAAAAAAGAGAGGCTTAGAATGATGTGTGATGGTCTCACCATCCATGCTGTTAATCACATTAAAAACCTGAACAACAAACAGACCCCAAGAACACCTTATGTCCTCAAAGGCAATTTGCCATTTAAAAATAAATTCTCAAATCTGTCGACTATATTCTCTCAAACCTTGATAGCCTAAGCTTCCAATTTTTCTCCTTTGGAAAACTTCAATAGCCTACTTACTACCCTTGTTCTTCATCATCCTATCTCCTTTCCCTCTAACTTTTGCCCCCCATAAAGCCAGAGTGATTTTGAAGTTTATATGTCATCATAGAACTTCGTAGTAAAATTATTTCAGTAGCTTCTCACTGGTCTTGTGATGAAGGCTAAGTTCCCTGGCCTCAGCCCTGGCTGTTTTTCAACTAAATCTCACTTCCCATCCAGCCCCACTCATCACTCCTTTGCAGCCACACCAGCCTCCTGTGCGTTCTTCTCACCCTGGAGGCTTTCCTTGCCCAGTCCAGTTACTCCCTCAGACCTCAACTCAAGCCTGACTTCCTACAAGTCTTCCCTGACTTTCTGACTTATTTACTAAACCCCTGTCGTAGACTCTTATAGCGACATGTAGCTTTCTTTCATGGCACTTATGACAGTTGTGATTTCACATCTGTATATATGGCGTAGTCTCCCCATGAAACTATAAGTTCCAGAAAGGCAGTATTAGAATCATAGTGTTTTCTCACCACCAGTTACTAAAAGCTGATCACAATTTCTAGGCCAATAAAATGATAAAAGTGATCTGATAAAATGAAAACTATATAGTGATTTTCAAACTATTTTAGTAGTAGGAATACTTTATTAAAAAGAAAATCTTACACAAAAATCTTAAAAGATAGAGCAAATAAAAGTGGCACGTTAATCAGATACATTAAGTTTAGTTTTTAACATTTATGTAAGATAGTCATCAAATTTTAAAAATACAAATATTTTGGAAATCACAAAATGTTTTGAAAAAGAAATTGAATTAGGGGATTTTGCATGAAAAATTTCAAGGACAAATAAGTCTAAGCATCTGTTTTATCTTACAATTTTGTTTTGATTAGTTGAGCAGAGTAAAATCCAAATACATATAAGTGGGCAGCTACAACAATAACAGCATTCTATTCGCAGGATGCTCTTCATTTAAAATGTAGCAGAATCCTGAATAATAGAGGGTTTTTTCCCATTTTTCAATAAATAGCAACCTCTAATTACTGCTTACATTCTCTCACAGGTGAAACATTTATAATGAGCAGAAGACTGGGATCCTTAGCCAGTTTGACACTTTATTTTTGGTGAAAAATAAGTTTCCAAATATATCTTAAAATGATATAAATCAGTGATTTTTTTTATTAGGTCTCAGTTATGTTGGTGACATTTGTCTCAGATACTTGCTTAAGTTTTCAAGACACTCCACATGTTTTCTGTTTGTCAAGTTAAATCCCAAATCCATTCCCTAACACTATATGCTATAGCACGTAGTTTAACAGTGCAATCCCCTGCTGCCAAATGAAGCCTTCCGATATACTAAAAAATAAAAATACTCTGAGAGGCTGAGGCAGGAGAATCGCTTGAATGCAGGAGGCAGAGGTTACGGTCAGCTAAGATCGCACCATTGCGCTCCAGCCTGGGCAAAAAGAGAGAAACTTCGTCTCCGAAATAATAATAATAATAATAATAATAATAATAATAATATAAAATATCCAACCCATTTCAAACATATTGTACAAACATGTTTGAAAGAGATGATGCATTTGAGATATTAAGCAAATGAATTATTTTCATCCACAAAATAATGAGTTTGTCTCGTATGATATATTCAAACCTCCACCTTGATTCTAGACTGTTACAAATATTTCTGAAAAAGCCTGCTATTTAATAAGATTATTAATACATTTGACAATTTTGTGACAGCTTCCAAACTGGTTTTGAAAGATGCTGGCTTCTATGATTTCTTTGCAACATGTGGTGCTGACTTGAACACATTTCAGCAATAGATTCATACTTGCCATCTCGGCAGTTGTTGACCTCAGTGTTTTCACACTGCCAGTACAGATGTCACATTTTTGCCAACATCCTTTATGGGGTGTAAAGAGTGATCCAAACACTAGCAAAAAATTCCCCTGTTGTCTAAGTGTCAAGCGTTTAAATTAATGCATCTTCCTAACGTTCACCTTCATGTACAGTATAAAATAAGCAAATGGAAATCAGAAACGCAGGTACTCTCACTGAAATGAACTGTAAATGGGGCAGTTATGAATCCCAGCCCATAAATTCAAGTGCACAAAGAATATAAATATTTAATCCAACAATTTCTACATCAAGCTCTCATTTATTAGGCTGTAAGTTACTAAGTATTTGAGTGTTTCTTCCTATCCCTAGAAGTATATCAAAGTTCCCAGTGAGTTTATGCAATACTAGGTATTAGGACAGCCACCCCTGGTAGTATTTGGTATTTGAACTTCATCAATGACTATTGAAATATCTATTTCCTTTTTCAGATCCTGTGAGTCTTCTAAGGTACCTCCCTGCTTGCTAGGGCATAGGAATTTGCACATGGGAATCTACAGTCTTTTATGCCAAGAAACAATTCCCAGAAATCATTTCCTTCTCAAGTGGCTTTCTGGCCTCCCTGGAGCTCAACACAGTTTTTAGGGCTCAAGGTCCCTCTTTCTATTTATTTTCTGCTCCCATCATTTCTTTATTTTTCCTTCCTGACCAAGATGTTTTTTTTTTTCTTTTTTATTACAGGAACAAAAAGACATATTATTTTCTGCCTGTTCCTTGTGGGAAAAAATTCAAATTTTCTAAATTTTATAAGGGCTGCAATTTCCGAAATATTCTTCCATTCATTCAGGAAGTACTTGAATATCTACTAAATGCCAACCACTCTTTTCTGGATGTTTAGCAGTAAGCAAAAACAAAGTTATGCTTGTGGAAAGAAACAAAAAAAATAAGCAATTTAAAAAATAAATATAAACCATATTCTGAGAATGCTAATTTTTGCATTTTGTAAGGGGATAAATGGAGAAATGCTCACTAAAAAAGTGACATTTGAGGAGATACATGAGTGAAATACAGAATTTGGAAAGAAAAATTAGTAACTGCAACATCCTTGATACAGGCTGGAGTTGGCTAGCTTTATTCAGGATTATCAAGAAGGCCAATATAATTGGAGCCGAGAGGGCAAAGGGAGGAAGGAATAGTTATATAATAAAAACCAATGTGGACTTCCAGCCTTTTTTGTCTACCTTCACCCCTTTCCAGAGTCAGCACAGAGGTGGCTATGGAAAAAGAGAAAAAAAATCTTCAATAAAAACGGAAAGTAAAAAGAGTGGAAACTAATATCTCAAATGTTTTCTAAACTAACAAAGATTCCACAGAATTTCAGACTTTGGACAAATGTTATCATTCTTATTAGATGGTCATTCTTGGAATTGTTTCTGCTTAGAATTATCTGAAAATGGCACTGCTTGCAGTTCCCTCCCAGTTGATTCATATCATGTACTTGTTGCAATGTTAGTCATCCAGGAATTTTATCCTAATTATATCTGCTGCTCCTTTGATTGCAATGAATTTAATTCACCTTACCTATTAACTTACTTAAACTCTTTTAGTATTGTTAAGCCATTCACAATAAGCTAAAAGGAAGCTAAAGGTTTGTTTATGTTCTTTAGTCTATGCTTAAAATAACACATAGACTTTTGCAGGGTCCACAAAACTATTGTACAAAAGTGCACAATATAAAATTCTTTAAGAATTTGGGCAGTGTTTATCCAAATATTTGTGAAATGCAAAGACATTATACTTTCTTGTCTTTCAGTGAATTCACATAAACATTATTAGGCCACCCCTTTAATTCATGCATTATTGACAATGTGGTTGATACTGGTTGAAGAAACAGTCATTGAGGAATACTAAAAATTGTCCTTTGATCTAAAACCTAAAATATCAGTCATTGTCAAAGCTTATTTTAAAATTTCTTGCTATTACTGGTGATAAAGTTCTACATTTAAGAAAAATTATTTGTACCTCACTTGAAAAGAAATAACTTTTGTAAGTGTAAATTTAGGATGGTTACCAAAAAATAAACTTCACATACTCTAATAGTGGAATAAGCTTCAGAACCATTTATAAAAATGACTAATGCAGCATTATCAAGACTTAGCTACATGTTCACTTGTTATTGTATAACTCTCAGGAGCATGCATGGAGCTTTGTCTGGCATTTAATTAAGCCCATTTTATGTCTGTCATGAAAGAATACTGGCTTGAAAAAATGATTATGAAAAGTCATGCTCAACCCTACGTTCAAAGAATGATGCACGCAAAGCTACAAACAAATGTATGCCCAGAAATGGCCAGAAAATGTTATTGGGGTTGTACAGAAATGAGTTGAACTGACATAAAAAATTAACAATAGTCACTGATATGTTAACAGATGCTAAAAGCCACATTTGCTTGGGTAGTTTACCCATAGTTTTAAAATGTTTAAATAAAATGTTTTATAAATGCAAATTATACATTTATTGAGAACTTGGAGCTTAATCAGCAGTTTGAAACTTTGATCACTCCAAATTATCAGAATAGAATAAGGAACAGAAGCTAGTCTCTGCTTCTTTATAACCTGGTCAGCTGTGTAAACATATAGAAAAAAGAATAGTATGAACCGAGTGAGAGATAATATTTATCAACTCTACATTTTTCAGAGCTCCAACAAATTCCAGCAGGCCCAGTGTAGAGCCAGAGCCAAGGACACCATAGAAAATAGTTGGCAGCAAAGACACCAAAGAAAATAGTTGGCAGCAAAGACACCAAAGAAAATAGTTGGCAGCAAAGCCAGGCAAAGGAAACAAATTAGAAAATGGTAGCCTACCTTATTTGAAACCAGGGTAAGCCTGACACAGAATATTGTATACAAATTATAATTTTTCCACCTCAGGAAGGATATGTTTAAAAATTCAAACAGGTGGAGAAGCTTCTATCAAGTAATAAAAGATTAACACCTTTAGATTTTAGTGACAGATTAAGATGAACTAGTGAGCTTTCAGTCTTCTCTTTACTCACTTTCTCATCGCTGACTAGAGCTCTCTTTCCAAACCACAAATCTGCTTTTGCCCATCTATTAGCCATTTAGGAACTTTTGAATTCCTATGAGATAAAGCCTACTTTCTTCAACATGCCATGTCAGGTCCACCACAATTAAGCTGCAAGGTAAGGTTTTACCTGTAATTCCACTCATATTCGATCCCCTCACGTTTAGTCTATTCAGGAATATCCATTATTCCCCCAAAACTCCTTGAAATTTTACTATGCTATTATTCCCTCTCGCAGAACACCTTCTTTCTCCGTTCCCTTCCCTTCCCTTCCCTTCCCTTCCCTTCCCTTCCCTTCCCTTCCCTTCCCTTCCCTTCCCTTCCCTTCCCTTCCCTTCCTTTCCCTTCCCTTTCTCCCTTTCTCTCTCTCTTTCTCTCTTTCTCTTTCTTTCTTTGCTGTCTTTCTCTCTTTCTTTCTTAGACGGAGTCTCGGTCTATCTCCCAGGCTCAAGTGCAGTCATGCCATCTCAGCTCACTGCAACCTCTGCCCCCTGGGTTCAAGCAATTCTCCTGCCTCAGCCTCCCGAGTAGCTGGGATTACAGGTGTGCGCCACTATACCCGGCTAATTTTTGTACTTTTAGTAGAGACAGGGTTTCCCCATGTTAACCAGGCTGGTCTCGAACTCCTGACCTCAAGTTATCTGCCTGCCTCGGCCTCCCAAGTTGCTGGAATTACAGGAGTGAGCTACTGCGCCCAGCCCCTTTTCTACCAGTTAGACTTTAGCACCTCATTCAACACCAAATGACATTGTGTCAGGAGAGTAAGTGTTCTCCCTAGTCTTCACCTATATTAACAACCTTACTTTTTCTGTAGCAATATTTATTCTCTGCGTTGTCCATATTAACAGGACCACACTTTTCCCATAGTAGCCATGTACCCCTCTTAAGAAAAAAGAGACATTGCCCAGACTCTTTTATAATTATGTGTGGCCCAGAATAGACAATGAGATATAAGTGGAAGTCATCTGGGGGGACTTTCAGGGTCTTTTTACCTTTCCTTTCCTTTGTGACTTACCTTACCTTACCTTACCTTTCCTTTGTGACTACAAAGCAAGGTCACATGCTGAGGAGAGTAGGATAAAAATACATAGAATCTAGTTCCCTGGTGTCATTTTAAGATGCTGCACTTCTAGATTTCTTGTTACATATTAAAGTTAATTCTCTCATTTGTTTGAGATGTTTCTCAGTTATATTTTGTGTTACTCCAGAATTATAATTATTTGTTTGCATTTTAGTCTCCTCCACAGGAGCATAAATTCATAGAAATGTGTTCATCTTTGTTTCCACAAAGTATAATATCTAGCACAAAGTAGGTGGTAATTTATGAGTAGTGGCAATTTGATTGCTGCTATTAAAAACTTTATTGCATGAAAAGGACATTTATGTCTCTGACCAGAAATAGACTGGTAAAAGTTTTAATAAATGTATGGAACATGGGTTAATAACAGGTGATTGATGGTAGAACTGTTGCTGTAGGGCATTATAGGCAACTTTTGTAACATCATAAGGAAGTCAACTGCTAACTGTCATTGGAGCCATTATAAGTCTCAGAATAAGGAATAGAAAGTACAACTTTTACATGACCTAGTATGACATGTTCTCTTTTTAATGAAAAAAAAATCCATGGAAAGAAAACTGTGATGTTGAAAGACTCTCAAAAGAGAATCTTTCAGAAGTAAAAGACAGAAAATAATTTTGCAGCAAAAAACATTTCATGCCAAGAATCACAATCACATTCATAATTTGGAGTCTGGGTCTTCCAAGAAGCTGGAGAACCTGTGCTTCCCTCTTTCTTCTGCTAATTTCAACTAATAACCCTGGATATTATGTGCAAAATAAGAAGACAAAAACCCTGCTATTATATAGATAAGAAGACTGTGAAATATAGCAAGAAGAAGGCAGACAGGTTGATGACACCCAAAGAATGACACGATGGGCTTATTTTTACCTCATATATCCCACACATGGAGCTAAAGAAGCTGGCAACCTCAAGATACCAGTCGGCACAGACAACTCCTCCCTCCCCTCCAAAAAAATTTTGCTCTCTTAAGCCAAAGGATAAGGAAAGTGGAAGCCTAACAAGACAGAAGATTTTAGAAAATAACAGCTATATGGCTGGGCGTGGTGGCTCACGCCTGTAATCCCAGCACTTTGGGAGGCTGAGGTGGGTGGATCATGAAGTCAGGAGTTCGAGACCATCCTGGCCAACATGGTGAAACCCTGTCTCTACTAAAAATATAAAAAGTAGCTGGGCATGGTGGTGTGTGCCTGTAGTCCCAGCTACTCAGGAGGCAGAGGCAGGAGAATCACTTGAACCCAGGAGGCGGAGGTTGCAGTGAGCTGAGATCGTGCCATTGCACTCCAGCCTGGGTGACAGAGTGAGACTCTGTCTCGAAAAATAAAATAACAGCTACATTTTAGTTATTTATCACATAAATTACTGTGGCCTGAGTCCAGCCCACACCAGCCAACCAAGCCAGAATCCTGGGCTTTCACCATCACCAGGTGGTAATGACAAACGCCCCCCATTTCCCCCACCCTCCACAAAAGTCATATCAAAGAAAGACATCTTTCCTCTCTGAGTAACAGCAAGTCCCTGTAGTGTCAGTGGAGACCAGGTGGGAAAGCTGGATGTCCACTCCAACTCAACAGTAATAAGGCATCCTCCCACATGTTCGAGTGATGTCAGAAGACCAGGGGAGAGTCAGGACTTTTAACACTTCTCAGTGGTAATGAGATCAACCCCCTACCCCAAGTGTCAGTGGGGACCACATGGGAAACAGGAAATAGGCACTCCTACGCCTCCCAGCGAGGGAGGTATCATACGTTTCTAGTGGGGGCTGGTCATCCCAACTCCATCCGTCTCCAAACATTTTATATATATATATATATATATTTAAATTTTCATTTTAGATTTGAGGGTACATGTGAAGGTTAGTTACATAGATAAACATGTGACATGAGGGTTGGTTGTGCATATTAGCATATCACCCAGGTATTCAACTCAGTAACCAGTAGTTATCTTTTCTGCTTCCCCTCTTCCTCCCACCCTTCCCCCTGAGGTAAATCCCAGTGTCTGTTGTTTCCTTCTTTGTGTTCATAAGTTCTTATCATTTAGCTCTCTTCCAAACACTTTAAAACCTAACCACATGCTTCTAAATAATCTATGCATAAAACAGATAGCCTCAAGAAAAATAAAAAAATATACATTGCCTTGCTAGAAGGAATATAAAAATGTAGTCCAAAAAATTGTAGGACATACCTAAAGTAGTGCTGAGATAAAATTTATAGCAGTAGATGCATACGTAAAAGAAGAAAAGTCTCAGCCGGGCGCGGTGGCTCAAGCCTGTAATCCCAGCAGTTTGGGAGCCTAACGCGGGCAGATCACCTGAGGTCAGGAGTTCGAGACCAGCCAGGCCAGCATGGTGAAACCCTGTCTCTACTAAAAAAATACAAAAATTAGCCGGTCTACGTGGCATAAGCCTGTAATCGCAGCTACTCGGGAAGCTGAGGTAGGAGAATTGCTTGAACCCAGGAGGTGGAGGTTACGGTGACCTGAGACTGTGACACTGCACTCCAGCCTGGGCAACAGCGTGAGACTCCATCTCAAAAAAAATAATAAAAGTCTGAAATTAATAATTTAAACTTCCACCACAAGAAGATATAAAAAGAAAAGCAAAATAAACATAAGACACATATAAAAAGTAAGTAGGAATGTGGGCTGGAAGAAAATGGGTATGCCTGTAGAAGAGAAAATAATAAAGATAAGAGCAGAAATCAACGAAATTGATAATGGAAAAATAATAGAGAAAATCAGTGAACCAAACATCTGGTTCTTCAAAATGATTGATGAAGCTGAAAAACCTAACACAAGACTGTAAAAGAAAAAAAGAGAAGACACAAATTATCAATACAAAAAATAAAATAGATCCTGCCAAAATCAAAATGATAACAAGAGAATATGGCAAACAACTCTACAAACATAAATTTTAAAACTTTGAAGAAATGTGTCAATTCCTCAAAATTAAACTACCACAATTCACCCAATATGAAATAGATAATTTGAATAGACTTATATTTCTATATCTCTTAAGTAATTTAATTCATAATTTAAAACTTCCCCAAAATAGTTTCCAGGCCCAGATTATTTCACTGAAGAACTCAATTCAACATTTAAAGAATAACTTACATCAATTCTACACTCCATCTTCCAGAAAATAGAAAAGGAAGGAAAACTTGTCATTCATTTTTGAAGCTAGTATTGCCCTGATGCCAAAACCAAAGAAAAGCAATATAAAATAAAAAACGATAGACCAAAATCTATCATTAATATAGATACAAAATGTTTTAGCAAGATGTTAGCAAATAGAATTCTACAGTATATTAAGAAAAATACATCATTACCAACTAAGGTTTATTCCGTGAATGCAAGACTGGTGCCATAATTGAATATCAGTCAATATAACCTATTATTTCAGCAAGCTAAAGTAGAAAATCACATAATATCTACCAGCAGAGTAAAAGGATTTCATAAATTTTAACATCAATAATAATTTAAATAATTTCAGAAAAATAGAACTATTTGGGAATAGAAAGGAACTTCCTCAACTTGGTAAAAAGCATTAATCGTAAAACTTACAACTGACATTATACTTAATGGTGAAACACTGAATGCTTTTTTACAAAGGGTGAGAACAAGACAAAGATGTTTGCTTCACTGCTCATTCGGCATGCTGCTGCAAGTTCTAGCCAGTGCAGTAAGGCAAAAAGAAAAGATAGAAGAAAATAGAAAGCATACAGATAATAAAGGAAGAAATAAAACTATCCCTCTTTGAAGAAGACGTGATGGATTGTCTATATAGGGAATCCCAAGTAATCTACCAAAAAACACCTACAACTAATAAATTAATTCAATAAACATGCAAAAGGTAACTTTATTTCTAAATATTAGCAATGTCTACATGAATATAAGAATTAAAAATACAATACCATTTAGAGTTGTTGAAAATATAAGAAGCACTCAAGTGTAAATCTATCAATGCATATAAGGAGATTGTATGCTGAAAATTACAAAATGCTGATGAAAGAAAAGGAGATCAAAATTAATTTAGATATATGCCATTTTCATGGACTAGAAGACTAAATAAACATAGTAAAGATATTGATCGCATTAAATTGATGTAGAGGTTTAACATAACACCTCTCAAAACCCAAGCAAGAATTTTGTAGATATAGAAAAACATCACTCTAAAATTTGCATGGAAAATCAAAGGAATCAGAACAGCCAAGATAATTTTGTGGAAGAATAATGAAGTGGGAACTACTCTAGTTCATAATTTATATAGCTACAGTAATAAAGATTGTGTTGTCTTGTCATAGAGATACATACGTAGATCAATGGAAAAGAATGAACCCACACAAATATGACCAACTGATTCTGTAAAAGTGCAAGAGTTATTCACTAGAAAAGAGATAACCATTTAAATAAATGAATAATTGGTGCTAGAGCAACTGGACATCCATAGACAGAAAAATAAAATCTCACACTCTTAAGAATATTAACTCAAAATCCTTCATGGACTTCAAAGTAAAACATAAAGCTATAAAACTTTTAGAGAAAAACATATGAGAAAATCTTGGCATCTAGATTGAAAACAAGTTCATTAGAATTTACAAAAATAACACACTACATTAAAAAAATGATAAACTGAACTTCATCAAAACAAAACAAAAACTTTTGATTTGTAAGAGATCAAGAGGATACAAATACAAGCCCAAGCAACAAAGTGAGAGAAAATATTATCAACTATTTATCCCAAAAAGGACTAATGTCTAGAATATATAAAGAACTCTCAAAACTTGACATTATAAATCAAATAATCCAATTAGAAAATTGGCAAAAGCCAAGAACTATTTCATTAAAGAGAATATAGAGATGGCCGATAAGCATATGAAAAGTTGTTTGGCATTATTAGCTATTAAGGAAATGCAAATTAATACCACACTGTGGTATGACTATATACCTGTCAGGATGATTCATTAAAATAAAAAGTAGCGACAACACCAAATGCCAAATCACTCATACATTACAGGCAAAGCAAATTTTGTCTATTTCTTACAAAACTAAACATACCTTTGCCATATGACCCAGCAATTGCACTCTTGGGCATCCATCCCAGAGAAATAAAAACTTATGTTCATACAACAACCTATACACAAATATTTATAGAATCCTTATTCATAATAGTCCAAAACTGGGAACAACCCAGATGCCTTAAACAAACTGTGATATGTTCATATAATGGAATACATCTCAACACTAAAAATGAGCCAACTATTTTTACAAGCAACAACTTGAATAAATCTTTAGAAAACTAAGCTGAATTAGAAATGACAATCCCCCATGCAATACATATTTTATGAGTCCATTTATAAAATATTTTTGAAAGGATAAAATTATAGAAAGGGAGAACAAATTAGTTATTGCCTATGATTTTAGAAGGGGTGTGGGCTGGAAGGATCTTGTATTCTGTAAAACAACAACATGAGAGGTCTTTGTCTTGATAGACATGTTCTATGTTAACTCTATTAATGTCAACATCCTTGTCATAATATTTTACCATAGTTTTGCAAAATGTTACCCATGGGACAAATGAGGTAAAGATTACAATGAGATTGCTCTATATTATTTCTTACAACTACATATGAATTTTCAATTACCTCAAGAAGTTTAGTTCGAAAAAGGAGAAAGAAAAGCATTCAGACAAACAAAATTACTTGTCTCCCATATTTTTAAAACTTGAATTCAATCCAAATGACTTTGAGGCTTTGCCTGATAGCCACATGCAAACAGTAACATATAACCAACAGCTGATTTTTAATTGTGCAGGACAACTATACTGTGATAGACTGAATATTTATTTATCTGAGTCAGGGACTTAAGAGTTCAACTGCTCAGGTCCTGAAGTTTTAGCAAATTATTTTCTGCCAGAATTTGTTCATCAGTAATGATTATTTCTTTGTTTTTCTCAGCATCTGATTCAATAAGATTTTCACCTTAGAAATGTAAATGTCAACAATTGTGTGATAGAACTTGCATCTATAAAAAAGAACAATATATGTTTTCCAGTAAGAGCTATCATCTATATTTAGTTTTCTTGAGTATTTTCAAAATAAATAAAATAAGAAATAAACAAAAACAAAAGATACTTGAGTCAGGCATAGGTATATTTGGTTAATGGAGAGTCATTTAACTATTCCTCTGTACATGAGTAGACAATTCTCAAAAGAAGATATACAAATGGTCAACAAACATTTAAAAACATGCTCAACATCACTAATGATCAGGAAAATGCAAATCAAAACCACAATGCAATACTACCTACTCCTGCAAGAATGGCCATAATAAAAAAAAAATAGATGTTGGAGTGGATGCGGTGAAAAGGGAACACTTCTACACTGCTGGAGGGAATGTAAGCTAGTACAACACTATGAAAAACAGTGTGGAGATTCCTTAAAGAACTAAAAGTAGAACTACCATTTGATCCAGCAATCCCACTACTGGTATCTACCCAGAGGAAAAGAAGTCATTACAGGAAAAAGATATTTGAACACACATGTGGGTATATATATATATATATATATATATATATATATATATATATATATATATATATATAGAGAGAGAGAGAGAGAGAGAGAGAGAGAGAGAGAGAGAGAGAGAGAGAGGTGATGGAATACTACTAAGCCATAAAAAGGAATCAATTAATGGCATTCACAGCAACTTGGATGGAACTGGAGACTATTACTCGAAGTGAAGTAACAAAGGAAGGGAAAACCAAACATCGTATGTTCTCACTCATAAGTGGGAACTAAGCTATGAGAGTGCAAAGGCATAAGAATGATACAATGGACTAATGGACTTTGGGGACTCAGGGGAAAGGGTGGAGGAGGGGGAGGGATAAAAAACTAAAAATTTGGTTCAGCGTATACTGCTAGGGTGATGGGTGTACCAGAATCTTAACAACACCAAAGAATTTACTCATGTAATCAAATACCACCTGTTCCTCAAAAACCTGTAGAAATAATTTTTTTTAAATTACAGGAAAAAGAACCAATGGTTCTAATAATAAACACTTTAAACCATTATAACCTTCTCAGTCAAAAAAGCTCTCTTTTTATTCAAAATAGACAAATCTGGAGAAGTGACACAGCAAGGATCCTGTCTTACAAAGAAAATATGCTCATATCCCAAACTTTTATTTTTTTTTTTCATTTGTAGAAATGTCTTTGTGCTTTTTCCAAAGTGCTGCTTCTTCAGTTGGGCTGCTGAAAGCTGTAAAGGTGAAGTGGAGCTCTAAGCGGGACCTCGTTTCATAAGGATGCTTTTTTGCCTCATAACATAATAGGCTCTAATCTAAAATAAGAAAAACAATCTTTGGAAATAAAGCCATAGTCTTAAAATCTCGCCTGCCTTTGCAGATTTCCTTTTACCAAAGTGCATCAGAGCACTTAAAGTGGGACCTGACTTCCAATGGAAACATGTAAAAACAATAATAATTCTAGTGTCCTGGTGACAGCTCTTTGACTCTCTTTAGGCTTTCTGTGATTTGCCTACTTTTTAAAAACATTTTTCCGTTATTCACAATGGCAAAAAAGTGAAATGAAAACAGTTTTGTTTTCTTTGCTAAAGAGAGACCAGACATTTTTTTTTAAAGCTTTCTTCCTTTCAATTTGTTTCTTGCATGTTGGCACCATTACCAATTGTTCTGCTGGTGCTAGTGTCTAAGAAGCTTATACAATTAGTTTTATGAAAATTTTCCAAAGTAAAACTGCATTCATGTAGTCTCATGAAATTTTTTGTCAACTGGGTAACGATGTTATTATAAAATCTATAAAATCATACTCAAGTATTAAATTATATGAAAAACCACTAGTCATAAACACAGTAACAATGCAATCATGACTTCTTAAGGTTGTTCTAGTTTGTAATGGAGTATAAAGTCCCCATTTTGTGTGAGTGAATTTTCATTGGCAACAAATAAAAACTATCTGAAAATTGAAAAAGTCATATTATCATCAGTATGTTTACCATACTTCTGGATTCATATAGTGCATCCTTTCTTTGAAGTTGTGTGGGAGGTGATTTATTATTTGTTCATCACCATTTTGAAGGTGAAAACATCTCTTTTTATTGTCTACCCATTTATTTACTTATACATTTTTTTCCTTTTATCAGAAAGGCAGTATAGTAAAAACATTGTATTTTTCAATTCCTGTGGAAAAAATAAGAGAATACAAATCAGATAGTTTTGCCCAAAAATATAGGTTAAGAAATACTACTGCAACTGAAAACCAAATATAATTCCATACATTCTAGCAGTCAAGACAAAAAAAATTATCCATTGCTTAAAAAATTATACTAGTTCACCATAGTAAAATAAAGTATAATACTCAGAAGAATTTTTGACGTGACTATGCTGGAAACATTCATCTTTGATAAATGCTTTGTGAAATCTGAAGAAATATGCTTTCCATAGACTAGGAATTTTCTTTTATATTTCAGGGAATTTATGGAAAAGCTTTACTTTTCCATAAATATGGTTTACATAAACCATACTATGTTAGAAGCAGAACTAAAATTGTGAACCTGATCTTCCAATTCTGATGTTTTGTCCCATTGATTATGCATAGTCTAACCTTCTATTGTTCTTATTTGGAGAACTAGTACAACCCTTTGAAGATGAAATATGTAGGCGTTAGAATCATTGTAATATATAGGTCTTTTTGACCTTATAGGCCCTGACCCCAAAAGAGGGGCTAATTGAACCAATTTGGCAATAATTGGCTGCAGTGAGATGGTTTAACACTGAGGTAAAGGCCCCCACATTTTGCATATGTCTAAAATTCCTTATAGGAAAAGAAATCCTTTTATTTTACCATCAAAGTGATGTACATAAAAGTAAATAACTCTGGAAAAGGTAATAATTTGCCTTAGTATCTCATTAAGCTTTAATGGAGAAGAAAACTGATAGCATGAAGACAATTTTGGGGTGAGAGAAAAAAAAGAAAGAGACAGGTGTGCTTCTGTTGTAAGCTTCACAAAATACAGATTTCTGAATTACATCTTCAATTGTCCTGCTGTATTATACTGAATGGGGTTCCAAAAGTCTTCATAATTAACAAATGAACTCCTTGGGTAACACTGATATGGGCTGTCTACAAACTTCATTCAGGGAGACCATTAGTGGGAGGGAGACCCAGAAGCAAAGGCCATTTTGGCAACAGGATCAACAGGTGAAGATGAACTTGGCACAATCTATGGTTTCCAATCTAAAAAGTATCAATGTGCACAAAGAAGCATTAATTAGGGATTATTTTCTAATAAAGCTTATATACCATAAAGCATCCTTTTGAAATAGAAAATGTAGGTCAGGCACAGTGGTTCACCCATGTAATCCCAGCATTTTGGGAGGCTGAGGCGGGAGAATTGCTTGATCCCAGGAGTTCAAGACCAGCCTGGGCAACTTGTCCATATGCTGTCTCTACAAAAAATTTAAAAAAATTAGGCAGGCTTGGTGGCACATGTCTGTGGCCCCAGCTACTTGGGAGGCTGAGGCAGGAGGATCAATTGAGCCCAGGAGGCCAAGGCTGCAGTGTGCCATGACAGTGCCACTTCACCCCAGCCTGGGTGACAGAGCAAGACCCTTTCTCATAAAAAAAAAAGAAGAAATAGAAAATATATTCAACCTACTCTTTAATTGCTAACTTTTATGTCTGCTTACTATGTGCCAGGCAATTTTCCAAGTGTTTTCATGTATTGACTTATCCTTACAACAAACTATGAGGGAAATGCTAATTAAAATCATCTTTATCCTGTTGCAGCAATGAGGAAACGGAAGCATAGGGAAGTTCGGTATCTTGCTCTGGTTCACAGCAAATGAAACATAGAGCCACGGTCTCTATGTTTCTATGCCTCACCAGGCATTTGGTCTCCAGAGCTGAACTCTTGACCGCTGTGTTATTTATGTAGTTTCTCAAATATCCTTTAATGAGAGAGAGATTTTAGTTTAGGAAACTATATGTAATGTATATATAATATATAAATATACAATGTGTGTGTGTATATATGTAATGACATATGACTCAAAATCTTAATGTAACACATCTACCAGATATTAATTTCATGATGTATTTTATTATAAATTAAATGCCTTAAAAGAATGGAAGTTTGAGAGCTTTACATCATCCCTGTATACTCCTGGAAGAGAAGCAATAAGCTATTCTACACTAAACTCATTATCAATATATTATTTAAAGGAAAAAGGAAAAGAAAATAAAGAAGAAATGGAGGGAGTTAAAATATTCAGAAAAAAATGACAGAAGTAGCAAAAACTAATGAAATAAAAATAACCTGGTCACAAAATTAGTAAAGCAAAGATTGATGGACTCTCTTTTTGTTCTTTGCCAAAAGCAGTAAATGAGAAGGTAGACTAAAAGTAACAACAAAAGGAATCAGCTAGTTGGTAGAATTGTTTTGAAAATATATAGTAAAATAAAAATCTCCATGATTGTTATAGTTGCTCAAATACTTTTGAGTTAAGTGCATTATTTCAAGAGATTCAGATAGTTTTAACAATTATTTTCACACATCGTTTATCAATTTGCGTCATGTTCAAACACTTGGCAATCTGTGGTGAAGGTTAATCTTGGTCATTAAAGTTTCTGTATAAGGGAATTCCAATATCCTAATAAAATATATTTTAATCCCTACACAGTGTAAGAAGATTTTAGCACAATTGCAAACACAGAATATTTTAAAATTTAAACACTTGATTTAAGATATGTATATACACACACACACATATATATGTTAACATTTCTATTCCTTGACACAGATTTATTTTGCCATTAAATAGCTATGATGAATGGGGAAAAAAACAGAAAGGAAACTGTAATAGGATGAGGAAATAAAAATGTCAAACCTTGAGTGTATATATATTTTTGAATGGGGGAGGAGAAGCCTTAGTTTATTTTTTTCAATTTGAAGTTATTGTCTAATGGAATATTTTGTTGGATGGGCAAAGTAAAATTTCATTATAAAGAATGTTAAATATGGCTTCTCAAATAGAAATAAAATACCCCCCTACTAAGGTATACTTAAGAAAATATTTGTTTCTTCCTTTAAAATCATGTTTTCATTTAGTCACTGAAAATGTCTTATGTTATCACTGTAACTAAATAAAGCCTACTCTGATTTCTCTCTGTTAAACAAAATGAAGTCTTAGATCTTTTATTTTTACAAGTTTCGGAGCAATGCATAATTTTTTAGTCTGTCAAAGCCAGATTTATATTTTGAAGATAATAGCGGACTTCGCTAAATAGATGGCGGATCCCAGGTACTGTACAATTTATTTAATATTTTTATCATATTTCAACTATATACTTATGTAAAAGTTGGAATAAATTATGTGTAATAACATAAATATCATTCCAACAGTGTGGTTTATAAATATTAAAGAAAAAATCCTAAAACATTAAAGACTAAATTAACTTTAATGTATATGAGAGTCTTTTAGAATATTTCTTTTAAGGGACAAAAGAAGTCATTATTTTAATGTTTATTTTTTGAAAAGATGATTTTAAATTGTTCAATGAAGATCATACAAAAATGTATTAAATTATAAACATTATACAAATCAAGATACTCATTTGAAAACAAATTTCTATGAAAGTTGACATTGCAAACATATTCTCCTTCAAGGCTGGAAACAAAATGCTTCTTCAGGTAAGTACATTCCACTTACTTTTTTAAAAAATTCCAAAGTATCACTGAAAAATAATTTTCATTAAATTATTAAAGACAAAAATGGCAGGACTATGGGAGGTGTAGCCTTGAGAAAGATTGGCTTTGAACCATGCTGCACTGCATTATACTCCAATCAAGCAGTCAGGTTTGCTCACCTCTAGAATTCACATTTGCTGATTATCATTTAAGTACATTAATTGGTTACAGTGTAATTTCTGGCTAGACCCATATGAACAAAGAATAGTTACTGATGGCTCATTCACAGTTTTAGTCCCTTTTGTGTAGTTGGCTAGGAGATTCCCTCCAGATTTCTCTATCATCACCTACACAGCTCTCCCACTGGCTATAAAATACTGCAGCAGCTTGTAGGTAATTGATCAGACAAGTGAACTGTAAAATATTCATTTTCTACTTCAACAGCCAAATAAATCTCTTGGGAAAAGGATGAAAATATTGCTTATGCACATCAGGTCAGTAGAGTAATAGCAAGGTTGCTGATAAGCAGGGGTCCACTACAGAGCGAATACTTAATTCGGTGCTATGCCAGAGACTGAGCGCATACAGGCTCCCCCATGCCTGAAGCTACAAGTCTCATTATATACTGAACCTGAGGCATCAACATCAGTGCCCTAGTCATGTTGCTCAAAGGATAGTGCTTCCTCTCTTAATTAATCAGGTTCATCTTGGCATAACATGCCAAATAGCCAATTAACATTTAGCTACTGTAACCAACATGCTAAACACTAAATTGCTAATGAAACAAGAGTGAGTAGGAAGGTAGCTGTGCAAAGGATGATGGGAAAACAGGTTGGCAGATTGCTTTATAACACCTTCATTGTTTGTTTTCTCTTCTACTTGGTTTCTTCCTCTCTGCCCACTTTTTAAATAACTGTTAAGCTTCTTTAATTGAAAATTATTAGAAGTAGACTCTCCTCAGACCAGTTAAGTTACAGCAAAATGTAGTTCATTGTTTTAATCTCGCTCTGTGTTTGCAATAATAAAAAATGTTAAGAGAACTTTGCCTTGGTCTTGTCCCTATTTCATATTTATAAGGAGCCTCAATCAGTGGAATATAAACTTGAAGATTATTTTTCTGCAATCATAACTTTTGCTAGAGCCTTAATATATTTTCCTTTTTTGTCCCTTCATGGAATTTTGAGTAGATTTTAAAAGTGGTCCAGACACTATAGTCATTAAAACATAGTGTACTTTGTAACTTTAATTTGTAATCTTGGTTTCAAACTCATCTCTTCCCCTGTCTGTTGCATAGGCTTGGGTCCCTCTCCCCCTCTTTTGAAGCTTGTGTCCTCCAGCGTAGAAGTGAGGAGAAGGAGGAAAATAATTTAAGTGATCATAGTTGTACTCCATTGGGTGTCACTATTTCTTAAACTTACCCTGATAAGATATTGATATTTTTGTAGGGGAGAAAAAATAATTGTTTTCTTCAATTCTCATAAGTTCTTAGTAGGAACAGATCCCTATAACAAAAGACACATTAACAAATAAAAGGAAGTCTATTAACATAATATTTTATGTGTACATGGGAGATACACACGGAATGAGTAATTCTAAAAGAGGTGCCTTTAAATTCCAGCTTATATAGATAGCGTCTTTGATAAAGAATAGTGAATTTTTAGAGAAGTGACAAGACAAAAGAAAAGGACTTTGAGTCTTTAGGGGCAGCAGATTGTGAGGAGATGAACGCATGGCAGATAGAGGCTAATTAGTAAAGCTTGCTGATATAGATCCTTCCGGTGCCACCTCCAGGGGCATAAGAGCTAAAGTTGTCTTCAGTGCTTAACCTTTGTCCTCCCTGGTAGGGAAAAAAGGAGGATACTGTTTGTAAATTTATGCCTTGTGTTTAGATGAAGAGAGGAAGAGCCAAGAGGTTTCTCTCATCTGCTTCTTCTCAATTGCTTTCAGCTCAAAACCGTCCTTATGCCAAGACATATTCTGGTCTCTCACTTCCTTTTCCTGGCAAGTGTTTAAAGGATGATTCTCAGAGCAACACCTCTGTGAACTCTTTGGGGAGCTTTTGGAGTCTCTCTACTCTCTAATTCCCTATTGCAGAAGGTCCAGCTTTGGCTCAATCCCTTCCAAGTTCTTATTCATCATTCATCACCTGCCATCAGCATATAAGCTCCCACTACTGTCCTCCCACCAGCAGGCAGCACTCTTTGGTGGAATCCCAGCAAGAGGGTGTATGTTTTTGTGATATTCACCTGACTTTTGAAGGGAAACTGATGCACTCCTTTCTATACCACATTACAGGGTGTGGGTAGCTCTCCCACCACCATTTCTTTCTGACCCACTATTGTTTTCTCCTCTGCTCAGAAAGCTGAAGGCTTTGGATGCCTAATCAGACATCCAGGTAGGGAGTGAAATGTTTACCTCTCTTTCTTTCAGTCACTCCAAAGTTCTTTTCTCCAGAAGCTATTTTCTTGGAACCTCTAAACTGTTTTCTTGAGGTGGAATGGAAGCACTCTCCTTTCTCTCATGAACAGAGTAATGAGTTAAACGATTGTTTAGCAAGAACTCTGTGTGGCCTTGTCTGTGAGTCTGATGACTCCCCTCCAGCTTCCTCACAGTCTTGTAATGTCACGAAACTTGTAGTGGGGATGAGAGGGTGTCTTCAGCTCATAATGAACAGTGGAAAACTGAGCCTGTGTCAATTTTTGGCCGTGATAAGCAGTTTGTGGTGTACTGTTTTTCCCTTGTTTTTTTGTTTGTTTGGGTTTTGGGGTGGGTGTTGTTGTTTTTTCCTAGCTCTGAGCCCTGATAATTCTGGAACAACAAGAAAAATTCCACTCTGTCACCTGTTATGTATCTAATCTGTGCTAAGAAGCTTAATGGAAAACCAAAAAGCAATCAGAAAATGTCAGCATTCTCTTCTACCTGGCTTCATTCTTTAAGCAAAGGAAAATTGGAAAGATAGTTAAAAACAAGTGCTTCTTGTTTAAAGTTTTTTCTGGCTATCAGGAGAAGGGTCAGAGAATGTGAATGTTCTTCCAGGAAATGGAGTGCTATCTTATCACCTTTTTCTTTCTTTTTATATGTTTCAAAGTCTAGCTTCAGCACAGTCAACACATATACAAACACCTTTCTTCTTTTTTTCTTCTTCTTTTCTGGTTGATACAATCTTTGTATTTGTGGATACAGTGACTGTTGGAAGAATAAAGGGTTTCTAACTGCTCTGTTGCTGGCAGGATAACTCTGTTTCCAGAGAGGAAATCATTAATGGTCAACTAATTTTATTTTTAGTTCTATTTAATTGTCATCAAAATTAGTAAAAATTCACCTAAGATTGTGGCAACAGAGAATCAAGGAATTGATGGAAGGATTAGTGCAATTTCCACATCTTTGCTAGTTAAGAATATCAAAGCCAGGTATTTAAAGAAAATATTCCACACTGCTTAAGCGGATATCAGTAATATACTAATATTACTAAAATATTACTTTATTAATAACAATAAAGAAGAGAAGAATACGTATTGGATTGACAGCCAGACAAATCTGTTAAAAGGTGATTTAGTTTCCTTTCCTTGAAGCATTTTGTTGATGTTCAATATTTATCTGTCACTTTTATAATGATAAAAGCATTAAATTGATAAATATATTTTTGAAGACCGTAAGATCACAGTCATATAACAGCACATGTACCAACAAAGGAGGGGGTACTAAGATATTTTCACTGGCTGGTTCCAAGAAGAAGCTATACAAGTACTTTTTTCCTTTTTTTTTCTATTTTTAATTTATTTTCCAATTATCCGATAATGAACAGGCAGATTATTTTCTATGAGAAAACTAATTAATTATATTTCTTCCAGAAATTCTTGATGTGAATAAAATGTGGTAACATTTTGCAACTCTGTTAAGGGGAGAATAGTCAGCTTAAGATATATTTTGGAGTAAAGGATTGTCCAATATCATGTAGTCTAAAGAGTTACGGCCTCCTGGGGAAGACAAATTGACCACCACAGGCTTTTAATACTACAGCAAGGACATTAGAAAGAGATGCTACAGTGATGCTACAAATATAAAGTAAATCAAAGTTTCTTAGAGCACAACAGTTACTCAGTTGTAAATTTACAACTTAGGTAACAACAGTTACCTAAGTTGCAAATTTTTTCTTATGTGTTGTCTCCTTACCATTTCAAATAAATCCCAGAAATGATAATTATAACCACTTAGTACAATTGCTTACAGTACTTTTTAACATATCCTTTTAGGATGACTTCAGAAATCACAGAACTTACATGTCCTTGAGATTAATTTTCTTTCCATCTACACAATTTTTCAGTAAAATAACCTTGAAACAAGATATTTTAATTCTTTCTATACTTTTCAAGTCCTGATTATTATTGCATATATTTTTAAATATTTTTTAAATAAAATATTTAAGACATACAACATGCAAATAACAACACAATTAAGTATTTTTCTTAATTGTGCTGAAGTTAAACTAGGAATTTTTAATTCCTAGCTTAAAAAATATAAAAAGTTGGCAATAATTTAATTAAAACTCCCGTTTTCACTCTTGTCTTGTTACTTTCCATTTTTTTCCCTTAATAGTAAGCATTATGATAAATTTGGTGTTTATATGCCTATAAATTTTATTTTACTCATACTACATATTTCTGTATTTTTTTATTTTAGTTTTTAATTTTTCTGGGTAAATAGTACATTATATATTTTATATATACTATATATTGTATATTGTATATATGTACAATTTTATATTGTATATATTGTATATACTATATATTGTGCATATTGTATATATACTGCATATATTGTATATATACACTATATAGTGTATATACACTATGTATTGTATATATACTATACATTGTATATATACAATATACACAATATAGTGTATTTGTATATATACATACTATATATACTATGTATACACTATATATAGTACTATATATAATATTGTACTATATATACTATTTATAGTATATATACAATATAGTATGTATACAATATATAGTATGTATATTGTATATATAGTATAGTATATATATAGTATTGTATTGTATATATAGTATATAGTATATATAGTATATTGTATATATGTATAATTTTATATATACTACATATTGTATATTGCATATCTATATATACCATATATACAATATATATTTACGGGGTACATGAGATATTTTGATACAGACATAAATGCATAATAATCATATCAGGGTAAATAGGGTAACTGATAATTTCTTCATGTTCCAATTATACTCTTTTTGTTGTTTTTAGATGTGCAGTGAAGCTTTGTTGACTGTAATCACAATGTTATGTTATCAAATTCTAGATCTTATTAATTCTATCTAATTATATATTTGTAGCCATTAACTATGCCCACTTCCTCCTCACTCCGACTATTCTTCCCAGCTTCTGGTAACCATCAGTCTACTCTCTGTCTCCATGAGTTTTTAAACAATATATGATAGCATATGTAGGGGAGAAAACTTTTTCTTCCATCACAAGATTAATGGCTGAGGTATCTATAATAAAAGACAACTTAACAAGAGAAAAGCATACACATTTATTTAATTTAAGTTTTATACAACACAGGAGCCTTCAGAAATGAAGGCCCAAAGAAGCAGAGAAATCTGTGTATTTTTATGGTTAGGTTTCTTAAAGAGTGGATAGTCATGGAGAAGGATAATCGGACAAAGGGGTATGATCTAATTGTAATACACTTAGCAAGTCCTGTTTGTTCAGCCTTTTCTCTGATTCCCAGTGCATTCAGAGACCTTCTTTTTTCCAGGTATAGAGAGGGCAATTCTTGTAGGAGGACCTCATGACCTACTTCAGGAGAAGGTCAGCTAGATTTTATGTCCTTCCTCAAGGAGGTCAGATAATTCTTTCTATGTTTCATGTCCTGCTTCAGGAAGGAAAGGGTAAGAGGAAATTGAGAGTGACCTTTCTGCTTCTGCTCTTTTCTGAAACACCAGAATGACATATTTTGAGGTAGTGTGTCTTTAATCCTATCAATCATTAATTCATACTGACTTCATAAAAATATTCTGTTTTCTTCCTAAAGTTTTACATTTTGCTTTTTAATATTTAATTTTCAAATTATACCGAGGTATTATTTTACATTTGATGTGGTGTGAGAATCCAATTCTGTATTTTCAATATAATAACTAATTTTTCAAACAGTATTTCCTTTTTCTTAGAGATAGAGACTTACTGTGGCTCAGGCTGGAATGTAGTGGTGCAATCATAGCTTGCTGCAATCTTGAACTCCTAGGCTCAAGTGATCCTCCCTGCTGGGCCTCCCAAGGCACTGGGATTACAGACCTGAGCCACTATACGCAGTCCCTCACTATTTCTTTTCTTCACAGATCTGTATTACTGTTCCTTATTTATCTAGAATTCAATCCAGCTCTGTCATGTGTTAAGTTTCCATATACCTATGATTATATTTCTGAAATCTCCATCATATTACTTTTAAAATTTTATTCTCTGTCATGCACATGTAGAATTTAATAGTGAGTTCTCAGGAGCCTGAGGAGAATCAGCAAGGATACTTACAGCCAGATGGCTCTGGCAAACTTGGGATCCTCCGAAGAGTCCAGTAAGTTAAGGGAATTAATATCCTTAAATATGCATAACCCATTCATGGCATACCGGTTGGGATGTTTGCTCCACACTGTGTTGCAAGTCTATTTGTATTTGCTCCGGCATCACGTTTTGTTAATTAGTGTTTCATAAGTCTTGCCACACACTAAGGCAAATATTACAACAATATTCTTTTTTCTTCAAAATTTTCTTGACTATTTAGGGCATTTAGCATTTCCATATAAGTTTTATAATTAGCTTGTTAATGTCCATTGAAAGATATAATAGGATTTTTCTTTCTTCTCATTGAAATTAAAGATCACTTTAGGAAAAAATGGCATGTTGACTCTCATGGGTTATCAATTTCATTACCATGGCATAATTCTCTATTTATCTAGATCTCTTAATGCCTTCAGTAAAGATTAATACAGTTTTTCTCCACAAAGTTTAAGCATACTTTTTGTAAAAAATAAAAAATTGTCTCTCTGTAATAGTTTTGAATGCCATCTTTGCATTTTAATTTCACTTTAGCTTTTACAATTAATTTAAAAGAGTATAATATTTTGCCAAAAAAAGTTTTAATTTTAATGATTTGCCTTGAAAATTATTTTGAGTATTTCAAATAAACAAAGCAATGAGCTGAATGTTTGTGTCCTCTCAAAAACGCATATGGCAAAATCCTAACCTACAAAGTAATCATATTAGATAGTAGGGCCTTTAGGAGGTGATTAGGTCATGAGGGCACAATGCTCATGAATGGGATTAGTGGCTGTAAGAAAGAAACCTGAGAGAGTTTTTTCACCCTTTCATTATATGAGGACACAGCAAGAAGTCTGTCATCTGCAGTCTGGAAGAGGGCCCTCACCAGACACCAAATATGTTAGTGCCTTGACCTTGGACTTCCCAGGCTCTAGAAATATGAAAAATAAATTTCCGTTGTTCGTAAGCTACCCAAAGTATAATATTTTGTTACAACAGCCCAAACAGACTAATATAGACTATTATATCAGCTTCCAGTACTACAAATTTTGTTTTATTCCAATTCTTATTCCTATAATTTCAATTCCTTAACCTGAAATACATTGCCTATGCCCTATAGTATGGTATAAAATAAAAGACAGAATGGAAGTCATCAATGTCTCTCCTTTGATTTTAAAGGAAAGGCTTATATCTATTCACTGTTAAGTAAAATGTTTGCCTATTTTTCTTCTCTTTTTTTCTTCTTCTTCCTCCTCCTCTTCTTCTTTTATATATCTTTATAAAGGAGTTTCCTTATAGATCCTATTTGGTTAAGGCTTTTTGCCATATGAATGTTATAGTGCACTGAATCATTTTTTTCTATGAAGATAAACATATTTGTTTCTAGTGATCTGATAGTATGGTAAAATACATTAATAAAATTTTTTATTAGAGCCATTAAGTATAGAAGTAAGAATTAT
Source organism: Homo sapiens (assembly GCF_000001405.40). NCBI lineage: Eukaryota > Metazoa > Chordata > Mammalia > Primates > Hominidae > Homo > Homo sapiens. Next base: position 10,184,705 of record NC_000007.14, on the reverse strand, counting down.
GTGAAATAAAGTTAGTAATGAAGTTGAAGAGTTAGAATTAGATTCTAAACGTCATCAGTGTTACTTCCTATGGGTTTGATAACTAGCATAAAATAGTTTAGTTTAACTAAAACATTAGAACTATAAGGTTCACTTATACTTGAAGCAAGAGAAATCAAAATATAAATATTTAACATAATTTTTCTCTTTAAGCATAGAATAAAGTAAAATATGATGTATTTAATATACATTAATTACTATATCTTTTCTGCCATCCTTTTTATTGATGATACTAATGAAATGCAGAAAAAGACTCTTTTCTAAAATGTCTAATGGGAACTGAGATTTCTTTTAAATGTCTCTGTAACGGATACAAGATTTTGCCTGAGGGTGCTCTTTGAAAAATGAGAAACATTAAAATAGTATAAAGGGGAAAAAAAAAGAGTGTTCTTTCTCAGCCTGTCTATATTCATACTTTAAAAACATGTTTGAAAACAACTTCATTATTTCCAGTTATAATCAATGCACTTTTTAAAATTCAGTGTGAATAAATAAAATGCAGTTAGAGTCAAATATTCATATTCATATAAGAAATCTACATTTCAAATGAAAATATGCAATATATAGTTCTAAAAGAGACCTGAGACCACCCTCTCCCCCTACCATTGAGTTTAAGCCTGCTAAGGCTAACCTGTCTTACATTATAATTTAAAATGTAGGCTCATCAAATGGCCATTTATTCACTCATTCTCATCTTCATATGCCTCTGGGCTTTTTATCTGACTTCTCTGACTATGGTTCCTTCCTCCCACTGTGCTTTTGGATGCCGTGTTTTATGGTAAACAGATTCCATACAATTTTAACCTACTAATAATATTCTAATGACATTTACTGATTTTGATGGAAACTTGAATTTCCCTGAAGATATTACTTTCTGGCAGAATTATTGAGAGTATGGTGCCCAATCTTCATTAATTCCCCTTTTGGTATGAGGGTACAGAATGAGGCTGAGGGGGCCAGGCTTACATGTTTTAAATCCCTTTGATACTTCTAGACCACCTCCCTTCTTCTGTGGGTAAAGATCCCTGCTCATTTGAGGTTATGCCCTATGGCTGCATTACGCTTTGCTATTCTTGTTCTAGACTCTACTGCCCATTCTCATCACTTCCTTTGTTCACTGAGGTTTTAGCCACTGGTCCACAATCATTCTCCTTGCTCTAAAGCTGCACGTAGTTGGAGGTGACGAAAGTGTCCATGTTTATGACCTGTCTAAAATCTAGCTGATTAGTTCCTATTTTTTATTATTCCCATGAAATTATGGCATTCTAAACACTTCCATTTTTTCCTCAACCTTAAGTTGCCCATCTATAAAACTTTTTTTTTTTTTTTTTTTTTTTTTTTTTTTGAGACGGAGTCTCGCTCTGTCGCCCAGGCTGGAGTGCAGTGGCACAATCTCGGCTCACCGCAAGCTCCGCCTCCCGGGTTCACGCCATTCTCCTGGCTCAGCCTCCCGAGTAGCTGGGACTACAGGCGCCCGCCACCACGCCTGGCTAATTTTTTGTATTTTTAGTAGAGACGGGGTTTCACTGTGTTAGCCAGGATGGTCTCGATCTCCTGACCTCGTGATCCACCCCCCTCGGCCTCCCAAAGTGCTGGGATTACAGGCGTGAGCCACTGCGCCAATCAGAGAATACTTCCACACCTTTTCTTTGTTTTCAGCCAAATCTCCACATTATTGCTCCTTTTGCTTTTAACAAATCAATAACTTTAATTGTTTTTCATTATGTTGTAATTTTATGAAATGAATGAAATATACATTTATTGGTATGAAATATTAATTTTATTTGCATCTTTGGATAAGGTAGGGAAAATAGTCTATGACTATGTATCAAAATTGTCAATGTATTTTTTCTGGACTTTTTCTTCCCTTAAGATATGTTTGGCCATGAAATCTTGATATTATTTTTAAAAACATTCCTCTCACCCATTCTAAATTGTTTTGAAATAGCTAATGTTTCTCCTGGATGGTATACAATGATTGATTGTATCTACTTCTGATGATAAAGAAAAGATGATAAGTTTTTAGACCAATTTCTCTAACCCTAGTCATTTGATAAATAATTTTAAATAAAAAATTAAGTCAAATATTAAAGCAAATGTAGTGGCCAGTCATTTACCTAAAGAATCTTTGATCCATTTTCTGATGTTTTAATAATCTCCAAGGATTTCCAAATCACAAATGGTGTGATAAACCAGTTTTTAACAAACTGCATAGCTTGCTACATGAAACTGTTGGAATTTTATCTTATTTAAATATGTTTGACAATGTGAAGAACTAGAATCAGGAGATCTCCCACTGCAACAACTATATAGGCCAATGAGATATGAGCTGATTCAATTCCATAAATGGTGACAAAAGACACAAGACTTCCGGGTCATAGACCAAAAAATAATTTATTACTCATAGCAATAACAGTGGGTAGAGTAACATCACTATGTTAGTTCCCTAAAAGCCAAGTTACACACAGTAGCATGAAGAGCCAGGTGGTGTTGGCTCATGCAGTGGGCAAACCACAGCAGGGGAATCCTGAACCTAGGACCTTTGCCACTTATATACTAAGCAGTAAGCGAGCCTTTTCTTTGTCCAGAGGGTTAACAGGAACAATACATGCTTATTTAATGCATTCTGAAGGGCCATTACTTGTCAGAATTGCCAGCTGATTAAACAATTATGAGAAGCAGCGGTGGACTACTCATTAAGAGATGTGGGATCAGGGCCTTGGAAGACTGCTTCCCAACAGTTATTCCTCCACTTAGTTTATAAATGTCTTAGATATGTGTCAATATTTTGTAAATATATGTAAATGTTGTTCAAAGATTTGACTACTTTAAGGAAATTTGGGATCTCTTTCCACGTTTCACAAAAGTTCGTCATCACGAAATGTTAAATATCCTCATAAGAATGTGCATAGTAATGTCTTCATTTTCCTCATTATACTTACTTCTCCAGTTTCATCTTATCTGATTGGTCTTCTAAAGCATGGCAACATATTTCATTCAAATAATACACAATTTGCTGCTTGTAAGATTTTTACAGCCCTGTATAAATTGAGCTCAGGGTATCATCAATTTTAATGAAATTTAAGAATCTTCATTGTATATATTATAGCCTTTGACATTTTCTATGTACCTACTGCTATTCCCCTACCTTACCCTAAACTCTTAAAACTTATTTCTACAGCCAAACACCTCAAATAATCTATGGTTTTCATTTTTCTGTTTACGGGTGCCCTTTTTTTTTTCTTAACAGAGTTTTGCTCTTTTTTATCCAAGCTGGAGTGCAATGGTCCGATCTCGGCTCACTGCAACCTCCATCTCTTGGGTTCAAGCGATTGTTCTGCCTCACCTCCCAAGTAGCTGGGATTACAGGCATGTTCCACCACCCCTGGCCAATTTTGTATTTTTAGTAGAGACAGGGTTTTGCCATGTTGGTCAGGCTGGTCTCAAACTCCTGACCTAAGGTGATCAGCCCACCTCAGCCTCCCAAAGTGCTAGGATTACAGGCGTGAGCCACGGCGCCCAGTCAGGGAGGCCCTTCTTCCTGCTCTAATCTTGACTGGTTGTTCCAACACCTGTTCTCTGAGTACTACTCTGGTACTTTCTGTTTATTATCATCCTAGAAATTCCTTTCACTTTTTTCTGTTTTGGGTTCTATACATTTTGAAGCACGTATTTCCCTCTTTTTAAATTATTTTTTCACACATTCACATTTCCCAGTATTCTTTGGTGTCGTCAGGGAAAAGATGTAGTGAAGATAAATTTTGAGAGGACGCCTAAGTGTCATGTGTTTATCATACTGTCATAGTTGGTTTATAATTGAGTTATGTGTGAAATTACAATTGGAAGCAATGTTCCATCAGTTTGTAAGAGATATTGTTCTAGTATCTTTCATTGTTGTTTGGGAAATAAAATAGCATTCGATCACCATTTAATTGAAACTGACTATTGTTTCTGTTTTTAATTCTAAAAATTTGTAGAATCTTCTCTATGTCTATTTTGAAATGATGTGATTTGTTGTTGATGTGATTTGGTCATTATCTTTTAAAATTCTATGTATCTTTTCACTCTTCTTTTTAGAATTTTTATTTACTAGGTATTAAGCTCTCAGGTGGATCATTTAATTTTATTCATGATTCTATGTTTCTACTCTTTGTCATTTGTTAAGTTTGTTTGTGCCCTCAGAGTAACTTCAACAAATTTAGTTTCTCATATTCATATTGAACTTTTAATTTCTTTTTATTTTTTGGTGTCTGGATATTTATTTTTAACACTATCCTGTCTTGTTTCATGAATAATTTCCTTTTCTTGTTGCATTGAAAATATTTTAAATTTATTTGATTGTTTTTTGCATTGTTAGTTTCCTTCAAGTTTCTGTTGTTTATTTCTGCTTTAGGTTCTATATTTCATAGTAAATGCTTTCTTAAAATGCTTGAAGATTGTGGTTGTCTGTTCTAATTCAAATGAAAAAGAGTATAATGGTAAGTAGAAAAACCATATGTACGTAGGTGGCTGTTGACTGGTGAGTTTCCTGATAGGAATCAAAACATTTTGGGAGGGGCATCTTCAAGTGTTAAGTGAGTTTCTCTAACTCTTTTCTATTTGGCCAGTCCCTTTGGAGCAGAACTCTAAATTTCTGCCCAGGGTGCAAGAAGCAGCATAAACTTATATGCGGGTTTTCTAGGAAGTGAGTAGAAAAGGAGAGATAAGGTGTCTTACCATTCAGTATTCAGCCTGTCATTTAATTCCCATGCTTAGCTACAGAATTTTTACCCCTATTTTGGATGTGCCTTATGCTTTTGTAGTTTCTCTTGTTATATCACTATATTTCCTGCCAGAAGGGAAGTTATAGTGCAGTCAAGGTGGAAGAGGATATATGGGCTTACATCTTACACAGACTTTCAAGCTAAACTCATTTTTATCCTCTTCCCTCACACTATTGCCTTCTAAGGTGGAAAGTGACTCTGATTTCTGAGCTTTTCCTAAGTTCTGCCTTATGGATGGGTTTTTATTTGTTTGTTTCTCTCCCCCTCATGAGACACATTTGTTTACAAAACTGGATAGTATATCTTGCATGTTAAAGAAGACTTCTTACTTTTCAGTAGATTATCAAATGGGTGTATAATAAACATAGGATAAGAATATTCTAAGCTTTCCCAAGTAATTTTTCCTTTTGTAACATATTTGATACTCCTAATAGTTGTATTTTATTTCCATTCAACAGACAGTGAAAAAAAATGAGTCTCAGAAACTCAAGTCATGCTACTTGGAAGATAAAACAGTTTTTATTTTTATTTTTGACATAGAACAACATACTGATAAAATAGGATTTAATTTGACAAATTTCAAAAAATTTAAGGGAATTATTAATAAATATAAAGTACAGTTTAGTAAGTTTTCCTAGACTTCCTTAAGTCATTTTAGCCTTTGAAAAATATCTTAGTACTGCATCTCTACTATTGTTTATCGCTAAGGTACTTAACATTACATACAAGTAGCACACTTTTAAATGTTGTTTAAATTTAAAGAATATTGTCACTATTGTCCTCCTTCTTCTTGAATATGTTTGTTAATGCCTAACAAACAAAAATATACATATTTTGATAAAACAAGGCTGAAAATTATATCAAAAGTCAATTTATTATTCAGTAATGATTAAAATACTAGTAATAACAGGCTTTCTGATATTTAGTCTTAGAAAACTTTTAGAAAGCTTTCTCTTCTTTGCATAATTTATTTAACACTTTATTGTGGCCTAATTTAACCCTATTCAATAATTATTCTTACTTTAGGTATCATTTGATTTCATTGAATCTAGTTACCTTAATTGGAACTTGATCTGGTATAAATTGCCAAAACAATAACAACTTATATCTATGGAGATTTGTAAATTTACTGTGAAATTTTAGGTTTGCTTTCAGTGTCTATTTTTTACCTTTGTCATGTGAGAAGTCCAAATTTTTTTTTGTCCAATTCTTTCAAGAATTTTTGTTCTCCAACACATATTTATTAAATAACCATTATGTGCTAGAAAATATTCAAGGTATGGTATAATTTTGAAGGTTTTAATTCTGCATCAAGTAAATGAATGCATAATGTTATTCTCAAACTCATATACTTCACTTCTAATATTTAGGTACATTATTCGCAAATTTATATAAAGAAATCCTAACATTCTTGAATAACATAAATTTAAGTAACTATACATATTTATGTGTGTGTGTATATATATGTATATCAATTTTCTACATATGTTAATTATCTATCATCTATAACCTATTTATTTCTATTTCCTCATCGGGAATATTAAAATATTTTCCAGCGCAATTATATAAAAGATATATTGTATTCTGGAATGAGAAAAGAAGCAAATACATCAAAAAGGCTCAGATATTTTGTCTATGATTGAAGAACTATAATGTCATTAAACAAGACAGCGAGTATTTGGAGTATATTTTATTTATCTTTCAAGTCTAATAATTTTGATATGCCTTGGAGTTTACTATTCCTAATTAATTTCCATAGGCACATAATCAATTCCTTTAGTATTTGGATGTAAAAGTTTTTCTGTTTAGAAATTAGCTATCACTTTCTGATCCTTCATGCTTTCTATTTTTATCATATTTATTCTCTCAGCAGTTTTCTTTCTTTTCTTAGCATCACTAATTCACTTTAAATAACATTTAGCCTACTATGCGTAATGTAATTTAGTCTTCATTTTTGGCAGAATTTTTAATTTTTTCCCCTAAATTTGTGCTTTTTTTATATCTATGTTTTTCTTTGGCCTACTTAAGTTCTGAATTATGAAATTCTATCTTGAAATTTTTAATGTATTCAGGCACTTACCATAATTAACTCACATTGGTTTTTGGTTATATTTTAATCCTTTGTTGCATGTTTTATTTTAAATTATTTGAAATCTTTTCTTTTTTTATGGTTGCAGAAAGTGTCCTGTCATATTTTGCTTACTTTTAAGTGACTTAAATATTTCTTTATCACTGCCAAAGGTGAAGTATTTGGGAGGCTTGTTAAATTTCCAAGTTCAAAAATGCTGTCATTAGGTGGTACAGTAAAACGGAATTATTCGAAAAGATTGTTTTGAGTGGAAGCATAAATTTTGTGTCTTTTGATTTTTGTCTATTAGACCTCTGATTTTTATCACTCTTCCTGCTTTCTTTATTATCTATTTAAAAAATTATAATACAACTGAAGTTATGCATTTTGATGAGAAAAAACAAATAAGTAAATTTTCAGGTTAATCACATTGTGGCAAGAGTACTTGCTACAATGTGATTTGTCATGTTAATGCTGACCAATTTTTCTCCACTAAAATGTTATTTCCCCCTCTTTTCTGTATTGTACTTTAAAAGGAAGTCACTATGAACAGCTCATACTTAAACAGTGGGGAGTTATACATCACTTCCTCAAAGACAGAGTATCTAAATAATTATTTGGAATTCTACATGGAAGATTTGTCTCTTCTCTCCCATATATTAATTTGATCATTTTTTCATAGAAGTTTTTACTCACTAATATTTATTTTATATTTGTGTTACACTCCAATGCTGCTTTAATTATATTTATTGAGAAAATCTACAAAACTAATTCATCACAACATCAAGATCTGTAATATTTTTTAACATTTTAATAAACCAAAAAGTCTCAGCTTCTATGAGAATGCAATAGAATTAAGGTTTTTAAAAGTACAAAGAAAGAAAAATTTAAGAATATTAGATGAAAAGGGAAATAAACTAGGAAATTTGAAAAAAAAGAAAATCACATGCACAGTTTGATACATCAAGTATATCATAATTAAATAATTTAAAATAGTTATAAAGAAAACCATTAAAAGTGTCCAGAAGAGCAAAGATACATTGCATATAAAGGAAAAAAAAGAGAGTGATAACAACGGATTTATTTTCAGACACAGTGCAAGTTGTTACCTTGCATAATTGCCTGGCTAGGAAGTTAGGCGGTGGGTACTGTTTGCTGTAGCTGCGGCATCAGAAGCTGAAATCTCCTCATTTCCTTGTTTCGTCTTCCTTGTTGTCTTTAAGTTTTCCTAGAGACTCTTTAAATAAAGCCTGATGCCTTCAGTCCTTCTCGATTTACTTCCTTGTTATTTTACAGAAACTCTATTGATATGGTGGTAAGTTGTGGAGGGAAGGGAGATATTGTATTGTTCCGTGATTAGGTCTCACTTTGACAGTGAGCCTGAGTTAGTATTTTCCTTTCCCTAGATTGTTAGGGTTTGGTAAAACCACAGTCAGTTATACCTCGTTAAAATAGTTTCCACTGAGGACAGGCCATCTTTAAGAAAAACAGAGAGCTTTGGGCATATTTCTAGATGATTACTCTTCTCTTCCGTCTGCCAGAGCATGAGGTGATTTTTCACTGATCTTCTCACAGTGAGAACCTGGTAGGGCTCTTAGATGTAAAACTTATGAAAATTGAATAAGGCAGAGATGCTAAGACTGGTCTCTCACAGTTTTTAACTATCAAACTAGCCCATATTGAACATCCAGAATTTGTCAATTTCAGTTTGAAGTACTCCTACTAATACAGGATTCAGTTGGAAGTTTTTGCTCCAGGACTTCTATTCTCAGTGAACTGTAATTTTTGTATCTGTCTGTTTGTTTTTCGAGTTTTCAGGACAGCAGTTTGCCCTATGACCTCGTTTCTCCAATGGATCTAAGAAGACAGATTGACTTTCAGTTTGCTCAGCTTTTTTCTTGTTTTGAGGACAGTGGCGATGGCTTCCAAGCTCTTTCTATGTCAGCTTGAAAACTGGAACTCAACATTTTAATAATATGTTTAAAATCATAAAACAATTTCTGAAACTAAAAAAGAATTAAACTCAAATTAAGTATGGGAAAGTGATAAAAATCAGATTGTAAATAATAAAAAATGAAAAATTCAAAATAAAAGAATATCAGTAAAATGTAAAGCAGTTATTTGAGAACACCAATAAGACTGATAAAATTCTACTTAGGCTGACCTGATAAAAGAGAGAGAGAAGTGAGAAAATTACCAATATCAGGAATAAAGAGCTGACATCACTATAGATCTTACAGATATTAAAGGAATAATGAAAAAACATGAGCAACTTTATGCCTATACATTTACAACTTATGAAATGGACAAATTACTTGAAAGACGGACTACCATAGCTCACTCAAAAAGTAATAAACTGAATAGCCATATATGTATTAAAGATGTTGAGTTTGTAGTCAAAATCCTTCCTACAAAGTAGGTGAATTCTATTTTCAACCAATTCTCTAAAGCCAGCTTTAGAATTAAAACCAGATAGAGATATTACAAGAAAAGGGAATTAGAGTTCAGTATTTCTTATGGATGCAAATAATCCTTAAGAGTGTTTTAGAAAATTAAACCTAATGGTATACAAAACGATACCACAGCAAGGCCAAGTTAGTTTTTCTTAGAAATACAAGGTTGGTTTAACATTTGAAAATCAATAAATATAATTTACAATATTAACAGACTAAACAAGAAAACCCACATGGCCATTACAAGAGATACAGAAAAAAAATGTTTGAAAAATCCCAATTTATTCTTGACATAACTGAGTAAACTTGTAATATAGGGGGAATTCGGGGGAATTCCTCAATCTGATAAAGTACATCTGTGTAAATCCTAAAGCTAGTCTCCTACTTAATGGTTAAAAACTACATGTCCTTTCTCACTCTTTTATTCAACAATGTAATTGACGTTCTAGCCTGCTCAATAAGGTGACAGAAATAAAAGGCTTTCGGACTGAAAAGAAAAGTAAAAGTGTCTGTATTTACAGATGACATAATAGTCTGTACTAAACTTATGGAATCTACAAAACAGTTTCTGGAAATAATGAGTGAGTTTACCAAGTTTACAGTATTCACGATGACTACATAAAATTCAATTGCACTTTTATATATCAGTAATAATTAAAAATTGAAATTAAAAAGTAATATAAAAAATATCATCAAATATGTGAATTTTTATGTATAAATCTGACAAAAGATATGTAAGATATGTATACAAAGAATTATACAATTTTGCCGAAAGAAATTAAGACACACACACATATATATACACAATTGTTCACAGATAAAAATATGCAATATGATTATTATAATCAATTTTCTCCAATTTGATTTTTAGACTCACCACAATCCCAATCAAAATTTCAGCATGAATTTTTATATATACCAATAAAGTGACTTTAAAATTTAAATTAAAAAGCAAAGGTAGTAAAATATAGCAGATTTTTAAAAGGACAGGCCGGGTGCCATGGCTCACGCCTGTAATCCCAGCACTTTGGGAGGCTGAGGCAGGCGGATCACCTGAAGTTGGGAGTTTGAGACCAGCCTGACCAACATGGAGAAACCCCGTCTCTACTAAAAATACAAAATTTGCCAGGTGTGGTGGCGTATGCCTGTAATCCCAGCTACTCAGGAGGCTGAGGCAGGAGAATTGCTTGAACCTGGGAGGCGAAGGTTGCGGTGAGCTGAGATCGCGCCATAGCACTCCAGCCTGGTCAAAAATAGCAAAACTCCATCTCAAAAAAAAAAAAGAAGAAGAAAGTTGAAGGATTTATAATACTTGATTTCAGGATGTATTATAACATGAAATGACCATAACCATATTTTGGCATTATGTTTTGGTATAAAGGCAAACAAATAGATCAATGGTACATACCAGAGAGTTAAAAAATAGAGGCATACACATAGGATCAATTGATTTTCAACAAAAACGCGAAGGTAATTTAGGAGACAAATAAGAGTCATTTTAATAAATTATGTTAGCAAAAAAATTTCAATTCTTACACTGTATGTTAGTATAACATGCATGTATTCAAATTTAACTGTATTTTAAATATAAAGCTAAAATTATAAAATTCTTAGAAAACAAGAGTATATTTTAATGATATAGGGTAAGAAAATATATATAAAAAGATAAATATGAAAAGGCATTAAAATTCATTAAGGAGCACGTAAAAGCAATTAAAACCAGAATGAGGTAACACTACCACTCCCTTCCCCATGGTAAAAATTAAAAATACAGACAAAGGTAAATATTGGCAAAAAATGCAAGAAAACTTGTATACTTGGGAAAACTGTCACTACTAAAGATGTACACATGCAAACTTCTGTGCTAACAGTTCCAACAGACCTGGGTACATTTGTGTACCAAACGAGATGCTCTAAAATATTCATTGCCATATCATTTGTAGTAGTTGGAAACTGGCCACCAATCAAAAGACAGTAAAAAAAAAAAATGGTTACCTAATGCTCAACAGCAGTGGAATAAAGTATGATATATTCACACCATGAAATCACATACAGTTTTTTTTTTCTCTATGTATGTCTCACACATATGTTTGGAAACACAATGAATGGAAAAAAGGGCATGGGAAGCAGATCTAGAGTTGTGGCAAGGAAAACAGACTGAATCTGAGTTTCAGGTTTACCATTATATGACAGAGACATGTCTATAAATTTTTACCAGGTAAATAAAGATTATAACATTTCTGTCACTCATGGGAATGTTGGGAATGATAAAGAAAAAAATGTACAAAAATACAAGATATTAAGGAAAAATTTAAAAAAATTCTTAATCGACTTTATTAATAGGCATTTTGAGACCTTGAGCTAATCACATAATATAATAGTCCATGGGATTACCCATGGAGAAGGTGTTTCTAGCATACTCTTAAAGTAATTGATTCTCAAACTTCAAAGTCAACATTATTTCTCTGCTCAACCGGGCCAGTCTTGAGGAAATAGGTACTGCTTTCTCACATGTTCTCCCATACAATCTCCTTCTACCACTCACGATTACCTCTTTTTCATCTTTTTCTTATTTCCAGAAATTAGAAATCCAAGTGATAATAACTAATATCTTTTGATAATGCCTAATGCTAAAAACTAACACACTGAGAATTTCTTATGTGTTGGGAGAAATTATCCTGTCTTAGTTTATGTAATTTTCACAACAACCCTGTCAGGCAAATACAGCTCTTGTCCCACTTCTTTGCTGAGAAAACTGAGACCCAGGCAGATGAAGTAATGTGTCCAAAATTACCCAGCTAGTAAGGGTGTTGATATTTGTTCTTGTATTAGAAGGTAATAAGGAAAAATTACAGAAATTTCAAAATTATCTTTATCGTATTATTAGATATTTCCTGAATCGAGGTTTAGGAAGTAAATATCCTCTGTGCATCTCCAAAATAATGGAATAAAATGCAATGACTGAAATTTTGGTCAAAGAGAAAAAAGTAAATATGTTAAGGAGGCAACTCTATTTTTAATGAAGAAAAAATATTTTACCAAGTAGACAGATGGGTTATGATATAGAATATTCAGTTTGGAAAGATGAGATGAGACACACAGTATATAAGTAGATGTGCAGAGCAAATATGAAAGCAAATTAGTCATACTGTAGTTCACAGACCTAAACATTGATGCTAAATTACTCTCAGTAGTTTTCGGCTTATGCTTCACGGAACCTCAGGTCTACTCAGCAGTGTGTGAGAGGCTTCAGGGACTATCAAGAACTCAAGTGATGGCTCAAGGCTTAGGACTCCTTTAGTCAGAGTACAGCAATATGGCTTTATAAATTGTTTGAAAAAAATGGTTTTATGGGAGTGTGGGGGTAAGTATTGGGAACTTCCACTAATATAGATAATGAAATGATAATTGCTCTGCTTCATCATTATATTAATTCGGTATGGCTCAACATTTAAAACTTAATATGTAATTATTTTAACTGAAATCAAAATATAAATCATTATTTCAATTTATCTGTGTAGACTCAACTTCCTTGCTTTTTAAACAGATACCTAGGTTTCATGTGATATAAAAGAAACATATTCTATACATAGCCTTTAGTAGAGGAAAGGGAACAGCTAGCCACACATTCGCTTTCTCATGCATCTTTTACTAAGATAACTGCAATGTTATTGAGTAATATGAGTGCCACATTTTATTAGCCCAATGAAGCCCGTCTCAAAGCATAGCAGAAATCGTTTGTAGTTATGTACACACATAGAGTACAATAGACGTATTCTAAGATTAACTCCCTAAATAAGGCTCTCCGCACACCTAACATCACTTTATCAACCAGCGTAATGAATTATTATAACAACCTGTCTCCAAATCTCTCTTGAAGTTATTATTATTGCTTAATTTTAAAACACAGTGTCTTTTCTTTCTATATTGGCATGCAAATAAAGAAGAGCAAAAATTAAAATATTTAGCATGAAGGGTTGTTGAATTTTGTCAAAGGCTTTTTCTGCATCTATTGAGATAATCATGTGGTTTTTGTCTTTGGCTCTGTTTATATGCTGGATTACATTTATTGATTTGCGTATATTGAACCAGCCTTGCATCCCAGGGATGAAGCCCACTTGATCATGGTGGATAAGCTTTTTGATGTGCTGCTGGATTCGGTTTGTCAGTATTTTATTGAGGATTTTTGCATCAATGTTCATCAAGGATATTGGTCTAAAATTCTCTTTTTTGGTTGTGTCTCTGCCCGGCTTTGGTATCAGAATGATGCTGGCCTCATAAAATGAGTTAGGGAGGATTCCCTCTTTTTCTATTGATTGGAATAGTTTCAGAAGGAATGGTACCAGTTCCTCCTTGTACCTCTGGTAGAATTCGGCTGTGAATCCATCTGGTCCTGGACTCTTTTTGGTTGGTAAACTATTGATTATTGCCACAATTTCAGCTCCTGTTATTGGTCTATTCAGAGATTCAACTTCTTCCTGGTTTAGTCTTGGGAGAGTGTATGTGTCGAGGAATGTATCCATTTCTTCTAGATTTTCTAGTTTATTTGCGTAGAGGTGTTTGTAGTATTCTCTGATGGTAGTTTGTATTTCTGTGGGATCGGTGGTGATATCCCCTTTATCATTTTTTATTGCATCTATTTGATTCTTCTCTCTTTTTTTCTTTATTAGTCTTGCTAGCGGTCTATCAATTTTGTTGATCCTTTCAAAAAACCAGCTCCTGGATTCATTGATTTTTTGAAGGGTTTTTTGTGTCTCTATTTCCTTCAGTTCTGCTCTGATTTTAGTTATTTCTTGCCTTCTGCTAGCTTTTGAATGTGTTTGCTCTTGCTTTTCTAGTTCTTTTAATTGTGATGTTAGGGTGTCAATTTTGGATCTTTCCTGCTTTCTCTTGTGGGCATTTAGTGCTATAAATTTCCCTCTACACACTGCTTTGAATGCGTCCCAGAGATTCTGGTATGTTGTGTCTTTGTTCTCGTTGGTTTGAAAGAACATCTTTATTTCTGCCTTCATTTCGTTATGCACCCAGTAGTCATTCAGGAGCAGGTTGTTCAGTTACCATGTAGTTGAGCGGTTTTGAGTGAGATTCTTAATCCTGAGTTCTAGTTTGATTGCACTGTGGTCTGAGAGATAGTTTGTTATAATTTCTGTTGTTTTACATTTGCTGAGGAGAGCTTTACTTCCAAGTATGTGGTCAATTTTGGAATAGGTGTGGTGTGGTGCTGAAAAAAATGTATATTCTGTTGATTTGGGGTGGAGAGTTCTGTAGATGTCTATTAGGTCCGCTTGGTGCAGAGCTGAGTTCAATTCCTGGGTATCCTTGTTGATTTTCTGTCTCGTTGATCTGTCTAATGTTGACAGTGGGGTGTTAAAGTCTCCCATTATTAATGTGTGGGAGTCTAAGTCTCTTTGTAGGTCACTCAGGACTTGCTTCATGAATTTGGGTGCTCCTGTATTGGGTGCATATATATTTAGGATAGTTAGCTCCTCTTGTTGAATTGATCCCTTTACCATTATGTAATGACCTTCTTTGTCTCTTTTGATCTTTGTTGGTTTAAAGTCTGTTTTATCAGAGACTAGGATTGCAACCCCTGCCCTTTTTTGTTTTCCATTTGCTTGGTAGATCTTCCTCCATCCTTTTATTTTGAGCCTATGTGTGTCTCTGCACATGAGATGGGTTTCCTGAATACAGCACACTGATGGGTCTTGACTCTTTATCCAACTTGCCAGTCTGTGTCTTTTAATTGGAGAATTTAGTCCATTTACATTTAAAGTTAATATTGTTATGTGTGAATTTGATCCTGTCATTATGATGTTAGCTGGTGATTTTGCTCGTTAGTTGATGCAGTTTCTTCCTAGTCTCGATGGTCTTTACATTTTGGCATGATTTTGCAGTGGCTGGTACCGGTTGTTCCTTTCCATGTTTAGCACTTCCTTCAGGAGCTCTTTTAGGGCAGGCCTGGTGGTGACAAAATCTCTCAGCATTTGCATGTCTGTAAAGTATTTTATTTCTCCTTCACTTATGAAGCTTAGTTTGGCTGGATATGAAATTCTGGGTTGAAAATTCTTTTCTGTAAGAATGTTGAATATTGGCCCCCACTCTCTTCTGGCTTGTAGGGTTTCTGCCGAGAGATCCGCTGTTAGTCTGATGGGCTTCCCTTTGAGGGTAACCCGACCTTTCTCTCTGGCTGCCCTTAACATTTTTTCCTTCATTTCAACTTTGGTGAATGTGACAATTATGTGTCTTGGAGTTGCTCTTCTCGAGGAGTATCTTTGTGGCGTTCTCTGTATTTCCTGAATCTGAACATCGGCCTGCCTTGCTAGATTGGGGAAGTTCTCCTGGATAATATCCTGCAGAGTGTTTTCCAACTTGGTTGCATTCTCCACATCACTTTCAGGTACACCAATCAGACGTAGATTTGGTCTTTTCACATAGTCCCATATTTCTTGGAGGCTTTGCTCATTTCTTTTTATTCTTTTTTCTCTAAACTTCCCTTCTCGCTTCATTTCATTCATTTCATCTTCCATTGCTGATACCCTTTCTTCCAGTTGATCGCATCGGCTCCTGAGGCTTCTGCATTCTTCACGTAGTTCTCGAGCCTTGGTTTTCAGCTCCATTAGCTCCTTTAAGCACTTCTCTGTATTGGTTATTCTAGTTATACATTCTTCTAAATTTTTTTCAAAGTTTTCGCCTTTGGTTTGAATGTCCTCCCGTAGCTCAGAGTAATTCGATCGTCTGAGGCCTTCCTCTCTCAGCTCATCAAAATCATTCTCCATCCAGCTTTGTTCCATTGCTGGTGAGGAACTGCGTTCCTTTGGAGGAGGAGAGGCGCTCTGCGTTTTAGAGTTTCCAGTTTCTCTGTTCTGTTTTTTCCCCATCTTTGTGGTTTTATCTACTTTTGGTCTTTGATGATGGTGATGTACAGATGGGTTTTCGGTGTGGATGTCCTTTCTGTTTGGGACGTATTTCAAAATA
Source organism: Homo sapiens (assembly GCF_000001405.40). Lineage (NCBI taxonomy): Eukaryota > Metazoa > Chordata > Mammalia > Primates > Hominidae > Homo > Homo sapiens. The sequence continues at coordinate 10,168,407 of NC_000007.14, read as the reverse complement.
ATAAGAGCTATCTATGACAAACCCACAGCCAATATCATACTGAATGGGCAAAAACTGGAAGTATTCCCTTTGAAAACTGGCACAAGACAGGGATGCCCTCTCTCACCGCTCCTATTCAACATAGTGTTGGAAGTTCTGGCCAGGGCAATCAGGCAGGAGAAGGAAATAAAGGGTATTCAATTAGGAAAAGAGGAAGTCAAATTGTCCCTGTTTACAGACGACATGATAGTTTATCTAGAAAACCCCATCGTCTCAGCCCAAAATCTCCTTGAGCTGATAAGGAACTTCAGCAAAGTCTCAGGATACAAAATCAATGTACAAAAATCACAAGCATTCCTATACACCAACAGACAAACAGAGAGCCAAATCATGAGTGAACTCCCATTCACAATTGCTTCAAAGAGAATAAAATACCTAGGAATCCAACTTACAAGGGATGTGAAGGACCTCTTCAAGGAGAACTACAAACCACTGCTCAAGGAAATAAAAGAGGATACAAACAAATGGAAGAACATTCCATGCTCATGGGTAGGAAGAATCAATATTGTGAAAATGGCCATACTGCCCAAGGTAATTTACAGATTCAATGCCATCCCCATCAAGCTACCAATGACTTTCTTCACAGAATTGGAAAAAACTACTTTAAAGTTCATATGGAACCAAAAAAGAGCCCGCATCGCCAAGTCAATCCTAAGCCAAAAGAACAAAGCTGGAGGCATCACACTACCTGACTTCAAACTATACTACAAGGCTACAGTAACCAAAACAGCATGGTACTGGTACCAAAACAGAGATATAGATCAATGGAACAGAACAGAGCCCTCAGAAATAATGCCGCATACCTACATCTATCTGATCTTTGACAAACCTGAGAAAAACAAGCAATGGGGAAAGGATTCCCTATTTAATAAATGGTGCTGGGAAAACTGGCTAGCCATATGTAGAAAGCTGAAACTGGATCCCTTCCTTACACCTTATACAAAAATCAATTCAAGATGGAATAAAGATTTAAACGTTAGACCTAAAACCATAAAAACCCTAGAAGAAAACCTAGGCATTACCATTCAGGACATAGGCATGGGCAAGGACTTCATGTCCAAAACACCAAAAGCAATGGCAACAAAAGCCAAAATTGACAAATGGGATCTAATTAAACTAAAGAGCTTCTGCACAGCAAAAGAAACTACCATCAGAGTGAACAGGCAACCTACAACATGGGAGAAAATTTTCGCAACCTACTCATCTGACAAAGGGCTAATATCCAGAATCTACAATGAACTCAAACAAATTTACAAGAAAAAAACAAACAATCCCATCAAAAAGTGGGTGAGGGACATGAACAGACCCTTCTCAAAAGAAGACGTTTATGCAGCCAAAAAACACATGAAAAAATGCTCATCATCACTGGCTATCAGAGAAATGCAAATCAAAACCACTATGAGATATCATCTCACACCAGTTAGAATGGCAATCATTAAAAAGTCAGGAAACAACAGGTGCTGGAGAGGATGTGGAGAAATAGGAACACTTTTACACTGTTGGTGGGACTGTAAACTAGTTCAACCATTGTGGAAGTCAGTGTGGCGATTTCTCAGGGATCTAGAACTAGAAATACCATTTGACCCAGCCATCCCATTACTGGGTATATACCCAAATGACTATAAATCATGCTGCTATAAAGACACATGCACACGTATGTTTATTGCGGCACTATTCACAATAGCAAAGACTTGGAACCAACCCAAATATCCAACAATGATAGACTGGATTAAGAAAATGTGGCACATATACACCATGGAATACTATGCAGCCATAAAAAATGATGAGTTCATGTCCTTTGTAGGGACATGGATGAAATTGGAAACCATCATTCTCAGTAAACTATCACAAGAACAAAAAACCAAACACCGCATATTCTCACTCATAGGTGGGAATTGAACAATGAGATCACATGGACACAGGAAGGGGAATATCACGCTCTGGGGACTGTGGTGGGGAGGGGGTAGGGGGGAGGGATAGCATTGGGAGATATACCTAATGCTAGATGACGAGTTAGTGGGTGCAGCGCACCAGCATGGCACATGTATACATATGTAACTAACCTGCACAATGTGCACATGTACCCTAAAACTTAAAGTATAATTAAAAAAAAAAATTTAAATATTGTTTTTGTCATTCGGTAAAGTTTTAAAAATATTTATGCCAAGCAACAAGCCAGACATAGTGCCTGGTTTCATATAGCTGCATTTCCAATAGTAGAGAAAATAATGTAAACAAATAATTAAAGCTCTATTTGATGCTGTGGTTATGTAAGATGTTGTGGCAACACAGAAGAAGAAGTAAGTCTTTGGACCAACCCTTATTTTTGGACTTGACTGTTTAAGCACATATCATGACACTAAGTGACATTTGCTTAAATGTAACATATTTCTAAAACTTTTTATGCCTATAATATCAATGTAGACACAGTATATATAGAAATATCATATATGTACAGTTTATAGAATTTACAGAAAGGGAATATAACTATTCACTTAGAACCCAGATACAGTTTGCCACCACTCTAGAAGCTTTCTTTTTTTCCTTCCAGTTTCTATCATCCCCTAACTACTTTGCTCCTTCCAAGAAGATTCACTCGGTTGATTTAGAACAGTTTTGCTTGTGTTCATACATTATAAAGATAGGATCATATAGTAGGTTCACCTCTGTGTCTGGCTTTTATTGTTTAAAATTGTGAGTTTTTTTATTGTTACATAAATTTGAGGGCTATAAAAATTGTGTGTGTGTGTGTGCGTGTGCATATGTATAATGTATATGTTTGAGAAATGATAGCTAGAAACCTTAGATGTCTACTGAAGCTATATCAATAACCAGGGGCTAAAAACTTGTTTGTAGTGTTATAAGGTGAGTTGATGAAATTGAGATCATAGAGTAGAGCCAAAGGAAACTAATAAAATGTAAAATCTTTCCAATATTAAATTCAGCATATATTCAAAAAAATCAAAGAAAATATAGTAAATATATCATAATCTCTTTCTGACATGGTTTGAAGAAAACCTGATGGAATAAAACACATAGTCAATGCAGAATTTGACACATATATATAATAATGTCATAATATTAATTAAAAATTTTCAGTCATTTCTCCTTGCTAGAAATATGTAAGCAAAAAGTCTTTTTATTTCTCTAGACTCAGAATAAGCAGCAAGTGAAGAAGGAAAAACAAAAAGTGGCTTAATATTATATAACTTATCTTTTTTTAGTCAATAAGTCTACTAATATGTATCCTAAAAGCAGAAGGCATTAGGACTCAAATATTTCCTTTCATGAATAATACGACTGTGATCAAATAGGCCATCCTGGTGGTAGAAAATATGCATGTCAAGGAAGACTGACCTATAATTATATGGTGGGTAAAAACACATTTCTTATAGTTTCTTTTCAATTTTGCATAGGGTTACTTGGGAGCACCGGAGAACTTGCAAAGCTTTTGGAGACTTATAACATCAAATATTCAGTTAAAACCCAGTGTATGCTTCTGATATTTGTGAGCTACAGAAAATTTTAATTCATGTTATATAACTGGATTTAATTGACATGATCACAGGTAAGAGTTATTATACAGCTGAGATGAAAGATGCAGTTCTGATTCAGTCTGGTTGCCATTTTTAAAACCTCTCTATAATAGATTATTTTCACAGTGAGAATACACCTAGCCAAGCTGAAGAATCTGAAGTAGGTGGGGTTTATTTTTTGCCCTTTTTTTGTTACCACAAGAGAGGATGATACTGACAAGTAATTAAATAGCATTTGCTAAAGAATAAATCAGGTATCTGATAAAAAAATCTAGTGTGAAAAATTTATTCAATTTTTCTTCTCAATCTAATTTTTAGCTAGTAAACTGCTCACAGTGAGAAATTACAGATGAAGTATCAATAATTTCCTTCAAAAAAGTCAGTTTCGACATGGAGCACACCTGCTCACATTACTTCTACCTCTCCCAGAGTTCTTATCTGGGGCACTGTCTTTTTTACATTTGTTTCATAGACTTTGTTTTGTATTTATTTAATGTTTTTTTCATTCATCGCTAGTGGACTTTATGCTCCACTAGTAATATCTCTTTTTAATTCTAATAACTCTATGATTGATTATTTTCAAAATGCATTGAATTTTTGGTACAATTCATCTGTTCCTGCCTCTATTATTGAATTATGAGATTTATATAGTCTAAGTCCTTATCTTACTCATTTCCCCCAGTGCTTAGATGAATGCCTAAAATATATTGTGTTCAACATGCTTGTTGACAAAAGAAATTAATGATTTAAATATTTTTATATTGTATTAGCTATTCACATATTGCATTAGATAAGCATGTCTCTTTTTTCAAATTAAACTCAACTTACTAGTCTAGCTGCCTACGACACATTATAGCAATTTTTTATCTACAAGTTTGAATTTTTTAATCTACAATTTGAACTTTATTTCCGCACTTTTTTAATGTACAAGTTGAACTTTTTTATTTCCACACATAAGTTTTAATAGCATGCGTCAATGAATAGGTCATAGGTAAATCAGTCATTTGATCTTGGGTTAGTAACTTTAGCGGCTTTTTAAGTTTTAACTAAAAGAGAAAAATCAGAAATTTTATTAGCTGGGGATAAATAGAATTATGTTTATGATAGCACTGTGTACGTGTAGGATGCTTCTGAAAAGGAAAACAGAGAACATCAGCTCATCTGGCTGAATTACTTACCCAATGTGTAATTTTGGACATTAATTTATCTCTATAAAGTTACAATGAATTTAAATAAGAGACATATCCATCAAGGTGGCAGATTAGATTAGTGACCTTCAAACGTTTTGATCACTCTTCCAGAAAGTAATTTTAAATAACTATGAACCCCTTTGCACATTATTGTTACTATCTACATTTTATATTTTGCTTAAGTTGAAGTTTCTGCAAATAATGTAATTTTCAAAACTGAGTGTACAAACTGATTTTTATGAGTATTGATATTGCTAAATGAAATTATATTACTTTTAAAGATCTATTTTAAAGACTACGAATACCACAGCAATTTGATATCCCTCATAATTCATTAAAATACATTATGGCATTAATCTCTTTTTTAATAGTTAAAAATTTTTAATGCTTGCTTTTTCTGTTAGAACTCATAGTTTTTCTACTTATCCACAGAAAATTACTGTAATATATTACTGTAACATATTTTATGTTTGAAAGCATTTTATAACTAATATACTATGCTGCAATAAGTATGTCTTTAAATTTACATTTATTTTTAATATACATATAAATATAAAAATTTATTTTATATTTAATAAATTAAAATTTTATTTTATATTTATATAAATATAAATATATTTATTTTATATTTATATAAAATAAATATATTTATTTTATATTTATATAAATATAAATATATTTATTTTATATTTATATAAAATAAATATATTTATTTTATATTTATATAAAATAAATATATTTATTTTATATTTATATAAATATAAATATATTTATTTTATATTTATATAAATATAAATATAAATTTATGTTAAAATGTCTTGGAACCACAATATTCAAAGAAATAAAATTGTTATTCTAGATTGAATTATAATTGAAATTATTTCTAATTTACAGTTTTTTAAAAATATAAATATGACATTTGAAAATAACGTTAAGTAAAATACTACTGTAAAATGCGTCTCTTACTAGGATGGATGAGGCAGCTGAATATTTTCACAATTATTCTATACATATGTTGGTGGACATTTCAAAATGAGGCTAGTTTTAGCAGAAATTTTGCTTTGTGTGTGTATGTTTATAAATAGTCATTGAGAGAAATCATGTTCACAAAAAGTAGCATAGGAAAATAAAGGACGCTTTTACAGCCAGGTTGTTTAATTCCTTAACTGTTTTGCAGATTTCATGCCAAAAGTCACATTGTGACTTGCCATCAAACATTTTTCATCAGTTAATAAGTCAATTAGGTTCCTCTCCAATTTTGTCAAACCGAGCAAAACTTAGAAAGCATCTGCCCTGCTGAATGATGTTATCCTATTTTTAAAGTCATTGACTTTAGTGCCTTTCAGTTTTCTTGCTAGTAGTGTGACCAGTTCCCTGTACGAAAATCTCCCTTTGTTGAGTGTTTCTTCTTTTTTGGCTTGTCTATATTTGACAGACTCAATCTTCATTTCACTAATTTTTCAGTCAATAGGAGGTAAGGAGCAAGAGAGAAGCCAAGGTATTTCTCATTCTCCCAGCATCAGGTCGTATGAGCAACAGGTGCATCTTCTTAATGACACTGCCTCCAGACAGAGAGACCCACAATGATTCCACCTGGGCAATCACGCGGCTGGGCTGTGCCAAAACCACTTTTCCCTTTGTAAATCCAGCCTAGGGTTCGTAGCACAACTTCCTGCTATAGCAAATTTTCCTGTTACGTCGCTACTTTGTTTGGCTTCTCATTACATCTATTACCTCTGTAAGCAATCCCTTTTACTTTTTGCTTCTTTGAGTAGATTATAGATTTTGCTTCTTTGAGCAGAGTTTACATTCTTGGTAGGAATCTGACTGATTTGGTTTCTTCGTAATACAGAAATCGGTTACCCTATATCATACATGGAACAAGCCCAGAGGAACATTATCAGGTAATCGCTCATATAATCATATCAAAAAGAATAAAATCACAAAGGATTTCAGAACTTTAAATAAGAATGTTGAGGGAGTCAAGTTTTTATGGAATTAATATAGGTAAAACCTACATAGATTTGTTTTGTCACTGCTATTATGACTACTTTTTATCTAAAGCCTAATATATTTGGGGAAATTATTCGATGGCAGTTGATTCAAGTTCTTCTTCTACTTAAAAATATAAAATATTTTTACTGTATTACCCAATTTTAATTTTGTGTTTTTAAATTAGCCCATCTTAGTAATTATAATAAAGATTGATTTAAAAATTTATACATCTAAGACTACAAAAGCTGTTTATTATTTTGGATTTTTATTATTTATATAACTACGTGAAGAGGGCTTTCCTTTTTAACTTTCAGGGTTCTGAAATGTGATGTTTAAAATCATGTTACCTTTAAATAACTTAATGAACTTATGCAATGTATACACAGTATAAATTCGGTATGAAACCTATGATGCTGAGGTATGGCCAAGACCAAGACTTCGTGAATATTCTGGCCTGCTTTGATTAAGTGTGACCTTTTTCTACACCAGATTCAAAGATATCCCAATTAGTATGACATTTCTTGTGAATCTATGTTAATTTAATGACAAAGTAAAAAGGATAAAAAGGAAAATGCATATCACAGCTCTACAAAGTGAAAATGTAATTCATTTCTCATTATAGGTTTTCAAAATTTTTTTCTTCTTATTTTTCCACTCATAATTCTATCTTCAAGTATATGGTCTGTCATATTAATAAATGGAAACTATTTTTAAATATGTAAACTTTAAAATAAGTTGATGGGAGTTTTAAGAGATACTACTGTATATCTATGTGATATTCAAATTAGTCACCTGAAGATTGTTTCATAAAATTACAGTTGTTTAATATTGCATGTAGTGGTATAGGCTGAATCGTCTCCCAAAAGATGCTGACATTCTAAGCCCTAGCACCTATGAATGTGACCTTAGTTAGAAAAAGGGTCTTTTCAGATGATCAAGTTAAGATTAGTTGGTTAGGGTAGCCCCTAATCCGATATGACTGTGTCCTTAAAAAAATAGAAAATTTGGATAGAGGGGAAGGCACACAAACAGAGACAATGCTACGTGAACATGAAGGCAGAGATGAGAGTGAACCTCTACAAGCCAAGAAATGTCCAAGATATCAGCAAACTGCCAGAAATTGGAGAGAGGCATGGAACAGATTATTTCTCGTAGCTATTAGGAGACAACCCTGCCAACACCTTGATTCTGGGTTTTGAGCCTCCAAAACTATAAGAAAATGAATGTCTGTTGTTGAAGCTACTTGGTTTCTGATGCTTTGCTATGGCAGCAGTTAAAAAATACTACATATAGTGAAGTTATGCTTGTTACATCATCTATTTTGTATCATATCTCTCTACTTCACCTTGACTTCCATGTGCATTTCTATCCCAATCTGCATCTAATATGTACTCATTTCTACAACTATATCTTCCCCAAATGTGTATAATTAAAGAAGGATTTCTTGAGAAACCAAAATCCTTTAAATTAAAACAAATTATTATAAACTAATGGAGACATCACGATTACTTACTATGCACTTAGAATTTTAATTTTCTGGGATCCACATTGTGTTTTACTAATTCAGTGTGTTTTTACTTGAATATTTTCTTCCTGCCTTGACTTCCTAGCTTGAAAGAGATGATGAACTCTTTATGCACTTAGTTTATTACCAGAAAGTATTTTTTAAGGCACTCACAAAAGTTATGCACCTTTTGTGATACAGTCATTTTAGAAGTAATGTAAATATTAAGGATACCTAGGCATATTGACATACATGCATCTTAATGTAGTTGCTTTCCAACCTCAAGTAAATTTCTGGGTGAATAATTAAAAAAAAATAAAAAATTTAATTTTTTAATGTGTATATTAATTGGCTTCATAAACAGAGACACTTGAAAGTATTCACTGACTCTTAAGCTTTTATAATTTTTTAATTTTTAATTATTTTATTTTATTTTATTTTGTTTTCTGAGATAGAGTCTCGCTCTGTTGCCCAGGCTGGAGTGCAGTGTCTCCGCTCACTGCAACCTCTGTCTACCAGACTCCAGCGATTCTCATGCCTCGGCCTCTCAAGTAGCTGGGATTACAGGCCTGCACCAAGAAGCCTGGCTAATTTTTTTATTTTTAGTAGAGATGAAGTTTCGGAGTTTCACCATGTTGGCTAGGCAGGTGTCAAACTCCTGGCCTCAAGTGATCTGCCTGCCTCAGCCTCCCAAAGTGCTAGTATAACAGGCTTGAACCACCGCGCCCAGCCCAAGCTTTTATAATTTATAACTGAAAAGTTTTAAGACCATCCAGTGCAGTTTCTTGGAGTTAACTTTACTCACATTCCTAGCATTTATAATACTCACTCTTCCAGTACTGGCTGAGTTCACTTTTCCCAGACTTAAATAGATGCCCCTGCCCTTCTTCTTCCACAGTACTTAGCCATTAGCTGTAAATGCTTTTGTAATTATTGGTCCTTGCACTAGAACTTCAGACGGGGGCCATGTCTATCTCGTTCGTCTTTTTATCTGGTCTCCAGTACAGTACCTCCTACATTGCTTGAATGGAAGAAAAAATGAATACGTCTGGATACACATATAGTAGGAGAAGTCGCAACACAATGGAAAAATGAGGACTTCAGTGTCAGATCTAGATTCAAATCCTGTATCTGCAACATATTTGATGAGCAGGTTATGTAACACTTCTGAGAGGACATCTCTTCAGCTATCAAATGGACATATTAATTCTCACCTCACAGATTGTTGAATGGCATAAAAGGATTTTATATATATACACACACACATATATATGCTTTATATATATATACACATATATGTTTTATATATAAACTATATATGTTACATATACACATATATGTTATATATATAAACTGTATATGTTATGTATACACATATCTGTTATATATTTATAGACACATATATATGTTATATATGTATATTATATATATAAAATGCCCATATATTTATTATGCCCATATAATCCCAGCTACACAATAGTTACTCAATAATGGTTACTATAATTATTGTAAGATTATAACATTATGATAAATTCATGGAGGACTCAAAAATTTATTGCTTTGTGTACTTTCTCATTACTCATAGTATGCTACAAATAATATAAAAATTAAATTTAGAGATAATGATTGATAAAATAAAATATATGTTCTACTTTACCCAAGAGCATCCAGCCAAATGACCAGTTTTGAGCAAAAGGAGTCCTGACATTTTTGTGAGGTCTTGGGTAAAAATAACAACAATAAGAACGTCATCACCTTGAGGATTTTTATACTGTTTGGAGGATCTGATACCTACAATTATGATATTATAACAAAATCTTGCCTAGAACAATTCAAATCCATATGGCCCTAAGAAATACTGTCCTTTGCATAAATTAATATGTGATGATTTTTGCAGGTGTATATGTTGTTTTTATTTCTTTGAGACAGAGTCTTGCTCTGTTTCCCAGGCTGGAGTGCAGTGGCGCGATCTCGGCTCACTGCTACCTTAGCTTCCCGGGTTCAAGCAATTCTCCTGCCTTAGCCTACCCAGTAGCTGGGACTACAGGCACCCGCCACCACGCCCAGCTAATTTTTGTATTTTTAAGTAGAGACGGGGGTTTCACCATGTTGGCCAGGCTGGTCTTCAACTTCTGACCTCAAGTGATCCGCCCGCTTCAGCCTCCCAAAGTGGTGGGATTACAGACATGAGCCACTGTACCCGGCATATGTCATCATTTTTATGGTTTTTCTTTCTGAAACAAAACAAAACAACTGGCAGATACTGACCAGCTCTTTTATGAGATTAGCCTAATCTTCATGCCAAAACTTAACAAGGAAGTACATAAAAAGGAAATTTACAGATCAATTTTACTGCTAAACATAGAGACAAAGATATTAAAGAAATTTTGGCAACCTAAATCTACTAATATCTAATGAGGATAATGCCTTATAACCAAATTAATTTTATTTAAGAAATGCAAGATTTGTTAAACATTAGATATCAGTTAATGTACTTTATCACATTGAGGAAATAAAAGACAAATCACACAAGTAGATGCAAAAAAAGCATTTAATGAACAAACAACATTTATTCATAACAATTATATGCTAAATAGTATAGAAATGAATTTACTTAATCTAGAAAAGGAAAAGTACAGGAAAACTACAGCACCTGTGGATAAATGGATAAAGGAATGTAACACACAACACACACACACACACACACACACACACAGAGAATATTATTCAGCCTTAGAAAAGGGAAATTCTGTCATTCGTAACAAAGTGGATCAACATAAGACATTATGCTAGGTGAAATAAACCAAGCACAAAAAGACAAATGCTAAATAATACATAAATTTTCTGATCTGTGATTGGTAAAGGAGGAAAAGATTTGTCTAAAAATTTGGGTCAACAGAAAGGAATGTTGGCTTTGGCCTGCGGCATGAATACCTCTAGGCTTCTCAGAAGGAAATTTAGAACAAAGAAAGGAAGTCAGAGTTCAGTCCTCAGTTTCCTTATCTGAGGTCTACATGTCAGCAGGCAGCAATTTTTGTTTGGTAGGAGTCTAGGTTTCTGAGAAACCATTCAGGGACCCATGTTACGATGCTGTCTTTAGTTTCTATTGAGAACCAAACATTTTGTGGCTCTAATTTCCTTGGATATTATTTTAAGGTATTATTATCTTCTTGTTTATCAGATTGCTGATTTACTTCTCATGGCTAGCCGGGTGCCTGAAAATTCCGCTGGAAGAACTCAAGATTTTCCTTTTATTCCATGCTTTGAGGCAGAGAGGTAACTGGCAGGTGCCTAAGAGGGGTCACTGCGCCATCTCATAAATAGCCTATATTTTTATTCTTTTTAAATTTCTTTTAATTTATTTCAATTTTATTCTGAAATCTCTAACTTAAAATTTGTCTCTATTTTGCTATTTTTGCATTTTTAGAATTATTGCTATTTTGTATTCTTAGAATTATTAATCTTACCTTTTCATTTATATTGCCCAGAAGTTTTTGGATTATTTTATTTTTTCTACTTGCTTGTATATTTTATTTTTATTTCATATTTACATACATATATATATAATTTTGGATTGGGGGTGCATGTGCAGAATTGTTACACTGATATAATACTTAATAAAGATATTTGTATATTTTAAGTTTTCTTCTTAATTACCTCTGGAATTCTATAATGCGTAACAACTTATCAAAGCATAAGGGTCAATCAGTGTAATACACTTGCAAATAATACAACAGTTTTAGAGCTCATCATATTCTTGGAAAACAATCCTTAAGAAGCAATCATTTTCTCTTGTGTAGTTTATGTCTTCTGGTCTCTGTTGTTGCTGTTGAGAATATTGCCTAATAGTCTTTATTTTTTACATTTTTTTCTTTTGGGTACATTGAAATACCTTTTCTTTATATTTGCTTTTCTGAAGTTTTTATTTTTGGAAATATTTTTATTTACTTTGTTTCAAATATATTCTGCTTTTGATGTCTGTACATTCAAGTGTTTTGTCCTTTCCAAATAATCTTCATCTACTGTTTTTTCAAATATGTCAAGATTCCATTTTCTCTATTTTTTTTTCTATTGGGAGTTACACCTGGATTTACAGTCACCCTTAACCTTTTATCCTCAATATCTCTTCCTCATTTTTTCTCTACATAAAAGAGAAAATGGGAAAAGAACATGTTTTTTGCTGTTTTCAGAGTAATAGCTTCAAATCTAACTTCTAGTTCACAAATATCTCTTTCAGGTGAATCTGTCTATTGTTTAAACTATCTAAAGACTTAATTATTGTTATTATTATTTACTCATTTTTATAGATTCAGGGGGTACATGTCAGGTTTGTTACATGGATATATGTTGTTACATGGATATATTGTGTAATGGTGAGGTTTGGGCTTCCAGGGTTCCTCTCACCCAAAAAGTAAACATTGTACCTTATAGGTAATTTTTTTAACCTTCACCTTCCTTCAAAACTCCCCCTTTTTGAAGTGCCCTGTGTCTTTATTTCAGTCTGTATGTCCATGTATACCTATTGTTTAGCTCTAACTTATAAGTGTTAACAGGCAGTATTTGATTTTCTGTTTCTGACTTATTTCACTTAGAATTATGGCCTCCAGTTCCATCCATGTTGGGACAAAAGACATGATTTAATCTTTTTATGGCTGTGTAGTAGCTCCTGGTGTATCTGTACCACATTTTCTTCATCCAGTGCACCACTGACGGATATATAGGTTGATTCCATGACTTTGCTAAACAATGAGATAAACATACATATAGTGCAGGTGTCTTTTTTACGTAACAATTTATTTTCTTTTGGGTAGTTACCAGTAGTGCAATTGCTGAGTTAAATGGTAATTCTATCTTTAGTTCTTTGAGAAATTTCCATACTGTTTTTCATAGAGGTTGGACTAACTTACATTCCCACCAACAGTGTATAAATATTTTTTTCTCCACATTGTTACCAACAACATCTGTTGATTTTTTTTTTAATTTTTTTACTTTTTAGTAACACCCATTCTAACTGGTGTGAGATAGTATCTCATTGAGGTTTTAATTTGCATTTCTCTTATGACTAGTGATATTGAGCATTTGTTCATGTTTGTTGGCTCCTTGTATGTCTTCTTTAGAGAACTGTCTGGTCATAACCTTCGCCCGCTTTTTCTTAGGGTTGTTTTTTGTATGTTGAATTGTTTTGAGTTCCTTGTAGACTGTGGATATTTGTCCTTTGTTGGATGCATAGTTTACAAATATTTTCTCCCATTCCTCAGGTTGTCTGTTCACTCTGTTAAGTCTTTTGCTGTGCAGATGCTTTCAAGTTTAATTAAGTCCCATTTGTCTATTTTTGTTTTTGTTGCCTCTGCTTTTTAGGTCTTAGTCATAAATTCTTTGCCTAGGGCAGAGTCCAGAAGAGTTATTTCTCAGCTTTTTTCAAGTTTTTTTTTATAGTTTTGGGTCTTAGATTTAAGTATTTAATCCATCTTGAGTTAATTTTTGCACATGATGAGAGACAGGTTCCAGCTTCATTCTTCTGCATATGGCTATCCAATTCTCTCAGCACCATTTGTTGAAGACAGTACCCTTTTCCCATTGTATGTTTTTATCAACTTTGTAAAAATCAGTTGGCTATAGATATGCAGCTTTATTTCCAGGTTCTGTACTCTGCTCCAATGGTCTTTGTGTCTGTTTCTGTACCAATACCATGTTATTTTTGTTACTATAGCCTTGTAGCATAATTTGAAGTTGGGTAATTTGACACTTCCAGCTTTGTTCTTTTTGCTTAGGACTGCTTTGGCTATTGAGGTTCTTTTTTGGTTCCACAAGAATTTCAGAATTTTTTTTCCTAATTTTGTGAAAAATGATGTTGGTAATTCAATAGGAGTTTCATTGAATCTGTATATGCTTTGAGCGATATGGTCATTTTAACTATATTGATTCTTTCAATCTATGAACATGGGATGTTTTTCCATTTGATTGTGTCATCTATAATTTCTTTTATTACTACTGTAGTTCTGCTCTTAGAAATTTTTCACCTTCTTGGTTTGATGTATTCTTTTTTATATTTTTGTGGTCATTGTAAATTGAATTGGGTTCTTCATTTGGTTTGCAACTTGAACACTCTGTATAGAATGTATAGAAATACTACTAATTTTTGTACATTGATTTTTGTATGCTGGAACTTTACTAAAGTCATTTCTCAATTCTAGGAGTCTTTTGGAAGAGTCTTTAGGGTTTTCTATTTGTAAAATACCATGTCATCAGCAAACAGAAATAATTTGATTTCATTTTTTTTTTCCAATTTAGAGGCTTTTATTTCTTTCTCTTGCCTGATTTCTCTGGCTAGGACTTCCAGTACTATGTTAAACAGGAGTGGTGAAAGTGGATATACTTGTATTTTTCCAGTACTTTTCATCTTTTCCTCATTAAGTATGATATTACTTTGGGTTTGTTGTATATGGCTTTTATTATTTTGATGTATGTTCCTTCAATGACCAGTTTGATGAAGATTTTCTTTTTATCATAAAGGGACGTTGGATTTTATTAAATGCTTTTCTGCATCTATTGAGATGATCTATGATTGTTGGTTTTAATTCTGTTTATGTGGTGAATTACACCTATTGATTTGGATATATTGCATTCCTGAAAGACAACCCACTTGACTGTGATGTATTAACAGACAACCCACTTGACTGTGATGTAGTAACAGACAACCCATTTGACTGTGATGTAGTAACAGACAACCGACTTGACTGTGATGTAGTAACTTTTTGATGTGCTGTTAAATTCAGTTTGCTAGTATTTTATTGAGAATTTTGCTACTATGTTCATCAATGATATTAGCCTGTAGGTTATTTTTGTTGTTGTGTTCTTGCCTGATTTTGGTATCAGGGTGATACTTGTTTCATAGAATGAGTTAGGGAGGAATCCCTATTCCTTGATTTTTTTGGAATAATTTTTAGTAAGATAGGTACCAGCTCTTCTTTGTGTAATGCATCTGGTAAAATTGGGCTGTGAATCTGTCTGGTTCTGGGTTTTTATTTGTTAGGAGATTATTAATTACTGACTCAATTTCATTTCTTATCATTGGTCTGTTCAGGGTCTCTATTTCTTCCTGGCTCAATATTAGGAGATCGTATGTTTCCAAGAATTTATCCATTTCCTCTAGATTTTCTAGTCTGTGTGTGTAGAGATTCTCATTGTAGTCTCTGATTATCTTTTTCATTTTTGTGGTACCAGTTGTGATATCACCCTTATCATTTCTGATTGTGTTTATTTGAATTTTCCCTCTTTTTTTCTTGGTTGGTCTAGTTAGCATTCTATCAATTTTATTTATCTTTTCAAAAAACTAACTTGTCATTTCATTGATCCTTTGTATCTTTTTTTTTTTTTTTTTTGGTCCCAATCTAGTTCTGCTCTGATCTCTGTTATTTTTTTTCTTCTGGTAGTTTTGAGTTTGTTCTTGTTTTTTAGTTCCTTGAAGTGTGGCATTAGGTTGTTAACTTGAGAACTTTATATCCTTTTGATGTAGGCATTTAGTGATATAAGCTTTCCTCTTAGCATTGCTTTTGCTGTACCTCAGAGGTTTTGATGTGTTGTGTGTATTTTCATTTACTTAAAAATTTTTTGAATCTTGGCCTTAATTTCATTATTTAACAAATGATTATTGAGGAACAAGTTGTTTATTTTCCATATATTTGTATAGTTTTGAGAGTTGCTCTTGGTATTGATTTCTAATTTTATTCCACTGTGCTCCAAAAAGATACTTGATGTGATTTCTACTTTTTAAAAATTTATTGAGACTTGCTTCACAACTAAGCATGTGGTCTATCTTGGGGAATATTTCATGCACAGATGACAAAAAAATATATATTCTACATTTGTTGCGTATAATGTTCTGTTAATGTCTACTAGGTCCCTTTGATCTACAGTCCAGTTTAAATTCAGTTTCTTTTGATTTTCCATCACAATTATCTGTCTAGTGCTGTTGGTGACATGTTGAAGTCCCCTAATTTTATTATACTGCTATCTGTTACAGAGATTTTGATTTATCATTTATATTTTCTTAATTCAAAAGGAGTTGTTTCTTTTCCAAAACTTCCTGTTTATTTTCAGTATGTGTTTTAGGTAAAATCTTATTAATTTGAACTTTTTTCATATATTTAAAAAAATTCCTTGTGTGATCATTTGAATTCATAGTCCTTATGCACCTATGTCTGTGTTTCTTCTGACTTGTCCATGGTGGCTTGGGAATCTTTGACAATCATCTCAATCAGTGACATTACTCTTGGCCCTAATCGTGAATAATTTTCTTCAGAGAAAATTAGCATTTATATTTGCCAAGATACAAGAGATACTGCAAAGCTGGGAATAACTTAGCTCCAAAGGATGTGGATTCAATGTGAATGACTCTGGTTAATTTAAGTCTTCATATGCACTGGTCCCAGATTTAGTCTTCAAACTTGCACACATTTAAGCATTTATCTTTCAGGGAAGTGTTCCTGCTTTAGTTGATTTATTAGTCATTGCTCGCACTTCTTATTTCAGTTCATGGCATTTTATTTTATTGTTCTTTTGGGAGCAGGATGGAGCATCCTTGGAAACACAGTGACTCTTTGTGAGCCAGCAATATTGAAAATATGTTTTATCCAGAATATAGTAGTTCTGTAACAGGAGGTTTTTTAAGAGTATCTTGCCCAATACACTGCAGAAAGCAAAATTCTGTTGATCATGCATTTTTAGCATATTTGATTTTAGCATTATTGTTTGAATAGTTCCAAACTAATACCTTATCTACAATATTTAAATTTAAATGCCTTCTACAAATAAATTCAAAATATTTCAAATAGAAAAACTGTCAGCTGGTCAGGTGCGGTGGCTCCTGCCTGTAATGCCAGCACTTTGGGAGGCCGAGGCGGGTGGTTCACAAGGTTAGGAGTTTGAGACCAGCCTCACCAACATGGTGAAACCCTGTCTCTACTAAAAATACAAAAATTAGCCCGGTGTGGCAGAGTGCGCCTGTAATCCCAGCTACTCAGGGGGCTGAGGCAGGAGAATCTCTTGAACTCGGGAGGCAGAGGTTGCAGTGAGCCGCCATCACACCACTGCACTCCAGCCTGGGCAACAGAGCAAGACTCTGTCTCAAAACAAAACAAAACAACAACAACAACAAAAACTGTCAACTAGGAAATGCAAACAAGAGACACATTTTATAGACATTCAATAGGTAACAGAGGAAATTTAAAATTTTACCTATAGGTGTAAAATGTTGTTAATATTTTAGAAACATATAGCCATATCACCTTTATTCTATTTAAAGGTATCTCCTTTTAACTAATTGAACGCCTCTTGTATTAAAAATTATTTAGCAACCAACTTTTTTTTTTACTTTTTTAGTCACATACTCAGCAAATGAGATCCTGTCATTTGCAACAATATGAATGCAACTGGAGATTATTATGTTAAGTGAAATAAGCCAGGCATAGAAATCACATGTTCTCACTTATTCATGGAATCTAGAACTCATGAACATATAAAGTGGAAGGATGATTACTAGAGGCTGGGAAGAGTAATAGGGGTTTGGCGTGGGAGGTGAGGATGGCTAATGGGTACAAAAAAAAAAAAGAAAAAATAAGACATGCAAATTGATAGCACAATAGGGTGACTATAGTCAATAATAACTTAATTGTATTTTTAAAAATAAATAGTGCAATTAGATTGTTTGTAACATGAAAGATAAATAATTGATGGGATGGATACTCCATTTTCCTTGATATGCTTATTTAACATTGTGTGTCTCTATCAAAACATCTCACATACCCAATAAATATATACAACTATTATGTACCCACAAAATTTTTAGAAATAATTTTTTAAAAATTTTAAACCAAAATAAATAAAATCTCAGGATGCATAGAAACTGTAGTTTATTTTTATGGTAAACAATTAACTGTAGGAATCTTGCTCAAAAACTTGTACTAGATTTTAATAGCATATTTGGAAACCATATGATATTATGTGTAAATATATATTTATATATTTGAAAATGCCAATTGTAAAATATATAATAGAGACTTTTAAATGACCATAAAATCAAATGATGCCTTTATCAAGTATAACTTGATTTCTTTAGTGTACATTTAAAGTGATGAAGAGATTTAAAATGAGTTTTAAAATTCCTGTTACATAGCAGATTTATTGTCTATAGTTAAGGGCTTTTGACTCTCTGGAAAAAAAAAAACAAGACAAGTATGTCTTAGTAAAAGGATGATGACTCGTCACAGAATTTCATTGGAATATACTCTGTACGTTCCAAGTTCCAAAAGTATTTAACAATTTTCATTAAATTAACAAAGGGACAGAGCAGTGTGAAACAAATTTAAAATACAATACAACAATATTGAGAGCAAAAGCTACCCTGGTTTTAGATTTAGATGATTTTTAATGCCTTATATCTACAGAGAACTGTATAATATTTAATCAGTTTTACAAATGTGAACTCACAGACTTAACTCTTCAGGCTGTTTTCAAAATGTGTTTATAAAGTCATTAAGGGGTTAGTGACCAATGAGGACAACTTTAGTTGTTCCATGTTCTCCTTTTTCATTGTTTGTTTCTACCTTTCTTGTCTGCCTTCTATTTCTCCCTCTTTCCTTTACCTTTCTTGAATATTTATGTCTTCAGTTATTAATTGAACTTGCAGTGTGTGTTAACAGCTTCATTCAATGTGAAGAAGTAAAGTTATGTCCCCTGGGTAATAAAGTATTATGAACTACTGGATAAAACATTGAGAAACAGCAGTAAAATAACAGTAAAAACCAGCATATACTATTATGGGAATAGTCAAATATCAATAAATGCAGTGGTGACATCCTCCAAGTATAAACAGAAAACATATGTGCTTAGGTGTAACCCATTTTATATATTAACTTGTTGAAAACAACCTCATTACATGAAAAGGAGTCTAGAAAGAAATAGATCACAGTGGGCTAAATTATCAGTCAAAAACTTTTTTTTAAAGAGCATCTATTTATACTTTAGGTAAGTATAGCATGTAAACAGATAAAAAAGCTAAGGTGGGCTTTCCAGGTGAGAGAAGCAGTGCAAGAAATATAATCACAGAGTTAGAAATGAGAAGATATGTTTAGATCACAATGAATGTATTTACCTAGCTATAAAGCAAGGCTGTATTTATTTCTTTGTTTAATAAATTCTGTGAGAGAGAAGGCTAAAAATACACATTGAGGCAACACTCTTGGAGAACCTCGATTACCCACTGATAGAAGTTTGAAACCGTTCTGGATGCAATTAATTGATTTGAGCAAGTATTTACTGTGAGCATCGTTATGCCACAGCATGACGAATCTCTTTCTACACAATTCTCCAACTTGCAGTCTAACCATCACCTTTCTTTAAGAAACTTTCCTTGGTTGATTTTAAAACCATATCCATTTTCTTCTTAGCACAAAAACATTAAATCTATGAAGATTTCACCTAAAAAAGATGCTTTAGTAATGTAACTATTTCTTTAATTGGAGAAAAATTACAGATTTAAAAAATTGAAATACATGGGACAGGGCTGTATCCAACCTGGTTTTCTGCCCTCGGAGCAGTAAGGGAGGCCCTGTAGGGATGCGAAGGGTGTCATCCCTTTCTTCTTCTTTATAAGGGTTATGGCTGACACTCCTATAACAAAAGACAGGGTAACAAGAGAAAAGCGTAACACATTTAATCATAGTTTTGTGTGACATGAAAGCCATCGGAAATGAAAACCCAAAGGTACACAGTAAGATGTCTGGTTTCATATTCAGGTTTGATGAAGCAGGAACAGCCAGGTAGAAATGTGACTGGATAAAAAGAGTAGGATCTAATAGTAATAGATTGAGAGGAAAACCCAAAAAGGGCTGTTTATTCAGATTCCTCTTGGCCTTTCTGTGCAGCCTTTCTTTCTTCCAGTTCTGGGGCAGGGATCTCCCTGGAATGGGGGTATTACGACCCACAATCAAACGTAGGTCATAGAATTTCTTTATGGCCAGTTCTTACACAAAAATATGTCAGAAAGTTATAATACTATGTTTAGGTTTTATGGCTGGCTTTGGGGAAAGGGAGTTTTTATTTCTATGACCTGCCTTAGGAAAGAGAGCTTTGAGTTTCTATGTCTTGCCTCTGGGAGAATGAGAGGTGAGTGACAGGAGAGCAGGAAAACGTCAGAGATAAACTTTGCTTCTGATGCTGCTTTTGAGGCCTTCTCAATGTAATGTTGTATTCTGAGCCTCAAAAGCTCCAACAGGCGCCTGTAGTCCCAACTGCTGGGGAGGCTGAGGCAGGAGAATGGCGTGAACGCGGGAGGCGGAGCTTGCAGTGAGCCGGGATCACACCACTGCACTCCAGCCTGGGCGACAGAGCGAGACTCCGTCTCAAAAAAATAAAAATAAAAGAAAAAGAAAAAAAAAAGGCTCCAACAGGTAAAGTGAGTAATTATTTACAGAATAGGTCTGGGAAAGGGGTAAATGTATTTATAAAATAAAATGTTTCCTCTGAACATATAATTTTAATGGGAGTTATACTGGGGAAGAATTGAGGTTTACCCTGACATTTATTTCTCATTACTTAATGCCAAATGCCCAAAGCACTTCTGTTTTTATAGGAAATTTGTACTTATCCAATCTCATGTTGCATCAATGTGTTCTAAACTTTACTAGTCTTTATAAATAAATCTAAATCTAACAGCTTTTATTTCCCACTGTAGAAGAGGCAAAACTCTACCTCTCTTTTCTTAGGGTCTCTGGTTGTGCCTGAGACCTAACTTGACATAAGGCAGATTTAACACTAGGAAAACATATACACATTTATTTAATATGGGTTTATGTGACAAGTGAGCCCTCATAAGGAAATGATTACTGAAAGAACTGATAAAACTTAAATGCTTTTATACTAGGTTAAACCAAGAAAGGCAGTTGTGGAAAAGTAAGTAAAATATGTAAGTAAAATTTGCCAGAATGGCATATTTTGCAGTGGTGTGTTCTAAACTCCTTCACCACCTGAAGCAGAAATCTCCTTCGGCAAAAGTCTTCTTCAGAAAATATGGGTATTAACTTCCATGGGTCTTTCAATATGTTCACAAATTATCACCTTGCAGTGAATGAAGACATCCTATGGTCTTTGAATTTAGATTTAAAAATCACTATTTTTTTCCTCTTTATTCTACATGCCCCCACCAGCTCAGTGGAGTTGAATCTGTTATTGGTCTGAAGTGTTGTCACCCCACACCGATGATAAAGCTAAGTGAACGTGTCATTGTAATTCACAAAAAATATAGAGATTTGCTGCCGCCGCAAATCTACTACTAACCAAGGCATGGTTTTTACTGAAAGTCTCTGCCGTGGTTTGGATATGGTTTGTTTGGCCTTTCCAAGTTTCATGTTGATATTTGATCCCCAGTGTTGGAATTAGGGCCTATTGGGAGGTATTTGGGTCCTGGAGGCAGATCCCTCATGAATGGTTTGGCACCATTCTCATGGGAGTGAGTTAGTTCTCACTGTTAGTTCCCATGCAATCTGGTTGTTAAATAAATAAATACATAAAATCTGGCATCTCCCCCTCCTCTCTTCCTTTCTCTCTCACCATGTGATATTCACATGCCATCTCTTCTTCACATTCCTTCATGAGTGGAAATAGTGAGTCCCTAGCCAGAAGCAGATGCTGGCACCACGCTTCTTGAACAGCCTGCAGAACCCTGAGCCAAATAAGCCTTTAAAAAAAAAATTACCCAGCATCAGGTATTCCTTTATAGCAACACAAACAGACGAAGACAGTCCCCAAAACATATGAGGGTTGTTGACATTGAGTGAAAGAAAAGTATACAAAATTATCTCTTAGATTCTCAATATTTAAAAGTTGAACAGAAAACTCAAGAAAATATTTTCTTGATGCTACTCAATCCCAGTAGCATTGAGTGTCATGAAAGCCACGGAAAGAGAGTGTTTTAAAGTGGGACTGGTAAATAGTGCAAATACTAAAGACAATTAAGTAACGTAAGATGCGTGAAGTATCTGTTGAATTTAAACACATATAGTTCAAGAATCAAATTGGAAAGAACAGATTTTGGGTGTGCAGAGGGTAAAACTACGTTGTGTTAATGACATGTTAGAGGGTAAAAATATGGAGTAGTAGCTACCTACAGTCAAGGTACAGGCATAAGAAAAGGTTGGGGTTTAGAAAGCTGGGATGCTATAGGAGAGGACTCAATCGATTTTAAAATGGTACAGAATCAGAATCAGTTTAGGAAGGAAACAAAGGATAGGATTACAGGACTAAGAATGTGGGAGAAGTCAGAAGGCTGCAGATCTTGATGAAGCTGAAGAATACTTGTAATGGAGGAAACTAAGTAAGCTAGCCATAAGGATTTGGATTGCATTGAGAAAGTGGGCAATTGAATTTCTTATTTCAGAGAAAAAGCAATTTTGAGTGATGTGAAAAGCTGTAGGGAAGCAATTGGAGCAAGTAACCAAAGTGGAGTAAGAATGAAGTTCATGGAGATAATGAGATCAGAGAATTAAAAGAGTGAGTTTTTGTATAAATAATTCTAGTGGACTTTGAATTCGCTTAGGATTAGGATGACTATACATATGTCAGTTTAGCTGTGAAGTTTTTAGCCATTAACACTCACATAAATTTTCTATTTTTTACTTTCTTCTACAATTCCCATTAAGCAGACATTAGGCTACTTGATTGTGTCCCACTGGTCTATTACACTCAGTTCATTTTTCTCATTTCTTTTTTTTTTTCTGCTTTGCAGACAGGAAAATATCAGTTATCCTATCCTCATGTTCCTGCTTCTGTCTTCTGCCTGCCAAATCTGCTATTGATTCTCCTCAGCAAATTTTTTATTCTAGTTATTGTACTTTCTGGCTCCAGGAGTTCTGTTTAGTTCTTTTCAAATTTGTATTTCTTTGCTGATATTATTTTGTTTATACATGTTTTCTGATTTCCTTTAGTTCTTTGTCCATATTTTCCTTTAGTTTTTTGAACATACTTAATAGAGTTGTTTTAAAGTGTCTGTCTTATATTTCTAATGTCTGGCTGAGAACTGCCTGAAGGACTCAAGTCACTTTTCCCTTTTTTGCCTGTCTTGGAACTTATTCTGGCCAGAAAAGCATCAGATGGCTGGGGCAAAAGATTATGGTTGAGACACACAACAGATGAACTAAGGCCTAGGAGAAAAGGCTAGGGAGAGCTATGTCTGTTTAGCTTTTTGAACATACTTAATAGAGTTGTTTTAAAATGGCTGTCCTATATTTCTAATGTCTGAACTTTTTTAGGGCTGATTTGTGTCAAATTTAAATGGGTCATGCTTTCCTATTTCTTTGTGTGCTTCATAATTTTTTGCTGAGAACTGAATATTTGAATATTATAATGTTATTGTCTTTTTTATTGTATGCATTTTAGTGGGTGTGAAGTGGTACCTCATTGTGGTTTTGATTTGTATTTCCTTAATAACTAATGATGTTCTGCATCTTTTCATGTGCTTATTGGCCATTTGTATATATTTCTTAGAGAAATATCAATTCATATCCTTAGCTTACTTCCAACTGGACTATTTCTTCTATTAGTTTTTAGTTTTAAATTATCTTGTATATTCAGGATGCAAGTTTCTTTTTAGATATGTAATTTGCAAGTATTTTATACCACTCTATGCAATGGTTTTGAGACCTGTTCATACAAACACATATTCACACACTCATTTGCCTCTCACTGTTGCATGATACCTCATGTTGACTTTCTACCACACATTATCTAGTTTTTCCTCATATGATGGACACCTCTGACTAACCATTATCACAAACAATGCTGTAATTAATATCCTTGTAGAATTTTGTGATGTATATCTTGGGAATATATATATGCAAAATGAGAATTTCTGGGCCATGAGCAATTTAACTGCCTTCCACTGTGATTTCCAGGTTAAATGCACCAGTCGATACTCTCACTAGCAGTGCATGAAGTGACCTGTATCAGAGTTCCTACATCCACACCAGCAGATACTATTTTAATTTTGCCAGTAGGATGCTTATAAAATACATGTTTGTTGGAATGTGTGTTTTTGTGACTTATTTTCTTAATTTTGTAGTTTATTAATTTATATAGTAAACTTCCTAAGTACCAGTATATTCAATTTTAAAATAAAACAATATCTCTTCTACAAGGTTGCAAGAAATAAATGAAATAATGTATATAATGCCCTTTTTTAATGCTTGATGCATTTGAAGCATTTAATAAATATAATGCCTTCTTATTTGTAGTGTTAGTGTGTTGTTGAAAACTGTAAATATTGTTGCAGTTATTGTGAGAAAGGAATAAAACTAGAAAATCAATTATCTCATAAAATGGCAAATACTGTTCTGATAGAGTTTCTAATACGCTGGCCCCTAAGTGAGTCGTCTCTGATCATTTTAGTTTTTTCTATTTCTAATACTTTCCTATGCAAATATTTTAATTACCTGCTATGAAGGATTGCCTAAAGATCTGTTGGTGGTCTTTCTATCAACTCTGCAGTCCTGGACTTAGCCTCAGTAAGATTAGAATTTGGCACATTGTGAGAAATGAAAAATTGTTTTAGATAGAACATAGACTGTAGAAGTGTGTTATCTGGATTCAGATCCCAAATCCATGATCTAATAGCTATGTGATTCTTAGCAATTATCCAAATTCTCTAGACTTCAGATTACTCATTGTAAAGTGAGGATCATAATGGTGCCTATCATGTGCAATGGCCATGAAGATGAAATGTAAAGTGTAGAGCACCTGCCACTAAGTAAGATAATTCTATTTATGCTAGCTGTTATCATTATTAATTATGATTATTATTAATCTAGGATGTATGTTAATTAACCAATAATTAATTGACAGCAGCTCGTATTCATAATGTACTTCATATCCTGTGTACCTGGTGATTTATTTTGCTTGTGGGCAAGTAGTCATTACTTAGCTCTAGATTATGGAAGTTAATGCCAAAATCAGAACTATTCTTATTTTCTTTCTCAATCAAGTACAGTTTTATCTTCTTTTAACTTGGAGGAAGCGAGTGGGATCCTTTTTTTATTTTTTGCCTTGTTCATATACATTTTTAATCTAGCACTAGCAGATTCTGCAGCTTTTCATATCAGCCAAGCTCAGTAACTCAACATTAAGGAATGTTATGCAGTATATATATAATATATGATGTATATATGGCAACTTAAATAAGTTCCTAGAGAGAAAAAGATGATTACAAGTGTGAGCTGCAAGCCAACAATCAGTTTAAATGAAAGGGGAGCAGAAAGTAAGAAAGTGAAGGAGGCATTGCAGCTTGCCCAGTTCCATATAGATTCGGTAAATGTGAAAAGCTAGTTTAAACACTTAATAATATTGATCTTCCTCCAAGGGTTTCTTTGGAGCTGACTTAATTAGTGTTTATTAACCATTCTCCACCAAATACTTGTCTAATACCTTAAAAGTCTATTTCAGCAGCTATAATCTCTGCTAGTGCAAGAAAATGCCTCCCTATCATGCTTGCTCCAGTGGAATAACAACTTACATCTACCTACCTAATGTTCAAACAATTGGTTAAAAAGTTAAAAATTCACCAATTGACTGATTATTTTGTTTACACAAAATTAAACAAATTAATTTTTTTTAGTAAGCTGAATAAAAAACAACAAACTTGTAAAGATACAGCAGTAAGTACCTTTTGATGCAAGGAGAACACAAAATATTTTAACCAGTTTGTGATGGGTTTTAAGGATTTTACTATGAGCCAAGCAAAAAAATAATTCTGGAAAATAACTCATATAAAATTAAAGGTTAGAGATGACTGAGTACCCTCAGATAAAATTAGAGCATATATTCACTGATTAATATTTATAAAGTTGAACTTTTACTTTTAAAACATATTTGTATTTCTTACATTTGTTCATATTTAAGAAGAGGAGAAAGAGAAGAAAGAAGAGAAAAAGAAAAAAGGAAGAAGACAGAAAGAAAAGCAGAAAAAAGGGAAAAAGAAAAGCGAGGAAGGGAGGGAGGAAGGAAGACAACCAGAGAGGGAGGGAGAGATTGCCCAGTAATCATTATGTTCAGTTCAGTGATGCTATTACAACTTCTGCTGCACTCTAAGAGTTAAGGAAGAGTTTAGTGGCCTCTGTAATTCTCCACAAAATAGCCTCAGCAATTCAGAAGGTTTGTCTAGGCAGGGCAAAGATCAATGAAAAGAGTTAGTAAACAAAAAATGGTAGTAAAAAGAATAAACTAATATTCATCAGTTACTATGTGTCAAATACGGAAGTAGACATTTTTCATATGTTACCTCATCAGTCTTGTGCCATTTCTCTACCCCCACTCATGAAGGTAGATGTGGATATTCTTTTAAAAATAAAAATAAATACACAGAGGGCTAAGAAATGTATCAAGGTAACACTCTTATGGATAAAGTTAACAAGGTCACTCATTTAGAGGGTAAAGGAATTGAAGACATACTCATCTGACTCCAAAACTTAAACCTTGCAGCACATCTCACTGCTGAAAAAAGGCAACGCATGCTGCACCTTTTTAATGATTTTTATCAGTGGTCTTATTAATCTGTACCTTATCCAGAGGTAGTTTCAGCTCTCAAGAAGTAGCTCCAAGTTTCCTGGCCAGTTTTAACCCCAGAGCAGGGGCTGAAATATGTAGTGAAGAAATCAGTGATCAAACTGATTTGGTTATTAAAATAACTGAAATTACTGGTCTGTGATATAATGGCAATAGTTACAACCAAATGAATCGACGGACTGAATTACTTGCTTAGAAATTTCCTTTTTAGGTTACTATGTATATATCCTTTGAGGTTCTGCTAAATTACATGGCAATGCACTGAGTCACCGAAGTTTGCTCTCATTTCTTCATTTGTTCATTCACCTGTTTTCTCAATTCTACAACGTCTATTCCAGTCCTATTGCAGTCAATGTTCAATAAACCAGACACAACCTGTTGACTGAAAGTGTTTGCAGATACTAAAAGACATAGATAATAAAATCCATGATCTCAACACAGAACAATAATTACTGATGGAGTTATACAAAAAGTAACAAAAATTTTTACAACTTTGAGGACTGCCAGGCAACATCTCCATGAGAAGGCAATTCTTGATTTTGTTCCTGAAGGATGATTTACACTGAGGAATTTGACAGAGAAGGCTGTGCATTTACAAGAAACTGTATTCAAAGGCATCCAGGGAGAAAGCAGCATAGCAATTTTAGGAAATGGCAAGCAGTTCGATAGGTCTGGAGGTAGACTATAGGAAAGAGAAATGCAAGAAAAGATGAAGTAGACCAGTAATGAGCAACCATAAAGGGTTTATATAATTTATCCAAATTAGAAGAAAAGAAACATTATGTTAACATATAAGCTGCTAGTTTTGTTTCTCTCACAGGGTTTTTTTTTTTTCCTTTTCATTTTAAAGACAATTATCTTTTTTAAAGTAAGCTGAAATAGACTCCATTTTTCAGTTTCAAATAGTTTTATGAAACCAAGAATAGGATTTGGTGACTACTATTTCTTCTCAGACCATTGAAGTTATAAGAAAGCAACCTAGAACGAATCAATAGAGTTTCAAATTGAGAAAGTAACTTGATTCAGCAATATTTAGGAGATGTCCCTATAGGTTACAGTTTTTTAATAGGTGTTCAGAAATCAACATCTCAGGGACTTTTGAAACAATCTCGAGGAAAATAAATCTTAAGTTGTCATTAGTTTATTATCAGAAAGATTAAACTCTAATGTGTTTAATTTTGCATGATCAAATATTAAATAAAGATGCTCTATCACAATGTGTTCAAAACTAAAGCAAGCATGAGAAATGCAATTGTTTGAGGAAATTAATATGCAGAGACTTAAAAATTAATGTAGCATACTGCTTGCTTATCTCTGTTCAAAAAAACATTCCAATATCTGTGATTTGCTCTTTATGAGTTCTAACTATTTCTATATGAAATGCCAAGTTTTTAATGCTCAATTTGCATGTGCATACAAAGATTCTGGCTACCACCAAAATGGGCCTTCGGATATAAAATATCCTAGGATGAACTTGAATGCTGTTACCCAAGTTTGGAAAGACTACATGTAAATTCATAAAATCTATGACTAGTTAGCTCAGTTACTTAGGAGGCAAATCCTAGGAGCCACTCTTAGAGGGATAACATTTTAGCTACCTGAGCTTTGTTAGTCAGTTAAAAGCAGGACTAGCAATATATTTCATTATTTTTAGGTCTGTACTCACCTCATCTGGCCATTAGCCATAGGTTTGGCCTTGCATCTTGAAAAATTAAAACTTTCTGAGCTATAGGTTTATAATTTATGAGAGAAAAAGGGCTGGATATTAACAATGTCATCTCTCCTAATTTTATTAATTTCTTTTCATTTTCCCTGGTTCTGTTTGATGTTCAAGATTTTAGCCATTAGATACTATCATTGGTTGTATACTTAAACTAATAGTTTCCTCCTTTCCCAAAATATGTATTTCCTCAAATGGGCAAAGATAGGATTGTTCCTGACAAGGTGAAAAAAAAAAAGGAGCAGAGGAAGGGTGAAAGTGTGATTCTTAGCATTGTACGACACTCATGGTTGTTTTTTGTCTGGGGGAAATGCACTTTGTTTAGGACTTTGCTTATGGGAAAAATTTCGCTCCTAGCATGAACTATATTGTGGGGAGGATGCTAAAGAAATTATGAATATCTATGCATAACCCAATTTATTCTTTACCTGAAAGGAGCACTGTTCTTTTGCCCATATCTACCTGGCAGAATGAAACTATATAACAAATGTGGAATTATATTGGAAACTATTAGTGCTTTTTTTCTATACTAATTGAATAGATTTGAGTCTTACTTAGGTTTCTTGTGAAACATACTTTTGTAGTGGCTACATTTTCAGTAGCTTAAAATACATTTTACGATGCTTTTATCTTTTTAACTGGTTTGATTAGATTTAGTTTTCTAACTCCAAAGAGAAAATAGTGTGGTCAGTTTGACAGTAAGCATACGACGTTCAGTTTTAGTCTGCATCTGAGTGTGTTCATTTTTCAAAAGAATCCAGTTTTGGAGATTTTCATGAGGGTCTAAAACTCTAATAACGTTATAAGCCCTTTTTTTCTATCAAAGTGAACTTGAAACTAATCCTAATGCACTATGATAGTATCTGTTCCACGTTTTCTTTTGCAACTTTAGTCAATCAATTTAAGATACTTTCCTATGTTAGAGTTGGCTTGCGCGGTGTCCTAGTCAGCTCAGGCTGCTAAAACGAAATATCATAGACTGGATGGTTGTTATAGAAAAAACTTATTCAATGACAATTGTTAAAGCATGGTAAGGAAGACTGTATTCAGGACCATTGTGATAGTTATAAGGAATACTGCAACAGAGTCTTGAAGCTGAGGAGAGAGATTGAACTCTGCATACTGTATGAACAAGTGGGAATTTTAGCCAAGGAGCAGTGTGAGAGTCAGTGGATGGAAAATTACTAAGAGGAAATGTCAGAGGTCAGGGGTGTTCTGGCTAAATTAAGTTAACAGGATTTTTACTAAAGACAAGCCACAATGATCAGACATCAGCTGGGGGATGGTAGAGGAGGAGGAATCTGATCAGATATTGAAGATAATCAGATATCGAGGATGGGGAGTCCTGGCTAAACTGATTTAGCCAGGTTCTTTTGCTAAAACTGGATTTTATAAGGAAGGGCATATATGGGCCTAGGAGAAGTTTCAGAAGCCTGACTAAAATCTTTCCAACTAAAGAACGCTTATCTTGGCTTACACAACAGACATTTATTTCTCTTGGTTCTGGAGGCTGGGAAGTCTATGATCAGTGTGCAGGCAGATTTGGCTCTTAGTCAGGACCCTGCTTCTGGCTTGCAGACAGTTACCTCCTCACATGGCCTTTTCTTAGTGACAGCACACTGAGATGACGCTAATCCCATCATGGGGGTTCCACCTTCAGGAACTCATCTCAACCTAGTTACCTCCTAAAGACCCCACCTGCAAATACCATCACGTTGGGGGTTACAGTCAACATAAATTTTGGGAGAACACAAATATTCAGCATGTAAAAGTCAAAATAGGGTTAACACTGCTATTATTTTTTAAATGAGGTTCATAGGTAATCAAATTCCATTTTGTTTTTAGCTATGCATTCCCAATCAATTCAATAACTTTGCTTGGCTCTGTGAAGTATAGGATTAATAAAATTATGTAGATAATTTTGTCCAAAAAATAATTTAAGTATTGGTTTAAATAACATTTTTACTAGAATGTTAATCTGAATTTTCTGTGTCAGCTCTCTGTTACAGTAAGTGAATGGATAGACAGAGGTCTTTTACTAGCCTAGAACCTACCAATTAATAGAGTCTAGGAGAAAATGCTGGTATAATTAACGACAAGTAAAGGAGGAGAAGCTTTGTAGGCTGGAAATGTAAGAAGAGGTTTTTAATTGAGGAGAGGCAGGAATTGTGAGTCAAATTCACTGCATGTTTCTGTTGAATGAAAAACACATTCTCTTTTCAGCAATTTTATAAAATTGTTTTATAATTAT
This sequence comes from Homo sapiens, assembly GCF_000001405.40. Lineage (NCBI taxonomy): Eukaryota > Metazoa > Chordata > Mammalia > Primates > Hominidae > Homo > Homo sapiens. Next base: position 10,137,563 of record NC_000007.14, on the reverse strand, counting down.
TTTCCCCACAAATATTATAAGTAGAGTTATGTTAATCTTAACCATATAGAACGTTCTTAAAAGCTTAAAAGTAAATATGCCTTTGATGAGATTGTAAAACTTGACAAATATAGGCCGGGCGCGGTGGCTCACGCATGTAATCCCAGCACTTTGGGAGGCTGAGGAGGGTGGATAACGAGGTCAGGAGATTCAGACCATCCTGGCCAACACAGTGAAACCCCGTCTCTACTAAAAATACAAAAAATTAGCTGGGCGTGGTGGCAGGTGCCTGTAGTCCCAGCTACTCAGGAGGCTGAGGCAGGAGAATGGTGTGAACCCAGGAGGCAGAGCTTGCAGTGAGCCGAGATTGCGTCACTGCACTCCAACCTGGGCGACAGAGCAAGACTCATTCTCAACAAAAAAAGCTTGACAAATATATCAACTGTTATCCTACAAAAAAGGAAAAAATTGTGATTTATAAGAGTTCTACAAAGTAAAATCCTAGCTTTAGGGGTTTAATTTTATTTTTTAAAATTAAGCTGAATAGGTATGAATTTGTTGTCAAAAGTGAAGCAGTTTTATATTTGGTGGTTATGAAATATATAAATTGAATGCGGCAGTAAAAAACTCTAAAACTTAAGATAAAGTGAACAAATTATACTGTACAGAGAAGAAATATAAAAGTAATAGGTCTAGAAAAATACTAGACACGTGGCAAGGTTAAATACAAAATATTGTCTAACTTGGTGAAAAAAATAATAGACACATATACATATATCTCAAGTCTCACCTTGAAGTTCAAGAATATAGTTATAATTGAGTACAGATCTGATATTTTACTCTAATAGATCTAGTTCCCAGAAGGCATAGAACTTCCAGCACTCGAGTCTGACTTCTTTTCCAGATCACAGATTCCTTCTTCCATGCTCTGTGATCATTCAGTTGCTATTCTGAGAGTGGAACTGGTATATTGTTGGGCAGCTGTAACTGCTGTTTTTACTGCACTAAGCTGAAATTGGACTCTGTAACTTTGCCCATTGGTCCTGGCTCATTGACACAAAACAGAGCAGCTTTCCTTTGTCGCCCTATAGACTGTCCTTCAAATCTACATTTTAGTTAATCAATTTGTATAGTTTGACTCTGTATGTTTTGATAATACAAAGCACTTGTCTTAGTCTGTTTGGGTTGCTAAAGAATTAGCATAGACAGAGTGGCTTATAAACAACAGAAATTTATTTCTCACTCTTTTGGAGGCTACAAGTCTGTGATTAGGATGCAGCATGGTTGAGCTCTGTTGAGGGCCCTCTTCCTAGTTCAAAGACTGCAGTCTTTTTGCTCTGTCCTCACATAGCAGAAAGGGCAAGGGGTTTCTTTTGGGCCTTTTTTAAAAGGACATCAATCCCATTCATGAGGCCTCTGCCCTCATGACTTAATTATCTCCTGAAGGCCCCACCTCACAACATTATTATCCTGGGGAATCAGGATTTTAACACACAAACTTTGGGGAGGACACAAACACTTAGACCACAGCAGCACTTTCAATCATGTCTCAATGTATTTCCTTTACTCCCTAGATGTTTTTCCATATAGAATGCTTCCTCTCAAAATGTGCCACTGAGAAATGAAAATGCTATTATCAGACAAGCTCAGAACAAAGCCATCCAAAATATTAAAAGTTTAGTTTTTGTCAATCATTTTATACACTTAGTTTGAACTTGTGGCCAACTAAAATAACTACAATATGTTTAACAGAAACTACTGCTAAACTAAGTCTAAAACAAAGGATATTTATAAAACTAGTATTTTTTTCTGTAACTGAAATTAAAAAGGTTTTCTGTATTTTCACTAAATTATGTTCCTAAATTTTAGCCTTTCTTTTAATATTATGAGAAACATAGTTGTAATTTACACATATTAGCTATTTCTTTCAATGTTGTCTCCTAAAACTATATACCATGCATCCCATGGCATTTTCCGTGTCTTTGATTGGTGTGGAGAGCAGGAGGTGTCTCTAGAGACATTTTTCCATATTGAAATCAATCTACTGATTGACAGTTTCGGAATATAGATATTAAACCAGCTATTGAATCCAATCTATATTTTTAACTTTGTTCTTATAGATATAATTAGAAATAAACAAATGTTTTATTGAACCCAAGAGAATGTATTTATTCTAATATAATAGATCATAATAGAGGAAATGAGGTCTTTTAACAGAACTTCTTAAGAAACTCATATTAGCAGTAAACAGACATTTTCTTTATTTCATTTCATTAATCCTAATACTCTCTCAAAACTGGCATGTGTGTCAGTCATAAAGCTGCTCTAAGACACTGGTTCAGAAGTATAATCAGAATGACAGTTCCCCATAGCAATTTGTCGAAATAAAAATCAGAGGGATAATTTGGAATCACAAAACTTGAGCTATTTCCTACCTTTTAGGAAGTTGCAGTGAAACTCTGCTGTCAGGTACTATATCAGTCAGCATTCCAGCCATAAATAAGTGGACTCAGGTCTTTCCCACTGGAATTTCTTTCATAGTTTATTCAATTAATTTTAAAAATTGTTTTATCAAATCTTTAGCAGATGAGGAAGCTGATGCTTAGTATTCCCATAGCTTAAGAGCCAGAGTCAGGGATCAAATCGAGCCACATCTTACCCCAAAACTATATGATTAAACCCATGTCATAGCTCTCTGGATTTTGAATTTTGCATTTATAAAATGAGGAGGATGAAGTAGAATCTACCTAAAATTCCTTCAATCACTAACACTCAATTCAATTTTATACTAAATATAGTGATATAAGCCAAATGTATCTATAGAAATAGCCACCTGTATATTTGCTCTATTTGGAAGCAATTTTATTCTTCCTTTGTTCTTGAACAAATGCCAAGAAATACATATTTCTGTGTCTCCCCCTCCACACACTCTCTCTCTCCCTCTCTCCCTTTTTTCTGTAGCTATCAGGCATTTTAAACATCAAGCAGTGACTGCAAAAGACTCCACATTGGGATACACTTTCAAAACAATTTAGCCACTTTGAAATGTAAATTTGATAAGCAAAAGCACTACTGACACAGTTACTGTACTCCTTGCAGAGCATTAAACACGTGCAAATGAGCTCATTTTGTGATAAGAACCTGCGTTAGTTGGAGAACAGCATTTGGAAGTAGTCCATTAGCAAATTCCAAGATATCTGAAATGAGAAGAAAGTATTAAATTGAAAAGGGAGATTTGAAGTGATATCTACTGTATTAGTCTGTTCTCGCACTGCTATAAAGAAATACCTGAAACTGGGCAATTTATAAGAAAAGATTTAATTGACTCGTGGTTCCACAGGCTGTACAGGAAGCATGGCTGGGAGGCGTCAGGAAACTTTCAATTATGGTGGAAGACAAGGGGAAGCAGGCACATCTTACATGGCTGGAGAAGGAGCAAGGGAGTGAAGGAGGAGGTGCCACTCACTTTTAAACAGCCAGATCTCACGAGAACTCACTCACTATTAAGAGAACAGCAAGAAGGAATCTGCCCCATGATTCAATCACCTCCCACAAGGCCCCTCCTCCAAAACTGGGGATTATAATTCAACATGAGATTTGGGCAGGGACACAAATCCAAATCATGTCATCTACCCACTGATGTGCATATGTAATAATGGGTTAAAGTCTGTATAACATGAGTCCCTGCTAATTTTGTTTAATGATGTTGCCTCTTCAGTTTTGTCATGCCAATCAAGACCTGCACTGTCACAACTTTTTGTTGTAAATAGCTTGTGTTTTCCTGGTCACACCCAACTGTTAAGCAGAAAACTCTCAGTATGATCTGAGGCTAGATTCCAGGCATTTGTATAGATAAATAACTATTTCTGAATATTTGTATTTTTCTTGGTAAGAAGTTTTGTGTTTCTTGTAATTTAAAAGCTTTTAAGCATTGGTTTTTAACAAAATATCAAAGTTTATTTTTAGTTAAATTTATTTTGTATATGGAAAGAGCCTTCACTTGTGCTAATCCTTTAACACCATTCTTTGATGTCAGCTAATTTTCCTGTAGAGAAGGAAGTTGTGTCTATAATTCTGCAGGTCTTATTAGAGTAAGAAACAATGAATAATAATATTTTAGGATTCCTGCAAGAAACGTGGCTCCTTTGGCCATAATCCAGTATAAAATAAGTCTTTAATTCTTTAAAGGAATATATTAAATTAATTTGTTTTTGTTTTTGTTTTTTTTGAGATGGAGTTTCACTTTTGTTGCCCAGGCTGTTGTGCAATGGGGAGATCTCAGCTCACCACAACCTCTGCCTTCTGGGTTCAAGTGGTTCTCCTGCCTCAGCCTCCTGAGTAGCTGGGATTACAGGCATGCGCCACCATGCCCAGCTAATTTTGTAATTTTTTTTAGTAGAGACAGGGTTTCTCCATGTTGGTCAGGCTGGTCTTGAACTCCCAAACTCAGGTGATCCACCCACCTCGGCCACCCAAAGTGCTGGGATTACAGGTGTGAGCCACTGCGCCCAACCAAATCAATTTTTATAATTCCTATTTGCCATATTCTATTCATTGTTCAATGTAAAGGATGCTAGGCTTATATTCAGAGCTGAAATTGATGAGGAAAGCCCAGAAATAAATTTTGTTCACTCCTTCTGACATGTAAAAGAGTGGAGTCACTATGTCCATACTGCTACAGCTATTGTTACTATAGGTTGTTAAGAACATATATTGATCAAGAAATGTCAACATTATTCTAAGGGTTAATATTCAAAATACTTAGCAACAGGCATATTATAGGCACTAATTTACCAGAAATGATTTTGGCCATTAAGAATTCATAGCACTGTACAGGTTTGTGCCACCTGAATATCAGTCCTGGTGGTAGGTGCTATTATTTTCCCAGTTTTATAGATAAAGAACTGAGACTTTAAAAGATTGAATAATTTCTCCAAAGTCTACAGTCAATATAAGATTGCAACCTTGTCTGTTGAACCTAGGTTGACAAATCCTTGCTGTAACCACTACATAGACTTTGGCTATCTCTATGTAGGATTTCGATGGTTGTTAAACAATGTGTGTTAGACAAGAGGACTTGACCATGATATTAACATATTCTCATGAGTCTGGGAATGACTTTATATTTTGTAACCCAACACTATAATTTTACAAAATAAGAAAACAAAGTCTAAAGTAATTAAGTGATGCTCTATCTTATAGTGTGTTTCAATCCTTTGTCATTTAATGTGACTTTTATATGTTAAATTTAGAAACACTCTTACTTATTATCATTGAACTTATTCATAGAAATAATAGGTGATGACAAGTAGATCCGGATGACTGATTGCTTGCAGGTATTCACCATTTCAAACAGTTTAAAGTTAAACCAATTTATAAACATAATTTAAATGTCTTACACTTTGATAGACCAATTCCCATAAATAAACATGAAAGATACCAGAGGGTTGTGTGGTGGTTCAACTTTTGTTTTTTCACACTTTTCCACCAAAAATAGAAGGATTGCAGCAGGTATATGTGTCTGGAAGTCTGATCAATAGGCAGCCAGAGAGTAGCCTCATCTATATCCTTCCCCACCCTATGAGGTCATCAATTTTTCAAGAGTTAAAAAAGAGAAGACAGCTTGGTGCGGTGGCTCATGCATGTAAACCCAGCACTTTCAGAGTCCGAGGCGGGCAGATCACGAGGTCAGGAGATCAAGACCATCCTGGCCAACATGATGAAACCCTGTCTCTACTAAAAATAGAAAAATTAGCTGGGCGTGGTGGCGTGTGCCTGTAATCCCAGCTACTCAGGAGGCTGAGGCAGGAGAATCGCTTGAACCAGGGAGTCAGAGGTTGCAGTGAGCCAAGATTATACCACTGCACTCCAGCCTGGTGACAGAGCGAGACTCCATCACTCCATCTCAAAAAGAAAAAAAAAAAAAAAGAGAGAAGAGTTGAATTCCGGGAAAATATTGCAGGCATATGTTATTTATTTTGTTATAAAATATCTTGGCTTTTTAAGTTAAATTTTATAGGTACTTTATATAGCATAACTTTAGCTCATTTCTTGCTTATCATATCATCCACACTTGCCATTTACATTTATATATATATCACCTAAATATTTGAGACTTAAAAATTCAGTCCATTCCATTCCTTTTCTAAATCATAGACTGCCTTATTCTTTGATAAATTTTTCCTGATTACTTTTGTTTTGCATTTTTTGGATCTGAGTCAAAATCGTGTGAAGGCTCCAAGGAATAGCTGCAAACTACATTATTACTTTAAAATTCAAAAAAATGTTTAAAGCATATGGTACGAAAAATTGTTCTTCTGATCTAACTTACCTGATTTGGGGAGTTAGTGTTCATGGAATTGTGCTGAGCTTCAAACAAATACTAGGTGAACTATTGAGGACAGACTCTTATTGATCTTACCAAGAGTTTTACGATTAAAAACAACAACAAGGCAAGGCACTGTGGCTCATGCCTGTAATCCCAGCACTTTGGGAGGCCAGAGGCCAAAGCAGAAGGATTGCTTGAGTCCAGGAGTTTGAGCTCAGACTGGGCAACAAAGTGAGACCCTGTCTCTGCAAAAAAATTCAAAGGAAATTTAGCTGGCTGTGGTGGTATGCATCTGTAGTTACAGCTACTTTGGAGGCTGAGGTGGGAGGACGGCTTGAGTCAGTCAAAGCTGCAGAGAACCACGATCACGCCACTGCACTCAAGCCTGGGAGGCAAAGGGAGACTCTGTCTCAAAATAAAACAAAACAAAAACAACAATAAAAACAAACTCGAATGCCACGTAGCAGTTTTTCTGTATGTCATTTATCCTCCTTTGATTTCCTCCTTTGATTGTTTCACCTCTTCTCCCTTCTTCCCATAAATACAGGATTCCCCTGCTGAATCACACCTTAAATATACCCACAGGCATACATTCTAGTAAGAACATAAAAAGCCCTTCCTTCATGAATATACATTAACATGGAGTGAAGGACCCTCTCCTACCTCTTTGACTATCAGTATTCATTGTCTAATAGAATATTGAATTATTTTCTTCCAGGTTCCCCATTTAAAAATCAGTGTTCTGCTAGACTGAGCGAACTGACAGTAGTATAAGGCTCACTAGACCAACAACGGGATACCCTGGGAAATGGAATCTAAGGCTGCCTCTGTCAATGATGAGAGAGATAAGAAAGAAAAAGCACAATGGTATATGTTTCATTTGCAGTCATGAGGATTTTTGCGAATTTTTTAAGGGAAAGGAGAAATATGGATTAACCTCAATAGGATATTAAATCAAATAAAAGGATTAAAACTATCTATTAATTACTTTTAGGGATGGATGAGCCTTGCCATATTTTGGGTTTATTGAGTATCTCTAATTTTCCAAATGTCTGGAGTTTTCTTTAAAAAAGCTTCCTCAGTTACCTTTGTTCTACAGATCTTGCATAATTTATGGTAAATCCAAATTAAAATATTTTAATTTGGTTTGCAACTAAGAAAACATTTGGCTTTATGCTTTTTCCTGTTGATATTTGAAGTTTCATTTCAAGCCAAGATTTAACTCTTCTAGAAGTTTTATGTGTAATAAAACAGTGTTTATTTTTAGAAAATCGATGTAGCGTTTGCTATATCAATAACACTTTTATTATTAAGGAAGGAGACAGAAATTTTAAGGGTACACATTATGCATAGCTGTGTTGATATTGTTTTAGACATAATCTATTGGTTTTAATAGTAGTGAAATGCAGCCTTTCCAAATATATGCTGAATGCACCAGCATTTATAAAATAAAACCTTTTAAATAGAAGTTTAATTAATTTTTATGTCGATACTTTTGGAAAACATCATTTTTGTCACATTTACCTACTTTGGAAAGTATAAGCAATAATATGATTTGTAAAAACTATGTGACCTAAATTTTATATCTATATTGAATTTAATGTAGTGGCAACTTTAAGTAAGTTCATAAACATAATCAATCTTACTTTGTGTGTGTGTGTGTATATATATATATATACACACACATATTTTAATTCTCAAAACACCATCAGCAAAAGAATGGTTTTCAGTATGGTTGAAAAGACTACTTGTCATCATATACTCAAGCCTCTGCTAAGACTACTTCTACTCAACCAACCCATTTTCATCGTTGTTTCTTTTTTTCTTCTGGGACTTACTTGCAATTCTATTAGAGTACCCAGCATATACTCAGTGATCAAAATAGTCTCATTCTGTTGATGGCAATAGCATTTTTTATTTTTTTTTGTCTAAAAAGAGCCATCTTACCTGCGAATATAGCAATCCAGAGCATCTTTTCTATTGCTGTGAATTTCCAACTGCGAAACCATTTTGCAGATTTCTGCAGAAGAGGTTTGTTACAGGCCATCAAAACAGCATTCAAGGGCTCGTTTTCATTTGTATAACAGAGATGTCATTTTTCTAATTTTCTCACCAATGTACCCTGAAGTATTTTATCTTGTCTAATATTTTTTCAGAAGACAGATATTGTTTTATCTAAAAATACATTTTTATCTTTAGGGACAATAAAAATCTAGAATCAATAAGATTGTAGTTAGTAAATATATTTCTGAGATAAGAAAAAAATAATCATTAGTGATCATTAGACATTCAGTCCCACCAGGGGGCATCCCTGGCACAGGGTAGTTTCATCTAAGCATTTAGCTGAGTTTTCCTCAAACTGGCTATGCCTCTTAAAAATAGCATATTCTCAGATCTGCTGTGAATGGACTATGGTATAGGATTTCCAAAATCAATTTCTAAACTATTCTTTCAATCCCTCTAGAAAGAATATACATGCAAGTACCACTTGGCTTCTTTAACGTTTGAATTTGAAGTAAAGAAGTCAAGATAGGCCAAGGTCTGAGGAAGTTAAAAGAAGTTGACAGGCTGCCTTTGACTTCTCTTAAATGTGTTTATATATATATATATATCTGTGTGTGTGTGTGTGTGTGTGTATTTATGTATATATGTATATACACACATATATACGTAGACACACACACACATATATATATATATACTGCAGTGAACCATGATCACATAATAAAATATATATATTTCATTTGATTTGGGGCACATAACCTTGTTATTTTACAAACAGGTTCTTCTTACCTTATTTCACATCATTTCTATAGATGACTCTTAAGAAATTATATTTTAAGATTCTTTGGTTCTTGGGTAATGTTATTGGATTTTTTTTTTTTTGCTTTGTTTTTAATTGAGGAATGGGAATGACCTCTAAAGCAAAAACAGAAGTTTCAGAATTACTAATGATTTGTTCACAACTGCTGAAGATACAGGAAACTTGGAGAAACAATGGTGATGTCCCTGTTAGTGTGTGCCATTGCAAATAGAACCATTAAAATGCACTTGTGAGATTTGTATTAGCTTTTCTTCTATTTTTATAAAGACTGTTCTTCCCTAACATCTTTGTGCTAAGCAGGGTCTGTGATTCTTCTCATATATGGCAATTCCTTTTTACCTCTTCTACATTGTAATTTTTAGGTCTTTTCTGAGTTGGTTTTCAATTCATTAATTTAAAACACCAAGATGTCTCTTACTGCCTTTCCAGAAATGCATATTTTATTTGGCCACATACCTCTCAAGACAGATTCAATGAAACTTGGAACTGCTGAAAACATTTACTAATCTTTGATTGCTATTTGCAGTTGGAGGTAACTGTCTCCTACATCCTTTTCCCACTCAACTCAGAGAAAATTAAAATGGACAGAAACAATTTCTAGAAAGAAAGTGGAAAAATGAACAAAGGAGTTGAAAACGTATATCCTCTTTTTTTACATTAAGACTTTTTCACATTGCTTTAAGTAACTTTCTGTGTTAACAATAGTTCAAATGTATAATATGTACACATTCAAATTATACAAAGAAAATCGTATAAAGTCCCTTAATTTGACTGATAAGAAAAAAAGCTGTTTTGGGTACTCATTATGTACCCAATATATATGAGTCAATTGCTTTTTAAAACTATAGTGATCAGAGGTAAAATTAATGGATACAAATTGAAAAAGAGTTTTAAGATCACAATACACTAAAACCTACAAAACATCTTGTTTTGCCATGGGTTTGTCAATAGGTAAAATGTGTAAACCATTATAATATAACTGATAATGCAGTATTATTCTTTTTCACATCTGTGCAATGAACATTTTGTTTTAACTCTAAGTAAAAGCTACCTGAAAACAAAATTCAGGGGCATATCTCACACTTTAGGGTTCTATGTTCAGATATTATTTTCTTCCATTAAAAACTTAGAGACTGCGGTGTGACACCCCATGGATAGTCTATAATAAGGTTTGTTTGTTTGTCACACACAATGTATTAAAATTTAGGAAATTGTACCACTTTATTTACATATTCTGCGTTACTTGAAAACTAAGTGACAGTAATACTGGATTCTCATTTCGCCAAGGCAGTATTTGCTGAGACCAACTGGGTCTTGCTTTCCTTAGCTAGAATATACATTACTAAATTTGCCATAAGCCGCTCCATTCCTTACTGTTTTTACAGTTGACTGAGTTCGTTTATTTAGTACCTGCCTGGCCCTCTAAGCATTCCATTTGTAATTCCTTGTATAAAAGATGTAGCTTCAATGAAATCCTCAAGCTGGAAGTCTACTGGGAATTCTGGGATATTCTGAGGTCTGTATGGGACTGGAGTCTATTCCCAGAGAGGCTCAGGACGGTGTATTGAGAACAATGGTTTTGAGCCCTGATTGCGCCCAATGCCCTCTCCTATCACAAATGTTTTATAATATTCGTTTTTTAAAAGTGGAATAAAATTTCAAGATAATAGACCCTACTTATGCACGTAATTTATACACACTGCCCTCATTACTGTGATGATGAATTGAAGAAGCGTGAGATAAATGCTTGGTCATGATTATGTTAGAAGACACAATGAATTAGACAGAGGTACACCTATAAAGAGATGCACTACAAATATAAAAGTGAATGTGAATTGATCCAAGTGTGTACCTGTGATGATTTTAATGGCTAAAACAGCATTGCACTCAGCAACATGATTTTCTGACATGGTTGGCATAGTAAAGAATTCCTGGTAAAGTTTCAAATGAAAGAAAACACACAATGCTTCTTCTAGATACATGGTAGTACATTTACAGGGCTAAATGTAATTAAAACCAGGCCAAAACTACTTTGTGTAGGTATGAGAATGTGTGAGTGAGATCCGACTTGGCTCCACTCAAGTACACACACCTTTCACTATTATGCCATCTGTTATCTGGTGAGAACTTAGAAAGTCAAATGACATCTGGAAAAATCTTTGTTCAGAAAGACTTTCTTTCTCATGAGAAAATATCTAACATCCTCAGACATAGACAAACCCTGGCCCAACTAAATAAATGGCAATAGTGCCTTCCAGTTGTTTTGCCAACCAAAACAAAATAAAACAACAGATATCTCCTGCAGATAGTACTGGACTCTGAAGAGGAACAATTGTCTAACGTGGACAACTGTCCAGAATTCTTAAGCAAATATAATCTTGAGAGGTAAATGGTTGGCCTTTTAAAATTTGAATTGACAGAGAAGGAAAACTTTAATTGTTTATGTGGTTTGTAAAATCTTATTGCATTAGCATGTCAATGCATTTGCAAAAAATTCCTTTAAATTAAATTAAATTAAATAATTTCTATTATTTGTTTTCAGGTAATTTCAAATTATTTTTAGAAGTCCTGTAACACTACAAAGATATTTTATAAAATTTTTTTAGAAATTAAAAGAAAATCCAACTTTTATATATGCTATATAATAAAGAAGTGAAAAGAAATAATTTGCAAGCAAAATTTTCGGTTTTGGGAAAGACTTTTATTATATATGTTTCCTTTTACTTTTATTTTTAATAATAAACATATAGAAAAGTAACTGACTTTTCTCCAATAGGTGCTGCAAAATGCTTTGTTTATTTAAAGCCTCATTTGTAAACATAGATATAAAAAATTATATTTTATCTCAGGTTTGATTTGGAGATTAAATGTAGATTAAAATTTGACTACTTGTTTCAAAACAAAATATAAACTGATTTTAATTATAATACTCAAATATTTTGCACTAAAATAATTTCTATGGTTTTTAAATTTATGCTGTGTTTTTTAAGTGAAAAATGAGAAATATTTAGTTGTATTTATCAAATAATGCATTGTGAACATGTGTAGTCAAATCATAGGTCCTTTTTCTCTTTGTTTGTGACTTTCTGATACACCTGTGGAATTTTGATTACATAAATTTTATTTATAATCTGGGTAAGCATATCCTGAGACAAATTTGCGGAAATCATTCCTTTCATGATTCTATTAATTTGTTTCCTATCATCAGTGTTCTTTATGTTACAATGGTCTCTGGTGGTATCCATTAAGCAACATATGGCCAAGAACCATTGTAGGGTGGCTGGCAAGATGGCTGAATAGGAACAGTTCTGGTCTGCAGCTCCCAGCAAGATCAAAGCAGAAGGTGGGTGATTTCTGCATTTCCAACTGAGGTACCTGGCTCATCTCATTAAGACTTGTTAGACAGTGGGTGAAGCCCACAGAGGGCAAGTGGAAGCAGGGTGGGGCGTTGCCTCACCTGGGAAGCACAAAGGGTCAGGGAGCTCCCTCCCCTAGCCAAGGGAAGCCGTGAGGGACTGTGCTGTGAGGAACAGTGCATTGTGACTGAGATACTATGCTTTTCCCACGGTCTTTGCAAACCACAGACCAGGAGATTCCCTCAGGTGCCTACACCTCCAGGACCCTGGGTTTCAAGCACAAAAGTGGGCAGCCGTTTGGGCAGACACTGTATACACTACCTGCCCATTAGTCACTTAGTAGCTGTCTTGGTTGTCAGAACAACAGATCACAAGAAGAAGGGTAAGTACAGTATAAGACACATTGGGAGAGAGAGAGGGAGGCCACATTCATCTGACTTTTATTACAGTATATTTTTATAATTGTTTTATTGTATTATTAGTTATTGTTAACCTCTTACTGTGCCTAATTTTTAAATTGAAGTTTATTATAGGTATATATGTTTAGAAAAAAACAAAGTTTATAGAGAGTTTAGTACTATCTATGGTTTCAGGCATCCACTGGAGTCTGGGAATGTAACCCTCAAGAACAAGGGGGAAACTACATTTTACCCTTGAACAACATAGGTTTGAACTGTGTGAGTCCACCTATATGCTGATATTTTTCAAACAAATGCAGACTGAAAACACAATATTCACAGGATATGAGATCCACATATACAGAAGGCTAACTCTTCATATATGCAGGTTTCTCGGGGCTGACTGCAGGACTTGAGTATGCATGGATATAAGCAGGAGGTCCAGGAACAAATCCTCCGCATACATCAATGGACAACTGTACTATATTAAAAAGTGGGACCTTTTAGGAGGTAATTAGGCCATGAGGGCTCACCCTTAGAATGGGATTAATGCCTTATAAAAGGGCTTGAGGGAGTGAGTTTACCTGTCACACTCCTTCTGCGTGTGAGGACACAGAGTTCATCCCTTCCAGAGGAAGCAGCATTCAAGGCATCATCTTGGAAGCAGAGACCAGGCCCTTACCAGGCATCAAACTTGACAGTGCCTTGATAGTGGACTTCACGGCCTTCAGAACTGAGAGAAATAAGTTTCTGTTTATAAATTCCCCAGCCTCTGGTAGCAGAAATGAACTAAGACACCCTGCTTTAAAATTTTTTACCTAGGTGATAAAATCCTTGCTAATGATCTTCTTTCTTCATTCAATCACATATTCACACCATTGTATAACATAGATCTCAGATACTACCCAGAGGAAGACATAATCAACTGCAGATCATCATCATCTATCATGGAATGCTTATACAAACATAATTTTACTATATTTAAAATATTTAAGCCTACTAACAGTCTGGTTCTAAAATATCTTAGCAAAACCATTTTATGAATACCAAGCTCAAGATACATGTTTCTGACAATTTTTTAATGTATCAAAGTATATAAAATAAATAACTCGAACGGGGCTTTCAAGTCTATGGAGGATAGTTCTACATGCTGCATTTATTTTGATCCCTCCTCCTAGAATGGTACCTGTTTGTTCAAATGAACAGATATACGAGCTTTATAAAAACTGAATTTTATTTATTGTTTGCTCAGAGTGGGACACTTTCTTCCTTTTATATTTAAAAGGAGAATTATAGAATAATAATGCCCTACAAGAATTATTTTATTATTATTTTTAACTTGAAGAATATTTACCACGTATCTCATAAATATTGTAAAATCATTCACTTTTTAACATCTTTAAGTCTTTCTAGGAAAAGTGTCATAAAAATGTGGTCCTTTTATCTCTTTCTAAGCTGTCATCTTAGTTGTCAATTTTCCTCTGGGAAGGTGTTCTAAAGATGTTTTTGCAGAACATCATAGTAGGGCTTTAAACTAAGCATCTAAAACCATTCACTATGAACACAGGGTAAATTGGGTTACATTGGAATGACAGTATATTCATTTGCAAGTCCCCTGACACAGTTATTTCAACAACTTAGCTTTTGCATTTATAGTCAGCTCCCAGCTGCAGAGGGAAATTCAATGGCCTCATTATTGTGTCTGAACTGAACTGTGTCACGCAGGAGGGAAGCCAGAGTCAGAGGCAGATTGGGCCTTCCGGTTCATCTGCAGTTTGAGCTGGTTCAGCAGCAGCCCTGAAGTCTGGAGGTATGATAGCATCAGCTCTCACGTGATGAAGCTCTGGTTCCTGTTTAAATCCTAAAGGAATAGCAATTTTTGCTCTTTGAGACGTGCAGAATTCTTTTGAACTCCTGTTGGATTCAGGGATCACAGGGATCAGCTTGACTCTTGGAAGCAGGATGTATTCATTCAGAGGCAGCAGCTTTGGCAGCCAAAGAGGATTGTCAGAGCTTATTTTCCTTTTAGCAGCAGGAGTAAGTACTGTAAAGAAACAGGGCTCAGGGAGGCTGCATGATGCATAAACAGTATGTAATCCACTGAATGTGCTGGGAATTAGAGAATAAGGGAACAGGAACAGAATTCTGCTGCTACTACACTGTATGGGTGACACTGTTCCGCTGTGTAGACTATTGCTTGCTAAACAGGTTTTGCTTTTTGGAGAAAGTAAAGTATCCCATACATATTGAGTTTCACTCTCTCTCTCTTCATCATATATTTAACCTCCATGGTTTACACACTCCCGTCTTCCACAAAAATTAAGATTTTGTCACTGAATTCTGAACTGATGGCATACATGTCTCTTTCTTTACACTACTAAATCATGCCACTTATTAAAATCTATTAAAAGAAAATAAGAGTGACAGGGAAGATTGCGGTTTAATAGCAAAAATCAACTGAAGCATCAAAATAAGCATAGGGCAATGCTGAGCGTAGCAAGGGTGATACTGTTTTATGCATACTAGAGAAAAAATATACTTCAGAGGAATGACTTAACTAGTAAGTGGAATAGAAAATGTTTTCCTTGTGATTTGTATTATAGACAGGATTTGACTCTTTGAGTAGACTGGCAAACACACTGGGCAGGAATAAACAAACAAGACTGCTATCAATCATTGGATATTTATGCTAAGAAGGACTATTTTCTTCTTTCTTTGTCATTTGTTTAATGGGCTACACAGCATGGCTCCTGAAGACTATGGCTCCAAGCCCTGAAGGCACATACTCCAAATCCAGCACATGCTCTCTCCCTGCTAATTTTCCAGCACTATTCAGAAGAAGGAAACTGGATGTAGGAAATAGCAATAGAAAGAAGAGGGGCTTGGCCAAGCATAATACTAGCAGCTGCGTTTCTGTTTCTGGGAGAGCTCTGATTTGCTGTTTCTTTGCAGCAGCATGTTCAGGAGAGTGAGATTTGGCATAGGCTTTCACATGGCTTTCTTCTTGCTGCGAAGAAGAAATGGCAGGAACTCCATTAGTACATTTTTAAATTGCCCACTTATTTCCCATTGAAAGGGAGAGATTTTAGGCTATTTCACAGGATAATAGAATAATGAACAGCAATTAGTCAAAGGTCGTAAAAACAATGCTTCTTAGTATTATAACATTTGTCAGCACAATTGTGTCATTTAGATAGAAAGGTGCCTTTCATTTTTTGCTGTCACTGTGTTTTTCAATTTCTAAACATTTTAAATTCAAAAAAATAGTATCAATGTAAACCCTGCACTGCTACTTTAGCCTTGGAAACAAAAGAGGATGTTTAAGAAAAATACATTTTAATGTGTCAGCTTATCAATAAATTTTGACTTTTTAAGCTATCATACTTATTTTTTTCTACAATTTGTCAAATTGATTTTGACACAGTGTCTATGCTATGCATGGTGAATATAAATTAGGTCTGGGTAGCCAACATTTTAGATGTTTTCGTCATCTTGTAAATATTCAAATGCATGGCTTCCAAAAGAATGTGAACTACTGGGCACTGGCAACATGTTTTCTAGTAACTGAATTAGCAGAATTGGGCATTGTGGGAAGCCTCTACCATTTGGTTACTTTACAGTTCTCAAGGCTAAGGAAAGGAGAAGGAACACAAAAGACACAAGTGCTTCAGATTCCTCTCCCTTGACATCAAGGCAGCGAATGTGTGAATGGAGATGACATGCTCCTGAACTGCAGAATATTGAGTGATGGTTGCCTTTAAAAGAAATCTAACATTGCTACAGTATTCCATTTAGGGCCCATAAGTCTGCGTTATGTATTGAATAATAAAAAGTCACCTAATATTTCTATCTGAAATACGCTTTTCCTATTGTGTAACTGGTTGTAAATAAAATTGTTTAACATTTGTTCAATAGGCATTTATTGAGCATATATTATGTCAAAGAATATTTGTTAGACACTAGAATGAAGATCTGATCTCTTCCAGGCATGTAATAAATAGCATATTGAAAGGTAGAATGCATTTTGTTCAATAAATCGTGGCAAAGGTAGCATGCAATGGAAAGTTACTAACCAAAGGAAAGAACATTAATTTCAACTGGTTTAATTTTAGAAAGCTTTATGAGGAAATTGGCCTTTGAGTTAAGCCTGAAACAGTGGTCAGAATGTCCTTAAAGTGAAAGAAATCACGAGCAAAAGCAACTAGTTATTAAAGCTCACACTACAGCTTACAAAGGCTGAATTATAGAATGCATGGAAATAATAACATGATAGTGGTGAAAACGATTCAGCTTGAGTTTATTAGAAAATAGATGTCAATAAATTCCAAATTAAAGCACACTATGCCTAGTGGTTAAAATGCATTTTGGGAGACGATGCGACATAAACTTTGATTCATATCTTGCCTATTCCTCTCACCCACAGGAGCATTTCTTAGCATCTCCAAGCTTCAACTGTAAAATATATCAAGTGTAAAACCTATATAATAGGTTTGTTATAAAGGCTTTATTGAGATACTCTATATAATGTATATAAAATATACAAATACTGTGTCTAATAGTCATTTATGGTAACTTCAATTATATCAGCAATATGTTATTATTATGTAGTTTAAGATCAAGTTGGAGCCATAGTTTGTGGCCACATGTTATGGAAAGAATTGAAAGTTTTGCTAACCTCACTGTAAATTGATTGTTAATTGGAAAATCTATTTTGAAGAAGGCAGCTGTGATATTATAAAAGCAGCTTTACAAGAGTGACTCCAGCATGTGACGGTTGTGGTGAAGGCATGATCATCTATCAGGAGGTTCCATTAATAGGCTGAGGATGAGTAAATGAGAAAGGCAGATGTAGCCCAGTAATAGAAATTGTTGTCCATTACACAAGATTATGAAAAGTATGAAGAGTGTAAGATATTGATCACATTCGTATTATGAGAAATTGCCTCAAAGTAAGAGAAAATACTTCAAAGGATATACAATGTGCTCAGTTTACTTTTAGTGTTTGAGCTTCAGATGACTGGAAATCAAAGTCTTGAGCGAAAGAATGATATCAGTACAATTGATATAGAATTTGTAATTAGTGCAAATGTAATCATGAAATAGGTATAATTTCCCAGGGAGAGAAAATAGTGTAAGAAGAGACCGAGGTTAGACTCTTGAAGAATTCCAACATTAAAAAAGAGAGAGAGATATAATAAGAACAAAAGTGGAGGCATCACGTTACCTGACCTCAGATTATACTACAAGTCTATAATAATTAAAAAAGCATGTTACTGGTATAAAAAATAGACAAATAGTTCAGTGGAACAGAATTTTAAAAACCCCAAAATAAAGCTATATATCTACAGCCAACTGATCATTGATAAAATCAACAATAACATATAGTGGAGAAGGATACCTCTACAATAAATGGTGCTGGGAAAATTGAATTGCCATATGCAGAAGAATGAAACTGGATCCCTATCTCTTACCACATACAAAAATCAACTCAAATTGGGTAAAAGACCTAAATGTAAGACCTGAAACCGTAAAAAATACTAAAAGAAAACCTAGGAAAAACTCTGGACAATTGATCTAGCCAAAGAATTTTTGACTAAGACTTCAACATCACAGGCAACAAAAACAAAAACAGAAAAATGGGACATAATTAAACTGAAAAACTTCCACATAGCCAAATAAATAATTAACAGAGTGAACAAACAACCTGAAGACTGGGAGAAAATATTTGTAAACTAAGAATCCAACACGGTACTAATATCTAGAATTTACAAGGAACTCATAACAACAACAACAATAAAAACAAACCCTTTAAAAAGTAGCCAAGGCTGAGCATGGTGGCCCATCCCTGTATTCTCAGCACTTGGTGGGGCTGAGGCAGAAAGATTCCTTGAGCTCAGGAGTTGGAGACAAGCCTGCCTGGGCAACATTGGGACATCTCATCTCTACAAAAATGAAAACATTAGCTAGGCATGGTGGCATGCGCCTGTGGCCCCAGCTAGGCTGAAAAACAAAGTGAGACCCTGTTTCTAAAAGAAAAAAAAGAAAAGGAAAAAATAGATAATGTGGGCAAAAGACATGAATGGACATTTTTCCAAAGAAGACATGCAAATGGCCAAGAAGCTATGAAAAAATGCTTAGTATTGCTAATCCTCAAAGAAATGCAAATTAAAACCTCAATGAGATATCATCTGACACCAGATATTGGCAAGGATTCAGAAAAAAGGAAATGTTTATGCCCCATTAGTGGGAATGTAAATTAGTACAACCTCTGTGGAAAACAGTATGGAGATTTCCCAAAGAACTAAAAATGGAACTACCATTTGATCCAGCAATCCAACTACTAGGTATCTAACAAAGGAACAGAAATCATTATATAAAAACGATACCTGCACTTCTATGTTTATTGTAGCACTATTCAAAATAGCAAATATACAGACTCAACCTAAGTGTCCAATAATGATTGGGTAAAGAAAATGTGACACACACACATACAGTCACCATGGAATACTACCCAGCCACAAAATAAATAAATAAATAAATAAATAAAATAAAAAATAAAAAAAGAAATCATGTCTGTTGCAGCAACATGGATAGAACCGGAGGCCATTGTCTTAAGTGAAACAACTCAGAAACTGAAAGTCAAATACCACATATTCTCACTTAGAAGTGAGAGCATGGACATAGAGTGTGTGATAATAGACACTGGAGACTCAGAAGGGTGGGAGAGTAAGAGAGGGTTGAGGGATGAAAAATTATTTAGTGAGTACAATGTACATTATTCTGGTGATAAAATCCCAGACTTCACCACTGCACACTATATCCATGTAACAAAAGTGCACTTGCACTGCTTAAATTTTATAGAAGAAACATATGTGGAGACAATAAAGAAGATTCAAAAGTTTTAAAGATAGATTCATTCCTCAAATATTTTGTTTAGTTATAGGCATCGCTTTTTTTTTTTTTTTTGAAATGGAGTCTCACTCTGTCACCCAGACTGGAGTGCAGTGGTGGGATCTCGGCTTACTGCAACTTGCACCTCCCAGGTTCAAGCGATTCTCCTGCCTCATCCTCCCGAGTAGCTCTGATTACAGGCACCTGCCACCACACGTGGATAATTTCTGTATTTTTAGTAGAGACACGGTTTCACCATGTAACATTTTAAGAGAAATTTGGACTATTGAAATAACTTCATGAAAATATAGGGAGGCATGGTGACATTCCCCTGTAGGCCTGGCTACCAGGGAGGTTGAGGCAGAGGATCACCTGAGCTCAGGAGTTCAAGACCAGCACGGGCAACATAGTGAGGATTTGTCTTTGAAAAAAAAGAAAGAAGAAGGAAGAAAGAAAGGAAAGAAGAAAGAAAGGAAAAAAGAAAGAAGAAAGAAAGAAAAAAAGAAAGGGAGAGAGAAAGAAAGAAAAAGAAAAGAAAGAGAAAGGAAGGAAGGAAAGGGAGAGAGACAGAAAGAGGAGAGAGAGAGAAGGAAAGAAAGAAATAAATTAACAGAATATGAAGAGACTCGGAATGTAATGAGAAGGTAAAGAAAATTTAAAAATTAGACAAAAAAAGACTCAAGAGGCTGTAAAGTCTTAAAGTTCTGCTATAAGGAAGAAGCACTTGGCCTTCCTCTTCTCCTCTTTATTTCCTCTCATTCTCCCTTCCTTGTATATTTTTTCTTCTACTTTTTCATGTTGAGAGAGGAAAATAATGTTCTAACTTAGGATTCAGCAAAGAAAACTGAGACAGGTCCACTAGATATAATACAACCTATTTATGCCACAAGTACCTAGCATCCCATGATTATACATTTACTACCACTCATGTTCTATTTTGCTTGCTGTGACTTCAGGGATTAAGTGTTTGAAAAGGAAACAAAACTTCCACAAAAATTTTTAATGAAGCCAGGTGCGGTGACTCATGCCTGTAATCCCAACCCTTTGGGAGGCTAAGTCAGGTGTATCATCTGTGGTTGGGAGTTCCAGACCAGCCTGACCAACATGGAGAAACACTGCCTCTACTTGAAATACAAAATTAGCCGGGTGTGGTGACGCATTCCCAGGAAGTGGAGGTTGCGGTGAGCCAAGATCACGCCATTGCACTCCATCCTGGGCAACAAAAGCGAAACTCCATCTCAAAAAAAAAAAAAAAAAAATTAATGAGCAAAATTAACTTATTTTAAAATCATTCAATTTTACATGTTTTTCCTCCAAAGGCTATTAAATACATGCCAGCATAGTCATATAAGCAGATTACATAGCTATATCTGTGCCTGTTTGGTATAGAACAATTTGATTGCAAAACATGAATATTTACTCAATTGAGATGTGATACATATAATTCAATAATTTAATAGCTTAATAATCAAGGATTTCACTATATTTTGATTTGAAACATTTTGCTATTTGGGTATGGGCAATTAGAAGGAAGTTTCCAGAAAAGTGTTGCAGTACAGTCTGGCTTTCGCTTAATTCTCATAGAAAAGGGTAGAAAGCAGAGAAGATTAAAATCATTAAAACATTTAATGAATATTTTATTAACTATCATGAAGTGTTATATTAGCGAGCCTGCAATTGGGTGAGTTGCATCTACCATATCAAAGATGGGAAGTCTGAGTTACAGATAGACTCAACATCTTTCGATGTAATAGGTGTATTTTATTGACATTTTTTTCAATAACTATTACTGCAAGGCCTATCATTGTCTTTGTCTCTGACTCTTCTCTCCAAATCACTATGTTGAATATGCCCCAATAAGAACTTTCTCTTTAATCTGTGTTCTAAGGCAATTTCTTAGTTGTGGTTGTGTCTCTATAGCCTGAAGCTAATTCTTTTTATTATATTCTAGAGTTAAACTAAATGTAGTTCAATTTTTTTTTCTCAGACTGTACCGAAAAGTAAAAATAATGAGACATTTTTAAGGAATTGAGTTAAGGGATGTATCATTTGTTGTCCACAATATTTTGACCAAAAAATTGTAACTTAGTAACCCTAAGTAAAAGAAAATTATTTGACGGTTTTAATTTTCTTTTTACCACTCCTTATATATTGAACAGAATTATGAAACCGTTTTACCAAATTCAGAAAAGGGCCACTCTTTACAAGGGGAACCAGCCTATGGAAATATAATTTCTCAGAGCACATATTCTTAAACATTCGGATCCATAATTTTACCTTGTCCCCTCAGACTCCACATTTACTTTACTCAGGGAACAACAAATATTAATGAAATAACTATGAGATTCAATCTACTACAGAAAAAATAAAAGCGACAATACCTGCACACCTGTTCAGAGACACCTATACAAAACTAGTCTTTTTAAGAGAGCCTGGCTGATCTATGGAAGCCATTAAAATAACCATATAAATAAAAACAAAGTGATAATTGCTACATTATGTACCTGCACAATATTTCATGAAGATCTTAAGGAGAGACGAACTCATTCATTTAAAATAAGGAAGACTTCACCAAATCTCTGTAAAGCCAGGGAAATGTATCTATTTGGTTTACTACTGTGTTTCCTATGTTACCTTATATTCCTGTTAAGAGTTTAATATGAGGGCTGAGTAGTTGAGTAATCAAATGTAATAACGAATTAATTGAATAGTGAATAAGTGACAGAGTTGGATCTTGAAAGGTCTTTAGGAGTTCTACAGTTTGAGGGTCCAAGTTAAAAAAGAAACCTAATTCAAAACAGTGGCTAACAAAATTCTATTGAAGAGGCAAATTCAAGAAAGAGCAACAAAATTTTACTTTGTTACACTATAAATTGCAGATACAGCACTTCAAATAAAGATATTAAGTAGAAGATTATAATTTATATTTACACCCTCAAGAGATTAAAGCCATTTATATATTTTGTAACCAAAGCTATGGGGAAACCTGAATGAACCCTGAGAGAGATAAAAGAGACTAAAGTGGATAATGAGCTACCATTAAAAGTGACACAATCTGGGCCTGGCGTGGTGGCTCAGGCCTGTAATCCCAGCAATTTGGGAGGCTGAGGTGGGTGTATCACCTGAGGTCAGGAGATCGAGACCCGCCTAGCCAACATGGTGAAACCCCATCTCTACTAAAAATACAAAAATTATCCAGGCATGGTGGCAGGTGCCTGTAATCCCAGCTACTTGGGAGCCTGAGGCATGTGAATTGCTTGAACCCAGGAGGCAGAGGTTACAGTGAGCCAAGATTGCGCCATTGCACTCCAACCTGGGCGACAAGAGCAAAACTCTGTCTCCAAAAAAAAAAAAAAAGGTGACACGATCTCTACAGATGCCCCCCAAATTTCCATTCATAATATTTTTCTCAAGATGTTAATCCAGTAAAAAGAGGAGAATTCAGTAACTTCATGGGAGACAGGGTTGAGCTAATGTTTACTTCAGGGGTTTTTTTGTTTGTTTTTTTTGTTTGTTTGTTTTGTTTTTGTCTAAGAGAAAGAGAATGAAGTCAGTGAGAAGTTAGAGACACACGAACAGGGAAAATGACAGGCCAAGGAAATAGAATGAAGAAATGACTGTCATAATGAACATCATTGAAAGGCTGACACTTGAAAGAGGATGCTATATCCACCTCAAAGGCAGTACAGAAGAATCTAAGAACTTTTTTTGAAAGTGGGAAAGGAGTAAATTGGAGTGTTTCTATTCATTTGCCTCCATCTTCATAATATAATAAGAAACTAGGTCAATTAACTCAAGGACATATGTTGGTCTATGTGAAAGGGGGCTTAAGAGAATGGCAGAAGCTTGCAATAACCTCTATGCTGAATGTATGTGATGTCTAATAGAAATGAGCCAGCTGGGCGCAGTGGCTCACACCTGTAATCCCAGTACTTTGAGAGGCCGAGGCAGGTGGATCACTTGAGGTCAGGAGTTTGAGACCAGCCTGGCCAAAATGGCAAAACCCTGTATCTACTAAAAATACAAAAATTAGTGGGGCGTAGTAGTGTACGCCTGTAATCCCAGCTACTTGGGAGACTGAGGCAGGAGAATCACTTGAACCTGGGAGGCGGAGGTGGCAGTGAGTGGAGATCATGCCTTCAGTCTAGCCTGGGTGATAATAGTGAAACTCTGTCTTAAAAAAATAGTTATTGGCAGGGCGCGGTGGCTCACGCCTGTAATCCCAGCACTTTGGGAGGCCGAGGCGGGCGGATCATGAGGTCAGGAGATCGAGACCATCCCGGCTAAAACGGTGAGACCCCGTCTCTACTAAAAATACAAAAAATTAGCCGGGCGTAGTGGCGGGCGCCTGTAGTCCCAGCTACTTGGGAGGCTGAGGCAGGAGAATGGCGTGAACCCGGGAGGCGGAGTTTGCAGTGAGCCGAGATCCTGCCACTGCACTCCAGCCTGGGCGACAGAGCGAGACTCCGTCTCAAAAAAAAAAAAAAAAAATAGTTACTATTAAAAAAAAGAAATGAGCCAAATAATTGCTGTCAAACAACTTCAAAGACACAAATAAGTCTGGAATACCTAAATTTGTAACAGAGCCAATTGGCATCTTTGAACAATTTGTCTAGCAGTGTTTAGGTGTTCAGCAATGGGAATCAGGGAAAACTGGAAGTTGATTTGCCTTAGGAAGAGGGACTGACTGAGGAAACAGTGGCAGGTGAAGGGAAGGAGGTAGCATTTTTCACGTATGCCGGTGCTAATAAATCCAAAGAACAGTACTATGAAATAGGATAATTAGAAACCCAAGGCATCAGAGATTTTAAAGAGATCCAGTAGCAAGTTTTGTGAGAGTAAAGATAAAGGAGATAAAACTGGTCAAATATCAGGGATTTTCAACTTGGAAACTGGAGAGAAGGGGTGGATAGTATCCTGGAAATTAGCATAGCCTCAAAGTAGGAGGAAACATTCGTGGCAATGTTTTTCATTTTTAGATTAATTCAAGCAAACCTATTAGTCTGTTCTGCCATTATTTTTTCTGTCAAAAAAATTAACATGAAAAATAGCAACAATGACAACAACTAGAAAACATTTTTAGACAGGAGCCTGTCTAGGCAATGACAATAGAACAAACCATTATCATTATCATTCTTGTCATTACTAGTATCATTCTTTATCTTTTAAAAAATCTTCACTTAATTATAATATTTCTGCTATGTTGGCAATCTCATATTCTTGCTTTACAGATGAAAACAGTAAAGAAAATGAGATTACTGGATGTGGAACTGATATGCAGAATTTGAATACCAATGCCATTTCGATAAAGACTTTTGGGTAAAATTGTAATGTTCTTCACAGTATTTATATTTACACCATAGTTTTCTGTTTAAGTTACAGTGCAGTTTCACTCATCTTGAATCTGCAAAAGTTATTTGACACAAATCAGCCTTTTCAAAGTATGAAGATATACTCTCAGAAAATTTAGAGGTAAATGTATTACATATTAAGCAAAATAATTTAATATGTTTGATTATATATTGATATATATTAATATGTTTCTACTTATATTTATATTTAGAATATCTTGATATATTTATACATTTTTACAGAGTAAATGAAATAACAGCATGAACCCCTAGGTGTTCAGACAAAATGTGTAGTCCAAACCCTGAGGAAATGAGTTTGTTAATTCTTACAGAAGAGATATTTGATACTTTTGGGGTAACTTTATTTACGTCATTTTATTCCAGGATTCATTCATTGTATTTGTTGCAAAAGAAGATAATAAGACGAGATCTAGAGTAAGAAAGAGCTAAGCAGTACAATCACAGAAGCAAACAAATTATTGTAACAAATGTGTCTTTTGAGTAAAGTAATGGACAGAAGACATCAACTTTTAATCACGTTATTGAGATAGAAAGTGTACGATAGATTTTAAGCTAGTGCCAATGTAAAAGTATTTACAAGGCTCAATTTCCAAAAATGGACAATAGTGTCTCAGTCACAAAACGTCTTAAAACTTCAGCTGTCTTTTAAATGGCAGTAATAACATAAGAACCCATCTGTATCTATGCACATCCTAAGAAGACTCAATTTATCAAGGATAATTTTCTACCTAAAACCTTGTTTGCTTGCTGTTCACAGGGAATTTTTTTTTTATTTATTATATCTTTGAGGTTTTCTCCAGACTCAATTGCTACAATGTTGTTAAGCATTTGGAAGGACAGCTTTCATTTTCTAGAGGACGACATCACAGATAATGATGAAAGTAGGATGCAAAGTTTGGAGAGCTCTAGGAGCAAAAGCGTAAGTTTAGCCTGCTTGACAGTACTGGCTTAGGGCTCTTGGTAGGATGAAGCATTTGCTTATCATGAAACGAATATACAGTTGACCCTTGAACAACACAGGTTTGAACTGCATAGGTTCACTTATATGTGGATTTACTCTTACCTCTGCCACCACTGAGACAGCAAGACTGACTCCTCTGCTTCCTCCTCCTTCTCAGCTTACTCAATGTGAAGATGATGAGGATAAAACCTTCATGAGTATCCACTTTCACTTAGTAAATGTATTTTCTCTTATGATTTTCTTAAGAACTTTTTTTCTACCCTTTCTGTAGAAATGCAGTATCTAATATATATAACATACAAAACATGTTAATAGGCTGTTTATGTTATTAGTAAGACTTCTGGTCAACAGTAGGCTGTTACCAGTGAAGCTTTTGGAAAGAGTTTAAACTTATATTCAGATTCCAACTGTGTGGGGGTGTGTGCCCCAACTCCTGCTTTGTTCAGCAGTCAATCGTACATGCAAAATGTGCCTACAGGTATTTGAAGGAGATTATCAGTATTACTGGGTTAGCATTTATCTACAGGAAGGGTAAGAATGCTTCCAAGTTACATAAAATATAGTAATGAAATGGGGAATGCATGCTTCTGTAATCTCTCCCGTGGTTCTTCAGTATCCTCTTTCTCGTCTCCCAACCAATAGCCTTGTAGGCAAAATTCATTAATGTTATAGTGTGCAATTATGCTTTTTATTGTTTTTTGTATGCCTCCTAAGAAGACAATCGCCCTTGATATCATGGTGATATTTCAGCAATTCTTTGTAACATCTTTCCAGTCCCCTATTATTAAGCATTTCAACTTCATTAATAATTGATGTCCGTGTTTAAGTCGCTGGTTAGAAAATACCTCTAAGATTTTACTTTATTAGCTTTTGGATAAATGTTCCCCAAATCTCCTCTGCATTTTGTTAAAAATGAATGTTATATATCTTTTGGTAAAACCTACAGAGTTAAGTGCCTAATAAAATACTGCATGACTAAAATGACAATATTTTAATATTATGCTGAAGTATGAAGATTTGTCTGCAAAGGTATGAATCACTGGTTTTTCATTTCTTTAATTCTGTATTAATTGGTACTTGAGGCAATAAACCATAACATATAACTGTGGCTTCAGATAAGCTTTAATGAGTGCCTGACCTTTGCTTGGATACTTCTCTGACAGTGAAAGAGTTCAAGATAACCCTTTGAAGCTCAAATTTGTGAGATAAATGTTCTTAGCATTTCCTTGTCTGGGCCTGAGCTGATTATTGGGGATATTCAGGGATTTATAGTTAAGATTTGGAAGAAAATTATATTCTATTATGTCCAGTTCAGTGGAAGTCTAAATAGCATTAGTGTAATTTCTTTACTGTATTGTCATAAAATCTTGTTTAGAAGAAGCCAGTTCTTATCCTTCTTTTTATGCCTTATAGTACAGAGAAATCAGTTGTAAAGTGTGTTGTGTTATTGATTGATTGAGTTTAAAACATAGAAATAGTTCATAGCTCAAGCATTTTAAAGCAAGTGCAACTAACTATGTGAAATACAGAAGATTAGAAGTATTTGGACATACAATTGTAAACAAATACTTTCAATTTGAAAGAGTTCAGATAGTCTTTTTTTTTTTTTTAAAGTTCTAAGGCAAAACTACAACTGTAGCATCATATGGAGAAAGGTTAAATTTGAGTTGACAGAGAAGAGGTAGTGGATTGTAAGTCTGGACAAGCTTGGATCCCTGCAGACTAGTGATATCCCTCAGATTAAAACACCAGGAAAAAAATCACGTTAGAGTCCTTCCCCTGCTTATAAAATATTTTACAGCAATAGATAGCATTAACCATTAGTAACTCCTGAAACTACTCCCTGCCTTTACATAACTGACTTTGCTTTCTCCTGTTTCTTTTTATAATCTGGCCATTCTTTCTCAACCAGGTTTTCTATAAGATGCTCTGTATTTGCTGAATGAAGAAATGGATCTCCCATGAGATTTTGCTTTTCATTCCTTCCCTTATTTCAAGCTAACACAACTGCATACTAACCAACCACTGAGGAAGGGGTAAAGCTACATGACTCATGTGTCATCTAGTTCAAGATGAAAGATCAGTTTACGGATTTGTTTCATGTCCTTCTAAAGTTAAAACTGAACTAGAAATAAAAAGTGTAATAAATAAGATAATAAGACCATAGCAGAAGAACAGAGGAAAATTACAACAGAATAAAAGATTTCTAAAGTTTCTTGAAGATAGGAAGTGTTAATGTACGGGTTGAAAATGAGAGAGGTGAAGAGATAGTAGCATTTATTAAGGAATCTGCAGAAAAGTCTTGGAGCAATTTGCCCAGCAAAATTTCAAAGAGATTCTGGGCTTAGAGGCACTGATTTAGTGAAGGTTTGGAATAAGAAAAGCTTCTATCTATGACAACTTTGGAAGTTACTGATGCCAAACTCACTCCTCTGTGCACCCTGATACACACATACACACATAGGTTTGGGATTGTACCCTTAGAGAATTCCAGGCCTGTTCACCCTGAAGTGAAGCTTGTTATTAAGAAAGCGTCATCCTACCTAATATAGAAATCGTAGTGAGAATATCCCCTCAAGAGAGAGATCCAGTTGGGAATATACATACTAACCCAACAGCATAAGAAATGCAAAATAGATGCCTGGGTCTTTTGTTTTAATATAAATGAACAACCAAGGATCTGTAAGCACATAAGGAAAATCAGCAGCACTAGTCAAAAGAATATCCAGGCTGGGCATAGTGGCTCATGCCCATAAGCCCTGCACTTTGGAAGGCCAAGGAGGGAGGATTGCTTGAGTCCAGGAGTTTGAGACCAGCATGGGCAACATGGTGAAACCCTGTCTCTACAAAAAATACCCAAAATATTAGCCAGGCGTGGTGGTGCAAGCCTGTTGTCCCAGCTACTCGGGAGGCGAGGAAGGAAATACACTTCAGCCTGGGAAGTCGAGGATTCAGTTAGCTGTGATTGTGCCACTGCACTCCAGCCTAGTGACAGGTGACAGAGCAAGACTCCATCTCAAACAAACAAACAAACAAACAAACAAAAAAAAAAAGAAAAGAAAAAGAAAAGAATACAGGTAATCTGAAAATTTTATTTTCATTAAAAGACACAATATGTAATATTAAAGGCAAGCCTAAAGTGAGATAAGACACTGGACACTATAATTAAATAGAATTGAATTAGCATCAGTGGTATAACAAACTTTCTTACAAACCAATATGTAAATAGCACTACTAGAAATCATATTAAAAACTCAAATAGTATTTTGAATAAGAGGAAATGATGTTCAACTTATTAATCAGAGGGATTAAAATACAAATGACAACTAGATGTTGTTTTATGTGATTTGCATTGATTTTTTTAAAAAAACTGGAAGTCTGATAATACTAATGTCTGTGGAATGTGGAGAGGAATGAATTGTTTTATGGTAGTAGTTGAAATTTGATTTGACTCAATCATATTTTGAAAATAATTGTTATTGTCTTATTGAGAAAGTAAATATTTGAAACAGCATTTTTCTATCAGGTGTATGATGGATAGAAAGCTGTATTTTTAAACTATGAATCTCAGTTTCAATGATCTTACCAGCATTTTAAAAAATTAAATGGAACAATATAGACTACAAAACAATACATATAACTAATATATGTAATAAAGCAAAATATGGAATTAGAAAATGGATGGTAGAGTGCCATTTAAATTGGTAAAGATTGAAGGAATTTGCTTCAGTTTTATTTATATGTGTGCCTGTGTCTGTTACCTGTGTTAAAATGTGTACCTCACTGTCTATTGTGGCCTAAAGATTTGAAATCTACTGCCTACTAAGGTCATTACATGTGTTAACAAAATGCAGCAGCGGGAATGTTCATGATAGCATTGCTATTAAGAGCAAAACAATCAAATTACCTACAAATAACAAAAATATCTGTTGAAGGAAGAATAGCTAAATAAATTGACACAATGAGATAATAGCTAAATAAATTGTGGTATACTGACACAATGAAATACTATTCAGCAGTGAAACAATGATCAGCAGCTTCACATAGAAACAAGAGTGAATCTTAGAAACCTAATGGCCCATTGAAAAACATCACCTTGTAAAAGGATATACATAGTATGATTCCATTTCATAATACTTAAAAACAATCAAACCAAACAATTTCATTGTCTTTGTATACCACATATATACATTTGTTTTAATGAAAATAAAAACTAGACAGCCTTTTTTTGGCTTAAGATTTTTTTCAGAACTAGAATTTTATCACAAATTATAATAGTTTTTCATGATTTCGGGTGATTCGAGCCAAGTACCTTTTCCAATTTATGGATCTTGAAGGAGGATCATGGAATCTATTTCTTGCAAAGGTGATAAGGTGTCCCCTCAGTCCCCCAGAGATTAGAAAAATTGCACCCCTAAAGGAGATGAAATGCTTTTTGATGGAAACACTAACTCACCCAAATTAGATCATCAGTGACTTTTCTTTAATACAGGAGGGTAAACAAGTTATAGAACTTCTTAAAATCAGAAACAAAATGCTCCTTAGGAAACAGAGGAAGGTAAAGGTCTAGAGCAGCTTAGAAGTGAGAAAAAGTGAAGGTTTTTCCCCGTGTAGAAAGAAAAGCAAACTTTAATGAGTCAAAGATTAATAGTTAACTTTATTGAGACTAGATTGCTTAACTTATCTTTGGCTCTTTTTGTTTCTTTAAATATTGCTCCAAGTTGTGTGTTGACTTAATTTTATAAGGACAAAAAATTGCTAATGATTTAGACAACTCAGTTATATGTTTATGGGAAAATAACAAATGGCCAAATAAAGCTTTTGTCTTAATTGAATTACTTATGTTTGAGAAAAATCTCCAGCCCACACTGGGCCTAAGCAGTCCTAAAAGGATATTTTCATTCACTCCTTCACAGCTTTGAAAATTTGGGTACATTGTGCCTGTCACATTGGACTGGCCTTGAATTTTACCAATCTTGTAAATGTTTTTTATGAAACATAAAAAATTCAGACATTTTTATGAATCGCATCAGTTAAAAAATTTCGAGCCTATGTTTTTAAAATATGCATATTTGTTTATAAATTATACATATATGTTTATGTATATTATTATATACATGTATGTCTCTCTATGTGTTAAATCTAAAGTCTAATTTTGTTCTAATTTTAGATTTTTAAAAATCCAAGTTCTGATGTTCTTTTGTTTTCCCCAAGTACTTGCCTTACACTTTCCCTGGACAGGGTAGCCTATACTTTGAAGACTGATGCTCTAACTTCAAATTATCTCCTAAACCCATAGAGCCAGTTTGTGTTTCTTCGCCAACAGCTGTGTTTTTGATACAATTAGCATAGTTTCTCAAGGGATGGATCAATAACCAAGGTGAATTATAGTGCTGTCATACCTTCACCTTCCAAAATGAGGTATTAGGAGGAAGGCTTAAATTCCCAACCAGCCCTACTGTGCAATAAAACCCAGCAAGATCAATCTGAAATCTACCTGTTTCTTCACAGAGTTTGCTAGCGTTGTCTGTTTTTTGTTTTGTTTTGTTTTGTTTTTGAGACGGAGTCTCGCTCTATCCCCCAGGCTGGAGTGCAGTGGCGTGATCTCTGCTCACTGCAAGCTCCGCCTCCCGGGTTCACGCCATTCTCCTGCCTCAGCCTCCCAGGTAGCCGGGACTACAGGCGCCCGCCACCATGCTCGGCTAATTTTTTGTATTTTAAGTAGAGACGGGGTTTCACCTTGTTAGCCAGGATGGTCTCGATCTCCTGACCTCGTGATCCGCCCGCCTCAGCCTCCCAAAGTGCTGGGATATTGCCTGGTTTTAAAGACCCGTCTTAAGATTGTTAGGTTGTCACAGAGAAAGTGGGACTGGGCACCCAGCCTGGAGAAATAGCAAACAACTGTTTGTTTTTTTAACTAGACCACTGCTTCTCTATAGTTCCGATGTTAAGAGCAGAGCTGAAGGAAGTGATAACAGCTGGGTACTGTGGTGCTTGCGTGCAGTCCCAGCTACTTGAGAGACTGAGGAAGGAAGATCGGATCACTTGAGCCCAGAAATTTGAGTGGAGCCTGGGCAACATAGCGAGACCCTGTCTATATAAAAAGGAGGTGATATTATAGTAAAAAGCAAGACATTAAATAAAGGGAAGAGATGAAGTAAGAAATACCAGCGAGGCTTCCATAAGACTAGTAAGCTCCAGAGCTGAGTTGCTGTTCCCTACTGCTAAAACTGATTTATCCTCAACACAAATTTATAAAAGGGATGACAACAACACAGTTACAGTTTTTTATTAAAATATTTTATTTCTGCCCACATGAATAACTGCTTTTAAGTTGGATACTCAAAGCAACCACACAACCATACTTAGAACAGTTCATGAGATAGATTATAAATTAATATTGTAAACAGCACAGTAGTGGCCAATAATTGGTGAAGCATATTAACTCTACAGTTCTGACTACAGAAAAATATTTTTTTAAAAAGGCCAGAAAAATAGGCGAGGATAAAGGCAGAAAGATATGTGGCAAGTAGTATACAGAGACATTCTAATATTGGTTGAAATTAAAATTTTATAAAAAGGACTTATTTCTTGTAAGAGTGGTGGAAAAATTTACTTTTATTAATAAGGTCAAGGAGAGAAGGCTAAAAGGGCTGGTTCTGAGAATCCCCTTGGGTAATTTTGACAAAATGAAATTTACCCTGTGGCCATGTCATTATCCCCTATCCCTTCTACTGAGCAGTTCTCTCAAACCCTGCCTCAACCAAGTCAGCTAACCACAAATACACATTCTGATGTGAAACAAGCCATCCCTCTCTAACTCCAGCCTCCAGACTTAGCTGAGTCTATTTGTGTGATCTCGAACTTCTTCCTATGCTTCTGATATGGTTTGACTGTTTCTTCATCGAAATCTCATCTTGAATTGCAGTTCCTATTGTCCCCACATGTCCCGGGAGGAACTCAGTGGGAGATACTTTAATCATGGAGGCAGTTTTCCTCATGCTGTTCTCTGATAATGAGTGAGTTATCATGAGATTTGATGGTTTTATAAGGGGCTTTTTCCCCTTTTGCTTGGCACTTCTCCTTTCTGCTGCCATGTGAAGAAGGATGTGTTTGCTTTCCCTTCTGCCATGATTGTAAGTTTCCTGAGGCCTTCCCAGCCATGCTGAACTGTGAGTCAATTAATTCTCTTTCCTTTACAAATTACCCAGTCTCAGGAATGTCTTTATTAGCAGCGTGAGAATGAACCAATACAGCCTCACTGAACAAAGAAACATCTACTTGAGATTTTATTTTTATGTCTCCCTAATAAGATTTCCTAAGGGGTGGGCTTGGTATAAAGATTTA
Source organism: Homo sapiens (assembly GCF_000001405.40). Classification (NCBI taxonomy): domain Eukaryota; kingdom Metazoa; phylum Chordata; class Mammalia; order Primates; family Hominidae; genus Homo; species Homo sapiens. Next base: position 10,104,107 of record NC_000007.14, on the reverse strand, counting down.
TTTACATTTATTTACCTTCTAATGTGCCTTATGTAACTTACTTTAAAAAATTGAGTGTGTACATTTAAGGCATACAACATGATATTATGGCATACTTAAAGATAAAAAAGGCTATGATAGTGAAGCAAATTAATGCATTCATCATTTCTCATAGTTACTCATTTAGATTTTTTTTGTGACAAGAGCAGCTAAAATCTACTTTTTTAGCAGGAATCCCAAATTCAGTACAATTTTATTACCTATAGACCTCATATTGTACGTTAGATCTCTGGACTTGTTTATCCTATGTATCTGTTACTTTTAAACACTTTTGTTTATTTGTTTGTTTGTTTGAGACAGGACCTTGCTCTGTCACCCAGGCTGGAGTTTAATGGCATAGTCATGCTCACTGAAGCCTCAAGCTCCTGGCCTCAAGCAATTGTTCTGCCTCAGTCTCCCATGTAGCTGGGAGCACAGACATGTACTACCACACCTGGCTAATTTTTTATGTTTTGTAGAGGGGAGGGTCTAGCTTTGTTGCCCAGTCTGGTTTCAAACTCCTGGGCCCAAGTGATCGTCCTATCTTGGCCTCTTGGCAGCAAAGTGATGGGATTATAGGCATGAGCCACAGTGCCTTATATCTGCTACTTTGTATCCTCTGTTCTACCTCCCCATTTTCTCTCCGTGCCTACCACCAGTAACCACTGTGTCTGTATATTTGATTTTTTTTCCAGATTATACATATAAGTAAGATTCTGCAATATTTTTCTTCTGTGTCTGGCTTATTTCACTTAGCATAGTATCTTCCAGCCTCATCTATGTTGTAGCAAATGGCAAGATCTCATTAATTTTAAGGCCAAATAATATTCCATATTATTTCTTTATTCATTTGTCCACTTACAGACACAGATTGTTTCCATATTTTGGCTATTGTGAATAATGCTGTAATGAACATGAGAGTGCAGATATATTTATTAGGTAGTAACTTCATTTCCTTTGGAGCCCAGAGGGATTGCTGGGTCATATCGTAGTTCTATTTGTAATTACTTTAGAAACCTCCATACTGTTTTTCCCTCATGGCTGTACCAATCTATGTTCCCACTAACAATGTGCAGGAGTTCCCTTTTCTCTACACCGTTGCCAACATTTGCTTCCTTTTGACTTTCTGTCAATAGTTATTTTAACAGGTGTGGGATGGTATCTCACAGTGGTTTTGATTTACATTTCCCTGATGATTAATAATGTCGAACATATTTTCCTATACTTTTTGGTGATTTTTATGTTTTCTTTGGAGAAATGCCTATTCAGGTCTCTCACCTATTTTTTAATCAGATTGTTCTTCTACTTTTGAGTTATATGAGTTATTTACACATGTTAGATATTAACCTGTTATCAGATATATGGTTTGTAAATATTTTTTCCAATCCATAGGCTGCTCTTTCGTTTTGTTGATTGTTTCCTTTGCTATGAAGAAGCTTTTCAGTTTGATATAGTCCCATGTATTTATTTTTGCTTTTGTGGCCTGAGCTTTGAATGTAAAAATTGCTGCTGTGAGTTTAGTTCTAAGTAAACTTTTATTTTTCTCTCTCTTACACATGTCATGCTTTCTACTTTAGGAATTGCTTTGATATAGCAGAAGAAAATGGGTCTGATATGCAAGTCAACTACAATTCTGTGTATTAGAGTGCTTAGCAAACTATTAACTGCCATAAAAATGTTAACTATTGCTCTTTTTAACTTTAAAATTTTGTTCCATCCTATTTCAGAGAGAATTTAAAGTTACATATATATGTACACACACACACACACACACACACACACACAGTGTAACATGGCAGCTATTGGCCACATGTGGCTATTGAGTACTTAAAATGTGGCAAGTCTGAATTGACATGTGCTGTAAGTGTAAAATATGCATCATATTTCAAATACTTTATATAAAAAAATTGTAAAATATCTCATTAACAATTTTTATATTGATTATATGTTGAAATGTTAGTATTTTGGATATATTGATTTAAATAAAATATATTATGAAAATTAATTTCACCTTTTTCCTTTTACTATTTTTAACGTGGATACTAGAAAATAAAAAATTACATTATGTGGTGGGTCACGTTATATTTCTACTGCATAGCACTGATATATAAAATGCAGTGAATCAAATTTAACACTTCATTTGTAACATCATTAAACATTTCTTTGGCAAGAGTAGCTCAGGTACTTTATTCTAAGCACAATGTTCAGTGCAGTGTTGGATAAATCTAGATCAAGGACTGAGTATCCATGCTCCTAAGTTTTGAGATTTTTCTGCTACCCAGCCAGAGGGAGTAGACGAATCTCTATGACTGGAAACTGTCGGAAGATTAGGTGGTGGTGCTGAATACAATTGATGAATGTTTCTCTAATTGATTTATTTTGGCAGTAGTAGATCGTCTAAATGATGAAATGGATCAGAGCCTCTGTACCATTTGCTTTAGTTAAGAGAGGGAAAAAAATGTTCCCACCCTACAGTTTTTGGACTGAATTGCAGAAATGGGAATTAAAGAGGCTCATTTCCACACTGAACTGCCCTGGATCCTGCAGGAGTCAGAGGGCAATGGAAGCATATAATTACTGGTGTTAAAGAGAAATCGCCATGGGATCTAGCTTGGTTTCAGTGTGATTTAAAAGGTTAGACTTTGAGCATATTTAATTTGATTAAGTGGCTTTTGGGAGGAGTGGGAGCTGGAAGAGACAATGTTCTCTGTGATAAGGTACTTACTGAATATAAATGGAAACGCATATTCAGATACCTCGTTGTAAAATACTAGAACATCTAGTTTCCGCCTCAACTCCCTGCTCCACACTGAAAGTCTAGCAGCTAAATTATGAGCTGTCATTTACTCCTTGCTGATGGTTATGATGAAGACTGAAGTATAAAATGAAAATCACAAATTATAAACCATTTTTTAAATATCTAAAAAATGCAACAAATTTTTTTACCTCATAATGCATGATAAGCATTTAATTTTCATTTTTATCTGCTCAGTATATCAATAGAATAAAATTCACTGAAATGTTTCAGATAATTTGCTATCTTGACTGAAAAAAGATGATGGATGACCCCATCTATAGATTTCTTAGCCCATCTTTGAGACTTCACTTATCAAAACCTTCCTATAAATATATATAATAAATATAATATTTATGAAAATTATATTTATTAAATAATTTCATTTTATTAATGTATTAAGTTACTTATTCTGACTTGTTCTGAACATGCTGCTTTGTTTCACGACCTATCTTTTTCATCTGTTATGGAATACTGACATCATTTCAGCTGGACATCTTCCCAACGTTCAATTAGATATTTAAAATCAGTCTTCTCCAAAGAGTGTGAGTTCCATGAACAGGGACAAGATGTCTGCAGTTCTTAACAAATTATGTGAAATATAATAACTGGCAAATAAATTTTGTTGAATTAGTGGACAAACAAATGAATAAATCTAGTAATAGTGACACAAGAGGAAATTAACACTACCTATAGGAAGGAACATAAGTTGGTGTCAGTGTTTCAGTGGGTAACAAACATTATCTACACATTTTAAATATTCATGGCTGTTGATTCAGAAATTACACTTGAAAAATGTATACAATGTAGACATATTTATTCAACTGTAAGACTATATATATTTACACTCACCCCCACAATTATATTTACTGTAGCAGTTTGCAATTAAAAAAAAAAACTAAAAAGTCAAACAGAAGGGGATAGAGAAAATAAAAACAGACACTATACAACTCTTTCAAAAGATGGGATAGCTCTGTATATACTCACAAAGACATAGATAACATTGAGGAACCAATAGATATCAATAGATAAATGTTTATTAACATTTATGGAGTCTTTTCTATGTTTCAGGTAACCATCTAAGCATTTTAAATTCATGGAAATATTTAATCTTCACATTATGCCTATAAGGTAGGTACTATTATTGCTCTCATTTTACAAAAGAAATTGAGGTAAAAACAGATTAGATAATTTGCCAGGAATCATACATTTAGTAATTAGCAGAAACACTATTGAAACTCAGGTTGCCTTGCTATATGAACTGAAGTTTTGTTTTGTTTTGTTTTGTTTTTGAAATGGAGTCTCGCTCTGTCACCCACACTCAAGTGCAGTGGCGTGATCTGGGCTGACTGCAACCTCCTCCTTCCAGGTTCGAGAGATTCTCCTGCCTCAGACTCCCAAGTAGCTGGGATTACTGGCACCTGCCACCATGCCTGGCTAATTTTTGTATTTTTAGTAGAGACGGGGTTTCACCATGTTGGCCAGGCTGGTCTCGAACTCCTAACCTGAGGTGATCCGCTCGCCTTGGCTTCCCAAAGTGCTAGGATTACAGGTGTGAACCAGCATGCACAGCATGAACTAAAGTTTTAATAAACTCTCATTCTCTTTTAAAAAATTAATAATTTCATATATGTGTCTGTAAAATGTGGAAAGTAATATTTCCAAACTCATAGGGTTTTTTGGTTCTTGTGAGGGTTAAAATAGATAATGAATGTAAACTCTTAATTCAGTATCTGCCATATCCTTATAAAACAAATGTTTATATATTTATATTATACATGGAAATAAACACATATACAAATAATAGTATAAAAGTGGGTTTATTTTGGTCTTAAGATACTAACAAGCTTTATATCCTATGTTAATACATGTTTGATTTATTTACAAAAAGCATTTATTATTTTATTATCTAAAAAATAGTTTAAGATTACATATAAAAATGACCATGATTAGCCAAGAGTAGTAATTATTTCTGGCTATTATAAATACCTTCTAAAAATGTACTGATTGTTGTTAAGTCATTTCTACAAAACAATTCATTTGTAAATATTCATTGTATAAAAACATAAGACTCAGTTCAAGAGGACAAAAATTTTATTTAGTTTCTGTCATCTTCTTTATGATAGCTATTTATAGAAGTATCTTGTTTTATAGTATGATGCATATTAAATTTGATTATAGAATTGTAAGTACTGATTTTTTTCTCCAATAAAATTGATATCAAAGTCCAAATTGTGCCCTCTTCTACCCAAACTATCACATATTCTCACAAGTAAAACTCTCAGCTATGACTTTGACACACAGTGCCTATTCTTTGTTGAAAAATAGAACATTCTCTTGTAAGACTTATTTTGAGAATTTCTTTACACTTTCCCATGTGGTTCTGTTTCGTTATAATACATTTATTCCATATTGCTATTTAGAATTCAAATGTAGGGATTTTATTGTTTTAATTCTGGAGCAGACAATTTCCAAAATTAACTCAATTTAGACTAGTTAACTGGAGCAATATTTTTCATGGGAAGGACTCTACTTTATTCCCATTGCTTCCTTTCTGCAGGTGATATCTTATTAAAAATAATGTCTTGTTTCTTTTAATGAATGCCCTAAAGAAAAATATGGACAGAAGTAAAAGACAAAAACAATATGTGTCAGTCATGAAGGAGAACTGAAATCCAGCTTATAGAGCAAAAATTAAATGACTAAAAATGTCTAATCAACAGTGACATTTTCAAGTACCAGCTGTGCAGCGTGGCAGGATTTGTCTTAGTCTGCAAGAGAGCTTGTATAGCTCGTCAGAGCCTAGTGAGTAAAGTATAGAACCAGGCGTCAGGAAATACGTTGATGGTCCCAATTTTCGCACTCTAGGCAGTAATAAATCCAAGAATATTTATCTGTTTTAAGCGGATGTTGATAACTGAAAGTAAATCATTCATGAAGTAATAAAAACTAACATTTTTATAAGTATGAGCTCTGAAAGCTGAACATCTCCGATGTATCATAGATATTTATTTCAGGAACCAGTTTCGTGACTCTGTATAAGTTACCTAATTTTTCTATGGCTTAGTATCTTCATTGACAAGATGGGGATTATAATAGTATCTATCTCTTATGGTTGTATGCAGATTCAATGAGTGAATGCATGGAAGGAATGTAGCACAATAGTTTCAACACACTTTAATTATTAATAATATTATCTATAAATTATGATATGTGTCCCTAGATACTTCATCACTAAGTTAAAATTAACATGATTTTCTCATGTGGGACCAGTATCTAGTTTACAGAAACAAAAGCAATTTCCTCATATATAACTGAAAGACCTCTTGGATAGAATCTATGGTAGACTTGCCGTACACCCAATATGAGTACATAGTGATCAAAAATATAATAATTTCTATGCAAAGAAGAAATTCCTCTCATTCTTTTGGGAATTCGTATAAATAAAAATAAAATTATATCTAATTTTCTAATCCAATGCAAAGACTAGAAATTGTGGCATACTGAAACAATGCATTGTATAAAGATGTTTATGTGTCTGGTGGTTTAGTGATGATGGCTTAAATAGATTAAATCATTTGATGAAAACACTTTCCCATCCTGCCTTTTGCATTTTAAATAAACATAGAAATTTTTGTAAATTATTGCTTGAAGATAAACATTAAATTTCTGTTTTATAATACATATTTATTATATAAACATGTTATAATAAAGTTTATTATTGTTGAGTATGTGAATCATTTCTAAATGTGTTATCTTAAATGCCACTTTGAATAACAAATACGGGCACAAATATATTTCAGTATACGATATCATTCAGGAGGGCTTCCAAACTGAAAACTGTTGAATCAAAAAGAGTAAATATTTTAAGACTTTTGATACCAAAACAAATGGCTTTTCAAATAATAGTCCTGTATTAGAATTCCTGTTTTACCATATATCCATCAACATTGGACTTTTTTATATTTTAATAAGTTTATGAGCAAAAAGTATTATATTTATTGTTTTTTAAAAAGTTTTTATTTATTATTTTGAATACTTTTCGATATACTTAATAGGTCTTTTTAAAACTAAGATTCAGATTTTTTTTACCTTATCTATTGAAAGGGTTTTTCACTCCATTCTTAGGGTAAAATTAACACTTTATATACCTAATGCTAAATGACGAGTTAATGAGTGCAGCGCACCAGCATTGCACATGTATACATATGTAACTAATCTGCACATTGTGCACATGTACCCTAAAACTTAAAGTATAATAATAATAAAATAAAAAAATAAAAAAACACAAATGAAACCTAGAAAAAAAAAAGACAGGAAATATGTATTATATATGCTACAGTTTTCCTGTTTGTTGTTTTCATATTATGTCTTTTTTTAAAACACCCATAATGTAAAATTTTATATGGCTTAACTTTCTGCATTGCATATTATTTTGTGATGCAAGGTATTATTTTTTTTCAAGAAGATAAGTTTGCTTTACTGTCTGATTATTTTCTTAAAAATGTTTAATGTTTGATTAAATAAAACAAACTTTTAGTACTATAGAAAGCTTTCAATATGTGCAAGGACATAACTATATACAACTTCAAAAACACATTTTTCCAGCTCCAAGTAAAGTGATGTTGAACATCCTGACTATAGTTCGGTTATAGGAAATTTCCTGGATGGCCAATGTTTTCCTTGGCTTAGAAAAAAAAGTACAACTGAAAAATATAAATAAGACCTTCGATGAGTTGGGAATCGTAAAATTGCTATCTGAAGTTCAGTCATCGGCATCTTGGGAAGTTTACAATAGCTATAAGAGTTCAACAAGCAAAACGAAACCCTTGAATATTTAAACTTCAGTCACCCAGGAGGAGTATGCAGGGCCACAGTTGGTCTATCAAAAATAAAAGCTATTCCTAAGGTGGTAGAACTTGGTATCTGGTTTCTTAATATTTAAGAAAATATGTAACTGACATTATATTAGGGTAGATATCATATAATTTAACCTAAATCCATTTATATAAAATATTTCAAAATTTAATCTTAAATTCATCTATATGAGTTAAGTATTAAAATTATCTCTTTTAAAAATCAGGAAATTGAGGCTCTCAGTTTTGTAAGCAAATAATGTCTTTGTGTTTCTGGTCTGGCAGGCCTGTAAGGAACTTAGAAATCAGCTCCTAACAATAAAAAGGGAAACAAAATGAAAAATCAACAAATCTTTTTAAATCCATCCCAGAAGTGAAGTCACAGGGCAAACCACTGCCCCCGGATTGGAGAGACAGACAGGCAAATACAGAGAATCACAATTTACCAGAGCAGAAACTCATAAGCAGAAACTTCTGCAGGAACCAGTGCCAGGGATAGGAAATCTGAACTGTTATTGAAAAATTGCTGGAGGTTAAATGTAGACAAGTCTGGAAATAAAAAATACTCCAGGGAGACCCAGTCATCAGCGCACCCACACAGCTTTATTAATGGTACCCCTAGGAGCCCTACCAGATTCTCATAGTTAATATCAGATAAAAGTTTTCTCTTACTTATGGGAAGTGACTATTTCAAAACACACTGAAGCATTCTGTTCTTCTTAATAAGGCCTGCTTTCAGGAGAAAATATTTTATCAGAGTCTAATATGCTGGGGTTTTATCAAAGCCTAACCTATCTACAGGAAAGAAATACCTAACTCCAGCCTCCTCTAGCCATCCTGTCCCATCTATGAGGGATATGGGGTACTCAGAAGCACTGATAAGGTTCACAGTCCAGGAACACAGCCTCACCAAACACTGAAACTTAATCATAGGAATATATAACTCTTCTTTTCTCTTACATCTTACTACTACATTACTAAAGGTCAATTTACTAATAGAACTTCAAGGGGAAATAGATGAATCTACTCTTATAGTAGAAGATGTTAAACCTTCTCTATCAGAAATGGAGAGATCCAGCAGGCAGATAATCAGTAAGAACTTAGTTGAACTCAAAGGCAGCATTGATCAATTGAACCTATTGACATTTACAGACTACTTAATCTAACAAAATCAGTTTAAATGTTCTTTTCAAGCTTACATGAAACATTCACCAAGATGGACCATATTCTGGGACATAAAATACACCTCAATGAACTCAACAAATGTAAAGGAATTGAACTTATACTATTCTGCTGTTACGCCACAATAGAATTAAACTAAGACTCAGTAACAGCAAGATAGCTGGAAAATTCCAAAATATTAGGAGATTATAACACGCTTCTAAATAACACATGGATTAAGGAAAAAATCTTGAAATTAAAACATATATTGAACTAAATAAAATGAAATGAATCCAACTTCCAAAATTTCTGGGATTTTGATACATTAGAAGAAAGAAAAAAATAATAGACTGATAACTCTCTTGAACATAAATGCAAAAATCCTCAACAAAATATTAGCAAACTATACCCAGCAATATATAAAGATAAGTATGCACCATGACCAAGTGGAATCTGTGCCAGGTATGCAAATTTGTTTCAACTTTTGAAAATTAAGTAATGTCATCCATCACATCATGCTAAAGAAGAAAAATCACATGATCTTATCAATACATGCAAAAAAATTCATCAAATGCGATATTTATTCATGATAAAAATTATCAATAAATTAAAAATAGAAAAAACTTACTCAACTTAATAAAGAGCATCTATGAAAACTCTCCAGCTAATATCATACTTAATGGTGAGAAACTCAAAATTTTCTTGTGAAGATCAAGAACAAGACAAGGGTGTCCCCTGTCAGCATTGCTTTTCAATATTGTGCTAGATACATTAGCTATGTAATAACACAATAAAAAGAAATACAAAGTATACACATTATGAAGGAATGAATCAAATTTCTTGTTCTCAGACGACAATATCATCTGTATAAAAAAATCAAAAATTGCCAAAAAACTCTTGAAACTAATAAGCAATTACTACAAGGTTACATGATATAAGATTAATATATAAAGTCAATTGCTTTCCTATGTAGCAGTAATAAAAAATTGGAATTTGAAATTCAAAACACATTTTTATTTACATTAGCACCCCAAAATTAAGTACTTACTCATATATCTAACCAAATATCTATAAGATGTATATGAGAAAAATTACAAAACTGATGAATGTTATCAAAGAAAAAATAACAGAGATATTCCTTGCTCATATGAATAGAAAGAGTCAACATTTTCACGATGTCATTTCTTCCCAACTTAATCTATAGAGTCCGTGCAATCTCAGTTAAAATTCCAGTAAGTTAATTTGTGGATATTGACAAATTGATTGTAAAATTTACATAGAGTGGATGAAGACCCAGGATTGCCAACCCAATACTAAAAGAGAAGAACAAAGTTAAATGAATGACACTAACAGACATCAAGACTTAGTTATAAAGCTACAGTAATCAAAACAATGTGGTATTGGGGAAAAAAAACAGACAAATAATCAGTGGAACAGAACTGAGAACCTAGAAAGAAACCATGTAAATATAATCAACTGATATTAGACCAAGGAATAAAAACTGCAGTAGAACAAAGATAGTATTTTCAACTAACAGTGGTAAAATAAATGGACATCCATATGCAAAAAATCAAGATACACACCTTACACCCTTCACCAAATTAACTCAAAATGAATTATAGACCTAAATGTTAAACACCATACACTAAAATTCCTAGGAGATAACTGGAGAAAACCTAATTCATCTTGCATATGATGATGATTTTTAGATGCAACATCAAAGGCAAGATCAATGAAAGAAATAATAGTTAAGCTGACTTCCTTAAAATTAAAATCTTTTGCTCTGGAAAGAACAATGTCAAGAGAATAAGACAAGACACAGACTGGGAGAAAGTACTTGCAAAAGATACATTTGATAAAGGACTGTTACCCAAAATATACAAAGACTACTTAAAACTGAACAATCAGAAAATGAACAATCCTGATAAAATAAATGAACAGAAATCTCACCAAAGATCTATAGATGGTGATTAAGTATATGAAAGATGTTTAACATTATACATCATTAGGAAATTGCAAATTAAATCAAAAGGACATACTGCTACACATCTATTAAAATGGCCATTCTAAAGCACTGTCAATACCAAATGCTGATGAGGATGTGGAATAACAGGAATTCTCATTCATTGATGGTGGACACGCACAATGGTACAGCCATTTTGGAAGACGGTTCAGCATTTTCTTACAAAACAAAATATTCTCTTACCTACGGTCCAGCAATTGCATTTCATCCTACTTACCAAATGAATTGAAAACTTATATTTACACAAAAATCTGCACACAGATGTTTTAGGAACTTTAGTCATAAATGCCAAAAGTTGGAAGCAACTAAAATGTCTTTTAGTAGCCAAATAAATAAACTGTGGAACAGCTAGAGTTTGGAATATTATTTAGCATTAAACAGAAATGAGTTATCAATCCCTGAAAAGAAACAGAGGAAATATAAATGCATATTACTAAGTGAAAGACAGCAATCTGAAAAAGCTACATATTGTATGATTCCAACTGTATGACATTCTTAAAAGGGCAAAACTATAGAGACATTAAAAGGATTAGTGGTAGCTAGTGGTTTGGGATGCATAGGTAGAGAACAGAATATTTTTAGGGTAATAAAAGTATTCAGTATGACTGTAGAATAGTGGATACATGTCATTATACACTTCCCCAAATCCATCAGATGTACCCAAAGTAAACGCTAATGTAAATGATGAACTTTTAGTGATAAGGATGTGTCAATCTAGATTCTTTGATTGTAGCAAATGCATTCATATGGTGCAGAATGTCAATAGTGGGAAACTGTATGTGTGTAGGAACAAGAAGTATATGGAAACTGTCTGTACTTTTTGTTAAATTTTCCTTCGAACCTAAAACCCCTATAAAAATAAAGTTTATTAATTATTTTTAATAGCAAGCAACTTGTCTAAGTAACACCATTAGGAATTAAAAATAGGTCTATCTTACTCCAAATATTTCTGCTATGCCATTATGACTATGAATCTTAACAATCCTTTCCAGAGTGCTTAATAAATGTTTAATGTTTTAATAATTACGTATTTTTCAAAATTGTGTCATCAAAAATTTATTTTGACTTACTCATGCAGTGAGATGTTTAATACTTTTGAAATATCTACAAAACAATTTTTACAATAAAAAGAGGTGAGACCCCATCTCTTTTTATTTAAAAAATTGTTTGGTAGATGTTTCAAAAGTATTGAATAGAACTTCCTTTCTTACTCTAATATATCTTTCTCATCAGATATTACATTATTTTCTTCATATCTATTTCACTCCACTGGTATATTCACCCGTTTTCGTGTCAGTAATATAGTGTTTTAGTATTTATACACATAAAATTTACTTCAATAGTTTTTTTTCCACAAATATATTTGCCATTCACTCACATTCATTGTAAAACTGCCTATTGCACATTTCCCATCCTGTGTTGAAGGCTGTGGATGAAATGGTGAGCAAAATAGGCGTGGGCATTCTAATACTTGACTCTTATACAGTCTTGTGAAGAAGATAGTTATCAATCAAACAAACATAATTTCAAATCATGATAAGTGCTGTGAAGAAACTAATTTATACTTTTATAGGAACACTTAGGCAATGGACAAAATCTACACTTTATAATCATGGAAATCTTCCTGATGTGGTAATAATTGAGTTTATGAATAAGCAAAATGCAAAGTCAATTATGCAAAAATGATGGAAGAGCACATTCAAATACTTAGGGCAGAGCAAAGAGTACATGCAATAGCCATGCAATGGAAGGGAACGTGAGTTGTTCAAATCACTGATTCAAGGCCAGCATGGCTAAAACAGATAGCATGGGCATGCAGTTTAAGACACAATATTAGAGGGTGGCAGGAAGTTGACCATATAAAACTACACATGCCAATGTAAGAATTTTTTGTATTTCTCCTAAAAGTAATGTGAGGATATTAGAGACTGATCTCACTCTGGACTGTGGCATAGAGAATTCTTTGGAAGAGGAAGAAAACTGATAAGAGACCAGACCATCAGAAGACCATGGCAGAGTCCAGGTGAAAGATTATAGTGACTTGATCTAAGTTGTTTTTTGAGAAAATTAAGAAAATTGAATAGATTTGAAATATATTCAGGAGGTGAAGCCAAATGCTTTGAAGATGAATTTCTGAACACTGTTGAACGTGATGGAGGTATCATGGGTGATTCAGGATCTCTTGTGAAACTGGATGGAATTATGGTAAGTTCTATGGAGAAAAGAGACTATAGAGAAGCACCTGTTCAGAAAATAGATGAGTTCAATTTCGGATCCATTGCTTTAAGGGGCCTTTGTGATTTATTCTTCAGTCTATGTAGATGTTGAGCAGACTGTGGAATATAGTGAGCGCACAGACTATATAGAATATAGTTCTAGCCCAAAAATACAGTAGCAAATCATAGAATTTTTTAAAAATGTTGGATAATGATTTGGATATTTTCTAGGAACTGCATATTGAGTCTTGAAAGTATCTAGTACATGTACTGGAGGAACTCCAATATTTAAAACCAAAGAAGAAATCTGATGAAGGAGACTAAAAGGAAGCCTCTAGATGAAGAAGAAAAATGAAGAGAACATTATTACATGGGAGCTAAGAAAAGAGACTGTCGCAAAAAATAGGAGTTTGATCTTCTTGATGAACATTATAATCATTTTGTCAGGATTTGGTCCAGAATTGGATTACTTTTATAAATACTGCCAAGACGATGATAACCTGTATTTAGCTTAATGTAAGGATATCATAGAAATGTCTGACAAATGTCTGTATGCATTCATGTTCATTATGCACTTCCTCATGGATTCTTCTGGATGATTATAATTATTTAAATTATTGAGCTGGATGCTTAGTTTAGTATTCATTTTCTCTTTATCCTCACAGGCAAAATACAATATACTTTCGTCATGTTTGATGTTTACTGATCATTTAATATTTTGTTAGCAGTATATTAATATAATTTTTTATTGCATTTCTTCAAACTTAGTATTTACTTAAAATACTTTTTATATTTGTAATATGGCCCCAAATTCTCTAATTATGTTTTCTTTTAATTATTTGTTCAGTTCAGCTCTCTGGGGCTGGTTTAAATACATCGAAGAGCTAATCTAGAAAAGGATGCCCTGAAGAATATAAGGAAAAAGTGAAATTTTTCCAGAGAAAGGAGGGAACATACCAATAATATCTAAAAATCTGCATAGGGCCTTTGTCACTGTTCTGTGCTTGTTTAGTGGATTTCATTTCAATTTGTGTTGTAAAGAGAGAATGGCATGGTAAATTTCTGCCTAAAGAATTTATTGATTGTTTTCTTTTAAAAGTAGTCTATAGACCCTAGATGATAAAGTATATTCCCTGTAGGATGTAAGTATTGATAAGTTACTGCATAATGCTATTTGGAGCTTGAGTAGATTAGCAAAGACATAATTAATTTTGTCAGGAAACATAACAGGTAGTCACAGTATCTTAAAAAGAATTGTTTTTATTTGTATAAAGCATTATTTTATGTTAACTGGAATATGAGATTTAAAAAGAAGAAGCAGAAAAATAACTGTAGACATGAAAAGAGAAAAAACATATTTGTATAGTTGTAGCATAAAGGTTGAGGTATCCTATATTGTCTTTGCTTGATTGTGAATATTACACAAAGTGCAAAGACATGTCTTGTGTAAAAACTTCTAAATTCCTACTGGCACATGCACTTTAGCAGATACATAAATTCCATCTCATTTTATCTGCAATGTCTATTCCATCTCTGTAGACAGGCAGAGCAAAGCTTATTATAGTTCACCCTTGTTAATACGTTTTACCTTTCTTAATTTTTAAATAGCATGCTGACAAAGACTCTTTCACTAATAGTCTCTCACTGATAAGACCCTCGAGCCCTCTTGTTGAATTGGCCTTGGTCTTGGCCTTTCATGTTTATCCTGTCTTTGCCAGGCCTGCATATCCCAAATTTAGAAAGAATCCTGCCAAATCAGCTTAGTAATAGTCCCTCTACCTTTGATATCTAATCACCCTTGACATTTGAACAAGTTCCTCATCTCCATCATTGATTTATAAGTACTTGGCTTATCTTTAGCAAGAATCTTACTGGGTCACTTTAGCAAGAATTCCCCTTCCCTTGATGTCTCTTCTTAGTAATTTTCCATCCACAGATCCCTCACTTTGCACATTGGTCATAAATCCCCACTTGTCCTTATTGTATTCAGAGTTGAGCCTGATCTCTCTGCCTTGTTGCAATAGTCTCTAATGAAGTCACCATTACTGTTTTAAAAAGTATTAGAGTAATTTTTTCTTTAACAGTGCTTGGTTATTAAAATGACAGTAAAAAGAATTTAAAATTAAACATCTTAAAATAGGTCTTTGAAGGTAATAATCAAACTAAATAATTGTTCAAAGGAGAAGTAATGAATAAGCTGCATTTTTTTCATCCAGCAGTACTCAATATACTATACTGTGAACTCTCATGGTCTGTTTCTTTACTAATATAGTCTATCATGCTTTGGATGTGTGTGAAGATTCATATATGTGAAGTTCTGTTCATGTGGATGTTTGATAAGAAGCAACTCTTCTCATTTCAATAAAGAAAAAATATAAATGGAAACCACTGAGTTGTGAACGTTGGAAAACTGCAGGGAGGAAATATATAATTTCCTCTCCCCATGTTAGGTTCATGAGTGAGGCCCCTATAAGAAAACACAAGTTAACAAAAGAAAAGCATACAGATTTATTGAATATGTTTTACATGCATGAGAGCCTATGTAAGGAAATAAAGTCCTGAAGAAACAGTGAAATCTGAGTATTTCTTTTGCTAAATTTGATGAATTTCTTTTTCTTTTGCTAAATTTGATGAAGAATCTCAGAGACTCTCAGAAAAATGTAACAGGACAAAAATGGGTATTTCTGCCTATACCCATTTATCCAGTTATAGAGAGGTCACCTCTCAAACGAGGGTCTCATAAACTGTTTCAAGAGAAGCTCAGAAAATCCTCCCTACTTTTTATGACCGGCTGCAGGGAAGGTGAACAAGAAAAGATCTGAATCACCTTCCTGCTTCTGTGATTTCCTCAAATTCCTTCACCTATTCAGTATGTCAAGGTGCCATCTTTTGGAACAGTGTGTCCTGAACCTCATCAAGATACTTCCTTCTTCTACATGCATTGGCAGGAGGGCATTGCTCAAGATTCTCTCTCCTGTTTGTGGTCATAGGTTTAGCCCATGATCCACAACTCATTTTGTTTCATTATTATGTCTGTTTATGAAGAATTGAAGTCCAGACTGTGAAGCACGCTGCACAAAGCCTTTAGTAATCTATTCTTATTTGACTTTTTCTCATCTTCTGACAGTTTGATGCTTGTGTTATGTGCTCAAAGCTTGCATAATCACTCTATGAAATTTAACTTTGTGAAGGCTTTCACACATTCATTCTTATGTCTTTCTCATTTTTTGGAATCCTTCTACATGCACCATATCCATTTCTCTATCTTTGTTTCTTTAACTCATCTGGTCTACAGTTCTCTTACTACAAGTGAACTTAATCTGACCTTGAAAGGGTACAGAATATGCCACAGTGCCGTAAGGATTATCTTGAGCTGAAGACATTTGAGAATCAACAAACGCAGGAAGAGGCTTTCTGCGAACTCCCCTTATCTGCCTGAAAATATATCCTCCAAAAAAAAAAAAATTTAAACTGTCCAAATTCCCTCCCTGGAAGTTTCATTGACCAGGGAAAATTGACTCTTGTCATAGGAAAAGAGATGAGAAGTTTGCACCAAACCTAGACAGTCATTGCCACAAACTCTGTCTCCCATTTATTCTCATAAGGGCCCATTTGTATTTCCTAAAATTTATTTTTCTCTCCCATAAGTGGCTTTTATCCCCTACCCTTTCCGCTATTAAGGTAGCATACAAGTTTCCAAATCTTGCTTCTCATTTTGGTATTCACTTTTTTTTAATGATGCCATAGTGCATGTAAAATTAAAAATTAAATATGTAAGCCTTTTCTTTTGTTTATCTGCTTGTTAGTTTAATACACTGATCCTCCAGCCATTAATAAAAGCATAGAGGAATTTGTTCCTCCCCTGCAGCCTTCTATGATATTTTCCTGATCTCCTCAGTAAGTCTGAGTTGCTTTTTTTCTGTCTTTCCATAACCTTGTATATTTGTCTATCTTCAAAACCAGGTCAGTTTATGATGATATAAAGGAGGACAATTGCTTTTCTTTTACCCAGGTAAAAGATTTTAGGTTCATGACTGAGGCTTCTACAACAAAAGACAGGTTAACAAGAGAAAAGCAAGCAGATTTACAGTCTACCCTCCATATCTGTGGGTTTCATACCCACAGATTGAATCAACCATGAATCAAAAATATTCAAAATGCATAAAAAGCAATGCAACAATAAAAATAATGTATATAAAAACAATACAGTATAACAACTATTTGTATAGCATTTATATTGTATTAGAAACTATAAGTAATCTAGAGATTATTTAAGGTGTATGAGAGGATGTACATAGATTATGTGCCATTTTATAACAGGGATTTGAGCACCCTTAAGTTTTGGTATTCTTAGGTGTTCTGGAACCAATCTCCCATGGATATTGAGGGATGATTGTATTTATTATAAGTTTTAAGTGACATTGGAGCCTTTGTAAGGAAAGACCAAAAGAAACAGTCAAACCTGCATATTTTTATGCTATGTTTGATGTAAAATGCAGAGTCACGGAGAAATATGATAAAATGGAATATGATCTAGTGGGAGTAAACTGAGGGAAACATATCAGAGTCTGCTGACTCAGATGCTTCTCTATGCCCTTGAGTCTTCAAAGACAAAAATGCTCATTTCTCTGGATATAGGGAGAGCACCTCTCACATGAAGCTTTTATAACCTATTTTAAGAGAACGCTAGAAAACCCTTCCCAGCTTTTATGAACTGCTTCAGGAAGGAAGGGCAGTGGGAAGGTTAGAGAGACATCTCCTCCTTTGCATAAATTCCTTCAGCTTAAAATATTTTGAGGTCATGTATCCTAAACTCCCTCTGTTATATTCATGCCTGTTATTCATACAAAGGTAGGGAAGGGCTCTATTATATTTACCTATGTAATTGTAAAACCTCTCTATGTCTGCCATTAGTGTTTAATAATATTTCATGAATTGATCAGAGCATTAATTACGGCTAATGTACGCATTTTACATTGAATCTCCCTGTGAATAGTCTACTTTCTTCTGTATCCACATTGAGGGGCAGGCTCAGGGTTTAGTTTCCAGCATCCGCAAAAGAAGACCTAGAAGTAATGACACACTGCACAATCATTGCATTA
Source organism: Homo sapiens (assembly GCF_000001405.40). NCBI lineage: Eukaryota > Metazoa > Chordata > Mammalia > Primates > Hominidae > Homo > Homo sapiens. The sequence continues at coordinate 10,085,937 of NC_000007.14, read as the reverse complement.
AATCCCCATTGTAGGCATTTGGTTCCTATTTCAACAATTATTTTCCACTCTTCATTCTCTTTCATCCTCTATATTATTCTCTCCCAAAGCCTCTCTAATCCCTCATATTGTGTTAAGTAATCTGGCTCTGCTTTTGTTCATACCTATCTCAGGCGGCAGAGCAAAGACTTCAGAAGATGAATCTTTTAAAAGCAGTTATTAAAATAGTCTTGTTAGAGTATGTAGCTAGGTTGATATGATCAGAGCAGGAGAGGGCTTCACTCCAAGAATATCAGGCAACCATCAGGTGATGGTCAGGCAGTTGTTAAACTGTCTCTCTAAGATAATAATTAGTTGCAGCCAGTACCAGGAAAAGTCAGTCTCCCAGCAGATAGAAAACACCTGAAGCTGGTAACGAGCAGTTTCCCAATAAGATCTCAGGAGTTGGGCGGGTGAGTTTAAGCATGCGCACTAAGAGAGGCAAAATGGCAGTTAAACTGGTTTCCGACTTTCCTCTGGAACGCTCGACTGCTTAAGAGAAAAATGCCTCAAATGAGCATGTGCACAACTCCAGCAAACACGCTGGACATGCGGCCTCTCCCAAGTGCTGGCAGGCCACTGCACATGTGGACCCACGGGAAGAATCAGGAGAGAAGAAATGCAAACCCCAGAGTCATGCCAAGGTATGAAAAACCCTAAGTCCAGGGTTGGGAGAGGCATTTGGATCTTTCAAGTCGGCTGTTTGGCCCTCTTCCAAGTGTACTTTCTTCGTTTTGTTCCTGCTCTAAAACTTTTTAGCAAACGTTCACCCCTGTTCTAAAACTTGCTTAGGTCTCTACATCTGCCCCATGCTCCTCAGTCAAATTCTTTCTTCTAAAGAGGCAAGGATTGAGTTGATGTAGTAGACTCGTGTGGATTTGCTGCTGATATTAGTAATAGTCTGGTAAGAGTGGGTAAATTTTGTTGTCCAGTCCCATTTAAGTATTAACGTAGCAAAATGAGTCTTCTGGGGAAAGGGATTAGGGAAATTATGCCACAAAGAAAAAAATAATTTTTTTTCATTTATATAAATTCTTATTATTTAAGATAGACAAGCAGTTCACCATTACAGTGATTTCTATGGGAAACCATTTGTGTAATGAAGAATTCCTTTCTAGCACAAATAATCACCATTTATTTATTCTTACTAACATTTGGATTTTTATATATTGGATTTGCTTAAGAGAATAATTTTTAGTCTCCTGTTTCAAATTTCATTGTGGCTGCAGTGAAGTCTAGGAAATGACTCCCTAGAGATGTCTCTTTGAAGCATTTACCTTTCATTAATTTAATGGTTCAAAAACTATGAGTGCCTACTAAGTTTCCTCCCAAATAATTGCAGTTTACTGAATGAACAAATGGAAGAAATAATGAATGAAAGTGGGGATAAAGCCTGTTTTCCTTAAAGCTTCTTGAGTTGATTTCAATTATTGTATAAAGTTTACAAACCATTGTCTTTGAAAGAAAGTGTTTTACATTTCTGAGGATAATATTAAGCCAAATTAGGTGTTTAATAGCAAATACAATTTGCTACATTTTCAGGATATTAGTAGGCATAGTTATTTTAAGTGGAACATAATTGGCATGTGGATGCAGGCCTTCCTCTTCTACTCTCGATGTTTTTGTTCCCTTTTTTCCCCCTTTTATGTTTCTTTGAAGTACCTTCAAGTGCAATTTAAAGAGGGGGGTTCTCTGGAGCTCTCCTTGTTTTTTGTTAAGTAACTCAGTAAGTCCTTGACCTCTTTGTTTCTGAACTTTATCGCCAATAAAACTCAATCATTTGCCTAACATCATACTGCAAACAATTAGACTATGTGAGTTTGAGGTTACAAAATAACAGTAGCAGTACTGAAAGAATTTGCAACCACCCAATTTACACGTGGAAATTTTCATCTGCAGCTCAAGGCTGCCTACACTGTAATCGCTCAATGGCAGCTGTTTAAAGTCAATGAAAAGCAGCATGGTTTTTTTCCCTCCTTTTTGTGTGACTCCCCTCCCCCATATTTCTCACAAAGATTTAAATTGATTTTTCCCACAGATTTCTTTGTTTTTATGCGTGTTTGTCTGGCTTTCTATTTTTTTAATTTTGTGATAATCATTTCATGTAATGTGTTGTGACATAATGGATAACTCTTCAATTGAATGCCATTTGAAATATTTTAAATAGTTTATCAAAAGATCAGAGCACCCACATTCTTTTTCTTTTTTTTTTTGAGAATACTAGCCAATCCTCTTCTTATATACTGATTTATATATCATTTATGTAAAAATAATACAAATTTATACTAGATTGAGAAAATCAAATGCTAGTTATAGAAAAATTGTTAACATTTGTAGTGATGGGGCAAAAATTATATTTAATGTTTATGCTTCAGCACAACAGAGAATCCCTGAAGACTTGCTACAACAATAGTTTTCAGCCTTTTTGAATCGTGTCTCCAGGTTTAAGATTTCAGTCCTTTAGGGAAAAGAGTAAGACTTTCGTGGGGCACTTTGTAAAGTTTAAGTAAGAAAAAACAATACTCTTAAACTAGAGCAATAAGCAGAGTTTAAAACACTGAAAATTAGAAAACAATTGTAGGTATCCTTCTTCATCATGGGTATGGTGTTACATTGGATTTTTATCTTACTTTTTCTAGTAGCTTTCTTTTGGCCATCTCAGCAACAGTAACATTTTTATAGTTTTCGTGAATATTTTCTCTGTTTGTGGATGAGCAGAATATTCGTAGGTGGTCCAGCTTGGAGCAAGTGTATGTCAACAGGTTTTTTAGGTTGTCTGTAAGCTGTGGGTGGCAGGGCCATTCTTCTATCATGTGTTGCTCTCCAGCATCTCCGACTACACTTGGCACACCACCAGAAACCAACGTACACAGTTTTTTGGATCAAATGTATATACTTGACTATATTTGTGTACTTGCCCTTGGCCACACAGGAAGAAACTGATAATTTTTGACAACTCTATTGTAAATCTGAATCATAAGCCTAAGGAAGAAATAAAACAAAATTATGTTTGTTTCTCATCTCCAAAATTTACTACTTCTATAAAATTGCCCCAGTTATTTCATCCCCCAAAATCACCATTTTATCATCTGTCAAAAAGGTAAAATAATAATCATGTTTTACAGTATTTTAAGAATAGAGAAATGATATTGAAAAACAGCACATGGTAGGTAATCAATATAATTGCAGTTGTTTTCTATGTCATTCTTGTGGGGCACTGAAATTCTCATCAAGGTAGAACTACTTACTGTAGTTCAATCAATTATTATTGAATGCACATGTGAATCAATGACGAGTCAAAGAAATTAGAAAGAAGTAGAAATGGTAATTGGCACTGTGGTGGGCTATACAAATTCGGTTTCTCAAGTAGAATAGCACTTTGTTCCTCGTTGTTGCAATATGTGTTGTACCACTGAAACCCTATAGCATATGGAAGCAACTGATAGACCCAAGCGGTTTAAAGGCAAAGCAGTAAATAGCACAAATGGGGACCAGTTCACACACAAGAAAAGAATTAAAGAAACATAACATCCTAATCTCTTCTGCTCATTCCACTGTGAGAGAATTGAGGCCAGCCCAGCATTGATTTAGAAATACAAAAAAATGGTGTTTTCCTTTTGGATTTAGGTTTGAGGAGTCTATCATAGTACAGGCATTGAAAGCCTAAAGAAGGCAGATGAGTAAGAAAAAAATAGAACAAACAGACATTTTTGCAAGTGTAGAGTTACAAAATTATAGGATAGGCGTCAGGCAAAGTGCCAGCTCTCTATGTGGTAGATGTAGTTTGCTATCAAAATTATTACCTGTAAAGTGAAATCAGCACAAGCAGGTTCAGGTTAGGTGGGGAGAGTCTGAGGAATTTGGCACAATTGTGTACAATATTTTCATTTTTTTTAATAAGAGAATGTCTTACTCTTTCAATTGCCATTTTGCCATGTAGTCCAATATATGAAATAGATAAAAGTAAAAGTACTTTGGATTAAGGCACTATAGAGATGTTGAAATGATGATCTTCTAATTTTTCTTCTCCATTTATCAGCACTTGTTGTCATAGAACTTTGCAATGTCCTCCCACCTTAGATGGTGTGACCTGCAGCAACCTTTTGTATGTCAGTCAGTCATATGATTTGTATTGACCAACTGGATGATAGCAGATGATTGAAATGGGCTTATGCAGTGAAGCTTGGTGTTCTGCCTACACTTACGTCATCACAGCAGGATATATCTGAAGTAGCTTGCTAAATACTAGAGGAGGATGAGGAATATACAAAAAAGTAGAGACAAGGCCAGCTCAGATCAGTCAACAACCAGTAATTCTGGACACACATGAACTGGCACAGCACTAATGAATAGATCTACCTAACTGACTATAACTGACTCCAGACACATGTGCAATAAACAATATTTTATGCCACTGAGTTTTATGGCTGGTTTTTATGCAATGTTATTGTAGCAACAAATAACTGATAGACAAGCCTCAAGTGCTACACATTCATTCCCCCAGTAGGCCTGTGGGCCTCCTGAAAGAACCACTAGAGCCTTAGAAAGCATAATTTGGAAATTACTAGCCTAGAATAAGCTCATGTGTGTGGTCTAGATTTTCATATACCAACAGTGGAAGAGCATGTGGGTTAGTTATGAGATGATACATCCAGTTTTGATCAAATGTAATAAAATAGTTCATAGCTCAGTGGTACTTCAGAGGTCCTATAGGTCATCTTTTATTTAAGCCTTATCTAGAAGTGATAAAACATAGGCTCAGCAAAGTTACAACTTACATGAATTGAGGTTTCTAGAAACAAAAAGTATTCTTTAAAAAAAAATTCTGGCAAAACATAGATTTCAATATTTAAAGTTAAGTTTTGAAAAAATAATAAAATATTGTCACTTAAGTATTTTCTAATAATCTCACAATATGTAGTAAACTGTTATGTCTGTATTTCCCACTTTCAAGTAAAAATATAAACAGGAATGGGTTCATACTTTCATTATTTTATTCTACTATCACTCGAGTTTTATTATTTATGGCTGAATTGAAGCATTAATATGCTAATTCTTTACTCAAACTTTAATAAATAGGTTTTCAGGAACTCTCTTGAATTCTTAAAGAAAGAAAGAGGAAAGAAACACAAAAAGTGGTTCAACAGTCAAAGACAGGTTTGTTTTGGAGAATAAACCTCAGAGGGGCTTCTGGCCGAGTTAGGTCAGAGGTACTCTGTGTTACAGACTAAGAGTTTTTAAGGGTTCAGGGCAGGGGGCTTATCACAGGATCAGAATGTTTGTGTCTCTTTGTCTTACTTATCTGGGAGGGAGAGTTTTGTGTCTCTTTCCATACATTTTCCTGCAGCTGCAGGCATATACCCCAAGTCTCCTTTTAGCTTCGCTATCTTACTGCACCTGAAGGGAAAGGAATGTGCTTATTAGGGCCCGCTGTTTTACTGGGGCCCATTGTATGAGTGTGAAGTTTGATGGTTACCCAAGAGACTTTCCCCCCTCCCTCTGTGCTGGAACTATCTTAACTGTTTTATTGTCTGTTTTTTTCTGGCTGTTTGTTGTTAGAAGAGAAGTGATTTCCTTGAAATGCATGAGATTAGAAAGGGAGCTGGAACCTTAAGTGGTGGTATTTGTCCAAGATGATGGTGCTTCTGCTCTGTCAAGCCCATTCTACTGATTGAGGAATAGTCATATTTTAAAACTGTGCTTATATACTTATATGTTTAGAGATATATATATATATATATATATATATCTCTAAACATATATATCTAAACATATATGAGAAAGCTAACATATAATTAAGTATAGTATATATTTGCATATGTGTATATGTGTTTGTGTGTGTATTTAATATTTACTGTGTTGAAAATGAGGAAAGACTTGGTATTTTGTATGATTTAAAGATGCTTTTCATTACAGGATATTTGAGGTGTTGCTTTTCGGGTTGGAAAACCTCTGTGGCCAGTGGCACCATTGCCGAGTTTTTCTCAGGCTCACTCAGCCTGAACAGGCTGTGCACAGCTTGTGCTACCAGCCTGGATCCCATGCCTCCAAGGGAGAGCAGAGCAGTGAAGCGTGTGTGTTAGTGAGTGAGTGTGGGGTCCAACCACTGTGTACAGCCAGGAACACTGGCTGTCGTAGGGCAGGCAGCTCCAAGTGCCAGCAGGGACGCCAGCACCCTGTGAGTCTTTGGCTGCACCAGGCGTACCACAAGCAGCTTCCATGGCTGGCATTGGGTAATGAGGTGGCACCTGGAAGCTTGGAGATGCCAGGAACCACAGAGCCCCAAAGAGGGTATCACAGCCCTAGCTTGTGGAGCTCCTAGGTCTGGGCTCCCCAGAGGGCCACAGCTCTTCCCTCCTTCTCTCTTCTCTCCTTCTTGTCACCCACAACATGGCGAGCATGGGGCATATTTCAGCCTTGTTTGTATTATGGCTGTTTCAGCCTTGCCATTCGGCGGGTCCCGAGTTATTTTCCTGTGTCCAGGAAGAATGAGGTGAGTGGACAAGTGGAGGGTGAGCAAGGTGAAGAGGAGCTTTACTGAGCAATAGAACAGCTCAGAGGAGACCTGCAGATGGCAGCTCCTCTCCGTGGCCAGGGTGTCCTGATGGGTGTTCAGCTCTCAGCATAGAAGAGACCCTGGGGTGAGTTGGTCCTCTTTGCAGCTGTTCAATCCATCATCTCAGCTCTCAGCAGAGAGGGGACCCTGTGGAGGGGGACTCCTCTCCATAGACAGGTTGTCCCATTGCTTCCTCAAGTTTGGCTGAGTCCAGGGTTTTTATAGGCTTTAGAGGGGAGAAAGCTCATGCTGATTAGTCCATGGGTGGCTACGGGTAGGCCCAGAAAAAGCACCATAGGTTTCCACTTTAGTCCATGGGGGCTGGAAGCCTGGCCCCAGGCAGGCTTCAGGCCTTCTCTGGGCCTGAGTGGGGCTTTACTGGGGACCCACTCCTTCTGTCCAGGAGTCTGTCTGCATCTTGCCAGTGTTCATGGTGCCCAGGCTGTTCATGTCGAGGGCACCTGCAGGTCAGGGCTGAGCTGCCCTCAGCCCCCCTTAACCTCCCTTCCATGCTCATTGGTGGCCAAAGTCTGGAGGGGGCTGGGGAAGCAGAGGGGTGGCATGTTACTGCTGCCCCAGGTATGCACACACCCGGCCAGGTTGCAACGGTGCCTAGACTGGGCCCCAATTCTGCTCCAAGATTGGAGCAGGTGCCAAGAGTGGGGAGAGGCCAGGCAGTGGAAGCAGGCACCTCTGAGCCTGCATGCGGAGGGGGCCTTCCTGGGCCCCCAAGAGTGCAGAGATGCCTAGGTCCACAGCTGCAGCTGGATGGCTATAGCTGCACCCAGAAGGGTAGGTCTCCTGCCTGCTCCCAGCCCCCAAGATCACAGGGATGCCCCGGTCTGTAGCCATGACTGGGTAGCCACAGCTGTAGCTGGGGAGCAAGAGGCTCCCACCCTGCTAATTCAGAAGGGGTGTCATGGCAGCAGCCACTCTAGATGGGTCACACTGCCATCATTTTGATGGTGGAATACAACACAATTATACTGGGAGAGATGAAAGGCAGAACCCTTTGCTATTTATAGCTACAAAGGAGAGAAAGCTGTTATGCAGGGCTACAAAGGGAGTTGGGCGCACGGACAGGGACATTTATACATGCTGCAGCATATATATGGCAAGTAAGGTAGAGTAGCTAGGATTTGGGAGCTTTGTATGCATTTGAAGCTTTCAGCTGAGGTTCCAGAGCAGAAATAAGCCGTCTCTGTTTTATTCTGTCCAAATATCTGACCCATGGATTCTGTTAGCATAATAAATTAAAATTATTTTATGCCACTGAGTTTGGATTGGTTGTTACTCAACAATTGATAGTGGAACACCATTTACCTACAGTAGTTAACTCTAGGTAAAATTACTTTATTTCTTGCTTACATTCAGAAAATTTCAAATCCTGGATTAACTTCTTGGCTATGTATACAGAACACAGCTAATCCCCTCTTTTCTTTATTAGTCATGTAAGGGTGAGTTCTAGCCAAAAAGCACGTGCAAATAAGTGTGTGGTTTATCCAAAACAACTAAATGTAATTCATTATAGCTGGATCATAAAATTTGAGAAGAGAAGGAGCTAGAAATAAAGGTGGGAATGTAAGCACCCAATCATCAAAGTTCGTATTAGTCATATATGAAGTTTATGCTAAGGGTAAGAAAAAACTGCTTCTTGTATGCTGTTTCCTGATAGCATTTATATTTCAGAAATATCTGAACCAAAGTGGTTTCTATGTAAAAGATAGATTTCGGGGGTCACGTTTGGGGATGACATGGCCAATTAGAGTATTGAGGTGAAAGATGGGAACTCACCATAGCAGCAGTATATGTGGAAGAAACTTGAGAAAGCAGTGAATGTCTGTGAGGTAGAATCAACAGAATTTTGTGACTTATTAAATGTAGGCAGTTGATCCAGTTGGAAAATAACATAGGCAGTCCAGAGTGGAAGAAGAGGTAAAGCAACAAATAGTAAGTAGTGATATTGACATGTTGAGTTGGGTCGATAGATTACATTAGTGTCCTCAATTAATCCCTTTGGGCTTGGTGATGTGATTCATTTTGGGATAGTGGCAAAAGCGGAGGCTTGACAATGTATTTGTGCAATCTACTTCCTTTCTTGGATCCCCACTGCTACCATCGCAATAAACCTGGACTAGCCTGCTAGAGAGATTTGAGAGAAAAGCAGATCAACTTGACTTATTTCATGTGAGCCTATCCTAGTCCAGCCAGGCCCCATCCCGGCTCATATGCTGACACATGAGGAAGTCCACTTGTGATAAGGTGAGCCTGGTGTAAATCTGCATAATTGCCCGCACACTCATAAGTGTTTGCTTCAAACCACAAAGTCTTGGAGTGGTTTGTAACACTGCAATAGATCACTGATACACTTAGTTTGAAGGTTCTATTCTTGAGAGGTATAAGATCAGGGTTGGAACTCAGAAGAAGGATCTGGTTTGCAGACAAGGCTGCTTCTCAGTACTCAATAGCCTAGCCTTGCCTATTGTTTATGGTGAGTTTTCACTCTGAAGGGTTGGGCTTGCCTTCTCCTTAGTTGGTATGCATGCTTTTTGCAGTTCTGCCTGTAAATGTAGATTCCAGAATCATTTGTGTATAAATGGTTATGAAGCCGTGGGAGAGGGCAAGACTAACCACTAGAGTTAAAGGGGAAGATGGCTAATAGCAGAACTATTAGAAAAATAATAAGAAATGGGTAAATAAATGAAAGAATCCCAAAAATATTTGGGGAAGTTACACACAGCAAGGTGAGAAGAAACTATACCAAGAAAGTATACATTGAAACCAAGGTGAAAGAATTTTCAAAAAGGGAGATATGATACAGAACACTGCAAAAAAGTCAAAAGAATTTTGGTTGATGAACTAACATTGGATTCAGCAACACTGAGGTCATTAGTGTCTTTGAAGAGGGCAATTTCGTGTAGTGGTAAAATGATAGTACTGGGTCCATTATAGTTCTTGAGAAAATCATCAATAGTATTTCTTTTCTTTTCTTTCTTTTTTTTTTTAATTGAAAATACTTGCCTCTATGAGCAGGCTGAATTAATTACAAAGTTGTCTCCTGTGATCAGTCAGATGCTCTAAATGTGAATTAATTAGAAAAGAGTGAACTGATATATGAAAAAAAGAAAAATTAATATGCATGACAACATCTAGTGATGAAATGCATAGTAAATCTGGCCAAGTCAACCACATTAAAAATGCTTCATGTTTAGAATACAACCACATTCTCTCAACTCTGACCTGATTACAAGGGGATTTTGTTGTTGTGAAGAATAATGAATGCGCCATAGTTTAATAGCACTACGACACATTTGAGTTAAGTAGCTTCTCTGTTGTTACAGAGGGCAATAGCAACATTGCATACTCACCAATTATTCCCTCCAACCTTTCTTTTCTTTTAATTTGCTGCTGACTTAGGACAGTGAGGAAGAGTTTTTTGTAAAAGGAAGCAGTCATTAGACTATACAGTCACGCAGTTATAAGAATAGGTGATAACAAATGTTTATATTATGTTTTGCAGGTTAAAATAGTCTTTTTGCATAGTAGCAGATGAGCTATGTCCAGTCAGAGAAAATGTTTGTTCCACACGTTAAAATGACTAAAAATGAATTTTAAAACATATAAATAAAATAGTATTTTGGAGTACATTTTTGAATCCAATGGAAATTTTGAAATCACTTCATTATTTAAATCATTTTTAAAATGGTGCTTTAAAATTGACTCTATTTATTGAGAACCTACAATAAATAAAATATATGTGTTTTGCTGGAGACATGAAGTATCTATAAATAGCAGGCTCCTTGCATTCTAGACTATAGTGGTCTGTGAGCAAAATGGTCATATTAAAATATAAAGTATAGTAAAACAAATATTGTTGCATTGAAAATAAAATTCAATGAGAACACACATAACGTAAAGCTAATTCAATTCCATAAACATTTATCAAGTTTCATTCAAGTGTGGGACATTCTTTTACGCACTGTATTTCAAAAATGCATCTTACTGAATTTCTGTCTTCAGTGAACTTGAATTCCTCTATAGCAGTTAAATTTGTGGAATTCTCACAAGAAATTTTGTAACAGATTGGGTTGGCAGAATGAATAATTGTTCATAATATAAAATTTTAAAAGTAAACACATTTTAAAAGTAGATGTAAAACCACTCAAATCAAATAACTAGCCATCATCAGGACTTTTATATGATGCTTACTTTTTTGAACAGAAATCGTTTCACTTAATATAAACATGCAAGTAAAATTTTGTATTTTGAGATATTTACACTTAATATAATTTTTCTGTGGCATTGCCATTTCTTTAAAGCTTCAATGTTTTCTTGCTGTTTGTCTTAAATAACTGTGTAATAATTGATTATAAATTCCTCTTGTTATTTAGTTCATTTTTTTTTTCAATTTTGAGGAGCACACGTATATAGACAGAAAGTCTTGGTTGAGTGCGGTGGCTCATGCCTGTAATTCCAGCACTTTGGGAGGCTGAGGGAGGTGGATTGCTTGAGGTCAGGAGTTTAAGACCAGCCTGGCCAACATGGTGAAACCCTGTCTCTACTAAAAATACAAAAAATTAGCCGGCTGTGGTGGCACACACCTGTAAGCCTAGCTACTGAGGAGGCTGAGGCAGGAGAATCACATGAACTCGGGAGGCGGAGGTTGCCGTGAGCCAAGATAGCTCCACTGCACTGCAGCTGCAGCCTGGGAGACAGAGAAAGACTCCATCGCCAAAAAAAAAAAAAAAAAAAAAATGGCTTTTGCTCTGTGAAAAACACTGTTAAGAAAATGAAAAAACAAGTTACAAAACAGAAGAAACCATGTGAAAAATCTCATATCTCACAAGGACTTGTATATAGAACATAAGAACCCTGAAAACTCCACAGCAAGAAAATAAACCCACGAAAAATTGTGAAAAATTTGAGCAGACGCTTTACCAAAGACAATATACAAATGGCAAATAAGCAGTGAGACTGTTGGGATTTCCGAGTTCATCCTTTCTTTTCCTATAAAAATATAATAAAATATTTGTTTTTCAAAACTGTAGTCAAAAAGTAAAAGACTTGGAGTCTGCAGGTTTAACTATATTCCTGGCTCAGTTCTGTGTTAAAGTAGCCTTGGAAAAATTTTATTTCTGATAGTCCACTTTTTTTCAGTGTAAAATGATAAATCTCTATCATTGCTGTATGTGGTGTGTGTGTTAGAAAGAGGAAAAGAGAGAGATGGAGAGAGAGAAAATGGAGAGAGAGCAAGAGAGAGAAAGAGGAAGAGACAGACACAGAAGCAGAGAGAAAAGCTATATCAAAAATACCTTGTTCTTAAAACCTGAGAACTGGATATACTCCATAGGTGCCAACTATCTGAAACTGGTGAGGATTAACTACATATTATGTGCCATTTTAAGTATTTTACATGTATTAATTACATGCTAAAATCACCTGTGAAACACATACAATTATCTTTATTTTACTGATAAGGGGAATGCAGTATAGAATAGTTAAATAAATTTTACTTAGTCTATTAGAATACTTAGGATATTCTGGGCATCAGATTTAGATTTAGTCTTTATATGTCAATTTTGTCATCAAGTATTTGGTTTGTATTGATGTTTCATGCACGTTCAGGAGATTCAGAGAAGAATACGGGGGAAGAATCTTGTTGAGATGGTGTAATTTTGTTCCTCTGTAGTGTTCCTCCTTATCAATTTATTCTTTTCTTTCTTGACTCTCCTTATATAAACAAGCAAAAAACAAAATCTTACCTTGTTAACATTTGGAAATTATTAATGTGATTTACTAAATAAACGCAGTTAATGGCCACGTGTGGTTGCTCACACCTGTAGTGTCAGCACTTCAGAAGGCTGGTGGGCAGATTGCTTGAGCACAGAATTTCAAGACCAGCCTGGGCAAATGGCAAAAACCTGTCTCTACAAAAAATAAGAAAAATTAGCCAGAGGTAGTGGTGCACACCTGTGGTCCAATCTATTTGAGAGGTTCAGGTGAGAGGATTGCTTGAGCCTGTGGAAGTCAAAGTTGCAGTGAGCCGTGGTCACGCCACTGCACTCCAGGTGACAGACTCCCTGTCTAAAAATAAATAAATAAACAAATGCAGTTGATAATTTTAAAAGATACTGAAAGGATATTTCATAATATTTAACATTTATTTTTCACCTAAAATATAGGATTAGCAAAGTAAGAGTTGAAGAAAATTTTCTTAGCTTTCTAAAGGGTACCTAATAGAAACCGATTAACTATCTTTTTGAAATTTGTTGTAAGCAAAGCTTTGAAGACTAAGTATTTGTGCAACTGAGTTTATATCTAAATGAAGGCGCTCGTATTAATTTTAAAAATATGTATTGTTAGTTTTATCCCTTGCTCTGGGAGAAAGGATAGCTAGTTAAATCCTGATTGTCATCTAAATTACCTGTCTTTAAAAAGAAACCAAACAGCTGCGTTGAGCTACATTAACAATTAACTGCAGTTACTTAAAGGGTTCAATTTGATAAGTTTTAACATTTGTATGTACCTTTGAAATTATTGTCACAATCAAGATAATGAAATTATTCATCACTGAAAAAATTTTCTGTTGTTCTCTGATAATCTTTCCCTTCAAGTCTCTGAGTATTCTTACTCCCACTTGTCAATCACTCTTCTGCTTTATGTTACTATAGATTGGTATGAAGTGTATAGGGTTTCATATAAACTGAAGCAGACAGTATATACTATTTTTTGCCTATGTTCTTTGCTTCAGCATTTTTACTTAGCTATTCATTCATGTCCTAGCAATTATCAATACTTTACTCTTTTGATGTCAGTATTCCATGGTTATGGCTTTATCACAATGTTTTTTTCCATTCATTTATTAATGGACATCTGAACTGTTTCCAGTTTGTGGCTCTTACAGATAAGTGTTCTATGAACATTTACATAAAACTCTTTCTATAGACATATGTTATATTAGCTAAGATTTGAATGACTGTATCATATAGTAGGTTTATCTCTAACTTCTTAAGAAACATCAAATAATTTTTTTAAGTGATTTCCCAATTTAGTATTTCCACCAGAACTATTTGAGAGCTCCAGCTACTCCACATCCTTACCAACACTTGCTATGGTTATGTGCTTGGTTTTGCTGAAGTTCAGTATGTCAATCTTTTTTGACAGAGTACATTTTATTGTTATATCTAAATAATACTCCCATAAAATAAGTTCACAAGGATTTGCTCCCAAGTTTTCTTCTAGGAATTTGAGAGTTTTAGATTTTATACTTAGCTCTATGATCAATTTTGAGTTAACCTTTATGGTACAAGATATGAATCAAAGATTTTTTAAGAAATACGAATATGGAATTGTTTCAGTACCATTTGTTGGAAAGACTAACGTTTCCCCAATGAATTGTCTTGGCATCTTTGTTGAAAATAAGTTCATTTATGTAAGGCTCTCGTCTGAGCTCTTCATGCCACTCCATTTGTCTAATCGTCTATGTTAATACTACATTGTCTTAATTTCTGTGGCTTTATAATAAGTCTTTAATCAGATAGAATTAGTTCTCCATCTCTATTTTTTAATTCAAAGCTGGCTAGCTAATATATGAAATTTGCAGTTCCATATGAATTATAGACTCTGTTTATCAATTTCAATTAAAAAGATGTATGATTTTTATTGGGGTTCCAGTAGACTATAAATAATTTGAGAAGAATTGATATCTTACTCAATATTGAGTATTCTGGCCTATTACCTTGATAGGATATAATACATTCTCCCTTTACTTAAGTCTTTTATTTTTGTTGAGATATTTTATGATTTTTAGTGTAAAAGGACTTGTACCTCTTTTGTCAAATTTATCACTAATTTTTTTATATTTTTATGTTAATATATTTCACAAATTTCAATTATTCCTTATTAATCTATAGAAATATAGTTTGTGTTTTACATTGATTTTATATCCTAATAGTGGTTAAACTCACTTATTAGTTCAAGTAGAATCCATCTGATTTTACACATACATGATCATATCATTTGGGAATAAAAAGACTTGATTTGTTCCTTTTCAATTGAGAAGCCTTTTATTTCTCTTTCTTGCTTTATTTCCCTGTCTAGAACCTCCACTAAAATGCTGAACAGTGGTGAAAGCAGACATCCTTGTCTTATTTCTGATTTTAGCATGAAATTATTCAGTATTTCAACATTAAGTATGATATTATCTGTCTGTTTTTCATATATGCTGTTTATCAAATTGAGGATGTTTCCTAGCTTCCTAAGTGTTTATTTTAAATCAGTAATGGATTCTGAATTTTGTGGATGAGATTATCTGCTTCTACTAAAATGATTATATGGTTTATTAACATTTTTAATATGGTCAGTTACATTGGGTTTTGAATGATAAGCCCCACTTTGAATTTGTGTAGTAAATTCTAGTTGGTCTAATGAATTATTCTCTTTCTTAAAAATATACCTTGTTCTTTGGAGAAGTTTTCTTGTTACAAAAGTGGGCAATATGTACAGAAAGTCCTTATATGCTGGCTCTCCCCCAGCACACAGTTTACCCTATTATTAACATCTTCCACTAGTGGGGTACATTTGTTATAATTGGTAAACCAATAGAGATCCATTATTATTAATGAAGGTCAATACTTTAGTGTTCAGTCTGTGGGTTGTATTGTTCTATCAGTTTAGAGAAATGAAAAATGTCCTGTCTCTGCTGTTATAGTTTCATACAGAATAGTTTCACTGCACTGAAAATTCCCTGTGTTCCACCAATTTATTTATCCTTTTATCTTTCCCTCCATTCCCCAGACAAACATTGAGCTGCTTACTCTCTCTATAGTTTTGCCTTTTCCAGACTGTCATAAAGTTGAAATCATACAGTATATAGTTTTTTCCAGATTGGCCTCTTTCACTTAAAAATATATATTTAAATTTCTTCCACATCTTTTTATGGCTTGATAGCTAATTTCTTTTTTTTTTGTTGCAGAGTAATATTTCATTGTCTGGATGAATCAGAGTTTACTTATATATTTACCTATTGAAGGACATCTTGGTTACTTCCATGTTTTGGCAATTATTAATAAAGTTGCTATAAACATTTATTTGCAGGTATTTGTGTGGACATAGTTTTCAACTTACTTATGTAGGTTATTAGTAGTACAATTGCTGAATTATTTGGCAAGGCTGTCTTTGGCTTTGATAAAAACTGGGCTGAGTACAGTGGCTCACGCCTATAATCCCAGCACTTTGGGAGGCCAAGGCAGGCAGATCACGAGGTCAGGAATTCGAGACCAGCCTGGCCAATATAGTGAAACCCTGTCTCTACTAAAAATACAAAAATTAGCCGGACGTGGTGGCGGGTGCCTGTATTCCCAGATACTCGGGAGCCTGCGGCAGAAGAATCGCTTGAATCTGGGAGGCGGAGGTGGCAGTGAGCCGAGATCGCGCTACTGCACTCCAGCCTCGCAGCAGAGTGAGACTCCGTCTCAAAAACAAACAAAAAAAGAAACAAAAAAGAGGCAAACAAAAAACTGAACAAACAACTAATGTCCAAAGTGGCTATATCGCTGTACAGTCACACCAGCAATGAAAAGCGTGCCTGTTGACCCACATAATTGCTCTCATTTGGTATTAGTGTTTTAGATTTTAGTCATTCTAATACGTATCTAATAGTATCTCATTGTTTTAATTTGTAATTCCCTAAGCAAATATGGTGTTGATCATTATTTCATGTGCTTATTTACCATCTATATATAGTGGACATATATGTTTGAGAGTTCTTCTTGTATTTTGGATAATAGCCATTATCAGATATATCTTTTGCAAATGTTTTCTCCCAGTTGATGTCTTGTCTTTGTGTTCTCTTAACAATTCTTCTACAGAGTAGAAATTTTTAATTTTAATAAAGTCTAGCTTATTTATTTTTTTTCATGAGTTGTGGTTTTGGTATTGTATATAGAAAGTCGTTGCCAAACACAAGGTCACCTAGATTTTTTCCTAAGCCATATTTTAGAAGTTCTCTAATTTTCTGTCTTAAAGTCCATGATCTCTTTTAATTATTTTTGTTAAAAGATTTAAAGTGTATGTCTAGGTTAATTTTTATTGCATGTGGGTGTCCAATTACTTAGTCTTTTTAAGAAATTGTGCCTAAGTAACTGGACTTTGCTCCTTTCATCAGTTGATCATCTTTGTAACATATCAATTTCTGGGCTCTCCGTTAAGTTTCATTGATCTGTTTGTCTATTCTCTCAACAATACTACATTGTTTTGATTACTGTAGCTTCATAGTAAAACCTAAAGTTCGATGATATCAGCCCCTGATTTTGTTCTCCTTCAGTATTGTGTTGGCTATTGTGAGTCCATTGCTTTTCTATGTAAACTTTAGAGTCAGTATTTTGGTATCAACAAAATAGTTCAATTGTGTATATCTCTCTTGGCACCTCTGCTTCTCCCTGCACATGTGCTCCATTCTCTTCCCTTTAAAAATCTGTATTTCCTCTGTCATCTCTTTTTGCTTCCCTTGTGACTCTTTCTGCCCAGGACAGAATAGCATTGAGTTGCCATGGTTTGAGCTCTGTGGCCAGCTTTGTTACCACCATATATGTCAGGGTTCCAATGTTGCATGACTGTCATTTCCATGTCTTTGTCTATACTGACAATGAGTGAGTAATTATATCTTATTGGCTCAGCTTGGTCCAGTCAATTGTATACCAGGTCCCATAGCCTTCTTAACCAATCTGAGATATTTGTTGGAATTGTATCAAATCTGTAGACCATATTGGGAAGAACTAACATCATAACAATATTGAGTATTTGTATCTGTGTACATAAGTATCTCTCCATTTACTTAAATTTTTTTGCTTTCTTTCATGAGAGCTTTGTAGTTTTTCTCATGTAAATCTTACACATATTTTATAAGATTATACATATTTCTTTTTTGTGTTAATGTAAATAGCAGCATAGTTTAATTCAAATTTCAGTTGTTTGTTGCTTACATACAAGAACACAATTGACTTTTCTATATTACCTAGTAACTTGCAACTTTGCTATAATTGATTACTAGTCCCAGGATTGCTGTTGTATAGTCTTTAGAAATTTCTATGTAGGCAATCATGTCATCTACAAGCAAAAACAGTTTTATTTCTTCCTTTCCCAATCTGTATGTTTTTTCTTCTTTCCTTGTCTTACTGCATAAGCTGAAATTTCCAGTAAGATGTTGAATAAGAGAGAAAACAGGGGCATCTCTACTTTGTTCTTGATAAAGTATCTCTTTCTCACCATTAAATATATCTTTTTTTCAGATTTTCTCTGTTGCAGAAGTTTCTGTTTATTCCTACTTTGCTAATGATTGTTATAAAAATGTCAAATCTTTTTCTACATCTATTGATATTATCATATAACTTTTGTTCTTTAGCTTATTGATGTGATTAATTATATTCATTGATGAATGTTGAACTAGCTTTGAATACCTGGAACCAGCTTTGAATTAAAAAATAGAGATGGAGAACTAATTCTGTCTGATTAAAGACTTATTATAAAGCCACAGAAATTAAGACAATGTAGTATTAACATAGATGATTAGACAAATGGAGTGGCATGAAGAGCTCAGACGAGAGCCTTACATAAATGAACTTACTTTCAACAAAAATGCCAAGACAATTCTTGGCTGCTCACTGCAGCCTTGACTTCCACAGGCTCAAGCAATCCTCTCACAACTAAGCTGTGATTATAATTCTTTACTATATTATTAGGTTTGATTTGCTAATATTTTGTTGAGGATACTTACATTTATTTTCAAGAAAGATATTGGTCTGTAATTTTTCTTTCTTTTAATGTCTTTGCCTGGTTTTGGTATTAGGATAATACTAGCCTCAAAATGAGTTAGGAAGTCTTCCCTCTGCTTTCCTGGAACAGATTGTGTAGAATTGGAGTAATTTCTTCCTAAATATTTAGTAGAATTTAACAGGGAAATCTTCTAGGCCTGGTGTTATCCCCTTTAGAAGGTTATTTGAAACTGATTCACTATTAGGCCTATTCAGATGGTCTGTTTGTCTATATCTCCTTGTGTGAGTTTGATTAGATTGTATCTTTCACTAAATTTGTTTATTTCATCTAAGATAGTAAATAGGTGAGCATACAGTTTGTCATACTCCATTATTCTTTTAATGTTCATTGAATAAGTGGTGATGGCCCCTCTTCCGTTAGTGATATTACTATTCTGTGTCTTTTTTTCTTGCTTTTTTCTGTTAGTCTGACTAGAAATTCATCAATTTATTTACCTTTTAAAAGTATCAGCTTTTGGTTTCATTGATTTTTCACTGTTAATTTTCTGTTTCCAATTTTATTGACTTTTGCTCTAAGTTTTGTATTTTTTTTTCTGGTAACTTTAGACCTAATTTGTTCTCCTTTTTCTAGTTGCCTAAGGCAAGACGTAGATGACTGATTTTATTCCTTTCATGTTTTAGTATATGCATTCTATGATATAAGTTTCACTCTACTGACTGTTTTTGCTGAATCCAACACATTTTAATAAGTTGTATTTTTATTTTACTTAGTTCAACATAATTTTGTATTTCTCTTGAGAGTTTTTCTTTGACTCATGTATTTAGAAGTGTGTTGTGTAGTCTCCAAGTATTTTCGGACTTTCAATCTACTGTTATTGATTTCTAATTGAATTCCATTGTTGTATATGAACAGCCATTTTATAATGTGTATATTTTTTAAATTATTAAGTTGTGCTTTGTGCCCCAGAATATATTTTGGTGAATGTTTGTGTTATCTGTTCTTTGTTCCTTTCTCTTTTTTATTTTGTCTTTTCAATAAAGTGAGTAAATTTTAAAATTCCACTTTATGTCCATATTTTACTTGTATGCTATAGTTCTTTGTTTTGTCATTTTAGTGGTTACTTTACACTTGGCTCTTTTTTTTTTTTTTTTTTTTTTTTTTTTTTTTTTTTTTTTTTTTTTTGTAGAGATGGGGTTCTGCCATGTTCCCCAAGCTGGTCTTGACTCCTGGGCTCGACTGATCTACAGGCCTTGGCCTCCCAAATTACAAGGATTATAGGCATGAGCCACTGCACCCAGCCTGTTAATAATTTTTAAAGAAATTGAAATAATAAAAAACTTACATACATAAGTATACATAAATATACCAACGTGTTTGCCATTTCTGGTGCTCATTTTTGTGTGTGTGTGTAGCTCTTTATTTGCACGTGATACCACTTTCTGTGTAAACATTTTTGCATTCATTTTTTGAAGTGTGAGTATGCTGGTGATAAATCCCTTCAGCATACATATTTTTGAAATATTTTTTATTTCACCAACAGTTTTGAAATATTATTCTGCTGAGAGTAGAAATCTAGGTTAACAGTTTTTAAAAATTACTTTAAAGATATTGCTTCACTGTCTTCTCAGTTGTACCATTTTCCATGAGAAATGTGCTGTGATTATTGTTTAAGTTCCTCTGTATACAATGTGTCTTTTCTAAATGCTTACAAGAGTGTCACTTGATCACTTGTTTTGAGAAATTTGATTACTATGTGCATAGGTATAGTTTTATTTATAGTTCTTAGTCTTAGAATCTTGGATTGTTTACATTTACAGTTTCACCAAATTCAGAAACATTTTAATAATTATATCTTAAAAAATGTTTCTGGTCCTTCCTGCTGATTTATTGAACTCCAGTTACACATATATTAGTAATTTGTTCCACAAATTACTGATGTTGAATTTGTTTTTTATTTTATCACTTCACATTCCATTGTGGATAGTTTTCATTGCTAGGTCTTCAAGGTCACTATGTGTTTTTTTTTTTCTTTTGCAAATTCTAATTGACATTTAATCCCATGCAGTGTATTTTTCATTTCAGGTATTGTTTTATCCCCAGAAGATTGATTTGGGTCTTTTTAATATTTTCCATGTCTATACTTATCCTTTTGAACACATACAATGCAGTTTAAATAAATGTTTTAATGTTATTGATTGTACTTTCTAACATCTGTGTTCATTTGGATCCCTCTCCATTGATTGATTGTTTTCCTTTTTTATTTTTCACCTTTTGTCCTCCTAATTTTCTTCATTACTAGGCAAAACACTTCTGAGAATACTACCCATTTTCCCGTGAATTAAGAGGTTTTCAAATCTGACCATTAAAGTGACACAAGCACTATTCCCAGTCCTGTGTCTCACATAGTGTTAATCCTTTAGTAAGATCCTGTCCCCACCCTCAGTTAGTTTTCTCACAGGCTTGTGCTGATTGGTACTCTGCAGAATACCCGAGGAAAAACAGTTCTAAAATCATCTGATATTCTGCTTTTTGGGGACACTGAAAACATTTTTTATTTAATGTGATCACTGATGTCATTTGACTTATATCTGTCATCTTATTTGCTTCTATTTGTCTCATCTATTTTTTGTTCCTATTTTTCTCTTTTTAAAATTTTGTCTTCTTTTGGATAAATTGAGAAATACTTATTCTCTTGTTTTAGGATTCTGGAGTTTTCTCCCTGTGTAGTTCTCTCCTTTCCGCTACTCCTGTGAACAGTAGCTTCCCTGCTTTCCCAACTTTGTCTCTTGCCTCAGAGGAATCCTACAGGCTTCACCTGGGTTCACCATCCCTGCACTATGACCTGGAAACTTTTTCAAGGTAGAAACTTTGTGCGATCATAGGACTCACCTTGTTGTCTTTCCATTTGTCTGGAAATCACCCTCCTTTGATGCCTGATGTCCATTTGTAATTAGAAACAGCACTGCAGTGTATTTTTATACAATGTTTCACACTTGTGACAATATTTTAACACAATAATCCACTATGTTCTCTAATTACAAAGTAAGGGCAATAAAAATGTATACATTTCAACTTCCTTTCCCTTCTCTCTGCCGCCAACTGTTAACTGGTTACATTGTTTTTCTTAATGATTACTTGTACCTGTGTACTTAGTTATATCTGTATTATTCAATTTGTCAGGTATAAATACCATCTTTTGAACCTTTGCTATGAAAGATTAAGATATCAAAATTGATCGATGCATGTTACCCCTGTTTCTCTCTTTCATTCATTTCCAAATTTAATTGTTATGTTACTTCTACATTTTCAGGTATAAAACAAATACATTATATGTGATAATCATAACTCAATGTTTACAATCTGTCTCTTTCCTATAATTTATTAATTTATCTCTTGCTTGCCAAAAGATTTTGTTATAGAAGTTTCTTCCAGAAGAGTTCTTGGGAACTCTTTTATAAATTATAGTGTGTTAAGAAAATGTTTGTTTCTTTTTTACTAGAATGAGAATTTATCTATGTTTAAAATTATTTGGGTCAGGCAGGGTGGCTCATGCCTGTAATTCCAGCACTTTGGGAGGCTGAGGCAGAAGGATTACTTGAGCACAAGAGTTGAAGACCAGCCTGGGCAACATGGCAAGACGTCATCTCTATAAAAAAATAAAGAAATTAGTTGGGCATGGTGGTGTGCACTTGTAGTCCCAGCTACTTGGGAGACTGAGGTAGGAGGATCTCTTGAGCCCAGGAAGTCAAGGCTGAAGGGAGTTGTGTTCACATCACTGCAATCCAGCCTGGGCCACAGAGGAAGACCCTGTCTCAAAGGGGGGAAAAATGGAATAGACATTCTTTCTCAAAAATTTCTTTCAATTTTGAATAATTTTGGTATTGATGTTCATTTTCCCATTTTAATTTCAACACTATATCCAGTACACATATAGTTTTAAGTTGTTTTATATTTCTGAAAACATTTTCTTGAGATAGTTTACTTAAATATATTTTATACTCATCTAACGTTTATCATCTGCCTTTTTATCATGTATGTATCTCCCTATTCTTTCTGTTCAGTACTCTTCAGTGACACTCTCATTTTATTGATTTCCATTATCTGATTTTCATATCTGTCATTTTCTTTCTAAATATTATTTTAATTTTATGCTATTTTCCATTTGATTTTGCTTTAGTTAATTCACCTACAGATTATCAATGTTACCATCATAGTTTCAGCAATGATTACTTTCCCTTGTACAGTTCAAATTGCGATCTCTGTTTTAATTTTCCCATTATTTTTTTCTTCTTTCCCTGCCAGCTCAAATTTAGACACCTTGGATGTAATCTCCTTTCATAATCTCTCATATATTCTTTAAACTTTACCTCTGAAATAAAAATCCTAGACTTTTAAAAATTTTAGTTTAGTGTTACAATTCATTATAATAATTTTGCATAATAGTTTAATGATTTAATATCTGAATAATAATTTAATAATTTTGATAATTTCATTTCTTAAATTAATGATAATTTTGATTACAATTTCTGTCTGGCTGATGGCAAATTTTTAATTTAATTTAGTGAGGGTTTTTAATCTGTCACTTTCTTTTTCTATTTTCATCTTCTCTTTCTGTTCTTTTTCTTTTTCTTACAGTACGTTTATGTAAACTCCTTGCTAGTTCTTGTTTGCTTAGCATTTATGGTCCCAAGACTGGATAAGGCCTTTGAAAGAAATTACTAGGAAGTTGAGGACACACATGATTTTCACAGCAGCAGCAATTCTCCCTTGTTTACAATACAGTTTTTAGTAACACAGATTTTTCTCTGTGTATTGTCTAATCTTTACTTCCTTCAATGAGCAGATTGACAGCCATAAAGTTACTCACAGTGAATAATGTTGGTCCTCCTCACTTCTTTACCAAGAGACTACATTCTGCAAACCGTGCAAAAGTAGGCAGTTTCTTGTTAATTCTTGTGCCTTTATCTTGGCTTATTATTTAGAACAAACTCGACCCAGGAAAGATTCTACCAATATCCCATATACTCTTTTTCTGTCATTCTAAAATAACATGTTGGGCTTCCTTCCCTGAGCATGACACCTACATTTGGAAAACAGTGTTCTGTTAGTGTTCTCTCTCAACATCTGTCTAAATGCAACATTACTTTTATTGAATTTGGCAGCCTTTCCTTGAATATTGCTATTTGGGATTATAGGTGTCTTAGAGGATAGAGTTCTCATTTCTGTTTTATTTTCTTTGCTATCCTAAGGAAATTTTTGGTGAAGGTGGCAACATGATATTTACTGGTGCCATAGTCTTTCTTATTTATTTATTTCAGATGAGTGTTTTTCAGGTCAGGGATCTGCTGAAGGCTGATTCCATTAATGGAGAGTAATTAATTAATTCATTGATTTCCCTAGAGGGGAAAACACTGCTGGGTAAGGATAAGTTGTAGGAACCTCTCAACCCTTTATGTATAAGAAGTAATTAAAACTCTTAAATAAAAACTTACACTTAATAGCAGTTCAATATAATGCCTACAGTTCAAACACTATTCTAATCTCTAGGGAATTATACTTTTTATAGAGAGTAAACTACTCAATTAATAGTACAAGTGAAAATTTGGAGTTAAGTTATTGTTTTAGGCAATTTAGAGAAGATAAAAATAACAAAGTTGTTTATTGAGCACTTACTATGTGCAATGAACTATTTTATGTTCTTTACAAAGGTGAATTTACATTCATCTTAACTTATGGGGTAGGAACGACAATTATCCTGAAATTACTGATTACAAAATTAATATTTAGTAAGGTTGTGTAACTTGTCAAAAGGAATATGTTTAAAAGTGGAAAAACAAAAGTTACAGTCAAATATTGCTAAAAACTGTATTGTAACAAAGACAAAAACAAAAATATAAATGTGTTAATTTACTCTTTCACCCATTTATATATCCAACAAATATATAATGGCACAGCAGTAAAACAAAATCAAAACAGTTTCAGTCCTTAATGAATTTATAGTTGAGTTGAGAAAATAAACATTGGTTAAACAATAGCTCTTATACATGAAAAGTAACAACTGTAATGACATTTGTAAAAGAAAAGTATATGGTCTGCTGAAGCATATAACAGAATCCAGTGCATTCTGGTAGGTTGTGGCTAATGTGAATAATTCTCCTTTGGAATGAAATGTGGAGGGTAAATATGGATTAGGTAAGTAAAGAAGTTGAAGATAAAATTCCAGTATGAGGAGCAGGAGAGCATGTGCAAAAGCCCTATTGTAGGAGCACGTCATCTGAGGAACTAAAAGTTAGCTTGTCTAGAACACAGGACAAGGAAAAGGCAATTGTGGCTGGTGTGGCCAGAGAGGCTGTAGTAATCAGATAGTAGTGTTTTGTGTTCCATATTAAGCATTTAGAATTTTGTCAGAAGAGCATGGAGGCTATTAATTTTTACATTTTTTAAATTTTAAAATATTTAGGGCCTGGTGGGGTGACTCACGCCTGTAATCCCAGCACTTTGGGAGGCCGAGGTGGGTGGATCACGAGGTCAGCAGTTTGAGACCAGCCTGACCAACTTGGTGAAACCTCGTCTCTACTAAAAATACAAAAAAATTAGCTGGGCATGGTCGTGGGCGCCTGTAATCCCAGCTACTTGGGAGGCTGAGGCAGGAGAATTGCTTGAAACCGGAAGGCAGAGGTTGCAGTGAGCCGAGATTGCACCACTGCACTCTAGCCTGGGCAATAAGAGCAAAACTCTGTCTCAAAAAAAAAAAAAAAAAAAAAAACAAAAAAACAAAAAAACATTTAATTGACCAATTAAAATTGTATATATCCAGAGGAAAAATTTAAAACA
The DNA here is from genome assembly GCF_000001405.40 of Homo sapiens. Taxonomy (NCBI): domain Eukaryota; kingdom Metazoa; phylum Chordata; class Mammalia; order Primates; family Hominidae; genus Homo; species Homo sapiens. The sequence goes on along the minus strand of NC_000007.14, from coordinate 10,060,757 downwards.
TAGGATGAAATCTACAATTAACCTGATTACAATGTAAATAACTTTTTAAAGAAAGGAAGTGTTTGAACAATGTTTCATTATTCCATTGAGAGATTATAGTTTCTTGGCTTAGAAAAGAGAAAACTGGAGACATTGTTAAGATGTTAACTTAAAAAAACCTGATGATTGATGGGCTATATAGTATGATAAAAGAACGAGTTATTGATGATAACTATCAAATTTTTTGGCTGGGAAAATCTAAAGAAAGTTAGTGTCATTCAGTAAGCTAGAGAACACTAAAAGGAAGACCATTTTTCTTGTAGAAAATCAAGAGTAGATTTTGGACATAATGAGTATAAGGTATCTTTGAGATATCCAAAACGTGACTCAAGTTGGCTGTTTGATATGTAAGTCATTAACGCAAAGAATAGGTTTTAACAAGAGATACCTATATTGATGACCGTTGACACCATATTTGTAGATAAAGTATCAAGAGGGGAATTTTACAAAGAGAAGAAAAAAAAGCAAAGCACCATTTTTAAAAGCATTCCAACATTTATATATGGGAAAAAGAAGAAACCTGCAAGAAAGGACAAAACATATGACAGAGTTAAGAGAAGAACGGCCGGGCGCGGTGGTTCACGCCTGTAATCCCAGCACTTTGGGAGGCCGAGGCGGGCGGATCACGAGGTCAGGAGATCGAGACCATCCTGGCTAACACGGTGAAACCCCGTCTCTACTAAAAATACAAAAAATTAGCCGGGCGAGGTGGCGGGCGCCTGTAGTCCCAGCTACTCGGGAGGCTGAGGCAGGAGAATGGCGTGAACCCCAGGGGGCGGAGGCTGCAGTGAGCCGAGATTGCGCCACTGCACTCCAGCGTGGGCGACAGCGAGACTCCGTCTCAAAAAAAAAAAAAAAAAAAAAAAAAAAAAAGAGAAGAACAAGAATGTGTGGTGATACCAGAGAGAATGTTCAGCAATCTCTGATTTTGAGCATTAAAATTGTGGCAGTGAAACCTTTTCTTAACATTCTCTTTAAATATGGATTTCACGTTTCAAACTCACCACAGGCAACTCTTTATTTCTCTGCTTTGCTTTTTTTTTAAAAAAATCTAAAATGCTACTTAGTTTCTGTTATCTGTCTCCTTTCATCCTTAAGTTATGGTGTTCACTGCAGTAGCCCCTACATCTAGTTTAAGGCATGGCACATAGTATACCCTCCAGGAATCAATAAATAATGATGAGTAAATGAATGAATGTATGGACAGTAACAAACACCACTGAGAGGGCAAGCATATAATGCAAGGACTGACAGGTGTTAACTGAACTCAGGGTGGTAGCAGCAGTGGCCAGGCAGGAGTGGGTTGGAGAATGAGTGATAGGCAAGAAGGAAAAATCGTGAATACACACAACTGTTTTTACAAGTATTTCAATAGAGAAGAAGAAAAATAAATATGGCAGTAACTGGATAAGATGGGAACATTGGATAGAGGGAGAACTTTTTATTCTTTTAAAGTATTTTTGAAAATGGACAAAGTGTAGAACGTGTTTAAAATGCCACTGGGCAGACATGGTTGAGAGGGAGCAGTTGAATCCAAGGTAGGCAGTTGTACACAGAAAATACAGCTGAAGACCAATGAGAAGGGGTCATTAATAGATTCAGATTTTGGAGAAGGTTGATGAGATCTGAAGACTCCCAGGGAGGGAGTAGTCTTCCAAGGTGGAGGGTGCTTCTGTTCCTTCTATTGTGGAGGGAGAGGTGCAGACAAGTTGTTAAAGGGCTTGGAAGACAAGTTGATATTTTCGGTAGTAGAAGTTAGTGATTTCCTTGTGAGGTAGTAAACGAAGACTCTCTGGCATTAGGCATGTTCAAGGTGGAATATTTGGAAAGAATACTTAAAATAGAAGTTTCAAAATGTCACAGAGAGTTGAACAGAGAAATAAAATATTTTTTTGGCAGTGTGTAATGTGCATAAACAAAATAAAACAAAATACCATGGTTTGATATGTTTCCTTGATTGTTTTGGGTACACAATTTAAATAAGCTACTCTATCTCCAGCATTTCAACTGACATAACTTTCTCTGGAATTTGATCTGTCATCCTTCTAATTAGCAAAGCCCTGCAGCCGTGCTATAGAATGGCTTTGTAATATATCTTGAGCTTTAACAAGGAACTTTTTGATGTATTTCAATTATGATGTACAAAGTAACATCTTCTTAGTTAAAGAAGAAATTCCATTTTGAGGCTGTTTAAAGTGCTATTAAAGTTTATGGTTGAAAGCCTGTTAAGCCGAATCTGCCCTCTGTGTTTAGAGAAAGGGATATGGAGCACTTGGGCTGGAGGAGTGAGAAAAACAGCCATAAAATAATGCTGAGTACTACTGAGATTAGAGAGTGGAATTTAGTTATAAGGTCATGATTTCTAAGAGGGCAGATTATGTATCAGTAGATACTTAAGCATAGCTCTGTCTGCAGTGATTTTTTGATCATAAAAATCCAAAAAGAACAAAAAATTCCATTTGAAACTGAGAGAATTAAATTATGAAAATTAGATGTGATGAGTGCTCTCTGTTGTGGTAATCCTGGGAGTATACACAGGGGAAATCCCATTTTATATGTGTCTTGTAAAAAAAAACCTTACAGAAATGAAAATAAATTGGTATATGGTCCTCTTGAGAGACATACACAGGTACACACATATGTTAAATTCCCAAACAAAAATTGAGCCACAAATAATATATGTGTATCTAGCTTAAATGAAATAAATAACATGTCTTCTCTTTTCTCCAAATTAATTCTGCGTATTTCAAATAAAGTTTTAAATGAGTGCCCTGGCAGTGTGTATTTTTAGAGTTAAAGAATTACTAATGCAGACGAGATGATGTAGCTGATGATGCTCATGGTTTGATTTAAAAAATATTTGGATTGCTAGTAAGAGTGAACAAGAAAAAGAAAGATTTGTGTTACATACATAGGGAAAACTCTATATACAAAACACTAAAAACAGGTGCTCCTTACATACACACACATGCACACACACACACACCCACACATACATTATATATATATAAATATATAATATATACATACAAATAATATAAATGAATAGATATAAATATATATAAAAATATATATCACATGCATGAGTGCTCTTTACTGAATATAAGCACAAATTTATACTATCCAGTGTTACAAACACATTAATATATGCTGGTGCAAATTTTTCCTATTATCTAACGATTTACAGATTAGCACAATGCTAATATATTCTAACCAGTCTAAAGAGTTAATATGCCTAACATCATTTAGCCTCCAAAGAGTAACTGCTTATCAGTGAAATTTACATTCATTTAAAAAAAATCATGACTAATATAACTCTTGGTTTTTTCTGATAGCCTAAGAATATGTAGAATGCTTATAGTCTTCTAAAAAAATTGCATATTACTGTGATCAGTTTTTATCTCCCTTTAAACATACTTTTTTTTTTACTATTACTTGTATAAATTTTCTCAAATTTGGAGAAATATTAAAAAATTACACTAAGGATTCCTTGTTACCTCATACCTTAAGAAGAGTAATGAAAAACTCAGCCACATAAAGTATAGTATCTCTGATGTGCATGTCCTTGGGTACCAATATTAAATGTAAGGCTGTCATAGAAGGCAAAGTAATAGTTAAACTGTAAAAATTTGTACAAAGTTACTGTGCTATTCACAATTTATTGTATTTTTTAGTTTAACAGATTAAAATAAGGTAACAAAAGAAAACATTTGCTGTTGTTATATTAAAATATCTACTCCTTGAGAACTAGTTTTATGATTTATGTTCTCATGTGAGTTGTTATTGTTCACATTCTATTCATATTTTATCATATATATCCTCCAAATGATACAACAATAGCTACATAGGTTATAGAAGAAAGTCCTTCTTTTATTGAATGAGATTAATTTATTGCTATTGTGATAAGCACCCTTGGAAATTGATAATGGAGAATGGCTGCATGTGTACAAACTGTATTTCTGGATGTATAGAAGGTGATATATCAGGGACTACCACAATGTACATTTTTAAAACTTGTTTTAGAATATTCAACTCTTCAGAAAAAAAGAAAAAAATGACATGGTTGAAACTCATAAGATGTGCTAAGTATAAATACGCTGTTAGGTGTAGAGTACTGTATTACTCTGTTCTCACACTGCTAATAAAGACATACATGAGACTGGCTAATTTACAAAGAAAAAAGAGGTTTAATGGACTCATAGTTCCACATGGCTGGGGAGGCCTCACAATCATGGTGGAAAGCAAGACCTGTCTTCAATGGCAGCAGGCAAGAGAGATTGAGAGCCAAGTGAAATGGGAAACTCCTTATAAAACCATGAGATCTCTTGAGACTTATTCACTACCATGAGAACAGTATGTGGGAAACTGCACCCGATTCAATTATCTCCCACTGGGTCCCTCTCACAATATGTGGGAATTATGAGAGCTTCAATTCAGAATAAGATTTGGCACTTTGGGAGGCTGAGGCAGGTGGATCACGAGGTCAGGAGTTCAATACTAGCCTGGCCAACATGGTGCAACCCCATCTCTATTAAAAATATAAAAATTAGCTGGGTGTGGTAGCAGGTGCCTGTGGTCTCAGCTACTTGGGAGGCTGAGTCAGGAGAATCACTTGAACCCTGGAGGCGGAGGTGGCAGTGAGCTGAGATCACACCACTCCACTCCAGCATGGCGACAGAGCAAAACTCGGTCTCAAAAATAAATAAATAAAAAGATTTGGGTGGGGACAGAGCCAAGCGATATGATTCCAGCCCTGACCCCTCCCAAATCTCATATCCTCACATTTCACAACCAATCATGCTTTCCCAACAGTCCCCCAAAGTCTTAACTCATTTCAGCATTAACTCAAAAGTCCACAGTCCAAAGTCTCATCTGAAACAAATCCCTTCTGCCTATGAGCCTGTAAAATCAAAAGCAAGTTAATTACTTCCTAGATACAATGGGGGTACAGACATTGGGTAAGTACATCCATCCCAAATAAAAGAAATTGGCCAAAACACAGGGTCTACAGGCCCCATGCAAGTCCGAAATCCAGTGGGGCAGCCAAATATTAAAGCTCTGAAATGATCTCCTTTGACCCCATGTCTCACATCCAGGTCATGCTAATGCAGATGTGGGTTCCTATGGTCTTGAGCAGTTCCATTCCTGTTGGTTTGTAGGATACAGCCTCCATCCAGGCTGCTTTCCTGTGCTGGCATTGAGTGTCTGTAACTTTTCCAGTCACACGATGCAAGCTGTCGATGGACCTACCATTCTGGGATCCGGAGGACAGAGGCCCTCTTCTCACAGCTCCACTAGGCAGTGCCCCAGTGGGGACTCTATGTGGGGGCTTCAACCTCACATTTCTCTTCCACACTGCCCTAGTAGAGGTTCTCCATGAGAGGCCTGCCCCTGCAGAAAACTTCTGCCTGAACATCTAGGCATTTCCGTACATCCTCTGAAATCTAGGCAGAGGTTCCCAAACCTCAATTCTTGATTTCTGTGCACCCACAGACTCAACATCATATGGAAGCTGCGAAGGCTTGGGGCTTGCTCCCCTCTGAAGCCATGGCACAAGCTGTACCTTGGCCCCTTTACCCATGGCTACAGCAGCTGGGACACAGGGTACCAAGTCCCTAGGCTGCACACAGCAGAAGGGCTTTGGGCCTAGCCAACAAAACCATTTTTTCCCCCTAGGCCTCTGAGCCTGTGATGGGAAGGCCTGCTCCAAAGTTCTCTGGCATGCCTTGGAGACATTTTTCCCATTGTCTTGGCTATTAATATTTGGCTCCTCATTACTTAGGTAAGTTTCTTCAGCCAGCTTAAATTTCTCCTCAGAAAATAGGTTTTTCTTTTCTGTTGCATCATCAAGCTGCAAATTTTCTGAACTTTTAAGCTGTTTCCCTTTTAAAACTGATTGCCTTTAACAGCACTCAAGACAACTCTTGAATACTTTGCTGCTTAGAAATTCCTTCCACCACATACCCTAAATCATCTTCCTCAAGTTCAAAGTTTCACAAATGTCTAAGTCAGGGGCAAAATGCTGCCAGTCTCTTTGCAAAAACATAGCAAGAGTCACCTTTACTCCAGTTCCCAACAAGTTCCTCATCTCCATCTGAGACCACCTCAGCCTGGATTTCATTGTCCATATCATTATCAGCATTTTGGTCAAAGCCATTCAACAAGTCTCTAGGGAGTTCCAAACTTTCCCACATCTTCCTATCTTCTTCTGAGCCCTCCAGATGGTTTCAGCCTCTGCCTGTTACCTAGTTCCAAAGTGACTTCCACATTTTCGGGTATGTTTATAGCAGCACCCCACTCCCAGTACCAGTTTACTGTATTAGTCTGTTCTCATACTGCTAATAAAGATATACCTGAGATTGGGTAAGTTATAAAGAAAAAAAGTTTAATGGACTCACAGTTCCACATTGCAGGAGATGCCTCACAATCATGGTGGAAGGTGAAAGGCATGTCTTACATGGCAGGAGGCAAGAAAGAATGGGAGCCAAGTGAAAAGGGAAGTCCCTTACAAAACCATCAGATTTCATGAGACTTATTCACTACCATGAAAACTGCCCCCATGATTCAAGTATCTCCCACAGCACGTGGGAATTATGGGAGCTACAATTCAAGATGAGATATGGGTGGGGACACAGCCAAACTATATTAAGTTTGGGCATGTTAAACACTGGAGAAAGAGATGGAAGAAAATACATTTAATATTCATGACTAAATAAATAAATAAATATATATATATAGTATAACATATTTATGAGACATTATATATGAGGGATATATATGAGACATTAGAGACATTCAATATTCACAAGGCCTTAATTTGACCACTTACTGTGGCTACCAAGTGTAACTTCATATATCCTCTACCTCAAAGTGAAAATAAAACCCACAGCTCTTCAGCAAGCTAGAGCCATTGGTCAGACATTCTTGTTCTGTGTCACTCTGATAGAGCAAGTGTATGTCCTTGACTCAGGCAACCTTCTGTCTGTGAGCTCTTTTGCTCAGTCACAGTCTAGATCTTGTAACCACATTAATATGATGCTGCTCAGAGATAGGACATACAAATGAACATTGTACTAAAGATTCAGATAGTATGATCTTTCCATCACTTTTATCTTAAGTGTGCTAACCTTCCTTAGCTTCACCATTGTTTCCTAAACTGATTTAATACTCTGTGGGACTAGAGTACTTTAATTTGGTCTGTGAGCCCTTCTGTTTCATATACTAGTATTCAACAGTAATTTTTTAAAATTATACTTTAGGTTCTGGGATACATGTGCAGAACGTGCAGGTTTGTTACATAGGTATACATGTGTCATGGTGGTTTGCTGCACCCACCAACCCATCATCTACATTAGGTGTTTCTCCTAATGCTATCCCTACCCCAGCCCCCCACCCCGAGCAGCCCCCAGTGTGTGATGTTTCCCTCTGTGTGTCCATGTGTTCTCATTATTCAACTGCCACTTATGAATGATAACATGCAGTGTTTGGTTTTCTGTTCTTGTGTTAGTTTGCTGAGAATGATGGTTTCTAGCTTGATCCATATCCCTGCAAAGGACATGAACTCATCCTTTTATATGGCTGCGTAGTAGTCCATGGTGTATATGTGCCAATTTTCTTTATCCGGTCTATCATTGATGGGCATTTGGGTTGGTTCCAAGTCTTTGCTATTGTGAATAGTGCTGAAATAAATATTCGTGTGCATGTGTCTTTATAGTAGAATGATTTATAACCCTTTGGGTATATACCCAGTAATGGGATGGCTGGGTCAAATGGTATTTCTTGTTCTAGATCATTGAGGAATCACCACACTGTCTTCCACAATGATTGAACTAATTAACACTCCCACCAACAATGTAAAAGCATTCCTATTTCTCCACCACCTCTCCAGCATCTGTTGTTTCCTGACTTTTTAATGATCACCATTCTAACTGGCATGAGATGGTATCTCATTGTGGTTTTGATTTGCCTTTCTCTAATGACCAGTGATGATGAGCTCTTTTTCATATGTTTGTGGGCTGCATAAATCTCTTCTGTTGGGAAGTGTCTGCTCATATCCTTCACCCACTTTTTGATGTGGTTGTTTGTTTTTTTCTTGTAAATTTGTTTAAGTTCTTTGTAGATTCTGGATATTAGCCTTTTGTCAGATGGATAGATTGCAAAAATTTTCTCCCATTCTGTCAGTTGCCTGTCCTTTCTGATGATAGTTTCTTTTGCTGTGCAGAAGCTCTTGGTTTAATTAGATCCCAATTTACAATTTTGGCTTTTGTTGCCATTGCTTTTATTGTTTTGGTCATGAAGTACTTGCCCATGCCTATGTCCTGAATGGTATTGTCTAGGTTTTCCTCTAGGGTTTTTAAGGTTTTAGGTCTTATGTTTAAGTCTTTAATCCATCTTGAGTTAATTTTTTTATAAGGTGTAAAGAAGGTGTCCAGTTTCAGTTTTCTGAATATGGTTAGCCGGCTTTTTCAACTCCATTTACTGAGTAGGGAATCCTTTCCCCATTGCTTGTTTTTGTCAGGTTTGTCAAAGATCAGATGGTTGTAGATGTGTAGTGTTATTTCTGAGGCCTCTGTTCTGTTCCATTGGTCTATGTCTCTGTTTTGGTACCAGTACCATGCTGTTTTGGTTACTGTAGCATTGTAGTTTAGTTTGAAGTCAGGTAGCATGATGCCTCCAGCTCTGCTGTTTTTGCTTAGGATTGTCTTGGCTCTATGAGCTCTTTTGTGGCTCCATATGAAATTTAAAATATTTTTTGCTAATTCTGTGAAGATATTCAATGGTAGCTTGATGGGGATAGCATTGAATCATTGAATCTATAAATTACTTTGGGCAGTATGGCCATTTTCGTGATATTGATTTTTCCTATCCTTGAGCATGGAATGTTTTTCCATTTGTTTGTGTCCTCTCTTATTTCCTTGAGCAGTGGTTTGTAGTTCTCTTTGAAGAAGTCCTTCACATCTCTTGTAAGTTGTATTCCTAGGTATTTTATTCTGTTTCTAGCAATTGTGAATGGGAGTTCACTTATGATTTGGCTCTCTGTTTATCTGTTATTGGTGTATAGGAATGCTTGTAAGTTTTGCACATTGATTTTGTATCCTGAGATTTTGCTGAAGTTGTTTATCAGGTTAGGGAGATTTTGGGCTGAGATGATGGGGTTTTCTAGATATAGAATCATGTCATCTGCAAACAGAGACAATTTGACTCCCTCTCTTCCTATTTGAATATGCTTTATTTCTTCTTTTGCCTGATTGCCCTGACCAGAACTTCCAATACTATGTTGAATAGGAATGGTGAGAGAGGGCATCCTTGTCTTGTGTCAGTTTTCAAAGGGAACGCTTCCAGTTTTTGCCCATTCAGTATGATATTGGCTGTGGGTTTGTGATAAATAAATATCCTTATTTTGAGATACATTCCATCGGTATGTAGTTTATTGAGAGTTTTTAGCATGAAGGGGTGTTGAATTTTTATCAAAGGCCTTTTCTGCATCTATTGAGATAATCATGTGGTTTGTGTCATTGGTTCTGTTTATGTGGTGGATTACGTTTATTGATTTGTGTATGTTGAACCAGCCTTGCATCCCAGGAATGAAGCCAACTTGATCATGGTGTATAAGCTGTGCTGCTGGATTCAGTTTGCCGATATTTTATTGTGGATTTTGGCATCACTGTTCATCAGGGATACTGGCCTGAAATTTTCTTTTTTTGTTGTATCTCTGCCAGGTTTTGGTATCAGGATGATGCTTGCTGCATAAAATGAGTTAGGGAGGATTCCCTCTTTTTCTATTGTTTGGAATACTTTCAGAAGGAATGGTACCAGCTTTTCTTTGTACCTCTGGTAGAATTCATCTGTGAATCTGTCTGGTCCTGGACTTTTTTTGGTCAGTAGGCTGTTAATCACTGCCCCAATTTCAGAACTTGTTATTGGCCCATTGAGGGATTCGACTTCTTCCTGGTTTATTCTTGGGAGGGTGTATGTGTCCAGGAATTTATCCATTTCTTCTAGATTTTCTAGTTTATTTGCATAGAGGTATTTATAGTATTCTTTGATGGTACTTTGTATTTTTGTGGGATCAGTGGTGATTTCTTTATCATTTTTTATTGTGTCTATTTGATTCTTCTCTCTTCTTTATTAGTCTGGCTAGCAGTCTATGTATTTTGTTAATCTTTTCAAAAAACCAACTCCTGTATTCATTGATTTTTTTTTTTTGGGTGGTTTTTTCCTGTCTCTGTCTCCTTCAGTTCTGCTCTGATCTTTGTTATTTCTTGTCTTCTGCTAGTTTTTGAATTTGTTTGCTCTTGCTTTTCTAGTTCTTTTAATTGTGATTTAGGGTGTCGACTTTTGATCTTTCTCACTTTCTGATGTGGGCATTTAGTGCTATAAATTTCCCTGTAAACATTGCTTTAGTTGTTTCCCAGAGATTCTGGTATGTTGTGTCTTCGTTCTCATTGGTTTCAAAGAACTTACTTATTTCTGTCTTAATTTCGTTATTTACCCAGTAGTCATTCAGGTGCAGGTTGTTCAGCTTCCAAATAGTTGTGCAGTTTTGAATGAGTTTCTTAATCCAAAGTTCTAATTTGATTGCACTGTGGTCTCAGAGACTGTTTGTTATGATTTCCATTCTTTTGCATTTTGCTGAGGAGTGTTTTACTTCCAATTACGTGGTCAATTTTAGAATAAGTGTGATCTGGTGATGAGAGGAATGCATATTCTGTTGATTTGGGGTGGAGAGTTCTGTAGATGTCCATTTTGTCCAGAGCTGAGTTCAAGTCCTAAATATCCTTGTTAATTTTTTGTCTCATTGATCTGTCTAATATTGACAGTGGGGTGTTAAGTTCTCCCAGCATAATTGTGTGGGAGTTTAAGTTTCTTTGTACGTCTCTAAGAACTTGCTTTATGAATCTGGGTGCTCCTGTATTGAGCGCATATATATTTAGGATAGTTAGCTCTTCTTGTTGCATTGATCCCTTTACCATTATGTAATGCTCTTCTTTGTCTTTTTTGGTTGTTGGTTTAAAGTCTGTTTTATCAGAGACTAGGATTGCATCCCCTGCTCTTTTTTGCTTTCCATTTGCTTGGTAAATATTCCTCCATCCCTTTATTTTGAACCTATGTATGTCTTTGCACATGAGATGGGTCTCCTGAATACAGCACATTTATGAGTCTTGACTCTATCCAATGTGCCAGTTTCAACAGTAATTTTCGTGGTAGTACATTTGAAGCCTATCATTAAATCAAGTTAATTTCCCACACAACAGCCACCTATGTGAATGAAGCAGAGTCCATATCTCTAGAGACCTTACATTCATCCTTGAACACAGTTGAAGTTTTTAATTCACTCACCTTCAAAACTTTCCTGGTCATCAGAAATGATATCTTGCTACCCTTTATATGGCTAGTGGTGCTTTTCTAGGAGTTCACAAAAATATAATTTAATCAAAAAGCTTTTTAGTATCACAACATTTAGCAAGGTTACTTTTTCTTAAAAAAGAAAAATACCCCTGGGTATAGCCAAGGTGGCCTCTCTACTTTGCTAGAATGTAATATTTAAAAATGTATCTATCCTTGACTTGGATGGAGGTCTATGAACATCTGAAAATATGAAAAATAGTATTTTTTTCTTTGGAAGCCTGCTGGCCCAATTAGATCAACCTTCCCTATATGACACTTAAGGGAAGGAAAGGTGTCTTTAATTATCAAGTCCTCTTTTCTTTACTTATGGGACTCCTTGATGACACAATAACAAGAAGAGTTTTCTTTCAAGACTTCAGTGAAGCCCTATCACATATGAGCTGTGTCCTTGGGCAAATTATATAAAATTTTAATAATTCCTCCTTGAAAAAATTGCTAAAAATAGTAAATGGGATGTTTTATGTTGAATGTATTTATAAACTATAAATAATATGCAGTTATTATTATACTGTTCCATCAGACTGACTTTGATTAGTGGAAATGATGTTATTTTGTTGAGACCTATGGCAAGAAAACTATTGCTTTTCTCCTTGTGCTGTGCAAGATATTTCTTGATAGTTGATTAAAGCATTATGCCATTGGCCCAGTGTGGTGGCTCATACATGTAATCCCAGTGTTTTTAGAAGGTGGCATGTGAGGATCACTTGAGTCCAGGAGTTTGAATCCAGCCTGGGCAACACAGTGAGACCCCTTCTCTACAAAAAATTGGAAGATTATCTGAGCATAGTGGTTTGCACCTATCATTCCAGCTTCTTGGGAGGCTGAGGTGGGAAGATTGCTTGAGCCTAAGAGTTCAAGGTTACAGTGAGTTATGACTGCACCACTTCATTTCATCTTGCAACACAAGACTCCATCTCTTAAGAAAATAAACAAAAAACATTGACACCTATTGGTAAAGCAGAAAAATATGTATAGATCACTGATTTCCTCATTATACTGCTGTCCAAATGTGTTTGGAATGTTAGAGGGGTAATTAGCAGTGAAATATTCTCTACTTTTCTGTCACAACACATCAGAGCATATGCTTTTAAATACTCTTCATACTAAAAAAATTCTAGAATGCAAATTTCATGGCAGCAGTCTTAAACTCGGTATGCTTCTTGCATGTTACACGTCTATAATGTTGGGGCCCACACATGTTTTCTCTTTCCTTCACCACTTCCGTTTTGCTCCAACCCCTCCTTTCTTTATCTTTCCATATATTTGACATAAAAATTTGACATGGCCTAGGCTTTTAGCCACTTTAAACTCAATTGCAATTACTATCATTATGAAAAATTACTTGCCCCCTAAGGATTATGTAACAGGCTATTAGAGAAAGGAGATAAAAAAAATGCATTCTACATTTGTATCAGCTTGACTATGCTCAAGGCAAATCTCTGGTTGAATATTTTTGAGAACAGTTACCTCCTGACCTTTTGAATTTGATTTTCTTTTCCAAAAACTCAACTTAATAGTGTGGTGTGAAGTATTTTTGTATCTAATAATTTAGTAAGTAGAATTCAAGGACTTTATGTAGAATGATTAATATTCTTCTTTTAAGAAATATTCTTCATGGATTCAGCCTTCTCAACAGTGTCCCTTGCACACCAATATGATTAATTGATCCCACAGAATATAGGGAGGAAAATGGAAAATTATTGTTGGTGGACACTAATTTTATAATGTTGGGCTTTAAAATAACTCATCAAAATCACATATTCTTTAAGTCTTTTGATTTTGTTATCCAAAATTTGCATGCCTCTAAGATATCGCTGACCAGATAATGAGGAAGAAACAAATTCCAGCACCTTCTTATTTCACATGAAAAATGATTGGGACATTAGGTTTCATTCCCACAGTATAAAAAGCTTGAAAGTCACCACTCCTGTGCAAACAGCAAGAAAAAGTTGAGCAAGCTGAAAATCAACAACTTTTCTTGGACATATCAGAGAACTGAGGTTGTAGGGCAAACCACCATCCTTAAATCTGGGAAGATGGGGCAGAGAGTCACAGTTGAAATATGCTTACCTCTAACAGAAACTCTGCAGCCATAAACTAGCAGGAACAGTTAAATGGTAAGACCCGGTAACAGGCTGTTTCTCAAATGGAAAATAGTTATCTTCAGAGGATGACAGTGCTTTGCTCCAAAATTCTAAAGGTCTGCACTGTGATTCACCTATATGGCCCTGCCACTGGCCCCAAGCAGCATCCTATCTGCCACTGACACTTCAAGCACCATTGGATATGCTGAGTCATATGGCCCAGCACAGCCCTGTATTCTTTAGTTCTTTGACAGTGTCACTAATATCTGCAATCTCTCCAGATATACAGTATTACTTTTGTATTTAAAGAAAAATATGTTGCTTTTGAATTACTCTTCTAGTTACAAAGTAGTAGAACTATTCATTTTGATATTCTAATGTAAAATACTTGGTCCTATGCATTTATGAAAACTCATAGAACTTTGTAGCACAAAAATTGAGCCTTAATGTATGCAAATTAAAAAAGAAGATTAGAACTTTGGGAGGCTGAGGCGGGTGGATCACGAGGTCAGGTGTTTGAGACCAGCCTGACCAACATGCTGAAACCCCGTCTCTACTAAAAATACAAAAATTAGCCGGGCGTGGTGGCAAGTGCCTGTAATCCCAGCTACTCAGGAGGCTGAGTCAGGAGAATCGGTTGAACCTGGGAGAAGGAGGTTGCACGGAGCTGAGATTGTGCCATTGCACTCCAGCCTGGGTGACAGTGCAAGACTCTGTCTCAAAAAAAAAAAAAAAAAAAGATTAGGAGATTGAGAGTTCCAGGATGAAATGCAGAATGTGACAAATGTCACATTCTACATTTCTACAAACATAGAAAACCGTATCATTTATGGGTATGAAAGAAAAGGGACTGGCCTAAGTAACTTTGGAAATGAGTGGCATATATAAGACTAAAGACAAAAGAAACTGTGTATAAAGAGTATATTGTAGTTGATAAAGTTTTTTTCCCATGAGAGTACAGGCTAACAATTGTTATATTGCTATAAATGTATGCTAGAATTGAACAATTAAGTCAATCCATATTGTGAGCAAAGCTTTTGCCTTTTGGCGTTTGGAGTTGCAGATCATTACAGGTTGGAGGCTGAGGTGTTCCATCTGGTTATGGAATAGAGTTGGAAACATAAGACTGAACTCAAGTTTAACTTAATATAGGTACAGATAATTACATATAGAAATATTTATTGGTATGTATATATACACAGTCAAGTACTCTAGACATACACGTGTTTCCTTCCTTTGTCAGCTGAGAAAGCCTAAAAGCTACAGCACTCCAGTGATAATTAGCACATCCAGAGCTTAGTTCTTGGTTCATGGTACTGTTCTTCAATAAAGGAAACCAGAGATCCTTGGAGAAATGGCTGATTTAAGACTGTGGCAAGAAATATGCAATATGAGGCTAGATGATCTTATTGTGCTCATATATAGTTTAAACAAAACACTACCACCACGATGATGATAGTATATCAAAGTGACACAGAAGCTAACTGAAAGAGTTTCCAATGACCAATGTTGGAACAATTTGAACAGCAGAATAAAGTTATATCAGATTATAATCCAAGGCATAAAATAAAATATGGTTTGATATTTACATATATAAGTGGTTGCATAAACAATTATATAGGAGGAGAATAGACATATCTCTCAATCAGAATAATTCCAAATTGTTTATGTAGCTGACCATCCTTCAAAGTGCGATGGGTTAATTTCCCACTCCTTAAGTGTGGGAAACGTATAGTGACCTCTTTCCAAAGAATACAGTTTGGGGAGGGGAAATAAGATGAACTTTCCTGACAGCACAACCTCAGTCAAGCAACAAAGGTGAACATGAATAATGATGTGTAGTGTAAAATATTGATAGCATATTCCCTTGATATGAGGTAATGAAAATGGCACTTTACCTTTGTCATCTTCCTCCCCAAAACATAACCCCAGTATAACCATGAGAAAAACATCAGGCATTCCAAATTTAGGGACATTCTGTGGAATATTTTTTTAGTACTTCTACTCCTCAAAGCTGTCAAGCTCATCAAAAGCAAGGAAAGTCTGAGAAACAGTCACAGTCAAGAGGAGCCCAAGGGGACGTGATGGCTGAATATAACATGGTAACCTGGAAAGGATCCCAGAACAGAACAAAATTGTTAGGTAAACTCCAGGGAGAGTATAATAAAAATATTGACTTCAGGTAATAATAATGTGTCAATATTGACTCAATAATTGTAACACAATGTACCATATTAATATGAGATGATAGTGGAAGCTGGGTGTGGGGTATATGTGAACTCTCTGTACTACATTCACAATTTTCATATAAATTCATAATTTTTCTAAAATTAAAAATTACTTTAAAAGGAAAAACAATTTTTAGTACTTGAAAAATTATTTTGAGACTTTGGGGGGAGGAGGGAGTTAGTGATGGAAAAGACTGAATTAATTCCTGACAGATGTATTATATCTGTGTCTTAATTTATATGAGTAAATAATTTATATGAGTAATTTAATTTAACTTAATTTATGTAAGTAAATGAGTATATGTATACTCATATCAAATAATTTTTATTATTTATTATATATAGATGCATATATATATGCTTCACATGTTATCCTCTGGCACGGGGCATAAATATGATAACAGAACTAATCAAAGTTATTTGATTAGTTCAATATTTTGAACTAATTAAAATTATTTCCAGTGGACTCAATTGAATTGAACTATAGATGATATATATATTTTTCTTTTTATCATACTTTAAGTTCTGGGATACATGTGCAGAACGTGCAGGTTTGTTTCATAGGTATACACGTGCCTCGGTGGTTTGCTGCACCCATCAACCCGTCATCTACATTAGGTATTTCTCCTAATGCTATGCCTCCCCTAGACCCCCACCCCACAACAGGTCCTGATGTGTGATGTTCCCCTCCCTGTGTCCATGTGTTCTCATTGTTCAACTAAAAGTGCATGACTCGTAGGAAGTATGATTAACTTGTTTGATTCCTTTATTCCTTTATATGTGCCATCAAGCTTTTTTAATGGGAGGAAGTATTTTGTATAGATTATTCTGAGTTTAAGTCTTGATTCCAATGTTACTGGTCATAGGACCTTTGATAAGTTCTGTAATTTTTATGAGTCACAGATTTATCTATTGTAAAATTGTGCCTATTTTATGTTTGAGTGCTGCAGTGAGGACTGGAGATAGTGTATATAACAGCCCATTATAATGCTTGGTATAGTAGATGCTTAATACATGGGAAATTTTAATGTTTAATATTTAATATTAAAATTTCCCACATTATCATCCAACTGATTTTCATATGCTTTCCAGTTTTCCCTAGGGCTTATACTTTTATAATATTTTATTTTGAATTTCTTATTACAGTAATGAACAAGAGAGCCAGTATCCCCTTCTTCTTGAATCTTACCTTTTTAGTTGATAAAATAGACAATAAAAATAAGTGAATAAACTGGAGAATAGATTGAAAAGTGCTATACAGGGGGTGGCTAGGTAGCTATTATGGGTTGAGTATTTAGAGCAAGCCTTCCTGAAATTTAAATAACAACTAGGAGTCAGACATGCAAAAGAGAGAAGAGAAGAACTAGTCCACAAGTTCCATGTAGGAAATAAAGTTGGTGTGGCCAAGGAAAGAAGCTGGACCTCTATTTGTGAGTGGTTAAAAGGGAGAGGTGTTGGTGCAGAGGTAGCCTGGGCTTTTTAGACCAGACTAAAAAGCTTGAGGTTTTTTGTTGTTGTTGTTTTTGTTTGTTTTGCTTTACTTTTGATAAAATGAAATGCTGTTTGAGAATTTATACAGGGAAATTTTATGATAAGATTTATGTTTCTGAAATGATTATTTTGTCTGC
Organism: Homo sapiens; assembly: GCF_000001405.40. Taxonomy (NCBI): domain Eukaryota; kingdom Metazoa; phylum Chordata; class Mammalia; order Primates; family Hominidae; genus Homo; species Homo sapiens. Next base: position 10,043,369 of record NC_000007.14, on the reverse strand, counting down.
TGTATGGTTAAGAATGCAAAAACCTTCAACTAAATTTTCACATTATATAACTCTACTTGGGGTCTTTGAAAATTTATGTTGGCTATTATGGAAGAGAGTCAGAGATTAGGGAGCAGACAGATTTAGAATTTCTATATAATCTATGCAAATGGAATTAATGTCCCATGTATTTATCTATACATATAAATATGCATATTCTTTTGGGAACCGAATACAAACTGTTTTATTCAATTTGTCAAAGTAGCTTCTGAAATTTTACTTGCTGTTAATATAAATGCTCAATTGCAAGTCTAAGTTATAATTCAGATGACATTTCTTGCATTCCAATGGAAACAGTTCATTATTATGATGATATTTGAAAATGCTATTAGTTTCTTTTTCTTGAAGCAAACAAATGTTCTTTTTACAGGTTTTAAATAATTTATAACTGTCTGGATATTACCTTCACCTCCTTCTCTTCTAACTTTTTTGTTAATGTAATTGAAAAGCTTAATTAGTGGGCATCATGTGGAATTCTAAATTTTAGCTTAAGTGGAAATTCTGTTAATTCTAGGTAGACTTGGTTAATACTCTGCAGAGTGTAACATGCAATGATTCACTTGGGGATCTTGTCAAATGTTGGTTGTGTTCAGTACTTCTGTGTTGGGGCCTGTGATTCTTCATTTCCACTAACTTTGTATGTGAAACCAAATATTCTGGTCCATGAACTAACTTTGAGTAGCAAAAGGCTAAGCTTTAGTACCAAAAAAAGTATCCTGGGCATATATTTGTTTATATATTTTTTAAATTATTTTTATTACTTAGAACTAATTCCTCAGTTCCAATCAAGACCAATGAAATTAGAATTTCTGGGTTTAAGGATGAGCATAAATATTTCTTAAAATGTTGCAGTTGACCCTAAGGTTTAGATAGTATTGAAAACCATAGTTTTGGAGCATGTCAGCTGTGAACCACACATACTTATAACATTACCTAGAGCTAAAATGATATAAGCAATAGGACTTACTGATACAGTTCTGGAAATGTGCAGAGAATTATAAAACAATCGGCTAATTTTAATCTTCCTTAATTTTGAGCAGAAACTGACAGAATAGCTATTGCACAAAATTATCCAGAGTTGCATGGCGGCTTTGTGATAATGGGGCCATTGATGAGGCAGACCATTAAATTCATTTTCACTCAAGACTAAAGCAAATATTTGAATGGAAGTTTCCAGAGGTGAAAAATGAATGCGCGAACCCATTCGTATTCATATATTGAGTTGAGTTAGTTCATTTTCTCTATAAATGGTATTTAGATAACATGTACTCAAATGACTACAAATAGAAATTATTGTTTAACAGTAAAAAAGTTCATTTTGGGAAACTTCTGAGGGTAAATGGAAAGTTATTTTAGAAATAAACACATTCTAATATAACGACTACTAATAATAACTATTTAGTGAGTATTCACTGTGTGCAGGGTTATATTATATGTGTAATAGTCTCCTCATTTTATATGAGGAGGCAGTTGAGATTCAGATAAATTAAATAACCTTTCCATGTCTGCACTGCTCGTATGTGGCAGAGATAATATTTAACTCATTTATCTGACTCCAGTGTGTGTATTTTCATGCATAGCTCATCACCTCTAGAGCTATTTGAAATGCTAACTAGTCAGTGTGTTCATTTATATGCATAATGCTCCTAGAGAATAAGTTAGAACACATAGGAAATACTTTAAAAATCACCATGAAGTATTTTTTTCAAAGTCATATATATGCCTGTGCGCACTACTAACTCTTTTCAATGACGCTTTTATTGTAGAAAGTATAAGCCTAGGTACCTACATAAGTATGGTTACACATTTTAGTCCTGGAATGCATTGAAGTTTGCTTTTTGCTTAGTGACTCTAAAAAATAGATACCTAGTTCCTTATTCTGTCAGTAATTCTAACTTCTACTCTCATATTTGACCCTGAAACTTTGCTTTAAAAGGTTGGTTTACCCATAGAGACAAAAGAGAACTTGTCTGTGGGCTGCCACCCAGATATGCCAAATATACACGTATATACATATATAGGTAATATATTATTTACAATTAAATTTTATGTCTATAATAAAATATTAAAGTAAATTATATATATTTTAACCATATTATATATATACAAGCACATATATAATTTTAAATATTTTACATAAGTGCTTTTATAAACATTTTATATAAATACATGCATAGCTTAATCATTTAAAATTATACATATATGTGTATATTTTTCTTTAAATATTTTATTACAAAAATGTTAATTATATAAAGAAGTAGCATTAATACTATAAGTATCCATGTATCTCACATCTAATTACGTAAATGGGCTACCCTCAACCAATTTTGTTTCATCTATAATTTTCTGTACTCTATTTATCTATCACTATACTCCTCAGAATATTTTAAAGAAAACCTCATCTGCACATATGTCTACAACTTACGAAGTTTTTAACACAATATCATTACAACAGCTTAAAAATGTAATGACAATTTTCAATATAATTGAATATCTATTGAATGTTCAGTAATAACCTTCCTTACTCTTTTTCTTTCCCTCCCCTCCCCTTTTTTCTCCCTTTCTCCTCCTCCTCCATCTTCTTCTGTTTCTCTTTCTCAATTTGATTATATGGATCCGGATTTTTAAAAAATAATCAAATCAAAGCATTATTATTAGGTTGCTATATTTTCTAAGTCCCTTTCGATTCATAGTTACCCATCCATCACCTGTTTTCTTTTCTTTTTTACATCCTTTGTTTTTGTTGCTAAACACACTGGAATATTTTTCCTATAAAGCTTCTTACAGCTTGGAGTTTTATAATTTTTAAATACATGCTATTCTTACACATTTTCCTTTGTCCCTTACATTTTCCGTAAGTTCCTAATTAGACCTGAAGGTTGATCAAATTTAGGGGAAACTTTTTTTCCCGAGACTACTTCTTAAAAAGATATGTAATATTTATCTATTTTTACATGATATTAAAATCTCTTGATGATAATTGTCTAGATGTAATAATTAATCAGAGGTCCCAAGATGGTGGCTTTTAAAATTTCTTATCCTTTATTGGCTGGAATACTTTTCTATAATTAAGATACTTCTCATTCTCAACTTATGTTATGTAAGTTATTCTCAACTTACTTTATGTAAGTCTAAAGTACAGTTTATATAGGAAAGATAAATTTTATTTACTAGTTTCCAAAGTAATGAGTTGATTTCCCATCACCATTCCAATTACCAATAAGGGCGTTTTTTTTTTCTTTAGCATTATGAATCCATAGAATTAAATATATTTGACTTCAATTTAGTACAGCCTACGATTGGAGCCTATTTTATTTGGCTTTTGAGCTTGCACACTCTCATCATAATCATACTGGTCATGATACCTTCTTTGCTTTCTTTCATGAAAAAATGTCTAGGCTACATTGGTGTACTGTTTTCAGGCCTTCTTAGGGAGCAGAGTTATCAGTTGTAAACACATTTTTAAAAGAAAAAATGCATCATAAGTCCATAGTGACATTTTAGAATCAAGGCTAATACCATGAAGTTTTAACCCTACATCACAGATTTCAGATGTTTCCTTTCTTCTAAGCTGAAAATATCACTTGTAAAGATCAATTTAAATGAATTTTATTTATCCCATAAATTCCCAAAATAGTTTCACAATAAAAGTAAGGTAAAAACTACCATCAATATTATTACTGAAAGTAGTTTCCAAATTAATATTTAATTTTTCTCTAGTGTATATCTCATTAGAGTTGTACAATCAAGTTACAGTATATTAGAGTCACTTAAAGTGACTGATCTTCGTGTAATATTGCCACCAATTGGATATACAATTAGTTTGTTTAATTTCCTTTTCAATTTATGGTGTTAAAATTTAAATTATGTAAAGTTCATGTTAGTAAAGTCAAATTTGCAAATCAAAGTATATTCTAATAAATCTAGCTTCTATTCCTGTCCCTTCCACTTGGTTTCTTCTAACTATATGCACATTTTTTTAAGTTTCATTTTATTTCCACATTATTTAGTATTTAGAAACATTTGTAGCCACACCCCTTTTCTTAGTAAGAAAAGGTTCGCTTCTATAAACAACATTGAAATTAGCTAGTAACCATGTCTTCCGCTACTCTCATCTCCTCACCATCTCATTGTAAAGATAGAGCAGAGTAATAAGAACATCTGTACACATTCTTTCAGGTTTGAATTAATTCATTCCACAAATACTTACAGAGCACTCCTATGTATAAAGCACATTGTTAAGGACCTGGAAAAAAAAGCTAAATAAGACTGAGATATTTTATTCCAGGTGCTTAGCAATGTGTTTTGTGTCCAGGAGTATTCTTTCTGAGGAATGTGTGCAGAACACATTTAAATAATTCTAACATTCACAAATCCTTTTTGAAAAAAATTTTAAAAGTAATAATCATAATAACAAACTACAATAGCTAAAATTTTTGCTATGCCAGTTTTTCTGATACTTTCACACAAATTACTTCATTTCACCTTGATTATTATTGTATAAACCAGGTTTTGGTTTACAAGAAAAGAAAAAAAAACTCTAGTTTCTAAAAAGAATTTCCTTAGGAAAAGTTTGTGTGAGAAGCTAATAGAGTTAATAGGAGGTTTAGAGATGATGTTTGAAAAAATAGGAAACAAGGGTATTCATGGGTTTAAGCAGTAAGAGTCAGAGTCATGATTATGTCCCTCTTCTTCCAGTGCTCATCTCCTGGCCCTCCTACATCCTCAATCCTCTCCACTGTGATGAATCTGGCCTCTAAATATCCTCTCTGCTTTGTTTTACACTCTCTAAAGTTCTGTGGTCAGCCTCTGATTTGTCACACTTTGGACATATGTTCCCTTCAGTTCATTCTCAAGTGAAGGAAGATAAAGATCTCTGTTCTTTTGGGTTAGATTGTGAGAGTGAGCAGAGAAAGGTATGGTCGTACTAAGACCATAGACTATGAAGAATTTGCATAGGAGTAAATCAAGATACCACTAGAAAAAATGGAAAAGGATACAGAAAAGTCAAAAAGTTTCAAATTGTTTCCAAGAATTAGAGGATCTATTTTGCAGATAAAGAAACTGAAGCATACAGAAATAAAGTAAATTGCTTAATGTGAGCAAACTAGGGAAGGCAGGAGCTAAATTTGAAACAAATATATACATATATTTGATTGCAAAGCCTGTGTTCTTACCGTATCTGTCACTTCCTTTATGTTTGATTAATTGAATTAAAAATATGTTTTATATTATGATTTTATTTAAATTTATTTTAGGGTAATTATATTTAATAAAATATATTCTTAAGTTAGCATTTTTTGAATATGATTTAAATCTAAATGTAGTTCATAAAATGACAATTATTGTAATTATTAGCATCACAATGCTGTGGGAAAGGGCTTTCAAATGCCACCAATTCACATAATCAAGTTTTTTATGTAATAAGCAAAATTAAAGATGGGCTTCCCGCACAGCAGAGCAGATTTCAAATCTTAGCTTTACCACCTACTACCTGTATGTCCTCATAGAAACTAATATAATTTTTTAAAAGATTATTGTCTTATCTATAAAATATTTAGAACCCAGGGATATATAACATATAAAATGAAAAATATTAACCTATATATAAAAGCCATAAAATATTATTTTAAGGAACATATGAATAACAGTTGTATTTCCCTTTCCTTTTGCAATTTTGTTAAAAGAAAAATGAAGAGTGACAATTTTTTGTGTGTGTACATATCCAAATAATAGCAGAATTATCACTTTACTTTTTTAAACATATCAGTTATGGCAAATTTATATCTCATTATTCTACTTGACACTTTGAGGAAGGTTGATATTAATGAAATAATATGTTCTTGAACTGGTTGAAAACAGGTGCTGAAATTCATAATGTTATGAAAGTCATGCAAATGAAAGGCAATCAAAAAACATTTTGTGTATTACATTTGACCCAAAGTTGTTTTTACCTATGTGGCAATTCTTAAAATGACCTCAAGAAATGGTCATGGATCTTTTAAACTCTTGGAATAGTTAAGACGACTTTCAAGTAAAGATAGAAAAGAAGGGCAAAAGTATCCATGACATGAAGCAGGAATAAGCATCCCACTGAAGATCCATGGACACTTGTCATCTCAGGCATTCTCGGGCTTCTTTGGTGAAAATGTTTACTAAAGCTTGCTTTCTATATTTATTAACCATTACTTATCATAAGGCAGTAAAAACAGAATGGCTCGATTTTCTAAGCTTCAATTTAGTCATTGAAGTAATAATAATAATAATAATAAAATCCTGACAAGTCTGGCATCATGATACATAAAACATTGAGCAGTCATCAGCCTCAAGGGAGACTGAATCTCACAAATCTGCAGTGACAAATTGTTTTATGAAAGTTTGCATCACTTCGTTCTAAAAGCAGAGACACCCTAGAGGCAAAATAGCTCTTACTGCTCCCTGAAAAGTCTCAATTTTGGACCTTATCCATTTGATGTAATCGTTTGGGGTTTTGAGATTTAGAGTGAACTGTGGAACTCTTGTTTTTCTTTGCCTGGAAAATTGACTAAATAGACATCTTGTTCAGGTGCCAGTAATGAACAGAGATTGGATTTTTGTATGAGGTAGACTGGTTTCTGAAGAAAAGTAATGGTGTTATTCCCCAAGATGGAGATGGTTGATATTGTTCTTGTCAGTGAAAGAATAACAGTAAATTCCAAGGACTAGTTCTTTTTGATGATCCGTCATTATCAACTTAGAAGTTGGGTCCCTGATTGATAGTGTATATCCTATTGTGCCTGTAAGAGAGAGATTTTTGCTTTTAAATCAGAAAGTTGTTAGAGATACTTTTTCTTTCCTTATATAATTGTAATATTTTAAAAAATATTCTTTACCTAAAAGCTGAGGATGTATAGATATAGATATATGCATACAGTGAAAAGCACCCATAATTGCATATTTTAGAAATAAAATGTTGCACTTTGGAGTATTTCCTTAACTTTTTTTCTATGCATATGTACTCAATTTTAGAAAAATGGGATCATTCTCCACTGTCACCTGTTTAATGTATTGTTGATAATTTATCTATATAGAGATTGATATAATAATTTTACTGGCTAATTTGTATTCTATAGTAAAGATGTGTCACACTTTACATTACAAAGACTTTATTGGTGAATATTTGGATTGCTTGTTTTTCACAATCACTAATGATAGCTATTTTAACATTCTAAAATAATAGCTATTTAACATGTTGTAATTGTGCTACAACATTACAATGGCTACAAATTTACTAGGCAATTGGAATTTTTCAGCTCCATTATAATCTTATGGGACAACTGTAGTGAGAATGTGCGTGTGTGTGTGTGTGTGTGTGTGCGCGCATATCCCATTGATTTTGTTTCTCTAGAGAGCAATGACTAACACATATTTTAACCCTGAGAGTAGGTCTAGAAAAACAGAATGGTAATAATAATTTTCTGAATTGATTCTGGGGTTTTTGAAATTGGCTCTCTAATCTGATTACAGTTAAAGACACTAAAGACTCTATTTCCAGTAGTAAAGAGAGCAGCAACATTCCATGGCATGATCTGGCGATAGAGATACACAAAATCTTTACTGGAGACTTCAGATTAGCAATTTATAAGAAGCAATGAGTTGAGAGACTATCTGTGTGATACTTGCAAATATTGTTTGGAAAACTAATGAATATAATTGAGGTTAGCTAGTTGCTTCTAATATCACTGGTCAAAATGGTACCAAAACAATGAGGTCAGAGATTCAAACTCATGGCCCAAGGGCTGCATAAATGATCAGTAACCTTTCATGTGTGCTCTAAAAGAAATGCTTATGTCCTGTAGACTCAGGAATTAGATTGCTAAAAATCAAGCATAGATTCTCGTCCTAGAACTGGCTGGATTATAATGCAAATTGAACTCCTAGCCTTGCAGAATGTTTACTGCTAAAATGAGGGCATTGTTTAGAAAAGAATGGAATCCTGTATGTTGAGATGAGGATGTGGGTGTAGACCATGATGAAGCTGACCACACTGAACTTCGAAATTCTGATCAGTCTTCTTTGCCAGTGTATGTGACCTCTCTATTCTAGGCAGAATTGCGTTCCTCGTTCTAGTGGAAGAGACTCTCTACCCCTAGCTGTGTAGCTCCTCTATTCTCAGTAGTTGCAGCCTCTTCACCTGAATTCTGAGAGAAATCATTCTGTATTGTGTGAGGAAGTTGTGGTGACCTCTTCTGAGGCAGTTTCCTTGGAAGGGAATGCTGATTCATTTCAGGATCCACCCGCACCACACTTCTTTATGTCTAGACCTATAACTAGACTCAAGTCCCAGTAGGGCCCCAGAGGTGAAGTACAAAGTGTGAGGAAGTGAGCTAAACACCAAAAAAACACTTGAGTTCTATAATTTATTTGCACAGACAGAAATCCAGTGAACATGTGTGGGAAGGGATGCTAGAGGAGTGAGGTAATGGTGAAAGAAGCATAAAGCTGAACCAAGCTGAATTTATTGATATGGGCCCACTAAGCAGAAATTCTGGATTTAATATTGCAGCTTGGGGAGTTAGAAAGGGCTCTCACAGTTTGGGTGGTTGACTGAAACATGGGTCAAAAGGTGGCCCACAGTGAGCAACTTATAGATGCCATGCCTTCCTTGGTTTAATGTAGAGCAAGCCATTTAATTCTTAGGGAGATTAGAATCTTAGAATGGATTTGTCATTGAAGACCTCACCCACACTGGTGAAGTCCAGAAGAGATAACTTTCACCAAAATTGTGAGAAATACATTGTGAGGGAGGACCCAGCATCCTTAAAAAGCTCTTTGATCACTGTTCTCTGTAGGACAAACCTCACAGTGGAAACTGCAGTTACCAAATTGGAAAACATAAATACAATGAGAGTAATTGGGTCTTGGGACACCAGGGGCCAAGTGTTGGCACTCAGCCTTCAAAGACAAAGTGGATATGGTCACCATAACAGACAGCAGAGATGAAGATGCAATCAGAACAGCCTGACTCACACAGACTAATCGTGTTGGCTACTTGGTCACAGTGTTTCTAAAAGTGAAATAGGAAGCCTACTAAATTCTTACTTGATTTGTATAGGGAGAAAAAATTATAGGAAACAAATCTGACCTGAATCAAAAACATAGAGTCACAGTTTGTCAATCAATTACTAGACTTGAGCTTGTTTATAGACCCAAAACCCCTTGAATAAAGGAGAGACTGGGTCCTCTTGAGGAAGAATCTGGGTACAATACCAAAAATTTATATTGTTAATCCTTCTCCCAGCTTCCTCCAAAGAGATTTACTGCCTTTTATCAGGATAACTCTATATTGGGCAAAAGGAAATAATCATACCTTTGGGAGATTACTGGGCACTGACTCTGAACTGATGCTTATTTCAGGAGACTCAAAATGTGACTGTGGTCCACTAGGCAAAGTAGAAGTTTTTGGAAGCCAGATGATCAATGGTATTTTAGCTCAGGGACATCTCATAGTAGGCCCAGTGCATCCCTAAGCCCATCCTGTGGTTATTTCCCCACTTCTGGAATGCATAATTGGAATGGAAATAGTAACTGGCACAATCCTCACACTGGTTTTTGACCTGTGGAGTAAGAGCTATTTTGGTGGGGAAGGTCAAGTAGAAAATACTACAACTGCCTTTACCTAGAAAAATAGTAAACCATAATAAACACAACATTCATGGAAGAATTTCAGAGATTATTACCACCATCAAGGATGTGAAAGATACTAGGATAATGATTTCTACTAAATCTCCACTCAGCTCTATTTGACTTGAGCAAAACCTAGATGGATCTTGGGGAATTACAGTAGAGTATCACAAGCTTAACTAGGTGGTAACTCCAACTACACCTGCTGTACCAACCGTGGTTTTATTGCTTGAGCAAATTAACACATCTTCTGGTACCTGGTATGCAGATATTGGTCTAGCAAATGCCTTTTTCTCCATCCTTGTCAATAAGGCCCACCAGAAACAGCTTTCTTTCAGCTAGCAAGGCCAGAGATACACCTTCACTGTACTGCCTTAGGGGTATATTAACTCTCCAGCCCTATTTATAATTTAGTTTGCAGGGATCTTAATCACCTTTTCCTTCCACAAGTGATCACACTGATCCATTACATTGATGACATTATGCTGATTGGACTTAGTGAACAAGAAATACCAACTACTCTAGACTTGGTAAGACGCTCACATGCCAAAGGGTGGGGAATAAATCTGACAAAAATTCACAATTTTTTAATGTCATTGAAATTTCTAGGAGTCCAATGGTGTGGGACATGTTGAAATATTCCTTCTAAGGTTAAAGGATAAGTTTCTATATCTGGACCCTTTTACAACAAAAAAGGTACAATGACTAGTAATTCCTTTTGGATTTTGGAGGTAACATATTTCTCATTCGGGTGTTACCCTAATCTATTTGCCAAATGACTCAAAAAGCTGCTAGATTTTTATGGGACCCAGAACAGGAGAAGGCTCTGCAACAGATCTAGACTGCTGTACAAGCTTCTCTGCTTCTTGGGCCATATGATCTGCAGATCCAATGGTGCTTGAAATGTCAGTGGCAGATAGGAATGCTCTTTGGAGACAATACCAGGCCCTTTTTTGTGAATAATAGCAAAGATCTTCAGAATTTTGGAGAAATACCTGGCCATTCTCCACAGAAAATGCCTCCCTTTGATAAATAGCTCCTGGCCTGCTACTGAGCAACAGTAGAGACTGAGCATTTAACCATGGGCCTCCAAGTTACCATGTGACCTGAACTGCCTATCATTAACTAGGTGTTATCTGACCCACTGAGCCATAAAGTGAGTGTACACAGCAGCACTGCATCATCAAACAGAAATGGTATATACATAATAAGGCTTGAACAGGTACAAGTATGTTACATGAAGAAGTGGCCCAAATACTCATAGTCCCCACTGCTGATATACAAGCCTTTCTCTCTCAGCTTGCATCTGTGGCCTCATGGGAAGTTTCCTATGCAGTTGACAGACAAATAGAAGCCTTGGGCCTGGTTTATAAATCTGCATAATATGCAGGCATCCCCTGAAAATGGACAGCTATAGTACTACAGTCCCTTCCTGGGACATCCTAAAGGATAGTGGTGAAGGGAACTCCTCCCAGTGAATATAAATTTAAGCAGTTCCCTTGTTACACACTTTACTTAGAAGGAGAAATATCCAGACTTATGATTATATGCAAATTCATGGACTGTGTTTAATTGTTTGGCTGGATGGTCAGGGCTTAGAAGGGATATAATAGAAAAACTGATGACAAAGAAAATTGGGAAACAAATTGGGGGACGAGGTAAGTAGATACATCTCTTTAAATGGAAAACAACATGAAGATATTTGTATCCCATGTGAATACTCACCAAAGGGTGATTTCAGATGAAGAGGATTTCAGTAATCAAGCAGATAGGATTACCTATTCTGTGGATACCAGACAGCATGTTTCCCCAGCTACTCCTGTCGTTGCCCGGTGTGTTCATGAACAAAGTGGCTATGGAAGCAGGAATAGAGATTATGCATGAGCTCAGCAACATTGACAGTCACGCACCAATGCCAAATTTCCTATGGTTACCTTTGAATGCACAACCTGTCAGCAATTGAGACCCCAGTATGGCGCCATTTTCTGGGGTATGATCAGCCTGCTCCCTGGTGGTAGGTTGATTATATCGGATTGCTTCCATCATGTAAGAGGCAATGTTTTCTTATTGAAATAGGCACTTACTCTGGACACAAATTTGCCTTCCCTGCACACAATGCTTCTGCTAAAACTACCACTCACAGACTTTCAGAATGCTGTATCCACTCTCATGATATTCCATACAGCATTACCTGATTACGGAGTTTACTTCACAGCAAAAGACTGTGGTAATGGTCTCTTCGCCATGGAATTCACTGTTTTTACCATGCACCCTCCCATCCCTCATCTTGAAGCAGCTGGTTTGATAGAACAGTGAAATGGCCTTTTGATGACCAGCTAGGTGGCTATCATTTGTCAGAATGGGACAGAGTTCTTCAGAAGACTGCATGCTTTCTGAACTATCATTCAATATTCGGTTCTGTTTCTCCGATATCCAAGATTCATGGGTCCAGGAATCAAGGCATGGTAATGGGAATGACACTACTCATTCACATTCAGTGACCTACTAGCAAAATTCTTGCTTCCTGTTCCTGTAACCTTAAGCTCTGCTGGCCAGAGGTCTTAGTTCTAGAGGCAGTAATTCTTCTACCAAGAGACACAACCAACAATGACTTCATTGAACTGGAAGTTAAGACTGCTGCCTAGCCACTTTGGGCTCCTCAAGCCTTGAATCAAGAGGTAAAGAAGGGAGTCACAGAGCTGGCTGAAGTGAGTAATTGATCCTGACAAAGGGAAATTAGACAATTACTCCACAATAAAGGTAAGGAAGAGTATATCTGGAATACAAGAGATTCATTAGGGTGTCTCTTACTATTACCGTGCCCTGTGATTAAGGTCAATGGAAAACTATAATAATCCAATCCAGGAAAAACTACTAATGCCCCAGAACCCTCAGGTATGAAGGTCTGGGTCATCCCACCAGGTAGAGAACCACTGCCAGTTGAGGTGCTTGCTGACGGCAAAAGAAATAAGTAGTAGGATAAGTAGTTATAAATACCAGCTATAAACACATGACTAGTTACAGAAACAAGGACTGTAACTGTCATGAGTATTTTCTTCTTAGTTTGTTATAAATACAGCTGTGTGTATCAAATTTATTTATTTTCTTTCCATTTTATTCCTTTATTATGTAATATAAGCTATATTGACTCTATATCACAGTATTTAAGTATTGTTAATTTTACATCATAGTATTTAAGTTATGGGATATCAAAGAGATGAATTAATAAAACTCAAAGACATTACCTCCTCTTTTGGGGAAAGAGATCATGTGTCTTCAGTTGTGTGCAGGACGGTTGTATCAAGTTAAGCAGACTTATGATTTATGATCTTGTTATTATCTTATTTGGAGAGTAACTATGGCTTAAGGAGATGTGTATGGGTGCCAAGTTAGCAAGGAGTAGACTTGTGCTGGTTAATTATATGCGTTAACTTATTGGGCCATATGATACTGAGATATCTGGTGAAACATTTCTGGTGTGTCCATGAGGGTGTTTATAGATGAGATTAGGATTTGAATCAGGGACATCGGTTTTCTCCTGCCCTTGACCTGAGATTTGCATTATCAGCTCCACTCATTATTACACCTCTGGACTTGAACTGAATGATACCACCTGCTTTCTTTGGTCTCCAGATTGCTGATTGTGGGACTTCTCAAACTTCAGAATCATGTAAGCCAATTCCTCATACTAAATCTCTTTACTCTACAGGTATAAATATACTCGTGTATGTATGTAAATCTTTCAGGAGAACACTTATTACTAACAGTAAGCAAATACACAACAAACCATTCTTAATCCTACTTCTCTCCCCATATGCAACCATATTTCCAAAAAAATTTCTGCAAAGAGTTTTCTGTTCTCCTTATTCCTCTCCTCCTCTCCTGACTCTTCGCCAATTAGTTAAACCTCTTGACAAGTTTTCAAAGGCCTATTTTGTTAGGTTTAATTTAATTTAAATTTATTTTATTTTATATGTAATATAGTGTATCCTATCTATTTTTTTCTCACAGGTTTTTGCTTGTCTTTTTAGTATTTTTTTGTTAAATAGACTGTTTAGATTTTGTTATGTTTAAATTAAATTAAACTTAATTTAATTTAAATTCTCAGTCCTGGCTTTACTTGAACAAATGGCAGACTTTGATATATTCAGTCCCACCCTTTCTTTTGGAATGCTTTATTTACTTCCCTTTCTTCCCACTTCACACCTTTACTTGTCTTTTCCCCAACTTTTAAAATTTACAGTGGCCCAGTGTTCAATTCTAGGTCCCCTCCTCTCTGCATAATTCAGATTCATATATTAACTATCTCCTGGAAAGAAAGGAGGAGACACTACTTGGGAATTTTGTTTGTTTCTTTGTTTGAGAAGGAGTCTCGCTCTGTCGCCCAGGCTGGAGTGCAGTGGCGTGATGGCGACTCACTGCAACCTCCACCTCCTGGGTTCAAGCCATTTTCCTGCCTCAGCCTCTCAAGTAGCAGGGATAGCAGGCACCTGGCACCACCCCCAGGTAATTTTTTGTATTTTTAGTAGAGATGGGTTTTCACCATGTTAGCCAGGATGGTCTCGATCTCCTGACCTCGTGATCTGCCCGCCTCGGCCTCCCAAAGTGCTGGGATTACAGGCGTGAGCCACTGCGCCTGGCCAATATTTGGGTATTTTACAGGCACCTCAAATTTAACAGATTCACAATTGAATTTCTGGTATTCTCCTATTAACCTTTTCCTGATATGAACTTTTCATCTCAGAAAATAGCAACTTCATATTGCCAGTTACTTAGGCTAACTCCAGAGCAAATTTGAACTCATCCTTGACACTTCCCTTTTGTCATACTCCACATGTAATATATTAGTTAATGCTATGACACAATCAACAGAATATACAAAGAATCTGGCTATGTATCAGAATTTCTGCTGCTACACCCTGATCTGTACCATTAGTATCTCTCACCTGGATCATTACTGTAGACTTCTATCTAGTCTCCCAATTTCTGCATTATTTTCCTGCACTCTATTCTTCACACAGCCAAAATGATCTTATCAAAATAGAAGTATATTTTTCATTCTTTTTTCTTGTTCTGTGACCTGTCTTAATATGTTCTTTTTCTCTATTGTAATTTGTTTTTATTAATTTACAGAAGTTCTTTATATAGTATATACGTATCTTTTTTCATATGTAGTATAGTGTTTCCTATATTTTATTTTTCCTATATTTTATATGTAATATAGTGTGTACTATCTTTTTTTTTCTCACAGGTTTTTGCTTGTCTTTGTTAAATAGACTATTCAGATTTTGTTATGTTTAAATTTATCATTTTTTACTGACTTATTCATTGAGGGACTTGCCTAAGAAATACTTGCTGTTCATGGAGATCATAAATATATTAACTTATATTTTCTTCTAATAATTTTTAAACAGTAATATTTCAAATTGGAGTTTTAAATAGAACTGGATCTGGAATTTAGTTTTTGAATATTTTGGTAGATAGGATGCCTTCAGCATATAAAAATTAAGTTACCACCATATCAGATACTGAATAGTTTACCCTTTCTTAACTGGTTTCTTATGCTGTATTTGACATACACTAAGTTCCCATATATGTATGTTTACAGGCACTCTTCCTTTGATTTACTTGTCTATTTCTGAGCTAATTTCAGACGTTTAAAATCAGTTGTTTAATGTTAGTCCAAAACCATCTCTTATTTTATTTTTAGGATTTGACTTGGCTAGTTTGAAATGTATTATGTATAGGAGTCAATTTGGGAAATACCGTGAAAAATTATATTGAAATTCAGATTGAAGGTCCCTTTAATTTGTATTTGAACCTGAGGCTTAATCAACATTTGTGACAGTGTGTCTTCTCATTCAGTAGCAGGGTATGTATTTCATTTTTTTGCCAAGTCTTTTTTGTTACAATATTTTATAATCCATAGTGATTTTGTACATTTTATCTTGAATTTATTCTGAGGCATTCTATAGATATTTAATCTTTGGTACTTTGGGTCAGTTTTATCATTTTTGAAGGAATCAAATTTCTTTATTTACTTTTTAACTTTTATTTTAGTTTCAGGGATACATGTGAAGATTTGTTATATAGGTAAACTCATGTTACAGGGGTTTGTTGTACACATTATTTTGTCACCCAGGTACTAACTCTAGTACCCAAAAGTTGTTTTTTCTGCTCCTCTCCAGCACCCCCCTGACAAGACCCCAATGTTTGCTGTTCCCTTTTTTGTGTCCATGAGTTCTCATCATTTAGTTCCCACTTATAAGTGAGAACATGTGGTATTTGGTTTCCTGTTTTTGTGTTAGTTTGCTAAGAATAATACCTTGCAGCTCCAGCCATATTCCTGCAAAGACATGATCTCATTCTTTTTTATGGCTGCATAATATTCCATGGTTCATATGTACCACATTTTCTTTATGCAGTCTATCACTGATGGACATTTGGGTTGATTCCATGTGTTTGCTGTTGTGAGTAAAGCTGCAATAAACATTTACATGCATGTGTCTTTAAGATAGAATGATTTATATTCCTCTGGGTATATACCTACTAATGAGATTGGTGTGTCCAATGGTAGTTCTGTTTTTGACTCTTTGAGGAATTGCCATACTGCTTTCCACAATGGTTGAACTAATTTACACTCCCACCAACAATGTATAAGTGTTCCCTTTTCTCCGCAACTCACCAGCATCTGTTATTTCTATGCAGAAGATTCAAATTGGATCCCTTCCTTAAACCATATAGAAAAATCAACTCAAGATGGATTAAAGACTTAAATGTAAAACCCAAAACTATAAAAATCCTGGAAGACAACCTAGGCAATACTATCCTGGACGTAGGAACAGGCACAGATTTCATGACTATGCCAAAAGCAGTTGCAACAAAAGCAAAAAATTGACAAATGGGACTTAATTAAACTAAAGAGCTTCTGCACAGGAAAATAAACTATCATCAGAGTGAACAATCTACAGAATGCTAGAAAACACTTGTAAACTATGCATCTGACAGAGGTCTAATATCCAGCATCCATAAGGAAGTTAAGCAAACTTACAAGAAAAAAACAAAACAAAGAAACAACCCCAGTGAAAAGTGGTCAAAGGACATGAACAGACTTTTTTCTAAAGAAGACATACATGCGGCCAACAAGGATATGAAAAAAGCTCAATATCACTGATCATTATATAAATGCAAATCACAACCACAGTGAGATGCCATCTAACACCAGTCAGAATGGCTATTATTAAAAAGGGTCCGTTCTATTTTTTAACATAACATTTATAATGGTTCTTGCTGGCGCAGAGGAAGCATTGATTTTTATGTAAACTTTTTTATTAAAGTATAACACATATAAATCCTTAAAATCATAATTGCACAGTTTATTACATTTTCACAAAATGAACACCCTAGCACCCACAGCAAGAAGTGGGTTATTACAAGAACCTCCAAAGTCCTCTTCTGCTCCCTTCCAATTACAGCTTTTCCTCTGCCCCAAATAACTACTATGTTGATTTCTAATCTATACATTAGTTTTGCCTGATTTTGAGATTTAAATAAATGGAATCACACTGTGTATTCTTTGTGTCTGTTTCTTTGGCTCAATTATTTAATAGTCATAAATGAAATGACTATGCATGTATATGTCTATTTCTGAACTTTCCTTAGTACGTTCATCTATCTTTAGGCTAACTCTGTGCTTGTTAATTTTTGTAGCTTCATAATAAGTTTTAAGATAGGGTAGGGTAGCTTCTGAACTTTTTCTTCTTCATCATTGTCTTGGTTATACCAGATACATTGCATTTTCATATACATTTTTTGTCACTGGATAGATAGCATAAGAATGTGCTAGGCTTTTGACTGGGATGGAATTAAATGTTTATGTCAAATTGTAAAAGTAAAAGTGAAATCTTAAAAATACTAGGTTTTCCAATTCATGAATATAGAATTACCCTTCATTTATCTTGTTTAATTTGTCTTACTCATGTTTAGTTATTTTCATTGTAGAGATGTTGGGCTTTTTTTGTTATATTTATTCGTAGATATTTGATGTTTTTTATTCTATTGTAAGTGGTATTTTTATTTCACCTGTCAGTTTTTTCTAGTTTATAAAAATAAAGTCACTTTCATATATGATATTTTAATTATTATTATAGTTATGAATGACTCAATGCTTTAGTTTTCCAAGATTATATTAAAAATGTAAATTCTGATATATTTGGCTTTTGAAAAGTAACTTGTTTCCAAAATAAACCTCAGAATGGTTACACTCCTAAAACTTTAAAAATGCTTGCCACATAATAGGTGATTTATAAATTATTGGTGAATGAATAATAATTCTTTTTACAACTATCAAGGATAACATAATTCATTAAATGATTCTTGAAAATAAATTCTGTGGGCTTACCGCACATATTTTGTGTAACGTTATGCTTCGTGAAACAGGCATGGTTTATTGCTTACAAATTATCCATTCTTCTCTTTTTCTTTAGTATCCATGTGCTGACTTTATTTGGAGTAGCAATGTGCATATCCCTAAGTAATAGATAATGCGTTGCTTACAACTGGAAAGGACTAAGTTCTGCACAATCAAATTTATGGTGATATCTGATGTCCTGTTAAAAGGAGTGAACTATTTCTGGGCCCTTCCTTCCCCTTCCACCATGCTTTTACTTTGAGCCTAGACTTGGTGTCCTGAGCTATACCAGTCTTTGTAACCAGAAGCCATTAAACATGAGGTGAGATGCTAGCATGCTTTTGGTGGCTAAGGGAAGTAGAAACAGATGAGGCTACTATGTCATCACTGAAAACCAGAAGGAATGCCAGCAACTGTGTATCTATGGATTTTTTCATATGTGAAGAAAAGAACCCCTCTTTGTTCAACTTTCAGTTAGTCAAGTATCTATTACTTGAAAATAAATACATTCTCAACTGATTTGCTTAGTTTGTTACCTATGTGGATAGTATGGAAACTATCTGACCAAATATAACACTTACAAATAAATTGATCCATAATACTGATAGAATCCAGAGATAACTTAATATGTAAAACTAAGTTAAATGGGAATAAACATTGAATGATGCAACATTAAAACTTAAATTGTAAATACAAATGTTCTCATTTTTAAAGATTTTCTAATAATATACAACTTATTCTATAAGGTTGAACGTGAGTTCTGTTCTTCTAAAGCTTCCTATAATAATCAAATCTTAATATTTTAAATATTAAAAAAATTTAATAACAATTATTATTGTAAATGTGTCACAGCTTGAGCTAACATAATCACTTTATGGTCCTCTTTTCCTGTGTATGTTCTACCTCTTCTTTCATATACAAATATGGCAAATAGCATGTACAAATGCCACCTCTTTTCTCTGTTGTTGCCATGGCAGACATTCCAAAATGATCATGGCACAATTTTTCTATAAACTCAGATATAGCCTATGTTCCTATACAACACAGATATCTAGGCAATTACGACCAATTCCTGAGAGTTGGAATGCTGAACATAACTTATTATCCATGACTATGCTCAAGTATAAACTCCAGAAAATTATAAAGTTTTTCAGTTTTATCTTTGTTTCTCAGATGCAATTTTTTCTCTTTTTGCATGTATCCAATTGATTGTTGGTAATGGATCAGCAGTGAAATAGCATTGCAAGGGCATCCCAACCTACAATACAGATGCTTTTGCAAGACCATGAATATATCAAAATTGCTAACACTTTAACAAAGCATATATGAAAATTTAGATAAATTGTGGTTCCCCAAATCACCTAATTTATGCTAGACTTGGAATATTAATATATTCTATGTCTCATGAATAGGTATTACTTTTCTAATCTATTACATATGCTGCTATACAGTTAGTCCAACTAAGTTTTTTTCTGATTTTTTTGTACACTCTGTACTTTACCATTTTTATGCATTTGTGCAAACTTTGTCTTCATCCTGGAATGCCTTATGTACAAATCATAGTCACCAGCCACACATCAGTTCACTTGTGCCATTTCTATATGGCTTTATGCAGCTCCTCAACAAAAATGACTCTACTTCCTATGTTTCAATGTCATTTTCTTAATATCATTATTTTAGTACACATTTTTTTCTTGACTGTCTTATGTTACTTGTATGTATCTTAATTATTTTAACTAGATTGTAAATATGCTAAGCATTCACATGCTGTCCACTCTTTATGTATGTCTCATATTATCAAGCATGATGTCTCTTGGGTACAATTGGATAGATATGTCATCTGGTGTATTAATTGCTATGCAGCAAATTATCCCAAAACTCAGGAGATTAAGATAAATATTATCTGACAATTTCTGTGAACCAGAATTCTGGGAGAGCCTTAGCTGAGTAGTTCTGACTCAAGGTCCCACATGAGGTGTATTGTGGCCACAGTTTTATCTGGAGAGTTGACTAGGGAAGGATCCACTTCCAAACTCACTTTTCTGGTTATTGACAGCGTCTGTTTTTTTCACTGGCTGTTAGCCAAGGACTTCAGTGCTTTGCCACAGTGGCCTCTTCTGGGAATGTTTGGAATGGAATATGGCTTCCCTCAGAGTGAACCATCAGAAAGCTGGGCCGGCAGTGGTAGGAGTGGGGAAGAAAGAGAGAGAGAGGGACCAAGACTGAAGCTACAGGCTTTTCATAATCAGATGTCAAAGGTGACATACTAACTACACAAAAGTTTGAATAGCAGAAAGCATGGATTATTGGGGACCATGCTAGAGGCTGGTTACCTTTCTTGAAAATTGTGATAGGTTCAATAATCATTTGTTTTGGTCCTACTACTTTCTAAAAAGGATAACCTATACTTTACAGTGTTTATCTTAAATATATTTGTGTCATAATAAAATAATGGCTGAAATATGTAAATATTAACAAATAAATTCATTTGGAAAAAATTGCAAAAAAAAATTATTAGGGCTTTTCACATTATCTCAGTCCCGTATCAGGAATGAGTTAATGTTTGACTCATCTGTGTGTGTGTGTGCGTGTGTGTGTGTGTGTGTGTGTGTGTGTGTGTTCACTACAATTTGAGGCTTATAAAACAGTAGTTGTCATTCCAAGAGATTATTATAGTAATACCGATTTCTATAGTAGTAATACAAAAATTCAAACATTTTTAATATCAAGAATAATATTAAAAAGTAATTAGAATGAATTTGTTATATGCTAAGTAAAAGCAAAAATCAATTAATTGTTTACTCCTAGCTGATACTGTACATACTACTTTATTCTTTCATATAGGGGGTTGTTTTTTCATTTATTTTTAAACAACTCCATAATATTCTTTATATATCAGTTAAGTACCTTTGTATTTAATGCAAGAAAAATTACCTTAACTTTGGGGTCTTGCTCTGTGCGTTAAATTACATTTGTAAGTGCTTCACTGAACAGTATTTTTCAAATATAATCCACATATAGTAATCGTGTTTAAAATATAATTTTTCATAGTTATGACCCATCTGCTCAATACTGATAAGAAGTTCAATAAAGCAGGCTGTAAAAATCAATGCTGTTAAATGTTTATTAATTATCTAACACATTGCTTAGCTTACTGAGCACATTTAACACCCCAATACATATTTCAAGGTACATATGGAAATTTTGCACTTAGGTTTAAAGATATATTTTAAGCATCCTTTCAGCTGCACTCTCTTAATCCAAATGTATAAGCAAGCACTTATTCCATTTAATCTGATCTTTCATTGAGGATACAATATCTCTGAAGGTAAGGCAGACAATTTCTATCTGGAGAAAAAAAATCTTAAAGCACATTTTACATTAAAAACCACTGAAGCATAATGGGCTAAGCTGCACATGGACCCAATTTCAACATCTGCCAAAATTATCAGTAAATTTAAGACTTGTTCTAATTTTCTCAGTCATTATTTTAAACTCCAGTAGTACCAGGACCTGATTTAATCAGTGAGTGAGGCATATAGCATTCAGGTCAAGTAGACACGCATACAAATATTTTTTGATTCCTTTCATTCTCATCCCTTGAAGGCCCTTTGTCACCAAGGGTAACAGTGCTTGGGTTCTAAAATTATTTCTCCTTCCAAACCATGCCATCATAAAGTGCTTTAAGATGGTAAGAAAACGAATGAAACTACTGAAGAACTAAATATGGAAACACAAAAGTAATTTATGTCCATCAGTAGCCTTATTTTTTTCATCTTTACCCCTTGATTTTTATTCCATTTCTTCCCCAGCCCCTGCATGTAACATAATGCCTTAGCATCTAATGTAATACCTAATATAATGGCTTAGCATGTAGTGACTTAAACTTAGTAGCAATCAAAACACATATTTGAAAAATGCATTGGCTTTATTGAAATATATGTTTACACTTCTAGTGTCCATCTCATGAGGTGAGAAACTCATCAGCTTCTGCTTAGTTTGTTGAAGTAGGTATGTTTTAACTTTATCATTATCTTTTTCTGTTAATATACTATGTAGCAATAACTTTGCACATGGTGATCTAAAAAAACTAGAGAAAATTTTAGTCACACAATACCTTTACAAGTCACAGGGTCTTAAGTTTTATAATTAGAGATGTAGCCCTTTGGATCTTGAAGCTTTTGAGATGTCTAAAAGTTTTGGCTGACCTGTTTTGATGTCCTAATCACCTCTGGTTTCCTGACCATTCTTCATACAGCTGTCAGGGTGATCTCTCTTTAATTTGCATATTTGATCATTTCTTTTCCAGTTTAAGACTCTTTGGTCACTCTTCCTTTGAAGAATAAAATTAAAACTCCATTGTAATATCCGCAACATTTTCATGTTCTTACCCCAACTTCTTTCGACATATTTACCTCCATGTACCTTATATTCTCTCCCCATTCATATATGTGTCCTCTGTCATCTGCCCTAAATTTCTTCTTTATTCATTGATGTCTTTAGAACTGGATCTAAGTGTCACAAATTCTGGCCAGTTGTGTAGAGGCTGCTCTTCTATTACTTTTCCACTGTAATCTGTCTCTATTGGTAAGATACGCTCATTGAACTATTCAGATTCCAAAATGGGTCTTTAGGAGCTTCTGAAGAAGTAGAGAAAGCTTCCAGGCCAATATATGGTTATACTCATCCATCTTCTCTGAAGTGTGCACACATTGGAATTTATTGATGTTATCTGATTAAATATTGGAGATCTTACATATCAAGTGGACATTATTTAAACTGTATTCATTTTTATCAGGGGCTTATTATCATCCTTCTTTTTGAAGAGAAGAGTATTAGTGTGGAATTAAAATTAATTGTCTTTCCAAACTAGGTAATTTGGAGAGGGTAGGAGCTAGTGCAGTATAAAATAAGTAAAACGAAGTAATAGAACTATCATTTGAATATTATAACATATTAGTTTATACAAAACATTAATTTTGTTTATATTTTATTTATAATATAGTGAACCACAACCATAATGCATTCTTTCTCTAATATAATTACTATAAAAAAACTTAAATTGGTAATAGAAGGCCAACTACTTGGGACAATATCCTACTGATGGATGAGTAGGAGATGATGATAAATGAATCTCATTCTGAATTCTGTCAACGAAATAAATCACTTATGTCATCAATGTTATTAATATATTAACATTCCACTCAATCGATATACCTCTGACTTGTCTTCTTGACTTTTACAGGGATGCCTGTTCATTTTATTCATATTTGTTTTGAGCTTTATAGGGCTGTAAAACTATTATTAATCGTGGTCACACTCTACATGGGAAAGTTCTTTAGCTGGCATCACTTGTTGGGGATTGGTCTTTGTTTTTTGACTGCATGGTCAGTCATCCTTGAGGTGATGAAAACATATCGTCTCTGCAAAATGGACACAGTTGCTGGAAAATATTTGCCACATTGAACAGTTTCTATTTCTTGATAGTGTGTCTGTAATATAGACATGGGAAATAGTTGGCTTACATAGCAGTAGAAATAGTCACATGTGAACAGTTGTTGTATGAAAGCAAAATGGAGGATACTGAAAGGTGGATGTTCCCTTCATAACCTACATCTGGAATGGAAACAGTTTTAAAGTGAGATAACATTTTGTTTAAACACTTATATTATGTAAATTAACTAATATACCAGATTCTAGAAATTTATGTAAGTTCAAAATGCAGAGTTTTAGGATTGCTTAAAAAAAGCTGTATTGAGGGTTTCATGCAGTACATTTTAGTGTTTCCTGTATAACCGATAGCAATAGGAATGTCAAATAATAAATATCAATCAAAACAATGATCTTAAGTTACCTAAAGGTAATGTTGATAATTTTCAGTCTTACACTTTAATTTTTAAACAAAATTTCCTACAATATTTAGTTAAAATTTTTGGTTTACATAGATGACAAACCAGGGAATGCTCTTACTTAGTATACACGATACTGTAATTTTATGTATGCATGTGTTTCTTTAGTCAGTCACTTGATAAATATTTATTCCACACTTAATATGTGCCAGGCACTTTGGATGCAACTGTACACAAGACAAAGTCACTGCATTTCACATTTTAGCAGGGGTAATTATAATTAACAAATAAATATATTTGTATATTCTCTATTTCATTAATTCTAAAATGTATTTTTTAACATGTTGATGTCTGGCTGCAGATGCATCTTATAGTCACTATTGACCAGGAAATAACAATAATGTGATTTTTATCAACTGACAGCTTGGTAAGATTGAGAAACCACTAACAACAAAACTTGCATAATGAGGGTCAACCACCTAGAAGAAAAGTTTAAAGAAAATAGTATAATTCCTTTAAAAAATTCTCCTCATCAACACTTCTAAGGACACTGCAGATGTCTTGTGTTGAAAAACACAGATGCTGATCATACTAAGTTGAAAATATAGTCAGAAATTGGATACTAAATGTGAAGAAGTTTTAAGTTTATCATCAATTTCTTTCAGTTGCAATTTCTTTTTATGAGTATGCACAAGAGTGATGTATGATTAAAATCTGAGTCTAAATTAGTTTCAAAGATCTCTTTCATTAAATATAAAATGGAATTTTGTATGATAAGAGAGAATTTTGTTAGTAAAATTGGCCGTACTTTTTCATTAGCGGTATTAGCTGTGTACTGATTTATAACAACATCAGGAATTACAGAGTTTCTTTGCTGGGCAGTTTCGGCTTGTGTTCTTTCATGAGATTGCAATCAAAATGTTTCCGGGTACTATAGTTATCTGAAAGCTTGACTGGAGTTAAATGATTTGCTTACTAGGTGGTTCACTTACATGGCTGGCAAGTTGGTGATGACTGTTGGCAGGAAGCCTCACTTCTTTCCTGCATGGGCCTCTGCATAGGCTTCATGAATATACCTGGTGGCTGACTTCCCTCAGAGGAAGCAACTCGAGAGGTTTGGACTCATTGCCAATTCTGCCAAATTCTATTAGTTAGTAGTCATCAAGACTGACCTGCATTCAAGAGGATTGAATTCGGGCTTACCTTTTGAAGGAAGGAGAGTAAGGATTTTTAAAATCTATTTTAAAACTACCATATAGTAAATAAATTAATGGGACTTCTTAGATATACTTGAGTTATAGCCTCATTGAAATATGTTAAGTGGCCGGGCATGGTGGCTTAGGCCTGTAATCTCAGCACTTTGAGAGGCCGAGGCGGGTGGATCACCTGAGGTCAGGAGTTCGAGACCAGCCGGACCAACATGGTGAAACCCCACCTCTGCCAAAAATACAAAAAATTAGCCAGGTGTGGTGGCGGGTGCCTGTAATACCAGCTACTTGGGAGGCTGAGGCAGGAGAATCACTGGAACTTGGGAAGTGGAAGTTGCAGTGAGCCGAGATCATGCCATTGCATTCCAGCCTGGGCAACAAGAGTGAAACTCCGTCTCAAACAATAAAAACAATTAAAAAAATTAAAAATTATAAAGAAATACAGTAGGTGTTAATAAATCAAACTGGCTAACAGGACAGAGAGTTACAGGGTTGTGCAATTTTAGAAATGGTCTTTTTTGAAGAGATGACATTTGAGCATAGTGAGACACTGAACAAAGTGATGATCTGTGTGAAGAGAGTTCTTAACACAGGAAAATGTCAGTGCAAAGCCCAGAAGCATCTGAGTCCCTCGGTGCACAGGAAACAACAACGAGGCCAGTAGAGCATCCTCATGTCTTTTTCTTTAGCCTGGTTTTAAAAATGGTAATAATTTTAATTAACAAATGATACAAACAAATATAGTTGTTTTTATTAACATAAAGTTAAGTGTTAATGGGAGTGATGAATCTTTCATTGGATTATTTGAGATTTTCCCTTATGACATTTTCTAATTGGTAAACGGTACTGATAAGAGCTTACTGTATTTTCTCCGGCTTTTCTGGGCACATACAATTTGAAGAATAAACAATAGTTTTACAGCACACAGTGGTGTAAGCTGTCGATAGGCACTTTTCCGTGTTTTGAAATAACTTCTTTGACCACTTTATGTGGTCAAGGATCACTTAGTGACCAAGGACCAACTTAAGTTCCTTCCTCAACTTCTGCCATATATGAATTGCTACATTGTTTTATTTATTTGTGTGAAAATTGTCTTTGTGATCTCTTTTATTCATCCAACTTAGTAGTAAATAAATGAAAATCTTTTCTCAATATCAACTTCATGCCTGGTGTGCAACAAATAGTAATTCCACAGTGAAAAGATATCTAGAACATTCATATGAAATTAGTGGTCTCTGACCAAGGGAAGGACCATGTTAGTCAATACAATAAGTGTCCCCTAAGCTCCCACAATAAAAGTGGCTGTGTCTGCTATTAAATATATGTTGGCAAGCTAATTTTCATAGCCTTCCAAGGTTATTTTCTTCCCTCAAAATCTGTGAAAGTAAAAAATTTAAACTATCCCAATTTCTATTACTATTTTCTCTTTCTCAGTTTCAAGACTCCCTTAGCATCAAGATCCAAAGTAAAATTTTTAATTACATGCATATCTTATCTATAGAGACAAATATTTATATATTTTCTTAACTCTGATTAATTGATAATTGATATGTAATAATGATGATTAACAAAGTAGACCAGTGATTTTTCAAATTATGTTTCCAAGACCAGCAGCATCAACAGCAGCAGTGAACTATTAGAAATGAAAATTATCGGGAGCCAGCCCAGACTCACTGAGTTAGAAGCTCTAGAAATGGGGCCCAGAAATCTGTATTTTAAGAAAACTTTCAGATGATTCTAATGTTTGTTAAAGTTTTAAACCCACTGAGAAAGACAACATTAGGCTTACTTTTTGCTGCTGACATTAATTCTAAGAAAAGATTCGAGGTAGCTTATCAACATTATTAAAGCTTGTAGTTGATTATGTCCAAATGACATTCAGTGTATATGAATACCAGGTCTCCATAAAAATCCAAAAAAGGAAAATAAGAAAACAAATTTATTCATTTGGAGGTTGACTCTCTTCATTCCAACTATCCTATCCCATTGCACAATGTTAAACATCATAGAAACTGAAAATGCTTCAGGTAAACCTAATGAGGGTTATTTCTGCACTGGTGGATTTGAGTGAAATATAAATCCAATCTGTCTTCAAAGAGATTTACATGTCTATAAGGCATCAACACAAAGAACAATTTATATAGACTTTTAATAAATCCTAACATCTTTTAACACTTATTTCCAAAAATTAAAAAAATGAGAGAAATTGAAAATGTTAATTTGCATATGCATTTTCTAATATACCCAAGGACACGTTTGCTAAAATTTCTAGTATTCATATCTTACTCAGACCAAGAAACTCTGTTGTTACTAGAAATTCTCCAGTGGGGGCAGTGGAGCAAAGGCTTTCAGGAACAATAAATTAAAGGTTAAGAAGCATAAACATTTGGCTTTAATTGGGTTGGGAAAAGTAAATGATGTTATCTAGAAATCTCACAACCTGATACTAGTGTTTTTTTGGAAGTCATTACTTCTATTTATCCAAATGTTTAGCAAAATAATCTGCTATTGGGACTGTGTTTCCTTTTAATTTATTTGGTAATTGTCAAGACTGGAAAGAATAGTTAACTTGTTGCCAATTTAAAGAAAATGAGTTGTCTTTCTAAAACATACTTTAGACTATGCTTTCCTAAACTTCCTAACAAATAATTAATGTTTCACTTCATAAAAATTCAATTAATAACAAAAACCTCTTTTAGGAAACATCAGAAAATTATTCCATTATTCTGTTCTTCTGTAAAAGAGATGCTACTTTAGCTATGTAAATTTCCATCCCTTGTCTGCTCTTACTTTCTATTAACTTTTATTGTTACATAAGTTCAATAGGTAAATATCACATATCCTTGGGGGAGAAAAATAAATAAATGCCTATACTCAAATCAGCTTACTATCCAATGTGGAACATAATAATAGTTGGACTTTAATTACAATGGATGAGAGAACTTTAGGGCACAATAACACAATAATCAAATGAAGTAGATGCTACATGGGACAGGGAAGGAAGTTTATGAGTGATAGTTAACATACGGAGACTACAGAAACTAGGGGAAATATATATTAGAGTGCTTCTTTTTTTTAACAATTCCAGGAAAAAAATGTCAAATTATTTTTATGTAGATATAAGAAGTTATAACTAGTTATTCTTTTGGTCAGGTTTTTATGCCTGGAGACTTTTAGTTATATCAAACAGTACAAGAAACAAAACAATTTTAAATAACTACAAATGTTTTAAATCTAATTGTGTATTTCCTGCTCTTTTGATTATAATTGATTAACATGGGAGCTTTTGTACATAGCTGTGAGATTTGCTAAATAATAGCATGTAATTACTTTTTTAATTAGAATAATACTGCCAGCATAGGTAAGTGGGTAAAGAAACATTACTTTCCTAGAAATATTAAAAATATCTGTAAGCATTCTACTTGCTCTAGAATGGACATTAAAGTAACCAAGTTGTTTGACTAATTTGCCATGTACAGTTGAGTTCTGTTGCAGGGCAGTATTAGCCTAAAACATTTTTTGACCAGAAAGAGTCATTGCTTCTCCTAATGAAAGATAGGTGAGAAGTTTTCTTGCCTTAGATATTTGGAGACACAGTTGGTATCTTTATTAAGGAAATAATTAGGATGGATAAAAATCACATATATGAAATTACCCCAAATTTAATATTTTTGAAGTTTTATATGTGAAATAATTATCTTTCTTCTCTTTACAAGTACCAATTAAAAATTAAAACATCTGAAAATATACATTAGTTTCCTTATTTTTCAAGGAATAGTAAATATACAATATAATATACCATACTTTTGAACTTTCAAATATGACACAAATGAAAACTTTTTGAACAGGATTTTTCTTATTTTATAAGACAATGGTCTCATTTAGGAAAAATTGTTATTTCTAATGAAAATACACATGTACTGAAACCTAGCAACTCAAAATTGCCAAGATACCAAATAAGATGCCTTAGCAAGATTACCGAACTTATTCTATAACTAATTACATGACATTGAATCAAAACTCACAACTAGGTGGATCATCAGTTTCTGTAGTTTGCATTTTGCTGTGATTTTTAAAAAACTGACATAATGTCTGAAGATCAAAGGACTATCAAATTCAGTTTTGGAGAGAGGTCTGTTTTTCTTTTCCAACTGGAATATCGAAATTAATTCTCATCATTGCTTGAATTGAAAAAAAATTAAAGTTTTAGGGAAGAACAAAAATTAGCTTAAGTCCATTTGTCAGTATGATTTTGAGTTCTCACTATGACAATCCTAACTTGTGAGACTGTGAATACCTCTTTAACAACAACAATAGTGATAACACCAACAGATATAAGATGTCTACAAGAGTAAATAATTACACATATCTTAAGTAGAACCACATTTTTAGAAGTATAAATATTCAAAGCAATATAATATTAAATATTATCATTTTCTGTTGTTTTATTTTACTTTTGTTTTATAATCAGCAGTAAGCTTAGTGTATGTCTGGTGTGAGGTACGTCACAAAATAGCCAATTCATTATCAGTTTGCATTAACAGAGTATTGTATTAATCCTGGAAAGTAGCAGAGAACAAAGACTCTGAATTCAAATGGCTCTACCATTAGTAGCTGTGTGACCTAGGGCAGGTTATATAACCTCTCTTAGTCACAAAGATTGGGATTAATAATATTATTTCATTAGTTTGTTGTATAGTTGCATGAAATAATGTGAGTAAATGTTTTACACAAAGTCTGGCACAAGAATTTTCTGAACTCCTAGATATAATAAAAATTACTATTTTCATTATGAAGGCGATAATTATTTGAGACTCTGTCTTATTCAGATTTCAACTGGAGAGATTATTTAACTCTTCACACACATACACACACGCACACACACATGCACCCATGTATATATCTGTATGTATTGAGAGATTTAAAAAATCCATAAATTAGGATCATAGGGAGAAATTCACTGGAAGATACTTAAAATGATTTTAAAATGTATAATTACTCAAAGATGCAGCCATAAAAAAGAATGAAAATTATGTCCTTTGCAGCAACCTGCATGCAGGTGGAGGCCATTTTCCTAATTGAATTAATATAGGAACAGAAAACCAAATACCACATGCTCTCACTGATAAATGGGAACTTAACTTTGGGTACATATAGACATAAAAATGAGAAAAACAGACAGTGGGGAATACTGTGGTGAGGGAAGAGGAGGAGGGTAAGGGCTAAAATACTACCTGTTGGGTACTGTGCTCAATACCTGGGTGATGGGATTATTTGTACCCCAAACTGCAGTGTAATGCAATATAACCGTGTATTATATTGCATCACATGGTCCCCCTTGTATTAGTCCATTCTCATGCTGCTATGAAGAAATACCCAAGCTGGGTAATTTATAAAGAAAAGAGGTTTAATTAACTCACAGTTCCACATGACTGGGGAGGCCTCACAAAACTTATGATCATGGCAGAAGTCACCTTTTCACAGGACAGCAGGAAAAGAATGAGTGTCAGCAGGGGAAATGCCAGATGCTTATTAAACCATCATATCTTGTGCAAACTCACTCACTATCATGAGAACAGCATGGGGGAACCAGCCCCATGATTCAGTTACCTCCCACTGAGTCCCTCCCATGACACAAGGGGATTATGGGGATTACAATTCAAGATGAGATTTGGGTGGGGACACACTATATCATTCTGCCCTTGGCCCCTCACAAATCTCATGTCCTTACATTTCAAAACACAATTGTGCCTTCCTGACAGTCTACCAAAGTCTTAACTCATTCCAACATTAAACCAAAAATCCAAGTTCAAAGTTTTGTCTGAGACAAGGCAAGTCCCTTCTGCCTATGAGCCTGTAAAATCAAAAGCAAGTTAGTTACTTCCTGGACACAATGGGGGTACAGGCATTGGATAAATACACCCATTCTAAATGGGAGAAATTGGCCAAAACAAAGGGGCGATGGGCCCCATGCAAGTCCAAAATCCAATAGAGCAATCATTAAACCTTAAAGTTCCAAAATGATTTCATTTGACTCAGTGTCTCACATCCAGGTCACGCTGATACAAGACTTGGGCTGGTAAGACCTTGGGCAGCTCTTCCCCTTTGGCTTTGCAGGGTACAACCCACCTCCTGGCTGATTTAATGAGTTGGCATTGAGTGTCTGCAGCTTTTCCAGGTGCATGATACAAGCTGTCGGTGGATCTACCATTCTGGGGCCTGGAGGACAGTGGCCCTCTTCTCACAGCTTCACTAGGCAGTGGCTTAGTGGGAACTCTGTGTAGAGGCTCCAATCCCACATTTTGCCTTCTCCATTGCCCTAGCAGAGGTTCTCCCTGAGGGCTCTGCCCTCGCAGCAAACTTCTGCTTGGACATCTAGGTTTATCCATACACCCTCTGAAATCTAGGCAGAGGTTCCCCAACCTCACTTCTTGACTTCTGTGCACCTGCAGGCCCAACACCCTGTGTAAGCCACCAAAGTTTGGGGCTTGCACCCTCTGAGGCAATGGCCTGAGCTGTACCTTGGCTCCTTTTAGCCATGGCCAAAGCTGAAGCAGCTGGGACGGAGGGCACCATGTTCTGAGGCTGCACAGACCAGGGAGGCCCTGACTCTGGCCCACAAAACCATTTTTCACTGCTAGGCCTCTGGGCCTGTGATGGGAGGGGCTGCCATAAAGGTGTCTGACATGCCCTGGAGACATTTTTTCCATTGTCTTGGTGATTAACATTCAGCTCCTTGTTACTTATGCAAATTTTTGCAGCAGGCTTAACTTTCTCTCCACAAAATGGGTTTTTCTTTCCTATCGCATTGTCAGGCTGCAAATTTTTCAAACTTTTATGATTTGTCACCTCTTGCATGCTTTGCTGCTTAGAAATATCTTCTGCCAGATACCCTAAATCATCTCTCTCAAGTTCTAAGTTCCGCAGATCTCTAGGGCAGGGGCAAAAAGCCACGAGTCTCTTTGGTAAAGCATAGGAAGAGTGACTTTTACTCCAGTTCTCAACAAATTTCTCATCTCCATCTGAGATCACCTCAGCCTGGACTTTATTGTTCAGAGCACTATCAGCATTTTGGTCAAAGGCATTCAACCAGTCTCTAAGAAGTTTCAAACTTTCCCACATATTTCTGTCTTCTTCTAACTCCTCCAAGCTGTTCCAGTCTCTGCCTATTACCCAGTTCCAATGTCGCTTCCACATTCTCAGGTATCTTGTAGTAATACTCTACTCCTGGCAGCAATTTACTATATTAGTTTATTCTCATGCTGCTATGAAGAAATACCTGAGACTGGGTAATTTATAAAGAAAAGAGGTTTGATTGACTCACAGTTCTGCATGGCTGGGGAGACCTCAGGAAACTCACAATCATGGTGGAAGACACCTCTTCACAGGGTGGCTGGAGAGAGAATGAGTGCTAGCAGGGGAAATGCCAGATGATCATAAAATCATCAGATCTCATGAGAACCCACTCACTGTCATGAGAACACTGTCATGGGGGTGGAAACCACCCCCATGATTCAATGATCTACAGCTAGGTCCCTCCCATGACCCATGGAGATTACGCAGGTTACTATTCAAGATGAGATTTGGTTGGGGACACAGCCAAACCATATCATCCTTGAATCTAAAATTTTTAAAAGGAATCATTCAAAGTTATAAAGGTATTTCATAAGAAATAATATTTCTATTTTCACAAAAATGTGTCCAGTCATAACCTAGAAAAGCCCTTGAAAAGCATTCCATAGAGATTCACATGCATCTTTTGTGAAATGTCATCAGATGGTCTTTAAGATCCCTTCCTGCTGAGATTGTACAATAACATGGTAGCTTTGACTAGAAAATAGATGACCTGCCCCATTTATATGTCCATCTCCCTTTGTGTTTTAGCCTCTCTCATTGCTTGTAACATTGAGACATTGAGACGATGCCTGATTTTGGCAACTGCCAACCTAGGAGTGAAATCTGGAACTAAGTAAGCATAAAGAAGAAAGTGATGATCAGTGACATATTCTTATCCCTGACTGATGGCTATCCCCCATCTTCTTGTGTTCACAAGTTTTGGATCCCTTGGGTTATAATGCGAGTTTCAGGATTTTTGTTTACATTAAAGAACACAGCCAAAGTGTGCATGACAATGCCAGTTTAGGGAAATTTAGCATCATCGATTATGCAATAATAAGCAATAGATAATGTGTTAGGATTACTAACTTTAAGCATTTGTTGTATTAATTTCTGTTGCCAAACTGAAGAAAAGTGGTTTGTGGTCTCTGGGTCTCAGTTTTCTTATGTGACATGAAATAAATTCTTCCATATAGGGTCTAAGTTTCTTTAAATCTCTAATATTCAATGAGTTCATGGTAAATTATGGGGATATAAAATCCATATTATATCAAAATTTTATATATGGTTTCCATTTACTCAAAATAACCAGGAAAGCAATAATACCAAACACTGAGTCTGCATTAATTCTAACCTATACATTATCAGTTTAATGACATGGTAATTTAGCTTTCATTTTCAGGTTTTCAATGTGGTCATTCTCAACAATGATGTTTCCAAGTATGTCTTCTGTCTTTTTAATATTTGAAGACAAATAGAAGGAATTTTTTATGGTCTTGGATATTTTGAAGTAAACCATGTAACTTAGCCATTATTTTCATATACAATAAAAGATAATAGGTATTTTTCTGACACTATTTCTGTATAATCTTATTAATTTCACTCTGTAATAAATGAAATAAAATATCTATATATTGCAATGGAACAAAGTGTTTCTCATTTTAAAATGTCTTTTAAATGTTCTTTTCTTTTTATAACAGCATTAACTCTTTTTATCATCCTAACACGCCAAGCCAATTATTCTAAAATATTGAAAGTAGGATATATATACATATATGTATATATTCTTTCTTTTTTAGATGCAATAAATGATTATATGATTATTTTAGAAAATTAAGAATGCATAGGAATCTAGAAATAAATATTAAGGGTATATTAACTGTAACTTATTGAGAAGGCTCTGTTGACCTCTTTGGATTTCTTCCACTGGAGAATATTAGATCAGGGCAGTGACATAATTTGATGTTAAGTAGATTCACTTTGGCTGTTATAGTACAATATAGGGCTAAGAGTGGAAGCAGGGAGGTCAGGTAGCAGGCTATTAAAGGAATATAGGAGAGAGAGTATATGTCTTGATAGGATGATAGTAGCAAAAGTAGACAGAAATGGTAGCTTATATTGGAGATATATTTTGAAGACAGAGTCAAAAGAATTTGATAATGGAATGCATATGGGATACAAAAAAGAAGGGAGATGAGAATTATAAACCTCAGCAAATGGGTGAACGGTGGAGCCGGATCCTGAGATGAAGAACACTAGAGAAGAGATTAATTAATCTTTACTTTGGACATAAGAAGTTTGAGATGGCTAGGCTGAGCATGGTGGCTCACGGCTGTAATCCCAGCACTTTGGGAGGCCAAGGTGGGCGGATCCCCAGAGGCCAGGAGTTCGAGACCAGCTTGTCCAACATGGCAAAACCCCGTCACTACTAAAAATACAAAAATTAGCCAGGTGTGGTGGTGCTCATCTGTAATCCCCGCTACTTGGGAGGCTGAGGCACGAGAATTGCTTGAACCTGGGAGTCAGAGTCTGCAATGAGCCGAGATTGTGCCACTGTACTCCAGCCTGGGTGACAGGGCAAGACGCCGTCTCAAGAAAAAAAAAAAAAAAAAGAAGTTTGAGATGCCTAATGAATGTACAAGTAAAGGTGTTCCTTTTTAGATAAACATTTGGAATGGAGGGGCCATGTGCAGGCTGGAGAGATAATTTTGGTGGTCTTCCATGTCTGGGTAAATTTAAAGCTATGAAAAGTATTGGCTTACTAGACAGTGAGTTTTGATAGAGAAACAAAGAGGTATGGAGGTTGCGGCTCTTCAACATCTAGAGGGAGAGGATTTGATGAAGAACGCCAAAGGAGAACACTGTAATGTAGAAGGAACACAGGGTGTAGTGTTCCAGAAGCCAAGTGAAGAAAGTATTCAACATGAGACTGCAGCTGTGACAAAGAAAACTGAAAAGCCAAGTTGCAATTCCCCTACTTCCAAGTTGGTTTTGAAACATAATTCCGAATGTTTGCAATAATAGTCCATCATTTATCTGCACAGTAGGTTAACCAATTCCGTGTAGCTGGATACTAGTTTTCATTTATTATTGCTTCTTTTGCCAATGACATGACAATAGCCTAATGTTTTTGACTGCAGAAATGAATTTTTCCATAGACAAAATATCAAATAAAATGTGTTAGAAACACAAGAAAAAGAGAAAAATAAAAATAAAATACAAAATAATGATTATATATAATATATATTTTTTAGTTTTGCCTTGATTTCAATTATTTCTCAATTGATTTCAATTATATTTTGTAGTTACACTAAGCCATCTATGATCACTAACATGTATAGAAACAAGAAATTTAATCTCTTAACAATGCATTGCTCTTGATTTCTCCCCAACTTTTAATTTTATATAAAGCATGAGATTTTAAAATTTGAATGTAGGTGTTTATATCTTCTATTTGGTTAAACCCTTGAATTTCTATATATACATTTCTGCATACAAAGTCTGCTCTATACATTTCCACTATGATGAAAACATAACTGATATTTTGTATAGATTTTAATACCTTTGCAAATAGTCATAATGACTAATTTCATCTAGTACAATTTCAGAGACAACTACATAAGTAGAAATAAATGAAGTAAGGGTTTATGTTACAAATATTGTACTTTTTTCCTTTCTTTTCTCTTATCTATCTACTTGTTTTCTTCTCTCTTTCCAATGCCACTTACATCCTACTCTTTATCTCCCTCCAAATCTGGAATTTTTGCTTTGTATTTCATCTACCACTTTTTTTCCTTCCAAGTTTTCTTTCACAATTCTTGTCATTGTGATAGGTGGCTTAAAGGATCTGAGCAGTGGCTGATGAAACCTATGAATGGGGTAGAAAACTGCCATAGCTTGGACAGGAGAATCTTCATTACTTCTAGGTGGTCTGAGGTATATGCCACCTAAGGGACCTTTGGAGTGACCAGAAGAGATACTCCTGGAAATGTAATTCACAGAATTGAGTGCTGTATAAATCTGCTCAACTCCAGTATTAATCCTTAAAGTTGCATAATTAAATTCAGGAAAACAATTGTGTAAGACTTTACCTGAAAGCTAAAAAATAATATAAACATGAGGGGAAAAGAGAAAAGCTTAAGTGACTTGAAAGGGAGAAGCACTCAAAATAAAACTAGTTTAGGTTAACTGCTACAAAAACACTTAGTGAGCAAAAGTAAAAGAAAAAAGTAAAGAAGGAACTAATGAAGGGAGGAAAGAAGGAGGAAAAAAGGAAAAAAGAAGCAAGAAAAAGGAACAAAGAAGGGGAAAGGAGGGAAGATACAAAGACATAATACCCTGAATTTGGTACCAAAAAAAAAAAAGTTTAAGATTTTAGCCATGGAAATGACAAAAAAGAAAAACATTTCTCAGTATAATTGATTTATCATTATTTCTAAGGCTGATTGTGGTATAGTAAACATTTTTTATAACTGAGATTATCTAGAGATAGTTATAAAAGACATTGTCACCTCTCATTTAGATTTACTGGTACAAGGAAAAACAACTGGATTTCTACCATTTCAGTGTAGCCTTTGCAAATACACAATTATGTTCTTTTTTTCTTCTCAAACCTGTAAAATTCTTAATATCCTAAAAGTGTTATATACATAAATTTTTAATCATTACAACATTAGTTGAATATACAGAATTTTGTTCCACTGAAAAGGCATCACATTGCAGAAATGCAGCATCACTTGGACCAGCTATTTCTGGAATGTACAGTTTTTAAATATGGAGAAAATAAAAAATAAGAGAACTGTAGCTGAAAACAAAGAGAGGTATTAAAAATATAAAATGATTTTTTAAAAAGATATATATTCTTACATTTGCATATGTATTAGATTTAAGTGTTTGAGTAGATATCAATAACTGGAACTACTCACAATTCTAATCATCTACAATAATGAAATATAAAAGAATAAGAATGCAAAAATATCACTCTAGAGAAGGAGAATTATCCATAGCTGATGAAAGAGAATTTTAACCTATTACTAAAAGAGAAAAATGTATGATAGAATGGTCATACAATCAAAGAAGAGTCTTCCACATATTCAGCAATATCTTTCTCACTGACTTTAATAGTGCAAACATGAACCAGCCAAATTTGAGAGTTGGGAAAGTAGAGAAGTGGGGTATTTTCCAGCTTCCATATTTTCTTTGCACTCAGGAATCCACATTTTATTTAGTCTGGATATTGGATTCACATGTTTTTTACTGTCATTATTTTTTTAAATGTGGAGATGTCTGTAAGTAATGGCCAAATATGCACAGGTCATCTTTTGAGTTGAAAATACACGTGGAATTTCAATGTATTCAGTGAGGCACAAGACTAAAGAATAATGCCAGGCTTTAAGAACAATTAGGTCATAAGAAGCAAATAATTGAGGCATATTTTTGGAACTGTTAACATGATCTTTCAAAGTTTTCCATGGCAATGTGAAAACACTGAAAAAAGGAGAAGACTACACCCTTAGCTCCCAGTTGTCATACAAACAATTTACATGGAGAAGGAAGGAAATGAAATGTTCTAAGAATGTGGCAGTAATGAATGCTTAGAATGGTTTATATTATTGAAAATTACAATTAGTAAAATAATATTTCTTTTTCTGCCTTAACATCTGACTGAAAATCTATTATGCTACATACTCTAAATCATAATCAAATATATTTAAATATCATGCTCATTGAGCTTCTATGGACAGATGTCCTTTTCTATGATGTTCTTTATAATTTAGTGCCCATTCAACTCCCCGTTCAATTGGTGCATAATCTTGTCTTATGGAATAAGCTACTAAGTATTCATAATCATCTTTCAAAATTTTGCTTTCCTAAACACATCTGAAATAATAATTGCTTCCATAGTTATATTGATTATTTATATAAGTTCGGAAAGCCATTTCTTTAAAGAAGGTGTCAGAGAAAATATGTAGTGTAGCATAGTATAAAATAAAATGCTACAGCTCATAACCCTATATTATTTAAAGCAAGAGTTTGCAAACAATGGTTCCGCAGGACAAATCTCTCCTGTAATCTGATTTTTTTGTAAATAAAGATTTATTGTTGGAACTCAGCCAGCCTCATTCATTGACTTAGTGTGTATGGCTTTTTTTTTTTTTTTTTTTTTTTTTTTTTTTTTTTTTTGACAGAGTCTTACTCTGTCACCTGGGCTGGAGTGCAGTGGCATGACCTTGGCTCGCTGCAACCTCTGCTTCCCAGGTTCAAGCAGTTCTCCGGCCTCAGCCTCCCAAGTAATTGGGGTCACAGGCACCCGCCATCACGCCCGGCTAATTTTTGTATTTTTAGTAGAGACAGGGTTTCACCATGTTAGTCAGGCTCGTCCCAAACTCCTGACCTCAAATAATCCACCCACCTCCGCCTCCCAAAGTACTGAGATTACAGGCATGAGCCACCAGGCTCGGCCTATGTCTACTTTTGGGCCACAACAACACAGTTGAGTAATTGTGACAGAATATAGTATCCTCAGAGCCTAAAATAGTTACTTTCTGGCCCTTTACAGAAAATATTTGCTAATTTAAAGCATTAAATACAAATAAGTTATAGGCTAAAGAATGAAAATGAGACTATATTTTCAGACATCTAAATGGTACATATTCCAGAATTCAAACACTAAATAAATTTGTGGTATATTTTTTTGTGAGTTATCAAAGCACCTTAAGGTTGTTAAACTGACCTTTTAGAATCGAAGTATCACATACAAGTAGTGAAATGCACAGGTTAAAATGAGCAGCTTCCCTGTAGTCCCAGCAGTTTGGGAGGCCGAGGTGGGCAGATCATGAGGTCAGGAGTTCAAGACCAGCCTGGCCAACATAGTGAAACCTCATCTCTACTAAAAATACAAAAAATTAGCTGGGATTGGTGGCGGGTGCCTGTAATCCCAGCTACTCGGGAGGCTGAGGCAGGAGAATCACTTGAACCTGGGAGGCAGAGGCTTACTAGCCGAGATTGTGTCCAGCCCGGACAACAATGCGAGACTCAGTCTAAAAAAAAAAAAAAAAAAAAGCAGCTTCATGTATGTTGAGGAATGCTTAACCCATACAACCCACACCTCTATGAAGTGTGGTCACCCCAGGTATTTCCCTGTGTTTTATTTCTACCAATCCCCACTTCCTACTTCCGGAGGCAATAATTTTATTAATAGTGATAGTGTTACCAAAACTTCAGGTCTAGGTCTTGTGGTTAATAGCACAGAAAGCCAGTCACTGAGGCCACAGGTATTGCTAGGGGAGAAGGCTTTACTCAGGTGCTGCAGTTGAGATGATAGGAGATCAGTCTCAAATCCATCTTCCTGACAGACTAACATTGGAGGTTTATATATCAGGGGAGGAATGTATCTATATGCCAGAAAATAGTAATTAGGAAGAGTCAACAAAATCATGAAATCATGAGAAATGAGACGCCTGGCTTCTCATTGTCTGGATGTGGGAATCTGGTGAGTTCCAGTTTCTTGATACTGTCTAGGAAGCCTGAGGGTCGGTTTCTTGAGAAAGGAACTTAGATAAGACAAATACAAGTTGCAAGCTTTAAGAGCAGATCAATTTCTATGTTTATTAAAAAAGACTATAAACATCAGTTCTATGGGACAATAGGGCCAGTCTCAATAGAGCCAATTCATCACCATAGCTTAGTTTGTCTGTACTTATAACTGAATTCACCAGGTATTATGCTAAAGTCAGAATCAGGTATTACATCTGACTTCTTTTGCTCTGCATAATATTTTTGGTACTCATCTATGTTGATTCCTTCCAAATGCCGAGGAGATTCCCCATTGTATATAACAGTTTATCTACTGATGGACATTTGGGTTGATTCCAGTTTAGGGATACTGTAAATAGAGCTGCAGTGAACATTCTTATAAAAGTCTTCTATGAATACACTTTTTATTTCTCTCAGGTAAATGTCTTGAGAAGAAATTGCTGGGTCTTGGAGTAGGCATGGATTTAAATTTATAAAAAGACTGCCAAAAAAGTTTTTCAACAGGGTTGTGCCATTTTACACTCCCACAGGACTGCACACCTGCTCCAGTTGCTTCACATCCCTGCCAACATTTGATATTGTGAATAATTTAAAAATAGAGCCATTCTAGTGAATGTGTAGTGAAATATTATTGCTATTTTAATTTGTAGTTGCAACTAATACTACTCAGCAAAATGTTTCAGGTGTTGATTGCCCATTTTATTATCTTCTTTTGCAAAT
The DNA here is from genome assembly GCF_000001405.40 of Homo sapiens. Classification (NCBI taxonomy): domain Eukaryota; kingdom Metazoa; phylum Chordata; class Mammalia; order Primates; family Hominidae; genus Homo; species Homo sapiens. Next base: position 10,002,828 of record NC_000007.14, on the reverse strand, counting down.
TATCTCTTACAGTCTTTTGCCCAATTTTAACTAGAAGTTTGTCTTTTTATTAAGTATAAGCATTCTTTTTGTATTCTAGATACAAATCCTCTGTCAGATACTACAAACATATTTGCCTAAGCTGTGGTTTAGCTATTTATTAGCAGTGTTTCTAGTTTGTACAAGTTTTTAATTTTAATGAAGTACAATTAACAAATTTTTCATCTTATGGTTTTAAACATTTCTGTATTCTAAGAAATTTTTACTTACTCATCATGGTCATAACAAGATTTTCTTATTATTTTTTCTGGAAGGTTTATAGTTTTAACTCTTGTATCAGGTCTTTGATCCATGTTGAAATCTGTGTACAGTGTGAGTTAAGAGAAAGGGTGTTTGTGTGTGTGTGTGTGTGTTGTAGTTTTCAGCACCACTGAATTGCTTTGGTGTCTTTTTTTTAAAAAAAGACATATTCTTTATGTATTAAACCATTGATCTTAAACATTTTTTAATAATATAAGCACTCAAAGCTATGATTTGCCTCTAAGTATGATTTTGAATGTATCCCACAATTTTGGTTTTTATTTTTCAACTTTTACTTTAGGTTCAGTGACTACATGTGTAGGTTTGCTACACGGGTAAATTGTGTCACTGGGGTTTGGTATACAAATTATTTTATCACCCAAGTAGTGAGCATAGTACCCAATAGGTAGTTTTTTCAGTCTCATCCTCCTTCAACTCTCCACTCACATGTAGCCCTCAGTGTCTATTAGTCCCCTGAGATTAAAGTATGTTTCTGTAACTTACTAGTGTCTCTCTTGAAATAAAGTTAAACTACCTCACATATAATGTAATATTTATACTACCCATCTATCATACTATTTTTATTATAATATAATAATATAATATATTATAATTCTGCCTTTGCAGAAATGCCTCAATATAATTTCATTACTGTCTTAAGCAGTCCCTTGTCCTTTAATAAAGTTAAGATAAAATAAAACATATTCTGAAAAAAATCACATACTATTTCTAGTGATCCTCATTTATATAGATCAAAGTTACTATCTGGTATCACTTCACTCATGCCTGAAGAACCTTCTTTAAAATATAATACATACCTGATAATGGCAAATTTTTTAGTTTACATTCTAATAATCTTTGAATAAGTAGTGTCCATGTATTTGCAGAATAAAAGTTCACCCTGTACCTTCTTTTTAATAATTGTGTCCTGACAGTCGAGGCAGTATTAAAATATTCCTTTTCAATGTGGTACTGAGAAAGAAAATGACTTGGATAAGCTATGTTACAAATAATACTGTGGTTTGTTTAATAAAAGATCATTCTGCGTTTTCTTTTTATTGAACAATAGTAATCTAAAGCAAGGGAAATAAAGCATGAAAGATTAAAACAAGTTGACTATATGCAGACAGTATGATGGTCATTTAAAAAATATAGTCCTGTTGACTGTAGAGCTTTTGTTAAACATACCGTTTTCTTCTAGTATTTAATTGTTATCTTTTATAAGAAATAGTCATTTTTTGTGTTTTAGCTACATATAGAGAAAAACAATTTAACTTTCAGTTACTGATAGTTCTGAAAATTATGTTTCTATTTTATCATTTTTCTAAAGATATTTTTGAAGGTTTAATGATCATTGCATTTGCCATATGTAAATGAACAAACTTACACACAATTACTTTTAAAAAAAACCTAAGAATCTTGGTCTTGCAATGAATTTTTCAACTGCTTTACCCACCATGTTTATTAAAACTGTCAAACAAGGCACTCTATTTAAAGACATAGATGACTCACAAAGGCTAATGGTTAAAAATTTTTAGTCCTTGTTTAGTTATTATGTTATAAAATCTAGAACTACAAAAATAAACATTTACTTGTAGTCATAATAACTGCCAGGTTCTGCCATGGTGTCTAATCAAGTATGTAATTAACTAAAATAACAAGCTCACAAATATGTATTTGCAGCACAGTTTTTGCTGGTTAGAAGCTGTTAAAGTGCAAAGCCCCATGCTGTTGCAAATAGTATTAATATTAAATATCTTTTGGCACTTTTAACCTCTATTAAGGAAAATAAGTAAAATGCAAAAATATTAACACATTTGTGAAATTTCTCTTTCTACGAAAAAAATAGGTTTCTTTGTTCTTCCGCAGAAAATGTAGACATACTATTTTTAATAGTTTTCTTTCCTTCAGCCCCCCAGGAGTTTCAGATTATGGATATATTTAATAGATGGAACCAACCTAGAATTTCCTGATAGGCTGGATGAAGGCTGTGAAAGAAACAGACATTGGAAATGCTTCAAAGTTTCTTAAATGACCAGCTGGAAGGCTGGAATTGCTGTCAACTGAGAAAACGAATATAGTGGGTTGTGCATATTTGTGTGCGGAAGAGAGATGAAATGAGATCAAGCGGAGGGTTAAATTAGTAGTCTTGATGTGGAGAGCCTGAGTAAACAGTTAGATATACAAGTCCAAAATCTGGAGAGTTCTGGTTTGGAGATACAGATTTGAAGTTATTGGCACATACATGGCATTTAAAGAATAAGGCTTGAAGATATCACTAAAGGAAGGATCGCAGAAAAGAAGATAAACCGAAGAAAGACTATTGGAAGAAATTAGTGAGATAGGAGAAAAAACAAGGAAAATAGGACATCCTAGATGCCACCTGAACTAAGCGCATCCTAGATGCCACCTGAACTAAATGAGGAGGTAGTGAATAACACTGTCAAATGCTGTGATTTGTTAAGTTCCAAGAGGACTAAGAATTGACTATGTGGTTTATAAAAATAGGAGTAATTTGCTCCATGTGAAATTTATTCAATTTTGAAATTTTATTTTATTGTAGTAAGAACACTTAACATGAGATTTACCCTTTTTAATTTTTAAGTGTACAGTACAGTGTTTTGACTATAGATACAGTGTTTCACAGCAAATCTCTAGAACTTATTTATCTTACTTCTCTGGTGTATTGTACTTATCGATCAGTGTCTTCCTCCCCCCGCCCAACCCCTAGCAACCACCATACCATTGTTGCATTCTATAAATTTAATGAATTCAGATACTTCATATAAGTAGAGTCACGTAGTATTTGTCTTTGTGTGACTGGCTTATTTCACCTGGCATAATATCCTCGAGGTTCATTGTGGTGTTGCATATTGCAGAATTTCGTTTTTTAAGGCTTAGTAATATTATATTTTACATATTTACCACATTTTTATTAACCATTCATCTGCCCATGAACATTTAGGTTGTTTCCACATCTTGGCTGTTGTAAATAGTGCTGCAATGAGCAGGAGTATGCTAATGTTTCTTTGAGATCTTGATTTCAATTATTTTGGCTAAATATTCAGAAGTGAGATTACTGAATCATATTACATTTCTAATTTTATTTTTTTAAGAACCCCCATACTGGTTTCCATAATGAATGCATCATTTTGTAGTCCCACCAACAATGTCCAAGTGTTCGCATTTTCCACGTCTACACTGATACTTGTCTTATTATTTTTTATAATAGCCGTCCTGATTGGCGTGAGATGATATTTCATTATTACTTTGATTTGCATTTCTCTAATGATTACTAACATTAAACTTTTTTTCATATACCTGTTGGACAGCTGTATGTTTTCTTTAAAGAAATATTTATTCATTTCCTTTATTCATTTTTTATTTGAGTTATTAGTTCTTTTGTTACCAAATTGTAGAATTCTTTATGTATTTTAGAGATTAACCTCTTATTAGTTATATGGTTTGCAAACATTTTCTGACATTCCAGAAGTTGCTTTTTGTGCTATTGATTGCTATGCAGAAATGTTTTAGTTTAATATAGCCCTAATTATTTATTTATTTATTTGGTTGCCTGTGCTTTGGGTATTATATCAGTAAAACCTATCAAGACCGGTATCATGAAACTTTTTCTCTATGTTTTCTTTATTTTACAGTTTCAGATTTTACATTTGTATTTCTAATCTATTTTGAGTTGATTTTTTATATATAAAATGAGATAAGGGTTCTATTTCGTTATTTCCTATACAGATGTCTAGTTTTCCCAACACTATTTATTGTAGAGATAATTCTTCCCACATGGTGTGTTTTTGTGATCTTTGTTGACAATTACTTGACTGTATACTAATGGGTTTATATCTGGGTTCTCTATTCTTTTCCACTGATGTATTCCATCATTGTTCTTCTTTTTGTTTTTGCTTTGGCTAGGACTTCAAGCGCTATGTTGAATAAAAATGGCGGGTGAGCTTCTTTGCCTCATTTCTGGTTTTAGAGGAAAAAGCTTTTAGTTTTGCTGTATAGTTTGGATTATTGTAGCTTTGTACTACATTTTGAAATTAGAAAGTGTGATATCTCCTTTCTTTCTTCTCAAGCTTATTAGTTTTCTACTTCTGGAAGAAATTTCCTTTGGGATTTTGATAGGAATTGCAATGGATAGCTTTGGATACTTTGAACATTTTAACAATAGTAAGCCTTCTAATCCATGAACACATAATGTCTTTCTATTTGTGTGTGTATTTATTAATTCCTTTCATCAGTGTTTTGTAGTGTTCAGTATGGAAGTGTTTCACCTCCTTAGTTAGGTTTATTCCTGAGTATTTTACTCTTTTTGCTGTTACTGTAAATGTGACTGTTTTCCTAATTTACTTTTCAGATAGTTTTTTGCTAATGTGTAGAAACACAACTGATTTTTGCATGTTGACTCTAAACTCTGCAATTTTAGTGAATTAATTTATTAGTTCTTCAAATTTTTAATGGAGACATTTGGGTTTTCTATTTTTCTGTTTATAAGATCATGTCATTTTCAAACAAGGACAATTTTTCTTCTTCCTTTTTTATGCTTTTCTTACTCTGGCTGAGATTTCAAGTACTATGTTGAATAGAAGTGGTGGGAATACTTCTCATTTCTGATCTTAGAGGTAAAGCTTTCAGTTTCATCACTGAATGTAATGTTAAGCTGTGGACTTTTCAGATACAGTCTTTGTTATGTTGAAGTACTTTTCTCATATTTTGAGGTTTCATAGAGTTTTTATTTTGAAAGGGTGTTGAATTTTGTTAAATGTTTTCCTGCATCTATTGAGATGTTCACGTGATTTTTATCCTTCATTCTGTTAATATGGTGTATCATATTTATTGATTTGTATCTGTTGAACAATTCTTGAATCCCAGAGAAGAATCCCACTTGGTCATAGTGTATGATCATTTTAATTTCTGTTGGATTTGGTTTACTAACATATTCGTGAGGACTTTGTGTCTATATTTATCACAATACGGTGGACTGTAGTTTCATATCTTTGTCTAGCTGAAGTGTCAAGATAATGCTGGCCCCATAAAATTAATTTAGAAGTGCTCCTTCCTCTTCAGGTTTTTGGAAAAGTTTGAAAAATATTGCAGTGAAGTGTTTTTTAAGTGTTTGATAGAATTCACTAGAGAAACCATCTAGTCCTGGAATTTTCTTTGCTTCGGGAAGTTTTTGATTATTGTTTCAATCTCCATACTAGTAATAGATTGGTAGACTATAACTATAGATAGACTTTCTATTTCTTTATGATTTAGTATTGGTGAGTTGTGTGTTTATAGGAATTTGCCCATTTCTCCTAGGTTATCCAGTTTGTTGGGATATATTATTCATAGTAGTATCTTGTGATTCTCTGTATTGCTGGTGCATCAGTTGTAATGTCTCCACTTTGATTTCTAATTTATTTATTTATTTGAGTCTTTTATTTTTCTTGTTCTAGCTAAGGGTTTGCCAATATTGTGTATCTTTTTTAAGAAAACTCAGCGTCATTGATTTTTAAAATTGTTTTCTATGTTTCATTTCTTTTATTTAGAAAAGAAATAAAATTCCACTTGTTATTTTCTTTTGTTTCACTTTTTGTTGTTTCCTTTCTTCCTCTAACTTTGAGCTTACCTTTTTCTTCTTTTTATAGTTCCTTGGGGTATAAAGTCAGGTTGTTTACTTGAAACATATTTTTCATTTTAAGGTAGGGTTATCCCAATAAACTTCCTTCTTAGGACTGCTTTTGATGCATCCCATTAGTTTTGGTCTATTGTGTTCTCATTTTTATCTTCTTTTTTAGTTTTTGGTTTTAGTTGTTTCTCTTTTTTTTTAATTTTCTTTTTGATTTCTTCATGACAGTGATTGGTCAAGAAGATGTTGTTTACTTTCCAGATATTTGCGAATTTTCCAATCTTTCTTCTATGACTGATTTCTAGGTTTATTCTATTGTAGTGAGAAAAGATATTTTGTTAAATACTATTTTTTCCAAAGTTGTTAATACTTATTTTGTGACCTAACATGTAAGCTACTCTGGAGAATATTCTATGTGTTCTTGAGAAGGATGTGTATTTTGATGTTTTGAGTAGAATGTTCTGTGTAGTTTACTAGGTCCATTTGGTCTATAGTGTTGTTGAAGTTCTCTTTTTCCTCACTGATCTTCAGTCTGCATGTTCTGTCTATTACTGAAAGTGGTATTTTGAAGTTTTCTACTATTATTGTTGCTATAGTCTGAATGTTTCTGTTCCCTAAAATTCATGTTTAAAGCCTGGCCCTTAAGTAATATTATTAGGAGGCACTGTGTTTGAGAGGTGATTAGAATACAATGGCAGAGTTCTTATGAACTGAATCAGTGCCTTGTAAGAAGCCCCGAAGTGATCCTTTGCCTTTAACTACATGGGGCACAGCAAGAAGGTGCTTTCTATGAACCAGCAAGTAGGCCCTCACCAGACACCAAATCTGCTGATGCCTTGATTTTGAACTTTGATCCAGAACTTTGTGAAACTGGGTAAGCTACCCAGTTAATGGTATTCTCTTATGGCAGCCCAAACAGAGTAAGACAATTGTATTGCTCTATTTCTCCCTGAAGTTTTGTCAAGGTACCAACAAGTTTGGTGTCTGGTGAGTCCTACTTGAGTTAACCATTTCAAATGCATGCTACACACTCTGTACTCCTTCTCCTGCATTCTTTCTCATTTTCATTTTTTTTTTCAATTTTGGTAAGCCCAAGTCCTCACTATGGCCTACAAGGTCCTAGCAGGTCAGTTTCAACAGCCTAACTCTTTGTCTTTATAAGTTTATCTCCCATTATTTTTACCCTGTCTCTCAATAATCTAGCCACTGGCTGCCTTGTCCTTCCTTCACTACATCAGGCGCATTCTTGGCATTAGGAAATCTGTATCTATGTTTCCTGTTCAGAAATCTCTTCCCAAATAGCCATATGTCTAGTTCAATCAACTCTATTGAGTCTTTGTTCTATTGTTACATGTAATCTAGGCATCCCTCAACTATTCTTTTTAAAATTGAAACCTGCCCCTTTAAGCCCTGGCAATCCTGATTCCCTTTATATCGCTCTTTATTTTTCTATGGCTCTTAGTGCCTTCCAGAATGCTACAGAATTACCTTAATGTTTATCACCTTCCTCTGTGCTGAAGAGCTACTATTTGCAAAGATATTAGTTTTGTTTATTCACTTATCCAAACAATTAGTGTCTGGCATGCAGTAAATTATGTAGTAAATATTTTTTGGATGAATGAGTGAATGAACTAATATTTATCTGACAAACTCCCTCATGGAAACATAAACCAAAGTTTTCACTCTTGACCTCAAAGAGAAATAAATCCTTTTCATTCCTATTGATCTCTCAACTCTTCACCAAACCTAGAAGACACATTTTTTAGCATACTTTTTTTTTTTTTGCCAGAGTTATCATTAAAAAATGAAGCCTAAAACGTTCCATTCTGGTTTCAGCTTTTTACTTGATTCATTGACTGCAATAAACCACTAATTTGCCAAACTCCCATTTGTCTACATGATTTTAAAAAGTCAATAAGTTCTATATTTCCTTCAAATTTTATCACAAAATTAGTAAATTTCTGGTATAAAAATTGTATCAGTCTTGTTTGAATGTATATCCCATGTTATCAAGTATAACATTATGAATAATACATTTAAAAATACTTATTTCTATATGTGCAAACTTGTCTAATTTAAAAGATACACAGTTGATTTTTGCTTTCTATTTTTCACTTTTAAAACTGAATGTATACTTAAGATTTATAACTGGTCAAGCTTTTGCACAATGGATCTAAGTCAGTAAGAAGTAATGATACAGGAGAAAAAAGAAAGAAAAGGGATAAGAAGAAAGATAATGACGGCAGTGAAGGTAGAGAGGAAGCAATAAATGAAGGAAAAAAAATTAGCTACAAAACTAGGGATTGATTAAAGGAATTGGTGCCTGAAAGATACAGAATAATTCTTTTAAAAAAATCTTTAATTGAAATACAGTAGAATTTGCTCTTTTTGGTGTCTACTTTTTACACACACACTGATTCTTGTAACTAGTACCACAGACAAGTGGATCCTTAATATTTTTTGTAACAACATGAGGAAGTCTCTTACAATTAAAACATACATATAATAGGAGCTGCAGGAATATATTGGGTGTTACAGTTGCTCAAGTTCAAATAAAAATGGTTTCTATGTCAGAGTCATCTAAACTAGCACTTGAAATCTTAGAAACATAGATTAGTATCTTTTTAAATTATAAATATTTATATGTTACTTGAATAACTTTGTTACTTTTCAAGTGAATAAAATTCTTCTTACTTTGATAGACTTCTTTAGAGTCTTGGCACATGTTCTAAGCCTATTGGAAATGTGTTTAAGAAAATTTGGAAAAGTTCTATATTGCTTAGTAAAATAATGAAGCATTGCCTCATACTTTCAATTTTTATTTCTCTAAGCCTTTTTTATCTTCTGCCTCTAAGAATGCTCAGTTTTTAGGTCTCCATGCAGAGCTTCAATGTCACTTTCATGCTGATGATTTTTGTATATTCCCCTTCACTCACCCTAGCTAGACTTCTCTTCTTAATACAATATTCCTAGTTATTTATAGGATGTTTCTACATATGTGTTCTATTTGTATGTCATGTTTAACAAAAATCTGAAACTCATCATATCTCACTCAAACAAGCTCAAAATCTGAAAGCTTTATCCTAAGCCCTTTTATTTTCCCTTGCTTTTTATATCCAATGAGTTGTTAGGTCCTACAAGATTTATTTCTCCTGCGATTTTTAACTTCTATCCCATCTTTTCTATTTTTCAGGGCTACCACGCTGGTCAGATTTATGTAGGGTCTTATTTATACTAACTTCTTCCCCTCCTGGTTTTGTACCTTCAATTCAACCAATATATTATTGTCAAAATAATCTTTCTAAGGTATTCTTTATACTATAAGTTGTATTTAATTGTTTACTGTTGCCGATTGTATAAATTTTAAACTCCTTATCAGGTAATTAGAACTCTCTAGGTTCCCACCCAATGTATCTCTGGAATTTGGCAAAACAATATTAAAAATTTCTTTCTAGTCTACATTCCAGCATATTTAATGCTCAGAGTTCATTAGAGAAACACAAAACCCAACTTTTTTTCAATTTTACATTTTATAAATATAGAAAGCTCTCAACTTAAATTTGTAATTACCTCTTTTTTTATTTTCTGGAATAACTTACCTTCTTTATATTTTTCTAGCCAACAACATTCTTGATGAATTTCTTTATCCTTCTATTTTGTCACTTCCTAAATACAAAATAATGTGGTGACAGATTTTCTTTTTTTTTTTTTTTAAGAAACAGGGTCTCATGTGTTGCGTAGGCTGGAGTTCAGTGTTACAAACACAGCTCACTGTTCCTCACATTCCTGGGACCATAGGCTTCTGTCACCATGCCCAGCTAAGTTTTTAAAACATTTTTGTAGAGTTGGGGGGGGGGGGGTCTCAGTTTGTAGCCCAGTTTGGTCTTGAACTCCTAGGGTGGTGACAAGTTTAAACTCTGTAAAAGCATTAAAAGAAAAGCTTAAAAATGAAATGGATCATTGGAATTATTAAGCATGGGTTGGACTACTATTTGGCAGGTATCTATGAGAACTGAGGAAAGAAAGGTGGTTGAACAGACACATTTAAATTCCTTTTAACTCTAATATTTAGTGGTTCTAAAAATATACTTTTCAAGTGTTTTACCTTGTACCACTTTTCTTCAAATGGTCTGCATTCAATACTGGATACTTAATATTATTTGCCAAAAGATCTCCTTCTCCTCTTTTATTACCCTTGAAATCTTTCCTTTTTATTAACTTTATTCTATGGCTCTTCTTCCAAAGGTTTGACCATTCATGATCTAGTGACTACTGAGATGTTCCTAAAGCTAACTTCATTTTGAAGTAAAGAAATGTAAGATTTTTCTCAAATCCCATTGGTATATTGTCAAACCAAGACTATTTTCTAAAGAATTTTAAGCACTATTCTTCATCGTTTAAAAGCAAGTAGGAAAGTAGCATAAAACAGTTTGTGCATGCCTTTCAAATCATACCTCTGCCTGAAAGGTATGTAGAAGATTGCAGGAATAAAAACAGAGGCCTAAAATGGCATGTGGTAGGGCTGTCATAGCCTTCCCTGATTTTCCATTGAAATATATACTGAAACTCACACAGAAAAAATGGACAAAAAATGGACAAAACTACTGCTGTAATCTAAAGAGAATTTCTCCAAGACTAATGGAACTGAATTGAAAGAAACAATTGCATTTCAATGCATCTTGTCTTCTATGGGTCAGAATAAGCTCCTGCCTCCTTCTCTAAATCTGGTCTCTAGACTCTAGCTCAGAAGCATAAGTTACAAGAAGCATTACATGACTTGAGTTTTTCAAAATAACAAAGACATGATTCCCAGTCATCCATTTCTTCCAGCAATACTTCTCCCCCAACAACCATTCAAAAGCTGCATTTCCCAGAAACCAACTAAGCAAGATATGGAGGATGCTGATAATTAGGTATTGCGTACCACAGGTGTGTTTTCTAGAAATAGTTTTTTTTTTTTTGGACAGAAACATCATCTAGAGATCTCTTAGAGTAGTGCAGTGTTTTTCACATACTTTTCATACACTATGCATGCAGTAAAACAAATAGTAGGTAGAAAAGAAGATTTCAGGATAGACCTATAGAAATAATTAAATGAAATCTTACAAGAGTCTGAACATACGATTAAAATTCCTAACATAGCAGCCTGCTATTTGTTTTAGATGTGATAAAGGGATTGTCCAGGTTGACAGAGAAGAGACAAAAGGCTATCCAAACAAAGAGGCTACGTGATTAATATAGGTTTGGAAAGATCTCCTTCAAGGAGGACTAACATGCAATTGTATGGTGTGGGTGGCATTGCAATTAGAAAAATATGGATGCAAACCTCAGCTTTTCTACCCACATGTGTAACTGTTGAGTTATTTTAAAGATTATACAGCATTTGGCATTTATTTGGCATTTAAAAAATTGAGCTATTGTCATAATTACTATTATTCAAGAATAATTTAAAAAACAAACTATTACATATGACCTATGGAACAATTTTGCAAAAGCAAAGAGAGCATAGTTACTTAGAGAAAGAACAGATTGTCAGAAAATGGTTTAGTACAGAGACCATAATAAATTTTTTAAAAATGATTTGTCATACATAGTATGTGCCAATTAAATATGATTACTTATGAAAAAGGAACATTATGATATAAACATATATGGATCAGATTAAGAGAAATATGATTAGAAAGAAATGAATATGAGAGTTGAAAAAAATCATGACAAAATTTGAAATATAATACAAACATTAAATTATACATTTTTTTTTTTTTGAGATGGAGTTTCACTCTTTTTGCTCAGGCTGGAATGCAATGGCGCGATCTTGGCTCACTGCAACCTCCACTTCCCACGTTCAAGTGATTCTCCTGCCTAAGCCTCCTGAGTAGCTGCGGTTACAGGCACATGCCATCACGCCCAGCTAATTTTTGCATTTTTTTTAGTATAGACGGGGTTTTGCCATGTTGGCCAAGCTGGTCTCGAACTCCTGACCTCAGGTGATCCACCCGCCTTGGCCTCCCAAAATGCTGGGATTACAGGTGTGAGCCACCATGCCCAGCCTAAAGTATACATTAGAGACCACTAAAAAGATAACTTGAACTGAAGATAATAGAATAAGTGAAAGTTAAACTTTTACGTTTTGGAGAAAAAAAATTAAAAATTTAAATAATATAAAAAAAATTATCATTGTGAAGAACTGTTCCAAAAAGTCTTCTAATTTATTTAAGGAAGTAGATTGTATTATAATGAATTAACAGCATTCTCACCACTGGATGTTTAAAAGGATTGACGGTAGAATATGGGCAAGGAATTTCTTTTTTTTTTTTAATTTTCTTTTTTTTTATTATTATACTTTAAGTTTTAGGGTACATGTGCACATCGTGCAGGTTAGTTACATATGTATACATGTGCCATGCTGGTGCGCTGCACCCACTAACTCGTCATCTAGCATTAGGTATATCTCCCAATGCTATCCCTCCCCCCTACCCCCACCCCACAACAGTCCCCAGAGTGTCATGTTCCCCTTCCTGTGTCCATGTGATCTCATTGTTCAATTCCCACCTATGAGTGAGAATATGCAGTGTTTGGTTTTTTGTTCTTGCGATAGTTTACTGAGAATGATGATTTCCAGTTTCATCCATGTCCCTACAAAGGACATGAACTCATCATTTTTTATGGCTGCATAGTATTCCATGGTGTATATGTGCCACATTTTCTTAATCCAGTCTATCATTGTTGGACATTTGGGTTGGTTCCAAGTCTTTGCTATTGTGAATAATGCCACAATAAACATACGTGTGCATGTGTCTTTATAGCAGCATGATTTATAGTCCTTTGGGTATATACCCAGTAATGGGATGGCTGGGTCAAATGGTATTTCCAGTTCTAGATCCCTGAGGAATCGCCACACTGACTTCCACGATGGTTGAACTAGTTTACAGTAGGAATTTCTTCATCTTAGTTTTTCTAAAATTCCTCTTAGTAATATTCTATTGTTTTTGTAGAAGTCTTAAAAGCTTTTATTAGCTTGCTTTTTTATATTATTGTTTTGTAAATGGGCATCTTATATTATTTACCAATTGAACCTGTGTATATCAGTAGAAATGTTTGTATGTAGATATGTAATTGGTTTTTGATACTGTTCATGGTATTCTGATAGACTGACTTATTAATTTGGTATGCAACTGTGGTTCCTTTTGAATATTTAGATGTAATATCCTATCATCTAATAAAATAGCTTTTCCATGTCTTCCTTACTATTTTTAAAATTTATAATTTATGTGTATTTTATTAGTGCACTGGCTAGGACTTAAGCTACATTCTTAAATAGTGAGAAAGATGGTAAGAAGTGTCTTGTCCTGATTTCCAAGGGGAAGTTTTGAACATTTTACCATTAAATATAACGTGTGCTACACATTTTTATGGATTTCATGTATTAAATTTCAAAATTTCTTTTGTGTTTGTATTTTCTAAGAGATATTATAATGAATGATTTTTTAATTTGAGCAACACTATTTTAATGTATCTTTAGATTACCATTTTAATTATTTCCTTATATTTTATTAGAATTTACTTCATTTTTATTTTTAACCTCTTAATACACACACACACACACACACACACACATAAATACAGATAGATATATTAGAGACTGTTTTTTAAGTATGGCTTTCCCTGTCTTCCATAAGATTGATAGGTAATATTTTAAATATTATTAACTTCAACATAGTTATTAATATGCATTGTGATCCATTGTATCTCCTGAGTTATATAAATGTGTATAGCTTAATTTTCAAATATTTTATTTTTTCTAGTTAAATTTTCAGTATTTTTTTTAACCTCAATTGCATGGTAATCAGAGAACATACTCTCAGTTCAATTCCGAAACTTCGTATGTCAATATTCTGCAGTTCTTGTATGCAATGATATAGCACTTAATATACACACTATAATATCTTCATTAAGTTATATTTCTTATTAATGTTGCTTAGCTCTTCTAGTCAATTATTATTAACTTGTACCCTTTGTTCTATCAAAGAGAGATTTCCACTAACATTTAAAAATATAATTACAGAATCAGTTTTTTTCTATTTTTAGTTCTATAATCTTTTGTTTAATATATAGTAAGCTAATATTGATTTGTTGAAAACAAAATTAGAAGTATATATTTCTGTTACATTGAATCTTTTATCACTATGAAATTTTCCTCTCTTTCTTTAGGAATGCTCTTTATCTAAATGTTTCCTTTGTCTCATGTTAATACTGCCAGGTCAGTTTTATTTTAATTTGTCTTTATGTAGCATAACTTTTTTTGCATTATTTTATTATGTTTTCTGTATTTTAATTTTCTGTAAATAAAAAATAGAACTGTGATTTTAGGAAATCAAGTATAGCAACTTTGATTAGATTTTTATCCATTTATATTTAATGTAATTACTAATATAATTGGATTTAAATTTATTTTACTGAGATCTTTCTACTTTTCACCCTTGTTGTAGGTTTCTTTGTTTGCTCATTTCCTACTTTTAAAAAATGTTGTGTGTTTAACCTAAAAATTATCACATTAATCTTGACTTACCAAAGTCTAATGTTAGTTGGGGCCTTACCTTTTGTTAAGGACCTTTGAATCTTATTACCACATCATTAGTTATGTGCTACCATTGTGTTCATTAATATATTGTAAATGCCGGCAGGTGATAGAACATTTTTCTTTTCTTGCTCTTTATTTTCTTTTTTTTGCTTTTACGAAATGCAATTTTTGCACATTTTTCTTTCTTCCTATAGACTTCCCTTTAGTTTTTCCTTTTCTGTAGATTTTTCAGAGATATATTTTCTGTTTTCCTTGTCCATAAATGTACTTATCTTAATACTTAGCGAATATTTTTAATGGACATAGAATTCTAATTTAACAGCTATATTTTAGCACCTTAAAATGTCATTTCAAAAGGGTTTATCTTCTAGTCTCTATTGAACTGGTTAATAGCTTCTTAGTATTATTGACTTTTCTTTGAAGACAATCTTTAATTCTGTTGTTGCCTTTAAAATATTCTGCTTTAGTCCATTGGTTTTCAGAAATATTACTAGAATGCAATCTAAATATTACTAGAATGCATTCTAGTAATATTCTAAATATTTCTGGAATGCATTCTAGTAATATTCTAAATATTACTGGAATGCAGTTTAAATTTAAATTTAAAACATAAACAAAAGTTTTATGTTTACCTCTCTCATGTGTCTGGGGCATTGACAATCTAGAACCATCTTAATAGAATTTCAGGTATTAAGATAATTTGCAGTTGGGATAAAGTCTTGGGGAGGAGCAGTTAACTTCTAGTTTAGCCTTATTTTAAGGATATAGCCCTCTTGGGTCTCATACAAATTCACGTAATTTAATAAGGCCTCCCACATTTAAGTCGACATGTTCTTCCACCTTTGTTCCTTTAGCAGAGGAGGCTATAAATTAATGTGCTATGAATCTCTTAGGATAAGCAAACACCCCAAGGTTGAGTAAGTTCCAGATATCAAGCCCTTATCTCTGGATCTCTGTCTTCTCCTTGATCTGGGCCTAGCAATTATTTATTTTTACTCTTTTTTCTTAATAAAGAAAAGAAGTTTATTTAGTTCACATTTGTGCAGGTTGAGAAGTTCAAGAGCATGGCCCTGGCTTCTGGTGAGGGCTTTCCTGTTGCATCACAACATGGTGCAAAAAGTCAAAAGAGAGTGGACATGTGCAAAGAGGGGAAAACCTGAGGGACCGTCCTAGCTTTATAACAATCCACTCTCATGGGAATTAATCCATTTCTGCCAGAACTACTTCAGTCCTGGAGAGAAAGAACTCACTAACTACTGGGATAACAGCACCAAGCTGTCTTTTGCCTTCAAGAAGAATTTTTTCCTACAGTTTTCTAATTTTGTTCAGAAGGAGTGTTCTGAAATTTTGTAATCTGCAATTGTTGAAGGCACATATATTTGTCGATTACTAATTTAAAAAGAAATATTTATATAAAAAGAAATAATGTGTTTTCTCAAAGTCTTCATACTTTGATTTTATCTTAAAGAACCAACCAGTCTGTGGTCCAGGATTATTAAGCCATGGCTGCTCTAGCAATACCACTATTTTTATTTTATTCTACTGTATAAATGTTCAACATGGGATATCTGACACTCTATATACGCACAGATTGTCAGTTCTTTCCTGCATCCCTTTCTTGATCATCAGCTAGATTAGCGAATTAATGTATTATTTCAAATGTTCATGTCAGTTATGACTCATGTTTCAGTTTGTAATTTCATTAGCAAGCTCTTAATAGAAAGCCTCCTTTATGTGGTAAATTTAAAAAATAACTTATAGAATGTACTATAAAATAGAGAAGTAAAGTAATGATAAAATTCCATTAAGAAGCAAGATTTAAATAGGCTAGATATAGATCTTTTCTTTATTTATATCCTGCTATTTCAGTTCAATTTATTAGCAACTGATAGTAGCTGTCATTTATCACAATATAATATATAGTAGATATTTTCTGCACATTTTTCTCATTTTTTTTTCACTTAAAGTTAAGCCTTATTATTAGTTTGACTATAATAACACTTCAAAATCTAGAGAGGTGTACATGTTTTAAATCTTTTAAATTCTATCCATATTAAAAATCTACTTCCCAGGTAAGTGTAAACACCATTTTCTATCATTTACAGATAGAAAATGCCCTGTGATGTCATCACTCATCCAATTATAATAATCTTCTCCAATCTTATTGATCTTTCAGGAAGGCAGATGTCAGTATCATTGGTTAACCATCAGATATGATTTGTATTTGGACCATCTTCAAGTTGCATAAATTGTTCTTCAGAGAGAATACCTGTTATTTTAAATTTCATCCATTTAATATTATCAGTGCCAAAAAAAGAATACATTTCACAAGACGACATCACAAGACAGAGTAAAATGATTGACATTTTTCCCAGAGATATTCAAATTGTAACTGAAAAAGAAATATTTGAGCTAAATTTTGGAGATAATAATGGCAATAATACTAGTAGCTAATATTTATTGAATGGACATTTTGTTCCAGATATTATAAAACACATTTTACATATATGTGTATATAGGCATGTTTGTTTTAATGCTTGCAGGAGTAGGCATCATAATTATTGTACTTTTTGTTAATTCTGCAATGGGTCAGAGAAATTAAGTAATTTGGCAATGATGACACCACTAGTCAGACGTTAATTTGAACCACGCACAGTCTAAGTCTAGAACTTGTGTATTTAACAGTTGTGCTACAGTGTCTCCCATTATGAAAAATAAATAATTGAAGGAGGCTTAAGCTAAATAGTAGATTTTTTAGCACTGACAATTCTATTGAATTGGAGAAGATGGAACAGATATGAGAGATATTTTTGGTAAATATTGCTATTTTATGGTGACTACTTAGATAATGGGAGTGAAAAAAGAAAAGTATACATTTGGTTTGGAGACTGTGTAAGCACTGAATAATTTAACAGCTAGTGAACAATGCACCACTAACCTGCAGAGAACCATGGCCTATTGCCTCAGAGATATTCATATAAAGTTTTAGGGGTGTGTCTATAGGTTTATTTCTGAAATTTTTAATGCTTTGTGATATTATTTGAATAAAATACTAAAGGTAATAATAAACTTGTGTAAACATTATAGCCTGATCTTAGGTATGTTTTACTATTGTAAGAGATGAGTCTGGATCTTTAATTGAGTACGGTGGTACTGGAAATACAAAGGGAGTTAGCAGAAATAATTAGGGTTGGCAAGAACTTACCTGCCAAAAAGCAGGTTCAGCACAAGATGGCTATCTGGGGTGACCTTTATGTCCTCAGCCCTTATATCCTCAGTTCTTACCAGTCTGAGTAAGAATCAAATCAGGCTGATAAGCCTAATTTCATATTGACCATACCTGCCTATGCATCAACTCAGACTTCCTCAAATATCTAGACCCATTGTATACCAGTTCTTAGGGAATACCCTAGAGATACACCAAAATAAGTCTTTTTATATCTTCCTCTTTGGTCTTCTTATTGAAAGACAACTTCTTAGGTGGTGAAACTACTATCGTTTAAAACATTGAAACTGCTGTGAAACCATCTGAAAAATATAATAAAAAGTTAATGTCAAAAATGTAAAAGGAACATACAACTCAGTAAGAAAAAACCCAAATAACCCAATTTAAAATGGGAAAAAAGAATTAAATATTTATCAAAAGAAGACATACAATTGGCCAAAAAGTATATAAGAATGTGATCGACATCATTAATCATCAGGTAAATGCAAATTAAAACCACAATGAAATGTTACCTCACACTTGTTAGGATGGCTATTACCAAAAAGAGAAGCAATAGCAAGTGTTGGGGTGGGTTTGAGGAAAAGGGAACCCTGTACATGATTGGGAATGTAAATTGATACAGCTATGATTGAGAACAGTTTGGAGGTTCCTAAAAAAATTAAAAATAAAATTACCATGTGATCCAACAGTTCCATTTCTGAGTATACACCTAAAGGAAATAAAATCAGTACCTCAAAGAGATATCTGCACTCCCATCTGTATTGGAGCATTATTCATAACAGCTAAGATATAGAAGCAATATAAAATGTTATTCAGTTCTAAGAAAGGAGAGCCTACCATTTGCAATGATATGGATTAACCTGGAAAACATTATACAAAATAAGCAAGACACAGAAAATAAATACTGCATAATCTCACTTATATGCAGAATTTTAAAAAGTCAAATACAAAGAAGCAGCAAATAGTACAGTGATTACCAGGGGCAGGGAGATGAGGGAAATACAAAGATGTTAGTTAAAGGATACAAAGTTACAGTTAGGTAGGATGAATAAATCTAGAGACCTAATGTACAGCTCAATGACTATTAATAATACTGAATTGTGTACTGGAAATTTGCTAACAGAGTAGATTTCAGGTGGCCTCACCCCGCCCCCCCCCCCCCCACACACACACAAATGCAATAGGCTGTGGTATTTGAAATTCACCAGTGTTACAGTCTTTGAATAGCTCTTTTGCATAAACTTCTTTCACTTTAAACCACTCTAAGCAACAATTCATCTTTAAGATGCTCTGTCAGGCAAGCTACAGTTATATCTTTGTATGTAATGTTATAGAAAAATTTCTATAAAAAGTACTTCATAGTTTAAAAGTTTTAATGTTGTGACAATCTAATAATAGCCATTGGCTCTGGATCTGAGGTAAGCACCATTCTCAATTTATGACATATATGATGAGGGGGATTAAAAAAAAGGTGTACAAGTGAGACAAGCTGTGTCAGATCTAATGTGAGGTTCGAGGGTTTGATCGGTTTTTGTCACCTGTACAGAAAAGAATGTTTCAAAATGTTTTATAATTTATATTAGCATTATTTCATAATGATTTCCTATAAAGGACAGCAAATACATTTACAAATTCTGTTCCTCAGTTTAGATTAAAATGTTTTTAACGTTTTAAATATTACCTTTATATACTTAACTTTTAAATGTACTAAGTTTAGTAGATAATTAAGTTAAATTATATTAATCTTAATAGAATTTTGAATAACCGCACCACTGGAGACAATAAAAGTCCTCTTCCCTAACTACCCCTTATGCTCTGCCCCCAGCATCACTGCCCCCTGTGGACTAACGAAAGATAACCCTACATGATGTTCTTGACTCTGCAGTCTAGGACACTTCATCTGATGATTTAGATCCGGATGTTGTTGTATAAAAACTTCACAATTAGAACCTATTCTAATAGTATTTTAAAGTGGAAGATAACGTTAGAATTTTCAAAAAATGAGGCTAAATGTTTTTCTTAGCAACCAAACCCATATTTGGATGCAATAGATAATTCATCTTCAAAACCAGATTTGTTCTCCTGTTGACATATAAGAAACTAATTACTCAGAATAAATATAGAAAAATTATGTAAGTGAAATGAAAACATCCATATGTACTAAGGTAAAATAAATTTCTTATGCATGTGATTTTATTCATATGTCAAATTATATATGCTTTCTCAGAAACTGAAATGATGGGATGAAATGAGCGATTATTATAAAGTGATGATATGTATGTTCCTTGTTGACCAATAAGTTACTTGTTAATCTATACATCATAAGTTTATTGATTCTTAATTCAACTTGAAAACATACTATGGGCAAAAGTAGATGTACATCACTGGGAATAAAACTGAGAAAGATGTGATTACTGTCTCTCTTGACTTGCAGTCTTATTTTAAACACATTTCAAAAAGCACACAGTGGTATTTACCTAATTGCAATTTATATAAATTCCATGAACTGAAAATATGAGATGCTATGTAATCGGTAATGTGGGCTCTAACCTATTATTTTTAAATATTAACACAAAATATTGTATATATTATAACAATTTTCCATTTGCATATTGCCTATAAGTACTATATATTTCCAAACATTTCTGAATTATTTAATTTTGTTTTTATTGGGCATCCACTTTTGCAAGGGCCTTACTATTGCACATATTAATGTGCTTTTCCATTTGATACATGGACAACTCTGGTAAGCATTAAAAATATTATTCAATTATTGTATATTAAACAAGTGAGTTTTTAAAGACTAATTTTGGTGGGTTTACAGCTTTGCTATAATCTCTGACAAAAGAGATTTTATAATTAAAGTGCTGACACAATGAGTACTATAAAAGCATGAACAGCCTTGCTATAAAAATGCTTATGATTGCTTTGGCTTCCTTTGCAGAGCTTGTGCTACAGAACTGCTACAGTAGGAGCAGTTGTGGTTGCTGATAATAGCGTGCCGTACACAGGATTCTTATCTGCTCATCAGATGCTATTTTTACATTATGGTTGAAACTTTTTCCTCCTGCACTTAAAGTGGCATTCACTCTATATTTCCATTCTGGGATGATAGCTTATAATGAGCAATCTCAATTAAGCTGAACCTCAAGATGTCCAACTTTTCAATAAAGTAATAAATTAGACTTGATGGCAAGTGACTTTGACATGTACCATCACACCATATCAAACCAAAGGCATTTACAACACTTGTAATCCACTTGGAATTTGGATGGAAAACTTACCAATAGATTTTTCAGGAAATTCAAGAACTGTTGGAATTAAAGAGGTTAGGTGAAGTTTCTTCTACTGAAACTTGTTCCATTCTCCCTGTAACCTAATGAGAAAATAACAAGCACAGGCTTAAGTCTTCAGGGAGTAATGTGGCTTGAATATGAGAAGAACAGAAACAGTATAACCTGATAGTTGAGACTGAATTGAGAAAATGTAGCCTTGATTTCTAAAAGTCAAATAATTTTCACCTCAAAAACATTAGCAATACACAATTTGTTAACTTGATCACTCAGTTGTAAATTTAATAAACTAGAGGTGGCAGTGCTTATTGATTGGTTAATTTTAAGGGACTCTTTCTTTGATACAAACATTCACATTCGTCAATACTTCTCAGTTCTAGGACCCTTCTCCTTTTTTTTTTTCCAGATTGTATTTTTGTAATAGTCTTGAGTTCTCTGCAAAATGAATATGAGGATGTTGTGCATGTGTGGAAATAACATGACGTTATATATCAGCTTGAAAGTAGTCAAAGACAGAAAGTACAATGGGGACTGGAGACAGCAGTGAGTTTTTAAACAAGGCCGTTCATTGGAATTCTAGGCAAGGAAATTGTATCTGCCACCAGGCATTTACACCAGGCAAAATACCAGAAGATTATCTTCCTAAAAAAAACTTGATATGATAAGGGATTTAGAAGAATTAGGACAGTTAGTATTAGCACTGCACCTCAGAGTAAAGCCTTCTAATTTAGTATTTAGATAATTCCAGGGTAACAGGTGGCTACCTACCTACTCAGCCTAATGTAAACCCATCCACTCACCTATCTACAAGGCTCTACAAATATTCCTGTCCTCTCATTTTATGCTATTAATAAAAAATCAAATCACCAGATACTTGAGAAATGTACAAAGGAAAAGAAAAATTAGCCTACCACACAGGAAAACAGGCCCACAGAAAATTGAGCTGGTTTGGGAAATTATTAATAGAGTTTTAAGCATGTATGCATGTGTGCACATGAACATACACGGATATCCTCTCAGATTATCTGTGATATTTGATAAGATTATGCATTATATTATTTTTACATATGACTATTATATATGTATACTATATATTT
This sequence comes from Homo sapiens, assembly GCF_000001405.40. Classification (NCBI taxonomy): domain Eukaryota; kingdom Metazoa; phylum Chordata; class Mammalia; order Primates; family Hominidae; genus Homo; species Homo sapiens. Next base: position 9,980,723 of record NC_000007.14, on the reverse strand, counting down.
ATGTACATATGTATATATTATGCATGTACATAATACACATATATTAGTATATATATGCACACACCCACATATATATAATTTTTATATATATGTATGTGTGTGTATGTATATGTGTATATATATACATATACATACACATATATATGTATATATGATGTAAAACTCAGTAAAATGTTTGGAAGCTATATCCAAAGAAATGTTTTAGAATATATGATCAAAGTAGAGTCAGAAAATTTGGGGAAAAGTTATAATTTATAGAAATTTTTTTGTAGTACCAGATCTCAAGCTATTTGGTAAATATCTAAAACGAAAATAATTAAACCTATTTCTTAGCAGCTAGCAGAACAGGAATGAAAGAACAAGAGAAATAATTGCTTTTTTTATTTATTTGTATGCACATTTCATCAGTTAGCTCAGACATCTTTTCTATGGTTGTTAATTTCTCAGTATTAGCAGGGAAGTCTGACATAGATCTATTTAATTTATTGGTGATAAATTATTTATTAAAAACTCACTTTTTGGAATTGTTTTTATCATTTTATGCTCAGAACATTATGTACAAACAGACTTTATTCACCATAATGTTGATAGATTCTTTAATTACTTATCTGGAATAAGAGAGGCAGTCTTCGGCTGGGCGCGGTGGCTCACGCCTGTAATCCCAGTACTTTGGGAGGCTGAGATAGGCGGATCACGAGGTTAGAAGTTTGAGACCAGCCTGGCCAACATGGTGAAACCCTGTCTCTACTAATGATACAAAAATTAGCCAGGCATGATGGCACACGCCTCTAATCCCAGCTATTCGTGAGGCTGAGGCAGGAGAATCGCTTGAACGGGGAGGTGGAGGTTGCAGTGAGCTGAGATCAGGCCATTACACTCCAGCCTGGGCAACAGGGTGAGACCCCCATCTCAAAACAAACAAACAAACAAACAAACAAAAACGGAGAGGCAGTCTTCTAGATCATGTGTCAGCAAACTACAAACTACATCCATATACCAAATCCAGCCCGCTGCCTGTTTTTGTAAACAAAACTTTACAACACAGCATATCCGCTAATTTATGTATGGCGTATTGCTGCTTTTGTGCTACAGTGGCAGAGTTTAGTAGTTACAACAGATACCTCAGAGTCCGGAAAGCTGGAAATATGTATTATCTGGCTCTTTTCAGAAGAAGTTTGCCAATCTCTGATCTAGATTGTGGTTCTCAAAGTGTGGTTCCCAAACCAGCAACATTAGTATCAGCTGGGAACTTCTTAAAAATAAAAACTCTTGTGCCCCATGCAGAATTACTGTGTCAGAAATTTTGGAGGTAAAATCCAACAATCTGTTTAAAGTAGTCTTCTAGGTGATTCCAATGCACACTCAAACTTGATAATCACTGCTTAGGGTTAGTGTTGGTAAAATATGTCCTGTGGACTAAATCTGGCCCTTTTCATGTTCTTTGTAAGCTTTCATGCTAAAAATAGTTCTTACATGATTTTACTGGTTGAAAAAATTCAAGAAGAGAATAATGTTTTATGACTCTTCCAAATTGTATAACATTGAAATTTCAGTTGTGCATAAAGTTTTATCAGAACACAGCCACATTCATTTGCTTACATATTGTCTCTGACTCCCTTCACACTATAATGACAGAATTGAGTAGTTATAACAGATACCAAATGGCTCATGGAACTTTATATATTTGCTTATCTGGCACTCCATAACAAAAATTGCCACCTCCTGGCTTAAATCATAATCAAAGTGTATTTTATAGAACTGCTGAATTAGAAAAAAATACAGGACTTCAGAAATTAGAAATTTACACATTGAGGTGAAGTGCCTCCCCCAAGATCCTATCAAGCATCAGTGTGGACTCTAATCTGCAGGCACATCTGGGCAATGTCAAGCTGTCAGAAGCCAAGGCTCTGTTTTCATTAGGGCTCCTAGGCTCCTGAGAAGAACAGGGAAAGAACAAATTAGGTGGAGAAAAATAATAAGTAAACAAATGACCAGTAAATTTTAAACAGAGAATAACTGCAATATCAGCAGAAATTAAAACTCGTCACTTCTAACATGAGGTTCTAAAAAGTGAAAAGTGGTAACAGGTGTAAAATCGTGATCTTTACTCCACTTTCTTTTTGAAGCTTTCTTGCTTCTGTCAGGAGGCCACTGAAACACACTCCAAACCTATCTGAAATGTGTTTTTTACTGTTAGTAGGGTTATGCATAAAGAATTAATATTTTTAAAGGACATGGATTTTTAAAAGTCGAAAAGAAGGTAGAAACTAATAAATAAATGGTGTAAAATTTCCCCTAGCTTGCTAAATCCAAACTAACAAAACGTTCTAGTTAATAATTCAGAGCTCTTGAACTTAAATTCTTGAGAATTTCACATGCACCCATTGCTCATCTTGCACTTGCATGTAATGGTTGCTATGGGTGATCCAGAAATGAAACCATTCATGGCACTTAATTTAAAACTAAAACAGCTAGCAAGAATCTTTCCTCTCAGAGCATGTTGTCATAGAAGTAAATGAAAAGGTTGGGAGACTTTTCATTTGCTTCTGTGATAACATGAACTACTTGAACTAAGGAACATATTAATGTTTCCTCTGAAGCTTTCTATTATGTGTCAGGAGCCCCATTCCAGGATATCACACTGGAGGTGATGGAAAAAGACAGATGATAGAATGAAACGGTTGGTCCTAACACAAAATAATCAGGCATCTTTATATTTCCACTTTACATTATAAGAGGAAGCCTGATTAGATTCTGTGGTTTTACCTAAAAATAAACCTGGCTCAGGAGGAAGTTTTTTTTTCTATATGCAGTGGTTCTTATTATAAAAGAATTCCTTTTAAAGGCACAGGCAGATCTTCACAGGATACATATTATACTTCTCATATTAAAATCCAATAAACTCTAGAAGGGAGTTCTCACATATCATCTCATAAGTTTCAAATATAATAATAATAAAGTTTTTCTTAGAAATCTCCATTTGAGAGTCTTGAATATGACCTATCCCAAAAAAACTGTAAAAAATACAATTTTACTATTAAAAAATGCAAAACTTTATATTTAAAATTAGAATACAGACCTACTAACCACATCCTTTACACAGAGTCTGAAATAGAATCTAAAAATTATATTAAAGACTAGAAAGTAATTTTAGACTACACTTGCAAGTAGCCTCTAAATCAATGGTCTTTTGATTAATTGTGTTTTGGCTAGCTAAAAGGAAATAATGCATAAAAGAATACTATACTTTAAAGATTATAATAAAGAATTCTGCAGAAAGAAGATTAATACCCTGAATACTGGATAAATTTCACATTTGATGGCAGATTCATATAAGAAACAAAGCTATAAATGTACTAGACAAAAATATGTGTAAACACCTTAAAAATCATGGACCAAGGGAGCCTTTCCAATTATGGCTCAAAATTCAGAAGTCATAAAATTAAAGATTGAGAAATGCAACCAAATAAAAGATTTTTTAAAATATGCATAATCATAACAGCATAATGAAAACCAGAAAACAAATGCCTAACTCAAAAAGCATTCTTAATTTATATTTCAAAGAAGTTACCACTCTAAGATACAAAAGTCTTAAAAATTTATTAAAAATACATTCAATTGAAAGTACAAATAGACTAACAATAAAATAAACAGTGTAAAGAACAGATATAGAAAGGGCAAAAAATGACAGAATGCTCATTCTCTTATAATAAGAGAAATTAAAATGGAAATGTTGCAGATATTCTATTCCCTTTCTGATAAAATTGTCAAAAACTTCTAAGTTTGATTATATACCTTGTTGGTAAGAAAAATAGATAATCTTACCCAGCAAGCAGTGCTATAAATTGGTAAGACAACCTAGAACAGAGGTTTTGAATTAGAATGATTCTGTCCTCCCAGAGAAAATTTGGCAATATCTGTACATGTTTTTGATTGTCATAACTGTAGAGAGGGTTGCGACTGGCATCTAGTGGGTAAAGGCCAAGGATACTGCTCCATGCCCTACAATACATAGGATGGCTTCCATAAAAAATTATCTGGCCAATAATTAAAAAGTCGATAGTGTTGCTGTTAAGAAACTTTGCCCTAGATTTTAATTTTATAATATCGTTCAAACATTACATCACATATGTAGTACGTCTGTCACATCTAGGAATTTAACCTCCAGTGGCCAATAAATGCTATATATATATACACATATATATATTACACATATATATACATAGATATACACACATATATACACATATATACACATATATACACATATATATACACATATATATACATATATATATACACATATATATGTGTGTGTATATATATATATAAAACCACATATATATATATGGTTATTCAACAAAGCATGGTATAGTGCAGCAAAAAAAAAAAACTTGGTCAATAAGTATTAAAATATGATGCACCTATAAGCATGAGTAAAATGAATTGAGATGCTCAACATGTTTTATTAAACAACTATGTCTAAGTGAAAAATTGCTGGTAGTGATATACAATATGCTAACATTAATATTGGAAAAGAGGAAAATAAGCATTTATGTTCATATTTTTTATGGCTTTCTGTAATAAGAAAGCTCTGGGCTGGGCGTGGTGGCTCACGCCTGTAATCCCAGCACTGTGAAAGGCCAAGGTGAGCGGATCACTTGAAGTCAAGAATTGGAGACCAGCCTGGCCAACATGGTGAAACCCTGTCTCCACTAAAAATACAAATTTAGCTGGGCATGATGGCACGTTCCTGTAATCCTAGCTACTCGGGAGGCTGAGGCAGGAGAATCGCTTGAACCTGGGAGCCCAGATTGCGCCACTGCACTCCAACCTGGGCAACAAGAGCCAGACCCTGTCTCAAAAAAAAGAAAAAAGAAAAAAAAAAAGAAAGAAAAAGCTCTGGAAAGATTCAGACCACTGAAAGGAGAATGCTTGATTTCAGTTATACCACACATTCAGAACAGAAAACACTGTCACCTCTTTATGGTATGAGAGCAATGATCAATCATTTGCTGAAAAGAATAACTTAAAGGCAGAATATTGAAGGCAAATGTCTCTAAAGAACCTTTAATAAGTGGAAAAAAAACTAATAAGAAGAATAAATAACAAATGAAGAAACACATCAGATTTTTTACTGTGTTGTCAGTCTAAACAGATCAAACTTATTTTTGTGTGTTTTTTTAAAACATACTGTGGCAATGCCCAGTGGCTGTTCCATACATCTTCATTAGGGAACTGATTTTGCCAGGACAGCTGAGAAGGGAAACTCAAAATGCTATCTTGGATAACTCTAGGACATCCAAATAATGGGGGGAAAGGACAACTATGAATAATTCTACAAGATAAGAATGAAATTTTAAGTCAATGGATCTGTGAAAATTGGCAATTAAAGTACAGGCAAATCTTGTAATAGTAATTATTTTTAATATTAGCCACAATCGGTGAGAAAATAACAGACAGTGATTTTCTTCACAGTTCCAACTTCCAAGATACACTGCTATGTGGTGTTTCTTCCAAGCTTTAATAAGAAATATGATGATAAATGGCCCCTGCTAATGTTTTTAAGGCAGCCAAAATTAGAAGATAGAGTTTTTGTTAATAATTGTGTATTAGACAGAAGGAATCTTGGAGCATGCAGAGAATGACAAAGAGCTACTGTTGGTTTTAAAAGATACTGTCTAAATGACTTTTAAAAAAAAGAAACCTTGTCTTCATTATCGTCAGAACTGTAAAAGTTAATTTTCTTTCTATTCTGTTTACTTCTCCCCTAAATAAGCTGCCATGTACCTATATTTTCAGTTGCCTACTGTATCAAAATATTTACTATTTTTTTTAAAAAAAATCTACTGATGGAGACAACATGTATTTATTGTAGTAATTAAAACTTTGAGACAATAAAGTAAAAATGATGAGACATGTTAGTTGTCAAGCTATTAAGTGATAATGTGATGAAATAACTCTTTTTATAACAGGTTATATTGATATCTAGCAACGACTCTAATTGAAAAGTAATGTCATCTTAACAATTACACATGTTCTCATGAATAGACCAAATATATATTCAGTTGCAATATCTCTTAAAGGAGAGATGTTTTTGGTCCTTAATAGAGCATGTGTATTATAATATTATTAATTATTTTAAAATACTGCCAGCATCCTCTTAAATGCACTAACATGCAACTATAATCTGCTGTCTGTTTGATAGCTGAAACTAGCTTAAGTTTGAAAACTAACATTTCATTTCTTTAGATTTACTTGTAATTACTCCTGCCTAGATATTGTTCTTCCTGATTCTGTTGACAATTAAAGTACAGATGAATCTTGTAATTATTATTAACATCAGCCACAATCAGTGAGAAAATAACAGAGAGTGATCACCATAGAGGCTGTCTTTGAAACCAGGGAGAATAAGATAGTACCTCAAAGTAGACAGCCTGCAGCACATGCAGAGAGCTACTTTAAGCCACAAATCTCCATTACGTCTTTTACAAATGACAGTAGTAGCTACTCCTGAATCACCATATTACTAGAAATTGGAAAGAATGTTAAAATATTTACAAAAGCCAGGAAGATTTTCTTCTCAGGAATTATGCTACAATTCACCGAGGGTGTTAAATGTATTATTTATTTCTTCTTGGTATATTTATTGCTAGCAAAACTGGCCTACGGCCAGGATATTCCACAGGTCCTCTGTTGCTCCGGCATGCTGCCTGAGCTAGAAGTGTCTTTTTAAATATTGTTAGACAGTCTTGGTTCCCTCCGTGAAGTCTATAGACTAACACCAAGAAGCTGACATTTAACTAACAAATTTTCACTGAGATGAATGATTTGAGTCAAGTGGCATAAAATGACTTCAAAGTGCTCAGAAATTGAATCCAAGAATCAAACTATACTTAACAGCAGCCTTCTGGGTCTGCTTTATATCCATGTCAAAAGTTCAACTTCTCTTGTACGGGGGGACTTGAGACCAATGCTATGCATGATAATTTCTGTAGTCTTAATTATTCTATCAAATCTTAATGCAAATTAGAATTTTCAAGGACTAGAAAGCTCTAACATTATTAGGAGAACAAATAAATATACACACTACATACATTCTAGACACAATGCTGTATAGAATCTTGAGTCAGGTGCTTATTTATAATACTTAGTTACCGTGGTGATAGTATAATACCAAAGTTAAGGAATCAATTTATATTCTCTTAGTTTAGTCCCATTGACTTTTTAATTAAACTTCTGTTTTGAGATAATTGTAGATTCAATGCATGTAAGAAATAATAGAGAGAGATCCCATATACCCTGCACCCAGTCCTCCACAATGGTAAAATCTTGCATAACTGTAGTATAGGATGTTGGCCTTGATTCAATCCACCTATCAAACTCGAATTTCACTAGTTTTACATGCACTCTGTTCTGTACTGCCTACTACAGTCAATATAAAGAACTATTCTGTCCCCACAAGAATCTATTGTGCTGCCCCTTTATAACCACATCTATCTCCTTCCATCCACGCAATTCTCTAATACCTGGTGACCACTAATATTTTTCATCTATATAATTATTCACTTCAGGAATGTGCATAAATGGAAATGTAGAGTATATATAACCTTTTGGAACTGGCTTTTGGCTTTTGTTTTTTCTCAGCACAACTCTCTGAATATCTATCCAAGTTGTTGCAAGTACTAATAATTCCTTCTTTTCATTGTTAAGTAGTATTTCATGCTATAGATGTACTGGAAATTGTTTAACAATTTACCAGTTGGAGAACATTTTGATTTTTTTTTATTCTGTGCTATTAAAAATAGAATTGGTGTGAACACTTATGCACAGTTTGTTATGCAGACAAAATTTTTCATTTGTCTGGGATAAGTACTCAAGAATGCAGTTGCTAGGCCATATGGTAATTATGTGTTTAGGTTTATCAGAATTTGTCAAATTGATTTCCAGAGTGGGTGTATCATTATACATTCCTATCAGCAATATATAAATGATACAGCTTTTTTATGTCTTCTTCAGCATTTGGTGGTGTCACTTTTCTAAAAAAAAAAATTAGCCCTTCTGACAGGTGTGCAGTAATCTCATTGTAGCTTAAATTTGCATTTTTCTAATAGATTTTGTTGGCTTATTTCCATCTGTATGTCCTCTTCTATGAAATGACTATTCATGTGTTTTACCCTTATTTTCTAATTGAATTGTCTATAGGATTTTTGTTGTTGTCGAATGTGAGAATGCTAAACACTAGTTCTAGATACTCTTCCTTTATTGAATATGTGATATATTAGTCAATTTTCACACTGCTATAAAGAAATACCTGAGACTGGGTAATGTATAAACAAAAGAGTTTATAACTCACAGTTCTGCGTGGCTGGGAAGACCTCAGGAAATTACAATCATGGTGGAAAGTAAATAGGAAGCAAGGCACATTTTACATGGCAGCAGGTGTGAGAGAGCAAGAGAAAGAGAGCAAGCCAGCAGGGAACTGCCAAACACTTTTAAACCATCAGATCTCTGGGGAACTCACTCGCTATCATGAAAACAGCATGAGAGAAATTGCCCCCATGTTCCAATCACCTCCCACCAGGTCCCTCCATTGACATGTGGGAATTATTATTTGAGACGCAATTTGGGTGGAGACACAGAGTCAAACCATATCATTCCACCCGTGGATCCTCCCAAATCTCATGCCTTTTTCACATTTCAAAACCAATCATGACTTCCAAACAGTTCCCCAAAGTCTTAACTCATTCCAGCATTAACTCAAAAGTCCAAATCCAAATTCTCATCTGAGACAAGGGAAGTCCCTTCCACCTATAAGCCTGTAAAACCAAAAGCAAGTTAGTTACTTCCAAGATACAATGGGGGTACAGGCATTGGGTAGGTACTCCCATTTCAAATGGGAAAAATTGGCTGAAACAAAGGGGCACAGGGCCCATGCAAGTCTGAAACTCAGCAGAGCAGTCATTAAATCTTAAAGCTTCAAAATGATCTCCTTTGACTCCATGTCTTACATCCAGGGCACATTGATGAAAGGGGTGGGATCTCAAGGCCTTGGGCAGCTCTACCCCTGTGGATCTGTAGGGTGCAGCCCCCAAGGTTGCTTTCACAGACTGGCATTGAGTGCCTGTGGCTTTTCCAAGTATATGGTGCAAGCTGTCAGTGGATCTACCATTCTGGGGTCTGGAGAATTGTGGCCTTATTCTCTTAGCTCCATTAGGCAGTGCCCCAGTGAAGACTCTGTGGTGGGGCTCCAACCTCACATTTCCCTTCTGCACTGCCCTAGTAGAGGTCCTCCATGAGGGCTCCACCCCTGAAGCAGACTTCTTCTTGGACATCTGGACATTTCCTTACATCCTCTGAAATACAGGCATAGGCTCCAAAAGCTCAACTCTTATCTTCTGTGCACAGGCCCAACACCACATGTAAGCCACGAAGGTTTAGGGCTTGCACCCTCAGACTAATGTTCCAAGCTCTACCTTGTACCCCATTAGCTGTGGCTTGAGCTAGAGTGGCTGGGAGGCAGGGCACCATATCTTGAGGCTGCACAGAAGAGCAAGGGCCCTGGGCCTGGCCAACAAAACCATTTTTCCCTCTTAGCCTCTGGGCCTGTGATGGAAGGGGATGTTGTGAAGATCTCTGACATGCCCTGGAGACATTTTCCCCATTGTTTTGGCTATTAACATTTGCCTCCTCATTACTTATGCAAATTTCTGCAGCTGGCTTGAATTTCTCCCCAGAAAATAGGATTTTCATTTCTACGTGATGGTCAGGCTGCAAATTTTTCATACTTTTATTCTCTGCCTCCCTTTTAAATATAAGTTCCAGTTTCAGGTAATCTGTGAACACATGACTGAACACTTTTAGAATCAGCCAGGTTACATCTTGAATGCTTTGCTGCTTAAAAATTTCTTCTGCCAGATACCTTATATAATCTTTCTCAAGTTTAGACTTCCACAGATCTCTAGGGCAGGGGCAAAATGCCCCCAGTCTTTTTGCTAAAGCATAGCAAGAGTGATCTTTTCTCCAGTTCCCAATAAGTTACTCATTTCCATCTGAGACCACTTCAGCCTGGACTTCATTGTTCATATCACTATCAGCATTTTGGTCAAAACCATTCAATGAGTCTCTAGGAAGTTTCAAACATTCCCCCATCTTCCTATCTTCATCTGAGTCCTCCAAACTCTTCCAAACTCTGCCTGTTATCCAGTTTGAAAGTCACTTCCATATTTTTAGGTTTCTTTATAGCTCCACTCTTGGTACTGCTATGAAGTTTCACGTATTAGTTCATTTTTACACTGCTATAAAGAACTCTGAGATGGGGTAATTTATAAACAAAAAAGGCTTAATTGATTCACAGTTCCACATGGCTGGGAAGGCCCCAGAAAACTTACAATTATGGCGGAAGGGGAATGGGAAGCAAAGCAGGTCTTACATGGCAGCAAGAGAGAGAGAGACAGACAGACAGAGAGTGAAAGAGAATGCCAGGAAGAGGTGTCAAACACTTGAAACCATCAGATCTTGGGAGAGCTGACTTACTCTCATGAGAACAGCAGGGGGAAAACCACCCCCATGATCCAATAACCTCCCACCAGACCCCTTCCTCAGCCCATGAGGACTACAATTCAAGATGAGATTTGTGGGGAGACACAGAGCTAAACCACATCACATGACTTGCAAATACTTTCTCCTAATCAGTAGCTCACCTTTTTATCCTCTGCACAGAGAAAATATTTTCTTTACAGAGCAAAAGTTTTTAATTTTGATGAGGTCCAGTGTATCAATTTTTTATTGTATAGGGTATTCTTTTGGGGTCAAGTTTGAATGTTGTTAGAGCTAGATATGAAGATTTTCTCTTATAGTTTTTCTAAAAGTTTTGTAGTTTTATATGTAAGTTCATGAAATATTTTGAGTTAATGTTTGAATGTGGTGTGAGGTTTACTTCAATATTTGCTTTTATGCCTACTGCTCCATTTCCATTTAATGCTTCATTTCCATTTAATGAAATCAAATTTATGAATTGAATTCACTAAATTGATTTTAACTTTTTTGAAAAATCAGTTGGCAGTGTTTATAAGAGTCTATTTCAGGATGCTTTATTTTGTTCCATTATTCTATGTATCTGTTTTGCAACCAATATCACACTGTCTTGATTACTTACAAACTTAATAAGAGGTAGACTGGTTCCTCCTACATCACTCTCCTTGTGGAAGGTAGTTTTAGCTATTCTGGGGCCTGTACCTTTCCATAAATATTTTAGAATAAGATTTTCTATGTCTTAAAAAAAAACTTGTTGAGATTTTGATTGAAATCTTATTAATCTGCAGATCAGTGTTTCCTTTTATTTTGAGCGTACAGGCTTTGCTTACCTTTTTGCCTAATTTTAAGGCACCTTTTTCTGTTGGGTTAATAAGGTTTTTCTTTTGGGTTCTGTTGGGTCTTTTTAAGAATTACCTTAATTAGAAATTTAGGTAAGCACAAAAACTATTCTTACTGGGGAAAAATGAAATTTTTAAAAAATATATAGAAGATAAAACCCTGAAACAAAAATCTCATTGAGTAAAATAAATATTTTCAGCTAATTTTATAAATTATATTACAAATTGAAGGTCATATATTCATTAGCTCAGGCTGCCCTAAGAATATGCCATAGACTAGTGGCTTAAACAGTATAATTTTATTTTTTAACAGTACTGGAGATTGGAAGCCCAAGATTAAGGTGCCAGCATGACTGGTGTCGAGCGAGGGCTCTCCTATTAAGTTGCAGACAGTTGCGTTTTTGCTGTGTGCTTAGTGGCCTTTCTTGAGACACAGTGCTCATGGAGAGAGTGACTCTTCTTATAAGGACATCAAACCTATCAGATCAAAGCCCCATCTTTAGGACCTCATTTAACCTTGATTACTTTCTTAGAGGCCCCATCTCCAAATACAGCCACATACAAGGGTTAGGGCTTCAGCTTATGAAGGGAGAGGGTGCACAAAGATTCAGTCCGAATGAAGTAACCAAAGCTTCTGAAAATGTATAATCATTGTTATCAGTTTCATGGTGTGTGACAGGAGGTATCCTAAGTATTATAAGTAATGACTCTCCTAATCCCCTAGCTGCCTTTAAGATGTAGGGGCACTATTATTATACCCCTTTATAAAGTTAGGCCTGGTTAGTCTTTTTTTTTTTTTTTTTTGAGGTGGAGTCTTGCTCTGTCACCCAGGCAGATAGGTCACTGCAATCTCCGCCTGCCAGGTTCAAATGATTATCATGCCTCAGCTTCAGAGTAGCTGGAATTATAGGCATGAGTCACCATGCCCAGCTACTTTTTGTATTTTTTGTAGAGATGGGATTTCAACACATTGGCCAGGATGGTCTCAAAATTCTGACCTCAGGTGATCTGCCCGCCTTGGCCTCCTAAAGTGGTGGGATTACAGGCATGAGCCACCATGCCTGGTATGGATAGTCTGAATTAAGTAACTTGCTCAAGGCCACTCATATAAAGTTGGTAGAGTTTAGATTTGAATTCAGCTAATCTGTCTTCAGAGTCTGAGCTTTTAAATACTATAGCATTCCACCTCTCTGTAGCAAATTATTGGCAAGAGTGTGAAAGAAATGTTGGTTGTTACATGTACTTCAAATAATTCCTGAAAAAGAGTAAATGCTTTCAACAGAAGCGTGAAATAGGAAATATGGCAGAAGTCTTGTGATCTTTTCAGCCCACAGCAATTCTACATTTTAGTATCATTAATAAGGATGCAAAATGAGAAGGGAAACCTAGAGATGACCAGAGAGTCCATTTCTATAGGAGGAGATGAACCAAACAGACTCATTTTTCTTTTGTGGAGTTCAAAATAAACCAGTAAGTGGTAAACACACAATCTGAGTTGAACAAGAAATGAAAGCATGCCAAGGGCAACAAATCGATTTTTAATTTTTGTGTGTACAGCTTTCCTCTCCTTGGTGTCGCACTGTGATGAATGAGGTGAACAGCAGACCATCTGCAAATTACAAACCCTAGATAAATTATGAGCAGAGTAACAATGCATTAAAACCACAACTTTCTTTTCCAGTAACTGCTTTGGCCTTATTATATGGGATTTTCTGCCCAGAGACACAGAATCTGTGCCATTTAGAGGCTCCTATATGCACTTTAAACTTCAGCCTATATATATTGGTAAAGAGTTAAGTTTAGAGGCCATTTAAATGTGTTAACATTTTGCTACCTTTCCTTCTCCATTTAGCACAATAACCTTCTAACCAGCAAGAATTAGGGAGAGACTGAAGTTTCTTGTAAAATTTTTAAATAATGATTTTCCTTTAAAAAATCAAATATGTGATTGAATAACATTAAAATTATATTCCTCTCTAACATACATTTTAGTTAATTTATTACTTTTTTATTAATTATTTAGATTTTTGAATAACCAGAACACAAAACCTAAATTTATTATAAAGTATTTTACAGATAATTATTTTATTATTATAACTATCATATCATATTTTATAGGCATTTTCTTCCTTCCTTAGTTTTCTTTTTTTTAAAAAAAACTGGCTTACAGTACAGTTCCTCTCTCTACTCTTGGTAGAGCACCTGGCAAAATGCAGCGGAAATGCATTCAGAGAATCGCAGAAATTTAGATATGGAAATAACGGTATAGACCGTATAGTCTAACTTCCTCAGTATGCATGTATTTTTTTAAATAAGGGAAAAAGAAAAAGTGGAAATCTTCTCCTAGCTTACCCACTAGAGGCAGACTACATACATAATATTTTATCCATGCCATGAAAATCTATGCAGGGAAAAAATAAAACCAAAAAAAATGTAACTGTTTACTGACTTTGATAGGTGTCCATGATATATTCATAACTGACATTAAATAAATCAGCATAAAAAACAGTAAAATATGCTTTTAAAAAGTACAGAAAAATATAGGATAATGCAATTACTGTAAAAATAATTAAAATTAAAATAACTCTGTGTATATATTTATACTTCAAATGTGTATCAGTGTACACCACAAACGGCAGCATTTATTCCATGAGAAGGGCAATAGAAGGAAGAAATGAAGATACAATGTTGCTCTTTACTTAAAATTGTCCTGTGTCTACTACATATTAATCTGTAATTAATTTGAAGAACAAAACCTGGGAAAGCAGGGGGAAAAGGAGAGAAGAAAATCAAGATTAGGGAACATTAAAGCAGCTTTGTGACATGGAAAGAGAGAAGGAAAAGGGGATGTTGAGCTTCTAAATGAATAACAGTTGCCTGCCCTGCCATTCCTGTTCAGGTGGTACCCATGGAAAGCTCTGGAATAAATTTAGCTTGAGCTAGTTACACCCTGAGAAACTTCCAGTTTTATCTTCCACAGAACGTAGTGAAGCTGTCTAGTGGAAGTTCACTCCTTTGCTCTTTCATGAAATAAGCGAGAAGAGAAATGACATCAGTTTACCTCTGCTTAACATTTTTCTGTATAATTGGGTACCCCTCATAGGAATTCTAAGTCCCTATCCTGTACCCCTAAATTAGACTGATTCTTAAGGTTCTACAATTTCTCAACCTTTACTTCTTTCCATTCTAAATCCATTAGGTTAAGACCTGTGCAAATATACAATGAAATGTTGGTTTGGCAAGAATCAAAATGGATAATCTGCATCTTCTTTTCTTTTGTAGGTTTTTTAAAAATCTCATGGACGCTGGCTTTTACAAAACTTTTTTTGACAGTAGTGGAGAAGGAGTTTTGGTTCAGAATTTAAGCTGTAGATTATAGAGTAGACAACTGCTAATTACTAAGTTTATTTTCTAGGTTTACTCAGGATAAGATTGAATTCAAATTTCAGTGAACTCTTTGTTTTGGAGGTCTGCTAACAAGGGTCCACAGACCAAATCCAACTCATTCTATCACCTGCAAGCTGAGAATGGCTGACAAAATTCAAAAGAATAATAATACTTTGTGGCACATAAAAATTATGCAAACTACAAATATCAGTGCCCATAAATAAAGTTTTATTGGAACAGCAATGCTCATTCATTTACGTCTTTGGCTGCTTTCAAGCTACTGATATAACAGAAGAGTTGAGAAGTTGGGAAAGAAACAGTATAGACCACAAAGCCTAAAATAATTTCTGACTCTTTACAGAAAAAGTTATATATATATAACATAGATATTATATAATATATATTGTATAGTTTTATATATATATAACTGTTATGTATATATAACAGAGTTTGCAACTGTTATGT
Source organism: Homo sapiens (assembly GCF_000001405.40). NCBI lineage: Eukaryota > Metazoa > Chordata > Mammalia > Primates > Hominidae > Homo > Homo sapiens. The sequence continues at coordinate 9,965,496 of NC_000007.14, read as the reverse complement.
ATATATAACAGCGTTTGTAACTGTTATGTATGTATAACAGAGTTTGCAACTGTTATGTATATATAACAGAGTTTGCAACTGTTATATATAACAGACACACACACACACACACATATATATAAACAGAGTTTACAACTTTTGAATACATATAACTATGTTATGTATATATAACAGACTGTTTTACCTCAATGGTACTTGAACATTTTTCTAACATTATTTCTTCTTTTCCATGCTTCATCCCTACTCCAAATAGAAATGTAATGACTGAGAAGGACTTTTATCTTCAAGGTTCAGAAACTCTGTCAGATGAGCAATTTCTCTGGACTACTAAACAAATGGTTGAACAATTATTACAAAATTTCAAGGCAAAAGAATACTCAGAAATGTGTTCCATTTTTCTGTCGCTTGTCAGAGTTTTTTTCCTTCAGCTGGGCATTGTCCAGTACATGCAGTTATAGACCAAGACTGATCCCTTTCCATCTGGCTGTAGGGCTCTCCCTCACTTTCACTAAGGTTTTTCCACTTGCTATTATTTTTTTCTAAGAAAAAATTCAATTCCAAATTATACTTACCCTTAATAGCAAAGACCATTCTCTATCATCATCAAAGACAGTTAATAAAAATGGACATCATAGTGACTCAGGCAGGAATGGTAACTCCCCACTCATCCTGTCCTAAGACATTTTTCTCTGTTCTTATTAGAGAAAAGCATTTCCCTCCCCAGACCTTTCTGCACCAGCCAGAAAGCAGTAACTGTGTTTGTTGGTGAGTTTAGAGGAGAACCTATATGTGTGGGCCTCAGCCTTTTGGATTCCCTGTCCACAAAGCCCACCTAGTTTATCTACTCTGCCATCATGCACTTTGCTTGAGTGGTTTCTATTGCTCTTGTAAACAATGCATAAAGTTGTCCAGGGGTGAAATTTTAGGGAGCTTGATTTAACTGTGGCATGTCAGCCACATTTATGCTTAGTAAAAATGATAATCTGATCTCCATTATTCTATCTCAGGTATTATATTTTCAGTTTGGTTTCAACCTTGGGAAGGGTAAAATGGGTCTTGGTAATTTTCTTCCCAGTCCCCAGAAACACATACATAAATATTTACTTATCACCTTATACTGTTTTTACACTCAGAAATCCACTGTCAAATATCATTTTCTACAGGAATCTTGAATTTCAAATGAATTTAATATCAAGTGTTGAAGATATAAAAGAGCTTCTAATGCATGGAGCATCCCCTCCTCCAGTTTCCTCTGTACTAGAAGAGTATTATGTATCAAGAAAAGTCAATTAAAAAAAACAAACTCATTGAGGATTCACTAGATGCAAGGCATTATGCTAGAAAATGCAGTAAACTAAAAATAAAAAATAAAATGAAACCCAAAACTAAAGTTGTGATACGAGACAATATAATAAGTGTCACAGTAAAGAATAAGATAGAACGCTATAGCATTTCAAAGGATAGTGAGGTTAGCCAAATCAGAATAGGTTTTATGTGTTGACTACTCGGATATATCGAACTAAAAGATTTTAATGGGAAGAGAATGCAGGGCGGGGAATTCTGAAAATGAAGAGCTGTATTGTAGAAAGAAGAATACACTTGAAAATATCTTCTCATATCTGTTCTTTTCTTACTGACAATCACAAATATTTTAGCTATGAAGTCTGGGCTTTTCAACAGAGTACACTCTGCTTCTTTGTTTTCTTTCCCCTACTTTTTTAAAGACAGGGTCTCACTCTGTTTGCCAGGTTGGAATGTAGTGGTGCAATCATGGCCCACTCACTGCAGCCTTAACTTCCTCGGCTCAAGTGATCCTCCCACCTCAGCCTCTTAAGTAGCTGGGATCACAGGCACCCCACACCATGCCCAGCTCATTTAAAAAAATTGTAGAGAATGGGTCGCTCTAGTTTGTCCAGCTACTCTTAAAACTCCTGGGCTCAAGTGATCCTCTCACTCGGCCTCTTAAAATGATGGGATCACAGGCGTGAGCCCCCATGCCCAGCCTGCTTCCTGATTCTTTATTCCTGTTTCCCTGAACAGGGTTTTCTATACAGTAGGAAGTCAAGTAGGATCATTTCCCTATTCCATCTGTCCTTCAGGATTGCCAAATTTGGCACAGATTAAGAGACTGTGATAGTGCCTGTCCCAATGATAGGACACGATGATGGTCATAAACAGGATATTTCACTGGGGGAGAAAAATTGAGCTACCAAACTGGATAATTAAGGGAAGCCGCTGAAACATTATCCTATAAAGTTCAGCATTTTTTTTTTTGCAGTGGGCTTGGCCTTATTAAATTGAAAATTGATGGAAACGAATGACTCTTAAAGCCTCCCTACAATCGGTGTGAGAAGCAATAGAAATCCAGGGTTTGCTGCCCTTTGGACTGGGAAAGATGGAATTCCCTGGTTCCTTGTCTTGTGTTTCGTTTCACTTCCCACATTGCCAGGAGGATCATCCTGTTTTCTCTAGTAAGAGGCAGGTCAGATAATCTTCTTTATGGTACACTGCGGGAGAGGCAAACCACTTTTTTAACACGTACTTTGATACTACATAACTGACAGTCCCTCAGTGTTCCTTTGGGGCTCCGACTCTTCAGAGGAACAGCCCACTAAATGCAAGCAAGTGTCAGATATTAACATTGAATTAAAACTGAAGGTAAAAATGGGGACACTGGCATAGTCCTGTCCATGAGCTTGACAGGAAATTTATTTTGCTGTAGCTGAAAAGTAATTAACCTCCACTGTGAGAGAATTCTATTACTAGTAGCTATTCTGCCATGCAAAGTGCACTACATGGAAATGTTACAGGCTATCAAGCAGAAACGGCAGATTTGTCTGCATTTTAAACTGAATTTCCATTACCCTATTCTCTTCTCTTCTGTATCTGTACTTCCACACCACCTTCTCTCTTGTTTTCACTGAAGCTGGAAATTGAGACACATATGAAACTTGAAAAAAGGTTTAAATCAAAAGAGTGCTTATAAGGATTTTGTAAGATGTATTCTTTTTTTCTAGTATTTGGCATTTTTAAACAAATAATGTCCTTTGATGTGCTGGAAAAAATGCAGCATTATGCAAAGATACTCAACCATGAATAATTTTATTATGATCATAGCAAAGAAAATCATAATTCAGTGAATTCTATTTATGTTTTCATCTTCAATGTTATATATACAGATATGCACATATACATATATACATAATCTTTATAAGGAATACGTTTGAGGAAATCTACATATTGTCATTTCTGCTATAATGCTTGTTTTGAAAACAAATTTGTTCCAAAGAAATTGATATATTAAGGAACAATTTGAGCATAATGCAAATTTCATGTGTGATTATGCCTGATTTTGTCAGCGAGAAACACCAAGAGAAGGCAGAAAGCTGCACATGGCTGGACTGAGCCCATCAGTAATACACAAAATGCACACAGGCACACAGTCAACTATCTCTCAGCTACCTCAGTTCATCACACATGTTATGAGCCACAAACACCCACATCTGGTGTTAGAACTTTCCTTCCAATTTCAGATAACCCCCTTCCACGACTCCACAATAACTTACATGTCACAACCCTTCCAAGAGCAGCCTCACCTCATTTCTAAGGTAAAGTTGCATATTTATTGAAGTATTTATGCATTCCTTACGCATTTAACTGTGCTACTATCTTCATTATATTACTACCAGTCTTTCATGTGTCACTGATGAAATTTCTGAGTGTTGTTCTCCTAACTTCTTTTCTCCCCTAAGCCGCTTGTTTTTTATTGCGTAATTTGGCATAGAAACACATATGCTGGATTACAGCAGAACTGACTACACTTCTCTTTTCCTTTTATTATTATGATTAATGTATGTGACTCTTGTTTCATCAATAATGAATGTTTCTGAGTTTGCTATGCATTTGTCACATAGGTACAACAATAGAGTAACAAATCATACTTTATTACACTAGAAAAGAAAGAAGATCTCTTCTCCTAGAAGGCAATTGCTAAGGAGAGGGAAACATAATTTTCGGTATTATTACTGATTTTCTGAAATAATAACAGTGGTCACCATTCATAGACACCTTACCTTGACTTGGAACAGTGCCGTGTCCTTCTTTGTGGATTCCCACACCAACATGGGCAATAGGGTAGGATTATCTTCTTTGTCTTACAAATGAGGAATCCAAGGCTAGAGAGCCCAAACAGCTTGTCCAGTGTTTCCTGAGCTATTCAGAATAGAACAGAAAACTTAGAAGAATTCCAAAGTGAAAACTCAATTCTGCTATCTCTAACATCTTTCTTATTAGCTTCAAATATATCCAAGGCTATTAGAATTTGCACTTACACATTATTGGTTTTAGTCTCCTTATTTATAAAATGAGAAAATGTAGGCTCAGGGGATCCATGCACCTTATCCTAGCTCCCCTGATCAGAACTAGAATTTAGAACCCAGGTCATCTACTCAAAGTTCGTTTCTCCTAGCCTGTTGCATTGTGTTTTAAAATGTCAGGGTGAAAAGATAATGAACTCCTGAGAGGATGTTTGGACTCATACCTACTATATGAAAATTCAGCTAATGAATTGTTTTCTTCCATTCTTAAGTAAAATAATCTACATATGTGTGAACTCCCTAAAATAAGGAGTGGAATGAGGAGCAGCTATGTCACATTTGTGCATTTCCAGAAAAAGAAATAACAAAATCCAGTTCCATATTTTTTCTTGGAACAACATCTAGATGTGGCGTATTTTATGGTAATCACTATTTATAACCTACTATTCTGGGAATTGAACTTTACAAACATGAAAGCCAACTTGTAAATTTTTTCTGACAGAGAATGACACTGAGCATTGGAAAGCAGAAAGTGTTGTACATTCTCTCTGGGATCTGTCACTGTTCATGATCATTAAAGAAGGCAGATGGGATAAACGAATTTCTGTTATTTGACCGTCACAGGGAAGTTGAGATGCAGAACAAAATCACCCCCCTTTTTTTTTTTTTTTGATCCTGAAATACCTAACTGGGCTGTCTGTTTTCACTCTAGGAAAATGCCATGAAGTGGTTGTGGTAGTGGTGGTTCAGTCTATTTTAGATACTAAAAAAGGAAAGCCTTTGCTGAAAATTACAGAGGATGTAAATTTTAAGAATTACAGGCTAATGGCTCCCTTCTTCTCCCCCTTTGCCCACGAGCCATGTGTGTGAATGACAGCTATGGATTGGCAGCATGCTGCCCTCCTTCTCAGGAAGAGATGGCTGATGGCATGTTGCAGGTATGAAATGACTTTGGTTTAATGGTGGGCTATGGGGTATTGGGATTTCTTTCTTTCTTTCTATTAAAGAAAGCAGCACTTTAAAGTTACAAGAAGCTCTAGGATTCAAGATTACTATTATTAATGATAAATGTCTAAATACTGTAGTAATAGAGGTTTTGAATTTGTAATACATTTGGGAAAGATTTCTACTTCTCTTTCCTTTAAAGAAGTTTTTGAGAAAGAATAATTAAAGTTTATAATCTACTATTGTGGAACTATTTAGAAGCCTTTTATTCTGCTTTTACAAATTCTTTTGTGTGAGAAAGAGAGAGGGAGGGAGAGAGAGAGAGAGAGATGATTTGAATTGTAATTGATCAATTTAATTGTCTCATGATTTAACACTCAGTCTTCTCCCCACCCGGCTTACAATCTGTAAAGTTTTTGCCAAGAGTTTAGTTCAAGGGCATATGGAATAAATAAAAAGTGGACTAGGATTCAAAAAAAAAAACTCTTATCAAAATAAGAATTTTTACCTATAGAATGAACTATTGACAAATATTTGAAATAAGTGGTTACTCTGCAAATGTTTATTTTTGTTGTTGTTGTTTGTTTGTTTTAACCTCGATTTGTAAATGATTTTTAGTCCTGAAAACTCCCAATTGACTCCAACTGTAATGTCCTGGGGGATCAATATGTGTGTAGTTAATTGTACACTGGGATTTTTGCCGAGATTAGCAACAGAGAGGGAAGGCCAGAGATCTAATTGGTTCTGGATCTAAAAGCTTCTATTTTACTCTTGAAGAACTAAGAGAAGAACTTTTCATTTTCTTTCAAAGGTTGCAGTGTCTCTCCCTAGTGAATAGATTTCAGATTTCAGAGAGAAATTTAAGATTATTTTTAATTTGTTAAAATCGCAGACAGAATGCAAGTCACTGATGACAAGTCACAAAGAGCAAATGTGAGGACATATGACATTTAAACTTTAAAACAGGAGCAACAGAAAGAGTTGGAAGGGAATAAAGAAGCCAATTCTCTTGAAGATTAACTCATGACCTCAGGCTTAGGTCTGGATGAAAACTGGAATAGAAGCAGTATATGCAGATGATGCGGACAGAGCTATGTAATAGCCATCTATATCAAATTTTAAAATAAAAACATAATTTTCAGGCAAAAAAAAATTATGCATTGGAATAGATAAGAAAACCATGAAGCAAATTTCTTTTCAACAAAGGTATATAGCAAGAGAAATAGATGGGAACTAATTATATAGGAAGATATCTAAGAAACAAATTTTTTAGGATAATTAGGATGAGTCTTTCTTTTCTTTCTTTTTTCTGTTTCCTTCTGGACTAAATGAAGAAAAGCAAGGGAGTCTTTTGTGAAAAATATTCAGGAAAAAGAAGAAAGATGGAAACTCACTTATGAACATCTGTTCTGCAAAGCCACCTGAAAAATAACTGGGTACTAACGTGGAATAAAATGTGCTCAGCGTGAAACTAACCATAAGTAATGTAGTAGCAGGGAGGCAGGAAGAGTGACATAAGGAACTGGCGCCCTATGGAGCATAACTTCTGACTGTCCGAATCCAAGTCACCCCCTCAGCTAATGGGAGGGGAAGTGGGGGCAGGCATTATCCAGGCAAATTGCCCGTGAAGTGGCACAAGTTGCAATTAAATCAAGATCTAGAGATGCAAAAGCCACATTAAAACAAATGAGATTACAAATTAAAGCTTAGGGGTTTTTTAACCCTTTATACAACAGATATGTTTATAACATTGAGATGGATTTTCTTTTAAAAAATGATTCCCCCTTTTAAATTAAAGGGATATTTTATTAATTATGAATATGCAATTTTGAAAATACAATGTAAAATTATGTATTATTCTTGGACTTCTCTTTTATATTAAATTCACGTATTTCTGAGATTATTTTCAACTATTGAAGAGTGTAATCAAATGTTTTAAATTTCCCACAATTCTAAAAATACTTGATTTTTGTATTGGGAATAAGATTATGCCTAAATTTTGCTATTACTCCCAAAAGACACATAATTGGAAAGCACTGATTTCCAAAGAAATTTCACAATCTCTTTTTATTCGAGACCATTTTAAAACATCTTTTGCATAGTTTCATCTTTTAAGGAAATAGGAAAGAAATGATAACTTAGTTACTTTCACAAACATAGTATCTTTTAAAACAAAAACGGCCGGGCGCCGTGGCTCACGCCTGTAATCCCAGCACTTTGGGAGGCGGAGGCAGGTGGATCATGAGATCAGGAGAGATCGAGACCATCCTGGCCAACATGGTGAAACCCTGTCTCTACTAAAAATACAAAAAATTAGCTGGGCATGGTGGCGGGCACCTGTAGTCCCAGCTATTCGGGAGGCTGAGGCAGGAGAATGGCGTGAACCCAGGAGGAGGAGCTTGCAGTGAGCCGAGATGGTGCCACTGCACTCCAGCCTGGGCGACAGAGCCAGACTCTGTCTCAAAAACAAAGCAAAACAAAACAAAAAACAAAAACAAACAAACAAAGACAGGAGAAGGTTAGGGCATCTAAAGTGGTGCATGAGAGATGTTCAAAACAGCAAGCTTTAATGTAAACTTGGAGACAATCTACATAATGCCCCTAAAAGAGAGACAAAAAGAAAAACAAACAAACAATTAAAGAATTTTGCACATAAGCAGAGATCATAGACAGGAAATAGAATACTCTTAGAAGATAAATTAGGAATACTTCATAACTATTATAGAAAATCAAAAGTTAAAATTTACTAAATCAATTTGATAGCAGGGGAAATATTTAGATTCTAACAATCAATTGTTTGTTTTTCTTTTCTTTTTTATCTTTTTGAGACGGAGTCTTGTTCTGTCGCCCATGCTGGAGTGCGGTTGTGCGATCTCGGCTCCATTCTCCTGCCTCAGCCTCCCGAGTAGCTGGGACTACAGAATTGTTTGTTTTTCAACAAATTTTTTTTAGTTCCTAGTATGTGTCAGGTAATATGTTATATACTGGAATAGAATAGTGTTCCACAAGGCAAAATTCATTTGCCTTCCCTTATGAATATTGAATCCATTAGGAAGATAGACACTAAACAGATTGTGTACCTACAACTATTTATGAAAATATATGGGAAATGCTACAAGGAAAAATGGAAGGCACAATGATAATATTTTTAGGGAGCACCTAACTGGTCCTGTAGCCCAGTTATGTTTATGCAGAGACATGAGAGGAGGCAAAAGACAATGTTACTGTATTCCACACAGCTGGACTAGCTACATCATTCTTTCAGTGCTGTTTACTTTAAACGTTTTATTTTAATTAATTATTATTATTATTTTTGGAGACAGGGTCTTGCTCTGTTGCCCAGGCTGGAGTGCAGTGGTACGATCTCAGATCACTGCAGCCTCCACCTACTGGGCTCAAATGATCCTCCCACATCAGCCCCCTAGTAGTTGGGACTACATGCCTGGCTAATTTTTGTATTTTTTGTAGAGATGGGGCTTTGCCATGTTGCACAGGCTGGTATTGAACTTCTAGACTCAAAGAATCCACCCACCTTGGCTTCCCAAGTGCTGGGATTGCGGGCATTAGCCACCATGCCTGGAAACCTTTCAAATCCATCCACCTTTTTCCTCTCCTATGGCTACTATCACATTAGTGCTTGACAAATGATTGGATATTGGGAGTGACGTGGACATGGAGAGATGAGCCAGGGGAAGTTTCAGAAGAAACGCCTTGATGAACACTGGGGCTAACCCTGTCAGATGGCATAGCCCAAGTTAATCATATTTGCAAAGGGGGTGCACCAGAGTCATCTTTTAGAGGCCTCTTTGGGTGACTTTCAAGATGGAAATATCAAAATTCAATTATAGTGATATTCAAAAAAGAAGAGGAAGGTGGGGGGACCTGTAGAAATCTCTCAGCTAATCATAGAGCCCAAAAGAGGCCACATTAGTAGCTCTTTACAACAGACACAAATGAACAGTGCCACAACATTTTAGAATATAAACTAATACATCCAACTTTTTTTAGATTAGAAAACAATTCAACTCTGCTAGATTAGAAACGGTGTTAGATGCAGTATGTTTGAAGAGAAAGAACATCAATAGGTTTTAGAGACAGGAACCCCTAAAGAGAATTCTCAATTATGTTACTTTCTAAGTATCTAAACTTAAAGTCTAACCTTAACCCAATAATTAAAGTTCTCTGAGCCTCGGTTTCCTCACCCATAAAATGAGGATAGTAATATTTATGTTCTAGGTTAGTTGTGTCAATTAATATCTATCAGAGTTCATGTACTCAATAAATGTTAATTTTCTTTGTCTTCCCCACTCAAAGCTGTTTATCAAAACTGGGTACGTAGAATTTGACTAGTGTGATTAAATATGTTAACATTCTCTTGTGGGTGATATTTGACCAGTGTCCTGCTAAAACAGATGATTCATTAAAATTACTCTCTTCAATATATTCAGATACCCCAAAGCCAAAGCAATTGTGCAGTGGTTCTGAAAAAGTTCTACAATTAAGAACAATACATAAAACAACTTGGAATAATTCTTTGTTCAGAAAACATTATGAATCAATATGATAAGCCTGGCATATGAAGAAGAAAAAGCTTTGATACTGAAAAGAATCATTAATGAAGGTACAATTTCAGCAAGATGGTAGAGTAGGAGGTCCCAGCATTGCTTTTTCCCACAAAGAACAAGAATTTGGTAGCTATTTATGAATGAAAATAACTCTGAAAGAGCTCAATGTTCACTTGAGAAAGAACAGCAACCACCCTTCTCCCTTTTCTTTCCCCAGAGCCATCCAACATGCTGCTGCTATGGGTGCTTTGGCCTAGGGACCCAGCATAGCCACTGTGCATGTGCATGCAAATGACCTGGGATTTCCCAGTGTAAGCTCTTGCCCCATTGCCATGCACCAATAGCTAACACCTGTATGTAGGCTCGTTCATGCCACTAACACCAGCCTCCATAGCTGCATGTGCAAAAGCAGCCAACTCTACCGCCTAATGTTTGCTGAAAGTCATAGCTGGTTCCTGTAGTTGAATGTGCATATACAACTCCAGTTCATGCCCTCAGAAACCTACAAACACATAGCTGGTCTGACCCCTGTTGCCAGCCTACAGTTGACTTTGCAATTGTGCACATGCATACTACCAGCCTCCAACAAAACTCACGCACCACAGTTTACTCCAGCCCCTGCCTCTAATTCTGTACCGTACCACCATGCACAAGGCTGCAGCTGGCACTCTGCTGCTACGCATGTGCTGTCAGCCAACATCTGCAGCAGAATGTGTACACACAAGTTCTGGCTCCCCTCACTTCCTGCCCCAGCACCTTGCTGCTGAACCCAAGTTGTTGCTAAGGACACTAAGAGCCCTTATGGCCACTGTGGACCTCCTACAGCCCTCACCACCAAGGATCACACAGTTGTTGACATCCCAGATTTCAGTTGTCTAACTCAATATGACACCATGTCCAGCTGGACCTGGAGTCACCACAGACCCACAAACTTGGCAACCTACACCACTAGATCTGTGGCCACAGTGTGCCCCAGAGTGACCCATTTCCCCTGGCACCAGATGAAGGCTTTTTATTACCAAAACTAATATATACTGCCTGGAAAATGTGACTACGTTTTTCAAATGAGCACCTTTTCAGGGTGACAAGTATCACAAAAAATCAGGGAAACATGACATCACTACAGGAAGAAAATAATTTTTCAATAACTGGCCTCAAAGAATTGGAGTTCCATAAATTGCCCGACAATTAGAAAGAATTGTTTAAAGAAGCTCAGTGAACTATAAGATTATCCAGAGTAAATTTTTTGATGAATTCTGGGAAAAAATACAGGAACAAACAAGAATGTCAACAAAGAGTTAGAATACAAAAGCACCCCAGAAAATTCAGAGCTACAGAATACAATGAGTAAAATAAATGCAAACAGAGAGCTTCAAGAACAGACTGTACTACGTAGAAGAAAGCATAAGTGAACTTGAAAACAAATCATTTTGTCAGAGGAGAAAAAAACAGGAAAAAATGACAAAGAATGAAAAAAGCCTACAGAATCTGTGGGATACCATTAAGCCATTAAGACAGCTAAGTTTTGCATACTAGGAGTTTCTGAAGAAGAGAGAGAAAAATAGAGACACGTGTAAAATGCTTTTTTAAAAGAAATAACGCCTTAAAAATTCCAAAGTCTGAGAAAAAATATGAATATCCAGATTCATGAAACTAAAAGATCTCCAATCAGATTCAATCCAAAGAAGAGTTCCCCAAGATACATTTTAATCAAACTGTCAAAAATCAAAGGCAAAGAAAATATTTTGTAAGCAACAATATTGAAAAAGCATATTACAGACAAGGGAACTTTGATACGGTTAAAGAAGTTTTCTCAGCAAAACTTTGCAGGACAGGAGAGACTGGAACTCAAAGAGTTGGAAAAAGCAACAAAAATTATTAAGAGTATTACAACAAACAAACTATTCTTTGAAGATGAAGGAGAGATAAAGACAGTAACAGATAAGCAAAAGCTGAGGGAGATCATCACCACTAGACTTGCCTTACAATAAATACTAAAGGGAGTTCTTTAAGCATAAACAAAAGGTGGAGAATTAGTAACATAAAACCATATGAAAGTTTAAATTCACTGGTACAGGTAAATATATAATCAACTTGAGTATACTCTACTGCTGTAGTAGTGGTGTGTAGATCACTGATAACTGATAACTAGTGTAAAAAGGTACTATAAATAACCACAGCCTACTCTTGTCGCTTGTACTTAACATTATACTGGAAGTACCAGCAGGAGTGATCAGACAAGAAAAGAAGAAAGGCATCAAAATTGGAAAAAAAGAAGTAAAATTATCCCTGTTTGTAGATCATATGATCTTTCACGTAGAAATTCTAAAGATCACACAAAAAATGTTAGAACTAATAAATGAACTCAGAAACACTGCAGGATACAAACTTAAAATACAACAATTATTTGCACTTCTTCACCTAAATAATAACTATCCAAAAAAAAATTAAGAAAGCAATCTCTTTTATAATAGCATCAAAAAGAGTAAAATATTTAACAGTACATTTAACTAAGGAGATAAAAAATTTGTACACTGCAATCTATAAAATACTGATAAAATGAAGAAGAAACAAATAAAATGATATTCAGTGCTCATGGACTGAACAAATTAATATTGTTGAAATGTTCATACTACCCAATGTAACTTATATATTTAGTTTAATACCTATCAAAATTGAAAGGACAGTTTTCACAGAAATAGAAAAAACATCTTAAAATTTGTATAATACCACAAAAGTTCCTGAATTGTCAGAGCAATCTTAAGACAAAGAATAAAACGAGAGGCACCACGCTTCCTGATTTCAAAAGATACTACGAAGCCATAGGAACCAAAATAGTATGTCTCTGGCATGAAAATGCCGACCAGTGGAACAGAATAAAGCCCAGAAATAATCCCAAGCATGTATGATCAACTAATTTTCAACAAGGGCACTATGAAAAAAAAAATGAGGAAAGAAGAATCTCTTAAATAACTGCTGAAGAGAAAACTGGTTATCCACATGCAAAAGAATGAAATTGGACCGTATGTGTAAAAATAAATTTAACATACATGACAGACCTAAACATGAGACACCTAGATGAAAATATAGGGCATATGCTTGACAACATTGATCTCAGCAATGATTTTTTATATGATCACCAAAGTACAAGCAACAAAAACAAAACTGAACAAGTAGACTACATTAAATTTAAAGGCTTTTGTACAGCAAAATTAACAATGAGCAAAACAAAAAAGCATCCCAGAGATTGAGTGAAAATATTTGTGAACCATATATCTAACAGAGTTACCTTCCAAAATATATAACAAACTCTCACAATTCAATTACAAAAAAACAAATGATTTAATTTTAAAATGGGCAAAGGAACTGACATTTTGTATGTTTTCATTTGAGAAATATCTATTCCTCAAGATTTACAAATGACAAACAGGTATTTAAAAAGGTGCTCAATTTCTGTTATCACAAGAGAAATGCAAATCAAAACAACAATGAAATATCACCTCAAATCTATTAGGATGACTATTATAAAAAAGAGAAGAGACAATAAGTGGTGGTGAGGTGGTGGAAAAATGGGGATGCTTGTACACTGTTGTTGGGTATGTAAGTTGATACAGTCATTATAGAAAATTGGGGGCTTCTTCAAAAATTAAATCTATAATTACCATGTGACCCAACAATTTCTCTTCTGTGTATAAATCCAAAGAAAATGAAATCAGTACCTTGTATTTGTGCATCTATGTTCATTGAGCCATTAATCCCCATAGCCAAGCTATGGAAAAACCTCAGTTTCTGCCACTAGATGAATGAATTAAAAAATAGTAATTTATTAAAAAATAAAATTTAGCCTTAAAAAAGGTGATTTTGCCATTTTCAACAGAATGGATAAATCTGGAAAACATTGTGCTAAGTGAAATAAGCAAGACACAGAAAGAAAACTAAAGCATGATCTCAATTATATGTAGAGTTTTAAATTAGTTAAATGTATATTATAGAAACAATCGTAAAATACTGATTTCTGGTGGTGGGAACATGGGGAAAATAGATATAAGTCAGAGTACCATGTTGCAATTATATAAAATGAATAAGTCTTATGTATTGGATGAGGACTACAGTTAATAATATTGTATTGTATACCAGAAATTTGCTAGAAAAGTAGATTTTACATGCTTCTACCATGGAAAAAATTATGTGAGATGATGGATATGTTTCTTGGCTTGACTCTAGTAATCATTCCACTATGTATATATATATTAAAACATCATGTTGTACATCTCAAATATATACAATTAGAATACATGTTTAAATAAGAAAAAGATAACATCTCAAATATATACGATTAGAATACATGTTTAAAGTAAGAAAAAGATATGGAATTTATTTTCAAACAAATATTCAGAATGAAACAGAAATTTTAAATTTTATATAACTTTTACTAATTTTTTAATATTCTACAATAAGTTATATTATTTATCATTTCATTTTCTAGGCATATAGCCACAGATAATATTTTAACTTAACCTAAATAAAAATATTAACTGGTAAAAATTACCTTTACTAAAGTAATCGAAAGATTTAAAAGTCTCTGTTGTTTGCCTGTTTTTTTATGACTTGATTCTCATGACCCTAGCATGATACAAAGTTATCTGAAATTTTCACCAGATAGATTTTTAAGAATTTTTCTGAAGGGATCAAAGTTTAACATATATAGCATTCTATAAAAGGTGTAAAGTGAACTTTGTTATCGATGTTAAATAATCATATATTGAGTAATATTGGCTTTTATCTGAAATCTAATGCTCAATAAAAATTTAGATTTCTGATAATAATTATTTTAAACAATAAGAATAATTACAGGCACAGTACTTCCACACTAAAATTCTCATAGAATATAATATTTTATGACTATAAATCAGCTAATTTTATTTGAAGCATTATATAGGAAAAAAAAGGCGATTGGACAAAATTAGTAAAGTTAGAACTTCTTGTTTATCTAATTTAATCCTTAGATTTTTCTGAGCTACAAGAACATGTTGTATTACCAGATCCTTGAAATTCACTTCAGAATCTTTGCCACAGAGATATCCTTTATTTAAGTTAAGCCAAGTGTCTTTAGTTAAATTAAGCTAAGTGTCTTAAATTAATTCACAGTCTACGTTTTTAAATTTTTGATATTTTTATTTTGTGAGCTGAGCCTTATATGTGTTGCTTTATCTTAGTGATTTTATATATGTCAGTCCACTTTTTTTTTTTACAGAAACACAAAATCTGTCCTTAATAATTTCCAAGTTTCTCAGTACAGAGAAATTACTTGTTAAGTTTCCTTTTTAAGCTTATATTTTCTGCTCTGAAGAAAAAAGAGAAACCAAAACTCTATAAAAACACTTTGAAAACATTTTGGAAGTTTCACAATGAGACCAAATTACACATTTCTGAATGAATATGAGAAACATTTACCCCACGTCTTTTTCCCTCTGTTTTAATTTTTTGTTTCTCTCTTCAGCTGCCATCCTTTTTACTGGAAAGTGCCTGTGGTTTTGTTTGTTTGTTTGTTTTGGTCATTTTGTCTCAGAGTACATTTGGTCATTGTGTATTCAGTCTCTTAGGTGACTTTTCTCTTCTTCCTCCTTCTTCCCTTCCTCCTCCTCCTCCTTCTCTTCTCCCCTCCTCCTCTTCCTCCTCCTCCCCCTCTTCCTCCCCCTCCCCCTCGTCCTCCCCGTTCCCTTCCTCCCCCTCCCCCTCCCCCTCCCCCTCCTCCTCCTCCCCCTCTTCCTTCTTCTTCTTCTTCTGCTTCTGCTTATTCTGCTGCTTCTTCTTCTTCTTCTTCTTCTTCTTCTTCTCCCTCTCCTTCTCTTTCTTTCTCCTTCTCCTCCCCCTCCTCCTTCTCCTCCTCCTCCTTGCTTCTTTTCTTCTCCTCCTCCTCCTTTTGTTGTGATACCATATATTATCTAAGCAATATGTTAAGATAACCCAGAGGAATTTTGTGCTGTCATATTTTAGGAACTAGAAATAATTTTAAACATCATTATGGATGCAGAGTAACTGCCCATATTTATGGGGTACATGTGATATTTATAGGTACAAAGCTACAGTATGTAATGACCAAATCAGGGTAATTTGGGGTATACGGGACCTCAAGCATTTATTATTTCTTTATATTAACAACATTTCACTCCTTTAGTTTTTTGAAATATGAAATGAATTATTGTTAACTGTAGTCTTCCTATTCTGTTTTTGAGCACTAGCTCTTATTCCTTTTATAACTGTACTTTTGTTCCCATTAACACTCCCCGCTTTTTTCCTCCCTCCCCACTACCCTTTCCAGCCTCTGGTAGCCATATTCTACTCTCTCCTTTCACATAAGAATGAGAATATGCAATATTTCTCTTTCTGTGTCTGGTTTATTTCAGTTAACATAATGTCCTCCAGTTCTATCCGTGTTGTTGCAAATTAGAGGATTTCATTCTATTTTTGTGACCGAATAATATTCCATTGTATGTATATCTATATATCTATATATCTATAGATATATAGATATATATATATCTATATATCTATAGATATATAGATATATATATATATCTACCACATTTTCTGTATCCATTCATTTGCTAATAAACACTTAGGTTAACTCCATATCTTGGCTATTATGAATAATCTTGTAATAAACATGAAAGTGCAGACATCCCTTCTATATACCGATTTTTTTTTTCTTTTGAATATATACCCTATAGGTGGGTTTACTGGATCATATATGGTAGTTCTGTTTTTAGATTTTTGAGAAACCTCTATACTATTCTCCGTAGTAGTTGCAGTAAAATATATTCCTACCAACTGCGTGTGAGGATTTCTTTTCCTCCACATGCTTGCCAGCATTTATTATTGCCTGTCTTTGCATGAAAGCCATCTTAGCCAGGATGATATTTTTATACAGGCATATCATGAATAATAATCGTATCAGGATAAATGGGATATCCATCCCCTCAAGTATTTATCATTTATTCATGTTAAAACATTCAAATTTTACTCTTTTATTTATTTTTAAACGTGCAATAAACTGTTGACTGTGTTAACTCTGTTCTGCTATGAAATATTAGATCTTATACGTCGTATCTAAGTACACTTTTGTACCCATTAACCATCCCCACTGATTCCGTCCCTTACTACCTTCTGGTAACTATCAGTCTACCTCTGTCTCCATGAGTTCAATTGTTTTATTTTGTAGATCCCACAAATGAATGAGAATATGTAAAGTTGTTCTTCCTGTGTCTGCCTTATTTCACTTAACATAATGTCTTCCAATTCCATTCATGTTGTTTCAAATGACAGGATTTCATTAATTTTATGACTGAATTTATGACTCCATTGTGTATATGTACCGCATTCCCTTTATCCAGTCATCTGTAGATGGACACTTAGGTTGCTTCCAAATCTTGGCTATTGTGAATCACGTAGAGAGAAAGTCAAAAAAGAAACATCAGACTTAATCTGTACATAGAAGAAATGGACCTAATAGATATTTATAGAACATTTCATCCAACAGCTACAGAGTACATGTTATTTTCTTCAGGTCATGGATGGAGTAGTCTCAAAGGCAGATCACACATTAGGACACAAAACAAGTCTCCATTTTTAAAAAATAATTATTTAAATCATATCAATTATTTTCCCCAACAACAAAGCAATAAAACTAGAATTCAATAACAGAGGCTTTGAAAACTGTACAAACACATAGATTTTAAACAATATTTTTTTCTGAATGACCACTGGGTCAATGAATAAATTAAGATGGAGGATGGGTGACAAAGGCACTCTTGTGGTCACTATAGCTGGCACTGCACAAGGTTGCACTTGAGGCCTTGCAGACCAACACAGTACTGGAGTTTGTACAAGACCTGTGTCCACTACTGCCTGGCTACCACTGATATTTATTCAAAGCCCAAGACCACTTTACTCAGCAGTGATGAATTCTTCCAGAACTATGTTTGTCCCGTCAGGGCAGTGGATTCCCTTCTGATCCAAGGTGGACCTAGAAATACCATCCAGGAGCAAAGACCTGAAATTTGGGGCTTCAGGAATCTGCTTGGTGCTTTATTTGACTGTGGCTGAGCTGGTACCCAAGTTATAAGACACAGTTTTCTTTACTCTTCCCTCTTCTTGCCCCCAGCAGAAGGAGTCTCTCCCAGAGTTACACTGTGTGGAATTGGGGGATAGGCGACACAGTTACTCCACTGGCTGCCACAACTGGTGTTGCATTGGGTAACCACCAAAGTCCACTGTCTCTGAGATGAGTGCAGCACCAGGGCTTGGCTTAGGATTGCATTCTTTGTGACCTGACTGCCATTCAAATTTATTCCAGTCCCCAGGTCATTTTCATCAGCTGGTGGTAAAGCCAGCTCAGACTTGGGTTCCTCCAGCTAAGGTGGGGAATTTCCCTCTGGCACAGGACTGGTCTAAATACTCCTTCCATGAGCATTGGCAGAACTCTACCCTCTGCAGTATTCCACTTTGACAGGGCAGCACTGAATCCCAATGCAAAGTTTCACACTCACTTCTGTCTCCCTCTCCAAAGCACACAGATTTTCTCTGTGCTGAGCTGCCTAAGGCTGGAAGAAGAGGGATACAGGCAATACAAGACTGTCCTTTCTACCTTCTGTAATTCCTTTTTCCTTGATATTATGTTGAAACCAGGTACTGTAATAGCTCACTTGATTTGGGTGGGGGGGGGCCTGTAAAGGTACTTGCTTTCATGGATTGTTTAATCTGTTGTTCCTACAGGAAGAAAATTGCTAAAGGGCTCTATTCTGCCCTCTTGTTCTATTCCTCCTCCTGCAGAAATTTTGTAAGCATCTAAGTCACTGGCCTTAAGTTTTCTTTAAAAAGTAGCATTTACAACTGTGTATGGTGGCTCAGGCCTGTAATCCCAGCACTTTGGGAGGCCGAGGCAGGCAGATCACCTGAGGTCAGGTGTTTGAGATCAGCCTGGCCAACATAGTGAAACCCCGTCTCTACTAAAGATACAAAAAATTAGCTAAGTGTGGTGGCAGGCACCTGTAATCCCAACTACTGAGGCTGTAATCCCAGCTACTGAGGCTGAGGTGGGAGAATCGCTTGAACCCAGGAGGCAGAGGTTGCAGTGAGTCAAGATCGTGCCAACGTACTCTAGCCTGGGTGACAAGAGCAAAACTCTGTCTCAAAAAATAAAAATACAGTTTTAAAAGTAGCATTTACATAGTTTAATAAGAGTTTTTTCATAAAAATTCGACATCCCAGCCTAATAACATTACAGGTAACCTTTTGTTCTGAAAAGAAGTACCTTGCAATGTCTCAACACTTAGATGAAGAAACACATTTTATCTAGATACTTTCTCCATAGAAGACCAAAGTTATTAATGGCTGAATGTTTTCCTTTTCATTCAGATATTTTGGGGTTTACACAAATAGTCAAAATCTTTCTTTTACTAGTTGAATTGTCATGTCAATACCAGCAGGAGTACACTTTGGTAGACTGTTCTTTTAAAATTGCTAAAATAGTTGATGGGCTATAAGAGGCTCATCATTAAGTCATGGATGAGTCACAAATGTCCTTTGTCCTCTCTGAGTCACCAGTCAATTATCATATTCACTTCTGCCCAATTGGGTGGGAGTCTAGGTTTTAGTTGGAACTAAGGATGCAGTGCCTACATCATAAGGCTCATTATTTGAGTGTGAAACACCTGCTGCAAGAGAATAAAAGGCCACCTTGTAACGGACCATTTAATAATTGAGTTAGGAACAAGCAAATGGTCTTTTGTTGATTCTTGATGTCGTCACTCATCTTTTGAAAGTGGCAGTGGGCACAATAAGAAGATAATTTCTTATTAGATGGAGAAGTATCAAATACAGTTTTTCAGTAGTTTTTTAGTAATTTTGTATTTTATCCGTAATACTTAAAACACAGGTCCTGTTCAGGCTTGGAATTCATGTTTTAATTTCTTGTATGGTTTATGAGTGGCAGTGCTGATTTGTAGAGATCCTCAATACTCAATGCAAGTGTTAGACTGAAGTAAAACAGTGAATCCTGATAGTGACCCATCAACAGCATTCAAAGGCATATAACCCAAGTTCACATCTCCCTGGGGAACCCTGAAGCTTCATTAAACAATTAGTATGCTTCTTTGAAATTCTCAGATGAAAAGGTAATTAATTACCTCTGTGGTCCAAGTACA
This sequence comes from Homo sapiens, assembly GCF_000001405.40. Taxonomy (NCBI): domain Eukaryota; kingdom Metazoa; phylum Chordata; class Mammalia; order Primates; family Hominidae; genus Homo; species Homo sapiens. The sequence continues at coordinate 9,945,465 of NC_000007.14, read as the reverse complement.
ATATAGTGGTTACACAGCTCTCCCTTTCTTTGAGCTATAATCTCTATCTAAAATTCTAGCTGACAACAGGCTCTGGCAGTAAGCAAAAGAGGTACTAGTGGCAAGCCAAAATTGAGAATCAGGTTTCAAGATGAATGGGGCTCAAATGGCTTTCAGAGTTAACTTGTTTTGAGCATGGTGCAATTACATCATTGCCCAACTGTGGCTCAGTCCTGAGCTAAAAAATCCTGTTATGTTGACATAGAACTCATTTTTACTAAGGAAAACTAGAAATAAGAGGGTTTGAATGCTGTGGAAGATTTAAAAAAGCACTTATTCTTCCAATCTGCACATTTAAAAAATTATTTCGATTAATGAAAATGAATGCAACAAAAACAAAATAAAACTTGGACTGTATTGGGAGAAGCCTCTTATTTACACCTTGGAGGGAATAAGCCTACTTGCTGAATTGTCAAGAACTTACAGAAAGTAGCTTATTCAGGTTCAGAAATTATATTTTATTAATGTTAGTCTTTAATTATGTTAGATTTCCTTTGCAAATATTTTCTTTCTAAAAATATAGATTTTGTCTGGCTATTAACGTAGTTGATTTATTTTTCTTGACAAAATTTCACATAATACAGTATACAGGTTGAGCATCCCTAATTAAAGAAAACCTGAAATCTGAAATGCACCCTGATCTGAAACTTTTTGAGTGCAAACATGATGCCACAAGTAGAAAAGCTCATACCTGATACATTTGTTTTCTGGTGGTTCAATGTACAAAAACTTTGTTTCATGCACAAAATTATTTATTTAAAATATTGTATAAAAGTGACTTCAGGCTATGTGTATAAGGTGAATATGAAATTATAAATGAATTCTGTTTAGAGTTGGGCCTCATCTTCAAGACATCTCAGTATGTACATGTAAATATTCTGAAAATGTACATGTAAAAATCTGAAAAAATCAGAAATATGAAACACTTCTTGTCCCAAATATTTTGGATAAAACGTGCTCAGCTTGTATTAGTATAACTTAAGGGCAGAGCCAGACCTTGTCCATCAAGATTGAGTTAAAAAATGGGCACAAAAATATAGATGGAGAGAATGAATAAGATCTAGTATTCAGTAGCACAGCAGGGCAACTATAGTTAACAATGATTCATTGTGTATTTCAAAAAACTAAAAGAGTGGAATTGAAATGTTTCTTACCCAAAGAAATGATAAATGCTTCAGGTAATGGATATCCCAATTATCCTGGTTTGATCATTCCGAATTTTGTGCCTATATTAAAGCATCACATGTACCCCATAAATATGAACAACTATTATGCATCCACAATAATTATAAAAACTCAGCACTTAATGCCTCTAAATTGACATATGTGACAAATTGACTGATGATATTAACACAGCTCAGGAAAGATTTCAAACAAATTTGTCTGTGAGTGTTTGTTGGCAGATGGCTGATTCGTAAAAGAAAAATAAGGACAAAGGAAGCCATATAAACCATTTTGCAATGGCCATAGAAGAACATGTTCATTCACAGCCTTGTGCCTTAAGGTCTTCCTCCCAGTTGCATTGCTCTGAGTGAGTGGGAAACACTAGGCTCCCAAAGCTAGCTGAGCTTGAGTAATTATATATTGAATCAGAGAGCTACTCTCTTTGGTCTGACAGTAACTTCAGTCTCACCAAGCCACCTCATAATAAATAGGGTTCCTGCTTGTCTTAGAAGGAGAATCCGCTAGTTACACTAACACAAATGTTCAATTTATTGACTATTGACATCTTTATTTCTCTTGTAATATATAAATTAACACCAGCTTTAAGCATTTGTTTCTTAGGAATTTTGTGAATGTGAATCAACCTCCACCCTGAAACACCAGCAAAATCAAGCATTAGGCTTGCAAGGCTGCCAGCAAGACTTTTGATAATGCTGAATTTTCTGCTGTTGCCTCTTCCTGGATGGCAGTGGTCTATAGTTATATACATTTCTCCCCACTTCCCCCATTAGAAATTGTGCAACAGCAAGAAAAAAATTCAAGAAAAATTTCCTGTAGATTTAGAGGAGGTTAAGATATTTCTAAATGTACATTTTTGTCATATTCATATATTAATTAAAAAACTTGAAAGTCCATGACTGGTAAAATTTTTTTTATAATTTAGCTGATGTGTACATTTAAACGGTGTCCACTTAAGGCTGTTGTGCAGCATTTGAGAATTATGTCAGTGAACTGACTAAATGTCCAAAATTCGAATCTCAGTTTCTGTTTGTTTCCCTCTTCATCTTCCAGGGAATTTTACACATTGTTCATTTGAGAAAGATAACTGGCAACAATAGCAGCAAGGCTGACAGTTAGTGTGGAGGGAGAAATTCAAAACATGTAAAAAAATTACATGATATTTTATTTAAAATTTTTATGTAATAATCATTTTCCCATGTCATTAAAATTATTTTAGACAGATTTATATAAACTGCATTTTTTTAGTATATGAATGTACCATATCTATTTCAATATTTCCCTTAGTTGGGAATGTTTTGCCCGTTTCTCACTCTTACTATTTTAATGAAGACTTAGTGGACGTATTTAAATATAAAAAACACACTTAAGGTGCAAAAGACAATTTTCTTAAAATATCTGAAATGTTTTTGTTTGGGAAAGAAAGCTGTTATCAAGTTTCTGGAAATGTTCACCAGATTAGAGGTTGTGTTCTATATTGTAGTCCATGATGTTAAATTTGACTTGGCTTACAGACCTTTCAGAAATAAATTCTGAGACTGCACTGTCCATCATAATCCCTCTTCCCATTTAAAGTGGGAGACTAGCAGTTACTCAAACAAGCAAGACACCTGTCAACACTTTGAGACTCACCTAGAAATCTGTTATATCCAGGAGTATTAAAACATTATGAAAATATATGTGGCTTTCTTTTCATGATTTTAGACAAGGACTACCATTCATTTCTCACTACTTGATGAAGAGAGTAGGTGAATTTGTATAAACATTCTTTGATGCTGAGTACAAACAACATTAAGGCGCTTTCACTGGAGTCAGATAAGTATAGTTCCAATTCTAATTCCTGAGATATTTGTTCATCTTTCTTTTAAGATGTGAAACATTCCTAGTTAAAGCTTATTTTGCCTTTCTTAGTAATCATAGTGCCTTTAATCTTGACTTTGTGTTTTAGGCTCTTTGCCAAGATGAATTTTCTGTCATTTTAAAAATTAGCATCTGGTGATAGTGAATGTCTATGTCTTTCAGAGATTATAGTGGACCAATATGTTATATGATAGTGTAAGGATTTTAAAAATTGTAAAATACTTAATATATACTTTTTATTTTATTTAGGGTATGCTGTATCTTGACATCAGGGAAAGAAAGCATGTACCCTTACACTTTGACTTGTAGTCCTCTTCTTCAAATTAGCATCTTAATAAAATATCTTTCACATTTTATATGTTGCTTTTTGACATCGAATCAAAAGCACTTTTCATTTAACTGTTTGGTTATTATCTTCCATAAGTCATTTCTCTCTCTCTCTCTCTCTCTCTCTCTCTCTATATATATATATATATATATATATAATTTTTGAAACCCAGAAAATATATAAAATATAGAATACTGAATATATAAAGCATATAAAAACATTTACTAGTTGACTTATAACACACAAGATTGAATATTTTCCATTAAGTGGAGATTTCTTCTGGTCATAATAATTTTCCTCACTTTAGCACTGCATTTAAAACCACAGATTCTGATACTAGCCAGCCTCAGTCTTATAAAGTAGAAATTGTATGACCTTAAATAAATTATACTTCTTGTACTACAGTTTCCTCATCTATAAAATATGGAGAATTATAATTACTTATGCAGCTATTAACATGATCACAAGGATATATAAATTAGTTAGCATGGTCTTAGACAAACAGATTCATTAAGAGAGCAAATATTTGCTATAATTACTGTAATATTTTCCAGGATTAGGCTTTATCAAAAATGAAAAAGGAAATATTTCATTCCCTTTTTAACTCTTAATATGTATAAATAGTTGTGATTAGGTGATCCAATGTATCAAATTATAATTATTATTACTGTTATTATTTTAGGCATATACAAATATTCTATGATTTTGTGTTATGATGCTGGAATGATATGTAAACATGTTTCAAATTAAAACATATTGTGGGTTTTCTTATTTTAAACTGGCATTTTAAAAATTACTTTAAAGCCTACCCCCAATTCTCTTCTCTAAATAGAATTGCCACGTAACAGATTCACTTACAGCTCTGGTTACCACTTAGAAACATGATTTGAATTGAGATTCCCCATGTCATTTACTAGCCTAACTCATGCCTCTCATAGAATTATATCAATCAATACTAATTGAGGGCTCAGAGTGTGCATGGCTCTGGATGAGCTATTTTAATTTAAAAGGTAGAAATGCATTAAATACCTGCAGCATTTAGCCTGAAGTAGTTTTTGATAATTAAACCTAATCAGAACAATTTCATTTATCTTTTTATGCATTTGGTCAAACTTGCTTAACGATTTATTCGTTCATTTGCTCCAAAAACTATTATTAGTGCTATTATGAGTCAAGCACTGTACTAATACCAGAGACTAGAAAGAAAATCTGATCACAACCTTTCTCTTTGGAGGCTCAAAATCTACTAGTAAATTAGTCAAGGAAACATATATTGATACCCATATGATAAGTGAGCAAAGTGCCTTTGGAACATGGAAGAAAGATCTTTCACTGCCTGAAAGAGCCAGTAAAAGCTTGCTAGATGAAGTACTTGAAGAAAAGTTAAATGACTTTATTTTGCTAGCAATAATTAATCCCATTAAAGAAATTTTTGTAAATGTAACTAAGCTAAGCAATTAAATTCAACTTTTAAGACCTTACCACTCAAACGTAATTATTGCCAACATATTAATGATTATACTTGTCAGTGAAAAAAAAAAATCTGTGTGTGTGTATGCACACCCATACCCACACAGACATACCCAGGTACACACACACACACACACACATATATATATATAAAATATATATATTTGTGGATATATATATACACATACATATATGTATACACACAAATACAGCCACAGAAACATACACCCAACTATATTTAGTATTTAATACTTCATATTCTTGCTTTATAATTTTTCTTGATCATATTTGCATGTAAAAATATCTACTTGATATGATTTTATAATGACTAGAATTCCATGATACAGATGTACCATAAATTATTTAACTGATCTTATTTTGTGGGACATTTAGATTTTTTTTCATTCTATCCTACTGTAATGATCAACCTTGCAGAATACATTTAGTACACTGCTTATTATTTTCATAAGATAAGTACTTAAAAATAGCCAAATAAAATAGTATGTGTATTTTAACCACAGTTAAGTATGGCCAGCTAGCCTATTAGACATGTAAGCCGGTTTTCAGTTTCACTACTAGCTTACAAGTTTCCAAACACATTCATTTTTCTTTTTAAACTTTTAAAACTTTGTAGAAAAGAGCTAAGGTTGTTTTAGTCTTTATTTCTTAATTACTATTGGAGAAAACAATTTACTTTTCTTTCTTTAAAACTTGCTTTTACAAATCTTAGTTTCTTTTTCTAAGGAAGTCTATTTCCCTATTGGTTTGTAAGGTCCTTCTGTGTATTAAAAGTCTAAGACTTTGCATGTACCAGAGAAGCACTGTGTATCAAATAAATTAAGGAGATATGGATTTTTTCACTGAATATCTATTCTGAAACTTTATGCTCTAAAGATGGACATAATGTTTTATATATCCACAAGATAGGAATGTTGTTAGGAGCATTTACCAAAACATATTTGATTATGGAAACCTTTATTTTTCCTATTAACAACCTCAACACTGAAGATACTGTATCCAAAGTATTGAGTACAATATATCTTTGTAACAAAGGTCAAAAATATCTCATTATATGTTAATTGTATGCTTATTATATGTTAATTAGCATGCTAAAAGACACTCCCTAACATGCCATGGCACTGTCATGCCATTACAGTTTACAAATGCTATGGCACCCTCTGGAAGTTACCCTATATGGTCTCAAATGTGGAGGAATCCTCAGTTCTGGGAAATCCCTTTCCTGGAAAACTCATGAATAATACACTCCTTGTTTGGCATATAATCAAGAAATAACTTGAGCATTGAGCAGTCCATGCCACTGCTCTGCCTATGGAGTTAGCCATTCTTTATTCCTTTACTTTCTTAACAAACTTGCTTTCACTTAAAAAAAGAAAGAAACAGCATAAGGAGTAGAGGAAGGAAAATGTGTGAAAACGAAGGAATTTTTTATCAAGATGCAAGATGCATGAACGGAGAGCTAATAGAAATAGTGTAGAGCTAGGTTTGGTCAGATGTGTATTTGAATCAAAATCAGTGTTCCCTGGGAAAGCAACAGGGTTCTACGTAAGGGATATACAATCAGAGAAAACGACAATAAAGAAAGAAAGAAAGAAAACCCATGCTGGTTTATGATGGCATCACAAGAATTTTAAATTATGTACATATGAATGTGTTCCATTGTAGTTTTTTCTTCTCTTAGAGAGTTTGCCTTTTATCGGAAAGAATCAACTAAACTTTAAGAACCTATTTGAGAAATCTCACTTTTAAATGATGTGGCATTAAATTATATTAATGGTTTGTAAGTACAGTAAGATTACTGGTATTATTAGTTAGATTTATCACAGGAACTTTAGATTCCTTTCACTGCATTTCACTGCATTATAAAATTTCCTTAAGCTGGATAAAGAACAAGGCAGAAACCATCTTCAGGATCAAGAAGCTTACACAGTAGCAGAACTGCCGTTTAAAGCTGTTATGAGTATATTTCATATAAGCAAACAGTTTCAAAACTGTTCAAATATTTATGATAAGATATTTGTTGCAATTGTCTCAAATATGAGGAAAATGTCTCTTTTTCCAAATAGCTTTGGTTAAGTGGTAGTTAGAATCTCTGAATCTTCATTGAAATTTTTCGCTGACAAGCAAATAATGTTGGCATCCTGACTTTCACTTTCCAAAAGCATACTCAATGTTGTCTACAGATAGAAAGCCAGGCATGAATTCTGGAATATTTAATCCTAATCTACTTTTATATATAATTCAAGTACTTCTGTGCAAGGGTAATCTTGACTGCTGGATTTACTGCAGGTGGGTTTGGAAGGGAACTAATTTGGGTCCAGGATTAGCTGGATATGTTAGAGAGAACAATTTGCTAGATTGCTGATTCTGATGTTAATAACCCAGATGTTAGTAAAAGCTGCCAGCTGGGAACACAATGACCAAATTCCCTGTGTATGTACTCTAATGATAATGAGTGAGTCATCTGACCACAACTAGCATTCTTGGCTTAACTATTAAGGTTATAATCTCATTGCCTCAGTTTAAGACAGAGTGTAGATATTTAACAATATGAATGCTGTTAAAAAATCCACTGTTTGCTATTTTTGTGCACTCAAAATATAATCTGCCTTTATGTTTTGATTGTTTCATCTTCATGATGAATTATGCCTAAATTATGCATACAAAGTCTAATTTTATTTCACTTCTACTCAGTATTGGAAAGTACAGAAATGTATAGTAATCTACAGACATCAGTCCACAACCGTACCCCTAACCAGCTCTTAAGAGCAATGCTTCAGGAAATCATTTGAATTAGACATAAAAGAGCCAACATTTGAAATGATAGTAAATATTCTCTCTCACCTTCGTTACATGGCTATAAGCAACTAGAAAAGTTAAGGATATAGTGAAACAAAGCTTCATCTTAAGTAAAAATGAAGATGAAACAAAGGTGACATTAATTTTTACATTAGCACTGTTTCCGTTTGTGGACGAATGAACCACATCAATGGGAATTTAGCTCAGCATGTTGGTCATTACGTACAACTGATTCAGTTCTACGGTATATAGTCTAAACGTGTGTCTCTGTCAGATGTGGCTGTTTTTATTTTTCATGGTTTGAGACAATGAGATCTATGGCTGCGGTGCCCCACATTTTTCTCCTAATGTTTTCCATCACATAGAAAAAGTCATCTGGGAAGATACTTGAAATTAAACTATTAACATCTGTGTATAATTCAAATCAGACATATAATAATAGATTTTTAAATTCTTTTTGTTGATAATGAAAGGCAAAGGGAATCTATGTAATTATATTATTTTTTTCAAACTTACTTAGAATTATGTGAATACTTTTTTCAATAGCCCACCTATATCCTTGTGAGTAAAATGTGAGGTAAACACTAAGGAGGTCACCAACTTCCCAAGTCTATTGACTTACATATGGATGAAAATAGAGAACATTTATAGTTAAGCATATTCTATAAACTCTCGCCTTTGTGCACAGCATGAAAACATTTCAGAGCTCCTCAGATTGATTAAGAGAAATGCCTCATTAAATAGCATAGAGCTCCATGCAGTATTATAAAAACAGCATGGACAGTGTTATAAAAAGTTATTTGTTAGATCAAGAAAAGAGAAATATCTGTGTAGAAACCAGAGAATTTCTGGGACCTAAAGACAGGATAGCAAAACTATTAAATTGAAGTGAATAAAATAATTTCTTTGTGCAAACACAGTATTTCAATATATAAACCAGTAATGAGTCGATGGGTGGTATAGAGTACAATATGGGAAATGTAATTATTCCTCTTGAATTTAAAGAAAATATTTAAAGCGTATTATGTTAAAATATGATGTTTACTCTGGGTTTTTGTTATCAAACTGAAGTTCCTTCCTGTTCTATTTTTTCTGAGATATTTTATTATTAATAATTAGTGATTTCCTGAATTCCTTAAAATAATTAAGTTGGTTTTCCCCTTTAATCTATTAAAACATTAATTACATTATTAAATTTTCTAAGCCCAAATAATATTTTCAGTTCAAAAATTAAATCTTATTTGGTCATATTATGTTTATGTATACATCCTGGATTTAATTTGATAGTATTTACTTGGTATTTCTGCAACTACGACACAAGTGAATTTGAGCTACATTACATTTTGCACACTAGCATTATTTTATTTTTGTGTTAAAATGAGCTGAACCTAATACATAGAGCTTAGAAGTCTTCAAATTCTGCTTTGATTCTGGACCATTTGTTGAACTTTTGGTATTGCTTACCTGTAAGTCTTTAAATTCTTGTGCTTTTTAAAAATGACTTTTAAAAAGAAAACATTGATTTTTGTAATTGTGTGTTTTATAATTATTCTTCAGCCAATTTGGCAAGGTTATTTTCCATATAATTTTCCTGGAAGTAATTTATTTCCATATTGTTATTCTTGATTCCATTAGGATATCTCAATCAGTATAGTTTCTATATTTAGATGCCATTTAAAATTCTAGCAATCTTTTTTTATACATTTATTTATTGCCTTTCAGAAACCAAGGAGGACAAAAGAAAGCAATGCATTTTTAAAGTGTTATAAGAAAATAACTGTCACCTGAGTTGCTTTTCTAGTTATAATATTCTTTAGAAATGAAAGAGAAGTAAAAATGTTCTCAAATTAAAAACAAGAAAATACTAGCCCTTATACTTGCTCTAAATTGTTAAAAAGTAGCTCTTAAATGAAAGAAAATATTAGAGTGAAACTTAGAACATCAGAAATAAAAGACATTCAAAAAAACTTGAATATCTGGCTAAATTTAAAAATATATTCTCTTCCAATTGAGTTATTTAAAATGTGTCTGTCAATTCAAAGCAAAATTTATGATTGGCTAAACAGTGTCCGTGTATATAGATGTAGTTTAGAAGAAAACTATAGCCTAAAGGAGGAGAGGGTAAAGTAAAATATAAGGTAGTAACATTTCACCATTAAAACTGAAGTAGTAAACTATTGATTATTAGTAAATTGTAAAACATTGAGAACTTTCTGTGTAGTTTCTAAAGCAATCACTAAAACAATATATTAAAATGGCATAGTTAAAATCACAATACATGTTTTAAAATAAAATATATAAAAAGTCATAATAATCCAAAAGTTTGAAAAAAAAGGGGAATAAATGGAAGAAAAAATACTAGAAGGAACAAAGAGAAAACAAGAAAACTGGTCGACCTAAATTTATGCATATCAAAAATTGCATTAAACGTAAATGGTCTAAGTGTAGCAATAAAAAGACAGAAATGGGAATGGGGCATGGAGCAGCTGTGTGCTCTACAGAAGAAACTCACTTTAACTATAATGGTATTGATATCCTAAATGTAAATTGATAAGAAAAGTTATATATTGCAAACACTAATAAAAAATAACTGAAATGGCTGTATTGATACCAGACAAATAGGCATCAGAGCAAAGAAATTAACAGAAATGAAGACAGACATTACATATGACAAAAGTATTAATTCATTGAGATGACACAACTATCCTAAATGTGTATGTACCTAACAACACAGCTTCAGAATACATGGAGCTAAAACAGATAATACTGAAAGAATAAATAAATAAAGCCAGAATTATAGTTGGAGACATTTCTAAGTAATAGAAAGAACTAGTAGAGAAAAAATCAACAACAATATAGAGGAATTTAAAATACCACCAAACAACATAGTATAATTGACATTTATAGAGCACTCCATACAGTCAAGGCAATAGCATATGAAAAGTTGCTATTGGTCAGTTAAAAATATTGGTCAGTTAAAAAACACATTTCAGCCTACTGGAGAAAACAAGTAGACTTAAGAAAAGTAGAAATATTTTTAACAAAATACAAAAAAATGCATTATATCAAAATTTGAGAGAGAGCTGAAGCAAAATGTAAAGTGAAGTTTAGAATATGAAATGTGTATATTGAAAGCAAGAAAAATCTCTAAATGGTAATCTAAACCTCTAAGAAATGTAGGAGTGAAAAGAGAAAATTAGACCCAAAGATGGTACAGGAAAAAATAATGAAGATTAGATGAGCAATTATTGAAATAGAAAATAAAGAAAAAATAGAATAAAGGCAAGTTTTACAAATGCCAAAATCAGACAAAAGTATAACAAGAAAGAAAACATAGGCATCAAAAAATATGGACACAAGCATTTTCAACAACATATTAAGTTCAACAATGCTTCAAAAAAGATAATGCAGCATGTCTCACCTGAGAATGCAAAGCTGCTAAACTGTTGAAAATCGCCTGATATACTTTACCATATATAACAAACTAAAGAAGAAAAAATTACATGATTATTATAACAGAAATAGAAAAGGGAAATACAATATCTCTTTATGAGAAAAGGTCTCAAACATTAGAAATAAAATGAAACTTTCTTAAACCCATAAAGGATCCTTACAAAAATGTCTAAAGATAATATAATATTTAATGATGAAAAACTGAATGACTTCTCCCAAGACTGATAAGAAAAAATGTCCACTTTTGCCTCTCCTATTCGATATTATACTATAACTGTATTTAGTGCAATAGGGAAACAAATGTGTACATGATATATAGATAGATAATGATTGCTATATAGTTAGATGATGATGAATATATAATCACATTCTGATAGAGATTGATAACCATATTTCCTCCATATTTGTTAAAAATTAAATTTATTAAAGATAAACTTTCAACAAAGGAAACTACAGGCTTATAAATCTCATTGATGATTTGTAAGTACTTATATAGATAGATGGATGGAGAGATAAACACTTAGAGAGAAATAAAATAATCTCAATTGTTAGCTATATTGATGGAATAAAAGCAAGAAACACATGATTATCTCAAACGGCGCAAAAAGGTATTTGAAAAATATTAGTACCCCCTCCTTATGAAAACACTAAGAAAACTGGAAATATAATTCAACTTATTCACCTAATAAAGTACATCTACAAACATCTAGATACTTTCTCCCTAGGATCAGGAACAAGATAAAAATATCCACTGTCACCATTTCTATTTTCTAGCCAGAAAATTTAGGCAATAAAATAAAATAAAATTGATATATACATTACAATGGAAATAACAAAATTATCCTTGTCTGCCAATGGCATCATGTTGTAAATAGAAAATCCTAAGGACTTAGAATTCTCTAAAATATATTAGAGCTAATAAACTGGTTCAGTAACGTGGCAGGATACAAGATCAATATACAAAAATTAATTGCAATCCATCTATTAACACAAGAATGGGGGGAGAGAGAGAGAGGTATTGGCTTATACAATTGTAAGCGTTGGCAAATCCAAAATCTGCAGGGCAGGGTGGCCAACTTCAGATTCTGGGAAAAGGTAATGGTGCAGTTCCATTATGAAGGCAGTTGGGGGCAGAATTCTTTCTTCTTTGGGAAACCTCAGGTTTTCCCTTAAGCCTTCAACTAATTGGATGAGGACCACATAAATTATGTATGGTAATCTCCTTGTTCTCAAAGATCATCCATGTAAATCTTTTTTTTTTTTTTTTTTTTTTTTTTTTTTTTTTTTTTGAGACAGAGTCTCACTCTGTCACCCAGGCTGGAGTGCAATGGTGTGGTCTCGCCTCACTGCAACCTCTGCCTCTCAGGTTCAAGCTATTCTCCCACCTCAGCCTCCTGAGTAGCTGGGACTACAGGCACGCACCACCACACTCAGCTAATTTTTGTATTTTTAGTAGAGACGGGGTTTCACTATGTTGGCCGGCTGGTCTTGAACTCCTGACCTTATGATACGGACACCTCGGCCTCCCAAAGTGCTGGGATTACAGGCGTGAGCCACTGCGCCCAGCCCATTGATGTAAATCTTAATATCATCTAAAAAATAGCTTCATAGAAATATTTAAATTAGTGTCTGGCCAAAAACTGGATTCCATGACCTAGCCAATTTAACAAAAAAATAATCATTACAATTAGCAATGGAAGTCCAAAATGAAATTAAGAAACCTATTGAATTTACAGTAGCACCAAAATAAAATAAAATTTTTAGAAATAAATTTAATAACAAATACAACACATACTCTGAAAATGATGAAACTTTACAGAAAAAATTAAATAAATGGAAAGATATTTCATAGATCAAAAGACTTAATGTTATTAAGATGATAATATTCTCCAAATTGATCTATGAATTCAACCCAACTCTTTCAGAAATGCAGTAAGCTTCTTGCAGAAATTGACCAGCTGATCCTAAGAATAGTTTTGAAATTCACGGAAACTAAATAGCCAAAATAATCTTGAAAAAGATGTTGGAGGACTGATACCCTGTAATTTTGAAACTGACTAGAAAGCAACAGTAATTGAGGCATATCAGTGGAATGTAACTGAAAATCAGAAATACACCTACACATCTATTGTCAGCTGATTTTCAGCAATGGTGCCAAGACCATTTCATGAATAAAAAATAGTTCTTTTGATACACGGTTCTAGGACAACTGGATAAACATATGGAAAACACTGAAATTAAACCTATGCATCACACTATATAAAGTTAATTCAAGATGTATCAAATACCTAAATGTAAAAGCAAAACTGTAGAAATCTTATAAAACAGCAGTAAATCTTTATTATTTTAAAGTTGAAAATAGAGTCTTATTTATGATACCACCACCACAAGCAACAAAAGAAAAAAATGATATAATTGGACTTCATAAAAATAAAAACATATTTGTTCAAAGGACACTATTAAGAAAGTGAACAAACAATCCACAAAATAGAAGAAAAAATTAAAAAATTATATACCTAACAAGGGACTTGCATCCCTAGAACATATAAGGAACTTTCACAACTCAAAAATAGCAGAAAATGACCCAATTAAAAATAGACAACCGAAATAAAAATATTTTAAAAGAAGTTGTACAGATAACCACTAAGCCCATGAAAAGATTCTCAGCATCATTAAATCATCAGGGAAATACAAATGAAAATCATATTGCAATGCTTTGTATCCACTTGAATTAATAGAATCAAAAAGATAATACCTAGTCTTGCTGAGAATGTGGAGAAATAAGAACCCCTCATACATTGCTTTCATGAATATAAAATGAGGCAGCTGCTTTGGAAAAGTCTGGAAGTTTCTCAAAAAGTTAAATATAGAGCTACTAATTTACACAGCAATTCCACTCCTAGGTGCAATTATATTCCACTTCAAGAAAAAAAATGATATATTCACACAAAAACTTGTACACAAATGTTTAGTGCAGGAATAATCATATTAGTTAAAAGATGCAATCAACCCATATATTAATGAACTAATAAATAGATAAATAAAATGCGAGATACCCATACAATGGAATATAATTTGACCTTAAAAGGAATGGAGTACTGATACATGCTACAACGTGAATAAACTTTAAAAACATTATGCTAAGCGGAAGAAGCCTGTCACAAAAGACTCGATCTTATAAGACTCCATTTATATGAGATGTCCGGAATAAGCAAATTTATAGAACTAGAACATAGATTGCTGGTTGCTTACGGATGAGAAAATACAGGATTGGGAGTGATGAGTAAAGGTTAAGGAGATTATTTGGAGGTCATGAAAATGTTTTCACATTGACTATGACAATGGTTGCTTAACTCTGTGAAGATTAACTAAAATATATTAAACTACACATCTTAAATGGGTGAACTGTATGCTATGCAAATTATATCTGAATAAAATTGTTACCAAAAAAGCTATTTAAAGAAAACATGATTGTCTTGATAGAAAATCCTGAGTAGTCTACATCAGCTAGATTCTCACTTAAAACTAATAAGTGAGTTGACGGTGTCTCGGTACACAAGGTTAATTTTATGGGTTGAGTTGTGTCCCCCTTAAAAATGTGTATGTTGAAGTCTTCACCCCCAGTACCTCAATATGTGGTCTTGTTTGGAAATAAGGCATAGAAGATATGAATTAACATGAGATCATGCCGGAATAGGATGGACTTCTCATCCTGTATCACTGATGTTCTTTTTTCAAAAAAGAAATTTTGGCACATACACAGGCGCACACACAGACAAAGAATATTATGTGAAGAGATTATGCTGATGCTTTTACAAGACAAGAAACAGCAAAATTACTATAATATCACCAGAAGCTAGAGAAGAGACACAGAACATATTTTGGTACTGGGAAGTGAGGTGCTGATAGATAAAAATACCCAAAAATGATGAAGTAACTTTGGAGTTGGGTAATGGGTAGAGACTGAAAAAGTTTTGAGGCACATGATAGAAAAAGCTTAGATTGGCTTAAAGAGACTGTTGGTAAAGTACTAACATTTGACATTAAAGGAGATTCTGGTGAATGCTCAGAAACAAAAGAGTGGAACTATATGAACAACCTCTCTCAGAGAATACATATATTATTATAAGCAGAATGGTTCTTGAAATATAAATGGTGCTTCTGGTGAAGTTTCATATAGAAATGAAGAACATATTGTACACTAATAAGAAAGGTAATCATTGTTATAAAGTGGCAGAGAACTCGAAAGAATTGTATTCTTGTTGATGGAAAGTAGAACTTTAACTGATCAACTTCAATATTTAACTGAGGAAATTTCTAAACAGATTATCAAAAGTGCAGCCTGGTCCTTCCTTTGGCCTATAAATGTGAGAAAAGAGATAAATTGAAGAGGTAATTGATAAGCAAAAGGAAAACAGAACTTGAAAATGTGGAAAACTTGTAGCCAGTCCATACTGCAAAATGTTAGAAAGCTTGCTGTGGACAGACCATCATGGGCACGGATGAACAATCAGTTGAAAAAGACATTAGTTATAGAATTTGTGGATCCAATCAACCATCTCAGCAGAAATATTGCAATTTTGAACTGAAAAGGACAGAGATGAAACAAAGGAAGGAAGATGAAATAAAGGATGAGATGAAATAAAACCCCAACTTATGGAATTTTATAGGCAGGAAATGGGTCAATGAAGATGTCTGGCTGTGGACATGTGCTATGCTTCAATAAAGGGAAAAACTGATGCTAAGGGTGGGGCCACTTCCTACGTTCTAAAGGGTGGGCTGCATATCAGGGCAGAGGGTAGGGTGGCCTCCTGAGTGGGCCAGAAAAAGAAAGCATCAAGGTAAGGGGATTATTATTATTTCTCAAGCCTTGAACTCTAGTGGAATTTCCTTGCTAGGTTTTAAATTTGTCTGGGATACATTATCCCTTTTTTTCCTTCAGAATTCTCCCCTTTGAAATGGAAACATCTATCCTATGACAATCCTACCATTGTATTTTTGGAAGCAAATAACCTTTCAGTTCCACTGACAAAGAGAAATTTTGTACCAGAATGAATACTCTCAGTTTCACCCACACTTAATTCAGATAATATTTGGATGAAATTTGGGATTTAGGGTTAATGCCATTAAGACTTCTAAGAGTGTTGGAATGGGGTGAATACATTTAGCATGTGAGAAAAGGTGAATTTTTGGGAGAAAAGGGTAAACTATTATGAATTGAGTTGTACACGCTCAAATTTTGTATGCTAAAGTCTTAGCTCCCAGTACACCAGACTGTGACCTTATTTGGAAAAAGGGTTCTTGCACATACAACTAGTTAGGATGAAGTTGTACCAGAGTATTAAACCTGTAGTGGTCCCCTAATCCAACATGAGTGAGGTCCCTACTAGAAGCAGAAACTTGGACATAGACACAGAGTTGCATAGAAGAAAGACAATATGAAGAGACACCGGGTGAACATGGCAATCTGTAAGCCAGGGAGGGAAGCCTGGAACAGATTCTTCTTTTATAGCCCTCAGAGGGAACTAACTCTGTAGAGAACTTGATTGTGAACTTCTAGTCTCCAAAACTGGAAGACAATAATTTTCTGACATTTTATCAAACCAGTTTGTGCTAATTTGTTAGGGCAGCCCTACTAAACTAATAAAATATATAAAAATCAATATAATTTCTATCTACTAGCAAGAAACTATTTGAAATTTAAATTAAATACACAGAACCATTTAAGTAGCACCAGTAAGATATAATGCTTATAAATCTAAATATGCATTTAGATATATGCCAGATGTGCATAGTGAAAATGACACAAGACTGATAAAAGAAATAAAAAAAGACCTGAATCAATAGATATTTTGTGTTCATGTATTTGAAGACTTAAGTTGCCAAATTCTCCTAAACTGATTCTAATTTCAATAATATCCCAATCAAATCATAGCAATTTTTGTAGATACTGACAAACTCATTTTCAAATTTGTTTGAAAAGGCAAAGTAATTATAAAAGAAAGACTTTTTAAAAAATTGATCAAATATGGAGGACACACACCACCTGATTTCAAAACTTAAGAAGCTAAAGTAATTTTTTAGTCTGGTTTTGGTAAAAGGGTACACACAGATGCAGCAGAATAGAATATCCATATACATGCCCACACAATGTGATCAATTAATTTTTGACAAAGATGCACAGGCAATTAGTTTGGAAAAAAAGATAATACTGTCAAAGAAGATGCTGGAAAATTTAATATCCATATGTAAAAATAAACCTTAATATATACCTCACATATTATGCAAAAACTATCTCAAAATGTATCATAGACCTAACTATAAAAGCTAAACTTTGAAGCTGTTATAAGAAAACATAGGAGAAAACATTTGGTAAAAAGTTTTTATATATGACTCTAAAATCATAATATGTTTTAAAAAAAGTTGACAAGTTGGACTTCAGCAAAATTAAAGTTAAAAGCCAAACCAGAGACTGAAGTAACATATTTGCAAATCACAATTTGACAAATGACTTTTATTAGAATATATAATAAATAACCCAATTTAATAAAAAGAAACTGAGGGTTTTAGGTTTTAGTCATTTCAACAACAACAAAAAAACAATTAGAGTGGAATTTTAAAAATTGAAAATACTAAATTATGGCACAGATGAGAAGCAACTGTAATTCTCATACACTGCTGATAGGAAGACTACTGGTACAACCACTCTAAAGAATAGTTATGCCATTTCATATGAAGTTAAATATACACTTACTGTATAATATGGCTATTTTACTTTTAGTGTTTTAGATTAAAAAATGAAAACTTATATACACAGAAACCTCTATGCAAAAGTTTGTAGCAGTTTTATTCACTGCCACCCCAAGATGGAAACAACACATATGTGCTTAAACTGGTCAGTGGCTAGAAAATCTGTGGCACATCCACACAGTGAAATGCTACTCAACTTTATAATCAAATGTTACAAATTATCGACACACACAAAACATCAGTGAATCTAAAATGAATTATGACAAATGAAACAAGTCACTCAGAATAATGCATATCATCTGACTCCATTTGTAGACATTTTGGAAAAAACAAAACTGTAGAAGAGAAAGCAGATTTGTGTTTTCTAAAGCTTAGAGGTGGAGAAAAGATTTGAATACAAATAACTAAAACTAAAGGAATTTATTTCGGATGATAGGACTGTCCTGAGTCTTGTTTGTTGTGATGTTTACATGACGCTGCATTTGTCAAATTCATAAAACTGTAGAATCAAAAGAGTGAGCTTTACTATATTAAATTAAAAACAGACAAAATAGTATTTGTCTTACAGTCTAAGTATTACCCTAGTCCAACAATAGATTCTCTGCAAAATTTAAGTATGCATTAGACAAAAAGCTTAAATTGCAAATATTGATATTCTATAGGTCTAATTCATTGACTAAAAATTTAACAAAATTTTAAACTAACAAATGAGAGTTCAAAATATGTCTAGCCTAAATATTCTAAAACACACTTTAAATTATTCTTGGGTTTGAAGAAGAAATCAGAAAGAAATTACCAAGTGCTTTGAGTGAAATGACAATGATAGTTCTAAATATTAAACCTGTGTGAAGAAGTCAAAGTAGCTTTCTGATAAATAAATTGAATTTTTTGAAATGATTGCAAATATTTGAACAAAAGCTTCTATCCAGAATTAGCCAAACTCAAACTCAAGGGTAAGGGTGCAGTCCTCTAGAATGCCAATTTTCCCCATGATTTTCACTCCAGCTGTAAGGAATTAAAGTCAAACAGAAAGTGAGAGGCAAGAGTCCATACAAGATTACCCTCACATCAGATGCCAAATGCAAATTCAGGGTTTCTCCAAATCACCCTCCGTTTTGATGATTCACTAAAAAGACTCACAGAACTTAGTGAAAGCTAATGTCACACCTACTGTAGAGGAGTGAAAGTACAAATTGTTTCTCACAAGGAATGAGTGCCACTCTTCAGTTTTTAAGCAGAGAAGGAACATGCTGGATCTGTATTTTGGACAGGTAACTGTGTCATACGTAGAGTTTGGACTGGGGAGGGAAGATGAAAGCAGGAAGACAAGTTGATTAGAGTCTGAACTAGTGGAGATAAAACAGGAATATTTGCTTGCTTACTTTTAAACATGTGATGGTATTTAAATGTAGTTTATCTGAGTTAATTTCTCTGCTTTTAAAATTAATTTTAGTTATCCTGCATTTTCCTATTAGCATAATTTGATCTAATTGCATGTTTAATGTAAATAGCTTTAATCACATAATTGGTATGTGTTAATGACATAATTTTACTGATGTAATAAAATCTTTAAAAGGCATGGGTAAACATAAGCCTATCACACAGCAGGGATGTGCTCCTTGAGGTCAGAGACTGTGGGAAATGGAAGGAAGCATATATTATCCAGTTCAACCCACTCATTTTAACAAGTGACATTTTACCAAATATTACAGAATGGTCATTTGTGTACCATCTGCTAAATCCATTAAAAAAATCTCAATACACAAAGTAGGATTAATTTGTTAAAAGATAAAAGGAACAAGGCCTTTAAGGAATGTACTAGGTGAGGAAGATTTGGGGATAAAGAATAGTTTGATGTATGGGAGGATTCTCAGCTCATTTAACTCATTCACTTATTTATTCATCTGAGATTTACCAGAAATCCAACTTTTCTAGGACTTTGTGCCCAGGTCTTGTTGACCACAGAATATTAGATCTGAAGCACTGTATTGCACTGCTTCTCATGAATAAGACCTCCTATGCAGTAATAAAAGTAGACATTGATGTGAATCATACAAAATAAAGTAGAATGTTCTATAATAGTATAGCAAAGCACTAAGTGTTATCATAAAGGAATGAATAATGAATGTTGCTTTTAGTAACTTAGGAAGACTTTGAAGAGGGAATGATAAATGAGTTTCATCTTAAATGAGGAGCAGGAATTTAACAGATAAAATAGAGGGCAAAGCCAATTCTGTCAGAAGTAGTAACTTTTTTAAAACATAAATTATTATTACAAAGCCTAGCATGCCTGCATGCTGCAAGGATTTGTGTGGAGAGCATTTAGTCTGAAGCTAGAATATAAAGGACAAAACTTGCCATACTGAAATTGAGTGCTGCTTATAGAAAATAAAAAATTGGTGAAGGCTTTTAAATCTAGAAAGTTATGTGATCAGAATTGTGTTTTAGAATGACAGTTCTGGGGAGAGCATGAGGGTGGCTTAAAGGCACAACATGAGTTACAAATCAGTAAGACTGAAGGTTTTAAAAAAATTGTTTAAACAGGTGGTTGTAGATGTATGGCATTATTTCTGAGGACTCTGTTCTGTTCCATTGGTCTATATATCTGTTTTGGTACCAGTACCATGCTGTTTTAGTTGCTGTAGCCTTGCAGTATAGTCTGAAGTCAGGTAGCGTGATGCTTCCAGCTCTGTTCTTTTTGCTTAGGATTGTCTTGGCTATATGAGCTCCTTTTTGGTTCCGTATAAAATTTAAAGTAGCTTTTTCTAATTCTGTGAAGAAAGTCAATAGTGGCTTAATGGGGATAGCATGGAATCTATAAATTACTTTGGGCAGTATGGCCATTTTCATGATATTGATTCTTCCTATCCATGAGCATGGAATGTTTTCCCATTTGTTTGTGTTCTCTCTTATTTCCTTGAGCAGTGATTTGTAGTTCTCCTTGAAGAGGTCCTTCACATCCCTTGTAGGCTGGATTCCTAGGTATTTTATTCTATTTGTAGCAATTGTGATGAGAGTTCACTCATAATTTGGCTGTTTGTCTGTTACTGGTGTATAGGAATGCTTGTGATTTTTGCACATTGATTTTGGATTCTGAGACTTTGCTGAAGTTGCTTATCAGCTCAAGGAGATTTTGGGCTGAGACAATGGGGTTTTCTAAATAGACAATCATGTCATCTGCAAACGGAGACGATTTGACTTCCTCTCTTCCTATTTGAAAACCTTTCATTTCTTTCTCCTGCTTATTGCCATGGCCAGAACTTCCAATACTATGTTAAATAGGAGTGGTGAGAGAGGACATCCTTGTCTTGTGCCAGTTTTCAAAGGGAATGATTCCAGCTTTTGCCTATTCAGTATGATAATGGCTGTGGGTTTGTCATAAACAGCTCTTATTCTTTTGAGATACGTCCATCAATACCTAGTTTATTGAGAGTTTTTAGCCTGAAGGGGTGTTGAATTTTATCGAAGGCCTTTCTGCGTCTATTGAGATAATCATGTGGTTTTTTTCATTGGTTCTGTTTATGTGATGGATTATGTTTATTGATTTGCATATGTTGAACCAGCCTTGCATCCCAGGGATGAAGCCAACTTGATTGTGTTGATTAAGCTTTTTGATGTGCTGCTGGATTTGGTTCGCCAGTTTTTAATGGAGGATTTTCTCATCGATGTTCGTCAACCTGACAAAAACAAGCAACTGGGAAAGGATTCCCTATTTAATAAATGGTGTTGGGAAAATTGGCTAGCCATATGCAGAAACCTGAAACTGGACCCCTTCCTAACATCTTATTCAAAAACTATCTCAAGATGGATTAAAGACTTAAAGTAAGACCTAAAACCATAAAAACCCTAGCAGAAAACCCAGGCAGTACCACTCAGGACATAGGCATGGGCAAAGACATCATGACTAAAACACCAATAGCAATGGTAAGAAAAGCCAAAATTGACAATTGGGATCTAATTAAACTAAAGAGTTTCTGCACAGCAAAAGAAACTACCATCAGAGTGAACAGGCAACCTACAAAATGGAAGAAAATTTTTGCAATCTATCCATCTGACAAAGGGCTAATATCCAGAATCTACAAAGAACTTAAACAAATTTACAAGACAAAAACAAACAACCTCATCAAAAAGGTGGGTGAAGGATTTGAACAGATGTTTCTCAAAAGAAGACATTTATGCACCCAACAAACATATGAAAACTCATCACTGGTTGTTAGAGAAATGCAAGTCAAAACCACAATGTTATACCATCTCACGCCAGTTAGAATGGTGATCATGAAAAAGTCAGGAAACAACAGGTGCTGGAGAGGATGTGGAGAAATAGGAATGCTTTTACACTGTTGGTGGGAGTGTAAATTAGTTCAACCATTGTGGAAGACAGTGTGGCGATTCCTCAAGGATCTAGAACCAGAAATACCATTTGACCCATCAATCTCATTACTGGGTATATACCCAAAGGATTATAAATCATTCTAATATAAAGACACATGTACATGTATGTTTATTGCAAAACTGTTCACAATAGCAAAAACTTGGAACCAACCCAAATGCCCATCAGTGATACATTGGATAAAGAAAATGTAGCACATACACACCATGGAACACTCAGCCATAAAAATGGATGAGTTCATGTCCTTTGCAGGGACATGGATGAAGCTTGAAACCATCATTCTCAGCAAACTAACACAGGAACAGAAAACCAAAGACTGAATGTTCTCACTCATAAGTGGGAGATGAACAATGAGAACACATGGACACAGGAATGGGAACATTACACACTGGGGCCTGTCAGGGGATGGGGGTCTAAGGGAGGGTTAGCATTAGGAAAAATACCTAATGTAGATGACAGGTTGATGGGTGCAGCAAATCACCACATCACATGTATATTTGTGTAACAAACCTGATGTTCTGCACATGTATCCAAGAACTTAAAGTATTTTTTTTTAAAAAAAGGAAAAACAATTGTTTAAACAAAAGATGGGTTGAACTATGGAGGTTGAAAAAAAATCAATATGTAAAATATGTGCATGTTCCAGTGATATTATAAATATCATAAATATAGAGGGAGATCAAATATAATACTAAAGATACATATAGAGATAACATTATGACTTACTAGAACAACAAGTGGGAAATAATCATGGGAAGATGCCGGAGAGAATCACTGTTAGACTGCATAGATGATAATATCAACAGCCATGCTAAGAAATAGGACAACAGGCTTAGGGGCAAAGACAGGGATTTCATCATACATCTGTTGAAAACATGAGATAACTAAGATTACATATTTATTCAGCCAGTATGATTATACTTCAGGCGTTTGCATAGCATTTTCACAATTTTTGTTAAATCTCACCATCAGTACTATAACTTGCTTAATATTTATCTTTAAATTGATTCACATTTTTACTTACATTTATTTTAAAAAGAAAACCTTCTACCTGTATCATTAATTAAAACAAACACCATCAATTGTCCCATATGAAAATAAATATTAAAATAATGCAATTAAACCATAAAGTGTAAAAAATTAATTATAAGCACAATTTTAAATGATTTTAGTAATTTATCCAAAATATTTTATGCCTGAAAATTTTTTTCTCAGTAAGAATAAAACCCTTTAAGGAGTGATATTTAACTTTGTCTTTCTTGGTTTAAAATGAAGATGAGGCTCTATGCTCACATAATAATTGTACTACTTCGTTCAGAAAGTCATGACACGGAGAAAATGTATCCATGGTAAGAAAGGGTGACATTATTAGTCAGATCGTAATTTCAGTTTTTACTAAGTACTGGGAACTCTTTGAACAGTCATGAAGGAGGCTAGAGGCAACCTGGTGCCTGTCTTCATTTTCTCCCCAGGAAAAGAGATTTCAAGAAACTTAATGAATTAAAAGATTTTCCTTTTTCTCCTCCACCATCCAGAGCTTTCAGGTTCTAGCAGACTCAGAAAGTAGCTCTGGGGCTAAGTCAAGGGCTTAAAGCATGAGTTGCCTTTGTGTTGCTTATGCTTAGTGCAACCTGAAGTGAGAGAAGTACATGGTGGTCACAGCTGTCTAAACCTTGATAACAAAGGGCACTCATTATTACATCGTAGCCCTGCCATGCAAAATCCTAACAGAATCAAGGTCACAGCTGAGGTACTAGAGGAAAAGAACCACAAGTCTGCAGATGCCTCAAGAGCCTCAGCTTAAGCCTAAAATCTTCTCCCGAATCACCAGTGATTTGGATTCCGCTTCTTAGGAAATACTGTAGTTAATAAAAGTGCAACTAGGACTAGGAGAACTGTGAAGACCTGAGCAATGTAGGCATCAGGTAGTAATTGGGATCATGGCAATGGATTGATAAAGATTTTGTATACATCTCAACATTGGACCTCTCTTGTCTCTGTGACTGAGGACCATGTATGTATGATCATGTTTAATCAGGCCAAATTTTTATTATAGCACTTATTTCATTATCTGCCATGTATCTAAATTGATTTACTATGAAAGAATTTCAGGTCTGCATACGTGTATGTGTTTATTTGTCCATGGATGGCAATTGTCATTGTTCAGCTAGAAATTAGGTCTATGAGGTAAAATGCAGGATTTGAGTCTGAGGATGAGTAGCAAGTATACATTTCTTTTTGGAATTGCAGTATTCAAATTAGTGTATCATATTTGTTTGTATTTATGTAAAATCACCTTATGCAAATATTTACCTGGACACTAGTTTTTCTTAATAATGAGGAATTTATATTGATCTCATGTAATCAAATATATTGAGAAATTTTTGAAATATAAAGAGGTGATCTTATAATTTTTTCCTTAAATTTGTCAATATGATAAATGCTAATGGGTTTTCTCATTTTGATTCCTGCCTTGTTTCTGAGATAAACTTGACTTGGGTTATCTTAAGGGGTTACCTTTAGAATGTCCTCTGGCTCTGATTTGCAAATATTTTATTTTTGCATAAATATGCATAATTTGTTTTTTCTCTTTTGTCATATTTATCAAGATTTGATATCAGTTTATAATTGCCCCGTACATTCTTTTATGTTGCAAGTGATTGAAATAGTTTAAATAGCGATGGCAATCTCTAAGTTTTGGATATTTGTTAGAATTCCTAGAAATTACCAGGAATTAGTCATTTTGGTGGTGGGCAGGCAGATCCCTTATCACTTTTTCTTTTGTCTTTTAGACATTTGGTCTCTATTGTAGTTTCCAATGAAGATGGAATTCCAAAAAGTTATCAAATTTATCAGGGCTTTCAAATTTATTTTCATAGTTTTGCACAAAGTAATTTCTTTTTTAAATCATTTTTTTGTTTTAATAGTTATTTTCCACTTTTTATTTCTTACTTTATATATTTGTGCTTTCTGTTTTCCAAAATGAGGTTACTTGAGGGTTTATTTGTAACTTTTTAAATGATTCGATAATTTATTTAATTATTATTTGGTCTATATTTTTCTTTTCTGTCATTATTTTCTTCTTTTTTCCTTATCTTTTGCTTTTTCTGCTTTTCCTTTACATTTGTGCTTAATTCATTATTTTATTTGTATTTAAGTTTTATTTATATATGTATTTAAGGTATAGAAAAATAAAATATGTATTTTATTCTTCCACACATGCACCCTTTATTTTGCTTTTATTTTTAACTCTGGATTTAAATATTGAATAGAAATGAAAAAAAAAACCAAGAATAAAATTAATTTAAAAGTTTGGAAAGAATCAGAGAAAAAGTGATAGAAGATAGGCCAGGGTGATCCAAAATGCTTCTAATTGCCTAAAAAGTAAAAAGAAAAGATGAATCTGAACCAAAATTTACGATTTATGATTGAAGACCACTTTGCTGATATTAAAGTGGACCTGATTCCTAAAAGACTTCACTATTTACCTGAGAAAACTGAGAGAAAATAATACTAAAGACAAAGCAGGAAAAAGTCACTTACAAAAGAAAACACAATCAAGTTGTGAACAGGCATGTTGACAGTAGCATATATTCAAGTCAAATTGGAACATCCAATTTAAGATAATGTGGATATTCTATTTAGAAAGGAAAACCAAGACTTTTCAGCAGTGAAACTCACAAAGAGAAGAAAACAATGATGCGAAAAAATTTGAACAGGGTAAAATTTGATACAATATAATTAAAATAAATCTTCAGATTAGAAATTAAATGACTTAGAGTATATAACTCAAATGAGGTAGAGAATAGTATACCTGTTGATATAATGTTGACTTTGGAAACATGTACATATCCATATTTTTAAAATTATATCACTACCATTAAGTTAAAAATGAAGAAAAGCTTTAAAATGAATAAAATATGGAAGCATGTATTTATTTTTATACCAAGTAAAGACACAAAAATGATTTCAAGTGACTTTTGGATAAAGCACTTTGAATGCATGGTGTTGATATATTTCAGGCTTAAAAAAAATCATTCCTCAGGACTTTTATTATTTTTCATAATTGTGAGATTTTAACTATTTTATGTGAATTCCAGGAAAGATCTGATCTATTGATATGTTAATGTTACTAGAATAATTCTCATTCAGTTTAAAAGAGACACAATTATAAAATGGAGAGGCTGGGCATGGTGGCTAAAGCCTGTAATCCCAGCACTTTTAGAGGCTGAGACAGTAGGATCACTTACTTGAGGCCAGTAATTCAAGACCAGCCTGTGCAACATAGGAAGACCCTGTCTCAAAAAAAAAAAACAAAAACAAACAAACAAACAAAAACAAAATTTAGCTAAGTGTGTTGGTATGCACATGTAGTCCTGGCTACTTGAGATAGGAGAATTGCTGGAGCCCAGGAGTTTGAGGCTGCAGTGAGTTATTATCATGTCATTGCACTCCAGTCTGAGTGATGGCCAGAACCTATCTCTAAAAGAAACAAAATTAGAAAACACAAATGGAAAAGAAATGGGAAACTCTTGTTATTAAATTAGGAACATGAAGATGTTCGTGTGAACTGTAACTTAAAATCGGAAGTATCAGTACTAATTAACATTTTTTTTTAGTATAGTCAATAAATAGGATTAGAAACAATATCCTTTCAGTATCAATGAGCAAATGTTCTGCCCAGATCTTCATTTTCCAATAGACTCTGTATGTCTAATTCATTTCCTGGTCTATGGTATAGTCTTATTAATAACTTTCAGATAATAAAAAATGATTCTGTCCCTTTAAACAAAAATCAGTCTTTTTAATACAGTAATGCCCAGTTCAATGTAATCATTAACAGTAACCTTCTAATTTTAATGCCCTTCCCCATTTGAGCTGGCCACAGGCAAAGGCAAAACTGAATAGATTATTCCGTCTCTTCAAATATTCTTATAGCCTACTTCTAGCTTCCTAATTGTAATCTCTGACATACTGATCATCTAATATTTTGGGGAAAAATAAGAGGCAGTGAGCCACGGAATTATTCTCATTTGACCTTCCAGTTGTAAACTGATGTTCACATGTGATTGTTGCATATGTGAATAAAATAACTTTCATTCTTGTGGAACTTTGTGATTTCCTTATGTACCACCCCCTAGTAGTCCATTTTCCCATCACCTCTAAACAACCAGGAGTAGATGTCCGCAGCATTTGGCTGCTGAGTTATCCTTTCTCTTCCAGATACCCTTCTTTGGAAGGACATAGGGCAACACAATCCTATTTCTTTTCCATGTGTGGTCATCATCTGACTCTCTGGTGTGCTGGTATGTGTTGTTTTAGATAGAATCTTGTCATTTAAATAAATGCCAAGTAATTATCACTTTTTTTTTCAAAAGAATTATATCTCTACCTATTTTTTGGCCTTTCCAGTCTAATTTGCAAGCTGAAACTGAACAGTCATCTAAAGGTTAAAACATCAGTTTTCAATCAACTTCTTTGTGAGTCAGTTCTAGAGGGTCTGGCATATCATTTTGAAATATGGGAGTAGGTAGTACTTAATGTCATGGGCTCTTAGACAAACTAAGCAAGAAAAAAATTTCACATAAATAGTCATACATTTTAATGTGTTCTACCATGAAATATATTATTGCACTTAAGCTAAGTAATATTTGCTATTTCAAGGTCTGATTTTTCACTCCGCCTCTTGGGAACTGATCTCTTGTACATTCGTATCATCATTTAGTAACAAGATTAAGTTGGGCTGGGCGCGGTGGCTCACGCCTGTAATCCCAGCACTTTGGGAGGCCGAGGCGGGCGGATCACGAAGTCAGGAGATCAAGAACATCCTGGCTAACACGGTGAAACCCCATCTCTACTAAAAGTACAAAAAATTAGCTGGGCATAGTGGCGGGCGCCTGTAGTCCCAGCTACTCCGGAGGCTGAGGCAGGAGAATAGCGCGAACCCGGGAGGCGGAGCTTGCAGTGAGCCGAGATCGCGCCACTGCACTCCAGCCTGGGCAACAGAGCGAGACTCCATCTCAAAAAACAAAACAAACAAAACAAACAAACAAACAAACAAAATTAAGTTGAAAAGCAGAAAACACATTTTTCACCCTTTTTACCAATGGCTATTTTGAGTTAATATCTCAGTAAATTAGTCATGAAGTCTTGATTAGTATGATGCCAAATAGAAATTACTTCTATAACTGAGGATTTGTCTTTATTACCAGAGGGAGAAGAGTGGGACTCTACTATTATTTCTTGATTTTGAGTTTTATCTCTGCTCTTATATACTTTATAGGTACCCAAGGCACTAGATTTGGAATAGCACCTTAGATTTCTAAGTAGTAATATAATTTCTTCTCCATAAACTTTCTATAGTTGCAGAATGCTTTTGGGCCCAAGGTAAGAAAATTTTATGTTGTTTTAGTGTTACCTTGTCCTTTCTTGTATCTGCTACTGATAGTGCTTGCCCCTTTAATAAGTTGCTAGGAAGAATAAGAGATGAGACTAGCACAAAATTTTGCAGGATGGCTATCAAAAATGCCATATTATAACTCCCTCCGTTGGTTCAGGGTTCAGTGGACAATATTTTACAGTACCCATTGTCATAGGAACATATGAATTACAAGTTGCTGTTCACAATCAAATTTCTGACTCTGCCTTTCCTACTTGAGTCTGACAGAAGAAAATTCTACAGTAGATTAGATTTGTGTTTACCAGAAAATCTGGTCAAATGAAGCTTAGAAAAGCTTTTTACTTTTGGATATCTACTTTAGCTACAAGGATATAAATATTACCAACATGAAGAGACTTAAACAGTAATCAAACTTCTATTCAATGACATATACGTACAAGTATTCGTAAAAGATATACTCTAATAATATTTCCCTTACACCAAGCCATCAATTATTTCTGACATCAATATCAAATATACTTAGGTTTTCTACCTAGATATTTAGACGTACCTAAGGAAATACAATTTATATTTCATGGCATAATCACGCATAAAACTACACATTAATATACAAAAGCACTGATGAATATTCCAAACAAAGAGTTCTTCTTTGTGAATGAATTAATTCAGCATTTATAGATGCTGGGAAAAACAAAATGAATAAGAACAAAGTTTTGTCAAGTAGAAGAAGACCCATATATGTCTAATATAATCCACTTCAAGCTGTGGAAATTGCAGTAATCATCGTATAAAGAAGATAATAGATATCCAGAAAAAGATATGTTAATATGAAAATAGGATTCATGAAGATTTTACAAAGAAGATAGATTTTAAGCAAAAATTGAACTTCTTTCCCGGTAAATAAGGTGCAATTTTTATTATAAACACAGGAAACAGTATGAAAATATGCTAAATAATTCAGAGAACAAGGACAAAAGAGAGTTAAAGGTGAAAGGTGACATGAAATATCATCAACATGGCCGGGCACAGTGGCTCACGCCTGTAATCTCACCACTTTGGGAGGCCAAGGCGGGCGGATCACGAGGTCAGGAGATCGAGACCATCCTGGCTAACACGGTGAAACCCCGTCTCTACTAAAAATACAAAAACAAGTAGCCGGGCATGGTGGTGGGTGCCTGTAATCCCAGCTACTTGGGAGGCTGAGGCAGGAGAATGGCGTGAACCTGGGAGGCAGAGCTTGCAGTGAGCCGAGATCGCACCACTACACTCCAGCCTGGGTGACACAGCGAGACTCCATCTCAAAAAATAAAAAAAAAATCATCAACGTAACTGATCATTATGAAAAGCAAATCAAAACCATAAAGAGATACCACTTTATACACATTAAGATGGTTATTATAAAAGACAAGTAAGCAATAAAGCAAAACAGCACATGAGTATTGGCCAGGATGTGGAGAAATTGAAATCCTTGTTCACTGCTTGTAAAAATGCAAATAGTACAGCTGCTATGAATGACAGCATGGCCCTTCCTCAAAAAATTAAAAATAGAATTGTAATATGATCTAGCAATTCCACTTTTGGGTGTCTACTAAAAAAATTAAAAACAATAATTTGAACAGATTTTCTTATGTTAGTCCTGTACAGCTGCCATAATGAAATACCATAGACTGGGTGGGTTAAACCAACAGCAATTTATTTCTCATAGTTCTAGAGGCTGGTAAGTCCAAGATTAAAGTGTTAGCCAGTTTCATTCCTGGTGATGTCTCTCTTCCTTGCTTGCACACTGCTGCATTCTCCCTGTGTGTTCAGATGTCTTTTCCTTTGTGCATTGAGAGAAAGACAAAAATCATTTAATCTCTTTCTCTTCCAAGGCCAAAAGTCCTATCAGATAAAGACCCCATCCTTTTGATCTTATTGAATCATAATTATATCCTAAAAACACTGTCTCCAAATACTGTCACATTGAAGGTTAAAGTTTCAAAATACACATTTTGTGGGTAAACAAGTCAGTCCATAGCCTTTGTATACTCAAATTCATAGCAGTACTATTTGCAATAGGTAAAATGTGGAAGCAATCTAAGTTTCTACCTTCAGATGAGTAGATAAACAAAATATATACAAAGAAACATTATTCAGCCTTAAAAAAAGGAAGAAAATTCTGAAACATACTACAGTGTGGACGAATCTTGAAGACAATAGGCTAAGTGAATAAGCCAGACACAAGGTTGATATATAGCATGATTACACTTATACAAGATACCTAGAATAGTCAAATTCATAGACTAAATCTACAGAATTTAGAATAATTTCTTACAGGGGCTGAGGGAGTGAGAATAGGGGGTTATTGTTTAATGAGAAAGGAATTTAAGTTTTTCATGATGAAAAGAATTATAGAGATGGATGGTGATGATTGTTGTAAAACTATGTGCATGTACTTAATGCCATTGAAAGTACAGTAAAAATGGTTAAAATAGGGAGAGGAGTCAGAGCATGAAGGCTGAATAGAAGCTTCCACCAACTGTCCTCCTTGAAGAAACACCAAATTGAACAACTATCCACACAAAAAATCAAAAAATATTTAGGTTCATAAGGACCAAAAAATCAGGTGAGTTATCACAGCACCTGGTTTTAACTTCATTTAACTGAGAGAGACACTGAAAAGGGTAGAAAAGATAGTCTTGAATTGCTGATGCAACTCCTTCCCCATCCCTCAGCAGTGGCCACATGGCACAGAGAGAGAATCTGTGTGCTTGAGGAAGGGAGAGTGTAGTGATTGTGGGACTTTGCATTGGAATTCCATGCTGACCTATAGCAGCAGAAAGCAACATTGAGAAGAACTCATCTGGTTCCTACAGTGGGGATATTTAGAACAGCCCTCGCCAGAGGGGAGTTGCCCATCCCAGCAGTCAGAACCTGAGTTTTGGCAAGTCTTTCCACTGTAGGCTAAAGTGTTCTGGTGTTCTAAATAAACTTGAAAGGCAGTCTAGGCCTCAAGAACTGCCATTCCTGGGAAAGCACTGGTGCTATGCTGTGTTCAGAGCCAGTGGACTTGGGAGGCAGGGAGGCATGCAACCCAATGAGACACAGCTGGGGCAGCCAAGGGAGTGCTTGCACCAGCCATCCCTCAACCTGAGGCATCACAGCTTGCAGCTTCAGGAGAGACTCCTTCCTTCTGCTTGAGGAGAGAGGAAGGAAGAGTAAAAAGGACTCTTTTCTTGAAACTTGGATACCAACTCAGCCACAGTGGTATAGAACACCAGGCAGAGTCCTAAGGTCCCCATTCCAGACTTTAGCCTCCAGACAACAATTCTAGACACACCCTGGACTAGAAGGGAATCTGCTGCATTAAAGGGAAGAACCCAGTCTTGGGATAATTGGGTCTAAATCCTGCTGACTAAAGAGCGCTTGGACCCTGAATAATCAGAAGTGGTGCCCAGGCAGCACTCATCATGGGCCCTGGGTGAGACTTGGGGACATGCTGGATTCAGGTGTGACCCAGTGCATTCTAGGCTGTGGAGGCTGTGGGGAGTGACTCCTTCTGCTTGAGTAAAGGATACAGGAGTGTAAAGGGGTCTTTGTCTTGCAGCTTAAGTACTAGGTTAGCCACAGTGGGGTAGAGCATCAAGCAGATTCTTGAGGTCCCCAGTTCAAGGACTTGGCTTTGGGATGGCTTTTCTGGACCTTCTCTGGGTGACAGGGGAGCCCGCTTCCCTGAAGGGAGAGTCTTAGGCCTGGTGGCATTCACCACAGTCTGACTGGAGAGCCCTTGGGCCTCAAATAAACATTGACAGTAGCCAGGCAGTACTGACTCTTGGCCTAGTTTGATGGTGGCCATGGGGAGAGACAACTTTGGTTGCAGAAAGGGGAGGCAAGAGTGGGAAGGTCTTTGCCTTGTGGCTTAGGTGCCAGCTCAGTAGCAGAAGAATAGAGTACCAGGTAGATCCCTAAAGTTGACTATAGGCCTTTGCTCCAAGATGGCATCTCGGGACTCACATGGGATTGGGAGGATCTCACCACTCTGAAGGGAAGGACACAAGCCTGGCTGGCTTCACCACCTGCTAATTGTAGTCCCCTAGGGCCTTGAATGAACATATGTGGTAGTGAAGTAGTAGTTACCACAGGCCTTGGATGAGATGCAATACTGTGCTAGCATCAGGTCTGACCCAGTGCATACACGGTGGTGGCCAAAGTGTGCTTATGTCACATATCCCCAAGCTTCAGGCAACTCAGCACAGAAATAAAGACTCCATTTGTTTGGGAGGAAAAAAAAAGAAGAAATACAACAAGAGTATCTGCCTGGTAATCCAGAGAATTCTTCTGGATCTTATTCAAGACCACAAAGACATAAGTCTGCAAGAGCCACAGCATTATCGGACTTCGGGTACCTTTTAATGCAGATATGGCACAATGACCAAAGACTTAGATCACATCATCCAAGTCCCTTCAAATGCATTGAAATCATTCCCAAGAAGGGTGGATACAAACAAGACTAGACTTTGAAGACTTCAATAAAGACCGAACTATTGAATGTGCAGACACCAAAGAACATCCACAAGCATCAGGACACAAGTAACTAATCATGAAGTGTCAGAGATATGTGAGCTTTCACACACAAAATTTAAAGCAGCTGTTTTGAGGAAACTCAATGAAATTTGGAACAATACATAGAAGGGATTCAGAATTCTATTCAATAAATTTAACAAAGAGCTTAAAATAATTGAAAAGAATCAAGCAGAAATTCTGGAGAAGAAAAATGCAATGACATACTGAAGAATACATCAAATTCTCTTAACAGAAGAATTAAGCAGAAGACAGGATTACTCAGCTTGAAGATAGGCTTTTAAAAATACAAAGAGACAAAAGAAAAATAATTTTAAAAAAGAAGCATGCCTACAAAATTTAGAAAAAAGCCTCAAAAAAGCAAATCTAAGAGTTATTGGCCTTAAAGGGGTGGTAGAGAATGAGATAGAGGTAGAAAGTTTATTCAAAGAGATAATAAAGAAGAACTTCCCAAACCTGGAGAAACATACTAATATTCAATTATAAGAAGGTTATGAAATACCAAACATATTTTGTCCAAAGAAGACTAACTCAAGACATTTGATACTCAAACTTCAAAAAGTCAAGGATAAACAAATGATTCTAAAAGCAGCAAGAAAAAAGAAACATAAGATACAGTGAAGTTCCAACATGTTTGGCAGCAAACTTCTCGGTGAAATACTTACAGGCTAGGAGAGAGTGACATAACATATTTAAAGAGTAGAAGAAAAAAACAAACACACAAACAAACAACTTGTATCCTACAATAGTGTATCCAGCAAAAATATCCTTCAAACAGGAAAGAGAAATACTTTTCCAGACAAAAACAAAAAAACAAAAAACAAAACAAAAAACCTGAGGCATTTTATCAACACCAGACCTTTCCTGAGAGAAATGCTAAAGGATGTTCTTTAATCTGAAAGAAAAAAAATTATTAGAAGAAATCACCTGAAGATATAAAACTTACTGGCAATAGTAAATAAATAGAAAAACGGAATATTAAAATATCATAATTTTGGTGTGTAAATTACTCATATATTGAGGAGAGAGACTAAAAGGTGAACCAACCAAAATAATAACTACAACAACTTTTCAAGACATGGACAGTACAATAAGATATAAATAGAAAAAATAAAAAGTTAAAAAGCAGGGAGACCATGTTAAAATGTAGAGTTTCTATTAGTTTACTATTTGCTTGTTTGTTTATGAAATTAGTGATAACTTGTCATCAGCTTAAAATAATGGGTTATAAGATATTATTTGCAAGCCTCATGGTAACCTGAATTAAAAATCATAGAACAGATACAAAAAAATATAAAAAGCAAGGCATTAAAACATACTACCACTGAAAATCAGCTTTACTAAAAGGAAGAAAGAAAAAAAGGAAAAGAAATAAAAGACTACAAAACAATCAGAAAACAGCAAATGGCAAGAGTCCATTACTTATTATTGATAAGTTCTTACTTCTCAATAATATTATTGAATGTAAAGAGACTAACCTCTCCATTCCAAAGAGACATAGAGTGGCTGAATGAAAAATGAAAAGGAAAGAAAAAAAGACCCAGTTATCTGTTGCCTAGTAAAAAAAAAAAAACTTCATTTGTAAAGACAAACATATACTGAAAATAAAGGGATGGAAAAATATATTTTATGCCAATGGAGACCAAAAAAGAGCAGAAGTAGCTATACTCACATAAGAAAAAATAGATTTCAAGACAACAATTATAAAAAGAGAAAAAAGGGTCACTAAAGATAAAAGGAACAATTCAACAAGAAATAAAACAATTTGAAATACATATGCACCCAACACTGGAACACCCAGTTACATAAACAAATATTATTAGAGCTAAAGAAAGAGATAGATCAAAATACAATAATGGTTGCAGACTTCAATACCCCACGTACAGCATTGAACAGACCTCCCAGATAGAAGATCAACAAAGAAACATCAGACTTAATTTTCATTATAGACCTAATGGACTTAATAGATCTCTACAGAACATTTCATCCAATGGCTGCAGAATACAAATTCTTTGGAGCCCATGGACTATTCTCAAGGATAGAATATAGGTTAGGTCATAAAACAAGCCTTAAAAATGTAAACAAATTGAGATTATATCAAGTATCTTCTCTAGCCACAATGGAATAAAACTAAAAATTAATAACAGGAATTTTGGAAACTGTACAAACAAATGGAAATTAAATGATATGCTCTGGAATGACCAGTGCGGTCAATAAATTAAAAAGGAATTAAAAACATTTAAAACAAATGATAATGAAAACATAACATACCAAAACCTCTGGGATATGATAAAACCAGTAATAAGAGGAAAGTTATAGCTGTGAGTGCTTACATTAAAAAAGTAGAAAAACTTCAAATAAACAACCTAATGATGCATTTTAGAGACCTAGGAAAGCAAGACCAAACCAAACCCAAAATTAGTAGAAAAAAGAAATAATAAAGAACAGAGCAGAAATAAATGAAATTGAACTTAAGAAAACAATACAAAAAATTGATGAAACAAAAAGTTGGCTTTCTGAAAAGATACACAAAATTGACAAAACTTTAACCTGACTGAGAAAGAAAGAGAGAAGACCCAGATAAGTAAAGTCATATGCATATGTATCTTCATCACAGCACTATTCACAATAGCAAAAAGTGGAATCAATGTAAATGCCCATCAATGGTGGAAAGAATACGAAATATGTGGTGCATGTACACCATGGAATGCTATGCAGTCATATAAAAGAGTGAGATTTTGTCCTTTGCAGCAACATAAATGGAACTGGAAGCCATTATCCTAAGTGAACTAACACAGGAACAGAAAACCAGATACCACATGTTCTTACGTATAAGTGGGAGCTAAACATTGAGTACACATGGACATGAAGAAGGAAACAATAGGCACTGGGGCCTGCTTTAAACTGGAGGGTGGGAGGAGGCAGGTAAGTGAAAAACTACCTATTGGGTACCGTGCTAATTACCTGATGATGAAATAATCTGTACACAAAACCACCACGTCATGCAATTTACCTATGTAACAAAACTTCACATGTACCCCTGAACCTAAAATAAAAGATAAAAATTGAATAAATAAATATAAACACTAAAAAAATCAGAGATGAAAAAGGATACATTACAATTGATAACCACAGAAATTCAAAAGATGATTACAGGCTACCAGAGGCAACCATATGCCAACAAATTGAAAAATTTAGAAGAAATAGACAAATTCCTAGACACATATAACCCACCAAGATTGAACCTGAAGAAATGTAAAACCGAAATAGACAACATGTAATGAGATAAAAGATATAATAAAAATCTCCCAGCAAAGAAAACTTTGAGACCTAATGGTTTCACTGCCAAATTTTACCGAACTATTAAATAAGAACTAATACCAATCCTATTCAAACTATTTTAAAAAATAAAGGAGGATGGAATACTTCCAAACTCATTCTATGAAGCCAGTATTAACCTGATACCAAAATTAGATAAAGACCCATGAAAAAAAACAAAGTTTTATGCCAGTATCTCTGATGAACATTGATTAAAAAATCCTCAACAATATGCTATCAAACTGAATTCAACAACAGACTAAAAAGTTCATTCATCATGACCAAGTGGCATTTATCCTTGGGATGCAAGAATGGCTCAACACATGTAAATCAATCAGTGAAATACATCATTTCAACAGAATGAAGCATAAAATCATATGATCATTTTAATTGATGCTGTAAAAGCATTTGATAAAATTCAACTTCCCTTCACGTCAAAAACTTGAAAAACTGGGTATACCTCAACATAATAAAAGCCAATATGAAAGACCCACAGCAGTATCACTACTGAATGGGGAAAAACTGAAAGCTTTTCCCCTAAGATCTGGAATATGACAAGGATGCCTACTTTCATCCCTGTTATTCAGCCTAGTACTGTAAGTTCTAGCTAGAACAATCAGACTAGAGAAAGAAATAAAGGACATCTATATTGGAAAAGAAGAAGTCAAATTATCCTCATTTGTACATAATATGAGAAACTGATGAACTTTACCAAAAACTATTATAACTGATAAACAAGTTCAGTAAAATTGCAGGATATAAAATCAATAATTATACAAAAATCAGTAGCATTTCTATATACCAACAGTGAACAATCAGGAAATGAAATAAAAAAGGAATTCCATTTGTAAAATCTATAAATATAAAATACAAAGAAATTAACCTAACTGAAGGAGTGAAAGATCTCTACAATAAAAGCTGTAAAACATCGATGAAATAAATTGAAGAGGACACATAAAAATGGAATAATAGTTCATGTTCAGATTGGAAAAATAAATATTGAGAAAATATCCATTGTACCCAAAGCAATCTACAGATTCAATGTGACAATACCAATCACTTTCTTCACAGAAATAGAAAAACAATTCTAAAAAAAAAAAGAAACCACAACACATCCAGAATAGCCAAAACTATCCTGAGCAAAAAGAACAAAACTGAAGGAAACGCATTACCTGATTTCAAATTATGCTAAACAACTATAGTGACCAAAACAGCATGATACTGGCATAAAAACAGACACATAGACCAATGGAACAGAATAGAGAGAACTCAGAAACAAATCCACATATCTATAGCAAACTCATTTTCTACAAATTTACCAAGAACATACAATGAGGGAAGAACAGTCTTTTCAATAAATGGTTCTGGGAAAACTGGAGATCTATATACAAAAGAATGAAACTAGACCCCTCTCTCTCATCATATACAAAAATCAAATCAAAGTCATTTAAAGACTTAAATCTAAGACCTCAAACTCTGAAACAACTGGAATAAAACATTGTAGAAACTCTACAGGACATTGGACTAGGCAAAGATATCTTAAGTAATATCCCACAAGCACAGGCAGCCAAAGAAAGATGGACAAATGGGATCACATCAAGTTAAAAAATGCTGCAGAATTTTACCAAACATTTAAAGAAGAACTAATACCAATCCTACTCAAACTATTTCAAAAAATAGAAGAGGAGGGAATTGTATCCTCTGCACAACAAAGGATACAATCAACAAAGTGAAGAGACAACCCACAGAATGGTAGAAAATATTTGCAAACTCCCCATCTGACAAGGGATTAATAACCAGAATATAAAAGGTGCTCAAACAACTTTAAGGAAAAAAAGTCTAATAATCTCATTAGAAAATGGGCAAAAGACCTGAATGGATATTTCTCAAAAGAAGACATACGCAAAAAACATAAACTCAAAAAAAAAAAAAAAAAAGGAAATCAGTATTTCAAAGAGATACTTGCACTTGTACATTTATTGCAGCTCTATTCACAATAGCCAAGATTTGGAAGCAGTTAAGAGTGTCCATCAACAGGCAAATATGTAAAGAAATTGTAGTAATATACACAATGGAGTACTATTTAGTTGTTTAAAAACAATGAGATCCTGTCATTGGCAACAACATTGATGGAGCTATGTTAAGTAAAATAAGCCAGGCACAGAAAGACAAACTTCACCTGTTCTTACCTATCTATGGAAGCTGAAAATTAAAACAATTGAACTCATAAAGATAGCAAAGTGAAGGTTACTAGAGGGTGAGAAAGGTAGTGGGGTGGGGAAATGAAGTAGGTATGGTTATTGGATACAAAAAATACATAGCATGAATAAGATCTAGTATTTGATAGCCGAATAGTGTGTCTATAGTTAACAATAATTTATTGTACATTTAAAGTAATGGAAAGAATATAATTGGATTGTTTGTAACCCAAAGAAAGGATAAATGCTTAAGGTGATGGATACCCCACTCTCCCTGATGTTATTATCACACATTATATGCCTGTGTCCAATTCTCAGGTACCTCATAAATCTGTGTACCTACTAAGTACTATGTACTTTGTACAAAAAATTAAAATTTTATAAAATGGTTTAAATGTTTAATTTTATGTTATGTATAGTTTACCACAATAAAGAAGTGAAAGATGGGCAGATGTAATACAAAGATAACTTCTAAATATTGGTCAGGCCAGATTAATGGTGGAAGGCCAAGGAAAGTGTAGCCTGATTTCCAGTTTTGACAAAAGAAAAGGTGAGACAGAGTAAACAGAATTGAAATATGCATGCATATGTGTTGAGGGTCGATTTTCCTAGAGGCAGTCAATAATGTGAAAGCTACTCTCAAAGATGGTTTTAAATTTCCTCCTTCCTTGTGGTTGCAGGCTATTTTTCTATGTGGGATAACCTTTGATAGAAAGGCCATTTAAGTTAAAAAATCTTCCGAGAATGATTTCAGCATTATCATAATATGTACTTGGAAATTTTCCATTTCATTTACGTCCCACACTATCTCCAACAAGTTTCTATTCATGCGTTTTTACCTTTCCCACACATACTTGGCGGTGAAAATTTAATTAAAACTACTTCACTCTGGTGGCAGAAGTGGTTTGTGGCTTATTCAACAGCCATTCTTTCTTCAAATGTGTTGAGATTGTAGGTTAGCAGCAATATGCACACCAAGATGTGCCCCTCTCCCAGCTTTAAGGGTAAGCCTTAACTGGGCTATGACATTATGGTTGGTTAATGCATCTTTGCCAGTGATTGATTTCAGGATGGATGTATGACCCAATTTCCACCAACGAGAATTAAAAAAAAAATGTCTGCTGGCGGATAACTTAGAAATATTTTCCTTTGTGCTAAAAAGTGAAGTAGGAGCAACAATCTCTTTTTACTCTTTTCTTCCCGTCTTTCGTGGCTGGTATGTGAGAATATGATTTCCAGAGTTGAGACAGACATGCTGCAACCATGAGAGAAGAAATTGTTAATACACTGAGGATTGGAGAGCAGAGAGATGATAAAAGAGGTAGTCATGTTAAAAATCACTAAATTGCTACTCTGGAATTGCCTAACTTTGGGCTTCTTGCAATGTGAGAAAATGAATATTCTTGTTGTCTAAGACAGTTTCATTTGAACATATTTTAATTTGATTATATCTTAACTGATAAGGTTTTTGATGTATTCATTTACTTATTTTGAAGGTGCAATCACTGTACTAAGAGAAATTTCTCCAAGGAAGAATAAAATAATGCATGTTTGTGGGCTCAGGTTGGTGGCAAAGTGCACGTAGTTACTCTAGATACTTTCAGTTAATAAATAAATATTAACAGATTAATTAGCCATCTGTAAAAGCAGTAAAAAAGGAGCAAGTCAATATTCACCTGTTTTTTGCCATTCTATCACCATTGTCTTTTCTAGATTGCACCTAATCTTGTCCGACGTTATGGGAAGTTGTCAATGTTTGAATTGATAGACACTTGAAAAAAGATGCTGGTTCTTCTAATTCATAGAACAGTTCATAGTTTGGTTTTTAAAAAATCCTTAATTAACCTTAATTTCAACTATACGAAGGAATTTCTGAAATTTATTGTTCAACCACTTAGTATTTTCTCAGGTCTTAAAAGCAGACATAATTTTCACTTACAATATTTTTTCCTCCTCAGAGAAAAGAATAAAGATGTATTATGGAGGCTGAAATTCTGTTAGTTTCCACCAGTGATTGCTATGTAGCTGCAAATAAGTGATTGCTCTTCAATAAACCAAGATGAGAATCTTAATCAATAATAAAATTTGTCAGGCGTGGCAGAATCCCAGATGCTTGCGTACTTTTTCTCATCCTTCTGCTTAAGCAAAATCATCTGGGAAATATGGTTTATTGTTTGTAGCATGAAAATATGTCTACATGCAGAGTTGTGAAAAAATAATGTGACAGAGATCTAATTTGCAGACTTGCATTCAATAACTGCCAAACAAATAAGACTTGGGGGGAAAAGCAGATACACAAAAATATCAGATCTAGGATTGGTTAGGATATTAAAAAATACCCCTGTTTGAAAATGACAGGAAAGGAAAAGCAGTCAGGTGATCTCCAACAGTTGAAAGGAAATAATGACCTGCTTCTGAAAGTGGAATAGGTTGGATAAGAACTTGAGCGGACCAGCCTAGCCAACATGATGAAACCCCATCTTTACTAAAAATAGAAAAATTAGCTGGGCATGATGGTGGGTGCCTGTAATCCCAGCTACTCGGGAGGCTGAGGCAGGTGAATTGCTTGAACCCGGGGCTTCAACCAGGGAGGCGGAGGTTGCAATGAGCCGAGATCGTGCCACTGCACTCCAGCCTGGGTGACAGAGCAAGAATCTGTCTCAAAAAAATAATAATAAATAGCATGAAGGGGTGTTGAATTTTATTGAAGGCCTTTTCTGTATCTATTGAGATAGTCATGTGGTTTTTGTCATTGGTTCTGTTTATGTGATGGATTACATTTATTGATTTGCTTATGTTGAAAGAGCCTGGCATCCCAGGGGTGAAGCCAACTTGATCGTGGTGGATAAGCTTTTTGATATGCTGCTGGATTCGGTTTGCCAGTATTTTATTGAGGATTTTTGCATTGATGTTCATCAGGGATATTGGCCTGAAATTTTCTTTTCTTTTCTTTTCCTTTTTTTTTTTTTTTTTTGTCGTTATTGTGTCTCTGCCAGGTTTCAGATGATGCTGGCCTCATAAAATGAGTTAGGGAGGATTCCCTCTTTTTCTAGTTTGGAAGAGTTTCAGAAGGAATGGTACCAGCTCCTCTTTGTATCTCTGGTAGAATCTGGCTGTGAATCCATCTGGTGCTGGACTTTTTTTGGTTGGTAGGACATTAATTACTGCCTCAATTTCAGAACTTGTTACTCGTTTATTCGGGGATTCGACTTCTTCCAGGCTTAGACTTGAGAGGGTGTATGAGTCCAGGAATTTATCCCTTTCTTCTAGACTTCCTAGTTTATTTGCGTAGAGGTGTTTTATTCTCTGATAGTAGTTTGTATTTCTGTGGGATCAGTGGTGATATCCCCTTTATAATTTTTTATTGTGTCTATTTGATTATTCTCTCTTTTCTTCTTTATTAGTCTGGTTAGGTATCAATGGAATATATCTCAAAATAGTAAGAACTATTTATGACAAACCCACAGCCAATATCATACTGAATGGGCAAAAACTGGAAGCATTCCCTTTGAAAACCGGCACAAGATAAGGATGCCCTCTCTCACCACTCCTATTCAACATAGTACTGGAAGTTCTGGCCAGGGCAATCAGGGAAGAGAAAGAAATAAAGGGTATTTAAGTAGGAAGAGAGGCAGTCAAATTGTCTCTGTTTGCAGATGACATGATTGTATATTTAGAAAACCCCATTGTCTCAGCCCCAAACCTCCTTAAGCTTATGAGCAACTTCAGCAAAGTCTCAGGATACAAAATCAATGTGCAAAAATCACAAGCATTCCTATACACCAACAACAGACAAACAGAGAGCCAAATCATGAGTGAACTCCCATTCACAATTGCTGCAAATAGAATAAAATACCTAGGAATCCAACTTACAGGGGATGGGAAGGACCTCTTTGAGGAGAACTACAAACCACTGCTCAGGGAAATAAGAGAGGACACAAGCAAATGGAAAAACATTCCATGCACATGGATAGGAAGAATAAATAACATGAAAATGGCCATACTGCCCAGAGTAATTTATAGATTCAATGCTATCTACATCAAGCTACCACTGACTTTCTTCAAGAATTGGAAAAAAAAATTATTTAAACTTCATATGGAACCAAAAAAGAGCCTGCATAGCAAAGACAATTCTGGGCAAGAAGAACAAAGCTGGAGGCATCACGCTACCTGACTTCAAACTATGCTACAAGCCTACAGTAACCAAAACAGCATGGTACTGGTACCAAAACAGATATATAGACCAATGGAACAGAACAGAGGCCTCAGAAATAACACCACACAGCTACAACATTAAATAGGGGAAAGATTCCCTATTTAATAAATGGTGCTGGGAAAACTGGCTAGCCATACGCAGAAAACTGAAACTAGACCCTCTCCTTACACCTTATACAAAAATCAACTCAAGATGGATCAAAGACTTAAACATAAGACCTAGAAACATAAAAATCATAGAAGAAAACCTGGTCAATACCATTCAGGACATAGGCATGGGCAAAGACTTCATGTCTAAAACACCAAAAGCAATGGCAACAAAAGCCAAAATTGACAAATGGGATCTAATTAAACTAAAGAGCTTCTGCACAGCAAAAGAAACTATCATCAGAGTGGACAGGCAACCAACAGAATGGGAGAAATTTTTTGCAGTCTACCCATCTGACAAAGGACTAATATCCAGAATCTACAAAGAACTTAAACAGATTTACAAGAAACAAACAAACAACCCCATCAAAAAATGGGCAAAGGATATGAACAAACACTTCTCAAAAGAAGACATTTATGCAGCCAACAGACATATGAAAAAATGCTCATCATCACCAGTCATCAGAGAAATGCAAATCAAACCCATGTTGAGATACCATCTCATGCCAGTTAGAATGGCAATCATTA
The DNA here is from genome assembly GCF_000001405.40 of Homo sapiens. Lineage (NCBI taxonomy): Eukaryota > Metazoa > Chordata > Mammalia > Primates > Hominidae > Homo > Homo sapiens. The sequence goes on along the minus strand of NC_000007.14, from coordinate 9,901,810 downwards.
AAAAGTCAGGAAACAACAGATGCTGGAGAGGTTGTGGAAAAATAGGAATGCTTTTACACTGTTGGTGGGAGTATAAATTAGTTCAACCATAGTGGAAGACAGTGTGGTGATTCCTCAACTATCTAGAACTAGAAATACAATTTGACCCAGCAATCCCATTACTGGGCATTTACCCAAAGGATTATAAATCATCCTACAATAAAGACACATGCACACGTATGTTTATTATGGCACTATTCACAATAGCTAAAGACTTGGAACTAACCTAAATGTCCATCAATGATAGACTGGATTAAGAAAATGTGGCACATATACACCATGGAATACTATGCAACCATAAAAACGGATGAGTTCATGTCCTCTGCAGGGACACGGATGAAGCTGGAAACCATCATTCTCAGTAAACTATCACAAGATCAGAAAAACAAACACTGCATGTCCTCACTCATAAGTGGGAGTTGAACAATGAGAACACATGGACATGGTGGGGGTGGGGAACATCACACACCAGGACCTGTCAAGAGGTGGGGGGGCTAGGGGAGGGATAACATTAGGAGAAATACCTAATGTAGGTTAATGGGTTGATGGGTGCAGGAAACCACCAGGGCACGTGTATACCTATTTAACAAAACTGCGTGTTTTGCACATGTAACCCAGAACTTAAAGTATAATAATAAAAAATAATATAAATAAATAAATAAAAAGAACTTGAGCAGAAACATTATTTTGTGATCTAATAGAGTAATTATATTGAACCAAAAGCAGCATATATTGACACAATAATTTGGATTGCCATCTCCTCCAACAGGTTGATAAAAATGTGTCAGTGGGTCTCAACAAGTAAAAAAAAAATAGAGGTTTTTATGTTTTTCATTCATATTAATTTCAGTAAAAGATAAAATTCAACTCATCTGAAAGTACTTTATTATTATTTTCCTTTTTGTACAAATTTATAAGGTGCATGCACAATTTTGTTACATGCATAGATAGTGTATGAGTCAGGAATTTTAGATTATCCATCACCCAGATAACTTACATTGTACCCATTCATAAATTTCTTATTATTCTTGCCTTTCCCATCCTCTCACCCATCCAAGTCTTTATTTTGTATCATTTCACTCTTTATGTTCATGTGAGCACGTTTTCAGTACCCACTTATGAGAGACAACATGTGATATTTGTGTTTCTCTGCCTGGTTTTTTTGATTAAGATATGGACCTCCAGTTACAACCTTGTTGTTTCAAAATATATGCCTTTATTTTTTATGGCTGTATAGTATTCCATTTTGTATATATACCACATTTTCTTTATCTGTTCATCTGTTAATGGACACTTAGGTTTATTCTGTACATTTGCTATTGTAAATAATGTTGTCTTAGACATATGAGTACAGGTGTTCTTTTGATATATTAATTTCTTTTCTTTTGGGTAGGTAGCCAGCAGTGGGATTGCTGGAGTGACGAGTAGTCCTATTTTTAGTTCTTTGAGAAATCACTATGTTTTCCATAGAGGCTATACTAATTTACATTATCACCAACAGGGTAAATGAGTTTCCTTCTTTCCAAACCCTGGTCAACATCTGTTATTTTTAATCTTCTTTATTTCAGCCATTCTGGCTGGGATAAGATAATATTTCATTTTGGTTTTGGTTTGCATTTCTCTGATGATTAATAATGTTAAGCATTTTTGTATACCTGTTGACCATTTGTATGTCTTATTTGAAGAAATTTCTATTCACGTTTTTTGCCCACTTTTTAATGGGATTATTAGTAATATTTTCATTATTGTTGAGGTATTTGAGTTTCTTGTTATTCATCTGTTGGATGAATAATTTGCAAATATTATCTCATATTCGAAAGGTTGTGTCTTCACTTTGTTGATTGTTTCTTTTGCTGTAAAGAAGTTTTTAAAGTTTTTAATTTAATTAAGTCCAATTAATATATTTTTGCTTTTGTTATCTGTGCTTTTGAAGCCTTACTCATAAATTATTTGCCTAGACCAATGTCCAGAAGAGTTTTCCCTAAGTTTTCTTAAGTATTTTTATAGTTTGGGGTCTTATGTTTTAAGTCTTTAATCAATCTTGAATTAATTCATGCTGAGTTGAGAGATATGAGTCAAGTTTTATTCTTCTGCATATGACAATTCAATTTTCCCAGCACCATTTATTGAAGAAGGTATCTTTCCCCAATAGGTGTTCTTGTTGGCTTCATCAGAGATCATTTTGCTGCATAATATGTGGCTTTCTTTCTCATTTCTCTATTGTGTTTGATTAGTCTATATGTTTGTTTTTATACCAGTATCATGCTGTTTTGGTTACTATAGTTTTGTAACATAATTTGAAGTCAGATAATGCGATCTCTCCAGCTTTTTTTTTTTTTTTTTTTTTTAAGCTCAGGTTGCTTTGGCAGCCTGGCCAATGTGTCAAAACCCTGTCTCTATTAAAAATACAAAAATTAGCTGTATGGACACCTGTAATCCCAGCTACTAGGTAGGCTGAGGCAGGAGGAGAATCACTTGAACCTGCAAGGCAGAGGTTGCAGTGACCAGAGATCACGCCATTGCACTCCAGCCTGGGTGACAAGAGCTAGACTCTGCCTCAAAAAAGAAAAAAAAAATTGCTTTGGCTATTCAGGTTTTTGTTTTTGGTTTCTTATTAATTTTAGGATTTTTTTTCTAATTCTGTGAAAAATGACTTTGGTATTTTGTCAGGGATTGCCCTGAATCTATAGATTTATTTGGGCAGCATGGCATCTTAATGATACTAATTCTTCCCATCCAAGAGCATGGGATATTTATTCATTTTTTTGTGCCCTCTTCAATTTCTTTCAACAGTGTTTCATAGCTTTCCTTAAAAATAAACTTTCACCTTCGTGGTTAAATATATGTCTAGGGTTTCTTTTCTTTTTTTTTTTTTGTAGCTATTGTAAGTGAAATTGCTTTCTTAATTTCTTTTTTACCTAAATTGTTATTGATGTGTAGAAATGTTACTTAATTTTGTTTTTTATTTCGTATCCTGCAACTTTACTTAATTCATTTATCAAATCTAAAAGTTTTTGGGTGGATTCTTTAGATTTTCCTACATGTAATATAACAACATCAGCAAATAGATAATTTGACTTCTTCTTTTCCAATTTAGATGGCTTTTATTTCTTTATCTTACCTGATTGCTTTTGCTAGGACTTCTAGAACTAGGTTCAATAGGAATGGTGAAAGTGGGCACCCTTATCTTCTAATAGTTCTTAGAAAAAATGCTTCCAGCTTTCCCCCATTCAGTATGTTAACTATGGTTTTGTCATGTATAGCCTTTATTATTTTGAGGTATGTCCCTTCATTGCCTATTGTCTTGAAGGTTTTATCATAACGGGATGTTGAATTTTATCACACGCTTTTTCTGCATCTATCGAGATGATTACATGATTTTTGTTCTTTATTCTGTATATGTGATATATCACATTTATTGATTTGAACATGTTGAGCCATCTTTGCATCCCTGGTATAAAACTCACTTGACCATGGTCTTATTATCTTTTTTAATTTAATTTTTAATTTCTAATTTTTGTAGGTACATAGTAGGTATATATATTTATGGATCACATATGATATTTTGATACAGCCATGCAATGTGTAATAACCACATTATGGAAAATAGGGGATTCATCCACTCAAGTACTTATCCTTTGTGTTGCAAAAAATCCAGTCAGGTGGTTTCTCTCCTTTGGGCTACAAAATCTCATTGCTCACATGGCTCAGCAGTCTGCTTTCTGAACCACTTCTGGTTCTGAGCTCTGCCGTATTCATGAATCATTCTTTGTTCAAGTAAACTCTGTTAAATTAAAAAAAAAAATCAACTGACACTATTTTAGTTATTTTAAAATGTACACTTAAATTATTATTGACTATTGTCACCCTGTTGTGCTATCAAAAGTAGGCATTATTTATTCTTTCTAGTTTTTGTACCCATTAACCATGCCTACTTTTATGCCATCCCCTACCACCACCATTACCAACCTGTAGTAATGATCCTTCTACTTTTTAACTCCATGAATTCAATGTTTTTAACTTTAGCACCCACAAATAAGTGAGAACAAGCAAACTTTGTCCTTCTGTGCCTGGTTTGTATCACTTAATGACCTCCAATTCCATCCATGTTGTTGTAAATGATAGGACCTCCTTCATTTATGGCTAAATAGTACTAATACTCCATTGCATGTAACTACCACATTTCCTTTTTCCATTCATCTGTTGATGGACACTTAGGTTGTTTACAAATCTTGGCTATTGTGAATAGTGCTGCAACAAACACGGGAGTGCAGAAATAACTTGGATATATTGATTTCCTTTCATTTGTGTATATACCCAGCTGTAGGATTGCTGGATCACCTGGCAGCTCAATTTTTAGTGTTTCGAGGAACCTCTGTACTGTTCTCAATAGAGTATACTGTACATTCCCACCAACAGTGTACAAGCATTCCTTTTTCTCCATATCTTATTGCCTCGTTTTTGGATATAAACCATTTAAATGGGGTGAGGTGATATCTCATTGTAGTTTTGATTTGTATTTATCTGATGATCAATGATGTTGAGCACCTTTCATAAGCTTGTTTGCCATTTGTGTGTCTGCTTTTGAAAAATGTCTATTCAAATCTTTTGTCCATTTTCTAATCAAATCATTACATTTATTGCTGTAGAGTTATTTGAGTACCTTATACATCTGGTTATTAATCCCTTATCCGATGGGGTGTTTGTGAGTAATGCCCATATTTTCTCTCATTCTTTTGGTTGTTTCTTCACTTTTTTGATTGTTTCCTTTGCTTTGCAAAATTTGTTTTTTTCTTTGAGACAGAGTTTTGCTCTTGTTGCCCAGGCTAGAGTGCATTGGCATGATCTTGGTTCACCGCAACCTCTGCCTCCCAGGTTCAAGCGATTCTCCTGCCTCAGCCTCCTGAGTAGCTGAGATTACAGGTGCCCACCACCATGCCTGGCTAATTTTTACTATTTTTAGTAGATATGAGATTTCACCATGTTGGCCAGGCTAGTCGCGAACCTCTGACTTCAGGTGATCCACCTGCTTCAGCCTCTGAAAGTGCTGGGATTACAAGCGTGATCCACCATGCCCAGCCAGATTTTTTTTTTTTATGTGATCTCGTTTGTCCATTTTTGCCTTGGTTGCCTGTCCTTGTGGAGTATTATTGAAGAAATTTTTGCCCAGTCCAATGTCCTGTAGAGTTTCCCCAATGTTTTATTCTATTTAATAGTAGTTTCATAGTTTGAGGTCGTAGATTTAAGTCTTTAAATCATTTTGATTTGATTTTTATATATGGTGAGTCTATTAGTTCCTTCCCTCACTGCTATAAAGAAATACCTGAGGTAAAGGAGAAGCAGAAGCAGACACTTCTTGCATGGCCTATGTGGGAGTAAGAGAGAGAGGGTGAGGGGAGGTGCCACACACTTTTAAACAACCAGATACCCTAAATCATCACTCTCAACTTCAAAGTCCCACAGATTCCTAGGGCAGGGGCACATTGCCTCCAGGTTCTTCACTAAAGCAAAACAAAGCGACCTTTGCTCTAGCTATCAATAAGCTCCTTTTCTCCATCTGAGACCTTATCAACCTGGACTTCATTGTCCATATCCCTATCAGCATTTTGGTCACAAACATTCAACAAGTCTCTAGGAAGTTCCAATTTTTCCTTCATGTGCCTTTTTTATTCTGAACCCTCCACACTCTTCCAACCTCTGCCCATTACCCAGTTACAATGTCACTTCCACATTTTCAGGTATATTTATAGCAATGCCCCAGTTCTTAGTACCAAGGGGATATGATGCTAAACCATTCATGAGAATTCCACCACCATGATCCAATCACCTTTCACTAGACCCCACCTCCAACAATGGGGATTCCAATTTGACACTGCATCTGGGTGGAGATACAAATCTAAACCATATCAGTGAGAGACTGGTCTAGTTTTATTCTTCTGCATATGTATACCCAGTTTTCCCACCACCATTATGAAAAAGACTGTGTTTTCCCCAGTGTATGTTCTTGGCACCTTTGTTGAAAATGAGTTTACTGTAGATGTGGAATTTATTTCTGGGTTCTCTATTCACATTGATCTATGTGTCTGTTTTTATGCCAGTTCCATGCTGTTTTGGTAACTATAGCTTTGTAATGTACTTTGAAGTCAGGTAATGTGCTTCCTCTAGTTTTGTTCTCTTTTCCTGGGATAGCTTTGGCTATTCTGATTCTTTTGTGGTTCCATATAAATTTTAGGATTTTTTTTTTCCTATTTCTGTGAAGAATATCATTGCTATTTTGATAGGGATTGCATTGAATCTGTAGACTGCTTTGGGCCATGTGTACGTCTTAACAATATTGATACTTGCAATCAATGAACATGGAATATTTTTCCATTTCTTGGTGTCCTCTTCAATTTCCTTCACCAGTGTTGTTTTTATTATAGAGGTCTTTCACTTATTTGGTTAATTCCTAGTTATTTAATTTTATTTGTGGCTATTGTAAAAGAGATTTCATTTTCAAAAATTTCTCTTTTAGATGGTTCACTGTCAGCATGTAGAAGTGCTACTCATTTTTATATATTGATTTTGTATCTTGCAATTTTACTCAATTTATTAGTTCTAATAGTTTATTGGTGAAGTCTAAGTTTTTTCAAAATGTAAGATCATATTATCTGCAAACAAGAATAATTTGGCTTCTTCTTTTCCAATTTGGATTTTTAAAATTTATTTCTCTTTTCTGATTGCTCTGGCTAGGACTTCCAGTACTATGTTGAATAACAGTGGTGAAAGTGGGCATCCTTGTCATGTTCCAGGTCTTAGAGGAAAGGCTTTCAGTTTTTCCCCATTTAATATTATACTTGCTGTGGGTCTCTTGCAAATGGCTTTTACTATGTAGAGGCATATTCTTTGTACATCCAGTTTATAGAAGGCTTTTATCATAAAGGGAAGTTGAATTTTATCAAAAGATTTTCATCATCAATTGAAATCATCGTATGGTTTTGTGCTTCATTCTGTTGATATGATGTATCACATTGATTAATTTGCATATATGGAAACATTATTGTATCCAAGGGATAAATCCCACTTGGTCATGATGAATGAACTTACTCAGATATTGTTCAATTAAGTTTGCTGGTGTTGTGTTGAGGACTTTTGCATCAATATTCATCAGAGATATTGGCCTGTAGTTTTCTTTTTTTGATGTGTCTTTGTCTGGTTTTGGTATCAGGGTAATACTGGCCTTATAGAATGAGATTGGAAGTATTCCCTTCTCTATTTTTTAGAATAGTTTGAGTAGGATGTTGATTCTTCATTAAATATTTGGTAAAATTCTTCAGTGAAGCTGTTAGGTCTTGGGCTTTTCTCTGCTAGGAGACTTTTTATTACAGCTTTAATCTCATTACTTGTTATTGGTATGCTCAGGTTTTGGATTTCTTCATGGTTCAAATTTGAAAGGTTGTATGTGTCTAGAAATTTGTTCATTTCTTCTAGATTTTCCACTGTATTGGCATACAGTTGTTCATACTAGCCACTAATGATCTTTTGAATTTCTGCCATATCCATGGTAGTGTCTTCTTTTTCATCTCTCATTTTATTTATTTGGATCTTCTTTCTTCTTTTCTCTGTTAGTCTGGCTAAAGGTGCATCAATTTTGTTTAATTTTTTTTTTTTAAAAACAAATTTTTGTTTAATCAATCTTTTGTATTTTTTAAAATTCAATTTTATTGACTACCGGTATGATTTTTATGATTTATTTTTTTCTACTATTTTGGGTTTGGTTTCATCTTGCTTTTCTAGCTTTTTAAAGATGGATTGTTAGGTTGTTTATTTGAAGTTTTTTTCTTTTTTGATGTAGTCACTAACTTTTGAATTTTTTTTTCTTTTTTAATGTAGGCATTAACTTCTCTCTTACTATTGCTCTTGCTGTATCCCACAGGTTTTTGTATGTTGTATTTCCTTATCATTTGTTTCAAGGGATTTTTCAATTTCCTCATTAATTTCTTCATTGACTCACTAGTCATTCAAGAGCATATTGTTTAATTTCCATGTGTTTTCATAGTTCCCAAAATTCCTTGTAATTAATTTCTAGTTTTATTCCATTGTGGTCGGAGAAGATGCTTGATATTATTTCATTTTTTTTTGAATGCTTTAAGACTTGTTTTGTGACCCAACATATGGTCTATCCTTGATAATAAACCATGTATTAAGAAAAAGAATGTGTATTCTGCAACCACTGGATGAAATTTTCTGTAGAGATCTATAAGGTCCGTTTGTTTTATAGCGCAGATTAGTTTTGATGTTAATTTGTTGATTTTCTGTGTAGGAGATCTATCTAGTGCTGAAAGTGAGGTGATTAAGTCTCTGGCTATTTTGGTATTTGGGTCTATCTCTCTTTAGCTCTAATAATATTTATTTTACACATCTGGCTCCTACAGTGATGGGTGCACATATATTTTAAATTCTTATATCCTTGTGCTGACCCCTTTATCATTATATAAAGGTAATATATTGTCTCTTGTTATAGTTTATGTCTTAAACTTTATTTTGTCTGATATGAATATAGGTACTTCTGCTCTGTTTTAGCTTCCATTGGAATTAAATATTATTTTTATCATTTTAATTTTAGTCTATATGTGTCTTTATAGTTGATTGTGTTTCTTGTAGGCAACAGATCATTGGGGCTTTGTTTCTTAATCCATTCAGTCACTTTGTCTTTTCATTGGAGAGTTTAGGTAATTTACTTTTGATATTATTTTGATAAGAAAGGAATTACTCTTGCCATTTTTGTTTTTTTTTTTAGATGGAGTCTTGCTCTGTCACCTAGGCTGGAGTGCAGTGATGCGACCTTGGCTCACTGCAAGCTCCACCTCCCAGCATTCTCCTGCCTCACCCTACCAAGTAGCTGGGACTACAGGCACCTGCCACCATGCCTGGCTAATTTTTTGTAATTTTAGTAAAGGCAGGGTTTCACCATGTTAGCCAGGATGGTCTCGATCTCCTGACCTCATGCTCTGCCCACCTTGGCCTCCCAAAGTGCTGGGATTACAGGTGTGAGCCACCACGCCTGGACTACTCTTGCCATTTGATTATCTGTTTTCTGGTTGTTCTATCTTCTTCTCTTTTGTTGTTTGTTTCTTTCCCGTCTTCTTTTTAGTGAAGGTAATTTTCTCTAGTAATGTGATTTCATTTCTTGCCTTTTATTTTTTGTGTATCTGTTCTATGTTTTTTGCTTTGAGGTTACCATGAGTCATGCAACGTCTATCTTATAACTATTATTTTAAGCTGATAACAACTTAACATCATAAGAACAGGCAAAAAACTAATAAAAAATCTCTATAACATCATTCACCCAATTTTTAACATTTGTTTTATTCTATTTCTATCTTATTGTCCTATCTATGTTTTGAAAAGTTGTACTTGTTTTTGAATGGTTCATCATTTAGTCTTTCTACTTAGGATTAGAGTAGCTTATACACCATAGTTACAATGTTATAATAGTCTGTATTTTTCTGTGTACTTACTATTATCAGTCAGTTTTGTACCTTCAGATGATTTCTTATTGCTCATTAATATCCTTTTTCTTTCTACATGAAGTATTCTCTTTAGCATTTCTTGTAGAGCAGTTCTGGTGTTCATAGAAACCCTCAGCTTTTGTTTGTCTTGGAAAGTCTTTATTTCTGTTTCATATTTGAAGGATAATGTTTTTCTCTTAATGTAAAACTATGTTTCTTCAGCACTTTAAATATGCCATTCCACTTTCTCCTGGCTTGGAAGGTTTCCACTGAAAAGTCTGCTGCCAGATGTATTGGAGCTCCATTGTATATTATTTGTTTCTTTTCTCTTGCTGCTTTTTGAATCCTTTCTTTGTTCCTGACCTTTGGGAGTTTGATTATTAAATACCTTGAGGTAGTCTTCTTTGGGTAAAATCTGCCTGGTGTTCTATTACCTTCCTGTACTTATATATTAATATCTTTCTCCAGGGTTGGGAAATTCTCTCTTATTATCTCTTTCTACCCCTATCTTTTTCTCTATATCCTCTTTCACACCAATAACTCTTAGATTTGCCCTTTTGAGGCTATTTTCTAGATTCCATAGGTATGTGTCATTATTTTTATTCTTTTCGATTTATGTCTGCTCAGACTGTGTATTTTCAAATAACCTGTCTTCAAGCTCACTAATTCAAGTCTGCAGGACAGGTGCAAAAATAATTGTGTTTTTGTTATCAAAAGTAGGTGTTAAAAGTAGTAGCAAAATATCACAATTACTTTTTCACCAACTTAATATTAAAAGACTCTGATGCATTCTTCAGTATGGCAATTGCATTTTTTTAGCTCCAGAATTTCTGCTTGATTATTTTTAATTATTTCAATCTCTTTGTTAAATTTACCTAATAGAATTCTGAAATTCCTTCTCTGTGTTTTCTTAAATTTCTTTGAGTTTCCTCAAAACAGCTATTTTGGATTCTCTGTTTGAAAGATCACATGTCTCTGTTTTTCCAAGATTAGTCCCTGGTGTCTTATTTAGTTCATTTGGTGACGTCATGTTTTCCTGATCATCTTGGTATTTGTAGATGTTCATCTGTGTCTGGCCATTGAAGATTTAGGTATCTATCGTAGTCTACACAGTCTAGGCTTATCTGCACCTGTCCTTCTTGGGAAAGGTTTTTATATATGTGAAGGGACTTGGGTGTCGTGATCTAAGCTGTGATCTAAGCTTTAGGGACACTCCAGGCCCAGTAATAATGTCATTAATGTCATTCTTGCAGACTTGTAGACATACCAACTTGATGTTTTTGGACAAAATCTGGAACAATTCTACGGATTACCAGACAGAGACTCTTGTTCTCTTCTCTTACACAAATGGAATATCTGTCTCTGTTCTGGGTCACCTGGAGGTGGGTGGCCACAGTTGTGACACAAGCACCCCTGTGACCACCACTGTTACTGTGCTGGGTCAGACCTGATGCCAGCACAGTACTGGGTCTCTCCCAAGGCCTTCTTTAACCAGTCACTGTCTAGGATCTATGTTTGCTTAAAGCCATGGGGCTCTACAATCAGCAGGAGACAAAACCAGCCAGGTTTGTTTCCTTCCCTGCAGGGCGGTAAGATCCCCCCAACCCCAGGCAGGTCCAGAGGTGCTGGCTGGAAGCCAGGGACTAGAGTCAAAAACCTTAGAAGTCTGCTGGGTGTCATACTATACTCTTGCTGAGCTGACACTCAAACCACAAGACACAATCCTTCCCACTCTTCTGTTACCCTTCCAATGGCAGAGGAGCTTCACTCAGTGGCCATTACCACCAGCTTATGGGAGTACTGCCAGGTTACTGATGAGGTGATGATGTTCCCTTAAGGCCCAAGGTCTTTTCAGTCAGTTTCTGGTGAATACTTCCTGGCTTGGGACTCACCCTTCAAGAGATTAGGCTCCTCTCTGCCCCAGGGCAGGTCCAGAAATGCCATCTAGGAATGAAGTCCTGATATTGGGGACCCGCAAGAGCCCACTTGGTACTCTAGCCCCCTTGTGGCCAAGCTGGTACCTTAGGTGCAAGGCAAAATCCCTTTTATTGTTCCCTCTTTTTTTTTTTTTCCTCAAGGAGAAAAAAAATCTCATCCCATAGCCAACACAGCTGCGAATGTGCTGAGTCTACGTTCAAGCCAACAAGTCTCAGTCCCACTCAAGGCCCTCAACATAGTACCAGGGTGTTGCCACTGGTAAGGCAGGGCCCATGGGCTCTTCAGTTAGCAGGTAATGAATTCTACCACGACTGGGTCTTTCCCTTCAAGGCAGCAGGTTCTCTTCAGTTCTAGAGTGTGTCTAGAAATGTTGTCTGTGACGTAGGGCCTGGAAAGAAAGCCTCATGACTCTCACCATTGCCCTATCCTTCTGTGACTGAGCTGGTTTTCAAGATGCAAGATACAGTCCTCCCCCTTCTTCCTTCTCCTCTTCTCAAGAGGAACAAAGGGATCTCTTCTGGAGCTGTGAGCAGTGCAGCCTGAATTTATGGGAGTGGTAATGTCAGCACTTTTTTAGCTGACCTGGCTGGTGTCTCAGTAGGTCATGTGCCCTCCCAGTCCTCTGGCTCTGGGCGCAGTTCAGCATTAGGACTTGCCTAGAAGTTGCAGTACTTGTGGCCTAGACTGCCTTTCAAGTTTATTTATAATCCTGGAGCACTTTTGCCCACAGTGGCAAGGCTTGCAGGAACTGAAGTTCCGACCTCTGGGATGGGTGATTCCACTCTGGCTAGGGCTGGTTTAAATGCTCCTTTTGTGGGCAGGTGTCAGCTGAGTTTGGTCCAGTTTTTCTTTCTGCTGTAACAGGGTAGCACTCTGTTTAATGCCTCACAATTTCTGCACTCTCCCTCTCCCTATGGCACAGAAATGCTCTCCATACCACACTGGCACTGCTGGGAGTTGGGGGAGGGGTGGCATTAGTAATTCTAAGACTGTTTTACCTGCCTCTCAGTGCCTCTTTTAGTGATATAAAGTTAAAACCAGGTATTTTGTAAGTGCTTATCTGATTTTTGGTTCTTATGAAGCTGCTTTTTTTGTAGTTGTTAAGTTCATGTCCTTGTCGGAGCAGATGATCAGTGGAGCCTTCTATTCTGCCATCTTTCTCGGCCTACCTTTTGATGAGAAGCACTTTATTATCCAGCAGTCTTATTAAGTTTATTTCTCTATTGGTTATATCTTTTCACAACATAGAACTTGTGTTTAAGTAACATTAAATTCCATTTGTTGGAGTATTACTCTGATATGTTCTTTTTAATTTTTTTTACATATATTTCTCATTTAATACTCAAATACTCAAACATTTCCTCAGATAAATATGTGTTTAAATGCTGTGGTAAGGAAATATAGTTTTTAAATTATTTTCTAAAGATTTTTAAATCTTTTCTTCTCTCCTTACCACACTACCTCGCACAGTGCTTTGTACATGTTGAAATTGGAAAATTTAAATTTGCCAGTTGCATGTTTTTTAAACTCATAAACATATAGCAAAATGTAGCTCCATGCAAGTTGTTTATTTAACCAGACTATTGCTTTAAAAGTTTTAAATATAAATAAATAAAAATTAATACATTTTGAAATTTTAAAATTTGTTAAGCACACAAATTTCATCTCCTACTATTTCAAGCTACACCCTTGAAGTCAAATTGTAGTTTTTGGAACTTGGCAACAAGTGTGAATGTCATTGACAGCTTTTAATAGCTTTTTTCTAAGATATCATTTCCTATATACTTGGTAGAGCAAAGTTAAGCATTCTGTACTGATAATCTTAAACTATTGCATTACAAGATTTCCAAAAAGAATCAAAAGTGAATCTACATATATAGTTCATGGCAATATTTTTATTTTCAAAAAGATCAATTTCTGCGTACAAAGTGAGTTTTATACCACATTAAACTTTTAGTACATTCATGAACCAAGCCTAATAGTATTGTTTGTCTTGTTTTTATTTTAGCAAACTATAATACTGATTTGTTTTATATAAGTGTTCTGTGAAATAACAGCTAAAATTATTTATCAATTTTTAACCTATGAAATAATATTAATTATCAATTTAAGCTGAAGTTTTACATTCATATTTATTGTATAATGTTGATGTCTTTCCAAACAATTTTTGTTAAGGGGATTTGAAATACATTCTTTATATTAGAGTATATTTGAGAGAACTGTATTTTAATTTAATCAAGAGTATAAATAAGAGCATCAAAGTGTAAAGGCATTAAAAAATACAAAGTGTGTGTTTTAATAAAGCCATTTATCTGTGTTGAATGTGTAGGGCTAAGGTTAAAAAATACCTTATAGCTTATTGGTCCTTGGGTTTTCCTTGGTAACATAGTTATAAACATGGATGGTTGGTTAAAATTGGAGAAAGGCAATATTAATTTTAAGAAGAGTTTTCTAACTTGCATTTGCAGTAAACCATTTCTTCATAGTGATCATAAACTTTATGCACTATCCATATAACATATAATCCCTGTTTTCATCAGCAATTATAAAATGTCATCTTTCAGGATGTGATAAACTCAGCAAGTTAAAATGCATGCAGTTCACTAAAACCTTAACTATAGCTTTAAGTAAAACATCCTATTTAATAGGTTAAAAATACATTAAAAAGGAAAAAAAAGCTACTAGATCTTTAATTTTTAATTTGCATTATTGCACAGTCAATACTCAGGAAACCTGTGAAAGCATTAGGACATGTTCTTTTGCCTTGTTGATATTATCTGACAAATACAAAATATAATGTTAAATATAAACAGAGTCTGAACAATATAGTATATCAGAACACGATATTAAAATGTATAGTATAAATATTTTATGATCTTCTTTTAAACTGTAAAAAGAGTCACCAAAGTATAATTTCTAATACAATGACAACTAGACCAGTGATAGCTATATAGTATGTCACATATCTGGCAAAGTTACTGTGAAGTTATAATAAGATGATAATTTTCAGATTTGTACCTGAACTATTAGTGCTTCCTTGAAAAACTCAACATCCTAAGGTGGTAGTTTTGTTTGATCATTTTAGAAGTGTCCCAATCAGATTAAATGACCTTGTATTTTCTTCATTCAGTACTTAATCAGTTTGTGTTATCATCAAGACCACAGATACCCATGAACATTTTTGAGGTTGAGACTTTTTATCAGATCTGTACAGAAGAGAGAGGTACACAGACTTTTTACACTTTTTGATTTGTAGTGATATGTTTTATAAATCTTTCTTATCATTTTAGATTTGCCTGAAGAGTTATAATCATATGCAAATATTCTGTGTATATTGTTTCCCCAGCCAGATATATTTATCACGCTTATCAAGCATAGAGAAGATTTGAGAAAGTTAGGAAGAAATCTGAAAATAAACTTTTAAAAACTTTAATTTATTTAACATATAACAAACATGTACTACAGTTCAAAATTATAATTTTTAATTTTTTTTGTAACAACATAAAAACCATCTAATTATAAAGGCAATTGCCTTTGCATTTTGGGAAAAAATTAGTTCTGATTTCTCAGAATCCTTCCCCTCCTGCTGTTATGCAAATAGTTCCTTAGCGGGAGTCATTGCCCAGTGAATATTATCATAAAGCATTAATGGTCTGATACAAAAATGTTCCATAGAATAGACCTATAATTTTAGAACCAGAAAAAACTTCTGAAATAATTTAGTTAAATCTCTTTATCTAACAAACAGAAAATGTAGAGTCCAGAAATATTAAATAATATACCACAACTAATTAGAGTCAGCCCAGGTTTAGAACTCAGGTCTCCTAATTTAGAGGTCAATACCTTTTTCATTAACATACAAATCTTCACTGGACAAATTATATTCGTTATTTACTTTTTCTCTCGGAAACCCCTGACTTTGTGTCAAGATTGATGTGGAAAAACTCAGCATGGTTTTATAACATGAATTGGCCTTTTAAATTAGTTTTCCAGAAACAACTCAGGATAGTTTGAGTACTATTGTAACAAGGAAAATAAAAGCCTGAAACTTAGAGATTGAAATTATAAATTAAAAGTCATCAGATTAGCCTCTCAGCCTTTATCATTGTGTAACATGCTCTTGGGCTTGGTAAATTTTTGTCTTACATGAAGTTTCCTTGAATACAATTTAACATCTAATTTGATGTTGCAGAATGCGGATACAGTTACTATGGTAGGAAATACACAGCAGTTGATAACACAGTAACATTTAAGGGTTTAAATCTGAAATTGAATGAAAGCGAGGCTGCCAAAGATCCGTTGATAAGCTCAACAGAGGAAGAAATGTGATTATCCTACCAACCAAAGCCTCCTGCTTTGAGGTGGATAAGTTTGTCCAACCTGTAAGAACAGCTTTGCTCAGTGATGCCGAGAGAAGCAAGCTGAGAATTACCAGCAGTCTCTTGAGTGGACATGGCTCACTAGTGCCTAATCCAAGGAGAAATGATTAGGCTGACTGCCCTGGTCAAGGCTGAGATTCAGAGGATTGCAGCCAAAGATAAGCTTGGGGAGAAGTGTTTAGGAGGAAGGAGCAGAAGTGGATTCCGCTCAGGTGTATAGGCAGCAGTTCAGGGCAAGATGAATCATTTTTCAGATTGTGCATATGGGAAAGAATGAGCCTAAGTAACATTTAGGAAATACAGACTATTGCCAGCGTTTCTAAAAGTAGAGATTTTCACCCATCTGGAATTTGCTTGATTACCCCTACTGAAATATGTTTCTCATAATATGAGTCTTAAGCCAGTCTGATCAGAAAAGAAGTAGGGTTCTCGAAGATTGAGGGCTGCCATTCTAGAGGTCTCATTTAGTTTACTCTAATAATCTCTGCTGAGGAATATCGATTTGCTGACATCTGAAGGAGGAAATATGTTATTTTCACTGCTTAACAGTTCTAAGATAAAATTTGAGTGAGGGAACTTACTCATGAATGCCTCCTGTTCATTCTGATTTAATCCAACAAACAGATATTGAGAAGCAACACTGCCAGGCCAGGGGCCGTGAGGACTACAGCCTGGAGGTGAAGTTAAGACAGGTGTAAGCCATCATTTGAAAAAAAAAATGTGACCTGCACATGAATTTTTATATAACATTCAAGATGAGTGGACCTTAATACAATTCTTCTCAACCTAATGGCATTTTTCTTTTTAGCCCCAACTTCCTATTTTTTATTGGCATGTCTGTATCATCTCTGAAATACAACCATTAAACATCCTAAATAGTCAGATCTGTCCTATTCCTAAATGTTATTTCATCTTGTATTTCCTACTGTGGGTGACATTTGACTCTATAAAATTGTGTATCTTCATCTGTTCCTTTCTCCCTCACTCACTCACTATTTTTGCTCTCCCTTTAACTCAAATTCTGCTCTTAAGGGCCATGGAATATTCCTTCCTAAATGGATCTGGGCCAGGATGATCATAACTTCTTCCAGTTAGAAAGGCCAAAGTATGGTGATTTCTCACTGCAGATGAATAAAATCAGTCCAATTTCCAAATGGTACATTGGCCATATTTTTATTTTTTAAGTCGCTAAGCCCTAAATGTAGCTGCCAATGATCAAGAATCATAGGGTTGAATTCATTAAAATAGAGCCAATAAAATGGACTTAAAATGTTTTACCTTCTTAACACTTCACAGATTTTGAAATGTGGCAATGTATACAGATTTATTTATCTCTATGAAAAATATTAATTTATCTCCGTCTTTAAACTTTGACTGCATTTGTTTCCAGAATACCCTTTCCTTAGTTTTGCAATTTCTTCATATTTAAGATTTTGATCAGTAACAATAAACATATCTAATTTCATGGTAAAGTTCTTTTGGTGAGAAGCAAAATCACAGTGAACACAGTTATCAAATTGCAGATTTAGGTTCTTAGGTATGAGAGGACCTATCATACAGAGAAGGAAGAGTACAAGTGATTCCATGACAAGAGAACCCACTGATTGTATCAGATTCTGCTCCACCTGTAAGCTCTAGGCTTGATAGTGTATTGGTATGCTTGCTGATGGCATAACTAGAGTGCCACTTTTGAGGCAATGCATATGGAGATGGACTACCATCCTTTAGGATGTACCATATGCACTGACTCAAAAGATTTTTATATGGAATTGTGTCTTAATAGGGAGAATATATAGGTGCAGAACAAAAAGCTTGAAGCAGGAGTGGCCCTACTTACTATTACTTCCAGTGATCCATTGTGGGGATTTGTATTAGTCTCCAAAGGAGACACACTCTCACCAGAGAACACAGCAAAAGCCCCATTGAATTATAAACTATGGCTGCCACCTGGACAAGTGGATCTTCTTATGTCCAGGGACCAGTAGGCAAAAGAAGGAATCAATGTCTTTGCAGGAAGAATTGACTCTGGCCATTAGGAAGAGGTAGAGATGTCATACAACCAGGAAAGAGAAGAATATGTGTGGAACCCAAGTGAATTACTTGGGTACCTCTTTGTACTCTTGTCCTATAGTGAATTAAATGTTCAGGTAAAGTAAACTTGCCTGATGAGGGCATGGTAACCAGGGGTTTAGTCTTCTCATGGATGTGGATCTCTCACATCACTAGGGTAAACTACTGAGCCCAGAAGAGATGATAGCTAAGAGTGAGGGAACTATGGAATGAATTGTTGAAGAGAGAGATGGTGATTTTTCAATTTTAGCTGATACTAACCACAGCAGCAATGCTAGAGTTTGTTCCACTAGTTTTCCTTTTCTAAGTTTCTCCTCACAAAAAGAAGCTCACCAGAATCCTGGGTGATCTGGTTCAGGGTGGATTGTGGTAGACATGCAGATGTGTTGTCCTGGCTCCCTCCCCTTAAAAAGGACTTGCTGCCAAACTATGGGGAGGGTAAGCAGAAGGCAGCTTCCACTCTCAGCTGTTGGTTGGAGTCTGCCTTAGCTTCAGGGAGCTGTTTTCCCAAAGTCGGCCCTTTCCTGTGGATCCTGGATCCAGTGACACAGTAAAGCAGAGATACAAAGCTACAGCCATTTGGCTTGATGGAGAGCTCTAGCTTCAGAGCTCCCCACTAGACAGCCAAAGATATGTTGCATCTCCTTCACTCATTTCTTCCTCTTCTCAATTCCAGGGCTTTGTCTTCCCAGGCATTGATATCAGATAAACATCTTTTACCCCAATCTCCATCTCCGCATTTTCTTCAGGAGAAGATAGCTTGTAACATTCTCCTTGTGCTAGTCATCCAAATTTTATAAAAGGAAATAATTGATAATTGATTCCTAATAATACCACATTTATCCCCTAAGGAGGAAATAATAGCTAGCTGAGACAAAAGTAATTAAGACTCTACTTTGCTTAGCAGGTATTATAAATACATAACCCGAGGAAAAGTAAGCCACCATTTCAGATACAACATTTGTGTTTGTTTAATTCATGTCTTAGTTTTCAGTTCTATAAGAAATAGTGTCATGAGTACAATACAGATGCTTCTTGACTTATGATGAGGTTAATAAATTATTAAATGTCTCAGGTAACTTACTGATGTTCTACTAAATATGCATCACTTTGTACCACTGTAAACTTGAAAAATCATAAATGGAAGCATCATAAGTCAGTGACCATCTGTAATTAATTTTTACTCTGAGGAACACCTTTAGAAACATAAAAGTCAGAAATTGTAGAATATTTTATGAGTGGTTAGAATAATTTTTATTGGTTGTAACTAGATTTGGAGCTATTAAAAATAGAAATCGCTTAAAGACTCTTCAGTGGCCACTCATCCTTTATAATTAATCTTACACAAGAGAAAATTTTTATTAACCTTAACTGGCTAATTAGTCACTTACCTACAGTTGGGATTTGTAACTACATGCTGATTTAATTAGAATGCCTTTTAAATGCCTTGATTTCTGTTAGCATCATTTTCTCATTTATACAAATGTATTTCTTGATAAAGATGAATTTTTATTTAGATACATTGATAGAGTCTACATCATCTTATTAGATTTCTTTCTCATATACATAGTAAAAGATTCACTGTAATATGGGTTAGTGATTAAAAATTAACAACTGTACCTCAAAATTAATTTCAGGGATAAATTAAGTTTTAAAGGTATAGGATTTGCTTTATATTATCCTTGTTTGTGTCAGGGCCACTATAATCTGAGAATTCCAGAAAACACAAATGTTTAAAAATATGTCTCCTAGTCTCCATTTTGTTGGAGAATATTATTTCATAACCATTTGTTTTCTCAAAATGTTTTCATCCATTAAAACACAAGGATTTTCCATTATTATTTCTTTAATAGTCACGGTTCAAATAATCTGCTCTAAATATGATTAAAAGTTAAACATTAGAATTTTAGTTCCAGATTTCAGTTGGCACATTTTATTTAACAGCATGCAAACATATACAAATTTAAGTTTGTAATAAAGAAAATTGTAGCAATGAGATATGTACTAGGATTCAGAAGAAAATGCATAGCATAAAGTTTACAAAACATAAACAAAGGTCATTTCTTTATTAAGAATAAAGAACATGTCAGTCTTTTGACATAAAAACAACAAAAATACTCTGGGTAAGAATTTTCTTGTTCCCTATGACACTGTAATTTATTTAAAGACATTTCCGTATTTTTCAAAGATGTTGACAGTGAATTGAAGTTATGATATTAAGAAATGTTTCCTGTTTTTCATATCAATCAGCATATGTTGCTTCTCCAAACAATTTTTGTTTGTTGCTTCAAATGTTAGAGCAAATGTAATAGTAAGTATAACATTGAATCTATGGTGGTTCATTGTACCTATATCTAATGAAAAATAAATTTTAAAAACACATTTAATTTGGACAAAGTTGTATTTTATAACCTTAAGAAAAAGAGGCATTCATAATGGCAAGATATCCTGTGTGAATAAATGAACAAATGAATGCATAAAAATAAAATTTCAATGTGTAATTTAAAAAATTCATAAATTAGTCTTGAAAAATATTGGTATATCTACAGCATAAGTTCTAAATGAAATCACCATTGACAGAATTGGGTAATTCTGTGGTGGGACTCCAAGTACATTAGAAGATGTTAAATAGCATCCTTGCCCTCTACAATCTACATGTCTATAACACTTTCCCAGTTATGAGAACCAAAGATGTCTCCAGACATTGCCAAATATCCCCAGGGAGAAGAGGACAGAAAATCCCCTACGGTTGATAAGCAGAGATCTATAGTAACTGACAAATGTATTTTAATATTTTATGCATAAATGTACCAATTATGATTTGATAGCTTAAATAAGCATTAGATTTAACATGTCAACCATTTCAGATATGGAGTAAATCATAGTCACACAATATAGCGCTGACTTTTGTACCAATAAGCAATTTCACCTTTCTGGTTGTAGTGAAGATGCTTGTAAAATATGCAATTGCTTTTTTTCTTAGATCTAGTCAGCTTCTGTCTTAGAGGCCCTTTTGAAATTGCCGTTTGTAGACATTTTCTTTAGATCCTTTACTTATTCATATTTTGAAAATAAGTTTTAAAATTTTCATTGGTTTTATATTTCCTTTTTGTGCCTTCCAGATCATCGGTAATGTGTGTTTATTTATGTATTCACTGTTACTATTTTTAATTGAATGATAGATCTACTAGAGAATTATTCCTTTGTTATTTTTTTCAAAATAAAGATTGAATGACTGAAACATCTATCATGTAGTTTGAATAATCATAGAACTTCTTTTACTTCATCTTCGCTTTTATTTAACAGAACGAAATAATATTTATTAAAATAGCATTTTATTTTAATTTTAGTAAACTTAGAGAAAACACAATAACAAACACCTATATGTCAGTTATCCAACTTTAAGAATTAATAACACATAGACAAACTTGATTCATTGATACTGTCATGCATTTCCCAAACTACCTCAATTATTTTGTCAGAATCCAGACATTTTATTACTTCTTCTGTAAATATTTTAGCATGGATATCTAAAATATTATCATACTTATAAACTAATGAATTGTCATTTTATCAGATATTCAGTAAGTGTTCAAATCTCCCTGATTGTCTCATAAGTTTAGTATTATTTATTCATTTCAGGATCCAAATAAACATGATTTCAGTTAATCTCTTAGAACTCTCTTCATTTATAAGTTCTATCTCTATCTTTATTTTTTCCTTAGAATTTATTTTTTAAGGAAAGCAGCGTATTTGTTCTATAGTTTCCCATAATCGGGATTTTGCTCACTGCATCCCCATACTACTGTTTCTCTGTTCTTCCGAAATAAATACTTTCAAGAGTATTGGGGAGGAACACTTTATAGCTGGTATTGTATATTTGCATTAGAAGATACATCCTTTCTGGAATGTCAGCAGCCATTAGTGTGGTTGCTAGTATTCATTAATTCATTATGCATCAGAAAACGCTAATATTCTAATTCAATCACTTCTTATATGTTGGAATACTTCTACAGAGCAACTTCTCCTGAACAGCTATTTGGTTACTTCGAGGTAGAATTTGTATAGAAAAGGTAGAATACATTTTTATTGTATGTACCCATTTTCAAAATAATGAGTTGCTTCTGTAGCATTCTCTACATGTAACCACCAAAACACATTATTTTCTTTAAAAATATAATGATGTCATGGATTGAAATATGCATAATATATTGCAATTCATTATCATCATCATTCTTATGGATGCTTACGCTCACCTCATCTCTACCTTTGCCCATCAGGAGCCACTTCACGTTGGCTTGTGTGTTCGTTTAACATAATCCTTGATAATGATAGTCTATGAGATCTCTATTTCTTTTTGCATATATGGTAAGATATTTCAGGCTCATCTCATATTTTTAGCTCCGAATCTAGAAGCTTACTGACCTCTTCGGGCTAAGTAAGCAACTTGTATGTTTGTTGAAAGAAAAAAACAAGGCATAGTGTTGATTAAAATTGTAGAAGAATAAACTTCCAGAAATTACATAATAAGAGCTAAATATCTTAGTAGCTTCACTGTGCAGAGATGTATAAATTCACTTTCTCCTCACTCATTAAAGATTTTACCTTCTCTACACTTTTATATTTTGTCTTCCTCCCTCCCTCCCTTTCTCTCTCCCTTCCTTCCTCCATTCCTTCCTTCCTTCGTCTCTTCCTTGCTCCCTCCCCTCTTTACTTTCTTCCCTTATTCAGAATTCCATCTAGGCTTTATTTATACATTACAAGATAATAATCTAAATTTACTTTAGTCCTCCAAATTTTCTAGTACCATTCATTGACTCTCTTTTTCTCACTATTGCTATGAAATTATATCTTAATAACATATAAAAGTTCTTTATTCTCATGTCAGTTTTGGAACTTTATATTCAATTTGATCAATTGATATTCCTTATCTGATACCATCCTTATCTTAATTTTTGAAAAAATATTTTAGTTGAATATCCAATACTACAGGTACTTTCTCATTGTTTTTGTTTTTATATATTTTATTATTTACCATTTCTCAATTTTTCCTCCAAGTAACATTTAACAGTTTTTGTTAGGTTAAAAATTGCTTTGGAACTTTAATAAATATTGGAAGTCAATTTAGAATAAAATTCAAGATGGCAACTGTAAATCACTTTAGGGATAATTAAAATCCAACAATTTGCAAGTCTTTATACATCAGCATGGTATATCTTTCCATTTATACAAATATTATTGGATGACTTAGAAAAGTATTATAATTTTCTGGTTCATTTTGAGAAAATATACATTTTCATTGCTAGTGAAGATTATAATTTATTTTCATTGTGCTTTCTAATTAGTTATTAGTATATTGAAACGCTATTTTGGCTGGGCATGGTGGCTGACGCCTGTAATCCCAACACTTTGGGAGGCTGAGGCAGGCGGATCATCTGAGGTCAGGAGTTCGAGACCAGCCTGACCAACGTGGTGAAACCCCTTCTCTACTAAAAAGACAAAAAATCAGTCAGGCATGGTGGCGCACACCTGTAATCCCGGCTACTAGGGAGGCTGAGACAGGAGAATCGCTTGAATCCAGGAGGCAGAGGTTGCAGTGAGCCGAGATCGTGCCATTGCACTCCAGCCTGGGCGACATAGCGAGACTCCATCTCAAAAAAAAAAAAAAAAAGAAAAGTTATTTTTTGTTATATTTATTTTGTAAACGACTACTGTACTTTTGGAAGAATTGTTTTCAGGATCACCCTTCCCTTAGTTTGAAAAGGACATATGGAAAGATTCATAAAATCCAGGCATAATGAAAAGATAGTAATTTTCTGATGCTTACTGAGTGTTCCGATATAATCAGATTAATAACCAACTAAACTTTTTTCCCAAGCTTGACCACAGCTCAAATAAAAAGACAGATGTCTTATGCTACTTGTATTGGTACTCTGATTTTATTTAGCTCTATATTCAACACTTTCAGAGGAGCAGTTGTTTGAAATACAATAGAGCAACTATCCATTGATTTCTAAACTGGCATTCATTCAACTATTAAATTAATAGGAATATGTTGTCAGCATGTCAGGATTCCCACTACATGGTCCATGCCTTAGTACTGAAAGAGACTTGTGACCCCAGGCAGATATGAAAGTAGGTTTACCATAATAGATCTCTCTGCCTTGTTTGACATGTAATACTAGTACATAATACACAAAGATTGGCAAGTATAAAGTTTCTAAAAATAGCTTTTAAAATATTTAATTTTCTGCGAAGTATAGACGTGCTGGAAAGCAAGGCAAATTGACTGCTAATATATTATACTTAACAATAAATCTTTTATTTGTAAATTAAAAAATGTATAAAGCTATGAGTGTAGCATATGTTTTCCAAATAATTTTCTCATACTTTGCCTCTTTGTTTTATGTACGTATGTATTTAAATTTTATCGTGTGTATTTAAGGTATGTAACATGATATAAGAAATACATATAGATAGTTAAAGGAGTTACTAACTATAGTGAAGCATACTAACATATTTATCATCTCACATAGTTACTCATTTTTTCTTTTTATAGAAAGAGCTACTGAAATCTATCCATCTGATAGGAATCCCAAACACAGTACTTTATTAACTATAGTTCTAATATTGTACGTTTGATCTCTAGACTTGTTCATCTTACGTATCTGCTACTTTGTAATCTTGAATCTACATCTCGCCCATTTTCCCGCCTCCATGCCCATTTTATCCTCTATTTTGTATATTTGAATTTTTTTAGATTCTACATGTAAATGAGATCATGCAATATTTTTCTTTCTGTGTCTGGCTTATTTCACTTAGCATAATGTCCTCTAGATTCCTTGCCTCTGAGACCTCAAGAATTCCATGTGACTAGACAGGGTAGACATAATATTAATCACTATTAATTATTCATTCAGCATATATTTATTGGATATTAATACATACTAGTTGCCATGCTCTAAACTGAACTCAAGGACTCAAGTCAGATAAGAGGCACAACTTTGCTCTTCAGAAGCTTACAATCCATTGAGAGAAATAGATAAGAAAATTTATGGTGATAACAGTGTGATAAATATTGTGAGAGGTAAGTATAGAAGAATGAGAAGATGTACCTTACCCAGAATGGAAGAGTGAGGATTCCTACTCAAAGAAATGATAGATAAGCCAAGTCTTGGCTGTTGAATAGAAAAGTCAAGTAAAGGATGAGAGAAAAAGAGGACAGCTAAGCAGTACATTTTCCTAGGAAAACAGTGTACTTATGAAAGGTTTTCACCAGGAAAATGATAGTATGACAAAATCATTTTAGACAGAATATACTCACTAATGTGTAGAAATTTTTCTGCAGCACACCAAGACGCCAACATGGCACATGTATACATATGTAACAAACCTGCACGTTGTGCACATGTACACTAGAACTTAAAGTATATATATATATAAAGAGAATCAAAAGAATATGAGCTTGTACTATAGCAGTAATTGGATATTCAAAGTCAGAAATGGATTGAAAAACATTGAAGAGATAGTAAGACTGTTTGCAGAACTAGAATGAGTGGTTGTGACCATGAGAAATTGTGATTTATTGCAGAGACTGTGCTATTTACTTAGAGATAGGTAATAGAAATCAGAGAGTAAAATTGGCAACAAGAGATGATGGGTAAAGTTGGTAAAATCAATACTGGGTGTACAAAATTTGGGCTCTGTTACTCTGAAAGTTTGTTGTCAAAAGCCTACCTACTGTCTGTAGGCAGTGTAAAGATTCCCTAAAATGTTCAGATCCTAATCCCCTAGAATCTGTCACTCTATTAAGTTAGATGGCAAAGAGAACCAAAGCTATAGATGGGATTCAGATTATGTATCACCTGACCTTAAAATAGGCAGGTTATCCTGATCCTGGGTTGTTATCCAGATGGGCCTAATTTAATCACTTAAGTCCTTAAAAGTAGTAGCGGAAGGCAGAAAGATGGATCTGAGAGATGCAATATGAGAAGGACTTGACTCCCCCTCACCTTCTTGCTAACTTTGAAGATGGAAGAAGGGGGTCACAAATGCCGGTAGCCGCTAGAAGCTGGGAAGAGCCTTCAGCTTACATGCAGCAAAAAATGGTAACCTTGGTCCTACAGCTGCAAGGTACTGAATTCTGCTAACAACCTGAAAGAGTACTAAAGATATTCTCTCCCCTAGAGCCTCCAGATAGGAACACAACCCTGCCAATACCTTTATCTTAGTCCAGTGAGACTCATGCCTACTAGGTTTTTTGATCTTCTGAATTGTAAAGTAATGAATTTGTTGTTTCAAGCCATTTTGTTTGTTGTCATTTGTTATGGAAGCATAGAAAATAAATGGACAAGAAAAGTTAACCAAAAAAAATCAGAATAAGATGTAATCACGTATACATTCACTCTCAGAACCACTTTCTTTTTGTATATGTACATATTTCATTTCAGCCATTGTCCATACACTTTTACCCATACACTTAAAATAATTTTCAGTCAAAAACTACTTATATTTTTGGAGAGGTACTTATTTTTTAGTATAAAATAAATAAGGTTCAATGGGAATGGTGTGGACCTTCCTGGAGATGCAATGTTGGCATGTGGGCAGTACAATCCCAGTGGCAGGACTGCCCAGAGAGCTTATCCAGGAAGATTTTTTTTTTGTTTGTCTCTTAGTTTTATTGGTTCATTTGTTTACGTAAGGCAATTTTTAGCAAAGAAAAGTTGGTGAATATTAACAAATATAAACAATAACTACCATGAAGTGATTACTTGTCATTTAGGAACTGGGCTATGCACTTTACATAAATAAGCTCATTTCTTCCCTCTAATATCAGATCTGGTCTTAGCCACTTTGGGGTCTGTTTTCCTTACAAGTATAGGAAAAAACCAAATTTAGAGCCGGGAAAGACATTTTTATTTGGTAAGTTTTATTTATTTATTTATTTATTATTATTATTTTACCACAATATTCTTGCATGTCCAGGGAGGATTTGAGGTGAAGTTACCCTGGATGGAATAATAATAACTCAGTTGAACCTCATTTGAGTCTAAGTTAGTCATAACTGTAGTGTGGTTCTGCACTGAAGTTCATTCTCATTGAAATGTTAACTTCAACTCTCTCCAGTTTGAGATTATTGGAGATAGAAAAGTCTTCTATGTATGTGTAATTATGGTAAATGATTATTGTAAATTGTGCCCATTTATTTTGAGTTGCAGCTTTAATATTAATGATAAACCTGTAACCTATTTTCACAAAACACTCATCTATTATTATTGTCAAAACTGCTCATTCCCTTTCAATGTTTCTGTCCTTCTGGCACTATGTTATTTTTCATCTCTTAAGTGATCTTGACAAACAGTAGGCAAGAAAAACACCTTCCAGATTCACTAAATTAAAAAAATTGGTTAGTTCCCTTTAATAATTGTGTTGTTCTGAATACATGTAATGATGAAAAATCCTCAGTTAAACATTTACTTTCCCAGGTGAACTATTCACTGTTACATTTTAAAAACAGGTACTATCTAAGCAAAATTGCAGATGGAAAATTTTTATCTGTTACAATGACTTCTTCATTAAATGGGACCTGTAAGAGTTTGTTCTTTTTTAAAAATATAAAATTTTAAAAAATGATCACTTTCGGAGCAAATAAAACAAGTACTAAAGGGGATATGTAGACAAACATTTTAAATGCAAGAGTCTGATATTTGGTAAAACAGAAAGTACTTCATTATCAGCAAAGTACGTGAATGTATCCTGAGTGCCTATAAATAGCAAAACAAATTATTGTGACCTGCTAAAACTAATGAATAAAATAAGAACATTGTAAAAATACAATATAGCAAGATAGAGCCAGGTTGCCAATATTCCAAGGCAATTGCCAGGGTCTCAAGGGCCTACGGATAGATTATTAGGGAATGCGTACTGAAAACAGGAGAAGGCACCCGACTGAAGATATCCTTATCTCCTCTTCCAGGTACATACGTTTTGCATTTTGGATTGTAATGGTTTTCTGAAACTTGAAAATCCAGGAATTACTGGTACATTTCTGCCTTTCCCACTTCACTGTTCACATGAAGCTATATTGCACAGAATTATTTATATCGAATGTTATGAGAGGTTAATAGGATGATATGTCAGAATAAAAGTGGGCTGAGGACAACTTGTGAAGTTGATTCCACACCTACAGGTACATTGAAATGACGTGAAAACCGTCATAAAAATTCTAATCCTTGGGCTTCACTGCTTACCTATTGAGTCTGAATAATATGAGCTGGTTCTTTGCAATATTTATACAATTTCCTAGGTGATTCCTATTTTTTACTCATTTTCTATTTATTTTTAGGCCACTTTAGATAAACGGCAAATGGTTCTTTTTTAGACTCTAAAGCAAGGAAGGGATATCAATAACTTCCTTCAGTAAGCTGTTTAAAAATTAACACCACTATATCTATGTATTCTAATGTGCATTTTTCATAAGAAATCTGAACTGATCTATTTTTCTGCCCTTTGTAGCTATGGAAAATAATTTACTACAATGCACCTTTTGGTGTCTTTCAAAGACTTATTTTAGGTCTACTGATTCTCCCAGACTAAAGCAGAAATGAAAACAAAAGGCAAACTAACTAGTTGAACCTTTCTATTAGGGTCTATTTTCCAAGCCATCTTTTTTACTCACTTTAGAATGTTACTCATAGAGCAAAAACACATACTGATTCTCTAGTTGAATAATTAAAATTTTTACATACACTTTTATATTTAATGTCTACATTCAGGCTTATTTCATATCTTTTAATAAGATTCAGAACAGGGCTCTATAGAGGTTATACCATGAATATCTAAACTGTTGAGCATTTTGTAGGAAGAAAAAAATAGCTGACTAAAAGAGACCCACTTGAGAAGCTTCTTCAGAAGTCATGAGGATGTGCCACACTGGAACTATTTTTAACTTTCTTGGCCTATGAATACCCCAAAATATCCTGACCTTGACGTATCACCAACATTTCATTAAAGAAACAGCATGTTAGTGAGCGGTGAAGCTGGCTGGGCTTCTGGGTCGGGTGGGGACTTGGAGAACTTTTCTGTCTAGCTAAAGGATTGTAAACACACCAATCAGCGCTCTGTATCTAGCTAAAGGTTTATAAACGCACCAATCAGCACTCTGTAAAAACGCACCAATCAGCACTCTGTAAAATGGACCAATCAGCGCTCTGTAAAATGGACCAGTCAGCAGGACATGAGCCAGGCCAAATAAGGGAATAAAAGCTGGCCACCGAGCCAGCAGCAGCAATCCGCTGGGGTCCCCTTCCACGCTGTGGAAGCGTTGTTCTTTCGCTCTTTGCAATAAATCTTGATGCTGCTCACTCTTTGGGTCTGCACTACCTTTATGAGCTGTAACACTCACCGGGAAGGTCTGCAGCTTCACTCCTGAAGTCAGCGAGAACATGAACCCACCGGGAGGAACGAGCCACCTTTAAGAGCTATAACACTCACTGCGAAGGTCTGTGGCTTCACTCCTAAAGTCAGCAAGACCACAAACCCACCAGAAGGAAGAAACTCCGGACACATCTGAACATCTGAAGGAACAAGCTCCGGACACACCATCTTTAAGAACTGTAACACTCACCAGAAGGGTCCACGACTTCATTCTTGAAGTCAGCGAGACCAAGAACCCACTGGAAGGAACCAATTCCAGATACATTAGGACCTCTGTCTAAATATGTAGAAAGAAATTTATGCTTCCAAAAGAAAAATGGGCTGGGCGCGGTGGCTCAAGCCTGTAATCCCAGGACTTTGGGAGGCCGAGGCGGGCAGATCACGAGGTCAGGAGATCCAGACCATCCTGGCTAACAGTGAAACCCCGTCTCTACTAAAAACAGAAAAAATTAGCCGGGCGTGGTGGCGGGCGCCTGTAGTCCCAGCTACTCAGGAGGCTGAGGCAGGAGAATGGCATGAACCTGGGAGGCGGAGCTTGCAGTGAGCCAAGATCGCACCACTGCACTCCAGCCTGGATGACAGAGCGAGACTCCGTCTCAAAAAGAAAAAAAAAAAGAAAAATGTATATGCACTGTTGGGAGGACACTGATTCAAGTTATCTGATTCAAGTCTTTCATTATCTCTTGAGTGATTTTTTTACTTTTTTAAGTTGTATGTCATTGACAGGCATGTAAATTCTATCCTGGCTGGTGGAGGTTCAGTTGTCTTCCTCCTACGAAGAGGAAAAACTACTTTTCTCTCATATGCATTTGCATTTTAATATTCCTGATCTATAATTGTTTCCATTTTCAGATTCTCTTTTGAACCATTGGTAACATCTGCCTGCTTCCCTCATGAGTTAAATACAATCTTTAACATATGTTCTTTTTATATGGGAGTTACAATTTAGCCTTTTTCTGAAAGTTCTCTCTTAACATACATTATCTAATGTGAATTGTGTATATTTTAAGTTTTACTGACACTAATTAGATAACTCGGTGTCAAATATCTGAAGGCTTCCATTGTCTAACTTTTAGAGGCCAACCTATAATAAATATATATTGCATATTTGATTTGCTTTGTAAAAGGACAAAAAGAAGCTTGAATTACAAATGGCACAAAGGGCATTTGTAATTAGGTTTTGATACAAGCAAATTAACTACTTGGGGATGTTATTTAGTCATGGAGTTCATTGGAATTATACTTTATTTTATGTCTACTCTTTGATCTCCTGTTTCTTGTCATGTCTCTTCAAAACGTTCACTCTGCCCCTCAAGCTCTGAACTTGAATGCCCCCTTTCATGCTTAGCAAAAAATTGCTTCTCTCTTCATAAAAAAAAAAATGCTGTTAGCTATAGTGTTTCTGATAATCGTAACAGGCTTAAATATAAGTATTATTCTTCAAATATAGATAAACAAGGGGAAATTGGGAGATGTTAACTTATTCAAAGCCTGCATGGATTCCACCACAGCTTCCATGGGCAAGAGGTTATACTAGCTGTGCAATTGTTTGCTACGGCTGCCGTAACAACCTGCCACAAACTGAGTTGCTTAAACAACAGAAATTGATTTTCTCATATTTCCAGAAACTGGAAACCAAAGAACTAGGTGTCGGCAGGTTCCCTTTCTCCTGATGCTTCTCTCCTTGGGTTGCAAGTGGCTGCCTTTCCACTGTGTCCTCATGGGGTCTTTTCTCTTGGTGATTCTCCAGTGTCTTCATATCCTTATGACAACAGTCAGATTGGATCAGAGCCCATCCTAATGGGCTCCTCTTAACTTAGTTACCTCTTTAAAGGTCCTGTCTTCTGAGGTACAGGGGTTAGAATCTCAGCATATAAATTTTGAGGGCAAATAATTCAGTCCATAGTACTCTGACTCTCCTATCCTATACCCCAGTTAAAAGCAATTAGGGTAGTCTTGTTTCTAACGGTAACACCCAAATGAAACTGCTCAGTTAGCTCTCAACAATAAAATTTTTATTTAATACTTTGTATTTTCAAAAAAATACATTTACAAAAGAGTTGAAATATAGTAGAGATGTCTCTTATACCTTATTCCCCACTTTCCTAAAGGTTGATATACCTATAGTATAATTACTAAAATAAATACTTAGTAATTTGGTAAATATTCTAATATTTGTTTGATAAATATTAAAAGAAATATTTGGAAATAGTATTACCATTGTCATAATACTATTAACTAATCTAAAGACTTTATTCAGATTTCATTCTTTTTCTCCCTAATGTTTCCTTCTTTTCCAGGATGCAAACCCCATGTCTTCAGTTTTCCTCTCCTTATAAAGACATCAGTATAGTCATATGTCACTTAATGACAGGGATACATTCTGAAAATTGCATCACGGAATGAACTTACACAAACCTAGATGGTATAGCCTCCTACACACCTAGGCTATAAGGCATAGCGTGTTGCTTCTAGGTTACAAACCTGTACAGCATGTTACTATACTGAATATTATAGGAAATTGTAACATAATTGTCAGTACTTGTGTATCTAAACATAAAAAAAGAAACAGTCAAAACATAGTATAAAAGATAAACATGGTACTCTTGTGGAGGGAACTTACCGTGAAAGGAGTTTGCAGAACTGGAAGCTGCTCTGAGTGAGTCAGTGTGTGAGTGGTGAGTGAATTAGAATGCCTAGGACACAGTTGTACACTACTGTAGACTTTATAAACACTACACACCAGCTTCACCACAAACACATGGTAATGCATTGCACTATGACTTTACGATGGCTAGGATGGCTCTAGGCAGTGGGAAATTTTCTGCTTTGTTATAATTTTATAGGCCCACCATTGCATATGCAGTCTGTTTTGGTTTGAAATGTTGTTAAGCACCATATGACTGTGATTGGATTTAATGTCTATCCTAAATCCAGGATCTCATATCAAGATACTTAATTATATCTGTTAAGACCCCATTTCAAATAATATCACATTCATAGGTACCTGGGGTTCGAAGATGGGAATAGTTTATGGGGGGATAAATCAACCTAGAGTTGCCATTGTTTGCTTTCTGGTTAATAAATACCTTGGGGGAGTCTTTTTGGGACTTTGTATCTTGTTTCTCCACAGACTTTTAACCCACTAATTTTAGTAGCCATCAACTTAATCTTCTCTGAGACAAATATTTCTATGGTGTTCTGTTGGTGATTTTCTGTTTCTTTCATTTTGCTTATAGTCATTAATCAGTATCCTTCTGCAATAAAATACTGTCTTTGCTTATTTATCTTTCTGTCATTCATCTACTTATATCTATCAATCAGCTATTTATTTATATCAGGATTGTGATTGCCTAATTTTATAAATGAAGATACAGAACACCCAGTTAGATTTTAATTTCAGCCAAGCAGCAAATAAATTTTAGTATAAGTATGTCCCATGTATATTTGAAATATACTTTCATACATTGTTTAGCTGCAATTAAAATTTGTGTGTCTTATATTTTAACTGGCAACTTCATTCAGAATAGACACATAGGTATATGTTTTACTTTATAGATTGTAATCCAATACAATCATTACTTATTTTGTTGTTTAGTTATTTCCAGTTTTGGCCAATGGGGGTTCTTTCAGATTGATTTCTACTATGCCTCCGTTATTTTGGATAACTTTTCTATTTTGGAAGCACCACAGAATGTTCTAGGCTCAACTTGTGTTTTCAGTGCTACAGCTCTGAAATCAACAGCTTCTTCAAAGGCTCTGAGCTCTTTTCATTGAAGAATGTTATTGCAGAACTAAGATCTGAGGTGGAGATGTGTTGTTTGCTATTGTGGTTTCTCTGTTGCCAGGCCCTCTCAGCAGTCAAAGCTTGAAAATATATCTAGAGAGAGAAAATTTTGACCTGTGCAGATACATACATATGGAGATTTATTTCTGAGCTGTCTATCTGTGTAGGCAGAAGAAAGGCCTCCTAAAGATGTCTACATCCTAATAACCAGACTTTTGTGAACATGTTACCATATGTGGCAAAAGAGACTTATGTGATATGTTAGGGATCTTGAGTGGGGAGGGATTATCTGGGTAGACCTAATGTAATCAAAAGGGTTTTTATAAATGAAGACAGGGGAAGGAAAGGTCAGAATTGAAGAGAAATTTGAATATGCTATGCTGATGGCTTTGAAAATGGGGGAAGGGAGCCACAAGCCAAGGAATGCAGACAGCCTTTGGAAGCTGAAACAGGCAAGCAAGTTAGATTTTCTCCTAGATCTTCTAAAAGAAAATGCAGCCCTGCAAACACCTTGATATTAACCCAGCCCTTTTGGACTTATGACCTTCAGAACTATAAAATAACAAATCATTGTTGTCATAACCTGCTACATTTATGCT
The DNA here is from genome assembly GCF_000001405.40 of Homo sapiens. Lineage (NCBI taxonomy): Eukaryota > Metazoa > Chordata > Mammalia > Primates > Hominidae > Homo > Homo sapiens. The sequence continues at coordinate 9,868,071 of NC_000007.14, read as the reverse complement.
AATTTCATATGGCAGTAATGGGAAACTGCTATACTATCTGTATCAATAATTTAAAACCATGAGATCGCACTGCTTCCTCCAATTTCAATCCAGCAACACAGAATTCATTCTTTTCTTCTGTCTTATTTGTAACCTCTTTCTTCAACAATGAGAAGGCTAGCTATCATTATCTACAGCATATTTATATGTTCAATTTAATATACATATAACTTAGTTCCATAATTTCTAACCCATACCTGTGTAAGAAGCACATTTGCTAATTACAGTACAGACTTGATGTGTAGTACATTTTATATTTTAGCTTTATAACCTGGAGTCAAATACTGCAAAGAAATTTCCCTTTACATTGAAAATTTGGCTGTTTGACACAAGAGGCCTAGCTTTCAGTCAGTCTCATCTTTCCTTCCTCAATAAGTTTAATCATTTTTAGCTTTTGATTGAAAGTGAGGGATGTGTGACTCTTCCTTTCATATGAACACTTAGAGGTCATGGTAGTTTTATTAATTGGCCTTATTTCAATATTTTTGTGGCTCAGGGACACAGAGACACAAAGTAAGCACATGTGGTTTTAAGAATGATGCCAATAGACTTTCTTGATCAGGGTTGTCAGAAATCTTCAATTTTGTTTTAAAAAAGAAATATCTGCCAAATACAATAAATTAACATAAAATAAAGCAAAATATAGCCTATACAGTTTGTACTGTGGGTTACGGCTGCAACATATGAATTCTGGGCAGGATACAATTCTGTTCATAAACATATCTCTGTGAACCTGGGCGTCTCAATGGTTAAATGACAGCAGAGCTCCCTTCAAATCCATGTTGAACTTGATGATGGGCAAAAAACAAACTCTTATGTTAGAAGTATTTTTAAAACATCTCATACACTGGACAGTTGATAAAGTTGCTGATAAACAATTTAAATGCTATTCTTGTAGAGTTTGCATGTCATTTGATAAACACTTATAATACAGCCCAGCAAAGAACACTAAGCAATGACAAAATTTATAATGGAAATGCACATTTCACAGTAAAAACCAGGTAATATCTGGAAATAAACTGTTTGCTCACTAATGAAGTGAAGCCTTAAAAATTAAAGAAAATTCAGAAGAAAGACGGTAAGGATGGTTGACACTTCATTGTCACTGATTACAGATGTAATGGTGAAGTTGAGATGATGATCAGAGTCTTACTTCAGACAAATCATGAGTCTCAGAGGAAGTGATGACAGAGATGTCTGTGGAAACTATTGAAGAGGAAGGCTTTGCTAAATCTTCATGGAGGTAATGGGCACTTAAGATAAAAACGTTGCAAAATGGGACTTTGACTTAATTCTCGTTAAGTGCAGTTATAAGCTTTTTATCTTGTGCTAAAACAATATCGAATTTTTTTTTAAGGAAAGCTCAGTGTCACACCGGATGCGACCCTGAGATGCCAGTCCTATGGCCAGCCACATCCACAATACAACAGCTTTTTGCTGATATTCAGTATGGTTTACAAAATGTGTGACCGTGGTACAGATGTACTTAAAATGTAGTAAGATTTACCCCAAATTTTGCTTAAAAATGGTGTATCGTGTTTTACAGAGATAAATATAAAATTTACCTCTATAAATAATGACTGAAAAACATTATAATAAAAGAAAAATGTATTATATGAAGTTTCAATATCGAAAGCCAGAAGACATTCTTTTTAGAAAACACTAGCTGGAAAGATCTTCCGATCTTCCTTGGGGTATGCCTTTATTCCCCTATTGTTGGATACTAAGCTTGTTTATATTATTTCATTATTTTCAGTAATATATCAGTGAATATATTTGAGGGGAGATTTTCCTATAATTTGAAGTATTTGTTTAATATTTCACTAGAATGGAATTATTGTGCTTTGTTAAAAAGCATTCTTAGTGTTTTTTTTTTTTTTCAAATAAGTTTAAATTTCTTTCCTGAAGCTTGTATAATGAGACATCCCGTAAGGCCTAGCAGGAAAAACTGCCAATTTCAAAATCATAAGCATTTTATACCATCCAAAAAATGTTTGGAATTTACCTTTTGGAGCTAAGGGCTTCTTTATACTGGGAAAATCACTTTATCAGGTTGTTTAATGAAACAGATTTAAAGTAAGTACCCTGTATTGTCCTTGGAAAAGTTAGAGGGGTTTGAAGGTAAACCAAATGGGCAATTTATAAATATGTTAAGTGTTGTGCTTCATGATAGAAATAGACGCAAATTTATGAAGTACTTAAGACTCTTTAGATTACATAAAACAAATTATGTTATTTTTGTTAATCTGAATTTGAGCTGTCCTATGCCAAAGAACTATTGCTTATTCTTACAAGATGTGCTACATACGGACAGAAGACTGTGAGAGGTACTGGACTACTGCAATGGGAGGTGGGTCAGTATGATGTTCTCTTCCCCCAACACAGAAGATATTACTAGGGCTAAATAGCATGTGTCTGAGACTGTAAATGTACACGTGTGATTTAACACTCTATTACTCGCACTCTTGAAAACTATACCTTCTGGCTATAGTAACTGTCCACTGTGGATCAAGGAGTCAGTTATTTCTTTTTGAGTAGAGACCAGGATTTATCCTAAAAATAATGAATATGTTTTCTGCCTACCAGCTTTGGGCAAAAATTAGATGGGTCCTGGATTAGGAAGGGTGGGAGTGGAGTATATTGGAGGGAAATAAAAGAGATTTATCCCTTCTTTGGGACTATTGGGTCAATTTTTCTAAAATCCAAGGCATTGAGTTATTTTAGAGCAGTGATTAATCAAATTAATTAAATAGGCATCCGAATCAGAGAAAGAATCTGCAAAACTCAGAACTTTCTTTTCACAACATAGAGTAAGGCATCTGTATAAGGTTTTGATGGTATCATTTTATACTAATATTAAAAGTGTATAAAGTGTTCATTTAGTTTGTCAGGTTGATTATTTTTATTAAAAAATAGAAAATAAAGCGCTGTCTATTCAACTTTAGAGTTTGAGTCTATTACTTAATGAGTTATTGTAAAAAAAATACACTCTATTTCTCACATGTAGAAAATTAAGAGTAGAATAATATTTGAAAACAATGAAAAATTAGAAGATTAATAAACTATGTCTTAAACATGTAGGGCTCAAAATTCAATTGAATGATCTCTGAGAACTTCTTTTTAAGTTACTCTATTTTAAAGACTACAGCTCACACAGTAGTCATCTGGCTCTTGGTTAATAGTGATTGTAAATGTATCTCCAGAGTCACATAATTCTAGTATTGCTATTTTAGAGTATGCAAAATGATGATTAATATTGAGGATAAAAACATTTCTGTATTGTATGATCTCATATAGTATCACTAACAGATATAGAAACTTAATATTCAATGAAAATCCAAAATGTTTTTGTCAATGCATTTCTTGATGAAGAAAGAAAATAATTTTCACTCTATACTATGATATATTTGTCTGAATGTCTGCTTTTGGAAACAAATAGAGTGAAATGACAAAATATTTAACAATGGGTTAAAACTTAGCCAAAAGATAGTGAATTTTTTTAAGTGAAGCCCTCTCCAGAGCAGGGATTCTCTGCAGTAACTAGAAGTGTTCCTGGATTTGATTCTACACAGCACCATCTTTAGAGTAATAGATCACTGAAGCACCTTTTCCTCATGATGTATATTACTCAAATGCATCATCAACCAGATCAGTGTTTCTAATGATTTATAAGTCCACTAAATCATTAGTGAGGTGCAGCAATGATATAATATTCAAAGATTGTTCCATATGAACAAGAAATATTCACTAACAAATTTTAGAATTTGCAAAACAAAATTAGACACAACAGGAAAAGAACAGTATGCTGAATACTAGTCTCATTTTTAAGAAAATATTGTGTTTGATTGTTTAGTGCTATGTAGTGTGTTATTAGTACAGCAATAGTTACTGACTAATATATTGTTTCCATTTTTATTGTCTTGGTTAATAAGCATATGATAATATTTTAAGGAATGACTATTTGAAATGATTAATAACAAATCTGAATGACTGTGTTATTTAAAAACCACAATAAAAATAATAGAGCTACAACTTCTAATGCTTCTACATCTAGAGAATGTTCATTATAAGCAGTCTTAGAGATCGGAAGTTATAATATTTTGGTGCAACATTTTTTTACATTGGAGAAAAAGCCAGTTTGATGGACTTTTAAGTCTCTTGGTCAGGGAATTCCAGTGTGGAAGCCAATGGGAAATAAAAATAGTTCCCTACTTCCCGAAAGTTGGAGCCAAAGCACTCAGAGCGAAGGCAGCAAGGGTTGCTGCTGCCAGAGTAAACTTGGCTAAAGGATTTCACAGAGCTTCCCAAAAATCTCTTTATAGGTCATCTGGGTAATCTACAAAAGCATACAAAACTACTCTTTCTTCTCAGTCCCTTTATGTCCCAAATAATCAGCTTCCTGAAATGGTGCGTGAGTTCTTACTCCCCAAACTGCACTGCAGATTCATAGACCTTTATAAAAGGTCTTTTACTAAATATTGCTCAACAAATTGATTAACTAAATAGCAAAATTGATCGATCTAGAGTTGTTTATTGACCTTTGTAATTTTCTATAAATGCTTACAATGTTTGTATAAATGTGTGCAAATGTTTATAAAAGTAGATAAAAAGACTTGGAAAAACTGAAAGTCAAAATGAAGACTATACAAAATAATCTTATGGCATTTTGTTGAGAAAAACACAGCTTGGCATATCTTCAAGTGAACAGTATTCTTTTTGACAGATTTTGTTGTTAGTTTTGAAAAGGGTCAAATGATACACTACATAGTGTAAAGAGGAAAGAAAATGGGTAATGTACATGACATGGGAAATCTGGATAAAGTTGTTGCTTTCTGCTATTGATAGTATTATTTATATTAATAGATTTTAAAAATAACATTTATTTTAGGTTCAAAGGTACATGTGCAGGTTTATTATATATGTAAATTGTGTTTCATGGGGGTTTTATGTACAGATTATTTCATCACCCAGATAATAAGCATAGTACCTATTAGGTAGAGTTTCAGTCCTCACACTCCACCCTCAAGCAGGCTCCAGTGTCTGTTGTTCCCTTCTTTTTGTCTATGTGGACTCAATGGTTAGCTCCCACATATAAATGAGAACATGTGCCATTTGGTTTCTGTTTCTGTGTTAGTTTGTTTAGCATAATGGCCTCCAGCTCCATCCATGTTGCTGCAAAGGACATGGTTTTGTTTTTAATGGCTGCATAGTATTCTATGGTGTGTATGTACCACATTGTCTTTATCTAGTCTACCATTGACAGGCATTTAGGTTGATTCCATGTCTTTGTTATTGTGAATAGTGATGCAATGAACATATACGTACGTGTTTCTTCATGGTAGAACAATTTATATTCCTTTGGGTATATGTGCAATAATGGGATTGCTGGGTTGAATGGAAGTGCTATTTTAACTTATTTGAGAAATCACTAAATTGCTTTCCACAATGGCTGAATATTAATAGATTTTTCAATGTTCTTTATAGTTATATGTAAACTGCAACAAATTGAAGTAACTGACTATCTTCTCTATGTTGAGCTGTAACTAGCATTATTAAATTTCATATTTATTAGGAAATTCAGTATTAATGATGCTATAATAGCAGTCTTAATGATGCTATGATAGAAATCACACATGGATTATAAAAGAAAGAAAATCTCTGAAATGGCCTCATAGAGAATGTGAGCTAAGTTCAGATATTTTAGATGCCTGCCAGAGGAACAGGATAGAATAATTTGAGCAAAATTTTAAAAAGCATAAAATAACCTATGTTTTGGCATTCCTAAAGTTTAGAGTGAGAGGAGGAGTAAAAAAAAAATAGTTAGGGGTTAAAAAGTGACCAGGCTATTAATACCCTTATATATTATCTACAGATGGAACGGAACTACTGAAGTTTGAAAAGAAAAAAATCCAATTTATTTTCTAAACTGTTAATTATTCTGGGAACATAATAATTGTATGTATTTATGGAATGTATGTGCTATCTTGATAAAAATCATACTGTGTAATGATCAAAACAGATTAATTAGGATATCCATCACCTCAAACGCTTATCACTTCTTTATCTTAAGAACATTCCAACTCCACTCTTTTAGTTCTTTTAGAATATACAATAAATTATTAAGTATAATTGTCCTATGGTGCTACTGAACACTAGATTTTATCCCTTCTGTCTAACTCTATTTCTGTATCTGTTAAGAATCTCTTCTTTATTTACCCCTCCCCACTACCCTTCCCAATATCTGGTAATCATCATTTACTCTCTACCTCCATGAGTTTATTTGTTTTTAGCACCCACATATGAGTGAGAACAGGCAATATTTGTCTTTCTATCCGTGTCTTATTTCACTTTACATAATGTCTTCTACTTCCATCTATATTGCTGCAAATGAAAGGATTTCATCCTTTATAGCTGAATAATAGTCCACTTTGTATATGTACACATTTTTAAATCCATTCTCCTATTAATGGACACTTAGATTCATTGTGTATCTTGGCTATTGTGAACAGTGCTGCAGTAACATAAGAGTACAACTATCTCTTCTATATCCTGATTTCCTTTCTTTTGGAAATATACCAGCAGAATTGCTGGATCACATATGGTTGACCTATTTTTAGTTTTCTGAGGAACTTCCATACTGTTCTTCATAGTGGCTGCACTGGTTTACATTCCCACCAGCAGTGTATAAATATTTCCCTTTCCCTACTTCCTTGCCAGCATCTGTTGCCTGTCTTTTTGATAAAAGCCACTTTAACTGGGGTGAAATCACGTCTCATATAGTTTTGATTTTTATGTCCTCTAAAGATTGATTTTGAGCATTTTTAATATAAATGTTGGCCATTTATATGTTTTCTTTTGAGAAATATCTATTCCAATATTTTTCTTATTTCTAATTGGGAAATTTGAAATTTGTTTTGTTTTTTGTATTGAGTTATTTGAGCTTCTTATATATTCTGGTTATTAATTCCTTGTCAGATGTGTAGTTTACAGATATTTTCTCCCTTGCTGTGGTTTATCTCTTCACTATGTTGATTGTTTTCTTTGCTGTGCAAAAGGCTTTTTGCTTGATGTGATCCCATTTGTCCATTTTTTCTTTGATTGCCTGTGATTTTGAGATCTTACTCAAGAAATCTTTGTCTAGAACAATGTTCTGAAGTTTTTTCCAAATGTTTTATTCTAGTAGTTTCATAGTTTTAGGTATTAAACTTAAATCTTTAATCCATTTTTATTTGATTTTTATGTATGGCAGGACAGATGAGTCTATTGTATTTTTCTGAATATGGATATCCAATCTTCCCAGTACCATTTATTGAAGAAAATGAACTTTTCTTAATGTATATTCTTGGCACCTTTGTCAAAAGTGAGTTGACTATAAATGTGCAGATTTATTTCTGAGTTCTCTATTCTGTTCCATTGCTCTATGTGTCTGTTTTTATGGCAGTACTATGCTGTTTTTGAGACTATAGCTTTGTAGTATAATTTGAATCAGATAATGTGATGTCTCCAGTTTTGTTCTGTTTGCTCAAGATTGCTTTGGTTTCTGGGTCTTTCGTGATTGCATTTAAATTTCAGGATATCGTTTCTATTTCTGTGAAGGATGTCACTGGTATTTTGATAGGGTTTGCATTATGAATATACATTCACAATGTATATTATTGTTTGGGGAACAATTGAACAATATAGATAAGTCCAAACCATAAACATGGAATATCTTTCCATTTTTTGGTGCCCTCTTTAATTTTTTTCATCAGTGTTTTATGGTTTTCATTGTAGGAATATTTTAGAAAGTTGTATAGGATGTCGGAAGGGTGGCAGAATTAACATTAGAAAGGCCAATTGGGGCCCTATACAGTTGGTTAAGTAAAAGATGATAATGCTCTGCTTTAACAAAGTAGCAATTAGTTTCTTATGTTGGACTTATGATTAAGGAAGTTAATGAAGTAGAAGTTTGAAGACTTGGGGCCTGTTTAGACATGTGGAGTTAAAGACAGGAAAGAATCTTAGGTGAAATATAGGTTTTGCATTTAGAATAGATGAGTTTTGCTGCTATTCACCAAGATAGGATGTGCAGGGGGAAGAACAACAAGAACAGAAAATAAGCTTACTTCTAGTTATATTTAGAGTTCCTTTGATATCCAAGAAGAGAGAAGTTCAGGAGGTTTGAGGATGACCTCAGATATAGTTAGAGATTTAAATGTCATTAAAGATGATAGCTGAATACATTTGCATAGATGGCATTGTTGTTGAGTTTATAGAAAGGAAAAGGGAGTTTATGACAGAATTCTAGGGACATCAAGACAAAGGAGATGGCCAGAGGGAGGAAAATGTCAAGAAATAAAACTAATAGGAAATATTTAAAAAATAAGATGTCCCAGAAATAGCAAAGGCAAGGTAGCTGATTTAGTTGACAGTTACCAAGAACTTGGCAATTAGAATCTCATTGGCACTTCCAGTTTCCACTGAAGGATGAAGAAAGATGGAAAATGTCGATCTCAAACTTAAAAGACAAAAGGCAGAAATCTTCAAGTTTGCAATTTTTCTGAATCCATCAGAAAGGTGAAGTCTCAAGGCAACCAACTAGACAAAAATCTGGAGACAAACAGGCACCTACAGAGAGGGGCGGGATGCACACACTTGGTTATGTGTGGCAAACACCAATAAGAAGAATTCAGCTACAGTAATTGACAAATTGATCGAGGTCAAGTATGGAGAGTATGAAGCGCCTAGGGATTGCAGATATAAAAGTTTTTAGTGCCCTGTTGTATGACTGTCCTCTATGAAACTCTTCAGAAGCTTATATGTAAGACAGAAAGGTCCTAAGAAAGCATCCCTCATGGTGCAGACCTGAGGGAGGGGAGCAGCTGCTGCAGAGGGGTCGTGAGACTGCTCAGACACTGCTTTCCTCTCCTCTCTTTGGAATAGAAATTTCAGACTGTAGGTGAAAGGGCCACCAAATTGCCACCCATACAGCACTGGCAAAAGAAAAAGAAACAACAGCAACAAAAAGCCTCTATCCTGAATGAGGGGCAGGAATGCCAGCTGGGCTCAGAGCTACAGTGACAAGAGGGGAAAGAATATTTGTGAAGGTCATATCCCTGAGACTGAGGGACAAATTATCTGCCTAAGATTTAATCAGAATTTCAGAGAACAGAACACTACCCCAATCAGCTTGCTAACAAGCATCAAGTATAAATAAGACTGTAATACTGATGAGGGAGCTTTAAGAAGCAAGCTGTCTCTGAGAAACAAGGTAAAAGATGTTCTAAATCTAAGCCTGGAACTGATATTGAGAAAGACCCTCCGCGCACCACCTCCTACCGTACACAACCCTACACACATGCTAATGTCAGTAAAATTTAGAGTCTTGCTGGGCGCGGTGGCTCACGCCTATAATCCCAGCACTTTGGGAGGCTGAGGTGGGAGAATCACGAGGTCAGCAGTTTGAGAACAGCCTGGCCAACATAGTGAAACCTCGTCTCTACTAAAAATACAAAAAATTAGCTGGATGTGGTGGTGGGTGCCTGTAATCCTAGCTACTTGGGAGGCTGAGGCAGAAGAATCACTTGAACCCGGGAGATGGAGGTTGTAGTGAGTCAAGATCGCGCCACTATACTCCAGCCCAGGTGATAGGGCGATACTCTGTCTCAAAAAAAAAAAAAAATTTAGAGTCCATAGCACACTGGGGATAATGGTAATGTTAATCAACCTCAAAACCAGCTTAAAACCTGATAAAATGAACACAACTCCACACCAAAAACCAATAGAAGGAAAAGTGTGCACAATTCCTTGCACAAATTATTTACTTCGGTCTCTACTATCTTAAACAGGTCATCTTTTATAAAAAAAAAAATCGCAAGACATATGAAATGACAAGAAAAAAACTCACTTCCAAATACAAAGCAATTAAGAGTGGATCAGACACAAATATGACATAGATTTTAGACTCATGGCAATTAAAATAATTATGATCAATATGCTGAGGGGTCCACTGGAAAGGTGGGCAACATGCAAGATCAGATGGGTAATTTCAGGAGAGCGATGGAAACTATGAGAAAGAATCATATGGAAATGACAGGAAATAAAAAGCATGGTAACATAGATAAAGAATGTTATCATGGGTTCATCAGTGGACTCAACACAACTAAGAATCAGTGAACTCAAACAGATTAATAGAAATTTTACAAGATGAAGTACAAAGGGACAGAAAAGTGAGATAAAAACAATACTAGGCATTCAAGAGTTTTGAGATAACATCAAGCAGTCTATTGTATATCTACTTGGAACCCCAGAAGAAGAGAGGGAGAAAATGTCAGAATAAATTTTAAAGAAAATAAGGGTTGAGAATTTCCCCAAAGCAATGACAAATAACAAACAATGGAAAAATGAAACTCAAAGATCACTAAGCAGAAGAAAAACTAAAACACACATGAGCATGCACATGGGCAAACACGTATACACACCCTAATATGTCATGCTCAACTTGCTGAACACAACAAAGAGAAAACTCTAAAGGTAGAGAAGAAAATAAATATTATGGGAAAAGGGAAAAGGATAAGAATTGCTATATAGTTCTTATCAGATACTAGCATACATCATTTTATTGTGCTTTGCCTTACTAAACTTTGCAGAAACTGCTTTTTTTCACGAATTAAGGGTTTGTGACAACCCTGGGTTGAACAAGTCTACAGGTAGTTTTTTTTTTTTTTAACAGCATGTGCTCACTTCGTGTCTTTGTGTCATGTTTTGGTAACTCTCATAATATTTAACATTTTTATATTATTATTATATCTGTAATAGTTGCCTGTGATCAGTAATCTTTGATGTTACTATTGTACTTGTTTTGGGTTACCACATAAGATGGCAAGCTTCATCAATAAATGTTGTATGTGCTCTGACTGCTCCACTGACTGGCGGTTTCCTGTCTTTCTCTTTCTGCTTGGGCCTCCCTATTCCTTGAGATACAACAGTATTGCAGTTGTGTCAATTAATAACCCTACAATGGCTTCTCAGTGTTCAAGCGGAAGAAAGAGTTGTAGTCTCTCACTTTCAATCAAAAGCTAAAAGTGATTAAGTGTTTTAAGGGAGGCATGTTGAAAGCAGAGATAGGCTGAAAGGTAGGCCTCTTAGGCTAGTTAGCTATGTTATGAATGCAATGGAAAGCTCTTGAAGGAAATTCAAAGTGCTACTCCAGTGAAGACATGAATAATAGGAATGTGAAACAGCCTTATTGCTGATATGAAAAAGTTTTAGTGTTTTGGATAGAAGATCAAAACCACAACATTCCCTTAAGCAAAAGCATAATCTAGAACAAAGCCTCTCTTTAAGTCTATGAAAGCTGAGAGAGGTGTGAAAGCTGCAGAAGAAAAGTTTAAAGCTAGTTGAGGTTGGTTCACAAAGTTTAAGGAAATAAACTATCTCTACAACATAAAAGTGCAAGGTGAAGTATACAGTACTGATGGAGAAGCCGCAGCAATGGAGAAGCTGCAGCAAGTTATCCATAATATCTAGCTAAGATAATTGATGAAAGTAGCTACACTCAATGACAGATTTTTACTGTAGACAAAACAGCCTTATATTGGAAGTGCTATGAAAGTGCCACCTAGGACTTTCATAGCTAAAGAGAAATCAATCCCTGGCTTCAAAGCTTCAAAGGACAGGAGGACTCTCTTGCTAGGGACTAAGGCAGCTGCTGACTTGAAGCTGAAACCAAGGCTTATTTACCATTTCTAAAGCCCTGGGACCATTAAGAGGTATGCTAAATCTACTCTGCCTGTGCTATATAAATGAGACAAGCCTGATGACAGCACATCGGTTTACAGCATAATTTAGTGGATATTTTAAGCCAAATTTTGAGACCTCCTGCTCAGGCAAAAAATGTTTCTTTCAAAATATTACTGCTCATTGAAAACGCCCCTGGTCACTCAAGAGCTCTGATGGACATGTACAAGGACATTAATGTTGCTATATCCCTGCAACACAACATCCAATCTGCAGCCCATGGATCAAGCAGTCATTTTGACTTTCAAGTCTCATTATTTATGCAATACATTTCAAAGACTATAGCTGCCATACACAGCGATTCATTTGATGGATGTGGGCAAAGTTAGCGAAAAATCTTCCGGGAAGAATTCACCATTCTATATGTGATTAAGAACATTCGTGATTCATGGGAGGATGTCAAAATAATGACAGTAACAGGAATTTTTAAGAAGGAATTTAACAGGAGTTTTTAATCCCAACCATCATGGATAACTTTGAAGCATTCAAGACTGCAGTGAAGGAATTCTGTGAGGATGTGATAGAAATAGCAAGAGAATTAGAATTTGAAATGGACCCTGAAGATGTTACAGGATTGCTGCAATCACATGATAAAACTTGAATGGATGAGAAATTGCTTCATCTAGATGACCAAAAAAAGTGACTTATTGAGATGGAACCTACTCTTGGAAAACATGTTGTGAATATTGTTGAAATGACAACAAAGCATTTAGACTGCTACATAAACTTGGTTAGTAAAGCAGCAAGCAGCAGGGTTTGAGAAGATTGATTCCAATTTTGAAAGAAGTTTTACTGTGGATATAATGCTATCAAATAGCATCACATGCTACAGAGAACTCTTTCATGAAGAGTCAATAGATGCAGCAAACATCATTATTGTCTAATTTTAAGAAATTGCCACAGCCACCTCAACCTTAGGCAACCACCTTCCTGATCAGTCAGCAGCCATCAACATGGAGGCAAGACCCTCTACTAGCAAAATCTTACAAAACTGAAGGCTCAGGTGATTGTTAGGGTTGGTTTGTTTGTTTTAGCAATAAAGTGTTTTCAGTGAAGATATGTACATTGCTGTTTTAGTTGTAATGCTATTACACACATTAAAACCATGGTAAAGTGAAAATATAATTTTTGTATGCACTGGAAAACAAACAAAAAAACTGGTTGACTCTGTTTATTCTGATATTCACTTCATTGTGGTGGCCTGGAACCAAACCCACAGTATCTCTGAGGTATGCCTCCATTTAGAGATAGATTATTTAGGGTGTTACTAATTTTAATTGTTGTCATAAGCATGAGACCCCAATCTAAAAGGATTCATTGCTTTATAAATACACTCAGAGGAAAGCCAGATGAGGACATTGAGAAGGCAACTACCTGCAAGTCAGAAAGAGAGCCCGTACCAAAACCTGAATCCCACAGGACCTTGACCTGGGACTTCCAGCTTCCAGAACTCAGAGACAAATGTTTCTGTTGTGTAAGCCATGCAGTCTGTGATATTTTGTTGTGGAAACCCTAGAATACTAATACAAATATCAACTCTAGACTGACGCTTCCAGTCACTACAACAATCAAAGGGAACTCTGGAGTGTACTATACTAGAAATGTACTCAACTTTTCCAGTGACTGCATTGCCTGGGACTAGTTACTTTTGCTCATCCAACTACAGTGGAACCTATAATGGCAGAAGAGTAGGCTATCAGTGAGAAACTTTCATGATGATCACTGTGGACAGGCATGACTCCCTACAATAATTAATAGTAATTAGTCCCATTATTTTGCCATTATTTTACAGATAACACTAATAGCAATGATATTTATAGAAAACATTTATTAAGCATTTACTGTATGGAAGATGATGTTCTAAGATTTTTCCATTAAATAGCTCATTTAATCCTCACAATAAGCACTTTTAGTAGCTACATTTACAGATTAAAAAAACAAAACTAAGACAGAGAAATAAATTATCCAATGCCATACAACTATTATATGGCAGAGTTGTGTACTCCTCCAAATTTGCACCCTTACTCTCTGATCTGTACCAGGTAGGAAACAAAACAACTAACAAAAAATACCTTTCCCTTAACTCCCTACCAAAAGCAATGATTTACACTGTTGTATCTTAAAGCACAAGGTAGAACTGTTAGTTCCTTTACTATTGTCCTTTAATCTGGTCCTTGAAACTTCATATAATTTGATATTTAGAAAATTAGATATAATTCACTTTTTGTTGCAGAGGCACTCAAGTTAAAAATTATGTGTATGCTTACATTCTTGGAGGGCATGAGCTATTACTGTTCTATATTTGGTTTTATATTCTTACATGCAAGTTTTCTAGATATAGGGTAAATACATGCTTCTTACCCTTGTTTCATATAACTTTAGTACATTGACTTATTTTCAGCACTCTCTTCTTCAATATAGCATGCGTTTTTGAAATTCACTAATTATTTTTCTTTCTTAAATGTTCCTTTTATTATAAAATTAATATCAACACTTCATGTAAATACTAAATATACAGTCAGTGTCACATATATTTTAAAATACATCGGAATAAGCATTGAAAAATGAATGAGTGTATTAGTTATTTGGTTTATACTAAGGGATGGAAATTGCTAAATTAGTAATGTATATTCAGGGTAGGTTAATAAGCATTTAGTCAAAAGACTACATTCCAGAAGTACCAGAGCAAGTGTTTTAATTCTCTTAATCCATAGAATATTGAAAGTTAAAAATGAACTTTCATTGATGAAACTAGTAGTACTCAAGATAGGTGGATTGGCTAAAATACTTTAAAAATAGCTTCTACTTTGTCGCTAATTTAAAATCAATGATTTAGAAAGCTATTCCACTCTCATCTTTGAGGATGAAACCCAGTGTTTATTAAGCAGAATCTAACAACTTCTTAAACAAAATAGATCCGTTTATAATGAAGAAGATGATGATGTCACATTGTTTTATTACAAATAATAAGTTTGTTTAAAATGTTCTTTAATGGACTACACGGTAAAAATCATGTGAACCACAGTTTCTAATCTGTTGCCATCTTTTCCTTAGCTATCTTTACTTTTAAGGGAAAAACATGTTACAGCCATTGCTAAGCTCCTACTCCCTCGTGCTTTGCCCCTCATTCCATTTTCAGACATAACCAACATTACAAAATTAATATATCATTTTTATGCAGATATAGTTATATTTTATACACATATAATTATATAGTTTTATATGTCATTTAATTTCATAAATAATATTATATATTTTATAATTGATTATTTTCTCTCATGTTTTTGCAGTAGCTCCATGTTGTTACACATAAAACTAGTTTATTCATTTTAACTATCATATTATATATATACCATATTGATTATACACCTTTCCCCTATATTTGAATAATTAACTTATTTTCATTACTTTCAAAGTTTTAAAAGTGTGAAGTGTTACAACGAACATCTTTGTTTATCTCCCTCCTTCTGTGGCACATGTTTATATGTAGAGTTTCTGGTTTTAGAAAATAATGCAACTCTAATTTGGCTAGTTATAGACAAATTGCTCTCCAAAAGCAGTTGCACTCACCTAAACTCACCTAAACTGGTAGCAATGTACCAGATCCTGTTTCCTCCCAATCTGGACAACATTTGGAATTATCAATCATTTAAACTTTTTTCAATCGAATGTGTGTGAAATGTATCTCACTGCTTTAATATGCATCTTCTTAATTACCAGTGATTCTGGTCCATATATTTTATCTGCATAGTCAAAATATAGTTAATATATGCACACACAAAGATATAGTAAATATCATATACAATTGTGTCTTTTTCATTTCACAGGTAAAGGATATATTTTCATGTTATTAAAAGCTTTTAAAATAAAATTTGATAATTTGATATAATGCACCCTATGTCTATAATCACTTTGCCACTTAGTTAACAATTACTTTATTATGGAATTTCTACATTCATTATGGCAAAAAAGGTTTTAATGTACAATTTCTGCTTCCATGAGGATGTATTAGATATATATTTCCCTATGTGTCCTGTTAAGTCCATCTAAAATCCTTGGATATTATGTATAAAACAAAATGAAGAATTCTTTAAAGGGAGGAAAGAAGAGGCAAGCTGTCTAGGGGCCATGACCCTGATGAATGATATGCTGGTGAGCTCCTGGATTTTCTTTTTGCCTCATATCTCCTAACCTGGAGCTGAAGTTTCTGGCAACTGGCAACCTGGAAACACACATAAGAGTAGACAAAGAACAACAACAACAAAAGCCTACTCTCTCTAGCTAAAGGACTAAGAACGGGGCAGCCTCACAAAATGAAGGCTTTTAGACAATAACCACTATATTCTAGATTGAAGTACCTAGACTTCCATTCACGCCAGTCTATAATGAGGCACCACAACCCATTGGCCAGTGTGGTGTCACAGAAGGCTGGGTAGAGAATAGGGACTTCCATCCCCTCTAGGTAATAATAAGACCCCATCCCGTGGTGCCAGTGGAGACCACACAGGCTGCCTAGGATTCCATCTCCACCCAGCAGTAACTAGGCACCTCTCCATTTCCTCACTAGGGTGGAGTCAGAAAACTTCATGGAGAGACTGGGCTTTCATCCCTGTCCAATAGAGGTCACCTCTGGAGCAATAGTAAAGCACTCCGGTCACTTCCCAGCGAGGAGGTATCACAGGAGATCTAGTGGGGAGTCAAAACCTCTCTTTCCCTCTGATGCTTTTAACATGTGTTATCATTAATCAGCACGTCCCTAAGAAATGTAAATGGTAATTGACAAATAGTTCTGGAACTATTATTCCACCAGTTGGTTCAAATGACAGAAGGGGTAGGGTGGCAGTGCAAGTGTTACAAATAATACCCATTTCACTTTCATGAGCTTTCTTGACTGACATGGTGACCTTGCCAGTTCAGGCAGTTTTCTTGTACACTGCATTGATGATACCCACAACAACTTATGTCTCATATTGTAAATAGTAAAATGAACCAGAGAATGATAGAGAATCCAGGAACCATATGAATGATGGAAGCTTCAGCAGATTTCAATAATCTGGGGCTAGTATCCTTAGAGCAACCTTTCCTTCAACTAAAAAATTAGCAAGTAATGTGACAATACAGCATGGCTGCATAGCAAGCATTGTGACAATCCCAGCATGGCTGCATAGCCACCACTGATTTAGCCTGGATGACTCAGAATAATCTCCCGAGCAGTGAAGCCAGATACTTTAATTAGTAGACCATCTTTTCTGTCACCAGCCACACTGCCATGGTGACCATCTTCAACAGACATACTCTTGACGTTAAATCCCCTATTGTAGCCAGTAAGAGCTACGTTGAATCAGTGCAGCATGGTGTCTGTGTTTCCCTCTCCTCTCCTCTCCTCTCCTCTCCTCCCCTCCCCTCCCCTCCCCTCCCTCCACTCCCCTCCCTTCCATGGTGTCTGTCTTCCCCTCCCCTCCCCTCCCCTCCCCTCCCCTCCCCTCTCCTCTCCTCTCCTCTCCTCTCCTCTCCTCTCCTCTCCTCACCTTTTCTTTTCTTCTTTCTCTTGCTGTGTTGCCCAGGCTGGAGTGCAGTGATACTATCACCCCACTGCAGCCTCGACCCCTTGGGCTCAGGTGATCCTCCCACATTAGCCTCCCAAGTAGCTGGCACTACAGGTGCTCACCACCATTCCTAGCTAATTTTTATATTTTGTAGAGACAGGGGCTGGGGTGGGGTGAGTGTGGTTTTGCCATGTTGCCTATGCTGGTCTTGAACTCCTGAACTCAAGGGTCCCCTCGCCCCAGCCAACCAAAGTGCTAAGATTACAGGCATGAGCAACCATGTCCGACCACATTGTGTATCTCAACAGACTTTATTTCAGTAACTTATTAAATAAAAATGGGCTTGCATTATTGATTATACTTGAATCTTTAAGTTAATTTATAAAATTAGACTTTATATATTTCACATATTTATATTTAATTTTTGTATTATATATTCTTTAATATTTTCATATATTTATCTGTCCTTTACACAAATTCACTATGTAAACGCTATCCACCTGATATTCGGGGTCTTATCAACTCAAGAAGCTCTAAAAATATTTTAAAGATTTTTATCTCTTGACAATATATTGGTAAATATTTCCTCCCTTTTTTGTTTGCCTTGTGATTCTGTTCATGTTTTGCTTTTAAGTAGGTATTTTTAATGCACAGAGATTTAAAAGGCCTATTTGGAAAATGATTTATCATGTCCTCTGTGATTTTTTTCCATCACTTTGACAGATAGGAAGTCCTCACCTATTCTGTGATAGGCAAATATTCAATTATATTTTATTTGAGACTTCTGCAGTTTTTTAAAAGATCTTATATTTTAATCCACCTAGAATTTATTTTTGCAGAAGTTAGAGATCTTGAATGATACGTTTTTCATGAGAGCTAGGCAATTAGTTCTTTGTTTCCTGACTCTGTTGTAAGGTCATATATTGTTTTCTAAATTATTGAAAACAGAAGGGTTAGTTTCTGCATTCACATTTTCTACTGCAGGTACGTACAAATGTAGATACTTTTACTAGTATCAAATTTTCATAATTTTTCTAGATGCATATGTACAGATACACGGTAGTATTTGTCCTCCTGTTTTCTCCCCAACAAAAGCTTTATTTTTAAAATTTTATTTACTTTTTTGTTTTACTTTTAAGAAGGCTACATAAACATCATAACATAATTTGACAGATTTTAATGTTTGTATACTCAATTTATCTAGCATACACAGCATGAGAATTAAATGCCTACTTAAGAAAAATAATTTCTCAAAATCTCATGAACACTGATCATTCAGGACAATAGAAGGTGAATTTCTGATAAATTGTTGAAGATCATCTACATATTCTAAATATTTATTTTAGTTAAGTAATTTAGAAAATTTATGTATTACCCAGAAAAATGATCATTTCACTGATTTTGAAATTTGTCTTGATCAAGTTTTACATAGTACTTTCTAAAATTTTTCATGCACACTTTATTCTCAAATTTATTTTGGATTTTTAATATGTACTTCTCTTTTTAATTAATTATCTTTATAAAAGTTTTGTCTGTGTTGTTAAATTTTTTCAAAATAATTAGTTTATGATTCAGTTTATCAGATCTCATTATCATGAGTTAATCTACTGAACACCCTAAGTTTAATATTTAATATTTTATTTATTAATCAATTCATATTTTATTGATAATGTGTAGTCAATGGTAATCAATGATAGTCACTTTGTAATCAATGTATATTTATATATAATTCACATATACTAATCTGTACAAATATGTAAAATATATAATCTTATTTCTAATTAAGCTGCACTTTGTATCTTATTTTAAAAAGCTGTTTATAAACTATTTACTATTTATATATTATAAATTATATACACATATAAATTAAATATTTCATCAAATTTATTAATTTGAATAAAGTCTAATGATTTTCCTCTTAGTATCAGTTGGATAAATGTCGTAATTTTTGATGCTCTGAGTTTAGTATACTTCCAAGGGTTTTAATATATTTTTTTGTGTACATAACTATCTCTTTGACATCACAGTTAATTGAGAATTTTTTTAAACATCCAATTAGTGTAATATTTTGTTTACTTCTTTTATTATTTTCTACTGCTAATACTTTGTGGTTTTGTAGATGTCTTCTTTTTCAAGAATTGGTGGTGGTTTCCTTAGTGGCATAGTATATTATACTTTTTTAAAAATATTCTAAGCCTTTTTGAAATTTTAAATACTCAGAATATGTATGCGTACGTATAAATATATATATACAAAAATTGAATTTTAATATATGAAGGAGTATTATATTAAATTATATTTTTATACTCTACTCATATTTACCGCTAAAGCAATAAGCATGTAAAAATAAGTTATGGAAACTATAAAGTCTACAAACCTTTTGAGAACTTGTCCATGTGAAAGGGTATTTTATAATATTTATATTGTGAGAAACAGAATCACATTCAAGAATTGTTAATATCGATAATTGTTTTCTTTTAAATTTTACATTATTAATGGTATGAATATCATCAATAAAATGAATTTCTTACTTTAATATAAGCCTTTAAAATTAATTTTTAAAAATAAATTTGTGCAATTCCAGTGCATGTGAATAAATATAATTCTTATACTGAAATGTGGGATTTCGTTTTGTTTGTAGGAGGGGTCCTATCACTTAACTTTTTAATTTTTTTTCCCAAATGCAGTAGTAGTTTGACTATTCAAAGAAGGACATTTCCCTTAATTTCCTTTTGGATTATCTAGCTCTCTGGGTTTAAATTTAAAGTTTAAAAGAACCATTTGATTTTAATAACTTTTATGTGTAGTGCTCCATTGAGTTTGGGCTTTAGCACATAGAACTACTTTTCCATAAGGTGATTTCTAGTAAATCCCTGTGTGTAAAAGCAAGATAAACACACATCACTGAGTTTGTTATTGCAATTAAATTATTGGATTTTTACATTTGAATATGTTTTGAGCATTGAAAAGCATGAAGAGACTGTTTTCTTATGTTGGTCATGGACACTTTTCTGACACTTAATAACTTGAAATAAGCCTGCCAATATTCTTAAATGTCTGAGAATATGAAAATGCTACATATTTAATATAGGAAAAACAAATTCAGTAAACCACTTCTGCTTAATAATAACCTGAATAAACTCTTCTACAGAATCTATTTTGTGAATCCAGCATTCTCATTTAGCATATTCTAATTTTGATTTTCCCATTAAAATATTTGCTATTTCACATACTTTGTTTTTAAAAGTTTCACTTATTTTGTTCAAACCAATGAACTAAATTTGCTCCTACTAGAATTTCCTTACTAATGACTCCCTGGTATGTTACTAAACATGACCTACATGTGCTCTGAGACAGGTATTCTTGGTCAATGTAGATTTTAGCATGACGTGTGTGCCTAAGTTATTTTATTTCTTCATGTATTTAGTCAATCACTCTCAATGTATTCACTTAGCCAAAGATTAACTTATATACTTATTCAGAAATAGTTATTCATTAATCAAACACTGATTTGTGTTAGACACCATGTTGGATGTGGAGGAATTATGAAGTTTAATTTCCCCTTGTACAATGACCATGAGGAGAGTGTAAATTTCTAAAATGATGCTGTCAGCATTTTCTCATGTGTCTTCCTCAAAACCTACATACAGCCTCCACTGCAGTCAGCACTTTGGATGAAACCAAATGCTTCATTGACTCTATTCTTACTGTAATTTGTTCAGAAAATGCGCATGCAGGGGTGTGTGTGTGTGTGTGTGTATGACGGGGGGGCGGTGATTGTAGGGAACATTTTGGTCACAGTATAGTTTTGAGTGGGTATAAAACCAGTGAATTTTCACTGACCTTAGAATTCTACCCTCCAAATGAATACAAAGAACAAATTATGGGTTCTCTATTTAAATGTTATTTAAGGATAGTAATATTATAAGAAATATATATTATATAAGAGATATAAGTATAAAAATATATTATATATAATTATATGTAATATAAAATATATAAGAAAAATTGGGAGACAGCTTCTATTTTTAAGGTTATAATTTCTGCTAGGTAGGCACTATGATAAGTACCCCTCAGAAAGGTTGCATGTAATAGGTGTTATACATATTACAAAAAATGAAACTACACACCATACTACATACAACTAATGTGGAATAATGTTGGTCTCAAAGCCTGTACCAGTTTTGGTAATGGAGAATCGTCATCTTTTTTTGTTTTTTTTTTTTTGTTTTTTTTTTGAGACGGAGTCTCTGTCTGTTGCTCAGGCTGGAGTGCAGTGGCACGATCTCTGCTCACTGCAAGCTCCGCCTCCCGGGTTCACACCATTCTCCTGCCTCAGCCTCCCAAGTAGCTGGGACTACAGGCGCTCGCCACTACGCCCAGCTAATTTTTTGTATTTTTTAGTAGAGACGGGGTTTCACAGTGTTAGCCAGGATGGTCTCCATCTCCTGACCTTGTGATCCACCCACCTTGGCCTCCCAAAGTGCTGGGATTACAGGCATGAGCCACTGCACCCAGCCTGTACAATCCTTTTTGTTTTTGTTAACTCAATTCCAGAGACACTTTAAATACCGAAACAATTTAGGTGATAATAAAATCCACAAAGAGACAAAAAGAGAAAAACTAGCGTTTGTCTATTTCGAGAATTAATTAAACTAGTCTGTTCTTATTCTTACATTTAATGGAGAGTTCGGCTGAGAATGATGTTGACATTGCACTAAAAGGAGACATAGGTTTTTAATATATTTCATAAGCTACTTTTTGTTATAATTATTATTCCAAATATAAGTACTCTCATTTATTAACTCTTTGAATTCTAAATTAAACAAATATTATATAGTGTCTTCTTCATGAGAGTGTCTGCACAAGTCACTCTGCTTAGACTTTAAGGAACTTAAAAGTCAATTAAATGGTTAATATCAGTGCCTGGATGGAGATTAAAAAAAAAAAAAAACTATGGAAAAAGGGAAGAGTAGTTACTTTGGTTTATAATGTTGATAATTTTTTTGAAAGTATCACATATTTTATAATACCAGAGCCTACTTACAAAGTTAAATAATTTAATGGTGATTTACAACTTGACATGTAACTTATATAACATGAAAAAAAATCTATGAGATAGAAATTAATGTGTTTTGTTGTTTTTTCAGGTTTTTTGTTTGTTTGTTTGTTTGTTTTGAGACAGGGTCTCATTCTGTCACCCAGGCTGGAGTGCAGTGGCACAAACATGGCTCACTGTAGCCTTGATGTCCTTGGCTCAAGTGTGCCTCCCACCTCAGCCTCCCAAGTAGCTGGGACAACAGGCATGTACCACCACACCTGGCTGCTTTGTGTATTTTTTTGGAAGAGATGGGCTTCGCCATAATGCCCAGGCTGGTCTCAAAGTCCTGGTCTCAAAAGATCCTCCTACCTCAGCTTCCCGAAGTTCTGGGACTGCAGGCGTGAGCCACCATGACTGACCTTCTATTTGGTTTTGAGGGTTTTTGTTTGTTTGTTTTGTGAGACAGAATCTCGCTCTGTCACCCAGTCTGGCATGCAGTGGCACGATCTCGGCTCACTGCAAACTCCACCTCCCAGGTTCAAATGATTCTCCTGTCTCAGCCTCCCTAGTATCTGGGATTACAGGCATGCACCGCCATGCCTGGATAATTTTTGTAGTTTTAGTAGAGACAAGGTTTCACCATGTTGGCCAGCCTGGTCTCGAACTCCTGACTTCATGTGATCCACCCAGCTTGGCCTCCCAAAGTGCTGGGATTACAGACATGAGCCACCACCTCCAGGCTGTTTTGTTGTTGTTGTTGTTGTTGTTGTTTAATTGTGCTTTAAGTTTTAGGGTACATGTGCACAACGTGCAGGTTTATTACATATGTATACATGTGCCATGTTGGTGTGCTGCACCCATTAACTCATCATTTAACATTAGGTATATCTCCTAATGCTATCCCTCCCCCCTCCCCCCACCCAGCAACAGGCCCTAGTGTGTAATGTTCCCCTTCCTGTGTCTGTGTGTTCTCATTGTTCAATTCCCACCTATGAGTGAGAACATGCATTGTTTGGTTTTCTGTCCTTGCGATAGTTTGCTGAGAATGATGGTTTCCAGCTTCATCCATGTCCCTACAAAGGACATGAACTCATCATTTTTTATGGCTGCATAGTATTCCATGGTGTATATGTGCCACATTTTCTTAATCTAGTCTATCATTGTTGGACATTTGGGTTGGTTCCAAGTCTTTGCTATTGTGAATAGTGCCACAATAAACATAGTGTGCATGTGTCTTTATAGCAGCATGTTTTATAATCTTTTGGGTATATACCCAGTAATGGGATGGCTGGGTCAAATGGTATTTCTAGTTGTAGATCCCTGAGGAATCGCCACACTGACTTCCACAATGGGTGAACTAGTTTACAGTCCCACCAACAGTGTAAAAGTGTTCCTATTTCTCCACATCCTCTCCAGCACCTGTTGTTTCCTGACTTTTTAGTGATTGCCATTCTAACTGGTGTGAGATGGTATCTCATTGTGGTTTTGATTTGCATTTCTCTGATGGCCAGTGATGATGAGCATTTTTTCATGTGTCTTTTGGCTGCATAAATGTCTTCTTTTGAGAAGTGTCTGTTCATATCCTTCGCCCACTTTTTGATGGGGTTGTTTGTTTTTTTCTTGTAAATTTGTTTGAGTTCTTTGTAGATTCTGGATATTAGCCCTTTGTCAGATGAGTAGATTGCGAAAATTTTCTCCCGTTTTGTAGGTTGCCTGTTCACTCTGATGGTAGTTTCTTTTGCTGTGCAGAAGCTCTTTAGTTTAATTAGATCCCATTTGTCAATTTTGGCTTTTGTTGCCATTGCTTTTGGTGTTTTAGACATGAAGTCCTTGCCCATGCCTATGTCCTGAATGGTATTGCCTAGGTTTTCTTCTAGGGTTTTTCTGGTTTTAGGTCTAACATTTAAGTCTTTAATCCATCTTGAATTAATTTTTGTATAAGGTGTAAGGAAGGGTTCCAGTTTCAGCTTTCTACTTTTTGAGAAAAGTGGTTTTAAGTGAAATCTTGAAAGAATAGGCATTGGAAAGACAACTATCAATTAATTAATATGTATTCAATTTCTACTATGATTTACATTATGTTAAGGATACCAGTCTACATAACTGAGAAAGCAAACATATTAGACTGCACAATCCCAGATACCTTAACTGGAAACTATTTGGAATATATATATATATATATATATATAAAATTTTATTTGTGCTAGTTATAAATAAGAAAATATACGGAAAATATCATAAAATTTTAGAAACACAAATGCAGAAAGTATGACATGGCTCTAGAATACAATGTTTTAGATGATAGGTATGTTAATTAAATTGATCTGATCACTAAATATTATGTGTACAAAATATCATTATGCTTCTCTGAATATGTAAAATTATTATTTGCCAATTAAAATTAAATTAAACTAAATTTTAAAAATAGAACCAGAAATTGAAAAAAACAAAACTGATACTATTGCCTCTTGTTTTCTAAGACTTCAGGATGTCTTTTTTTATTTTACTTTATTTTATTTCTTTCTAAAGACCATTCTTCCTTCTCTGGTGACCTCTAGCTTAATATTGATAAATTAGAATCTGTGTTCTAAATTCTAATTTAGAAGGAAAATATAATGGACATGGGTTAGATCAGGAAACCACTCATGGCTACTCATCAATGAGCTATGATTGGGGACAGGGTGAGGTTTATAGCATGTCTAGGGCTATCATTTCCTGGCCATAGGTGGACAAAGTTCTCTGAAAATGGATCATAAGTGGGGAAGTAGTCATGGATCCCCAGATTCAGAAAATATAATCATTTTTTTCTAAACTGTCCCAATTTCATAGTCTAATCATAATTTAGTTTGGATGGCACCTAAAATAATCATACTCATGAAAGCTAGGTTTTCTTTTTGTAGTGGCACCTGCTAAACTCAGTAAAATTTCTAAGCTTCTAAGATAGTTCGTGCTTTCTTTGAGAGGAGAAATAGTTTAATTGGGTGTGTGCAAGTAAAAAATAGTATAATAAGATTACAAAATAGCTGAGGGGTATAAAATATCAACGACTCTATTATGGTAATTCAAAACCTAGTGACCACAGTTGGAAGTAAACTGATATTTGGGCATTTTCTCACATGAGCTGTCAGCCACCTTAGGACATGCCATAAATCAATATGGTTATACACCTAGTGTCTTTCTTTTCTACTTTAATACATCTTGTAATCATTAGTGGTCATGTTGTGTTCTATTTGCACTTATCTAAAACCAAAACAAAACAAACTTTGATTTTCTGAGTTACAGCGTCAACAAGAAGTCCTCACATGATGTATGCTGGATCATCAGACCACCTCTAAACTCCCACAATCTAAAGCTTATGAGTCAGAATTTAAAGTTCAGTCATCAGTGTCCTCCTTAGCAATTAAGGGCCACTCAGACATTTGAGTTACAAAAATGGAAACTAAGAATCAATTTTCCATTTTCTCATCTTTTCTTTCAAAATTTAAATAATTTTATTCACTGCTAACTCCTGTAACTCTCT
Organism: Homo sapiens; assembly: GCF_000001405.40. Classification (NCBI taxonomy): domain Eukaryota; kingdom Metazoa; phylum Chordata; class Mammalia; order Primates; family Hominidae; genus Homo; species Homo sapiens. The sequence goes on along the minus strand of NC_000007.14, from coordinate 9,842,147 downwards.
TTCTTGTCCTACACATCAAGGCTTGGGCATCCTCACAAACTGTTACTGTATCAGAGGTGAAAAAAAAAAAGAAAGAAAGAAAGCTCAATTCTTACTAAAGAATAAGAAGACTAGCAGCTGGAATCTTATTGTTCGTCAAAATGGTTTTATTTAAGTTCCTAACCTGCTTAAATTGGGAATAATTTGGTTGCAAAGAGCTGAAACCCACTGAGAGAAACTTAATAAAAAGGGGAATTATTATATAAACATAGGAGAATGTTGATGCATGCAAATGAAGGAAATATGGCTAAACTTTACAGCAATTGGGTATTAGAAAATTAACCTCTCTGTTGCCTTGTGTCCCTGCTTCCCTTCCTTCCAACAGCTCTGCTCCTCTATTCTCTCTACTTCTTTCTATTGCTTTCACATTCAGGCTCCTCCTTCATTCTCAGCTGTTTGTAAAAGTTTAATCACAGCCATCCCGAGGTGGTGAGCTGAGCCCACAAGATAAACTGAAAGTCTAGGTAGACACTGCAGAGCTAAATTATTTATTCTCAGTTTTTGTCCCAAATTTAAAAAAGTTTGTGTTATTAATCTAATTTGGGTCAGTATCCATAGCTGGTTCATGTAGACATGACTAGGTATGGGGGCAGAATGAGTACTGAAGTCTCCTCTTCCAGGACTTCAGACAAGTCAGATTCTCAAGGAAAATGCAATGTGATGGGAAATCATTTCCATTTCCAATATGTAACTTTCGCAGTTTTGAATGAAGTTTTAGAAAATGATTAACTGTCTGCTATATACTAGGCATCTATTTTAAGTTTTATTATGTTTATTTAACATCATTTGCACAAAAATATATGATAATGTGATAATTGAACACTTCCACCTATTGAAAGAAAAATATTGAGAATCAGATATTTTAAATAAATTCCTTAAGTGGAGCATGGTTATAGTGAATGAGGGAATAAAGTTAAATTAAAATGGACCATTTCTTGATTTTTTTTTCTTATACAAACTCAAATTTGTTGTACAATTTTTCTTCTCGTTTTTATAATTCTGGCTATATGCCATGTGTTACATACTGAATGTTTGTGTCCCTACAAATTTATATGTTGAAATCCAAACCCCTAAGTGATGGCAATAGGAGGTGAGGGTAATTAGGTTGTGAGGGTGGAGCTTTCATGAATGAGATTAGCACTCTTACAAGAAGAGACACTAGTGCTTTCTTCCTTTCTCTGTTTTCTGACATGTGAAGACACAATGAGAATACAGCCTTCTGTAAACCAGATGAGCTCTAACCAAACACTGAATCTGACAGCACCTTGACCTGAAATTTTCTAGGCTACAGAACTATGAAAAATAAATTTGTTTTCTTTAAACCACCTAGCCCAGGATATATTTGTTATAAGAGCCAGAACTAACTAAGACATCATGTCAAGGGACATTAATTATTTTTTTTCTTCTTCAGTAGTTTCTAAGATGTTTTTGTATTTTTTTCAAACATTTCTATAAAGTATTTGACATTGGCTGACATACTGGCCATTTCTTCTGCTTATTAGTTTCCACAGTTTTTTATATATATGTGATATATATATGATTATATATATTTTATACATGTATAAACATATAGATGCCTATATATCTATATATTAATATAAATATATAGATGCCTATATATTTTATATGTAAATGTAAACATATAAATATTATATGTATAACATGTATATACACACACATTTGTTTTCTTGGATCATTTGATTACTGAGCAAGTGATGAAAATAAAAGGTATATCCACTTTGTTTTGGTGCATCTCCTTATTGGTATCTGGAGAAAAGCTTTAACTTGGATTTTGATAAAGATATCAACAGTATTTGGCAACAAATATGGAGAATAACAGCACAGACTTTGAGGTTGGATAGGCATCTATGTATGATTCTGAAAAAGTTATTTAAACTCTTTAGGCTCTGAAATAGGGATATTAATATCTACCACATAGGATGGTTTTGAGAATAAAGTCAGAAAACTATGAACTGAAAAGAAATACATGATAAGTTGTAGTGATTATTAATAAAAAGGTGTGAATGTCATATGTTATATAGCCATTGCTGTGATGCACTATGCTTTTTGCCAATTCTTCACCAGGATATTATTACAGCACTAAGCCAGTACTGACAGGGGCAGTTTCTTGGTTTTACTTTTATTTGCTTTCCCTTTCTATCGTTCTTGTTTGTGATTTCAAATTGTTCTTTTGTTTCTGGTTCATGTTGTCTTTCATTTTACTGTCCAGGTTAATTCATACACTGCAGTGAGTTCTTGCCTTTTTCATATGTCATTTCTCAAAACTCTGGCCTAGTAAAGAATATTGTTCAATGTCTTTTTCAGATATATAAGTTTTATTATGTCATATTTCTCTTCCTGCATATAGTAATATAAATCCACATAAAATACAAAACGAACAAACAAATAAAAACACGAAGCACACCATTCCTAGCCACCTCCTTCAAATGGAAATGAACTCTGGTCTAGGCTACTATGAGGACATGCATACTATGAGTTTGAGTCTTTGATATTTGCTGTTCTTATTCACTGCACTGGCTGGAATCACTAATTCATCTCACAGCCTTGAGCCTTTGAGAGGCCCCCATTTTCCCTAGCCCTCCTGGACTCATGAACAAGACATAAACCAAGGTTGCTTTTCTCTTAATACAGCTGACATGGTTTAATGGTTTTCCAAAATGATGTCTCAGTGATGCTAAGGGAAAAAAAATGAAATAAAAAAGAATATAATACATTTAAAGAAATGGGTAAGTTTACATAGGGCAATTTTCTACTAATAAAAAGTTGAATTGCAATTTGACTAGGCTGTTTCAGCTCTCCAAGCATTCAGCCTCCATTTTTTTTCCCTCAAATTTGATTAGACAATTCTATCTTTAAATACCTGTTTTAAATCCTTATAAATTTCTCATTTCTTCCTTTCTTTGCCTTAGAAGGGATGGTTGGGGGTGGGTGTCCATTGGTAAACTGAAGGGAGGAAAAATATGCTTCGAAATTCTAAATCCTAAGTGGACAAGGATTTGGGACAATAAGAGAACAAAGAGTTTGGGACCTTGATAGAGAAAAGACTGCATCTTGCATACATTTTTGGGAATAGAAAAAAATGGCAAAGAGAGTCCTACTCATTTTCTTATACATGAATGAATGATTACTTTTCTAAACTGGTATTAATAAAAATAAATTTACCAATGTTGCATAAGTTTTCCTGTATGTTCTTTTGTATATTAATAGGTATTGCACAGGAGAAAATATCCATAATAAAAAAAGTTTGGAAATGCTGAATAATTTCCCGAAGTTTTAAAAACTCTATTCTGTAGTGTAAACATCCCAAAGAGTTACAGTAAGTGATATTTTCCAAAACAATTTGATGTGGAGACCCTGCTTTCGAGGAAACTCTTGGGAATATCCTTCACAAAACATACTTTGCAAAATACTGCCCAGGAATCACTTCTATGCTCACATTCAGAATGTCAGCTTCTGAGTCTTAACCAGGTTTTTCGTGGCTCAGCTACTGTGTGTCTTGAAACACATTATACTGAGCACCAGAAGATCATGCTGTGTCTCACCTTGTTTATTTTGTTGCATTTTCAATCATTTCCTCTCTAATGATTCTTTCTCCTATTATCAGTAAGCATACTCAGGTCTCCCTAAACAACTTCACCTTCATTTTAAAAAAAAAAAGGTAACAAAACCTTTTTCTTAACTCCATAGCAAACTTAAGACAGGGATTCTCAACCTAAGGTGATTTTTACCTCCCATAGGACATTTGGCAATTTGTGAAGAAATTTTGGGGTGTTACAATCCTACCTGGAGAAGGTGCTACTTGCATCATGTGGGCAGAGGCCAGGGATGTTGCTGAATATCCTGCAGCACACAGGACATCCTCCTACTGAAAACATTTATCCAGCCCAATATGTCAATAGGGCCAAGGTTGATAAACGCTGATTTTAAGGAATCATCACATCTTTTTTCTAAAGAACAAATGCCTTGAACTCATTGATTTAAACACACTCCACTCATATCTTTACCTGCTCCCTCTTTAAATCTTTGCAGTTTGATTCCCAACAAGTTTAGGAATCATAGTAGAAGGAGCATAGGCAGTGAAACCAAACAAATCTGTGGTCAAATCTCAGCCCTATTAGTTCTAGTCATGAGCAACTGAAAACATTTCCCTGGATGTCAGTTGCGCATGTAAAGTTGGGATAACTTTCTGGAAAGATTGTTTTGAGAAATATGGCCAATAATCAAGTCTAATCCATTTCTTGGAATATTTTTAAAGAACAAGAAAATTGTATTCAAAGTTATTATTCTCTTTCCACTGTCTTTTCAAATGTCATTGTTGATACATTAGTTGCCAAATCCTATAACACACTTGCAGACTTTATTCACTTATAACCTCTGTATATTTGCTTCTGATGAGCTCTCATTACTGTTGCTTTTTCTTTGTTAGATTTCTATTGGTACCATGACAAAGGACCACAAACTTCATGGCTTAAAACAATAAAAATATGTTGTCTCACTCCTTTGGAGGCCAGAAACCTAGAATGAGATCATTGGGTGTCAAGGTGTTAGCAGGGCTGTGTTCTTCCTGAAGATAGTTATAGAGATTCCACTCCCTCACCTTTTTCACATTGTAGTGACCACCTGCTTTCCTTGGTTTATGGTCCCCTTCCTCCAACTTCAAGACTTGAAAAGTCAGGCCAAGCCTTCTCATTCTGAGTCACTGTGACCTACTCTAGGCTTTCCCTTTCCACTTTGACGCACCCCGTGATTATATTGCACTGACTCGGATAATCCAGTATAATCTCTTTATCTTAAAATCAGCTGATTAGCAAATAATTTCATCTTTTACTTTAAATTCCTTTGCCATATAGGGCAACACAGTCACAGGTTCTGAGGATCAGGATCCAATATCTTTCAGAGGAGGGCATTATTTCATCTATCACATTCCTTTTCTTCCTCCCCATAGTCACAGCTTTAGTTATCACTTCTATGTGGGTGAACCCATTTCCTAACTTTTGGGACCTACTTCCCAGCTGGACAGCTCCACCTAGATGGTTCCTGAAACTCATAATGAAATTTCATCTTCAAAATAAAAGAGTCTTCCCCCCTCTAACATGTTTTTCTCTTAAAATGTCATTGCATTATGAAGCAATAAACCTCATGACATTTTTTTAATAAGCCTCCTGCTTTGTCATAAATGTTTGTTGACATTACTTGATATCCCTCACATATGTCGTCTCCTTTATTTTTTTATGCCAATCTCCCTGACTGAGGTCATTACTTCTAATTTGAACTAATAAAATTGCTTACTAACTGGTCACCTGAGCTTGTATTTACACAACTTCTATCCATTTTATGTATTGTAATCTAATCCCCAAAGACTCCCCACACTTAAAGAATTCTTATGAATTTACTTTGGCAGATAAGGCCCTCCACAACCTGGTTCAGACCCACATTGCCATCTTGTCTTCTGTTAGTTCTAAAAACATAGGTTCTCTCTAATGCTTAGAAATTCTCCTGTTTGTGGACGCGCTTTTACCCGTGCTAATATTTCCTCATTTAGTACTCTCTTTCTTCATACAACTCAAAATTAACATGTATTTGAAGTGTTACCTTTATTTCTTCAACCAAAATTATTGGGCTTCTGTCACATGCTAAGAAAAGTGTGCGATATATGATTTAAATATAAATATGACTCATTCAGCCATCAAAGAACTTACAGAACTAAGAAGAAATAACATGAATAACTAGTATCCTTGATACTAATAGCTATTTGTGAAAGAAAAGATACAGGTAAAGGACTTTGGAAGTCCAGAAAATAATGACTTGGGATATGTTCCATAAAAGTAATTTAAGTTGTGGCTTATGAAGCAGTAGAACATGGTCTACACAAATGTGTTGGGGGAGGATAAAGGAGACTATGATAGGTAAAAAGAAATAAATATGGAAAGCTACAGAAGCAAAGACTATCAAGGGATGAATGAAATAATAGAGTTTGCTTCTGTAGTGATTTTTTTAATCATATTTGTTTCAAATCCCTGATTACAAAATATTACAAATATTTTACCACTCTCTTTTTACTATCTTAAAATGAAATTCACACATAATGATATAATCTACTAACACATAATTTTTAAAAATCAATTTAATACCTAAATGGTAATAAATGCCAAAACCAAGATATTTAAAACAAGATAGCATACATTGCAATATGTAAAGGATACATGGCTACAGACACATCTGATATCTGGATACCTATAATTTAGTGTATTCTACTGGCCTCCCATTTTTCTTTAAACACTATGTCGTATCACGTCTAATATTATAAATATAAAAATTCACTTTATAGAATATAACATCCATTATACTTTTACTAATTTAAATGATAATCATATAAAAATATCAAACAGAGTTTTGATTTTTACACTCTGTATGATTATATTTGTAGCTCTTTTCAACTTTATTATTGTTAAAATGGTACATGGTATTTTGTTAATTTGATATGTGCACATAAGGCCAAACCCACACATAGAACATCAAATATGAAAAAAGATAACATATTTTAAACAAAATGCTATTGTTGATGCTTGCTTGCTGTCTGGCAGTGTAATAATTCCATATTTTCCCTGTGTCACTGTGGGTTGTTAGAAAGAGGCCGGGCATGCTTCTGTAATGCTGCAGTTACTAATTGGAAACACAGCAATACAGCTATTTATGGGACGACCAGTATTTCCAGTTTGGCAGGGACAGTTCCAGTTCATGTTCTTGTTCGGTTGTTCCATTCAATTTACCATTTGTCTGAATTATTTTACATTTTGAGTAAGGAATTGTTAAAATAATACAGAATGGTTATAATAGACCTATTCTTTTCTTCCATGTGTTTGCATGATCTTGCTTCTTAGGATTTCAAATACATGTACAGGGAAGTGAAATTCTCTCATGTGGTTAAATCTGAAACATGACAAGCAATAACTTCTTTCTCGTTTACTAATTTTTCCCAGGTGTAATAACTGGCACCCATTTCAAGGAAAATATAAAGAACACTTGCTAATAAAGCAAAGTGGTTGGTATAGGAATGGTTAGTGTGAGAACTCACTCACTCTCAGGAGAACAGCATGGGGGAAGTCTGCCCCCATGATTCAATCACCTCCCACCAGGCCCCTCCTCCAATTCGCCATGAAATTTGGGCAAAAACACAAATCCAAACCATATCACCTGTATTTTCACTATATCAAATGACTATTTAAAATTAACTTCGCTCAGTTATAAGTGAAAGTAGCTTTGTGTAACTAGGAAAAGTAAAGCCATAAGCAATAATATGTTGGTTACATTAATAGAACTTCATAAAAAGTTAAATGATACTAGTTTTAATCCAATGTCATCAGAAGCTTCAAATACAAAATTAGTCTTAATAATTCATTGTTTTTAAATCCAATTTATGAAACCAGACTGGTTTTGAAAGTTCACTCTTGAATGTTAAATATCAGACATTAGTGTGAATTCAGATAATAAATTCAATATTAAAGATTAACTTATTTATTTTGTAGTGCTCATAAGAAAATAACTTTCGTTGTCCTAGTAAAAGTAATTTTCGTAGTATAAAAACTTAAGGTTCACAAATTTTAACACATAATTCATATCAGATCCAAAAAGGTTGCATTAATACTTTTTATGGATCAAAGTAGAAGCTCATTGATAAATTGAAAATGTTTTTATATACACATTAAGAGTAACTGAACTATGAAAAATTTGAGTCAAGATTGACATTGAACACAAACAAAAAACAAAAGCCTCCTTAACCATGGAGGTATGAACTCTTTCTTTGCTGCTTATTATTAATTAGATTTTAGAAATATTTGAGCTGTCAAAGGATTGCTTTGTAAGTCACTCTAAAAATGATACTGAATCTTTTTTATAAATGAGCTATATGAATTTTGCTTCTCTTCAGTTCAAATTCAGTTAGAAATGCTTAATAAAAATAATAAATGAAACACAATAATCTAAAAACCTGCATAGTTTATAGTGAAATATAGTTATTTAAAACTAATTTGCATACAGGAAGAAACTGAAATTTAATCCCACAAGAGTAAGGTAGAAATGGAATAAACTCAATAATTAGCATTCAAACAGCATAAAAAATAATTTTTTGAGTGTTATAATTGTGTTTTAGAACAAATTGACTTGTGACAAATAGTAATAGCTTTTGATTTAGATAACATTTTTAATTGGTTAAAGTTATATTCTGTAATTGAATGAAATTTTAATAGGTCTTATATGTTGCAGCATCTACATTTGGCAAAACATTCAAAATAATGATAGAGACAAGGAATTTTTTAAAACTTTGTTTTATAAAAACACTTATTGAAGATGATATTTGGGATTTTAGCAAAAAAAGATCTTAGTAAAAATATTTGGCTGAAATATGTATGCATTTCTAGTAGGGATTAGAATTAAGAATATCCTCCAGAAACCCTCTGAGTGTACATCATACCTGAGCACCTATAAAGATAATATTTTCTCATTTGAACATACAGTCGGTCATGGAGCAAACTACATTAAAGGTATTAATAATTTTAATGCATTAAACCTAAAATGCAACTCTGAAAATAACTATAGGGAATTTTATTTTAAAAATTAAAAATAAGATCATTTTAAATTGGTTTCTTCTGAAAAATATACATGGTATTAGAAACAAACAAGAAACTGCCTGAAGTACATAAATACTTAATTTTATGTATGTAATTTTTGTCATTTAGACAATCAACTCATAATTTTTGGCATACAAGTAAATAGATATCATTATTCTTTTTAGAGATAATTTAATTTTGAATAGATATTTTATGGTCTTTCCAAGCAAATTAAATATATTTATGGCTAATAAATAATTACAATTAATAAATTAATTAAACTTAATAAAACTTAAAACATTTTCACACCCTGAAAAAATTTACACTAATTTTATTCTCAAAACTATCCCATTTTGAGAAAATAAATTTTGTGATCATTCTAGCAACAAAGGAAACTGCCACAGTTAGCTATTTCTAAGTGTGAATCACCATTCCCAGCTGTACTTTTTAAGAAAATGAGCAATATCATAAAAACAAAATATACCAAGGAATTACAAGAAGTGTTTAGAATTAATTTTTTAATGAAATCCATAAAGAAATAAAACCTCAAACTCTGATACAGTCCCACATTTCAACAAACTGCAGTCTCCCTGGAGTCCTACAGATACAGCTGAGAGAAATAACCCTGGTTTAATTGGAAGGTCTGAAGAATCCTGATTCATACCTTCTAATTCAGAAGTTGATCCTCCTTGGACTTTCATTATTTGCCTGAATTCCCTAGAAGCTATAAACATCAGAAAAGGGATGACAGCAAAGACTTGGATTACAATAATAGTTTTCAAAAATGTTTACAAAAATTTTAGGATTGAAAAGAAGATTATATCATATGTAAAGCTAACCTATTTTATCTTTTATGAATGCAGAAATTCTCGGCAGTTCAGAGACACCTGTGCCATCAAGATTCTATGAAGTTTATTTGAACTTTAATAAGTTGGGCTGGATACAACCCATTTGTTTAAAATGTTTAATAACTTATGCACTAATTGCTTATTTAAATCCACACTGACTGGCATGCTTTCTGTTACTTCTGATAAAATATAGATCACCCTGAGTATTTATGCAGAATTTTCATGTGAGTGACATTTATTATTAACACAAACTTAATTTGTTAGTGATATAAAATTTAAGAAATATCATCATGTATTCTACTAAAAGGATTAGCAGAGGTCATTAATCAAAGCAGTTCCTTTTGTTTTCAATTTTATGCCAGGTAAATGAATAAAGACAAAAAGAAAAGATTATTTGTTTAGTCTTCGGCTTTCATTAAAAAGACTTAATTTTTTAATGAACCAGATAATTTCAGAGCTTAAGCTGCTATGGTGAAGTCAGACATTTTAGAACACTTCCTTAACATTTTCATATTTTTCTGTCTCACCAAATTCATTCTTCTTAAAGGCTGTTTTGTGGATCTATTTTTAAGAAATATAAATTTTTAACTTACCTCGCTGTCCCTTTCAAGTTATAGAGAAGGGCATTAATTTAATGTGAAACAAATTGAAACTTAACTAATTTATTCTCAATAAACTAATAAAGGACAGATTCTGATCCATTAAAAATTTCTCAAACCATATTATGCAACCCGATTTTTTAGCTGTTTGGATCAGTCCTTTGCTGAATATAAGTTAGATCATTTATTATGACTCTGGGATTACAACTATAAATTAGTTGATTTATATGGCTTCACTTACCCTAAATTCCTCTCTGCCTCTCGTTTTCTGAATAACCATAGGCTAGATTTTCTCCCGTTAAATTTGAGTTTCCTAGTAATATCACTACTGCTTTCTTTGTTGATCCCTAGTAATAGTGGCAGGAAAACCCACCAACACAGAAACTACCAATCCTTATGTGCACAGCTGCTATTTGGGAATCTCTGAAATGGGGGAGCCTTTCTATATTCTGCCATGGTTGTAAAAAACAAGGTCCTATATTTGGGGACCAAATATTTTCTTTATTTTTAAAAACTTGACTTGTGACCAAGTCAAAAATGGGTTCAGAAACTTTGCTTTTGGAACTAGCAATCCAATACAAGTAATGCAGGAAAGAGTGCTCTCACTCTTATAAATACTCAGAAGAGTAGAGAATCATTTCAATTTCACTATAGGAATGATATGTATTCTGTCTAGTAATGTAGGAGAATGCGAAAAATAGAATAGAAAAAGAATAAACATTAAGACTAAAAAGTTAATTTTGTTAGAATAGAAAGTGATCTTATTTTAGATAACTGGCCTCTGTTTTGGGTACAGTGGACATGAATATATATAGAAGTGCTAGAAAAATAATCTGACATGGCATAAAAAAGGATGAATAAATATCACCTACCTTAAGACAGTTCAACTATTTCATTGTGTGATTTCTATTTCATTAATATTGTAGTTTTCTGTAAATTCATTCTTGTCATAGGCCTGGGGCTAGTAATCATTTTCATGTATAAATTGTTAGCTATTATTTTTACTTTTGTTTAATGCTGCTTAACATTGACTAGTCAGTTCATTTACAGATAATAATCTACTTTCAGAAAGCTAATATATGAGTTTCGAATCTATAAGTTTGAGGAAACAGACTATGAATTTATGAGGAACACTAACAAGGTAATATAGAACATTAACTCCTGTCTGAAAAATACAGCCCTGACATTTCCAGAGAAAAGGTGAGTTGAAGAGAGATCTTTAGTACTATTGTGTTGCCATTTCCATCAAGCCTATTAACAGGGCTATATGTTTCCTTAATTTAAAAAATACCTAGATATAAAATAGAACATCATCAAGAATATTGAAGACCTTTCCCTTATTCAAGGAACTGTGCTAAACACCTGAAGTACAAAGAGCTACGTAACTTATCCACAGCTCTCTACCAAGTAATTTAATTGCAGGATAGAACAATTGACTGATGATAAATCATGCAGCATGGCATATGGTCACTGCTGAATGATGACAGGGATTCTTGGTCACAGAGAGAAAAATGGTCCTTTACCTTGGGACAGTCATGGAAGATGTCACAGAAAAGGCAAACCTGAGCATATCTTCTTCATTGTTACCCAAAGTTCCCTATCTGTTCCAGAATCCTATCCTTAATTCCAGTCTACATTTAGAGCTCATGTCTTAGGATCTTGGCTGTGACAGTTTATCAGACCTTTTTTATGTTTGATATTGACATTGTTGAGTATTGGTCAGGTATTTTCTAGGATGTCCTTCATTGGAATTTGTGTGTTTTTCTTATAATTAGACTCAAGTAATGGGCTTTTGAGAGGAAGACCATTCCCATTACAACATATCAAGTGTATATACTATTAAGATGACTTATGTTGACCTTGATCACCTGGTTGAGGTATCATTTGCCAGGTTTCTCATATTGTGAAGTTATTCTTCTTTTTCCCCTTTTACAGACTGTATTCTTTGAAAGGAAGACACTTGTATGCAACTCACACTAAGGAGTGGGGAGTTGTACTCACTCTCCTTGAGGCTGGAGTGTTTACGTGAATTATTTGGATTATTCTGCATGTGAGATTTATCTCCTTACTCCTATTTAGTTACTGATTTAATTGTTTATTTATATCCTTATGAGCTCATAAATATTTATTTATGCTTTGGGCTATAATCTGATAATATTTTATATATTTTGTTGCTCAAATTGATTCAGCATTAGCCACCGGTAGCTCTTTAAGTTGGCTTCTGTGTCCCTTTGGGATGCCCTATAACTGAGGTACTGAGATGTTTTGTTTTGGTTTTTGTTTTTCCTGGACATTTTCCTTCTGACTTTTGATGTTCCAAGTCTTGATCCATTTCTCCAAGGAGATGTATTTCCAATTATGGCAAAATAGCATTAGAAACCAAGATCAAGTGCTGGATGTACTCATTGCTACTGAAATCTAGCTTTTTAAGAAGTAATTCTTACATGTATTTTCAAGTAAAATGAATTTCAATTTGCTTAATTTCTATATCTAGTTTTCTATAATTTCCTGTTGCTTCACTCATAGTAAGCATATTTTTCTTTATATCATTGAATATAGCATAATAATTTATGTGAAATATCTTTCCATAAATTCCTAACTCTGAGTCATTTTGTGATTCATTTGCATTGTCAGACTTTTTGTCTTGTAAAGAGGTCACATTTTTCTGGTTTTTTGTATGTTGAGTAATCTTGGATTTAATCCTGGGCATTGTAAATATTATATTGTGTAGATTTTGGATTCTTTTATATTATTCTAAAAACACTGAATCTTTTATAGGAGCAAGCAATTATTAATAATTTGGTCAGACTCAGAAAACACCATTTCTTGGGCAACAGCTCACATCTCAGGTAGGCTAATTTTCCCTTAGCTGAGTCTGTCTCACATAAGCATGATTCAAGAATCAGCCTAAGATTTGAGCAGTGTTTATCATGTGCGGCTCCTTCCACTGCTTTCATTTGCCTGTGGCTCTGGTTGACCTGAAATCTGCCCTCTATTCCATTAAGCTGAAAAATCTGTGGGCTTTCTATCAGAATTTTTGCTGTTCTATATAGTGCCACCTTTGGAATGCTTAAGGCAAAAAGCCATCAAAATGGAGCTCACTCATGTCATTCCCTTTTTATGGGTATCAACCCTTCTTCTAGAATTGACCTACTTTAGCTTTTACTACCCAATGCCCTCAATTTATTGTTATTCCACTCTTTTTCTAGTTAACATTTGTTACCTGCAGAAGAGATGACTCTGGTAGGAGCTTATTTAGCTACATTGGAAGGTGCTCCCTTTGACCATTTTAGATTCTTGTTTAAGTTCTTTAATGTTTGTTTTAGTTTGCTTTAGTTATGTTTGTTTAGTACCATCTAGATTATTTTCAATGACAAATTTGCTAAGCCATCATGTGGTTACAAATCTTGATATTGAGTCCCATTCTCTCCTCTGCTCAACACCAAGGTATTTGCCAGGCAATTTTCCTCACAATGGTTTAAGTTGAATTTATCTGTATTTCTACCATATATCATATGCATACTATTTCAAATCATAGCTTTCAGCAGTGGGGAGATTGAGTTTGTAGAAGGTACTTTCTATATATTTTCTAACTTGGACAGGTCTTGTAATTTTCTCCTATTCTTTATGCCCTCAGAGGCCCTGAAGCCAAAGTTCACATTTTACCTCTAGATGAATATTAGTTTCAGTGCTCTTTTTACTTCCAGTTTCCTGATTTTTCATATTTTGAATGTTACATATTACTCACTTCCTACATCACTGATGCTTAAACCGATAGAGTTTAACCAAATTTTTATTTGTTTATTCTAAAATGAATAGTCTGGGATCAGTCATGATACCTAATTGGCCATATTTCTGGAAAGAGAATACTCTTTGATTTCTGATTCCTGGTGCTTCAGCAAATTCTGCCCTTTGTAGTTTATTTGTTCCCCCATAGCAGACATATACATCCTGTTGTTATTAAAGATTACAATATGACTATAGTGAGAATATGACATTACTATGTATTAAATTATGATAACATGCAGTTGCCTCTGATAATAACTGGTAGGAGCTTAGATTTCTAACATCCTAAGATTACTACTAACACAATTATAAGTGATACCTAAAAATGATGTTTATCCTCTACACAAATAAACTAGAAAATCTAGAAGAAATGGATAAATTCCTGGACACATACATCCTCCCAAGACTAAACCAGGAGAAAGTCAAATCCATAAATAGACCAATAACAAGTTCTGATACTGAGGCAGTAATTAATAGCCTAGCAACCAAAAAAAGCCCAGGACCAGACGGATTCACAGCCTAATTCTACCAGAGGTACAAAGAGGAGCTGGTACCGTTCCTTCTGAAACTACTCCAAACAATAGAAAAAGAAGGACTCCTCCCTAACTCATTTTATGAGGCCAGCATCATACTGATACCAAAACTTGGCAGAGACACAACAAAAAAAGACAATTTCAGGCCAATATCCCTGATGAACATTGATGCAAAAATCCTCAGTAAAATATGGCAAACTGAATCCAGCAGCACATCAAAAAGCTTTTCCACACTGTCAAGTCGGCTTCATCCCTGGGATGCAAGGCTGGTTCAACATATGCAAATCAATAAACGTAATCCATCACAGCAACAAAACCAATGACAAAAACCTCATGATTATCTCAGTAAATGCAGAAAAGGCCTTTGACAAAATTCAACATCCTTCATGTTAAAAACTCTCAGCAAACTAAGTATTGATGAAACATATCTAAAAATAATAAGAGCTATTTATGACAAACCCATAACCAATGAATGTGCGAAAGCTGGAAGCATTCCCTTTGAAAACCAGCACAAGACAACACAGTATTGGCAGTTCTGTCCAGGGCAATCAGGCAAGAGAAAGAAATAAAGGATATTCAAATAGGAAGAGAGTAAGTCAAATTGTCTCTCTTTGCAGATGACATGATTTTTTTTTTTTTTGACAGATTCTTGCTCTGTAGCCCAGACTGGAGTGCAGTGGCATGATCTCGGCTCACTGCAACCTCCGCCTTCCAGGTTCAAGCAATTCTCCTGCCTCAGCCTTCTGAGTAGCTGGGACTATGGGACTACGGGTGCATGCTACCATGCCCAGCTAATTTTTGTATTTTTAGTAGAGACGGGGTTTCACCATGTTGGCCAGGATGGTCTCGATCTCTTGACCTCGTGATCTGCCCGCCTCAGCCTCCCAAAGTGCTGGGATTACAGGCATGAGCCACCTTGCCTGGCAGACATGACTGTATATTTAGAGAACCCCATCATCTCAGCCCCAAACTCCTTAAGCTGATAAGCAACTTCAGCAAAGTCTCAGGATACAAAATCAATGTGCAAAAATTACAAGCATTCCTATACACCAACAATAGACAAGCAGAGAGTCATCATGAATGAACTCCCATTCACAATTGCTACAAAGAGAATAAAATACTTTGGAATACAACTTACAAGGGACATGAAGGACTTCTTCAGGAGAACTACAAACCACTGCCCAAGGAAAAAAGAGAGGACACAAACAAATGGAAAAACATTCCATGCTCATGGATAGGAAGAATTAATATTGTGAAAATGGCCATGCTGCCCAAAGTAATTTATAGATTTAATGCTATTCCCATCAAGCTACCATGGACTTTTTTCACAGAAGTAGAGAAAACTACTTTAAATTTTACATGAAACCAAAAAAGAGCCCTTCTAGCAAAGACAATCCTAAGCAAAAAGAACAAAGCTGGAGGCATCATGCTACCTGACTTCAAACTATACTAAAAAGCTACAACATGGTACTGGTAGCAAAATGGATATATAGACCAATGGAACAGAACAGGGACCCCAGAAATAACACCATACATCTACAACCATCTGATCTTTGACAAACCTGACAAAAACAAGCAATGGGGAAAGGACTCCCTATTTAATAAGTGGTGCTGGGAAAACTGGCTAGCCATATGCAGAAAACAGAAACTGGACCCCTTCCTTATACTTTATACAAAAATTAACTCAAGATGGATTAAAGACTCAAATGTAAAACCCAAAACCATAAAAACCCTAGATAAAAACCTACGCAATACCATCCAGGGTATAGGCATGGGCAAAGACTTCATGACTAAAACACCAAAAGCAATTGCAACAAAAGCCAAAATTAACAAATGGGATCTAATTAACCTAAGGAGCTTCTGCACAGCAAAAGAAATTAGCATTGGAATGAACAGGCAACCTGCAGAAGGGGAGAAAATTTTTGCAATCTACCCATCTGACAAAGGTCTAATATCCTGAATATACAAGGAAGTTAAAGAAATTCATGGCCAGGCATGGTGGGTCATGCCTGTAATCCCAGCACTTTGGGAAGCTGAGGCGGGCAGATCACGAGGTCAGGAGTTCAAGACCAGCCTGGCCAACATGGCAAAACCCTGTCTCTACCAAAAATACAAAAATTAGCTGAGCATGGAGGTGCATACTTGTAATCCCAGCTACTCGGGAGGCTGAGGCAGGAAAATTGCTTAAACTGGGACCCGGGAGGCAGAGGTTGCAGTGAGCTGAGATGGTGCTACTGCACTCCAGCCTGGGCTACACAGTGAGACTCCATCTCAAAAAAAAAAAGAAAAAAGAAAAAAAAGAATTTACAAGAAAAATATAAACAACCGCATCAAAAGGTGGGCAAAGGTTATGAACAGACACGTCTCAAAAGAAGACATTTATGCAGCCAACAAACATATGTAAAAAACTCATCATCACTGGTCATTAGAGATGTGCAAATCAAAACCATAATATTATACCATCTCACGCCAGACAGAATAGTGATTATTTAAAAGTCAGGAAACAACAGATGCTGGAGAGGATGTGGAGAAATAGGAATGCTTTTACACTATTGGTGAGAGTGTAAATTAGTTCAACCATTGTGGAAGACAGTGTGGTGATTCCTCAAGGATCTAGAACCAGAAATACCATTTGACCCAGGAATCTCATTACTGAGTATATACCCTAACGATTAAAATCATTCTACTATAAAGACATGCACACCTATGTTTATTACAGCACTATTTCCAATAGCAAAGACTTGGAACCAACCCAAATGCCCATCAATGATAGACTGGATAAAGAAAATGTGGCACACATACACCGTGGAATACTACGCGTCATAAAAAAGGATGAATTCCTGTCCTTTGCAGGGACTTGGATGAAGCTGGAAGCCATCATTCTCAGCTAACTAACACAGGAATAGAAAACCAAACACTGCATATTCTCACTTATAAATGAGAGTTGAACAATGAGAACACATGGACACAGGGATGGGAACAACACACACTGGGGCCTGTTGGGGGTGAGGGATGAGGGGAGGGAGAGCCATTAGGACAAATATGTAATGCATGAGGGCCTTAAAACCTAGATGACGGGTTGATAGGTGCAGCAAACCACCATGGCACATGTATACTTATGTAAAATACCCTGCACATTCTGTACATGATCCTGGAATTTAAATAAAAGTAAAAAAATTAAAATTAAAAAAATGTAAATGAACAACAACCACAAAAAAAGTGTGTGGCCCTTGTGTCCTCAAAAAAAAAAATGAAAAAAGAAAAAGAAATTGTAACTAGTCAAGGCAATGAATACCTTAAATACTGTGACTAGGTTATTATACATTCTATGCATGTAACAAAGTATCACATGTACAAATATAAATGTAGAAATATTATGTATCAATAAAAATTTTAAAAATAAAAAAATCTTGTTTAGTCAATCAGAATAATACAAAGGAAAATCGGGCCTTGAGGCAAAAATTATATATTAAGATAAAGGGAAATTACAAATGAAGAGACATGATGCTATTTTAATATCAGAGAATAACCTGAAATGTGCCAGCTGGGTGTGTGATAGAAATGTTGAAAGTAGTTTTAAAATAGTTTGGATTAAATGTTTATATTTTTGGAAAATTTAGTAGAATCTGCAGCCTCTCATTTGTCAACAAACCAGTACTTTAAAATTACAACTATATTATGGGAAAGTAAAATTTGCATGAATTAAATACTTTATGTAATATACGTATTGACATATTTGTTCTTCTAGGAATATGCATGTTATGCTGTTGAAACAAGATTCATAGCAGTTGCTCAAAAGGATAGTTTATACTATCACAGGGAAAGAAACCATATTGAGAAAAGGAGGTATTTATAGGGTGAATGGCTTTTTATTGTGCTTTATTTTACAATCTTTTTATATCTTATATCTGAAAGATAAATTACTTTGTTCTAGCAATAATTTGTCTCTTAAAAGTAACCATATTTTATTAACCATAAACTATTAAATGATTAAATTGAGTAGCCCATAGTAAGTAGTATAAATGGTTGGGTGACCAGAAGTAAACTTTAAATCACCAGCCAAATACAGCAATGATTTTGGCAGCATTGGTGTTTTAAAACCAGAGGCATTTTCACTGAAAAGAGCTGCCATGATGCTCTGGAATAAACATGATCTCTTTTTGAAAATAGTATGAAATGCATAAGTAAGGCAGTTTTAAAGGTGATATTTTAAATTTAGGTGGTTAAAACATAGTAAAATTAGAATGAGAGACAAAATTTTAATACTCATTAATATAAAAATTCTGAAAAATGTTGAAATTACGTTGGATAAATAACATTATATCATGGAAGTAGATTCCGGATCACATGGGCAATACTTGTTCAGCATATTCAAGGTGAAGAATGATCTTCACCTGAACAAGTATCTTCACCTGAATATGCTCAACGAGTATTGCCCATTTGATCCAAATTTTTCAACTACCTGTTTGTCCAACCCATGTAAAGGAGGCATTTGTTTAGGAGCACCTGTTTTAGTACTGATGGCAGTGGCTGCTGCCATCACCCCACTTGCAGCAGGGAGGCACGCTAGGGCTGCACACTCCATGGAGTCAGTGGGAGCCCCGCCACTTCCGAGTTGGGGCAGGAACTCTCCAGGTGCGACTGCAGCCGTCCAAATCGCTGCTGCAGACCCAGGCCTCCTGCTCTACAGGCAGGAGCCCTACCCTAACTGCAGCTGTGGATCTGAGCCTCCCTGTACTCTTGACAGGGAGGCTGGGAACAGGCAGGATTTGCCTCCTGGGTGCGGCTGCAGCTACCAGACCCGCAGCTGCAGACCTGGGCCTCCTGCTTCACAGGCCAGGTAGGAAGGAACCGGGGACAAGCGGGAGCCCCACCCCTTCTGAGGTGGCAGGGTGGGAGCTCCCTGGGCACAGCTGTGGCTGCTCTCCCAGGCCTAGGACCTCTGGGTATCTCTGCAGCCTGCATCGTTGGGCTGGGAAGCCACCCCCACTCCCTTCCCTGCTGGCTCGATGATGTCTACTCGTCCGTTCCCGCTGCCTGGCCTCTCTTCTCTCTTTGCATCAGCTCCGGTCTGGGAGTGGGGTTGGGATCGAGCCCTGGGGCCATGAATGGCAGTGGGAGGCAGATAGATCCCTGGGTGGAAGGAGATGGGTCCTGGTCAGGCCCCACCTTCAGGCCAGGGAGGTCCTAAAGGCTGGGGGCCAGGCCAGTCCTTCCGACCAGAGTGGGGACTTGCAGTGCCTCTTCCGGGCCACCCATGCTTGCCCATGAACCAACTGACAGGCACTTCCTCCCCTCTGAGGTCCATAAAAGCCCAGGATCAGCCAGAGCAGAGGGTGGAGAGATGAAGGGAGATCAATTGCAGAGAGGAGCTACCCTCTCTGCTGAGAGTTTAGAGACCTGCAGAGATGTCCAATGACCTGCCTGTGGAGAGGAGTCATCCTCTCCAGGGCCTTTTCTCTGCTGAGAGCTGGAGATGATGGGATGACCTGCCAGCAGAGAGAAGCCACCCTCTCCAGGGCCTCCTTTCTGTCGAGAGCTAAACACTCAACAGGACCACCTGCCTACAGAGAGGAGTCTACTCTGAGCTGTTCTAACACTAAATAAATCTCTTCGCCTATCTTCACCCTTCGCTTGTCTGCGTACCTCAATACCTCATTCTTCCTGTATGCAGGACAAGAATTCCGGCAAAGGCGCCACTGGCCACAGAGGTTTCCAGGAAGAAAATTGACACCCCAAAGATCTCGTAACAGTACCCCACAGTGAGCTTTACAAGGAGACTTTTGATTTTTTTCTGTTTGAGCTGTTTCTGATTTACAATTACCAAAATGTGTTATTTTGACTCAGAACTCTCCATATAACTACCACCACAATAGTGCAGCAAAAAGAATACATGTCAACCTATTTTTAGTCAAGTTTATCTTCAAATATAATTAATTAAGTAATTATAATGCACATGTGACCCCTTACTTAGGCCATTGCCTTTCTAATCATGGTTTAAGTCCTATTTCTGACCTGCTCTTTTCCTTATTCACATCCCTTATGAGTTCTCAGTGATTGATTGTGGAGGTTTGCACTTTTTCTCTACATTATTTTCAGTATGAAGTTAGAACTAAAGGTGTATTACTACTAAACACACATTATGTTTCTTCTTCTACATATTTGTGCATATATGAGTTTATTGTTTCATTCCTATCTTTTCTTTCTTGTTCCATCTCACTTCCTTTTTTCTTCCTTTCTTCTTTTTATTCTTTCTTTTTTCCTTTCTTCCTGAATTTATGTATCCATTTAACACAATTTATGGCACCTACTCCATATCAAAAATATGTTAAAAGTAGGCATTTTGTTTTGAATATGGTAATATAGTTATTAACCTCACTGTTTATAGTCTACAATGCAACCAAATCAATTACAATGCAGTTTGCTAAGTGTGAAAATGGTAGGCAGTTCTAAGAGAGTATAAAAAGGGTACCCATGCCAGTGAACAGATGAGGATCAAAGATTTCTCAAAAAGTTAACATAGAATATGATTGGCTTAGATAAGCAAAGTTTGAAGACAAGAATATGAAAGGAAACTGGAGGAAATAGGCAATTTTGTTGCAAATTACATATATCACTAAAATTAAAATGGCAGGTTAAGAATGAGGATGGTGCTTTAGCGGGAACTATAATGTTATTGAAGGGAGTGGGAGATGGAGTCAGTTTAAGTCCTATGGATTTATATTCTTTTGGGGGTGTGCAAAGATGACATAGATCTGAAAAATAATTAGTTAGCCTCCTGGCTTCTAATTGAAAATGTTCAAACGGGGTTTCATAAATGAAAGCATTTCTGATGGGTTTATTTCAGGTCTGTTTTATTGTAATTCTGAGGGACTCATTCCAAATTGCCAGGAGATTTGATGAGCTAGTTCTTAGAATAAAAAATAGTTAGTATTGTCCAAAGCAGGATCCAAAAGTTAAGGCCACTCTGGAAGATTTTAGCTCTGGGATGAATTGATGCTTAGTCTTGTTTCTGCTGGATGGATGTCTGAGGCTCTCTATATTTTAATAAAATAGTTTCAAATTATTTTCCCAGCTCCATCAGGATTGATTTTATTTCAATGGGTTGGCAATAGATTATAAAATATCTTCCTTCTGTTTGTATAACTGAATGTTTTGTAAACTCTTAGTGTTAATTTACCAGTTATTACAAATCTTTCAGTTATCAAGTAAGTTATTACAAAAATCGTAATAAATTGTCTGTGAATTAAATGTAACAAGTTGTAAGAGTTTGTTGAGTATTGCATGTTTGTACCCTGCTGAAAAGTGAAGCTGCTCTAGAAACTATAATTCTTGGCAATGATGCAAAATTCGTAAGGATGCAAAATTCGTACTGATTATTGTGAGCCTGCTTCAGGAATGGCACTTTAGAGTCTTGGGTTCAGTTGTGGATTTTATTTGCTGTGTTCTTTCTATTTATTACACCTTCCGGTTTGTTTTCTTTATTATTATTAATTTATTTAGTTGTGAATTGTTTTGGTAACCTTATGTTATATAATAGAGTATATTTGCATATGTATTGTAATGCATGTTGCATTTTATAACAGTATTAAATTCTTTAGTTTTTCAAAATGTAATCTCTAAAATGCAGATAAATTGTATTTTACATAGGAATCACCCACACTATTATCACTGAAGCAAATAAGGTCATATTGCCATATTCTATCCTAACTTATGTGTTGCAGTGGCACATTAGTCGTAAGGTGTGATTGTAAGTCTGTGCTACTTAAATAATTTGCGATAATATAATTCTATGCAATTGAATTATTGGGTTATTATGAAGGTAATAAACGGCATATTATAACAATGTTTTTATTTTGTTTTTCTACAATTTTTCTATGGTTAATTTCTCATAAGTAATATAGTATATGTACATTTTACAACTCCCTTCTTTATGGATAATTTTTCTTATTCTGACACATTGTCCTTTCTATCTCTATTAGTCAGTATTCCTTCAGTTGAAAATTACACAAACTCTCTTCAGTCTGTCTCAAGCTAAAAGGATATTTGTCGGCTTATTTAGTTGAGATGCATCTTCGCAAAATGAAAGAAATAGAGAAATCAGATATCAGGGACTGAAAGGGTATTTCATTGTTACTAGTAGTCAATATCTCTAGCTCTTCCTAATCCCTGATCTTTTATGTTTGTTGATTCTCAACATGCAGCAGGAAACAGTCATTGACTCAGGTACAAACCCTTTGAATTTGTAATCCACAGATGGAAAGAGATTCTGTCTATAATTTGTAAAGTTGTGGAGAAGAACCATTAGCCTTTCTTGCACCATGTGGTCCTCTCTGTAACTGGGAGGATATGAGACCATGATTGACAGCTCCACAAGCACCACTGAGTTGGGAAGGAATTTCCAAAGGAAATAATTTGATACCAAATCATTTCTTTGTCTCAAATGATAAGTCCAACCCACCAAATATGAAGATTTGTTTCTTTAAAATTGTGCTTTGTGGTTACATGATCTATTGTAATTTAGAAGGATTTAAAGAGAAATTTATGTTTTCCTTTAGAAATAGTGTACAATAAGTACTGTTATTTTTTAAAAAATTCCAATATAAGGTGATTGAAGAGCTGAAGGGTGTGAGTTGCCTAATAAATACGAAAAAAATAAATATTATTTCTCCCAAAATATGTAGGAGGTTGTGATGGTTAATACTGAGTGTCAAGGATGGAGTTCTTTCATTGTTTGGGGGTTTTTGTAGTTGGCTGCTTAATATGATTAGACCCCCAAATGCTAAGGATTCTACTGCTGATAGTATGAAGAACACGCATAGTCCTTGGTGGAAACTGTTTAGAGAGTTATGCAAAATAAATGCTTTTGATACTCCTGATTAACCACTTGTGAGAGGCAAGAACTTTAATGTCTCTATACATAATACCTTTGACTATATGTGGAGAACTAAGGAACATAATGAAGTTGGTTGCTTGCTCCTAAGTTCACTGTAAAAGTAATGAAAGAAAATGATATACTCAGGGATTCTAACTTCTGGATTCCGAAGAAGATACTGAGCCTCAAATCTGCTAAGCTTTCCCTGAGTGAGTGTTATCTCCTGTAGAGAAAGAGCTGAAATTGTGGAAAATCAGACACAAGCGCTTATCATGCAAGTGGCTGACCATCAGTGAAAGGTGCATGCACAACCTCACCAGGTGTCCACTGTTAAAGTGAGGGCATTAATTGGCAAAGAATGGGACCCTGAAACTTAGAATGGGGATGTGTGGGAGAACCCTGATAAAGCTGGGGATACTGAGCTTGTAAACTCTGATGAAATTTCTTTCCCAGAAGAAACAGCTTCCCGATCCTCAGGATTGGCAACATCCCCTCCCAGCACACACTGCCATCAGCCTTTCCATGTTTGTCTGAGGAGATAAACCCTGCACTGCCTGAGGCAACAGTGATGGCCTCCCCTGAGGCAGTTGCCAGGCAAGATAATGTTGTTTCTCCTTAGGAGCCACCCACAACACCAACACCCCTGTTTATTTCTATGCCTATAACTAGACTAAAGTCCTGGTGGGCCCCTTGAGGTGAAGTTCAGTGTGTGACCCATGAGGAGGTGCACTGCACTTGAAAAGAGAACTGCTTGAGTTTTCTAATTTATATAAGCAGAAATCTGGAGAACAGGCGTGCGAAGTGATATTAAGAGTTTGGGATAATGGTGGAAAGAACATAGAGCTGGATCAGGCTGAATTTATTGATTTGGGCCCACTAAGCAGAGATTCTGCATTTAATCTTGGAGCCTGGGGAGTCAAAAAACGTTCTAATAGTTTATTTGCTTGGTTAGCTGAAATATGGATTAAAAGATGGCCCACTTGAGCCAGCTGGAAAATGCCTTATCTCCTTTGGTTTAATGTAGTGGAAGGGATCCAAAGGCTTAGGGAGATTGGGATGCTGGAGTGAATTAGTCATTTTAGACCTACTCATCCCAGATGGGAGGGTCCAGAAGATATACCCATGACCAATGCTTTGTGAAATAGGTTTGTGAGGGCAGCACCTGCATCTTTGAAGAGCCCTGTAATTGCTCTTCCCTGTATCTGAGATCTAATAGTGGGAACCACAGTCACTCAACTACAAAATTTAAATGCAATGGGAATACTTGGGTCCCAGGGCAGCAGGGGCCAAAGGCAGCACTAAATAGTCAAAGGCAAGGTTGGCATAGCTACTGTAATGGGCAGAAGAGGCAAAGCAGCAATCAGAATAGTCTGACCCATGTAGAGGTCTGGCATTTGCTAATTAATCACAGGTCCAGTAATCAAGGGATGGAAGTGGAAGTGGCACCACTCACCATCACCCCTAGCAAACCACTAGCAAAATTTTTGCTTCCTGTTCCCATGACTTTATGCTCTGCTGGCCTAGAGGTCTTAGTTCCAGAGGGAGGAATGCTGCCACCAGGAGACACAACAGTGATTCCATTAAACTGGAAGTTAAGATCCCTACCTGGACACTTTGGGCTCCTCTTACCTTTAAGAAAACAGGCTAATAAGGGAGTTACAGCGTTGGCTGGGGTGATTGATGCAAACTATCAAGATAAAATCAGTTTACTACTATACCATGGAGATAAGGAAGAGTATGTGTGGATACAGGAGATCCCTTGAGGTGTCTCTTAGTATTACCATGCCCTGTAGTTAAGGTCAATGGGAAACTACAACAGCCCAATCCAGGCAGGACTACAAATAGTCCAGACCCTTCAGGAATGAAGGAATGAAGGTTTGGGTCACTCCACCAAGAAAAAAACCATGACCTGCTGAGGTGCTTGCTGAAGGCAAAGGGAATACAGAATAGGTAGTAGAAGGTAGTTATCAATACCAGCTACAACCACGTGACCAGCTGCCGAAATGAGGACTGTAATTGTCATGAATATTTCCTCTTTGTTTGTTAAAAACATGTTTGTGCATGTGTACAGTTGTACTAAGAAAATATCTTCATTTTATTTCCTTTTTCCTTTATCATGTGACATAAGAATTATTGACTTCATATCAGCATTTAAGTATTGTTCACTTTATGTAATAGCATTTTGATTGGGGATTGGTGCATTTCCAGTTGTATGAAGGATAGTTGTATTATGTTAGGCATAAATATGACCATGTTATTGTCTTTATTTGAAGATTATGTACGATCTCAGGAGATGTGTATGAGTTCAAGTTGACAAGGGGTGGACTTGAGATGGTTAATACTGAGTGTGAACTTGATCGGATTGAAGGATGCAAAGTATTGATTCTGGGTGTGTCTGTGAGGGTGTTGCCAAAGGAGATTAACATTTGAGTCAGTGGGCTGGGAAAGGCAGACCCACCTTTAATATGGGTAGGCAAAACCTAATCAGCTGCCAGCACCTCCAGAATAAAAAGCAGGCAGAAGAAAGTGAAAAGACTAGACTGCTTTAGCCTCCTAGCTTACATCTTTCTCCGGTGCTGTATGCTTGCTTCCTGCCCTCGAACATCGGACTCCAAGTTCTTCAGCTTTGGGACTTGGACTGGCTTCCTTGCTCCTCAGCTTGCAGATGGCTTATTGTGGGACTTTGTGAGCATGTGAGTTAATACTCCTTAATAAACTCCCATCTATCTATCTGTCTGTCTATCTATCTATCTATCTATCTATCTATCTATCTATCTATCTATCTATGTATCTATCTCCTATTAGTTCTGTCCCTCTAGAGAACCCTGACTAATACAGAGGTTCAGTTACAGCGAGGGTTTAGTTTAGTTTGAATTAAATTTTATCAGTTTACATTTATCCACATTATCCAATTTATCTAGTACTTGTCCTATCTTTATCTTATATTTGGTTTCTCCTTAATATAAGTCACCTATTTAATATAAAGCAGTTAATGAAATGCCAAATCTATGTGTAATATTAAAGCATACTCCTTTTTTTGTGACATATGGCCCACATTTATCGCCATAGTTATATCTGAATTTACTGAACAATTCAGGAAAAACTTTAAAAAAATTACTGTTTTCATAAAATAGATTCAGAATTGGTTGCTAATATTACTTTCTGCAACTTATTCACAGACGATCTCCTCTAAAGTTCATCCTGTCCTCCCACTTATTCCTCTGTCCATAGGCCCACCTTCTTCAGAACGTCACTGTAAGAATCTCATTCAAATTCTCCCTTATCCCTCAAAGCTCATTTTGCTTCAAATTTGTTTCTCTTCACAAAACGGTGCATTCATCAGATAGAACTCATTCAATTTGGAAAAATATTTGGTGCCACAGAATGACAACTGCATCATATGCACACAAATAGGTGAGCACATGCACACCTAGGTACTTAGGAAAATTGATTATTAAAGACAGTACTCTACTGGAAACAGCCAGGCCATATATACCTTAATGCCTGCTCCTTTAGCTAACATTAAAATCAAGCAAAGAGAAGAGTCATGTTAATGATGAATAAATGCATTAATTAATTAATTGAGCTTTTATGTTACAGATTATTCTTTTAACTAGTCTTTTGTTTTAGGAGGGCAAAGGACACAGCAGGGATTTTTCATTCATCAAATTACATTTAGTTTAGACGGCTTTGTAATTCTCAGAAGGAGTAAATGGATAGTACCACAACAGATATTGGTCAATGGGAAATTAAGCTCAACACACCCAAAGTAAATTTTCCACTGTCTCTAATTCTGCTTTAGGACTCATACAACCCTAAAGAATACAACTATAAAATTATATTAATATATAAAATAAGGTCATTGAGACGAACATAAACAGTTTTAATTATATTTAACAAATAAGCCATTTCTTATCTTCCTCTCCAGAAAAATAGTACCAGCTACTGCAATATTTTAAGTAACTTACCACTGATTTCAGAGAGATGTTTATTAGCTTCCTTAGTAGCAAAGATATCATAGCATGTTCTTTTTTTCTACCTGGTCAAAAAAGAAATTGCCATGTATTTTTCTTTACCATACTTGTTTAAATTCATTTTACTGCTTCTATGTCAAGCATGAGTTGCTTAAAATTTGTATTTTGCTTTTTAAAAATCAACACATGTAGCAGCACAAAGGTTCCATAAAATATAAATATGTTGCCTTTATGCAGAAGTAAACCAGTTTGCGGCCAAATTCTGTAATACAATTTAAAAGCATATATACACATGTATAATGTGAAAACAAACACTGGTCCAATATTAAACCAAGAAGCAAACACCCTGCTTGCAAGCTGCTGGCAACTTCCTTTATAGAAATGAGAATAGGACATAGAATCCCCAGAAGAAATAAAATTCCAAGCTTCACCCCAAATTTTAGTGTAGTGCTTGCAGAAGCATTTAAGGAAAATATAGAATTCATTATTAAGTCTAGCATTTTAGAGCCCCAAATCAAATTGAAAGTAATTTGTTACATTGCAGGGCCCAAGAGAGCCTAGCCCATATGAAATACTTAACAGAAGTTCTCATTTTCCATTTATGTTGAGCAAACTAATAGTTAAGACAATGAAGGAAGGCAGAGAGCATAGTATATAAAATTGTTTTCTATAATTCTTAGGTCTGTGCTCCATACCAATGGTATTAATAAATGATTTTTTTTTTTTTTTGCTTTTTCATTTTTTTTATTTTTATGGATTTAGTGGTACAAGTGCAGTTGTGTTACATAGATATATTGTGTAGTGATGAAGTCTGAGGTTTTAGTGTACCCATAACCTGAATAGTGTACACTGCAAATTATTTTTAATAAAGAGCCCTAGTACATTGTAGAGAATTCGAAAAGGATAGGATTAAATATTTCCCCCTCTCCTCTTTCCCAAAGTTTTAGTTCCCTACACCAAAAAACAACTACTATTAGTGATTTCTTGTGTTTTCTTGTGTGTGTGTATTTATTTACATATATATGTATATATGAACATACATGTATAAATACACATATCTTTCAATGTTTTTCTTCATTGTATCAAATTGGAAGCATATAATACATATTGCAACGATTGGTTTTCTTCACTTAAAATATTTGGAGATTTTTTATGGCAGTGCATATAAAGTGACTTTCCTTTAGGCATTGTATTTCTTTATGTAAACATTCCATTAAAAATTTTTGTATTAATAGGCATTTTTATCCTATCTAAACTTTTGATATTATAAAAAAGCCCACCTGCAGTGATTTCACTTATACATATGTAATTACATTATATGTGAACATGCCAATATGACAGATTCCTAGAAGTTAAATTGAAGGGTAATGTAAGGGTATTTATCTATTTAATTTAATGTTTCAATGTTACAGCAATTTATTCCTACCAATAATATGTAACAATGCCCTGCACCCTTATCCACATGGTATATTATAAGGCTTTTTGATCTCCACCAATCCATTTTATAAAAATGGCATCTTATCATAGATTTAAGTTACATTCATTCATTATAAATACCTTCAAGCATATTTTCATTCACCTCAAATTGATATGTGATTAATAAAGTTATTATTTTGACTTCTAACACATAAATGATAAAATATCAGCACAGGTAGAATAATGATCAGTGTTGCATGAAGAGATGTCTCTATAGTTATTTTGTCTATGTGTGGAACCATGATCCGGAAGTTAGAGTTTTTGTCCACCCACCATCTTCCTTTGAGTCTTGCCTCTAGGAACTATGTGGAGCTGTGCTCAAAAGTATCCCCATTCATGAGGCTCCAGGTTAATTGGTTATAGATGCTGTTATCTCCCAGGAGCCACTGAGCATGCTCTTTGATCCACTTCTGCTCTTGAATAAGAGTTGACAGTTTTCATAATGATACTGACAGAAAGTTTGCCTTTGCTTAAAGAAATTTTTTTAGGGCAGTAGGAGTGATGAAAATTTCAAGCATGTGTTCACCACTTACTATGTGTCAGACATAACAGTAATGCAAACCTTTCAAATTCTTTTATTTGGATTTGTCAGCTGAAAGATTGGTATTCACAGTACCATCACCAAGTGATAAAAAAATGGAAAATTCAGTTAAACAGCTTTTTTGTTTCTATTTGACAGCACGCTTTTGGTATCACTTAGCGATGTCTGAGTTTCCCTGTTTAGTAATTAGGCAATGATAAGAGTAGAAATTGAACACATCAACCAGCCAGTCACAGGCATTGCAAACAATGGCCATTGTTCTCAGTACTGGAGGAGTGTCTGTGTCCCCTCCTCTTTCCTTGTGGGGAGGCCTGGGAATTCTAAAGGGAGGCTGACACCCAAGGTGAGAGGCAGTGGATGAGCTCAGGAAAGTAACATTTTCTCAAAAGTATCTCAATAATTTAAAAATGGGCTTGATATGTGCCCACTGAAAACAAATCCTACCCACTTTGGTTTTTGAGTAGGATTTTGGCATTCTAGCTCTCTAATCAAAGTCAGAATCTCTGAAGTTCTTTCTAACTTCCCTCAAATGCTTGAGAAATTTAATTCAGTCTCTGAATCCATCTATTGGGCTGCTAATACATGCATTAAGATGGAATTAACAGTACATATGAGTGAAGAACTTCGCATATGCACTGCTCTAAAGAAATATTTCATCAAATAGATAACTCATGGTAACGCATAGTCCCAACATGTCAAGGGGCCATTTTCTGCCTCCTCATTAATCACTTCACTAACACCAGATAGAGTTTAAAAAAAAAAATCTTTGACTGGGCATGGTGGCACTTTGAGAGGCCAAGGCAGGAGGATACCTTGAGCCCAGGAGTCTGTGACCAGCCTGGGCAACATAGTGAGACCTCTCTGCTAAAAATAACTTTAAAAAAATTCGCTGGGCATGGTGGTGCATGCCTGTAATCTTAGCTACTTTGGAGACTGAAGCGAGAGGATCACTTGAGCCCAGGCATTCAAGGTTGCAGTGAGCTATGATTGAACCACTGCACTTCAGTCTGGGCAACAGAGTGAGAACCTATCTCAAAAATAAATAAATAAATATAAAAATCTTAAGGATTGAAAACAAAAACCCAAAAATATATGTGGTAAAATAATACTGACAGGTAAGTATTTTTAAAATGATCCATATAAACAAGGTATTTGTTTCCATTTTTATACTCTCAAACTTACACAACAAATGTATGCTTAATTAATAATAAAGCAAGGGTAATGTGTGGTTGATAAAAGAAAAAAGTAGAAGAGAAATGTACATGACTCCCCTCACTGAGGCATCATCCACTTTTCTCCATAGTGTAGGGTCTAGATTATTCTGTAGCTGAATGAAGCATGATATGGTTTGGCTGTGTGTCCCCATCCAAATCTGATCTTCATTTGTAATCCCCACGTGTCAGGGGAGGGACCTGGTGGGAGGTGATTAGATAATGGGGGTGATTTCCCCCATGCTGTTTTGATATTTAGGGAGTTTTCACAAGAGCTGGTGGTTTTAAGTGTGGCACTTCCTAGCTCTTGCTCTCTCTTCTGCTGCCATGTAAGACGTGCCTTGTTTCCCCTTTGCCTTCCATCACAATTTTGAGTTTCTTGATGCGTCCCCAGCCATGCAGAACTGTGAATCAAACCTTCTTTCTTTATAAATTATCAGTTTCAGGTACTATCTTTATAGCAGGTTGATAATGGAATAATACAGAGCACTAATTTATTACTGTGTCAAGTAATTGGTGGATGCTGTCCTGGTTTCTGATTCATCACATTCTTAATGTTTTTTAAACACCTCAAACAGGTACATAGGATTTAATTCTTGTAATTTTATTTTATTTTTTTTGAGACAGTCTCACTCTTTCCCCCAGGCTGGAGTGAGGTGGCAGGATCTCGGCTCACTGCAAGCTCCGCCTTCCGGGTTCACACCATTCTCCTGCCTCAGCCTCCCGAGTAGCTGAGACTACAGGCGCCCGCCACTGTGCCCAGCTAATTTTTTGTATTTTTAGTAGAGACGGGGTTTCACCGTGGTCTCCTGACCACGTGATCCGCCCGCCTGGGCCTCTCAAAGTGCTGGGATTACAGGAGTGAGCCACCGCGCCCGGCCCTGTAATCTTTTAAAAATCTCAGTGAACTCCATAAAAATTCCTTTAGGTAAGAAAAGGAAAAAAATACAGAAATGTTGCTTAAAATTTTACGTTGTTATCTTTTAGCTGTTTTATTTCCTCATTCATCCTTTCTGCTATTTTCCCCCATATATTATTTTAATGTGTGACAGCAAGCATCACACATGGATTGTGGATATCTTCCAAAGCAGACTTTGTTTCACAGTTCAGTGAAGAAAGATGATAAATTATCAATTTGCCAAACAAGATGTTTATTAATTATAATTTTTAATTATAATATATTAAAATGCTGTGATGAAGTTATATGAATTCTCATTGATTACTTGAACATATTGATTGAATCAATACAATTATCGATTGCTTGCTATTAGAAGAACGTGTAAAATGAGTCAAACTCAGAATACCTTCAACAACTAACTTGAATGAAAGTAACAGGCTCGATCTATTGGCAACATTTTCTTTAGTGCATCTTCTACTCTATCCTGGCATATGGGACAAGTAAAGCTAATTACACCTAATAGTAGTTTTTCTACTCACCAAATGGCTATTACTCATTTTCTCCTCCAATTTAGAGGGACCGAATCTCTTTAAAAGCTAGTATAGGGAAGCTGGAGCACCTGAACTAATGATTCTGTGGACACAGTAAATCTGAATTCAAACTTCATTTTACTTTGTGTTGACTCTAGATCTAGTTCTCTAGATATCTTTCTTAGCTTCCCTTCTCTGGTTTCTCCCCTTAGCTATGAGCCTTAAGTTTGAGGAGAACCAAATCCTGCTCCATATTTGGTTTGAATAAAATTTTTGTTTGATTTAATGTCAGTTGCCATCATGGGGCTGTTTCTAGCTACTTCTTCCTCATTGCATTTGTATATTTTGATAGAGTTGCTGAGGTTTGTAGCATCTGGCTATACCATGTTGATCTCTCATTTGCTTTGTTTTTTTTTTTTCCGTTTTTTATTTATTTTTTATTTTTTTATTTTTTATTTTTTTATTATACTTTAAGTTTTAGGGTACATGTGCACATTGTGCAGGTTAGTTACGTATGTGTACATGTGCCGTGCTGGTGCGCTGCACCCACTAACTCGTCATCTAGCATTAGGTATATCTCCCAATGCTATCCCTCCCCCCTCCCCCCACCCCACCACAGTCCCCAGAGTGTGATATTCCCCTTCCTGTGTCCATATGATCTCATTGTTCAATTCCCACCTATGAGTGAGAATATGTGGTGTTTGGTTTTTTGTTCTTGCGATAGTTTACTGAGAATGATGATTTCCAATTTCATCCATGTCCCTACAAAGGACGTGAACTCATCATTTTTTACGGCTGCATAGTATTCCATGGTGTATATGTGCCACATTTAAAATCACAAGCATTCTTACACACCAACAACAGACAAACAGAGAGCCAAATCATGAGTGAACTCCCATTCACAATTGCTTCAAAGAGAATAAAATACCTAGGAATCCAACTTACAAGGGATGTGAAGGACCTCTTCAAGGAGAACTACAAACCACTGCTCAAAGAAATAAAAGAGGATACAAACAAATGGAAGAACATTCCATGCTCATGGGTAGGAAGAATCAATATTGTGAAAATGGCCATACTGCCCAAGGTAATTTACAGATTCAATGCCATCCCCATCAAGCTACCAATGACTTTCTTCACAGAATTGGAAAAAACTACTTTAAAGTTCATATGGAACCAAAAAAGAGCCCGCATCGCCAAGTCAATCCTAAGCCAAAAGAACAAAGCTGGAGGCATCACGCTACCTGACTTCAAACTATACTACAAGGCTACAGTAACCAAAACAGCATGGTACTGGTACCAAAACAGAGATATAGATCAATGGAACAGAACAGAGCCCTCAGAAATAACGCCGCATACCTACAACTATCTGATCTTTGACAAACCTGAGAAAAACAAGCAATGGGGAAAGGATTCCCTATTTAATAAATGGTGCTGGGAAAACTGGCTAGCCATATGTAGAAAGCTGAAACTGGATCCCTTCCTTACACCTTATACAAAAATCAATTCAAGATGGATTAAAGATTTAAACGTTAGACCTAAAACCATAAAAACCCTAGAAGAAAACCTAGGCATTACCATTCAGGACATAGGCATGGGCAAGGACTTCATGTCCAAAACACCAAAAGCAATGGCAACAAAAGACAAAATTGACAAATGGGATCTAATTAAAATAAAGAGCTTCTGCACAGCAAAAGAAACTACCATCAGAGTGAACAGGCAACCTACAAAATGGGAGAAAATTTTCGCAACCTACTCATCTGACAAAGGGCTAATATCCAGAATCTACAATGAACTCAAACAAATTTACAAGAAAAAAACAAACAATCCCATCAAAAAGTGGGCGAAGGACATGAACAGACACTTCTCAAAAGAAGACAGTTATGCAGCCAAAAAACACGTGAAAAAATGCTCATCATCACTGGCCATCAGAGAAATGCAAATCAAAACCACTATGAGATACCATCTCATTTGTTACCTACAATAATTGTGACTAAGTTAAAATGTTCCCCGTGAAGAAAACTTAATCTTTCACTGTTTGCCATGGTGACACAGCCCAACAAATAAAAATAAAATGTATGAAGTCACAAATAGAATGCTTGCAATACTGTCCTAGTTTTTGTTCACCTTCCTTCTTTATTTACATTAATAAATGTAGGTCTAAATTCTCCCTCCCAAAAGTCATAATCACCCTGCAATTTTAGACTTCAGCTCTATAGTGTTCATTCCCAAATGGTTGCCAAGTAAAACTCACCCCCATCCTTGTATTTCCCAATAATTATTAAATATTTCTTGAGAGACCTAACAGATACTTAAATTTAAATGCTTAGATCTAAATTCTACAGATTCCCTTTAAAACTATCTCAATTTTTCTGAATTTTCTATTATACAGTTAGAAAGAAGAGAAAAACAGAAAATAATGAATAAGAAGAAAGGTGATATGAATAGGAAAAAATGCTGAGACAGAATCTTAGGTAACACCAAAATTTTATAGACAATTCAGGAAACAACATATTTATGAAATAATTTGGTAATTGATAGACTGGTAGGATAATTATTGAGTGGCATCATGGAAGCCAGAAGCGAGAGTTACTTAATTTTAGTCTGTATCTCCACAAATGGTGGTGGGAGAGTTCTTAGAAAAACCCAGTCCATTTTTAAGTCAGACAATCCAGGTGGACTTGTATAAAAAGAAGCAAAATATTTTTCTATCTCAAACTGCTCTCATTCATTGTAGTTGATGAGACGGATTACAATGACAGTCAGAATGCTTATTTTCACTTATAGTCAGAACCAGTAGCCAAAGGAGTAAAGTACTGGGATTGCCCAACAAAAGTGCTATCAAATTATCATAGAGCATCACTGTATTAGGGCTAATACATAAGAGTGGAACACTTTTAGGCTGTGAAATATTTTAGTCACCTTGTTTCATCATTTGATGGCGCAAGCATTTACTTACTACTGCCATTTTAAAAAGTAAAATTGGTGAGGCATTTGCATAGCTTTCTTTTTTCTCTGTCCAACTTTCCTCATACTGCCCTATTCTTCCTGAATTGGATGTTCAATTAGGGAACAGTGGGAATTAAAGATCACTTGAGCTTTCAGTATTTGTTAGTACATGTGACGTTGGCAAGATTTCTGAGGATGGAGAGTTCCGATAATAAACAATCACAATATGACTACAAAGAACAGCTTAAGATTTAAGTGAAGCACTGCAAAACAACTAGAAATAACATTTGTGTGTGTACTGTTCATTTACAGCTTCATCTGTGCAGTGTCAGGGACAAACTAAGGTCCCAGCTGCCTTTATCCATTTAATAAATTGTGATAATTAATAGCTATTATTCATGCATTTCAGCCTTTTCACATTTAATAACAGTTCATTCCAATCAAAAATATAAAAACATGATCAGAGTGGAGTGTGCGTGGGTGTCACAATGCAAATAGTAGATTGGAAACCTGCTTATGTACTGTCATTTGATTTCTTTCCAGCAGAGTATATTTTTCATTACCTCTGGAAAATGAAATGGGAAGCATTTCTGTGTAATTTTAAGAAAGATTTGACTGGCATCATAGTCAATTGGCCTCTTTTAAAATTTTTCCTCCTGTTCATTTGTTCAGATATAATTAGAGATTCTTTGCAAAATTTCAATGTCAATCCTTATTAATCTCTAATTTCTAATCATAGGCATAAGGGGTTTAGAAACTGTATTTCACATTTTATGGCTTTGGAGAAAAAAACTGACATGCTACTGGTTCGGTAAATTCCTGAATGCATTCCTCTTCATGTTTCCCCCAGGAGACAGTGAGGATAAAATGGAGTTTGTGGGAAGTTGAAGCTGAGTTCCAGCTCTTAAAACAATTATGGCTAGATCTATTGGTGGGCGTGATAGTTCTTGGTTGTACAACTCCAGTGAGAAAGAAGATAAATGAGGCTACAGCACCTGCAAGACACAGAGGCAAGATTAGCCAAGAATTAAGAGCCTCTTCTGAGAGTCACAGACACCTCTGAAAAGCCTGGCAAGAGCTAAGTATGTGAGGGGGCAGCGAAGACTACAAGATGGGAAGGAAAAACAAATGTGCTATTTTTAGGTTGCTACTTGATGTGAAATCAAATACTGATAGTTAAGTTATAACATAAAAGGTCAATCAGGAATTCAGTGTACAAGTCTTAGCACTTACTATTGGACAATTATACATAATTTAATATCCCTAGAAGAGAAAAAAATTGGTAGTGGTT
This sequence comes from Homo sapiens, assembly GCF_000001405.40. Taxonomy (NCBI): domain Eukaryota; kingdom Metazoa; phylum Chordata; class Mammalia; order Primates; family Hominidae; genus Homo; species Homo sapiens. The sequence continues at coordinate 9,805,973 of NC_000007.14, read as the reverse complement.
CAACAGCAAGATTTTATGCATGTACATTTATTGTGATCACTGGTTGCACTACTACAGTTTCAATAATTTTCTATGAACTTTAAGGGACATACCTTCTGTATGAGGATGATCTATGTACAAAGTATTTTGTAATCCTAATTTAAAAAATGACTTTTTTAAAGAGCAGCTTTTAGTTAACAACAAAACTGAGAAAAAAGTACAGAGAAATCCTATAGACACGTGTCCCTAAATATACATAGTCTCTATATTATCAATATCCCCAATCACAGTGGCAATTTTATTATAATTGATGAAGTTACATTGACACATTATTATTACCCAAAGTTTGTAGTTTACATTAGGCTTCACTCTTACTATTGTCCATTCCATGGGTTTTGACAAATGTAATAATGACATGCATCCACCATAATTTTCATTGATCTAAAAATTCTTTGCGCTTTGCCCTTTGACTTCTCCTTCTCCCCTAACCCCAGGCAACCATTGATCTTTTCACTGTTTCCATAATTTTGACTTTTCAAGAATGTCAGTAGTTACAATTATATAGTATGTAGCCTTTTTTAGATTGACTTCTTTCACTTAGTAATGCGAATTTAAGTTTCCTCCATGTCTTTTCATGGGTCAGTAGTTCATTTCTTTTTAGTGGTTAATGATATTTCATTATCTGGGTGTACTACTGTTTATTCATCGCCTACTGAAGGATATCTTAGTTGCTTCCAAGTTTTAACAAACTATGAATAAATATGGTCTAAACTCTCTGCAGGTTTTTGTTTGTAAATAAGTTTTAAACCTTTTAGGGTAAATATCAAGAAGTAAGATTACTGAACAATATGGTAAGAGTATTTTTAGTTTTGTAAGAAACTTCCAAACTGTCCTCAAAAATGGCTCCATCGTTTGCATTTCCATCAGCAGCAAGTGAGAATTCTTGTTGTTCCACACCCTCACCAGAATTTAGTGTTGTCAGTGTTCTGGATTTTAGCCATTCTAGTAGTAGTAGCTGATTGTCCTTTTAATTTGCAATTCCCTGATGGCATATAATGTTGAATATTTTTTCATATGCTTAATTTCCATCTGTATGTCTTCTTTGATGAGATGTTTATTCAGGTGTTTTTGCACTTTTTAAAATCAGGTTGCCTGTTTTCTTATCAAGTTTTAAACGTTCTTTATATATTTTAGATAATGGTTCTTTATAAGAGATGTCTTTTTCAACTACTTTCTCCGTCTGTGTCTTATCTTTTCATTCTCTTCAACATTGTCTTTTATAGAGAATAAGTGGGTCTTTTATTTTTTATTTGTTTTGTTTTGTTTTTCTGGAGATGAGGTCTGTGAATATTTGCAACAAACTCCTGGGGGATTGTGATGCACAATCAGGTTTGAGAACCAAGAAGAAGTTTCTAATTTAACTGAGGTCCATTTGATCAACTCTTTCTTTCATGGATAATGCCTTTGGTGTTGTATATAAAAAGTCATCGTCATACCCATGGTAATTGAGATTTTTCTCCTATGTTTTCCACTAGGAACTTTATAGCGTCATATTTTACTTTTAGGTCTATGATCTATTTTGAATTAATTTTTGTGAAGCATGTAGGGTTTGTGTCTAGATTCCATGTTTTTTTGCATATAAGTATCCAGTTTTTCCAGCACCATTTGTTGAAAAACCTATCTTTGTTCCATTGTTCTACCTGTGTTCCCTTGTCTCAGATCAGTGGATTTGATCTGAAGTGTAGAAATATTGAAATATTTATATGTCTATTGGTCTATTTGTCTATTCTTTTCCAATACCACACTGTCTTGGATACTGTTGCTTTGTAATAATTCTTGATGTTTGGTGGTGACAATCCTCAGACTTTATTGTCTTTCAGTATTGAGTAGGCCACTTGGGGTCTTTTGCCTCTTCATATAAACTTTAGAATCAATTTGTCAACATCCAACAAGTAACTTGCTAAAATTTTGTTTGCAATGGTATGAAATGTTTTTCATTTATTTAGCTCTTGTTTGATATGTTTTATCAGAATTTTATAGTTTCACTCCTACAGATCTTAGACATATTTTGTTGGATATATACCTAAGTATTTTAGTTTTTCAGTGCTAATGTAAATTATAATGTATTTTTAATTTCAAATTCCACTGGCTCATAGTTAGTATCTAGAAAATCCAATCCTAAAATTTTTGAAATCTGAATTTTATAAGATAAAACATTTATTTAATCAATTGTCTATATTATGTGTGAAAATGATCATGGTTACATACATATGGTTGCATGACAAATTATGTTTAATATAACACTCAGATAAATTTAAGGTACTCTTTCTATGAAAAGTCATTGTCATATGTATTATTATTAAAAATCAAATATTAATATTAAATGGCATCTATAAATATTATGTTAAATATTCCATTCTTATACTTCATTATTAATATCATGAAAATTTTTTTAAGTTCTGAATTTGTACAGTCTGGAGTTTGAGTCTGAGATTCACTACTTATTAACTATGTCTTCTGATTATCAACTTTATCATCTGGAGTTAAAAATGGATTATTACCTGTGGGTGGGATGTAAAGATTAAATAAGTTAAAGTATGTTAAAATCTTACAAATTTGCTTATAACATAAAAAGAGATGCAGAAAAACTAGCTGCTTTACCACCACCATTACTACCATCACTGTTACTACCACTACCGCTGCTCTAATGCTACTATTATATAGCCAAGTGTAATTTTAAAAAGCTCTGGAGGTAGAATCAGGACAACTAAAACTGCCCTAACTAGATGCGTAACTTCAGGTAAGTCAAAGAATTCTTAGCCTCCAGGATAAACTGGGTGACATAAAATTTTTTTTTCAGCCCTACAATTATATAAATATATATGAGAAATTATGATTATGCAATAATTAGAAAAAAGATTTATTGACATAAGAAGAAAATTATAGTGCAAAGAGTATGTTTGTTACTAAAATTTGAATTTCAATTAGTTATGTAGAGTGCAAAGAGAGATAAATAACTAATGACCTAAGAGGTTAGTTATTAATATACCTAAAAATTATAGAAAATACCTCAGAAACTTCCTTGAGTTGTCCTTCAATAACTATAAATTGTTTTCTATGATTTATTGTTGTTTATTATTTAGGCCTTTAATTATTTGACCTACCTCTCTCTTTAGGCTTGTCTAGACAACTTGTTTTTTTTTTTTTTTCCCCCAAAGGAAGCATGGCAATGCAGTCAGGTATTGTTTGTTTTTGAAGATAACATGGTGACAATTTTCAATTAAAGCACTAAAAATCTTAAATCTTCAACAACAGAAAAAGAGCTCCGTAAACTATAACATAATGACTTGACGAAACTCTATGCAAACATTTGGAGTTCTATTTACCAACTAGGCAGAACTTCATGTAAGAATAATCACTTCTGACCTGTTATGAGTTCATGTTAAGGGAAAACAAGGAGAATACAAAAGTTTGCAGGTTACACAAAATTACAAACATACATAGAAAAGAATATGCCCAGGAATATGGCAAATACTAATAGTATTTATGGTGGATTGTTGACTTTTTAGTGAGTATAATTTTTAATCACTAATTATTAACAAATTTACTTAATTAAATGTATTATTTTTCTGATAAAAAGTAAAATATTTTAAACTAGTCATCATGCTGTATATTGTCTCCAGTACTTTTTTGTCATATAACTAAAAGTTTGTACCCTTTCATTAATGTCTCCCTTTTCACTTTTTTAAAGATTCTACATGTGAAATCATGCAATATCTGCTATTGTGCATCTGGTTATTTCACTTAGTATAACGTCTTCAAGATTCATTCATGTTGTCAAAAAAGTCAGGGTTTTCTTCTTTTTAGGAATGAATCATATTCCATTGTGTGTTTGTGTGTATCCATGTCACATTTTTAAAATCTATTAATCTGTTGACAGGATGCAGACCACCCCCATATCTTAGCTATTGTAAATAATGCTGCAATGAACATGAGAGTGCAAATATCTCTTGGAGATGGTAATTTATTTCCTTTGGATATATTTCCAAAAGTGAGTTTGCTGGATCATGTGGTTATTTTATTTTTAAATTTTGGGGGAACCTGCATACTGTTTTCAATGATGGTTGTACAAATTATAATTCTTGCCAATAGAGCATGAGCATTCCCTTTGTTCCACATTCTTGCCAATGTTATTATCTCTTGTCTTTTGGAAAATAGCCATCTTAACATGTAAAGAGAAAGCTCATGATTTTGATTTGCATTTTCCCATGATTAGTGACGTTGAGCACATTTTTTATACCCATGTTTTCCATTTGCATGTCTTTTTTGGAAAAAGTCTGTTCAGATCCTTTCCCATTTTTTAATCGGATTATATATTTTTGCTATTTAGTTGTATGAGTTGCTTATATATTTTGGATAGTAACCTCTTATCAGATATATGGTTTACAAATATTTTCTAGCATTGCGTAGGTTGCTTTTTCCTTTGGTTGATGTTTCCTTGCTATGCAGGAACATTTTAGTTTGATGTACCCCACTTGTTTATTTTTGCTTTCATTGCCTGTGTTTTTGAAGGCCAAATCTGGAACAAAAATGCAGAGACCATTGTGAAGGACCTTTCCTCCTATATTTTTTGTAAGCGTTTAATAGTGTTAGGTCTTATGTAATTCCTCAATCCCTTTTGAATTGATTTTTATAAATGATGTAAGAGAAGGATTCACTGTCATTCTTTTGCATGTGGATATCTAGTTTTCAAAACACCATTTATTAAAAACACTAACCTTTTTCCCATTGAGTTTTCCTACTGTGTCAAAGATGAATTTATTATATATAAGTGAGTTTATTTATGGGTTCTCTCTTTTGTCCCATTGGTCTATGTATCTATTTTTATGCTAATGCCACATGGTTTTTATTACTATAATTTTGTTGTATATTTTGAAATCAGGGAGTATGAAGCCTCCACCTTTGTTCTTCCTGCTCAAAAATTGCTTTAGCTATTCCGGATTTTTTTGGGACTCTGTACACGTTTTAGGATTTTTAGTTAATTATAAAAGTATTATATATCTGAAATTTCCTAAAAAGAGTAGATCTCATGTGTGCTCACCACACACACACACACACACACACACACTCAAACACACACACATACACGATGGCAACTTATGTGAGGTGATGGCTATGTTAATTAGCTTAATTGTGGTAATTATTTCACAAAGTATACATATATCAAAACACCACATTTTATACCTCAAATATATATATTTTTGTCCTTCATACCTCAAGAAAGCTAGGAAAAATAAATGAAAAATTAAGCTTCAGTAATATTTAAAATAAAATCGATGGTGGTATATGTATAATATACAGATTTGTATATATATAGAAAATTCAAAATGTCTAATAGTTACACATTTAAAGAAAGTTTGCAAATCATGTCTCGTAAAACTGAGTGCCCATCCCTATTCCAGGTCCCAATGGTAGTGGGGAGAAGGAGGGACCCAATGAGTACTCTTTCAGGGAAGCACAACATCATTAAAGATGAAGAAGTTGCTACTCTGCATTACAAGGATATGAAATAAGCATTTAGTTTTTATAAAGTACAGATAGAGAGATCAAAAAACTCTTTGCAAATTTGAGTTTCTAATGGCGAATAAAAAATGAACCATTTAATCTACACAAAGCTTCATCTTGCCTGGGATTTATTCTCTAACAGAGGCAACAACTACAGTTTTCAAGACTTTTATTCCGTATTCCATTCTAGGAAAGAAGAAATGGAGTTCAAGCATTAACTATAGAAAGACTTGATTGAGCTGAGGCCCTGTATTTTGGTGTACATGATCTAGACAGATATTTAAGTTCTTAAGACTTTAGCATGTAAATTCTTTGTAAAAAGCAATATTTTGCAATTTAAAAACAATGCATCATTAGTCATTAGAAAAATGCAAATCAAAACGAAAATGAGATACTATTTAATACTGAATGGCTATGATCAAAAAGCCATAATAACAAATGTTGACGAGGATGTAGAAAAATTGGAACTAACACTGCTGGTGGGAATTTAAAATGGTACATTCAACTTTGGAATGCAGCTTTAGAAAAGCTTTGGAATGCCATTTAGAATGACAATTTCTCAAAAGGTTAAAAATAGAATTACCATATTACCTAAAAATTTCACTCCTGGATATATACCTGATATTTGAAAAGTTATGTCCACACTGAAAACTTCTACCTGAATCTTGATGACAGCATTATTCATAGGTGCCCAAAAGTGGAAACAACCCAAATGCCCATTAGCTGCCAAACGGCTAAACAAAAATGTAGTATATCCATACAATGAAGTATTATTCAGCAATAAAAGGTGTTAGATGCTGGATACTTGCTCCAATATGAATGGCCTTTGCAAACATCATGTTAAGCCAGTCACAAAAGACCACATATTGTTTGTTTCTATTTATATAAAATGTCAAGAATAGAAGAATCTATAGACAAAATGATTAGTGGTTCCAAAGGGCTAGGAGTTGAGGTGATTTTTTGGGGGTGGAAGGTAATAATATTTTAAAATTGAAGTGATAGTTGTGCAATCCTATGAATATACTAAACCACACTGAATTGTATTATTAATTTTTTTACCCTAAAATGTAGGTTTCTCTTATCCTTTTATTAAAATACAATATTTATACAGTAAAGTATAACTTGTTTAGTGTGCAGTCCTGTGAGTTACGGCAAATTCATAAAGTTGCATAACCACCATTACAATCAAGATATAGAACAATACCTACCTTGACATATAAAATTTCCCCCCTCGCTTTTTTTTTTTTTTTTTTGACAGAGTCTTGCTTTGTCACTCAGGCTGGAGTGCAGTGGTATGATGTCAGGTCACTGCAACCTTCACCTCTCGGGTTCAAGTGATTCTCCTGCCTCAGCCTCCAGAGTAGCTGGGATTACAGACACGTGCCACCATGCCCGGCTAATTTTTGTATTTTTAGTAGAGATGAGGTTTCACAATGTTGGCCAGGCTGGTCTTGAACTGCTGACCTCAAGTGATCCTCCTGCCTTAGCCTTTCAAAGTGCTTGGATTACAGGCATAAGCCACCATACCCAGGCCCCCATGTCCTTTTCAAGTCAACAAGTCAACAACACCTTCCTCCTCCGCACCCCTAGCAACCACTGGTCTTTGCGTTTTTGTTTTAAATCTCGTTAGTTTTATCTTTGCAAAAATGTCACATAAATCAAATAATGCACTTTCCAGCCTGCCTTCTTTCATGTAGCATAAGGAACTTGATGAGATCTATTTATGTTGTCGCATGTATCAATAGGTCATTCATTTGTTATTGATGAATATCATTCCATTGGATGGAAGTGTCTGAATTTGTATACATATTTTCCAGTTGAGGAACAGTTATTTCCAAGGTTGGCCAAATATTAATAAAGCAGATAAGAATTCACATATGGGTATTTGTATTAACATAAGCTTTCATTTCAGTTGAGTTAATGAATAGGACTGTGATTGTTGGGTCATATGGTAAATTTATGTAAACTTTTTTGTTGTTGTTGTTAACAGAGATTTGCTCTGTTGCCCAGGCTGGAGTGCAGTGGTACGATCTCAATTCACTGCACCCTCCACAGACATGCGCCACCACGCCTGGCTTATTTTGGTATTTTTTGAAGAGACAGGGTTTCATCATGTTGGCCAGGTTGGTCTCAAACTGCTGGCCTCAACTGATCCACTCGTCTTGGCCTTCCAAAGTGCTGAGAGTACAAGCTTGAGCCACCGTGACCAACCTATGTAAACCTTTGAAAGAAACTGCCAAACTGTCTTCCAAAGTAGCTGTGCCATTTTGCATTCAAACGATAGATCAAGCTTATTTGTTCAGCATCTTCCCTATAACTTGTCAGTAACGTCAGACTTTTACTTTTAAAAAATGTATATTTTGAAAAATACCAAAACCAACATATTTTTCCTTCATGTTAAACTCTTTTGTAAAAAATCATTTTTTTAATTGAAAAATCTACATGGATCACATAGCAATTTTATTTGGAGGTAAATAAATAAACAGACGTGGTGGCAGACGTTTGTAATCCCAGCTACTTGGGGGAGGCTGAGGCACAAGAGTCACTTGAACCTGGGAAGCGGAGGTTGAAGTGAGCCGAGATCGTGCCACTGTACTCCAGCTTGTGCGACAGAGCCAAACTCCGTTCAAAAAAAAAGAAAAAGGTTTACATAGATATACCATATGACCCAACAATCACAGTCCTAGACATTAACTCTTATGTTAAAAGAATTTTATTTAGAGATAAGTAAAATTTCTCAAAAAGTAGAATTTTCTTATTTAAAATAACAGAATTTTCCTTTCCTTTGCTCTGAACCACCTATTGAGCTGATCTAAAACCCATTAACTATAAAATTATTTCAGCTTCGTATCAATTAATAAAAGTATACATATACTTTTATATTAATATATATACTAATAAATATATATATGTTTTATTAGAAAATGTAGTAAGCAGACTTCTTCCAGCATTCCCTGAAACGAAACGGACTTTTTGCGTTTGCGCACCTTTTATCAGAAACTATCAAGGAGGCAAAGTTTTTTCAAAGTAAAACATAAACTCTCAGCCTCATGATAATTAGTGGTATATATTCAAGTTACACAAGGAACACAACACGCAGTTTATCCCCTGAGTCCTCCTTGGTCATGGAGCACATGAAGACCTCTGTGGCATTTACCACGCATTGACTCAGCACATTTTGATCCTGGTTTATCATGGCTTATGTAAAGTGCAGATGTAGAATTCTACTATGCTTATGAATTAGCTAGATGATTTTTAGTGCAAATCAAAATTGTTTTTATTATCGTTGACTGTAACTGCTTTGAACTAGAAAATATTTTCAATACTGGAAAAATTAGCTCTTTTCTTCTGAATGTTTTTTTTATTTTATTTATTTTATTATTATACTTTAAGTTTTAGGGTACATGTGCACAATGTACAGGTTTGTTACATATGTATACATGTGCCATGTTGGTGTGCTGCACCCATTAACTCGTCATTTAGCATTAGGTATATCTCCTAATGCTGTCCCTTCCCCCACCCCCCACCCCACAACAGTCCCCAGAGTGTGATCTTCCCCTTCCTGTAGTCCATGTGTTCTCCTTGTTCAATTCCCACCTATGAGTGAGAACATGCGATGTTTGGTCTTGTCTTTTAATTAATACAATTTGTATCTAAATATCTTGTTTATTTCTGCAATCATTTTAAATTTTATCTATTGAATATTTTAAGTAGAAAAAAGTTGTCAGTAAATTGTCTCAATATCTTCTGCCCCACACTTCCCTGTAATTGGAGAGAACCAGCAACAAAAATCCCAGTTTCCACAGCCTAACAAAAAGATCCATATTTATTTGTAATTTTGTTCAGCTTCTGTGCTTGAATCTGTATTGAAGAGAGAGGGAGAGAGAAATCTGAAAGAGAAAATATTTCTTATTTTTTAGATGCCTAGTACCAATAATTGCTCTGGAATTAAATTACAGAGAATGAGTCATAATATAAGTTAAGCCACCACAATGGCTCTCTAAGGGCTCTATCCACTAATAACATATGCTCATTCGTGTGCATTTTCAAGTGGCTTACCCAAAAGGATCTCATGACCCACCACTTCTTAGAAAATTATAGGTCAGTAATAGCCCTCACCCAAGGGGTTGCTTCCCATTTAATGTTATTACAGCCATGTTTGAGACATCACAAAAGGAGAGAAAGGATTAGTGAAGAAAGTAAAATAGAATGAGGGATGGCAAAATGGAGTAAATTGTTTTCCACTGTACATAAAATGGAGGAAGAGGAAGGACTGATTTAATCAATTCTTGAATTTACGCATGATAATATACAAACATTCAAAGTTTAAATGTATACTTGCTATGTTATAAACAAAAACAAATACAACAAAAAGGCGTTTATGTGAAAGCAACAGAACTATGTGTTTGGTCTATGATAATCATGTAAGAAAGCATCAGAATCAGAATATCTCTTCAGAATCTCATCTGATGGATACCTGAATCCAAACTGCAAATACGTACTTTTCTGCTTAGTGACTAGTTGAATGGCTTTCAAGATTGATGTGCCTTATTACTGAGTGGACAATCCTAAACCCAAAAGCACAAACAGGTGGTATTTTACTCTGCCCAAATTCAAAGCTAAGTATCAGTGTGAATCATTCTGTACTGCAGGCAGGAACACTGAGAGAGCATTTCTGTCCTCTGAATACCAAAGGTGATACTCAGGGAAAGCAGAGTTAAAGGTGAAGGCTTTACTGATAACATAGCATGTTGGATACATAAAGGGTGGGCAATACTTGAGAGTGAGTGCTTTTCAAGTAAAAACAAGAAAATGGGGAAAACAGTCAAAAAAAGAATAAATTATCAGAGAAGTGGCATGCATAGCAAAACACAAGTGTCAGACAAATGTCAAAAATATGTGGTGCTGATTGAGTCTGCCAGTGGTGAGAGATGGAGTTAACAATTACGTTGGGAACAGGTTATGTACAAAATTCTGTGTAATTATAATTAGTGTTCAGGGTATTTACTATCACTTCATTCCAATGCTTAAAACTGTTCAATGGTTCCCCCTGACTCATTTGGTTAATATGTTTTGAGTGAACATTATGGCAAGGTATAGTACTTGGTGCAGTGGTAAACAAAACAGAAGAACAGAAAGCTATGGTAATATATAAGAAAAAACTTCTAGTGAGGGTTTGAGAGGTCTATTAGATTCCTATTGATGCATAAAAATTACCCATATATTTAGCAGCTTAAATAAATTATAAATTATTTTCTCTTTTTTCAGGAGCTTGGACACATAATAACTGGGTTCTTTACTCGGGGTATCATAAGACAGAAATCAAGATGTTGGCTGGGGTTGCAGCCTCATTTGGAGTTCAGAGTCTGATAGGGTTAGGCTTTGTATCCCCACCCGAATCTCATCTTGAATTACAATCCCCATAATCCCCATGTGCCAAGGGAGAGACCAGGTGGAGGTAATTGAATCATGGGGGTAGTTTTCTCAAGCTGTTCTCCTGATAGTGAGTGAGTTCTCAGGAGACCTGATGGTTTTATAAGGGGCTCTTTCTCCTTTGCTTGCCACTTCTCCTTCCTGCTCCCTTATGGAGAAGGTGCCTTGCTTCCCGTTCGCTTTCTGCCGTGATTGTAAGTTTCCTGAGGCCTCCCAAGCCATACTAAATTGTGAATCAGTTAAATCTCTTTCCTTTATAAATTACTCAGTCTTGGGCAGTTTTTTATAGCAGCAGGAAAATGGGTTAACATGGGGCTCTTTTGCAAGCTTAATCAAAACTGCTGGCAGAATTCAGTTCTTAGTGATTGTATGACTGAGCTTTCCTGTGGTCGTCTGCAAAGACAGCTCACAATGTAACTGTTGGTTTCTTCTAGGCCAGCAGAGAGAGTTCTCTGATACTTCACCTTCTTTTAAATGTTACTCTGGCTAGGTCAAGCCCACCCAGGATAATATCCCTTTGAATTAACATAAAAACAGCTGATCAGTAACCTAATCTTGGAGTGATATTCAGTAATATTAGTAGGTCTTGCCCACACTCAAGGAATGGAGATTATATAGAATGTGGGTTATTGTGGATTATCTTTGGATTCATTATATCACTCTAAAATTTCCCTGAGGAGGTGATGTACTACTTGAGACCTAAAAGGTGGGTTGAAATAATGCAGGCAAAGAATGGCAGTAGGTTTACTGTAGCTTGGGAAACCAGTATGCATACATCTGGAGGTAGAAGAGAGCACAGAAAATCTAAAAAACTTGTAGAATCCCAGCTTAGTCTGGGGGAAGAAATATATATGATAAAAGAGTTTATAAGACCATGCATGCTGTAGCACCAATAATGCACCACCTGCTTCATTTATCACCACTTTCATGCTTGAACTCTGTACTTGAGCTACACTAAATTTCATTCTCTTCTTTCGTGGAGTCATATTAAATTTCCTTTAGTTCAAAGCACCATGCTCTCTCTTACCCCAGAGTTCCAGCGTGACTCTTTAGCAGAAGATTAACTAAACTGAAATAAGAAGGACGAACAGGAATTATCCTGATGAAATTATTGACACCAAACACAGGTTAAGTGCCTTGTTTTGTACTACCTTAGCAGACTATAATCCCACATACCATCACATACCACACTGCACTGAAATAGTCCATTTTTCTATTTTGTTTTCCCCTAACAAATGTAAGATCTGTATTCACTATTTGCTATGGTCTGTGTGCCCTTCCGGTTTCAGGTGTTGAAACTTAATCTCTATTATGGTGGTGTTAAGAGGTGGAGACTTTAGGAGGTGATTTTTCCATGAGGGCTCTGCTCTCATGAATAGATTAGTGCTTTACGAAGGGCTGGAGTGAACTAGGCTTTTTTTACTCTTCTGCTTTTCAGCCATGTGAGGACACAGTGTTTGAGTCACCATTTTGAAAGCAGAGAGATGGGGACCTCACCAGACAGGGAACCTGCTGGTGCCTTGATCTGGGACCTCTCAGGCTACAGAACTGTGAGAAACAAATTTCTGTTGTTTATAAATTAGTTAGTCTATGGTATTTTTTTATATCAGTACAGATGGACCAAGACATTATTATATCCTTGATATAATATATAATATATATTATTATATAATATATATTATATAAAATTATAATATATATTATTATATAATATATATTATATATAATTATAATATATATTATTATATAATATAGCATATATATTATATAATATAATAATAATATATAATATTATTATTATAATATAATATATTATGTATATTATAATTATATTATATCAACTAGCCTAATTTTAAATGAAGTAATAGATGCTGAATGAGGATTTTGATGATGACAACGAGGATAAGAACAAGGAGGATAAAAGAAATCAGTGCAATATTAAGAATCAACTTTTAGAAAATATCAAATTACTTAACATCAAACCATACCAATATTGTCTACTCACTGATAAACTGCAGTCAATTTCAGCAATAACTGAGTCAAAGCAAAGCTCAGTCGCAATACCTCTGGCCATCAAAAGCTGTTGATTTCATGTGTATAATGCTCTTTATGTTAAGAGCTGAAAGATTTACGTGAAGGGATAAATTCTAAAGCTGAAGGTCTGCTACACTTTGAATGTATTTAAATAAGCAAAGTGTTGTTTTAATTGGCTTGCACTTAACAAATATTGTGCATCAGTCTTTTATTAAAGCAGTTAGAAGGTTAGAATGCTGCTGAAGAGACATCCTTACCTTGAGGCTGTACATACACACAAGGAAGAATATATCATTGACTCACCTCCCGTCTCAGTAAGCTTCACTTTGGCCTCGACAGTCAATACATTGTAGTCAAGTTTCCATTCTTGGTAACGGTTTGACAACATTACACTGATTAAGTTAATAAAAGAACACTTTAAAAGTCTTCAAATAGAGATTGCTCCCCTATGAGAAATTATTATTCTTTTTTCCCCCTAAAGCTCTCAGAGTTAAAATAATTCCCAGTCGAAATGTTTTGTGATTAGGTTTAGAGACTATAATTGAGGGGGAAACTCAGAACCAATATCTGTCAGCCAGTGAGCACTTGTTCTGTGATCATGGCTAATGCAGTATATTCAAAGGCAAGTTTTAATGACAGTATGAGATAACACATCAATAGTAATTATTTTATACACTATAGAGTTGGATGTTGTTTTTCTAAATATTTCATGATCAAGAGTCATATGACCTCAGAAGTATACTTTTGTCACATAACACTGACATATCTACATAATAGATGAACTATTGGACATTGTAAAATATTTTTTATATTTTTAATTGTCTTAGTTTACTAGGGCCACCATAATAGAGTATCACAAACTGGATGTCTTTCAATGACAGAAATTTATTCTTTCACTCTCTGGAGGCTACTAGTACAAAATTAAGGTGTTGGTAGGGTTATGCTCCTTCTGAAGGCTGTAGGGAAGAACACTTCCTTGTGTCTTTCTAACTTCTCATGGATTTGGGTAGTCCTTGGCATTCATTGACTTATACCTGCATCATTCCAATCTCTATCTCTATTGTCACATGGTGTTTCTCCCATGTATGTCTTCACATGGCCTTCTATATGGATACCAGTCATTGGATTTAGGGCCCACCCTAATCCACTATGACTTCATCTTCAATAATAACATCTGCAAATACCCTACTTCCAAAGGAAGATTACATTCTGATGTTTCAGATGGACTACATTTTAGGGGAATACTATTCAACCCCACACCTTGTTGTGGATACTTTTATTTTTTCTTCATAGAGGCAGTGTAAATTTTAAATTTATTTAATATTTGCCCAAGATTTCAGCATTTCGTTATTTTTTTCTAAGTGGTATCCATTTCAATTTTATTTTCTTAATGTTCGTATTTAACTTGCATGTATTTAGTATTTAATATTTAATATGAAGAATTTATTGTGGTTATACAATAGCTTTATTGAATACAAATGTATAAAAATGTGCAATAGTAAATTTACCTCTTCTTTTTAAAAAAATTCTTCTATTCAGTTTAAATTCTTAATTTACAATCTAGATTCAGAATTTCAAAATAATATTAAATGATAATGGTGATGGTAGGCCTCCATAGTTAATCTGTGTCTCTTTCTTTTTACACACACACACACACACACACACACACACACACACACACACCCGATACATAACTTTGTGGCTCATTGAATGCCTTTCCAAAAATTACTAAGCTGACAATATAAGATTATAATTTGATTTTTCTCAGTTGATCCTGCTAGACTCTAGACTGTAAGCTTCATCAGGGCAGGATCATAATACTTGTTTCATTTAATAGTATTTCTAGTGCCTAGAATAATGCCTTCATGGAGAAAGCACACAACACAACAAACATTTGTAATCAATTAAGAACAGAGGTCACAATTTTACATATTAATAGTTTTCTTGATATTAAACAATTGTATTCCAATCTATTGTATAATAGTAAAATATTCTTTAAGTATATTATCAATTTTTACTTATTTAGAATTTTCCCATCTCTGGTTGTTAATTTCTTGTGTCTCTCATGTCAAGTTTTGATAAGTATTTTTAATGCTTCTTAGATTTTTCTATTTTTATTCCTTCTCTTTTCTTTGGAGATTTAAAATGGATACACTCTGTTTCTAATTTGATTAGTAACAAACTTGCAATTCCCAGAAATAGACACTAAACTTTCCTTCCAACTGAAAATCACTGGTGCCTATAGGGCATACAGAGAAGTAGAAATGGGGAATAACATGTTAGAGGGGAGAGAGACGTAACTGGCTTTAGCCAACTCAGAAAATAATATTGAAGCAGATCCCATTCCATTTTCATGTCATTGCTCTTTTATCACCAAGCCAGGCCCACGAGGAACAAGTGGCTCAAAGTTTTTCTTCCCTTCCTTTTTTGTAGCCATGCTGCTCTGGCTCATTTCAGAAACTTGTGCACTGTAACAAAGGATAATTTATCTCAAGATCCTGTAATGTTGAATCTTCAATCTCCAATGTCGAGATGTAGAGCGTGTTGAGTACCCCATGTGTATTTCAATGGGAAGATGGAAAATGTTAAATGATTGTTAAGCAGACTTTTATAATGTACTTAGATATTTGATATTAGAATGACACCTTAGGTAACATCTATGCTATTGTTTTATGTATGGTGTGATGAATTTGGGTACCAATAAATTTTGTTTTATTAGGAGAGAAAATATAGTTATATACATACATATCCCCCAAATCAGTTTTAGTTCAGTTATGTTATTTTAGAAATAAAGTATAAATCTGAAGAGTTCTTATATTACTTTACATGAATTTGCTATATAGAGATAAAATTTTTAAAAAATTGTTGAAATAGATTTATTTCTTCAATAGTTTCCTTTAGAGAACAATTTTCTGTCATATCATGGAGTATTACAAGATGACAAGGCCAACAATTGTGCTGGCCTGACATTTTATAATAATAGGAAATTAATATTCAGGATAATGTATATTCATTAAATGGCTATGTCTCTTGCAAATGATAGCAATGATATGGGACTAACGGGGCTAATTTCTAGTTTATTGTAAAATAGCTTTCACTTCTCCAGGCTGGAAATCTAAAGCATTTGAATAGCATTGTTTGCTATTCAGTTTTATGTTTAGCATCCTGTTAATGAGCTTATATAATAATATCCAGCAGTGGCCAAAAAAAATTTGGTGGATTTGATTTTTTTGAGGCATATCTGAAAAGTGGGAATTACATACTTACTAAAGACAAAAGACTTCCTTCATTCTCCAAGGAACATTAACTAGATCAGCATTTTCAAATCTCAACAAATGGTTATTAGATTGGATTGAATTAATCTCCTATACATTGCATAGTGGTTTGTCAACATATCCATATGGACATGTTAAAAAAATTGAAATTTTGGCAAAATCAGGCTCCCCACTTAGCTGTTTCTCAACAAGAGACAAATGTTACAGATGGGATTCATAATTACTTTCAAGGGGACACAGGATCATCTTAATGGCTACTAAAATTTGTGCTTTTACAACTCAAACTAATACCTGCAAATGTCATTTGCAATCTCTTCTGACCATATTTGGCAAACTAGAGTAATTTTAATACCAATCATTGCAATTTTGAAAATGCCGTTGCTGCATTGCATGCCTATTATTTTATTTCACTTATGTTTTAAAGACATAGCAGTTAGATTTACTCCAACAATGAAAATGAATTTTTATGCCATTTAAACTTAATAACAATTATTTGGCTATGAGTATTTAGTTTAGATATTTTTATGTGGATAATTTGATAATTGGTGGTAATTTTGTAAAGCAGTATCTTCTTCCATAAAAAGAAGGGAATTCCATTATTTCAATAGCATGGATGAACCTGGAGGACTGTTTTGAGAGTGCCCAGCTAAATTGGGTCACGGTACCAGAGAAGTTAGTGGCCCTAAAAGGAAATGCCATAAGAGGAAATGAAGGTGATATTGTTTGGATATTTGCCCCTTCCAAATCTCATGTTAGAAATGTCACTCCCAGTGTTAGAAGTGGATCTTATGTTTGGGTCATGGGGGTAGGTCCCTCTGGAATGGCTTGGTACCTTCCCTACAGCAATGAGTTCTTGTTCTGTTAGTTTACACAAGAGCTGGTTGTTATAAAGAGCCTGGTATTGGCCAGGCATGGTGGCTCACTCCAGCACTTTGGGAGGCTGAGGCACGCAGATCATGAGGTCAGGAGTTCGAGACCAGCCTGGCCAATATGGTGAAACCCCGTCTCTACTAAAAATACAAAAATTAGCCACGCATGGTGGCAAGCGCCTGTAGTCCCAGCTAGTCAAGAGGCTGAGGGCAGAAGAATTGCTTGAACCTGGGAGGCAGAGGTTGCAGTGAGCCAAGATTTTGCTACTTCACTCCAGCCTGGCGACAGGGCAAGATTCTGCCTCCAAAAAAAAAAAAAAAAAAAAAAAAAGAGCCTCGTATCTCTCTTGCTTGCTCTTTCACTGTGTGATATGCCAGCTTTCCCTCCATCTTCTGTTATGATTGTAAGCCTCCTGAGGCTTTCACCAGAAGCAGATGCTGGCATCATGCTTTCTGTACAGCCTGCAGAATCATGAGCTGAAATATAAAACTCTTTTCTTTATAAATTACCCAGTCTTGGGTATTCCTTTATAGCAACACAATGAACTAACACAGAAAATTGGTACTAAGGAGTGGAGCATTGCAATAAAGATACCTGAAAATGTGGAAGGGGCTTTGGAACTTGGTGACAGGAAGAAGTTGGAAGAATTTGCAGGACTTAGAAGACAGGAAGATGAGGGAAACTTTGGAACTTCTTAGAGACTGGTTAAATGGTTGTGACCAAAATGGAGATAGAAAATATGGACAGTGAAGGCCAGGCTGACAAGTCCTTAGATGGAAATGATGAAGTTATTGGGAAATGGAGCAAAGATCACCTGTGTCATGCCTTAGCAAAAAATTTGGCTGCATTGTGTCCATGTCCTAGGGATTTATGGAAGGCAAAACTTGAGTGATGATTTAGGATACCTGGCAGAAGAAATTTCTACGCAGCAAAGTGCTCAACAGTCTGCTAAGACAGTGCTGATGGGGAATGTGGGGTTGGATCCCCACATAGAGTCCCCACTGGGGCACTTCCTAGTGGAGCTGTGGGAAGAAGACCACCACCCTCCAGGGTCAATATTGGTTGAGCCACTAGCGGCATGCATCCTGGGCCTGGAAAAGCTGCAGGCACTCAATTCCCGCCTGTAAGAGTAGCCATAGGGACTGCACCCTGCAAAGCCACAGGGGCAGAGTTGCCCAATGCCTTGGGAGCCCACTCCTTGAACCAGTATGCTCTGGATGTGGGACATGGAGTCAAAGATGATGTTGGAGCTCTAAGGTTTAATGTATGCCCTGGTGGATTTTGGATATGTGTGGGGCCTGTTACCTTTTTCTTTTGGCCACTTTCTCCCTTTGGAATGTGAATGTTAACCCAATGCCTGTGCCATCATTGTACGTTGGAAGTAAATAACTTATTTTTGATCCTACAGGCTCATAGGTGGAAGGGACTTGCCTTGAATCTCGGATGAGACTTTGGTCTTTGGACTTTATGTCATAAAAAGTTAAGAATTTGGGGGACTGTTGGGAAGAGATTGTTGTATTTTGCAATGTTAGAAGGACGTGAGATTTGGGGAGCCAGGAGTACAATAATATGGTTTGGATATTTGTACCCTCCAAATCTCATGTTGAAATGTGACCTCCCCAGTGTTGCAGGTAGAGCCTAGTGAGAAGTGTTTGGTCATGAGGGTGGATCCCTCATGAATGGCTTGGTGCCCTCCCCACAGTAATGAGTTCTTACTCTGTTAGTTCACACAGGAGCTGGTTGTTTAAAAGAGTCTGGTGTCTCTCTCCTGCTCACTCTCTTGCCGTGTGATATGCCTGCTTTCCCTTTGTCTTCTGCCATGGCTGTAAGATTGTTGAGCCCTCACTAGAAGCACATGCTGGCAGTATAGCCTGAAGAATCATGAAATAGAACTTTATAAATTACCCAGTCTCAGGTATTCCTTTATAGAAACACAAACAGACTAACACAAAAGAGAGCTAAAAGTGAGTGTGTATAGTGAGCCTTTTAAGGAGTGCTTCTTTTACTTGGCAAACAGCCTAATATTTAGTTGTCTAACCTGTGACCAGGACCTCCCTCACATAGGCAAGGAGTTTATACTGGCAGATGCCCTTGTGACTCTAGTCTGACCCACGTCCATTCCCTCTGATGCTGGGGCAGCCTTTAATTCTTCAGATGGAAAGTGAAAATTTAATACACCACCTCAATAAAAAACAAGTTCAAAGAGTTTTTGTTTACAGATCCTGGGCAAGGAGGGCACAATGAGCTGGGAAGGCAGTGTTCAGTCCTCAGGTCAAGCAAGGAAGCAATGAAGAGTCAGACAAAGAAAGAGAGCGTGTGGCAACTGGAAGTATATAATATAAGGGAATAGGATGTGGGCCACTTAAACTGGAAAAGCTGGGAGTCCAGTCAATGAGGCAGGGGAGACTTCTCTAAGTTTTCATCTCTAGCCACCAGCTTGTGCCACTTGGGCATGGTATAGAACTGGAAACTGTATCAAGGGTCATTGAGTCCTGATTCTGGTACGAGAAAATAAAACTTGTAGTCAAAATGGATGCTGAGACAATATAAAATTATGAGAATTAACTACAAGGACATTGTGTTAATTCAAATAAGCAAGGCAGAGATAACTACCACAGGATCTTACTAATCTGTGAAATCTAAAGAAGTTGATCTCATACAAATAGAGAGTAGAATCAAGGTTACTGGGGCTGGGGTGCTTGGAGCAGAGGGTTGAGGAGATATTGGCCAAAGGATACAAAATTTCAGTTAAGAAGAATACATTCAATAGATCTACTGTGCAATACAGTAACTATAGTTAGTAATACAGTCTTGTGCCATGTTTTGGTCCGTTACAGACTACATATAGGATGATAGTATCATATGATTTAATAATGTATTTTTATTGTACCCTTTTAATGTTTACTTATGCTGAGATATGCAAATACTATTGTTCTACAATTGCCTACAGCATTCAGTACAGTAATATGCCATACAGGTTAGTAGCCTGGGAGCAATAGGTTATACCATACAACCCAAGTGTGTTGTAAGCTATACCATCTAGGTTTGTATAAGTAATTTCTGATGTTTGCACAGTGATGAAATTGCCTGAAACGCATTTCTCAGAATGTATCCCCATGGTTAAGTGACAAATGAGTGTATATTGTATTCTTGAAAAATGCTAAGGGATTGGACACGAAGTAATTTTTTGCCATAAAAATGATAACTATGTGAGATAATGCATATGAGAATTATCTAGGTTTAGTCATTCTGCAATGACTATATACTTCAAAACATCATGTCATACTAGGTGAATTTATCTGTCAATTTAAAACAAAAAAAAAATTGGAATTGCTGTATAACTTGGATTAGACCCAGAACTATAGTATAAGGAAGTTCTGACTCTGCCTGAAGGCATGCCTCATTGGGACCTGTGGGCAGAAGTAGGATTGCCAAACGCCTACACATGAGTCTTAATTAAGTGTCTTACTTAGAAAGTAACACCCTCTACCCAACTACTTTTTAAAGTATATAAAAATGTTCTTGATTTTGTAAGTGCAGCATACCTATTTTAGGTTTTCTTGTCAGGATTTACAATCATGTACTCCTTCAGCATTATCAAACACCTGATTGTGAAACATAGGGTTCATGGAGGATTGTCTGAAGGGCATGGTCCTCAGATATTCAGCTATGCCTACATGTCCTTAACCTAGAATCAATGATTTTTTATGATGTACATGTGTAGTTTTCAGACACACCCAAGTGTGAAAAGTAAAGTTTATAGAGGATTGCCTGAATGGCATGGTCTTCAGATTTTCAGCTATGCCTAGGTTTCTTTAACCTAGAATCAATGGTTTTTAGAATGTACTTGAGTAGGTTTCAGATGGCCCTTCAAGCCCCTGGATAGGGCTTGATACACTGATGAAAGCATGCATGCCAAATATTTTAAATATTTCAAGAAAAGAGTATATAACTTCAATTAGATTATCATTTGAAAGATTACTACATGTTATTCACCTGCTAACGCTTTTCAAATCTCTGTATCTATGGCCTAGATATTTCAAAAATCATTATTCGCTGTTCTGTAATCAAGTAATTGATGAAAAGAATAGGAACAGTTGAGTACTAAGATTAAAGACCAGTAGTTCCCTATATTCACAACAGAATCACTTGGGTGCTTTTTTTTAAAAGATACACCATCACATTGTGTCCTTTGCATATGGAATGAAAAAAGTATGGTGAAAACTGTTAACTGTATGTTTCAGAAAACGTTTCATGTTGTTCTTATGGACTAAGAAACATTGATTCATGCCATGAACCTAAGAACAAAATGGTACCTTGTCAATATTCAGAAAAGGGACAGCCAATAATATTATTTATATTATCATTTAGTGGTAGCCATCAAAACCCTTGATGTGCATATGATGACATTTATTAAACTTACTATGTTCTTTTGTAAGCTTCTTCTTGTTCATGTTAGTATAAACCCTTTTCATGAAGCCATGAAACCACATATTGAAAAGGCTATTTATATCTCTTCAACTCAATATAAATAGAAATGTAGACCAGAATTGGAAGCTATTAGTGACCCATTGTGCATATAAAGGTGCATCTTGTTTTTAATTTTATGGCATAAATTAGAGAACTGAATAATGGCTTCTATTAAAAATTATAGATAAAATAGAAACAGGTATATGTATGTCTGTAAATTTATACATATACTTATCTATATGGTTTTAGAACTTGGTTATATTTGTGAGATAATAGGAAAAGAAAATATCACTGTATTATCTTCTATATAAACTTACGCTCACGGGCACCTTCTATTAGAATGGCTTGTGTTTCATTCATTCCATAAAATACAGATTTTCCAACTCTGCCAATGAATCAGATTCTTTGGATGTGAAGTGTAAGAGTCTCCATGTCTAATAAGTACTTCAGATAAGTCTTCTTCTCACTCACATTTGAGTACCACTGTCCTGTTTGGCATGGAGTGTGTTAATTTTCTTGAAAGCCACATAGAATCAATGCAAGTATTTATGTCCTGATGGTTCTTAAAATCCTAATCAGAGCAATTATATTCCCTAAAAAATATCATATTTAGGTAGATACATAAAGAGGCCATTAAATTAAAACTGTGTTCTAAACTAATCTAAAGAACTAAATCATTTTATTGTTGACCACTCACTCATGCTAACATATTCTAAGCTTTATATGCTTGATATTTGAAAAGAAGACTATTTCAGCCAGGTGCAGTGGCTCACACCTGTAATCCCAGCACTTTGGGAGGCCGAGGTGGGCAGATCACCCTGAGGTCAGGAGTTCAAGACCAGCCTGGCCAACATGGCGAAATCCCATCTCTACTAAAAAATACAAAAATTAGCTGGGCATGGCGGCGCATGCCTGTAATCCCACCTACTTGGGAGGCTGAGGCAGGAGAATCGTTTGAACCCGGGAGGCAGAGGTTCCAGTGAGCTGAGACTGCACCACGGCACTCCAGCCTGGGTGACAGAGCAAGACTCCATCTCAAAAAAAAAAAAAAAAAAAGAAAAAAGACTTTTAAATTTTATTATAAACATTATCTATTGTAGGTTAAAAAACAATCAGCATTTATCAATAAAAAACATCATCTGGGTAGATCAAAGAGAGAGGTCAGTAAGGCAATTATTTAATATTAAAAGATATATACTAAGGCTCCTAAGACTCAATGTGTTCACTTGAGAGACTTGGGTTTTGGTGGCTGTTTTTTCTGCTATGAGTGAACTTGTGCAAATGAGTTTTGTATTTTTTATTAAAATGTAAAATTCAAAGTTGAGATTTTAACATTTGGATTCTTAGAAGTAGTATCATTTACATTCCAACTCAAAATTTCTATATGTTTTTCTATAAAATGAGAATAATAATTGTTTACAAATTATCTCTGGAAATGAACATAATTCATTTACAAACTAATTGCTTTTTAAAAACTTTTTCTTCTCAGAGATCCCCCATCTTTAAGAAAATAATTCATTTATTTTTAAAACTTTAAATTATTTCAAGAATAAACACCGTTTGTTATTATTCATTTTGTTTTGTTTGCATGCTTCCAAATGATATCTGCTCATTATAAGTTGTTTAAGCAATATAGAAAAATGCAAAGAAGAAAATAGCAACAAGAAATCACTAAAATTCTCTCCACCCCCAAATAAGTATTGTAACAGAAAAGTGTGTTCTGAGTAGACGTGGCCTGAGCACATGTTGATTAGTGCCTGGAGGGATTGTCTAAGATGTGATTTATTTGCAAGCTAAAATTAAGAGTGCCAGTTGGAGTTTTACTTGCTCTGTTGAGGGGAGATCACAACTGTAGATGAGCTGCCGAGGAGAGGTTTGTCTCTCTTGGAAATCAAGGGCAGAGCTCATAGGTCTGAGTAATCTGAGAGGGCAAGGCCTACTGAAGCCTGTCACTGAATAGGCCTTCAGATTTAGACAGGGAATCCAATTCTATTGATCCCAGTATGACTGGAGGATGTTACTATAGTGGATGAAATTTCTCTCAGTGTCTTTAACATAAACAAATTTACACTCCCACCAACAATGCAGCAGAGTTCCTGGGGC
This sequence comes from Homo sapiens, assembly GCF_000001405.40. Taxonomy (NCBI): domain Eukaryota; kingdom Metazoa; phylum Chordata; class Mammalia; order Primates; family Hominidae; genus Homo; species Homo sapiens. Next base: position 9,782,244 of record NC_000007.14, on the reverse strand, counting down.
CAGATCCATACCAACCCCCGGTAATACAAAACTTGAAAACTTTGCTGCCCTGAAGGGTATAAATAATATCTTATTATAGTGAGATAGGCACTATAACGTATATATATATGTGTTAGAGCAATTTGCTTTTTCTAATTACTAGTGAAGTTCTATTTGAAGTGTTTCCCCTATAATCTACATATTTTGACTATTTTTCACTCTTTTTTTTAGTGAATGCTGACTTGAAAAAGGCAATAGACTATAAATAGGGCAGGCAAGTTTGACAGCTGTTCAACATCAAACCGAGTTCCATCATTCAGAGCAGACAAGCTAACAATACTGTTGAAATCAACAGTCAGGCAGTGTGCTGCTTATTTTAGGCTTGGACCTTGAGGTTCATTATGTGCTCTTTTCTTGCTTTTCTCTGTGCCTCAGGAAGCTGATGGCATGGTCTTGCATCAACTGACCTTTCCAGTTCTCTGCTTCTGTTTAGGATTTGCCAAAGAAATTCCCAAGGGCAGTTGGAAGATGGAAATACTTCTATCGCCTTGCTTTTGTAACCGTAGGTGAGGCAACAGTTTACAGTTTCTAGTATCTCTGTGTTTTCTCTGTCTTGGTGGATCCCTTAACCTCTTCCCAAACTTTATGAACCATCATTTCATTAAACCTTCTCTAAGAACCATTTTAAGTATATATCTATGTCCTGGTGGACTCTATCTGATAGAGGCAGGCATGACAGATTTCTTAAAACATATTTGGCAGAACTGTATTTCTGAATGATGCCAAAATCTGAAAAGTAATATATTCCTTATTGACAGAGGTCATTGGTAGAGCTACTGAAACTAAATTCAAAGGAAGAAAAAAAAACATGTCTTTATAAAGGATACCATTGTTGTCTTAAAGTTTTACAAGCCAGCACTATGTACTAGGGATCCAAGGTCTCCAAGTCGACTTATTTATAAGGGCAATCAGCAGAGCCTATGATTTTTTTCCTTGAACGTGGGCAATGGTCTATTTGATACATAGTGTACGGAGCACTTTTGCTACCACCTTTATATCTCAGGAATGATTTGGAATTACTCTGAATACAGGTTGCATAGGCTATGAAGTAGGAATTGTGAGGCTAGGCTCAAATGCAAAACTCCAAAATAGATGAGGTAAAATACTAAGCAACTACATTTGCTAATGGAGACTATCAACTACGCTGTATACCACAAAATGTACTGGAAAAAAAAGTGCTCACATTTTGCCACTTATAACTTTATGATAACCTTAGAAATTATGACTATATCTATTTTCCTTACAAGCAAACTGTGCCTGGGAAATTTACTTAATTTACAGTCATTCAGCAAGTGACAAAGTTAGGGTTTAAATTCAGTTCAGTCTGGTTTATTTAGTAACAGGTGCTGTGAAAAATTATGCTATTTTCCTCGAAATCAAAATAAAGTCCAAGGAAACAGCCTCCAACAGTCTTAACTTCTAAAATTTATTTCACAACTCTTTAATTCCCCTTTGCATTTTCAGTTTTGAGTAGAAGCTGTTTCAGTTATCTATCACTACCTAAGTAACTACCCTAAACTTTAATGGTTTTAAACAATTGTATTTTGCTCATGATTTCACGATTCAGGAAGTTGAGAAGGACTAGGCTGGGTGGTTAATGTCTGATCCATGTGATGTTGGCTGGGATAATTGGAGATGGAGGATGCACTTTCAAAATGACTTCTTTACTCTCATGTTTGACACCTCAGTGTTTCTTTTCCTCTCTCTGTATGGATCCTCACAAATCGTGGTCTCAGGGTATTCATGCTTATTACATGGTAGTCTCTAATAGATGAGGTATAAGGTATAAGCTGCCTGTGCTATTGAAGTTAGGCTAAGAACTGGCAAACTATTATTGCATTATTAACCAAAGCAGGTAAAAAACCAGTCCAGATTCATGAGAATAGAAAAGAGATTCTCTTTCTCAATAGGAGGAATGTCAAATAAGTTGTGGCCATCTTTAAACTGTTATCTTTCGTTTTTAACGTAAACTGAGCTTTTACTACATTCTTATCAGGTACAATGCTTCAAACTTTGAACTTTTGTTTCATTAAATTTTCTCAGCAGTCCTGTAAAGGGGTTATGAAAAAATAACAATTGGTTGAACATTAATGCTGACCTTAAATTACTGTTATGGCCCCACTAGTGTTTACAGCAAATATTTATTCTATTAACTATTAGTGTGCCTATTTTTAAATTGAGGAAGCTAAGGCTAAGCGGTGTCGAGTAACTTGACCCAAATTATACAGTTTGTAAGTGAAAGTGTTAGAAAGCATTTGATAGCAGTTCTGCCTGACTAGCACCATTGTATTTTCTAAGAATGCCCCATTACATTTTTGGAAAAATAATTCCATGAATATGCAATCTGCAAGGTCATTTTATTTTATTTTATTTTAATCTTTACTTGAGCTCTGACACATATACATTTTTCCTTTATTTTGTGTGTTATCATTTATTTTTGTGAATTAGAAAGTCCATTTTGTAGTTGTCAGTTCAGGCCCTGCAAGAAGCAACGCCAAGGCAATTTTAGATGTGCAAGATATTGGAGATCTATTAGGGAAAATGCCTGTGAAAGATAAAGAGGGAGAGGGCCAGAGTAGACATGGAGTGGCTTCAGAATATGATTCAGGTGTGCCCACTGTGAAAGAAAGAAACATAGAAAAAATTGGATATTACATTTCTTGTATCACAGTTCCAGTTACGAAAGTCAGCCAGCCTGGTGCAGAGTATTCAAGCAAGGGTTATCCACTGGAGGAGTCCCATGTCAGACAGGAATGGGCCAGCTCTAAGGTCCCTCTCCATGTTTAGGCATTGGCTAGAGACAGCCTAGGGTAAGCAGCCTTGTTGTGAGCACTGTGGTAGATCAAAAAGGAAGTAGCTGGAGACTGTCAGAAAGCTGCTCCCTGTAGTAGGTTCTCTTGCCCTCTGCAAGCCTCATGTGTTAGTTCGTTAGGGCTGCTATTGAGAGACAAGAGGCAAGAAAATTCCACGCATAAAAGGGTGGGTGCCTGGTGAAACCTCACCTTCAAACCAAAGTAGCCTGAAACCTGTGGCCCAAAGTGAGAACTTCTATTCCTGTTTGCTCATTCTCTCCCAATTGGTTCTTTCTGAATAATGCATTTTTACCAATCAAATGTTGCTTTTCCCAAAACTACCTATGGCCCACTCCACCCCTATCCTGCACCTATAAAGACACCAGACTCAGTCAGTAGAGTGGAGAGATGGCTTGACTTTGGAGAGAAGATGGCCAAACTTTGGGGAAGATGAGATGGCTTGAGTTCGGGGAAGGGACAGATGAACTTCAAGGAAAACTATCTGCCTTTCCCATTCCCTCTCCAGCTACCCTCTTCGCTGAGAGCCAGTCCACCATTCAATAAAATTCTTCACCTTCACCATCTTTCAAATGGCTGCGTGACCTCATTCTTCTTGGATGCTGGACAAGAGCTCGGGACCCACTGAGTGTGGATACCCAAAAAATGCTGTCACATCGGCCCTTTGCCCTTGATGGCAGAGGGAAACCGCCCAACAGGATGAGGCAAAGGGCCAACTGAGCTGTTAACACACAGCCGTCCACAGACAGCAGAACTAAAGGAGCATTGTAACACCCCCTCTGGGGTCTTGGGGTCTCAGGCATGCCCCTTATTTGAGCACCACCGCACGGAGCTTGCTTCTACCAGCGCCTGGAGTGTCTGGCCTGGTCCTGCACTCATTTGCTCATGGGCTCCCTCCTACAAGGGGTTGAGTGCAGCAGGCCCAGTAAACATTCATCCTTGTCACGAGTCCAACAAAAGGGCCAAGAAAAGTCCTACCTCACTATCTAGCAACAAAAATTTATTTTTCACAAATTTAGAGGCTAGAAAGGCTGCAATCAAGGTGCCAGCAGATTAGGTATCTGACAAGGACTGTTTTCCTCAAAACAGCACCTTCTCGCCATGTCCTTACATGGTAGAAAGGGTAAGGTGGCTTTCAGGGGCCTCTTTACAAGAGCACTGATCTCATTTTTGAGGGTTCAGACCTCATGACCTAATTATCTCCCAAAGGCTTCACCTCCTAAAACCATCACATTGGTGATCAGGTTTTAGCATGTGAAACGTCATGGCACTCCTACCTGTGAAAGGAGAGGGAGAATATGATGATGCTTTGGCTCATCACATGTCAATGTCAATTAAGACTTTGTGCCTAATTGTTCTGTAAATAGTCCTCTTTTCTCAATGTACAGTCACGAGGGTAAACAATGTCCCTAGGTCCCTTTGGGGAAAGGCTGGGAGGATCATTAAAATATATACTTGCTAAAATGTTGCAGGGTCCTTCCTCCTGGGCATCTGGTCACCTCTTCAGACTATGGGTTTCAAACTGAAAATTTAGATCTAGAATCTGAGGAAGGGACTGTGACTTTTAATCAAGCCTTTTCATTGTAGATGCTAAGCAGTGCCCTTGTTGGCCGACCATGGCTTTTGCCCAAGGGATGGTATAGCCTATAAATCCCCTTCATAACTCTCTGGGGATTGTTCCTCTAACCTTGCTAATATCTATCACTTTCATCCCCCTGATTTCTGGCAGTTAGGCACTGCCACCTCACCTATATTTTTCAAGGCCTCACTATGCTCATGGATATTAATGAGCCCATCTCTGCGTCCACCTCTCGTATGGTCAGGCCTAGCTGTAGTAATGCCAGTGTCTTTATACCTATGTATTCTTGATAGCTTTAAATCACTGGCAGGATTATGGCTCTCCCAGGGATTAAAATTCTTTGAGGGGCTTCTGATGTCACCTAATAAATACATTGTAGCATGATGGTATTTTTGAGCCTTTTTCTTCCTTTCACTATGTTCTCAGAAAAATGGAGGCATTGCTATTTCACTTATCATAGACTAGCATTTTCTGTAGGCTTCTTGGATGCATAGCAGCTAATTTGCCTGATCATCTATTCTTATATTCAGACCCCCTTAATCACAAAATCTCAAAATCCAATCAGAGGGCTTCTCTCTGTGCATGCTAGCTAATACTTATTGTGGCTTCAGAATGCAGCCTACTTTCTCCCTTACCAAGTCCAGCCTTTCCTCAGATGAATTAAATCCAGTTAACAGTCAAACCATCAGCACTGAAAGTGTGGACAGCTCCTTCAGGGGGAATTTAGTATCAGCAGTTGCACCTACCACCTAGTCAGCAATGCACCCATTCCCTGTGAAACAATACATCCATCCCCTCTCAGCAGCATACCTATTCCCTGGTCAACAGTGCACTCATCCACCTCGTCAGCAACGTACCCTTCCTCTTCCAGCAGTGCATCCATCCCCTATCAGCAGTTGACCCATATCCTCTCAGCAGGGCAACCATTCCCTGTCAGCAACACACCATCCATGGTCATTTGTTTACCCATTCCCTGTCAGAAGCACACCCATCCCCTCGACTTCAGTGCACCCATCCATCTGGTGAGCGATGCACTTATCCCCTTCCAGCAGTGCACCCATCCCACTTGCAGCAGTACCTCCATGCTCCCGGTTTGCAGTGCTACCATTCTTCTGATCAGCAGTGCACTCATTGTCTGTCAACAGTGTACCCAACATTTGTCAGCAGTGTACTCATCTTTTCTCAGTAGTGCACCCATCCCCATGTCAGCAGTGCACCCATCCCTTTGAAGCAGGGAACCCATCCATCTGGTCAGAAGTGAAACAACCCCCTGCCAGCTTTGTAGTCATCCTCTGTCAGCAATGGATCTCCTGAACAGAAGAGAAAGAGGAGTCAAACAATCAAGCTGAGTCTATGGGAATAGAGTCTTTTTTCTCTAGTTCAAATGCTGGGCAAGTATGAGCATGGGAGCTGCCTAATTTCACGGCACAAGAGAAAAATCACACATCCATGTCCTTCCACAGATAAGCCAATCACCTCCAGTTTAGATATGCCTAAAGTAGCTCAAGTTAGGATTCTGACTATGGCAAGTAATCAAGTTGATTAAAAGAGAGACTTTTAAAAACGTACTTAAATTTTAAAGAATTAACTAAAATCTCTGTGGATTGGGCTCTCCATCTATAAAACTCTATCTCCTAGGGTTGTTTTGAGGATGAAGTGAGTTTTTGCTGAAGGAAAATATTTTAACAGGGCCTGCATTATAAGTACTCAATACAGACTATCTATTATTGTTAGGTCCTGAGTATTTATTTATTATAATATCACAGATTTTGGAGATGAAAATAATACCATTATATATTTATTACATATATCATTTAATACAATTTTAAAAATTAAAGTACAGTTATGTAAATTTATGTCATTTGAGATAAAGAAGCAATAATGCTTTATTGCATTTTATTGTTATTTAAAGTATCTATGATAAATACCATTAATATAATAAAAAACCTCTTCAAATAATAGTGGCTCAATAAATATTTACTGAAACTATTCACAAGTCAGAATCTCAAAAATTAATGAGAAAAAACAGTCTTTATTGATCTATAAAATGTAGGAGGTATGTTTCAGTTTTTAAAAATATGGTGCAAGAAATGTTACATGAATGCAATCTTTGCATACATTTTATTACATAGGGTTATGAACTGATGTATAAGATGATAAACATAAATTGAACAGGTGCTTTTTTTCATCAATTATTATTTTGCTAATATTTTACATTAGAGGAACAAAAACACAATTCAAAACAAAATACTTTATACATCAGGTTCAAGATATTTATTATTTTCTTCTCTATATCTAAAGATAATTTGAAGTTCAAACTAATCTTAGTCTTTAAAAATACTTTACTTTAAAATAGAAAGCACCAGTTATGATTCCACATTTAACAGCATCGCCTACAAATACAGAGTCCTGACATCCAAGATAAATGAACAACAAATAGAAAGGGCTACAGAAAGGTTCAAATCCATTTGATGTGTGGACAGTTGTAAAGAATGTTGAGCTTTCTATTTTTATTTGTTTGGATCGATAGACTACAAATCAGCTTCTGGAAATATTCCTTAATGTGCCAATTAAGTAAAGAAAAACAAACCCTTTACTATATATATTTTTAGTTAATAATCATAAAAACACTCCAACACAATAATTTGTTGTAGAAAATAATAAAATGATCATACATCATTCCTAAAACTTTCTGTGGAAAGAAATAATGAAATAAGATATAATATACAAAACTTAAAATATAAAATTAGGTAAATTATTAAGGAAAAGTGTGGCAATAATGAGGATGTTTTGAGAAAGTGTCTTTTTCTTCTAAATAGTTCCACAAGGAACTCCCTCTCCCACCCACCCACCACACAGTCGCTAAGAGGCAATTGGAAACTTGTGGAAGTTTTTCAACACCACTTTATGCTAAAAACTCTCAATAAACTAGGTATTGATGGAACATATCTCAAAGTAATAAGAGCTAATTATGACAAACCCACAGCCAATATCACACTGAATGGGCAAAAGCTGGACGCATTCCCTTTGAAACGGGGCACAAAACAAAGATGCCCTTTCTCACCACTCCTATTCAACATAGTATTGGAAGTTCTGGCCAGGGCAATCAAGGCAAGAGAAAGAAATAAAGGGTATTCAAATAGGAAGACAGGAAGTCAAATTGTCTGTTTGCAGGTGACATGATTGTATATTTAGAGAACCCTATCGTCTCAGCCCCAAATATCCTTAGGCTGATAAGCAACTTCAGCAAAGTCTCAGGATACAAAATCAATGTGCAAAAATCACAAGCATTCCTATACACCAATAACAGACAAACAGAGAGCCAAATCATGAGTGAACTCCCATTCACAATTGCTACAAAGATAATTAAATACCTAGCAATCCAACTTACAAGGGATGTGAAGGATCCTTTCAAGGAGAACTACAAATCACTGCTCAAGGAAATAAGAGAGGACACAAACAAATGGAAAAACATTCCAAGCTCATGGATGAGAAGAATCAATATCGTGAAAATGGCCATAACACCCAAAGTAATTTATAGATTAAATGCTATCCTCATCAAGCTAACATTGACTTTCCTCACAGAATTAGAAAAAACTACTTTAAATTTCATATGGAACCAAAAAAGAGCCCACATAGCCAAGACAATCCTAAGCAGAAAGAACAAAGCGGAAGGCATCATGCTACCTGACTTCAAACTATACTACAAGGCTACAGTAACCAAAACATCATGGTACTGATACCAAAACAGATATATAGACCAATGGAACAGAACAGAGGCCTGAGAAATAACACCATACATCTACAACCATCTGATCTTTGACAAACCTGACAAAGATGGGGAAAGGATTCCCTATTTAATAAATGGTGGTGGGAAAAGTGGCTAGCCATATGCAGAAAACAGAAACTTGACCCCTTCCTTATACCTTACACCTTATAGAAAAATTAACTCAAGATGGAATAAGACTTAAATGTAAGACCTAGAACTATAAAAACTCTAGAAGAAAACCTAGGCAACACCTTTTAGGGCATACGCATGGGCAAAAACTTCATGACTAAAACAATAAAGCAATGGCAACAAAAGCCAAAATTGACAAATGGGATGTAATTAAAGAGCTTCTGCACAGCAAAAGAAACTGTCATCAGAGTGAACAGGCAACCCACAGAATGGGAGAAAATTTTGGCAATCTATCCATCTGACAAAGGGCTAATATCTAGAATCTACGAAGAACTCAAATAGATATACAAGAAAAAAAAAACATCAAAAGTGGGTGAAGGATATCAATAGATACTTCTCAAACGAAGTCATTTATGTGGCCAAACAAACCCACGAAAACTCATCATCATTGGTCATTAGAGAAATGCAAATCAAAACCACAGTGATATATCATCTCACACCAGTTAGAATGGCGATCATTAAAAAGTCAGGAAACAACAGATGCTGTAGAGGATGTGGAGAAATAGGAATGCTTTTACACTGTTGGTGGGACTGTAAATTAGTTCAACCATTGTGGAAGACAGGGTGGCAATTCCTCAAGGATCTAGAACCAGAAATACCATTTGACCCAGCAATCCCATCAATGGGTATATACCGAAAGGATTATAAATCATTCTACTAAAAGACACATGGACACATATGTTTATTGCAGCACTGTTCACAATAGCAAAGACTTGGAACCAACGCAAATGCCCATCAGTGAGAGACTGGGAAAAGAAAATGTGCATGGAATACTATGCAGTCATAAAAAAGGAGTTCATGTCCTTTGCAGGGACTTGGAGGAAGCTGGAAACCATCATTCTCAGCAAACTAATACAAGAACAGAAAACCAAACATCTCATGTTCTTGCTTATAAGTGGGAGTTGGACAGTGAGAACACATGGACACAGGGAGGGGAACATCACACACCAGGGCCTGTCAGGAGGTGAGGGGCTAGGGGAGGGATAGCCTCAGGAGAAATACCTAATATAGATGACAGGTTGATGGGTGCAGTAAACCACCATGGCACGTGTATACCTATGTAACAAAACTGCACGTTCTGCACATGTATCCCAGCACTTAAAGTTAAAAAAAAAAAAAGAAACTCCTGGAAGAAGTTTTTAATTGAATCATTTGTTTAGTGAAATAAGCCAAGCACAGACAGACAAATATTGCATGTTTTCACTCGTATGTAGGAGCTAAAAATGTGGATCTCATGAAGATTATAGATTGGTTGTTACCAGAGGCCAGGAAGGATGAGGAGAGGGGAAGGAAGAGAGAGGTTGATTAATAGGTAGAAGTACACCGTTAGATAGGAGAAATAAGACATAGTGTTTGGTAGATCAGCAGGGTGACTATAGTTTACAATAATTTGTTATGTATTTCAAAATAGCTGGAAGAGAATAATTCAAATGTTTCTAGAAGAAAAGGCAAATATTTAAAGTAATGGATATATAATTACACTGATTTGATCTTTGCAAATTAAGTGAATATATTAAATTATCACATGCACCCCTAAACTATGTATGTTATTATGTATGAAGAAACTGAATTTTATAATTTGTGGCATTGTTTTTAAAATTTTCACAGTACCTGATTCTGTAGGTTGGGTGTCTTCAAGTTAACCTACTTATTTGAGTGTTAAATTCAGAGGTTAAGTTCAAATATATTCAACATCCAAGCGTATACTCTTTGAAATTCCAAAAAGATATGAAAAACTAAAATTAATTAATTTGGAAATACATCTCTGTCTCCGTGTGTTCTCAACATGGACTACTGATGGTCATATGTGGAAGTTGAGCATTAAATGCCATCAATGAGGCTATTAGGATTTCAGGGTCAAGTGGCAGAATTATGCAAGGGTGAAAATGGGACTGTTTAGAGAAATGCAATACAAAAGGAATTAAAAGTGTTTTGATTCTAGCTTTAGAGATGTAAAATCAATGGCACCATTAACAAGAATGAAGAGTTGTGATTTCGCCAAGGTTAGAGCCAATAAAGGTTCAAGAACAAGCTTAAGATAAATGAGCTTAATCTCACTTTCCCCATTAGCCCTCATAACAACATGCTTCCCAAAGCCCCACTCCTCCCATCCATTACCCACCCCCACGCTACGTAAATAATAAAATATGTGCTTCGTGGACAAGCACATCTGCAAAACAAGTCCCTGAATCTCCAACTCAAATATGTTCCTGCTTGTAACTTTAACTCCCTCTTATAAAGAAACTTTGGAGGTAGCACTTTTTGGAAGAGAATGTTAAGATAATTTTTTGATGTGCTGAAGTTATTTTCAGAATCAGGACCAGTAATATTCCCCTGATGGAAATCCATGAGTGTGGAGAGTAGAAGAAAATTTGAAATGGGAATCGTGTTGGCTGACAGCTCATTTTAGAATATGATTTGAGAATGATAGCAAAATAATAACTTTTTTTTTTAGAAAAATACAAAAAGTAAGCAACACATTGATTTTGATTGGTTTCACTTAGGCTGTGTTTTTTCAGCTGACGAAACTAAATATCTCAAGGCTCCATAATGATGAAAGAGAGACAAAATGGATAACAAAAAGTGCACATTTATTTCAATATTACAGTAGTAAAACCCTGAGAAGGTGTGACGGAAGTGTCTTCCTTACATGGCAACTGCCTTCTGTCTGTTGCTGCGCCCCCTGACAATACACCCTCCTCTGTCTTTTTGAAGGCCACTCTTGATGTGTGTTTGTTTTTCTAGCAGCCTGAATACCCTCAAAAAGCTTTACTTCTGGGAAATATGATTTACGGTTGCAAGTCTTTGAGAATCCAACATTTCTAATATTGTAGAAATAGAACATTTCAAAGCAAGTTCGGCTGGCTTTTAATCTCCCCCAATGGTCTGTTACTTTTATGATTATTTAAATGGAACTCAATATTCCAAGCTCCCTTATTCTATATATCCTTTAAATCCTCAGCACCATTAATAAATAGTAAAATAACCTCCATTACAAACTATGGATGGAAACTTCAATATAAAAAAAACATGCTATGAATTAGCCGAAAGATGCCACAAAACTCATGTACTAAAATCCATGCATGTAACTCAAAGGAGAGCTTCTTTTATTCTTTATTTAATGTTACTTTGGACATGATTGTAAGTGTGTCCTAATGAATTCTAAGTACTAATCCATTTACTTCTCAATAAACCAACACAAATCCAACTCAAAGCTATCTGAATAAAACAAGAGAATATAGAATAAGTGTGAAAGTTTTTTCTATTGCAAGTAAATACACAGCTAATGTCATTATGACTTACCTAATATCTCAGCTTGTATTTGAAACAAAACGTGAGAAGGCTTTAGGTAGGCTACAGCCAGAAACATATTGTCAGCAGAACAAATTTAGAGTGGACAACTTGTTGGTGAGGGAAGATATAGAAAACTAGTATAACAATGTACACAACTGAAAATAGATACATTTTAAAAAGGTGGAATATGATTTATTTAGTATTTTACATAACTGCAAAACTCCTATGTATAACTGTATTACAGTGCAGTTTTTACGGTTGTTTATAGTGTTGACTCTAATCGTGCAGGGATTAAGTTACATCAAATATATACCATTTGAGAAAGCAGGGGAACATAGTTTCAAGAGGTTCTTTCTCAAATTTATTTCACATTCCCCCTACTCTTGGCGCTAGATGCCTTGGGCCTCCTGGGCCCGCTTTTCATGGTCTTCAATCCACTGTTTTCACTGTGCTTAAGTAAGTTTTCTCCTAACCTCAGTTGATGGCAGTGATGGATATATTTTTGTCAAAATAATTGGCTGCTTGAAAGAAAAAATTTCACTAACTAAAATTAACTGACTTGGAATACCTGCTCTTCTAGAAATGTCAGACAAAGGCCATGTTGCGGAGTAGGAGGCAAAAGACATGTTAGATGAATTTATTATGAGTTATTTTTCATTTCTTTCTAACTTTCAATAGCCAACTTCCAATGAAATTCATTAGCTTGACATAGTTCTCATTTATGTCATGTCTAATTTATACTAATAAACTAAACTGGAGAGGTAACAAATTTACTATTTCAAGCAAAATGAAGTAAACCTTAATTTAGTAATTGCTCCAGGGGAAAATATTTTTGCTCCAATGATCAGTTTAATTATCTCAGTTGTAACCCTTTCATTTATAGGATTTGCACTTTATCCTAACAGAATTGCCCAGAAATCTTAAAGAAAGTAAACCTCAAGTTTGCAAAAATTTCAGGAAGAGCAATATTTGTGATCCCTGTTATCAAGCAATTGTCTCAATACTGACACTTTTGTCTTTTGTAGACGAGGAATAAAAATGGAACAGATAGTTCACACTGCTTTTTTTATTAAAACCTTCAGTATTAAAATGTACAGTTACTTCTCATTTTTCTCAATGGCAAGTTTTTTAAGATACAGAATTCTATTTAATACCAGATACTTTTTTTAGGAGCAAGAGAAAATATCGGTGTAAAGTGAGAACAACAGTATAACAATCTGATTTTGTTGAGAGTTCATCAGGATGACTGGAAACACAGGTTGGGTCATTACTATGAGAGTTCTATGTCCACATGATGCCATCAAATCAAATTCTTTGTGGAAGTGTTTCTTTCTGTTGATATAAAGGGAAAGAGAAACAACCAAAATTTGAATCGCTGAAAACTTAATATACGTGTCAAATAAAAAAATCTAACTCAAAAAATTTGATTAAAAAACACTCCGGGTAAAATAAAGAAAGAAAGAAAGAACACTCCTGGTAATCTAGCTGTGTGTGTGTGTGTGTTTGTGTGTGTGTGTGTGTGTGTGTGTGTGTGTGTGATAAAAGCAATATTTTGAAGAGAAATTCACTATTTATAATGAATCTTTCTTCAGCCTAAACTATTCAGCTATAGAAGCAATGCAATGCAATACAATATAGCTATACAGTAACATCCTTTTTCTATAACTTGGGAACAAAAGTCACAAAAAATATTTTGTGTTTAGTTAGGACTTCCACACTGCAGAACCACTGGCATGTCAAGCTACTTCGTTTTTCCTGACAAAACCCCAGATGACCCCCACCATTTCTTCTTTTCCTGCTAGTCTGTTACTCACCTGTGCTTCCATTTTAGTACATGCAGACTGTTAAAATAAAATATTATAAACTAGATTACTTACAAACAACAGAAATTTCTCACAATTCTAGAGGCTGGGAAGTCCAAGATCAAGGCAGATTTGGTGTCTGGTTAGGGTCTGACTTTTGGCTCACGCAGGGCAACTTCTCTCACGTGGTGGAAAGGGCAACAAGCTCATTTGGGTTTCTTTAATAAGGGCATTAATCCCACTCCTGAGACCCCATCATCATGACACAACCACCTTCCCAAAATTTTACCTACTAATATTATCACCTTGGAAGGTAGGATTTCAACATATGAATTTAGAAAGGCACGAACATTCTGTACATAGCTGCTTCTGTACCTGGTGTCTTTAATCAGCAGCTGCTGCCCCCATGACCATTGATAGAGCAACTGATGCTAACTTTCTGTACTTCTGGCTACTTTTAATGATATTTCTGCTCCCATAGCCAATGTGCTATTCCATCTGGGGTTGAAGGAGAGGGCTACTAAGCCTATAAAGCTGGGGTTATTTTACTGTCAGGGTGGCCTTGGATTATTCCTGTTTCTTATGACTTTCTATTTAAAAGCATGGAAAGAATTTCTCCAATGATGAGTATGAGATTTGAAAGGCAACATCCCATGTTTTCACACAAAAGTACCTTTTCCTCTTCGACCAAGAATTGATGTTCTAGGACAGAATCCAGACAGCATTCCTCAATAAGAAAACCTTAATTTAAATTTAGAGAAATATTTGCTCTGTTAAATTATTTAGTCCCAGAGTATAGGAATCTGCTGGTCTTCTTTCAAATAGGCATAACATTCTGGCGCTTTCCTTACCTTGAAACAGCAATGTAACTTTACATTTTTTATCAGAACACTCCTGATCACCCCTCTTTGATAATTTTAAGATTTTTAAATTTTTTATATCATTCCTTTTCCATTGTAATATAAATCAGTTTGTTTCAATCAACAGGCATTCAAGTGATAAGAAAGAAGCAAGATTAGAGGCTGAATGGTTTTTTTTTTTTGTCTGTTAAGGCTGAAGGTCTCAGACTTCAATAATATTAAATAATTGTCTTGGGGGATCTTAATTGCCCAATCATTAGTGCTATTATTATTTTCCTAATTAATTAGGAAATGTTTTGGCAGTCAGATTTACTTTGCAGAGTTTTAGGAGTATTAGAGTGGCTTCCCAAATTTAGACGACAAGTTAGCAATGGAATGGAGACTGCCAACAGCTCTAATCTATCAGACTCAGCTGGTCCCTCGTTGTTTGGCCATGACTGTCATGGTGAAAGATGAACTCTCTTATACTTAGACTGTTAATATAAATGAGCTCTATTTCACGTTGAGATGTCTTGATTGAGAATTCCTGAGATGACTCAGGTCAATTTTCTGAGAGGTTACAACTAATTTAGAACTTACAAGTGAGTATAAATAGCTTAAGCTGACCGTTTTAATATGACATACTTTACTCTTGGGTTGAATTTCATTTGCTACCCTGAAACCAATTATTTTGTTTTTTGAAATCTTTCCAGATATCTTACAAAGTCCCAACTAACCAAAGCATAAATGTCTCTCCTAGTAACAGACGTTTTAGAGATATATTGAATTGCAGTGTGTAGTGCTGATCCCTTGGGCACCCCACTGGAAAATTGTGTCCTGAGAATTACCTAATTATTCCTTTTCTTTGCCTCCTATCTTTTAATCAGACTTTAAATTCTCTCTCTATGATTTCCTTGGTTTTATTAATGGGGCTGCAGGAAAAACTAAACCAAAATCCTCCTTTGCAAGTTTGAACAAATTAAACCAGTTTTTTCTTCATATGTAATTTATTTTTGATATTGTTTTTCTTTGTATGTTGATTTTTGTGTGGCAACTCACATTTTTAAAGACTCAAGATAGATTACAGAACTGAAAATTATTTTTCCCTGTTAACATTACTTTTCTGTAATTAAAAAATAATGTCCTTTTAAAAAGATTGCTTTACAATTATATATAATTTTTAATAATTTTATTATAAAATATATTAATAATTTTTATTGGGTTTTGTAAAAGAAAAATGACACTGGATAAGTTAGACAAGGAAGACTTTATTCGAGACTATTACAACCGATAAAGAAATTAAACTCGACTCTCTTGAAACAAAAGGTGGGAAGGTCTTAAGCACCTGCGTGAGCTAGTGGAAAAGTACTGTAGAGCATTGGAGAAGGGTTGGTCATTGTGATTAGGGTTGGTCCTCTGTGTTTGCTAATCAGCACTTGTTGAAGTTAGTTAGGCTCCTATCCTGTCACAGAGAAGGGAATAGGGGCTCTATCTTTTTTGATAATTTTATTATAAAAGGATGGCTCTCAGGTGAAAAGAAATCTCTGGTTTGTAAAATTGACAAGAAACTAGAAGATTTGCATCTCAAAGAGGCAGAGAAAGAACTTACAACTGCAAATTATCTAACGTAAATGCAGTAAGAAAAGGGAAGTCAGGGGCCTATTGCCAGGAAAAGGCTTTTCTAAACTTTAGTCAAGTTGAGAGGAATAACCAAGGTCATCTAGGTCAGTTCAATAATTACTAATAAAAATTATAAAATGAATTCAATATGACAAACAGTTCGTTAAATACCTGAATATTTTCAAATTAATATTTCAGTGTCAAAATATCAGGTTGCATTTTACTAATAGCTTTAAGTGTACCAATGCAGAATCTAATAATGAAGCTGAGCCCATAAAGAAGTATTAAAATTTTCTAAAATGTCTTTATATTTCAATGTATAAAAGTAAGAAAAATAATTAGTATTTTATATCAAGTCCATAAGTTAAAATTATTGACAAAGATAATTAACTTGTAACCTATTTATAAATGTGTTATCTTTAAATCTTGATTGAGTATCACGGCTTCTGATAAAATCTTAGGTTCTCTACTTTTATGCAATGTCATGACCCGTGAAGGGTCTGAGATTTTTTATGCTACCTACCTGCAAGCGAGTAAGTTAGCTTGCTATAGTTTTATGGATGTAGTGAAAGACAAGATTCCAGGACCATACACACAGGACTTTATTACCAATAGTGTGGCGGTCAGCACAAGCTTCATGTTCTCATCAGTTCTCTTGGCCTTCAAGTCCCATGGGGAGTGACATGTATATATACACATATATACCATATATGTATATAGATATGTATATATGTATATACAGTATATATACATGTATATATGTATACATATATAGTACATATGCATGTACATGTATATACATACGTACATGTATATATGCTATATATGTATTGTAGAGTATATAAATATATATAAAATATAAAAAAAATTAATATATTCATATATATACATTTTTATATTTCTACATATACATATATAATATATAAATGTAATAAGACATATATAATAAATAAAATATATATAATAAAATATACATATTTATATATTATATAATTATAAATTTATATATTTTATATATCATATATTTAGTCTATATATATATTTATATTTCAAATACAAATATATACAATCTTTGTATATATATGAAATATATAAAAAGTTGTATATATTGTATATATTTATAAATAAAATGTATAATCTTTTTATATATTTATCTATAAATGTATATAAATATATACATGTTTTATGTATATAAATATGTAAAATCTTTTTATATATTTTCTATATAAATATATAATTTACATATTTTATATATAAATATATACAATATTGATATACATTTTATATACAAATATATACATATATAAATATGTGCAAATATATACATATATGTATACATATATACTACATATGTATGCACTATATACATAGCGTATGTATATATACTATATATACATATGTATACATATATGCATGTATATATACATATATGCATGTATATATACATATACATGCATATATGTATATATTTATATGAGATGTATATGTATATATGTATACATATATACAATATATACATATATACTATATATGTATATATTGTATATATACACAACATATATGTATATATTGTATATATACAATATATAATATATACATATATGTATACACTATGTATAGTATATGTACATATACTATATATACTATGTACATATACTATATAGTATGCATATAGTATACATACTATATAGTATGCATATAGTATACATACTATATAGTATGCATATAGTATACATACTATATAGTATGCATATAGTATACATATACTATATATACATATATGTATATATGTATATATGTATATATACACATATATACATGTGTATCTATGTATACGTATATATGTATATTTACAGTATATATAGTGTATATATATACAATATATATGTATATATTGTATATACGCAATATATGTATATATTGTGTGTATATATGTATCTATTGTGTGTATATACATATATGTATCTATTGTGTGTATATACATATATGTATAAAATATGCATGTATATATACACTATATATACATGTATATATACACTATATATACATGTGTATATACACTATATATACATGTGTATATACACTATATATACATGTGTATATACACTATATATACATGTGTATATACACTATATATATACATGTATATACCTATACTATATGTATATACCTATACTATATAGTATATAACTATGCTACATATACATATATATACACTATATATAGTATATGCCTATACTACATATAGTATATATAGTATAGGCATGTACTATATATGTATATAATATACATATACAGTGCATATGTACATATACATGTACATACATATACATACATGTATATATACTACATACATACATATATACGCACATGTATGTATGAGTATACTACATACATGTACTATATACATAGTATATATACATATATATGGATATATGTATATGTATGTATGTGTACATATGTGCATACATATATATGGATATATGTATATGTATGTATACATATGTCCATACATATATCCAGATATCCATATGTATTTATATGTATGTGCATATGTATGTGTACATGTATGTATATATAGTACATACGTACATGTATGTGTACTATATATGTATATATACATACATATATAGCAGATATACATGCATGTACGTATGTATATATGTATATGTATCTACTATATATGTATACATATATACATGTATCTATACTATATATACATATATAGTTTACATATATACTATATACATGTATAGAGTATATGCATATATACTATATACATGTATAGAGTATATGCATATATACTATATACATACATGTACGTATGTACGATACATGTTCATATACACATATAAATACATATGGATATATGTATGTATATACTATGTATACATCCATGTACTATACATATACATAGATGTACATATATATGTATATAGTATAGATACATGTATGTATATAGTATAGATACATGTATTTATGTATATGTACATAAGTATGTATATATGTATATGTACATATGCACTACAGATGTATAGTATATACATATGGAGTACATATGGATACACGATATATAGTATATGTATACACTATATATAGCGTATACATGTATACATATATGTATAAATGTATAGTGTATACATATGTAGTATATATATACTGTACATATATGTATATATAGTATATATGTATACATGTATATATGTATATATTTATATATAAAATATGTAAATTGTATATATTTATATATGAAATATATAAAAAGATTGTACATATTTATATACATAAAACATGTATATATTTATATATATTTTATATAAAATATATAAAAAGATTATATATTTTATATAGAAATATATACAATATATATAACTTTTTATATATTTTATATATAAATATATAGAAAGATTGGATATATTTATATAAAATATAAAACGATTTTACATATTTATATATAAAATATATATTGTATATATTTATATTTAAAATATAAATATACATTTATATTGACTAAACATAGGATATATAAAATATAAATATATATAGTTTTTTATATATATTTTATTATATATGTCTTATTATATTTATATATTATATGTATATGTAGAAATATAAAAATATATTGTATATATAATATATAAATATATTAATTTTATATTTTATATATTTTATATGTAATATATATTATATACATTATATAGAAATATATATATTTTATACATTATATAGAAATATATATATTTTATGTATTATATAGAAATTTATATATTTGATATATTATATACAACTATCATATATAGTGTATATATTATATGGAACTATCATATATATTGTACATATTATATAGAACTATCATATATAGTATATATTATATAGAAATATATATAGTATATATTATATAGAAATATCATATATAGTATATATTATATAGAAATATATAGTATATATTATATAGAAATATCATATATTTTATATTTCTAAATAAAATATATATTATATATTTCTATATATATTATATATGGAAATATATAGAAGTATATATAACATAGATATAATATATAGATATAAATATATATAATATAGAAATATATAACTTATAGATATGTATAATCTATATATTTTACAATATATAATTATATATATTACAGAAATATATAATATATATTATATAGAAATATATAATATATATTATATAGAAATATATAATATATATTATATAGAAATATATAATATATAATATAAATATATATTATATAGAAATATATATTATATATGTTATATAGAAATATATATCATATATATTTATATATGTGTATAGTATAAATATATTTAGTGTATATATAGTATATATTATATACACTATATATACAATATATACATTATATACATATACATCTTACATATACATATATACATATTACATAATACATGTTCCATATACATACATATATTCCATATATAGTATATATACATATATACAATATATAATATATACTATATATGTAGTATATTATAACTATATAAAATATGTACTTTTTTTAACTTTAAGAAGTCAAAAGTCTATGAAATCAACAATAGGGTAAAGCACCCAAGCACGGACCAGATATCAGTATTTTTATAAAACTTACAGGTATATATAAGGTGAAGCAAAATTTGAGAGAACCCTTTCTAAGAGAAAACAAAACAAAAAAACAAAACACCTCATTATCTCTGTCTAAGGAGGCCTTAATATTACCCTCAGCATGGCTAAACTTTAGGCAGCCTTCTTTCTGATTCAAGAGTCTGACCTCCTTTTCCTTAGACTATTTACTTCATAAAACTTGTAAATGCTTTCTATGCCCTTTTCAGGTATAAATCGTTTTAAAAGCTTCTTGACAGTTTTACGACCCAACAGTGTCATTCTCAAGGACCTACTAGTGTAGCCATTTCTTTGAAACTTTAAAATGTAAATGCTAAAGGAGATACCACCTCTATCTTACAGTCTCTATGAGAGAGTAGGAATCTAAGGTGGACCCTTTGTTCCAAAGTGTGAAATTACATTCTGTCATGGAGGTAAGAGACAGCTTACTCTCTGTTGGGTAAGGCCTAAGATCTTCCTGCCCCAGCCCTTACAATCTGTTCTGCTTTTTGTTTAGTGGAGTTTTGACTGCATTTTTGTCTCTCTCCCCTATTGCATAGCCTTCAATAAAATCTTCCCTGCTTGTTTAACTTTGGTGCAATTTTTGCTTTGATTACTGTAAGAATGGGCATTAGCCAATGAAACTACTGTTTCCATACTAATTTACTGATCCTTTGCATAAAGCAGATAATAAGACCTACTTGCCCTGTAGGTTCTCAATCACAGAACATTTGAGAATCACCTGGGGGGGGACCTAAAAAAAACTCTGATATTAGACATTTCACAAAGTTATTCAGATTTCATTGTTAGTGGGTGGGATCTCACGGTGGGTAGTTTTATATTTCCCCAATTGATCATAATGTGTTCCTTGGATTGCAAAACAGTTAATTATTTTGTGCTGATGCATTAGTAAGACTGTCACAGAAAAGGAAGAATAAAAGATTCAGGAAAAACAGTTTGAAATGCAGACCTGAAATTGTGACCATTAAATACTTTTCTTTTGGATAGTAGTGTTATTATTGGATTCTATTTGTTACTAAAGGTTAGTTTTATAATTATTTTATCTAAGTTTTTACCTGGTGACGTAAGTACCACTGTAGCAGTCCGTTTCTTTTGAAGTGAGTAACAGTCTAAGAAAGAAATTGAGATGTAAAACAATAAATCGCCATTTATATCAACAATTTTAAGACCCTAATTGTCTATTTAAGAGACTAAAAAAATTGAAGTTTTGTGCATTTCTGAGGGGTTTGTTGATTACTCAAGGCTTAAACAGAGATACAAACATCATTATTTTTTATTTCTTTAGATATTATTAGTTAATAAAAGTTTTCTACAAATCACAGAAGAATTTCTATTTGTAGTTTCCAAATTACATAATAAAATTATAAATATTTTTCTGCAGAGAAAATTATACTCTGCTAAAGTGTATAGATTAAACCAGAATTTCTAAACAGTGATGGTATTGACATTTTAGGCCAGAAACTTCTATATTGTGGCAGGGGTGGTTTCGTAGATGCTGTCTTGTGCATTGTAGATGTTTAGCAGCATTCCTGGCTTCTACATACTCAATGCTTTTTTTTTTTTTTTTTTTTTTTTTTCAAAAAAATGAAATGTGATTGCAGAGAGTCCTTTCTATGGAGGAGACATTATGCTAGAATTTTCACACAGATTATTTTATTTAACTCCAAGAACTACTCCATGAAATAGGCATGATCATCACCTTCATTGTTTACAGGTAAGAAAACTAAAGTTCACAGTGGTTAAATTGCTTGTCCATAGTTGCATGTGTAGTAAGAGGGGCTAGAGAGTAGGAATTTCATATCATTTTGAGCTCTTGAGTTTGTAAGCATCGTTTTTCTTTAGAGTTATCTCCTGGTTTTCCATGATAGAAAGTCTTTCTTGGACTTTTTTTCTGGCGCAAGCATTCCTTCTCATACTTAAATTCTTCACAAATATCCTTGACTTTTCTATTAATTCTAAATTGCAGTCTATAGTCCCACAAAGTGTAAAAGTATGAAATGTTAAAATTCTTTGTTTAAAAGCATTCATTATTACTTACATTTCTAAATGAATGTAAGAAATGCAATAACTTAGCAAACAGAAAGTTCAATCAGATTTGCTCATGCAGGGGTCTTATGATATTTCAATGAAGATTGATGTCCATTCTATGGCTAAAGTGGCAGGACACAAAACATAATAGAATTGTGCAAATACAGAGAAAAAGTAATGCATTCCAAGCTATAAGAAAGTGCCTTCCTTGATTAGGTATGTTATCATACTGTGGTTCTGTTCCTGTTTATTCTTGCATTTGTTCAGAGTTATGCTTTTGAAAGAAATCAAAATATTTCACCCCAAAATATACTTATTTAACATATTTTGACATCGCTATTAAGAGGGCTTGTAAACAGAATGAGCCCTGCAAAGCTGTCTTTTGTGGGGGAGATTTGCATCTGTAGAAAATGTGCATCGATGTGGCCGGGTTTCTCTGAGGCCTTGCCTTGTGGAACCCTAACAAACATTAATTTCTGTAAGGGTTTAATGTAAGCCACATACTCTTCTGAGATTAGCATATTTTAGTACCACATTATCTCTTATACTAGTCATTGCAATGACAAGAAAATAAATAGAAAATTCAGGCCAAAAGCTATCTATCAAAAGTAATTTTTAAACTTCCACAGCAAAATTCCTACCTTTCAGGTATGTTTACAATGATGAAAAAACTATTTTCTAATTTTTAAAGTTGTATCCTTGATATAATGAGATAAAATGTGGATTTAAAACCAGTGATTAACAGTGTCTCCCCAATAACAAATAAAAGACAGCTTTCAAGATCTCAAAGAAACATTTACTACATCTTTTGAGGGTTGCTACCTGTGGGTTTCCACCTACGTAACAAAACCATCTTTGCTAGCCATGTCTCCTCTTTTTCCCTCCTGTAACCTGTTTTGCCACTATAACCTGTTTTGTCAGAGCCAAGCCTCATACATTCTGTAATCTCAGTATGGCATATATGCTTCTGAACCACACTTGAAGGTTGGGGTTATGTAATCACTCCGTGGTTCTTCCCCATATGCATGTTGATACATTTGTATGCCTTTGCTCCAATCAATCAGTCTTTTGTGAGTTGATTTTACAGCAAAATTTCAGAGGACAAACGGAAATGTTTCCATTGGTCCCTACACTTTAAATGTATACATTTTAAATTTATTACCAGTGACTATATACTTATATTTTAACAATGCTACTGCAAAGTAACAAAAATGTGAAATATTGAATGTATGGCTTAAGAGATCTACAATAAATGATTATGTGAAGTTTTGCTTTGTTTTGTATCTGTAGCTGCTTCTTGAATTACCTGTCATTTGTGATTCTTATTACCTTGCGTGTGTGTGTCAAAAAACATTTTCAACCTTAAAGCTGTGCGAGTTTGATCTACAGTTGTTTCTGATTCAGTCAACACTGAGCTTGAATATTAATTTTATGAATTTAGTTGCAAGAATAAAAGGTAGCTGGAGAGGCTGGGAGTTCAGGAGAATGCCTCAGTCTCCAGTGACTTTCACAGTAACACTAAATAAACCAAGAATCTAAGAAAACACCATGTACTTCATAGGCGGTTTCAGACTAGTTCACCGTACACTTGTTACTCAATGTTTGTTCTTAAGTATTTTTAGGTCTTTGGAGCTTTTTTAAGATGCAGAAACCTAGGTCCCATTCCAAAAATGCCACTCAAATTTTTTTTTAACCATGTCCTTGGGGATGAGACTTACTTACCATTTCTTACACCTACCAGAACACAACTCATAAGCCCTTCTTCCCATGTCTAGAGATTCTGGCTTCCCCACTGTAAGAACTGAAGATACTGCAGCTGAATTGATGTCATGAAAAGGCCTTCATTCAATTAGAGTGGGTATCTTGTGTGGTCTCTATTTAATAACTTCCACTTTTGTACATTTCAATTTCTGTACGTGCTCTGAGATAAACAGCCAGAGTCTTTAAGCAAGAGAGACAACAACTAAAAACAACAATGAAAACTTAGTTACAGCTACAGCGATATATAGGTCTTTATAAAAGTAGCAGTTCCATTGTGAAGGCGGTGATAAATGTAAAACCATAAATTCTGGAAATAGTCGTAGTAAATAGATAGAAACAAGAGTGGTTCACAGATAAGGATATGAAGCATACTCACTGTATTTTACCAAAAATGATGTTCCTATATTTTGTAGACCAGAGAGCCTTTTTAAAGGAAACAAATTCATAACCAAATACCATCTAGAATTACCTCTATTAATAAATTGTCAATGTAATATTTTAATTAAAACATATATCACGTATTTTCTTCTCTGTATAATTTTATAAAATATCTATGATAAGAAAGAAAATAATGGAATGCATTTTCTTTAACATATTATCCTACATTATACTCTTTCTAATCTCTAGAGACTTTTGCTCATTTTAAACACCTTTATATGCATGGCTCTCATGTTTTTCCAATGACATTTATAATTTACTGCATCATATTCTCTTTATTGAGTCTCTTGAACAATAGAAGTTGAAAGAAAGAAAGATAAATGCTCAGCATATTTGCTTATTTCCTATATATAACTAAAATATATTAGCATATTTATACCTAAATTGATACCAAGAAGTAACTAGGTAACATCAAAGAAGCCATGTAATTTATTTCATTAAAGTCATTTTTGATGTAGTAATCAAGGTTATGATTTCTCCAGTCCATTGGACTTGAAGTTTACTAAGTGTGGACATACAGTATAAATTATTTTACTTTTAATAAACTATAGTTTTAGCAAGGTAAAACTTGATAAAAATTTTACATAAAATATATTTTTACTTGTCACCAATAAATTATGATACTAATAGTACATGGGCTTAGACATTATCCATGTCACTCTATTATCAGTTTTTACTTATTCTAAATTAATAGGTGGAGACTTTTTTAAGGTTTTTTAAGGTTTATGATACTATATGTAGTTAATTTATTTTTAACATGTTCTTCGTCCTTATTATATTAGTTTGATAATTATCTTAAGCCCCTCAACTTTGTACAACACTTAAAATTTAAGGCATAGAGCAAATTAAAGAAATTGTATTGGTGTCAGGTCTCTATAAAGAACTTTCAAGGGGAGAAAATTTATTTGTGGAATACATTGTCTGAGGAAATCAAAGAATATTTTCAAAAATAATGAAGGCTCCAGAATTATTATTCTTTTTGCCTCTCAAACATAGAATAGAATAGAAAGTTATACAATAGAAAGTGAATAGAAGAGAGACTAAAGGGAAGGAAGAGTTGAAGGAAGGATCAAAAAGAGATGATAAGGCAAGAGGACAGATGAGAAAAGAGAACAAGATCATGGTCTCTGAATCTTCAACACTGAAGAACGGTGACCTTAAGCATGCTTCCTGTCCACTGTTAAGACTTAACCAAATATTGAGCCCACTCCTATCACTCTTGCCCTGCAGAAATCATAGATATATTTGGACGTAGCATACAGTAAAAGAAAGAAGCAACAAAAATTAACCTATACTCAGCAGTAAGGAAACTATACTTCCAGACAATCAGCACAACAAATCCAAGTTTGTTGATTGATGCATTTCTGTCAAATACAGAAAATAAAATCAGCAGCACAGCTTTCTCTTATAGGTGTACTCATTTCTGCAGTCTGTTACATTTTGTGCAGTGTCTTCTATACCATCTCTCCTCTTACGGGGTTAAACTACTTCATACCAATATGTAAGTGCTTTTGCACTAATAAAGAAATGAAATCTTGCTCTTTTTGTTCTTTGACTGTAGCGTTGGCTGTGGAAATTCTCATTCCAAGCCCCACTACAATGTTTGATTTAAAATTTATTTCTAAAGTAAATGTATTATATAATTTAATTTTCCTTACTTATTAAACATGAGAAATACTTTTGATACAAGGTGGGATAATTAATAATTTATGTCAATAGCCAGATACATGCATTTATTTTTATGCTGGAAAGTTCATCTCCACCATAGAACGGGAAGAGACCAGTTCTCTTTCCAATGTAGGGATGAAGAGACCCAGATTAAACTTTGGCTATACTTCCCTATCCTCACCTAAATATGGGGATAGCAACCAATATTTGAGGATTCTTCTGAAGGTAAAATTTAAAAAGATACAACATATTTAGAAGTGTCCTGACATATATTTGGTGCTAAACAGTTATTAATGCCTGTCTTTCTTATTAAAGAATGGCAGGAAAAACATCGATGATAAAATAAATTTCAACTGGAAAACCTAGAGAAAATAAGTAAGTTTCTATACAAATACAACTTGCCAAGACTGAATCAGAAATAAATAGAAAATCTGAACTGACCAACAACAACTAGAAAGATTTAATCAGTAATAAAATGTCTTCCAACAAAGAAAAGGCCAGGACTAGCTGGCATCACTGCTGAATTCCACCAAACATATGAAGAAGAACTAACAGCAATTATCCTACAACTTTTCCAAAAATTTTAACAGGAGGAAATTATTCCTAATGTATGCTACAAAGCCAGAATTATCCTAATATCAAAACCAGACAAAGACACAAGAACAAAAAGGGAACCTAACGGCCAATATCCTGATAAACATAGACACAAATATTTTTAACAAAATACCAGCAAACTGAATCCAACAGCACATCAAAAAGATAAGACACCATGATGAAGTGGGATGCAAACATAGTTCAACTTGTGCAAATCAATAAATACAATATATCACAACAGAATGAAGGACAAAAATTATATGATTATCTCAATAGATGCAGAAAAAAAGTTTGATAAAGTTTAAGAGCCTTTAATGATAAAAAATCTCCACAAACTTGGCATAGAAGGGACTTTCCTCAACATCATAAAGGCCATATATGACACAATCACAGCTAACATCAAAATAAATGGGGAAAAGCTGAAAGCCTTTCCTTTAAGAACTAGAACAAGAAAAAGATATCCACTTTTGTCACCATTCCTATTCAAAATAGTGCTGAAAGTTCCTGCCATGATAATCAGAGAAGAGGAAAAAAAGAGAAAGTAAATGAAAAAAAAATTCAAAAAGGAAAGGAGGAATTCAAATTGTCCCTCTTTGAAGATGACATGATCATATATTTAGAAAAACTTAAAGACTCCACTGAAAACCTCTTACATTTGATAAATAAATTCAGTGTCATTGCAGGATACAAAATCAACATACAAAAATCAGTTTTCTATAAGCCAATTAATATGATTTGGCTGTGTCCTCACCCAAATCTTACCTTGAATTGTAGTTCTCATAATCCCCATATGTTGTGGGAGGGACCTGGTGAGAGGTAATTAAATAATGGGGGAGGTTTTCCTCATGCTATTCCCGTGATAGTAAGTTCTCACAAGATTTGATGGCTTTATAAGGGAGCTTCCCCCTTCACATTCTTTTCTCTCCTGCTGTCACGTGAAGAAGGACATGTTTGCTTCCCCTTCCACCATGATTGTAAGTATTTTGAAACCTCCCCAGCTGGGCAGAACTGTGAGTCAATTAAACCTCTTTTCTTTATAAATTACCCAGTCTCAGGCAGTTCTTTATAGCAGCATGAGTACTGACTAATACACCAATAATGAAATAAATGAGAAAGAAAAAAAGGCATTCCCATTTATAATAGCTACAAAAAATTAAAATATTGTGGAACAAATTTAACCAAGGAGGTGAAAGACCTCTAAAAGGAAAAATGCAAAACGCTGATGAAAGAAATTAAAGAGAACAGAAAGAAATGGAAAGACATCTCATGCCCATGGATCAGAAGATTTAATATCATTCACATGACCACACAATCCAAATCAATCTACAGATTCAATGAAATCCCTATCAAAATATCTATGTCATTTTCACTGAAATAGAAAAAAAATTCTAAAATTTGTATGGAATTTAAAAAGAGCCTTAATAGCCAAAGCACTTTACCCTACCTGACTGCAAAATATATTACAAAGATATTGTAACCAAAATAGCATGGTATTAGTATAAAAACAGACATATAGATCAATTGAACAAAATAGTGAACCCAGAAATAAACCCATGTATTCCAAATCAACTGATTTTCAACAAATGCACCAAGAACATAGATTGGAAAAAGACACCTTCTAAAATGAATGCTATTGGAAAAACTGCATATTCATAAGCACAAGAATAAAATTAGATCCCATATCTCTCACAATATATAGAAATTAACTCAAAATCAACTAAAGATATAAATGTAAGACCTGAAACTATAAAATTCCTAAAAGAAAACATAGGGAAAAAACACCAGGACATCGGTCTAGGTAAATATTTTATGGCTAAGAACTCAAAAGCACAGCCAACTAAAACAAAAGTTGGACTATATTAAACTAAAACTCTTCTGTACAACAAAGGAAACATTAACAGAATAAAGACACAATCTGTTGAATATGAGAAAATATTTGGAAACTATTTATCCAACAAGGAACTAACATCCAGAATATACAAAGAATACAAGCAACTCAACAGCAAAAAAGCAAATCCATTAAAAAGTGGTCCAAAGGGATGAATTCGATATTTCTCAAAAGACCGATTGCCAACCGCTATATGAAAGAAAGTTCCACATTGCTAATCATCAGAGAAATGCAAATTAAAACCACAATGAAATATCATCTTATTCCAGTTAGCATGGCTATTATTTAAAAAGTTTAAACACAAACAACCAAAAAAAAAAAAAAAAAAAAAAACAATGCTGGTGAAGATGCAGAGAAAAAAAAATCTTAAACACTGTTGTTGGAAATGTAAATTAGTATAGACATTATGAAAAACAGCATGGAAGTTTCTCAAAACACAAAAAATTGAACTATCATATGGTCTAGCACTTCTGCTACTAGATATTTATTCAAAGTAGAGGAACTCAGTATGTCAAAATGATATTTTCACTCTAGTTTATTGCAGCAGTATTCACAATAGCCAAAATATGGCATCAACCTAAGTGTCCATCAACAGATAAATGAATAAAGACTATATGGTTTATATACCCATTGGAATACTACTTGGTCATAAAGAAGAATGAAATTCTGTCATTTGTAGCAACATGTATGGAACTAGAGCCCATGATGTTAAGTGAAATAAGCCAGGTACAGAAAGACGAATATTGCATGTTTTTACTCATATGTGGGAGCTAAGAAAGTTGATTTCATGAACGTAGAGAGCAGAATGAT
This sequence comes from Homo sapiens, assembly GCF_000001405.40. Classification (NCBI taxonomy): domain Eukaryota; kingdom Metazoa; phylum Chordata; class Mammalia; order Primates; family Hominidae; genus Homo; species Homo sapiens. The sequence continues at coordinate 9,752,477 of NC_000007.14, read as the reverse complement.
AGTTAACAGAGGCTGCAGAATGTATGTGTGTGTGTGGGTGTGTGTGATGAAGAGCTATTGGTTAATGGGCACAAGCATACTGTTGGATAAAAGGAATAAGTTTTAATGTTTGATAGCAGAGTAGAGTGACGAGAGTTAAAAACAATGTGTTGTATATTTCAAAATAGGTAGAAGGGAGGGCTTGAAATGTTCCCGACACATTGAAATTATAATTACTTGAGTACCTTAAATACCTTAAATATGCTGACTCAATCATTACACATTCTATGCATGTATCAAAATATTACGTGTATGCTCCCCTCACCAAAAGAGAAAGATAAATAGAAGAAAAAGAATTCAGCATAGTATCGTGGTACCTATATACACTTTACAAAAATCTTTTATCCACACAAGAAACAATTCTTTATATCAAATAGTCTTTTGCCTCACACATTCTTTTATAAAGGTGTATGTTTCACTCTTGCATTGAGCTCAAAGAGGAATTTTGTAGGAATTCTTGGTTTTAGTAGGAGGAAAATGCACTTTCCCATCAAGAAATATAAAAGTGCATTAAGTAGCACAACTGTCCTTTAAAATTTCAGAGGTTAAAAAGCCAAGGATGGTAAACATCTGAACTACAATTCTCTCTCCTGGAAGGTAGATTTTTACACCTTCTCTAGTGAGCCTTAAAAATAAGAATTTTTAAACCTAGAACACTCTGACCTTTTACATTAAACCCAATGGTCAAGCAATTTTTATAGATGCATTGGTTTTAATAATCATAAATCCATTAAACTCTTCAGGTATGTGCATGCACATTTAATGTGTCATTTCTCAAAGCAAAATATATTAATCATTTTAGGAAGACTGTTATAAAGGGAAGTTCACAACTAATTAAAATATGTTAATTATACAAATAAAGTTTTCATATAAATGTAGCCAGATATTAACATAATATCCCTACATTACCTAGCATTCTGTAGGGAACATTACTAATATAAAATGTTCCTATTTGCTCAATGAAAGTCTTATTAAATACATATTTCATTTTTGTAAGGGTTTAATGTAAGCCACATACTCTTTTGAGATTAGTATATTTTAGTACCACATTATCTCTTATACTAGTCATTGCAATGACAAGAAAATATATAGAAAATTCAGGCCAAAAGCTATCTATCAGAAGTAACTTTTAAAATTCCACAGCAAAAAAAACCCCTACCTTTTAGGTATGTTTACAATAACGAAAAAACTATTTTCTAACTTTTACAGTTGTATCCTTGATATAATGAGACAAAATGTGATTTAAAACCAGTGATTAACAGTACCTCCCCAATAACAAATAAAAGATAAGAAATAAAGAGGCTTATACTATAAACATGAATTTCAGACTTCCAACACGATGACTCCATAGAATACATTTGATTCACCCCCTCAGCTCCAGTGATAGGTAAAATAAAAATAGGAACAAGAAAAAATAAATAGGTTCAGAACATAAGAAATAAAATAAAACTACAAAATTGTGAGTGAGACTGAATCATGAAATCACTGCATTCTTAGCTTAAAAAAGGAAATAGATACCAGTGTTTTATTCATTCAAGGTAAGAGTTCAAAGGGATTTGACATTTGACAATAGGTCTCTGATTCACTTTTTGGAGTCAGATGCTGAGAATGGATCTCCTTACGTGTGAATAGATAATAATTAAAATAAACAATAAAAAGGAGCAAATCATCGAAAATACTATTTCCAACCATCATCATCAAGGTAGACTTATAAAAGCAGGAAGACACAGATAAAGCCATTCAACCTGAAATGATACCAAGCAATCCAGGAGTATTTTACCTGGATCTTTGATATTCTTGATTTAACCATGTCACAGGACCCCAAAAATACAACTTTAAAGCCTGTTTCTGACTGGAGAGTCTTGGGAGCAGACAACGGGCATCACAAAATGTTAGATGAAGAGGAGTAAAAGCAAAGAATTTAGAAGTGTGGAAACAATCCTCTAAACAGGTCTCTTTGTTAAAATTTTGAGATCCATGAGTTAAAAAATTGCTCACAAAGTCAGTAAAATCAATAACCAGAAAATGAATAAATTCCAGAAAAATAGCTTTGAGGAAATATGTGATAAAGACTTCAAAATATATGTTAAAATTGCTTAATGAGATAAGCAAAGGGCTATCTTCCCTTTACAAAAGACTGCACAATAGACAAAGTGAAACTAGAAAAGTAAGATATATAAGAAAATCAATTAGAAATATTGGGGAAAAATAACAACCAAAAACATTTAATAATAAAATTAACTCCGTAGTAAACACAAAGACTTAGTGACTGGGAAAAATTTACTTAGGAGATCACATAGTACGTACTTATGAATTAATTCCCAATTCAGCCATGGTTTGGGGGACTTCTTATTTATAGAAGAGCAAAGAAAAGTATATCTCACTTCTCAGAAGCCATTCAAACAAGAATAGAGTGATGTAAAATATTTAAAGTGTTCAGAGCACAAAAATTCCCCACTAATCTAGAATTCTGCACCCTGCAAAATTATCCCGCAAAAGGCAAGGAGAAAAAGAGACTTTATCACACAAACAAAAATGAAGGAATTTGGTACCAGTAGACACATCATGCAAGAAATGTTAACATAAGTTCTTTAGAGAGAAGAAAAATAATATAGGTCAGAAACGTGGATGCAATAAAGAAAGGAAGAACATTAGAGAGGGGATAAGTACAGGTAAAATAAAAACTTGTTTTTTACTCATTGTTATGTATGCTTATGTATAAGTAAAATGAATGACAGCAATGATACAAGAAATAGGAGGGAGGAATTATGATTATTTTGTTATTATAAAGTACTCTCATTCACATTAAGTGGTATAGTATTATTCAAAAGTGTACTTAGGTTACTTGTACATGTATATTGCAAACTCGGGCTACTAATTAAAATGTAAAAAAAGAACTATAACTTATCTGCTGAGAAAGGAGAGAAAATGTAACCATATAAATGCTTAATTAACACCACATAGGCAGAAAAAGGGTAGAATGAAAAATGGAGACAAAGAACAAGGACAAGAAAACTTCTTTTAAAGTAGCAAATACAGTAAATATTAATCCAACTATATCCATAGTCATTTAGAATATTAACAATCTAAATGCACCAATTAAAAGACCGAGGTTTTTCAGAATGGATCAAAAACTAAAACACAAACATACATTGTCTATAAGAAACCCACTTTAAGTATAAAGACACATATAATGACACTTATAAATTGAAAGTAAACAGATGGAGGAGAAAAACACACCATACTAACACTAATCAAAAGAAAGTGGGATAGCTATGTTGATTTCTGACAGAGCAGATTTCAAAGTGAGGAAAGTTATTAGGGATAAAGAGGGGCATTATACAATGATAAAATGATTAATTTTTCATGAAAAATAACATTTTTCATGTGTATACATCTGACAATAGAGCATCAAACTATTTAAATGATAGAACTGCATGGAGAAATAGATTAATTCAGTATCATAGTTGGAGACTTCAACATCCTTCTATCAGAAAGGGACAGATCCAGCAGGCAGAAAATTAAGGACATAGTTGAACTTAATAACACCATCAATCATCTGGATATAATGAACATCTATAATCTACTTCATTCAGTAACAGCAGAATATGCATTCTTCCCAGGCTCACTTGGAACATTCACCTAAACAGACCGCATTTGGGTAATAAGACACATCTTAATAATTTAAAAGAATAGAAATCAAACAATATTGGTTTTCAGACCACAATGAGATTGAATTAGAAATCAATACCAGAAAGACAACTGGAAAATCCCAAAATATCTAAAAATTATACAATATATACCTGTAAATAAATGAGTTAAACAAGAAATCTCAAAAGAAAATTTAAAATATTTTGAACTTAATAAAAATGAAAACACAACTTTTCAAAATTTGTGGGATGTAGCCAAACCAGTGCTTAGAGGAACATTTATAGCATTAAATAAGTAGATTAGAAAAGAAGAAAGATCTAAATCAGGAATCTACAATTTCACCTTTAGGAGACTAGCAGAAGAGTAAATGAAATCCAAAGTAAGCAGAAGAAAGGAAATAATAAAAAAGATTTCCATCAATGAAATTGAAAACAGGAAAGCAATAGAGAAAAATCAACAAAATTAAAAGCTAGTTATTTGAAAAATTGATAAAATTAATAAATCTCTTCACAAAGCCATGAAAAAAGGAGAACACAAATTATTAATATCAGAAATGAAGAAAGAACATCACTGCAGATCCCATGAACCTTAAAAGAGTAATGAAATAATACTATGACAAATAAATAGTTATAACAATTACTCTGACAGAGAAGGCGAGGAAGGATGGAATTAGGAGAAGAGCAGCAGCCAGAAACCTATATTTGGCAGAAAGAGTCCTATAGGAGATAGTCAGTTCATCCCTTGAACCCTTATGAGATGTTGTCTTGCATGCATTGCTGAAATAGGCCTATTTTTCTTTCTATACTGCTAACACTAAGAGAGCCAGCCAAGATGAGAGTAGAATAACTCAGCAGGAGTTTGAATTTGGACTCTGCCACTTTCTGCAGTGTAACCTTAATCCAAACTTCTGTTTTGTTTTGTTTTTGAGCTATATTTTTCTTTTTTTTATTATACTTTAAGTTTTAGGGTACATGTGCACAACGTGCAGGTTTGTTACATATGTATACATGTGCCATGTTGGTTGCTGCACCCATTAACTCGTCATTTACATTAGGTATATCTCCTAATGCTATCCCTCCGCCCTCCCCCCACCCCATGACAGGCCCCAGTGTGTGACGTTCCCCTTCCTGTGTCCAGGTGTTCTCATTGTTCAATTCCCACCTATGAGTGAGAACAGGCAGTGTTTGGTTTTCTGTCCTTGTGATAGTTTGCTGAGAATGATGGTTTCCAGCTTCATCCATGTCCCTACAAAGGACATGAACTCATCCTTTTTTATGGCTGCATAGTATTCCATGGTGTATATTGTGCCACATTTTCTTAATCCACTCTATCATTGATGGACATCTGGTTTGGTTCCAAGTCTTTGCTATTGTGAATAGTGCTACAATAAACATACGTGTGCATGTGCCTTTATAGCAACATGATTTATAGTCTTTTGGGTATATACCCAGTAATGGGATGGCTGGGTCAAATGGTATTTCTAGTTCTAGATCCTTGAGGAATCACCACACTGTCTTCCACAATGGTTGAACTAATTTACAGTCCCACCAACAGTGTAAAAGTGTTCCTATTTCTCCACAACCTCTCCAGCACCTGTTGTTTCCTGACCTTTTAATGATCGCCATTCTAACTGGTGTGAGATGGTATCTCATTGTGGTTTTGATTTGCATTTCTCTGATGGTCAGTGATGATGAGCATTTTTTCACGTGTCTGTTGGCCGCATAAATGTCTTCTTTTGAGAAGTGCCTGTTCATATCCTTCGCCCGCTTGTTGATGATGATGATGGGGTTGTTTGTTTTTTTCTTGTAAATTTGTTTGAGTTCCTTGTAGATTCTGGATATTAGCCCTTTGTCAGATGGGTAAGTTGCGAAAATTTTCTCCCATTTTGTAAGTTGCCTGTTCACTCTGATGGTAGTTTCTTTTGCTGTGCAGAAGCTCTTTAGTTTAAAATTAGATCCCATTTGTCAATTTTGGCTTTTGTTGCCATTGCTTTTGGTGTTTTAGACATGAAGTCCTTGCCCATGCCTATGTCCTGAATGGTATTGTCTAGCTTTTCTTCTAGGGTTTTTATGGTTTTAGGTCTAACATTTAAGTCTTTAATTAATTTTTGTATAAGGTGTAAGGAAGCGATCCAGTTTCAGCTTTCTACACATGGCTAGCCAGTTTTCCCAGCACCATTTATTAAATAGGGAATCCTTTCCCCATTTCTTGTTTTTGTCAGGTTTGTCAAAGATCAGATGGTTGTAGATGTGTGGTATTATTTCTGAGGGTTATGTTCTGTTCCATTGGTCTATATCTCTGTTTTGGTACCAGTACCATGCTGTTTTGGTTACTCTAGCCTTGTTGTATTGTTTGAACTCAGGTAGCATGATGCCTCCAGCTTTGTTCTTTTTGCTTAGGATTGTCTTGGCAATGTGGGCCCTTTTTTGGTTCCATATGAACTTTAAAGTAGTTTTTTCCAATTCTGTGAAGAAAGTCATTGGTAGCTTGATGGGAATGTCATTGAATCTATCAATTACCTTGGGCAGTATGGCCATTTTCACAATATTGATTCTTCCTATCCATGAGCTTGGAATGTTCTTCCATTTGTTTTTATCCTCTTTTATTTCATTGAGCAGTGGTTTGTAGTTCTTTAAATTGTGGTTTTATAATCAGTTGCATGTGGTTATTAGATAACTTGTATCATAGAAGTGATAAGATCAAATTAGAAAGAGATTACTTTTACAAAAGCATAGCTGGTATATAGTAAACTTCTCTGGATAAGCATGAACATTTGTCAGAAGTTTTCTTCACAACTTTTTCCATCTGAATCTAACATCAAAATCTATAAATGGGGAAGTCGTGTTCATTTTTGTGCATTATTTGTAACCATCTGAATGCAACGATATGGTTTGCTTTTACTTCTTATCCCAATGTTGCCCACACATATTGTGCTAAATACAAAGCAGTGGTGTAAGTTTGAAAATGTGGGGTTTTTTGGTATATAATAGAAAACCGCTAATTACTTTTTAGAACTAGTTTAGAGAATTAGCCAAGGAAAAGCATTAACATTTAACTGTTCTGCAACGTGTTAATGTTTTTTACTTTTAGTAGCAACACTCCTCAGATTTCTCTGTTGACAAAGCCACTTAGACTAACTTAAAATGGCCCTATGAAAATCCATCGCCTTTTCTTAAGATCCTTTCTTTTATATTTATTTACTATATTTTCTTAAGTGCACAACAAACTTATTAAGAATCTTCAATTCTTCCATTCTAAATGGAGTCAAAGGTGCTGGACTGGTCACAGTTTGGCTCAGGCCTCTTGGGAAACATCATTCATTAGTTCAAGAACAGAGGATACACAAGCCATCTTTAACTTCAAGAGGATGTCTTAGAAAAAAAAGTTATCCTTTGTTTTAATCACTTAAAGTTATTTTCTACTATTAAGGAGAGAGATATAAATAATTTTGTATTAACTTTATATAAAAATAGTTTTTAAAATATATTTTAAAATACTCAAAGGCTGAATTTTGTTGCAATGCTGCAGAAATGATACTTATAGTGAAGGATTAAATGCATCTATTAGCAAAATATCTGTGAGTAAAAAATATTACAAATAAAAAATCAGAAATTCTTAATTAACTATAAGCATAGAGCAGTATAATTTATAGTAAATATTTTTAAGAACTCACACCTAGCAGCACAAAAACACGGGACCTAGAAATGCACATTATTGTCCAACTTTGAATCACTGTCATTTTGTATTTCATACCCTGAGGAGATTTCAACATGAAATAAAAGATGACATAACATATAAAGTACTTTAGCTCTGGATACCATTATGAAACTGCCTAAACAGATAACTCCAAAACAAGCATAGTTATTACATAATTAAGTGATCATCACTTTTCTTTTCAAATTGTACAATGAAATGTCCTGTAAGAAGCGCTATATCCTAAATGTTGGACTATTCTAGCTAATCAGCAAATAATTATGCCCTGGCCTTTCGCCAAATTCATAAGTGTTCCATTGCTAATGTATTGCATATATGATGTACAGATTATTAAAGTATACTCTTATTATCCCTTCCTTTAAAACAGGCCTTGGGATACTTGATATGATAGTATATATTTGGTACATGCAGGATAAAGTCGTTTGAACACCTAATTAGGTAAAAAAGGTCAGCCAAAATATTAGTACTAAACAGTATTTGGGCAATTTGGCACCAAAAGAGAGATTGAAAAGAGCAAGTCAAACAAATGGGATCCAAATGGTGAGTTAAGATAGGCAGATACAGAGAAGTAATTTCTGGACTGTGAGCAGTTCAACACAGTTTAATATACACTGGGATTCTAGAAATTAATTGGCTAACTAAAGCAAATCAGAGCTGGGGGTAGAAATGATGACCAGTTTGGTAACTTAAACACTGCTTTTTGGCAAGTGCATAAAACTTTATTTTTTTGTGACTTTCTTCAGGAGAAAAATAAAAACAGTTTATGGAGTTGAAGCACAAAGGTAGGTAGATTGGATATACACAATCATTGCATATGGCAACAATGCTTATCAAAATATTTCTAGATTTTCTCTAATTTATGTTTATTGAAATATGACTTGTCATTGGTTGCAAAGCTACAAGAATTGGGAAAAATCAATTCTGTTAACAAATTGCTCTTAAAATTTAAATTATTGAATTCCATTTCCTTTCAGGTTTACTATTTTTACCATTGAAAATTATAGAAAAGTATATTGTTATAATTTGATATTATGTAATTTTCAATGAAAACAACTTGATAAACTCACTTCATTCACCCTAGCTAATAATGGGTCTATAGTATATATAAATCACAAACTTCTTTGTGAATTTCCTTTTTCTAGCCTCTACAAGGACATTCGTAGGTGTGCCAAAAAAAGCATTAAGCCACAGCACATCCTTGATAAATTTCACTAGCCCATCCTCTCTAAAATAAATGGAATTCAGGTTCCATTTATTGACATGAAGCAACACTACAACATGCTTTGAGTAATTTTTAGGTGTTATGTCAATTAGAAAGCTTATGGTCACTGATTATATAACTAGACGTTAACTAATTATAAAACCTTCCAATGGTAATTAAAACTCTATTATAATTAATGAAAAAATGTTAAAAGGAGTCAGTTATCTCAGCAATTGGAGTATTTTAGATAAATTAGCTCATTATACTTTTCACTAGCAGTCTAAAAAGGCTAAAAATAATCTTGTAGAAAGGTCTTATGTATTGTTTACAAATGAAAAGTGAACTAGAGAAATGAATCAAATATATGAGTAATTTAGTGCCCTTGTTCTTAAACTGTTTGAAATATTCACATATTTAGGATACTTTTCAAAATGTGTATACATTTATATACGTTTTAAATTTCATTTTCTGTATATACATGCAAACTTCTATTTGTTAATTTGATTTATATAAGTCAATATATATTTGGCTTAATCATGAAGCCTGTGCTTCCATTTACTTTTCACTTACCTGTAATTTCTCTCAGCCAGTCCCCAGGGCAACACCTTCTTTATGTGGGTAAAGTCCTTTAAAATGATATAGTTAAAAAAATTTAAAAATGACTCGGCAATAACAAAACCAAACCAATGCTCGTATAAGCACATATTTTATGAGACTGGCAGAAAGGCAACATTGACTCTGCCAGAGAAAAATTGCACAGAACCAACAAAAACAGTCAAGAAAGACTTTATTCAACACTATTGCAACAGGGGAGGGAGATTAAATTCAACTCCTTTGAAACAAAGGGCAAGAGACTTTTAAGCACTGGGGTGAGCTAGTGGAAATATACTGAAGGACACTGGAGGAAGGCTGATTAGTACGATTAGGCATTCTGTGCTTGCTAGTTGGCATTTATTGATGTTAAGCTCCTACCCTCCCATAGAGACTGGGGGATAAGGATCCTGTATTTCTTGATAATTTCATTTCAAAGAGATGCTCTGAGTTCTTTGAGAAAGACATTTCTATGTTGTAAAAATGGCAAGAAGATTTATATCTCAAAGGTGCAGGGAAACAATATATAGTTGCAATTTTTCTAAATTAAATGCTCTAGGAAAAGTGAGATAAAGGACCTATAGTCAGGAACAAATCTGTTTAAAATTTAGTTAAGCTGAAGGGAATGGCAAGACTTTTTTGGTCAACTCTGAATATTTCACAACCTTTTTGTAACTTAATATTTGAGTTTCTAACAACAGAAGAGAGCAAATTTCTTGCCTGGATGTGAACCAGCAAATTTCTGGCTAACTTACAAGCTTTATATATAAGTTTAATTTTTTTGACAATCACATAAGCATACAGGATTTCTGGGAGAAGAAAGCTGGCCTAATAAATTAACTATTATTTCAGAATGAATAATTAAACAAAAATTAACCAGAAAACATACATACACCCAGAGAGGTTTTTTTTCCTCTGTTTCTTATTTTTCCCTAGATTGGTACATGTTATAAAGAAAAATAATATTAGCATTTTCTGAAATAATACAAAATAGCAAATGGATCTTAACCTCTATAATGGTTTTCCTATCAATAAAGGTAAAGTGCAGAAAATAATCAAATTATAAAATAAATACTTCAGTGGAGAATCTGGGCCAGAATATTGTTGGCACAAATTAAGGGTGGTTTTCTTCTTCTAATATGTTTAATGTCTCTGTAATTGTTCAGTCCAATAGTTCACTTAGGATGCAATCTTTATGATGAAATATGAATGATCTTGTTTCTCATATCTTTATGTGTAAGTAGGGGTCTTTAACTGAGTGGCTTAATGTCTTTAATATTTTTTGATATTACCACGAAGAAATATTCAAAATAAGAATCAGCTTGGAAAACGCACTGTGAACCTTTCCAAGGTGGATAGTCACACAGGTAATCAATTTGATAATCAAAAATCAATTTGAAAGTCACAAATCAGACCTTTTTCCCTTAAATCAGGGCTATTCCCATTCTTTTACACTGATTTGTCCATTGATATAAAATGTGCTACTTAAATACAGCATCAGGAAATTATTTCTGAAATGAAATAATATGATCTGTACTCAAGCACAGCAAGAAAATATGATGGATATACTGTAACTACCTCTTGTGAAGGAAGGTCAGATGGAGAAATAAATGCAAAGTTGTTTGAAAAGAAAAACTACAGCAAAAAAAAAATGGCTAGCAACATTTCATTGGATGCTTCACCTAAGAACTCACAGTTTGACAGAAGAAATTGATACTTCGAAAACTCATAGCCATGTTTAAATTTAATTTTGTTGCCGAAGTTATTTGTTAAATTACAGTGAAGCTAAATGTTTAGATTTATGTCAGAATTTTTTTCTTTGCTATTGTAAAAACTGAAAATCAAAAAGAAAGTGAAATATACATTATTTCTCATGAGGGAACAGAATTATCTTGGCCATCATAATAAACAAGTTTTATTTTACACAACTTTTCTACTCTAAATATTTTAAATTGGCATTTTAGCTACTTTTAGTCCTTTCAATTAGAAAGTTATAGCCAAGTCTGTGATTCAGGTATGATTCAGTATTGGTATCCATCATAATGAAAAAAGAACGCTTTAGAATAATTCTTTAGAGGGTCCCTTTTAAAGGAAAGTTTATCCAGATAAAAACACATAGAAGATGACCAACACCAGATTGGAATGATTTAACACTTGGTGACTGAACTTGACCCCACCTTTCTCACTGAATCATCTGACTAAATGAGATATAAATGTTTTATTCAAATTAACTGTAGGTATCAGTGCAATTCAAAAATCTTACCTTATCTAAAATATCCAAGAGGACCAGAGTTGTAGTTTTTGCTCTAGCATGTCTTCCTCAAGCATCTTTATAAAAAACATTAACAAAGAATTCATAACATTATTTCCTTGAAGTTAAATCTGGAAATATAGTTGTAACAGTGATTTCCTAACTATGCCAAGTACTAGAATCACCTGAGAAATTTTTTAAATTATCAGTACCATCGTTATACTCAATACCAATTAAATCAGAATATCTGGGAGTGGAAGTGACTCATCAATTTTTTTAAACATCCCCAGGTGGATTAAATACGGAGTAAAGGATGGGAACAACTAGTTCTCCTTGAAGAGGTCCTTCACGTCCCTTGAAAGTTGGATTCCTAGGTATTTTATTCTCTTTGAAGCAATTGTGAACGGGAGTTCACACATGATTTGGCTCTCTGTTTGTCTGCTATTGGTGTATAAGAATGCTTGTGATTTTTGTACATTGATTTTGTATCCTGAGAATTTGCTGAAGTTGCTTATCAGCTTAAGGAGATTTGGGGCTGAGACAATGGGGTTTTCTAGATATACAATCATGTCATCTGCAAACAGGGACAATTTGACTTCCTCTTTTCCTAATTGAATACCCTTTATTTCCTTCTCCTGCCTAATTGCCCTGGCCAGAACTTCCAACACTATGTTGAATAGGAGTGGTGAGAGAGGGCATCCCTGTCTTGTGCCAGTTTTCAAAGGGAATGCTTCCAGTTTTTGCCCATTCAGTATGATATTGGCTGTGGGTTTGTCATAGATAGCTCTTATTATTTTGAGATACGTCCCATCAATACCTAATTTATTGAGAGTTTTTAGCATGAAGGGTTGTTGAATTTTGTCAAAGGGCTTTTCTGCATCTATTGAGATAATCATGTGGTTTTTGTCTTTGGTTCTGTTTATATGCTGGATTACATTTATTGATTTGCATATATTGAACTAGCCTTGCATCCCAGGGATGAAGCCCACTTGATCATGGTGGATAAGCTAATGGAAGACCATTCCATGCTCATGGGTAGGAAGAATCAATATCGTGAAAATGGCCATACTGCCCAAGGTAATTTATAGATTCAAAGCCATCCTTATCAAGCTACCAATGATTTTCTTCACAGAATTGGAAAAAACTACTTTAAAGTTCATATGGAACCAAAAAAGAGCCCGCATCGCCAAGTCAATCCTAAGCCAAAAGAACAAAGCTGGAGGCATCACGCTACCTGACTTCAAACTATACTACAAGGCTACAGTGACCAAAACAGCATGGTACTTGTACCAAAACAGAGATATAGATCAATGGAACAGAACAGAGCCCTCAGAAATAACACCGCATATCTACAACTATCTGATCTTTGACAAACCTGAGAAAAACAAGCAATGGGGAAAGGATTCCCTATTTAATAAATGGTGCTGGGAAAACTGGCTAGCCATATGTAGAAAGCTGAAACTGGATCCCTTCCTTACACCTTATACAAAAATTAATTCAAGATGGATTAAAGACTTAAACGTTAGACCTAAAATCATAAAAACCCTAGAAGAAAACCTAGGCATTACCATTCAGGACATAGGCATGGGCAAGGACTTCATGTCTAAAACACCAAAAGCAATGGCAACAAAAGCCAAAATTGACAAATGGGATCTAATTAAACTCAAGAGCTTCTGCACAGCAAAAGAAACTACCATCAGAGTAAACAGGCAACCTACAAAATGGGAGAAAATTTTCGCAACCTACTCATCTGACAAAGGGCTAATATCCAGAAGCTACAATGAACTCAAACAAATTTACAAGAAAAAAACAACCCCATCAAAAAGTGGGTGAAGGACATGAACAGACACTTCTCAAAAGAAGACAGTTATGCAGCCAAAAGACACGTGAAAAAATGCTCACCATCAGTGGCCATCAGAGAAATGCAAATCAAAACCACAATGAGATACCATCTCACACCAGTTAGAATGGCAATCATTAAAAAGTCAGGAAACAACAGGTGCTGGAGAGGATGTGGAGAAATAGGAACACTTTTACACTGTTGGTGGGACTGTAAACTAGTTCAACCATTGTGGAAGTCAGTGTGGCGATTCCTCAGGGATCTAGAACCAGAAATACCATTTGACCCAGCCATCCCATTACTGGGTATATACCCAAAAGACTATAAATCATGCTGCTATAAAGACACATGCACACGTATGTTTATTGCGGCACTATTCACGATAGCAAAGACTTGGAACCAACCCAAATGTCCAACAATGATAGACTGGATTAAGAAAATGTGGCACATATACACCATGGAATACTATGCAGCTATAAAAAATGATGAGTTCATGTCCTTTGTAGGGACATGGATGAAATTGGAAATCATCATTCTCAGTAAACTATTGCAAGGACAAAAAACCAAACACTGCATGTTCTCACTCATAGGTGGGAATTGAACAATGAGAACACATGGACACAGGAAGGGGAACATCACACTCTAGGGACTGTTGTGGGGTGGGGGGAGGGGGGAGGGATAGCATTAGGAGATATACCTAATGCTAAATGACAAGTTAATGGGTGCAGCACACCAGCATGGCACATGTATACATATGTAACTAACCTGCACATTGTGCACATGTACCCTAAAACTTAAAGTATAATAATAATAACATTAAAAAAAAAAGAACAAGTAAAGACTAACTTGAAAAATTAAAAAAAAAAAAAAGGATGGGAACAACTAAGTTAAAAGGTACCTCGCCTGACATCAGGAAAAAATAATAAAACTGCTAAACATCTAGTAAAAGACTGTATTTGGATGGCATAACAACCACATTTTTTGTAGCATTAAAATATAAGCCGAGTGACTAACGAATAAAGTTGCTTCTAAGGGCTTTAATGAAATAAATAAGATGGATTCAAAGTTCACTTTAACTTTGAGTTCTTGATAATTCATTTCATTTTGTCAATTTTTAGGCTAAAAACAGTGCCTAAAGGCTCTTTCATATTGGCTATGCAAAATTCCATTCAGAGTCTCCTCCAATCTGCTTTCCTTTTATGGTTAAAATCAGTCAGTAATAGCATGTTGAACTATATCATTTTGCTGTGATTTTTGTCTTGTTACATAAACCTCTCTTTAATAATATAGTGAATCTGATGCGAAGTTTGACAAATTAGAATACTGTTAGAAGAATTTAAAAATAATCAACATGATTAATTCACCATGTTTCAAAAGAGAAGACTGAAGATTCTGGTTTTCAGAATCTTGCATTTCAAAATTATTACCCATAAAAAGAGAATAACATTATCTGATTGGAATGTCAGAGAAAGCATTAATAAAAGGTGTAGTCCAAAATCAAGCATAAAGCTTAACACATTTTCTCTGGTAAATGAGAAACTTGATTGGCTGATGTATCCTAAATCACCAAACCTAAGATATCTTTCAATGTATTAAAATTTATTTTAAAGCCATGTATAAATGTCACTGTATAGTGTTTCAAGATTGTGTTTTTTTTTAATCAGTGTGTTTATCAGCATAGGTAAACTGCTAATGCTAATAACTCACCGGTTTACCAAAATACAGGATTATTTGTGGGGGCCTATCCAGTACAGGATGATAGTAGAGAGGAATGCTATGTTACTTTGCTCTGTCTTTAAGGCCTGCTTCTTTTCATCCATGGCTTCTCTATCTATACCAAGGGCTTGCTGTCTTCTGCTGGCTCCTCTGCTACCAGCTCGGAGATAAGGGAGAGAGTAAGTGTGGAGAACAGTGGAGAACTCTGATATGCAGCCATTTCCGAAATGTCAAGTTGGCTGACACCTTGTTCTTGACCTTCTTCACCTTCAGAATGATGAGAAATAAATTTGTTTAAGTCGCTCAATCTATAATATATCATAGCAGCCTGAGCAGACTAAGATAGTCATAAACCCTTCTGTCTGCTTTCTATTGGTTAGAATTCAGTCACATGACCTTGCTTCAAAAAGACTGGGAAATTAGTCTAACTTTTAAAAGACGAGAAATGTGGATTCTGTCCCTTTGATCAACAAATATCTTTTGTTCCATTTATTCTATCTATGGAACACCCAAAGCCTCTCTCCAAGGGATTCAACAGAAAGCCTAAGATCTCTAGGCAATATAACATATTGTTCGTTATTCTCTTTGATCTTGGCGGCTCTGCCCTGGAAGACATTTTTCTTCTGTTTTTAACTTATTGTCTCTGTCTTTTGTAAGGATTTTAATCCTGTATAACTTTTTCAGACTAGTTCCTATGGAAGCAAGCTTGAGTCCAAAGATTGTGTTACAGATGGAATAATAAAAGGCAATAAAATTCCCTAAAGTATTGGTAGGCTCTTAATCTATGCAGTCCAGAATATTCTCTTAGATAAATTTATTTCTTTGCTTTCTCACCTCTAAGTTTCTCTTTTTCAACTTAATGGCACACCTGGTGACTATCTAAAACTAATTGGATGTCATATCCATACCCTCAGTCTAAACATGTTCCAGGTCGGAGTTACTTTAAGTAGGAAATCTTACAAAAGGCTTTTATTTTTTATTTTTTTATTTTTTGTTTTTTTACAAAAGGCTTTTAAATCTCTCTTAAAAAATTGTTTGGAGTCCAGGTAAGTACTTCACAACCTGAATAAACCCAAGTTTCTGGGTTTTTTTTTTTTTTCCTATTCCTTTTCATTTAATGCTGCCTATTCTTTCCTAAATTTATCTTTTTAGGTAACACATTGCTCAGCATAGTAAATAACCATATCCAAAAGAGAATAACAGTTTTTAACCAACCTCATTTCTTAAAGGTAGATCCCAGTAGATACACTTTCTCTCTTCTACTGTTTAATTAAATATTTGACACTGAATAACACAGATATATAGGCGTCCATCCTGTTATATCTGTTCCTTCACCACCTACCTCCAGTCTGATAAACCAGTAATTACATGTTGGAAGTTTCAGTTGCAAAAGCAGCCTACTCAAACTGTTAATATCTTTATTAGACAAATTAAGTCACACTAACCATTGAAACAAACAACCTCAGAATGTTGAGAGTTTGTTCCTTTGTCATGCACTTCACCATCTACTGTGTGTTAGTGGTGGCAGGAAGAAATGGGGAGTTGGTTCTCTGTTCCATGTAGTCACTCAGGTACCCAGCCCCCTTCCATATTTTGATACTGTTATCATAAAGGCTCAGGGTCTTCCACTGGAGGCCTTACCTCAAACTGTCAGACAAGGAAAAGGAAAGGGAGAGAGGGGACTAGAAGAGGGGAACATCACTTTTGCTCACAGTCTCTTGTGTAGAATTCAGTCATATAGCTTTACCTAACTTCAAGAGGGTTGCACAATGATCTCCATTAGTGTTTCCTGGAAGAATAAGTGAAACACAAATATAGCTCAGCTGTATCATTCTCTCTCTCAATTATCATGTATTTCAAATGATTGTTTTATCTAAAGATAAAATAATATACAATTAGACCTATTTAATTTACTCACTAAAGCACCATGCATACAATTTATCTTGATTACCATTGGCCTGAACCTAGGTGTACCAGATAAAATACAGGATTCCCAGTTAAACCTGAATTTCAGATAAACAATAGATAGATAATTTTTAGTATATGCATTCTCCAAAATTGCGTGTGTCAAACTTATATGAAGAAATAATCATTGTTTATCCAGAATTTAAATTTTACTGAATACCTGTCTTTTTTTATTTGATTGTGTTGCTAAATCTGTCAATCCCAGCCAGAACACTTTCATTTTCATTATTAGTATTGTTAAGTATGCTCAAAGATGTCAATATGAATTATGGAAATTGTAAATATTATATGTTTTCCCTCAATTACCTTTAAACAAAAAAAAAAAACACTGCTTCAAGCCAAAAGGTATAGTCTTGACTATTATCTGCTACTTAAATCTAATTTATATATGCCTAGAATTGTTATTTTTAACTAGTCTTTAGTGTCATATGAGACTTGATGTTTTAATTAAATTTCAGTACAAACACCTTAAAATAATATTATGCTACTTTTATTTCAATATTTGTGTTCTGCTTTGTTAGGAGAAAAGTTGAAGCAAAGTGCAGATTATCAGGCTTAAGATAAATTAAGAAGCACTGGCACCTTCACTGATCTTCAAACTAAGAACTGCCCATAAAGTGGTGCTGCCGAGATTGGATTTCTCGTGCATGCTCCCTCAGTGATTTTTATATTTTAATAAGACTGTTCATTATAGTTAGCTCCTCATGTTGGAGCCATTAGATATTTGTGGGAAATAACATATCATTATCTCAGTTGCATTCTGAGCCATTTGGGATGCTTTTAAGTTAGAATGATTTTTTTCTTGTCTTAATTTTACACACACTAGTGCCTACATGCCTGTTCAGCTTATTTCTGTCTTCAGGTTCTTTGATCCTATTTTTCAACTTTATTGTGTTAAAGTGGCTGATGAACAGTGTCACTAACTGCTAGATAGGAGTAGCCTCAAATTCAGTTAATTCAAAAATGTACTGCCTTGAGAGAGGGGTTGATATTCTAAGTCCTTTATTTATTCCGTCTCTCTCTCTCACCTAAAATTCCATCAGGAAGCATTCACACACATCTCCGTATCTCTTCAAATTTAGCATTAGGGATCTAAGCATGGAAACAATGATTTTGACATTACATGACCGTAAGAACCAAGGATATTAAGAGGAATGCTTACAGCATATAAAGGCAAAAAGCAAACACAACATACACTCGACAATTAGTGAGCAATCAAACCAAACGCAGATCTAGTGCAACTGAGTAATTTTCAGCGTTGAAATGTGAACCTATAGAAGGTTCTAAGTTATATTTCTGATTTCCATGTAATAAAGTATATATTAAGTTTAGATTGGGATTTAGCAAAGCTATATAGTTATTCTTGTAACTATTCAAGTTTGGGATGGGGGGTGGATAAAGATTAACTATGCAGCAAAATCCTGTCTTCTCTCTTATTCATTATTTGTTCACCAAAAAGATCTATGATCTGAACTGTTTTAAATTTTTATTTGCTATCCCATCTGGTGTGGTGAGAACCCTCATAGAATCCAGAAGTTTTTAAACTCATACATGGTATTTTATTTCATATTCCTTCTTTATGTTTATTGTGAAGGGTAGCCTAGAATTGTTTATTCAGTAAATTAATATGTATTGCGCATATACTGTTTCCAAGTATTGAGCACTAGAAATGCATATATTAAATATAGAATTAATCTCTACCCCAAGGACTTCGCAAACAAGTACATATGTGCGTGTGTAATCATTCATTTTATTTATCACTAAATTGCCAGTGAGAGAAATTTTAGGATGTTGACTTCATACACAGTTAACATTCCCATCTTCCTCAAATTTAGATCTTGATGTAGGATTACTAAGTTCTGCAGTTGCCAAATACATTATACAACCAGAAAAACAATATTACTTTTTGAGATGAATATCATTTTATAATAATAGTCATTATGAAACTAAAAATGAAGAAAATGTCTTAATTCCAAAAGACTATCTTACAAGCAATATGTTTAGTTTTCCAATAATTGACTATATTCCTCTGATGTGGTTCATCTCACTATGGACGGTGAAAACTTTGTCATGGCTTTTGCAAAACAGTTTTATTTGGGAGCTAGTAAGAAATAAAATAGTCTGATATTTGATCTCTGTGTTTGGAGTTAAATTGTTATATGCCAATATTAAATGCAGCAAATACTTCATAGAGAAACAAAACCTTAATACAAATCTGTAGCCCTAACTATGGAAGAAGATAATGGGCCTAAACACAGATGAAGACTAGTTTCTGGAGGAAGAAATCAAGACAGAGAGTTATTTCAAAGAGATGGTCTATGGGGCTTTGGAAATTGATGTACTAGTCAGGTACGGAATCAGTATGGATCACACTTAGTTGGATGACATTTATGAAAAGTAGAAAAGAGCCCCAAACAATAACTTGTATAAACCTACATTCCATTTCTTTATTCTGCCTTATTTTTCTTCATTATATTTACTACTACCCACATTATTTGTTACCTTTATTTCACTCAAGAAATATTTATTGAAGCTCCTTAATGCTTGGCCCTGTTCTGGGACCTAGGATAAAATGAGAGAACAGAAAAAAAAAGTCTCTCCTCATGAAGCTTCCATTCTAGAGTTATGTTAGTCCCAACATAACAACAGGATATCTGTGGAAGCAGGGACCGTGGTTCTGTCTCAATCTGTTGTATATCACTACATTGGCAACCCAACCATTGCATACTACGTGCTCAATATTTTTTGTTGAATTAATAAATAGAGGGGGCCGGGCACGGTGGCTCACGCCTGTAATCCCAGCACTTTGGCAGGCCGAGTCAGGCGGATCATGAGGTCAGGAGATTGAGACCATCCTGGCTAATACGGTGAAACCCTGTCTCTACTAAGAATACAAAAAAATTGGCCAGGCACGGTGGCGGGCGCCTGTAGTCCCAGCTACTCGGGAGGCTGAGGCAGGAGAATGGCGTGAACCCGGGAGGCGGAGCTTGCAGCGAGAGGGGATCCCGCCACTGCACTCCAGCCTGGGTGACAGAGCGAGACAGAGCGAGACTCCGTCTCAAAATAAATGAATTAATGAATAAATGAATGAATAAATATATATATATAAATAGAGGGTTTTGGGTACATGGAGTAGGGGAGTGGATACTCAAGTATATTGAGAGTAGTTTACTTCTACCCCAGAGAACTGGAAGGCAAAGAGGCTAAGAAAACGATATCAAATATAATGGTAGCCCATGGAATATGTCAGAAATTCCAGCCATCTACTGCTGTTCTTTTTTGTGTTAAAAGAAATGATTTTTACCTGGGACTGTAAGTTCTAGTAATGAAAGCTGGTTAGGAAGAGCTATTGTTATCTTGTATCCCAGCTGTGCACTTAGACTGATGTTCCTATGAAAAGTGTCTATTTAAAAAATGAACATGTTTATCTTGTCTGCAGGACTATGGGAGTGAATTTACATCTAAAAACACACATTCCACTTCAAATAGCCTTTTTCAGAAAGGTCTGGGCCTAAGGTTTCTTACAAACAGAATCAGTTATTTTGGAAATATTCATCCTTCTTTACCTTGGCAAAGGTGACATTGATAAAGAGAATGAAAATGATAAATCCATAAACCCTGGTCTTTATGTGTAGGGGAAGAAAAGTGCTACAGAGAAAAGGATCACTACGATAAAATGGACAGAGATGAAAGGTGGCAAACTGATTTAAGTAAAAATTAATGGCAAAGATTTTAGAGGCAATTTAAAAATTCAGTTAACACAACTGTTTGAAGATTAAGAAGTGAGGAGACAGGGGATTCAAGTACACGGACGACTGATTATATGCCGGGCTCTATGCTAGCCATTCCACATGCACACACACATTTCACAGTCACTGAGGAGAATATAATTACTCCTCCAAAACAGTGATTAAAAAATGTGATACAGATCCTTACAATAACTTGCCTCAGGCCACATGTCTAATATGGGACAGGTAGAATTGCAATCCTGTGCAGTCAAATGACTCCTCAGCCCACATACACCATATCATATTTTGGTATGAATATAAAATATGGTTACACATCTCTGGGTCAAAGTAATTTATTGACACCTAATAAAAGGTTTCCAAGCCTGATGAAAATATTTTAAAATAAATCTTATACATAGGACTTCTATTTTCTTTGATCCTAATTTAGTAAGTCTAGAATCATTTGCAAGCCATGTGTGCAAAATATATGCAAGCCACCTCCCTAAAATTAATTAAGGCCTGTGTTTCAATCATTTTCAAAGATGTTTAAATCATCTTCTATTTTGCAAGTCAGGAGAAATTAGATTAACAAGAACTCTGCAGGACCCCAATCTATACTACTTGAAAAATTCTGAAATACTACCAGAAAAGGGGTGAAATACAGCTGGAGTGATTAAGATTAATATTCAGACACAATTCTCTGGCTGGCAAGTTGTTAAAACATTGAAGTAAAGGTCCAGAATGAATATAGAACTCCAATTCCGGAGAACTTTTCTAAACATACATTAATATGTGAGTGATAATTTTTGATGTTTTGTTTCACTAAATTATTTTTAACTTTGCCTTTTGCTTGTACTTCTATATTTAATCTACTACTGGAGACTTCACATTCTGTTTTATTAATGTTCCTATCTCTTCTCACTGCCATAACACTATGTCTAATACACTGACAAGCTGGCTAATTTCCTTTCTGGTTTCTGACCCTCGTCTCTCCATCTCCAGCTTTCTTCTCATTCTTTCCACATCACATAAGCATAAAATGGTTGCTCTGAAGTCTTGGTTTTTATCAAGTTACTCAACTGCTCTAAAAACTAATGGCTTCTCACTGCTTATAGCTATATTTGTGCAGGGCATTTGGTCAGAACAGAGAAAGCAAAAAAAGAAGTCAATGCCCAAATAACTGGGACAATGCTGGGTTAAGCAAGGCTGAAGGGGAATAGAAATTTTACTCTATGGATTCTCAGAACCTTTAAAAGGACAAAATATACAGTTATCTCTTTAGATTTTGCTGAGGGAGACTTCGTTCAAAAATACCTTCTGTATTTCCAAGAAGTAATGATGTTCCATGGGGCAACTTTGAAAAATGTTGGTTTATAAAATTTTATAATCTAGTATTCAAAATCTTACTTGTCCAGTTATACCCAACTAGACTCTGTTGATCCAATTTGTTCTTTACCATCTTGTCCTTTGAATACACTTGGTAATATCCCACTCCCTTATTCTGCATAAATAATTTAATCTGCCTAGAATGCTTATTCATTATCAATTCTGTCTTTAAATTCTTACCTTAATGCATTTTTCTTTATATAATCTCTCCAAACTGGTTCAGTTGTGCCATTCTCCTTCATAAACACTGCAGACACTTCATATATAAACATCGTAGTTATTTATGTGTTTACATCTGAGATATGTTAAATACCTTGATTTTATCAACCATGAATATTTTCTTTTTTTTATATTTATTTATTTATTTACTTAATTTCAATTTTTTGAGACAGAGTCTCGCTCTACCACCCAGGCTGGAGTGCAGTGGCGTGATCACTGTAACCTCCGCCTCCCAGTTCCAGAGCTTCTCCTGCCTTAGCCTCCCGAGTAGCTGGGATCACAGGCGCCCACCACCACACCCGGCTAATTTTTGTATTTTTAGTAGAGACGGGATTTCACCACGTTGGCCAGGCTGGTCTCGAACTCCTGACCTCAGGTGATCCACCTGTCTTGGCCTCCCAAAGTGCTGGGACTACAGGCGTGAGACACCACACCTGGCCAGAAATATTTTTTAAAGCTGAAATGAAAGGCACCCTCCAATGGGACACACATTTGAGTGGAGACCACCAGCACCCTAAGGTGTGACCCTGAAGGGCGAAGCATGCTCCCATCCCAATCCCTTTCTATCTATATCACATCATGACAACGTCCAGAGATGGGCACCTGATAGCATTAGCCCTTTGTTTTTTTTTTTTTTTTTTTTTTTTTTTTTTTTGAGACGGAGTCTCGCTCTGTCACCAGGCTGGAGTGCAGTGATGCGATCTCTGCTCACTGCAACCTCCACCTCCCGGGCTCAAGTGATTCTCCTGACCCAGCCTCCCAAGTAGCTGGGACTACAGGCAGGCACCACCACGCCCAGCTAATTATTGTGTTTTTAGTAGAGAGGGGGTTTCACCATGTTGGCCAGGATGGTCTCGATCTCTTGACCTTGTGATCCACCCACCTCAGCCTCCCAAAGTGCTGGGACTACAGGCGTGAGCCACCGCGCCCAGCCAGCATTAGCCCTTTTTTTTTTGAGACGGAGTCTCGCTCTGTCGCCCAGGCTGGAGTGCAGTGGCGCAATCTTGGCTCACTGCAAGCTCCGCCTCCCAGGTTCACGCCGTTCTCCTGCCTCAGCCTCCCGAGTAGCTGGGACTACAGGCGCCCCATTAGCCCTTTTTAAGACGGGTAAACTGGAGCTGGGCACAGTGGCTCATGCCTCCAATCCCAGCGACTAGGGAGGCTGAGGCAGGAGGATCACCTATGCAGTTCAGACCCCCTGCCACCTGGGAACACAGCCACCTCCTTCTGCTTGAAAGCTGCCAGACACACAACCAAGGTAACCAAAGCCGAGGCGGAGCTAAGAGCTACTGGCACCCACAGCTCCCAATGAGAAGGTTTTCCTCGCAGCAAAGCATGTCAATGTCATAACACATCCCATCACAAGTTCAAGTTACCCATTTGAACCTGACCATTGACATGCATAACATTCTGCTCTCCACGGCTTTGCAAATTGGAAGAATCTACTTGTGAGCTTTCACTGGGGAGAAATGAAAAAGAAAAGTTTGGAAGGCTGGGTGCAATGGCTCATGCCTGTAATCCCAACCCTTTGGGAAGCTGAAGGAGGAGGATTGCTTGAGGCCAGGAGTTTGACACCAGCCAGGGCCATGTAGTAAGACCCCATCTCTACAAAGAAATAAAGTAAAATAAAATTAGCCAGGTGTGGTGGCATGCACCTGCAGTTCCAGCTACTTGGGAGACTGAGGTGGGAGGATCACTTGAGCACAGGTGTTCGAGGCCGCAGTGAGCTACGATCACACCACTGCACTCCAGCCTGGGCCACAGAGCAAGACCCCATTTCGAAAAAAAGAAAGAAAAGCTTCCAATTCTGTTTCCAACCCATTTCTGAATCTCCAAGACTCTTATTTCTAGGCAAGAGGACCTTAGAAGGGGGCAGCGGGATCTGAGACCACCTCTCCTTACGGTGAAGGCAAACCCAGAGTCTTTGGTGATGCCCCAAGGCCACAGGAAGACGGAGGAGCGCCGGCGTCGTTGTGCCGTCAGCCCAGCCCACCAAAAAGGACCATCCTCCCTGGACACTCCAAAGGAATCAGAAACATCATAATCTTCCAGTTCCTGGAAAACCTGGGCAGGAGTCAGCCGGAACCCAGACCTGAGCAGGTAGACACTCTTATCAACTGCGGCGACGCACACACAGCTGCCCCTTGCAGCCCTGATCCGCAGGTCGACAACCTCCCCAGGTTGGGTCTCATTTGCTGAATACGTCACTGAAACCTGGTTTTCGAAGAAGGTCTCGACTGCAAACTGAAGGCTGTCGGCGACCCCTTCTCCATTCTCCCTGACATAGAAGACCAGCAGGCGACCAAGGGGGACCATGCTTGGGGTCACGGCCAGACGAAGAGAGGTCACACACACGTCGACCTCAGCTTCTGGGGCTGGTGGGGGCTCTGTCTCAGAAAGGTGTGTTAAACGAATCGGTTTCTCCAGGGCAGGGGCCGCCCGCTTGCTTCGCTGCTGGGTGATGTGGGCAGGCTGCTGGCCTGATAGCACAATATTGCCCCGTGCAGCCACCTCGTAGTACAGGGTAAAGTTGCAGGGACATGTGTACTTATCAGAAAAATAGGCTTCTTCCCCAACCTGCAGTGGGTGGGAGAGTGGCTGCAGCTGCAGGTAGCACTGGCTGGGGGAGTACCAGCTGCCAAGGGAGAGGTAGCTGGGCAGGTACTGAGCCCCCACGGGCTTCCCGTTCAGTGCCATCACCTTGGTCTCCAGCCACACGTGCTGGGCTGACGTGGGGATGGAAGGGATTTCAAACCCCACTAGTCCACCCTGGGACACAACTTCACTGGTGTAGATGTTATCCTTTGGTGTCAGCTCTGCCTTAATCTGGACCGTCACCCACTCAGCTGGGCTGCCATCGGGGTAGGATAGCTCCACCTTCCCCACGTAGGCCAGGCCCGGCTTGAACTGCTTCCTCGTGTCCTTGGAGTACCGGATGTCCACCAGCTGCCTCTGCACGGGGGTGGAGTCATCGAACGCGACCTGCTGGCTCCCGTCCACACTGGTCACCATGGCCCAGATGCTGACCCTGCCCCGGAAGTGCTCAGGGACGTCCGCTGGGATCATGTCCCTCACGCAGATGTCGAAGTCCCGGGAGCCGAGGATCTTGGATGTTCTGAGGACGGGGCGTCCCACCTCGTGGCTGTAGTACCCTACACCATTAACAGTCATGTTGATCGTTAAGGCACCAGCCACAGGTTTCCCAAAGGTATACCTGGCCCGCACAGTGCCTGTCTCACAGGCGTCCAGGTCTTGGATATACCGGGGCGGGTCAATCAGAAGCTCGAACTTGGGCAACACATACTTCTGAACTTCAAAAGACTTGTTGTACGCGTGGCCTTGCATTTCAACAAAAATGAACCATTCTCCCAACACAGGCTGGTCGGACAAGGGGAAGCTCATGTTGGTGATGCCGCAGCAGAACGGCTTCAAGTGTCTCCACTCTATCATCCGAGAGCCTCGGGGGTCCAGGATGTTGGCTTCCAGCTTCTCGTTGACAGGCCTCAGATTTGGAGAGACGGTGAAGATGCTTATGAGCACTCGGTGCTGGGGTCTGTACACAGGCTTGTCCGTCTGGATGAATACAGAAGCGCCCCGGCCGTCCACGGTCACCGAGGTCTGGTTGTGAAAGAGGAGCCCCTCCTCCGCCTGCCAGCCGCGGCCCCACACTTTCAGAAGCGCCTGGCCCCGGAGGCCCGTGGGCACCTTGAGTTTGATTGTCCCTTTATCCTGGGCCACCAGCTGAGCCTGGACCGTGACTTCCCTTGGAGAGTTAAAGATGGTCACGCTGATGACTTCCTCCACGCCCGCGCGAAAAACAGAGGGAGCTGCAATCAAGTAACCCGGGGCCTGAGGCTGTGCGGCGCGCAAGCCGTCCCGCGCCGACAGCAGCAGGAGCAGGAGCGGGAGCAACGGCCAGAGCAGGGCGCCGCTCATTTTTCGGCTCCTGGGGGGCGCCGCGCCTGGGGAGGGGGCCGGGCCAGGGCTGGGCCAGGGCCAGGGTCCGAGCGCGGCCGTCCTCGCGCCGCCGCCGGGGGCCCTTTGTTCGCAGTCCCCGCGCAGTGCGCCCGGCGCCATGCGCCCCGCTCCTCGCCCGGCCAAGCTGGGGCAGCCCCGGGCCAGCCCCCTCCCCGGACCCGCCTCGTCCAATAATATTTTCTATATTCCTTATAGTTCAGTATGTATTTTTGGCCTTCAATAACTGAAGGAAGTCAATTTCAACATATAAATTTATATCCAAAGCAAATTGTTATTATAATTGTTAGTATCAGATAAACAATATGATAATATTATGACATCATTCTAGTTAAAAAATAAGAGTATTAGTTATACCAATCAATGTTAGTTACAGAGCAAATATTTAAAAATGCTTCAAAAAAGTATCCAAGATTACTATCCCAGATTACATCCTGACAATTTTATTATGATATCTGAGATAATTTACACATACTATAGACATAGATTGTACAGAATTTGCCTACAGTGGTGGTGAATTTGGCCTAGCCAAAACAGCTTTTTCCTACATGCTAAGGAAAAGCAACTCTAGACATATGGGGTATGTATGCAAGTATTTTGCAAAAAATGTTTTATAAGGACAAAATATATACACATATACTGAAGACTAATAAGTATCACAAAATTTTTAAAATTAATAAAAGTATTTATATACCTAATATAGGTATACATAATATATGTAGTATTTAAAATATATAGATATATATATTCTAAAAATTATGTTTAAAAAGTTGGTATACAAGTTGTCTACAGTCTTATTTGCAGCTTGCTATGCAAAACAAATTTTATTAATGAAGCAGATCAACTGAAACAATTATTTGTAAATAACGTGCAATATTAACAACAAACCTGGAACAAAATTTTAGGATCCTTGAATTTTTATAATGAAGATATAATTTCTACATTTTCTTAATTGGGGCACACTGTGTTAACACTCTGTAAGGTAGTTTCTATCATTGACAAAGAACAGCAGATTTACAGAAAATCTGGAGAGCTGATGCAGGTGCGGTACACTGGTACTCAACCCCATTGTCAATTTGTTAAGTGCCATATGTTGACATGTTTGATTGTCAATGCCTTGCCTCCGTTGAAGTGAACAGAAATGACATTTAAAACTCCAAAGTAATATCTAAGTCTCTGTGTCTGTTTCTTTGTTATCATGCTCAATTTTGCTTAATCCTGCAAAATTTTCAGGTATCCATTTTGCTTTTCCATTTCATCTAAACATAATTAGTTTTCCACATCCATTTTGGCACATGATTCAGTAAGTACACATTCCAAGGCTGTATCACAAATCTCCCATAAGCCAGTGATTACAGTATCTCTAAAACATTTTGCCTATGTGACATTTATCTGTGATGTCTTCTATTTCTTATTTAACCAAATGGAAGCAGCTTGTCAAACACAAACAGCCCTATTTCTGAGATCTTTGCCCTTTCAAATAGCATCTCCAGACTCCTTTCCAATCTGTTCACACAGTAAAGGTCTCTTTTCATAATGTAGTTGTATCCCATAGGAGGCTTTTTAAAACTATGAACATACTCATTGGTGTAAGAGCTAGAATTTCATTTTCTTTTAATAATTGTCAAAGTGCTTCACAGATACATCTAATAAAAGAGATGCAGGAAATATATTGTTTGAATTTCAGATATCATGGCAAGGACAGAACTCTTACAATTAATCTGACCAACCTCAGTTTTCTCATCTATAAAATGGAAATATTAATATCTATATTACATGACTGAGTTCACTATTAAGATAATGCAGCTACAAAATCAGTGCTATTATTCCTTATATTATGGACAATGTAATGCAAATTATGTCTCATAGTAAAAACCTTATAAGAAATTGCTTTGTGTATTAGTTTGAATACAGAATTTATATAAAATAAGCACTTAGTAAATATGAATTCTGGTGGGGAGAATGGTTTTGATTAATCAACAAATATTTTATTGAACTCTTGTGGTACTCCAGGAACCATGCTAGGTGGTGAGTGTAAAATCATGGGAAAAAATCCACCCTGATGAAAATTATAGTGGAAGAGAAAGGCAAACAATAGTACACAAATAACTATGAGCTGCATATAAATGACAGCTAGTATATATTAAATATTCTCTAGAAGTGAAAAGCTATGCTAAGCATTTCAAATGCATTACCATATTTATGTTAGTGTTGTCAAATTTGAGCAAAAGGAGTTTACCCATTAATGCTGCATTTAAAGTTTTCATGCTTACAATAAAATAAAACTGTCTTTTTGTTTTAAATAAACCTGCAACAAGGCCACTTAGTGGACTAATGTCATTCACTTTGGCAATCACTAAAAATTATTGTCTGCAAGTGATATAAATATATTAGTACCATAGGTAAGTTCCTAAACTTACCTATGACCTCATGTCTATGTGTTTTGCATTATTAGCACTGCAGATCATGGATCAGATACCCTCATTATTCACTGATACCCATTTAAACCGAATAAATTACCCTTCTTTCATTAGGTAGTTTTGGTGAGAAACTGTAGTAAAAATAAATAGTAAAAAAACAAGCACTAACTTGGATTTATACTATTCCTACCCAAACTGACCATTACTCATCTAAGATCTACAACAGATCCCTTTCTGAGTGTACGAAGAAAAGGATCTTCCAAACACAGTAGAAAGAAAGTTCCTGGGAATCTAAGGATACTAGCCATGCTATAACACACATTTCAAAATTATCAAGTTTATTCGCAATACAGAAAGATAAGTTTGATTCTGTAAAGCAAGTCTGTGAAAAAATATATGTAAAAACAATGAAAAAAAGTAGAGTAAATCTACAGTCACGTGTACAGTCCATGGAATTAACCTTCATCTGAACTAAGAAGAAACTGGACGTTAAAAATTTTTTTTTCAAGAAATGGTGGCACGTGGGCTATACTTAAAACTTGGTTAACATAAGAGAGCCTTTGTCAGATGAGT
Source organism: Homo sapiens (assembly GCF_000001405.40). Classification (NCBI taxonomy): domain Eukaryota; kingdom Metazoa; phylum Chordata; class Mammalia; order Primates; family Hominidae; genus Homo; species Homo sapiens. The sequence goes on along the minus strand of NC_000007.14, from coordinate 9,723,208 downwards.
AGGTTGCGAAAATTTTCTCCCATTCTGTAGGTTGCCTGTTCACTCTGATGGTAGTTTCTTTTGCTGTGCAGAAGCTCTTTAGTTTAATTAGATCCCATTTGTCAATTTTGGCTTTTGTTGACATTGCTTTTGGTGTTTTAGACATGAAGTCCTTGCCCATGCCTATGTCCTGAATGGTATTGACTAGCTTTTCTTCTAGGGTTTTTATGGTTTTAGGTCTAACATGTAAGTCTTTAATCCATCTTGAATTAATTTTTGTATAAGGTGTAAGGAAGCGATCCAGTTTCAGCTTTCTACATATGGCTAGCCAGTTTTCCCAGCACCATTTATTAAATAGGGAATCCTTTCCCCATTTCTTGTTTTTGTCAGGTTTGTCAAAGATCAGATGGTTGTAGATATGTGGCATTATTTCTGAGGGCTCTGTTCTGTTCCAATGATCTATATCTGTTTTGGTACCAGCACCATGCTGTTTTGGTTACTGTAGCCAGAATCTACAATGAACTCAAACAAATTTACAAGAAAAAAACAAACGACCCCATCAAAAAGTGGGCAAAGGACATGAACAGACACTTCTCAAAAGAAGACATTTATGCAGCCAAAAAACACATGAAAAAATGCTCATCATCACTGGCCATCAGAGTAATGCAAATCAAAACCACAATGAGATACCATCTCACACCAGTTAGAATGGCAATCATTAAACAGTCAGGAAACAACAGGTGCTGGAGAGGATGTGGAGAAATAGGAGCACTTTTACACTGTTGGTGGGACTGTAAACTAGTTCAACCATTGTGGAAGTCAGTGTGGCGATTCCTCAGGGATCTAGAACTAGAAATACCATTTGACCCAGCCATCCCATTCCTGGGTATATACCCAAAAGATTATAAATCATGCTGCTATAAAGACACATGCACACGTATGTTTACTGTGGCACTATTCACAATAGCAAAGACTTGGAACCAACCCAAATGTGCAACAACGATAGACTGGATTAAGACAATGTGGCACATATACACCATGGAATACTATGCAGCCATGAAAAATGAAGAGTTCATGTCCTTTGTAGGGACATGGATGAAACTGGAAACCATCATTCTCAGCAAACTATCGCAAGGAAGAAAAACGAAACACCACATGTTCTCACTCATAGGTGGGAATTGAACAATGTGAACACATGGTCACAGGAAGGGGAACATCACACACTGGGGCCTGTTGTGGGGTAGGGAGTGGGGGAAGGGATAGCATTTGGAGATATATCTAATGCTAAATGACGAGTTAATGGGTGCAGCACACCAACACGGCACATGTATAGATATGTAACAAACCTGCACATTGTGCACATGTACCCTAAAACTTAAAGTATAATAATAATAAAATAAAAATAAAATAAAATAAGAGAGCCTTATAAATCAGCTGTGCAGACTGAGTAAAGTCTTACTATATTAGCATCATTTAAAAGGTGCAGGTGAAAACTAAAAAGCATAATTTTATATAGTTCACCATTACAGATTCATTCTTTTGGTTTCCCAAATCTTCTTTTTAATAATTCTGAAAGGGGTGATGATGTCACTCGTAGTTTAGGAGACACTATTATCAATGTATTCCAAAAAATGACCAGAGGCACAGAATTTCTAAGATCAAGAAGAGAGAAGGAGACAGGGATTAAAGAGAAAAGAGGGAAGAAAGATAAGATTGGGGGCCTTCTGCATAACTGTTTTTTGTTTGTTTGTTTGTTTGTTTTTGTTGTTCGTTTGTTTTTTTGAGACAGAGTCTCGCTCTGTCACCCAGGCTGGAGTGCAGTGGCGCAATCCCCTCTCGCTGCAAGCTCCACCTCCCGGGATCACGCCATTCTCCTGCCTCAGCCTCCCGAGTAGCTGGGACTACAAGCGCCCGCCACCATGCCCCGCTAATTTTTTTATTTTTAGTAGAGACGCGGTTTCACAGTGTTAGCCAGAATGGTCTCGATCTCCTGACCTTGTGATCCGCCCGCCTCGGCCTCCCAAAGTGCTGGGATTACCGGCATGAGCCACCGCGCCTGGCCTACATAACTGTTCTTAAAGCCTATCATTTTCCTAAACTTTGGACACACACACACACACACACACTTACACATCTGTATTTCAATGGTGTTCAAATCCATTCACGTAGTTACTTTTTTAATGCTTGTTTGGCCATAGTAAGCCCTTTAAAGCTAGTTCTGGTATCATTTTAAACTAGCTTCACTGATATTTGAGCACTTCTTTGTTTTGTGAAACAACAAGATGTTCCAGGCTCATATTATACTTTCCAGGACTCAGATTTTGAATATGTCATTGCTCAAGATGCCCTGGTTCCTTTCACTGGAGACTGCCATTGAGAAAAAAATATTTGTGTGTTAGGTATGCTCATTACTCATAGAGTGTCATTGCTTCTGATCTCTTTCAATGGAGAATATGAAGAAATAGATACGTGCATATATACATGCATACATAGGTGGATAATGGATGACATGGACAGTTATATAATGATTTCATATTGATACTTCCACATCAATAACAATATCATAGTGTTCTTCACTTTCTTCATTACACATCTGTCTTTCTTCTCTGCAGGTTGAAACTCTGGTAACCATCAGTATCAATATATCTAACAATACTACTAAAATTCTGACACCCATTTTATTATTAAAAACAAAAAAAGCCTTGAAGATTTATTTGTAGTTGTTTTCTCTCTCTTTCTCTCTGTCTCTCATATAAAAAAAGAATACAATGTTCAAAAGTTACTTTAATTGAATCTTATTATCAGATGATTATTTTATCAATATGGCAAAAAATTTGTTTCTATTTGGGTTGAATATAAGTTTTGTTTTCATATATTTTTGATTTGATTCATTTATTAATAAATGATGTTTCAAAAGACCAAAGCATATTTTAAAAATACTCAAAAACGCCTTGCTCATGTTCTCATTTCCTTCTTCTAGCTCCCACCTATCCCTTGCAAGTTAGCATTTCACTTGGTTTCTTATTTTTTACATGAAAGTAAAAACACAAACACTTGTGTTCTTATTTTTTCTTCTTATACTAAACTTAATATTCACTTTTTTTACCTAAGCATAATGACAAAGCACCGGATCACATTTTGAAATTAGAACTACTTAAGAGATTTTAAAAATGGATTCTCACAGAGGGGTGAATTAATAACAGTAGTCTTTCTAGAAGAAACGCTTTTGGAGATGAGAAAATTTAAAGGCCTTTATCATGGAGAATAAACTTAAGTGTAGTAAGAAAGTGAAAAAAGGGTCAATCGATTTGACTTTTACTAGCATATTCAACATGTTTGGTAATCCCTTAATCCCCAACCACTGCCCAAGTCTCCTCTTTCTCTTGCTCCCTCTCCTTCTCAACTCCTCATTCTTTTCATCTTTCAAATTGTTTTTAATGGCTGAAGCCCAGCTAAGTAAGCTCAATCACTTTTGATCATCTGTTTTGGGTAAAACATCTCTCTCTTCTATGCACAAATTATATGCACTCATTGATGTATGACCTGTGCCTTTCAGCATTTACATATTATCTTTACGTTTTCAAGGAACTTTGCAATCACATGTAATGTTTACCTCCCAGTTCTTAGCAATATTAACCTCATTTTACAGTGGTGGTAACAGTCATTGAGCAGCTAAGTGACTTGACCATTCCTAAACTGTAACTCCCAGCATGCACGTCCCCAGCGTGTTGCTGAGCTCAGTGAGTCACTGCCCGAGTCTAGCCTTTATTTATTGTATCATCCCTGAGATGTGGGTAATAGTCACATGAACCTTCAAGGTGTAGTTAAAACACCCCATAAACTGACTTTTACTAGCCACTGTCTAAACCTTGACTTTCTCAAAGTTTTCTCCTTTTGGCTCTTATATGAGAAAACTATCAACAGTAATTCAAGTAAAAGTAAAATATGAAAGTAAAATGTTAAATCTAAGAAAGATATGCCTAATTGTCTTGAGATTTGTGTTAAGAACAAGCATTTAAAATATCTACCACCCTTTAGAAACATTCGAGTGAGCCTTATAAGTAGTTTATTTAGAAAACAGAGACTAGCCTGACCAATATGGAGAAACCCTGTCTCTACTAAAAAAATACAAAGTTAGCCAGGCGTGGAGGTGCGTACCTATAATCCCAGCTACTTGGGAGGCTGAGACTGGAGAATCGCTTGAACCTGGGAGGTGGAGGTTGCAGTGAGCAGAGATCGTGTCATTGCACTCCAGCCTGGGCAACAAGAGTGAAACTCTACCTCAAAAAAAAAAAAAAAAAAAAAAAAAAAAATGCAGCATTTACTCAAAGACCCATTATAGCCAAGGCCTAATCCAAGTAATTCCCTGGGCTGGAGAAACTGGACTTGGTTTTTAAGATGTCACCCATCCCTTTCAAATCAGAGTGAAATCAGAATTAAACTGATAAACTGAAGACAGCAGTGTTTATTTCATTTTGCTCAGGTTTTTAAACCTAATCCTAGATGCACACTTTTGTCTGTTGCACATTTTTATTTTCAGGCATTCTAGAAATTTCAGTCTTTGGTTTTGGAAGGAGAAAAAAGCACAGTGAAAACAAACTCATTTGACTGAATGAGTTTTCTTTTGTGACTAACTTAATGGCTTCCATTCCCAGAAGTTCCTAATGAATTATGAAGGTGTTTCTCTTAAGCATAATAGCATATTTTACTAAGGGAGACCTTATGTTCTATACACATCCCAGACATCAATTAAACCTTTGTGAACCTGGCTAGAAGTGACTACTGGGATCAAGTGAGGCAAGATATGAAGTGGCATTGTGAAGGGAGATTTTACTCTTTTCTCTTTTCTGAAGGCAACATCTATCATATTCTTTATTTTATTGTTTGATGCTTTGCTGACCCAGGGTTTAAGAATGTGTTTCTGCTCACCACCATTATACAGAAACCCAGAAGCTGAGTTCTGCTCTGTGAACAATGAGGCCTTTGTTTGCCAAAGCAGCATAGCCCAACACTTCAGAGCTTTTTAACCTTTTTCATATTGGTGATTACATTTGCAATTCATGCCAGTGGGATTATAGAGATTTTCTCTAAATCCCTGGTAGGCAAGAAAAAAACCTCTTAATTTTTCCTGAACTAGGATGACAAGCCAATTTTTCCTTCATTGTTTGTGGGTTTAAAAAATGAGCCTCATGACTAGGCATTATCCTGAAAAATCTCTGTAAATTAATAAACCTAATCTAGTCATGAGATATCTGCTCCAGTAAGGAAGAGATGCTGCATGCAGGCATATTCTTTCAGAAACTGCAGGCAGAAGGATACTTCTATTGGAGGAGAGAAAGAAGCAAAACTTCAAAATGATTTTTTTTTTTTTTTTTTTTTTTTTGAGACGGAGTCTCGCTCTGTCGCCCAGGTCGGACTGCGGACTGCAGTGGCGCAATCTCGGCTCACTGCAAGCTCCGCTTCCCGGGTTCACGCCATTCTCCTGCCTCAGCCTCCCGAGTAGCTGGGACTACAGGCGCCCGCCACTACGCCCGGCTAATTTTTTGTATTTTTAGTAGAGACGGGGTTTCACCTTGTTAGCCAGGATGGTCTCGATCTCCTGACCTCGTGATCCGCCCGCCTCGGCCTCCCAAAGTGCTGGGATTACAGGCGTGAGCCACCGCGCCCGGCCCAAAATGATTTTTACTAGGAATAATTGGCTCAGATACATAGTTACATATACAACGCAGAAAGAGACAGTGATGAAGGACTTTATAGTGTTCAGGGCAGATCACTTACACTGTTTTGGAAGTTCTCTTTGAGGAAAAATTATTACAAATTTATAAAAAGAAAAAAGCATGAAAGTAAAACATTTATTTTGTTTGAGAAAATGAATTCCAACAAATTAAAAAGCAAAAGCAAATAAAGTGGCAATATCACAAACATTACAACATTCAGAAAAATAATGTATTAATAGTATTAGTTAGCTGCCTGACATCTCTACATATTTTGGCTTCACAGCCTTTGTTTCTTCATATGTAGCAATTTTAAAATATTTTCTGTGGGGACACTAGAAAGTTAATTCAATCTAGCATGGTCGATTGAAAAAAAAAAGTGGTTAATAGTTTAGAAAACTTTCTTTTAGCTCCACAACTCTTTCCTGGTAATGACACATCTATAAATTCCTGTGCAGTGGCTTGTTTAGGCAATGATTCTTGCCCTAAGAAAAACTCTTGAAGGCTTCCATACTTTTGATTAAGTAGACATGGTTCCCAATGGCTCTTACAAAGGCTATGGGCCATTCCCTCCTGCTTTATTCTCCATGCCAATTCCATCCTTACCTTCACTGGGTTGATCCTCACAGGTCACTTCACATGGCACCTTGGCCCAGTCGTCCCTCTTGTTTTTATTCTTCTCCTTGGGATCAAAGTTGCTTGATCCCAACGATGTACCTTGAGGACCTATGGGGCAAATGTTTATTAGGGACAGGTTAGATATGGAAATCACCACTAGGGTACAGCAAGTGACACCTAGTGTGGGGCCGTGCTCTGTAGCTCTGGTTTTTGCTCCCCTCGCTTCCCCGAAGTCCCTGGAGTAGAGCATAAAAGCATCAGAAGAGGCCTGTCCAAGTGAAGGGCCCTGAAGCTTAACCTTCATTAGCTTCACAGCAAAGTATCCTATAGTAAAATTTCTGTTAACAATTTGAGATTTTAAATGTAGTCAAGTATTAAAACCTTTACTTCTTTTAACCCATAGCACATTAAACATTGTACTACTGGACTCATATCCCTTGCTGTTTGGTGGTCATTCCAATATAACACAAAATATGTTTCTTATCTGAGGCATTTTGACATAATGAACACTTTCTGGATAATTACTTTTTGAGAGTTATCCTTATAGCTGGTGTTGTTGTAATTATCAATGAAATCAGCAATGTGAACTGTGAGTCAAAAGTAATTTCCCAAGTAACTGGTAGGTTTTTGATCTGGGACTAAAATTTCTTGTAGTAAAGGGAAGAATAAAACAGTTTATCAATAATAAAGTAGAAAATAAATTACGAGGTAAACCAAAAGTCAAGTTAGCAAGAAATATGATTTTCCTGGGAGAATAGCTTTCATTTCTGCAAATATGTGAGATTAAAGGGAAAGCAACACTCACTGACTACTTGGAAGCAATGAAATTGTATTTTGTAGCTTGTCTTTATGTTCCTATAGGGTCTTTCTCTACCCTCCTCTATTCATCCCACTGTGAGAAAAAAATAAGTCATTCAATATAGAAGATTATTATTAGAGATACGTGGTAGTTGGTCTTCAACAAACTCCACCTCTTGGTATTCACACACTTGTTCAATCCGCTCCCATTTAGTGTGGGCTGGATCTGTGACTTGCCTCTAACTGATATAATATGGCAAAGATTATCTGATATTATTGTCAAGAATGGATTATACAGGATTCTGACCCCCATCTTGCTAGCAAACTCTCTCCTTTCTGTTTTTGATGAAACAAGCTGTCATTGTGTAAGGGGCTCTGTGGAGAGGCACACTGGGTAAATAACTGACAGCAGCTTTCAGGTTAGAGCCAGCAAAAACAGAAAGTCCTCAATCTGACAACCAGCAAAGAATTGAATTCTGCTACTATCCATGTTACCTTGGAAATTGATTCTTCCCCTGTCCACCTTTCAGAAGACACCTCAGCCTTGGCCAACACTTTGAATGCAGTTTTGTGGAAAACACTAAAAACAGAAAACCCAGCTAAGTTGAGCCCAAATTCCTTACCTATCAAAATTCTAAGATAATAAAGGTGTTTGTATGTGGTGTGTTTGTGTGTGGTGTGTGTGTGTGTGTGTGTGTGTGTGTGTAACTGCCAAGTTTATGGTAGTTAATAATATAGCAATAGTGATAAGTAATATAAAACATTAGAAGCCTTTGTAATATAAACACATTAAGTAAAATGAAATGTTAATATGGAGTCTTCTTTACTATTTAACTTTCCACACCATTATTTTGGTAACTTGAGTTAACATTCTTTTCTGAAGTTCTTGCTATCCAATTATTCTGACCTATTTTTGTCAGCCCTTATAAATTTCTATGTCAGCACTGTTCACTGTGTCTAGATCTGGCCATCTAACTCACCATTGTCCTCTTTGTTATCCATATGTGATCATACTGGGCACCACTCATGTTCAACATGGATATTCTAACCTCATTTCATTCATCTACAAAGATCGTTTCTGCACCCCCTAGAGTAGTCCTCTACATGGCTTCCTTTTGTCAACCAGAAACATATTAATTCAGAAGATAATATTAATGTAATTAAGAGTTAAAATTCTGGATTCAAACAGGCCTAGTGTTTAATCTTTGCTCTGACATTTTCTTATTACCTGCTATTTTGCAAATTATTTAAATACTTGAAACCTGTTATCCCCAACCATAACATGAGAACAATAAATATATGATTAGACTCTTAATAAAATTCTATAAGAATTTAATTTATTTATGGTTTAATGCATTTGCAATGTTATTTTCTGAGTTTAGTGTCTAATGGGAATATCCTCTCTTTCAATATCACTTAGCAAACTTGCTCTTCCATTCCTTTGCAACGAGTTCCTTGACTGCTTCCTATTTTTCAAATCCTTCAGCCTGCTCTTTTATTTTCTTTCCAATAGTTGGTCAACTATTACAACTGTGTTGTTACCAATAGTTTTAATTATCTAATGTTCTTAGCTTAATCGTAAGCCTTATATCAGGTCTCTTAAAATTGGCTGAAAAGATAATAAAACCATCCTGATTGGCACTTCTAAATATTTATGACTTTTAATCTCAGCTGAACCTTCAAAACTCTTTAATATACTCTCTCTTTTAAAAATGCATTAGTGCCAAAAGTAGAAATAATCTGAATACAATAAGAAAAAAATTAAAAATGTAACTGTGGTACAATGAATATTTTCTTACACAATAATGGAATTTGTTCTTGAATGCTGACATGTCATGCCCACCTATGACCCACCTTTTACCCTTTTTGCAGCTTAAAGTGTTATAAAAGGCAGTGACCCTGTAGTTTGGGGCTACTATGACCTGGCAGATTCATCATGCTAAAAAGGCAAATTGATGATCAAATTTGGAAATTGACTGTAAGAAACAGTGTGCTGGAGATATAGGAAAGAAGTGGCTCTACCATACAGACCCCTCATCACAGTCCTCACCTCACCCACTGCACTCATTTAACTGCCCAATGAACACTGGAGTTCAACGTTTTTCTGTGTTCTCCCTAGTATATGATTTTGGCTGTTCATTTCTCTTTAGGGAATTTTTAAAAGCTAAATAATAAATACAAAATGCCCCCTTCCAAAATAAAAGAGTTTAATTAAAACTTTTCTCAAATTTTTTTTTGTCGGTATGACCACTCTCTTGCTTTTGCCTCACACAATTTAGGCCCTGCCAGTCTTTAAAAGGAACATTCTAAAAGTACATCTGTTTTCCCTGGGATTTTCTATTATAACATAGCTTAGAATTCATGCAAATTTTTACTTAAAATTTGTGTTACTCAAGGTCACAAATTTCAAATTACAACTCATGGGAAGTGAGGCCTATACCCTTTGTGTGGAAAGTATTCCTCTTTCTGTACCTATCAGACTTCTACTTCATTCTATAAACTGATTTGAAGTGCTATGAACACTTTGGGTTTTCCCCTGTGGTTTCTGGTGCTTTGGGTTTCAGGCATGATACTTTCATAAAAACACAAATGTCAGCTGAACAAATATATATAAGAATGCCTGAATTCCGGGCACGATGCCTCATACCTGTAATTCCGGCACTTTGAGAGGCCGAGGTGGGTGGATGACAAGGTCAGGAATTCGAGACCAGCCTGGCCAACATAGTGAAACCCCTTCTCTATTAAAGATACAAAAAAATAGCCAGGCGTGGTGGCAGGTGCCTGTAGTCCCAGCTACTCGGGAGACTGAGGCAGGAGAATCGCTTGAACCCGGGAGGTGGAGCTTGCAGTGATCCGAGATGGCGCCACTGCACTCCAGCCTGGGCGACAGAGCGAGACTCCGTCTCAAAAAATAAATAAATAAATAAATAAATAAATAAATAAATAAATAAATAAAAAGGAATGCCTGAATTCTATCTCATTCAATTAAAGTGTACTCTTCAAGAAAATTTAATTTTAACCAACAAATTGCTGCCTAAGACCACATAGAAGCATCAGCTAAAATGGTGGTTAACAACACACATCCTGTGCGGGTGCCTGGGTTCGTTCACCAGCGCCATGACTTTGTGACCTAGGGCAGGTTATTTTTCCCTCGTTCTTCTGTTTCCTTAATGCAAAATGGGGATTACAGTAACATCTCCTTTATAAAGTAGGTTTTGAGATGAAATGAGCTAGTATTTTCAAAGTGCTTATATTCTGTGTACCTGGCACATATATAGTAAGTACTATACAAGTATTTGTTAAATAATTTTTTTAAGTTTTAAAATGTTGTATTCATGCCATCAATATTGAGAACACATTCAAGAACCAAAGTAAATTACATGGAAAATATAATTTCTTGTTTTTAAACTCTACAGTATCCAAATTAAAATCTCCATGTTATTCCTCTATGGAGATATGATCTTCCTCAAAAAAGAAACAGTTATATCGAAAATAGATTTTAATATCTCAAGAGACTAAAATCTAAGTTTTAAATAGGTAATGTTTTTAATTCATATTAATAAAAGCAAAATAATTTATACTCTTATTTAATTTTTGGTAATATATTAATTCTACATATAGTTAATTTTGGAATTAAACTCTCAAACTTAGATTTAACATCATGCTTACATCTATTTTCTTCTCATCAAAGAATAAATTATATTTCCCATTGGGATTTATCAACTTCTACTTCAGTTTCTAGGGGAAATAAGTAGAAAACAAATGACTAATAAGTAGACATAAATTATATTAAGTTGGTGCAAAAGTAATGACAAAAGCCGCAATTACTTCTGCACCAACCTAATACTATCAAATTAATTATTTATTTAAATATACTTTATTATGTTTGGGGTCAATATTAGTTTTGTTGTATGTTGCAATACTTGATTTTGATTATTCGATTCATTTCATTTTAGATAGGAATATATATTATTAAATTTCATTTGCATCAGATTTTTATATTTATTTATTTTTGTGAGTTTTATAACTTGCTAGTTACAACCTGAAAAAGAATAGAACATCTTTTAAATATATAATTTGTTCACAGATCAGTATAGATTTTTGAGCCTTGCCTATTGGATGAAGTGCTATCCAAATAGCCTTATCTGTTCTTTGGTGATTATTCTGAGCAAACTTTTTATTTTTCAGGTTATACTATGAAGAGGAGATGGGCTTTTTTTCTTGAAAAGTACTCCCAATCTGATATCTGTCTTGCAGGAAAAAAGCTGTTTTAAACCAAATCCATTGAGATCCAGTGATAAGATCCTCTTACGTGTCACTGGGGCTTGTTCTACAGAATGTAATATTAAAGGTTAGGTTTCATTCTGCTTGAGTGGAATTTCTTAACCAGGAAAACACAGGCAAAGACAGCCTGTGGAGATTTGACATGACAACCATTCTCATTTTATTGAAGTACAGCACGGACTGCAGATGTCCATTTATAGCGTATTTGAAAATCTTTAACATTCTTTGAAGCTTTTAAAAGTATATTTCTCAGGGGATTTTTTGTTGTTACAAGAAGCTTCTAACCATTTTTATGGCTGCAGGCATAATGGCACAATATCCTGTTTCCTGTTGCAGTGGGAAGTCATCAAATGCATCACAACTAAGTCTTAGTGATGATCAAAAGAAAACAGACAAATTCAGTCTTGTGATTTGCTGATGACTAGGTACTTCACTACAGACATAATTATTAGTTGAGAAAAATCTTATGTTTATAGAATGAATCACTTATTCCTCATTTTCATGATTATTACTGTGTTTAAACTTACATAGAGACTTTCCTTTTCAAAGATTCCACTTTCTACACATTGTGTGCAAAACACCTGAGTCGAGGAAAGTTGCAGTAGCAGTTTGCTTAGGTTGATTATTATTCGTCATCTTTAACCTCTTATATTATACAATGAAAGAGTTTTAAAACAACTCAACCTATTCTGTTGTTAAGAGGGTAAATAGATTTTTGAACCTTAATCATTATTCTACATACACTGACTTGGAAAATGGAAATAAAGCAAAAAATCAACTTATAAAAAGGCAATATTCTCTTTCTTCCTTGCAAAATAAAATTCTTAAAGGTTCTATACATTTGTTTTCCCAATAAAATTTCTGTTTAAGTTAGTTAAGAAAATAAGATCCCAAAACCATGATATTATTTTTGATTGCACATAATATAATGCAAGTAATTTGCCAAATGTTTTTCATGCATTGCCCAAAATGTTCACAACTGTCCTATAGTGTAGGCACTGCTATTATTGTCATTCCAAAAGGATTATCTGACGATGTAAAATACCTGAAAATACAATTTTTGTTCCTTACTGTTGCTGTGACCTGCAAAATAACAAAGGAAGTTACTTGAAGTCTCTCATCCTGAGATGTTTCCCAATAGTAAGTATAAGAAAAGACGTCTTGAAGTACAGAGCAATCATTACTGAGAGAATGGTTAAACAAATATTAATGAATTAGGCTTATCTTTGTTGCCCACTGTAAATGTAGGTACTGGAAATATAGCTGAGAGCAGATTAGAGGACTGCTTCTCATAATTTAGTGTGCACAAAAATTGGACGGCAAACTTATTAAAACACAGGTTCCTGGGTCCCACACAGAAATTCTGTTTCAGGAGATCTGGAGTGGAGCCGGGTGATCCTGACATTATTGGGCCCTGGACCACACTCTTAAGCGGTGCTGGCCAAACATCGCTGTTCTCCTGATGTCATTCTGGTGGACTCTTAAGAATTACTGTTACTACTTCATGATATGGCATATATTACCTTTACTTAATTCTCATAATGACCATATCATCATAAGACAGGGATTCACTTTTTGTCATTATTATAAATGAAGAAACTCTTTATTAAGGAAATATAGTAGCGTTCACTAATGCAAACAGCAGGAGGCTGAAGGGCCAGAGTTCAAATTTAATTTTTCTCTCAAACCAAAATTATGGCCATTGCATTATTTTCTGCCACATTTTATATTTCCTCAGACATTTTCATTTTGAGACCCAAAAGAAAACATTCTGCAGTTTTGAAATGCCCAACAAATGTTACTAGAGTCAAAGGGTTCAGGGGTTAAAAAATTTGTCACCATCTTATGACATGGTAAATCATCAAATGATTATAGGTAGTACACATATTTAAGGTTTAGGGATTTTTATTCTGTATTTGTGATTGTAATTCAATCTCATCTTTAACTTGAGATGTAAATGTGATTTGTAACTTTAAGTATCAATAGAAAGTTGCAGATTTTCAGGAATAAAAAAATAATCGCTATCATTCTCAATTGGAAAATAATTTGAAGTGTTTTCTTTGTAGTATGAGGGTCTCTGGGGCATGAACAGCTGCTTTTAATATTTTCTAACCCAATACCTATTATATTATGTGTGGAAAGTTCTATAAATGTTGACTGAGCAAGCAAATCAAATTAGAGCATATGAGCATCCCATGAACTGTAGCCTTCTCACAAATGTCCTTTGGTAGAAAGTATTTATCTAAAATTAACTCACCTTAATTTTACAATGATATTTATTTCAAACATATGTTGCTAGCATACTGCTTTCTTAATACAAGTTCTTTTTGCTTCTTTAAAAATCTGCTAGCTAACTCACAGGTAACGTAAGTATCATGAGGTGCAGCAGTTGCTAAAGCAAGTTCCTTTTTCATGAATAACAGAGTAAACAGGCTCATAAAACCCATATAAACTGCCACTTCTCAAATTTATGATTTCCCTGAGGCTGAGGCAACTAAAACTTGAGTTTTAAGGAAAAAATTGTCAGGCTTCTTTTTACTTGGTGTAAACTGACCTAACAGAAACTTTTTATTTTTTTTGGAGTGTTTTTTTGGGGATTTGTATGTGTTCCTGATGACTTTATATTGTTTTACAATGCTTTATCACATGAGGAAACTGAGGGTTTGCCCTTGGAAAAACCATTTTTCCAGCATCCTAAGCATCCATTGGTTCCTAAGTGTTTCTAAGTTAGAAATTAACGTTTCTTGTATTCCAATTCTATAACAACAGGATGATGATACCCTTTAAGCATGGATTGATCATTTCCTTAATTATTTTATGCTTCCTTAAAGTCTGAGGAAAATTTTATTGGTGGATTAGTTAAAAAATAAAAAAATATATAATGGTCCAATAAACTGAGCCAACCACTTAAAACATTTGAAATTTAAAATACATCTTTCCTAGTTTTAAACATTTAGTATTCATTGCCATCTTAATTTTTTCTTCTTCTCTAAGAAGAAATATAGAGGAGTCATCCTTAGATTTTAAAAGGTTTTGCCTGCTGTTGAACTACTTGGACTTCCAAATCATGGGCCCATTGCAAGAAAAAAAAAGTGATTACAGAAAATAATATGCTTGAAAGTCAAAGACAGGTAAGATTTTTCAAACCTATTTTTTCGTAATTAATTTTCTCTCTCTAGTAAGACAGCACCTATCCTAGTATTTTTTTCATTGCAGAATTCTAGTCACAATTGTAGCCCTTTATAGTTGTTATCTTTACAACTCAAACATAACCCTTCCAGAATATTAATCTACCCCTTTACCTGGTCTGAGAGATTATTTACTTAAAAGGATCATGTATGTATTATTTGAAAATATATTTATAACTTTTCATTATAGCTTGTTTAAAAATGCCAATGACATGGCATATTTTTCATAAATAACATTTAATCATGTTAGACATTTGTATTATGTTGACTGTCTTATAATTAATAATCATTAGATGCTTCGAGAAAATTCAGCACAATGAAAATAATATTAGGGATTATTTTTAAAAACTTGTGTTCCACTGTAGTATGTCATTACCAATTCATTTTCAAGTTAGTCCATTTGTCTTCCCTATTTTAAAGTGGTAATTTTAAGTCCCAGTAAGGGTTTGAAATAACTTATGTCTTTGTGACCCCTTATAAATATGCAAACAGATGATGATTTGCTGACCTGTCCTTCAGTGATTGCTGAGCTTCATTGTCCCAGACCAAGGCACTTAGTCCTGTTCAAGTACCTACTTTATCATCCATTAGATGCTTCGCCATCCTGGAGAGCTCATCTCCTAGGACCTATTGAATTCAGAGACAAAAATAGGTACTTTGGGTTTCATTTATATGCATGCCTTCAAAAACATTTTATTACCCCTTCAGTTCTGCCCTCCTAAATATTAGTTTATTCTTTGATTAGTTTCTTAGAGATTTTAGTGTATCTTTAATGAGGAAATCAATGAACAAACTAATGTTCATACCTGGAGTTTCAATGTTGTTTCTCTCTTTAAGCCAATTTCTCCCCAAATTTTCCTTCTGAATTAACTGGTTTATTATTTATATGTATAAGGATGGATGTACTTTGTGAAAGGATTGCTACCAGGTAGCTTGCACATTTCCTAAGCCACTGAAACTGTTCCTTTATTTGGTACCATGGTTTTGCTCCCTGGAAATAATGTCCTATTAAAAAGGCACTTGTCTGTACTTTCAGAATTCTATATTCAGGGTCAATCAATTATCCACTGGCTATGTTGATATGTTAACATTGCCATATCAAAAAGGGAGCAATTTTAATATTTCAGGCTGTTAATAGACATTTTAATTTTCAGCTATTATGAGGTAATATTTGCTTGACATTAACACCTCTCCCTACTTATAAGTTATTTGATGAGCAGCTATAGGCATTACCACTTGTGAATTCAAGAGCTTTCCAGAATAGAGGTTTACTTCTCTTGGAAGATAAGTAGCAATTTTTTAGAGATTTGTGTTAGCCATACATGTATGTGGTCGAGGTATGTTTGTATATGGAGATAGTTCACAAAAGAAAAGTTAAGGAATCATAATATATATTTTTGATTATTTTCTGAAAACACCTTCCATTCCTCTACTTAACAATAAACAGCATCCCGGTTTTCTTCTGATGAATTAACACTTCTCCATTTGGTATAGGTAAGGTGTGGAATCTGCCATCCCACTAAGAAATCTGGAGATTCCTTCTACTACATATTTATTTTCCACAGCTCAGTAACCAAGACTAAGTGACCTATCCATCAATGAGATTGTGATACAGAACTTTAAATCTTGAACTGGGTACTGCAAAGACAGAAGAAATAAATGGAATTAATTCATTCTAACTGGGTTACCCTAAATTGTCACTCAATTCATGTTACTAAGATCTTTGTGCTGATTTTCTATACTCTCTAAACCTATTTTGTATAGGCTTCTTTTTAAGCTTGGGAATACCCTATCCTGAATCTTTACATAAATTCACCCTTTCTTAGGTTTGACAGAGATGATATTTGACAGAGTTGATAGTTACAACCAGAGAACTCTAACATACACTTTGTAGCATTCTCAAGCATAATCTTATCTATTAGGAGTCATAGACAAGTAAAGCAAAGGGAAGTGAGCACTCACATTAACTCCTGTTAGAAACTACTTTCTAAAGAAAGATCTTGCTTACATTTTAATATAGGAAATTAAAAACTTGTTAATGATCAAAAGTTACATGGGCATAAAAGCCACTTTCTATGCAGCACAGTGCTTTGCATATCATAGGGGTCTAACAGAGGTTTTTTGAGTTTATAAAAGCTACTAATGTTTTTAAAAATTGAGAATTTATGGCTTTAATTGATTGAACTGGGGTTACTGACACAAAGAGTAACACCTCTGTTTCCAAACTACCTCAAATAAATTAACTATATGTCAAATGCTATTCTTGGAAAATACGAGTAGAATAGTAAATATTTGTGGGATTTGGAGTAAGCATTTGAATTTTCTGAATTTGATCACACCAACTAATGATGATAATAAGAAGGATTTACAGCCAGGCACGGTGGTTCACACTTATAATCCCAGCACTTTGGGAGGCTGAGGCGAGTGGATCACCCGAGGTCATGAGTTCAAGACCACCCTGGCCAAAATGGTGAAACCCCATCTCTACTAAAAATACAAAATTAGCCAGGTGTGGTGGTGGTCGCCTGTAATCCCAGCTACTTGGGAGGCTGAGGCAGGAGAATCGCTTGAACCTGGGAGGTGGAGGTTGCCGTGAGCTGAGATCGTGCCATTGCATTCCAGCTTGGGCAACAAGAGCGAAACTCTGTCTCAAAACAAAAAAAAAAGAAAAAGAAAAAAGGATTTACTCAATGTCTGCAAATAATGTTAAGTATAGTTATAGTGGAATATCTAGGGACAAGTTCTACAGAGAACAGTGTTTTGCCAGTGTGAAACAATTAGGATATTATTATTTTAAATATTTAATTAACTTTAGACTTCTCTCTCAATAAAAGTAAACAAACACCTCATAATGTAAACATTATCATAATTTAATTTTAATTAAAATAGATTAAAATCAGAAGTAATAAAAGAGAATTATCAAAAGTTACAAACTATTTTAAGAAATATTTGAAGAGTTTTTAAAGGATAGTAAATAAGAATACATTGTCAGCCCTCTGTCTGTGGGTTCTGCATCTGTGAATTCAACCAACAGCAAATCAAAAATATCCAGGAAAAAAACTGTGCCTGTACTGAACATGTACAGACTTTCTATGTGTCATTATTCCCTATGCAATATAGTATAACAACTATTTACGTAGCATTTCAATTGTAATAGGTATTATAAGAAATCTACTAATGGTTTAAAGTATATGGGAGGATATGCACAAGTTATATGCAAATGCTACACCATTTTATATCAAGGGACTGGAGCAAGATAGATTTTGGTATCTGCAGGATATGTTGGAACCCATTCCCCACACATACCAAGGGACGACTGTACTAATAAGAGAACAAGATCTATTAAAGACAGAATGACTTGCAGTATTGCAAATTTGTTGACACTTGGTCATATGTAAAAAAGGGTCTGCTTTTTGTCACATAACATTTTAGCTTTTAAGAATATTAGTTTAGGCAACTTGAAAGAAATAAACTGCATCTGCTTAATGGATTTGTTTTCTATTTATTTCATATTTGGGGTTCTACGGCACTAAAATGTAACTAAATTCATTTTCTAATTTCACCAAAGGATTTCAATACAGACTGGATGATATATTTATATATTTACCCTAGCAATCTCTGAAATGCATGCTTGCACTGCCTCGCATGGGGGTAGTAATTAGTTGCGTGGTAGGCAATGGCCAGGGCCACAGCTCACTGGGCAGCATAATGGTAATATCTTGTAGCTTTTCACTTTACATAAATGCTACATCCTTCCTCAGTAGATAGGCAAAGAGCAGCTCACTACTGAAAAGCAGGTCTCTAATTTTGTATACGTCAGTGAGAAAGAGAGAAAAATAAAGCTGTTACAAAAGACATTTAGCCACAGGCCTAATACATAAATAAATACGTGATTTAACATATATTGTTATATGGCTAATTTTGGCTTTCAAATTGATTCCAACTTGTGTAGGACAGCATCCTATACAGAGTGGATGCTCAATAAATAATGCAAATGACAATACACTACATCCAAATAGCACCAAATAGCTACTTATTCAATTTATTCAATAATTCTAGTGGACTCCTATGGGCAGACAGTATTATATGATGGCCTTAGTAACACTTGCCCTCTCTTATCTATTTTCAAGGAATGTTACTACAGTCAACTAATAGGGCAAGAAGAAATGTAGATGGTCAGTGGAAATTTTTGCCTTGTAAACTCTAGATCCTATGAGAATCATTTTGGTAAGCAGCAAGCACATGAATAGTTTTAGAGATAGTAAACAATAGAAGCAATTTGCTTTGATTATTCATAAAATGTCTCATTCATTCTCAAAGTATCATAAACCAAGCAATGGAAAGAGGAGGTAAACCCATTTTAGTTCAGCAGAATCATCCTAGCTCTATCCCAGATTACCCTAAACAAAGGGCTGAGAAGTGTTTACTGTAACCAATGTGCAAGCTACAAAGCGGTAAGGTTCTTTGACAGCTACCCAAGAAGAATGGAGTGGAAAGAAATGAGAAGGAGATGGGATTGTCAAAAGGCAACATGGAATATGGGTACATGTTTTCCATTTTACCTTAAGTAAAGGAAAAAATGAAAACAACAACACAGGACCTGTGGAAAATAACTTTTTTTAAAAAGAAAGATACCAAAAAGAAAGTACTTAGTAGAAGCAGCATAGGTAGATTTTATAGATTTTAAAATCTATAATATTACTTGATGCCTTTAATGGGCCTTAAGAAGAATCCCTTAGGAAATAAATGAAATAAGTAAGAAAATAACAGTCCAAAATGAAAGGACAAAAAATGACACACAAAGAAATGATCTCAAGAAGAGAGGACTGTGCAAACTAATCATATAAGATTGTAAAGTAAACAAAATGCAATCATATTTTTAAAACTTATATTAAAGACAGAAAAGTATAGGTTTGGAAACATGGAAAATTTAATCATTTACAGAAGAGATTAACTTGAATATGTGTCTTGGAAGCTAGGAAAAATTCAAATGAAAAGAATAAGGAACTGCATAATATACAAAGAAGACAGAAAATACAGATGATTAAATTAATTTTGATGTACCATTTGGTTGAATATTATGCAAATATTAAAATAATTTAAAAACAAGCATATTTATGTTAACATGTTAAACAGGCAGGGGATTATAAACTGTACATCTGTACATATATACAGTACATATGATGTATATAATACATATGATATATGATATATAATATACATAAAAATGAGAGCAAGTTAGTGGTTTATATATATTTGGGCATAAATATATAAAAACATATTTACACATAAATGGTTCAAGTGAAAAATAATAAATTACCTTGTATATACATGTTTATAATAATTATCTGTGATAGAGATTGATCTTCGTTCTCTAATTTATAATTTCCTATGCTCTCTGAAGGTTTCATAAAGCATGTAATATTTTTACAACTAGAAAGATTGCTTTTTTTAAATTTTTTATTCCCATAGGTTTTGGGGTAACAGGTGGTGTTTGGTTACATAAATAAGTTCTTTAGTGGTAATTTCTGATATCTTGGTGCATCCATCACCCGAGCAGTATACAATGTACCCAATGTGCAGTCTTTTATCCCTCACCCTCCTCCCACCCTGTCCCCCTGAGTCCCCAAAGTTCATTGTATTATTCTTATGCCTTTGTGTCCTCATAGCTTAGCTCCCGCTTATGAGTGAGAACATACAAAGTTTTGGTTTTCCATTTCTGAGTTACTTCACTTAAAATAAGCAGCTCCAATTCCATCCAGGTTGCTGCAAATGTCATTATTTCATTCCTTTTTAAGGCTGAGTAGTATTCCATTTTTTATATATAAATATATATATATACCATTCATTATATATATGCATTCCATTATATATATAATATATAATAGTAGTATTTGCATTCCATTATATATAATAATATGTAATAGTATTATTCCATTTCATATATATTATATATATAAAATACATATATAACAATTTTTTTTATTATTATACTTTAAGTTCTAGGATACATGTGCACAACGTGCAGGTTTGTTATATAGGTATACATGAGCCATGTTGGTTTGCTGCACCCATCAAGTGGACATTTACATTAGGTATATCTCCTAATGCTATCCCTCCCCAGCCCCCCACCCCACAACAGGCCCTGGTGTGTGATGTTACCCGCCCTGTGTTCATGTGTTCTCATTGTTCAACTCCCACCTATGAGTGAGAACATGTGGTGTTTGGTTTTCTGTCCTTGTGATAGTTTGCTGAGAATGATGGTTTCTAGCTTCATCCATGTCCCTGCAAAGGACAAGAACTCATCCTTTTTTATGGCTGCAGAGTATTCCATGGTGTATATGTGCCACATTTTCTTAATCCAGTCTATCATTGATGGACATTTGGGTTGGTTCCAAGTCTTTGCTATTGTGAATAGTGCCACAATAAACATACTTGTGCATGTGTCTTTATAGTAGCATGATTTATAATCCTTTAGGTATATACCCAGTAATGGGATTGCTGGGTCAAATGGTATTTCTATTTCTAGATCCTTGAGGAATCGCCACACTGTCTTCTACAATGGTTGAACTAATTTACACTCCCACAACCGTGTAAAAGTTTTCCTGTTTCTCCACATCCTCTCCAGCATCTGTTGTTTCCTGACTTTTTAATGATCGCCATTCTAACTGGCATGAGATGATATCTCATTGTGGTTTTGATTTGCATTTCTCTGACGACCAGTGATGATGAGCATTTTTTCATGTGTCTGTTGGCTGCATAAATGTCATGTTTTGAGAACTGTCTGTTCATATGCTTTGCCCACTTTTTGATGGGGTTGTTTTTGTCCTGAAAATGTAAGTTCTTTGTAGATTCTGGATTTTGGCTTTTCTTGCCATTGCTTTTGGTGTTTTAGTCATGAAGTCTTTGCCCATGCCTATATCCTGAATGGTATTGTCTAGCTTTTCTTCTAGGGCTTTTCTGGTTTTAGGTGTTACATTTAAGTCTTTAATCCATCTTGAATTAGTTTTTCTATAAGGTGTAAGGAAGGGATGCAGTTTCAGCTTTCTACATAGGGCTAGCCAGTTTTCCCAGCACCGTATATTAACTAGAGAATGCTTTCCCCATTTCTTGTTTTTGTCATGTTCGTCAAGGACCAGATGGTTGTAGATGTGTGGTGTTATTTCTGAGGCCTCTGTTTTGTTCCATTGGTCTATATATCTATATATCTGTTTTGGTACCAGTACCATGCTGTTTTGGTTACTGTAGGCTTGTAGTATAGTTTGAAGTCAGGTGGCGTGATGCCTCCAGCTTTTTTCTTTTTGTTTAGGATTGTCTTGGTTATGCAGGCTGTTTTTTGGTTCCATATAAACTTTAAAGTAGTTTTTTCCAATTCTGTGAAGTAAGTCTTTGGTAGCTTGATGGGGATGGCATTGAATCTATAAATTACCTTGGGCAGTATGGCCATTTTCACGATATTGATTCTTCCTATCCATGAGCATGGAATGTTCTTCCATTTGTTTGTGTCCTTCTTTATATGTTAATTATTTTCGTTATTCCATCTCAAAAAAAATATTTAGAGATATGGGGTCAAGCACCCGGAAAGCCCCCAAACAGAAACTATTAAAAGTGAATGTATCTAGGGAGTGGGAACTGGAGTAGGAAATGTGGGCACATGACTTACGTTTAGCATAAGCCTTCTTAGAGGTTGTCCTTTTGTCATTTTGATAAAACATATTTGAAAAGAAAGTGTATGCAGCAAGAGAATGTGAGCATTTGGACAAGAGTTTTAGTAGCATTATTCTTGAGTAACAGAGTAAAAATAAATTAATAAATTCCTTTTAATTCTGTAGCTAAGAAATCCACTGACTTCCCCAATTCATTCATGCGTTTTCTTTGGTTACCATCAAATTAAAATAGAATCTTATGTTAATCATGTTATATACTGTTGTGCTTTCCAATAAATACTGGGTGCCATAGAATATTTCCAAGCTAGAAATTCCCTTGCCTGGGATTTTGAGCCCAGGTCTTCTCACCTGGCCTCTTTCCTTCCTCATCTCCATATTAAGCACACATCATCATCCTTATTTGATGCAACTCATATTCTGATAATCCAATATTAATTGGCACTAGGTGTTTATCATACTCTCTTTTGTGTGGATTCTTTGCTAGGTGGCATTCCACCACTACTGCAATTCCAAGCACTTTGAGATGAGATCTTAAAGGACCCAACATCAATAGTCTTTTAATATAGTGGTTTTGCCAAAAGCTTTTGCAACCTGTTTAAAGTGAAAAATTTTCTACAATTTCACTAATTACCTGAGTTTAATTTAGCAACTTATTCAAAGAATGATGCCCAGATCGTACTCCAGAAGGGGAGTATAAATTATTGACAGATCACAGAATATCATTATGTACATATATGTAGTTTGTAGCTTCCTAGTTACTAATTATACTTTATTTAAAAACAGGGTTTGCCATTTATTGCTGATTACAATATACAAAAATAGCAATTATGCACATTAATGTCAGATTAATTTTTTGTTAATTATATTTAATTATAATACTATGCCCTGGTTTTCTGCACTCGGTCTTGTTTTATTTATTTATTTTTTTACTTGACTTGATTGTTTATTTGTGTAACATGTTCTGTTCCTGAATTTCAAAATTGTGGTCAGTGGTCATTTGATTTTAACTTTTTAAAAAAATTTTAACCAAAAAAAAGATAGAAGAAAGGGAATAACAAGTTTAGTGACTATTGTTGTCGTGTTTGAAAGTTTTCCTGACTATGCAAACCTTATCAGTCAAAGCTCAAGTATTCCCAAGTAGATTCTTCATTTCACATGGTTCACCTACATATGGTACCATTGCAGGACATTAGATTTTAGATGTGGGCAATGGGCCAGATCATGAAGACCCTTCTGTGACATAATAGCCATTTGGAAAGTGTAAATAACTACACGATCTGTAAGACTGAAGGCCCAGGATTTATGAGTGTATGAGTTTCCTGGTGCTATCATAACAAAGTACTATACACTGGGTGGCTTAAATAAAACAACAGAAATGTATTCTCTTACATTTCTAGGGACTTGAAGTCCAGAATTAAGGTGTCAGCAGGGCCATGCTGTCTATGAAGGCTTTGGAGGAGGATCCTTCCTCATTTCTCTCTAACTTTGGATGGTGGCTGTTATCCCTGTTGTTCCTTGGCTTGCAGTTATGCTACTACCATCCCTGCTTCTGTCCTGAGACAGCATTCTCCCTGCGCATCTGTATATTCCTTCTCCTCTGATAAGAACTCCAGTCACATTGGATTAGGGTGTACCTTAATCCAGCATGATACCTTCATTTGATTACATCTGCAAACTCTATTCCCAAATAACACTGCATTCATAGGTATGGGGTTTAAGACTTCAACTCATTTTTTTCGGGGACATAGTTCAATCCTTAACAGTTAGAAAATCATTCCCATAATCAAAGTAAGAAAAGATGAGCCAGCCATGGAAGTGACTGATATAGGTATTGATAGGAATGAATTTGAGAAATATTTATGTGCCAGAATTATCAGGAATTTGTAACATATTAAATGAGATCCATTTTTTCATCAGATTTTTACCAAGCTAGCAGGATGAATGCAATGAGGTTATTAACTAAGAATGGCAGTACAGGAAGAGAAGATGACTTGAGATTGAAAAAAAAAATAAAAATGAAGTTTTACTCATAACAAATTAAATTGGCAATATTCTCTCTACTCATGGAGCCAATTTATTAAAATATGTTGAGAAGAAAAATTTTTTAACACATAAAATTCTGTATCAGTCACAGATATTTTGGGGCCATCTCAGATTTCCTTGGCCTTCTCTACTTCCTCAGTGGGCTGAGATTCCACAACTGGGGCCAGTCAACCCTGAGAGTGTCAGACCTTCCTTTTTGGTCACTGTCATTAAACTGGGGTGACTAGCTGTATGTGCAGAGTTTATGGCTTCATTTACTACAATGGAATAAACTGTCACATCACAGAAAAGGTTATATCTGCTGTTGCTGAGAGGCAGAAAGGAACCTGATGACATCATCCAAAAGTACAGAATTCATTACCTATTGGGTGAACTTCCACCACTGTGAGAAAAGAAAAAGGGAATCAGGGAGATAAATTATTTTCCTCATCTTTCCTTGTTGATTACTGTCTCAAGTCATGATTTCCTCCTACAGCCTCTTAATAGAACTTCCCAGGTGTTGAGTAGGAATTCAACTTGATGAGGGACCCACTGTGTTTCTCCGTGGAATGAAAAGGGGCAAAAGTATGAGAAGGAAGATCAGTAAAAAAACAGTTGAGCCGGGTGCAGTGGCTCATGCCTGTAATCCCAGCACTTTGGAAGGCCGAAGTGAGCGGATCTCTTGAGGTCAGGAGTTCGAGACCACTCTGGTCAACATGGTGAAACCCCATCTCTACCAAAATACAAAAATTAGCTGGGCGTGGTGGCGTGAGCCTGTAATCCCAGCTACCAGAGAGGCTGAGGCAGGAGAATTGCTTCAGCCTGGGAGGCAGAGATTGCAGTGGGCCAAGATAGCACAACTACTCTGTATCCTGGGCGACAGAGTGAGACTCTTGTCTACAAAAATAAAAAAAAAAATGAGTAAATAAACAAAATAAAATAAACAGTTAAAATAGTCCAGGTGATAGATGATAATAGCTTAGGATAGAAGGGTGGCAGTGAAAGGAACTGTGAGAAAGGGGTACATATGGGATATGTGCTATAGGTAGAACTGACAAATTCTTTTTAATGGATTAGATGTTCAAGTTACAAACAATGATGACTTGAACAGCTGGGTGGTTACTGGATGCTAAATTCTGATGTAGATTAGGATGTAGTAAAGCAACCTGCTTTTTGTGTCTATGAATTTTCTATGTTAAAAACTACCACTAATTTTGTAGCTCAAACAACACACATTTATGAACCCACAGATTCTATGAGTCAGGAGTCTTACAGACAGCTTAACTAGGACCTCTGCAATACTGCAATCAAGGTCCTGGCTGGACTGCATTCTCATTTGGAGACTTTACTCAGAAAGAATCCATTTCCAAGCTTAATCAGATTGTTGACAGAATGTATTTCCTTGCGGCTGTGAGAGTAAGGACCATTGATTGTTTCCTGACTTCTGCTGTAGACCATGTGAGCTCCTAGAGATCTCCTAAAGTTACTAGAGGCTGCTTGTCATTCTTAGAATAATCTACAGTTCCTGGCTTTGGAGGATTTCCCAACATGATTGCTAACTTCAGCAATCCAGCAGAGAGAATATCTAGAGTAATTCTATTAAGATAAGAAGGATAAAGAAACACATCCAGTTATCTTTGCCATATTATTTTTGTTAGAAGTAAGTCACACGTCCTGTATACACTCAAAACTTGAACATCAGGAGATGGGGAATTTGGGGGATCGCCTTAGTGTCTGTCAACCACATTGCATATTAAACTCTTAAAACTAAACCATCAAATTGAATACATGGGTTTTTGAAAACAGTAGAAATGTTAAGACTGAAAATTTTAAAATATTCCAAATTAACCTCTTTATTTTTTCTAGAAGTAACTGAGGCATAAAGTACTTATTTTCACAAATTCTAACTACTAGTTAGCACCAACACTTGGTTTCAAATTAACTTTTCTTAACTTATAGCTCGGGAGGCTATGACCTTTAGAAAATTGCCTTTCAAGACCACAAAAGTACACTGATGTACAAAAATATTGGTATTCAACATCGCTAATACTTTCCTACTGATAGCATGTTTTCAGTGGCACGAAATAAGTAGCAGAATGTAAAACAGTACCTAAAATGTTGCCCAGTTATATAGCAAGGGAGCTGGATTTTAATTCTTAATTATTTTCAGCTAATTTTCCCACATCTTAAATTCTTTAAATGTTACCTTTACTTTCCTCATTTCTTGGAGATGGCCAGAAGAGGACCAAACAGATTGTGTTGTATGATAGTGCCTGAAGAACACCTAGAGAGAAATGGCCTACACAGTAGAGGAAGTGATGAGAGCATTATCCCATCTGGGATAGATTAAATTCAGGAAAGGAATTTAAGAGAGCCACATGTGGGCCAGAGAGTGAAGCAGGACAGAGAGATGTCCACTGTCTGATGCTAGCGTGGCTATTGTTGTCATACTGTTGCATCTAGGAGCATTGCTTAATATCAATTTGAAAATAATTAATAGATATTTAAAGAATCAAGCACTTGAAATTTTTTAAAATAATAAACTCTCAAATATTTTAAACATTATATCTTTAGTATTGGGGGAGATATTAGTTTTATTTGTCAGTGATGTTCAGAAATCATTTGAGAAGGAGGGTATGGTAATTTCACCTGATTCAGGAAACTCAGTTAACTGGTTTATTGCATATATCTAGGCATGAGTTGATTTGAGTTTGGATAAGTTTGGTAGTGGCAACAATGAAGATACAAGAATGAACACAACTGATATTTTACAGAATAACTGAGAAGATTTATGACACAGTAAAAGAGATAAATGAAATATTAAATAAAATATGAGTCTAAGGATTTGATTCCCTTGGTTAAATTATTGGGGCTGTCATTGACAGGAAAAGTTTTATATGTCTGATAGATATTATATATTATTTACATTTTCTATTACATGTTATCTGCCGTCTTTGACTATTCTTATAATAACAAAATATGTAAAGAGTCTTTTCAAGGAGTGACTTGATATATTGATATATAAAAAGGCTTATATTTGGTTCTTCTAGACAGAGCAGAAAGTATATGTGGGTAAAAATTGGTTGAAGCTGATACAGCCTTCACTGTTTCTATACATGTTTTATGTCTGTTTTTTCTGTTGCTAAAATAAAGTTACCATGGGAACTGAAATTCTGTACCACAGTTCTAAAGCACAGTCTGCAAGAATAAACTTTGTAAAAAAGAAAACCAAATCATCTCTGTGCTACAAATTATTTCAATATTTTGGTGCAAATATTAAAAATGAATATTTTTTCCTCAAGCAAATGAGTGGTAGATGATGATTTTCTATTTTCTGTATGAACAAAATGAAATCAATTATATATCACTACACTTGATGTTAGAGAATATATATTTTATTCAGGGTTTTATTCACTTTAGTTTACAATTCATATAGTCATTGTTTTATGTGTTTGAACACACTGCACTCTGAGTGGCATGGAGTGAAATGAGGGTTAGTAGTAACTTAATCCTGAAAGCATAGAAGACTTCAGACATGTTGATTACTGATTTCATGTTTAAGTATAATAAAACTTCCATATGTCAGGAACATTGACAACATTATAGTGTCTTTGATTACTTTAAAAATATTTTAGATAGATAATTAATTGTAAGTTTTAATTTGCTATACTTCAGGTGAATTAAACTCTCTCATCTAGAATAAATACTCAAAGGATTGTGAGTTAGCTTTGGTTCTAAACAGAACAAATCTAGAGAAATTCTATGAATTAGTACCTGTACCTCTATTTTCCACATGTAATAGAAGAATGACCTGAGGGACAGAGAGATTAAATTACTTATCCAAGATTGCAGAGATAGGGAGTTGTGAAGCTGGAATCTGAGCCTTGGTCATCTGGCTTCAGAGCCTTTGACTTTAATCACTAGAGAATATATAACCACTTTAATCCTGATCTAGTCTCAAGATTCTGTAATACATAGTTAACAAAAATAGGAGTGCATAGATGTATCATTGCTATGGTTTAAATGGAGTGAAAATATCTTCCATTTATACCCTAAATCAAATTCTAGCACTAACTCTTAGGAGTTGTTTGACTTTCAGAAAATTGCTTATTGCCTCTGGGACTTTTACAAATCTACAACACATGGATAGAAAGACAACTTGCAGTCAGCTACTGCAATGTTAAAATGTGATTTAAAAAAATGTAAAAAGAGTTAGTATACATTTACTTTAAGAATATTGACAATTGAAACTTACTATTTACCCAGCCTATGAAAAGATTCAGGTATCCAAAAGCAGATGTTGCCCTTTTAAGACCTAATGCAGTTAAGGTAGTGTAGTCCTTAAGTAGACTTAAGGTAAGTCCACTCTACCTTGGCAATATCTTAGTCCCTATCCTTCCCCTATCAAAAACTTATCTGTCGTGAGATACTTATTGTGAGATATTTGTCAAGATGGCTGACTCCAGACACCACTTCTCCTCATAAAAAGAACCAAAGTTACAGCTGAATAATCATAACTTGAATGAATGCCAAGGGGAGAGTACTGGAACTTAGCATGAAACTCACAGAAGGAAGCCAGGGCACGAAAAAGAAAGAAACAAAAAGCTGGCAGAGATTAGCTAGGAACCCCAAGGGACTTGGTATTTTGTTGAAAAGGTATGTCCGAGTGTTGTTGGCTGCCCTTGCTTCAGCGGCACACCACTGGTATCCCACCTGTTGAAGAGTGCCTCTGTTCTTGCAAACCCAAACACTGGTGTGGGCAGTGATTTGGAGACTTCTTGAGGGCATTACACCCGATTACCTGCATGAGCCAGGTCACTTACCCTCCCCCTAGACCCAAGCTGTGTGGTGGGTGCCCTACTTGGAGCACAGCCTTTGAGGGACTCTGTCTTGCCCAGGGAACCTCATCCCTTGTTTCTCCAAATCACTGGAGCCCCTGCAGATATTCCCCAGGACCAGCTTGGATTGCAGCCAACCACACAGGCCTTGCTGGACCCAAGAGAGGTGCAGGCTTCCCAGGGGTTTAACCTTCGGGGAATGGAGTGCTGCCCCTAAGGGAAGGAAGAGTGCAGTGCAGAAAGGGAGCACCCCTTGAACGACAACAACACAAAAGGGTATGCATGCTTTCTTATAGTTAAGAGTGCCTCACTTGTGGGCTGAGAGTGATGGCAGCACTTCTAGTGGAGACACAGGGGCTATGCTCAGCTCCACAAGGTAGAAGTATGATTCCATCTCAGTGGCCAGACAGCCCCAGTACTTGGGCACAGAATTGGACAGGGAGATTTCTCCTTCCCGCTTACCCAGTGCAGTGGACCCAGTTATGGCTACTCTCAGGAGACTGGTGCAGGTGCACCAGAGGATGGCCATTCTAGGGTTATTAGGGACATCTGTATACCAACTGGCAGTGTGCCCACTGGAGCCAACTTGCACAAAAGACTCCCCCTACACAGAGCAGCAGTGTTCCTGCAGCAGAGAGCAGGAGAGTAAAAAAGCTGTGTCTTTTGAGCTGAGGGAGAAGGTTCCTCACCAAAGACATTTTGGTGGTGAGCCACAGAGCAGGCATCATTCATGGCTCTTGGCTACATTGCAGCTTCAAGATAGAGCGTGATGTTTGTCTGATCTGATTGTCCCAAGCACCAGGACAGTGGTATGATGGGACAGTGGATCACATCCCTGCCTACCTAGACCATGGACTAGAAAAACTCACTTCTCCAGTGCAAAGACCTCAGCAAATTTCACCAGAAGCTCCTGCCACCACCTCTGTCTGGGTTGGTGGTTGTGCCCACCATTGTAATATCCAAGGGCAGACTTGGCAGTTCAGCTCTACCAAGTTTGTCACCCCCTCAAGGGCTGAGCAGGGAGCTCAAGTCACTCAAGTTTATTCCATGGACCAACCTGTTGCCTGCAGCAACAGAGAGTTTCTTCAGGTAAACAATGATCAAGCAATCACCCCTCTTTCCTGCAGCTTGAACTGCACTAGAGTGAATAAAACTCTCTTTTATTCTGTTTTACACCATCCTGGTGATGATGAAATCCCTTAGCATTTGCTTGTCTGGAAAGTTTTTCTCTCTTCTTTGCTTATGAAGCTTAGTTTGGCTGGCTATGAAATTCTGAGTTGAAAACTATTTTCTTTAAGAATGTTGAATATTGGCCCCCGCTCTCTTTCGGGTTGTAGGGTTTCTGCTGAGAGATCCACTGTTAGTCTAATGGGCTTCCCTTTGTAGGTGACCTGACCTTTCTCTCTGGCTGCCCTTAACATTTTTTTCCTTCATTTCAAGCTTGGAGAATCTGATGATTATGTGTCTTGGGGTTGATCTTCTTGTGGAATATCTTAGTGATGTTCTCTGTATTTCTTGAATTTGAATGTTGGCCTGTCTTGCTAGGGAAGTTCTCCTAGATGATATCCTGCAGTGTGTTTTCCAACTTGGTTCCATTCTCTCTGTGTGTTTCAGGTACTCCAATCAATCATAGGTTCAGTCTTTTAACATAGTCCCATATTTCTTGGAGGCTTTGTTCATTCCTTTTGATTCTTTTTTCTCTAATCTTGTCTGCATTCCTTATTTCAGCAAGGTGGTCTTCAAACTCTGATATCCTTTCTTCCAATTGATCCATTTGGCTATTGATACCTGTTTATGCTTCACGAAGTGATTGTGCTGTGTTTTTCAGCTCCATAAGGTCATTTATGTTCCTCTCTTAACTGGTTATTCTAGCTAGTAGCTCCTGTAACCTTTTATCAAGGTTCTTAACTTCTTTGCATTGGATTAGAACATGCCCTTTAGCTCAGTAGTTTGTTATTACCCACCTCCTGAAGACTACTTCTTTCAATTCATCCATCTCATCCTCCATCCAGTTCTGTGCCCTTGCTGGAGAGGCGTTGCGATCATTTGAAAGAGAAGAGGCATTCTGGCTTTTGGAATTTTTAGCGTTTTTTATGCTGGTTTTTCCTCATCTTCCTGGATTTATCTATCTTCGAACTCTGAGGCTGATGATCTTTGGATGGGGTTTTTGTGGGGGGATCTTTTTTGTTGATCTTGCCATTGTTATTGCCTTCTGTTTGTTAGTTTTTCTTCTAACAGTCAGGCCTCTTTTCTGCAGGTCTGCTGCAGTTTGCTGGAGGCCCACTCCAGACCCTGTTCACCGGGGTATCACCAGTGGAGACTGCAAAACAGCAAAGATTGCTGCCTGATCCTTCTCCTGGAAGCTTCTCCCTAGAGGGACACTGGCCTGATGCTAGCTGGAGCGCTCCTGTATTAGGTGTCTGTTGACCCCTGTTGGGAGATCTCTCCCAGTCAGGAGGCAAGGGGGTCAGGAATCCACTTGAGGAGGCAGTCTGTCCCTTAGCAGAGCTGGTGCACTGTGCTGGGAGAATCCCCCTTGTCAGGATCAGCCTCTCTCTTCAGAGCTGGCAGGCAGGAAAGATTAAGTATGCTGAACCTGCAACCACAGTCACCCCTCCCCCCAGGTGCTCTGTCCCAGGGAGATGAGAGTTTTGTCTGTAAGGCCCTGACTGGAGCTGCTGTATTTCCTGCAGAGATGCCCTGTCCAGTGAGGAGGAATCTAAAGAAGCAGTCTGGCCACAACCACTTTGCTGCGCTGTGGTGAATTCCGTGCACTCCAAACCTTCTAGTATCCTTAGCCCTGTCAAAGGAAAACTGCCTACTAAAGCCACAGTAAAATATACAGGAGCACTCCAGCTGGCATCAGGACAGTGTCCCTCTGGGAAGAAGCTTCCAGGAGAAGGATCAGGGAGCAATCATTGCTGTTCTGCAGTCTCCACTGGTGATACCCCGGTGAGTACACCCCGGCAAGCCACAGTAAAGGTGGTAACCCCTCCCCCCACCAAACTTGATCATCCCAGGCTGACTCCAGACTGCTGTGCTGGCAGTGAGAATTTCAAGCTAGTGGTTCTTATCTTGCTGGGCTCCATGGGAGTGGGACCCGCTGAGCAAGACTGCTTGGCTCCCTGGCTTCGGCCCCTATTCCAGGGAAGTGGACGATTCTCCCATTTCACTGGAGTTCCAGGTGCCACTGAAAAAACTCCTGCCGGTCAGTGCCTGCCCAAACAGCCACCAAGTTTTGTGCTTGAAACCCAGGGCCCTGGTGGTGTAGGCTCATGAAGGAATCTCCTGATCCACAAATTGCAAAAATCCATTGGTACTGTTGGTGGGAATGTAGATTGGTTTAATTATTGTGGAGGACAGTGTGGCAATTCCTCAGGGATGTAGAACCAGAAATAACATTTGACCCAGCAATCCAATTACTGGATATATGCCCAAAGGAATATAAATCATTCTACTATAAAGACACATGCAAACATATGTTTAATGCAGCACTATTTACAATAGCAAAGACATGGAACCAACCCAAATGCACATCAATGATAGACTAGATAAAGAAAATGTGGTACATATACACCAGGAATACTATGCAGCCATAAAAAAGAATGAGTTCATGACTTTTGCAGAGACATGGATGAAGCCGGAAGCCATCATTCTCAGCAAACTAACACAGGAACAGAAAACCAAACACCACATGTTCTCACTCATAAGTGGCAGTTGAACAATGAGAACACATGGACACAGGGAGGGGAACAACACACACCAGAGCCTGTCGGCAGGTGGTGGGCAAGGGGAGGGAGAGCATTAGGACATATGCCTAATGCATGCAGGGCTTAAAACCTAGATGACAGGTTGACAGGGACAGCAAACCACCATGGCAAGTGTATATCTATGTAACAAACCTGCACATTCTGCACATGTATCCCAGAACTTAAAATAAAAAACAAGGGCCAGGCGTGGTGGCTCATGCCTGTAATCCCAGCATTTTGGGAGGCCGAGGGGTGTGGATCATGAGGTCAGGAGATCAAGACCATCCTGGCTAACACAGTGAAACCCCGCCTCTACTGAAAATACAAAAAATTAGTCGGGCGTGGTGGCAGGCGCCTGTACTCCCAGCTACTCGGGAGGCTGAGGCAGGAGAATGGCGTGATCCTGGAAGGCAGAGCTTGCAGTGAGCCGCGATCAGGCCACTGCACTCCAGCCTGGGTGACAGAGTGAGATTCCGTCTCAAAAAAAAAAAAAAAAATTGCATCAGTGTTCTTCAGAAATAATGGCCTAAAATAAATAAATAAATAATAATACGGATTGGTTTAATGCATAGAAAAAATAAGATCCAACCATATGCTGCATACACGAAACCCACCTAACTGGTTGAAAGCAGTGCTAAGAAGGAATAGTATAGCACTAAACGCCTACATCAAAATGATAGTCAGATCACAAATTAACAAACTAATGTTGTATCTCAAGGAAGTAGAAACTAGAAAAATAACAAACCAAACCCAAGGCTAGCAGAAGAATATAAATACCAAAGATCAGTGTAGAAATAATAAATAGAGACAAAAAATTACAGAAGATCAACCAAATGAAAATGTAGTTCCTTAAAAAGATAAAATTGATGTATCACTAGATAGATCAATCAAGAAAAGAAGAGAGATGATTCCAATATGCACAATAAGAAATTAAAAAAGAGATATTACAGCCAATACCACAGAAATATGAAAGATCATCAAGAATACTATGAAGATCTCTATAGGCACAAGCTTAAAAACCTAAGGGAAATGAATACATTTCTAGAAACATACAATTTCCAAAGTTTGAGCCAGGAAGAAATAGAAATATTGAACTACCAATACCAAGTAATTAGATTGAATAAGTAATAAAAAAAATTCCCAACAAAAGCAGCCCAGGACCAGGTGTATTTACAGCTGAATTCTACCAGATGTACAAAGAACTGCTACCAATTCTTCTGAAACGGCTCCAAAAAAATCAAGGAAGAGGGAATCCTCCCCAACTCAGTCTACAAAGCCATATTACCCTGATGTCTAAGCCAGGCAATATTACATACAAAAAAGAATATTACAGACTAATATTTCTGATGAACATAGATGCAAAAGTCCTCAACGAAATACTAGCAAACTTAATCTAACAGCACATCAAAGAGATAATACACAATGATCCAGTTGGTTTTATTTAAGGGATGCAAGGATGGTTCAACAGACACAAAACAATAAATGCAATTCATCACTAAAACAGAATTAAAAACAAAAGCATATGATCACTTCAATAGATGCAGAAAAAGCATTTGATAAAATTGAGCATTTCTTTACGATAAAAAAGTAAACAAACCAGGCATCAAAGGAGTATACCTGAAAAAATAAAAGCCATGTATGATAAACTCATAGCCAACATCATACAAAATGGGGAAAATAAAGCATTCTCCCTGTGTTACTTCATTATTATGTCACTATAAAGAAATACCTGAGGCTGGGTAATTTATAAAGAAAAGAGATGTAATAGTCTCATGGTTCTGCAGGCTGTATAGGAGGCATGGTGCTGACATCTGCTTGGTTTCTTGTGAAGCCTCAGGGAGCTTTTATTCCTGGTGGAAGTTAAAGCACAAGCAGGTATATTATATGGTGAGAGAGGAAGCAAGAGAGAAAGAAAGGTCCCAGACTCCTTTAAATCACCAGATCTCACGTGAAGCAATTGCATAAGAACTCACATATCACCAAGGGGTTGGTTCTAAACCATTCAAGAGGGATCCACCCTATGAACCAGTTACCTTCCAACAGGCCTCTTCAACACTGGGAGTCACATTTTAACATGAGATTTAGAGAGGACAAATATCTAAACCCTATCACCTCCTAAGAACTGTAGCAAGACAAGGATGCTTACTTTCGTCAGTCTTATTCAACATGGTACTGAAAGTACCTTGCACCAGAGCAATCAGGCAGGAGAGCAAAATAAAAGACATCCGATTTGGAAAACAAGAAGTCAAATTATTTCTGTTTGCTGATGATGTAATCTTATATCTAGAAAACCCTAAATCCACCAAAAGACTACTAGATTTGATAAATGAATTCAGTAAATTTTCAAAATCAACATACAAAAATTCAGTTACATTTCTATACATCAATAAACAACCATGATAAGAACCAAATCAATAACTCAATTCCATATACAAAGCTACAAAATAAAATAAAATAAAATACCTATGAATACATTTTACCAAGGAGGCTAAAGGTCTTTACGAGGAAAATGACAAAACTGATGAAAGAAATAGTAGATGACACAAATTGAAAATGATCTCATAATAATGAATTGCTTATTGCTCAGTATTGTTAAAATGACCATACTGCTCAATGCAACCTGTAGACTCAATATAATTCTTATCAATATATACTGTTAATTTTCACAGAATTAGAAAAAATAATCCTAAAATCTGTATCCAAGCAAAAAAAAAAAAAAAAAAAAAAAAAAAAAAAAAAAAAAAAAGAGCCTGAATAGCCAAAGCAACTCTAAGCAAAACCAACAAAGCTACAGGCATCATATGACCTGACTCCAAATTATATTACCAGGCTTTCCTAACCAAAACAGCATGGTATTGGCATAAAAATAGGCACATACATCAATGGAACAGTATGGAGAACCTAGAAATATAGCTACAATCAACTGATCTTCAATAAAGTGGACAAAAACATACACTGAGGAAAGTACACTCTGTTCAATAAATGGTGGTGGGAAAACTGGCTAGCTGTATGCAAAAAAATTGAAACTGGACCCATAGCTCTCAACATATACAAAAATTAACTCAAGGTGGATTAAAGACCAAAGTGTATGACGTGAAACTATAAACATTCTAGAAGAAAATCTAGGAAAACATTTTTGGATACTTGTCTAGGCAAATAATTTATGCCTAAGACCTCAAAATCAAAGGCAACAAAAACAAAAATAAATAAATGGAATTTAATTAAACTAAAAAGCTTCTGCACAACAAAAAGAAATAATCAATAGAGTAAAAATACAATCTATAATATGGAAGAGAATATTTGCAAACTATGCATCCGACAATAGGCTAATATCCAGGATCTATAAGAAACTCAAACAACTCAAAAAGAAAAACAAAAATAACCCCATTAAAACATAGGCAAAGAACATGAACAGATTTTTTTCAAAAGAAGATATACAAATGGCCAGCAATGAAGGAAAACATGGTCAACATCAGTAATCATCAGAGCAATGCAAATTAAACCCATTATGACATACCATCTTACACCAGTCAGAGTGGATATTACTAAAAAGTCAAAACAACAGTTGTTGGGGAGGATGCAGAAAAAAGGAAATACTTATACACTGTTGGTGATCATGTAAATTAGTACAAACTTCTATGGGAAACAGTATGGAGATTTGTCAAAGAACTAAAAATAGAACTACTATTTGATCCAGCAATCACTACTGGGTATTTACCCTAAAGTAAAGAAATTATTATATCCAAAAGACACTTGCACTTGTATGTTTATTACAGCACAATTCATAATAGCAAAGGTCAAGAATCAACCTAAGGGTTCGTCAACAGATAATTGGATAAAAAATGTAGTGATGTAGTGTATATATTCACACATACCCACACACACATACATACACATATACATCATGGAATACAGCTTAGTAGAAATCATGTATTTTGCAGAAATATAGATGGAACTAGAGGCCATTATATTATGTGAAACAACTCAGAAATAGAAACTGAAATACCACTTGGTCTCACATAAAATTGGGAGCTAAAGAATGTGCACACATGGACATAGAGAGTGGAAAAATAGATGGTGGGCTGGTGGTGAGGTACAATGTATAGTATTTGAAAAATTGTTACACTCATAGCCCAGACCTTACCACTAAATGATTTATTCATGTAATAAAACTGCATTTGTACCCCCTAAATCTATTTTTAAAAATCAGGTTGCATCTAACAGTATTGGTAAACAAACAAACAAAAACAACTCACCTATTATGTATTCCATTTTCTATCAGCATGCTGCATGTTTGTTAAGAAATTTGACCAACAAATCCTCACTCGCTTTTTGAGGATGAAAACTTGATCAATATAAAACATGCTACATACTCAACAATCCTAAATTTCTAATCAATGAAGATAATCTGAATTCATTTTAACTGTGGTTATTTCAAATTTATGAAAATATATTAATTCAATTTGTCACTGATTAAATAGGTGTAAAGAACTTTCTACTTTGTTAGGCACTCCACCCAGCCACACTAGGTTTACGGCACTAAGGATCCAGTAGAAAACAGAGCTTACCTGTGTCATGCCAAGTAATGGCTCAAGCCATATAATGAAGGAGAATAATTCTATTTGTTAGTTTGGGAAAGGCTTACCTGAGCATTTTCCATTTAAACTAGACCTGAAATACGAGTAACAGTTGACAAGATAAAAGGTAGAGAAGATCTTTTCTGTAAAATATTTCAAAGGTATTTGCCTGAGACCAAAATGGCATAACTACAGGCAAAGACCTCTGCCACCCCTGATAACTTGGGATCATTTTGAAGTATATATCAGAAAATTTGGAAACATCTGCAAAATATCATATGTATTAACTACTTTGGATTTGCTATGTGTGAAGTAAAAGCTTTTCTTATGTAAAGAAAGGAGAAAAGTGGCCGGGCACAGTGGCTCACGCCTGTAATCCCAGCACTTTGGGAGGCCAAGGCGGGAGGATCACGAGGTCAGGAGATCGAGACCATCCTGGGTAACATGATGAAACCCCGTCCCTACTAAAAATACAAAAATTAGCTGGGTGGTATGGCTTGTGTTTGTAGCCCCAGCTACTTAGGAGGCTGAGGCAGGAGAATCGCTTGAACCCAGGAGGCGGAGGCTGCAGTGAGCTGAGATCATGCCACTGCACTCCAGCCTGGGTGACAGAGTGAGACTCGTCTCAAAAAAAAAAAAAAAAAAAAAAAGGAACAAAGTACAACACTTGGTGTAAGAATGAAAGTTAACATTTAGAGTCATTGATGGCATAGAAATTTTCACCTACTCAACCAATATTGAGCTTCCACATTTGTACTTTTGGCTTCCACATGTTATTAACCACATTTTAAGCTGGTTCCCAAAAATGCCTGTTCAAGAAGTGGTAACTATCCTGGCTAACTTTGGACTTCCCAACAAGCCAAGAAAATAAACTTCTAGAAATACAAGTAGAATTTCCCACAAAGGCCACTTCAACTTATTGTTCTTTTCCTATTCAAAGACATCTGAGCATCTGATGTGGCAAAGCGAAACTAAATTAAATTTAATATGTTCTCTTCTCATCTGGGTTTAAAATATTTGAATATATTTCCATCTCTGACAAAACATATCTCAAATTCTAATCATGGTCAGGCACACACTTCTTTAGAAATAAACAGAAAATCAGTAAATTATTACGTTGAATTCTGTTTTCTTTTGTGTTTTGCCTATTGTTAAAAAATCTACAATTGACATGTATTACCATTGCAGATGAACATAAATGTTATATTTCAAAAAACATTCCCCTTATTCTTTTAATAGATTTAATTCTTCTAATTAAAAATTTTAAATATACTAACAGTTTAAAAAAATTTCTTTCCTTTAAAAATAATTGAGTGGCTACTGGGTTTTTTCACATACAGTCCAGTCACCCCCAGGAGAGGATAATTTGGGAATGCCTGGACAATATGATTAAGTTTGCATACAACAGAATAACAAAAGGAACAATATAAGAGTGACTTACGAAAGACAGATGTTCATCTCTTTTTCACATAATAGGCACAAATAAATTTAATCATTTTCCTTATATAAATTGAATTTGGAATTAAGCAATCCAGGGCATGTATTACATATTTATCATCTTGATCCAAAATGATGGCTGGAGCACCAGCCATCATATCAAACTCCAAGGAAGAGGAAGGGAAAAAAGAATAGAGACACTGTTCTCTTTCTATAAGGATAATTCCTAGAAGTGTCCTATGCCACTTTCAGATACAATTTTACTGGCCATCCCTGACAACAACAGGGACTGGAAAATGTACTTTTGTTATAATACACTCAGTTGAAAATCAGGGTCCAAGACAGTAAGGAATATTAAAAATTAAGTAACACCAACAAGTGTGTCACTTTCTGCTTTATAAAGTCAGAGAGTTTAATACATTTTTCATGTATTTTTGTATATTAAGGCACTAAAATTAAAAGAACTAGCTTTTGCTAAAACCCCTCTACATGTCACACATTTTCATCTCTCTTAATATTTATATTGTCTTGTGAGAAACACAGCATTCTTTATTTACATATAACCGAACAGGTGAATGTAATTAATATCCAGTTTGCCTCTTCTGGAGACTGCAAGTTTAATCATGGTGGTATACTACTCCCTAACAAGATTTACTGTTGCTCCTGTTCTAGAATAGCTAAGAGCTGGCAAAGGATAACAGTGGAATAATGTTGACACATTCTTCTGTGCTTATCAGAAGAGTATGGATTTAGGAGCATTAAGAAGTCTCCTCATTTCCAGCTTCTTTTTTGGGTAGTGCTTATGAAAATAAAATACTCAAAAGCAAGCAAGACCCACCAGGAGCTAGGATTAGAAAATCATTGAGGACAACTTGTGAATTTTCATTACATTAATCAACCTAGTTGTAAAGAAGACCTCCTGCCAGAATAGTTTGTCTCAATTTGAGCTGAATAAGCTGGTTAAACTGTTACTTTAGTATAATGATCCCGAAAGTCTGAGCAAGCACAGCTGACTTTGTACTTAAGAGAACAGGCCTTTGTTAAGCTGTACTGTCCTATACATAAGATGAGTAAAATACAATTCTCACTCTTTGTGTTATCATACTGAGTCCAATCTTGGATTAATGCCTAACATATTTTATTTTATTTATTATTTTTTGAGACATAGTTTCACCTGTTGCCCAAGCTGGAGTACAGTGGCGTGATCTCAGCTCCCTGCAACCTCTGCCTCCTGGGTTCAAGTGATTCTTGTGCCTCAGCCACCTGAATAGCTGGGATGACAGGCATGTGCCACCATGCCCCGCTAATTTTGCTACTATTAGTAGAGACAGGGTTCCATCATGTTGGCCAGGCTGGTCTCGAACTCCTGACCTCAAGTGATCTGCCCACCTTGGCCTCCCAAAGTGCTAGGATTACAGGCGTGAGCCATTGCACCTGGCTAATGCCTATCATATTTTAGAAAAAAATCAAAATAAAAAGGAAAGAAGAAAATATTTTTATTTTGGGATCATACATGTATTAGTCCACTTTCAAGCTGCTGATAAAGACATACCTGAGATTAGGTAATTTACAAAAAAAAGAGGTTTAATGGAATCACAGTTCCACATGGTTTGGAAGGCCTCACAATCACGGTGGAAGGCAAAAGACAAATCTTACATGATGGCTGGGAAGACAGAAAAGAAAGGGGTTTCCCCTAATAAAACCATCAGCTCTTGTGAGACTTATTCACTACTACGAGAACAGTAATGGGGAAATTGCCCCCATGATTCAATTGTCTTCCACCGAGTCCCTCCCACAACACGTGGGGATTTTGGGAGCTACAATTCAAGATGAGATTTTGGTGGGAACACAGCCAAACCATATCAATGCATCAGAGTGTAGTCTATCCAAAGAGGCTTTTATTTCCTCTCTGCTCTTCCTTTAAGAGGGAATTCTCTTACATTCTTCACAATTGGTGTCCATCCCAACAGACAAGTGCCTGGTGGCACCTGAACACCTGAAGTAATAGCTTTTTCACTCTGACCTCTATTTTTCAATAACTAAGAAATAAAGTGAAAAATAAATGTCTAATCACCTCTTTCCCAAAGGGTAAAAATATGTTTCAATTAGAGCTGATTGCAAGTACCAATGAAATGGGAGAGTTCCCTGATTCCTTTTGCAGAATGTGCGACAGGGACGACTTTTTGGGTGCAAAAACAGAACTGCCTGTCCTCATTTAGGGCAGCAGGTCTTCAGGCTTGAGGGCGGGGCCTTTGCCAGGGAACCACCCTCTTCTACCCAAAATTTCCCTGTCTCCTGTCCATATCACCGATTCATACCTTTAAGCATGTATGGCCTATGAAAAAAATTGAGTGTTCACTTAGTACACTTCCTGTGTTTTCCATAACTACTTGTGTAACCAAATCAAGTAATAAGTTTATGTAAAACTTACATTTGTTAAAGTTCATAGGTATGTCTTTTACTTATATGTGACCTAAGGCAACTGCTTCTCAATATTAATTTTGCCCATGGTGTGAACATATCTTTTCCTAAGGCATCTATAGAGAATATAAGAAGCAGGCACAGTCCTCATCCTGGAGAAGATAAAAGGCTAATAGTACTATTTAAATGTAAGCATCAACACAACTCTAGAATAAAATAAGTGAGATATCTATACCCGTATCTACATCTATATCTATCTATCCATCCGTCTATCTAACCAGGGACAAATAGCTCCAACATTAAAACAAGCACAACCAATGGGAAACACTAACTAAAGACAGAAGAGTGAAGTGTTGGGGTTTATACTTGAGACTGACTGATTTCTAATTAATACTATGCTTGTATGTGGTTAGTACATGAGAACTACAGTGCTGAGTCATCTAATAATGATTGTCTGGCCTAACTGAAGATTTCTAAAACTTGACCTATTGTTACACTGATTGAATTGAAATTCAAACACACTGATTGAGTTGAAATACACTGACTACGTTCACCAGTGATATATTTTGTTCACAATAAATATGTCAATTCTTCCAAATTCATGCGCATTATTCCAAGAGCTCTTTTTAATGTGTATTACCAAGGACCTTTTGAAAGGAAGTGTATTTTACCTTGAACAGGACATTGAGAGATTACACATACCCAGCTACAGATGAAATATATTTTGAGGTGATCAGCAGGTGCTTGGTCTCATGTGAGATGATGTGCTTAATGGCTACAGAGACCACATGAGCTGTAAAACTTATTTAGGAATCCACTGTTTTTTCCTTTTTTTCTTAGACAATTCAGTTGCTCTGTAAGCATTCACGGAGAGCGCCTCA
Source organism: Homo sapiens (assembly GCF_000001405.40). NCBI lineage: Eukaryota > Metazoa > Chordata > Mammalia > Primates > Hominidae > Homo > Homo sapiens. The sequence continues at coordinate 9,681,035 of NC_000007.14, read as the reverse complement.
GGTAATTGCTTCAAATGACCAAAAGTTGTGGTCAGAACTGTTCTTAGAGTCTTTCTGATTCCCTGTACTTACAAACATGCTTAAGGGCACTTAATGAATAACCTTTTACTGATGTACCACCCTTTCATTACCACCTGGGCTTAGAAGCAAAAGCTATAAAGGTGAGAATTATTTTCTTATGGGTTCAGCCCAACCCTTCAATAGCAATGGCACTTTGTAGATGGCATCAATCAGTGGGAGGAAAATTATACCTTAGGTCATTTTAGGCAGAGTAGACCATAAAATGAAACACTATAAAATCTTTGGGTTTATAATAGCACTATGTCATAAATTCTCCCTGTGGAGAGACAGTACTGTTGCCTGCTTTACATTTGTAATGTATAGAGTGGAACAATGTGCTAAGAATATCCTAATTCAGGAATTATTCTTCCTATATTATTAAAAAATCACTTAAATGGTTGGGCACATGAATTTTGCATCTCATGGTGGGAGTCTTATAGAGAAAACACACATACAGTTCAAAAAGATTGAGCCTATTTAAAAATAAAAGCAAATTAATAAATGAACAAAAAATAAGGTTTCTCAATTTAGATAATCTAAATCATCTCTTTGTGAGGAAATAAGAAAACCATTGTGCTGGCTTAACAGTAGATATTCTTTCTCTATTTTCCTTCCATTTTTTTTCCTGCTGTTCCTTACTATGAAAGCTATTTTTTAAATTAACTAATGGAGGGATAGTTCTGTAACTGCTATGATTGGTCCATGGTTTGTCTTCACTGAAACTAATGTGGCAGGTTGGTCCTCAATGAGGCACTGTGGAGAGGCGGAGCCTAGTAGGGGGTGTTTGGGTTATGGGGGTGGGTCTCTCATGAATAGATTACTGCTGTCTCTCAAGAATGAGCACACGGGTTCTACCTCTCACAGATACGGTTCATTTCCTGTGAGAGTGGGTTTGTAGCCCTCATGTGTGCCTCTTTGTACATGCTCACTCACCTTTATGCTTTGTCATGTTGTGAAACAGCATGTGGCCCTTACCAGAGGTCAATGAGGTGCCAGCACCATGATTCTTGAACCTCTCAGTCTCCAGAATTATGAGCCATATAAACTTATTTTCTTTATAAATTACCCAGTATCAGAAGTTTTGTTACAGAAATACAAAATGGATTAAGATAGTTACCCAAGATAAATTACAAAGGGATTGTAAGACCTAACTATCAGGTAGTCATTTTAGGTAAAATATTTCAGAAGCCATCATCAAAGAGTTTGTGTGTGTGTTATTATTTTTAACTTTTATTTTAAATTCAGAATTACAAGTATAGGTTTGTTACATAGGTAAACTTCTGTCATAAGGGTTTGTTGTACAGATTATTTCATCACCCAGGTATTAAGCCTAGTGCCCATTAGTTATTTTTTTCTGATCCTCTCCCTCCACCCTCCACCCTCTGAAAGGCTCCAGTGTGTGTTGTTCCATTGTATGTGTCCATTCGTTCTCATCATTTAGTTCCCACTTATAAGTGAGAATATGTAGTATTTGATTGTGGATAAAGAAAATGTGGTATATATATACCATGGAATACTATGCAGTCATAAAAAAGAATGAGATCCTGTCCTTTGTGGGGACATGGAAGGAGCTGGAGGCCATTATCCTTAGCTAACAACCACAGGAACAGAAAAGTAATTATATTTTAAATGGACTAATGTTGGTCCTATCTAGTATGGGGAATTCTTAGTTTCCTGTTGTAAGTAATGTCTCTGACTCCTAGGTCGTTTTCTCTGAGCAATGACCTCTTCAAAGTCATGCCCCTCTGACTGATACGGCCATGGTTCTTTAACCTTGATAACCCAGAAAAGAAAACTTGGGTCATTTTTTTCTTTGTTCTTTCTTCAAATATCTTTCTTAGATAGGAGTCTATCCATCAAAATACCTCTTTTCTACCAGTGGTATTTAAATCCAGGGAAGTTTAGACAGAGTACGTGAAAGTCCCAACACCTAAGTGATTTATTTGTTCCTTCCTATAGTTGCACATACAATTCATAGTGCCTTGCCACATGTGGCTACTGAGTACATCAAAAAGTAACTTGCCAAATTTGAGATGTTCTATAAGTATACAGAAAATGTACAACATCTAATTAATAATTTATTATACTGATTACATATTAAAATGATAATTTTGACATATTGGATTAAATAAAATATATTATTACAAGTAATTTCATCTGTTTCCTTTTACTTTTAAAAATGTGGCTACTAGAATGTATAAATGGGAAGCATAATGCTGGCATATGCTGGGATTCTGGTGAAGACACAGGAAGCTTTCAATCATGGTGGAAGGTGAAGGTGGAACAGGCACATCACTTGTCAAAAGCAGAAGCAAGTGAGAAAGAGTTGGGGGAAGGGATGTGCCACACACTTTTAAATGACTAGATCTTGTGTGAACTCAGAGTGAGAGCTCACTTATCACCAAGGGGATGGCTACATGGTTCATAAGGGATCTGTCCCCATGATCCAAACACATATCAGGCCCCACATCCAGCATTGGATATTGGAATTCAACATGATATTTGGGCAGATACAAATATCCAAATTACTTAAGGGATACTCTTTATAAAGAGGAAACAAGACTGTTAATAAAAAATAGATTCAGGATCTTCTAGAGGACCTGTGCAAGAGAGGGAAGTGGATATTACACTTCATTTGATTCACTATTAATTTGTGTCTGGAAATAGCATTCACCTCTGAAATTCTGATTGTTTTTTTCTGGATTCGTAGGCATCTTTTTCCCAAGAAAGTCATCTGCAAAAATTTTCTCCTGATCCTCCACTTAACAGAGGCCTATGTTTTAATAATTATAGCAAATTGCCTTAAACTTCCACTGCCCATTTTCCCTATTTTCAGTTCCTTTTACTCTGCTGTCCAATCAAATACATTCTGTTCATCAAGTTTTTAATCACAAACTTTGGCTTTCAGACACCTACAACTATCTTGAATTGGAATTAATCAACAGGATTTTTGATAGTAAAGCAACTATCTCATTTATTTTCATCACAATTTTGATCACAATTTATAACAAATATATTAAAAGAACTATCTTAGTAATTATGTGACACTGAAAATATAAGAATATTCATTTTCAACAATTTTGAGAAAGATGTTTAGAGAAAAGCTTAGCCTCCACTTTCTAACTAAAAGTGCTAGACAGAATATAATATACATAAATGTAGTATTGTATGTGGGTGATGTGTGTTTGTAAGTGGATATATAGGTCAACTTAGGCGGCCATAAAAAACTAACATACTGTGTAGCTTAAACAATTGAATTTTATTTTCTCACCATTCTGGAAACTGTGAAGTTCAGAATTAAGATGTCAACAAAGTAGGTTTTTATTCTTAAGCCTCTTCTTTTGGCTTATAGATTGCCACCATCTCTCTGTATACTTACATGACCTCTTCTTTGTGGCTATATGGAAAGAGAAAGAGCTCTCTGGTGTCTCTCCTTATGAGGGCATTAATCCCACTATGAGGGTTCTATCTTCATGATTTCATTTTGTTAGAATAGGCAGATAGCCAGAAATGAGCAAATAGAAATCCTGGAGACTCTGACCACTGATAGTAAGTGCTGCCCACTGTCAGTCAGCAAAAAAGATGAATGGCTACACAGGCTACTTCTGGCCTTCTAACTGGGCTCCCGCTGGCCCTGAAGGGTAGCTATCAGGCACTAGCCAAGATAACTATGATAGGGACTTCCCCTGCAGATGAGCATGTGAACTCATCCTTGAAAAGGATAACTTTCATGGGCTGCTGTTGAGAGCATACACTGGTACAATGACTTCATACGCTGCTGTTGGACATGTACACTGGTACAACCACTTAGGAAAATAATTTCGGATAACTTGCTAAATTTCAATACATTATATATACCTTATAAGAAACACTTGAAAATTTGCACCAGAAGCTATTTTAAAATATTCAGGAAGCATTGTTAAGAGCAATATATGCATTAATCTTCAAATCCATTAAATATATTATTGCACTATATATATACATATATATATACATATGTATGTGTATATATGTATATATACTATTATATATTATGCAACAGTGAGAGTGTGAATAAGCAATAGATACAATGTTGAGATAAAATTACAGGAAAACACATACTTTTGGTCTAATTTATATAAAGCTCAAACCTAAAAAAAATTGAGCAAGATGTTTTTCAAACTTATACAAATTGTGGTAATCTATAAAATAGTTGGCTGCACATAAGAATCACCTGCGAGGCTTTTAAAAGCGCAGTACCTTGTACTCACCTGTGGCCAATTAAATCACAATATCAACAGATGGTATTCTGGGGTCTGTGTATTGTCTTGTAATTCTCATCTGGGTGATTTTAATATGCAGCCATATTTGGGAATCACCCTTAAAAAACAAACCAAGGCATCAGTAAAGAGGATGCTGTCTTGCTTAGGAAACTGTCTAGGTAATTCCACATAATTGGGTGGGACATGAAAAGCGTGAATATGTCAAAGAAGATTTGAGCATGTCAAGACATAAGAAAAGTAGTTTCTTAAGGAAGTGGTAAAAAGGCTCAGTCTCATACCTTCATCAGTATGACAGAAGTGATACAGCATGCATGGAAGCAGGAGCCAGGTGAAAGAACCTAAGAGATAAACCTCTGGCAATTCCTGTTCACTCGAGAGAGAGACTGAATTCTATAGAATGTGGAACTGCGATTCAGAATTAATTCATTAACATCAAGGGCCAGGCTGATATATACATTGTGTGTAATATTTTGCAAGTCTGGAAATTGACAAATACCCCTTAAAATAACACCAATTAATACTCCTCTAACTCTGACAAACTGCAGAGGTAAATTAAAGTTTATGAGAAATATTTTCAAACTCAGGAATCTAAGCCACAGAGTAAGGGAAACAGGAAGTTGGAGTCAATGTTAATATTTGCATACATATCCATTTTCCTGTATTAGATTTATTTCACTGATGTCCCTGGAAACGCCTATTAATCTTGCAAGACTGCTCGGTAATTACCACATAAAAAGCTTCTTTCTATTTTCCCATAGAGTTTAGTTTCTTTCTTCAGTTTGTCCTCAAAACATATTGTGTAATCATTTGTTTACATGTTTTCCTCTTCTACTAAACTGTTAGTAGCTCAAAGACAAAAAATACATAATTTTTATATTTGTATACCTGGTACGTATGTGGTTCTTCAAATAAGGTTGAATGAATTCATTAAATTCCATCAGTTCAAACATGTGAACTCAGTCTACAAGAAGCAAATATATTCAAACTCTTCAGAATTATAGCTAGCTCTCAACTACATTTGTTTGAATGCTTAAAATAGGAGAGAAATATTCAGAAAAATCTTTGCCATGATTTATTTATTTGTTTTTAGTTACCTTTTTGGTTATTTCCTGTCTCTCTTACAGACCTCTCTTCATAATTGGGAAAATAATGCGCTTTCCTCTTTCTTTAAGAAAATTATAATTGTCATCCATATTGTAAATGTAAGGTGCTTTTGCCATTTTCAAGGTATGATCATGTTGCACACATCTCTAGGTATCCAAATGGATCACCAGATCCAATTGGTGAAGTGGACTTGCCCCTAGTACATGCAGAATCCTGGAAAAATATTTCTTGCAGGGTTTCTATGTATATCAACACTTTGATTAAATATGTATTAAAAACATGTGGGCCTATTTGAGGCTTAGTGACTTACTGGTGAAGACTTAAAATAATGGTAGAGGAGAAGTATAGGTATTTGTTTATTCAGTCAGTTCATGTGATAATTCTTTGTAGTGTCCAGGTACAATTTCTCTATGTTGAGGTCCAGGAGCCACTTTTTCATGTCCTCTTCTTTCAAATATGTCATAACTAGTTAACTTCACATCTCCCATTTTGAAAAAGGTAGCAACACTATTATTACTCACAATGTCAGGCTCTCCACAACCTGTTTGTATTGAAACAATATAGATCTTCTTGCTACCACAGTTCCCTAATACCATTTATTTAGTGCTGGTTACATCATTACTCATGACTGCACCATCCATCATGCTGCCCAAAGAACTGGCTTCCAATGACTCTCTCAAAACATGTTACTGTACTGTTTTGACGATGACCAAAAATACAAGTCTGACCTAGAGTATTCAGGAAATTATCTGGTTAATTTGAGTACATAAAATTTGATAGCATAAAAATAGAATAATCCATCTTCCAACTATATCTTTCCTTGAATTTTTGAGGCTGTGATCACCATATTCTTAATATGTGAGATATTTTTATATATACTACCACCAGCTGGAAGGGGGTATAGGTAAGGCCTGTCTTAGTCAGTTTGGGTTTGCTAAAACAACTTTTCATAGACTGGGTAGTTTAAAATAAAAACATTTATTTCTCATAGTTCTCGAGGCTGGAAGTCTAATATCAGGGTGCCAGTATGGTTGTGTAATTGGTGAGTGCCCTTTTGCTGGTTTAGAGGGCTGTGTTCTTGATGTGTCCTCATGTGGCAAAAAGCAAAGAGAGCCTGATCTCTGACCTGTTTTTATAAGGCACTAATTAAAAGGGCATTCATCAGGCCTCCATGCCCATGGCCTATTTATTTCCCAAAGACTCCGCATCCAAATTCTATGACATTGAGGATTTGATTTCAACGTACGGCTTTTTTGGGAGACAAACACTCCGTCTATCACAGGATCTGTGGGTGGAGTGAGATTAGTGGTCCCATTCACACAAGAAACAGACTTCCCCTTTCTGTCATGGCTTAAGACTGACCCAGGAGAGCACAATGTCACCACATCACTTACAGGCAAGCAAAGACATTGCTTAAAAAGGTTCATTGGCATTATAGAACAATGAAGAAATAGAAGTGACAACCTGTGGAAGATTTGATCAAGATTTATTTTACCCTGTGATTTCTCTGCTGACGGATAGGTGCCAGTATTTGGTGAGTGGTCGGGGGAACACAGGAGTGATTATCACCTCAAATTGATATGCCACCACCAACGTGCCAGCCTGATTTCATATGGTCCCATTAGAGAAATGCCTAAGTAACTAAAGGGAATAATTCACGTGCCAGCCTGCCCTTCTAGAACCAGGACGCAAGGACCTGGACAGAGAACCCTGGAATGCTCTCATATTTGCAAATCCTGGGGCCCCTCAGGTCTTCTAGATGACCTCAGTTTTGATGGGGGTGGGGACGGAGAAACCCCATAATATAGAAACAGAGAGCAAGGCCATTGCAAGTCCCAGTGTGGGCTTGGGGTGCCCCAGCAAAGTAGTACAACCAGCCTAGATTTTCAGAGACACTGAAGCAGGATGTAGAAAGTTTTGAAGGTGACACTTCAGAGGGTAAGGACCACCTGAAGAGAGGGGTCTGTGTTTGTTGCCGATCTCAGAGCAGTATTGGCCGCAATTTTTACATCAGCTCCAATTTCCTCCTCATTACAACTTGTACCCCAATAGTCTCATCTTTCCACAATCCCTTGTCCTGTTGCAAATCATTTAAACTTCTCCTCTGCTCCCCCACCCTCCTTGCATACACACACATTCACTCATACCTTTCTTGTTCTCTCACATACTATTTCTAGAGATTCAGCCTCCTATTTCTGGCTTTCTACTGTTCATCCGTCCAAATTAAAAGAGAGGAAAAAGAAGCACACAAATTTCATATCTGCCTATACATGATTTGTTGGTCACTCAGAGAGGCAAACGACCAAGACAAAGAGAAAAAAGGCAATCGAACTGATTCTTATTCATACTAATTATAGGAAAAGAGAAAAAAATAAAGGATTTTTGACAGGCTTCTTTCTTCTTTTTGTTTATGTATGTGCGTGTTTGTTGGGAAGAGATAAGGCATGAAAGAAAAATAATATACAGGAAAAGAATTATAGAGTGTGAATAGTTAAAACCCCAGAGAAGTAATTTGTTAGAATTCATATATTTCTCTTATAAAACAGGAAACAAAAACTATTCCTTTAAAAATGTCTTTAGATTTAAAATTCCAAATATTTAAGTGAAAATACATATAATTTAATTGCATCCAAAAAACCATGATAGATAGGAAAATATAAATTATTAAATATTATCAGTAAATAAGTAGAAACATAATACGGACTCCTAAAATAAAGTTAAGCAGCAAAGGAACAAGGCAGCTGATAGTCAAGAGACAGCCAGAGTAAAGAAGCCTACTTTAACTTAATACATAAGAATTCCAATTTACAATTAGATTTAAAGATAGGAAACTCTCAGAGATTGCAGGGAACAGTCTTGATTTGATTCAGTTTTCTGCAATGAGATAGCTGACTAATGGCCACTGTAATCTGAATTAATTAACATCAATTTGTTTTTAATAAAAAGCTTCTGAAGCCCATTTTGATAATGAATACTGTCTAGAGAAAAATCAAACAGAGCTATCTGATACATGTGGAGCCACAGCTGTACATATTTGACCCCTATTTTGCACAGTTGCACCTCATTGATTTCTTCTGTTAAACTCCTGGACTGAACACTGAACAATGGTGGGAGGACTCATATATCTTCTAGAGAGACCGGGTCTATGAACTGTAACCCTGCAGTGGGGCCCAGAATATTTCTGCACCGCCAACATTGGCTGCCTGTCCCAATGACAGATAACCCAGATATTGTTCTTAAGAACAAATAACCTCAAACCTATGACCATGGAATCAGTCTTTTCGGACACAAACAGAAATAAAAGGCTTGAGACAAATCTGACATGTAATTGAGCTTCGAGTTAGTTGGCTTCAAATTTAAATCCACTCAAAGTGTGCTTATAACACAAGGAATTCCTGTATTGAAAGATAATTCAAAATAGAACAGGAAACTATTAGAGACACTGTCATGTATCTTTTCATGACTATGGAGTAAAATAGGCTACATGCATAAAGAAGAAGCTTATTTGTCAGTGTCTCCATTGAGATTTTCCCTAGACAGCAGAAAAAGTCATACATCTATTTATGTTAACTCACACTCAAAACGATTATAGTAATGATACAATTGAGCAATTTAAGTCAATTCTATCGCACTGCTTTTATAAAGAAGTTAGTGTTTCAATAACTGTGGGAAAACATCTTGCATACGTTTATCCAACTAGGATAGTAATAAAAAGACATAAGTTTCTTTATAGTTCTAGTTTTTTGTCCATTGCTTTCAATAAAGAGTGTAGTGGTGAAAATAAAATAAACCAAAAGAGTCAGAAGCCAAAGGCACTGACTTGGAAATTTAGAAATTAAAAGTATGAATTAGTGTGTTCATCATTAGGTGAATGATGTGTCCTTAGCTACTACGGAGTGCCTACCAAAAACTACAACTTGAGCTGGTAGCAGTGCCTCATGCCTATAAGCCCAGTACTTTGGGAGGCTGAGGTGGGAGAATCCTTTGCAGCCAGGAGTTTGAGATCAACCTAAGAAGTATACTGAGATGTCATCACTACAAAAAATAATTTAAAAAAAGATAGCTGGTCATGGTGGTGCATGCTCGTAGCACCGGTTACTTAGGAAGCTAGGGCAAGAGGATCACTTCAGACAAGGAATTCAAGGTGGCAGTGATCGCCCCTGCACCCTTTCCTGGGCAACAGAGCTACACCCTACCTCTAAACCAAAACCAAAACCAAACCCAAACCAAACAACACAAAACTCCTACGACTTGGTTTAGCAAAAAGCCATCTTAATACTTTATCGTCAATGCAAAAAATCAACCTCAGTTGTCTAGGAGACAGGTAGTCAGAGTTCCCCAGCTCTGCTCTCATTTTCTCACTGTTATGATGATTACATTATGAAGGTTGACACTGTCTATGATTCCTTTTATTTCTGCAATTTCTGATCTTTCATTTCAGAAAATTCCTGTTTATTATAATACAGTTTCTGCTAGCATAAGGAATTTTTAAATGTGTGTTTGTTTTTTTTTTTTAAGACGGAGTCTCACTCTGTTGCCAGGCTGGAGTGCAGTGGTGCATCTCGGCTCACTGCAATCTCTGCCTCCTGGGTTCAAGCGATTCCCCTGCCTCAGCCTCCCGAGTAGCTGGGACTACAGGTGTGCACCATCATGCCTGGCTAATTTTTTTGTGTTTTAGTAGAGACAGGGTTTTCAACATGTTGGCCAGGATGATCTCGATCTCCTGTATTTTTGTATTAGATCTTTTTTTTTTTTGAGATGGAGTCTCGCTGTGTCACCCAGGCTGGAGTGCAGTGGTGCAATCTCGGCTCACTGCAAGCTCCGCCTCCTGGGTTCACGCCATTCTCCTGCCTCAGCCTCCCGAGTGGCTGGGACTACAGGTGCCCGCCACCACACGTGGCTAATTTTTTGTATTTTTAGTAGAGATGGGGTTTCACCTTGTTAGCCAGGATGGTCTCCATCTCCTGACCTTGTGATCCCCCTGCCTCGGCCTCCCAAAGTGCTGGGATTACAGGCGTGAACCACCATGCCCGGCCTAACATTCATCTTTGAAGCTTAGTATAGTGCAAACATTTTGGAATGGTCTTAATCCTGGTTGCTGTCACTTCTATGAAGTTGAAATATCTTTTCAAAATTTTGGTCTCATCTCAAAATATTGGTGTATCTTTAGCAAATAAAAAGTGTTGGCATGCAATTGAAGTGTTATAATATTAAATTACTATTAACTACATTTTCAGAGGTAATTTTTTTCTATTAAAAACAAAGAAATACAGTTGACCCTTGAATAGCACAGGTTGAAATTGTGCAGACCTACTTATACGGGGATTTTTTTTTTTTTTAATAAACATGATACCAAGAGTGCCTGCCTCTTCTGCCTCCCCTTCCACCTCCTCCACCCATTGTGCTTGTGTGATCCCTGAGAGAACAAGCCCAACCTCCTCCTCCTCCTCCTCCTCAGCCTACTTAATGTGAAGAGGGCAAGGATTAACACCTTTGTGATGATACAACTCAACTTAGTTAATTGTGAATGTATTTTCCTTATAATTTTCTTAATAAAATTAATAAAATGAAGTATGAAAAAAGTACATAATACATACAACATACAAAATATTTGTTAACTGATTGTTTAAATTATCAGTATGTCTTCCAATCAACAGTAAGCTACTAGTAAAGATTTTGGGTAGTCAAAATTATACACAGATTTTCAACTGCATGGGGGTGGAGCTGAGGTGGCACTCTTAAGCCCTGCATTGTTCAGTGGAAAACTATGTGTCATATAAAACATTTCACAAAAAAATTGGGCTTTGTACGACCTACATTCTTGTCCCACTTCCCTCCTTGACTGTGTGAACTTGCGAAAATTAATGTGTCACAAAATCCTCAACAATCAAATGAAGAAAGCATTATTTATACTGTGGTGTTCAAAGGATCAAGTAAATATTTAAAAAATTCAAAATGTATTAAAAAGTATCCAACATAAGCAGAGAAATAAGCACTCATAGTTGATGAAAATATAATTTTTTTTAATTTATGAAGAGGATAAATTGGCAAAACATACCAAAAATGTAAAAAATATAGAATTCTACAAATAATTCCATCTCTAGGAATTTACTCTTAGGAAGAAAGTAAACATATATGTGTACTACTTATAATAAAATAATAAATATTAGTTAGAAAAATTTTCAAAAGCCCAATAATAAGGAATTGGCTAATTATAAATATTTGTCCACATATATATGACGAAATGCCATGTAGTCATTAGCAAACATGTGTTCAGAAAACATCATTAAAAAGATTAAGATAGGAAACATTAAACATTTATGGCACCACTTATATAAAATATCACTATCACTGACTGACCACTTCATATATCTCTAGTGATGTGTTAGCTCTTCACATTTATGAATTCATTTAACCCTTATGGCTCTATGAGGCAAAGATTTTATCCTTGTATTACAGATGAGAAAATCGTGGCATAAAAAGGTGATCGAATATTATCATATTTGTATAATGTATCACAAGGCTGAAATTTCAACTTTAATAGATCTGAGTCCAGAGTTCAAGACTAATCTCTGCTTTATTGTTGGTAATCTGACCCTGAGGTAAATATAGCACACAACACAGAGGTTATTTTGTTTATTGGGCCCTTATGGTATTTGCACACATTTTGGTTTTTATTTTAAATGGAATTTGTTGCCAGCATATTTAGGCATGAAAATTTAATTCCCTGTTTCTATTAAAAATTGAAAGATCTATGAACACTTGACCATTATTATGTGGCAACAGTGTCATAGGTATTAGCAGCAGCTTTTCTCTTTAAGTGGCACTTTAACTTCACAATTTGCCATAATTAGTCTTAGACATTCTTTGAGGTTCCATGCTTGGAATGTTTAGGCATTTGAGCTTGAGATCTCTCTCTTTCTCTCTCTATGATATTGATTTAAAAAGCAGAAAAATATACATACCAAAATAGGTGATAAAACCACGGAAGAATTTATGTTTTTTTAGCTCTTTTGCGTATGTGTGCACGTCTTCCAAGTTTTTTATAGTGAACATAAACTACTAAATAGAAGAAAGAATATATTACTTAAAGTATAAAGTTTCCAAAAATGGAAGAATGCATTTTATATGAAAGCGGCTTTGGGTACAATTTCGATTTCAGTTTCTTCCATAGTACAACCGTTCAACTTCCTGAATTAATCTTTCTAAATTACAGCTTTCAAAAAACCCCTTCTCTATAAAAATATTTCAGTCATGTCTAAGTTACCTTTGCAAACTTCTCTCTTAGGTCTTGTATAATACAACGATATATTGAACATAAATAGTGCTTTTTTCTATTTATTTATTTTGAGACAGAGTCTCGCTCTGTCACCCAGGCTGGAGTGCAGTGGCGCGATCTCAGCTCACTGCAACCTCCGCCTCCTGGGTTCAGGCAATTCTCGTGCCTCAGCCTCCCGAGTAGCTGGGATACAGGCACATGCTACCATGCCCGGCTAATTTTTGTATTTTTAGTAGAGATGGGTTTTCGCCATGTTGGCCAGGCTGATCTCAAAGTCCTGACCTCAAGTGATCTGCCCACCTCGGCCTCCCAAAGTGCTGGGATTACAGGCGTGAGCCAGGTGCCTGGCTGTTAATGCTTTCTTGTTTCTATCTCTTGTAACTTGATCCTGAGAGTTCCCCTGAGCTTATCTCAGAGTATGTTTTACACTTTATGTTAAATTATGCAGATATTGCTGATTACGATCCATGATTAAGATAAATATTCACTTTCTTCACTATTTTAATCTACCTATAGACATATATCTGGCTTCCTACTATGAACACTCATTTAATGGTTTAACAACCATTTAATACAATGTCTATGTGATATTTTACTTAATATATGAAATTTTCCATGTATATATAATTTACTGATTGAATGAATTTGTTAATGCTTCAAGAACAGAGCCTGTGACTTAGTTGCCCTTTACTGTACATCTCGGTTACAGAAAACAAGGGAGGAGTTCTCTTCTGCCTGTCTGTGGGTGCACTATGTGTGATGTCTGTAAAAAGAATTCTAATTAATTTGGCCCAAAGAAAGACAATCGCTTAGATCTAATATTTTTTAAAGGGAAGATAAAAGTTGTGGTACCTTTCAGTTTTCGTGATTTCAATCTTTGAGAAATAAAAAGAGCCCTAAAGACTCTTGGTAAAATGCAGGTGAGATGCAAGGTTTGCTAGTGTTTTGAGCTTACAAACTGAATTTGGGTTTTGAAGACAGTCTGTCTTGCCTGCTTCAAAACTGATTAGACCTGAGGACATATGGAACTAACCACACCCTTAACTAAGAAGGAAAAGTTTGGCCTCAGTTATCACACAATTAAAGCAACTTACCAAGTTTTACCTTAAAGTTAAAAATTGCGAGGAGTTACCATTATAACATGTAATTGAGACTACTGGAAATAGATTTACAATCAAGGTATGTAAAAACAGTAAAATGTGTGTGTGTGTGTTTGTAAAAGGTTATAAGAAGGCATGGGAATACTTTGGCCTAGGATTAAAGGATTGTTTTAATTTAAATTAGGAAAAGCTGAAAGTTCAAACAAGTGGAGGAAGCATTGCGGAAATTAATCTTGCAGAAGAGGTTCTTTGTGTGAACATATTGACCAAATTCAAAAAAGGGTATTATATGTTTTTTTTTCTGTAAATTGAGCATTGAAATAAAAGCATAACAAGCTTTTCCTAAGGCACTAATCTGCTCTTTGGCAAAATTTGTAAAAGGTTATAAAAGGTTTTTGCTTCTTAAATTTCTGAGTAATCATTTTGGCAAAATAAATAACTTACGGTAATCTGGAATTCTATTTTATAATATCAAGTGTTTAAAACCTCGAACATTTAACAGCCTTCCCAAAATCAAACTTCAGTTTCAAAATTGTCTTCCCTGGCACCTGGCTTTTTGAATACTTCAGAGGGCCTCTGAAGTGTCCAAAAAAGAGAGGTAAACAGGATTATTTGCCATGTTCAGGTACATGGGCTTGCCAAAATGATGTTCAGTCTTCTTTAGGTTGTATCTTAGTAAATAATGCTTATATATGTTCCAAAATTGCATGAGATTTCTAAAGTTCTAATGTCTAAGTATAAGCTGTCAATCATAATTAAGGTTGTTAATGCTAAGTTATTATAAACCACAGAGATAACCAAACTTGTTTGTCAATTGTGTTTCTAACTGTACTTGCCCTGAACATTTTGCTATTCACAGATAGTTGTTGTCTTGTTTTAATCATTTTCAAAGATGGTTTATAATGAGCTATAGAATTTTAACAAGTTCTCTCAAATGCAGGCTTTTGATAACTTCAGAGATGATAACATTGGAATAAAGGAAAATGTACAGGACTCATGAAGAGCTGAAATGTTCACAAATAGTAAGCAAAACAACAGTTAACTAAATGAACTGAACTCAGCAACCTGAATCAAACTTTTTGACTACTGTTTGGAATATTGCTAATCCATGCTTTGTTTTTCAGAGTCAAGGAAACTTATTTTTAAGTATTTATGGCCTTAAATAATTAAGTAAAGTATATGCTCTCATAATCAAGATTTGAAGCACGTTTGTTTCTCTCTGCCTGGTTCCTCTAGGATTTGGACCCTACCTGTGAGTATTCTTATGGCAATATAGTTGTTTTCATTAGTGCAATAAAAATCTATTTTTCTTTTGCAACAGGACACAATTGTAGAAAGTAGTTATTTTACCAAGACTTTGACTGGAAGGGTATGCTGCCCTTGACTTTAAGGAGTCAAGCTCTACTTACAGAGCTGATAAAATTCCCATGAGAGACTGGGCTCATGCCCTCATCTACACAGTCCCTGTACAGGGTTCCTGACCTGTGGTCAGTAAAGAATGTCACTTTCTAACAGGCCTAGGAGCTCCAAGTTTACCTTGGGATCTTAAGAGGAAAGAATCATCCAACTCACAGGTATTTGAGGATAAACCCATGGCTGGGCATAGCTTTAAAAGGCCTTCCTTATGGAACAGACATCCATCACAGCCAATCCGAAAGGCCTATGAAGAAATAATTATTCTTGCTGCACTGTATGCAAATAATCAGGCAAGTTTAAGACAAAAGTCTATTTTGCAAACCATTTAGTTCCATGATGATTTTTTTTTAACAAAAATGAGGACTGGAGAGAGAAAAATTATATTTCAAAACTTGTACATTTGTCATTAAATTCTAAACTCATTAGTTGTTTTTAAGTTTTCACCTATTTTAGCCTAACCCTGCTTGATCCTGTAAATCACCCAGCAATCCCTTGCTGAAGCTAAGAAAGAACAAGAGGAATGGGTGATGTAGAAATCTGGATCAATATTCTAGCTCTGAGCAATTATCCTGAAAATCCTGCCAGGCGATTGGAATAAACAGGATGCCGACGCCTCAGAGGTTTCCTTTTGGGAAAGTAAAACCAAGGGAGCTAGCCAAAGCACCCAAATCTTAGCAAGCATAACTATAGTGACCAGTTATCTGAATGCATCATGAAACATCCTCCCTTGTTGGAGGAGGACTCAGTTCCACAGTTTCACCTTAGCATTTGGCTTATGATAAGGAGTCCATGCAATCCCCCAGGAGACACATTTTTGTCTGTCCCAGACTCAATTCCAAGCTTTGGGTCAAAGCCCTAGGAAAAAAAACTGGATCTAAGGGATCCAGAGGCAGATGACAACAGAGTTTAAAAGGCACAGCGCAGGTAAGCATGGCTGATTCCTGCCAATTAAGCCAACCCCAAGCTTCCTGTTTCATGGATAAAGGCCATGTTAATATCCATGGCATAAATGAGGTCTAGGGAACTCCAAGGCTACTGACAGTAGGTGGGAGAGAGACATAGGTAAGAGTAGATAATTTCTGTTCTCTAGGCCTCTCTGCTTCATGGGTGAAAGATGCTTTGGCACTCATGGCAGGATGTACCAAGATCACCAGGACTCGGGGATGCAAGGATGGAAGGGGGGAAAGAGGACACTCTTCCCTTTCTTCCTCACTTACACCGAGTATCTGCTAGGAAGAGAAGGGAACATATCTGCTAGGAAGAGAAGGGAACCAGAGATGCCTGCTCCCCTCTTTCTAGATGGGTAGCCATTCATCTCTAGTCTGTACCCTTTTTAATGCATCCTGAACTCCTGGAACAGCTTTGCAAAAATATCCTCTTTCTTCTTCTCTCCTTCTCTGACCTCTCTTCACTGATAGGTACTTGTGTCTCCATACTACGGGACACTTCCCTCGGATGCATCTTCCAAACTGGAAAGAATTAATTTCCCAAACCTTAAACTGGTTGGCTTCAGACTGGGCTCAGGGGAAGGGAATCCAAAAGCCCAACATGCTGGCAAAAAGGTGAAATATTTTGCCAGTCAGGCTTTTAGCCTCCCTCTCCCTGTGGAAACTGGTAAAAGGCCTCAAAATTGTTGAGCTGTCCTTACCTCCTCCTTGTTTCATTTTGGTACATGTTTTCTAATAACCCGTTTTGTCTGTTCTCTGGTCCATCAAACTCCACACAGTCATGCAACTAGAACCTCTGACAATGACCCCTTCCGCTGGGAACCCTTAAATAGGCCTCTGAGGGAGCTCTGACTGCCATTTCCCCCAAACAGTGCCCCCTCTCAGCAGGAAGCAGTTATGATTAGTCTTCGTCCTTATCCTTAATCTAATGGTAATTAGATGTACTTCTTTTGAGGGGGGAATGAGACAGCCAGATGGGAGAGGGTCCCTGAAGAAACCTCAACCAGCCCGGACTCCACTGGGGTGGAGTCTCAAAAAGTTCATGACATTTGCAGCAGGGAGGGGCCTGGACCCTCCTCTTCCTGTGTGGAATCTGAGATTCAAATGGCCTTGCAGGAAGCCCTCTAGCAGGGACTCTGCTTGGCCAGAGTCCCTGTTTCCCCCTTTTCTTCCTTTTCACCCAGTAAAACCCTGCTTTGCTCACCCTTCAAACTGTCCGCGAGCCTAAATTTCCATGGCCATGGGACGGACAAGGACGCCGTCTTTGCTGAACTAAGGAAAAGTCCTGCGCCACCACACCTGGCTAATACTTATTTTTAAAATATGTCTAAAGGTTAACTCTAAAAAATTATACCTATTATTCATAGATCTAGTAGAAAACCAGAAGCACTTTTTTTTTTTTTTTGAGACAGAGTCTCTGGTGAGCTCTCTGTTCAT
This sequence comes from Homo sapiens, assembly GCF_000001405.40. Classification (NCBI taxonomy): domain Eukaryota; kingdom Metazoa; phylum Chordata; class Mammalia; order Primates; family Hominidae; genus Homo; species Homo sapiens. Next base: position 9,663,430 of record NC_000007.14, on the reverse strand, counting down.
TATTGCCTCCACCTCCCAAGTTCAAGCGATTCTCCTGCCTCAGCCTCCTAAGTAGCTGGGATTACATGTGCACACCCCCATGCTGGACTAATTTTTGTATTTTAAGTAGAGACAGGGTTTTACCATGTTAGCCAGGCTGGTCTGGAACCCCTGACCTCCAGTGATCTGCCCTCCTCCACTTCTCAAAGTGCTGAGATTACAGGCATGAGCCACTGCACCTGGCCCAGGAGCACATTTAAAGTGGGTGACTGAAGAGTTTAATTAAGGTATTAATTTCAGGCTAGGTATGGTGGCAAGAGGATGGGCTCAGTCCAGGAGTTGGAGGCTACAATCACTCCAGAGAACTGCGTTCACTCCACTCAGTCATGTGAGCTATAATCACGCCAGTGTACTCCAGCCTGGGCAACAGAGTGAGGCCCATGAACCCCTCCTGTGGTAAAAAACAAACAAAAACAACCAACCAACCAAACAAGCAAAAACAAAAAATGATATTACTTCCAGTGTTTTTAAAAGAGCTTACAGAAACTGATAAAGGGTGTTGGCAAATACCATCCCTTTCTATGTAGCTGCAGTAGTGAGAGACCAGTGACCCTAGGGCAAAGAGGACTGGGAGGTTTGCTTAATGAAAGTGTAATTGCATGAAGAGGACTGAATAAAAAAAAGCTTTGGCATTCAGTAGAAAAACCTAGCAAATCTTCGTTTTCCCTTATGGGCCAATCTGTGACTGGTGCCTCCTATTAGCACAACATAACTGGAAGCCAAAAGGCAAGGGAGCCAGTTGATGTGGCTTGCATAGGTCAGCTTCCTGGCATATGGAGCAGGATAGAGAGTGGAAGATGAGTCTGGAAAAACAAATGAAAAACATCCATATATATTATACAAAAATATCCAATAATATTATACTAATCGAGAGTCCAATTTACTAAAATCTAATTACTTTTAGTGTCAAGCCTAGTGAGTAAAAGAGGTAGTGAAATAGATTCTGCGTTGCAACAAAAGTGAGGAACTGAGGCAATTCCAGACCAGATCACATTTGACCAATGTAATTACTTTAACTGGTAATACACATTAATATGTTTAATAACTAATAGGCTTTATAAGTTGCATTGTCTTATTCACGTGTGTAATCAGTAGAGAATTTAAGTAATGTAGTTGATGTAATAGCAACTTCTTACATTGTTTTTAAGATGACTTAAATGGATATTTCCTTCAAACTCACTGAAAAGTTCTAACATCCAATATTCTAAATTTTAAAATGCATAGCGGCATTGTGTCTGTAAAACATTGCTAGGCAAAAGTTAAATCCATCAACCTCCAGAATTTTGAAAAGGAATGTTTTAAGCTAGATTGTCTAAGTAGGGTTATATATGACTTTTATTAAAAAGCCAATAATTAACTAGTTCACTAGTTCACTATTGGTCTAGCAGGCATAAATGCTCCCACCTCCACTATAGACAGCACAAGGAGAGTCCCAGATGTTTGTCTCCTAGTTGTAAACCAAGAATGCACTTGCTGATAGCACAAGAATGGAGAAAAACCCACAGCGCTAGTGTTGTCTTCTCAGGCATCCACAGATATGCAAGGCTAATTGGTAAATCAAAAGAACATATAATGTATTTCTGGGTAGAACCTACATAGCTGAAACGTAATCCTTGCTAAATTCAAAGCAAGAAGCAGGAAAGGGAATTTTATCCATTGTTATTTTACTACTGGTGGTCTAGGACTTGTATAAGCATGATCCGAGTCCATCGAGTCCATTAGGAAGAAAATCTCCTTTCCTTTATTACAAATATTTTTAAATACACCTAATTATCTTTCTTAAAACAGAAAAAAAAAATGATAGAATTTTTTTTGTCAATAAAACAGCATAGATTTTATGTGGGAAAGCACTGAAATATCCGATAAATGATACATTGGAATAAATGGGAAATATTAAGTTTTGTGTCTCATTACTTGTGAATTGATTATATTTTTGTTGCCTAGGTATACTTTTTAACCTTGAACTCACCCATTGATAAAACAGATGAAAGTTACAAATTAAATATTAGAGGAAAACAATATGATTTAAAAGCCCTTCCTAGACATCTTGTAGTGAGTGGGTTTTAAAAGGAGGCTTCTGGGATATAAAGTAAAAATGAATTTTGACAATTGATTTTTCCAATGCTTACTTCGTTTCAGCATTTCCCACTTTCCATACCCCAGTTTGTCATTGAAGCCTTTATATTCCAAGGACATTTCTGTAGAGCTAATAGGGCTCAGGACTCATGTTATTAAAACTCTGCTTGGTTTTACTTTTCACTATTGTAGTCTCTCCAGCTATGGCTGTCACTCATTAGAGCCCCAATGTGCTGCATAAGGCAATGCTTTGTAAACAAGGTACAGGGGGTCAAATGCTATGTTACCAGTGAGGAAAGCAAAGAGACAGCAGAAAATCAAAGAGATATACTGCAGGGAACAATATATGTGTCATAAAGTTTGGGGTTGTGTGGTGTTTAAATGAACTTGCTTAACATTCAAATCCCCAGAGTTTTTCACTTGGGGCATTTGCCAGTGAGACTATCGCTCATTGGCACATACTGCCTTCTCTAAAGCTTCCCCTTGTTTCCCACGAACCTAATAGTGCAGACCTAGAGCAAGGCATCCAACAAATCACAAAGCATGTCTGCATTCTGCTATGTATCAAAGTCTCTTAATATGCCAACAAAGTTCTCCAAGGTCAGGAAAGCAGTTTATCAACATTTTATATACCTTATAGCAGCAATAAATTTATTCCAGTGGAGGATCTATGAATATTTCAGATGCTCTATGAGAAAAATTCTATGTCTTTAGATAGTCTGTGTATCCCAGAATTTGGGCACAAGACACAGTCATTTTTCTCTTACCATGTTTTTATTGTTATTCAGTTCCAGTTAATGTAAAGCTATTCAGGTACTTTCTATAATATATGCTATTTAATAATATGATTTTTATTTAGAAATTAAACACTTTGATATTTTGTACATTAAATTTATTTTTTATTCATATTCTGAATATGTGCTGTATTAAACTTTTAGTTCAAGAAATAGGTTTCAAATGGTTTTCTCAAGCATCCCACAGAAAATTAATTTTCATATTTTGAGTTTTGCCTATTTGTTTTTTCCTCTTTATCACATTATAATTTATACTCAGAACAACTATAATACAGTCAGGTAAACATACATGTGCATTTGGCTTTAGAGCAGCATGATTTATAATCCTTTGGGTATATACCCAGTACTGGATGGCTGGGTCAAATGGTATTTCTAGTTCTAGATCCTTGAGGAATCGCCACACTGTATTCCACAATGGTTGAACTAGTTTACAGTCCCATCAACAGTGTAAAAGTGTTCCTGTTTCTCCACATCCTTTCCAGCACCTGTTGTTTCCGGACTTTTTAATGATCGCCATTCTAATTGGTGTGAGATGGTATCCCATTGTGGCTTTGATTTGCATTTCTCTGATGGCCAGTGATGATGAGCATTTTTTCATGTGTCTTTTGGCTGCATAAATGTCTTCTTTTGAGAAGTGTCTGTTCATAACCTTTGCCCACTTTTTGATGGGGTTGTTTGATTTTTTCTTGTAAATTTGTTTAAGTTCTTTGTAGATTCTGGATATTAGCCCTTTGTCAGATGGGTACATTGTAAATATTTTCTCCCATTCTGTAGGTTGCCTGTTCACTCTGATGGTAGTTTCTTTTGCTGTGCAGAAGCTCTTTAGTTTAATTAGATCCCATTTGTCAATTCTGGCTTTTGTTGCCATTGCTTTTGGTGTTTTAGACATGAAGTCCTTGCCCATGCCTATGTCCTGAATGGTAATGCCTAGGTTTTCTTCTAGGGTTTTTATGGTTTTAGTTCTAACATGTGAGTCTTTAATCCATCTTGAACTAATTTTTGTACAAGTAAGGAAGGGATCCAGTTTCAGCTTTCTACATATGGCTAGCCAGTTTTCCCAGCACCATTTATTAAATAGGGAATACTTTCCCCATTTCTTGTTTTTGTCAGGTTTGTCAAAGATCAGATGGTTGTAGATGTGTGGTATTATTTCTGAGGGCTCTGTTCTGTTCCAATAGTCTATATCTCTGTTTTGGTACCAGTACCATGCTGTTTTGGTTACTGTAGCCTTGTAGTATAGTTTGAAGTCAGGTAGCACAATGCCTCCAGCTTTGTTCTTTTGGCTTAGGATTGTCTTGGCAATGCTGGCTCCTTTTTGGTTCCATATGAACTTTAAAGTACTTTTTTTTCCAATTCTGTGAAGAAAGTCATTGGTAGCTTGCTGGGGATGGCATTCAATCTATAAATTACCTTGGGCAGTATGGTCATTTTAAAAGAGAATAAAATACCTAGGAATCCAACTTAGAAGGGATGTGAAGGACCTCTTCAGGTAGAACTACAAACCACTGCTCAACGAAATAAAAGAGGACACAAACAAATGGAAGAACATTCCATGCTCAGGGATAGGAAGAATCAATATCGTGGAAATTGTATTTCTTAAGTTGTTGGATCTCTATCTCATTCATCCTGTCTACCATAGGACATTAAAAATGAGTGAAAAGTATTAAAAATTATCTAAAACTCAGGTTGTAGTTGATCTACTGTCAAGAATAAAATATATATTTACCCAATAAATTTGTACAAAACAAACTCACTTGTGTAACTATTACCCTGTTCTTAAAACAGAACATTTCCAGCACACTGGAGTCTCCTTTTATGTCCTTCTTCCAATTATTATCCTTGTCTTCTCCAAAGTTAAACTGTCTTTTAAAACACTGTGTATCTTTTACCTGTTTTGGACTTTCATAAATAGAATATTGAAGTATGTATTCTTATCCATCTGGCTTCTTTCTATCAATATATTTATGTAGCTCTATTTTTAGTTGGTTTTACTGCTCTATCATATTCCATTAAATTAACATTTATTTATTGTTTGTAATGTTGATAAACATAGGTTGATTTTAGCTTCTATTGTAGATAATGCTGCTGGAAACATTTCTGTATGTGTTTCTTCAAGTACTTGTGCACATATTTCTGTGATGTATATATTAATAAATAGCGTAGAACTGCTAGGTCTTAAGGGCTACATATACTTAACCTGAAAGTCAAACATTTGTCTAAAATGATTAGAACAATTCATATTCTCATTGTTCCATGTCTTCACAGACATTTGTCTGTTAGCTATTTTGGTATAGCTGTAGTGCTATCTCATGTGGTTTCAATCTTCATTTCCTTGATTATAACAAGGTTGAGTATCTTTGTGTTTGCCATTTTGTTGTCCAATATTTTCTAGTACCTAGTCAAGTCTGTTGTGAAATTTTCTTTTTCCTTTTTTTAAACATTGATAGGTAGGTGTTTTTCATACCTTATGGATATAGGCATGTATTTCAAATATCTTCCCTTATTCTGAGTTGTCTTTTCACATTCTTTGTGATATATTTTGATGCCTAGATTGTATTAATTTTAGAGAAGTCCAATTCGATAATCTTTTTTTCATGAGAAGTATACTTTTCCTCAATACAAATCTTTTTATCCTATGGAAATGATGTTATTACATATTAGCATTACTCTTTCTCCTTCACATTCAGAACTGTGATCTACCTATAATATCAGATAAGGCAACATTTTTTAAAACATTTTTTATATATTTAGTAAAAGTTTTATTTTTCTATATTTAAGAGCCACTTTTTTGGTCATAGTTTTATGTTTGTCTGTTTCACCCTTTCTATTCCATTCTGTTGTTTACTTTGCCTATCCCCACAGCAATACTATACTTAATTATTAAAGCTTTATGATTCCTTATATTTTATAGAGCAAGTCTTCCTGCATTGTTCTTCCTCTTCCAGATTATGCCAGATATCAGCTAATTACCTCTCCGTTTCAAATTTGCCCCTCAGTACCTGCGATAATGAGTTGGATTGATGCATTTCAGTTTTGCAGTAAGCTCCATATTAAGCTTGGTCAGTAGAGGGCATGAGAGGGATTTAGGAAGAATAGTTTGATCTGGTGTACTTGCTCTTTTAAAACAAGTTTTCCAATTTTCCAGTCTGTGTCTTTTAATTGGAGCATTTAGCCCATTTACATTTAAGGTTAATATTGTTATGTGTGAATTTGATCTTGTCATCATGATGTTAGCTGGTTATTCTGCTCGTTAGTTGACGCAGTTTTTTCCTAGCATTGATGGTCTTTAAAATTTGGCATGTTTTTGCAGTGGCTGGTACTGGTTGTTCCTTTCCATGTTTAGTGCTTCCTTTAGGAGCTCCTGTAGGCAGGCCTGGTAGTGACAAAATCTCTCAGCATTTGTTTGTCTGTAAAGGATTTTATTTCTCCTTCACTTATGAAGCTTAGTTTGGCTGGATATGAAATTCTGGGTTGAAAATTCTTTTCTTTAAGAATGTTGAATATTGGCCCCCACTCTCTTCTGGCTTGTAGAGTTTCTGCCGAGAGATCAGCTGTTAGTCTGATGGGCTTCCCTTTGTGGGTAACCCGGCCTTTCTCTCTGGCTGCCCTTAACATTTTTTCCTTCATTTCAACTTTGGTGAATCTGACAATTACGTGTCTTGGAGTTGTTCTTCTCGAGGAGTATCTTTGTGGTGTTCTCTGTATTTCCTGAATTTGAATGCAAGGACTTCATGTCTAAAACACTGAAAGCAATGGCAACAAAAGCCAAAATTGACAAGTGGGATCTAATTAAACTAAAGAGCTTCTGCACAGCAAAAGAAACTACCATCAGAGTGAATAGGCAACCTACAGAATGGGAGAAAATTTTTGCAATCTACTCATCTGACAAAGGGCTAATATCCAGAATCTACAAAGAACTCACACAAATTTACAAGAAAAAAACAACCCCATCAACAAGTGGGCGAAGGATATGAACAGACACTTCTCAAAAGAAGACATTTATGCAGCCAACAGACACATGAAAAAATGCTCATCATCACTGGCCATCAGAGAAATGCAAATCAAAACCACAATGAGATACCATCTCACACCAGTTAGAATGGCACTCATTAAAAAGTCAGGAAACAACAGGTGCTGGAGAGGATGTGGAGAAATAGGAACACTTTTACACTGTTGGTGGGACTGTAAACTAGTTCAACCATTGTGGAAGTCGGTGTGGCAATTCCTCAGGGATCTAGAACTAGAAATACCATTTGACCCAGCCATCCCATTACTGGGTATATACCCAAAGGATTATAAATCATGCTGCTATAAAGACACATGCACACATATGTTTATTGCAGCACTGTTCTCAATAGTAAAGACTTGGAACCAAGCCAAATGTCCAACAATGATAGACTGGATTAAGAAAATGTGGCACATGGCCGGGCGCAGTGGCTCACGCCTGTAATCCCAGCACTTTGGGAGGCCGAGGCGGGTGGATCATGAGGTCAGGAGATCGAGACCATCCTGGCTAACAAGGTGAAACCCCGTCTCTACTAAAAATACAAAAAATTAGCCGGGCGCGGTGGCGGGCGCCTGTAGTCCCAGCTACTCGGGAGGCTGAGGCAGGAGAATGGCGTGAACCCGGGAAGCGGAGCTTGCAGTGAGCCGAGATTGCGCCACTGCAGTCCGCAGTCCGGCCTGGGCGACAGAGCGAGACTCCGTCTCAAAAAAAAAAAAAAAAAAAAAAAAAAGAAAATGTGGCACATATACACCATGGAATACCATGCAGCCATAAAAAAGGATGAGTTCATGTCCTTTGTAGGGACATGGATGAAACTGGAAACCATCATTCTCAGCAAACTATTGCAAGGACAAACAACCAAACACCACATGTTCTCACTCATAGGTGGGAATCGAACAATCAGAACACTTGGACACAGGAAGGGGAACATCACACACCAGGGCCTGTTGTGGGGTTGGGGGAGAGGAGAGGGATAGCATTAGGAGAGATACCTAACGTAAATGACGAGTTAATGGTGTAGCACACCAACATGGCACATGTTTACATATGTAACTAACCTGCACGTTGTGCACATGTACCCTAGAACTTAAAGTATAATATATATATATATAATTAAAAAAAAAAACTTTTCCTCTTTCTCCTGTGAGGCTGAAGCAGTTCATGTGAAGAACATGCAGTTGTGTACTGCCCCAGGCATGAGCTCAAAGGGGCCAATCCTTAAGCAAACTCTCCATCCCAGCCTGACCTTGCCGTGGCTTTCCTGACCTATATACCATGCGCTCCAAACCTCATGTCTCCCTGTTTGCACACAGACTCTTGACTTCCTCTGCACACATTCCCTTTAGGTTCCCGATGACTTCTGGGCACCCAACCGCCATACTTGGCTACCTACACTCCCTTGAGTTGTCTCCTGTAGAGCTGAGTGCAGTCACTGCATATTTTATATCTCATGCTGGCCTGCCAATGAGTGGGCTCACACATACTGAGCTCTCTGCATATTCTCACATCAGCCTTCTCCATGTGCACCTCAATACCCTCTACACTCCTGTCTGACAGCTTCAGTGTACATTTACTCCAGAGTGGACATAAGCTGTCCACTTATTGTGGATCAGCTCTGGCCTGGCACCCAGTGAACTTCTCTGCTATTCAATGAGCTATATAACCTATTTTCCATGGAGATACGAATGTAAGCCTTGAAGAGATTGCCCTTCTCTATTGTTCAGTCCTAGTGTATGCTAAAAACATATTTACCTGGTTAATTGCCCTGGCTAGAACCTCCCATACAGTGTTGAATAGAACTATCAAGCAGGGAAATCATGTCTTATTTCTTATCTTCGAAGGAAAGCTTTCAGTCTTTCATGATTATGTATAATATGACCAATGGGTTTTCCACAGATATTTGTCAGATGGAGGAAATTTCTTTCAATGTCTAGTTCATTGACTGTTTTATAATAAAAGGGCATTGAATTTTTTCTAAGGCTTTTAAATATCTATTGAGATGATTGTTTGGTGTTTGTTCATTATTCTACTAATGTGGCATATTAAACCGACTGATTTTTGTATGTTACAACATCATTGTATTCCTGAGATAAATCCCACTAGGTAATTGTGTCTTATCCTTCTTATATTGCTAGATTTAGTTTGTATTTTGTAGATGATCTCTGTATCTGTAATCATAGAAGATATTAATCTGTACATAGTGTTTTGGTTTTTTTCTCATTATGTCTTTTCCTGGTTCAAGTGTCATGGTAACATGGCCTCATAGAAAGAGTTCTACTTTCATTCTATTTTGGACAGATAACATAAGTTTTATGATTTATAAATTTTCAAATGTATACAGGAGTGACTTATGACTATGGTCTATTCTGGAGAACCATATGCAGTTGAGAAGAACATGTATTCTGTCATTGGATGTGATATTTCTATGGACGTCTGCCTTAATATTTTAGTGTTTTAAAAATCTGTTTTGATTTCTCTTTTACACGACTGATTTTGAGATGTGTGTGTGTGTGTTTGTGTGAACATGTACACATGCATATGTGAATTTTTTACCAGTCTTACCGTGGTAAGTTTCATCACAAGTATTTTACTTATATTTATATTTTCAAATAACCAAAATTTTTTCTACTTTGTTTTAAACTATATTTATTTTCATTTAAAAAAAAATCTGTTCTCAGTCCAGATGCAGTGCCTCAAACCTATAATCCAAGCACTTTGGGAGGCACAGGAAGGAGGATAGCTTGAGACCAAGAGTTTGAGAGCAACATAGGAAGACCCCCTTCTCTATAAAAATTAGCCTGGCGTGGTGGCCTGTGCCTGTATTCCTAGCTATTTAGGAGGCTGAAGCAGGAGGACTATTTGAGCACAGCCTGGGCAACACAATGAGATCTTGTCTTAAAAAAAAAAAATTTTATATATATATATATATATATATGCTTTCGTTTTTAGTATTTTGTTTCCTTTGGTTTGGGGGGGCTTAAGTTTCTACTTCCTTTCTTTCTAAGTACTTGAGTATGCTTAATGTACTGATCTTAAACCTCTTCTCAAATACATTTGTTTATGACTATGAATATCACTCCAAGTGCACGTTTATATTTCCCCAAATGTTTTATATGTAATATCTTTACTATTTACTCAACAAGTTTTTCTAATTGGCATTGTATCTACTACTTTAACCTAAATAGTTATTTAAACATGTATTTAGTAATTTAGAACTTATAGACATTTTTTAATGTTCATTTTGTTTGGATTTCTAGCTTATAACCAATTTGATCAGAGACCATCTTGTATGACAACAATTCTTTGAAATGTTGAATTATAATGTAGCACATCATTAGTTTATGTAAATCATTCTTGTGTACTTGAAAAAGATAGGCATCCTACATTTGTTGAGTATGGTAGTATATTTATATCGATTGAATAAATTTTGCTTAAGAGGTTGCCCAAATTTTCCATGTAATTATTGATTTTATTGTTGTCTGTGTTTGAATACTTACTGTTTTCCAATATAATGCTGTTATTTATCTGTCCTTTACATTCTGTCAACTTTTATTTTATACATTTTGAAGCTATATTTTAATTGCACATAGATTTGCAATCTTACTAGCGAAATACAAATTTTGTTAACTTTTTCATGATTAAATTTGGACTATGAATACTACCAACGTCATAAGGTTGTTGTCAGGATTAGATAAGTTAATATGCTTGAAGCTTTTTGGAGATTTCCAGGTGCATATTAAGTACTATATTTAGAATTCCTATATTTTCACACTCACAAAAATGTTTAAAAAATAAAGTTAAAAGTAAGCACTTCGAAAAATTTTCTCCCATTCTGTAGGGTGCCTGTTCACTTTGATGACAGTTTATTTTGCTGAGCAGAAGCTACTTAGTTTAATTAGATCTCATTTGTCAATTTTGGTTTTTGTTGCAATTGCTTTCAGTGTTTTAGTCATGAAGTCTTTGCCCGTGCCTATGTCCTGAATGGTATTGCCTAGGTGCCTAGGTTTTCTTCAAGGGTTGTTATGGCTTTAGGTTTTACATTTAAATCTTTTTTAATTTTTCTTTGAGATGGAGTCTTGCTCTGTCGCCCAGGCTGGAGTGCAGTGGCCCAATCTTGGCTCACTGCAAGCTCTGCCTCCCGGGTTCATGCCATTCTCCTGCCTCAGCCTCCCAAGTAGCTTGGGAATACAGGCGTCTGCCACCACGCCCAGCTAATTTTTTGTATTTTTAGTAGATACGGGGTTTCACCATGTTAGCCAGGATGGTCTCGATCTCCTGACCTATTGATCTGCCCACCTCAGCCTCCCAAAGTGCTGGGATTACAGGCATGAGCCACCGTGCTCGGCCTACATTTAGGTCTTTAATCCATCTTGATTTAATTTCTGTATAAGGTGTAACAAAGGGGTCCAGTTTCAGCTGTCTGCATATGGCTAGCCAGTTTTCCCAATACCATTTATTAAATAGGGAATCCTTTCGCCATTGCTTGTTTTTGTCAGGTTTGCTGAATATCAGATGGTTGTAGATTTGTGGTGTTATTTCTGAGGACTCTGTTCTGTTCCATTGGTCTATGTGTCTTATTTTCTACCAATACCATGCTGTTTTGATTACTGTAAACTTGTAGTATAGTTTGAAGTCAGGTAGCATGATGCCTCCAGCTTTCTTCTTTTTGCTTAGAATTGTCTTGGCTATAAGGACTCTTTTTTGGTTCTATATGAAATTTAAAGTAGTTTTTTCTAGTTCTGTGAAGAAAGTCAGTGGTAGCTTCATGGGAATGGCTTCGAATCTATAAACTACTTTGGGCAGTATGGCCATTTTCATGATATTGATTCTTCCTATCCATGAGTATGGAATGTTTTTCCATTTGTTTGTGTCCTCTCTTATTTCCTTGAGCAGTGGCTTGTCGTTCTCCTTGAAGAGGTCCTTCACATCCCTTCTAAGTTTTATTACTAGGTATTTTATTTTCTTTGTAGCAATTGTGAATGGGAATGCACTCATGATTCGGCTTGACCCAGCAATCCCATTACTGGGTATATACCCAAAGGATTATAAATCATTCTACTATAAAGAGACATGCATATGTATGTTTATTGCAGCACTATTTACAATAGCAAAGACTTAGAACAAACCCAAATGCCCATCAATGATAGACTGGATAAAGAAAATGTGACACATACACACCATGGAATATTATGCAGCCATAAAAGAGAATGAGCTCCTGTCCTTTGCAGGGACATGGATGAAGGTGGAAACCATCAGCCTCAGCAAACTAACACAGGAACAGAAAACCAAACACCACATGTTCTCACTCATAAGTGGGAGTTGAACAATGAGAACACATGGACACAGGGAGGGGAACATCACACACCGGGGCCTGTCGGCGGGTGGGGGCAAGTGGAGGGAAGAGCATTAGGACGAATACCTAACGCATGTGGAGTTTAAAACCTAGATGAAGGGTAGATAGGTGCAGCAAACCACCATGTCACATGTATACCTATGCAACAAACCTGCATGTTCAGCACATGTATCCCAGAGCTTAAGGTAAAATAAAAAAAAACAAATAAATAAATAAATAAGCACTTGGAAATGTTTTTAAATCACCAAATAATATTTAAGCAGATAAATCAAAATGAAGAAGTACAAGCACAGAGAAAAAAGAGCATAAAATTGACAGAAATAAGGCTAAGTATGTCAAAATGACATGAATATAATCAAATTATACTCCTCTGGCTATAAATGAAAAGAAAAAAATGGAGGTGAAAACATGTATAACATAGGCCTGTTGAGGCACTCACATCTGTAATCACAGCACTTTGGGAGGCCAAGGTTGGCGGATCGCTTGAGTCCAGGAGTTCAAGAACAGCCTGGGAAATATGGAAAGACCCTGTCTCTACAAAAAATCACAAAAATTTGCCAGGCATGGTGGCACACACCTGTAGTCCCGGCTACTGGGAGGCTAAGTTTGGAGGATTGCTTAAGCCCAAGAGGCACCCTGGAGCCTGAGAGGTGCCCTGGAGTGTGGGAGGCAAAGATTGCAGTGAGCTGAGATCACCATTCCACTCTAGCCTGGGTGACAGAGTGAGACCCTGTCTCAAAAATAAATAAATTAATTAAAGTAATATTAAAAAAAATATATATATATATATATATATATAAATGATGTCTAAAAAAGGTACTTCAAAATATTACCTGCAAAGTTTGTTTAGTTATTGACCAAACTGATTTTTCCTTCCTGAGAGTAGAGCAAAAGTATGTTTCCCAGCCTTCTTTATAGTTAGGTTTGACTACCATGCTACATTCTGGCCAATAGAATGAGAGTAGAAATGTTTGCCCTTTAAGATCAGGTGCGTAAAATCTTCTCAAGGGCACAGCACCATACCCTTTCCTCTTTCAGCCAGCTGATATCAGTGTCAGCAGAACCATGGTAGCCATATGGTGAAGACCATGAGGCAACAAGATGAAGAAATCCCGAGTTCCTGAATCACTGGTGTGAGAAGAGCTTCCCATTAATTAGGCAAACTAAATTTTACCTTTTCATACAAAATTAAAATAAAATTTTAATGTTTAAAGCCACTAAAATTTTAGGCTTTGTTTCAGGAACTATAATAGAATTATAGAAAAAGATTTGCCAGAAAATAACAATATAAAAACAAAACAAACAAATATGGTGTATTTATTTTATATAAAAAGCATAGAAGGAAAAAAATTTCATGGGCCATTTTATATTCATAACGTGTAAAATCCACAATGTGAACTGAAGTCATGAACCTTTACTGACTAAATAACAAAATTACTGTTTTGTTAATATATAAAACAAATCCCAATAGCAGAAATATAAAGAAAAATGTGAAAGTGAGATTATTACAGGATAATTTAACAACTCAATTGAAATTCTATTGAGCACGTAAAGGAGTATTAATCAAAATTGATTATATAATAAACTGCAAATAAAATCTCATTAAAATAGTAAATGTATGGATCCATTTGCTGACTATTATCCAGTACACATTGGAACATCAAGAACAAAACCTAATATTTATAAATTTATTAAAATACCTTCCTACATATTTATCAATAAAAGGTGAAATTAAGCCTATAATTACAGATTATTTTAAAAGCTTAAAAATATTTCATTAATTTTAGCACCTAATTATTGATAAAAATAAAAAAAGCAATCAAAGAGCATTTCTTTCATGTAATAAAAAGAAGGCATCTCAATCCAATAAGTGTGTGTAATGTTGGAAAGTAAAACAACACAATTTCAGAATTAAAAATGTGAAGTAGATAAATGCCATCATCAGTATCCCTAACTCATAAAACAGAAATAATAAACAATTAGAAATACAGAGAAAAAGATTTCATTATGTCTGCTAATATCTTTGCATATCTAGGTAGCATAAAAGAATCCATTAACTATTTTTAAAATTAATGACAGAAGAATAATGTTTCTAGAATGAATAAAGAAGCAGGAATCAACAGTTTTCCTATTTATTTGTAATTCTCGTAAGAAGATTTCTGTTGACAGTAGCAATGAAACAAATGAAAACCAACAAATAGGATTTTTGAAGAAAACTGAAGATGTGCTTAAAAATTTACACAAAGTTTGTAATGAGTATGCACTGATACCTTTTTCCTGGATGGATTAAATGTGTTTTTACCCACTTTACATTAATTTTTGATTTCAGAGAATTTTTTCTCAAAAAATATACATATTTTTTAATATTTAGAAAAGGCTACATTGGGTTAAATTAAAATAATTAAGAATGAGGAAAGTTTAAGTCTTGTTTTGAGAAGAAATGAAGGAGAATATACTTTCATAAATTCATGGTGGGATTATAATATGGTGCAAAATTTCTGAAGGCAATCTAGAAATATCTAATCAAAATCCTTAAAAATGCACATAAATTTTTCATCTAGTAAGTCTATTTCTATGAATATTCAGGGTCCTGTTTTTCATAGGGGAAAATTTCAAAACAAAGTGAAGCCCAAAATGTCAACAATAATTGTGTCATTAATTACATAAAAGTGTCATATTCTTCTCTGTAGCTTTAAATTCTCTACAATGACATTTTCTTCCTGTTGGGAAGATCAATATAATTAATTTTTTTAAAAATTTGTATTATGTAAAGCCACAAAATAGAGGTAATATATATTTGTCAGCACCTGCTAATAATGTTTATGTGTGATTATCTTGCTCAATCATTGTTGTGAGAAAAAACAAAAACAAAAAAAAAGGAAAAGCAAGCCAGTCTGAGGAAAAATACTTTCAATGAATAAACTGACAAAAGAAGAATATAAAGAATATTTAAATGAATTTAAAAAGTAAAAAAATGAACGTATAAATATAAACAGGTAAATAACATAAGCAATACATTCAAGAAAACTTTAAGAAGTCATGTTATTAAAATAATTTAAAAGATTTTCAATTTCATAAATCATGAAAATAAAAATTAAAGATAGAAGTCTATTTTATAATCATAAAATTGGCAAAAATTAAAAAAGTCTGACATCGGACATAAGAAAGAGTTTATAGCAGTGAGAACTCTCATACCTGGACAATGACAGGAAAAAAGATACAGTAATAGTAAAAGCATGTATCACTTTTATCCAAGTCTATCTCTTCTATCCAGGGAAAATGCAAGCCCATAAACATCTATTCAAGTATGTCACTGTACCTTCTTTTTATTTGAAATAGACCCACACTGAAAACTACCCAATGTCTATAAAGAATAGAATGAATAAACTGTTGTAGTCAACATATGGACTCTACAGATAATGTTGGGTAAAAACCAAGAATTGCAGAATATATGAATTATGAAGGCTCATATGCCATTTAAAAACATGCGATGCACTACTACATATTTA
Source organism: Homo sapiens (assembly GCF_000001405.40). NCBI lineage: Eukaryota > Metazoa > Chordata > Mammalia > Primates > Hominidae > Homo > Homo sapiens. Next base: position 9,647,653 of record NC_000007.14, on the reverse strand, counting down.
CAAATCTGCATCTATGTCTATCTATCTATAATTTAGAGATGCATGAAATAAAAGTAATAAATGTTTTTAGGAATTATATAAAATGCCAAATAGGGTGGTGGTTACATTTTGGCAGAAAATGTAAAACTGGAATTAGAATTGAGGGAGTAAGATGAAATCGCCAACTGCAATTGCAATGTGTTATTCCTCTTATAAATGATCTGAAGCAAATACAGTAAAATGTTACAGTCTGAAAAATCTAGGTGTGACTTTCAATGTGTTAATTTTTTATTTTCTTTAATTTTCTAGCCTCTTTACTTTTTACAGAAAAACAAAGAAAAATAAAGGCAAAGTCCAGTTGAGCTCTCCTGGCCAGAATATGACAATATAATACTTAATCAGGTCATAGCATGGCTTCTAGAGACCAGCATAAAGTAAAATGACAGTGTTCTAACGGATTATAGAGAAATTTTAATTTATAGAATCTGTGTTGATAATCTGAGTATTAATGGTTGATATTACAAAAACATTTTATGAAGGGTTTCACTCAAGGAGGATTATTTATGAAAAGATTCCTGAAGCCATCCAACCACTCATCCAATCAGCTAGCCTTCTTTCTGTGCATTTTCTGAGGATCCACAATGGAAAGAAGGAATATAAATAGATCAAAAGAGAAGTAGTAACATAATAACTTATTTTAGCACAAACCCTCTTTTATTGGCTAAGTAATAATTATGAGGTTAATATTATCATTTTAGTACTTCTGTGTTTAAGGTGCTATAATAAACAATATGTATGCTTTATCATATTTATTCAAATAATTCTATGAAGCACATGTGAGTGTTATCTATGTTTTATAATTGGGGAAATCAGTTTAAAAATATTTAGAGTGTGCCTTAGGTTACAATGCTGCTAATAGATCTAAACAATACTCAAAACCAGAAAGTCTGACTGTAAAGTCAACTATTTTAATATACCATTGTATCTCAGCTTGAAGTAAGCTATATTTATGAGGGTAATGAGAAGAAATAAGAGAGTACTGTAGACTATTGCATGTGTGTGTCTCAGGACATATGGAAAATTTGCAAGCATTATGACTGAACTCTGATACTGAATGAGATTATTTGATCCTTTTATTGTTGTTATGACTTCATCATGTTTCAAATTCTGGGATCTTTACTTTTTATTATCTGATCAAATTATTATTACTGTAGACCAGAAGATAGAGATGGATCTCATCTGTTTTAACAGTATCATCTAGTTGACATAGGAAAGCCACAAACTATTCACGCTAGAGCTGAGAGGTAGGAGGAATAATGAGGATTCAGATCCAAGGTAAAATAAATGAAAATATTTCAGTGCCAAAATCCCCAAACATAGGACAATGTTTACCATTCTGATTAGACAATGTATCATTTCTTGAAAACTGACATCGAAAATGCTTTGCAAAACAATGACACAGAAACCAAAACCCAGAATTTATTTCAGTGATGTGTGTGGCAGCCTTCGACTTTATAGTTCCAATTTGCCTACTAACCTAATAACACAGAGCAAAGGGTAAGAAATTAGCAAAGTAAAATGGCTCATTAAGTACTCACAGAGTCCCTTGGCAGTGTTAAAATCTTGCTATTTACTGTGTCATTGCCAAATGTTGTTCCCTTATCAGTAAGGAGGGCCATAGAAAATAGATCCAGTGAAAAGGAATGTGTGGACAGTCTTGTGCCATTAACCTCAACCAGCATAATCAGTCCAGCACATAACTGTGGTGGACTATCAAAACCATAACATTCCTAACAGGATATATCGCTTTTCCACCTAGAGAAGGACAAAGTGATAAAAGCCTAAGCAACAAATAACATAACCCCTGATAAATTAATGCTCTTCTTTTTGAAAAATAAAGTAAAAAATAGTACGAACAATACTAAGGAAGATGCAGTTAGACCTTTGTGGACTATCAAAGAAAGTAAAATGACAGATTTTCTCAAATCACTTAACTTTACAAGTGGCAAAACGTCATTTGCTGAAGGGGATAAAAATACATTTGTGAGAGGAGAATAAAAGTATAAAGTGTGATTTGAGAAATATAACTTCCTGGAAGGCTAGATAATCTGGACCCATAACTTTGATATTTACTACAAAAACAGATATTTCCTGAAAATCTGTAAATATGATGATGATAATAAAGTTGCATTGTTTTAAAAAATGCTTTGCATTTTTCATTCTGAAAATAATTTTGGTAAATTTAACAAGATATTATTTGTTACATTACCCAAATTTGAAGAACCATAGGTGATACTCTACATGCCTTAGAAATATTAAGGAAGAAGAAACTAAGGCAGAGAGAGAGTAAGTAATTTGTCCAAAGTTACACAGTAACCAGTAAGGCAACCTGAATGCAAGTACCATATTTACTCTCATCTACTACTTTAGAGGTCAATAAAAGTTTTCTGTAAAGGGTCAGATAGTAACTATTTTCAACGTGCAAGTTTTAAAGTTCTCTGTTGCAACAAGTCAATGAGGCTGCTGTATTATGAATGCAGAAATAGACATTCATAAATGAAGAGTCATGGCTGTGTTCAAGTAAAATTTTATTTACAAAAATAGGTAATATGCCAGATGAACAGTGGTGTGAAGACCTGTGTACTACTTAGTGCTACTTCCTCAGAGTAATATTCAGAAAACATTGCTATTGTAATAATTATCAGAAAGTATTTCTAAGATTTGTATTATTCACATATATTACCTGACATCTGTTTTATTTATATTACTGTTGAGAGGCTGTCTGTATGTGTTTTTCTGGGACACGGATAGATGAAAGCTCTTAATATAGATCTGAATTTATATCTCTTAGGATCTTATCCTCTTTGATATCCAGCTCAAATTCCTATGCACATACAAACTCAGATCAATCAAATCTATGCTGGAGTGACAATCATAGGATTTAGATGTCATTTATATCCTTACTACTTTCTTTATTATTACTTTCCCACTAAAAATGGAACAGAATAAAACGACAGAACTACCATCCTTGTAGTAATTACAGATAATCTTGAAAATGCCTTACTGTAGTTTGAAATAACATGGAAATTTAAACAAGTAAATAAATGGTATTCAAACACAGCAAATGCACTCTTCTTTTCAATAACCTATTTTGAGTGGTATTCTTTCCTATCACTGTCAGAACAAGTATAATCACTTCAATGTGACTAGATTTATGTCAATTACTTACAAAGTATTGAGATAATCAGCAAATCCCTCAAACATTTCCTTAATATCAACTGCCATTTAATGGAAAATATTTTCTGTGAGATATAAAAAGGAATTTAGTATCCCCCTGGTTATGACAGGGGAACATTAAGATTTAGCTGCAGAATTTTAACAGGACTTTGCCAGGCAGTACTAGGAGAGTCATGGAATTGGTGTTCCTAATGCTTATATTGGTATCCTGTGGGTAGAAGAAAGAGTAAATGCCAACTCTTCTTTAGTGCGGTCTCCAGTAGCTCTAAGAGAGCCTTTGCCAGTTCAGTTTAGAGTCACTCAGCAATAGCAGAATTTCCGAAATGCTGTTTTTTTTTCTCATTTTTTCTTCATTTATAGAAGAGAAAAAGATGCTGCATAAAAAAGTTTCTGTTGTTATTGTTTTTAAGACAATGATATTCATTATGGAAATTTATTTATCTCCATCCAATAAATTAACTTTTTTGTGGGGGAGCTTTGTTGTTTACATACAGGCTGTGTAAGTAATTGGGTTAGTGGCATCTAAGTAATTATATATGTGTTAGCATTGATGACTGAAAGGACCTCTCTTAAATGGATTATTGAAAATAAAAGGCAAATCTATCGTCCTTGAATTTTATAAATGATTTTTAAATTACCATTTCATTCAAAAAATAATATATGTAAAGTACAGTCAGAATTATTAATAGTGATATTAATATAATAGTAAGATTAGTAAAACCTAACACATCATTGCCCACCTTTGCAATAGAATATGCCAACATACTTAAGTCCCTTTCTGAATGCATTTCTCTCTCTCCCCTTGCCAGAAACAACCACTCAGCTGAATATTCTTTTTATTACTCTCTTGTTTTTCTTCATAGTGGTGGCTATAGATCTTGACTACACATTGAAATTATCTTGGGGACTTCAAAAATACTGATGTCTAAGAGCCACCCTCAGTGCCTCTGATTTAATTGGTCTAGAGTACAGCCTTCAGATTCTGTGGTTAACTGATAGGATGACATTATTTTCCACACAAAGTCTTAGCTGATGAGAGCTTTGTGTAAAGAATAGACAAGCATTGTAAGACGCTCGACTTAGCTCTCCTCAGATTCCCTTATAAAAGAACTGATGCCAAGGCCATGATGCATTCACTACAAATCTCTTTCAAATAAAAACACATGAGCAATTTGGGTTCCTATTTTTCCTCTTTACCCTACTTTTCTCTTCCAAACTCCTCATTTTTTCTTGTGACTTAGTTGTTATTATGGAGCATTTGGGGAATAGGAAAGTTGATTGGAAGAAAAAGCTGCCTTTTGAAAAAGTAGCAGCAGCTGATAAGCTGCCAAGTAGGAGAAGAAAAGCATGCAGGATCTTGCAAGACATGTTCAAAGGACTGGATGGACTCATGTAGACAAAGAAAATCACTGAAGCAATGTCAATGTGCTGTTAAACCAAAAAGAATACACCTATAATTAACAAGATGGGCTTATTGTTGCAATGAGGGGGAACACTCACCATGGGGAAAGGTGATTATCTTGATAACCGATATTAGGAAAAAACTATAGTAGGATTGAGCTCTTGTCAGGCAATTTTGAGTATCTAGGGAAGGCAGAGTTCATTCTAGATTAGGTTCTGTCAGAAAGAGGGGGCAATTCCACAGTGGGGTATCTCAATAAATCTTATAGGTTAGGCAGACTAGAGGAGGGATACAGCTGTCATTGGTAAAGAAGCAGCAGTTACTCATTTTAGCTGGGTCAGGGATTGTGTAGTATATTGTGGCTTAAGTAGTGACCTTGTTTTGGGTTACTTTATAATGATCTCAAAATGACCTTATCTGGTGTTTATGCTCTCTAAAATTGTTTATATCCAAAAGGAAAAACATGTGGCTTCACTGTGAGTATCAGGCTAGTTCCTGGATGTCAGAGTTGTTTGTTTTAGTTTCATCACAAAAGTGATGAAATTATTGATTTAACTAAAATAATGTGGAGAATGGTTTTGATTAAGAAGAGACGGAACAAGGAGACCAGGCCAAAAAAAATTATTTTAACAGATATTAAAATCTCTTTGAGTGCAAAAGATATAGTTGTTTAACATTATACAGACTCTAATTTTAGAGTTTGCATGAGATACAATCAACATTTCAATGTGATGTATTAACAAGATCTTTCTTAATTTATTCACAGTATTGAAATAAAATTTTCATTAAATACTGGTGATGTCAAGAATTTACATATTCTGAGGAATTAAAATAGAAAGCTGACCTTTTGAAACTGGGTTATTAAATATTTGAAACTCGGTTATTAAATATTTTTTATTTAACTATGTTTCACACTCCAGCTAAGCGTCTTAAATAAAACATAGTTTATATGTATATTTATCTGAGAATGGTAAATGAAATGTTCACTTAATGCACTAGCAATTCAGCAGCATTGGGATATTTTAAGAAGTTCATTGTAAGAACCTAAGATATTTGAAAATAGGAAATAGGCCATTCAGTTTAATAGAGCTTCTTTTCATCAGGAATATTAAATGCATTTTTCACATGGCAAATTAAGTGTATTATTATACTGGGCCATTTTGATACCATCTCACTATTGTAAAATAAAAATGCCTGAATGTATTTCTTAGGTTGAAATAGTCAAACTTTACATTTTATGCTTAACAGAATTTGGAAACTTGATTGCCACAGTTCATTTATTACAGAAGATTTTTAGAGAGAACTAGTGACTCATACACTCTTAATACTCTTATGTCACCGAACCATTTAAATAAGTCCGATTCTATGCATTAGTAAAAACATTAAGTTTAATACATACAGTGAAATTCCTTAAGTGTGGGAGTGTAAGGATGAGTAAACATCAGTGAAGCCTGAATGCACCTCTTGAAACTTCCCTAAAACTCCATATATCGGCTATTAGTAGCTTTCTTAGTTAAATACAGCAAGTGAGAAACATCTTGAAATCAAACTAAGGATTTGTTCTTTTTTTCTTTTCATTACAAATTGGTGTCATATACATTTTAGAGAAAGTTACATATTTAAAAGAAAAGCATAACATAAAATATTTGGTGGTGTGTTAACATAAACCATTTTGTATATGTTTTTCCTTTTACATTCACATTCATCAACAATTTTAAATCCTGGATCTTTGTGCAATTTATCAAATAAAGAAATGCAGTGTTAACAAGGACAGAAAACCAAACACCGCATGTTCTTACTCATAGGTGGGAATTGAACAATGAGATCACTTGGACACAGGGTGGGGAATATCACACACCGGGGCCTGTCGGGGGGTGAGGGGCTGGGGGAGGGATAGCATTAGGAGCAATACCTAATATAAATGATGAGTTGATGGGTGCAGCAAGCCAACATGGCACATGTATACCTATGTATCAAACCCGCACGTTGTGCACATGTATCCTAGAACTTAAAGTATAATTTTAAAAAAAAAAAAGAAAGAAACGCAGTTTTAAGATGGCTTCTGAAAACAGGAAATTCATCTGCCACCTACAGAAATAACTCTTGTTAACTTGGTCACGTTTTTACCAAATTAAGTGGTAAGGTAAGTTAGATATTCAGTAAATTCTGACCTAATATGGGGCAAAAATAACAATAAAATATTTATTCTATTACATGCTATTTTATTTCCTTCTGATGCTTTGTTCATCCTCCTAACCACTGTCTCTCTGCCTCTCTCTGTCTCTATTTTTCTCAGTTTCTGTTACTTTATCTCTCAATCTCTCTTTCAATTTTTTTTTGTTTGTTTTTTCCCTCTTCCAGAAAATCCAGGAAAGAAATATAAAACCACCGATGGTCATCAGACCTGTAATGTGACTCTGAAACAAAACGCTGTAACAGTTTATGTGCAAGTGGAGAAATACACAGCTCAAATCTGGAGAGCCAGCTCTGGAGGCCATGCCAGAATGAAATATCAAGCAGAAACTGAATGGAGAAGAGAAAAATGCAGCCCTGTCTGAGCAAGAGGGGAATGCAGATAAATGCCACTCTCAGAGAGAAAGCAAAGGGGGAGATATGGACACCATGTCTGAGACCTGGAGGAATTGAAATGAAGGTTAAAGAGGCTTTGAAAGAGACCAGAGCTATCAGCCTGGGGAAAGCTTTGCTTCAGGAAAGTTAGTGGAAGCACAAAGCATGTCAAGAATTAAAACTATCTCCAAAATAATTATTCAGACAATGGATGCTAAAACCAATGAGTTAATAGGACAGTTATACAATCTCAAAGTGTCTCCCCATAAGTTACATATTAATTAGAAAGGAAAAAGTGCCTTTACAGTGGAGTGATCTGATAGCCACCACAGTAACCAAGTAATCAACATTTTCATGACAAATAATGGGACACAATTAGTGTGACATGATACTCTGGGAAGATATCACTTTTTTGGTATTCCTGCCAAAAATAGCTGACTTGAATCTAATCTTGGGAAAATAATTAATAGTTACAAACTGAGGAACATTCTCCAAAACATTTGGCCTGTTCTCCTAAAAAAGAAAGTCAGCTTAAGAAAGACAAAGAAACTGTGCATGATTAAAGAAAACTTAAAAGGCATAAAATAAATGCAGTTCATGATCCTGGACTGTATTGTGGATCAGAAAAAAAAATCGTACAAATTGTGAATGGAGGCATTGTAAAAATTTTAATATGAATTACATCAAATAATATGTTATTAAACTTAAACTTGAATTTAATAATTGTACAAAATTAGGGAATATGATTTCTTTGTTCTAAGTTTGAGAGATGTGAGGTTACAATGCCCACTAATTATTTCAGCTGGCTCATAAAAATTATAATAGTATTAACAATTTGTAAATTTAGGTAAAAGTGTATGCCGTTTCAATGTTTTAGTCTTATAAATTTTTGGATGGAATATTTTTAAAAATTAAAGTTAAGCTAAGCACAGTGGCTCACGCCTGTAATCCCAGCACTTTGGGAGGCCAAGGTGGGTGAATCAGCTAAGGTCAGGAATTTGAGACCTGCCTAGCCAATATGGTGAAACCCTGTCTCCACTAAAAACACAAAATAGGTAGATACATAATACAAATAGAAGACAGATAGATAATTGTTTATTTAACATTATTGTATTTGTTGCAATAACCAACCTTTTTACTTAAAAACCATTTAACAAAATATTTAAATTTAGGAATAAAATTAAAATCTTAAAACCCCAAAACAAAATTAAAAATCACCTTGCAAGCAGTTAAACTGAATGAAAACAATGAATAATGGGAAAAAATAGAAAAAAAAATATTTCTTCTAGGATCCAAAGGAAAATGTAAAAGATACATATGTTCAAATAAACATTGAAAACAATGGACACAAAGACTATAGTTAACTATAGTTATAGCCAACTAGTTGACTATATATACCTTTTTCAACCACTAGTAACCACTATTCTACTCTCTACTTCTACAAGATTAACTTTTTTAGCTTCCATATATGAGTGAGAGCATTTTATATTTCTTTGCCTGACTTATTCATGTAACATAATGTCCTCCAGGCTCACCCATATTGCCATGAATTACAGGATTTCATTCTTTTTATAGCCGAATACTATTCCATTAGATGTATATACCACATTTTCTTTATTCATTCATCCATTGATGGGCACTTAAATTGATTCTATATCTTTGCTACTGTCAATATGCTGCAATAAACACAGTAGCGCATATATCTCTTTGACATACTGATTTCCTTTCTTTCGGATACAAACCCAGCAGTGGGATTGCCCGGTCATATTTTTAGCTTTTTGAGGAAACTCCCTACTTTTTTTTTTTTAAATAATGGCTGTATTAATTTACACTTCTACCAACAGTGTATAAAAAGAGTCTCCTTTTATCTGCATCCTCGACAGCACTTGCTAATTTTTGCCTTTTTTGTAGCCATTCTAATTGGGATGAGATGATATCACATTTTGGTTTTGACTTGCATTTCTCTGATCATTAGTGATTAGTATTTTTTTTTCACAGACTTGGACATTTGTAAGTCTTCTTTTGAGAGTTTTCTATTCAGATCATTTGCTCTTTTTTAATTGGATTACTATTTTTTGACTGTTGAGTTTCTTTTATATCCTGGATATTAATTCCTTGTCTGATGAACACGTTACAAATATTTCTTCTGGTCTGCAGGTTGTCTTTTCATTATTGATTCTTTCCTTTGATGTGCAGAAGTTTTTTTTTATTTTGATATAATCTAATTTGTTTATTTTGACTTATGTTGCCTGGGCTTTTGAGATGTTAGCCATAAATTCTTGGCCAAAACCAGTGTCCCAGAGTATTTTCTCTATGTTTTCTTTTAGTAATTTCATAGTTTCGGGTCTTTAAGTCTTTAGTCCATTTGGGGCTGATTTTTTATATGGTGAGAGGTAGGAGTCTAGTTTCATTCTTCTACATATGGATATACAGTTTTTCCAGCACCATTTATTGAAAAGACCAATAAATGTTCTTGGCACCTTTGTCAAAAATCAGTTGGCTATAAATAGATTAATATGGGGCTTTTGTTCCATTGACCTATGTGTCTATTTTTATAATTATGCTGTTTTGGTTACTATAGCTTTGTAGAATATTTTGAACACAGATAATGTGATGCCTTCAGCTTTGTTTTCCTTCCTCAGGATTACTTTGACTATTTGGTGTCTTTTGTGGTTTGTACAAATTTTAGGATTGTATTTTTTCTATTTCTGTAAAGAATGCCACTGGTATTTTGATAGGGGTTGCATTGAATCTGTAGATCACTTTGAGTAGTGTGGTAATTTTAACAATATTTCCCCTTCCAATTTATGACATGAGATGTCTTTTCATTTTTGTGGGTGTCCCCTTCAGTTTCTTTCATCATTGTTTTATAGTTTCCTTGATGGACATTTTTCATCTCCTTTGTTAAATTTACTCCTAGGTATTTTATTTATTGGGTAGCCATTATACATGAAATTGCTTTCTTGAATTCTTTTTTCACCTAGTTCATTACTGGTATACAAAAATGCTACTAATTTTTGTATGTTGATTTTGTATACTGCAACATTACTGAATTCATCTATCCATTTTAAAAGTTTTTTTGGTGAAATCTAGCTTTTTCTCTATTTAAGGTCATGTTGGCACGGAGAGATAATTCAACTTTCTTCTTTTTAATTTGGATACTTTCTTTCTTTTTTTTGCCTAATTGCTATGGCTAGGACTTTCAGTTCTATGTTGAATGAGAGTGGCGAGAGTGAGCACCCTTGTCTTGTTCCAGTTCTTAGAAAAAAAAAACCTTCAGCTTTTCCTTGTATAGTGTAATGTTAATTGTTGCTTTGTCATATTTTGCTTTTATTTTGTTATATGCTGGAACTCCTGTTCTTAATCTTATCTATAAAATCCTTATATGAGATAAAAACATAAAATGTCACATAAATGAGGTATTAGTATGAATTTTTTTGGTCATATTTTGACTGGTTTTCACATAAACAATGGTAAAAAAAAAAAAAAATAGTCTCTCCACAAGACTTCTGAGCATGCTACCCTGAAAATAGCTCAGACAAATAAGATTCTATGCCACCTATCTTTGCCTCAGAAATATATTTCAGAAGCTAATAATTTTCAGAACCTGGAAATAGTCCTCAGGTATGCAATTTATATTCTTTATTAGGTAGTGTCATTTAGGACTCTTTGTTTTATCTTTGGTAAAAATAAATACTGGTGATTATATCTTTGATGACTTCTTGAGTACCCTTTAGCCTTCTAGTCTTAGGCTTTTAATTTTTTATCATGTATTTCCTTCTCCAGTTCTTTGCACATCATTGAAATATTTTTGGCAACAATAAACAATTAGCTCCACAATATCTACAAATACCAACAATAAAAGACTTACAATAACATCTTTGTTCACTAATGCTAGTGGATTTTTTAATGTCATAGTTTTTAATGCACTCAAGTAAAAATGAAAAACAAAAATTACTTGATTCAAATTCTAAGACTTAATAGAACCTTTAGCCTTAAATTACAGATTAGAGATGAAGACTGCCCAGAAAATAAGTGAATGAGAAAATACACCAACTCTTTTTTTAAAAAAACAAAGGATTTGGTCAGAAAAAACAAAAGAAGTGTAGATTGTTTTTATTTCTTTGTGTCTTTAGCAAATTAACATAACCTTCTCTGTTCAATGTGCAGCAGCTTCCCATGGTTCAATGAAAGTGGACAGTAAGAATCACACAACTGAAAAGAATAACGAGACACCATTTTATTTATTCCCCTCACTAGGTTTACTTTACCTAAATCTTCTCTAGAGTTTTCATAAAAGCCTTTGGCAGAAATACAAAATTCTTAGGAGAGCCATAGTACTTTATTAAATCTCCACCATGGTATTCATAAACAATTTTCATATATGCATACAGACTATTTACTGTCTGTTGTTTTCTAGTTCTCAAGTTAAAATGTAATTACCACCAGAAGTTAAGTTTACATTTTCCAGTTCTAGCTCTCCTGCTCTTTCTGGTGTTTTACACAGAATCCTAGTACATTAAGAAAATAAACTCTCAGAATGCAGTTAAAAGAAAACGCCAGTTATTATAAAAGTTTCCAATATAATTCTTTTTTTAACAGCTTTATTGGGGTATAGCTGATGTATGATAAACCATATCTTGTTAAAAAGCAACATTTGATAAATTGTTACGTATGCATCTAGGAAACATTACAATAATCACGATAAAGAACATATTTATCTTCCTCAGAGTTTCTTGGTGCCCCAGTAAAATCTCTCCCTTTGTAGTCTCCATTTGAATACAAAATGTAGTGAATGAATGTTCAAAGAGAAGGTGGCCTACAAACATCAAGCCTTTTTGGTATGTATCAACAAGGAATTATATCCTGTATGCAAATACATTAAGAATGATATTCCAACCAGATCTTGAGGACAGTCACCCAGCAAAGACACCACTATCTAAACTGCCACTCTATTAAAGAAAAACACACTTTGGAGTGTGTGTGGTGGTAAAAATTACTTTATCCACTAGTATTTGAGGAGCTCCATAGCCAGAGTGAATCTTCTTAACCAGTGTGAGACAGCAAGATTCAGATTCTGTTAGGATAAAGCTGTGTATATAGGGCTAAAGGAGAATAATGTAGATTAAGTAATAAGTAGCCTGCCCTTAACCATGGGGACTACATTTCAAGATGCCTGGTTGATGCCTGAAATCGAGGATAGTACCAAACCCTGTGTATGCTATGCATTAATTTTTTTTCTTCACAACTGCACAGATGAAGTTTGGTTCTTACAATGTAGATCTTAGCCAGCTTAGTATATATATATTTTCTTTCCTTATTAACAACTTAAAGGAAGCATTCTATGGCTTCTCTTTGGTATATCTAATTGTTAGCATTACTACTCTTGTGCTTTGGGTCCATTAAGAAATACAGTAAGAGTTTCTTGAACAAAATCACTGAAATACTGGGACAGGTGATAACCCTAAGTGACTAACAATCAGGGAGCACCTATAGAGCAGATACTCTGGGCAGAAGAAGGTGGGACTGCCCAACATTTCATCAGGTTACTCAGAACACTGTATACATTTACAACTTATGAATTATGTCTGGAATTTTCTATTTAATATTTTCTGACCACAGTTGACTGTAGGTAATTGAAACTGTAGAAAGCCAAACCACAGATAAGGTGGGACTACTGTATTATTTCTCTTCTTCTGTGTCTTTACCTCCATGGGTTATGAAAGAAAAAAAAAGAATTTCACTGAAGCATACGCATGCTGTGAAGATACTTTTGCAGGTATAGTTGCTCCAGAAAGAAAGCTGAGACTGGGTATTATGTGTATAGAACACTCTCATATATTAAAGGCACACATTTCAGCAAAGTGAGAGGACTCCAAGATATATATGTATGTACACACACATACACACACAAAATTTCAGGACTAACCTTCTAGACGGCAATAAAAAATTGCCACAAGAGTATCTGTGTTTTTGGAAGCATGTTCTGAATCAACAGTGTCTAGCAACTCAAGTTGAACATAGTTGTATGTGCTAGAGGTAGTGAGTTTTAACTGGAAAATCTCACTGTTTGCTTGCATGCTGTCCACACAGTGAAGGACATGGTTGAAGGCATAGAAAGAATATGGTTTACTATGTCTCCATGATGGAAAGTAGGTTTTCATATCCTTTACCATCCTCACAAGTTCTTCAGAAAGCTTTTTTTTTTTTTTAAATTGTGCTTTTTCCTTCTAGTGTACTTTAGTTATTTCCTTCAATTTCCTATAACTCCTCATTCTAAATTGTTGAGTCTCCACTACACTTTTCCGTGGCTGCTGCCACACTCTATGTTACTCTGCCATTTGTATTCTGGCTTCACAATACATCAGATTATTCCTGAAGGAACTCAATACCACTGGATTGTGGTCCATTATGTTATTAGGGTCATTTCTGCTGGAATCATTTTCACAAGATTTATTGTTTGGTATCTGTAGATCTTCAGATTAGACCATCCTTTCCTCTCCAGCCCTTGATTCTGTTGTCTGCTTCTTTTTTATTTTAGAATCATTCACTGAATCCATTTGGTCAATACTGTTTGATTAGGGAAAGTTATTAAGTCATCATACACTGACAATTAATTATCTACATTCTTGTCGATGTATTTCTTATTTCCTATATTTCCAGGAAATCTCTTAGAAATTTTTACTTATGGTAGATATAATCCGCTCTACCAGCAGACCATGAGATTAGCCAGTAAAGCTAGCTCTGTAGGCAAAATAGACCATGCTAATAATATATGCTATTGCAGTAAAATATGCTATTTCAATAGTTTCTCATGGATGATAATAGTGATTTGGACCAGGATTATAATTAAGTTGCTATGAAAAGTGTTTGGGTTATGGGTATATTTAGAAAATAAAACTGGCAGGATTGGATTTGGGGTATAAGGAAAAGTAAAGAGACAAAAAAATGACAAAAATTTTTAGCTTGAATACTATGCAGAATAAATTTACCATTTCAGAGATTTGCAGGTGGTAGGAAGAACAGGTTTGGCAGAGGAGATCAAGAGTTTCATTTTGGAGATTTAAGTTTCAGGTAGTTACAGGTCTTTGGATAATAAAGTATCACAGCTAATCCTCTTTTCTGAGTATTATTAAGATACAGTTTACCTGTCTATGAAGAAATTTCAAAGGTTATATGGAAAATATTGACAGTCACTACATTAAGTGTAATTATGTCGGAAGAATACCTTTTAGGGTGGTCCTGGCTGACTATTAGGTATCTATCCTTCAGTTTCTTTTTCTTCTTAGAAATTTAAACACAAATTAAACTTAATCAAATATAACATTTTAAAATCATTTAAATAAAATAACTAGAAAATTTTGTACATCTCTTTATTCATTTCAATATGAATATAGAAAGATAATTGAAATGATAGTCAAGAAATATCAGTAACATTTAGTAACCAAGGGCTGGAAATTGTGGTTGTACATTTATTTATTTATTTTTATGGAACTGATTTTTAAAAAACATTTCTATATTTTTTCCATTTTTTTATAATGAGAACATGTTACTTTTACAATACTATATATACTAAAATGTAAAGAAAAGAGTAACATTACTGGTATGCACTTTGAATAGAAGTTATGACTCCAGGGAGATATGATTGATCAAAAGAAAAGGATTGGATAATCACCAAACTTCCTCCATGCCTTCCCTCTTGGAGATACAACCTCTTTCCAGGAAACAAATGAGCACTAAGAATTGTCATATCTTTAAGGATTTAGAATTTTTAACATAATTTTAATAATCCTACCATTTGTCCACATTAAAAAATGTACCATATTAACAACAGATTAATCCACAACAAAGGATTAGAACCAAGGTAGAAGAGTCAACGAAATTAGAAAAATTATTTTTCAGAATAGAGATTTAAAAGAAGCAGCCAGTGAAGTGAGGGTAACATTGAGATTTTGATGTCCATGAAGAAAACGGTAATGAATTCAAAAAGAAAGTACTAAGTTTCTACTAGATTTGGTGGGCTGGTATTTTTCTTTCCAAACAAACAAGTCTCTTGGATAAAACATAAGAAGCAGACAAAAAATCGTAAGAAAGTGAAATACCTAAGTGCCAGAGGTAACAGAGACAGAATGGTGAGTGGTATTTGATAATTAGTGGCTCAACAAAGTACAAAGTCTACATACAGGCCTTAAAACTGGATGCTAAGGTTGAAATGTCCGTGCAATATTGGATGATGATCATCTGGCCTGTGAAACCCATGAGCTAAAACTGAGATTTCTGTGAAAAATTGGCAGCCACAAAGGGCTATTTGTTCAATATGCTAGGAAACACAGCATCCAGTAGCTCAGGAAAGTGATAAGTAAACTAAAAATCTGCTTGGGTCATGGGTAGATGAGCAGGACTGATTCCAGCCCATAATAGTTCCTTGCATGAATTGTGAAAAAAGTGTCTCTTTTTATGGATGATTGCCTTTTCACACCAGAATACATGGCTTGATTAATGCACAAGACTGAATTTCTGGCACTGGTATCCCCTCAGTTGGGTGCTCTTTTTCAATGTATGATCTACACAACTGTATGCTGTTTATACAGAAGCCTGAGCTATTTACAATAAAAACTATTCGATAATAGGTGAAAAACTGTAAGGTCACATTTAGACAAGGCAAAATTGATCTTTAGAGAAGACTCCAAAACCGAGGTCACCTAATTTCATAGAACATGATATGCCAGAGAATAAATTCACGTAGGAAATTGCAAAATACACAAGGAGAAAGAACCAACAGATGCAACGTTTGGGAGTATTTAAGCCCCAAGTACTACAGAATAAAATAATCTTAAGAGATTTAAAAATAAGTATATGGAACTGAAACTTTCAGAGCTAATAAAGAGATATTGAAGTTATAAGACAAACAAAAAGAAGTATGAGAAAAATGCAGTAATGTACCATCTATAAACAAGTAGTATAGCCATGGCGTGTGGAACAGATATGGTAAGTAGCCAGATTAATATTGTTATAAATAAAATAAGTGAATTGGAAGATAATCTAAAGAAATAGCTCAAAAGAGAGGCAGAAAATATCAAAGAGAAGGCAAGAGATACAGAAGATTAGGAAAATTTCAAGATTTATTTAATACTATTTTTAGAAAAGGAAAATGGATAAATAAATGAGGCAACACAGTTTTCAAAAACAAACTGAAAAAGAGACCAAAAGAAACTAGGAGCATTTACTTGGAAGATATTAATTATATTCACTGAGAAACTAGGTGTTGAAACCAGAGAACAGGAAAGACAAAGGAAAATCTTAAAATATATAAATTTTACTTTATGGTATAAAAGAGTTACCGATAGCAAGACTTTCAGCAGACTTTTCATCAGTAATACTTAGAGATCAGATGTAAAATAAATTATTACCATCCAAGTGTGAAATTTAAATATTTTCATTGTATACTTTCATACATAGCTAAGCTATCATTTAAGAATGCAGGTGAAAAAAGGATAAATTCCAAGCTGCAAAGCTTCCTTATCATTGGAAACATTAATTGTATGTTTACTTGTGACTCTCGAGAATATCTCTCTTTTTAGAGTGCTTTCCCATTTTGCATCAGGTATGCATTTGCATTCTGCTTCCTGTATTTTCCTCTTCCTCTATTCCTATGTATACCTTGTCACCAAACACCTTCCTTTCTAGTAATACTGTTGAGTGTGAGCTAGCTGTTTCTTCAAATATTGTTGCAGAATTGTGTGGAGAAGGAGACATGGGAAAGAGGAATGTTCTACTCTTCCATTCAACTATCAGTCTTGTATACTCCCTCAGCATGAAGTTATCATATACCTTCCATCAACCCCTTTTAATTTCAGGATCTCCATGATGTGCTCATTTTTCTCTCCCTTTTTCATTCTTCCATATCTGCAGTTTGTAAACCTTACGATAGTAACCAAAGAGAGCTAGTGAGCATGTTTTCGAAAACCTCACTAGCTGCTTTGCAGGGTGCAGTGGTGATCTGTTGCTCTTTTCTGGGTATAGTGGGGAGGACGCAGGGGGCATTTCCCAATTAGGGAGTGTCTTGCCATAATAGGGACATTTCAATGATGAGAGCTCTTTTTTTTTTTTTCAGTCCATATCTTTTCTGATTTTGAGGAGCTCCAAGCTCTGAGTTCGACTTCTTGTTTTATTCCACTTTCACTATTGGATATATATTCTTCTTGACTGGTGCTTTAGATTTTGATAATTTACTTTCTTCTGCTTTGACTATGGAGTTTGATTCTTTTCATTATATGTTTATTTTGTTGTATTCAATGATGCTCAAGGGGTGAAATACATTACAAATATCTGTCATCTTTATTCAAAGCCACCTTACTTACATTTTGAGGCTTTTTTTCATTTGTTTCATTTTTGTACCATAATTAATTTTTAAAGGACAATATTGTCTCAGTCATTAATTTTCAAATCATAAGAGTTGATAAACTTTAATAGTTAGGTGTTCAGTGCATACTGTGTGTCAGTCACTGTCCTAACTGCTTTATTTGACTATCTCATTTAATCCTTAGAGATTCTAATAGCATCATTGTTCACACCTGGAGAAATGTAAAGGTGATGCAGTAAATAGGCGGAAATCTCACAACTAACAGCTGAACTGTGATTTGAACCTTTGCAATGTTAATGCACAGATTACATTCAAATCACAATGCTGTATTCTCATTTGTATGACTCAAGGAAAAATATCTATAATTCTCTTAGTTTAAAAAGTCATTCTCAGATCTCAAAAGAAAATTCATTTAAATGGAATTTAATGTAAAATACTTAGGAGGACTAAGGTACTGGTATAGCAAAATCAAACTAGCCATCCACACAAGAATTTTATATCTCCTTGTGGTTATATCTCTCATTCCTTTAAACAACTTATTGTTAATGAGAATAGCTAGTAAAGTCAGAAATGAGTAGATCATCATTTATATTTAACATTCTGGATTTTAGAGAGAAAATCTCTGAAATGAATGTGCTGTTTACAAGAGTAGAAAAACTGTAACATAAAGTTGCTTTTAGGTAAGTGGAAAATGAATACAAGATTAAGCTATGTAAATACAACAATAAAAAATAAGGACTTTAAATTCTTTCTTATGACAGTAAAATCTCATGAAAATAAGATTTCATAAAGATTTGCAAATGGGCTCTGTTAAAACTTACCTTTAAACTATTTTTAAATGATAGGAATTGCTCAGCAAATTAACTTTTAAATAAGTTTGTAGGTGAAATGTCCAACTTATTGAATAGAGTATTTTCAAGTACAATAGCCTGTTTTAAAAAAAAATAGTACTCAGTTAATTTTCTGGTCATGATAGCTGCTGTGTCAGGACCCACTATGTACTTTTCTATCCTTTTGTTTCAATTCCTCTATGTATGTTTAATAAAATAAACAACATTGTCTCCTTAAAAATACATAATTTGAGGTTTCTATTAACTCTGAAATAAATAGTTACAAATATTTTATATTCTAAATGAGATTAATACACAATAATTCTTATCCCTGCAGGAGAATAGTCCCCATATTATGAAGATTTAATGGTATGGTTTGGCTCTGTCCCTACCCAAATCTCAGTTTGAATTGTAGTTCCCATAATCCCCATGTGTCATGGGAGGAATCTTGTGGGAGGTAATTGAATCACAGGAGTGGTCATCTGCATACTGTTCTCATGATAGTGAGTGTGTTCTCACGAGAACTGATGGTTTTCTAAGGGGCTTTTGCCCCACTTTGCTCTGCACTTCTCCTTGCTGCCGCCATCTGAAGAAGGATGTGTTTGCTTCCCCTTTCTCCACGATTGTAAGTTTCCTGATGCCTCCCCAGCCATGCTGAACTGTGAGTCAATTAAACCTCTTTTCTTTATAAATTACCCAGTATCAGGTATGTCTTTATTAGCAGCATGAGAATGTACTAATCCAAGGGTCAATTCTGTTATAATGAAGCATAACCTATAATCTGGTATCTATGCCTACATGTTTTCAATTGAGTTTAATATCCTATATATATTAGAAACAGGGGTCTGAGTATAGGTATTTCTTTAGGAAAATATAAATTAGACGAGAAGGAGGAAGACAAATTTGTAAATTTCTACGTGGTAGCGTGACACATACATTCGGGAACCAATAATCCAAACAGGGACTTCGATCTAGATATAAATCACTATGAGTCAGAACATTTGGATACTAGGTGCATTTGTGTCATTTATAAGGTATAAGACCTCGGGAAAATCACTTCATCCACTGAGTTTTAGCCTTAACATCTAATAAGATAATCAACTAAAAATGCATAATTTAACCTTCTATAATTTTAATTTATTACTTCTGAAAAAAATTGATTGAATTTTTTATAAACTAGGGAAGAAGAATCAGATAACTCAAGCTTTTATATTCAGAAAAGTTTGGGGCAACTACTGACTTTGATAGTCTGCAGCCTGCTTGACAGTGCAACTCATTCCCAGTCTCCACTTGATAAGCAAAATGCATGTAAGCTCATTCTGCTGTGTTAAGGTTTTTTTTTTTAAATCTGTCAAAGGACCACTTCATTACTAATGATTTGTGTCCCTAATAAAGTTTATTCATGCTTAGAATATTGCTATAATGTATTGACAAAGGATTTTATCACTGCCAGTGTGCTAATTGAAACTCTTTATACCACAGTTAAGTAAAACAAAATTGAATAAATCTAGCATAGTAATCTGACCAATAAAATTTCCCTTATATTGCTGGCCTTCAAATTCAGGCAATTAAAATGTAGCAGAAAGTTAGGAAATTATCTGTATAACACAGGAAATAAAGTTTTCAATGAATAATTTCATAACCATCACTGCTATTTTGGATGGAATGTATGGCTACTAACCAGGACTCATATACAAGTTATAATATAAAAAGTAGACATTTTAAGATTGTTAATTAAAATATTTCTAATGTATTCAGTCAGAAGAAGCATACATACATTTATTCAAGAAATGTGAATTAAGCGTTTATAGTCTGGAGGATATACTGATAAGCAAAAGGTACAAATTGTTTACTTTCATGGAGGTGATGATATAGTAAGGAGTAAATTATGTAAACAAATAATTAAAATATAGCATCATAAGGGCTGTGATAGGGGAGGATTTGCAGAAGCACAGCAAGCCCTCAATCTGATTTGATAAGAAAATAAGAACACAGAGAAGAGGTCAAGAAATAATTGACCTCTAAAGGGAAACCTTTGACAGTTAAATTCAAGAGGAAAGAGTGAAGAGAATGTTAAAAATAAAAGAGCATGTAGAAATGTCTAAGGAAGGCTTGATTCATTGAAGGACCTAAAAAAGAGGAAATGAGTTCTGATTTTAATAGATGGGGCTCAACTCGGAAGAGTTGAACTTGGGGAGGTAAACCTGAGCCAGAGTTAGATAAGTAGATATTTCTGTAATTGACATTTTTCAAATAAGGCAAGAGAAGATGTAAAGCTATTAAAGTAAGAAAGGTGAGCTCTAAATAATATAAGAGCTAAAATAAATGACTAACATTTTTTCTCTGACTGCATCAAAAAGTAACAGAGGAAGCTTATAATAAATAGCATCGGTGCAAGTAGTCCATTGAAATAAGGCCCAAAAGAATAAGAACAAGGAATGAGGCTGATTAAAAATTATTATACTCAAAACCAATAATTAGGAATTAGCCTGTGAGAAACTATTTCATTGGGACATGCAAATTAGTTTGCATTTCCCATCATTCAAGCAAAAAAGGGTAATATTACTTAATTACTTAATGAAGAGGGGAGAGATCCCCCTACCAGCATTTAATACTGAAAGGGATATAAATATATAAGAGAAGTTGAACAATTACATTTCAAAATATTGCCCATCTCCCATTAAGTGACCATTAGTACTTATCCTCATATAACTTGCAGGCTCATTTCCTCCACATTGAGCAGAATTCTAGGATTTACAAGTCACCAGTCACCACTCATTTAGTCCCACATACCTCTGAACATCAAATCTGTATCACCCTGCCACTTCCAATGTGCCCTCAAACTCCACACTCATTCTACTCTCAAATGCTTCTCTGAATTATTTTCTTTCGTTTCCTCTAGTTCAGTCACTCCATCCATATTTATGGAGTCCTCAGTATGGCCCAGAGGTAAATTTCTTTCCCTAATTCACTATCCCACTCTCTGAGATCACTATCTCAGTTCTCTTTCAAACTTTCATCATCCCTTTCCTTTTCTACTTTCAGATGATAATATTGCTTCTTGTATTATTTTGCTTGGCCAAAGGTAGCTTTCATTTGGAAGCCTCTTCTCTCGCGCTGGAGGCAGCTGTCGTTTTGCCTGGTGCTCACATAATTTTTGTGTGTGGGTGAGATCTGAGGGATGGAGAGCTTTCTGATGTCTCTTCTTATAATGATAGAAATTCTATTAGATCAAGGCCCCACTCTTATAATTTCATTTAACCTTGATTACATCCTTATATACTCTGTCTCCAAATATAGTCACATTGGAGGTTAGGGCTTCAACACATAAGTTTTGGGTGGGGTACACAATTTAGTACATAACACTTCTTATTTCACCAAGAAAATAGAAGACATCAGATGAGAACTGAATCATCTTTCCACTTGCAAATTTAACAACTATCTGCATATGTTCCCACACAGTCTTCCTCCCTTTCTGTTGCAGTGCATGGCTATGCCAAGGACAACTACTGCCCTGTGCACTTGATTCACTCATGCCCCCTACGTACATGCCTTTTGCTCAAGATTATGTCCCATTCCCATTCTCCATCGTCAGTATATTCTTATTGGGTAATTTCCATTAGAATATACAGCTACTATAACAGCCCCAAACTTAAACAGAATTCTCATCCATCTTACTTAATTCTTTAATTCAATCCATGGCCCTCACTTTAAACAGTTATCTTTAGAATTTACATTATCTGTTTATGAAAGCCTTTTTAAATATTTGGATCCACACTTTCCAAGCATTTTTTTTTTTTTTTTTTTTTTTTTTTAAAGACAGAGTCTTACTCTGTCGCCCAGGCTGGCGTGCAGTGGTGTGGTCTCAGCTCACTACAACCTCTGCCTCATGGGTTCAAGCGATCCTCGTGCCTCAGCCTCCCAAGTAGCTGGGACTACAGGTGTGTGCCACCAGGCCCAGCTAATTTTTGTATTTTTCACCGTGTTGGCCAGGCTGTTCTCTATCTCCTGACCTCAAGTGATCTGCCCACCTTGGCCTCCCAAAGTGCTGGGATTACAGGTGTAAGCCATCAAGCCCAGCCCTGAGCATGTTTCTTGATGGAGTGGTTATTCTTTCTTACGTATTTAGTTGCCTTCTCTTTTTTCAGACCTTTTTTCAGGTACTATTAATTACGTAGGGTTCCAAGAAACAGTCTTTAACACTCCCCTCTTTACTCCGTCTTCGCTCTGTCCATAAGTAGTATCATTGCTTTAAGTATCATTTCTTTTTTCTTTTTTGGGATGGAGTCTGGCTCTGTCGCCCAGGCTAGAGTGCAGTGGTGTGATCTCGGCTCACTGCCCTCCGCCTCCCAGGTTCAAGCAATTCTCTGCCTCACCCTCCCGAGTAGCTGGGATTACAGGCACCTGCCACCATGCACGGCTAATTTTTGTATTTTTAGTAGAGACAGGGTTTCACCATCTTGGCCAGGCTGGTCTTCAACTCTTAACCTCGTGATCCACCCAGCTAGGCCTCCCAAAGTGCTGGGATTAGAGATGTGAGCCACCACGCCTGGCCTTAAGTATCATTTTCATGCTAAGTCCCCAATTTATATTCCCAGACCTGATCTCACTCTTGACTCTAACTTATACATTCAGTTGCCTACTTGATATATTGTTGAACACCTGACAGATGCCATAAATTTTAATATTAAAGACATTACTCCTTTTAAACTCCCAGTTTAATTCCTTCTCGAATCTATTTCTTGTTCAACGTTACTGCATAAAATATACTGCTGAAGCCAAAAACATAGGAGTTGTTTATGATTTCTCAGTTCTTATCCCTGGAAAATTCTGTTAGCCATAATTTAAAAAAACTATCCTTAATCCTACCACTTGTCACTTGGTGACTACTGTCCAAGCCATATGGTTAAGTCCAAGACATAACCATCTTGTACCTGGACCATTATCTTACCCTCTAGCTTTCTGCTTTCAGGTTCTACTCATATCATAACAGACTTTTTAAAAAAGCATTTTATTATAAAATTACTATAAAAATATAAAAAATAAGAATACAAAATAAAAGAATGCCTCCTATACTCATTAGCTGCCTTACATTTCAGGAAAATTATATTTCCTTAAGATTTTTTAAGACATAGAACATTATAATTACAGTTAAGTTCCTGAAGGTGTATTTTCATCTTATTGCAATTTCCTCTGTTCCCTCCAGAATTAAAACTGGTCTGACACACTCTTAAATCTTTACATATATATTTATGTATTTATAATATATGAGTAATGTGTATGTTTTCAATTTTTATGTAAATTATGTTATGCTCTAAATACCCCCTGGCAATAATTTTTGGGCTTAAAAATATATTTTGAAGATGTATCCATTGTTTTATTTATAGTTCTCTCTCATTTTATCTACTTTACAATATTTCATTATATAAATATATCATATTTTATTTGTTCATTCTCATGTAGAAAGACATTGTTTTGTATATGTATTTTTGATATTTCAAAGTGTTGCAGTATACATTATAGTATGTTTTTTCTCATATGTAAACATTTAAAAAATCATCAAATCATTATTTAAAAATTGTAGTATCCATTTCCACTCCCACCATCACAGCATGAGATTTTCCTTTACTTCAAGTTCTTATCCATATATTTTATGACAACATGACATATGTATGACAGCATCCTATGGCTATCATATACATGTCATATTGTCATAAAATACATAGATGTGTTTTCTTTTTTAATCTTATATTTTTTAATGAATTATCATTTTGTAATCTTTGGTATTTATATTGACATTTAAATGAATTTTTATACATTCTCGATAGAAGTCTTTGTCATTTATTGTGAAATCCAGGATTTCTTTCTACTGATACCTACAACGAAATCTGCATGCATTTCAAACACACA
The DNA here is from genome assembly GCF_000001405.40 of Homo sapiens. NCBI lineage: Eukaryota > Metazoa > Chordata > Mammalia > Primates > Hominidae > Homo > Homo sapiens. The sequence continues at coordinate 9,623,364 of NC_000007.14, read as the reverse complement.
CAACGTTCCTCTTACTATTAGAATGATGATACATTTCTCATTTCCATTGTTCTTCAATCCTCTGAAACTTCCTATTCTTGTATGTAAGATCAAATTTCTTCTTCCCATAGAACTATTTTAGTATTTTTTATACAGTTTATCTTTTAGAGATGAGTTTTCTCATTTTTTGTTTTGGTCAGGGGACTTATTATTTCCATATTAGCTGGTTATAGAACTTTACACATTCTGTTTCATTAATCTCTGGTTTCTTACATTTCTGTTGAAGAAAACATTGTAAATGTTTTAGTGGGTCCTTTGAAGAATATGTGCCTTTTTTCTTCTGGCTGGTTATGATTTTTCTCTTTATTTTTACTTTTAGTATTTTTCTTATGATATGCCCAGGTTTGATAATCCTTGTATTTAGTCTTCTTGAGCTTAACTGCTTTGAAATCTGTAGTTTGATGTCTTTCATTCATTATGGAAAAATCTTTATTATATGTCTTCAAAAAATCGCCTGTATTCTGTTCTTTCAATCTTCCCTCTCTGTGTCTATTTGTATAATTCTAATTCATTCTGTATTTCTCATGTTGATTATTTCTCTGTGATTTATCCTGAATATCTTCTACTAATCTATTTTTCAGATCATGCATCATCTTTTTAGGTGTATCTAGTCTATTCTTGAACCCATTTGCATGCATTAAATCAGTTATTTTTCTCATTTCTAGAATTTGTAATTAATTATATTAATTATATAATTTTATAGATTCCAAATCTATAGTAAAATCTTTTATATTGATATGTTCTTCCTAATATATAAATCGTATTTCTTTTAAAGTTGGTGAATGATAATCTTCATAGCTATCACCTCTGAGTTTGTTTCTACCGTCATTTAAAAATTTTTTTATTCCAATTTTTTCTTTCTTTCATGTTCCAATTTTTTATTTAATTCTATACATTGTGTATGAAAAATTTTAGAGGGTTTAGAGTATGCTTCTTCCTTTAGAGAGTATTTTGTTTTGCTTCTGACAGTATTGTAATCAATCACCATGGATTAAGTTTATTCAAGGCTAAGTTTCAGTTTTTATTAGTCCTTATGTATTTTCAGTTCATTCTTATTCCTGGATATAGTCTTTCAGGCATCCCAACTAAAAACCTGCAATGTCTACTGGGGCAGTTCCACCTGAGTGTGCCTGCACTCCATTTGTGTGTGTGTGTGTGTGTGTGTGTTTTGCGGTCCTAGAACGCTGCTTAAGGCTCTGCTCAAGTTCTCCCTGCCAACAGCTTCCTATCACATATTGCTAGAAAACGCAATTAGGAGAAAGAGGGGCAGACATAAGACTTACCTTAGTGTGTTGCTATTATCTGTGGGCTCTGACTGAGAGGTGACAGCGTGCTGGCAGTCCTCACAGCCCTCGCTCGCTCTCGGCGCCTCCTCTGCCTGGGCTCCCACTTTGGCGGCACTTGAGGAGCCCTTCAGCCCGCCCCTGCACTGTGGGAGCCCTTTTCTGGGCTGGCCAAGGCCGGAGCTGGCTCCCTCAGCTTGCGGGGATGTGTGGAGAGAGAGCCGCGGGCGGGAACCAGGGCTGCGCGCGGCGCTCGCGGGCCAGCGTGAGTTCCGGGTGGGCGTGGGTTCGACAGGCCCCGCACTCGGAGCGGCCAACCCGCCCCGCCGGCCCCGCCGGCCCGGCAGTGAGGGGCTTAGCACCTGGGCCAGCAGCTGCTGTGCTCAATTTCTCGCCCGGCCTTAGCTGCCTCCCCGCAGGGCAGGGCTCGGGACCTGCAGCCCGCCATGCCTGAGCCTCCCCGCAACTCCGTGGGCTCCTGTGCGCAGGAGCCTCCCCGACGAACGCCGCCCCCTGCTCCAAGGCGCCCAGTCCCATCGACCACCCAAGGGCTGAGGAGTGTGGGCGCATGGCACGGGACTGGCAGGCAGCTCCACCTGCGGGCCGGTGCCGGATCCACTGAGTGAAGCCAGCTGGGCTCCTGAGTCTGGTGGGGACTTGGAGAACGTTTATGTCTAGCTAAGGGATTGTAAATACACCAATTGGCACTCTTTCTAGCTCAAGGTTTGTAAACACACCAATCAGCACCCTGTGTCTAGCTCAGGGTTTGTGAATGCACCAATCGACACTGTATATAGCTACTCTGGTGGGGACTTGGAAAAGCTTTGTGTTGACACTCTGTATCTAGCTAATCTAATGGGGATGTGAGAACCTTTGTGTCTAGCTCAGGGATTGTAAACACACCAGTCAGCGCCCTGTCAAAACAGACCACTGGGCTCTCTGTAAAGTGGACCAATCAGCAGGATGCGGGTGGGGCAAGATAAGAGAATAAAAGCAGGCTGCCCGAACCAGCAGTGGCAACCCGCTGGGGTCCCCTTCCACAGTGTGGAAGCTTTGTTCTTTCGCTCTTTGCAATAAATCTTGCTGCTGTTCTCTTTTTGGGTCCACACTGCCTTTATGAGCTGTAACACTCACAGCAAAGGTCTGCAGCTTCACTCCTGAAGCCAGAGAGACCATGAACCCACCGGGAGGAAGGAACAACTCCAGACCCGCCGCCTCAAGAGCTGTAACACTCACCGCCAAGGTCTACAGCTTCACTCCTGAGCCAGCGAGACCACGAACCCACCAGAAGGAAGAAACTCCAAACACATCCAAACATCAGAAGGAACAAACTCCGGACATGCCGCCTTTAAGGACTGTAACACACCGCGAGGGTCCGCGACTTCATTCTTGAAGTCAGTGAGACCAAGAACCCACCAATTCCGGACACATGACCTCCTCAAATCCCAGTTCCCAGGCATAAGCCTTACCTTAGTGTGTTGCTATTATCTGTGGGCTCTGAATTCCTCAAATCCCAGTTCCCTAGGTAGCTCTCCAAAGCAATGTCTTTTTCTAATTTATCCCGTGTCCTTTGTTTCTCAGGAGGACTGGTAGTCTGTCACAGTCATCCTGCATTGTGTCTTTTGACTTTATTTTTATGTTGTTTATTTTTTGGCAGATTTCCTCATAAATATATTTTGATTTATCAGCCTTCATTATTTGTTCTTTTGGTGTCCTGCTAAAAACATATTTTGTATCTCAAGATAGTCTCATTTATTTTCTTTTAAAGGTTTTAAATTTTTGACTAAAATTATCTTTTTACTGGCAAGAAATATTAGCAGTGATTTTTAAAAGAAGCTTTTTACCATGAAAGGAGGGATCTCGAACTTCATATGTATTGTGTTTTTAATCATATGCCTTATGCATTTATTATTGTATATTTCATATTGATATCTAAATAGGTACATGTGTTTATTTTTCTTGATTTTGAACAACTCTTGGAGGAGGAAGGAAATGTGATTATGAATGATGCAAAGCACAAAATCGCGAGAGTTCAAAAGCTTGCCATGAAGGTCAAGGATTTTTTCGACTCTTTTTTATGTTTTTTACTCACAGTTGAGAGACTGAGGGTATTTGAGAAAGTTATAATCCCAAAGAATGATACACATTTGCTTATACAACATACACACAAAAAATTAATAAAAATAAAAAGATCAATATTTATCTCTACAATATAAGAGATATGTATTTCTTTGGGGACTGATTTGGGGAGAAAATAAATAAAAAATAAAACCAAGAGGTGGCTTTAAGGATCGAAAAGTAGAAAGGATTGAAGAACAGTGGAAATGGGAAACAAATAATCACTTTAATAGAGATATTAGTAAGAAGAATGTTGTGCAGATTTAAAATGCATGCAGATTTCATTATAGAAAAAAAAAATTCCTATTTCATACAAGCTGTTGACAGCCAGGTTGTTCTGTCAAAGACAAACACAATCAGAAACTGAGAAAACATAAGAAATTGGTATTTGAAAAGAGAACTATTGTTTCAGCTTCAAAAGATCAAATTAAAAGATAACCTTTCGATTGTATAGTTAAAATAGAAACTATGGACAAGAAAAGAGGTAAATATGATCAGTAAATACACAAAGGCAAGTCTGGGGGCCCACTGTACAATCAAAATAAAGAAGACAAAATTGAAAATGAAGACAAAATGAAGAAGACAAAATTGCCATAACCCTGCTGAAACTGTATGTGTATGGGGAGAAGTTTCGATGCCAAAGCAAGCAGAGAACAAGTCTTTCAGCAATGAGAAAAGCGATCCGATCGGTGTTTTTCTGTTGTCTCTGTAGATTTTTTTTTTTTTAATGTATGGCTTGTTAATGACTAGTAAGGGTTAAACTTTATTTTGATTTTGTTCTTAACTTTTAAAGTGACTTTTTATTCATTTTTCCCGTTTTTAAAATGTGATGTTTAATTATTTCTTATTAATAGAAAAAGCTCTTAGTAAAGGTAACAAAAGGAATGGCAAAAGCCGCAATTACTTTTGCGCCAACCTAGTAAGAATATTGAACATCTTCCTGTTGTATTTACCATAAGCCATTTCCCAAATGGTTGTTACATATTTGTATATTTTTACAGACTGTATATTGGGTATGTTTATGCCATAAAATCTTCAGTCTTTGTATTTTCTTTAGTTATCATCATGTTTAGAAGTCCTTCAATTGGGAAAGGTAAGACAAATATTCTCACATATTGTCTTCAACTTGTTTTAATTCTTGCATCTTTCCATGAGTATTATTTATCTATTTATGTATAAAAAATACACCAAAACATAGCAACTTAAAAGCCACCAACATTGTCTCAGTTTCTGTGGGCAAGGAGTTCAGGCATAGGTTAGCTAGGTCCTCAAGCTATGAGCATCTCACAAGGCTGCCATCAAGGTGTCAGCCAGGGCTACTGTTGTCTTAAAACCTGATTTTGTTCATTCATTCATTCAGCAAATTTTTATTTAGCACCTACACTCTTAAATATATATATAATATATAATATAAATATACATTATATACATATTTGAAAAAGATGGATGTAGGCTTTCCCACATAAAATTCACCAAATTTTTCTGCTTATAGATCTGACAGTTCTTTTATAGATGACAGTTCTGCTTATAGATTAATCTGACAGTTCTTTTGACTTTACTTATTAAATATTTATAGCCAGTGCCAACCTTTTTTTCTCTTTAAAATGCTGATGGTTATTTTAGAACATTTACTTTCCCATGGGAAATTTAAATATTAATGTATGCCTCTTAAACTCACCAAAATTGAATTTTAATTAAAATTGATATCCATTTATAGCTTAATAGAGGGACAATATACATAGTTTGCACTATCAAGTAACATAGTAGATCTCTTCAATGAGCCAAATGTCTTTTATGTGTTTCAGTCAGATTTTTAGATATCTCTTTTTATACCACAAATATCTGGCAAATTTTATTTCTAATTATTTTAATGTCTTTTAATACAGGGTTGAGAATGTACACAGCAGTTTATATTACAAACTAATTATCCTAAGTATTCCAATAAGGATTCTTATATTCTTATGTTATTTTAATCAGCCTTCTTAGTAAATGTTAATATTTATAAATTCTAAGAGTTATTACAATGTTTATGTAGTCTTCAATCATATCAAATCCAAGAAACTATGATCTTGACACTATTTTTTCAATTATTACACGTTGCAATTTGTATTATCTTCTGAAGTATTGTCCTTTCCAGAACACACAGTATATTAAATGACACCACAGTTAGTATGCAGTCATGTGCTGTATAACATCATTTTGGTCACCAGTGGATCACAAATACAGTGGTGATACCATAAGATTATAATGGAGGTGAAAAATTTCTATCACTTAGTGGCATCATGGCATTATAACCATCATAACATCGTAGTGCCACATGTTACTCACATGTCTGTGGTGATGCTGGTGTAAACAAACCCACTGTGTTGCCAGTGGTATAAAAGTACAACACATACAATTGATGTGCAGCACGTAGTACTTGATAATGATAATAAAAGACTGTAACTGGCTTATGTATTTAGTACACTATACTTTTAATTGTGATTTTAGAGCATACTTTTAAAACTCATCTTAAAAGAAAATTAATGGTAGAATAGGCTTAGGCAGGTTCTTCAGGAGGTGTTCCAGAAGAAGGAATTGTTATCATAGATGACAGCTCCATGTGTGTTATTGCCCCTGATGACCTTGTAGTGGGACAAGATGCGGAGGTGGATAACAGTGATATTGATGATCCTGACCCTGTGCAGACCTAGGCCAATGTGTGTATTAGTGTCTTAGTTTTTAATTAAAAAGTTTAAAGTAAAAAAAGAAGAAAAAACTTATAGAATAAGCATATTAAGACAGAAAATATTTTTGTACATCTGTGAAATGAGTTTGTGTTTTAAACCAAGTGTTATTACAATAGAGTCAAAAAGTTAAAAAAAGTTTATAAAGTAGTTATAGTAAACTAAGATTAATTTATGATTGAAAAAAGAAAAATATTTTTTATATACTTGGTGTATCCTAATTGTACAGTGATAAATTCTATAGCAGTGTACAGGCTTTCACATTCATTCACCACTCACTGACTCACCCCGAGCAACTTCCAGTCCTGCAAACTCTATTCATGGTGAATGCCCTGTACAGGTGTACCATTTTTTATCTTTTATACTATATTTTGAGTGTGTCTTTTCCATATTTAGACACACACAAAACTGATCATTGTGTTATAATTGCCTACATAATTGAGCACAGTGACATGTTGTACAGGTTTTTACCCTAGAAGCTGTAGGCTGTACCATCTAGCCTAGGCTATACAATCTAGGTTTGTGTAAGTACACTCTGTAACTTTCTCAGAGTGACAAAATTGCCTAATGATGCATTGCTCAGAATGTATTCTCACCATTAGCAATTTGTGTTTCTAAAATTAACATGAATCCTTCTAGGTTATTATTATGACAAATGTTGTCCACTGAATTCTAATAGACAATTTAAAACAGCATTTTAAGAAGCTATTCATTCTTTCTAGTTTCTAAAAAATTATACTTAGAAATTGTTGAAAATTTTAGAATTTTTATATTATTAGATAATTATCCTTATTGTTATCAACAAAATATTTTCACATAATAAACTAATTTAAGATATTTAATCATTAAACAAGCTTCACACTTTAAAAGTAACCCCAATGTATAATGAAATGTGATTTTAGTATAGTCTTACATTAATTTATGACAGTGTGTTATTTTTAATTTTTGTTTCTTTATTTTAAATGAAATTGGCTATAATTTTATTTTCTTTTGTTTTTTTTTTTTTTTTAGGTGAGCTCAGGGGACTTTATTGATGGTAACCGACAAGGTGGGGCTCCTTAGGCCCCTCCCTCTTCAGGGGGTCTGCATGGAAATTGTGAGGAAGGGAGATTCTCATTGTGGTGGGGGACTGAGTGCAGCAGGGAGCTCCCCGGCAGCTGAAGGCCTCTCTCTTCCTCTTGCACTCTCGTTGGGGTTGGTGGTCTGGGGGGTCTTACTTCTTGGAGGCCATGTGGGTCATGAGGTTCACCACCCTGTTGCTGTAGCCAAATTCATTGTCATATCAGGAAATGAGCTTGACAAAGTGGTCGTTGAGGGCAATGCCAGCCCTAGAATCGAAGGTGGAAGAGTGAGTGTCGCTGTTAAAGTCGGGGGAGATGACTTGGTGCTCAGTGTAGCCCAGGATGCCCTTGAGGGAGCCCTCTGATGCCTGCTTCATCACCTACTTGATGTCATCATATTTGGCAGGTTTCTCCAGATGGCAAGTCAGGTCCACGACCGACACGTTGGCAGTGGGAACATGGAAGGCCATGCCAGTGAGCTTCCCATTCAGCTCAGGGATGACCTTGCCTACACCTTTGGTAGCTCCAGTAGATGCAGGGATGATGTTCTGATTAGCCCACAGCCATCATACCACAGTTTCCCAGAGGGGCCATCTACAGTCTTCTGGATGGCAGTGACGGCAAGGACTGTGGTCATGAGTCCTTCCACGATACCAAAGTTATCATGGATGACCTTGGCCAGAGGCATTAAGCAGTTGGTGGTACAGGATGCATTGCTGACAACCTCGAGGCTCTTATCCTACTTCTCATGGTTCATAACCACAACGAACATGGGGGCATCAGCAGAGGGGGCAGAGATGATGACCCTTTTGGCTCTCTCCTGCAGGTGAGCCCGAGCCTTCTCCATGGTGGTGAAGAAACTGGTGGCGTCCACTATGTACTCAGTACCAGCATCACCTCATTTGATTTTGGTGGGATCTCTATCCTGGAAGATGATGATGGTAATTCCATTGATGACAAGCTTCCCGTTCTCAGCCTTGATGCTGCCATGGCATTTGCCACGGGTAGAATCATACTGGAACATGTACACCATGTAGTAGAGGTCAATGAGGGAGTCATTGATGGCGACAGTATTCACTTTACCAGAGTTAAAAGCAGTGCTGATGACCAGGTGCCCAATATGGCCAAATCCATTGACTTGGGCCTTTACTTCCACCATAGTGTGTCAGGGATGCCAATGGCGCTGCACGAGAAGATGCAGCTGTCTGTCAAACTGGAGGAGCAGAGAGCCTATAATTTTCATGTTGAACTATTTTATGTTAATTTTATTGTTACGCTAGTATAAAATGTTAATTTAAAAAATACATATTTTTCTAGGCTTTGGAATGCTTAAGTATAATAAAAGTTATTTGGTTCTTTGACTTTTGAAAGAAAACACATTTTTTTGGAGGCTGTACTCTGATGCAGTTTTCAAGGTCTTCTGCATTTATGAGGGTATTCAGGTATTTCAATTCATAGGTCAGTTTTTTCATTTATATTTAACATGAAATCATCTATTTTTTCTAGGTTTTTAAATATATTAGCATATAGGCTTGAAGTTGATTACCTCATATTTTAAGTATCTTCTAAAAATTCTTGTTTATCTCTTCTTTTTCAATTGTTTTTCATTTAAAAACACTTTTCTTATTTCCAATATTATCTCTTTGCAGTTTTCTTTTTGACTTGACTACATTTACTAGGTACATGTGGATGATATTAGTATCTTCTAAGTAAATCTTAAATTTCTTTATAAAAAATAGTTAAGCTTCCATGTTTCTTATTTGATTACTTTCTAATAGAGTTTTAATTCCTACTTTTTGCTCTTTTGTTTTCTTTGGCACTATTTCTCTGATATCTTGAGTCAATCACTCCAGTAATCATAGCATAACTGTGAATATTCAAGGTATAACACATTTTGTACTAAGTACAATATTGGCTGAACACCATAAAATATAGTGTTTTTGTTGTAATTATTTTCTAAATGGACTATAATTGCAATTTCATTTCCTTTTAAACCCAATATTCAAGGAAATGTTCTGTATTATCCATTTTTTTAAATTTTAAGATGTTAATTTTTAGTATTATAGACTGGTGGTTGTAGAGTGTGACCTCTACAATTTCTACTTTTAAAATTTCTTTAGAATTTCTTTGTGGTCTGCAAAGTAATACAATTTTGTAAATGTTCTGCAGACACTGGGGATTAAAGAATATCCTCAGCTTATAGATTACTAATTTGAGTATATGGCTATAAAATCAAGAATGTAAATTATGTTATTCTGATTGTATAAATTAGTAGGCTTAAATATTTTTATATTCATGGCATAGCTTTACATGACAGAAAATTTGGCAGTACACTTAAATAAATAAGAGATTGGAATAACTATGAAACAAATCAGCCTTAAACTACAACTTTACCATTATATTTGAGCATATATCCCATATTTATACAAAAAGTGATTTTAGTTGATAAGATGTATTGAATGCATATATGTGTTGTCACAAATTGATGCTCTTTACATGCATATAATCCATGTATAACACACTTATTAGCTTTGTCTTTAAGATGAAAAAATGAGGCATAAAGCTTAAACATGGTGTTCTGTTAGTCTTAAAATAGTATAATGGTAATATTATTTGTAGTTTTTTCCTAAAATGGAAAGTTACTTAGATAAGAGATAATTGGGGAAAAATAAGTGATGTTATAAATTTTGCCAAGCTAAAAAGTGTGATTTCATTCATTCACTTTTGATACAACATTTATTGAGTGTTTATTATGAACCAGGCATTCATTGTATTAGGTCTTATAGAAATAAAATTCATTTAAAAGCATTTCCACTATCACTGACAATACAGAACACATAATAAAAGAGAAATTGTTGCTCTTATTTACTAAGTTTGTTGAGAAAGAAAATTGCAATTGAGAAGGCAGAAGTAGAACAACATAATTAATTCCCTCCCCTGCTCCACTCCTTTGTAAAAAATTAAACAAACTAAGTTCACCTCTCTCTGTCTTTCTGTCCTTCTCTCTCTCATACATACACATTCACCTTCTTGACTGCCTTTGAAGTAACTGTGTAATGGGCTATATGAAAATTGAAACACATTTTTTAAGAAATAGCAAATGTCAGTAGCTTCATACAGCTAAAGGTCAGTGAATGATATGCATCTCCTGGCTTGCCCTCTCATAACACTTTGCTATCAGGTGGTACAAAGTAACAATGTTCTATAAAATGTTTATTAGTAGTACGCACTCATTCATAAACCAGTTTTTGTAACTTTGGTGAATTACCCGGTCTCCTTTCAGAGACCTCAGAGAGCTGCACCCTAATGTTGATGCTGTGATCTTCTGAGGGCAGAATCAGCCAAAATGGACCAGGAAAGTCTTTCACAAAATGAGATGCATTGGACCAGGTAGCGATGTAGAGGACAAGATAATTTGATTCGATAATTTAAGTACTTCTCTGATGCTTCTGGGCTTGTTGAAATTTTATACCTTGATGCAAAGGTCGTGGTATCTGTACAGTCTCTATGGGTAGTCAAAGCTTTTGAACACCTCTCATTTTGCTAAAGAAATTATTTTTATCATTTGTATAAGAAAAACAAAACAAAGAACAAACAGGAAAATGAAACTACTCTGGTATACACAACAACAATGTTTGAAAAGTTCAATATAATAATGCTTGGGCTGTGGATTTCAAAGGGTCTTCAAATAATGAGTACCCCTAGGGTATGGATTAAAGTTGCCTTCTATACAAAATACCATGCTTATAAAGGCATGTGTTAAAGAAAATCATTGTATAAATGGGCTAACTGGAAGGAAAACAGGTTAATTAATTTCAAGACACTCTCTGCTTTTAGTTGGCTTCAATAGTTGTCCAAACAGTGTGATAGAAAAATGAGAAAAAATTTTCAGTGGTTCAAAGGATTATATCATCTATTTCAGTAAGAGAAACAGAGGAAATAACAAGCCTCTCTTTCTTCTTGATTAGCAACAATTTCTCAGATAGTCTGATATTTTTAGTAAGCCAGTTAGAAAAAAATGTTGAAACTCTAAGCTGTTCATGTTGAAATTTATACAATAGAAATACAAAATTAGAGATGAAAGTCAATGGCCGAAAAACAGCAACAATTCATCTGTACGGCCAAGTAAATCCAACAGAAACATGTCTCAACTCAACTTTCCTTTGGCTTTCGTCTTCCAAAATGCCCATGAACACTCCAAAGCCATTCTTCAAGCCGGGAAAGATGGTAGCAAGACATTCAAAGTGCAAAGGGAGAGTGGTTTTACATTATCATGGCTAAATATTTTGTTATTGTCATTCATTTTTTAGTTTTGAAATCTTATAAATGCATATAATCATGTAATCACATTGACATGGGCCTTCCTGGGGCCTTGGGAGGGGCTGATGTAACCGCCAAGTCCGAAATCTAAGGTTTATACTTTCATGGCAAATCTTTCTATGCCTGAATTTGAAAAGTGTTCATAATGGTCTCTAGCTATTAGTTTTGCTGTTTGTAGTCTGTGATAAAAAAAACTTTACTGCTGGTTGTTTAAATATTTTTATTATACACGGAAAAATATCTTTATGATAAAGAATTCTTTACTTATAGGTATTCATTTTACACACACTCACACACATACACACACATATGTATATATTCAAGAGTGAAGTTTCTTAAATGCATAGAGTATGAAGTAAGCATTTTTTTTCTTCTTAGTATCCACACTAGGCATTATGCAGTTTATATCCAGAGAGAATGAAATAAATATTGATGGAATAGCTTAATAGACAAAGTAGCTGGAAAGAAATTTTCTAAAGAAATTTCTGTAACATCCATAACAAGTTGTGATTTATAGTAGGTTTTTAATAGATTTTCTACTTTTATTGAACTCATTGGTTAAGTTTGCCTAACGTACATACTATTCACTCAGATAAGTATTTTCAGAATTGTTTTTGTAATTTTCTGAATAATGCTAGCTCCCTTTTTAAAATGACCTGAAAATGCTCTTATTTGAGTGATTCCCTTTTTCCCCCTTGTATATGCTAAGTATAGTTAAAAGAAATGGTTTCTATACTTTAAAGAAATGTTTTACAATATTTTAAAATTTTCATTTATGAAGTTGAATTAAACATACAAGAACATTTCTTACAGCTTAGGTTAGGATGCTGATGCTTCTCAGGAGTGACGAATTTTAGTTTGGGTTTCTCATTCCCTATTTTGTTTGGACTCAGCAGTGTAGTGGGTGAGATCTATTTAAAATAATTTTGGGAATGTAGTAGATTCGATTATTGGCCCCAATACTTCACCCTTTCATGCTTCCATACTTTTCCCTACAGTTCATCATAGCTTGCCTCTTGACTTTTTGTTCGACCATGTGTATTAGTTTTCTGGGGCTGCGGTAACACAATGCCATAAACTGGGTGACTTAAATGATAGATATTTACGTTCTTACAATTCCGGTGTCTGGAATTCTGAAATCAAAGTGGTGGCAAGATTGGTTCCTTCTGAGGGCTGTAAAGGAGAAACAGTTCCATCCTTCTCTCCTACTTTAACCAACTGAACCACAGCGATCTTGGAGATATGTGAGCAGAAACAAATGTTGCTTTCAGGTATTTAGTTTGAACATGTTTTGTGATTTGGCAATTATTAGCAATACTTAACTGATACAGTTAGTATCTAAATTGTTTTCCTACTAAGTTTATTAGCTGCCTTGATATCAAAAAATTTTATGCATTTTATTTCAATATGATGAATGCTACTTTTTCTATTGTACTATATATTTAAAGATTTTAATAAATAAAATTTGTAAAAATTAAAAGGAATAACAAGAAAAATATGGAGGAATACCTTTTTTCAGTTTTACTTATCTAAAACCTTTTTAAAGAGAAAGGAGATATGCTTATGATTTACTGAGTTCACAAATGTTTTATTTTGTTATAATCCTCTCACTTTCACCTGAATTATACATCTGTTCATCCTAAACAAAAGAGTAAATACCTAGATAGTAGATTTTTTGTTAGCTAAACTACCCCACTCATTTCTACTTGGCAGAATCTAGAATTCTGAAAAGTAGAGGAATGTAGAATATTTAAGAAGTTAAAACATGCTGTGGTAGGCTTGTTTGTCTTTCAGGGATAGAGATCTTAGAAGAGCTATGTGAAAAGCTAGCATTCAGATGGAATGGTTTTTCATCCCTGGACCAAGCTTGTCCTCTTGAGTCATCCTAGCTAGAATATTTGTGGACGTTTTTTACATGAATCTGTGGAAGAGAAAACATGAGTATTAACTATAAGTTAAGGTGTTAAACACAACTGCAATGGGTACTCACTCTGCTGAAAGGAAACAACTATAAAGTGATGCATTTTTATCCAAGGATTTGCTCCTCTCCATAGAGATGACTAGAGATAATATCAGTTCCGAATTCATGAAATCACAGATTAATTTAAGTTCAACATGCAAATGAGTATAAATGTAAATTATATTTGTAATATTACCTATGAAAATTTTTATCTATTTATTATTATCAGTTTCTGGTTTGAAAACTAAGAACATAGATAAATCAAAACCCATATTGTTTTTTTGTGTGTGTTTCAGTAGGGCTTCACATGGGCAAGTTCAACGAGCCCTTATAAAGTAGTTGAAAATTAATTATCTAATCCCTAACTCTCTCCATAGATATAAAGATATAACTGCCATTTGGACATCTTTGCATGTCTTAAATTTCATGTAAGTCTCATGACTAATTAAATTTAGCCTATTACAAAATACTTCATTTTCTTTTCCAAATTCTGTCTTCTTCATAGAAAAAATCAATACCATGGTTGACTTTCTATATTTCTTTGTCAGTTAATGGTATATGGTTTCACAGTAAATCATGTTTTCAAGCCAAAAACTTGCATTCAATCTCAAATCTTTCTTCTCTTTCCTATCCAATCTCAAGTATCTATTCTGTTTTACTGTTTTCTTATTTATCCAATTTCATTATTAATTTTGCATTATTCCTAAAATACACTGATTATCACTCCATTATTTTAAAATATTTTGACAATTCTTCCTTTCCTAGAATTAGACAAGTATCTTATATTTATCCAAATTTACGTACTTTCCCACTTCTGAAATTAGTGAACAATTAATGTGATTCCAGAAAATATTACTTGTGGTTTCCTGAACATAAGGTGTTTTTTCACTCACATATCTAATCTACTAGTATCAAAATTCAGCCATGCCCCTGCCCTGTGCTTTGCTATTTTTTTATTGAAGACAGCATCACTATCAGTCTTGGCTGTCTGGTAGCATCAAAAAATATTACATTCACTTCCAGTCTCCATAGCCAATGCAACTCCATTGTGTTAGTCTGTCTGAGTCAGGAGTTTTTGACCTCAACCATGTGCTATGCCCAGAACACATTCTTACCCAGAAAAATCTGGAGACACACCCAGGCTTACAAGTGAAAACAGGATGTGAGGTGTGCAGCTTTGTTTCTGGGTTCTCTATTCTGTTCCTTTGGTTCGTGTATCTGTTTTTGTACCATTAACATGCAATTTTGGTCACTGTAGCCTTATAATATAGTTTGAAAACTGGAAATATGATGCCCCTGGCTTTGTTCCTTTTGCTCTGCCTGGATTTGTGGATTTGTTTGGCTATTTGGGCCCTTTTATGGTTCTGTATGAATTATATATATACATATATATATATGTATATATATACACTATATATATACGTATATATGTACATATATACATATGTATATATGTATATATACGTATATATGTACATATATGTGTATATATACACTATATATACATATATATACACTATATATATACATATATATGTATATATATACACTATATATATATTTTAATTTTGTGAAAAGTGACATTGGTAGTTTATAGGAATAGC
The DNA here is from genome assembly GCF_000001405.40 of Homo sapiens. Lineage (NCBI taxonomy): Eukaryota > Metazoa > Chordata > Mammalia > Primates > Hominidae > Homo > Homo sapiens. The sequence goes on along the minus strand of NC_000007.14, from coordinate 9,608,253 downwards.
ATTGAATCTGTAGAATGCTTTAGGCAGTATGGTCATTTTAACAATATTCTTTCAATCCATGCATGTGTAATGTTTTTCTACTTGCTTATATTACCTATGTTTTCTTTTACATGTTTTGTAATTCTTGTAAAGATTTTTAACCTCCTTGGTTAGATGTATTCCTAGGTATTTCAACCTTTCGTGGCTATTATAAATGGGACTGCATTCTTGATTTGGCTCTCAGCTTGAACATTATTGGAAGTGCCAGTAATTTTTGTCTGACAATTTTGTATCCTGAAACTTTACTGAAGTCATTTATCTGTTCTGGGAGCCTTTTGGAGGACTCTTTAGAGTTTTCTAGATATAGAACCATATTGTTAGTGAAGAGAGATAACTTGACTTCTTCTTCTCTGATTTGGATGTGTTTTATTTCTTTCTACCCTGTTTGCTCTAGCTAAGGCATCCAGGACTGTGTTAAATAGAAATGGTGAGAATAGACATCCTTGTCTTATTCTTGTTCTTAAGGGGAAATGCCTCCAGCTTTTATCCATTCAGTATGATGTTGGCTGTGTGTTTGTCATTATTTTGATGTATGTGCCTTTAATGCCTAAAGCCATCTGATCTTCAACAAAGTCAACAAAAATAAGCAATGCGGAAAGGACACCCTATTCAATATATCAGGCTGGAATCATTGGCTAGCCATATGCAGAAGAATGAAACTGGACCCCTACATTTCATCATATACAAAAATTCACTCAACTTGAATTAAACATTTAAATGTAAGACCTCATGTTATTAAAAAAGTCCTATAAGAAAGCCTAGGAAATATCATTTCAGACATTGGCCTTGACAAATAATTTATAATTCCTAAAAGGCAACTGCAACAACAACAACAAAAAATTAACAAGAGTGACCTAATTAAAGTGAAGCACTTTGACACAGCAAAAGAAACTATCAACAGAGTAAACAAACACCTACAGAATGGAAAAGAATATTTACAAACTATACATCCAACAAAAGCCTAATATCCAGAATCTATAAGGAGCTTAAACAATTGAACAAACAAAAAACAAATAACACCATAAAACAAATAACAATTGAACAAGCAAAAACCAAATAACTCCATTCTTGTCAAAGGGCAAGAACATACACTTCTCAAAAGAAGATATACAAGGGGCCAATGAACATATGAAAAAAATGCTTATCGTCACGAATCATCAGAGAAATGCAAATCTAAACCATAGTTACGTATTTTCTCACCCCAGGCAGAATCGCTGTTACTAAAAAGTCAAAAAATAACAGATACTGGCAAGATTGCAGAGAAAACACTTCTACATTGTTAATTTGAAGGTAAATTAGTTCACCCCCTGTGGAAAGTAGTTTGGAGATTTCTCAGTGACCTAAGAGTTGAACTATCATTGACCCATTGGTGGTTATATACCCAAAGGAAAAGGAATTGTTTTGCCAAAAGGCACATGCATTCATACGTTTATCACAACACTATTCACAATAGCAAAGACATGGAATAATGCCCATCAACAGTGGAACTGATAAAGAAAGTGTGCATACACACTATACTGTACAGCCATAAGAAAGAACAAAATCATCTCCTTTGCAGCAACATGGATACAGCCAGACGCCATTATTTTATGGGAACTAATGCAGGAATAGAAAACCAAATATGTCATGTTCTCATTTATAAGTGAGAGCTAAACATTGGGTACACAGGGACATAAAGATTACAACAATAGACACTGGGTATTACTAGGAGTGGGAGAAGGGAAAGGGCTGAAAAACTACCTATTGGGTACTATGCTTACTACCTGGGTGACAGGATCATTTGTACCTCACACCTTAATTTCACTCAATATACCCATGTAGCAAACCTACACATGTATCCCCTGAATCTAAAATAATAGTTGAAATTATTAAAGAAAAGGTAAAAAGAAAAATACACCCCTAGAAATAAATGGAAGCTTACTTTCTAAAAAAGATTCATCATTAACTCTTTCATGTTGGCTGTGTGTTTGTCATAGATGGCTATTATACTGATGTATGTTTTTAATGCCTACAACCATCTGATCTTCAACAAAGTCAACAAAAATAAGCAATGAGGAGAGGACACTCAGGAAATGAATAAGTTTGACAGAAAAAGAGAGTTCGTAAGCAAACACTGAGAACTTACTAGATGTTGCTTTCTCAAGTAGGCATCAATAGTCTCATAGAAATATAGAAATATACATGCCTAAGAAGTAAAGAGAAGCTTGCTTTCTGAGAAAGTCATTGTTAACTCTTCAATTACGTTAAATGGAAGAATTTATGGTATGAGATGCTTTTCTAAGCAAAAGTTTACAATACATTAAGAGAACATTTTTCTTTTTCCTTGGGCCCTCATTGGCTTATAGAAATATCCAGCTGTTAGAAGCCATCCTTCTCAGTAAACTAACACAGGAACAGAAAACCAAACCCCACATGTTCTCACTCATAAGCAGGGGTTGAAAAATGAGAACACATGGACACAAGGAGGGGAACATCACACACTGGAACCTGTCGGGGGTTCCGGGGGCAAGGGGAGGGAGAGCATTAGGACAAATACCTAATGCATTCGGGGATTAAAACCTAGATGACGGGTTGATAGGTGCAGCAAACCACCATGGCACGTGTATACCTATGCAACAAACCTGCACGTTCTGCACATGTATCCCAGAACTTAATAAAATAAAAATGGAAAAGGAAAAAAATTCAGCTGTACAGGACAAATGGAGTCATGCTTTCTTTCAAATGAATCATACACTCTTTTCTTTCATTGAATAAGAATTTCATACACAAACACAAAAAAGGAGTAAAAACAACCACCTCATAAGGGCTGTATCAATTTACATTCCTACCATCAGTGCACGTGGGTTTATTGTGAATATAGTTAATAATATCGTGTTGTTTACTTGAAATTTGGTAAGGGAGTAGATCTTAAGTGTTACCACACACACACACACACACACACAGGCACTCACACACACACCCCACAGTTGTAACTATGTGTACTTATAGATGTGCTCGTTAGTTTGTTTTTGGTAATTATTCACAATATGTATGTATATTAAAACATTACATAGTGCATTTTGAATATATAGAATTTTTATGTGTCAATTATACCTCACTAAAGCTAGGAAAAATTTAAATAAAATGAAATACAAGTCAAAATAAATAAATAACTAGAAACGTATCCCATCTTCAAAGTTAAAAACCAATTATAAATGGAAAAAACAAAACAAAGCAACACAGAAAACAACCACCTACCTTGCAGTGGGTGTCCTGATGGAGTGCCTTTTGTGTCCTTTAGTAAACCCCTATTTCAGTTAGGTTCATCTCAAACTTTAGAGATGTTTCAGTAACATAGACCTTCACAAGAGAATAGCAAGAGGTTTCTTACTTTTCTGAAAATTTGGTTACTCCTTCTTCTTCTTCTTCTTCTTCTTCTTCTTCTTTTTTTTTGAGACGGAGTCTCGCTCTGTCGTCCAGGCTGGAGTGCAGTGGCGCGATCTCAGCTCACTGCAAGCTCCGCCTCCCGGGTTCATGCCATTTTCCTGCCTCAGCCTCCCGAGTAGCTGGGACTACAGGCGGCCGCCACCACGCCCGGCTAATTTTTTTGTATTTTTTAGTAGAGACGAGGTTTCACCATGTTAGCCAGGATGGTCTGGATCTCCTGACCTCGTGATCCGCCCGCCTTGGCCTCCCAAAGTGCTGGGATTACAGGCGTGAGCTACCACGCCTGGCTGGTTACTCCTTCTTTTTAAAATTTAATGTGCAATAAAACACCATCAACCACTGGTCATTATCTGTTTATGTGAGCCAGCTTCTTTTGTCAATGTGTTTGCTTTTAATTTTCTGGAGTTATTCTCACAATTGTCTCCTATTTTAACCTTGAAGGTGAAGAGACAACCTCCAAGGAACAACAACAGGAACTGTTCTTTTTGTAACTATTTTTATTTCTTTGTTTCCATTGGTTTCTCATTAGTTTGAGGAGCTTTGAAAGGCATAGGAAAGCTCTATGTATATCCTAAATGTCAGTAGAGAGATCTTACATCTTATCTTAATGAATCAGGGGACATTTAAACACTTCACTCTTACCCAACTTAGCCACAGACAACATGGGAAAAGGGCAGTCACAAAATCATTGAAACCTAAGGCCGTGAAATCTATATTTTCATGAATATATTTAAGAAATAAGTAGAATTAAGGAAAAAAGATGGTGGGTAACAGCCATGACACAGACAATTTATTTTATGAGAAATACCCATGCTGAATATGCATTATTTAAAACATTAATCATATGTATAAATATACCAGAACAGAAAAGAAATGCTTAATTTTCTCCATTTGTCAGATATACTGATTTTTTTTGTACATTATAGCAAATTAAAAGTGTAAGTGCTTAATGAAGTCATTTTACAAAGCAAAGTTAGATGCACATGGCAATAAGTTTAGTTAAGTTTCAATCTCATAGAAGCTGATTTTTAAAACAAATCCTTTGGGCTACATTTTAATATATAGGCTCTAAGCCTGCCTGGCAAGATCACTACAAAATTTGATACAAATCAGCACATTCAAAAAATTAGGAAGTAAATAGCTTGGTTTTATATAGTTCAAGACATTATTTCATATCTTAAGCAAAAAAATAAAATAAAACAGCTGAGCTTAAAATTTGGCAGGCACTCAGTCCTTAATCTAGAATATTTACTATATTTAAAGCATAAATTAAATTTCTTGCATCTGGATACATTATAAGGAACTGGATGGAATCCTAATGTAACTTCTCTGGGAACAAATGAATTCCCCAACCAACTAAATCAGCCAAATGATTTTTTTATAGATTTATCTTTGTTAATAAGGCAAAACAAGCACTTTGCAAGTGTAGTATATTATTTGTTGCTACACAATTTTTTCCTACAACTTTTTACTCTTGCCCACACAGCACATGTGTAAGCATTGAAGGACCTACAGGAAAAGCTTCCTCTTTATCTTATAAATGACCTACTGGTATATGCACAGAAATAAATCTCAGCATCTGCCCTAGAACTTAGGACACCAACCTATCTCTCTGACAGATAACTTTTAACTTATTTACAAAGATAGATGAGAAAGTGAAGCAGGTATAGCAGAATAGAAAGTTCAAGGCCCTTGTTACACTAACTCGTTGAAACAAAGCAATATCTTCTCTATATCTCTTTACTTTTGGAAGGGAATTTGCTATTTTTTAAATTGATATTTTTTGTGCATGTAGTTATCCAATCGACACCCTTAGAGAGCCAAGAAATATTAAAATATCAATAATACCATTTTCATTCTGTATTAGTCAATTTTCATGCTGTTGATAAAGACATACCCAAGTCGGGATAATTTGTAAGGAAAAGAGGTTTAATGAGCTCACAGTTCCACGTGGCTGGGGGTGCCTCACTGTGGTGGCAGAAGGTGAAAGGGATGTCTTACTTGGTGGCGGAGAAGAAAGAATGAGAGTCAAGGGAAAGAGGAAACCCCTTATAAAATCATCAGATCTCATGAGACTTATTCACTACCATGAGAACAGTATGGGAAATACCTCTCCTATGATTCAATGATTTCCCATTGGGTCCCTCCCACAACACGTGGAAATTATGGGAGCTACAATTCAATATAATATTTGGGTGGGAACACAGCCAAATCATATCACATCCATTAGATTCATAAATAAAAATAAAATATTGTAAAAATAAAGATTATGATAAATGGCTACCTTTAAGCAGTGATTGTGGAAACGTACATAGTAGTCTTACTGTAGGGTAATTTAATAAATAAAACATGCTAGAATTTTATGTAGTATTTGCATATATGATTCCATATATTCTGTATCTTAGTAAAATAAATGTGAACATGTGCAACCATAGAACTGCTGTGATATCCATTGAGGGGAGATGTGTGTGTGTGTGTGTGTGTGTGTACATCGTGTGGAAAATTATATGTATGTATATATAGTATGTATATATATAATGGGGTACTTATATTTATCTATATATGAAATGGGGAAATTATAAACAATCTAAAAGCACAAACATATGGAATTGATTCAAAAAGTCATAAAACATAAATAACGAACTTTAAAATATGAAAGACAGCAGTTTTCCAAACTTCTTAGCTGCTGTATTCTCCCCACCCTATGAGACTGCATGTAGTGCTCAATTCTCTGTCTAAGGATGCCACTCGTTTTTCCCTAACGCAAAGGACACCCCATGAAGCATTTCCATGGAACCCAGGGGCGTGCTGAAACTCTATTGGCGAATCGCTGTTACAGAACACTATTTAGTAACTCTACATCTACTCAAAATATGTGGCTTTAACAAATTAAACACAAGTTACAAACAACAAAATCATGCACAGACAGTTCCCACCTTATGAGAGCTTGACTTATGCTTTTTTGACTTTATGATTATGCAAGTGATATGTATGTCTCAATACACAAGAATGTATTCAATAAATTACATAATATATTGAATATTTTATTATTAAATAGGATTTGTGTTATATGATTTTGCTGAAATGTAGGCTAATGTAAATGTTCTGGGCACATTTAAGGTAGGCTAAGCTAAGCTATGATGTTGGTAAGTCAGGTGTATTAAATACATTTTTGGCTTTGGATATTTTATACTTACAATGGGTTTATCAAGATATAACCTCATAATAAGTTGAGGACCATCTGTGTGTATGTATATCTTTAGAAAAAAAACTGAATCCTTATGCTAAAACAATTAATAGGAATTATTCCTGGGAGGTGACTTTTCTTTTGCAACCTTTGCAAGTTTTTGCATTCAATTTTTTCTCAACGGTCACCTTCTTGGTAGGCCTTCCTAGATTACCCTATTTATTGTTTTATTTATTTGTTATTGTTTCTTTTTTTCTTTTTCAACTTTTAGTTTATAATGAGGGTACATATGTTAAGTTCGTTACAAAGGTACATTATGTGATACTGAGTTTTGCGGTATGACTAAATCTGTCATCCAAGAAATGAGCATAGTACCCAGTAGGTAGCTTTGCAGCCCTTGGTCCATCCACTCCCACCTGCCCCCTCTAGTGGTCTCCAGTGTCCATTGTGCCCATCTTTATGTCCATGTGTACCCAATGTTTAGCTCCCACTTATATGTGACAACATGCCATATATTGTTTTCAGTTTCTGGTAATTTCACTTAAGATAATGGCCTCCAGCTGTATATATGTTACTGCAAATGACATGATTTCACTCTCTTTTATGGCAATATAGTATTCCATGGTATATATGTACCATATTTTCTTTGTCTAACCTGCCATTGATGGGCACCTGGGTTGATTCCATATTTAACATACAGGTGCATGTATCCTTTTGGTAGAATTATTTATTTGGGGTATAAAATCAGTAATGGCATTGCTGAGTTGAAGGGTAGTACAATCCTTAGTTCTTTGCAGTATCTCCAAACTGCTCTCCACAGTAGCAGTATTAATTTACATACCCACCAACAGTGTATGAGCGTACCCTTTTCTCTGCAGCCTTACCAACATCTTGTGACTTTTTTATAGTAGGCATTCTGACTAGTGTGAGATGATACATTATTGTAGTTTTCATTTGCATTTCTCTGATGATTAGTGATGATGAGCATTTTTTCATGTTTGTTGGCTACTTGTATGTCTTCTTTTGAGAAGTGTCTGTTCATATCTTTTGACCATGTTTTAATGGGATTACATGATTTTCTTTGTTGAATTAAGTTTCTTGTAGATTCTGGATACTAGACTTTTGTTAAATGTATAGTTTGCAATTTTTTTTCCCATTCTGTAGGTTATCTGTTCACTGTTTATAGTTTCTCTTGCTGTACAGAAGCTCTTTAATCTAATTAGGTCCTACTTATCAATTTTTGGGGTTTTTGTGCAATTCAGGTAAGCCTATTTAAAACTTCACCCACAGCCAATATTTCTGACCTATTTAATCTGCTCTACTTTCTTATTTTCCCCGTAACACCTAGCAAATATATATAAAATTTATATTTTATACAATAAGTAAATAATGATGTACTTATTGATTTTTTTAATATGTGTTGTTTTTCTCCACCATAGTAGAATGTAAACCCCATAAAGGAAGCAAAATATTTTCATCACTGATGTGTTTTGTATGCCCAGCAGTGCCTGATACATAGTAAGACATTAAATAATTAGTTAACAAAAGTTTATTTGTTCTTTATGAATATTCTTTAATATATTAATTTTATTTAAAATAACTTCTTTTCTTTCAATTATCTTTGTTTGGAATTCATAGAAAGTCCCTGGCTCTAGGAAATTCAAGGAAACTTGGTTATTTATGAAGCCATGACTTAATGGATAACATCTAAACATCATTACAGCATCACAGAATTGCTGCAGAGTTATTTATTTAGCTTATATAAAATAAATATACAACTTACAACACTTTCACTATAATTTGGCTTTAGGATGAAAATCATTATGAATCTTCTCCTAATTGTTTAGGAATTATGTAATAGAATAGTATAACTGTATGAGGAATAAAATGCTAGGCCATTGATCTCAAGATCATTATTAGGTAATATGAAGAATTCTTCCGCTATAATGAAAAAGAACACATGTTAAAAGTCAGCCATAGGGAAGTTATTATTTTTCATAGAGCGTCTATATGTCTAAATTTTCACATTACTGTTCTAAAGACACCGATCTGTTAGAATAGCATTGGCATTTATTCTAATTAATCATTATTTTAAGAAGACTGTGTGTAGAAAACTAACCATTTCAAATTGGGACAAATGACAAGAGACTGTCACGTCCACCTAAACAATAAGGAAATATTCAATAAGCATTTTTAAACCCATCAGAGCTGTAGATAAAAATAAAGTCGAAATGTACAAAATTCCAAAGTAGTACAATCCTTATCAGGTGAGAAAAGATGAATGGCCTTATATTTCCCTAGGAAAGCATGGTGGAAATAGAAATAAACCTGTCAGAGATATTACAGGAGTAAGGGGGGGAAATGCAAAAACGTTTATTTTGTTAAATTTTTAGTATGATACATTTTCAAACTTAAAGAAAAGCTGCAATAATAGTACAAATATTTCTGTCTCTCCTTAGATTGGTCTTTTGTTTATATTTTACCTCATTTGCTTTATCATCTACTCTCTCTCCTCCTGATCTATCAATCTATTTACATATATATTTTTCCTGAAACATTTCAGAGTAAGTTAGAGGCATTTACCTGAAATCATTCCGTGTGAATTTCTTAAGAATATGAACATTTCCTTAAATAACCACAGTCTAGTCAACAAAATTAGTATAATTATCAAAATCCAAATAGCCATTCTATAGTTAACCTTGATAAAATTATACTACCTAACCCACAGTACATATTCAGATTTTTGTCAGTATTCCTAATAATGTTCTTTGTAGTACTTTTCTTCCCTAGTCCATGTTATGCATTGCCTTTAATTTTCATGTCCCTTTATTCTTCTTTACTCCAGAATAGTTTCTCTGTCTTTTTGTGTGTATGTTCCTTGATGTTGACATTTTTTAAGAGTACAGGCCAGGTGTTTGTTTATTTGTTTTGCATAATATTTCTTTATTTGCCTTTGCTGATATTTCCTCATGATTAGACACCAATTAAGCAATTTGTTAGAATACATCACATCAGAAGGCACATGATATCACCTTGATTTAATAGTGGTTACGTCAGTATTGACCAATTAGTTACAAGCCATGTTTCTGAGAACCTGTAGACAAGAGTGACAGATTTTATTGTGATGAAATTCAGAAGCAGAGACCAAAGTCCTTCTTTTCCGCATTTGTTCTCCCTGGGTTTTCATCAAGAACACAACAGTACACAAGAAGTCAAGGCAGGGCTGGAAAGCAGATAAATTTCTCCAGAATCTAGTGATGCTTCGATTGTAGCCCTTTGGAAGGCAGGGGGACCTAAAATTGACTTTAAATAATCTGAAATAGGTAGTGAATTGACATTAGCTAAAGGTACAGCATAGCACACAACAAGATCTACTCTGGATGAATTTGTAGAAGTAAGGCCTTCACATTTAATACCTTATAAAAAGGGGTTATTATTTACTGAAAATAAATATTATCCACCAGCATCTGTTCAGTTCTTTCCAGCATAGAATACCAAAAATCTGAGATACACAAAGAAACAAAACAATGGAACTCCCAATAAAGTAAAACATTGAACATGAAGATTTAAAATAACTGTTAGGATTAGTTAATGTATACATGAGGAAAAGATGGACTTAATGTGGAAAAGATAGAGAATTTCATCAGAGAAACCAAAATCCTAAAAAAGAACTGAATGAAAACTTTAGTACTGAATCATATCATATCTAAAATAATAAATAGATTAGATGGATATATCAACAGACTAGATAAAGAAGAAAAAACCCAAAAGATTAATAAAATTTATGTAATCTGAACACAGAGAAAATATATTAAACTCAGCAGAACTTCAGAGACCTATGGTGAAATATTAAATATTCTAATGTACATGTATTTAGAATTCTAGAAGGAGATTTTTTGATGTGTATTATACCAACTTTATCAATTTTGCAAAATTATACAAAAGAACTCACTATCACGAGAACAACACAAGGGAAACTGCCCCCATAATTCAATCCCCTCCCATAAGGTCTCTCCTTCAACATCTGGGGATTACAATTCAAGATGAGATTTGGGTGGGGACACAAAGCCTAACCATATGATTCTGCCCCTGGTCCCTCCAAAATCTCATGTATTTTAGTATTTCAAAACCAATTGTGCCTTCCCGCCAGTCCCCCAAAGTCTTAGCTCACTTCAGCATTAACTCAAAAGTCCACAGTCCAATGTCTCATCTGAGACAAGGCAAGTCACTTCTGTCTATGAGCCTGTAAAATCCAAAGCAAGATAGTATTAAAAAATCAAGTTAGTTACTTCCGAGATACAATGGGGGTACAGGCATTGGGTAAATATTTCCATTCCAAATAAGATAAATTGGCGAAAACAAAGGGGCTACAGGTCCCATGCATGTCTGAAATCCAGTAGGGACAGTCATTACATCTTAAAGCTGATAAATAATCTCTTTTGATGCTAAGTCTCACTTCCAGGTCACACTGATGCAAGAGGTGAGCTCTCCATGGTCTTGCGCAGCCCCACCCCTGTGGCTTTGCAGGGTACAGCTCCTCTCCTGGCTGCTTCCATGGGCTAGCATTGAGTGTCTGTGACTTTTCCAGGTGCACCATGCAAGCTGCCAGTGTGTGGATCTACCATTCTGGGGTCTGAAGGACAGTGACTCTCTTCTCATAGCTCCACTAGGCAATGTCCCCGTGGAGACTGTTTGTGGGGGCTCCGAACCCACATTTCCCTTCCTCCTAAATCTCAATTGTTTTCGGTGTATCTGCACGCCCAGTACCACATGTAAGCTGCCACAGGGCTGGGGCTTGGACCTTCTGAAGCAACAGTCTGAGCTGTACCTTGGCCCCTTCTAACCACTGCTGGAACTAGAGCAGCTGGGATACAGGGCATTAAATCCCAAGGCTGCACAGTATAGAGCGGTCCTGGACTCAGCCCGTAAAACCATTTTTCCTTTCTAGCCCTCTGGGCATGTGATGGGAAGGGCTGCTATCAAGATCTCTGACATGCCCTAGACACATTTTCCCTATTGTTGTCTTGACAAGTGACATTATGCTCCTCATTACTTATGAAAATGTTTGCAGCATGCTTAAATTTCTCTCCAGAAAATGAGTTTTTCTTTTCTACCACATCATCAGGCTGCGCATTTTTCAAACTTTTATGCTCTACTTTCCTTTTAAACGTAAGTTCCAATTTCAGATCATCTCTCAAGTTCAAAGTTCCACAGATCTCTAGGGCAGGGGCAAAACGCCAGTAGTCTCTTTTCTTTTATTTATTTATTTATTTATTAATTATTATTATTATTTTTATTATACTCTAAGTTTTAGGGTACATGTGCACATTGTGCAGGTTAGTTACATATGTATACATGTGCCATGCTGGTGCGCTGCACCCACTAATGTGTCATCTAGCATTAGGTATATCTCCCAATGCTATCCCTCCCCCCTCCCCCGACCCCACCACAGTCCCCAGAGTGTGATATTCCCCTTCCTGTGTCCATGTGATCTCATTGTTCAATTCCCACCTATGAGTGAGAATATGCGGTGTTTGGTTTTTTGTTCTTGCGATAGTTTACTGAGAATGATGGTTTCCAATTTCATCCATGTCCCTACAAAGGATATGAACTCATCATTTTTTATGGCTGCATAGTATTCCATGGTGTATATGTGCCACATTTTCTTAATCCAGTCTATCATTGTTGGACATTTGGGTTGGTTCCAAGTCTTTGCTATTGTGAATAGTGCCGCAATAAACATACGTGTGCATGTGTCTTTATAGCAGCATGATTTATACTCATTTAGGTATATACCCAGTAATGGGATGGCTGGGTCAAATGGTATTTCTAGTTCTAGATCCCTGAGGAATCGCCACACTGACTTCCACAATGGTTGAACTAGTTTACAGTCCCACCAACAGTGTAAAAGTGTTCCTATTTCTCCGCATCCTCTCCAGCACCTGTTGTTTCCTGACTTTTTAATGATTGCCATTCTAACTGGTGTGAGATGATATCTCATAGTGGTTTTGATTTGCATTTCTCTGATGGCCAGTGATGATGAGCATTTCTTCATGTGTTTTTTGGCTGCATAAATGTCTTCTTTTGAGAAGTGTCTGTTCATGTCCTTCGCCCACTTTTTGATGGGGTTGTTTGTTTTTTTCTTGTAAATTTGTTTGAGTTCATTGTAGATTCTGGATATTAGCCCTTTAATAATGCCGCATATCTACAACTATCTGATCTTTGACAAACCTGAGAAAAACAAGCAATGGGGAAAGGATTCCCTATTTAATAAATGGTGCTGGGAAAACTGGCTAGCCATATGTAGAAAGCTGAAACTGGATCCCTTCCTTACACCTTATACAAAAATCAATTCAAGATGGATTAAAGATTTAAACGTTAAACCTAAAACCATAAAAACCCTAGAAGAAAACCTAGGCATTACCATTCAGGTCATAGGCGTGGGCAAGGACTTCATGTCCAAAACACCAAAAGCAATGGCAACAAAAGACAAAATTGACAAATGGGATCTAATTAAACTAAAGAGCTTCTGCACAGCAAAAGAAACTACCATCAGAGTGAACAGGCAACCTACAACATGGCAGTAGTCTCTTTTCTAAAGCAGAGCAAGACTGACCTTTGCTCTGGTTCTCAAGGAGTTCCTCGTATCCATCTGCAACCCCCTCAGCCTGGACTTCATTGGCCATATTACTATCAGCATTTTGGTCACAACCATTCAACAAGTTTCTAGGAAGTCCCAAACTTTCTCACATCTTCCTGTCTTCTTTTGAGCCCTCCAAACTGTTCCACCCTCTGCCCATTACCCAGATCCAAAGTTGCTTCCATATTTTTACATTTCTTTATAGCAATACCTCACTCTTGGTATCAATTTCCTGTATTATGAGGTTGTTGCAATAGTAATTGCAGTTTTTGCCATACTTTTAATTACTTTGCTGTTACTTTTAATGACAAAAACTGCAATTACTTTTGCATCAACATAAGAGTTTGATTTCACACTGCTGTAAAGAACTCCCTGAGACTGGGTAATTTATAAACCAAAAAAAAAAAAAGAAAAAAGAGAAAAAACTTTAATTGACTCACAGTTCTGCAGGTCTGGGAGGCCTCAGGAAACTTACAATCATGGCAGAAGTCACCTCTTCACAGGGTGACAGAAGAGAGAAGAAGAGAGCAAGAGAGAAACTACCAAACACTTACAAAACCATCAGATCTCATGAGAACTCACTATCAGGAGAAACAGCTTGGGGGAAACCATCCCTATGATCTAATCGCCGCCTATCAGGTCCCTCCCTCAACATCTGGGGATTACAATTCAAGATGAGATTTGAGTGGGAACACAAAGCCTAACTATATCAAACACCATGTAGTTCAGTGGTCTACAGAAATGTCATAAACCACAAGTATTCGGACTAGCAATAGACAAAATACATAGTTTCTTTTATATGGTTGCATCAACTGTAAATCATTCTTAATAAGGAGTCAAATATATTGGTTTTCTAAAATGAAGCAAGGAATTAAAATAAAATGTACAAAAGGATGTTCTATTTTCCTAAGTCATAAAATTATAAATCAGATTTTTTAACTTAAACTTCAGAAATGAGATAGTAAAGTGATTGGCCATAGCATACACTAGAGAAGATTTGATAGGAAGGGGAACATTTGGAAAAGAGAAAAATAAATCATACTTAACAGTAGTCAGTGATGATGGGAAATATTGCTGCAGAAATTGCTCATGATGAATAATGGATAATGATCCACAGGCCATATTGACAAATCATTGCTGAAAGCAAAGAAGAAAGAAAAATTCAATGTGTGGCAGTTAGTTTTACCTTAAAGCTTTATATACATATAAACATTTAGAGAGATCTCTGGAATATAAACAATGGGGACAAAGGCAAATAGCATTTAAAACCCAAGATGGAAGTCTCTACTAAAACTCAAGGTTTGATGCAACCCTCATATCCCTATTTCTCTGAATAGTGACACCTTCCCAGAATCATCTTTGATTACAATGAATGTGCTGATTATATGTGTCTCATTATGTAAGGCAATCTATCACTGTGGTAGCTAAAGAAATTACCTGTCAAAATTTTCTGCCTGAATTTTAGTGTTCAAATTATATCCTCTATATAATACTTGAATTCCCATTCATCTAAGATTATTTTAAAATAAAAGTGGTAGATATTTCCCCTATTTTCACAATTAAAGTAAGCATAGATTCTAATTGAAGTCATGGATGACAATAGCTATCTTAATACTTTAAATCAAATGATTATTAAGTATTAATTTGGAACACAAATATAATAGTGAAAAGACTTGACATCAAAGTGAAAGAGAACTTCTAATTAGCTACTGTGTTACTCTCAAATCTTTGCCATAACTGAGTTAGAATATGTTTCTGAAACTATGAATTCCTTAGTATCCTATAGTAAGATCAGTATATTATTGGGAACAATGTAATCAATAGGGCTAATTATTTGAACTTCTCCTTTTTTAACTTTTATTTTAGATTGTGTGTTACTGCTGCAAGTTTATTATATAGATAAATAGCATGTCACGGGGATTTGATGTACAGACTATTTTGTCACCCAGGTAATTAGCATATTATCCCATGGGTAGCTTATTGATCGTCACCCTCCTCCCACCCTCCACACTCAAGTAGGCTCAAGTGTCTGTTGTTCTGTTCCTTGTGTCCATATATACTCAATATTTAGCTCCCACTTATAAGTGAGAACATACCATTTTCGATTTTCTCTTCTTGTGTTAGTATGCTTAGGATAATAGCCTCCAGCTTCATCCACATTGCTGCAGAGGACATAATCTCATTCTTTTTAATAGATACTTAGTAGTCCATGGTGTATATCTATGACATTTTTTCTGCCAGTCTACCATGAATGGGCATTTAGGTTGATTTCATGTATTTGCTATTATGAATAGTGCTGCCATGAACATACATGTGCATGTGTTTTTACAGTAGAAAGATTTATATTCCTCTGAGTTCATACTCAATAATGAGTTGCTAGGTGGCATAGTAATTCTGGTTATTTGAGTATTCTCCAAACTGCTTTCCACAGTGAGGGAACTAATTTACATAACCACCAGGAGTACATAAGCATTCCCTTTACTCCACAAACTTGCCAAAAACTGCTGTTTTTTGACTTTTTAATAATAGCTATTCTAGCTGGTGTGAGCTAATATTTCACTGGGGCTTTGATTTCCATTTCTCTAATGAGCACTGATGTTGAGCATTTTTTTCATATAGTTGTTGGCTGTGTATATGTCTTCTTTTGAAAAATGTCTGTTTACATCCTTGGTCCACTTTTTAATGAAGTTGTTTGTTTTTTGCTTGTAAATTTGTTTAACTTCCTTAGAGATTCTGGACATGAGACCTTTGTTGGAAGCACAGTTTGCAAATATTTTCTCCCATTCTGAAAGTTGTCTGTTTACTCTGAAGATAGATGGTTTTGTGAAGCCGAATATCTTTACTTTAATTGGGTCCCATTTGTCAATTTTTATTTTAGTTGCAACAGCTCTTGGCATCTTGTCATGAAATCTTTGCACAGTCTTATGTCTGGGATAGCAGTTCTTAGGTTATCTTCCAGGGTTATTATATTGTTAGGTTTTACACTTAAGTCTTTAATCCATCTTGAATTGATTTTTATATATGGTGTAATATATAAAAGGAAGGGTTTTAGTTTCAGTCTTCTGCATATGGCTAGCCAGTTATCCCAGGACCACGTTTTTGAATAGGGAGTCCTTTCCCCATTGCTTGTTTGTGTCAATTTTGTCACAGATCAAATGGCTGTAGGTGTGCTGCATTACTTATGTTCTCTCTTTTCTTATCTATTGGTCTATGTGTCTGTTTTTGTACCAGTACCATGCTGTTTTGGTTATTATAGCCTTGTAGTATAGTTTGAAGTCAGGTAATGTAATGCTTCCATGTTTATTCTTTTTGCTTAGGATTGCCTTGGCTATGTGGGCTCCTTTTAGTTTCACACAAATTTTAAAATAGTTTTTTTCTAATTCTGTGAAGAATGTCACTTGTAGTTTGATAGGTATAACATTGAATCTGTAAATTGCTTTGGACGACATGGCCATTTTATCAATATTGATCTTCCAATCCATGAGCATGGCATGTTTTCTCATTTGTTTGTGTCATCTTTGATTTCTTTTAGCAGTGTTCTGTAATTCTTATTGTAGAGATCTTTCACCTCCTAGGTTAACTGTATTCCTAGGTATGTTATATTTTTGGCTACTGTGAATAGGATTTTGTTTGTGATTTTGCTCTCAGCTTAGATGTTGTTGGTGTATAGGAATGCTACTGATTTTTGAACATGGATTGTGTATACTGAAATTTCGCTAAAGTTGTTTATGAGATCAAGGAGTTTCTGGATACAGATTATTGGGTTTTTGAGGTATAGAATTACTCATACGTGGGAAATGAACAATGAGAATACATGGACACAGAGTGGGGAACATCACACACTGGGGCCTGTCTGGGGGCGGGGGGCTAGGGGAGGGATAGCATTAGGAGAAATACCTAATGTAGATG
This sequence comes from Homo sapiens, assembly GCF_000001405.40. NCBI lineage: Eukaryota > Metazoa > Chordata > Mammalia > Primates > Hominidae > Homo > Homo sapiens. Next base: position 9,591,052 of record NC_000007.14, on the reverse strand, counting down.
ATGGGTTGATGGGTGTAGCAAACCACCATGGCACATGTATACCTATGTAACAAGCCTGTACATTCTGCACATGTACCCAAGAACTTAAAGTAATATAAAAAAAGAATTATATCATCTACAAAAATGAATAGTTTGACATTCTCTTTGAGGGTTTTTTGTATTTCTGTGGCATCAGTGATAACATCCCTTTTATCATTTCTAACTGTGTTTATTTGGTTCTTCTCTCTTTCTTCTTTATTAGTCTAGCTAGCAGTCAACTTATCTTATTGAGTCTTTCAATAAGCCAATTGCTGGATTGGTTGATCTTTTGTGTGCTTTTCTATCTTTGATCAATTTTTGATCTTTTGTATGTTTTTTGTTTCTCAATTACTTCTGTTTAGCTCTAATTTTAGTGATTTCTTACCTTCTGCTAGCTTTGGGATTGGTTTGCTTTTGTTTCTCTAGTTTCTTGTTGTAATGTTAGGTTGTTAATATATGATCTTTCCAATTTTTTGTTGTAGGCATTTAGTGCTGTAAACTTTCCTCTTAACACTTATTTAGCTGTGTCCCAGCTAAATTTAGCTGTGTCCCAGAGATTATGGTATGTTGTGTCTTTGTTCTCATTAGTTTCAAAAAATTTCTAGATTTCTGCTTTAATGTAATTATTTATCCAGATGTTATTCAGGAGCAGGTCGTTTCATTTCCATATAATTTTATGGTTTTGAGCAATTTTCTTAGCACTGATTTGTGTTTTTACTGCACTGTGGTCTGAGAGAGTGGTTGGTATGATTTCAGGTTTTTTTTTTTGTAATTTGATGAGGATCATTTTATGCCAGATTGTGTGGTCAATTTTAGAGTATGTGTCATGTGCACATGCAAAGAATATATATTCTGATTTTTTTTGGGTGTAGAGTTCTGTAGATGTCTATTACATCCATTTGTTCAACTGTTGAGTTTAGGTCCCAAATATCTGCTGTTTTTCTGTCTTGATAATCTGTATAATTCTGTCAGTGTGTTGAATTCTATCATTATTATTCTGTGCTTATCTAAGTCTCATCATAAGTCTCTAAGGACTTCATGAATCTGGGTACTCCTGTGTTGAGTGCATATATACTTAGGATAGTTAGGTCTTCTTGTTGAATTGAGGCTTTTCCAACTATTGAATGTCCTTCTTTGTTTTGATCTTTGTTGTTTTAAAGTCTATTTTGTATAAAATTAATACCAAATCCTGCTTTCCATTGTTTTCTGCTTACTTGGTAAATTTTTCTCCACCTTCTTACTTTGAGCCTGTGGGTGTCATTGCATGTGACATGGGTCTCTTGAAGATAGCATACAATTGATTCTTGCTTCTTTATCCAGCTTGCTACTCTGTGCCTTTTAACTATGGCATTTACCTCATTTACATTCAAGATTTGTATTGATATGTGCAGATTTTATCCTGTCATTATGTTGTGAGCTGTTTATTATTCTGACTAGTTTGCGTGGGTGCTTTATGGTGTCTCCATTCTATGTACTTAAGTGTGTTTTTGTACTAGCCAGCAACAGTCGTTCCTTTCCATATATCGCACTCTCTTCAGGACTTTTTATAAAGTAGTTCTGGTGGTAAAAAGTTCCTTTAGCATTTGGTATTCTGAAAAGAATTTTATTTCTCCTTTGTTTATGAAGCTTAGTTTGACTGGATATGAAATTTTTGGATGGAAAGTATTTTCTTTTATAATGCTGAATGTAAGCCCCCTATCTCTTCTGGTTTCTGGGTTTTTACTGGAAGATTTGCTATCAGCCTGTTATACTTCCCTTTGTACGTAACCTGCCTCTCCTCCCTAACTGCCTTTAACACTTTTTTCTTTCATTTTGACATTGGAGATTCTGACAACTATGTGTCTTGGGGATGATCTTCTTGTTAGTGTTTCACAGGGTTTTTTTTTTTTTTGCATTTCCTGAATTTGAATGTTGGTCACTCAAGATAAATTTTCATGGATGATAAACTGAAATATGTTTTCAAAGTTGCTTGCTTTCTCTCTCTCTCTTTCAGGGATGACAATGTGTCATAGATTTAGTCCCTTTACACAATCCTATATTTCTTGGAGGTTTTGTTCAATCTTCTTTAAATTTTTTCTTTATTTTTGCTAGACTGAGTTATTTTCGAGACCCATTCTTTGAGCTCTGAGATGCTTTCTTCAGTTTGTTCGATCCTGCTGTTAATATTTGTGATTGTACTCTGAAATTCTTGAAGTGAGTTTTTCACTTCTATAAGGTCAGTTTGGTTCTTACCTAAAACGGAAATTTTTTTCTTTTAATTTCTGTATTATTTTACTGTATACCTTAGAATTCTTGGATTGGGTTTCAACTTTTTCCTGAAGCTTGATGTTCTTCATTTTGTATCAATATTCTGAATCCTATTTCTATCATTTCAGCCATTTTAGCCTGGTTCCGAACTATTGCTGGGAAACTAGTGCAGTGACTTGGATATAAGAAGAAACTCTGGATTTTTGAGATGTCAGAGTTATTTAGCTGGTTTTTTATCACTTAGATTTAAATGAATGATTTGACTTTGCTGTAATCCAATTATTTTATGGTTAAGAATTAGCCAACAAGTTCCTGAATTTGTTGTTACAGAAGATTGGTTATTTCTAGGTCGAAAAGCTGTGGATCATAACCACAGTTTATTGATGCTTTTGTTCAATTTCTTTGTAAAAGTGATCTGAGTAAGACTCTTTGCCACTTCCAACTGATGATAGGAATTGGATGAATTTCACAGTTTTCACCTTACAGTGTTATGGAATCACATATTAATCTTCACACCAATAAACAAATAAAAAACTGAACTATTACATTATCAAATGAGCAAATTACCTCAGTGGGCTGTCTTAGGAGCTGGAATACTAAATTTTGTTGTCACTTGCAGTCATAAAGTTAATTGGTATAACCATTTAATTATATGAATTGAAGCAATACAGATATCAATCATCCTAAAATTAATCTATAAATTTAACACAATTGCAATCAAAATTCCAAGAGAATTTTGGTCCTGCTAAACTAATACTAAAACTTATATATAAAATAAAGTGCTTAAAATAGGTAAACAGATTTTAAATGAGAGCACAGAGAACTTATGTTACTTGATTTTAATTATAAATATAGATCAGAAGTCCAAAATCTATAGCCTGTTATCTAAATCCTACTGTGATTTCTTTTTGTACAGCTTAAGAGCTAACAATGGTTTTACATTTTAAATAATTATAAAAACAAAGGAGAATATGAAACAGAGATCATATGTGGCTCACAAAACATAAAATATTTATTGTGTGGCCCTTTACATAAAAAGTTTGCTGGCTCTTCATGTATGGTAGCAGTAATTGCAAGAGTGTGGTAATGACAAAGGACAAATAAGTAAATCAAAGGAACAAAATAAATGTCTAAAAATCAAACTAAACATATATAGTCACATTATCATTGACAATGTTATTTTGGTAACTCAGTGGAGCCAGGCATTTTTTTTCAAAAATGTTTCTTTAGTATCTAGATATCATATTTTAAACAAGGTCCATACCTCCTATCATCTGTTAAAATTCAGACTGACCTCATGTCACCCCATGGTTGAAAGCAAGCATGAAAAGGACTAAAAGAAGGTTACTGTGGCTGGAGAGGAGGGAAATGATATGAGAAGAGCATGTAGAGAAGAGAAAGGGACCAAAGCATGCACAGCTATTTTCAGCTATTTTGGACAGAATATTTAGGGAAAGCTTCTATTGATAAAGTGGCATTTGAACAGAAGCCAGAAAGACTCGAGAGGGTCAAGAGAAAGACTAAGAAAAGAGCAAAGGCCGTGAAGTTGGCTAAAGTTTGTTGTGTTATAGGAAACAAAAAGAATGATCAAAGGCGAAGAGTGGAGAAAAATTTGGAAAAGAATTAGTTCATGAATAGGCTGGCAAGTAATAGTAAGAACTTCAGATTTTATTTTAATGTGATTGCAAGCCAGTAGAAGGTGCTGAGCAGAGGAATACATAGTTTGATCTACATTTTAAAAAATGAATTTCTTTGCTATTCAGATACTAGACTGAATGGGGAACAACAGTAAAAACAAAACTAGTTAGAGGACAATTGTTATTTCCAGGTGTGAAATGGCAGGGACAGAGTACAAAGTACTTTAGTAATTACTTATTTAATTTAACAGACATCACAATTCTCTCTCTAAAATAGGTTGCCCAATTATTTATACTTTTCAGATGAGAAATTAAGGTTCTTCAAGGTCATGGAACTAGAAAATTACAGAGTTCGTATCAATAAATACCAACTTCCTATAAATAAACCCACCTTTCTATCCGATGAACATATGAACAAGACAAATATAAGGTAGTTTGTAGTTTCAACAGGGTAATTTCCTCAAAAATTCTGAATACAATTAAATAAAAAATAGAAATCAGAATAAAGAGTTGGATCTCTTATTGGACCCATTTGATTTTATACCATGTAATGCATTTTTAATCTGATTTGGGAATGTATCCTGGGGAAAACAAAATAAAATAAAGTATGTTTGAGGATATATATCTTCACATCTTCAAAATAAAACAGGTAAATAATGACAAAGTACCTAATTGTATTATGATTTTTTTAGGCAATGCTGTTCATCAGGAAGGCAAGAGAAACAGAAAGCATGTAACTTCTGCCAAGTTTGGTATTTGAATCCTTGCTGTCTGTTGAGACCACCAGTCCATCTAATAAGACGTGTTACTACAAAAAAAGAAAGCTTTGCTAATGGTATGACTGAATCAACTTTCCCTTCTCACAGCACCTGCTTTTATGATAACATTGATTTCCATGAGTCTTTTTATCAATTTCCCTTCCAAAGTCAACAATGAATATAGCAGCACCTCTTTCCCTTAAAGGAAGACAACTAAAAAAAAAAAAAACAAACAAAAAACAAAACAGTATTCTTCTGTTCTGTTGCTCAGAATGTTTATGTCATGTCTTTTCTTTCAGATTCCTGAATGAATGGTGGATGGTACCAATCCGTTATCATAAAATAAGGCGTAAGCAGAATGAATTTAATTTCATAAATTAAAAATTACATGTGTATGTGGGGGATATTATAGGGGTAATTTATTTTCATTTGATAACTAAGAAAATAGTGTATTAGGCTGGGCGCGGTGGCTCACGCCTGTAATCCTAGCACTTTGGGAGACCGAGGCAGGTGAATCACGAGGTCAGGGGTTCGAGACCAGCCTGGCCAACATGGTGAAACCCCCATCTCTACTAAAAATACAAAAAATTAGCCGGGCGTGGTGGTGGGTGCCTGTAATCCCAGCTACTCGGGAGGCTAAGGCAGGAGACTCTCTTGAACCCGGGAGGCAGAGATTGCAGTGAGCCGAGATCATGCCACTGCACTCCAACCCGGGCAACAGTGTGAGACTCCATCTCAAAAAAAAAAAGAAAAAAGAAAAAAGAAAATAGTGTATTAAATATGTTTTTTTTTTCATTTTCCTAATTACTTTCTATAATCTACAGTTACAGAAACTTAGAAATTAGGAAGATCCAGGCTGTAATCCATATCAGGATTTGGCATATTACATTCCTGGAGCCAAATTCAGTATGCTGCCTGTCTTTGTAAATAAAGATTTATTATAACCCAGCAACATCCATTTATTTACACAAGGTTAAGTTGTGTGGTAATGATAGAGGTCTTATGTCCTGCAAAACAAGTCTATATAGTAGACGTCTATAAAGTGGTCTATTTTATGGACATAGTGTTTACTAATTAATCTTTGACTTTAATTTAAATGTTACTTTGTCAATCTATCTGATTTACTGGCATCTCTAACTTGTCCCTCTTTCATAGCACCACTACCAAAATTATTCTGACATTCTGTTATTAAGTATGATCTACCTGTATATTAAAATATAAGCTTATAAGGTATATCAACAAAATTATTCTGAGTAGCAAAGGATTTATCATTCCTTTATCATTCTTTGAATGTTTGTCAAACATTTAAAGCTTGTTTAAAACATGCGTTGATTTATTAAGAAATAAACGCATGACTCACCTGTATACATTTGGCATAAAGGAAACTCTGGTGAACATGAAGAATGTTGGGTCTCTTGTTTTATTAACAATAGGTAACAGGAGGACATGCTAACCAATATGTTTTATATTTGAGCACAAAACAAGAAATAATATGCTTTTTTCAGTGGTAAGTGTGTTTGTATTTGTTGGTTTATAATAGTAGATTAATGCTTGTTGGTTATGTAGCATCAAAGAGGAAGACATTTCATGTTTAAATGTCTTCTGTGTAATTAAAAATCTGATGTGGTCTGATGTAATAGATCAGTTTTCCATCTATTGCTGTTGATTTAGGTTTTGGTTTTGGATCCCTTCATTTTACAAGGCAAGGCATGGCAAAAATTTTCTGTAAAAAAAGAGCCAGGAAGTAAATAGTTTAATCTCTTGAGCCACTTACACTATCTGTATTATATTCTTTCTTACTACCTTTCACAAGTGTAAAAAAAAAAATCTTTTATCTTTCAGACTTTACAAACATAAGCCCCAAGCCAGATTTGGCCCATCGACTGCGGTTTGCCAAATTTGTTTTTTATAAGCCAGCCTTGTTCTCAGCAAATACTTTGGAGAACAGGTTGGGTGAATGTATAGAAGCAGACAACCTGGTTTGCCAGAACTGACTCTTTAGCATTCTGAGTGTTCATCTTTTGCATTACTCTTTATATTGCCATACATTTCACAGCAACACTATGCCAGAGCTTCTGGAGGGAACTTCAAATAAGTGCCAACATCTGTATATACTTGACACATGACTATCTATGTCAGATGATTTCAGGAACATTCAGGTAGCTATTCCCAACATAATAACTTTAGAAATATATAATAGTCTGTCGATCTTTAATAAATGAATTTCATTAGTACCCAGCTTACTCCTTATGAAATGCAAAAATCTAGATGTTATAGCTGAAAAGTCTAATTTGGTTATTAATCCCTTGTCAGGTGGGTAGTTTGCAAATATTTTCTCCCATTCTGTGAATTGTCTCTTCACTTTGTTGATTTTATATGCATGTACTATGTACCCACAAAAATTAATATACGTAATATAAAAATAACACATCATGATATATTTCTACAATAGTAAAAAGTATTCCAACCTGAATCAACTTAACAAATTCAACAAGGCAAAAAGCTGAGAAAGGGTTTTGCACCGTGTCGTAAAATATTACATTTGTAAAAGAACATTTGGAGCACTGGAGTGGAGATCGTTATAATTGTAGAGATGCTCTCCTAACTGACATGTTATGAGATTGGGGGCTCCTAAGAACCATGAAAAGTTAATATGGACCCTCGTTATTTAAGCAGGAACATAGTCACAGGATAAGGAAGGAAGTAGGAGGAGAGAAAATAAAAGACAAATAGCGTAAGAGAAACAGCTTTGTTGAGTATGAACATGCATACGATTTCTGCAACTTTTTACTTTTCTATAAGATTATATTTTACATTTCATTTATTTTATTCCTCCACCTCTCCTTGAAGAGATGTATTTGGATAAAACAAAATACTCTAAAATTACCAGAGTCCTCTTTCAGGTATCCTATAAGCAAAACAAACAAACAAATTAAAAGATATAAATTTTTGAAGGATAAAAATTAAAGATGGTTGATCTATAGCAAAAATGGTGACATAGTTGAAATTTGTAGAATTTTGTCATGGAAAAAGTATTTTCCTACGTACTATATTCTGCTTTTCATCACTTGAACGTTATTTCATGCCCAAGTCTATTCTAACTTGAGTTCCGCATGTAGGGCTTTAAGGATATTTGAGGACACTATGAGGTCTTATTTTGTCACATATCACAAGCCTGAAAATGGTGCTAACAATGACATTAATAAAAATCATTTCAACATGTTTTATTTCCTCACCCTCTTTTTATAGTGAACGTTTCTCAAATTGACATGAGTTTTGTTATAAAGAGAAGTGAGAGTCAGGTGTTCAAGGCCAAAAGGAATGCTGCTTTGGACAGGCAAGAAGGGAATTGGTTTGACTTTGCTCCAAGCAGGCAATTAAAGGATGATGAATTAGAATCCCCTCAAAGCGGGAACCCTATTACTCTCAAACATGTCATGCACTCTGAAGTGTAAAATGCCTGATCATAAATAATAATGTCACTAATTGTGTAAAATAAGAAACCTGAAAACAAATACAACTTCTATACAAAAGTGGCATCAGTAATTGAAGAAAATGAACTTGTCTACCTGAAACTTTCTCACTGTGGGTGTGGGCACATAATTTTTACTCCTTGGATACTAAAATACAAGTTGAGGAACATGACAACGATACAGCAACAGTGTCTAGTGTTTAACCTAAAAATATGCAATAGACTCCAAATGTCATTTTCATCTGAGATATTAATCAAAAGCAACTTGTTGAAAAATCAAATCGACTGCACTGATATTTGAGTTATAACTCTTTGAAAGCCTAGTTCAAGTTCAAACAAGTAGGATATTCATATAACATATTATGAGATATGGCATCAGAATGGTTGTAACAGTAAATACACACACACATATATGTATATGCACACAGTATGTATCTATGTATAAACATACATATATATTACAGTATGCAAGCCATGAATATTGAGTAAATCAATAAATCAATGGATTAATGTTTATAATAGATACAGCTATTTAAAAAATTAGTGATTTATTCAATTTTCTAGAATTAATGAAAATATTTTATGTGGTATATCAGCCACATTTTAGTCAAGTGATAATGTGAACTTAATAAAAACATATTCATTAAATTCATAATTTATTCTTTTATCCACATAACACTTAATGTTAGTTCTTTACAAAATTAATGATGTCATATTCACAATTGAAATATTTTGAACTAACTACACTTGATAGTAATCAAAATCATTTCTGGAAAGTTTTCATGTACCAAATTAGAATGCTAGTAATTTTTTAAGTCATCATGCAATTATCCCCTAATTTATACATACACTATTTTAGTCAGTTTGTGCTGCTGTAACAAATTACTATAGAGTATGTGATTTAAACATGTATTTCTCTTAGTTCTGGAGATTAGAAAGTCCAAGACCAAGGTGCTTACAGATTCAGTGACTTCTAAGGACTTGCTTAGTGACATACAGATGGCCATCTTCTCATTGTATCCTCACATGGTGAAGAGCAGAGAGAGAGAGAGCAAGCTCTCAAGACTCTTCTTACAGCAGCACTAATCTTATTCATGAGGACTCCAATGTTCAGGACTTTGTACCTCCTAAACCTCTTAATACCATCACATACATTGTTAACATGTTAACGTTAACATTGGCAACATGTTAATGTTGGGGGACAAAAACATTCAGTCCGTAACACGCATTTACATATGCATAATATATATCAACACACATCACACAGATACATATATAACAATACATACAGACACACATTTCCAATAAGTCTGATTTGTGGATTCATCTTTTTACTTCAATTATGGACAAAGTTACAGCCATTTTGTCTTCAGTTGTCTGGAGACTCAGTTTTCTGAATTCTGAATATACATTTATTGGATCATTTCACTCTATCATCCACGTCTTAATTTATTATCTTTAATTTTCTATACTTCATTCTGGGTAAGGTTTCATACCTCTCTTCCATTTCACTGTCTCTTCAGCTGTGCTTATACTGCTGAATGGTACTGCCAATAAATTCATAATTTAAAATATATTTTAATTATCTAAATTCAATTGGTTGGGTTTTTAAAGTTTTACACACAAATGAACCTAAAAAATGAAGCTGCTAATCTTATTATGGCTACTATTTCTATTTTCATTATTTAATCAATCCATGCATGATTTTTATCAATTTTATCTATTACGTTCAATTTCTTGGGGCTTCAATTCTTATTGGTTATAAATGATGTTTTGTTTGTTTACATAATTCGTAATTAGCAAATAAATAAATAAAAGTACATGTGTAAAACTATATAGTACTTTAATATGACTGAAGTGCTCTAATAAAGTGTTTTGATATAGGTAAAGTGTTTCTGCAATTACTGCATTTGAAAGCTTGGATATTATCCATTTAGTTCATAAAAATTGAGAAATTCTGTAAATTAGTTTTAGTTAATAGTATTTGACGGTTAGGATTTTATGTTTTGTTTTGCAGTTTCCCTCCTAGATAATTAGAATGATTCATGTATTCTGGCAGAGTGTTCATTGTAACAGTACACATACACATACCCATACACAAAGAGAGAGTAATCTATTGGCAAAATACAGCTTCAGCTGTCCTTTGTTTGGTTTGTTTTTGCTTTTAGGCTTAAAAAGTAATTCAATTTTATGGGTTCATTTTTTAGGGCTTATTAAGAAGGACAAAAAATACTTTATAACTTTATTTTTACCATAAATATTATGTTGTCCCTTAGTATATATAACATTTTAACACATTAATGGTTTGTTTCATTCTGTCTCTCCTTATTGAAGTGCAAATATATTCAGAGAACATTGTATATTAAAAGTAATAATGATATAAATAAACTCAGGTAAGTTACTAACAGACTCTTATGTAGAAGACACAATCAATTAGTAGAATAACATTGAATTTTTCCTTTATAAGAAACCAAGTACATTTATCACAGATTCACTTAAGTAGAATTAGGTATGTGTTTTATCTCATTTTATATTCTAAACCATTTTTGTTATAGGATATAAGTGGTAGAAATGTGACAGTTATGCTAACTGAGGATGACAATAGGGTAAAGGACAAAGAAAAAGCCTTTTGTAATTTAATTTTAAAAGGTGCCATTATTTATTTTCAGTTGGCATTCAATTTTCAATACATTCACTTTAAAATGCATTACTGTTTAGTTTTGAATGTTATGGTAATTCTGGAATTGACTTAGCTTTTCTCAGAGTCAAAGATATGAGGCATATTAATGCACATGAGTTCCAGATGACAAATGGTGCTTGAAGTTTCCATGTCTACTAATTCATTTTTGATTATAACATGGATGTCTTCTGAAATATAAATGGCATTTGCCTAGCTAAACAGTCATCTGATTTGAACATACGATGTGATGCTTCACTGATGTTTGAACTTTGGAGTCATTTCAAATTCATTGATAACAGTGCGTATAAAGGCCATGTTCCCTGACTCAGAATGATATAAACTAAGGGACTGTATCATCTGCTTCTCAGGGACAGTGTTTCCTTTATCTATTTCATTTACAAAAAGTATTTGGAATTAATTTCTCACTAACCTTTGCAATAATAAAATATTTCACATTGCTTATATTTTCAAAACCGAAATTAAATGTCCCAGATTGTATTCTGTAAAGTGATCTCAACTACATTCACTTATTAGTTATTAGTTTTTTGACAAATAAGGGCAGGTTTTAATGTTTACTTGGAAAAAAAATCAGTAACAACAACTTAAAGATTTTAAAGTGGATTCAATTTATATCATTAACCATCTAAGTTAGCTTGAGACTGAGGGAAAAAATGGTAAAAATGACCACTATGTTTAATTTATTTTTATACTATAAATTATTTTAATGTATCTAAAAATTTCTGATACATTTTCAAAATAATTACTTTGTGTCCAATAAAATAAAAAAAGCTAAAACATTTGTTTCAAAGTTTTTCTTAATCATACTCTTTGAAGTTCTTATTTCATTCAAATTTTAAAATTTAATGTAATTTTCTTCTTGAGTGTTAGTATGATATAAAAAACCGTCACACTATGAATTCCCAAAAAGGCAGTCATGTGTCTAAAATAGGGCTGTGGTAGATGATCTCTTGAGAACTTTAAAATTAATAAAAGACCTACTGTTAATTAGCTTTTCATTATCTCCATGAATCTAAATAAACTATTTCTCCTTGAAATGATCTTTTGCATAAAGCCTCCAAATAATTGCTGAGTTACAATTGAATTTTAATAATGTATCTCTAAGATTCAAATTAACACTATTTTGTATTTAATAAATGTCTTCTTTGAGAAAGTTAATTTGAAGAAATACCAGTAAGACAGTTGACTATCACATATAGGGATTTGGCCTCACACATTTGTTTTGGGTGTAACTTTGTAATATTTCAAAACCATTTTAGCTTTGTGGACAGATTTTGTGCTTCTAAGCACAGTCATACAGAATATTCTTACATTTAGAAATTATATTTGAAATATAAAATCACACTTTAGTGACTGTGCTGAAATAGAACTTGAATTGCTAAATTTTATTGTATAAACCATTTGAGATATTTGTGTTAAAATCTTTTTCACGATTATTCTTATATTCAAGACTTTTTCTAACTTCTTGCAAAGCTGCTTCTTCATGTGAAAATATCTTTTAAAAGATAGGTTTAAAATACATACTTCAATCAAGTATGAATTAAAACAGGTTGGCAAATCTCATTAAAATGTTTATAAACAAGAATATGTGGATATGGCAAATTTTGATAAAGTCCTTGACAAATTGGCAGAAATGAAGGCTCTTAAACTTGAATGTTGCTATGCATTACTGTGGCAGACCAATATTTAATTATAATTTTATGTTTTTAAAAACTACATTAATTGAATTACAAATATTAATCTGTTATATTTTCATTTTTTGTATAGCGATGTTTTATTTTTTATTGACATTATTACATGTAAAGTAAAATATGAAAAAATTCACAATGTTTTTTTCCTGCCCATTATTATTTATTTTATTACATGAATATTTTTTAAAATACTTTTGTTCTATTGAAGAAGAAGCATTTAAAAATTATTCTCTACAGGAAAACATTCCCAGTACACCACTGTTAGGAATCGTATGAAACATCTGAGCAAGTATAAATGAAGAAATAATAATTTAGTAATTTACTTAAAATGAGTAAATCAAATGCCTGCTTGTCTTTTTTTATTTTATTTTTAATATTTTACATTACAAAGGCATTATAAGCCCTGTGTGGAGTATCCTTACTTAAAGTATTTGTAAGTGAAAGAAAAAGTGAGAGAAAGATGTATTATTTATTATTGTAACTTTTATAGCTTATTAGTTGCACATTTCTAAAAATCAACATTTACATTATTTCAACACCATTAATTTTAAGTCACTCCTACTTACCCCTGTTTAAGTGATAGTGAAATGAAAACAGTATCATGTAGTAAAGAGAAAGTATATTTTACAATTAGAAAGATGGCAATCCATATCCAGAGCTTAATTAAGTGGAAGAAGGTAAGTATACTGTCTGAATCCTAAAATGGAAATTGGTATTTTAATGTACAAGTTTGCTATGGAATTGTATACATAATGGAATTACAGCATACGAATAAATTTGAGTTCCTTTGTTTCATTTATCCAGTTATTTAAATTTAAATATGTATTTATTCAATCATGTTTCATTGTAATATACTTTATTAAAGGGACATAAATGAGGTATTAGCTTTGACTGTAGTTAAACCTTGAGGCAATTTTCTTAAGAAGTGAGAAGCAAAGGTATTTACCCATTATCAAAAATACCAACAACAGAGACAAATTTCTACATTACAGTACACAAAGCAAGGAAACTCTTATTTCTGGAAATGTGTGGTTTTCATACATATTTATGATTACACTTCTACAAAATAAAAAGTAATAATTAAAATTAGCTTCCAGATGTATCCTATTAAATCTAGATATAACAAAAGTCTGATAAAATAAGTATATTGCTACCTATTTGCTGTATTTTTTGAAAGTGCTAATAAGCTCTCTTGAGCAAGTACGGAACTCTCCAGGCATTGTTATAGACAATGAAATCTCACTAATGAAGAAGATACTATTGCAACAATAAAGAATATGCAATTTAATGAAAGAAACACTTTTTAAAAATCATAATTATCCGCTACAGGAAAATACAGTCTATAATTTCATTTGGTAACCTGTGGTCTAAGTCTAGTAACTTGATGGCAGTGATTAATGAGACAGAAAATGATTTTAACAGCTTACAGTATGAAATTTGCATCCAAAATAATTATTTGTATTTTTCAGTCAGATAAATACTTACCTACCAATCTTCAAAAAGAAAACCGTTTTTTATAAGAGCTGTCATGAATAAAATCAAGAGAAAGAGGAATATACTAATTATTGTTCCAGAAAAGAATTTTAAGGTTGAATAAGTAGCTATTTATAGCTATTGGGATTGCATCTCAAGGAGAATTCTGATTTGGAAATTTAAAACTAACTGATATTTTAACTATAGTATAGAAGAAGGAGTCACTAATGGACTTTTTCTGTGTATAGAATGAGATTTGATGTGACAACTCATGTTTTACTGTTTTGTTATATGTAAAAAGTATGAGATATTTGAAAATTGACATCACTTGTTAATAAAAAGGATGGCAGATAAGTTGACAATACAACCAATTTTATCAAAATAATTTTTGTACTAAGTAAGCTCAGTAAAAATCGAAGTCTATGATCTAATATTAAAAATTTTATCTCTGAATATAATTTCAGTTTGGAAGATTGGAAGATATGGTTTTACAAATACATTCCAAGCACATATTTTCTTGAAAACTAGACTATAGATTTATTGTAACTAACCCTACACTTCTTGTTTTATGAGTGGTTGCCAAAAAGTTGTTTTCCTTTAGGAAAATTTATTCCAAGCTCTGCAAGTTTCATATCTACTTTGCAATTAGTTTAATTTTCACTTGAAACACTCCAACTTTCTTCCTTTGTCACACAAAAATTATGAAATGTGGGCAATAAATACGTAGCTTTGTTTTTTGCAAGAAATGTCAGAATTCGAGATTTCCAAGCCACCTGTAAATAAGTAATTGCTTCTAAATTTGCTTTTATGTTTTTGATGTGAACATAAATAATATATGTTCACTCTGATGCTTTCTGGCAAATTCCCTTATTTTACATAATTTCACTAGTAAGTAATTATGTAATATAGTCCTGTATAAATCCTGATGTTAAAAGAAATATAATAATTATATAAGTCATTTCAGGAGGGCAAAACTAGAGAGCACACTATTTTTTGAAACTAGACTTAAAACAAATATGAATATACAAGTTTTAATGGGAAATAATACATTTACTGTATAATTTGGACTATATAATTTGGGCTAGTGTCTTGATTGAGAATTTTTGTGGTCTGAAGAATACTGCATTCTCTTTATTATCAAAGTTGACTCTCAGACTCTGAAAGACATACTTGTTTCTGCCTCTGCGGCATTTAAAGAAACCAGAGTTTATTTTTGAAGCCATTTGTAGAATGACTAGTCTATAAAAAAATTAAAGGTACAAACACATACTGATAATCATTGCCCTTTCTCTACTGTTTGACTCATATGTTATTTATTTATTTATGTTTTGATAACTTTTTACCCCTTAAAGAAGTGTGTAAAGGTAAACTGTTTTGTAGATGATATATTTTTAATGTTTTTTGTTCCTGCTGTTTCTGTTGCTGTTATTTTTCTTTCAGTGTTTAGCTAGCATTTTTTTTCTGTGTCTTCTGAAAAGAAAATCTCTATTTATAAAGGGAAGAACCAACCTCCAATTACATGTGTTTATGGAGATGCTGATTCTCTAGCTGCAGATGTGGGCATAAAACTCTTTCAGGGCACTTAGTTTTAATCCAAGCATTGGGTGAGAGTCATGCTTTTCTCTGGGATCAGTGGTTCTGAGAAGCAGGCAAGCCTAAAATTCTTGGTGCCTCAATATGGAGCTCATGTAAAGGCAACAAAGAAGATTAGAGAACTAGTAAAAGTAATGACAGGGAGAGGGAAAATGAGAGAGAGAGAAAAAAATAAAAAGAAAGAGAGACAAACATCTATTGACATTTCTGCTAAGCTTAACCTAATTTACTTGAATTTGAGTTTCTGGTTTCTATTACCTAAAACAATAGCAAATGGTTTGACATAGCTATTTCTTTTTTAACAATTTTCTTTTGTAGAGCTGGGGTCTTGCCATGTTAACCAGGCTGGT
Organism: Homo sapiens; assembly: GCF_000001405.40. Classification (NCBI taxonomy): domain Eukaryota; kingdom Metazoa; phylum Chordata; class Mammalia; order Primates; family Hominidae; genus Homo; species Homo sapiens. The sequence goes on along the minus strand of NC_000007.14, from coordinate 9,575,115 downwards.
TTTGAACTCCTGGTGTCAAGTGTTCTTCCCGCCTCAGCCTCCCAAATTGTTGGGATTAGAGGCATGAACCAACACATCCAGCCAGCTATTTCTTAATAAGATTGCACCTTCTTATGTGTTTTGCCAGCAAAACAATCGATGTTATAAATTCACCTCCTAATTCCCTTGTCTGCATACACAGTAGGAATTTTTTAAAAAATCTTATCCAATTACAGTTTACTTCTTAAGCCGTGGAATGCAGTAATTAGTGGGGGATTGATTTTACCTAATCACTCCTAATCCTCACCTAATAAAAACAAAACCAAGCATGTCATTTCTAGTTTAGTCTGATCTGATATAAATTAAGCACGTGTTCATCATAGACTCAGATAACTGGTTTTTTCACATTAGATTCTGTATTGGCTTTATCGAATATTATTCAGTTGGAAAGTGATTTCCACACTGAATTTTTTTAGAGAAAATTTAATTTTAGACATGAATCTAATTTAATATGATAGTAACTCTTACATCTAGGCAGACTTTCTTTTATTGTGTGTCACTTTATTGTGTTTGGCAGATAGTGTGTTTTGTAAAAAATGAAAATTGGTAGCAACTCTAGATCAAGCAAGTCTATGACTGGCATTTTTTCAACTGTATGTGCAAGGTTTGTGTCTCTGTGTCACGTTTTGGTAATTCTCACAATATTTCAAACATTTCATTATTATTATATATAGTATGGTGATCTGTGGTCAATGACTTTGATGTTACTTTTGTAATTGTTTTGGGGCACCACAAATCATGCTTATCTAAGACTGTGAACGTAATGGGTAAATGCAGTGTGTGTTTTGATTTTTCCATTGACCAGTCATTCTTCTGTGTCTCTCCCTCTCCTCAGGGCTGTCTATTCCATGAGACATAATGATATTGAAATTAGGCCAGTTAATAACTCTACAATGTCCTCTAAGTGTTCAAGCTAAAAAAAAAAAAAGTACATCTCTCGCTTTAAATCAAAATCTAGAAATGATTAAACTCAAGGAGTAAAATAAGTCAAAAGCTGAGATAGAGTAAAACCTAAGCCTTGTGTGCCAGTTAGCTGAGTTGTGAATGCAAAGCAAAAGTTCTTGAAGGAAATTAAAAGTGCTACTCCAATTAACTTATGAAGGATAAGAAAGTGAAGCAGTCTTATTGGCTGATAGGGAGAAAGTGTGAGTGGTCTGGATAGGATATCACACCAGCCAAAACATTCCCTTAAGCTAAAGCCTAATCCACAACAAAGCCCTAACTCTCTCACTCTGTGAAGGCTGAGAGAGGTGACAAAGCTTCAGAAGATAAGTTTAAAGCTAGCAGAGGTTGTTTCATGACATTTAAGGAAAGAAGCTATGTCTGAACATCAAAGTGCAAAGTGAAGCACAAGTGCCATGGAGAAGCTGCAGGAACTATCCAGAAGATGTAGCTAAGATCATTGATGTGTCAAATAGTATTTCTAGTTCTATCTAGATCCTTGAGGAATCACCACACTGTCTTCCACAGTGGTTGAACTAGTTTACACTCCCACCAGCAGTGTAAAAATGTTCCTATTTCTCCACATCCTCTCCAGCACCTGTTGTTTCCTGACTTTTTAATGATCGCCATTCTAACTGGTGTGAGATGGTATCTCATTGTGGTTTTGATTTGCATTTCAATTATAAATCATGCTATTATAAAGACACATGCACACGTATGTTTATTGTGGCACTATTCACAATAGCAAAGTCTTGGAACCCCAACCCAAATGTCCAGCAATGATAGACTGGATTAAGAAAATGTGGCACATATACACCATGGAATACTATGCAGCCATAAAAAAGGATTAGTTCATGTCCTTTGTAGGGACATGGATGAAGCTGGAAACCATCATTCTCAGCAAACTATCACAAGGACAGAAAACCAAACACTGCATGTTCTCACTCATAGGTGGGAATTGAACAATGAGAACATTTGGACACAGGATGGGGAACATCACACACTGGGGCCTGTCATGGGGTGGGGAGAGGGCAGAAGGATAGCGTTAGGGGAGAGGGCGGAGGGATAGCATTAGGGGAAACACCTAATGTAAAGGACAAGTTAATGGGTGCAGCACACCAACATGGCACATGTATACGTATGTAACAAACCTGCACGTTGTGCACATGTACCCTAGAACTTAAAAAATAAAAAAAAAATCATTGATGAAGGTAGTTGCACTAAATAACTGATTTTCAATGTAAATGAAACAGCCTAATATTGGAAGGAGATGCCATCCTGGACTTTCATAGCTAAAGAAGAGAAGTTACTGCCTGACTTCAAAGCTTCAAAGGATAGGCTGACTCTCTCATTAGGGGTTAATGCAGCTGGTGACTTTAAATTGAAGCCAATTCTCATTTACCATTCTGAAAAACCTAGGGCTTTTAAGAATTATACTACATCTATTCTGCCTGTGCTCTATAAAACTGACAACACAGCCTAGACGATAGCACATCTTTTGACAGCATGGCTCACTGAATATTTTACGCCCACTGTAGAGACCAACTGTTCAGAGAAAAAAAAATACTTTCAAAATATTACTGTTCATTGACACTATACTTAGTCATCCAAGAGCTCTGATGGAGATGTACAAGGAGATCAATGCTGTTTTCATGCCTGCTAACACAGAATCCATTCTTTAGCCCATGGATTAAGGAGCAATTTTGACTCTCAAGTCTTATTATTTAAGAAATACATTTTGTAAGGCTATAGCGATCACAGATAGTTGATCCTCTGATGGTTATGGGCAAAGTACATTGAAAATTTTTTGGAAAGGATCCACCATTCTAGGTGCCATTAAGAACATTTGTGATTCATGGGAGCAGGGGAAAATAACAATATTAAGAGGAATTTGCAAGTTTGCAAAAAGTTGATTTCAGCCCTCCAGAATAACTTTGAAGGGCTCAAGACTTCAATGAAGAAAGTAATTACATATGTGGTAGAAACAGAAGGAGAATTAGATTTAGAAGTGGAGCCTGTAGAAATGACTAAATTATTGCAATCTCATGATAAAACTTGAATAGATGAGGATTTGTTTCCTATGAATGAGCAGAGAAAGTGGTTCTTGAGATGAAATCTACTTTTGGTGAAAATGTTATGAACGTGGTCAAAATAACAACATTGGACTTAGAATTTTACATAAACTTACTTGATAAAGCAGCAGCAGGGTTTGAGAGGACTGATTACAATTTTGAAGAGGTTCTACTATGGGCAAACTGCTATCAAGTACTACACATTCAACAGAGAAATCATTCATGAATTGAAGTCAATTAAGGTGGCAAACTTCATTGTTGTCTTGTTTTAAGAAAATGCCACAGCCACCACAGCCTTCACCAACCACCACCTGGATCAGTTAGCAGCCATCAACATTGAGGCAAGGCCCTTCACTAACAAAAAAAATTACAACTTGTTGAAGGATAAGATGAACATTAGCATTTGCTAGCAAAAAAAAAGTATTTTTAATTAAGGTATGTACATTTTTTAGACATAATGCTTTTGCACATATAATAGACAACAGTAGAGTGTAAATGTAACTTTTACATGTATTTTGGTTTTGGGAAACCAAAAAATGTATGTGGCTCACTTTATTGCACTATTTATTTTATTGCTGTGGTCTGGAGCTGAATCCACATTATTTCTAAGGTTTGCCTGTATTATCAGTGAAATAAAATATATACATACATGCAATACACATATGAGCATGCATGCACAAACCCACATATATTTCTGATCGTGTCAAAAAAAATGAATGGATAGAAATGTTCTCTTCAAATGAATGCCTAAAGAAATATAGACAGAAGGTATATGTAGGTAATGTAGACAATAGTCTATTAAATTAAATGTTTAATTATCTATTAAGTTCATTATTAGTGTGCCCCTAATCTCATAGCCAGAGTCAATTTCCTCTTTGTTTATATCAACTTGATATTTATTTGAGTTGTTAACCACTATTATAGTTATTTTCTCTTTTCATGCTTATGTCTCCTTTCAATCCTTGCTTTGGACAAGAAGCACAAATGACATTTTAGTTTTTGACCCAAGTTTTAAGAGTGTTCCACTCCCGCAATAAGTCAAGTAAATATTTTGAGACCTGTAATAACTAATTAATTACGTCCCTTATTTTCAATCATCATTGGATATTGTTGTTTATGAGAAATAATACTATGTTGTGTTAAGCCATGAGATGTGAGGTTTTCTTATTTTTGGAGCATGATTTGGTTCGCTCTAAAAAATGAATACTATATACTTTTTGCCACTGTATGTAATTCGACCTCTCTTATAGCACTTATCTAATCCTACTACACTATGATATCTGTATACATAGCTACCCTGTTAGATTTTAAATGCCTGAAGATCGAGCATAGAGCTTGGTATATAATATTTATGTTTGTTAAACGACTGAACAAATGAAACATTCTTATATCTTTCTAATAATAAAATACAAAGGAGTCAATAGAGAGTATAATTACATTTTCTGGTATCTCTTCTAGAAAAGAGAACATTTAACATATAGCACAAAATGTATAATATACATGGTGGTCACAAAACATGGTGCGTCGCAGTTAAAAGCAGGTCAGAGTCCTGGTGTTGTCTCCTCCTCTGCTGCTTCCTAGTTATGTGACCTTGTACATCAATATAATCTTTCTATCACTGAGTTTTCTTTTCTATAAAATGGGAATAAATATAATATGCCTCTCCCATAGTATTTGGGATAATTATATGAGTTAATAAATCGACATCATTTACTCTCAATAAATGAAGACAGTAAACTCACAATAAACTACCTTACATATGTGTGTATACACATACACAACAAATAAACTCCTTCCTTTTATACAAAGTATTCTTGGGCATATTTGTAAAATTCTATGAAATAATATATCAGTTATATAATTTTGCATGTTTTACATCTGAATGATTTTTTTTTTTTTTTGAGATGGAGTCTCACTCTGTCACCCAGGCTGGAGTGCAGTGGCGTGATCTCGTTTCACTGCAAGCTCCGCCTCCCGGGTTCAAGCAATTCTGTCTTAGCCTCCCAAGTAGCTGGGCTTACAGGTGCACACCACCACACGTGGCTAATTTTTTTGTATTTTTAGTAGAGATGGTGTTTCACCATGTTGGCCAGGCTGGTTTCAGTAGCAGTAATTAAGGTTTTTTAACTTTCTTCTGATTTTGTGATCTTCTGTTCATATTCTAATACTGATCATAGCCTAAGTATCAGGCATTTAATTATCATTAAAGAATCCTTACATCACTAGAGGAGCTAACATTTTCTTTACCTCAATACTTTTAAAATATTGTTTGCTCTTTTGTAAGATGCATTGCTATTTCTTAATTTATATAGTTTTTAACAGAATATTTTTGCGTGTTTAATTTAAAAATATATACTGTATACATGTTTTGTACATATATTGTGCATATATTAATAACTAGATCTAGATCTATATAGATATACAAATATATCTATATATCTATTCCTTTTCTACCTACCAATTTATTAAACTCCTATACATCTCTAAAGGACCAGCTTACGTTACTCATCCTTTTTGAAACCTCGTAAGTTCTGCGTCAGAAGATGATCAAGCCACCGTCTTAATTTCAAAGCATTTCAGTTCATTATATCTCTATTAGGTGAGAGTTACTGCTTTCTTTCTTTTATTGCTGTTGGTTGTTGATGAATATTTTCACCTATAGATTTCAAATTCCTTGGGCAGAACCTCCTGTAACATTTGAGGTACCCAGGGCATGAGAACATATAAAGGCACCAATACTATATATATAAATGTTAGACATCATGAATAAAGGTAACCATCTATTAAATAAAATATGCTCTAGTCTCCTAAGTAATGACTGTAGCTTTATAATTAACTAGAAAGCCAAATACAAAGTAACAATTATAGTGTTTCCTTGAATTCCATACCAGACTCCATAACATAGGACGGCTAGTTCCTGACCACAACATCATGGCCTGCCTCACTTCTCTCATTCCAACCTCCATCCAATACAATTATGAGCTTTGTATAATTGCATACAAATACCCTGACCCTCAAATGCAAGAAATGTCATCACTGTCAGCAAAAGACTGCTCAACTTTACCACCTCTAGGACCTAGAGGTATAACACAGTAATAGAGTAGTTTACCCTGAGACGGAGTGTCCTGAGACAGAAGCATGTGCAAGCCATAAAAGTGAGTTCAGGGACCCCATAGGGAGATTTAGAAGTCCAAATAACATGGCTTGTGTTGTAGAAGGTAGGACATGGTTTCTCATGATGGGCACATGCCCTGAAGAGGGAAGAGAAGGTTTTCTATAGCACTGGCCCCAGGACAGGGACCCCTTGTGCATGTATCTAAGAGCGTTAATATCCTTGGAATAGAACATATAATTCCTAATCTTCTATACATATTATCAGATTTGCATGCAGGCAACCTTAGTAAATATTTACTGAGTTAAATTTAAGTATATGATAGTATTTTGCCATATTTTTAATTCCTGCAATACATTTTATGCAATAATTGAAATGTTAAAATATCATTCTATTATATATACCAATGTTTTATTAAATATCCAAGCCAAAATTCTTCATTCTCTGAGAAAGAAATAATAAAATTATAAGGTAATTCAGATGAATAAATAACTTTTAAGATTTTACTCTTCTTGTAGTGTTATTATTTTGCATAGAATATATATTCTTATAGGGTAACATCTTTAGAAGAGGCCATACTTGTCAAATGGATGTGTCTTGCACCTCTGCATATTTTGCAAGCAGAGATGTGGGCTATCTTTTCCTGGACTATCTTTTCAAGAAAGTTTATATACCAAACAACCTTAGAAGATACAGTATCTCCCTCTGGAGCAAAGGGCAGATGTGCCGATTGCTCATATGATTCAGTTTCCTTAAACTCAAGGTTTTCTCCTATAATGCCACCCGTTGCATGTTCAAGTATCAGCTAGTCCTTCTCAGGTCACCCAGTGGGAATTGAATCTTGGAAACTGGTACAAAAATAATGTGTCTGCTCTGGGCATGTTACTTCTGTGATAAATAAACTACCCTTTGTCTTTTATCCAGGAGTCATATGTTGTCTGTCAACATTCATTGAACTGTGGTGACCTAACTTCTTAGCTTGCAAGTAGGGTAAAATCTCAGGTTTTTCACAGTTATTAATACATAGCAGATGACATACACATATTTGTCAAATGGCTACAGAAATTATTTTATTTGCACAATGATCTATTGTTTATGGCCATATATATTAACTTAAATATTTATTTGTTTTGCTTAGTTTGTTTCTGTTTATTTTTTCTTTTTGGATAATATAGTACAGATACAAATATTTTCATTTAATAAAAAGTAAAACTCATGGATAAAATAGGAAAACTTCCCTATGTTACATGAAAACTGAAGAATCTAGAAAGAGTCTTAGTCTCCAGATTCTTCCTATATAATGAAATATCTACAAAAAGTGCAGCAAAGTGCAGCATATTCTCCTGTCTCACTGACATGATCACTATAATTCAACAATAACTTGCATGTTAAGTACAATAAGAAAGCTAGAAGAAAAAATTTCACTCACAATTTTTATATCAAAAAGCATTAGGGTGTATCTATTTTCCATTAACTGTTGCAAAGAAGCACTTAGATGAAAAAACATTTAAGTTTTTTTTTCGGTGATCTCTCATGACATTATAGATAATGAAGTATTTTGTTTGCAAATACCCACACTCTGAAAATCATGTTACTGGCTACATTATGCAATTCAATTAGTTACTTTATTCTCTGCTGGACAGCATTAGTTTCTACTGAATGAGCTTTCATATGTGTCGGCATTTTCAAACACATGCTTTTATGAATGCATATTGAAATGCTTAACTAAAGTGTGCTACTTAATGCACATTTATTTGGAACCATGAGCATTAAAACTATATAAAATTATTAGAAGAACAGGAAAATTCACCTTAATTTAAATTAAAGAGATAATTTCAACATGCCGGCATATTAAATTCAGTGTAAGCACTAAAGATTTCAAATATTTCATATTTTTGTGATTTCAGCAGGCAGTATATATTTCAGTAAATTATGTTGATGCTTTCTCTTTCTGCTATGTGACACTGACCAACTAACATAATGTTCCTCTAGTGCCTAGTTTTGGAAGATACTTAGAGTTGGTGTTCAGTAAATGGCCCTTGATTGGCTGAAAAATAATATATCGTGCCTTTAAAATGTCAAGATACGAGGAAAAGTAAAACAATTGTGGTTTTGGTATTTAGCCTCCATAATGTATTTAGTTTTACATTGGTTACTGTGCAATTATCCTGGCACCAATTTCTCACACTCACTAGGGTTTGGCTCTGATTTCATTTTTCATTATGACCAACATCCCTTTGTATAATGCAGCAAACAGAGCATTATAAATCTGTAGAGCTGGTATTCTGTATTCTAAAATCAGTGGATGTAAATCTGATACCTTAACACTATTTATTGGTGCAAGCAATTCCATCTACCTTCTAGACTATAATCTTTCTCACTTGTTTCTACTTGTCTTGGCTGAGCTGTATGTAATGTGGCCTATTGACTAACTTTTGTTAGGTTGTCTTTGTCCTGGTCAACCCTGTCCCATTCCTTTCATCTCTCAGAGAATCTTAGCAAATATATATCGATTGTTTTTAAAACATATTTTCTAATTCAAGAGTGAGGCAGAAACCTCTGTATTTCCAAAACACCTTAAGAATGGGTGAAGTTTGATTTGAATAGAGTTCAGGTAATTTCTAGTTTCATGGCCTCAGCATCAACCCTAGTTCTTTAGTCACAGTATAAAAGGGGGTTGAAATGGCTAGAAGTGAGAATTTCTTTGAAGAGAGTAGTCACTGTTCTTCCTGATCCTTAAGGATTTGATCAGTAATAAGTTTCTTTCTCACCTTAAACCATGTCATAAGGGTCTAGGGATGAGGATAATTTGAATCCCCTTGAAGAGATAGGGAAACATTTGCTGGAACTGGGAGAATAAAGGTCATGTTAACTGATGCTGTAAAACCTCAAGGCTTGGGAGGGTCTGGCTTGAGTGATTTGCTTGATAACAATGAAGATAAAGTATGATGTGAATGGTTCTGTTTTGGAGGATATTTTGACAAAGGTATAAATTTATTGTGATTCAGATTTGAACTCACAAACAGATCCATAACACCCCCATTGTTAGGCAAGATTAGGGCCATGTTTTATGGTGTTACAGTTGGTGCCTTGCAAAGGGATTCTAACATGGAGTTTGCAAAATGTGTATCAAGGGATAGCAGTGTGTCTAAATAGAGGAAACTTAAGCTTATTGGTAATGAGCTCAGTGTTGCAGTCAATCATCACTTGTCTATGAGGCTTCATCTTCAACTAGGGGCTTGAAGATGGAATATCTGGTTATATTGGGGTCTCTAAGAAAGAGAAAATGAAAGAGAGAAAGAGAAAGACCTTTTGAGTGAGAGAGTCAGTGTTTGGACATTCTGCCAAGGAGGATACTAGCACTGGTTTATAGTAACATAAGCTGTAAGGTTTGATTCTTTACCTCTAACTCTCCCTTGCTCACCTCCAGGGACTCAGCTCTAAGAAAAAGAATTGCAATCACTACAAGAAAGATGTCTGTAGTCAGGAAAAGGTAGCAAACTGATGCCCCCCTTCCCTTCCCCACTGAAAGGTACAAGTTAGAATTTGACAGCAGATGAGGTGAGGTTGAGAATAAAGAGGGTTGAAGAGAGTGGAGATGTTTGAATGCTATCAACTGGTATACCTCAAATTAGCTTGGACCTTTTATTACCTGAAAAAGTAAGAGTACTTGCTAATACCCAGAAATTACAGGGAAAGAAAGCCGTGGGATTTGCTTAGGATTTTATTCAGGAGTAGGAAAGAACAAGACTTCAGAATGTGTTCAAAAAGAATATGTGAGAATAACAACAAAAAAGACTTTTTTTCACACCTATCTAAATTCAGTAAGTACGTTGGATCTACCATACACTATGTCCATTATAATTTCTATGAATTGCTTCTTTCTTCTAAAACTGATAATCCTCTTTCACTGATATGTGCTGAAAAAACAACAGCTTTTATTTCCTGAATAAACATAAATTAGTGTTTGAAGTGCACTGTTTAGCTCTCTAACCATTAACTCCATCAGATAATGGCTGAAGACACTAGAAGAAAAAAGTTTTAACGTATGTACTTGACACACTATCAACTGGAATTCTATATTACTTGGCCAGTCATGTTACAGATGAGTAATAGATTAATTAATTTTCTAAGAATAATACTGTGATCTCAAAAAATGTTATTTGTTCTATTAAAATGATATGAAACTATATACACAATTATACTAGCGGTGAGTGCCTTTTTGTATTATTTGAAGTTAGAAAATAAACATAATTTATGTGGTTTGCTGATTATATTTCCCAAACTCTAAGTCTGGAAATGTAATCAGACAAATAGTTTCCAGATACAAGAAAGTACCTAGATTGCCAAAACATTCTTACTGGTTTAATATTTCTGGTTTAATGCCTTTGGTCTAAAATGCTGACAAAGAGGCTATTAAAAATATGATGTGTACAGTGAACATATTTGAATTAAGTTGAGTAAATTACATTAAGCAGATGGCACCACACTGTCCATTAAAATCAAAACCTTAGCTTGCTTTTTTTTTGCTCCTGCCTTTCTGAGCTCTTTTTAATCTGAGTAATTTTTAGGTAAAACCTCCTCCATTAAATGTTCTATTAACCATTTTGTTTGTTTGCCTAATCTTGGCATTAAATCCTCTGCCATATTGCTAGATACAGAATATGTCCACCATGTTACTCATCCCAGATTTTGTAACATTAAGGGCGCAGATCAGTCTATGTAGTCATATCTCTAGTTCTTGTTAGTCCACAATTATTTGGCAGTTGAATTCATGCTATTTTAACTGGGTAGAAATGACTTATTTTTATTTGTGCTTATTTTCAAGTGCTGTTATACGGTATACATATGTTCTATTCCTGAATTACCGTATTCTAACTCACAAAAAGGAGACATTCAGTAATAGTTTAGGACACTAGATTAAGCTTTACCACAACTCTTAATTATGTTTTGAAATGACTCCAAATGATAGTTTTCATCTCATAATAAACCAAGCATTACAGTAAAAGAGGTGTGAAATAGCCATACAAACACTCCTAATACTGGTTCATTTTTCCGTTTACTCAGAACATCATTTACAAAAAAAGGGCAGGTTTTTTTTTTCCAGTTTAAAATAATTACTGAGTGAGTCTACCATCTGTATAATAAAATGGCAAAAATCAAAGATACTGAGAACAAAAATGCGTCTCTATATATCTATGCATTACAAAGCAGACAAACCTAATCTCAGCCAAGGAATGCACGACTAAGGGGTATAAGGTATTTTCATTGGTTACAAAGTGAGAATTTGGGAAAAGAAAAGAAAAAGCTTCAGAAGATAATGAAAACGCTTACTCTACAGTTATCTATAATCATACTAACAAATGGGCTATTCAAAGGTAACATTCTTTCATTTATTGGTTTTCCTCTTGACTATATTCACTAATTTCATCAGAGTTTCTTAAATGCCACCTTGTTTTACAATCTGGGTAATGAGGTAAATTGTCAATCATTTTTGTTTTTGAACAACTTGTTTATATCATATTTTTGTGCCTTGCTTAAGGAAACTCACTCAGTAAATACAGCACTTGAGTGATTTTTTTTCATGTCTTCAGGCTTGATACTTGAAAATTCAAACTTTAAAATGCAAGATTAATATTTGCTTTAGATTTAGATAGTTTTTGTAATCATATTAACAAAAATTCAAGTTACAGTTCGGATATTATTTATAGATCATTTTTAGGTTATGATTTCTTAATAATAAAAACAGTTAATCAATATTTCCTTTAAAATCATTTATTTTTAAAAACACCCAGGTACCTGTTAGAAGCGATGTGAGTTGTCTAACAAGGAATGCAGCTGAAACACAAGAAGATAAACATTTAAATATTTCCATAGAATAAGTTCAAACAACATAAAGTTACAATTAAAAAAAAAGACAATTCTAAAGAAACAAAACTATCATGAATAAAAATTATCTGAAAAAAAAACCTAAATATTTTATTATTATAGCTTTCCAATAATTCTTAAAATCAGGTAGCACTAGTCTTCCAATCTTATTGTTCTTTTTATTGTTTTGGCTATTCTAGGTCCTTTGAGTTTTTTCTACATAAAAAATCAGCTTCTTCTTAATGTCTAGGAAAATAAGTCTGATGCTATTTTGATTGGGAAAGCATTAAATCTTTAATAAAAAACTCAGCAGTGTAGAATATTCTGTATCAAGATGTCAAACATCTTGATACAGAATATTCTACTCCAATAGTATGATTATAGTTTCACTTATTAAATCTGCTTACATTTTTCTAGCACTATTTTGTACTTTTAGAGAATTGCTCTTGCACACTTATTATGGATAATTTTTAAATATATTTTAATTTCTGGTTACTCACTGCTAGTATTTACATCTATGATTTATTTTTGTTATTAACCTATTATCTTACAAACTTTAAAAACCCACTATTTCAAGTGGATTTTTAAAAAATACCTTACTAATCTTTTTTACAAAGACCAACTATGCCTTTTATAAAGATAGTTTTACATTTCCCTACCCAATATTCATGTTATTTATTTATTTATTTTTTTCATCTTACTGCAGTAGCTAAACCTCTAGTACAATGTTACTTACAACTGGTCAGAGCAGTTTTTTAATCATTTAGAAAAAGACCCAATTTTCTACCAATATGTATGATGTTTGCTTTAAGTGCTTATTGATTCCGTTCATCAGGTTCTGAAAACTGACATGCATTTTTATACTGCTGAGTTTTTTCATTTTTATTATTTTTTTAACGTAAAACAAATTTTTGATTTTGTTGAAGTAATTTTGGTGTGTCTGCTGAGATGATCATAAGGCTTTGGTATTAAGTTTGTAATACAATGACTTTCATTGATACATTTTAAACATTAAGAGAATGTTACATTCTTAATATAAACTCTACTTGATAATAAAATATTATATTTATATTCTGTGAAATTAAATTTTTTATGCTTTCAGAAATCACGATGGGCATTGGTCATTGGTTTTCTTGCAATAGCTTTGATATCAGGTTTTTATTGTCCTCATAGAACGAGTTGGAAAGTTCTTTTTTTCTCTCTTCTATGTTTTAGAAGAATTTTTGAACGGTTGATATTATTTCTTCTTTAAATGTCTGGGGAAATTATCTATTAGGCTATCTAAGCTTGAAGGTTGTTTTGTTCTTGTTTTGTTTTGTGGGGGAAGTTTTTAACTATAAATTCAACTGTAATAAATACTATATTAGTATGCTAATTGTTCTTGAGCAGAATTTGCCAGCTTGAGTCTTCCAAGGAATTAGCTCACTTCATTAAAATTGCAAATGTTGTTGTACAGATTTGATTATAATATTGTACTTTTAACATCTATAGAATTTGTAAATCCATGACTTTTCTCATAATTAATATGGATATTTTGGGTCTTCTCTATTGTTTCCCTTTATTAATCTAGCTAAAAACTTGACAGTGTCATTGATCTCAAAAAAATAGCTCTTGGTCAGGCATGGTGGTCATTGCCTGTAATCCTAGGACTTTGGGAGGCCAAGGCAGGAGGATTACTTGAGTCTAGGAGTTTGCAACCAGCCTGGGCAATACAGAGAGACCCCATATATATGAAAAAATTGTAAAAATTAACCGGCATTGTGTTACACGTTTGTTGTCCTAGCTACTTGGAAGGCTGAGGTGGGAGGATCCCTTGAGCCCAGAAGGTCAAGGCTGCATGGCTGACAGAGTGGAGGACGGTAAAATAATTAAATTAAATAAACAAATTTAAAACTCACCTCTTGATTTTATTCCTTTTTTACTATGCTTTTTTATTTTGTTGATTTCCACATTGATATTTACTATTTCTTTATTCTTTAGGTTTAAATTTTCTTGTCTTATAGTTTTTAAAGATGAAAATAAAGTTATCTGTTTGAAAGTTTATTTTTAATAAAATCATTTTGTTACTATTTCATCTCTAATTACTACATTAGCAAAATTGCACAAATTTCTACATGTCGTGTTTTCATTTTTATTATAAAAGTTATATTCTAATTACCATTTGATTTTTTCTTTGATCTGCGAGTTACTTAGAAGTGGTTTGTTTTCAAATTTTTGGATATTTTCCAAAGATCTTTCTGTGATTATCTAATTTAATTCCATTGTACTCCAAAATCACACTTTATATGATTCAAATCATTTTGAATTCACTGGTATTTATTTATTAATTTAACCTAAAATATAGTTTATCTTGGTAAATAGTCTATATTAACTGGAAAAAAATGTGTATCCGCTATTGTGGAGTAGAGTATTATATACAAGCTGAGTGGGTCAGTTTGGCTGATGATGTTATTCAAACCCTCTGTATTATTAATTTTCCATTTATTTGATGTATTAATCACTCAAATAGATAAAAAAGCTAATAAGATAATGAATAAAAATATAATCATTAAACAATAGTAAAAAATAGCTATTAAATAAAAAAAGAATAGTAACATGATTGAATTTAACCATATTAATAAACACATTGAATATAAAATGGTCTGAAGAATTTAACTAAAAGTCAGAGATTGTCAGATTGGATTAAAAAAGACTCTTTGGTATGCTGCCTACATGAGGTATACTTTAAATATAAATATACTTTAAATATAAAATATCAAAAAGAAGGATTAGTAAGATATAGATCATGTTGTTGTGGTTGCTTTAGGGTATCTGGCACACATTTTTAACTTATTACAATTTATCTTCAAGTAATATTAAACCACTTAATGAAGGTCATAAAAGTTTGAAAACATTATGTACTTATTAACATAACTCCAAAATATATTTTGGTGTAGACACATAATTTAAAACATGGCAGTGAAAGTAATGAATTAATTATTGATATACACATTGCGATGTCTAGATCTCAAAAACACATTTGAAAGAACAAGGATAAGTCACAGAAGAGTCTGTGTAATCTTATTTTATAATACAACTTGTTAAAAAAAGTAAAATAAAATGATATATTCTTAAATGATAAAGAAACACATGGTAAAGTTATTAAAAAATAGCAAAAGAATTATTAATAACAAATTTGGAATAATGGTTAACTGGGGGCCTGGAGAGCTGAGATACGGAGACATTCATTCATGGTATATAAAGACTTTAAAATATGAGGGACCTTCTATTTGAAGCTAAGCAATAAACAGATAATTTATTAATATTCTTTTATGTATAAAAGTCATGTATACATATACACACACATATATCTAGTACAGTATACTTTATAGCATAAAATCCATATACCAATATCTTTTTTCACACAATACCTTTGATCCTGTCAGTAGCAATTTTTTTCTGGTCCGGTTATACAGGTAGCCTCTTTCAATTAAAATAAAGAGGGGTGATGCACTAAATATTTATCTGGTGGGGTGATGGGTAAATGTGCCTGTTTTACTTAAAATCTGTCCTCTAGAATATCAACCTAAGAAAGATTCTGGCAAAAAGCTGTCATCAAAACACCAGAAACATGTGCATATTTTCCCCAAACATAATTCACAATATATAGCAGAATATTAGAAACGTTTGCCAACTCTTTAATAAAAATATTTTCAATCCTTGATCATTTCCAAAAGCTTTGTGTAATAGTTGAATCTTTGTATACTGTCGCCTGCCTTCCTGGAAACAACTTTCTTTTAAAATTGCATTTATGCTTCCAGACCAAACTCTTAGAAATGTATGCTTCTGTTTTCTGTGTCCAATCTTTTCCAGAATTCCTAGCCTTGCATTACACATTCCATTCATGAGTCTTTTAGGACATACTGCAGATTGTGGACAGGAAAAAACGATATACAGGGTGTATTAAGTGAAAACTGATTCTGGCATTAGAAAAATTTTTAAAAAAAGAGAAATTTTACTTTTCATATCTGACACGGCCCTGATAAATATTTGAGTCATGTATGCCTAAGAACAAATCACAACATCGATCAATAAATAAATGGATGTATAAATAGCTTACTAATGTCTGAAAAGAAAGGAAATTAACAACTCTGGTCATTTTGTTAGGTGCCAGATTCTGTGTTGTGTGCTAGACCTATGGTTTACTAGTCTTAGTCCCTTAAGGGAGATATTATTATCTACACTTGCATAGGAGAAATGTTACTGGTATAAAGATTAATTAACTTCACCATGTGCTCAACACTCAATACCTGGTGAGTACGGAGTTGAGCTTCAAACTCAGGTATGTCCGTCTTCCAAGACTGAGCCCCTCTTGTTAAATTATCTTATTAGAAGAGCTGAATAATCAAGTTCCAGGTGTACTTCCTCTTTGCTATCACGTAATTTTTCACTTAAAAACAATTGCTTTTTTCTTAATGATGAAATTATGTTAGTCCTAATACTTGCTTATGACCTAACACACAGTGATTTGATTAGACTCAGGTGAGCAAAAATGAAAAAAAAATTACTTGCAAACAGATGTATTCAAATCTTGGCTTTGTTGTTTTTAAAAATGTTTTACAATAGCATTTCTAGCACAAAAATTAATATGTGACCTGTAGCAGGTGCTTTGCAGCCTCTGATGAATTAATTAACCCATGTACTAGAAACAAACTTGAATGTCTGTTTGTATAGGTAAAATGTAGCAAAGTAGACTCACTGTATATTACAGCCTTCCTTTGAATTTGCCATTCCATATTTCCAGGAAGGTAAATGGTGGAAATTTCTTTTGGAATAATAAAATGACGAATGGAGTGACTGTGTATTCCGTGCATTGCCTCATAAAACACTGCAGGCAGGGTCTTTGGGGAAAGATGCAGCCGGGTTCCTAGTGCACACAGGCAGCCTGTTTAGACTCACTTTTTCTCTAAACAAATTCAAAGTGCCTCTGTTAAAGCAAGCTGGAGAGACTTGCCACAGGTGGTGGTCAGGACTGATGTGCATCTGCACTACTGGCCCAGCATCTCATTTCTTAATGAGTTTTGTCTGCTTTATGGTTCTGTAATTAAACAAATTGTTATAAGTGACTAAAAAATTGTTGCCAAGAAGCCCATTTCCGCAGCTGGCAGCCTGATACATCAGAAGTTTAATTGTTGAAAAGCTCTGTCAGGAGCCAAATTCTTTATTGTTGTTTGCCTAACAATTTCAAATACGTGGGTGAGTAGAAGTGGCACTTTGGGCACTATTAGACTTCTTTTATGACTGAGTTTTCCCCCAAATACCGGCTTTGTAAGTGGCTGAGTTGCTGGGGAATATATTAGGATAATCCATTTTTAAAAACAGGGATGAATCTTTAAACCAATGATACCTGTTGCCACTAAAGAGGTTTAAATCATAAGAACTAGTCTGGGTATTTTCTCCAGAGAATCACCAGATGAAGAAATATGGATGGCTTTCTAATCTCTGTCAAGTCCCTGGAGAGCAGAGCATCTTCTGGGGAGCTGTTTTCCTCTACTATGAATGAAAATCACTGATGCTGTCCTCTTTCTCTTACTTTAACTAAGGACACACGATACCTTGGTATTAACACAGAGCCAGGTCTCTGAGACACAAAACCCCCATTTCTATACAAAGAATTGTAGCTTCTAAGTTCAGACACTGTTCTTAGTACCATTTAATTTTTATTGTTTACACATCTTAAATTTATTTTAAAAATCATCTTTTATTTGAGTAAAAGTATATCAGAAAATAGAAATTTTTTTCCCAGTCTTATTGAGGTATTAAGTGACAATAACACTGTATAAATTTAATGTGTGAAATGTGATGATTTGTTATATGTATACATTATGAGGTGATTACCACAATCAAGTTAGTTCGCACATCCATCACACATAGTTACCATTTATGTGCGTGAGCGTGTTTGTGTGTGTGTGTATGTGTGTGGTAAGACCATTTAAGATCGATTCTCTTAGCAAATTTCAACTATACAATACATATTATTAATTATACTCCCCATGCTGTACATTGAATCCCTATGATCCATTCATCTTTCTATATGGCCCCAAATAGATACCTTTTGTTTCTTTACTATGTTAAGCAGGACATTGTCAATGAGACTTTAGGGGTTTTTTTTGGTTTTAAATTATATGCTTCTCTGATTATTAAACTAATACACCTTTAGTTTAGAACATTAAAAATATATAATAAGAAAAAAAAAACACTCAAAATCCCACACTGATATATTGGATAATTTCTCAGCAAAGATCCACTCCGCTCCTCCTTAACATAGCATATACTCCTTGATCCACTGAGTTTGTGTTTGGCTATGAGTTTTCCTCTGACACTGGGAAGGTAGGAAAAAGTGACATGTTGAATGTGGGCAGAAGTGCCAGTTCAGAGTAAAGGCTTTAAGAGGCTTGCCCTCTGCACTCCTGGTGTCCACCATGACATTCACAGGTCCTGCTTCTTCAGCCTGGGTCCCAGTAAGAAGTAGATGTGCACAAGACCTGGGTCCAACCAGATCTAGTGAAGTTCTAAGCAGTCTCCTTTTAAGCCTAAAATAAATGTCTCTTATTATAAGTCCCTAAGATTATGAGATTGTCTATTACACAGCAAAAATTGACATATACATCCAATTTCAATGGAGATTGTGTGTGCATGTACAAAGGTATGCAGTAGATCACACTCACACACACACACACACATAGATTTGAAATAGATTGCTTCTAATGCAACCAACTCATTCTAATGCAACCAACTCTTTCTAGTTTGCCTGATACGTTCCTGGTTTTAGCACTGTAAGTTCCCTACCCTGTTAAACTCCTCAGTCTCAAGCAAACCGGGATTATTATCATCCTACGTCTTACATTTTTCTTTTTTTTTACATAATAAGTCTACTTTTCTTGCTTAGTAAACTTCGATTAGAAACCTGCGCTGTTGCATGTTCTTCTTAGTTTGTAGTAATTGAATAATACCCAGTCACATGCACAAACCAAGAAATTAATTTAACCAATCACCTAACGTTGGATATTTATTAATAAGTTATTTTTAAGGTTATTTCTTCTTATAAATTAGGAAAACAATTCCTGTATAATATTTGGTCTCTTTTTTTATAATTTTAGCATAATTCTTCATAACTGAATTTTATAATTTGAGGTCAACTTGTTTTGTGGAATCAACAGCTTAATTTTAAAATATTTAAGTAGAAAATAAAATTTTTTGAAACAATTACATAGCTGTAATTCATATTACAATACATTGTGTAATGAGTACATGCATAACAAATATAAACCATCAGGGGCATGCACTAGAATCTCAACAGGCGTTAAGCCATTTGTTCTTAGGGCTATCTGATAAACAACCTTAACTCCATCTGCTACCTTGGTTTCTCTTGACCACGCAACAGGAAAAAAATAACAGTTATGGGAATTAAGAAGTGAAAATCTTTGGGAGGCAACTGTTCTGCCTACCACAGAGCCTGAGCTGAGCATCCAGCTGACAGTCACATCAACTGATAGCCATGTGAATGATCTATCTTGGATGTTTAGACCAGCAGGGCTTCAGATGACAACAGACCAAATTTATATCTAATTGCAAATTTCTGATTCTCCCCAAGTGCTAATCACCCCACAGAGCCAAACCAATATATAGAACCAGGGCAAATAATAATAAATGTATATTTTAAGCCCTGAAGTTTTAGGGTGGTTGGCTATAGAGCAAATGTAAACCTCATTTGGCTAACTCCAATGGTCATTTTTCTTACTATTTTCCTTGAGCTGACAGCATTATTTCACAAAATTGTGAACTTCCTTCTCCTTGGTATACTTTTTTTTTTGTATTCAACTTCTAGTATATCACACACTTCTAAGATTTTAAGTGACTCTCTTGTTGTTTTTCTCAGTTTCCCTTGCTAATTCTTCTTGTATATAACCTCATAAGGTTGGAGTAATCCAGTGCTTAGTCCTTATCTTTCTTTTATATTTAAATTTCATCCCCTGGTAATCTTAGTCTCATATGGTTATATATCAACCATATGCCAACTCCCACATTTAAATCGCTAGATGAAAATTTTTTGCAAACCTCTGTATTCATAAATCCAATAGCGTACATTACATCTCCACTTGGATATCTAATTGCCATCTCAAACTCTAATTGTCCCAAACTAAGGTAATATCTGCCTTTAAATGTGTCCCATATACAGTCTTCCTTATCTTAATTGCTAGGAACTCCATCCAGTCCCCAACCACTGAATTATAAGGGCACCAGTGACCATATATTAGTTAGTTTTCACACTGCTAATAAAGACATACCCCAAACCGGGAACAAAAAGAGGTTTAACTGGACTTACAGTTCCACATAACTCGGGAGGCTTCAGAATCTTGGCAGGAGGCGAAAGGCACTTCCTACATGGTGGCAGCAAGAAAAAAATGAGGAAGAAGTAAAAGTGGAAACCCCTGATAAACCCATCAGATCTTGTGAGACTTATTCACTATCATGAGAATAGCACATGAAAGACTGGCCCCCATGATTCAATTACCTCCCCCTGGGTCCCTCCCACAACATGTGGGAATTCTGGGAGATACAATTTAAGTTGATATTTGAGTGGGGACACAGCCAAACCTTATCAGCCCAGTTTTGTTTAAGACAATTTTGCCATGGAATGGAAGGGGGAGTTGGATGGTTTGAGAATAAAAGTGTGCCACCTCGGACATTATTTAGATTATCACAAGAGGCATGCAACCTAGATGCCTTGCACGTGCAACTTACAATAGGGTTCCTGCTCCCATGCGAATCTGGTGCAGCTACTGATCTGACAGGAGGCAGAGCTCAGGCCTTAATGCTTGCTGGCCCACTCGTCACCTCCTGCTGTGCAATCCAGTGCCTAACAGGCCATAAACCCCTACTGGTGCACAGACCTGTGGTTGCAGAGCCCTGTTCTAATTGAGGTAGGGTGTATACCTTCTTTCTCTCACATCTCATACCCAATACAAAACTTTCTTAGGAACTGTGGAAGGTAGATAGATAACAGGATGGTAGGTAAAGTGTTTCTTCATATTTCTGCCTTTAAATGACACTTGACAATTGTGCCTAAAGTCAATTGAGCATAACTAGTCATTTTTACCTGAATATGTTGACAAAAGTGGAGGAGTAGAGGAACTATTTGAGGACCACCATCGTCTCTACCACAACTCCTCCCTGGTCTACATAAAGAACAAAAATATAACTTTTTTTTGTATTATTTCTCTCAGTTTTTCCTCATACCCTAAACATTATTACTTTTATATAAAAAAGTCAATATTGTGCATATTCATTTTATGTCAGAATTACTCACATATTCATATCAGAATACTAGGGAATTTAGTCATTTAATTTTCTTAGGATATATTTCAAAGCTGTTTTTGAAGTCAAATAGCAAATCTATAATTCTGCCCTACAAAAGTTTTTAGTGAACGGATTAATCTAATGATATCATCCAATCACCCTCCTTTAGGGAAGCAGCACACTTCAGATTTTTAAAATTTGAGATTGGTAGAGATTTCTTTAACTGTTTCTATTATCTGGAAATTCCATATTATAAACCACTACTTTTCATGTGTTCTTCCCTTTTGGACTGATATTTTATTGCTTGAAGAGTAGCCTTTAACTTGTGTATATATTAATGGGTCAAATCACAGAAACTATTAGTACATTCAAAATACAATTGCCAACAAATAAGTGTCTTGCAAATTTTACTTATTGGAGGCCTCACACTATCTATAGTCAACTCT
Source organism: Homo sapiens (assembly GCF_000001405.40). NCBI lineage: Eukaryota > Metazoa > Chordata > Mammalia > Primates > Hominidae > Homo > Homo sapiens. Next base: position 9,553,297 of record NC_000007.14, on the reverse strand, counting down.
TAAAATGCATTATGACTGAGAATCATATTACTCAGAACTATTTAATAATTGAAATATTTTAAATATTATAAAAATTTGTGTGAAAATATTTTGTCTATTGTATAAGCATTTTGCATGTTTTGCTATTTCTTAACAATGTTTTTTCACAAGAAAAAAATGTTAAAACAGAAGAGATGCATCTAAATACATGCAAACATCTTTCATTAGTTTTTCGTAATATACTAATCAGGTAATATTTTTAAAACTGAAAATTTGTGGCAAATTATATATCATCTTTTAATTGCGGCAATCACTGCTCTAGATATTTTTCACGTTATTAAAATGTATTATTCTGAATAATATTCTAGAAAGTACACTAATACTTTCTTTTTTTTTCTTTGAGATGGAATTTTGCTCTTGTTGCCCAGGCTGGAGTAAAATGGTGTGATCTTGGTTCACTGCAACCTCTGCTACCGGGTTCAAGTGATTCTCCTGCCTCAGCCTCCTGAGTAGCTAAGATTACAGGTGCCTGCCACCACACCAGGCTAATTTTTGTATTTTTAGTAGAGACATGGTTTCACTATGTTGGCCAGGTTGGTCTTGAATTCCTGACCTCAGGTGATCCACCTGTCTCGGCCTCCCAGATTGCTGCGATTATAGGCGTGAGCCACCATACCTGGTAGACTAATAAATTCTTGAGGTTAAACACCATGTGTGATTCATCTCAAAACCATCCGTATCCTATAGTACCTCATAATGAGTAGGAAATAAAAGTGACCATATTTGCATTGTCAACTAAAAACTCTTCATGATTTCTGATGCCAACTAATTTTTATACATCCATTGATTTGTAGCCTATTTTACAACTTCTACAATGGAAATGCTGAAAATATATTGCTGTATAAAAATTAGTTTTAGTCAAGATCACCATTTGAAGATATCAGTGTACATAATGTCAGGTTTTTTTTCACCATAAGAAATCATTCTATTTAATTTATTTTTGACTCTTGAACTTAGATTAACTCCTCTATTACACTTTCCTCTCCCATATAAAAACCACAGTCTTATAAGTTTTCTGGTGGGCTCATGGCTATTCTGTGCTTTCTATTCCCTCTTCTTTTTACATGTCACTGTCTTTAATAGATGCAAACATACACTCAGAAATAAAACCAGCAGCTGGATCTCTGGCATTTGCAATTTCCAGAGATCTCAGTAAGACATTATATATATTTGAACCAGCCCACAATTTTACCAACATTATCTGCTCCTGAGCATCACTTGTAACTAAAAGTGCCTTAGGGACAAAGTTATAATAAGTAGCAATAGACATATACTTTCGTAAACAACCCTGGGATTTCATTGTGGGAATTAGAGTGTGTACTACTCATTTATGGATGACAGTAATACACACTCTCATTCCTAAAAGTGAAAATGTCTCTAGCAACTTTCCTGTCTCACCCCTATGAGCACATTTACATGTGTGATGACAGTTGCTGTATCAATCACGGGATTTGCAGTTGGTTCGTGGGGCACATGCGTAGTGTATGTGCAGCATAATTATTTTTATTGCATAAACAGAATGTCCATATGTGTATATCTCACCACTAACTAACACAACTTAGCATGGTGCTTGGCACACAGTTGGCAATCAATAAAATTATATTTACTAAGTAAAAAGAATACTGAAGATGTTAACTCTGATTTAACTATACTGAAAAATACATCACTCATGTATCATGAATTATCAAAACAATGTAATCTTCCAAGATACACCACATATTAACTACATGGTCCTAAACAATGACACATTTGCATAATACCTCATATAATGTTGATGTGAGGATTAAGTAAATGATGTACACAAATCACCTAGCATCTACCAGACACATTGGAATAATTTAATCTACATTTAAAACAAAAATAGATGGAATCAAAAACAAAAATTCAAAAAAAAAGGATTTTAGAAATTCTTTTTGAAGGAAGGTTAAAAATATTTTCTTAAGATTTAACATAAATTCTTTAAGAAATTTTTATATTTTCTTAATATAAAAATAATATTTGCAAGAAAGACCCACTCTAAATCTTTGCATAAAATACGAGCTCTTATATTTACAAGTACAACATGCTTATAAATTGTTAGATTATCAAACTTTTCTAAGTTCCGTCAGTAAGCAATAAACAAAAGGATAGATACAATGCAATCAAAATATTTGAGCTGAATAGCAAGTTTAAAATATGCCGTATTAACTTCTCAAATTCTACAGGTAAGTATGTGACATGTATTCCACTACATTCTCTGGTGTATTACTTGTACGCCAGAGATTACAAAGTGTTTACACAAACGCCAGGTACTTAAGTAGCTTTGTGTCCTTTTATATAAACATGGAGTACGGGCTTTGTTTTCTTCCTTCACAAAAGGCTAAGCTCAGAAAATTTTATTTCAAACCTCTGGGCAGTGTTGAAAAATAAAACGGGCTTCTTTCCATATTCTCAATTTAACACTTATCCATCTCCTGGATCAGAACGAACTAAATAACTGATCTAATTCAAGTTATCATGGAAGACAAACTATATCGTTTAAAGTTCAATCATTAAAAATTTTAACTATTTATGTGATTTCTATCTTCCTTGCCTAGTTTATTTAGAAGTGCTTTTCTTCTCTTTCCTCTATCCTCAACTTCTTTTCTTGTGAGTTTTCAGAATATGAACATGTCCGTCCTCTCCTCTAACCTTCATGAACTCTACATGGAACTTATTCTTCTGTATAAAACATCTTGAAAAAGTCCAACACTTGCCAGTCTCTTTTACTTGCCTGTAAATTCTTCCTTAGAAACTTGTTTAATTTCCTTAGCTAAGATCATGGGGATAAAATAATAATTTTCTTTGAAAAAAGTTGTTTGAAAATAGTATTGAATACCATTGTGAGAACAACAAATAAAACATCCAAAGAGCAGTGAATTTTATTCTTAGACTCCCAGTAATGGGTCAGGAGCAGTGGTTCACACTTGCAATCCTAGCACTTCGGGTAGCCCGAGGTGGGCATACGTCTTGAGCTCAGGAGCTCAAGACCAGCCAGGCCAACATGGGGAAACCCCGTCTTTACTAAAAATACAAAATTTAGCCAGGTACTCTGACATGCACATGTAGTCCCTGCTACTCAGGGCACTGAACCAGGAAGCAGGAGGATCGCTTGAACCTGGGAGGTCGAGGCTACAATGAGCCGAGATGGTGCCATAGCACTCCAGCCTGGGTGACAAAATAAGACCCTGTTTCAAAAAAAAAAAAAAAAAAAAGAATCTCGATAATGAATTTTGCCTGTGCATACCTTTTTTAAACTTAGGCACAATATCTATACTTGTTTTTTTATTCCATAGGTACACATTGAGAACATACTATGTTCTCATAGTGAGCCAGGCACAATGGCTCACGTCTGTAATTTGAGCACTTTGGGAGGCCGAGGCGGGTGGATCACGAGGTCAAAAGTTCGAGACAAGCCTGACCAACATGGTGAAACCCAATCTCTACTAAAAATTCAAAACTTAGCTGGGCGTGGCAGTGCACACCTGTAATCCCAGCTACTCAGGAGGATGAGGTAGGAGAATCGCTTGCACCTGGGAGGCAGCGGTTGCAGTGAACCGAGATGGCACCACTGCACTCCAACCTGGGTGACAGGGCGAGACTCCATCTCAAAAAAAAAAAAGTGCACAAAATGTTTCTCTCCATTGAACTTAAAGACTATTGAAGAGTAATGAAAATATAGTTGAATATAAATAATGATACTTTGAAAGTATAATGATATTTTGAAAGCAATGCTTTCAAAATCAGTGAAAAAAAAATCCAAATTTGAACTACAAAACAAACACAGGCACGATGACAAAAACAGATGAGAATCAAAGCAGGGAATGACAAACCAGATAAGTCAGTTTAATATCTGCTAGCTTCTGTAAAATATAATAGAAAGCAATCATCTGGTTCTTTGCATAATTATTAAGAATAATGTAGTTTGTCCTTTAGATTATTATTGAAGAAAGAACCATACATAGATAGTCAAATTATTGTAGTAAATAAACTACACAAATTTCAGGCCATGTTGCCTCCCTACTCATGACTGCAGATGGAATACTGAAATGGAAGAGGGTACATACTTATTATTCAAAAGATATTGGGAGCTGGGATTGCTGCAAATGAGTCAGTCTTTTGCCTTCCACTAGAGGTGGTAATAAAACAGGAAACCAAAAGTGCAACAAGCACTAAACAAATAATCGCATATACAAACATACAATGAAAATTGTTCTGACTAGCATTAAGAAAGTTTAAAGAATCCATGAGAAATTTTAAAAAGAAAGACTGAATTTAAATGGTGGTCACATAGAGTGATCAAAAAAAGCTTCTCTGATGAAGTGGCATTCTAGAAGAGATCTGAAGGATGAGTAAGAGTTGGCCAGGTCCAATATATAGGGAAGAATCGTTTAAAAGCATTAGGTTTTTCAAAAGCCCAACAGGCAGTTGGAGCATTTGACTTACTTAAAGATCAGTATAATTAGAGCACAAACAGTATGAAGGAGATGGGCTTATGACATTAAAGATATTAACATGTCATAAATATATTATATAATATCATACTACATGTTATATATGGCAACAGTGGCAAACACATGCTTGTGTGTCCAGGCAAGAAACAATCATATCAAGTTTATTTGATAAGCATAGTAATGAATGATGGAGACTGCAGGAAACTGCAGGGCACAGGATCAGCTTCTACTAATTTTAGAAGGTTGTTGCACATGAAATGTGGGCATTATGTTGTCCAGACATCTGATTTATCAAGGGAAACCAGAAATATGTTACTATATGTGAAATTTTCTAATTTTAAAATTCTAGCTTAATGATGTATATACTCCATAGATCAAATAAAGTATATCTATGAGGTGAATACAGCCCAATGGTCTTTAAGGATGTTAAGAATTTTTACTTACATCCTAAGCAAAATTATAAGCAATTCAAGCAAAGAGTAAGTAGGAAGGGACAAAATCAAATATGTATTTTTTATTAAAAAATTTGTGCTCTGGAGAATTGATTGTTAAGAGTATAATTTGGGTATAAGATGATATTGATTTGGCAAATTGGTGATGCTGATGTGGAAGACAATAAATTGAAGGTATAGTTTGGAGTTTGAATTAGTTAGGTATTGGTTGTAGAGAATGAGGAATAGAGAAATATTAAAGTTGAGTTCCTGGATGCTGTCATGAACTTTTGAAATAGCTGTATCTTTTGCTTTTGTTGAGCATTTTTTCCTTGAATATTTTTCTTGATTTCTGGAAAAGAGCTACTATTTTTTGTTACTTCAACACCTCTTCCTCTGCTTTTATTCTCCTTTAGTCATGATCCACCTACGCTTGAAGATCCATATACAAACTATGAAATTCTCATGAAGAATCAGACTACTCCTCCAACTGACACTGGTGTGGGCATCTGACTAACCCGATCCAAGCATAAAGCTTCCTTCTAGACTCAATAATTTAGCAAGAGATAGACACTTGTGCCAAACTGGGCCAAGCAGCATTCTGTTTATTAATTTTTTTAGTCAAAACGTTAGGATAGAGGTTTTGCATTTGCCACAATTGATATTTAATCGCCAAGAGGCAGATCACCATATCTTCCCTCACGTGAAACACTGGTCTGACAGAATGAAGTTGACACATAAAGAGAATTAAAATAGAAGTGAGAAAGCATCTTGTTGTTGTTTTAATTTTCTAATTGCTACATAATTATTATGTTTATTTATGGGGTACAAAGTAATATTTTAATACATGCATTTAAAGTTTAATGATCAAATCAGAGTAATTACCATATACATGACCTCAAATATTTATGATTTCTTAGTATTGGGAATATTCAAAATCATCTCTTTTAGCTATTTGAAATTATTCAATAAGTTATTGTTAACTATAGTCACCCTACAGTGCCATAGCACACTAGTACTTAGTCCTCCTTTCTCGGTATAATTTTATATACATTAAGCAAGTGTTCTCGATCCTCATCTGTCCCCAACCTTTCCCAGCCTTTAATAACCACAATTTTGTGGTTATATAAGCTCAACATTTTTAGCTCCCACACATGAAAGAGAACATGCTATATTCATCTTTTTGTGCCTGATTTGTTTCACTTAAAATTATATCCTTCTGGCTCCCTCTTTGCCGCAAATGACAACATTTCCTTCTTTTTCTTGTGTCTATATAGTAAATTTTCATTATCCACTCATCTTTTGATACACACTTAGGCTAATTCCATATCTTGGCTAATGTGAATAGCACTGCAATAAAAATGGCGGTATAGATATCATTCTGATGTGTTGATTTTCTTGCCATTGAATAAATACCCAAATGAGATTGAGATTGTTGGATCATATGGTACTTTTTGTTTCGTTTTGTTTTGTTTTGAGACGGATTCTCTCTCTGTCGCCCAGGCTGGAGTGCAGTGGCGCAATCTCAGCTCACTGCAACCTCCGCCTCCAGTTTAAGCGATTCTCCTGCCTCCTTCTCCCGAGTAGCTGGGACTACAGGCGCCCGCCACCACGCCCGGCTAATTTTTTGTATTTTTAGTAGAGACGGGGTTTCACCGTGTTAGTCAGGGTGGTCTCTATCTCCTGACCTCGAGATCCGCCCATCTCAGCCTCCCAAAGTGCTGGGATTACAGGCGTGAGCCACCACGCCTGACCCTGGTACTTTTATATTTAGTTTTTTGAGTCAGTTGCATGTTTTCTATAATAACTGTATTAATTTACATTCCCTCCAATAGTTTGTAAGAGTTCTCTTTTCTCCAGATCTTCCAGTATCTGTTATTTTTTCTCCTTTTGATAATAGCCACTCTAACTGGAGTGAGAAGATATCTTTTAGTTTTGACTTGTATTTCCCTGGTGATTAGTGAAGTTGAACATTTTTTCATATACTAGTTGACCATTTGTTTGAGTTATTTTATAAAATGTCTAATCAGATCCTTTGTCCATGTTTTAATAGTATTATTATTATCATTATTTGCTGTTGATTTGAATGCTTTTATATTCTGGATATTAATCCCTTGTAAAATGAATAGTTTGCAAATATTTTCTCCCGTTCTACAGATTGTCTCTTCACTCACTTGATCGTTTCCTTTGTTGTGCAGAAGCTTTTTAGTTGGATACAATACCATGTGTCTATTTTTCTATTGTTGCCTGTGTTTTTATAATCTTACCTATAAAATATTTGCCCAGACTAATGTCCTCTAGCACTTCTTCCATGTTCTATCCCAGTAGTCTCATATGTTATGTTAAAATATTTAATCCACTTTTACTCTGATATTTGTAGGGGTCTAGCATCATTCTTCTACACATAAATATACAGTTTTCCCAGTGCCATTTACTGAAAAGCCTATCCTTTCCCCAGTGGATGTTCTGGCGCCTTTGTCAAAAACCAGTTGACTGTAAATACATGGGTTTATTTCTGGGTGCTATATTCTGGTCTATTGGTCTATGTATCTGTTTTTGAGCCAGGACCATGTGGTTTTGGTTATTATAGCTTTGTAGTTTTCTTTTGAAGTCAGGTAATGTGATGCCTCCAGCTTTGTTCTTTTTGTTCAGGCTTGTTTTGGCTATGTGGGGTCTTTTGTGAAACATCAAATGAAATTCCATACGAATTTTAGAATTTTATTTCTATTTTCATGAAAAAATGTCATGGGTATTTTGATAGGAATTGCCCTGAATCTGTAGGTGGGTAGTATGGTCATGTTAACAATATTTATTCTTCCAATCTATAAACATGGAATCAAATTCCATTATTTTGGTGTGTTCTCTTCCATTACTTTCATCACTTCTTTGTAGTTTTCATTGTAAAAGTATTTTACCTCCTGAGGTAAATTTATTCCTAGGTATTTTACTTTTTATTTTTATAGCCTTTGTAAATAAAATTGCTTTCTTTATTTCTTTTTCAGCTAGTTTGTAATTGGGATTTAGAAATACTACTGAAATTTGTATGTTGATGTTATATCCTGCAATTTTACTGATTTGTTTATCAACCCTAATAGTGTTCTAGTGGAGTCTTTATGTTTTTCTATATATAAAATTATGTTTTAAACAAAGAGAGATGATTCAACTTTCTCTTTTCCAGTTTGTATGTCCTTTATTTCTTTCTATTGCTTAATTTCTCTGGTTAGGACTTTCGATAATATGTCAAATAAAATTATGAATGTTGGCATCTTTGTCTTGTTCCAGTTCTTACAGGAAACGATTTTCCCCATTCAGTATGATGTTAGCTGTGGGGGTTTTCATATATGGCCTTTATTGTGTTGAGATATATTCCTACCATATCTAATTTACTGAGAGTTTTTATCATGAAGAAACATTGAATTTTATCATTTTTTCCACATCTATTGAGATGGTCATATGGCTTTTGTCCTTTATTCCACTGATGTGGTATATCACATTTACCGATTTGCATATGTTGAATCATCCTTGAGTCTCTGTGACAAGTCCACTTAATGATGTATAGACTTTTCGATGTGCTGTTGGATTTATTTTACTAATATTTGATTCAGGAGTTTTGCACCTATGTTCATCAGGAATATTGGCCTGCAGTTTTCTTTTGTTTGTTTGTCTTTGTCTAGTTTTGGTATCAAGATAATGCTGGCCTTGGAAAATAAGTGAGAAACAGTTCTCTCCCCCTGGGGAAGCTGTGGCACAAGAATCACTTGAAACCAAGAGGCTGAGGTTGCGCTGAGCCAAGGTTGTGCCACTGCACTCCAGCCTGGGCGACAGAGTAAGATTCTGTCGAAAGAGAAACAAAACAAAACAAAAAACAAACAAACAAAAACAAAAAAACAAAAGGGTTCTCTCCCCTTTAATTTTTTGGAATAGTTTGAGAAGAATTGCTGTTAGTTCTTTTTTTTGAAAGTTTATTAGAATTCATCAGTGAAGCTATTCTGTCCTGAACTTTTCTTTGTTGGCTGACTTTGTACTAGTGATTTAATCTTGTTACTGATTATCGGTTGTTGAGGTTATCTATTTCTTCTTGGTTCTCTCCTGGTAAGTTGTAAGGATACAGGAATGTATCCATTTCTTCTAGTTTTTCCAATTTGTTGGCATGAAGTCTTCATGTATGTATGCTTTGATGAATTGCCTGCTTTCCAAGGTGTAGGGCACTGTGTGGACTTGGGTGCTGGTGCCATGACTGCAACACCAGGCCCAGCTTTTGCTGTGACACTGCAGCCATCTGAGTGGATGTGGTGAGATGGTAAGCAGGGCCATATTTATGGAGCCTGGAGCTGTTGGGTCCCAGGGGTCAGATGGTTGCTCTGCTCTCAGAATGGTGCCATGTTGCAGCAGCCTGGGTCCCAGGGAATGAGGGTGCTCCAGCATAAATTTTCTCTCTAGAATAATGTAATCACATGGACTCCAGCCACTATCTTTACTAGACTCATGGCTTGTGAGGGCTGCGGGTCTCTCCTATAGCTAGGATTGCAGGCATCTCTGTTGGAAATGTGGACTGCTGGGGATCTCCTGCTTACCTTTTTCCCACAGTGAGGAGTCCTTCTTGAGTGCAAATTTAAACCCAAGTAGCACTTCACTTCCGTCTATGCTGCCATCACGAGTTTCTGTGCCTCAGAAGATCTTCATCTCTTCCTTACTAAATTTCAGTATATTCCATTAAACACTCTACTAACTTGTGATTATCTATTTCTTATTTTGGTATTTGTTTTTGTAGGAGTTAGGTGTTGGGTGCCTCTAGTCAACCATCTTTATCCAGAGAACATCTTGATCACTTTGTAATTTCAGCTTCTAGTCTCTGTTCTCCCCATAACTACCCTGACTGCTATCTCCACAAACATTGGTTTTTCAAACCATTACTCTAATTTTATGACAGATTCTTCTATCCATTCAATATACCATTGTTTGAATATCATTGTACAGGCTTAATATCTACCATTTAAAACTAAAATACTGCTCACAAATAAAGTTCAGCCCTACTGGTTATCAATACACTTCCCTGATTATTTCCTTTATACGTCTTTTGTCTGCTGACCTCTTAAATGACATGTAATATAGGGATCCATTTTCTTCTATATTACCAGATAGTACATATCTAAACATCTCTACCACCTATATTTCATGAAGATCTCTGGGAATAGTGCTAGACTCTGTTTTAGTCAACATATTACCCAATCAAATCAATTATTAAATTTTGTCAATTATACCTCCTGAATAGCTCCTCTCCAATCCTAATGCAAGCAGTTTAGTTTATATATTCACCATCTCTCACTTGGCCATTTATAGTTTCCTCAATTATCTCTCTTCCACTAGTGACAGCTCTCATCTCTTCCTGCATCTATGTCACTGCTGGAGTTAGATTCCTGAAATGAAAATCTTGATACATGGATACAATGCTGACACTTTACAATAGTTCTTATAACCTTCAGATAGGAGTTCAAGCTTCTTCATATTGTGTGTAGGCCCTGCTATCAGAATCCTGCCTGCCACTTCAATTATATATCTTACCACATGCTCCCATCACTTGGGTCCCAGAGAATCAGATTCCTAGTTGTTCTATGTCTGTATCATGTGATTTTGTGGCTCTGAGCTTTGTCTTAAACACTCTAGGTGTCTGAAATCCCCTTAAATTCCTCATGTAAATGGTAGGCTTTTCTCCATCAATAACAATTATACTTAGGAACTGCTAACTATTTGCACAATTCCTAACTTCCTAGATATATTAGTCCATTCTCAGGCTGCTAATAAGAACATACTCAAGACAGGGTAATTTATAAAGAAAAAGAGGTTTAATGGACTCACAGTTCTATATGGCTGTGGAGGCCTTACAATCATGGCGGAAGGCAAAGGAGGAGCAAACGCACATTTTACATGGTTTCAGGCAAAAGAGTGTGCAGGGGAACTACCCTTTATAAAACCATCAGATATTATGAGATTTATTAACTATCACGAGAACAGCACAGGAAAAACACACATGATTCAATTACCTGCCACTGGGTCCCTACCACAACATGTGGGTATTATGGGAGCTATAATTCAAGATGAGATCTGGGTGGGGGCAGAGCCAAATCATATTATTAGACAAATATATTTACAGCCTTCTCTCTCTAGGCGTTCAACTTACTTCTACTATGGCCTGAGTTTTATTATAATTATTTGTTTATTTAATTTTCACTGTACTGTAGTGTAAGCCATTGCATTAGTCTGTTCTCACACTGCTATAAAGACATACCTAGGACTGAGTAATTCATAAAGAAAAGAGGTTTAATTGATTCACAGTTCCACGGGTTGTACAGGGCTCTGCTTCTGGGGAGGCCTCAGGAAACTTGCAATTATGCCAGAAGGTGAAGGGAAAGCAGGTAAATCTTCACATGCCTGGCAGGAGAGAGACAGAGAGAGAGTGAAGGGGGAGGTGCTGTGCACTTTCAAATAACTAGATCTCATGAGAAGTATACCATAAGAACAGCAAAGGGGAAGTTTGTCTCATGATTCAATGACCTCCTGCCAGATCCCATCTCCAACACTGGTGAATACGATTCAACATGAGATTTAGGTGGGGACACAGAAACAAGCCATATCATTCTGCCCCTGGCCCCTCCCAAATCTTGTGTCATTTTCATATTTCAAAACACAATCATTCCTTCCCACCAGTCCCAAAAGTCTTAACTTATTCCAGCATTAACTCAAAAGTCCACAGTCCAAAGTCTCATCTGAGACAAGGCAAGACACTTCTGTCTATGATCCTGTAAAATAAAAAACAAGTTAGTCACTTCCCAGATACAATGAGGCACATGCATTAGGTAAATGTTCCCATTTTAAAAGGCATAAATTGTCCAAAAAGAAGGGGCTACAGGCCCCATGCAAGTCTGAAACCCAGCAGGGCAGTCATTAAATCTTAAAGCTTCAAACTAATCTCCTTTGACTCCATGTCTCACATCCAGGGTATGCTGATTCAAGCGGTGGGCCCCCAAGGCCTTGGGCAGCTCTACCCCTGTGGTTCTGCAGGGTACAGCCCCCACAGCTGCTTTCACAGGCTGGTATTGAGTTCCTGCAGCTTTTCCAGGCTCACAGTGCAAGCTGTTGGTGAATCTACCATTCTAAGAGCTGAAGGATAGTAACCCACTTCTCACAGCCCCACTAGGGAGTGCCCCAGTGAGTACTCTATGTGGGGGCTCAAACTCCACATTTCCCCTTTGCACTGCCCTAGTAGAGGGTCTCCATGATGTCTCCATAGCTGCAGCAGACATCCAGGTGTTCTCATACACCCTCTGAAATCTAGATGGAGGCTCTGAAGCATCAACTCTTGTCCTCTGCACAGCGTCAGGCCCAACACCACATGGAAGCCACCAAGTCATAGGACTTTCACCCTTGGAACCAATGGCCTAAGCTGTATCTTAACCCCTTTTAGCTTCGGCTGGAGCTGGAGCAGCCGTGATGCAGGGTGCCATGTCCCATGGCTGTATAGAGCAGCTAGGCTCTAGGCCTGACCCATGAAACCAATTTTTCCTCCTAGGCCTCCAGGTCTTGATGAGAAGGGCTGCTGCAAAGGTCTTTGAAATGCCTTGAGGCATTTTGTCCGTTGTCTTGGCTATTAACATTCAGCTCCTTTTTACTTGTGCAAATTTCTGCAGCCAGCTTGAATTTCTTCCCCCAAAATGGGTCTGCCGTTTCTACCACATGGCTGGGCTGCAAATTGCTAATTTTCTAAACTTTTATGCTCTATTTCCCTTTTAAGTATAAGTTGCAGGTTCAGGTCATTTCTTTGTTTTTCCAGATGAGCTTAGACTTTTAGAAGTAGCCAGGCTGCAACTTGAACACTTTGCTGCTTGGATATTTCTTCCACTAGATACCCTAAATCATCTCTCTCAAGTTCAAATTTCCACAGATCTTTAGAGCAGGGGCAGAATGCCACCTGTCCCTTTGTTAAAGCATAGCAAGACTAGCCTTTACTCTAGTTCTCAATGTTTCTCATCTGTATCTGAGACTTCCTCAGCCTGGACTTCACTGTCCATATCACTATCAGCATTTTGATCACAACAATTTAACAAGTATCTAGGAAGTTCCAAGCTTTCCCTCATCTTCCTGTCTTTTTTTGAGCCCTTCAGATTGTTCCAACCTCTTCCCATTATCCAGTTCAAATTCGCCTCCACATTTTCAGGTGTCTTTATAACAATGCTCCACTTTTCTGGTACAAATTTTCTGTATTAGTTTATTCACACACTGCTATAAAGACATACCTGAGACTGGGTAATTCATAAAGAAAACAGGTTCAATTGAAACACAGTTCCTCAGGCTGTATAGGTTTTGCTTCTGGGGAGGCCTCAGAAAACTTAACATCATGCCAGATGTTAAGATGATGGTGACGGGGAAGCAGGCATGTATTTGCACGGCTGTCAAAAGAGAGAGAGAGAATGGGGGAGGTGCTACACATGTTCAAACAGCCAGATTTTGTGAGAAGTCTATCACGAGTAGAGCAAAAGGAAAGCCTGCCCCCATTATTCAATTACCTCCTGCCAGGCCCCACCCTTCAACACTAAGGATCACGACCCAACATGAGATTTGGGTTGGGACACAGAGCCAAATCATATCAGCCATCTATCTCTAGGTAAGGAGTGGATATCTTTTCTTAAGTACCTAGGATGCAAAATGACTGACAAAAAGATGGTATTCAATAAATGCTAAACTTAACTAAAAGATAGTGTGTTTACCTCCTAATGTTTACATCATTTGACTATTCACTAATATTTACTATTTATAAGTAGAAGAAGAATCAGAATAATAAAGTTTGAGTCCTGGTTGTGTGATACAAATTCAACTGCCTTTGGTCTCTATCTGCTTACTTGCTACACGTAGGTACTGATTTTTCTTACCTTACAAGGTTTTCCTACTGATAATATCCTTAAACAACATATTACAGTACATACAAGGCAGGTACTCAGTAGATGCTTGCTACTTCTATCCTCTCTTGTATATCGCCTCTATAGTTAACCACTAGATTTTCTTTGTGAAATTAATACTTCTTTAATACAAAAATATTTATATAAAGTAGAATAAAAAGCAAACTACTAACTTTTGTAAGTTAAACACTGCAAAATACTCTATACTGAATAAAGAATCAGATAACTAAGCATTTCTAAGATATTTGAAAACATAAACATCAGCCTCATGGGCCAATCAGCCTATTATATATGTGCAGGCATTTATTTTAGAGAAACTCACAATGGGATAATTACCTATTCACTTTAACAGTCTTGGCTGTAGCTACCACTGAATCAATGGAAGTTAATGTAGCAGATAGAATTTTTTTCTTTTAGTTAGCTTTCTTCTAAAACAGTGAAAGATAATGAGTAATAGAAGATAAAAGCACAAACACATTGAAATATATACGAAGAAAAATACTGTATCCTCTCCCACTAAATATGCAGTAAATGATGCAAAACAAAAAATACATTTTGCACACTATTTTTCCTAGACACCAAATTTAGAAATAAATCCAAGATATGACTAACACCGTGAATTTGGCTAGATTTTAATGCTAGAATAAGAAGCCTACTGTCGAGGAAAATTTCCAACCTTAGCAAACATAACTATAAGTTGCTTTCTCTTCTCTCTGAGTTTTTACTTCTAACTCAGTGTTTTTGGTGTGTATGCTACCTTCTTTATTCAGCCAGAGAGTCATGGTGTCAAACTCCCTGAATTATGAATGTAGAAACTCTCAGAAAGTCACAAACAATAGATCACCGAAAGAAAGATGTTTGCCATTTGAACCTATACTTAACAGTAAAGTGCAAACTAATTATCTTAATATTTAACATAAAACAAAATAAAATAAAGTATTATCTGGTAAAATTCATTTTGCCATGATAATATTAGAGATTAAGTTATTATCTGTCAGTCTTGGTGATATAAATAAAAAAATGATAGGCAGGTTCACTCCCCCACCAATATGTTAAAAAATAAACAAACAGTAAAGCAATCTGCAATTACAAAACATTAAAATTTATCTGTACCAATATATGATTTACTAATTTTTAAAATAAATTACTCAAGTCACTCATTGAGGATAGAATTGGCCTGTCACACATTTATAGAAACAAATGAGAAAGACTGACAGAAAAGTGTCAGTTTTCACAAGTTTGGTTGCTTTGTGAAATATCAAGTATGCTTACATGAGATAGAAGTCACAGAACTGTAAATAAAATATAACATTATTGATGGCCATGGGGCTTTTTTCACTATGGACAATGTTTTTGAAAAATAATCAGTAATGTCATTTAATTTCAAAATTACCTCAGTGTTATACATTCAAATATAAATAATGAATTGTTGAAAAAAATCTTTGTATGTACATCTCACCACAATAAAATCAAAGTGAACTCTATAAAAGCTCTAAAATATTAGAAAGAACATAAGAAATCTATAATTTACTATTATGTATATGTATGTGTGTATATATGTACATATATACATATATAAAAATATTAAATTTTGAATTTTTTAAATTCTAGAAATAATATTCCACATTATACAGAGAAATAATATAATGTACACCTACATGCCCATTAACTGGATTAATAATTGTTCACATTTTTTCATATTTATATCTTTTATTTATGATAAAATATTTAAATTATTGACATTATGAATTTTCTCAGTAAGGTACTTTATTATGTTTCTCTAAATAAATATGGACATTTTAGGACTTAACCGTAATACCCTATTACATCTAACAAAGTTAACAATTATGACAATGTGAAAGCAATAATTTATCAACCTAATTGAATAAACATTTTGTATTCAAATTCCCAAATTGACACACTTAATTATCTTCTCACTCTGTATTTCTCATAAAATGGAGGTTTGATTTAAAGCCTTTTTTTGACTGAAGTGAAACACTGCTGGCAAGAATACCTTATAGGTGAAAGGTGTGCAATGTTTTGTTGTGGCATTCATAGGAAGCTAAAGTTAATCACCAAATGAGGTTGGGGATGGTTTTATTCATCTGTTGCAAAGTTCTACTTCTTTCCCTTAACAGTCAAAATATTGAATGATGTGATTTTTGTGTATGTCCTGAGAACATATATTTCATATATTTTCTTCATAAATTTGTACTGTAATTTTAAAAATAGTGATTTTCTATTTTTTTTAATTAATGAAAATAGGGATACAACTCATCAAAATCTCAGGAATGCAGCTAAGGCAATGCTAAGGAGAATTTTATAGTGCTAAATGTCTTCATCAAGAAGTTTAAGAGATCTTAAATTAACAATCTAACATTGCACCTAACAGTACTAGAAAAAAAGAACAAATCAACTCAAAAGCTAACAGAAGAAAAGATAACTAAAATTAGAAAAGAACTGAACAAAATTGTGATGCAAATATCCATACAAATATCAATAAAATCAATAGTTGGTTCTTCAAGAGAATTAACAGGATGATAGATTGCTTAGCTACATGAACAAGCAAAAAAAAGAGAAGGTCCAAGGAAGTACAATCAAAAATGACAAAGATAAAGTTGCAACCAATTTCAAAAAAAATACCAAAGATCCTCAGAGACCATTATGAACAGCTCATGCACACAAATTAGAAAATCCAGAGGAATTTAATAAATTCCTGGAAACTCACAACCTTGCAAGGTTGAACCAAGAAGAAATTGAAACCTTTAACAGACTAATAACAAGTTCTGACATTGAATCACTAATTTAAAAACTACCAACCAAAGACAGCCCCAGATCAGATGGATTCTCAGCCAAATTCTATCAGATGTACAAAGAAGAACTGGTACCAATCCTACTGAAACTATCCCAAAATACTGGAAAAGGAAGGGGTTTTCCTTAACACATTCTATGAAAATAGCATCAGCCTGATAGAAAAATCTGGCTGAGACAGAACAAAAAAACAAAATAAAATTTCAAGCCAATACCCCTGATGAACATAGATGCAAAAGTCTTCAACAAAATACTACTAGATTGAATCCATCAGCACATCAAAAAGTTAATACACCACAATCAAGTAGGCTTTATTCCTGGCATGCAAGCCTGGCTCAACAGATGCAAATCAACAAATGTGATTCACCATATAAACAGAATTAAAAGCAAAACCCATATGGTCATGTCGATAGATGCAGAAAAAGCTTTTGATAAAATCCACCATGCCTTCATGATAGAAACCCTCAACAGACTAGGCATTGAAGGATCATGTCTTAAAATAGTAACAACAATCTAGGACAAACTAACAGTTAACATCATACTGAATTAGTAAAAGCTGAAACAATTCTTCTTGAGAACTGGAACCAGACAGGAATGATTATTCTCACCACTCCTCTTCAACATGGTGCTGGATGTCCTAGCCAGAGCAATCAGGCAAGAGAAACAAATAAAAGGCATCCAAATAGGAAAACAACAGATCAAACTTTTGCTCTTCATTGATGACATAATTATATCCTACAAAACCCTAAAGACTCCACCAAAAGGTTCCCAGAGCTGATAAAAGACTTCAGTAAAATTTTAGGATATAAAATAAAGGTACAAAACAGTAGCATTTTCATACACCTATAAAGTTCAAGCTGAGAGTAAATTTAGGAATATAATCCCATTTACAATATTCACACAACAAATGAAATACCTAGGGATACATCTAATCAAGGAAGTGAAAGATCTCTACAAAGAGAACTTAAAAACTCTGATGAAATAAATCAAAGATGACACAAACAAGTGGAAAAATATTCCATTCTCATTGATTAGAAGAATCAATATTATTAAAATGGCCATACTGTCCAAAGTAATTTACAGACTCAACACTATTCCTATCATACTATGAACGTCAATTTTCAAAGAATTAGGAAAAAAAAATTCTAAATTTCATATAAAACCAAAAACGTGCTCAAATAACCAAAGCAATCCTAAGTAAAAAGAACAAAGCCAGAGACATCACACTGTTGACCTCAAACTATACTATAATGCTACAGTAACCAAAACAGCATGGTACTGGTACAAAAACAGACACATAGACCAAGGAAACAGAATAAAGAGCCCAGGAATAAAGCC
This sequence comes from Homo sapiens, assembly GCF_000001405.40. Taxonomy (NCBI): domain Eukaryota; kingdom Metazoa; phylum Chordata; class Mammalia; order Primates; family Hominidae; genus Homo; species Homo sapiens. Next base: position 9,535,255 of record NC_000007.14, on the reverse strand, counting down.
ACACACCTATGACCATCTAATCTTTTGCAAAGCTGACAAAAACAAACAACAAAGAAAGGACTCTCTACTCAATAAATGGCAAAGGGATAGCTGGTTAGCCATACATAGAAGAATGAAACTGGAACCCTACCTTTCATCATATACAAAAATTAACTCAAAATCAATTAAAGATTTAAATAGTAGACCTCAATGTATAAAAATCCTGGAAGAAAACTGAGAATACCCTTCTCACCATCAGCCTTGGTGAAGAATTTTAGCAAAGTCCCCAAAAGCAATTGGAACAAAAACAAAAATTCACAAGTGGGACCTCATTAAACTAGAGAGCTTCTGCACAGCAAAAGAAATTTTTCAAGAGTAAATATAAAACCTATATAATGAGAGAATATATTCAGAAGCTATACATCCAACAAAAGTCTAATATCTAGAATCTATAAGGAACTTAAACCAACAAACAAAAAACAAATAACCCCATTAAAAAGTGGACAAAGGACATGAACAGACACTTCTCAAAAGAACGCATAAACACAAAAAGACAACAAACATATGAAAAAATGCTCACAATCATTAATTATCAGAGAAATGCAAGTCAAAACCACCATGAGATACCATCTCACATGAGACAGAATAGCTATTATTAAAAAGTCAAAAAATAATAGATGCTGGTGAGACTATGGAGAAAAGGAATGCTTATATGCTGTTGGTGTAAATATAAATTAGTTCAGCAACTGTGGAAAGCACTTTGGAGATTTCTCAGAGAACTTAAAACAGAGTTACCATTTGACCCAGCAATCCTATTACTGGGTATATACCGAAAATAAAATAACTCATTCAACCGAAAAGATGCATGCCCTCATGTTCATCAATGAGCTATTCACAATAGACAAGAGAAGGAATCAACCCAGGTGCCCATCAATGGTAGACTGGATTAAAAAATGTGCTAACTATACATCATGGAATACTATGCAGCATAAAAAAAGAATGAAATCATGTCCTTTGCAGCAACATGGATGCAGCCGGAAGCCATAATCCTAAAGGAATTAACACAGGAACAGAAAACCAAATATCTCATTCTCTTACTTACAAGTGGGAGCTAAACACTGAGTACACATGTACATAAAGATGGGAAAATAGACACTGCAGATTACTAGAGAGGGAAGGGAGGAAGCGGACCATAGGTTGCAAAATTACCTATTGGGTACTGTTCTCACCATCTGGGTGACAGGATCTATACCCCCCAGAACCCCAGCGTCATACAATATATCAATGTAACAAACATGCACATGTACCACTTGAATCTAAAATAAAAGTTGAAATTATTTAGAAATGGTGATTTTCTAAATCTATCTTTCCCTCACATTTATTAGACAACGTTCTTCCATAAAGAAGAGCTTTGCAACATTAAGTTATATGATTACTGAAAAATATAGTGTTTTCTAGAAATGAATAATTAATTTTTTTTTGTTTCTTTCTTTTTTTTTTATGTGTGAGTGTGACAGGGTCTTGCTCTGTCACCCAGGCTATAGTGCAGTGGTGCAATCACAGCTCACTGCAGCCTCGATTTTCTGAGTTCAAGCAATCCTCTCACCTCACCTCAGCCTCCCAAGTAGCTGGGACTACAGGGGTACACTACCACACTTTGCTGTTTTTTTTTTATTTTCAATCTTTTGTAGAGGTAGGGTCTCACTATGTTACCCATGTTGGTCTCAAACTCCTGGGCTCAAGTGATGGCCAGCCTTCCAAAATGCTGAGATTATAGGCATGGGACTTTTCAGTTACTTCTTTCAGTTAACATTATTCTGTGTAAAAATGTGGCACAATAGTCACATCAAATGGTGAAAATACATGGTTAGTCTGATTATGTTGACTTTCTCCTATTTTTAAATAATGATGACTTCATAGATTTACATATGTGTTTATATTTTTCAATTAATTCTAGCATTTATTCTGTTTTTTAAATTATTGAAATATAGCATAGAGATAGAACAATACACATATTGCTTAATGAGTTTTTGCAACGTACGACACCTGTGTAACACCCAGATCAAGAAACAGAACCTTGGAAGATTCTCAAAAGCCTCTCTCTTCCCCCATCTAGCCACCTCCCCCAAATACTTGCTATCCTCAATTCTAAAATCACAAACTGGCTTGCCTGCTTTTGAAATTTATGAATATGAAAAAGCTCAACCTGCAATACTTTGTCTCTGGGTCACTTCACTCAATATTATATTTATCAGATATATTTGTATTTGGGAATATAGTTGTGATTTTTCTTTCTTATTATGGTAGTCTCTTATTTCAGTTTTTTGCATATGTTAACAATTTGTCTATCCACACTACTCTTGATGGGATTGTGTGTAGTTTCCAGATTTGGGTTATTATAAATACAGTGCTATGAATATTTTTGTACACATCTTTTGTTTGATAGATGTGTATTTTTCTATTATGTATTTGCAAAGTGTAGCTATATATTTCATTTGCATGCAAATATGTACATATATGTGTGTGTACATTTCAGTACTGTCATCAACACTATATGAGAGTTCAAGTTCTGTATCCTTACCCCACTTATTATAAGATTGTCTTTCTTATTGATTTACAAGCTGCTTATAGAAATTATTCTGAATAAAAGTCTTATTAAGATATACATATGAGAATATCCCTACACATACACTGGCACAAATAGTGTTTCTTTTTCATTTTTAATAATATTACAACCTTCAAATAATCCCATAATAAAAGTTTTCCCTTACAGTTTCTTTCTCGTGTATGTGTTTCTACTCCAAGTTCATGAGGTATTGTCTTTTTTTTTTATTTAAAAGCTCCACTGATTTACCATTCACATTTAGTTGTGAAATATCTGGAATTAATTTGTTCTTTTCTTAATATATATCACTGAATTTGTTAATTTTTTTAGGATTACCTGCTTTTATTTAATCAATTTTTATGTTTGTTTTTTATTTCTCTTGAGTAAATACCTAGAAGTGGAAGTGTTCTGTCAATGTTTAACTATATAAATTCTGTCAAACTGTTTTCCAAAGTGATTGTGCCATTTAGGTTTCCAACAGAAACATATGACAGCTTCAGTCGCTACCAACCCTCACCAAAATGTTGCATTGTAAGTCTTATAAATTTCCATGATTCTAGTAAATATGCAATAGTATTTAATTGTGGTTTTAATTGGCATTTCTTTAACAAAAATGTTGTGCCTTTTTATATACTTATTTGTCATTTGTATGTAGTTTCCTGCCATACCTACTTAAATGTTTAGTCCAACTTTTCATGAGGTTGTTCCTGTTCGAACTCTCAAACTCCCAGACTCAATCTATCCTCTCCTCAGCATCCTTAGTAGCTGGGACTGCAGGCATGTGCCACCATGCCTGGCTAATTGAACTGGCATTTTAGTTTGAAAGATCAAGGCCTATTTTGAACTTGCTCAAGGTACATTTGAATATCTATATTCATATCTATATGAAATAGAGTTTTAGCAGTATTTTATGTTATCTGAATAGAACTACTTTACATATACATATAATAATATATAATACATATTATTTTTATATATGTCACTACTTTATATACAGTATATATATACTATTTGTACATATACTATATACAGTGCATATATATATGCTCTTTGTACTCTGGACTTTCTTTTTAGAAAAATTAAAATTTGATGAAGTATAAATTATCAACATTTCCACTTATAATTAGTACTCTTTGTCTCAAAATATTTGCTTGGGACAACTTGTTAAGATTTTCAGATTTCTTATTCCTTTGATATATAAATTTTGTAACTATAATGTTTTAGTTGTTTTTGGCAGAAACATTGGCTTACTGCCAACACCACTTTCTACCCAAGAGAAGAATTAATTTTCTTGGTTCTTAGATTTTCTATTACGCATAATACTTAATGGGCAGCTCTTTGAAAGAAACAAATTCTCCACCAGTTTTATATTTTATGGTTAAATAGTTATTATTTCATACCTGAGATTACATGACTAGATATTCGAAAGATATTCAAATGTACCTTGAGCGAGTTCAGAATAGGCCTTGATCTTTCAAACTAAAATGCCAGTTCAATTAGCCAGGCGTTCTGGAGTCCTAGCTACCAGGGAGACTGAGGAGCAGATAGCATGAGCTTGGGAGCTCAAGGCTAGTGAGCCATGATCATGCCAATGCACTCCAGCGTGGGTGACAAAGTGAGACTTTGTCTCAAAAAAAAAAAAAAAAATAGAAAAAAGTTCAAATTGAGGTTCAAGACAAGTTTCTTTCCACAGGTTTCCTATAGACTATAAGATATAATTTTCATGAAAATTGAAGAAACAATGTAGTATATGAGTAAAATAATAAAATGTAACTATTCCAGCAGATATACCAATAGATTCTACCCAGTTGCCTGATAGTCACACTTCTGAACTGCAGAACCATGTATATAGGGATTCTAACCAAACTCTAGCATCATTTCTTTAAGGTTCAATAAAGGTTATTCCTATTACAGTAAGAAATATTCTAGAATTATTCATGGTTCCAATGATAAAGTGAAAAAAAAAGATTCTCTTAGTGTCTTTTGACACAACCATTTGATGTTTCGTATTTCCACTCTTTTATCTCTAGTACTTGGAAAACCGTACTTAATTTCTGTATATCAAGGTTTACAGCAGTAATGTAAGAAATAGGTAATTAATAAAAATAGTAAACAATGGTTATGTTCATTTTAATTAAACTGCATTGTAACAATAAGATAAAAACAATAAAGTGAATAACTTAATTTTATGTAACATACATAAAATACTGGGTTTAGTTGATTTTTAACTACCAGGAATGATTTAACTTTTAAATTTGGCCATTTCCAGATTATAACATCTAGGTAAGAGTCCATTTGACAAAATATATTAATATTTTGAATCTGAATTAGGTACATATCACATATCTAAGTGAACAGTTCATTTAATTTATGTGCAATGTAGATATTCAAGAAAATGCTAAAAAAAAAAAAAAAGCCTGTTCTTGTGTATACTCACGTGTAATCTTTTCAGAGCAATGTTCTAGAGGTTAGCAGTTACTCCCTAACATAACTAATGGTCCTCTGATAATCAATAAAAAAATAGTTTGGTAATGTTTCTAATTCTACCTCTGCTTAAAACCCCATCAAGAAAAGAATTCAGAGCATTCATGAAAATATGTGGAAATTTTCATTAGTGAGGATTAGGTTTAGGTGCATATAAAATAATAATAATAATACCTTGGTTTAAACACCTTAGAATTTATTCTCGCATGTTAAAAGTAACACAACTACCAAAACCCCACAAACAAATAAACAAATTAGCAAGCAGTGCTGGGATAATATGATAGCTTTATTCCACTCTTTTTACCTCTGCTATACTGACTTCCACACTCAAGGTCGCAGCACAGACAAATACAGCTAACAGAGCCATAGTATTCTGTTCTTCTGGGAATGAGGGAGGAATAGGAGAAAGAGGAAAAGAACTTCACTAAAAGAGATGAGTTAAACAGTTGGGGAAATGTCTTGAACGGGTCTTCCTGGATGTTGCACATAACACTTCTGCTTATAAGTGCTTGGCTAGAACTATGTCTCATGGTCATACCCAACTGCAAAGGAAATTAGGAAGTGCAGCTTGGGAAATGTGTCCGGGAGAAATAGGGCTCGGTTACAAAACATAGAATAAAATTGATTTGATATATAAAGCTATGTGTTAGCTACAGTCAACCCCTTTGCCAGTGCACATTCATAAACATCCTTATTTCTATACATATTTCTATAAACACGTTACCTCTCCAAACCCAAATTCTCTTCAAGTTGCTACTACTAGACCCAGATCTGGACTTGTGTGCAGCCTTCCCAATCAGCATCAAATGCCTACCTATCTGGTTAAAACTTATTGTTTTTACGTTGATAGACAAGGAACAACACAGCTCATTAAAACTTCCTTCTAGCATATTCATATATCAAAACATCCTGTTATACACCATAAATACAGACAGTCTTCGACTTAATGGTGGTTCAACTTATGATTTTTCAACTCTACCGTGGTGTGAAAGTGATCGTAGTTCAATAGAAACCTTACTTCAAATTTTTAATTTTGATATTTTTCCCGGGCTAGCAATACTTTCTGGCGTTCCTGGACAGGCGCAGTGAGCCGCATCTCCCAGTCAGCCACACAATCAGGAGGGTAAACAACCAATATTTTAGAGGGTGCTGCGTTGCCAGTTGATTTTGCCCAACTGTAAGCTAAGATGTCAGCATCTTGAGCATGTTTAAGATTGGCTGGTCTAAGCTATGATATCCAGCAGGTTAAGTGTATTAAATACATTTTCCTGTTATAATACTTTTGATTTATAATGGATTTATTGGGACATAACCCTATTATAAGTTGAAGACCAACTGTATATAAATTTTACCTGTTAATTAGGATTTTTTAAACCTCCCCTCTATATGAGGGAGAAATAAGAAATAGTCAAGAGTCTCTGGTTCTTGGCCAAGAATAGTTTTGCCTCACTAACCATAAGTTACTTGATTATCCCCTAGTTTTGCAATCTAGAATGTTGTTTCTTGTGTATTATCCTCCATATAAGAAATGGAGAGTAGATTATATTATTAGCAACCCACTTTCTCTAAGCACAGTGAAACTTGGGGTTCTGTAGAGGTTTGGCAGATACCATCTTCTGCAAATTAGGATTGAGGCTTCTTTGACAATAGTTTCCCAAAGGTATTAATAAACTCAGAGTCTATATTGTTTCTGTCATTAAGTGTTTGAATAACTACAAACAAACCCTTTATCATGATGTAATTTTAAGCTTGCTGTCTGAGATCTTTTCTTACAGTCTTCAGTGCTTTTACTATCCATCTATCATAACTTAATGGCCAACAACACAAAGCCTTCTGAAATAATAGGCAATAATGGGAAGTAAATATTTAAATTAATTTGTCAGTAGGCTCAGAACCTTGTACAATGCACCACAAATTGTATCTGTTAAGGCTGCCACTAAATTTGCCAAGCCTCAAATTATGGCATTCTAAATTTCACATTACATAAACTTTGCATACAATCTATGTTTCGATGTTTTCTTCCACTGCTTAAAATAAATTATTTTCCTGAGCTAGAAATGACAGTTGTATGCAGACAAAGGTGAGAGATTCAGGAGGCTTATAATTTCTGACATCAACAGCACCCTCTTCTATTGGTTTAATACATTCAGTGTAAGAGATGGATTATCTTGTGGAGGATATAGAGTTGTTATGTCATCCAATTCTTGCTTCTTTCTTTTTTTTCACCACCAATAATCCTAGGAGTATTTCTCCTTTCCAGGTTACTTATCTCTTTCCCAAAAGCAGTGCTCCACGAAGATTGCCACCTCTAACCTCTTTCTATTTTAAGATTGTTTTTCTTTATTCCCTCATACAGAAGTCATTAAACTATAGCTCAGGAACTAAACCCAGACTACTGCCTATATTGGTAAATAAAGTTATTGGAACACAGCCATGTTCACTTTATGTATTTTGTATGAGTGCTGGCATGCTATAACAACAGAATTGAGTACTGCCAGAGACCACACAGCCTTCAAAGCCTCATAAATTTACCATCTGGTGTCTTACGTAAAGAGGTTGGCAACCCCTGCCACACAAGTTAGTGGTCTGATCTACCAGGTCTAATAACTATTCCACATATGTCTCAACTTAGTGATTGTATTAGTTTTCTAGGGCTGCCTTAATAAAATAGCATAGATTGGATGGCTTAAATGACAGATATTTATGTCCTTACAATTCTGAAGACTAGAAGTCCAGCATTGAGATGTCAGCAGGATTCTTCTAAGGCCCCTCTCCTTGGCTTGTAGATAGATGACTGCCTTCCTCGGGTGTCTTCATATAGTCTTTTCTCTGTGCGTCTGTGTACTAATATCTTCTTATAAGGACAGTCAGTCATACAGTATTAGAATTCACCATAATGACCTCATGTAACTTGATTACCTTCTTTAAGACTCTTGCCAAGCAGTTACATTCTGATGTACTAGGAGTTAGGACTTCAAGACATAAATGGTAGGTGGGGAGGTTAGGTGGGAAGACTTAATTCAGCCCATAATAGAAAGGTTTTTCTTCTGAGAGTATTCTGTGATTTCTCACCAATAGACCTCCATTTCTCTGTTCCGTTTTTCTTGTAAATGCTTCCTGACTCTCCACTTACTCTAACGTGGGCTCTAGAGGTGACTTTGCCGGATCTGGGTATTTATTTGACTACATACACTTAATGTGAAGTTTATATTATTTTCTGTTTTTCTGTATATATATATATATATATATTCACAGGTTAGGATGGTTATAATTATCCTTGTTAATAAAAATTGTTTTAAGGATGTAGAAATTTATGTATGTATGTATATATGTATATACGTAATTATTTTTAGATCCATTAATGCCTTTTGATCTGGTGTAGAGATTATCTTACAGGAACCCGGAATTAAGTCAGCTTAGTTTGAAGGACTATTGTTCCTTCCTCATGGACTTTTTCCCTCTTTTATTTATTTAACTGTATTGTGCACAGTTATTTTGTAACTAGGATAATTTATTGTATCATAACTGATAATTCTGATATTTATAGTCTTTGATGGTTTAGTGTTGTTTATTGATTTAGGTCATTTTTGCTTATAATGTTTTATTTTCTTGCATATTTGTGATTTATCTTGTGAGCAATAAGAGTTGTTGGAATTTTATTACCAGAAATAATCTGTGTTCTGGGTTTCCTCAAGAGATGCTTTCCTCAGGGAAAGGTTGTCACCCTTGCCAAGCAAATTGAGATATATTCTAAATAACTAAGTTGGAGTATTTAAAATGCATTTCAACTTTTTTCTAGAAAAAAAAATGCCTTTATTAGTGAACCTGTCTTACTGTTAAGTTTCTGCATTGAGATTCAGGTTTCACCAAGAGATGCTCCCAGTATGAGACTGGATTTAGACCTCATTCCTGTGGGGGGACAAAAGGGATGGCATCAGGCATCGAAATGTGCCTGTGCATATCATGGAAAGAAGAGTAGGGTTGTTGGAACCAGCAGGTTTAAAGCTATATTCAAAATTTGCAGCCATGTTCCTGATTGTAAATTTTTCCTATAGTGACAGGGTATAGTGATGTTTTGGTGGCCTAGTTCTACAATGTGTCATTGGTGAGATTCTTGGAACTTCAAATGATTGCTTAGCTCATGAAAAAATTCCATATGTCATTTAATTCATTGTAATAAATCATTTTCTACTTCAGCTATATGAAGTGGATTATGTACTCTATAACTGAAGCTTGACCAATAAAGGGAACTATAAACGTGGTCCTTATAAAGTTAAAAGTTGTTACATTGAAGATATTTAGCAACGGAATGCATGCCTTATTTATTCTGAGGCTTATATATAAAAGATGCCTAAATTAATTACACACATTATAAAATTATATGTAGCTATACATAATATAAACATACTTTTATATTAATATCAATATTTACATAAGGACATATTTATTACACTTATTATATCAATATATATTTGTGTAAACTTGTGTAAACAGAAGTTTATTATGTAAATACCTATATATGATATATAAGGTCATATATATAAGATCAAAATGATAAGATTGTGTATATATGGTTAAGATTATAAGATTACATACATAATCATACTATATATAATTTACAGATATATCATCTATATAGATTATAACATTATGTCTATATATTATATATAATGTCTATAAATTATAATATACATAAATAAATCATATATTGAAATATATAAATTATATGTAATATATATAATTACTTAAATTATATATTTATATATAACATAATTTAAAATTTATATACTATACAATAATACAAAATGTATAACTTATAATATATAATATTCTTTTATTTATATCTGTTTATACTATATATTTATAAATTGTATATTTTATATATTATTAATATATAACATATAAATTATATATAACATATTATATAAATTATATATACATATATGGAGTATTATATATGTATATATAACATATATACATATATAAAACATACATATATATATGGTACTCATACAAAAACAGACGCATACACCAATGGAACAGACTAGAGAACTCAGGAATGAAACCACACATCTGATCTTCAACAAACCTGATAAAAACAAGCAATGTGGGAAAGATCCCCTATTTAATAAACAGTGTTCGGCGAACTGGCTAGCCATATGCAGAAAATTGTAACTGGGGCACTTTCTTACACTTTATACAAAAATTAACTCAAAATGGATTAAATACTTAAGTGTGAAACCCAAAACTAGAAAAAACCTAGAAGAAAATCTAGGCAATACCATTCAGGACATAGGCATGGGCAAAGACTTCATGACAAAATCACTGAAAGCAATTGCAACAAAAGCAAAAATTCACAAATGGGATCTTAAACTAAAGAGCTTCTGTACAGCAAAACAAACTATCCTCAGAGTGAACAGGCAACCTACACAGTGTGAGAAAATTTTTGGAATCTATCCATGTGACAAAGGTCTAATATCCAGTATCTACAAGGAAGTTAAACAAATTTTCAAGAAAAAAACAATTAACTCCATTAAAAAATGGGCAAAGGACATGAACAGACGAAGACATTCATGTGGCAAGCAAAGAAAAGAAGCTCAGCATCACTGATCATTAGAGAATTACAAATCAAAGCCACAATGAGGTACCATCTCACGCCAGTCAGAATAGTGATTATTAAAAAGTCAAGAAACAACAGATGCTGGTGAGGTTGCAAAGAAATAGCAACACTTTTACACTGTTGGTGGGAATGCAAATTAGTTCAGCCATTGTGGAAGACAGTGTGGCGATTCCTCAAAGATCTAGAAGCAGAAATATCATTTGACCAAACAATCCCATTTTGGGTACATACCCAAAGAAATATAAATCTTTCTATTACAAAGACACATGCATGCATATGTACACTGCAGCACTATTCACAATAGCAAAAACATGCAATCAACTCAAATGCCCATCGATAATAGAATGGATTTTTTAAAAATGTGGTACATATACACCATGGAATGCTATGCAGCCATAAAAAGAAAAAAGATTATGTCATTTGCAGGGGATATGGATGGAGCTGGAAGCCATTATCCTTAGCAAACTAACACAAGAACAGAAAACCAAACACTGCGTGTCCTCACTTATAAGTGGGAGCTAAACAATGAGAACACATGGAAACAGGGAGGGGAATAACACACACTGGGGCCTGTCAGGGGGTGGGATGGGGGAGGGAGAGTATTAGGATAAATAGCTAATGCACACTAGGCTTAATAGCTAGGTGATGGGTTCATACATGCAGCAAAGCACCATGGCCCACGTTTACCTACGTAACAAACCTGCACATCCTGTGCATACATGTACTCTGGAACTTAAAGTCAAAATAAAAATAAAAATAAAATAATTAAATAATTAAAAATAAAATATATATTATATAAATTATATAAAAATAGATGTTATATATTATAATTATATAATGGCTTGTATATAATATAAAAATATAAATATTTAAATTTTATTTATAAATATTTAAATTATATATAAATTACATTTTTATCTATTATATATCTCTTAACATTTTATATATATACAGTTTTGGGTGTCTTGTAGTGGGAGGGTTTGTGGTCTAATATATAGCCAGGAAAAAAATAAACTTCCAATTTTACTAGCTATATTATTCTGTATATCAATTCAATGTCCAGATATGATAACCACAAACTATGTTAAATAATGTTTAGTGAAGAATTTAGATATTGCTAAAAATATATCTCCAATGCCTCTCTTTATTGGTACTCTTATGTTGCCAATTTGTGCACACTGAACTATATCAACCACAAAATATACACATATTTATTTTTCTATCCATTAGTCTTCTTAACTCTGAATTATGTTAGGCCTAACTCCTGACCCAATAATATAGGTGTCCAATACATGCTTAGAGATAATGGGATTTATTTCTTAAGAATATAACCTGTGTGGAAGGGAAACATCACACACTGGAGCCTGTCAGGGGGTGGGGGGCTAGGGGAGGGATAGCATTAGGAGAAATACCTAATGTAGATGACAGGTTGATAGGTGCAGCAAACCGCCATGGCACATGTGTACCTATGTAACAAACCTGCATGTTCTGCACATGTATCCCAGAACTTAAAGTAATAATATAAAAAGAATGTAACCTGCATAAATTGTGGAATACACACACACACACACACACACAGACACACACACGGTAACTATATGTAGCGGTCGATGCAATGTATGCATATACGAAAATATCCAGTTGCATACTCTAGATGTACACAATTTTTATTTGTCAATCATACCTCAAGAAAACTGGGGAAAATGTTGGATCAAAAGAAACTTCTGATTACTTATGTCAGAACCAAGTTATTTTTCCAGTAGGCTATCATGAATTTAGTGTTTTACAAAGTTGCATAAAAATTTTGATGTCTATGTGTTGGCTTTTGGTTGCTTTGTATAGAATGAAATATGTTTTTATGGAGAAATAATAAGTTTTTATTTATGGGATAGAGTGTGATGTTTTGATATATGTGTCTGTTGTAGAAATATTGAATAAGCTGATGGGCTTACCCGTCAACCCATCTACTTATTTTCTTGTTGTGAGAACATTTAAAATCTACTATTTTAGCAATATCTGTTTTTTGAGGGACCAAAACTTGCATCTCTTTAGTTATTCGAGGACATGCTTACCCTTTATTTATCAGTTAATTACTCTTCACATTAAACTGCTGCACTTCCTGAGATACTTAATCCAATTTTAACAAATCTTGTGAGGTTTGCTAGTTTATAGTCACAAGATCATACAAAGCTAAATGACTGGTTCAAGATAATTTCAACCAGACTTGAGTATCATAAATGTTTTCCTGGGAAAATTGTCAACAGCCTCTGTGTTTTTTGTTTTTTTTTTTTCCTTGAGACGGTCTTGATTTGTGGCCAAGGCTGGCGTGCAGTGGCACAATCTGGGCTCACTGTAGCCTTGACCTCCTGGGCTCAAGTGATCCTTCCACCTCAGCCTCTTTAGTAGCTCAGGCTACAGGCACATGCCACCATACCTGGCTGTTTTTTGTGGTGTGTGTTTTTTTTTTTTTTTTTTGTAGAGATGGGGTCTTGTCATGCTGCCCAGGCTGGTCTCCAACTCCTGAGCTCAAGCAATCTGCTTGCTTTGGCTTCCCAAATTGCTGAGATTACAGGTGTGAGCCACCATGCCTGGCCAAATAGCCTCTGTATTCTAAGTACCCAAAGTTCAATTAAGATTTTTAGGAAATATATGGATTCTCTCATGTTTTTACAGATATTTCTAATTAAATTATAATATGATGAATGTCTTCTTTTCTAACATGTTAAACAATTTGAAAAAGAAAAAAACACAAAGCCGTATGGAAAATGTTACTCAATGAATTTCTACTTAAACATTTTTTTATTTGGTATAGAATGACTTTCTTCTCTTTATCTGTGTTATGTAAAAATTATTGCTGATTAGAGGACATTATGGTTAATAGAAAGATTGAGAAATTGAACTATAGAAAGGTATAGATATACCGTAGGAAAGTGAACTGCACTTAATATGTAATTTAATTTCTTAATTTCTAAGTGACATTAAATATCCCATGTTTCATCATCAACTACCTTTAAATGAGTACAAAATTTTAGCATTTCTAATCACATTAATTTTATTTTAAAATTATTGAAATGAAGAGGATATTTTCATTATGTGCTGCATGATTTTGGACCTGCAATTGTGAACATGAAAATAATTTGAAGTTTAAATTTTGTTTTGGAAAGTCACTTAACATATTCCAAAAAATATTTAGAAATTAAATGTTAACACAATACTATATACGTTCTCAGTTATATCTCACTGACAGCATAGACTTATTTCTTGGAGCTGCTATACTTTACCATTAGGCATTTTCTTTGTATTTAGTAATCTGATTTAACTTTAAGGAGTTTTCACTGTCATTTGAGCACCACAATGATATTTAGTTTGATTTTCTTTTATTACATTCAGTGGGGAATTTACTTTCTGTGTGTTTTCATTTCTCTTTATCTATTACCCAGAGTTTTTTTTTTTCTTTTTCTTTTTCTTTCTTTTCTGTTCGATTTTTAAAGCACAGCAAAAGCTGAAAGAGGGTCATGAGAGCCCTCTTTTGGAGAAAGCACTACTATTCAGACACACATGCATACTCACACAATTTTGGCTGTTTTGCAGTGTTTCCCAATAGTTGTGATATTTTCAAAATTAGGTTTTTCTAAGTTTATAAAGCTGTGCGATACAGGCTGAAGTCATTGGCATGCATGCACACTCGTGTGTGTGTGTGTGTGTGTGTGTGTATGTGACAGAGAGAGAGAAAGAGAGAGTTAAAGACAGCTAAAGGGAGAACTGGAAAGCATTTTAAGTTTTTGACTAAATTGATAGTGTGATTAACTTTTATACTTGCTTGCTGCTCATTGGTATCTTCCATATAAACTGCCATAGACCTTGAAAGCATTTAAAATCTATTATGCATATTAAAGAAAATGAAGCAGAAGTAAATTAAAAATAAAATAGATGAAAACTTTTGGTAATGTTTTCAGCATGATTATAATTTAAATCTCAGTTTAAATTATTTTATATTATCTATGGCAGATACTGAAAATTTGGATAAAGGTCAATTTTTAAAAGGGAGATATAGAAATCATTAAAGCATTTATTCATTTTTTTCACTCATTTATTGATTTTATAAACTTTTTAAACTTTTATTTTAGGTTCATGGCTATATGTGCAGGTTTCTTATACAGATAAATTGCATGTTACGGGGGTTTGGTTGTACAGGTTATTTCATCTCCCAGGTAATAAGCGTAGTATCCAATAGGGGTTTTTTTAATCCTCACCTCCTCCCATCCTGCACCTTCAGGTAAGTTCTGGTGTTTGTTGTTCCCTTCTTTGTGTCCATATGTACTCAATGTTTGGCTCCCACTTATAAGTAAGAACATACAGTATTTGGTTTTCTTTTCCTGTGTTAGTTCACTTAGTATAATGGCCTCCAGCTCCATTCATGTTGCTGCAGAAGACATGATCTCATTCTTTTTTATAGCTTTGTAGTATTCCATCATGTATGTATACTACATTTTCTTTATCTGGTTTGCCACTGACGGACACTTAAGTTGATTCCATGTCTTTGCTATTGTGAATAATTCTGTGATGAACCTATGCATGCATGTGTTTTTATGGTAGACTGATTCTCCTTCATGTATAAATTCAATAATAGGATCGCTGGGTCAAATGATAATTCTGCTTTGAGTTCTGTGAGAAATATCCAAACTGCTTTCCACATGGCTGAACTAACTTACATTCAAATCACCTGTGTATAAGTGTTGCCATCTTCTCTGGAACATGACTAACATCTCTAATTGGTTGACTTTTTAATAATATCAACTCTGACTGGTGGGGCATGCTATCTTATTATGGCTTTCATTTGCATTTCTCTAATAGCTACTGGTATTGAGCATTTTTTTCATAATTTTTTGTCACTTTAAGGGTTCTTTTGAGAAGTATCTACTCATATCCTTTGCCCACTTTTTAATGGTATTACTTTTTTGCTTGGTTGTTTAAATTCCTTATAGATTCTGGATATTAGACTTTTGTTGGATGCATAGCGTGGAAATATTTTCTCCAATTCTGTAGCTTGCCTGTTTTCTCTATTGATAGTTTTCTGTGCAGAAGCTCTTTACTTTAATTAGGTCCCACTTGTCAATTTTTGTTTTAGTTGCAGTTGTCTTTGGTGTCTTTGTCATGAAATCTTTGTTAAGTCATATGTCCAGAATGGCATTTCCTAGGTTATCTTCCAGGGATTTCATAGTTTTAGCTTTTATATCTAAGTCCTTCATCCATCTTGAGTTTATTTTTGTATGTGATGTAACAAAAGGGTCCAGTTTCAATTTTCTGTATAGATTGATGTTAGGTAATGTGATGCCTCTGGCTTCATTCTTTTTGTTTAAGATGGCCTTGGCTATTTGGGCTTTTTTTTGGTTTCACATAAATTTAAAAATAGTTTTTTCTAATTCTTTGAAGGATGTCATTGTTAATTTGATAAGAATAGCATTGAATCTATAAGTTGCTTTGGGCAATATGGCCATTTTAACAACATTGAGTCTCCCTATCCATGAGCATGGAATATTTTTCCATTTGTTTGTGTCATTTCTGATTTCTCACTTTCCTAGGTAGCTCTATTCCTAAGCATTTTATTCTTTTCGTGGTTATTTTAAATGAGACTGCACTCTTGATTTGGCTGTCAGCTTGGATCTTGTTGGTGTATAGGAATGCTACTGATTTTGGCACATTGATTTTGTATCGTCAGAGTTTGCTGAAGTTGTTTATCAGATCAAGGAGCTTTGGGGCAGAGACTCTGACTTTTCTAGGTATAGAATCACATCATCTGCAAATAGGAATAGTTTGACTTCTTTTCTTTCTATTTGAATACCTTTTCTTTCTCTTGCTTGATTGCTCTGGCCAAAACTTCAAAAAAATTTTACAAAATGTATTGAGAATGCTGTGTTAAGAGTTAGACATTCTTTGGGACCTTACATGAGTTCTGTCTTTAAGCTGTGCTTTAAACTTTGTTCTCTAGCTGGGAGAAAGGTTTAAAAAAAATACAAGCATAATAAAATAATGAAATAAATAAAACGATCATAGCTTCCTATAAATGGTGTAAAAGAAGAAAATATAGTCTTGATAGAAAGTAAATTGCCTTTTTGAGGTGATCTGCATTTGACAGAAAAGGCTGAGCTCTGGTATTCTTGCCATACACAGTCATTGGTGGGGGGCTGCCTGGGAACAAGTTGTCTCAGCTTAAAAGCTGAAGAAGGTTTTGAAGGCACTGAGGCTAAAGACTATCAGCTGATTTCACTCCTTGTAATCAAACGGAATTACTAATTTGAAAGGATATCTGAGTGGCATATTTTCATGATTACTTACAAATTAAGAGTTTGGTAGGCCAGGCATGGTTGCTCACGCCTGTAATCCCAGCACTTTGGGAGGCGAGGTGGGCAGATCACCTGAGGTCAGGAGTTTGAGACCAGCCTGACCAATATGATGAAATCCCATCTCTACTAAACATACAAAAATTAACCCGATGTGGTGGCATCCTCCTGTAATCCCAACTACTCAGGAGGCTGAGATAGGAGAATCACTTGAACCTGGGAGGTGGAGGTTGCAGGCAGCCAACATCAGCGAAACTCCATCTCAAAAAAAAAAAAAAGAAAAAAAAAGAAAGATTGATATTGTATATAGCCTTAGAGTTGCTTGGATGCTAAGTAAGAATATCTAAATATTAAGGAATAAACTTATCAACAGAGATATATGAAAGGAAACAAGTCGTGTAGCTAACTGGTTTGTTTGTTGAAGATATTGTGTGTTCAGTGGTTTTTTAATTTCTTTCTTCAATTTTATAAAATAGTAGACAGTGCAGAATTTTTTATCACCAATGAGACAGCAGAGAAGTGAATGAGATGCAAAGAGTAAGAAATCAGAAAAATCATAAAAAAACACAAGATTAATTCACAAAAGAAGATAATTAGGCCCAGAACAGAAATAGAGAAAATGGAATTTAATATGACGAGGAATAGTTATTTTATTATATTGAGGAGGAAAAGAAGTTGAGTACATGTGCAAGGGAAAAAGTAAATTTGTTGGTGCAAATATAAGAGGGTTTCAGATTTTGCACTTACATTTTTTCAGTGGATTATGAGGTAGAAATGTGAGCTGTGAGAGGACGATCCAATTCTCATCCCAAAAAGTAAGAAAGCAAGCTCACCAGTAAATAATAGTTGGTTTTCACGTCGTATTAAATGACCAAATGAAATCTGTGAACTTAAATAATAAATATGGTTGAGATTTTGTAAGGCATTATCAATGGAAGATGAGATAGGCAAGATGATTTCGAAACCAACTATAATGATGGACAACAGATTATCATTAATATTGTTGTGAAGTCAAATAATTTTAGTTGTAAATGCACTAGAACAAGTTATCTGGAAAGGTAAGAGACGCTTGGTGTAGACAGTAAAATATTTGGTTAGAGATTTCAAAAGTGATTCACTCTGTTGTAAAACTGGAATGGCTGGCTGAGGTGGGATGGAAGAAAATGCCGTTAGAAATAAGAACACCAAGGAATGAACAAGCCTTGGAACTGACAGGTCATCTTCCAAGATGACAGGAGCAGGCACTAAAATAAAGATTGTTATCCAGGAGCGAAAATCTTTAAGAAATGAAATGGAATGGCTAGAAGATTAGATTGGTTAAGGTCAGGGACTGTCAAGAGGGATAGATGGTATCAGGAGGAATGGATGATATCATACATACTTCGAGGAGCAGGATTGATTTATTTTATTCCTCCCACTCCTACCTCACCCAGCCAAGAGGCGAAGAAATGAAATGCAAAGTATAATGGGGGAGCCAAAAGGTCACTAACCTTACCTTGCATTTGCCTTCTGCTGGGTATCAAGCCCATGATGTCACTGATACTTTGATAAACTTCAAACAGTGATAGTGGCAGAAACAAAAAGAGGAAAAAATGTCTATATGTAGTCTTTGTAAGAAAAAAAGACTCTACTGTGTCTGGCTGAGTCATCCAATTTTAGAAGTTAGTCTACATTCTTAATTTCACCTATGAGAAAACCAAAGCGTGTACAAAATACATGATTCTCAAGTGCATACAACTTGTTACTAGCAAAGTCTGGACTAACGTTAGGTTTCTGATACTCAGTCCATATTCTTTCCTCTAGTTGGGTTTATTCTCCTGTCAGAAGGATTTACAGGAGACAACACATGTGCTAGATTAATTTTACTATATACTATAAAATATATAGAAAGCAGTAAGTAATGGTTCCTTTGTTGTAGAGAGTGCTTTTCCGTAAGGGTTCTTGACAATGACGAAATAGTGACGGCTCTAGTATGCATACATTATTTGAATATAATAATTTTTAATTCAAAATTTCATGGCATTTACACAATTTGATGCTTCTAAAGCAGCAGCATTACCAAAATGTTGACAATATAATCTCAAAGTGAGTGTACTTGCAACTGGTTGTTTTAACAGTTTTGTTTCTACCTGAAAAGGTCCTTTCCCTGGCTGAAGGTAAGCGGGAAGAAAACACAATGTTCTTCTTATTTGTGGTTTAAAGATTGATCATAACATTGCTCCCTCTATAAGTAAGCTACTATGAGAGTCCCAGAAGTCCTGCCACAAGTCCACTGTCACAGTTTATTGGCTAATCAGCAAGAAATTGAAATCTTGATTGGCTTTATTTGTTGGCTGATTGAAACACTGAGATAGGAAGTAGTGGACAGATTAATTAATTTGTGCTGGGGAATCCAAAGTTAATCTAAGGAATGCTGTCACTTTGATTGATGGCTGTGGGAGAGAAGAAGTCTTTAAAAATCCTCATGAATCGTCACTCTGTAAGCACATAAATACAAGGTTTTGTCTGTGTAACTAATT
Source organism: Homo sapiens (assembly GCF_000001405.40). NCBI lineage: Eukaryota > Metazoa > Chordata > Mammalia > Primates > Hominidae > Homo > Homo sapiens. The sequence goes on along the minus strand of NC_000007.14, from coordinate 9,515,707 downwards.
GAATTCTACTGAATGATACTGCATACTAATGTTTATGTGTGCATAACAATTACCCATGTTTTAATAGTGGACTACCTAGGATATAGAAGAATGGACAAAGTATATCAATAAAAACAAACAATTGCATCTGTAAACACTGTCATACTCAAGAAATATAAAGTGCCATTTTACTAACATATTATCTACACAATTCTTGTGGAATGTTTTAACTTGATTGTCAAAATAATTTATTTTGCAAATTGGTACTACCTTCTACTTACACACCTATAATTGCTGGGTAGTGTTTTTTTTTTCTAAAAGAATCAAAGCAAAGCTTTCATGCTTGCACAATCTGTAAGAAAAGTTAAGAAGTATGTGTGCTTATTAATTTTTCACCTTGCTCATGTCTTTCTGCTGAGCATTGGAGAGAAGAGAGAATGAAAACTATATGAACTTTGATAGATTGAATTACTTATCTGTGAATTATAATCACACTTAAAGATGAAGTATCAGTAAGGGAGCTTCATATTTTGTATCTATAATTTTCTGATGACCACAAAGATGAAAGAAAATTAGAATCACAGATTTACTATTTTTCTCCAAGTGAAACCTCACTCCTTTATTTTATAAATAAAGCATCTAGGTCACAGAATGTTTTAATTTCTTGTAATTACTCGCCTTAACTAGTGATATCCTGGGAGTTGTTTCTGGTTTTGTTTTCTACATCATAAATTTTCCCCTCTTTTCATAAAAGGGAAAAGAGATCTCAAAAATTAGAAAAATAAAATTGGAGGAAGAGAGTTCATATATCACCATTTGATCATTTAACAGGCATTTGTGGAACACCTAAAATTATCAGGACCTATGCTATACAATGTGCTAGGAATTGTATAAAAAAATAAGCCTTGGCTTTATGGGCTTAGAACAACAAGAAGGAAGCAAACACATAAACACATATATGAGAAAAGTTTGAATAATATGCATAGATTATTTCCTGGGGAAAACTGTCAAGAAAGCTTACTGTTTTTGATATACTCCTCCTAAGTGTTCTTACTAAATAATTTTTACCTCTTCTGTTTCTGGCTTTTGTCAACTGTTAAAAAGATAAAATGTGCATAGAAATGACCTTGCATTTTTAAATTATTTTAGGGATATTTGAGTCAAAGTGTCCCATCAAATGTGAAAAGTAAGGCTCTTGTTACTGAAGTCAGAGTCATTCAAGAGTTCCATTCTGGGGGTGGAGAGAACTGTTATTCTACATTTCCTTCCATTTTTTTCAAACCTTTATATTCTCTTTTGTTGGAAGTGTGTCTCAGAGATCTTCCCTGGGTGGTTCCCAGCTTAGCTTCTCTGCATTTTTCTGTCATTTCTCTTTCTTTATGTCCACTTTCAGGGATGTAAATACATAAAGATCTAGCATGTCACCTCTGAAACTTCTAATTTAGAAAATTCAACAAGAAAATGTAATAAGAAATATATAAAGTCTATTTTCTATATAGTCACACTTATAAGTAAACTGAAAGAAGTATGTTGTTCACAATGAAGAAAATAAAGTTCACCTTTTTTTTATTGTGAGCCTTATGTAGAAAAGAGGAGGAATTTTAAAACAAAAGCAATAATAATATCAACAACAAGAATAGTAATATAATGATCTATGAGTTATCTCAGTGTGTCAGGAAGAACTTGTGTGTATTAGCTCATTTGATCTTAATAGGACTATGAGATAGGCACTATTAAACTTAAACTCCTTAAATCTTCCCCACTTAATTTACACGGCTGATGTGAAACATCAAAAACAATAAACAAATTATCTAAAAAGTAATATCCAAATGTTGAAGATAATGGTTTTGGTCATTATGAAGATTTTAGTTGGGAGCTTTGAATTTAAACCAACCTTTATGATGGCTCTAGAAAGTCCTTTCTGTGAGAACCGCACTATTAAAAATGATACCCTTTGACAGCAAATGCTGGTGGTGAAGTGGAGCAACATTTCGCTCTCTGCACCGCTGATGGGAATGATAAAAGGCACAGCCACTTTGGAAGAGAGTTTGGCCGTTTAAAACCAAATATACTCCTACTATGTGATCCAGGAATCACACTTCTGCACACAAACGAGGACGTCTATAGAAGCTTTCTTTATTACCGTAGTCCCACCTTACTCATGGGGGATGTATTTCAAGACCTCCAGTGGATACCTAAAACTATGGATAGTACTGAGATCTATTGGTACTATATTTTCCCATACATACATATCTGTGATTAATTTATAAATTAGACACAGTAAGAGATTAACAATAACTAACAATAACTAACAATCAAATAGAACAATTATAACAATATAATCTAATAAATGTTATGTGATTGTGGTCTCTCTCTCTCTCCTCTCTTATTGTACGTACCTATTTCAGGTTCCCCACTGTCGACTGTGGGCAATTAAAACTATGGAAAGTGAAACAGGATAAGCTGGGGGGACTACTGTATTGCCAAAACTTGGAAGCAACCAAGATGTTCTTCAGTAGGCAAATGAATAATTGTGAAACCTCCACACAAAGAAATGTTATTCATCATCAAAAGAAATGAACTATCAAGCCATCGAAAGGCATGAAGGAAACTTAAATGCATATTACCAAGTCAAATAAGCTAATATGAAAAGGCTACATACTATATGATTCCAACTATGTGACACTCTCCAAAAGCGTCACTGGAGATACCATAAAAAGATCAATAGTTGTCAAGGGTTTGGGGAGAGGAAAGCATGAATAAGTGGAGCATGGAGGAATTTTAAGGCAGCAAAACTATTCTGCGTGATACTGTAATGGTAGATACATGTCATGTGCATTGTCAATACCCACAGAATGCACACTAAGAGTAAATCCTGATGTCAACTATGGACTTTGGCTGATGATGATGTGTCCATTTAGGTTCATTGGCTGTAACAAATGTATCACTCTGGTGTGGGTTGTTGAGGCAATGGGGGAGGCTATGGGTGTATATGGGAGCCAGGGGTTATACGAGAACTCTGATTTCCCTTCAATTTTGCTGTGAACCTAAGTTTTCTAAAAACAAAATCTATTCCAAAATAGTTGTGTCACTTTTGGGATTTATATGATGCTTCAGACATTTTTAGCTTTTTCTATTTGTCATTTCTGGTGATACAGTTTTGATTGTAAATAAATATTTACTTCATTTCAAAAAAGCAGATATATTTTCAGCTTTGTTTTAAATATCAATGTGAAGCGTAGGAACATTAAAGTCAAGTTTAAATTTTCATCTTATTTTATATGCTTACCACAGCTGTGGTCTTTTTATAAAAATAGTTATTGAAGTATAATTGATGTACAAAAATTAAAAGCATACAAATAAACATAGCTTTATATATGTGTATACCTGACACATCATCCTAACGATGATGACAAATAATGTGTTTTTTACCCCAAAGGATTTCCTCAAATGCTGTATTAATCCCTATGTTTCTTTTCTCCCTGGTCCCACTCAGTTCTAGATAAAAACTGATGTAGTTTATGTCACTACAGACTAGTTTGGTTTTCTTGGATTTTAGTAAATAGAATTGTAAAGTATCCACTGATATTTTGTGTGCAGTTTCTTTCACTCAGCATAACTAAGGTAAAGTATATTCATGTTACATACGTCAATAGTTAATTATATCTTATTATTAATAGTATTCTGTTGTATGAGTATGCTATAAATTGTTTACTCACATTTTGGTGAACAATTAGAGTTATTTCCAATTTTGGCATATTTTAAATAAAGCATCTACAATCATCTGTGTACAAATCTATGTATGGATATATACTTCTATTTATTTTGAATAAAATCCAGAATTAAAGTGACTGAACCATATGGCTGATGCCTATTTAGCTTTCTGAGAAAATGCCACATTTTTTGCCAAGTGCAACATTTTACACATCCACCAGCATTTTAGCACAGTTATAGTTTCTCCATATCTTTAACAACACTTGGTATGGTCAGTCTTATTAATTCTATTCATTCTAATATATGTAAACAGAATCTTGTGCAGTTTTCATTTACATTTATTTAATTACTACTGTTGTTGAGGATCTTTTCATGTGCTTATTTGCCATTGGTTTATCATAGCTAATGAAATGTATGTTCAAATTTTTGCCCTTCTTAAAAGGTTGAGTTTTAGAAGCTCTTTGTCTATTCCACATACAACTCCTTTATCAGATATTTAATTTGCAAATATTTTCTCCCAGCTTGTTTTTTCATTTACTCACTATTTTCTTTCTATTTAGTTCATTTGTTCTTGATTATCTTTATTTTTTTCTGCCTTCTTTGATTAATTAGGTACTTTTTATGATCTAATTTTATTTTCTTCATTTGTTTATGAGCTACAACTCGTTGTGTTATCATTTTAGTGGTTGTTTTAAGGTTGATTTTAAATATTTTTAACTTATCAGAGTCTTCCTTAAAGTAATATTATATCTTATTCTATGTATTATTCAAAATTTACTGTGTTTTTTAATTCTTTTTATAGATCCATATTGCCATCTAATACCATTATCCTTCTACTTGAAAAACTTTCTTTACTCTTTCTTATAGTGTGGGTCTATGGTTAATTATTAACTCTTTCAGCTTTTGTATATCTGAAAGTGTTTAGCTTTAGTTTTGAAAGATATTAATGCTGGATGTGGAATTCTAGGTTGACAGTATTATTTCTGTCATTATTCTAAAGATCTTGAATAACTGCTTTCTCATTTGTATTGCTTCTGTTGAGAAATCTTCTATCATACTGATTTTATTTCTGTTTTAGCTTAAGTTTTTCTCTTTCTCCCTGATTTCAGACAATTAGATGATAGTGTGAATAGTAGGTGCAATATGCTGCTATGAGGTAAAATTGTCTTCATTTATTTTATCTTCAGGTTTTTTATCTTTTTCAATCTGTGAGTTTATAGTTTTGATCACATTTGAAAATTATTTTTGACCATTATTTATTCAAAGTTTTTTTGTGTCTTCTTCTCTGTATTTTCCTTTGGTCCTTGAATTAGACACACATTGAAGTTGCTTAAAGTTATCTCAGTTTGCTGATACCACGTTCAGTTTTTCGTTTGTTTTATAGTTTAATTTTCTATATATTTCGTTTTAGATAGCTTCTATTGCTATGTTGTTAACAGTTTTTTTTCTCTTTTGTAATACCTAGTCTGCTAATAATCCCATCCAATATATAATCTTTCTCAATTCAAAGATTTTAGTTTTCAGTTCTAGATGTTCAATTTGGACCATTTTGGGGATTAACTTTGCATCTCTGTACTTATCTCTTTGACAATATAGAATGCATTATAATTGTTTAAGGTCCTTTTCTACTAATTCTAACATCTGTGTCAGTTCTGGGTAAGTTTCAGTTAATTGACTTTAAATTCTCATTATAAGTTATGTTTTCTTGTTTCTTTGGATATGACTCTTCTGTCTACAGCAAGCCTTGTAAATACTGCTGGAAAGAGCTAAATATTTATTTTAATAATAATATTTCTATATTATATTATATAAAGCATTATTTATATTAGCTTTGTTCTAGGATACACTACAGTTACTTAAAAAGAAAAAAAACGTAAGTTGATTTGTTAGGCAGGACCACAGCAGCATTTAATCTAGGTCTAATTACTCCCCACTACTGAGACAAGACCTTTCTTAGTTCTAGCCAATTTTCTATGAATTTAGATATGTTCTAGTCTAACTGGTTGAAACAGTTATTATTCCAGTTTGTATATGAAGGCTAAAAGATCTTCCTTATAATGTTTTGCATGCTTCTTTCTTTAGATTCAGAAAGTTTCCTTACTTGCATGCTTTTTGATCATTACTATGCTGAATGTTCCATTTGGACTCTCTATAGATTTCTCAGGTTTTTACTCTGTGCACCTTTATTCTAGCTGTTACTTTGTCTTACAAACTTTATCTATCTTAACTGTCTCTCAGGGATTCCTTTCCTTTGTTGTCTCATGTCTAGTGCCTCGAATACTATCATTTTAATGTATCATCTGTTTACTGTTGGGGATTTGTTTTAGGTGAGAAAATAAATCCAGCCCCCGATTTCATCTTGACTGAAGTATCTTCTCTTGTATTTTAATACATTTAGAAGACAGGGTTTATGATAGCTTCTAATCTATGAGAAAATAATTGTGTAACAAAAGCTCTGAGCCGTTAAAGATAATGGGTGGTAAGAAAGCTTAAGCAAAAAACTAAGCAAAATGCAGTCTACATTTGAAAAGACACATTGATATAAAATGTCTTGGACTTGAGAAAAAGAAGAAAATGACTTCATAAATACATAAAAGAAAAACAGAAATGTATAAATGTTCTATTCTTTAAAAAATGTTTATATCTATCATGTAAATTGACAAATAGGGTTTATTTTTGAATAATGTATAAATACAACTAATTTTGCAATCAATAGGTCAAAATCAGTTGGTCTTTTACATTGTTTGCAAAGATGGTGAACTCTGTCAATTTTCTCAAACACTGTGTCTAACACAAACACCTACACAAAATGTAACTGGGGTAAGTAAAATTAGAATCCATTTTTTAAAATATTATCTTCATTGGTAGTTCAAAAAGCAAACCTTATAATCTGATTAATATTGTCAAATGTATCATATGTAAAATACCAATGAAATTACTAGAACAGCTGAGAATATATTTTGCTTATCACTAATGCTATTTATTTCACTTATTCCTTTTATTTCTAGCCTCTGAAGAAAAACCAGGATGTAAAGAAAGAAAATTGTATCTCTAAGAGCATTTGGTTTGAAATTAGACTTCCAATATATCTCTGCATGCACAATTATTTTACTGCTATTAAAAAGTGAATCGATACTAATATATTGACAGTTTTGTCAGTACTTACTGTTCATCGTCAAACATTTCACTGTCATTAAAGAATGCAGAAAATACATCTCAGTGTCATAAGTAGTCAGTGTGCATCAATCACATCGTTTCATTTCATTGTCCTGTAAGTTGTGGTTCATGTAGTTTCTCAGTATATAATGCCTATGAAAACTTTTCATAAATAGGAAATGAGTCTTACATATAAGATTTTCTATATATTTTTCTTTCTGCATTGGAAATGTTCTAAATTCATTTGACTGCAACTTAATGAAAATCTATTCACTGCAACACAATACATAAAAAAGAACATAAAAGTTCAAAAAACCTAATTTATGTTTTTTACAAGCTGATTACAGGCTCATAAGTAGAAATCGCAAATTAATGTTCAATTTTAATATTTCAAATGACAGAAATTTCGTTTAACTCTTAACAAATATCAACTTATGTAACATCTGGAGATTGTGCCTTTCAAACAAATAAAAGGTAAAATTCAGACATTAGTGAAAAAAAAAAATCTACCTAAGCTGTACATTGATAATCGAGATTATTTAAAGTTGCAGTGACACTCCCACTAATGTGTCATAAGAATAATGGTAATTCTCAAATAACTTAGCAAGAATGGCTTGTTCCCCATAGAGATGCTTAAGTTTGACAACAAGCAGAGCATTTAGGGACCACCTACATTTCAAGACATTTTCTTTAGAGCATTACAAAAAATCACAGAAAAATACAGTGTTTTCGATCACTAATATTGTAAACTATCAATGTTCTTCCTAATATTAAAGAGAAGTTAACCTCGGTAAGTAGAAAAGAAAGTCAAATAAAAAAGCAACGCAAACATTTTCCTTTCTGTGTATTTGTTCATTTAGTGGCAATAATCAGAATAATTATTGTAACTGCAATGGTTCTTTTATTTTCTTTTTTTATTATTGTTAACAAAGTTTCTCATGTGCTATATTAAACTTTACTTTGTTACAATGTGTACTAGTTTAATACCAAATTAGAATGCTAATGATTAAAATAATTCAGAATCTCACTGACAGCCATCCAGAGCACTTAAAACACCAAACAGTAATAAGACTGTGATAATTTTAAAATGAGTCCACAAGACTTTGCAATCTTTCAAAAGATGGAACCTAATTACCTTCTCTTTTACTGAGGGCCAGATGTACTGACTCATTGACTCATTTCTAATAAACAGACTGTGGTGGAAGTGACAATGTGCGACTTTCAACATTAAGTAATAAAATATATGTAACCTCTCTTTCTCTCTCTCTCTCAAGAGAAAATGAGCTGCCGTGTTGTTAGAATACTCAAGCAGTCTCATGGAGAAACCTACATAGCATGAAACTAAGAAGTAAAGCCTCCTAACAACAGCCAGCAAAAAGGAATCTGGACTGCTTGCAAGCAGCCATGTGAGTGAGACGTCTCAGAAACTGCAGCCTCAGCCTGCAACTTGACTGCAGCCTTATAGTAGGCTCTGAGCCAGAACCACCCAGCCAAGCTGTTCTCAAACTCCTAACCTACAAATACTGTGAGATAATGCTTGTAGTTCCATGCTACTAAGTTGTGAAGTAATTTGTTATATAACAGTAGATACTTTAAACATACATCTTGCTTTTAAAAATATAAAATTACTTTTTCAAAAACGCTTTATTTTCTCAGTACAACTGTCTCATTAGAATATCCCACATATATGGTCTGAGATGATGGGATTTTCTAAATATAGAATCATGTCATCTGCAAACAGAGACAATTTGACTTCCTCTCTTCATATTTGAATACGCTTTATATATTTCTCTTGCCTGATTGCCCTGGCCAGAACTTCCAGTGCTATGTTGAATAGGAGTGGTGAGAGAGGGCATCCTTGCCTGGTGCAGGTTTTCAAAAGGAATGCTTCCAGTTTTTGCCCATTTATTATGGCCCCTAATGCATGTGGGCCTTAAAATCTAGATGACAGGTTGTTAGGTGCAGCAAACCACCAGGCACATGTATACCTACGTAACAAACCTGCACATTCTATACATGTATCCCGGAACTTAAAGTAAAATTCAAAAAATCTTAAAAAATCCTACATATGTGGAATATGTATCCATTTTATAAAGAATAATAAAGTGGTTTATTATACTGACTTCCAAACTGAATAGTTTCAACAAAATTGGGTTTCATCCTTTATCTATCCTTTATCTTTCTGTAGCTGAATACAAAATATAAAGTGAATGGTAACCTATCAGTCTGAGGTCATAGTGACAGGTCAAGAGCAAAGACCAACTGAGTGAAGAGTTTAGGGTTTGGCCTATAAGCATTGAGACAACAAGTAAAATTCTTTCTCTTGCTTTGTTTGTTCAATTTTTGAACAATTCATTGAAATATTACATATATTATATGTGTATATATATATAACATGTATATATATATATATGTGCACAAGAAGGTATGCAAAAGGTTCACCTCAATAAATTTTTACAAGGTAAATATGCATGTGTAGCCCCTACACAGACTCAAAAATCACAACAGTGCCAGCACCCAGAAGCAGCCCCTGGGCCACTTCCAGTCATTAACAAAGCAGCGGATTCACAAAGTTATCTAAGAACCTCCTCAGGGGAAATATGTCTAGTTAGAAACCTGGAATATTGAAACAAGTAGTTATTTTTTCTTGCATTTTCTTTAACAAACAGGCAAAAGAGAAACATCACTGATGTAGAAACATTCATATGGCATAGCAAGTGAGCAAGTGAGTGGGAACTCTGAAACAACTCAAATTTATACCATCGTGCTACTCTAAATTATTTCATGCAAAAGGTTTTACTCTAGTCCTCAGAGACATTTTAAAAAAACAAACAGCAAAACAAAAAGGGCAATAAAGATTTCCTACATTATTGTGCTATAAATACTGAAAATATGTTTCCAAATGTGACAAGAAATATTACGAGTGATTGCAGATGCAAAAATGAAGCAACCGTAATACTCTTTCCTCAGAGACACCAATAAAAAAAGACTATTATAAAGCACTACAAAATAATTTCTTTATCCAAAAGCTCTGAAGCAGTTATTAAACCAGCTGTTTTCAAAAGTACACAAATATGCTAAGTTGCAGTTGGGTAACTGTTAAATGTTAAAGCAGTGAATGATCAGCATGGAGCAGATGGTCTGGGAATGGGTGAGAAAATGGCAATGTTAATACCACCAGACTGAGATGTTCATTTGTGCTGTGGTATGCGCAGACTGGGTGAATAATGAAGGTTCTGTAATAATTGTGTAAATCCCAACATTATTAAATTGATTCAGCTGGGGTTTCTTAATATATGTGAAGCACTTGATGTACTTGGAGAAATACCTCCTCTTTGGCTAAAGCTGTTCTCATTAACTCATACTGCTTTATTTGCTGTGACCTCAGTGTTTCTGTTAAGTAATGAGTGGAATAAGAATTAGAAATCCACTTTCAATCTAAGCATTAGAAAGGAGGGAAAATGTTAAGAAAAGTGTCAAAGCATGAGCATCGCATGAAATTGGCCCGTGGCATTAATTTACCTATCAAGTGTGGTTAATGTTTATTTTACACTATTTGAGAGTTTATAATTAGACCTGCACTTTCGGGGTCTGAGAAAGTTGTTTTTTCTGATTCAATGTTTATTTTACCTGAGAGGAGAGACCATCATATTCGTATATCTTCTGGTTTTTAGTTTCACTAGGACATTCCATATTTTTCCTGCAGTATCACTTTATTTTTGAATAGAGTTTCTGGAAATCACAAATATTTACAGCAGTTTTTCTCAACTTTGATACTACTAGTACTTGTTTTGGGGGCTGCTTTGTGCAGTGTAGATGTTTAACATCTCTGGCCTTGGTCCACTAGATGCCAGTGGCAGATATCACCAAATATCCTTGGGGGACAAAACTGCCCACAACACCCACTCCTCATTGAGAATCAGTGACCTATAGGCACCCAAAGGAAAATGTGGTTCATCACCTCTGACGTCATAAAGAAAGAAAATGAAGGTGCCATAAAATCAACAACAAGTTGAAATTTTTCATTAAACTTGGCTTTAATTAAAATATTTGTACGTAGAATCCCATAAGACAATATAAAATGCCAAATATAGTACTCTACTTCCATGAGTATGAACTATGTGGCATTCTAAACTGTTGGGAAAGTAATGAGACTCAGAAATAATTGACCAAAAAGAATATGCAAGCTAAGTTTTTCACAATAGTCTTTGGACAGTAGTTTACCATGATGTTGTTAAAATTAAAGAAATCTAGAAGCAATTAGATTTTGAGATACCCTAAACATCACATCTCAGCATTGAATAGTTATTTTGCACACAAGCATATTAAAGGTTCTAAAATATCTCACAGTTATAAAAAAGCCTTCAATATTTTCCCTTGGCATATATGTGAGTATATGTATGAACGTATATTAACTCCTCATGGAAGTAGGGTTCTCCAGGCTCATTTTAAACATTTAAAGGGACGTCACAAGTCATAAAATCTACAGGATCTGCATTCTGAAACTCATGAAAGTTATGATAGTGCCATATATATATATATATATATATATATATATATAGAGAGAGAGAGAGAGAGAGAGAGAGAGAGAGAGAGAGAGAGAGAAAGAGAGAGAGAGAGAGCGCTTACCTTCTGCTATTTTAGGCATTTTTTGAAAGGAGGAAAGAAGAGAGAATGTGTTTGTATTGGGCAGAGGAATGTCAGGGTGAGGGCTAGCAGGAAAGAATAGGAAGAGGGTGGACTCTCCTCTGATGCACTGACTCCAGTAAGAACTGACATGTGATAGAGAGCTAATTTAACAAGGGAAACCAAAGAACTACTCTCAATTTTAAATAAAAATAAAGATTGTAGTTGTTGAGAATAGGTACAAATATACTTTCATACAAGAGAGCCATTTATTCCTATGCCAGCAGTTAACAGACAAGCTACTCTGTTTACAAAATGAATATATCCAATAATGATCTGATTATTTATTAATGTATTTCACATAGCCTAAACACTATATTTTATGTCTGCCACATTACTCCTTTACCGATTTTCAAAATTAAATCTAATATTCTCTAATTAAAGCAATTGATTGCTCATAAGCCCTTTCTCAGCAATCTACTGCAGGGTATTTGCTCCTAATATAAGGTGGTAATCCTAGAAAGAAAACAAAAGATTTTAGTAACATGAGCTGATTGATCAGCAAAAGGTGAAGGATATTCCCAGGTCAATATTAAAGGAAGTTGCAGAGTGCCAGCAGCACTCTTGCTCTGAAAATCTACAAGTTCTAAGTGTGCAGCGGAGCCAGGGCTCCTGCTGGAATGGAGACTAGAGGACAGAAATAAGAAATCAAAGGAAGTGATAGACTACTTACTTTCTTTGCCCATACAAGGAGTTTTATATTGGAGAGATTATATTATATCAAAAACTGGGTTTGGAATAAAAATGAGCAGAGAAAAAAAACTCAAGCAAATGTTAATGAAAGAAGCAATTTGCCACTCTAGGAAAAACAAACATTTTTAGAAGGAAAGAAACCTTACCTTAGTATGTTGGCAGTTGTGTTGAGAAAGAATGTTGCCAAATATTTTTTTGGAGGAACATAAATTAGTATAGCACGTTGAAAGTAAGTTATATAGCAATCATTAAAACATAAAGGGTGATTAGCCTTTGTCTTAGTAATTCTTCTCCTAAGAAATATAACACATAGAAATAATCTCCAGAAATTTCTTGAGTATATGCACAAAGATTTTGATGGTAACTATAATAGAATGTAGAAGTGAAGGGAGACGAAGGGAATTTAAATATCTATTAGTAAGTGAATGGCTAAATTACAAAAAAACAAACCATAGTTACCAGGAAAAGAGAAAATGTTTTATGTGCTAGTACGGAACTAGTACATAATTCCATATGTACTAATCACACACACATGTGATCCCGAAGTATATATGCCAAATTATTTTCCATAGTTATCGCTGGAGCTTAGGAATGAGGAGTGGGGCATGAGGGGGAACACTGTCATTTGTACTGTTCTTCATATCAGTGTGTACTGTCTTGTAATACAAATTAAAATTAAAATAAAAAATCTGAAAGGAAATCATACCTCAATACGTTGTTTCTGTCAATCATTCTATCTTTATATGAGTCTATTTCTTAATGTAGAGGAGGCTGCATAGTGAAATGTTTATGTCTAATATCCATCCAGTCTGTTATTTTAAAATTGCAGATTTCTGGGTATACAGAAATGTGTCTTTAGTATACGGAGAAAGAATATACAATTAAGGTTGATGGTATTCCTACATATGTTAAAAAGGCACATTAAGACACTTAAAATAGTATGATTTGCTATTTAGAGATCAGATGATTATATGTTGGAAAACATGTGGATGTTCCATTTCCTAACTAATGGACATTATCATCCAGATGGATCTGGCTATAGATAGAAATGTTCTCCTAAGTGGTAATCAGTGCCTTTTGATAAAACATAAAATTACTCCTTGGTTGAAACAGTTACCTCAATTCTGGGCAGCTTCAGTCTCTTTCCAAAAAAAAAATGTATTTGGCAAAAGAGTAGAATAAGAAATATTTAAGAAATTATAGGTTATTTTTTAACTTCTTTGGAATGTAGAATCTAGTGGCAATGGAACGGCTATGGTGATTCTGAAGCCAATTGTCCTGGGCACCTTTGGAAGACTGCCCTACGTTATTTATTTGACTTTATTTTCCCTACAGATTTTTAAATGTTTCAAGGTAAAAAAAAATGTGTGCGTGTATGTATGCGTGTGTGCACATGTGTGTAACATACATATAAAACTAATGATGACCCTATGGCTTATGCTTAGGTAATCTTTCTTTCGATTTAATACATGACAGAAAATTTGAATTCAAATTTTGTGGGATCTGAATTTTATATAATTTTGTACAATATTTCATCAAGAAAAACATAAAATTTTGAATACAAAATGAGGTAAATGGCTTCATGAGATGCCTCTATAAGTGAAGGACCAGGAGCTGTAGCTATGTTTGCCTCCTAGTTAAATCCCTTCTGGATAAATACTGTGCTATCTATACTCTGTCATGATTCCCATACACCAGCCTCCTCTCCCACTTGGACTACAACAGCCATATCCTAATTAATTCTCCTGCTTCTACTCTTGCCTTGGGACTATTCAAACATCTTGCAGTAGCAATAACATTTTAAAATGTAAAACTGAGCGTACCATACTCTGCTTATAACCCTCTGGTGGCTTCTCATTCTACTTAAGATAGAACCCAAATTCCATATTCCACTTCACCAACATGATTCCTGCCTGCCTCTTCAGTTCTACCTCACACAATTCCCCACCTTGTTTATTATAAACCTGTCATATTGCACTTCCTTCTGTTATTCCAACATCGCAAGCTTGTTACCATTTGGGGCCTTTGAATCAGCTCACCTCTCTTCCTGGGATGCCTTTTCTTCAGAGAGTATTCCATAGCTATGTACGTCTTACTGTTCAGCTCAAAGGGCATTCCCTCAGAGATGCCTTTACAACCTTGCAATCTCAGAATTGCCTGCCCTTCCAATTATCACCACTGGCAGACATTCCACATTTTTAACCTTAAATTAATATAGTCATAGCAAATGTCACTTTTCTGTATTTATTTCTCTGCATACTTATCTGTCTTGTTTCATACCTGTCAGTAGAAACGAGGTAAATATTCTAAATTAATGAGTATAGTCATTATGATTACAAGCTGAACTAAGCACAGTCCTTCTTGACAAAAGTTCATAGTCTATTGTAGACTCAGATATGTAAGCAGATCAAGTCTGTATTTGCTAACATATTGTTAGAGAAAGTTTTTTTTTTTTTTTGCAGGAATTCCATAAAAGTTTATGAAGGAGAAAATTTCAGCCTTAGTCTTAGTAAGTGAATAGAAATGTGTCAGACAAAGAGCGAAATTAAAAAGCCTTGGAGAGGCCGGGCACGGTGGTTCACGCCTGTAATCCCAGCATTTTGGGAGGCCAAGGCGGACGGATCACAAGGTCAGGAGATAGAGACCATCTTGGCTAATACGATGAAACCCCATCTCTACTAAAAGTACAAAAAATTAGCCGGGCGTTGTGGCGGGCGCCTGTACTTCCAGCTACTCGGGAGGCTGAGGCAGGAGAATGGCGTGAACCCAGGAGGTGGAGCTTGCAGTGAGCAGAGATCGCGCCACTGCACTCCCGCCTGGGCGACAGAGCGAGACTCCGTCTCAAAAAGAAAAAAAAGCATTGGAGAAAGATGGAATAATATATTAATATTCAAATCAAAACTACTAATAGTATGCATACTGTTGATAGTATGTATACACATATAGACAGAATATCTATCATATTATGTCCTACTATGTTATATAATAAGTGATAATAAATGCTATAAAGTGAAATAAAATGGGGTAAGGAACAGTGAAATGATGGGTTCGTATGCTTTTTCACATAAGCGGGTCTAGGAAGGTATATGGGTTTCCAATGGCTGCTGTAACAAATTACCAGAATTTCATGAATTGAGAGAAAATCAATTTATTATTTTATATTCATAATGTAAAGGTCTGCCATGGGTCTCACTGGGCTAAAATCAAAAAGTCAGTAGGGCTGAGTTCCTTTCTAGAGATTCTAGAGTATGATCCGCTTGGTTGCTTTTCTGCCTTCTAGAAGCTGCTCTCATTCCTTGGCCCGTGGCGCTCTTCCTCTATCTTCAAAGTCAGCAACAATGCATTGAGTTTTTACATGGGGTCACTCTGACCGTTTTTCCTATTCCTCCTCGTCCATTTTAAAGGACCCTGTGACTAAGCTGGGCTCATTCTGACAAGCCAGGATAATCCCCCTGTCTTAAGGTCAGCTGACTAGCAAGTTTACATGCATCTGCAACCTGAATTCCCTTTTGTCACGTAACTTAACATAGTTACAGCTCCTGGAGATTAAAACATAGACATTGTTTTGGATAATAATTCTGCCTCTCACACAAAGCTTTGCTGATAATTTGAACACTGACATTTGACCAGTGGACAAAAGGAAGTAAGCAGGTAAGTCATGCTATCAACAGAAGACTTTCCGCAAAAAGAGAAGGTACAAGAGCCTTGTGGTCCAACTAGTGTGCTTGGCCAGTTCAAGAAATAGCTAGGAGATCA
The DNA here is from genome assembly GCF_000001405.40 of Homo sapiens. Classification (NCBI taxonomy): domain Eukaryota; kingdom Metazoa; phylum Chordata; class Mammalia; order Primates; family Hominidae; genus Homo; species Homo sapiens. The sequence goes on along the minus strand of NC_000007.14, from coordinate 9,499,723 downwards.
GTATCATTGGAGAAGAGGGAGCAAAGGGAGAATGTTACAAGTATGGGCCGAGAGAGTTGGGTTAGTAGGAGTGCGGATAACTGGGATTGTAGAGGAAAGTGAGAACTTTAGATTTTACTCCAAGTGGGATGGGAAGTAATCAAAAATAGCATGACCTAATTTTGGCTTTAAACAACGTAAATACGTTATGAAACAAATCAATGCGAACAGATGTAAAAGGAAATATAACAAAATTTTTAAAAACATTGAGAAAAAATATAAAATATAACCAAAGTAAAAGAATAAATAAAAACACATTGATAACATAAAATCTTTTAAGACAATTAAACAGACATGAAACTGTGTATTTCATATATGTAATATATATGTCTTATATTTATGTGTGTGTGTTTCACAGAGTCAGAAAAAATATACAACCCACAATAGTGAGAGACTGACATATTTTAGATATTGACAGAATAAATTAAAAAATAAAAATTTAAGGTATTTTAAAATAATATAGTTTTTAAAAGTCCACTATTATAGAAAATAGTATGATATAACCAATAAGAGACATGTATTTATTTCAAACACAATATATAGAATATGACAATAGCACGTGGGACAAGATGAAACATAACATAGATATATATAGTTATTCAGAATTTGGGTTTCAGGCCTGTTCATTTTCAAAAGCATCTTAAACCCATGGCCTTATTCTGCTTTGTGTAGCCTCAGTAAAGTCTCAAAAGATTACCTGATGATTTTCCTCATCTTTAACTTCCATATTGATAAATAGACCATTACAATCAATAGATAATATAAGGATTTCTAAAATACATTCAGATAATATAATGCAATTTGCAATCTATGTAATTAGAGTTTATTCTGGAATAAGAAACGTTATGAAGATACTATTAAGATATAAGAAGAATAGACATCAATTGTATTTTATTATAATTTAATTATGTATTACATACAATTATAATTATTCTATCTGCCACTTATATAACCACCCTGCTATCTTCCTCATAAAATACAGAAGCAAACAGAAATGGTTTGCCCCCAAGGAGAATATTATTTAGCTAGAGAGTCAAGACAAATTCATAAAGGATTAAGCATACCACAGGGCAAGTGAGTGTTCCGTAGGAGTGATCAGTTATCAACACTTACTGGTTCTTCAGGATGTGCCAAAGTGAAAACGTTTTAACAGATGAACCAAATATGTTTTCACTTCCCCATCCTGAGGTTTCATGTAGAATGATTGCCATCTAGCTTCCCTAACTTGTTACTCTCTGTAGCATCACTGAAGCATCAAATAGGTAGTGTCTTATCAGACATTGACTACTTATATATTTATAGTATCTTTTTCGGCCTAATGGTTCTGTTCATATTCAATAAAAAGTTTCAGAGGTTGAAATAATCAATACTCTAGTATCACTTAACAGTCATATATAATCTATCTCTGCTTCATCTCTGAATATTAGAAATAAACCTCATATTCCCTTTCCTGTCATTATCATTTAGTGAAATATTTAAATCAATATGAGAAAATAACCTTAAAGAAGATAATAATTAAAATAATGTAGTAGATTAATCAGATGTCTGCACACAATATATCAAAGTCTAAAAATTTGTTATTTTTATAAAAGTACTCAAAGATTCTTCTAAAATAGGGAATAACATGAATTTTGGAAGCCTCAAATTGGTACAGTATTCAAAATTTCAAGTAGGAGCAATAGTTAATACAGTAATTTATTTTTTTCAAATTGTATTAAAATAAATCACCATTTTTTAAATTTTTTTTCCTTTTCTTCCTTATATGTAGGTCCAGATATTTCTCAAAGATTATAGTTTTTAGAAATTTAAGTAACATATTCCTATTCCATAAATAAATGTAGTAAAATAGAATCTTTATGTAAACAAGTTGTAAGAATAGGTAGTGGTAATAGAAGCAGGCATTTACTTTCAGGTTTAATTTATATAATTCCAGGTTGAAGTAAAACAACAGAGTAAAGATTTCAGTAAGGGTAGAATTTCCAGATTATAAAGAAAATGAGATTTATTTGAAAACATTATTGTAAAACTAAAGAATTATTAAAACTTAAAATGATGACACCTAGTTATTAAGGTTTTTTTTAATTTTAAAATATGCACTGGTGTCTGTAGTAAACAAATACAATTAAAACAAAAGCGAGACTTCTTCTTTATAAAAGTGACTGCTATTAAAAATATTTGACGATGATAAATGTATGAGTAAGTGTAGCCCATTTTTTTTAGTAGCATTATACACAGGTTCAAATTGTCTACAGTAAAATGTGGCTAAGTATACTAAACATCATAAATAATTCTATTTGCAAATATTCATTCTAATAAATTATCAAAGACTTGCAATAACATATAGTAGAAGGATGCTAACTAAAACTGGGAAATAACTGAAATGGTCAACGTAAGGGGCTGCCAAAGTAAAAAACATTTATTGATGAAATTCTATGCAGCCATGAAAAAGCTACTTTGGAAGAATATTTATTTCCAACGTGTTATCTTCATAAAATATTTTTAAATGTAAGAACATTATTAATACAATTATAAAATACACATAAATTGAGGATAATATAAACTTAATAATATAGAATCCACTCTAGGGACATTTGATTTCTTTGTTTTACATTTTTATCTTTGTATATTTTGTAATGAATAATATAACTATATAATCAGGAAAAAATATTTAAAATATACTTTGAAGAGATCTCTTAGTATTAATATCTTTTGATCTCATAACAAATGCAAATATCCCCAACAATTTTATGTAAATCAGAATATATCTGTGGCATTTCACTCACATTTCTATACTTTAGGAGGATTATGGATAAATTATCTAACCGTCCTGCCATATGGTAGAAATAATATTTGGATTATTCTAAGCGTTTAATCTATATGTGTAACCAATTTTTTTCTTTGAGTCCAATAAACTCAAACAATCAAAACTGATTGCAAGCTCTATATGTTATATCTTAACTTCCATATTGATAAATAGACCATTACAATCAATAGATAATATAAGGATTTCTAAAATACATTCAGATAATATAATGCAATTTGCAATCTATATGAATACATAGAACAAATGTATGGATTCTTTACTTGACCTTTAGTTTTAATAATTTCTCAAGAAAGATTGTGCCACTGGAAGATACAGCCCTCTAGTAGTCGATTTCAGACCATATGAATCTTATTCTGCTGTGTCAGAGAAAGCCAGCTTGAGAAACCTGTTTAACAAACAAATGGTAAACCCAGCTCAGAGGGGAAAAAAAACCTAATCAAGATATGTCAGTGCACAGGATGGTGGATGCATTTGTCATCTAACCATACTAAGGCCTAAAAAAGTCAGTTTCTTATATTCAAGGACAGTCATGTGTTTGAGTAAGCAGAGCCATTTGAGTTTAAAATCGTCATTTTAATCAATAATTAAAACCTGTTATTAAAATTCAGTGTTGGGCCAGGCCTGGTAGTTCATGCCTGTGATCCCAGCAGTTTGAGAGGATGAGGCAGGAAGATTACTTGAGGCCAAGAGTTCAAACCCCGCTTGGGAAACATAGTGAGAACATGTCTCCAAAAGTAAATCACCATGTGGTCATGCATGCCTGTAGTGTTAGCAACTTGGTAGGCTTAGGAGAGAGGGTCCCTTGAGCCCAGAAGTTTGAAGTTGTAGGGAGCTATGATTGTGCCAATGCACATTTAACATATATTAGTATAGTTTTTTTGTTGTTTATTTATCCACTATGTCATACTGATTTTATTTCTAATCAAAAGATTTTCCTTTAAAAAAAGTAAACATTTTTCTAAATAATCCTTCTTTGTCTGTGTCTTGTTTGCTTTTGTTGACTCTTTTGTTTTATTATCAATTTTAGACACTGTTATTCACATTTTGTTGACCAGAATTCAGTTTTGTCTTTAAAATTGGGAAGTGACAAAGCCTTTTGTATATGTTATGGCACTATGTGGCAAAAAGGAATCTGAAACAGAAAAGAATAGTGCACCATTAGGTACTGCAGTGATTATCATAAATTTGCATGTGTAACAGCATACTAAAAATCTAATTATTAAAATGAATAACTGAAAAAAATTCTATGCTCCTTAGTGCCAAAGTTGAAAGTGTAATAATTGTCAACTGAAGTATCATTTTGTCTTTTTTGTTTGTGGGATTTTGGTAGGAAATATAAAAACCAAAAGCTGATTTATCACTTTTCTCTGGCAGCGACTCTGCCCCTTTCATCCAGAATTGTTAAGTGGAGGCTGATTTATAACCTTGCAGTGATTCACTACTTAAATTCTTCCTATGCAGTATAATACTGATACCAAATAATACATCAGGTAAATGCTATAAACAAATATCATCCTGAATATCAATGCTAAAAAGAAAAATAATCTTAGTTATGAAACAGCAAGAAGAGTATAGACTTCCATTAAAAGAATAAGAAAAACATCCAGAAATGGTTCATTATTAAGACAATCCTTAACAAAACTGATTGTATTCAGTGTATGTTTCTGAAAGTAATATGATAATCTCTACAGAAACAGATAAAACATATTTTCAAAAAGTCATTCTTCATTTTTTAAAAAAGTAAGTAAATAAAAATCAACTAAATCATAAAAATTTGACTAGATGAACATTTCCTTTGCATGATGATTAAAATTGGAAAGTTTGAAAGAAGAAAAGATATGATAAAGAAGACATGATTGTATATTTAAAAACATATATTTGAAGTAAAGATTACAAGTAAAAAAGATTACTAATGTGATTACTGTCCAAAAGAAAGCTAGTATTTCATAATTTATACCAAGTAAATGGGTCATGACAAACACATTATTGAAAGAAAAAAAGACCAAAAGATCAATGATTATTGAAATTTTAAAAATATGTAATATGGAAAAACATGAAAATGATTATCAAATTTAGGAATAGGAAGTAGTAAATCACTTACATAAAGGTAATATATTATCTTGAATGAATACTTATAAATAATTCAGCAAAGATTATAAAAGCATTAACACCAAAATCTAAAAGCAAAATTTAATGAAATAGAAAAGAGTAAATGCAATTAATATAATAAAAGTTACTTTTAAAAAAGAATCACAAAATAGACAACCTTCTGGATATTTGAACAATAAGTACTAAAATGAGATATTGTGAGTGAAGAGTAGTAAGAATGAAAATTGCATAATTGGAGAACAAGAAATATAAAATACATAAGTCTTCAAATTTACCAACAAGTTTTAAAATTTAGGTAAAACTGATGTCTAAAAATATCATTGCAGATACTGACTAAACAGAAAAAAAAAAAACTAAAAAAAGTTAAATAAATTTAATCAGCCCTCAAAAGTTTGCCTAACAGTAGGTTTACAAGCAGATTTTATTAAAACTTTGAGTAATATTAGGCCCTATGTTACAAATATTCTTACAGGGAAATAGGTCAAAGGGGAAACTTTTATGACTACATTTCAACACTAGTATAAACTTCATAACAGAAGAGCCAAGATAGCCCACTAAGTGCTCTCAGGAAGAATTTCTCCCACTGAGAGAGACCATCAGGTAGATTGGCACTGTCTTAATAGATCTTCAAAAAGAAGGCATTGGAGGGTGGACAGGAGGAGAACACTGATAATGGGATGAAAGGGGAGGAAGCTGGGAACTGTGCATGGGGTTGGCAAACATAAGGACCTGTTCTCATTCCTCAGTGGCTTCTATGGAAGGGATGAGTAAAATAGGCATGGAGTGGCCCACTCTCATCATGGAGCTTTGGGAGACTCCACAACATCCATGGACATTTGGGTTGGCAGTGAGAACTACCTAGAGAGTTGGCAGAAACAGAATGACAGCCTGCATGGAATCCAGAGGACTCGGTATGGGAATAACTGCAGTGGAGCATGGCCAGGGCACCTATTCCCCAAGGCTTGCCACACTCATCTAGGTGGCTTTAGCCTTTGTTAGCTGCTGGTCATGGGCAGAACAGGAAGTCTTGCCCATGGGCTGGGGCCAATCTAATCTGAGCACCCTGCTGTCTGTCAGCCCACTAGAGTCCTTGCCTGGCCGCACCCATTTACAGTGCAACCTCAGTTGCCCAACTGAAGCACTTGAAAGAAGCCACTGCCATAGCTGTTTCACTGGCCAACTCCACCCATCCATTAGAGCACTTTTGCAGACACAGCCCTACCAGTGCATACCCACCCACAGCCTCCCGCTACTGACACCCAGCGAGTGCACTTTTGCCGCAATCCCCATTGAAATGTAGTTGCAAGCAGGCTGCGGAAACTCAGCCCCTTGAGCAAAGCAGGTGCTTAAATTCAAGAGACTAGAGAACAAAGCCACAGGACTTGTCACCGCCCCCAGGATTACAGCACACAACCCAAAAGTGCTGGGCTGAGGCTTGGGTACCCTGAAAGCATCCAGAAATGAAATCAATCAACTAAACCCAACTGATACCACAGTCAAACCCTCAAGAACATCAAAGAATATAAAAGCAAAACACCCCATCCCAAGACAACAACTTAAAGGTTTAAAGAAACATCAGCCCACGTAGATGAGAAAGAACCAGTGTAAGAACTCTGGCAACTCTAAAAGCCAGAGTGCCTCATTTCTTCTACATGAACCTGAAGCTCTCCAGGAAAGGTCGTTAACCAAACTGAAATGGCTGAAGTGACAGACATAGAATTCAGAATCTAGATGGCAAGGAAGCTTGACATAGAGAAGGTTGCAATCAAATTCAAGGAAAAAAGTAAAGTGGTCCAAGAGTTAAAAGATAATATGATCATTTTAAGAAAGAACAAAACTGAACTTATGAAAATGAATATTCTCTACAGGTATTTCAGAATGCAATTGGAAATAATAATAGAATCAATCAAGCTGAAGAATAAAATTCAGAGCTTGAAGACTGCTCCTTCAAATCAACACAGGCAGAAAAAAAATAGATAGATTGTTAAGAAATGAACAAAACCTGCAAGAAATATGAAATTATATAAACGGACTAAACATAAAACTAATTGGCATTCCTGAATGAGATGGACAGACAGCAAACAATTTGGAAAACATATTTAAAGATATTGTCCATGAAGATTTCCCCAACCTCGCTAGAGAAGTGGACATACTAATTCAGGAAATTCAGAGAACCCCTGCAAAATACTGTACCTCAAGACATATAGTCATGAGATTGACATTCCTCAAAACACATATTCATGAGATTCTTCAAAATCAACACAAAAGAAAAAGTCTTAAAGGCAGCTAGAGAGAAGAGGGAGGTCATCTACACAGGGAAGCCTATCAGACTAACAGCAGACTTCTCAGCAGAAACCTTGCAAGTTGGAAGAGATTGGGGGCCGATATTCAGCATCCTCATAAAAGAGAAATTTCAACCAAGAACTTCATATCCTGTCAAACTAAGCAGATTAGCAATGGAGAAATAAAATTCTTTCCAAAGAAGAAAACGCTAAGGGAATTCATTAACACCAGACTTACCTTAAAAGAGGTCCTCAGGGAGTAGTAAACATGGAAACAAAAGACCATTACCTGTCAACACAAAAACACACCTAAATACATAGCACACTGACACTATAAAGCAACTATATACAATCAAGTCTACAATACAATCAGCTAACAACATGATGATAAGAAGAAATCCTCACTTATCAATATTTACCTTGAATGTAAATGGCTGAAGGCCCCACTTAAAAGACACAGAGTACCAAGTTTGATGAATAAGCAACACTCAATAGTATGCTGGTTTCAAGAGACCCATCTCACATGCAATGACATCCTTAGGCTCAAAGTAAAGGGAGGAAGAAATATTTGTCAAGCAAACAAAAAAGAAAAATGAGCAGGGGGTTCTAATCTTATTTCAGATAAAACAGACATTAAACCAACAACAATGAAAAAGGACAAACATGGGTATAATGTAATGGTAAAGGGTTCAATTCAACAAGAAGATTTAACATCGTAGGATGCTAAATACATATGCACACAAACTGGAGCGCCCAGATTCATAAAGCAAGTTCTTAGAGACCTACAAAGACTTAGATAACCACAAAATAATAGTGGGAAACTTCAACAACCCACCAACAGTGTTAAACCGATCACCAAGGCAGAAAACAAAGAAATATATTTTGGACCTTACCTCAACACTTGACAAAAGGACCTAAAAGACATCTACAGAATACTCCACCCAACAGCAACAGAAAACTCTTTCTTTTCATCTGCAAGATCAACCACTCACTTGGCCATAAAGAAAGTCTCAACAATTTTGAAACCACTGAAATTATACCAACCAAACTGTCAGACTACAGTACAATAAAAGTAATCAATACCATTAAGATCTCTCAAAACTATAGAATTACATGAAAATTAAACAACTTGATCCTGAATGATTTGGGGTTAAGCAATGAAATTAAGGCAGAAGTCAAGAAATTATTTGAAACTAATGAAAACAAAGGTGCAACATACCAGAATGTCGGGAACAGAGCTAAAGCAATGTTAAGACGAAAGGTTACAGCACTAAATCTCTACATCAAGTATTTAAAACTATTTTAAATAAAGAACTTAACATCATACCTAGGGAAACTAAAAAATCTGCAGGAAACCAACCACAAAGCTACCAGAAGAAAAGAAATAACCAAATCTGAGTTGAACTGAAAAAAATTGAGATGAGAAAATTCATATAAAATACCAAGGAAACCAAAGTTGGTTTGTTAGAAAGAATAAATAAGATTGATAAACTGCGAGCTAGAATAATAAAGAAAAAACAGAGTTGATTCCAATAAACAAAATCAGAAATAAAAAAGGTGACATTATGGATGATGTCAAATAAATACAAAATAATCCTCAGATAATATTATGAGCACCTCTGTGCACACAAACTATACAGAAAACATGGATAAATTCCTGGAAACACACAACATCCCAAGATTGAAGCAGGAAGAAGCTGAAATTCTGGATAGACCAATAATGATTTCCACAAATAAACCAGAATTGAAAAACCTACCAATCAAAAAAAAAAAAAAAACGAAAAAAACCCTGGACCAGTTGGATTGACAGCTGAATTCTACCAGGCATATTAAAAAAACCTGGTACCAATCCTACTGAAAGTATTCCAAAAAATCAAGGAGAAGGCATTCCTCCTTTACTCATTCTATGAGGTCAGCATCATTCTGATACTGAATCTAACAGAGATACCCTGAAAAAACGAAGCTTTAGGCCAATATCTCTGATGAACATAGACGCAAAAATCCTCTGCAAAATACTAGTAAAATGTATCCAACAGCACCTCGGAAAGCTAAACCACTAAGACCAAGGAGGCTTTAATTCTGGGATGCAAGTTTGGTTCAACACATGCAAATCAATATGATTCATTGCATAAACAGAACTAAAAATAAAAACTACATAATCATCTCAATAGACACAGAAAAAGCTTTCAATAAAATACAGCATTTCTTCATGTTAAAAACACTTAACAAACTAGACATCAAAAGGACTTACCTCAAAATTATAAGAGCCATCTATGACTAACCCACAGCCAACATTACACTGAATGGCTAAAAGCTGGAAATATTCACCTAGAGAACCAGAGCAAGACAAGGATGACCTCTCGCACCACTCCTATTCAACATAGTATGGGAAGTCCTAGCCAGGGTAATCAGGGAAGAGAAATAAACAAAAGTCATCCATATAGGAAGAGAAGAAGTCAAACTATCTGTGTTTGCAGATGGTATTATTCTATACTTAAAAAACCCAACAGTCTCTGCCCAAAGGCTCCTAAAACTGTTAACCAATTTCAGTGCAGTTTCAGGATACAAAATCAATGTACAAATATCAGTAGCATTTCTGTACACCTATAATGTCCAAGTTGGGAGCCAAATCAAGAACAGAATCCCATTCACAATAGCCACAAAAAGAATTAAATATCCAGAAATACAGCTAACCAGGGAGGTGAAAGATCTCTACAATGAGAATTACAAAACACTGCTGAAAGAAATCAGAGATGACACAAACACATGGAAACACAATCCGTTTTAAGGGATAAGAAGAATCAACATTGTTAAAATGGTCATACTGTGCAAAGTAGTTTACACATTCAAGGCTGTTTCTATCAATCTACCAACATAAGTTTTCACAGAATTAGGAAAAAAACCTATTCTAAAATTCATGTGCAACCAAAAAAGAGCCCAAATAGCCAAAACAATACTGAGAAAAAAAATCACATACACACACATACACACACAAAAACAAAAGCTGGAGGCATCACACTACTTGAGTTCAATCTATATTACAATGCTACAGTACTATAGCATGGTGCTGGTACTGGTACTAAAGCAGATATATAGACTAATGGAACAGGTTAGAGAACCCACAAATAAAGCCACAAACCCACAAAAATCTGATCTCCAACAAAGTCTACAATAATAAACTATGAGAAAATGAATCTCTAATCAATAAATGGTGATGGGACTACTGGCTAGCCATAAGCAGAAGATTGAAACTGGACCCCTTCCTTACACCGTATACATAAATTGACTCAAATGAATTAAAGACTTAAGTGTAACACCTAACACTGTAAAAACCCTTGTAGAAAACCTAGGAAATGTCCTTTGGATGTAGGCTTTAACACATATTTTTTTATGAAGTCTCCCAAAGGCATTGCAACTAAAACAAAAATATACGAGTAGGACCTAATTAACCGACAGAGCTTCTGCACGACCAATGAAACTATCATCAACAAATATCATCAACAACTATCATCAACCTATAGAATGGGAGAAAATATTCAGAAATTATGCAACCAACAAAGTTCTAATATTCAAAATGTATAAGGAGTTTAAACAAATCAATAAGCAAAAAACAAATAACCTTGTTAAAAAGAGGGCAAAAGAAATGAACAGACATATCTCAAGGGAACACATAAAGTGGCCAAAAGACAGGAAAAAATGCTCATCATGACTCATCACTAGAAAAATGCAAATCAGCACCACAGTGGGATACCATCTAACATGAGTCATAATGGCTATTTATAAAAAGTCAAAAAAATAATATATGTTGGCCACATCTCAGAGAAAAGGGAACATGTATACAGTGTTTGTGAGAATGTATATCAGTTCAGCCACTGTGGAAAGCAGTTTGGAGATATCTCAAAGAACTTAAAACATAACTACCATTTGACCCTGCAATTCCATAGTTAGATATACACCCAAAGGAATATAAATTATTCTACCAAAAGACACATTCACTTCTATATTCATCAGAGCACTATTAATGATAGCAAAGACATGGAATCAACCTAGATGCCCATCAACTGTAGACTGAACAAAACAAATATGATATACACACACTAAGAAACATTGGAATATTATGCAACCATAAAAAGAATGAGATCCTGTCTTTTTCAGGAACATGAATGTAGCTGGAGACTATTTTCCTAAGCAAATGAATGCAAAAACAGAAATTCAAATACCACATGTTCTCACTTACAAGTGGGAGCTAAACATTGAGTACTAGATGGAGACAACAGACACCGAGGCCTACCTGAAGGTGGAGGATGGAGGAAAGTGAGGACTGAAAAGCTACCTATTGGGTACCATCTTCACTACCTGAGTGACGAAACCATTTGTATACCACACCCCAATGACATGCAACTTACCCATGTAACAAACCTGCTAATGGACCCTCTGAAGCTAAAATAAAATTTGAAAAAGAAAAGGAATTTCATTTTAAATTTAAGAATTAAATCAGGCATAAAAAGTAATAAAACCAGGAAATAGAAAAATTGTTCCTGTTAACTGAGTTGCATAAATCCTGAGTTTAAAAAACAATCTACCTACACTTGTAAAAACTCATTACAAAATGTATTTCTTTTTTACAAAATGTATTTCTTACACAATATATTCATCATAATTCACTCCGTGGTTTATTTTCAATATCCTCACTCTGAAATTCAGACTGTTGGAGTAACCATCATATTAAACATTCCAAGTGACCATCATAGAGGAAAAAAATCATTCTAGCCTCTTATGAATTAAGGATATCATTTTCGTTCATATCTGATCTTCCAGAAAAATCACTATGACCCTACCCAAATACAGTCAGACTCAGAAATAAAATCATACATCATGGCCTGGAAATGAAGGAGTGAAGTTATACCAAATTAAACTGACTGAGTTTTAGAAAGGAAGCCTTGAGTAAAATGTGTGTGCACAAACCACACACACACACGCACACACAAACACACACACACAGACACACAGTTAAGAACCCTTGATAAAGATGTTATTTCATCCTCAAGAGATCTGATCCAATCATTCGCAGATGAAACTGAGTAAAATTTGGGAAAAAATTATTTTAAAAGGTGGACTATTCTCACTGAATATTTAAATATATTATTAATTTATAGTATTCTCTAGAAAATCATGTAGCATAATATAAATTCAGACATGCAAAAATATAAATAGACCAGAATTGAGAGTCCAGAAATAGATAAAAGTGAAAAAGAAAATACGAGTAAATGCACTAATATTTCAAAACAGTGAGAAAAGTAGGGGATAATCAATCATAGTGTTGAGTTGCCATTCAAAACCTTGCCATTTCAAAACAAAGATTAATCCTTAATTACTCCTTTAAAAGTAAATTTCAGATGAACCAGAAATATATATGTAATTAAATAAAGCCATAAAATCACAAAAACCAGAAAAGAAACATTTTAATAAAAAGTTATGATATAACACAGTAGTTGAAATTCTTTATAGATTATAAAATCACAAAAAAACATTTTAAGAAAAAGTTATAGTATAACACAGTAGTTGAAATTCTTTATAGCTTACTATAAGTCAAGCGATCATGATTATTTTGCTCATTTTCTCTAGACTTAGTTCTTGCCTCTGTAAAATAGACATATTAAAAATAATAATGGAATTTTTGAGAGCATTGAGATAACTCAATGTGTTATTTACCATAATATCTGCCACAGATAAAACTCTCAATTACTGATACTAATAATGTTATAATAATTATTATTACTTTATTAAAAAGACATTTATAACGTGTCAAAAATCAATCTAGAGTGGAGTAGGAATGGGCTAAATATTCTCAGGTTAAGAAGTAAAACTATTTTGTTCAGCTAAAAACAATGTACAAATGAGAAATACATAAATGAAGTCTATTTGCTATTAAAAACCACTTAATAACAATAACATGGAAACAAGACAGTAAAAACTCAATTGAAAGGTAGAAACATCAGCATACATGATGGAATAAATAGCTCCAAAAATTTTCCCAATCACAAAACCGATGAGAAAGCTGATGATATTTTTCAGAATCAACTTTTTCAGAACTCTGAAAAAGAACTTAGACTTACAGCAACTCAGAGAATATTTATTCAAGAAAAATAGCTGAATTATACTAAGAACAAGATTTTTGAGGAAATTTAACATGCCCTCATCTGATCCTTCTTTCTCTAGCTGTATGCATGCTCAAAAACAAAAACAAAATCCTAAGTAGGTCCTAAATTATCACGTCTGGCTTATTTTGATCCTTATCCAAGCAAAATGAAGGATAAAAATGAGTTATCAACTGCCTGGCTGAGTGCTGTAGTTTGCAACATTCACATTAAGATCCTTAGCAAAACAGAGAGACTTACTGGTTCCAGGAATTTAAGAATATGTCTGTTAATCATTAGATGACAACTAAACAAACAGCCCAGATTTCAGTGGCAATATATGACAAGGAAGACAGACTTTACAGAATCACTTCAGAAAAGACATTAAATAAATATAATAAATAACCAATAGCAGTATAAAAATATTGGGAAGGAAGAAAATCAGATTTCAAGAGTTTCATATAATGTTATTTTAAAGGTGATAGATTTAACATTTCAGCACAATTTTCAAGAAATGAAAAGAAAAAGAATACCCATTCCAGAAAAAAAGAAAAACAACAAAGCAAACAGTAGAAACTTCCCTAAAGGAGCAGAGATATAGAATTTACTAAAGAAACTGTAAGTCATCTACTTAAAGTATGTTCAAACAACCAAATTATGTCTAAACAACTAGAATACAATATAATACTTATCTTGTCTGAGGAGCAGAAAGAAAAAAAGATAAAAAATAAATAAACAGATTCTCATACACCTGTGGGAAACCATCAGACATACCAATATACACATTATAAGAGTCTCAGCAGAAGGGAAAAAGAAAAAGGTGCAGAAAAAAATATTTCAAACAATAATTGTAAATAATTCCAAAATCTGATGAAAAACATAAATTTTCACATCTAAGAATCTTAAAAAAGACTATAAATATAAACTCAAAGACAGCCACATGTAGAAACACCATAACAAACCTGATAGCTAAAGACAAAGATAATTTTTAGCAGCAAGAGAGATAACTCATCATGTACAAAGTATCCACAATAAGATTAATAGCCAGCTTCTCATCAGAAACCATAAAAATTAGAAAGCAGTGGGATGGCATATTCAAAGTGGTGAAAGAAAAAGACTAGGCTGGTCATGGTGGCTCACGCCTGTAATCCCAGCACTTTGGGAGGCCAGAGCAGGCAGATCAACTGAGGTCAGAAGTTCGAGAACACCCTGACCAACATGGAGAAACCCTGTCTCTACTAAAAATACAAAATTAGCTGGGCGTGATGGCACATGCCTGTAATCCCAGCTACTCAGGAGGCTGAGGCAGGAGAATTGCTTGAACCAGGGAGGCAGATGTTGCGGTAAGCCGAGATCATACCATTGCACTCCAGACTGGGCAACAAGAGTGAAACGCAGTCCCAAAAAAAAGAAAAAAGAAAAAAAAAAAAAAAAAGACTAGCACCCAGAAACTCTGTGTGTAGCAAAGCTACACTTTAGAAATGAAGGAGAAATTAAAACATTTCAATGGCTGGGAATGGTGGCTCACACCTGTAATCCCAGCACTTTGGGAGGCCGACGCAGGAGTTCAAGAGCAGCCTTGCACTCTGTCTCTACTGAAAATACAAAAAAACTACTGGGTGTGTTGGTGGGCACCTGTAATCCCAGCTACTCAGGATGCTGAGGCATGAGAATTGCTTGAAGCTGGAGGGTGGAGTTTGCAGTGAGCGGAGATTGTGCCACTGCACTCTAGCCTGGGTGACAGAGTGGGAGTCTATCTCAAAGAAGAAAAAAAAAGAAATTAAGACATTTCAAGACAAAAATTGAGAGATCTGTCACTAGCAAACCTGCCCTAGGAGAAATATTAAAGGGAATCTTTCATTTTTCTATAAAAAATACTAGACACTAACTAAATTCCATGTGAAAGCATTAAACAGCACCAGTAAAATAAACTACATAAATACAGAAGGCATGTACATGCATTTTACTTGTAATCCTTTTTTTCAATTAAAAGTAAATAGACAAAGCAATAAGTATAAATACATGTTGATAGGATAAAGGTGTAATTTGAATAACAATAACAACAAAAGAGAAGGGAGGGGATAAATCTATATAGTAACAAAGATTTACATAGTGTTTAAAATCAATTGATATTCATCAGGATTAGATTGTTACAAGGAAAGACGTTAATTTAATCCCAAGGGCAAACACCAGGAAAACAACTTAAAACTTAAAATAATTAAAATAAATACATATAACAAGGTAATAAATATGCTACACTAGAAACAATCTATTTAACATAAAAGCAATATGAGAGGAATAGAGGAACAAATAATATAGCAAATATATAGGAAACACATATAAAATGGCAGACATACCTTCAACAGTATAAGTAATTATACTGTGTCAACGATATAAACACTAAAATTAAAAGGCAGAGGTGGGCAGAAAAAATATAAATATGATCCAAACTATAATCTCTTTAGAACAGAAACACTACAGATTTAAGGACATAAATAATAGTTGGAGACTTCAGTACCCTACTTGCAATAATTTACAGAATGACTAGATAGATTGATAAAAAATAGGAGACTTAAACAATATTATAATCCAACTAGACTTCTAACAGTTATCTAGAACACTTTACCCAACAACAAGAGAATATATATTCCTCTGCAGGTATAACATTCTACAGAATAGGCTATGTCAGATTGTAAAACAAACATTAGTATATCTAAAAACATTGAAATCATGAAAAGTATATTCTCTGACCACAATGGAATAAATCAGAAATCAATAACAAGATAATATTAAAAATTCACAGATAATTAGAAATAAAAGAACAGATTCCTAAATAAGCAATTTATCAAATAAGAACTCACAAAAGAAATTAGAACTACTCTGAGATGGATTAAAATTAAAGCACATCTTACCAAACTTTTGAGACACACTCAAAGAAGTGTTTGGAAGGAAATTTGTAGCTATAAATAAATATATTGAAAAAGCACATATCTGAAATTAATAGCTAAATTTCTACTACAGAAAATTGGAAAAAGAAGAGCAAACTAAACCCACAGCAAGCATAAGGAAGGACATAATATATATAAGAGCAGAAATGAATGAGTTAGAAAAGGTAAAAACAACTAAACAACTAAAAGTTGGCCCTTTGTAAAAATCAACAAGTTTTATTAAGACTGACTGACCAAGAACAATGGAGAGAAGACTTAATCTGCCAAATTCATGAATAAAATAGGGCTATTACCATGGACTTTACAGGAATAAAAATGATTATATGGGGATGTCATATACAATTATTTGGCAACAAACTAGATATATAAAATGGACAAATTTTTAGACAGGTGCAAGCTATCAAAACTGAGTGAAAAATATAAAGAAAATCATAGTACACACAAAACAAGAGGCTTAATTTGTAATTTGAAAAAACACAACAAATAAAACTTTCCACAAAGAAACATACAGGCTTAGATAGGTTAACTAGGGAAATCTAACAAAGGTTCATAGTAAAATCAACAACTTAAATAAATTCTTCTGAAAAATAGAAAAGGAAGAAACAATTCCTGATTCTTTCTATGAGGCCAACATTATTCTGACACCAAAAACAGACAAGGAAACCACAAGGAAATATACTGATTGACCAATATGCTTCATTAATATGGAAGCAATACCTTTCCCCAAAATACTAGCAAACTAAATTTAGCAACATGTGAATTAGAATATATACCATGTCCAAGTGGCATTTGTCTCAAGAAAGCAAGATTGGTTCAATATACAAAAATCATTTAATATAACACCACAGTAACAAATCATATATACCTTGAGTGGGACAAAAACCACATTGTCATCTCAATAAATACAGAAAAAAATTGACACAACCCAACATTGTTTAATGATAAAAGCAATTACCAAACTATGAATATAAGGCAACTGCCACTATATGACAACAGTCACTTATGAAAAACCCACAGATAACAACATGTTTTATGTTAAAATATAGGGATCTTTCCTTTTTAGATCAGGAACAAGACAATAATATCCTCTTTTATCATTTCTGTTCAACATCTTATTGGTAGTTCTAGCCAGGGCAATTAACTCCCCCAATAAAAAATATGTATATAACAGCTATCCAAATTGGAAATACAGTAGTAGAACTATATATTTTAGAATGATGCAAATGATATAAATAAACACGCTTAAGTAATTCAGTAACAAACTAGTAATGCTAACATACAAGTTCCAGAAAGAAGCAAGAGAGGAGATCAGTATGCAAAAATCAATTGTATTTTTATACCCTTGCAATTAAAATTCAGAAAATAAAAGTAAAAAAGTATTGAAATATCACAAAAGGATAAAATACTTACATAGAAACTTAACAGAACAAGTGCAAAATTATACACTTGTTTAGTAAGAGTACACAAAACATTATTGAAATAATGTACAAAGTGCCTAAGATTAAAAAAAAGAGTCTGTTTTCTTGTACTGAAAGAATTAATATCGTTAAGATTGCAATACTACCAAAATGCAGCTACAGATTTAATGAAATTCCGATCAAAATATCCGGTGACTTTTTGCTGTGGTTGTCGAAAATTGACAAATTGATTCTAAGATTCATATGAAAATTTAAGAAATCCAGAATAGTCAAAACAACTTTGAGAAAGAAAAACAAATTTGGATAACTCACACTTTCCAATTTCAAAACTGACTACCAATCTATAGTAATTAATACTATGTGCTAATGGTATAATGTTAGACATAACATCATTGATTAGAATAGATTGTCCAAAATTAAACACATATATTTATAGATAATTGAATGTTGATGAGGACACTGAAACAATTTAATGGAGAAACAATAATCTTTTCAACCGTTGGTTCCTGCAAAATGTATATCCATGTGGAAATAAGTGAATCTGGGCCATTTACCCAAAGAACATAGCTAAAACTATAAGATTTTTACAAGAAAATATAGGTGCAAATATTTTTGACTGTGGATTAGGCAGTGGTTTCTTAGTTGTGACACCTAAAACACAAGCAACAAAAGAAAAATAAAGATCAAATTGCAATTTATGCTAACTTTTACAAATGTTACTGCTACCAGAGATACTTTCAAAGTGAAAAGACAGTCCACAAAATGAGAGAACATATTTGCAAAATATAATTTGAAATTCGTATCTAGAATATATGAAGAGCTCTTACAACAAAATAATAAGACAGGTAACCAAATTTTTTAAATGGTGAAAGGATTTGAATATATATTTCTCCAAAGAGGATGTATTTTCCCAATACGATTATGAAAAGACACTCAACATCTTTAAGGATGTACCAATCAAAATCACAGTGAGATACTACTTTATACCCACTAGGATGGCTATAATCAACAAGTAAAACAGCAAATGTTGGCAAGGATTTGGAGAAACTGGAAATCTTATGTCTTGCTAGTGGGAATAGAAAACGGCCCAGTCCTTTGAAAATTGTTTGCAGTTCCTCATAAAGTGAAATGTGGAGTTATCATATGACCCAGTAATTCCACTGTTATATAATAAAAAAGACTAAAAATGTATGTTTACACAAGACACACACAAATGGTCCTATTAGCATTATTTATAATTGCCAAATTTAGAAACAATCTAAATATCTATAAACTAATAAATGGATTAAAATGTGTTATATCTATACAATGGAATAGCATTCAAGCATAAAAATGAATAAAGTAATGATGCATGCTACAACACAGAAAAATTTCAAAAGCATCACATTAATTGAGAGAAGCCAGACACAAAAAGCCACATTTATGTAAAATATCTGGAATGGAAAAATCTTTAGAGACAGAAAGTAGGTTAGTTTTCACCAGGACTTGGGGAAAGGGGCTAATGGAACGTTAGTGTTAATGGGTGCCTATTTCTTCTTAGGGTGCTAAAAATAATCTGGAATTAAATAGTGCCGATGACTGACCAGTCATGTGAAAACACTAACGACCACTAAATTGCACACTTTAAAAGAATGAATTTGATAGTATGTGAATAGCTCAAATAAATATTAGGTGGGAAGAAAATATCAGTGGAGAAAGAAACTTAGCCCAAGTTTCATAAAGGGTATTGAGAGTTCATTAGGAATTAAAATACTTGATAATTGTGCAATCTTCTCAAAAAACATGTAAAACTTCTAAAGTTGATAGAAATGGAAAATATTGAACAAATCCAGTTTTTGAGAAAGTATGAGGAGAGTGACCTTTTAACTCCTGTTGGTGGGCATGTAGATTGTTCAGCCTTCATGTGTGAACATTTATAAATATGTAACTGAACATAACATGTACAATGACTCTGATCCATTTGTCTTAATTTTATACTTAAATAAAATATATAATCATACCAGTATGTGTATATAAATGCATGAGAAAATTTGACAATCACTCTTATGTTTTGAATAATTATCTGTCCAAAATTAATTAGTTAATTAAATTACAAACAAATATATAACAATCATTTAGCATAAAAATGTGAATCTGGGATTATAAGTGTTTCTTAATATTTTGAATAAAAAATCTTACAAAGCAAGATGCATTGTGTGATTCTATTTCTATAAAATGGTGAAGGAGAGAGCAGTGGGCAGGGTAGAGAAGAGCCAGTGGGAAAGAGCTTGAGAAACAGAAACATAAAAGTACTTTTCTAGAAAATGCTATCAAAACACAAGAGAAATATTTTACACTGTTCCCTGGGTTTTTATCCAATCAGTATGGGTTAACTTACAAAACACTAAAGTTATTACTAAAAAGAACTGATAGAAAGAAACATTTTATGGTCTTCATTTTTAAAATTGCTTGATTTTTTTGTAATGTATTAATTTATAAAAACAATAGTTATTAAAAAAGATTGTTATTCTAGGATCCTGTGTTACTTATGGATGGTAAACATTAACTAGAAACTATTTTCAGCTTTCAGAAAGTCTTTTTAGAGAAAAAACATTTAAAAATAGTCCTAATAAAAATATGTTTTAAGAAAAACTTTATATGACGTTATGTATTTAACTTATTTTACTCTCTGGCCCAAAGATAAAGTTACTTAAGTTTCTATTTGTTCAATAAAATTTTTACTCTTTTAATTGATGCTTTTAAATTTTGAATTCTCAGCATACCAAATAACATTAAGTAATGGTATATTCTAAGGACATATATATAAGCAAATTAATTATGGTTCATATTCTAAGCAGATATATATATATGCAAATGAATTATCACACATGTTGCTTGTTAATGAACATGAAAAATGCTTTCCAATATTATAAAAATTGCTCTTTTTGCATTTGGTCTTTTAATATGAGGAAAGCCCAACTTGATCAGTATTTTTTAAGGTCTGTATCAGAAGGCAGAACATTTTTAAGACAAAGAAAGCTGATATATATCTTCATATCTCTTATAAATTGCAAATGGATATGTTAGTGCCCACTTGGCTTGAGGTTTAAGCCTCAGATGTAATCAAGCTTGTCTACTTAGATTTTCTAGCAAATGTGGATTATGTTTATGGGCCAAATGGCTAATTCATCACACATATTGACAGAAAATAAAGGGCCTCTTCCTATGCTCACTCAGCATGAAAACTGTGGCCTACACTGTATTTGTGGGTTTGAATTAGGCAGAAGTTCCATAACACCTTTATTGTCAAAGAAAATTGAATAGAATGACTAGAAAAATTTAAAATATAAGGAGCTTTATTGTATTAATCAGGTAAATGTTCTAAATTAAGCAATTACACATCATTAAGTTGGTATTTATGAGATCTCATCAATAATTCATTTCCAACACATTTACTTAAAGTTTTTGGGAATCACTGTATTTATTCAGTGAAGAGTGAAATAATTTAATTTGCTAAGCATTCACAGTAAGGATAACATTAGTCTCTTGATTAGAATGAATTTTTGAGGTCACTCTGGAGAAAGGAATCTCTTCTCTGTGGAGATTGGTGAGATCTGGGTATATTTTCCCTAGTTCCTCATTCATCTCTTGTTTATCCAAGATGTGGTGCCTCTATCTACTTGCCTTTTGTTCTAGAGAAAAACTGTAAGATGACACCTGGAATGGAAACACCTGAATTCCAATAACATTTTAAACATCTTTCCCTGATGAATATCTTTCTCTGTGATTAATCATTTTAAAAAATTAGAAGCTTTATTTTATAGTACTTTTTTCTCATGAAGTTGTGAATATCAGCTGCCTCATAGTAAAATAAACAGCAGTTTGACAATGTGGCACATGTTATGGATTTAGGAACAGAGATTTACCAAATTGATACATTTATGGTATAGTTAAATTTATTCGTATTGTCTTGTGTGAGAAAAATCTAAACAAATTGCAGGTACACAGTTGAAGACATGCCCTAAATCAGGGAGTAATTTTAGTAATCTCTTCAAGATTGGTCTTTATTGGCCTGGCCAAAATAAAATTATGCTTTAATAGTTTTGTTATATAACTTTCAGAAAACCCAGCGATTGATGAGAGGAAGTGACTTTATTCTGAAGAAAGTGTTAATGGGAATTAAAGGCAGTCATTTATTGAGCAAAATTGAATTCAATATGGCAAGATTGAATGAGAAGGGGGTACTAGAACCTAGAACCAGCTCTGTATGTGAACTTAGAATTAGCTCTGTCTTGAGGATTTAGTAGGCTTGTAGACAAAAACATCGTTAAGTTTGGCAGGCAAAGCATGATAACTAAAGACAGTATAAAGCAAAAATAAATCAGTGGTAATTAGAATCAAGGGCACAGGGGACATGGAGCACATAGAACTCAATTCCTGAAGAAAGCCCAGCAGGTGTAAACTTGCTCCTTGGTCATCCAGGTCTTACAGTAAAAAGATTTCCACTGTGGGAAATTGGACAGAAGGAGATATGGGTGAGAACCTGAATATGTCATAGTTAGACAGGGTGACAATGTTAGAGACCTTTAAATCCCTCAGTCCAAGATGTGCTTTTCTACATACTTAATACTTGGAATTAGTAGATACTTTGGGAAATGCATTAAGGCATAATTACCACACTATACTTATAACATTTAGACTTTTATAATATTTTTATACCTTCTGGTTGCAAATGGGTGCAGAGATATACAAGAGAAGTTGACTTCAATTGATGGGAAGGCAGACTTAGAAAGGTAGGCTTTGACCAATAAAAGGCTAGACAGTGACCAAAAAAGAAAGACTAGTTGAAAAATAGTCTCATTCTTAGAGACTTGTAGCCATGGGCACAACTTAATGTGACAGAATAGTAGCAAAATAAATTACATGACTTGAAGGCAACGCCAATTCAGTTACGAAAGTAAGAATGTAGCTTTTCCCTTTTTAGTATGTATCTTATGTTCCTTTATAGAAATGTACATATATATTCAAGGGAAAAACATTTGCTTTTCTTTCAAGTCCACTTGTGGTTCGTTTATCTGAGAAACAATTTACTGAAAGAATTTGGATTTCTCATATTCTCAATTTGGATTTTCTGCTTTCAGATCAAAGAGGCAATCTAGTTTCACAAAGGTTTTCTTTGTTTATCACATTGATGGACTTTACATTGATTAAATGCTGATCCTCACAAGTTTTCAGATAGCTGGACACATAATTACCACTATTATACTTCATTCAGCAGCCTGCACAGTTGGTGCTTGATTCAGCTGATGCTGCTTTTGATGGAGAGTATGCCTCCTTTACAACAAGACTCTCAACTCTCCAGAGTATGAATGAAAGGGATTGTGGTAGGCTGACTCCATTTAATAACCCTGCTTATGTAATATGATCCTTATCAAGCAAAGGGTGTGAATCCTGATTAAAATTTTAAAATTATGGTTCTTGACAAACAGTGCTAACCTCAAAGTGCAAATATGAGCTAAGAAATAAAGCAGAGTGTAGCAAGTGACACTGGTAAACATGTTTAATTAAAGTAGTGGGTGAATATGTAAATATTTGAGGATCTGAAGATACTAGACAAACCTCCTAATTAACTGGGTTGTGGGATTTTTTTTTTTATGCATTACCTATTACGTGGAATTAGCAGACACTTCGGTAGATTCATCAATATTTCTTTCCACTTAGATGTTATTTACTAAATAATACAGCACTAGGGCTTTTCTGATATTTTCATTCCTTTTTGACTAGAAACTCTTAAACAGGCAGATTATTATACTTATACCATTATATTATTGAATTTGCATATGTATTTACTAAAATACTGTTTTTCTGTGGATGGGAACATCTTCCGTAGCTCAGTAAGGCATTAGGCTTGCAGTGAATATGACCAGTGACATATTATTAGTTTGGAATTCTGTGTAGCCTGGTAAAGACTTTAGAAATGGCTCCTGATCCAAGGTATGATTATTTTGTGACAGCTGGTTGGTACTGGAACCAAGAATAAAGGAAAGAAGAATATGTGAGCTGCTAGCCTAGAAGGAGAGGTAGCGATGGGTCCAGGAGAAAGAAAAAAAAAAAGAATATAGGAAGTAATAAAGTATTGTAATTAATGTGAGCACAAAGGAGAAAGAAGAAACTATGTACGTAGACAATATTGATCATTTTACTCTCTTGAGTATGGAATTACATTTACCATCTGTGGCATCTTTCCAATTGCCAGAAATCACATGATTCTTTTGCAGCAATGCTGTCTCTTCCTGAGTTGAAACACAAGGGGAGAGAGGAGAACAGAAAGGGAAAGGGAAGAGAAGAAGACATACATAAATTGATGTTGATTAGTAGTGCTTTTGCTTGACTGAGTGTTAGGTTAGAGGAATTAAACAAAATCAAGTGTCTAGGAAATACTTTCATTAAGTTGCCTTTTATTCATTGCAAGCCAAACGATTTACCTAAAACGGATGTTGCCTCCTTTTTGACCATCATTATTTTTACAGCTGAATTCTCACATACCCTTTGAAAATTGATTGAATATTGCTCATGTAAATAAAAAAATAGAAAACATGATTGCAACTCATAAGTTTTGTCTAAATTATTGCCCAAATAATCTATAATTGTCTGGGAGAATCTACTTCAATATAAAAGGCTATACACAATGGAATGAATGTTCTTTTCTTGCTCTCTGATATTTTATTCATTTCTGACTATTACATCAATTTTACCTGTCAAACCTAGCTAAGTTAGGTTTATTAGTATATTAATATTTATATTTTATTTATATTATAAATATACATACATAAATTAACAATCACATATAACCTCACCTATCTGTCACCCAAGCTCACTAGTGGTAATTTTGTGACTATTTTGGCACATTCACAGATATTTTAATGACTGCAAATATTTTACCCTACGGATATATCACAGTTTATTTAATAATTTGCCTATTTTTGCACCTTAGGATTTTAAGATTTTACTAGTATGAATAACTCAATATAAGGATTTTAAGGTTTTACTAGTTTGAATAACTTGTTACAAGGATTTTAAGGTTTTACTAGTATGAATAACTCAGTATAGGCCAGGCAGGGTAGCTCATGCCAGTAATCCCAACACTTTGGGAGGCTAAAGCAGGAAGATCACTTGAGGTAAGGAGTTCAAGACCAACATGGCCAATATGGTGAAATCCTATCTCTACTAAAAATACAAAAATTAGCTGAGAGTGGTGGCACGTGCATGTAGTCTCAGCTACTCAGAGGCTGATGGAGGAGAACTGCTTGAAACTGTGAGGTGGAGGTTGCAGTGAGTTGAGATCATGCCACTGCACTCTATCCTGGATGACAGAGTGAGACTCCAAAAAACAAAAAAGAAGAAGAAGAAGAACTTAGTATATTATGTTTTGACTATTTTCATAAGATAGATTTCTTGGAACATGATCTCTAGGTCAGAAGCTGTAAACTCCTTTACAATGAAATAAGCAAATCAATCTATACAGTACAATAACTTTCTATTGGCATACTCTTACATAAACACCTCCCAGATAAAGAAATACAATATTTTGAATTCCCTAAAAACTCTTTTGTGCCTTCATTTAATAAATAATCCTCCAAAACATAACAACTATTTTAACTAACACTATACATTAGTTCATCCTTATTTTTAATCTCAGGTAAATGGAAACACTATTATGTAATTTTTAATATCTGGTTTCTTTCACTCAATATTTTGATTTGGAAAGTTATCCATATTGTTGCATGTATCAATTTCTCATTCTTATGGTTATATAATATTTTTGTGTGTGAACATACACTATTTTGCCAGCCTACTCTCAAAAGGCACTTGAGTTGTTTCTAGTTTGGGGCTATTAGAAATAAAGGTATGATAAACATTCTTGTATAAGTCTCTTGTTGGCCATAAACATTTCTTTATGTTACTCAGTACCTACAATTGCAATTGCTACTTTATGGAATAGGCAAATGTTTATTTTTAGTATATGTTGGCAAACAGATTTCCAAAATGTGTATGCCTAGGGTACACAATCCCTCCAGCAGTGAATGAGATGTTCAAATGTTTGACATTCTAAAGAGCACATACTGTTCATCTCCCATACTGGTAAGTGTGTATTGGTATGGTGCACTCTTATCTTATTATGATTTGAATTTCTTTTTTGATGACAAATCATGGTGAGTGCCCTTTCATATATCTATTAGTCATTTGAACATCTTTGTGAGTTGCCTGAAGAACTTTTTACCCATTTTTCAAAATGATTATTTTGTCTGTTTTCTATTTTTTAGGGATATTTTATACATTATAGAAGGCAAGTTATTTGTCAAATATAGATTGCAAGTATCTTCTCTCAGTCTTTAACTTGCATTGATGAAGAGCTTTATTGTTCTATATCTTTGTAATCCTGAAAAATTGCGAGGGCTTCAGTCTATCTTTTGAAGTTTCCAATGTTTCTCGACGTGCAGGGACTCTATGATATTTCCTAATTTGGTAAATGCCTTGAAGAAAAGATCAGAACTTGCTCTTCAAGTAACAATTTCCTAAAATCTGTGAGGCTCTGCCATATATTGGTCTACTTTTTATATCTTACCATTTTATTTATTTTTTGTTGTTATTCAAGAGCTTTCCCTCCAGTTTGGTCGGGTATATAATTCTAGGCATACAAGGCTTAGTCTGTTTTGTGTTGCTACAACAAAATAACAAAGACTGGGTAATTTACAATAATCAGAAATTTATTGGTGAAAAGTTCTGGAAAGTGGGAAGTCCAAGATCAAAGCAACAGCATCTCACAAGGACCTTCTTGCTACATCATCACATGACAGAAGGCAGAGGAGCAAGAAAGGCTAAAGGGGGTTGAGCTGGCTCCTTTTAATGGCACTAATCTCAACCATGAGGGCAAAACCCTCAAGGTTTAATCACTTGATAAATATCCCACCTTGTGCTGTGTAAGAATGGCGATTAAATTTCAGCAAGAGTTTTGGGAGTTTTGGAGTGGACTAACGTTCAAATAATACCAGCATAGAATTATAATTTTTTGCTCAATTTTTTTCTTATTCTAAAAATTATACTTGTTATTTATTTTTTATGTATGGTTAAGTTTGCTAGACCTCCTACATCAATGTTAAACAGTAAAAATCACTGGTAATTTTTGTTTTGTTTTAAGTTAAGAAACATAATTTTATAGTTTTTCAAAAAGTGAAATTGTAGCTACTAGTTTGTGGTCATATTTTTTAGCATGTCAAAAAAACTGTAAAGTCTTTTATAGCTAGATATTTGTAAAACATAATGCTTTTATTGTTTTTATAGAAATATATGCTTCAAATAAAATGATACAAATGTTATAAAAATACGAAAATAAAAGAAAAAATCACTCAATATGTTATATGGGAAATCACCATTTTTCACAACTGGTATGTATCACTTTAGATACCTCTATATAGCTATATGGAAGTTTAAAGTTAAATAAATATTGAGAAAAATTGTTTTAGAAAAAAACGTGATTGTAATCTTTTTATTTTTATAATTAAAATTAATTATAATTGTCACTTAAAGGAAAAAATATGTGAGACAAATAGAAGAGTGCTGACATTCAATTTTTTTTGCAAAAGTAGAAGATACTAAAATATCTCCCTAAAATTAAGTTTGATTATGAAAACTTACGTTTCAAATGTTTCAAATGTTAACATAATCTGCTGTCACCCTGCTTAAAATATGGAATTAACATTAACTCCCACTTACCCTTAATTACTGATTTTAAATTTGTAAATTTTTATTATTTTTATCATATTCTCATGGTCACAACAATTTAGATATTATTTATTTATTATTTATAATACTTAAAGTTTAGTTTTGATTTTATCTCCACTAAATTTAGTATATTTTTCATTACTAGTTTATTTTGATTGCATTCTAATTTTGCTTTATTTTTCATTTTG
This sequence comes from Homo sapiens, assembly GCF_000001405.40. Lineage (NCBI taxonomy): Eukaryota > Metazoa > Chordata > Mammalia > Primates > Hominidae > Homo > Homo sapiens. Next base: position 9,472,016 of record NC_000007.14, on the reverse strand, counting down.
TTCTTTGTTTTGTTTCAGATGTGTCTACCTCATTTCTTTAAATTTATATTTAGAAAAAAAGTGTCAAATAGAAATATGTTATGTTTATTTTAAAAAGAGCAAATATTACAGGAGCACTTCAAATGAATTGCAGCAATACACTACCCCAAACCTTCCTCGATTTTCTCCCTTGAGGAATATGTTTTAAATGTTTAAATGATTAATTTACAGTCACATAAAAATTACTAAATATATTCTCCTTGTAAAACAAACAAACAAACAAAAAGCTTAAAAGATAAACCTGTATTCCCCTTTGACTATATAAATGAAAAGGAAACATAGTACTTGTATTAGCCCATTTTCATACTGCTGTAAAGAACTACCAATCATGCCTTCCCAGCTGTTCCCCAAAGTCTTAACTCATTCCACCATTAACTCAAAAGTCCAAGTCTAAAGTTTCATCTGAGACAAGGGAAGTCCCTTAGACCTATGAAAATGTAAAGTAAAAAACAAGTTAGCTACTTCCAAGATACGATGAGGATACAGGCATTGGGGCAATTCTCCCATTCCAAAAGAAAGAAAATCACCAAAACATAGAGGCTTTAGGCCCAGTGCAAGTCCAATACCCAGCAGGGAAACCATTAAATCTTAAAGCTCCAAAATCTCCTTTGAGTTCATATCTCACCTCCAAGGCATGCTGATGTAAAGAGTGGGTGCCCATGTCCCTGGACAGCTCTGCCCCTGTGGCTCTGCAGGGTACAGCCCTCATGGCTGCTTTCACAAGCCAGCATTGAGTGCCTGCAGCTTTTCTAGGTGCACAGTGCAAGCTGTTGGTGGACAATTTGGGGGTCTGTAGGATGGTGGCTCTCTTCTTCTAGCTCCACTAGGCAGTGCCCCAGTGGAAACTCTGTGGGGGGGGGGCTCCAAACCCACATTTTCCCTCCACACTGCCCTAGTAGAGGTTCTCTGTGAGGGCTCTGTGTCACATGCGTCCGTGTGAAGAGACCACCAAACAGGCTTTGTGTGAGCAATAAAGCTTTTTAATCATCTGGGTGCAGGTGGGCTGAGTCAGAAAAAAGAGTCAGTGAAGGGAGATAGGGGTGGGGCTGTTTTATAGGATTTGGGTAGGTAGTGGAAAATTACAGTCAAACGGGGTTGTTCTCTGGCGGGCAGGGGTGGGGGTCACAAGGTGCTCAGTGCGGGAGCTTCTGAGCCAGGAGAAGGAATTTCATAAGGAAATGTCAGCACTTAAGGTAGGAACTGGCCATTTTCACTTCTTTTGTGATTCTTCACTTGCTTCTGGCCATCTGGATGTATCTGTGCAGGCTTGGGCTCAGAGGCCTGACGCTCTGCCCTTGCAGCAGATTTTTGTCTGGACATCCAGGTGTTTTCATACATCTCCTGAAATCTAGTTTGAAGCTCCCAAACTGTTGCATTATTCGCACCCAAAGGCCCCAACACCACATGAAAGCCACAATGGATTGGGGCTTGCACCATCTGTAGCAATGACCTGAGCTGTACTTTGGCCCCTTTTAGATTCAGCTGGAGCTGGAGCAGCTGGGATGCAGGGCACCCACTGCCATGGCTGCACAGAGCAGCAAGATACTGGGCCCAACCCTTGAAACCATTTTTCCCTCCTACGTCTGTGATGGGAGGGAAACCTGCAAAGATATTTGACATGCCCTGGAGACATTTTCCCCATTGTCTTGGCTATTTACATTTGGCTCCCCTTTACTTATGCAAATTTCTGCAGCCTGAAATTCCTTCCCGGAAAATGGGTTTTTCTTTTCTACTACATGATCAGGCAAATTTTCCAACATTTATACTCTGCTACCCTTTTAAAAATAAATTCCAATTTTAGACCATGACTTTGCAAAGGCATATGAGTGTAAACCAATAGAAGCAGGCAGACTACATCTTGAATGCTTTGCTTCTTAGAAGTTTCTCCTGCCAGATACCCTAAGTCATCTGTCTCAAGCTCGAACCTCCACAGTTCTCTAAAGCAGGGGCACAATGCCACCAGTCTCTTTGCTAAAGAATAGCAAAAGTGACTTTTACTCCTTTTCCTAATAAGTTCCTCATCTCTATCTGAGACCTTCTCAGCCTGGACTTCACTGTTCATATCAATATCAACATTTTGGTCACAACAATTTAACCAGTCTCTAGGAAGTTCCAAACTTTCCCTCATCTTCCTATCTCCTTCTGAGCCCCTAAACTGTTCTAGCCTCTGCCTGTTACCCAGTTCCAAAGTCGTTTCCACATTTTTCAGGTATCTTTATAGCAGTGCCCACTTATCTGGTACCAATTCTCTGTATTATTCTGTTCTCACACTGCTATAAAGAACTACCTGATACTGGATAATTTATGAGGAAAAGAGGTTTAATTGACTCACAGTTCCATATGCAGTACCGGAGGCATGGGTGGGAAGCCTCAGGAAACTTACAATCATGGCAGAAGGGTGAAGGGGAAGCAGGCACTTCTTCACATGACCAGCAGGAGACAGAGAGAAGGGGAAAGTGCTACACACTTTTAAACAACCAGATCTCATGAAAACTCACTCACTACCATGAAAACAGCAAGGAGAAAATCTGCCTTCATGATCCAGTTACTCCCCTACAAGGTTCATCCCCCAACATTGGGGTTTAAAATTCAACATAAAACTTGGGTGGGGACACAGAACCAAACCATATTTTTGTAGCTATTGTAAATGGGATTAGGTTCTTGATTTTGCGCTCAGCTTGAACACTATTGGTATATAGAAATGTTACTCTGTTTTGTACGTGGATTTTGTATCCTGAAACCTTTCTAAAATCAGTTAATAATTCTAATAGCCTTTTAGCAGAGTCCTTAGGGATTTCTAAGCATAGAATTATATCACCAGATAAGAGAGAGTTTCACATCTTCATTTCCTATTTGAATGCCTTTCATTTCTGTATCTTGCCTGATTGCTCTGGCTACCACTCCCAATTCTAGGTTGAATAGGTTGTGGTGGGCATGGGTATACTGGTCTTGCTCCAGATCTCAAGAGAAATGCTTCCGTTTTTGTCCTGGTCAGTATAATGTTGGCTGTAGGTTTGTCATTGATGACTGTTATTATTTTCAGGTATATTCCTTTGATGCCTAGTTTCTTGAGTTTTTTTTTTTTTTTAAATCATGATGAGACATTAGATATTTGTTGAAAGATGTTTCTGCATCAATTGAGATTATCATATGGTTTTTATTTTTAATACTGTTTATGTGGGAAAGAACATTTATTGATTTACATATTTTGCACTAACCTTGCATTCCAGGAATGAAGCCTACTTTATCATGGTGAAATAACATTTTGTATGCTACTAGATATGGTTTGCTAGTATTTTATTGAGGACTATTGAATCCATATTCATCAAAAATATTGGCCTGCATTTCTCTTTTTTCATTGTGTCTTTGCCAGGTTTTGATATCTGGGTGATGCTGGCTTCATAGAATGAGTTAGGGAGGAGTCCATCCTTCTCAATTATTTAGAATAGTTTCAGTATAATTTATACAAGGTCTTTTTTGTACATCTGGTAGAATTTGTATGTGAATCTCTCTGCTCTGGGACTTTTTTGGTTGGTAGATTTGCATTGCTGATTCAATTTTGTCACTTGATAATGATACAGAAGTTAAGAAGGAATCCTTTAGGTAGATAGTGAGGGTACAAAAGTCCTTGGTAAAGCTTTTCTCTTTAATGAAAAGCAGCCCAAAATCATTGAGCAAAGAGCAGCCTGTAAAGTCAGGCTGCAGACATAGACATGGAAGCTGGGAGCTGTCATGCACGTCTGTGTGAAGAGACAACCAAACAGCCTTTGTGTGAGTAACAAGGCTGTTTATTTCACCTGGTGCAGGCAGGCTGAGTCCGAAAAGACAGTCAGCAAAGGGTGGTGGGATTATCATCAGTTCTTATAGGTTTTGGGATAGGCAGTGGAGTTAGGAGCAATGTTTTGCTGGCAGGGGGTCGATCTCACAAAGTACTTTCTCAAAGGTGGGGAGAATTACAAAGAACCTTCTCAAGGGTGGGGGAGATTACAAAGTATATTGATCAGTTAGGGTGGGGCAGAAACAAATCACAATGGTGGAATGTCATCAGTTAAGGCTCTTTTTACTTCTTTTGTGGATCTTCAGTTGCTTCAGGCCATCTGGATGTATATGTGCAGGTCACAGGGGATATGATGGCTTAGCTTGGGCTCAGAGGCCTGACAGGAGCCTGCACGGGTGAATGCCAGCAGGAGCTAGAGACTAAACATGTTCAAGATGGTAGCTCCATCTTCCCTTCTTTGCCAGCCACATGTACAGTAAGAATCAGACACTTGGTGAGGATCAACTGGAAATCCATTTGCATAATAAGATCAGGGTGGGGCGAACAGACTTTCCCACATGCTATGTAAACAGCATGCCTGATCGAACCACTCTGTGAGCCCTATGTAAATCAGATACCACCTCCTCAAACCTAACTACGTAATTTGATGCATCTGCCATGTCTTGGTCTTTTCCACTTAGAGATCCATTTCATTCTCTTCTGCCTATTAAACCTTCCCTTCTAAACTCCACATGTGTGTCCATGTCCTACATTTTCCTGGTGTATGACAATGAGCCCCAGGGTATATACCCCAAACAATGTAGCCACTTCAGTATTGGTCTATTCAATGTTTCAATTACTTCCTGATTCAGTCATTGGAGACCACATGTTTCCAGGAAGTTATCCACTCTCTGTTGATTTTCTTGTTTGTGTGCACAGAGGTGTTCATATTAGTCTGAGGATCTTTTGTATCTTTGTAAACTTGGTGATAATGCCACTTTTTGTCATTCCTAATTGTACTTATTTGGATTTTCTCTTTTTTTCTTTGTTAATCTAGGCAGCCATCTATGGATCTTGTTTATCCTTTCAAAAAACCAACATTTGCTTATGTTAATACTTTGCATAGATTTTTGGATGGATTCAGTTCTGTTCTAATTTTGGTTGTTTGTTTTCTTTTGCTAGCTTGGTGTTTAGTTTTTCTTTTGCTAGCTTAGGGTTTAGTTTTGGATGGATTCAGTTCTGCTCTAATTTTAGTTGTTTGTTTTCTTTTGCTAGCTTGGGGTTTAGTTTATTTTGTAGTTCCTCTAGGTGTAATGTTTGAGTTAACTTGAGATCTTTCTAGCTTTTTGAGGTAGACGTTTAGTGCTGTAAACCTTTTTTTTTTTTTTTGAGATAGAGTTTCACTCTTGTTGCCCAGGCTGGAGTGCAATGGCGCGATATCTTGGCTCACTGCAGCCTCCACCTCCTGGGTTCAAGCAATTCTCCTGTCTCAGCCTCCTGAGGAGCTGGGATTACAGGCACCTGCCATCACACCTGGCTAATTTTTGTATTTTTTACTAGAGATGGGGTTTCACCATGTTGGCTAGGCTGGTCCTGAACTGCTGAGCTCAGGTAATCCACCTGCCTCAGCCTCCCAAAGTGCTGGAATTACAGGCGTGAGCCACCACGCCTAGCCTAAACTTTCCTTTTAACACTGCTTTTCTGCAGTGTTATGTATGTTTCGTGTGCACAAAAAAAAGACTGTATATTCTGTGTTTGATGGGTGGAGTAGTTTGTAGATAACTAGTAGGTCCAATTAGAAAAGTGTTGAATTTAAGTCCAGAATGTCTTTGTTAGTTTTCTGCCTCAATTAATTGTCTAATATTGTCAGTGAGGTGTTCAACTCCTCTGTTTTTATTATGTGGTTGTCTATGTCTTTAGTATATAGAGAAATACTTGTTTTATAAATCTCGATGTTCAATGCTGGGTGCCATATATACTTAGGGTGCTTATATACTAAGTCTTCTTATTGACTGAGATCTTCATCATTATGCAATGGTTTTCTTTGCCCTTTTTCTTCATTTCTGGTTGAAAGTTTGTTTTGTCTGAGATAAGTATAGTAAATACTGCTGTCTTTTGTTTTTCATTTGCATGGTAGAACTTGCTCCAACCCTTTACTTTGAGCCTATGGGTGTGGTTATGTGTGAGACAGCAGACAGATAGTCTTATTTTTTTAATCCAACTTGCCACTCTGCACCTTTATGTGGGAAGTTTAAGTCATTTACATTCAAGTTTAAAACTGATATGTGTGACTTGGTTCTATTACAAAGTTGTTTCCTGTTTGCTTTGTAGTTTCTATTTTGTGGTTGCATTACAGAGTCTGCAGACTATATGTTTTTGTGATAGTAGGTATCTTTGTTTTGTTTCCATGTTTAAAACTTCATCAAGGATCTCTTGTAAGGCTGGACTAGTGGTGACAAATTTCCTTAGCACATGCTTGTCTGTAAAAGATTTGATTTTCTACTTTGCTTTTGAAGCTTGGTTTAGCAGGGTGTGAAAATCTTGGATGAAATTTCTTTTCTTTAAGAATGGTGAAACAGGTTCCAAATCTATTCTGGCTTGTATGGTCCTGCTGAGTTTATCTACATTCTGAACAACTGCTGTTGCTACTGTTGAATTTTAATAATATATATGAAATCTTCAATGCAGAATAATTGTATTATTTTTACATTAATAAACATTATAATTTATACAGTATTTTAATTTGGAGTACTCCCAATTATACCATCACCCAGACACAAAGACTCAAGACACATGCATTCATTTTGAGAAAAAAAGTTTATAATAGCTAAAAGCCCCATTCAAAGGACAGCAACTCAAAGGTTAGAGGAACACCAATCCACATAGATATGAAAGAACAAGTGCAAGGATTCTGGCAACTCTAAAAGCCAGAATGGCCCATTACACCCAAATGAGGCCAGGAGGTCCCAAGCAATGGTTCTGAAACAGAGTGAAATGATTGAAATGAGAAACATAGAATTCTGAATATGGATGGCAAGAAAACTCAAATATTTAGGAGAAAGTTGAAACCCAATCCAAGAAATCCACAGAATATAGTAAACGGATCTAAGAGCTGAAAAATGAAAGAGCCATTTGAAGAAAAGTCAAATTAAATTTCTGGAACTAAAAAGTTAATTACAAAAAATTATAATTAAGTAAGAAGCATTAATAGCCGACTAGAACAAGCTGAGAAAAGATTCTCAGAGCTTTATGACCAATTATTTGAATCCACTCAGTCAGACAAAAAAACATAATAATAACAATTAAGAAAAACAAACACAGCTTCCAAGAAATATGAGATTATATAGAGAGACCAAATCTATGACTCGATGCATTCCTGTTAGAGAAGGACAGAGCATAACTCAGAAAACACATTTAACACATTTGAGGTAATGGTCATTGAAAATTTCCCCAATCTCATTAGAGAAATTGACATGTAAATTTAAAAAATACAGATAATCCCTGTGAGACACTATCAAAGGCAACCATTCCCAAGGCACATAATCATTAGATTCACCAGGATCATCATGAAAGAAATAATCCTAAAGGCAGCTAGATACAGGGCTCAGTTCTTATACAAAGAGAACCCCATCAGGCCAGTGAGAGACCTCTCAGCAGAAAGAGGTCAGAAGAGATTAGGGACCAATATTCAGATTCCTTATAGAAAATAAATTCCAACCAAGCATTTCATATCCCACCAAATTAAGCTTCATAAGCAAAGGAGAAATAAAATCCTTCTTAGACAAGCAAATGCTAAGTGAATTAATTACAACCAAACATACTTTACAAAGGTTCTTTAGGGAGTGTTGCACATGGAAACAAAAGAAAGACTTGTTACCACAAACAAAAATACTCTCCAGCACATATCCCTCAGACTCCATAAAGAAACTACTCAATCAAATCTACAAAACAACCAACTAACAACAAAATGAGAGGAACAAAATCTCACATATCAATACTAACTGTCAGGCCTCTGAGCCCAAGCTAAGCCATCTCATGCCCGGTGACTTGCACGTATATACACCCAGATGGCCTGAAGTAACTGAAGAATCACAAAAGAAGTGAAAATGCCCTGCCCTGCCTTAACTGATGACGTTCCACCAAAAAAGAAGTGAAAATGGCCGGTCCTTGCCTTAAATGATGACATTGTCTTGTGAAATTCCTTCTCCTGGCTCATCCTGGCTCAAAAGCTCCCCTACTGAGCACCTTGTGACCCCCACTCCTGCCCACCAGAGAACAACCCCCCTTTGACTGTAATTTTCCTTTACCTACCCAAATCTTATAAAATGGCCCCACCCCTATCTCCCTTTGCTGACTCTCTTTTCAGACTCAGTCCACCTGCACCCAGGTGATTAAAAGCTTTATTGCTCACACAAAGCCTGTTTGGTGGTCTGTTCACACGGACGTGCATGAAATTTGGTGCCATGACTCAGATCGGGGGACCCCCCCTCCTTGGGAGATCAATCCCCTGTCCTCCCGCTCTTTGCTCCATGAGAAAGATCTACCTAAGACCTCAGGTCCTCAGACCGACCAGCCCAAGAAACATCTCACCAATTTCAAATCCGGTAAGCGGCCTCTTTTTACTCTCTTCTCCAACCTCCCTCACTATCCCTCAACTTCTTTCTCCTTTCAATCTTGGCGCCACAGTTCAATCTCTCGCTTCTCTTAATTTCAATTCCTTTCATTTTCTGGTAGAGGCAAAGGAGACATGTTTTATCTGTGGACCCAAAACTCTGGCGCCGGTCACAGACTGGGAAGGCAGCCTTCCCTTGCTGTTTAATCATTGCAGGGAGGCTTCTCTGATTATTCACCCACGTTTCAGAGGTGTCAGACCACACAGGGATGCCTGCCTTGGTCCTTCACCCTTAGCAGCAAGTCCTGCCCCTTAGCGGCAAGTCTCACTTTTCTGGGGGAGGGGCAAGTACTCCAACCCCTTCTCTCTGTGTCTCTACCCCTTCTCTGCTTTTCTGGGGGGCAAGAACCCCCCAATCAGTTATTTCCATGCCCGAACCTCTTATCTCTGTGCCCCAACCCCTTATTTCTGCACCCCGACCTCTTATCTCTGTGCCCCAACCCCTTATTTCTGTGCCCTGACCCCTTTACCACTTTTCTGGAGGGTAAGAACCCCCAAATCCCTTCCCTCTGTGTCTCTACTCTCTTTTCTCTGGGTCTGCCTCCTTCACTATGGGCAACCTTCCGCCCTCCATTCCTCCTTCTTCTCCCTTAGCCTGTGTTCTTAAAAACCTAAAACCTCTTCAACTCATACCTAACCTAAAACCTAAATGCCTTATTTTCTTCTACAATGCCACTTGACCCTAATACAAACTCGACAGTGGTTCCAAATAGCCAAAAAATGGCACTTTCATTTTTTCCATCCTGCAAGATCTAAATTATTCTTGTTGTAAAATGGGCAAATGGTCTGAGATGCCTGACGTCCAGGCATTCTTTTACACATCAGTCCCTTCCTAGTCTCTGTTCCCAATGCAACTCGTTCCAAATCTTCCTTCTTTCCCTCCCGTCTGTCCCCTCAGTCCCAACCCCAAGCATCACTGAGTCTTTCTAATATTCCTTTTCTACAGACCCATCTGACCTCTCCCCTCCTTGCCAGGCTGAGCTAGGTTCCAATTCTTCCTCAGCCTCTGCTCCTCCACCCTATAATGCTTTAATCACCTCCCTTCCTCACACCTGGTCCAGCTTACAGTTTCATTCCGTGACTAGCCCTCCCCAGCCTGCCAAGCAATTAACTCTTAAAAAGGTGGCTGGAGCTAAAGACATAGTCAAAGTTAATGTTCCTTTTTCTTTATCCCAAATCAGATAGCGTTTAGGCTCTGTTTCATCAAATATAAAAACCCAGCCCAGTTCATAGCTTGTTTGGCAGCAACCCTGAGATGCTTTAAGGCCGTCTTATTCTCAATATACATTTTATTAGCCAATCCTGTCCCGACTTTAAATAAAGCTCCAAAAATTAAATTCCAGCCCTCAAACCCCACAACAGGACTTAATTAACCTCGCCTTCAAAGTGTACAATAATAGAAAAAAGTTGTAATTCCTTGCCTCCACTGTGAGACAAACCCCAGCCACATCTCCAGCACACAAGAACTTCCAAACGCCTAAACCGCAGTGGTCAGGTGTTCCTCCAGGCCCGCCTCCCCCAGGAGCTTGCTACAAGTGCCAGAAAACTGGCTACCAGGCCAAGGAATGCCTGCAGCCCAGGATTCCTCCTAAGCTGTGTCCCATCTGTGCGGGACCTCACTGAAAATTGGACTGTTCAACTTACCTGGCAGCCACTCCCAGAGCCCCTGGAACTCTGGCCCAAGACTCTGACTGACTCCTTCCCAGATCTTCTTGGCTTAGCAGCTGAAGACTGACAATTCCTGATTGCCTCGGAAGCCTACAGGACCATCACAGATGCTCTAAGTAACTCTCACAGTGGAGGGTAGGTCCATCCCCTTCTTAATCAATACGGAGGCTACCCACTCCACATTACCTTCTTTTCAAGGCCCTGTTTCCCTTCCCTCCATAACTGTTGTGGGTATTGATGGCCAGGCTTCTAAACCTCTTAAAACTCCCCAACTCTGGTGCCAACTTAGACAATACTTTTTTAAGCATTCCTTTTTAGTTATCCCCACCTGCCCAGTTCCCTTATTAGGCCGAGCCACTTTAACTAAATTATCTGCTTCCCTGACTATTCCTGGACTACAGCCACATGTCACTGATGCCCTTCTTCCCAATCCAAAGCCTCCTTTGCATCATCCTCTTTTATCCCCCCACCTTAACCCACGAGTATAGGATACCTCTACTCCCTCCTTGGTGACCGATCATGCACCCCTTACCAACTCATTAAAACCTAATCACCTTTACCCAGTTCAACACCAATATCCCATCCCACAGCATGCTTTAAAAGGATTAAAGCCTGTTATCACTCACCTGCTACAGCATGGCCTTTTAAAGCCTATAAACTCCCCTTACAATTCCCCCATTTTACCTGTCCTAAAACCAGACAAGCCTTACACATTAGTTCAGGATCTACACCTTATCAACCAGATTGTTTTGCCTATCTGCCCCATGGTGCCAAACCCATATACTCTCCTATCCTCAATACCTCCCTCCATAACCCATTATTCTGTTCTGGATCTCAAACATGCTTTCTTTACTATCCCTTTGCACCCTTCATCCCAGCCTCTCTTTGCTTTCACTTAGACTTACCCTGACACCCATCAGGCTCAGCAAATTACCTGGGCTGTACTGCCATAAGGCTTCACAGATAGCCCCCATTACTTCAGTCAAGCCCAAATTTCATCCTCATCTGTTACCTATCTCGGCATAATTCTTCATAAAAACACACGTGCTCTCCCTGCCCATCACGTCTGACTAATCTCTCAAACCCCAACAATCTCTCAAACCTTCTACAAAACAACAACTCCTTTCCTTCCTGGGCATGGTTAGATATTTTCACCTTTGGATAACTGGTTTTGCCATCCTAACAAAACCATTACATAAACTCACAAAAGGAAACCTAGTTGACCCCATAGATCCTAAATCCTTTCCCCACTCCTCTTTCCATTCCTTGAAGACAGCTTTAGAGATTGTCCCCACCCTAGCTTTCCCTGACTCATCCCAACCCTTTTCATTACACACAGCTGAAATGCAGGGCTGTGCAGTCGGAATTCTTACACAAGGACCGGGATCGTGTCCTGTAGCCTTTTTGTCCAAACAACTTGACCTTACTGTTTTAGGCTGGCCATCATGTCTCCGTGCAGTGGCTGCTGCCACCCTAACACTTTTAGAGGCCCTCAAAATCACAAACTATGCTCAACTCACTCTCTATAGCTCTCATAATTTCCAAAATCTATTTTCTTCCTCACACCTGATGCATATATTTTCCGCTCCCCGGCTCCTTCAGCTATACTCACTCTTTGTTGAGTCTCCCACAGTTACCATTGTTCCTGGCCTGGACTTCAATCCGGCCTCCCACATTATTCCAGATGCCACACCTGACCCTCATGACTGCATCTCTCTGATCCACCTGACGTTCACCCCATTTCCCCACATTTCCTTCTTCCCTGTTTCTCACCCTGATTGCACTTGGCTTATTGATGGCAGTTCCACCAGGCCTAATCGCCACTCACCAGTAAAGGCAGACAATGCAATAGTATCTTCCACATCTGTTATTGAGGCTACCACTCTGCCCCCCTCCACTACCTCTCAGCAAGCCGAACTAGTTGCCTTAACTCAGGCCCTCACTCTTACAAAACAACTATGCGTCAATATTTATACTGACTGTAAATATGCCTTCCATATTCTGCACCATCATGCAGTCATATGGGCTGAAAGAGGTTTCCTCACTACACAAGGGTCCTCCATCATTAATGCCTCTTTAATAAAAACTCTGCTCAAGGCAGCTTTACTTCCAAAGGAAGCTGGGGTCATTCACTGCAAGGGGCATCAAAAGGTGCCAGATCCCATTTCTCTAGGCAACGCTTATGCTGATAAGGTGGCTAGACAAGCAGGTAGCTTTCCAACTTCTGTCTCTCACAGCAACGCTTATGCTGATAAGGTGCCTAGACAAGCAGCTAGCTCTCCAACTTCTGTCCCTCACGGCCAGTTTTTCTCCTTCACATCAGTCACTCCCACCTACTCCCCTGCTGAAACTTCCACCTATCAATCTCTTCCTACACAAGGCAAATGGTTCTTAGACCAAGGAAAATATCTCCTGCCAGCCTCACAGGCCCATTCTATTCTGTCGTCATTTCATAACCTCTTCCATGTAGGTTACAAGCCGCTAGCCCATCTCTTAGAACCTCTCATTTCCTTTCCATCATGGAAATCTGTCCTCAAGGAGATCACTTCTCAGTGTTCCAGCTGCTATTCTACTGCCCCTCAGGGATCGTTCAGGCCTCCTCCCTTTCCTACACATCAAGCTCGGGGATTTGCCCCTGCCCAGGACTGGCAAATTGACTTTACTCATATGCCTCGAGTCAGAAAACTAAAATATCTCTTAGTCTGGGTAGACACTTTCACTGGATGGGTAGAGGCCTTTCCCACAGGGTCTGAGAAGACCACCACGGTCATTTCTTCCCTTCTGTCAGACATAATTCCTGGGTTTGGCCTTCCCACCTCTATACAGTCTGATAACGGACCAGCCTTTATTAGTCAAATCAGCCAAGCAGTTTTTCAGGCTCCTGGTATTCAGTGAAACCTTTATATCCCTTACAGACCTCAGTCTTCAGGAAAAGTAGAACAGACTAAAGGTCTTTTAAAAACACATCTCACCAAGCTCAGCCACCAACTTAAAAAGGACTGGACAATACTTTTACCACTTTCCTTTCTCAGAATTCAGGCCTGTCCTCAGAATGCTACAAGGTACTGCCCATTTGAGCTCCTGTATAGATGCTCCTTTTTATTAGGCCCCAGTCTCATCCCAGACACCAGACCAACTTAGACTGCACCCCAAAAAACTTGTCATCCCTACTATTTTCTGTCTAGTCATACTCCTATTCACCATTCTCAACTACTCCTACATGCCCTGCTCTTGTTTACACTGCCGGTTTACACCCTTTCTCCAAGCTATCACAGCTGATATCTCCTGGTGCTATCCCTAAACCACCACTCTTAAGTCTTAACGTAAATAAATAATCTTTGCTGGCAAGGCTATGCTGAACCTCCTTAGGCACTCTCTAATTAGATGTCCTAGGTCCTCCCAATTCTTAGTCCTTTAATACCTGTTTTTCTCCTCATCTTATTCCGTTTAGTTTTTCAATTCATACAAAACCGTATCCAGGCCATCACTAATAATTCTACACGACAAATGTTTCTTCTAACAAACCCACAATATCACCCCTTACCACAAAAACTTCCTTCAGCTTAATCTCTCCCACTCTAGGTTCCCACGCAGCCCCTAATCCCTCTTGAAGCAGCGCTGAGAAACATCGCCCATTCTCTCTCTCCATACAACCCCCCAAAAATTTTCGCTGCCCCAACACTTCAACACTATTTTGTTTTATTTTTCTTATTAATATAAGAAGGCAGGAATGTCAGGCCTCTGAGCCCAAGCTAAGCCATCGCATGTCCGGTGACTTGCACGTATATGCCCAGATGGCCTGAAGTAACTGAAGAATCACAAAAGAAGTGAAAATGCCCTGCCCCACCTTAACTGATGACATTCCACCACAAAAGAAGTGAAAATGGCCAGTCCTTGCCTTAACTGATGACACTGTCTTGTGAAATTCCTTCTCCTGGCTCATCCTGGCTCACAAGCTCCCCTACTGAGCACCTTGTGACACCCACTCCTGCCCGCCAGAGAACAACCCCCCTTTGACTGTAATTTTCATTTACCTACCCAAATCTTATAAAATGGCCCCACCCCTATCTCCCTTTGCTGACTCTCTTTTCAGACTCAGCCCACCTGCACCCAGGTGATTAAAAGCTTTATTGCTCACACAAAGCCTGTTTGGTGGTCTCTTCATACAGATGCGCATGAAACTAACACTGAATATAAATAGTCAAATACCCCACTTAAAACGGATAGAGTGGCAAACTGGATAAAAAGACAAGGCCCAACTTTCTGCTTTCTTCAAGAGACCTATCTCACATGTAACAACACCTGCAGGCTCAACGTAAAGGGGTGGATAAATATCTACCATGCAAACAGAAAAGAAAAAGAGCAGAAGTTGTTATTCTTATATCAGGTAAAACAGACATTCAATCAATAGCAAATAAGATGGACAAAGAAAGGCAGTACATAATGACGAAGAGTTCAATTCAACAAGAATCAACTATCCTAAATATACAGGCACCAAATATTGGAACACTCATATTTATAAAATCAGCCCAGCTTGAGCAATGCAAATATCTAGACAGCCACACAATAATAGTGGGAGACTTCAATACCCCACTCATAGCATTCATAACATTAGAAAATTATCAAGGCAGAAAATTATACAAAAAAAATCTAGACTTAAACTTGGCACTGAATCAATTGGACCAATAGACATCTACAGAACACTCCACTCAACAACCACAGTATAATTCTTCTCATCTGTACATGAAACATTTTCTAAGATTGACCACATGTTTTGTTATAAGCAAGTCTTAATAAATTCAAAAACATCAAAATCGTACCAAGCACACTTTCAGACCACAGTGCAATAAAAATAAAAATCAATATCCAGATCTCTCAAAGCTACATAAATACATGGCAATTACACAACTTGCTTCTGAATAACCCATGTGAACAATGAAAGTAAGCTCCAAACCAAAATGTCCTTTGAAATTAATAAAAATAGAGACACAACTTACCAAAATCATTGGGATGCAGCAAAGGCAATGTTAAGACAAAACTATACAACACAAAATGTCTTTATCAAGAAGTTAGAAAGATCTCAAATAAATAATCTAATATTGCACATAAAGGAATTAGAAAAAAAAAAAGGACAAACCAACTCTAAAGCTAGCAGAAGAAAATAAATGACTAAAATCAGAGAAGAACTGAATGAAATTGAGACACAAAACTCCATACAAAAGATCAATGAAGGCCAGGTGCGGTGGCTCACACCTGTAATCCCAGCACTTTGAGAGGCCGAGGTGGGCAGATCACGAGGTCACGAGATCGAGACCATCCTAGCTAACATGGTGAAACCCCATCTCTACTGAAAATACAAAAAATTAGCTGGGCGTGGTGGTGGGCGCCTGTAGTCCCAGCTACTCAGGAGGCTGAGGCAGAAGAATGGTGTGAACCCAGGAGGTAGAGTTTGCAGTGAGCCAAGATTGCGCCACACTGCACTCCAGCCTGGGCGACAGAGCAAGACTCCGTCAAAAAAAAAAAAAAAAAAAAAAAAAATCAACGAAATCAAGAGTTGGTTTGAAAAAATAAATATGAATAATAGACTGTTAAAAAGATTAACAAAGAAATAAAAGGAGAAGACACAAATAAGTACAATTAACAATGACAAAGATGACATTATACCCAATGTCACAGAAATACAAAATATCCTCAAAGAGTATTATGAACACTTCTATGCACACAAATGAGAAAATCTAGAGGAAACAGATAAATTTCTCAAAACATAAAGCCTCCCAAAATTGAACCAGAAAGTAAATGAAAACTTGAACTGACCAATACCAAGTTCTGAAATTGAATAAGTGATAAGCAAACTTACTGAATTAATGAAAGCACCAAGCCAGATGGATTCAGAGCCACATTCTACCAGATGTACAAAGAACAACTGATGTGAATGCTACTGAAACTATTCAAAAAAACAAGAAAGAGGGGACTCCTCCTGAACTCATTCTATACAGCCAGAATCATTAAGAAAACAAAATATGACAGTTACACAAGGAAAAAAGTAAACTTCAGGCCAAAATCCCTGATGAATATAGATGGAAAAATCCTTAACAAAATACTACAAATTGAACTCAGCACCACATCAAATAATTAATATATCATGATCAAGAAGGCTTTATTTTTGGCATGCAAGGCTATTACACCATATGCAAATCAATAAATGTGATTTATCATATAAGCAGAATTAAAATCAAAATCCATGTGATAATTTCGATAGAAGCAGAAAAGGCTTTCAATAAAATTCAACATACCTTTATGACAAAAACCCTCAACAGACTAGGCATTAAAGGAACATATCTCAAAATAATAAGAGGCATCTGTGACAACGTAACAGCCAACATGATACTGAATGAACAATTGCTGGAAACATTCTCCTTGAGAATTGTAATGAGATCCCCCACTCACCACTCCTATTCAACATAGTACTGGAAGTGCCAGCAAGAGTAATCAGGCAAGAAAAAGAAAAAAATGTATCCAAATCTGAGAGGAAGTTAAACTATCTCTCTTGACTGATAATATGATTCTATATCTAGAAAACCCTAAACACTCCAACGAAAGTTTTCTAGAACTTATAACAACTTCAGTAAAGTTTTAGAATACAAAATCCAAACACAAAAATCACAAGCTTTTTTATACAACAATAACATTCAAGCTGTGAACCAAATCAAGAACATGATTCTATTTACAATAGCCACAAAGAAAATGAAATAGCTAGTAATGCAGCTTATCCAGGAAGTGAAAGATCTCTAAAAGGAGAACTACAAAACCCTGCTGAATGAGATCATAGATGACACAAATAAATGGAAAAATCTTTTATGCTCATGGATTGGAAATAAAAAAATGTTAAAATGGCCATACTGCCCAAAGCAATCTACAGATTCAATGCTATTATTATTAAACTGTCAACTTCATTTCCCACATAGCTGGGAAAAAATACTCTGGAATTCCTATGGAACAAAAACAGAGCCCAAATAGCTAAGGAAATCCTAAGCAAAAGAACAAAGCCAGAGCCATCACATTACCTGACTTCGAACTATACTATAAAGCTAAGGTAACCAGTATATCATGGTGCTGGCACAAAAACAAAGACCAGTGGAACAGAATAGAGAACATAGAAATAAAGCTACACACCTAGAGCTCTCTAATGGTTAAAAAAGTCAACAAAAATAAGCAATGTGGAAAGAATTCCCTGTCAATAAATGGTGCTGGGATGGCTGGATAGGCATATGCAAAAGAAAGAAACTGGACTTCCTACCTTTTACTATACACAAAAGTCAACACAAGATGGATTAAAAAATTAAATGTAAGACCTCAAACTATAAAAATCCTAGAAGAAAACTTAGGCAACATCTTTCTTGATATTGGCCTTGGCAAAGATTTCTTGGCTAAGTCCCCAAGAGGAAGTGCAACAAAAATGAAAATTGACAAGTGGGACCTAATTAAACTAAAGAGCTTCTGCACAGCAGAAAAACAACAACAACAAACTATCAACAGAATAAACAGATAATCTACAGAATGGGAGCGAATATTCACAAACTATGCATCTGACGCAGGTCTAATATCCAGGATCTATAAGGAACTTAAGTCAGCAAGCAAAATACAAAAAAATCTCATTAAAGGCTGGGTGAGGTGGTTCACGCCTGTAATCCCAGCACTTTGAGAGGCTGAGGCAGGTGGATCACGAGGTCAGGAGATCGAGACCATCCTGGCTAACACGGTGAAACCCCATCTCTACAAAAAATACAAAACATTAGCCGGGCGTGGTGGCGGGTGCCTGTAGTCCCAGCTACTAGGGAGGCTGAGGCAGGACAATGGCGTGAACCTGGGAGGCGGAGCTGGCAGTGAGCGGAGATCGCGCCACTGCACTCTAGCCTGGGCGACAGAGTAAGACTCCATCTCAAAAACAAAACAAAACAAAAAACAAAACAAAAAAACTCATTAAAAAATGGGTAAAGGACATGAGCAGAAACTTCATAAAAGAGAACACAGAAGGAGCCAACACACAGTTTAAAAATACTCTGCACCATTAATCATCAGAGAAATGCAAATCAAAACCACAATGAGATATAATCTCACATTCATCAGAATGGCCATTAAAAGGTCAAAAAGCAATAGATACTGGTGAGGCTGCAGAGCAAAATAAACGTTTATACGCCATTGGTAGGAATGCAAAATTAGTTCAGCCTCTGTGAAAAGCAGTCTGGAGATTTCTCAAAGATCTTAAAAGAGAACTACTATTCGACCCTGCAATTCCTTTACTGGATGTATACCCATCGGAAAATAAATCATTCTACCCAAAAGACACATGCACTTTTATGTTCATCCCAGCACTATTCACAATAGCAAAGACATGGAATCAAGCTAGGTGCCCATCAGTGGTGGATTGAATAAAGAAAATATGGGACATACACTTCTTGGAATACTATGCAGCCATACAAAAAGCATGAAGTCATGTCCTTTACAGCAACATGGATGCAGCTGGAGGCCATAATCCTAAATGAATTAATTCCAGAACAGAAAACAAAATACCTCATGTTTTCACTTATAAGTGGGAATTAAACACTGAGTGTACATGGACATAGAGATGCAAACAATAGACACAGGGACTACTCGAGGGAGGAGAGAGAAAGCGGGTCCTTGTGGTGAAAAACTACCTCTGTGCTACTATACTCACCACCTGGGTAATGAGATAATCTGTACCCCAAACCCATCACACGTTATACCCATGTAAGAAAACTGCACATGTAGCCCCTAAACCTAAAATAAAAGTAGATATTATTAAAAACATAAAAACAAGAAATTACTCAAGGTGTTGCCTTGTAAAGTTTCTGTCTCCTACCACTGTGGCACTGTGTTTATATAGCATATTCAAAATTAAAATGATACTATTGTGACTGCAAACATGAGCTTTTATAATTTTGGCATTCTTCTACCTACCTCCTTGAACAATGAGACTTCTTTTCCCCCTTTCTGATTCTTATTATTTTTACATGTTTTTTTTTTTAAATCTTATTGTGCTAGCTACAACTTTCATTACTAATGTTGAATAGAAATGGGGATAGTGGCCATCATTTCCTTATTTCTTCTTAAAAGGAAAAGCTTTTATTGTTTCACAGTTGACTATGCTATTTGCTATTTATTTTCATCCTTTTAATTGGATTAAATTTAAACAAATGCCTTTTTATTATTTCTCTAAAAGTTTGCATTTTTTTCAATCAATAGATGTTATCAAGGATGTCTTCTTCATCTATTAAGATGCTTATGTGATTTTTCTCCTTTACTTTGTGATTGTAATGGAATATAATAAATGAATATAATAAATGGTTTTCCCACTGTTAAATCATTCCTGTTTAGTCATGACATGTCGTTTTCAGTATTTTTTTGATATGTTGTGGATTCATTTTGCCTTTTTATTTATTTATTTTTCTAGAGGAAAGAGAGTTTCTGTCTACATACTTGAGTAGGGTAACTTTTCTGTGTGAGAATAACTTTTTTAAACTGGTCCTTTCAAGATTTGGAATCAAGGCAAAAAGAGTTGGAAAACCTGCTATATTTTCTTTTTAATTGTATTGAAAAGTGTTTACATAAAATTGAAATTACATGTTCCTTCAAATTGAGAATTCATTGAAGATGATATGTTGGATTGAGCTTTTGTGGAAATATGTTTTTTAATACTCATTAAGTTTAACTAATGGTTATATGACCATACAAATCCTGTTTCTTCTTTAGCTGGTAAATTGTATTCTAGGATAATTTTCATATCACAAAAATCTTTAGTTTTAATTTATGGCCATGTTACTCATGAGAGTCTCATAGTCTCTTTTTAAAAAATGTGTATCTTTGAATTTTATAATTTTATTTTTTGGGGGGGGGGGTTTATTTTATAACAACTGAAGTCAAAGGAGGACATGCAATTGACTAGCTATTTGACTTGATAAAATTAGAGTTTTAGATTTATTAACCCTGAACTCCGTACTGACCATATAGGGGATAAGAAAATAGGGAACATTAAGTACAATATAAATATGTTCATTATGACAAGAAAGCCTAGATTATTGTAATCATTTTACAACTGTAAAATGATGGTTAAATTTAAAAGGTAAAATGTCTGGCAATAAACATTGAAAAACAGCTAAGGTATTAATTTTTTTTTCCTATAAAACAATGCCTACCTGATAGGGTGTGTTTACATGGCATATTCAGTGATACATTAGGGTAGATCATGAGTATAAATTTGATACCATGTACAGAAATTCAAAAAGTATTCTATAGGCAATTTGGTGCCAAGTTAAAGCCAAATGGGCAGGGCTGCAATTGTAAAATATATTTCTGGCATAATTATGAAGGATTAATTTAAATACAGGCAGAGTCTATAAAAAGTCAGGTATAATTTATTCTCTTTACCTTGCTTTCTTTAACAGGCTTAATAATCTCAATTATAGATAATTTATAAAAGTTAACAAATGGATTCTGGTAGCTGATGTCCATGTTCTATTCATTAAAACTAGGAAATAATTATCAGTTTAATTGGGCATACTTTACCTAATTTTCATGTCCTGCAAAGTATTTACCACATATAAGATGATTTTTGCTCCTAAGGATCACAAGCTCCATGTTCATAATATTCACTGTATTCTAAAATAGGTTGTACAGAATGTTTCTTCAGTGTTTTTTACCTGGTCTAACCGTCGTTTGGTTGTTGTGGTGCTGATGAAAGTTGTTATTTTCTTTTTCTAGAATCAAAATCATGCCTGCCTTTAATTGGAGATTATTCATTTGGATAATTTACCATGCTCTGGTATAATTTAAACTACCTTTAAATCACGCGTTACTTGAAGGTTTGGCAAACCTTGTCCATATGACTGGGCCTGTTGTTACCCTATATTAGAGTTAAGGGTTCACCCACTGTTTCAATGTTATCCATGACTATTTTTATATTAACATTTTTAACTTCATCTCTAGTGACTTTTTAATACTTTTTTATTCATGGAAATATCATACAATTTACCCAGATTATCAAATAAATTAGAATGTAGTTGTTTCCCCAGGAATTATAATACATATCCTCACTTTATTTTCCACAATTTCATTATTTGTAAAAGAAAAATAAGTACTTTTAATTAATTGTTTACAAAATTTCTTTCTCTCTCTTTATCTATATATATCTCAAAGTTGATTTAGTTTTCATGGTAACATTCCACAGGGATAAAAGAAAAACTAAATCGATTTGAAGAAGTGAAGAAACTCCAGCAGAGAAACAAGGCAGTTTTGATCTCCCATATGGGAGGGCAGATGGCTACCCTGGCAGAGGAGAGTGGAGAGTCTGTGTTAAGTTTGACAAAAAGCTGGAAAAAGGTTTTGAGAGCTGGCCTCATTGAACCTAATTGCCCTGAAGTGGTCTACCTTGGAGTTGTGGGGTAGAAGAATGGAGGCACTGACTCTCACAGTAAGGACCAGTGGGATCACTTGAGAAGAGTATTGGATCCTAGGCCTTGTTACTAAATAGATTTTTCTTTTTCTAAGTTTTTATTTTTATGGGTACATGGTAGGTATATGTATATATTTATGGGGTACATGAGACATTTGATACAAGTATATAATGTGTAATAATCACATAAGGGTAAATGGGGGTATCTGTCATCTCAAGCATTTATCATTTTGTTTTTATTTTTTTAAGCCAAATTTTTTTTTTTTAATTTAGTTTTTTGTTGTTGTTGTTTTGTTTTTTACTAGGGTGTACTACAGTCTATTTTATACCCAAAAGAGCACTAGACAAACAAACCTTTATTACAAGAAGTGAGGCTCTGATACATGGTAAGTCTCTGCTTTTTTTTTCTTATCTTCACTTAATTGCATCACAAGTAACTTCATATGTTTTCACCATGAGATATTTCTGTAATACTTGAAATGAGTATGGCAAAACCAGCACTGCACAAAGATGAGTCCACTTTAAGTCCCAGGAGAAACAGCATATCTCTAAAGATAAACAAAACCAAAGCAAAATAAAAAGAGAGGCCTAAAAGCCTTAGGGCCCAATTGTGTTGGAGTTCGTCATATTCCATCTTGACTTTTTTGCTTCCAGTCAGTATTACGTTAAATTTAGTGTCTGAGCTATATCTTCATTACATGCTATATTATACATTAAGTGATATTTTATAGAAGTGTATTAGAAAAAGTTTATGTTGGATAACTTTATCTGTGTGTAATTTAAAGTAGACTTTATCAGACTTACAAGGAATTTTAGGATATTATGTCTACATTAAAATAATACAATGTAGTCTCCAATCTGTCTTTTACGTCAGCTAGCATGGTGAAAGAGAAACCTTCCAAATGAATACTTTTCATTGCTAATGATCCTGTTCAATTATCTTTATTTAGTTAACATATATCATTTTCTGCTATTAACAATCCATCTTAGTTATGGATGCCTCATTAATTGTAGGAAAAGAAGTGTAATGGTAATATTAAAGACTTAATGACAATACCATGGTTGACTCTATGAGGAGAATGATAAGAAAGCATATTTCATTAGTTGGTCACAATCATTCTCCCATCCATATAGCTGGTTTAAGAAACTGAAAGTTCAGTTACTTTATTATAATATGCAAAAGAACCAAGCAGGAGCCTAAAGACACACCAATAAACAAGTTCTTATGCAGGTGGCACTAAAATTCAATTGAGCAGCAATTTATTATGAAGTGTACCTGGAACTGAACTAGAAACTGGTAAAAGTAATCTGCTCAAAGCTGCTGTCTTTGATGCGTTAAACATAATTTATCAGATTTCTATTTTGGATTGAAAGAGAAATGTAAAAAAATCAAATAAGCAGTACATATAAAGAAAAGATAAAAAATGTACAATTATTAGACTGTATGAAATCATTGCATAGTTTGCCTTACCTTCTGTTTGATTCTACAGTGAGATTTCATTGGGCAAAAGAAAAAGTTTTAGAAAATGGCCGAGTTGTTGTAGTTAAACATAATTGCTTTTATTCATCTCTAAGTGCCTAGAAATGCACTCTTTCAAATCTTAATATGCATATTTTCTTCCCCTCCTTTACATTTTGTATGTTTCTTATTCTGCTATGATATGGTGGTGTATTTCTCTTTATATGTTCAACATTTAAAAACAAAAACAGCTATTTTTATATCTTCTTTCACATTTCTAATCCTAGTCACTACAAATGTGAAATTGTATATATATTGAAAATAATAGGTCTCACTCTTAAAACAGATCTCACTGTTAGGATGATCATATTGAAACAATCATGTGTTTTAAATGATTTAAAAAATAAATCTTCATATAAATCTATTTAAGTAACATCTAATTTTACACAAAATAATCTGACACTGCCAACATTTTGCTTGTAGGTTAACATTTTATAAAATCACAACATAACTCAGTACAATAAATTCAGCCTTAGAACAAAGAGGATATTGAAATCCATTTAATTTTCAGAATCCAAATATAGATCTTTTAGGGCAGACTGCCAGCCATTTCCTTCAGTCAAAGAAAATAAATTTTGCACCACCCCTGTCACAAAGACAAAAAGACAGGGAGTATTTTGAATTCTGCATCAACTGGCTTTTATTTAAATATTCAAATACACAGTATCTTCTTCCTATGGAGAATGATTCACTCTCTAATTAGAGTATGAAAAAATTGATGAATATAATACAAAATGTGACCATCTGCATTCCTCAGTCTTGTCTTTTCCAGTTAGAATTCACAGGTGTCTTTTAAACAATGATGAATTAGAAGGAATGCTCTTTTTTTCATTCATTTGTCTGTCAACTACCTTTGTGATAATAATACATTTGCATTTTTAATTTCCTCAGTTGTAAATGAGCACCTCTGAACCACTTCCTAATTATTTTATAATTTTCTTGTATTGTTCATTATTCATGCTTTCTATTTACTAAATAAAAATGACTTTTGCTTCGAAGGACCTTTGCACTTCTTATTATGACAAACATAGATCATTTGGCTTCATATAAGAAACAAGAACTGAAAGAAAACATGGGGACATAGCACTCAACAAGAAACAAACTGGCATGCCGGCATACCCACATATATAGAACACAGTGTAGGTCAGAATATACAATCTGGTATAACAGAAGCCAGGGTTATTAATTTTTAATGGATGATGTAAAGCTTTCAACCCAACTCACCTTGTTTGAGAAATATGCACTACAGAAATGTGAACAAACTGTTGACTAGCAGCCAATTAAGATAGGAACCTATACAAAATGTTTTTCTACGGACTATTAGATAATTATTTTTTAAAGTACATAATGTAAATGATATTCTAAAAGAGCTTACCAGCTACATGCTTTATTTCAGAGCCTACGTATAAGAAGTAGTGTGTTGGAGCCAGCTCCTACTGGCTCATGAGAACCCATGGTTCACCTGTTTTCCAACTTCACCTTTAGTGACATAATTGATATACTGAGATTGGCCATGATGAAAATATTTACACCATGGAAATTGTCAATTACTATCAATTGGGACTCACTGGTTTACTCTTACATGAGTATCTATAAGGTTTAGTAGAATTACTTCTGCTTAGTAAAATAATGTAAGCAAAATAATTTCCAATAGAATCATTCCGATGAGTCTGTGTGATGATACAGATGAAATCAGAGATTGAAGGTGGTGTTAGGACAGAATGAAGTTAAAGGAAAGGTGGATTGAATCGTCCCTGATGATAGCTTTAATCAACATTTTTTCTATATGAGCATAAACAGCTGCAGAGAGTGATTCCTTTTTATGTTTCCTTTTTAGGGGGATGATAAGATTCATATAAATTATAAAATAATATTTGCTGTTCCCTTTCTCTTACTTGCTTTGAATGGATCCAAGATATGTTTATATTAGAGTGAATTATTCCCCTATTATGGCCATGTTATAGTGAAAGTTTATAGTATTAATCTCCTAGAACTAAGAGGAAAGCATACGTAGGCAATTAAGAACTAAAAAGGGTCAATAAGAGCTGAGTGAGTTGTTTTAAGGACTAACAATGTGTCTTTTTGTCTCTGGTGTGAAGATGAGTTAGTATTTGTATGCAGTTGTTGCATTTATTTATTGTATGTATTGTTTATGAATTATTATTATTATTATTTATCTTGTTACCCTCAAGGGCCTATTCGTATACACATTCATTTAGTACAAGGGGATAGATCCAGGTTTTGTGAGTCCTAAAACTTAAACAATTTGGGAATCCTTCCTTATGGAAAATAATACAAAAAAGTATAGAGAAAATTAATTATGAACTGGAATATTTAATTCAAACAAAAATTATAACAAATTGGAAGTTGCAGTGAGCCGAGATCGCACCACTGTACTCCAGCCTGGGTGACAAAGGAAGACTCCATCCCAAAAATATAATAATAATTATAATTATAACAAATTATATATTCTAAAATGTTGACATATACCAACAACAAGACCCAGAAAATGATGATAATATTTTTATTAATTACTATTCTGTCATACCTCTATGTTTTTGTCACCTTTTAGTCTGCATTCTCTTCATTGTCTGTTCATATTACAACAATTTAAAAATATCTGTTCAATAAAGAAAAAAAGAAAGTCTATTTTCTAGGCTGATCAAAATGTGCTTATTATCACTGATATTTGATGGGTTTTTGATGATCACCACATCCTTCATTTCCAGGCTTACACATTGGATAACTGGAAGAATTTTCTAGACGAGCTTATGATTCTATGCATTTCACACCTCAATTCTTTTTAATCACGCCCATATTTCTAGCACCAAGCGGCGTAGAATATGTTCATTCTCTCACAGCTGTCTGTGAGAAAGGGGGTCTGAGACTTAAGTTTTATAGCTAAATGGCAAATTTGCCTCCCCGTATGGAGTAAGTCACAATTTAAATATCAAGCATACCCAAAATAGATACTATGTTAAAATGCTTTAGCAATAAAGAAGCACAGGAGTCATGGATTTACCTCTTCACTATCCAGAAAAGAATCATATCTTAGTATGGTGCCTCATCTGAGCTCATTCTCTCTCTCTCTCTCTCTCTCTCTGTCTCTAGACCACTAGTGGTAGGCGAAAATCTAGAAAATATTTTAGACTATATGAAGATCAATTACATGAGAATGCTTTAGTAACTTCATCTAAAATTGAATACATTCATAAACTGAATCAATGAGATGTATTTATCTTCCAATACTGTGTAATATTACACAATAATTGATTAAGAAATAAAGGTATTTGATATCTGTGTTTTAATTAATAAATTTACATGATTTCTAAACTTACTCTAAAATGTTTCTCTAACAAATTTTGTCACAAGTTTTATATACTTTGTCAATTAGATTTATTTTTCTTATGATTTGTTAGGCATCAATTTTCCGGAGTAAACATTTCAGAGGTCCCCTATATTATTTAAAAAACGTAATGTATTTTAAGCATTTATAGTGTTTATTTTTTGGTTGATAATGTCCCTCCTTCCTTATAATTACTATTACTAAATTGCCATTCTTATCTAAATAATTTATGTATGTAATATATGATTATAAATCTCCACTATAAGGTATGTACTCTGCAAGACTGCAAGAATACAATGATGAAAATACATTGCTCATTCTACATAGTTATATTAAGATCTATAGTTGTAGTAAAACAATTAATCTTTCAGCTTTTCTGTTCTGATTACCTGCTTTTAGTTCTTTTTCTCATTCTGAGGCCTCAGGAAATTAGGAATGTTTAATGGAAATATAAAATTAAGAAGTAAATATTTAATTTAGTTTTAGTTTGTTTTTTTTAAATTCAACTTCCAAAATAGATTCTTAGAACCCAGTCAGAAATTATCATTTGGACAGCAATAGCCTTATTTATTTCATTAGAAAAAGGAAAAAAAAAAACCTCGCAGAAGAATCAGAGAACTTGGATTATGAGCATGCTTAGTCTCTGCAGGACCAAGGGATGGGGCTACAGAGTAGGGCTGATATTAACCATCAAGAAATTTTAAGATCCCGATGAGAGGCAAGAAAAGGCAGTGGGATAGTATCATCAGTTACAGGGAAGATTCTGTGATCAGAACCATTTATCTATTCTAGCTATTTCCCATTTAAGAGAGCTCAAAAGGTAAGATGTGATGAGAACCATATTAATTTTTCCTCTCTGGTAACTCTTTTGTAAAAACCTTAAGCTGAGAACAGCATCCTGCCAATACCGATCACTGGCCACATGTGACATTCATCCATGTATGTAGACTTTGCTGAGCTATATACAAAATGCCCATTTGGGACAGTACCCTTTATAATACTGAAGAAACTTTCGGGAGCCTGAGATTAGAATCCTTAAATGAGAAGATAAGGAGGAAGAATAAAGCCCCCAGTGCCTATGCTTGGAAGCAACTTTCAAATAATGAAATTCAGCCTCTACATACTCTAGTGTGGAAATTTGTACATGATTAAAATTGAATAAGATCATTCTTTAAATGTGAGACACATTATTTTTATTAAATGCCCCATCATATTATTACTACATGATTATACATGATTCAATCACCAAACTTACTGAACACCTCTGGGTACAAAGTAGAGGGGTGAGACTTAAACAAGTACAGCTAGCTACAACCTGACTTAATCCAAAGGATAGAATTTGAAATCTTAATTCTTATAAACTCATGAAGAGACCCCAAAATAGGCATGATTCCTTTGAGCCATTTAAATTGAAACATAGACTCATACATTCTCAGATTTAGCAGGCATCTTAGATGCTATACTGCAAAACACATACTGAACATAAAAACCTTTTAAATCAACCCAGACAATTAGTCCCCTACCTCTCAGAGAAACTTATTCAATTATTGATGAGCTATAATTGTTAAAATTTTTCTTTTTCAATGAATAAATTATGCCTATTTATAGCTTTAATTTACTGATACACATTGTTTTCTAAAACTGTATATTCTAAGTAAAATTTGTCTTCTAGTTCTGTGGTCCTGACTTTTCCTGTTTTTGCTCAGATATTCTGAACAGATGAAGTTTATATCTGAGATAGTCCCACAGGCATTATTAGACTTTTTAAAATTTGCCATAGGATAAATGACATAGGCCACAGAATTGCTGGTATTACCTGAAAATACTTTTCTTTCTTTTTCAGCCTTTACTTTCTACTGTTCTGGAGAACTACTACTCTACGTAAGAGATAATCCTTATGTAGTAAGTGAAGATGGATTTTATACTACCTACCCTAAAACTTTTCTAGCACCCGATTTTTTTTGCATGATTGTACAAATCAGATTTCTTTAATATTATGTCTTGTGTCAAGTCTCTGACTCTAATCATCTTAATTATTATTCTTCTAACTGTGGCAAGGAGTGATTACTGAGATCCACTCTCTTCCAAGCACTTGTAATGAAGATCAAAGACGAGTGAGTTTTACTTCCTGGTTTCCAGAAACTTAGAACATAAACACTGGATACAGAAACATGCATCTTGATATACAAATTACAATATAGGTTGGTAAGTGCTGCGGTTAGTCAGTCCAGGCTGAGTTATATGTCAGTAAAAGCCCAACAACAAACTCCTCCAACATTTTGGTGGTTTCAACAACAAAAGGTTTCTTTTCCTCCAGTTAAGGAATTCAGTTTGTTGTAATAATATGGGAACCCAGGCTGAGAGAGGCAACTACTGTCTCAAATACTGGTAGTTACTCTGTCAGGGTGAAGAGAATATTCTGGTGTATCTCAAACAAGCAACTAAGTGCTCTAGTCTGGAAGTGACAGACATCACGTTCACTCCCAACTCATTGGCCAGAAGCAGTCTCATGATGCCAGCTAATGACAAGAATGCCAGGAAATACAACCCTTCTCTGTGTCCTAGAGAGTGATGATATTGTGGAAATATGAAAAGATTGCTGTTTTCTGAGTCTGTTCTGCTTGTAGGACTCAGGTGGTGTCTGGCAATTGAAGAATAGGACAGATTTGAAATATAGCAACTAGAAATAAAATTCCCCTTTTCTTGCCGCTATTTATACTACCAGTGGTACATTTGGAAAACAGAAAAAAAAAACACAAAACAAACTAATAAAATTAATTTGCAAATCAGTTTATAACTTTCTACCAATTAGAAAGTTACCAGAATGGGCAATTGTTAAAAAAAAAAAAAAAGAAATGATTTTTTAAACACGAAAAATTCTGCCTCCATTTGCTAAGGAAGCAGGGAAGTGCTTTCATCATTTTCTGAGCAAATACGTATCAATTGCTTATATATGAGAGGCATTATTTTATTTTATTTTTTTACTTTTTTTGGTTTTAGTAAGAAGTTTGTTTATTATTATTATTATTATATTTTAAGTTTTAGGATACATGTGCACAACATGCAGGTTTGTTACATATGTATACATTGCCATGTTGGTGTGCTGCACCCATTAACCTGTCATTTAGCATTAGGTATATCTCCTGATGCTATCCCTTCCCCCTCCCCCCACCCCAAAACAGTCCCCAGTATGTGATGCTCCCCTCCTGTGTCCATGTGTTCTCATTGCTCATTTCCCACCTATGAGTGAGAACATGTGGTGTTTGCTTTTTTGTCCTTGTGACAGTTTGCTGAGAATGATGGTTTCCAGCTTCATCCATGTCCCTACAAAGGACATGAACTCATCATTTTTTATGGCTGCATAGTATTCCATGGTGTATATCTGCCACATTTTCTTAATCCAGTCTATCGTTGTTGCACATTTGGGTTGGTTCCAAGTCTTTGCTATTGTGAATAGTGCCACAATAAACATACGTGTGCATGTGTCTTTATAGCAGCATGATTTATAATCCTTTGGATATATACCCAGTAATGGGATGGCTGGGTCAAATGGTATTTCTAGTTCTAGATCCCTGAGGAATCACCACACCGACTTCCAGAATGGTTGAACTAGTTTGCAGTCCCACCAATAGTGTAAAAGTGTTCCTATTTCTCCACATCCTCTCCAGCACCTGTTGTTTCCTGACTTTTTAATGATCGCCATGCTAACTGGTGTCAGATGGTATCTCATTGTAGTTTTGATTTGCATTTCTCTGATGGCCAGTGATGACGAGCATTTTTTCATGTGTTTTTTGGCTGCATAAATGTCTTCTTTTGAGAAGTGTCTGTTCATATCCTTTGCCCATTTTTTGATGGGTCGTTTGTTTTTTTCTTGTAAATTTGTTTGAGTTCATTGTAGATTCTGGATATTAGCCCTTTGTCAGATAAGTAGGTTGCAAAAATTTTCTCCCATTCTGTAGGTTGCCTGTTCACTCTGATGGTGGTTTCTTTGCTGTGCAGAAGCTCTTTAGTTTAATTAGATCCCATTTGTCAATTTTGGCTTTTGTTGTCATTGCTTTTGGTGTTTTAGACATGAAGTCCTTGCCCATGCCTATGTCCTGAATGGTATTGCCTAGGTTTTCTTCTAGGGTTTTTATAGGTCTAACATTTAAGTCTTTAATCTATCTTGAATTAATTTTTGTATAAGGTGGAAGGAAAAGATCCAGTTTCAGCTTTCTACATATGGCTAGGCAGTTTTCCCAGCACCATTTATTAAAAAGGGAATCCTTTCCCCATTTCTTGTTTTTGTCAGATTTGTCAAAGATCAGATAGTTGTAGATATGCAGCATTATTTCTGAGGGCTCTGTTCTGTTCCATTGGTCTATATTTTTGTTTTGGTAATGGTACCATGCTGTTTTGGTTACTGTAGCCTTGTAGTATAGTTTGAAGTCAGGTAGCATGATGCCTCCAGCTTTGTTCTTTTGGCTTAGGATTGACTTGGCTATGCAGGCTCTTTTTTGGTTCCATATGAACTTAAAAGTAGTTTTTTCCAATTCTGTGAAGAAAGTCATTGGTAGCTTGATGGGGATGGAATTGAATCTATAAATTACCTTGGGCAGTATGGCCATTTTCATGATATTGATTCTTCCTACCCATGAGCATGGAATGTTCTTCCATTTGTTTATATCCTCTTTTATTTCATTGAGCAGTGGTTTGTAGTTCTCCTTGAAGAGGCCCTTCATATCCCTTGTAAGTTGGATTCCCAGATATTTTATTCTCTTTGAAGCAATTGTGAATGGGAGTTCACTCATGATTTGGTTCTCTGTTTGTCTGTTATTGGTGTATAGGAATGCTTGTGATTTTTGCACATTGATTTTGTATCCTGAGACTTTGCTGAAGTTGCTTATCAGCTTAAGGAGATTTTGGGCTGAGATGATGGGGTTTTCTAGATATACAATCATGTCATCTGCAAACAGGGACAATTTGACTTCCTGTTTTTCTAATTGAATGCCCTTTATTTCCTTCTCCTGCCTGATTGCCCTGGCCAGAACTTCCAACACTATGTTAAATAGGAGTGGTGAGAGAGGGCATCCCTGTCTTGTGCCAGTTTTCAGAGGGAACGCTTCCAGTTTTTGTCCATTCAGTATGATATTGGCTGTGGGTTTGTCACAGATAGCTCTTAGTATTTTGAGATACGTCCCATCAATACCTAATTTATTGAGAGTTTTTAGCATGAAGTGTTGTTGAATTTTGTCAAAGGCCTTTTCTGCATCTATTGAGATAATCATGTGGTTTTTGTCTTTGGTTCTGTTTATATGCTGGATCATGTTTATTGATTTTCATATGTTGAACCAGCCTTGCATCCCAGGGATGAAGCCCACTTGATCATGGTGGATAAGCTTTTTGATGTGTTGCTGGATTTGGTTTGCCAGTATTTTATTGAGGATTTTTGCATCAATGTTTATCAAGGATATTGGTCTAAAATTCTCTTTTTTTGTTGTGTCCCTGCCAGGCTTTGGTATCAGGATGATGCTGGCCTCGTAAAATGAGTTAGGGAGGACTCCCTCTTTTTCTATTGATTGGAATAGTTTCAGAAGGAATGGTACCAGCTCCTCCTTGTACCTCTGGTAGAATTCGGCTGTGAATCCATCTGGTCCTGGACTTTTTTTGGTTGGTAAGCTCTTAATTATTGCCTCAATTTCAGAGCCTTTTATTGCTCTATTCAGAGATTCAACTTTTTCCTGGTTTAGTCTTGGGAGAGTGTATGTGTCAAGGAATTTATCCATTTCTTCTAGATTTTCTAGTTTATTTGCATAGAGGCGTTTATAGTATTCTCTGATGGTAGTTTGTATTTCTGTGTGATCAGTAGTGATATCTCCTTTGTCACTTTTTATTGCGTCTATTCGATTCTTCTCTCTTTTCTTTTTTATTGGTCTTGCTAGCAGTCTATCAATTTTGTTGATCTTTTCAAAAAACCAGCTCCTGGATTCATTAATTTTTTGAAGGGTTTTTTGTGACTCTTTTTCCTTCAGTTCTGCTCTGATCTTAGTTATTTCTTGCCTTCTGCTAGCTTTTGAATGTGTTTGCTCTTGCTTCTCTAGTTCGTTTAATTGTGATGTTAGGGTGTCAATTTCAGATCTTTCCTGCTTTCTCTTGTGGGCATTTAGTGCTATAAATTTCCCTCTACACACTGCTTGAATGTGTCCCAGCAATTCTGGTATGTTGTGTCTTTGTTCTCGTTGGTTTCAAAGAACATCTTTATTTCTGCCTTCATTTCGTTATGTACCCAGTAGTCATTCAGGAGCAGGTTGTTCAGTTTCCATGTAGTTGAGTGGTTTTGAGTGAGTTTCTTAATCCTGAGTTCTAGTTTGCACTTTGGTCTGAGAGACAGTTTGTTATAATTTCTGTTCTTTTACATTTGCTGAGAAGTGTTTTACTTCCAACTATGTGGTCAATTTTGGAATAGGTGTGGTGTGGTGCCGAAAAGAATGTATATTCTGTTGATTTGGGGTGGAGAGTTCTGTAGATGTCTATTAGGTCTGCTTGGTGCAGAGCTGAGTTCAATTCCTGGATATCCTTGTTAACTTTCTGTCTCGTTGATCTGTCTAATGTTGATAGTGGGGTGTTAAAGTCTCCCATTATTATTGTGTGGGAGTCTAAGTCTCTTTGTAGGTCACTAAGGACTTGCTTTATGAATCTGGGTGCTCCTGTATTGGGTGCATATATATTTAGGATAGTTAGCTCTTCTTGTTGAATTGATCCCTTTACCATTAGGTAATGGCCTTCTTTGTCTCTTTTGATCTTTGTTGGTTTAAAGTCTGTTTTATCAGAGACTAGGATTGCAACCCCTGCCTTTTTTTGTTTTCCATTTGCTTGGTAGATCTTCCTCCATCCCTTTATTTTGAGCCTATGTGTGTCTCTGCACGTGAGATGGGTTTCCTGAATACAACACAGTGATGAGTCTTGACTCTTTATCCAATTTGCCAGTCTGTGTCTTTTAATTGGAGCATTTAGCCTAATTACATTTAAGGTTAGTATAGTTATGTGTGACTTTGATCCTGTCATTATGACGTTAGCTGGTGATTTCGCTCTTTAGTTGATGCAGTTTCTTCCTAGCCTTGATGGTCTTTACAATTTGGCATGTTTTTGCAGTGGCTGGTACCAGTTGTTCCTTTGCATGTTTAGTGCTTCCTTCAGGAGCTCTTTTAGGGCAGGCCTGGTGGTGACAAAATCTCTCAGCATTTGCTTGTCTGTAAAGTATTTTATTTCTCCTTCACTTATGAAGCTTAGTTTGGCTGGATATGAAATTCTGGGTTGAAAATTCTTTTCTTTAAGAATGTTGAATATTGGCCCCCACTCTCTTCTGGCTTGCAGAGTTTCTGCCGAGAGATCAGCTGTTAGTCTGATGGGCTTCCCTTTGTGGGTAACCCGACCTTTCTCTCTGGCTGCCCTTAACACTTTTTCCTTCATTTCAACTTTGGTGAATCTGACAATTATGTGTCTTGGAGTTGCTCTTCTCGAGGAGTATCTTTGTGGCTTTCTCTGTATTTCCTGAATTTGAATGTTGGCCTGTCTCACTAGACTGGGGAAGTTCTCCTGGATAATATCCTGCAGAGTGTTTTCCAACTTGGTTCCATTCTCCCCATCACTTTCAGGTACACCAATCAGACGTAGATTTGGTCTTTTCACATAGTCCCATATTTCTTGGATGCTTCGTTCATTTCTTTTCATTCTTTTCTCTCTAAACTTCTCTTCACACTTCATTTCATTCATTTCATCTTCCATCGTTGATACCCTTTCTTCCAGTGGATTGCATCATTTACTGAGGCTTGTGCTTTCGTCACATAGTTCTCGTGCCTTGATTTTCAGCTCCATCAGTTCCTTTAAGGACTTCTCTGCATTGGTTATTCTAGTTAGACATTCGTCTAATTTTTTTTTCAAAGTTTTTATCTTCTTTGCCATTGGTTTGAACTTTCTCCTTTGGCTTGGAGTAGTTTGATCTTTTGAAGCCTTCCTCTTTCAACTCGTCAAAGTCATTCTCCATCCAGCTTTGTTCCGTTGCTGGTGAGGAGCTGCGTTCCTTTGGAGGAGGAGAGGCACTCTGATTTTTAGAGTTTCCAGTTTTTCTGCTCTGTTTTTTCCCCATCTTTGTGGTTTTATCTACCTTTGGTCTTTGATGATGGTGACGTACAGATGGGTTTTTGGTGTGGATGTCCTTTCTGTTTTTTAGTTTTCCTTCTAACAGTCAGGACCCTCAGCTGCAGGTCTGTTGGAGTTTACTAGAGGTCCACTCCAGACCCTGTTTGCCTGGGTATCAGCAGCGGTGGCTGCAGAACAGCAGATATTGGTGAACCACAAATGCTGCTGCCTGATCATTCCTCTGGAAGTTTTGTCTCAGAGGAGTACCCGGCTGTGTGAGGTGTCAGTCTGCCCCTACTGGGGGGTGCCTCCCAGTTAGGCTACTCGGTGGTCAGGGACCCACTTGAGGAGGCAATCTGCCCGTTCTCAGATCTCAAGCTGCGTGCTGGGGGAACAACTACTCTCTTCAAAGCTGTCAGACAGGGACATTTAAGACTGCAGAGGTTATTGCTGTCTTTTGTTTGTCTGTGCCCTGCCCCCAGAGGTGGAGCCTACAGAGGCAGGCAGGCCTCCTTGAGCTGTGGTGGGTTCCACCCAGTTCGAGGTTCCTGGCCGCTTTGTTTACCTACTCAATTTTGAGCAATGGCGGGCACCCCTCCCCCAGCCTCGCTGCCGCCTTGCAGTTTGATCTCAGGCTGCTGTGCTAGCAATGAGCGAGGCTCCGTGGGCATAGGGCCTTCCGAGCCATGTGCGGGATATAATCTCCTGGTGTGCCGTTTGTTAAGCCCGTTGGAAGAGTGCAGCATTAGGGTGGGAGTGACCC
This sequence comes from Homo sapiens, assembly GCF_000001405.40. Classification (NCBI taxonomy): domain Eukaryota; kingdom Metazoa; phylum Chordata; class Mammalia; order Primates; family Hominidae; genus Homo; species Homo sapiens. The sequence goes on along the minus strand of NC_000007.14, from coordinate 9,436,664 downwards.
GATTTTCCAGGTGCCATCTGTCACCCCTCTCTTTGACTAGGAAAGGGAATTCCCTGACCCCTTGCACTTCCCAGGTGAGGTGATGCCTCGCTCTGCTTCAGCTCACGCACGGTGCACTGCACCCACTGTCCTGCACCCACTCTCCGGCACTCCCCCATGAGATGAACCCAGTACCTCAGTTGGAAATGCAGAAATCACCCGTCTTCTGCATCTCTCATGCTGGGAGCTGTAGACTGGAGCTGTTCCTATTTGGCCATCTTGGCTCCACCCCCATGAGAGGCATTATTGTTAGCACTGAGAATATGAACAATTTGGCTGTCAATAAGAAACTTACATTTTGCTTGGGCTAGGCAAATGATAATAAATTAAACAAATACATTTATCAAATGTCTGAGAACAATACATGCTATAAGGGGCTCCTAAAACACAGTGAGGGTGGACAGTGACTGAGGGATAAAGTCGTGAGATGCCAAATGATTACAGAATATTTTAGATGGGAACCAATGGAAATGAAGAAGAGGCTAGCTATGTGAACTTCAGGATGGAAGAACATTTCAGGCCGAGAAACTGCAAAGACTCTAAAGCAAGAACCCCAAATCAAGGAGGTTAGTGGGTTTCAAACAGAGTGAGCAAGTAGGGTGAAAAGAGATAAAGATGGGAAGACCTATAGTTAGACCTGTTAAACTTAAGAGAATCAAGCTCTCTTGCCAAAGTCCCACTGCTACTTCTTTTAGCTATGATGTATGTATGTACGTATGTATGAACATATATATGTAGTGTATGTGAGTGTGTTTGTGGAGAAGATTAGTGTTTGATGCAGTAGACTAAGTAAAGAAAAATCTTCCCTCACCAATGTAGTTAGGCATCATCCTATCCATTGCAGACACAAATAGAACAAAATAGTTGAGAAAGGGCCAATTCTGTCTCTTCTTGAGCTAGGACATTTATCTTCTCTTGCCCCTGGACATCAGAGCTCCTGGTTCTCAGGAACTCTTGAACTCTAGGACTTAATCCAGCACTCCCCGCCATTTATCAGCCTTTTGGCCTTGGAATGAGAGTTACACTATTGGTTTCCCTGGTTCTCAAACTGAGTTGTACCACCAGCTTTCCTAGTTCTCCAGCTTGCAGGTGGTATATTGTGGGACTAGTCAACCTTCAGAATTCCATGAGCCAATTCTCATAATAAAGTCCCACTTTTTCTATCTGTCTATCTTCTATCTATCTATCATCTATCTATCTATCTATCTATCTATCTATCTATCTATCTATCATCATCTATCTGTGTCTATCATCTGTCTATCTATCATCTCAGGGGTGGCCAATCTTTTGGCTTCCCTGAGCCACATTGGATGAAGAAGAATTGTCCTGGACCATACAAAAAATACACTAACAATGGCTGATGAGCTAAAAAACATTGTAAAAAATCTTATAATGTTTTAAGAAAGTTTATGAATTTGTTTTGGGCTGCATTCAAAGCCATTGTGGGCCACCTGTGGCCTGCAGGCGGGAGGTTGAACAAGATTGATCGATCTATTCATGTACCTACCTATCTATATCCTATTAGCTCTGTTTTGCCTGGAGAAGCCTGACTAACATAGCTAGTATGGTAGGAATTAAAAAATCACAGCCTAGAGATAGTAAATTTTCTTAGTATTATTTCATTGGAAGTTTAGTAATTAGAACACTACATTTATTTAAAGGCAAATATAATTATAGTGTTTATCAGTGCTTTTCAATTTGATGTGCATGCAAATCACATGAAGATCTTATTAAAATACAGATTACGAGATTCAATACTTCTGAAATTTGTATTTCTAAGAAGCTCCTAGGTAATGTTGATACTGCAGGTTCACAGATCATATTTGGACCAGCCAGGATTTACAATACAATATTGTTTTTAGAATAAAAGTTAAAATACTTGTGGCTGGACACTCTGGGATAATCTCATACATCTGAAGTTGTGTGTATATTTATATTCCTCTGGTTTTAAAGGATACATAAAGTTGAAAAAGTTCAAAAGCCTTTGATTTTTTTTTTCTCCTAGAGATTTTATGCTTGTGATTTGGACTGCACCCGCCAGATGGTAATAGAGTATTCAGTTACAGTACACAGATAACCAATTCAACTCTATAATGCATTACTATAGAAGAAGCATCGACAAGTAAACCGTCTTTTATGAGCTTTTCTGATAAACAAAAATTGCAATATAAATTTTAAAATAATGAGTTGAAAAATCAGTTCTTCACAATATATGTATCAGAAATTATATAAATATATAATTAAAATAACCAAATAAGGTACCTATTGATCAGTATTATATAAGCATTTATTAACTCTATCAAAAAATTCTGTGGGTAGAAGGACTTCCATTTTGTCCAAGTGTTAAACTTGCTTCACGTCTTCTGGCATGAATCTCGGTTTAAAACAGCTCATATATCCCATCTACTTCAGACAGGGTCAATCATCCTTAATTAACTTATATGCTTCATCAGGGAGAGGCATCCACTTGATATATTAATAGGTCTCTGGAGAGCAAATTAACTTCCTTAGCGGTTCCTGACATGCCTTGAATCACAGTTCAAATAGAAATTTCTCCTCCTAGCTCTCTATCTGGGTTTGATAAACTAAATTCTTTAAAGCCAAAAAATAATTTACATCATATAGCATGGGTGTGGTGACGACTGCAGAACTGTTGAGATTTTAGTTATAATGTAACCTAACATCATAACTTGTTTCCATTGAGAAGATGGCAAATCCAGTGAATTAAGGGACTCACACAGGTTTTCACTACTGGCTAATGCTAGAATTAATTATGACAGCACAGATTATTGTCAGACTCATTTTTCTATGAAAGCCACACCTACCAATCTCTTCACTATTCTGAACTTGGTTCTCTTAATAAAGTTGACCTCTGACTTGCTCCCTAATGTATTATGACTAATGGTGCTTATCCACTTAAAGGTGTAAAATATATAGATATACTTCTTTGCAAACTCCAGCCTCCTGAGTAGCTGGGACTGCAGGCATATGCCACCACACTTGGCTAGTTATTTGTATTTTTTGTAGAGATGGGGTTTTGCCATGTTGGCCAGGCTGGTCACGAACTCCTGACCTCCAGTCATCTGCTCCCATTGGCCTCCCAAATTGCTGGGATTACAGGCGAGAGCCTCCACGCCCAGCCTAAATATGCTATTTTTCTGAAACAAATACCTGCAACATTCTACTCATAGGTAATTCCCTCCCTCTCCTTTCTTAATACTGGTGAAACACTAAAAATATGATCAGTCTTCTTTGCACATAAAATATCTTATGAGATTTCATTTACCAATTACTCTATGTATATTTAATCTGGATGTTAAGAATTCTTGGGTTATCTTAGTCTGTAATCCCTCACCTTGTCTCTAAGTGTGAAACATTTTTCCATTTGAATCTTACATAAGTGCAATGTTTCCTCTCTTCAATCTTCAGAACCCCTTAGTCAACCTGAGGGTCTAGTGTCTGTGTTGACTTCCTTGTCATTTATGAAATGATGAAGATTACTTCCCATTTAGTGCTGACTTCAATATGTAACCTGCATAGAGTCTTTGATTTAGCAGGAATACTCTCCCTGTTCATTGCAGCTGAATTCTCATTTCTTCCATTGAGCATCTGTTTCACACTCTCCAGATTGCTTTATCTGTATTCAACTTTGCTTCTTTTCTTCTGATAACACAAAGGCTAAAACATATTTGCTGCTTGCTTGTCCTAAATAATGCAAAACTCTCACCATTGTCTTTATTTTTATTTTTCCCAATCAGAAGCAAGATTTGATTCCTTAATTTTATAGTGTCTGTGTTTTTTTCTGCGTTTTGCCTTTTTTCATTAGAGAATTAATGCCAATTTTCTATCGTCTTCCTTTCTCTTCCACTGATGTTTTCCAACTCCTATGCTTTCATTTCTTCTCCTTGTACAGGATTTTAAACTTTTCTCCATTACTTATTACTCATGTTATGCCATTATTGGAAGTGCCACCTTAATCTGTTGCAAGATGTTCTACCTTCACAAAATATGAACTCATGCTCATATTTTAAAAAGTAAGAGAGTGAAAGTCAGGCAGAGAATATTTGCAAGAAAAAATAGTTCTGTAATTATGAAATTATTTCTGTTGGAACAGAGATACAGTGTGTGCTGTAAACACTTTCCTATAACACAATATGCACTGAATTGCCACTTTTATTGCTCACAAATGGAAGAAAGAAATAATAGTTGAGAGAATGACAATTACTGACCAATTGTGTTGATTATATACATTTGCTATAGGGTATTCTACATAGTGCCTCATGTGGAATCCACTCAACCATTTCATTCTATGAAGAGAAAATAATATAAAGCCACCATTTCCAGGATCCTCTAAACGTTTAAAATATAAATAAATACAATTTTATAAACGTTTTTCTTAACCCTGATAAAATAAAATGTTCATAGCAGGGTGTCTGGTAACAAACTGTCTTCTGAAATTGCGACAGGACATTCTGCATGCCTACCGGCCATTTAATTTAATGGGATTTTTATTAGTGTACACACACTAGTTATTTAAACCACAGGGGTCTTTGCAGGTAAAGGCACGAAGAAAAGAGGGAAAAAAAAACCCCAAAAACCAAAAGTGGCAATATCAGTTTTTTTAATGAAATACTTATAGTTTGTATTCATTTATTTAAATTACATTCCTACTAACTTATTTTTCCAAAGCATTAAGTGGAATATCACTTCTAAAAGGTACAACCCAATATAAAATATAAGGGACTTGTTTTTAAATCGTTCATTTATTTCAATACCAAAGATGGTACTACTATAAATAATTTGTGACTACATTTTATTTAAGCCTGATAACAGACAACTCTGGGTAAACAAAAATAAAACTTTTATTTCTGAAACAAATTTGTTTTTCATATCTGCTATAATATTTCATTTTTTATGACTCATCTAATGCCATTTATGTGCATTATAGTTTGACATCATACATGTAATTATGATATTTACTATTCAGAAGTCTCTCCAATAGGAATTTTAGAACTTTTAGATCTAGGCAATTGAAATTCCACTTAGCTTCATTTGAAACCCATGTGCTCAGTGAGGTCATCTAAAGAGTTTATATTAGCATTACATGAAGATATTTGTCGGTTATTAAATTTTCTTTGATTTTATTTTTATTTTTATTTTTATTTATCAAGCACTTTCTTATAGCTTTACATAAATGTTTTACTTGAACTAACTGTTAAAAGTTAAGTTTCACATAAATGTTTTACATGAACTGTTAAAATAATTTGAAGCACTAAATCAAAATATAAATGAAATGTCTTTTTTTGTGCAGTTATAAGTTTGAATTTAAAAAGAGTAAATAAGATTGTTTTAAAAAAGTCATTGTATTCCTTTTAGAAATACAATATTCAAACACTTTTAAAATAAATTTTAAACAAAAGTAGGAAGAAAGAAAAGAAGAGGAATTGAAGAAGGATGATGATGAAGGCAGCGATAAGGAGGAGGAGATTGAGTTGGAAAAAGAGAGGGGGTTCCAATCCCTATTCTTCACTTTTTTCCTGTGTCTCTTATATATATATTAAATATATATTAAATTTTTTTATTATTATTTTTCTTTCTTTTTTTTTTTTTTTTTTTGAGACAAAGTCTCACTCTTGTCCCCCAGGCTGGAGTGCGATGGCATGATCTTGGCTCACTACAACCTCTGCCTCCTGGGTTCAAGCGATTCTCCTGCCTCAGCCTCCCGAGTAATCCTGGGATTACAGGTGCCTGCCAGCGCGCCTGGCTAGTTTTTCAGTATTTTTAGTAGAGATGGGGTTTCACCATGTTAGTCAGGCTGGTCTCGAACTCCTGACCTCAGGTGATGCACCCACCTTGGCCTCTCGAAGTGCTAGGATTACAGGCGTAAGCCACCACGCCTGGCCTATTACATTTCAATTAACATAAAATTGTATATTTTGTGTATAACATGATGCTTTGAAATACATATACATTGTAAAATGACTAAATCTAGTGAATTATCATATGTATTATCTCACATAGTTATCATTTTTGTTGTGAGAACATTTAACATCTACTCTCTTAGTATTTTTCAAGTATACACTGTTATAACTATAGTCACCAGTTATACTATGATTTCCTAGAACTTATTCCTTCTGCCTGAGATTTTTGTATCCTTTTGTTAGAGTAGGTAATTAGGCAGGCATGAGCAGGGCAGGAGAGGGCTCCACAGGGAATGTCGGGTGACCATTAGGTGATGATCAGGCATTTGTTAAACTGTTTCTTTAAAATAATAATTGGTCACAGCCAGTGCCAGGGAATGACAGTCTTTCAATAGGTAGAAAACACCAGAGCTGGTGATCAGCAGCTTTCCGATAAGATCTCAGGAGTTGGGAAAGCAGGCTCAAACACACACACTAAGAGACAAAATGGCAGAGTTTAACTGATATATGACCTTTCTCTAGGAATGCACAACTGGTAAGGAAAAAAATGCTTCAAGTGAGCATGCACACAACTTTAGTAAACGCACTGCACATGAAACCAATCCCAAGTGCTGGCAGACCACTGCACATATGAAAAGCCTGCTCAAAGGGAAAAATCAAGGAAGGAAAAACACAAACCCCAGAACCATGTCACTGTGTGAAACCCCAAGTCAAGGGCTGAACAGGGCACTTGGATCTCTCAAGTCACCTGCTTGGCCCTCTTCAAAGTGTACTTTGCTTTCTTTCATTTTTGCTCTAAAACTTATTTTTTTTTTAATTATACTTTATGTTTTAAGGTACATGTGCACATTGTGCAGGTTAGTTACATATGTATACATGTGTCATGCTGGTGCACTGCACCCACTAACTCGTCATCTAGCATTAGGTATATCTCCCAATGCTATCCCTCTCCCCTCCCCCCACCCCACCACAGTCCCCAGAGTGTGATGTTCCCCTTCCTGTGTCCATGTGATCTCATTGTTCAATTCCCACCTATGAGTGAGCATATGCGGTGTTTGGTTTTTTGTTCTTGCGATAGTTTACTGAGAATGATGATTTCCAATTTCATCCGTGTCCCTACAAAGGACATGAACTCATCATTTTTTATGGCTGCATAGTATTCCATGGTGTATATGTGCCACATTTTCTTAATCCAGTCTATCGTTGTTGGACATTTGGGTTGGTTCCAAGTCTTTGCTATTGTGAATAATGCCGCAATAAACATACGTGTGCATGTGTCTTTATAGCAGCATGATTTATAGCCCTTTGGGTATATACCCAGTAATGGGATGGCTGGGTCAAATGGTATTTCTAATTCTAGATCCCTGAGGAATCGCCACACTGACTTCCACAATGGTTGAACTAGTTTACAGTCCCACCAACAGTGTAAAAGTGTTCCTATTTCTCCACATCCTCTCCAGCACCTGTTGTTTCCTGACTTTTTAATGATTGCCATGCTAACTGGTGTGAGATGGTATCTCATTGTGGTTTTGATTTGCATTTCTCTGATGGCCAGTGATGATGAGCATTTTTTCATGTGTTTTTTGGCTGCATAAATGTCTGCTTTTGAGAAGTGTCTGTTCATGTCCTTTGCCCACTTTTTGATGGGGTTGTTTGTTTTTTTCTTGTAAATTTGTTTGAGTTCATTGTAGATTCTGGATATTAGCCCTTTGTCAGATGAGTAGGTTGTGAAAATTTTCTCCCATTTTGTAGGTTGCCTGTTCACTCTGATGGTAGTTTCTTTTGCTGTGCAGAAGCTCTTTAGTTTAATTACATCCCATTTGTCAATTTTGTCTTTTGTTGCCATTGCTTTTGGTGTTTTGGACATGAAGTCCTTGCCCATGCCTATGTCCTGAATGGTAATGCCTAGGTTTTCTTCTAGGGTTTTTATGGTTTTCGGTCTAACGTTTAAGTCTTTAATCCATCTTGAATTGATTTTTGTATAAGGTGTAAGGAAGGGATCCAGTTTCAGCTTTCTACATATGGCTAGCCAGTTTTCCCAGCACCATTTATTAAACAGGGAATCCTTTCCCCATTGCTTGTTTTTCTCAGGTTTGTCAAAGATCAGATAGTTGCAGATATGCGGCGTTATTTCTGAGGGCTCTGTTCTGTTCCATTGATCTATATTTCTGTTTTGGTACCAGTACCATGCTGTTTTGGTTACTGTAGCCTTGTAGTATAGTTTGAAGTCAGGTAGTGTGATGCCTCCAGCTTTGTTCTTTTGGCTTAGGACTGCCTTGGCGATGCGGGCTCTTTTTTGGTTGCATATGAACTTTAAAGTAGTTTTTTCCAATTCTGTGAAGAAAGTCATTGGTAGCTTGATGGGGATGGCATTGAATCTGTAAATTACCTTGGGCAGTATGGCCATTTTCACGATATTGATTCTTCCTACCCATGAGCATGGAATGTTCTTCCATTTGTTTGTATCCTCTTTTATTTCCTTGAGCAGTGGTTTGTAGTTCTCCTTGAAGAGGTCCTTCACATCCCTTGTAAGTTGGATTCCTAGGTATTTTATTCTCTTTGAAGCAATTGTGAATGGGAGTTCACTCATGATTTGGCTCTCTGTTTGTCTGTTGTTGATGTATAAGAATGCTTATGATTTTTGCACATTGATTTTGTATCCTCAGACTTTGCTGAAGTTGCTTATCAGCTTAAGGAGACTTTGGGCTGAGACAATGGGGTTTTTTAGATAGAGACACAAAAAACCCTTCAAAAAATTAATGAATCCAGGAGCTGGTTTTTTGAAAGGATCAACAAATTTGATAGACCGCTAGCAAGACTAATAAAGAAAAAAAGAGAGAGGAATCACATAGACGCAATAAAAAATGATAAAGGGGATATCACCACTGATCCCACAGAAATACAAACTACCATCAGAGAATACTACAAACACCTCTACGCAAATAAACTAGAAAATCTAGCAGAAATGGATAAATTCCTCGACACATACACTCTCCCAAGACTAAACCAGGAAGAAGTTGAATCTCTGAATAGACCAATAACAGGAGCTGAAATTGTGGCAATGATCAATAGTTTACCAACCAAAAAGAGTCCAGGACCAGATGGATTCACAGCCAAATTCTACCAGAGGTACAAGGAGGAACTGGTACCATTCCTTCTGAAACTATTCCAATCAATAGAAAAAGAGGGAATCCTCCCCGACTCATTTTATGAGGCCAGCATCATTCTGATATCAAAGCCGGGCAGAGACACAACCAAAAAAGAGAATTTTAGACCAATATCCTTGATGAACATTGATGCAAAAATCCTCAATAAAATACTGGCAAAACGAATCCAGCAGCACATCAAAAAGCTTATCCACCATGATCAAGTGGGCTTCATCCCTGGGATGCAAGGCTGGTTCAATATACGCAAATCAATAAATGTAATCCAGCATATAAACAGAACCAAAGACAAAAACCACATGATTATCTCAATAGATGCAGAAAAAGCCTTTGACAAAATTCAACAACCCTTCATGCTAAAAACTCTCAATAAATTAGGTATTGATGGGACGTATTTCAAAGTAATAAGAGCTATCTATGACAAACCCACAGCCAATATCATACTGAATGGGCAAAAACTGGAAGCATTCCCTTTGAAAACGGGCACAAGACAGGGATGCCCTCTCTCACCACTCCTATTCAACATAGTGTTGGAAGTTCTGGCCAGGGCAATTAGGCAGGAGAAGGAAATAAAGGGTATTCAATTAGGAAAAGAGGAAGTCAAATTGTCCCTGTTTGCAGACGACATGATTGTATATCTAGAAAACCCCATTTCTCTAAAACTTTTTAATAAACTCTAACTTCTGCTCTAAAACTTGCTTGGGTCTCTCCTAATGCCTTAAACCTACTTCTGCCCCTTGGCCAAATTCTTTTCTCCAAGGAGGCAAGAAATGAGTTGCTGCAGACCCCTACAGATTTGCCACTAATAACACTTTGACCAACATCTCCACCAACTCTACCTGCCATGACACCCAGCCCTTGGTAACCACCATCCCTCTCTATGGTTCTGTGATATCAACTTTTTTAGATTCCACGTGAGTGAGATAAAATTTTGATAGTCTCTGAGTATTAAATTTTTCCTGCTTTATTCAAGCCTTCAATGTTTTTGTATTAATTTTGGTTCACAATTTGGTAAGACTAGGCTAATGCATAATATATCATCCAAACAAAACTATTTTTGAGATTTAAAAGTGGGTGCAGATTACATTGGGTGACAGATATTAACCAAGATTGTCTTGGAATAGCCAAGAGATACGCCCAACTTTAGCATCAACAATAAACATGCAACTAATGTTTACCAAAATAATGTGGTATACAAGTGTTTTAAAGTAAGATCAGGTGGAATAGAAATTTGCTCAACAAATATATACTTGTAATAAAGTTCAAATCTGTAAGAGATGTGATATGAACTAGATCTTTAATGACAGGGAGATTTTATTCAAGAGAAAAGAGGAAAAAGTGCCAAAAAGGCAAAACAAAATTAAACTAGTTAAAAAATTCACTCTCACTTATTTTTTCTTCTTATCAAGGACTTGCAACCTGTTGCTTTCCTTTGAACAACAACAACAACAACAAAGAGCTTTTAGTTTTTGGAGCTGTCACAGTCATTTTAAGACTGCTATTACATGGGTCAGCATTTCAATATTCCTCTAAATTTATCATGTGAAAAAAAAAGAAACAGCAGTTCTGCATGAAGTTTGCATAAGACACATGAGTAAGACACAGTAACAGTCAGATGTTTGGTCATAAGTTTTGTCTCTGTATTATACGATATACATGCATATATTTATAGGATGTAATATTATTCAACCATAGCAAATAAGGAAATCCTGCCATTTCTGACAACACAAATGGCTCTAGAAGATATTATGGTGTGTGAAATAAGCCAGACCCTGAAAGAAAAATACTGCATGATCTCACTTAAATGTAGAATCTAAAAATGTCAATCTCACAGAAAAGGAGAGTAGAAGATGGATTTCCAGCGGTGGGGGAAGTGGAGAGATGTGAAACAAAGTGTATAAACTTGCAATTATAAGATGACAAAGTTCTGGAGACTTAATACACAGGATGGTAACTATATTTATAATAATGTATACTTCAATTTTGCTAAGAGTAGATCATAAGTATTCCCATCATAGTATATGATATGGTTTGGCTATGTCCCCGACCAAATCTCAACTTGAATTATATGTCCCAGAATTTCCATGTGTTGTGGGAGGGACCCAAGGGGAGGTAATTGAATCATGGGGGTTTGCTCTTTCCCACGCTATTCTCATGATAGTGGAAACATGTCACAAGATCTGATGGGTTTTTCAGGGGTTTCCGCTTTTGCTTCTTCCTCATTTTTCTCTTGCCACTACCATGTAAGAAGTGCCCTTTCCCTCCCACCATGATTCTGAGGCCTCCCCAGCCATGTGGAACTGTAAGTTCAGTTAAACTTCTTTTTCTTCCCAGTCTCATATATGTCTATCAGCAGTGTGAAAATGAATTAATATAGTAAATTGGTACCAGTAGAGTGGGGCGTTGCTGAAACGATACCTGAAAATGTGGAAGTGACTTTGGAACTGGGTAACAGGCAGAGATTGGAACAGTTTGGAGGGCTCAGAAGAAGACAGGAAAATGTGGGAAGTTTGGAACCTCCTAGACACTTGTTGAATGGCTTTGGCACAAATGCTGATAGTAATAGGAACAATAAGGTCCAGGCTGAGGTGTTCTCAGATGGAGATGAAGAACTTGTTGGGAACTGGAGCAGAGGTGACTCTTGTTATGTTTTAGCAAGGAGACTGATGGCATTTTGCCGTGCCCTAGAGATTTATGGAACTTTGAACTTAAGGAAGATGATTTAGGGTATCTAGCAGAAGAAATTTCTAAGCAGCAAAACATTCAAAAGGTGACTTGGGCACTGGTAAAAGCATTCCATTTTAAAAGGAAAACAGAGCATAAAAGTTCAGAAAATCTGCAGCCTGATGATGCAGTAGAAGAGAAAAACCCATTTTTTTGAGGAGGAATTTAAGCTGGCTGCAGAAATTGGAATAAGTAGCAAGGACCCTAATATTAACCCCCAAGATCATGGAGAAAATGTCTCCAGGCCACATCAGAGACCTTCACAGCAGCCTCTCTCATCACAGGCCCAGAGGCCCAGGAGGAAAAAGTGGTTTCATGGGCAAGGCCCAAGGTCCCTGTGCTGTGTGCAGCCTAGGGACTTGGTGCCCTGTGTCCCAGCCTTTCCAGCTGTGGCTGACAGGGGGCAACACAGATCTTGGGTGTGGCTTCAGAGGGTGGGAGCCCCAAGCCTTGGAAGCTTTCACATGGTGTTGAGCCTGCAGCTGCACAGAAGTCAAGAGCTGAGGTTTGGGAACCTCTGCCTAGATTTCAGAAGATGTATGAAAATGCCTGGATGCCCAGGAAAAAGTTTGCTGCAGGGGCTGGGCCCTCATGGAGAACCTCTGCTAGGGCAGAGTGGAAGGGAAATATGGGGTTGGAGCTCCCACACAGAGTTCCTACTGGGGCACTGCCTGGTGGAGCTGTGAGAAGAGGGCCACTGTCCTCCAGACCCCAGAATAGTAGATCTACTTGCATCTTGCAGTGTGCACCTGGAAAAGCTGCAGACAGTCAACACCAGCCTTTGAAAGCAGCCAGGAGAGAGGCTGTACCCTGCAAAGTCACAGGGACGGAGCTTCCCAAGACAATGGGAAACCACCTCTTGCATCAGCATGACCTAGATATGAGACCTGGAGTCAAAAGAGATCATTTTGGAGCTTTAAAATTTAACTGCCCCACTTGATTTTGGACTTGCATGGGCCCTGTAACCCCTTTGTTTTGGCAATTCTCTCTCATTTGGAATGGCTGTATCTACCAAATACCTGTACCCCCATTGTCTCTAGCAAGTAACTAGCTTGTTTTAGATTTTACAGTCTCATAAGCAGAAGGGGCTTGCTTTGTCTCAGATGAGACTTTGGAGTGTGGACTTTTGGGTTAATGCTGAAATGAGTTAAAACTTTGGGTGACTGTTGGGAAGGCATGATTGATTTTGAAATGTGAGGACATGAGATTTGGAGGGGCCAAGGGCAGAATGATATGATTTGGCTGTGTCCCCACTCAAATCTCAACTTAAATTGTATCTCACAGAATTCCCACATCTTGAGGGAGGGACCCACGGGGAGGTAATTGAATCATGGGGCTGGTTTGTCCCATGCTATTCTTGTGATAGTGAATAAGTCTCACGAGATCTGTTGGGTTTATCAGGGGTTTTCACTTTTGCTTCTTCCTCATTTTTCTTTTGCTGCCACCATGTAAGAAGTGCCTTTCACCTTCTGCCATGATTCTGAGGCCTTCCCATCCATGTGCAACTATAAGTCCAATTAAACCCTTTTTGTTCCCAGTGTCGGGTATGTCTTATCAGCAGCATGAAAATGGACTAATACAGTATAAAAATGTAACTATGTGAGGTGATGGATATATTAATTAGATTGTTACAAAAATTTTTATAATATATACATATATCAGATTATGAGACTGACTACCTACTGTGCTAAGGAGGCAGGTATACACATACATCAAAAAATCAACTTGTATACCTTGAATACATGCAATTTTTATTTTCAATCATATCTCAGTAGAACTGGAAAAAAACAACTGTATAAACAAAAGAAATAATGCAATATGCAGATTATAATAAATATGGTTAAAATATGTAACAATAATAGAATACCATCTGGGAGGGAGAACATTGAAGTATATTGTTTAAGATTCTCGACTAAATGGTAAGTGGTATACCATGACATTAAGAAAGACTGTGATAATTTAAACATGTATAATATGAGCTGTAAAATAGTCCCTAAAATAACAAAATAGAGATTTATAATTGATGTCAGCAAAGACTCATAAATATAGTCATAAAAACAACAAATACAACATAAAGCAAGAAAAACAGAAAAAGGGAGCAAATAGAGGATGCAATGAATAACAAACCAACAACAAGAAGATAGGCTTAAATCTAACTCTGCCCATGTTAAAAATAAATGTAAATGTTTAAACATTGCAATTAAAAGACAGAGAATGTCATTTTGGATAAAAGAATTAAATGTTACTTATAGTAAGCCCTTTAAATATAAAAAACAATTTAAGAGAATGAGAAAGAAATACCATGCTAACATGAATCAAGAGGAAGCTGGGATGGTTAAGTTAATATCAGATAAAGTATATTTTAGAACAAAGAATATTCCAGTAATAATGAAAGTCATTATATAATGTTAAGAAGGTCAACCCATCAATATGGCACAATGATCTTTAACATTAATGCATCTGATAATAAACTTTTAAAATAAAAGAATCAAAAATTGAAAGAATGGCAAGGAGAACCAGAAAATCTCTAAGTCAGAGACTATTATCCCTCTCTTCAATTATTGATTGAACAATTAAGAAAAAATTGCAAGTAACACTGAGACAAAACTATCCACCAATTTTACCTAATTGACGTTTATGAAACACTCCAACCAAAATCAACAGACTACACATTCTTCATTTTTGTTTTGCTTTGTTTTGTTTTGGTTTGATTTTACTGTAAGCCTCTTTATTGAAGTGTGATTGAGATATAAAAAGCTATAAGCATTTAATGTATAAAACTTGATGAGTTTGGGGATAAGTATAGAAGTATAGTGCTTATAGTAACAATACTTAGCCAGGCACAGTGGCTCACACCTATACTCTCAGGGCTTTAAGAGGCCAAGGCAGGAGGATCGCTTGAGGCCAGGAGTTTGAAGTTATAGTGAACTATGATCATACCACTGCACTTTGGCCTGGGTGATAAAAGGAGATCCTGTCTCTAAAATTTAAAAAAATATACTGTATTGTACGCTTAAAATTTTCTAAAAGGGTGGATCTTATTTTAAGTGTTCTCACAATAATAACAACAATAATAATGCAGATGAGAGAAAATGGAGGTGGGATAGATGTCTTTATGGCCTTCATGGTAGTGTTGGTTTCACCTGTGCAGACTACCCATTCTTAACAAGTGCAATGGAACATTTACCACAATACATGATGCTCTGGTATATAAAATAAAATTTAATGAATTCAAAGGAATTTAAATCTATAAAAGTATGTTTTCTAATCACAAATGAATTACATTAGATATAAATGAGTGAATGTTTTCTGGACCATCCCCAAGCATTTGAAAACTAAATAATGCATTCTCATAAAAATTGTACAGCAAAAAAGAAATCAAATTCAAAATAAGAAAGTTTGTGAATTCTACAAAAACAAAAACCTATTATGTATTAGTCCATTATTGCACTGCTACGAAGAAATACCCAAGACAGAATAATTTATAAAGAAAAAAGTTTTGGCTCACATTTCCACATGGCTGGGGAAGCCTCAGGAAATTTACATTCATGGCAGAAGGCACCTCTTCACAGGGTAGCAAGAGAGAGAATGAGTGCTGGCAGGAGAAAAGCCAGATGCTTATAAAACCATCAGATCTCATGAGAACTCACCCACTATCACAAGAACAGCATGGGGAAAACCTCTCCCATGATTCAATTACCTCCCAACAGGTCCCTCCCACTACATGTAGGGATTATGGGGATTACAATTCAAGATGAGATTTGGGTGGGAACACAGCCAAACCATATCATATTATATAAATCTTTGTGAGATGCCACCAAAGCAATGCATGTGGGGAAATGTATAACACTAAAGTCTTCAATTATTATTAGAAAAGAAGATAAGTCTCCAAACAATAATCTCAGCTTCTACCTTCAGAAATGAAAATTAAGTAATAAATTAAACAGTAAGTAGCAGAAGAAAGGAAATAGCAAGATCAGATTGAAAGTCAATGACATATAAATTTGGAAAAAAGTACAGAAGATTTGAAAGGAACAAGTAAAACTATACTCAAATATAATATGCTTGTCTATGTAGAAAATCTATTTGAATCTATTTTGTGAAGCAATTTGAATGATATGTGAGTTCATATTTTCATAATTTTCATAGATTTTTAGGACATAGGGCCTTCTAAAAATCAATTGTATTTGTATATACTAGCAACAAAAAAATCATCAATTAAAACAAAAACAATTTCTTACTTTATCACATAATATGTATGAACTATCTAGGGATAAATCTCACCAAGGTGTTCAAGACCTATGCACAATGAAATAAAATAATAATTGCTTAGATAAATTAAATAAAATTTATATAATTTGGTATATAGATGATATATATGGGTAGAAACATTCAGTATTGCAATGATGCGAGTTCTCACAATTTGATCTGTAGATTCACTGCAATGCATATCAATATTCCAGCATGCTTTTCGGTTCAAATTGTAAAGCTGATTCTTAAAATCAGAAGAGATGCAGAGGTACCACAAGAGCCAAAATAACTTTGAAGAATAAAATTGGAGGAATAACATTACTTACTTTCAAGGCTTATTTTTACTGCCATGGTTTTCATATAATGTGGTATCAGTGTCAAGGTAGAGAAATAGATTACTAGAATAGGAAATTTAGTCCAGATGTAAAATTAGGGATATATGTGCAAATGATTTCAACATATGTTTAAAGACAATTCAGTGGAGAAAAGAGCATTCTCAACAAGTGATGCTAAAACAAGTGGATATTCATAAGTGAAATTTAAAAAAAACTTTCATTGATACCTTGAGCTACACACAGTTAAATATAAATATAAATGGAAATGGAAAATATAAATAAAATGTAAACTCTAAAACTATAAAACTTTGACTTTTAACATTTTTGATAATAGCTTTGGATTAGGTGCAGATTTCTTAGAGATGACACCAACACATGATCCATAGTAGAAAGCAAAAGTGATAAATGAAACTTCAAATATGAAAACTCTGCTCTTCTAAAGACACAAAAAAGAAAAAAAGGTAAACTAAAAAAAATACAAAACACATATCAGTAAACATTTGTATACAGAATATGTAACATTCAAAACTCAGTAATAATAAACAAAAATAAAATAAAACCTGGCAAATTATTTATTTTTATTTTTACTTTATTTATTTATCGAGATGGGGTTGTACATTGTCACCCACACCAGATGCAGTCATGCAATCAGGTCTTATTGCAGCCTGAAACTCCCAGCCTCAGGCGACCCTCCTGCCTCAGCCTCTTGAGTTGCTGGGACCACAGGCATAAGCCACCTTGCTTGGGGATTTTTTTTCTCTTTCTTTGTAAAGACTAGCTCTCCCTGTGTTTCCCAGGCTGGTCTTGAACTCCTGGACTTAAACAATCATCCCGATTCAACCTCCCAAAGTGCTGGGGTTACAGGTATGAGCCACTGTGCCCAGCCTAAAATATTTAATCAGATATTTCAGCAAAGAGGATATATGGATGACAAATTAGCATGTAAGAGATGTTCAATATAGTTGCTAGGGAAGTGCAAATTAAAACAAAAATGAGATGATACTATGGACCTATTAGAATGTTAAAAATAACAAAGACTGACCATAAAGAGTTAGAAAGAATGTGAAAAAAACAAAGCTCTTATGTCTTGAGGTGAGTGTGCAAAATGATGCAACAATTATACACTTTCTTAGACACTTTTGACAGTTTCTTAGAAAGTTAAACACATATGTACCAAATGATCCAACCAACTCATTCCTAGGATTTTAGCCCAAGATAAATGAAGGCATATGTCCATACAAAGGCTTATACATACACAAATGTTTATAGCAACTTTATTTATGATAGTGAAAACCTGGAAACAACCCAGGTGTCCTCTAACAGATGAATGAATAAAGAAATTGTGGTGTGTCCTTACAACAGAATCTTAGGTAGTAAATAACATGAAATGATCAGCCAATACCTGCAACAACATGGATAAAGCTCAGAATTATGCTGAAGGAAAGAAACCAGGCAGAAAAGAGTAAATTTATCCTTTAAATTTCTTTTATGTAAAAATTGTTAAAATTCAAACTATTTTCTAGTGGAAGAAAGCAGATCAGTGATTTTCATTGGATGGATGAGTGTGCAAGGAGGTAAAGAATTGAGGAACTAAGAAAAGGTAAAAGGTAAGTTTTGGAGCATGTACATAATCTGTATCTTGATTGTGAAGATGATTTAATGGTGTATATGTTTATTAAAAGTTATAAACTTGTATATTTTAAATTAGTGCAGCTTATTGTATGTTAAATATATCTAAATTAAGCTGTTAGAAAAACAAACCCGAATGCACATATATGTATATATGTGTGTAAATATATATACACACACATACATAAATATATATACACAATATATATTTTACATGTATTTCTGTATTATATATTTTGTGTAAATATATGTATATATATCTTTATATATGTATACCTATATTGTGTTTATATATATATCTATAAACAAAACATACACACACAAATGTGTATATGTGTGTATATTATATGTGTGTATATATACACATATATACATACATTCATATATATAAAGATGTGTATATATATGTAGATATAGATAATACATACAAACATTTGTCATGTAAAACCACATGAAAAATCCCTCCAATCCCATTTAGGATGCGGTTTTCTGGCAGAAAACAGTGCATATGTGTGTTATATAATATACCTTACGATAGGACTATTTGTAACATTCCATCCTTTAACCAACATCCTTTTAAAACAGCTCTTTGAATTGGGTTGTAATTTATTACTAAATAAACCATATAAAAGTTATTTTCCATTTTAGACTCCTTAAACTTACAGCTATTTTGCCAAAACTTTTAATTATATCAGTCTTAATTCTGTTATAAAGATGTCTTTTAATCTATTATTCTCAAGGAGAACACAGTGATCTTTCCAGGTTCTACTATGTCCAGAAGAGTTTAGATGCCTTTCAGTATATTCCCTAAATTTACCTACTATAAGAACAATGAAAAAATCTAAGTATGGACACCCATTGTAAAAAAGACTTAAGGATTTTGAAACACAAAATTAAGTAATTTCAAAAATAGAAGATATTTAGAATAAGCAATGTGTATATAGCAAGGGAAAAAGTATAATGGTTTGAGCCTATTTGTTTCTTAAAATTTGAATTAGAAGGAACTTAAGATTTAGATTTATTCTGTAAGTTTATATTATTGGTATGTATGCTTTTTTGTTGTGGTTGTTTTCCTTTGAGACTGAGTATCGCTCTGTGGCCCAGGCTGGAGTGCAGTGACGTGATCTCGGCTCACTGCAGCCTCCACCTCCTGGGTTCCAGTGATTCTCCTGCCTTAGCCTCCTGGGTAGTTGGGATTACAGGCACGTGCCACCAAGCCCGGCTAATTTTTGTGTTTTTGGTAGAGACAGGTTTCACCATGTTGGCCAGGCTGATCTCGAACTCCTGACCTCAGGTGATCTGCCCGCCTGAGCCTCCCAAAGTGTTAGGATTACAGGAGTGAGCCACTGCACCCGGCCTAGTATGTTCTTTACAAAACAGATGATATGGGACTAGCCAAGGTCAGCTGACTTGATTAGTTTTGTTGGAAGAAAAAGAAAGGTTGTTTTAAAAAAAGAACAAATATAGTAAATGTCCTTATTTCAGGGGACCCTCATCATACTGCTAGATTAAAAGATAGTATTACCTTTCCTCCCTATTGGTTACTGACACTACCATGAGAAAGGCAGAAGTTGGTCTTGTAATCCACGTCAGTTCTCATTTTTTTAATAATCCTAGGCAAGGGCAGAATAGCAAAGCAATCTTCCTTAGAGTTAAGGAACTGATTCAAATCTGCTAAAAGAGTGCATTACTCTTGCTCCAGCTAAATTCAGTTAGAACCCCTGTGTGAAGTTCTAACTATTATAGAATTTTCTTCCCACCGAATTAACTTCTAGTAGATTGTTTCTACTAATAATGTAAAAATAGTACATTGCAGTTGACTCAGAAAACTCAAACAGTCTTATTATAATAAAAGCAATAGTTACTCAGATTAAACTACATAATTTCTAAATAGCAAATTTCTTATGCAGAAACTTTCTATGGAATTTTAGCCTAATGGATATTCTGTAAAATTTAAGGTGAAAACAAAACAGAAAACAAAGGACTTAGACTTCATGGTAACATAAAAATTCCAAAGTTCTTTTAATACAAACAAAGGTGTTAAGTAAAGTATACTGGAAACATTCTAACTTATTACATTCTGCTATTCTGAATTTTGTTGATTGTTAAAAATCAGGTACTTTATAAAAAACTAGCTTACACTAAATAGTAACTCACAAGCTTCTTAATTAAAATTAAATTAGCAATAATAACTATCTAAATGCCAGAATTTTCATATTTATCTGAAATGTAAATGATTGGTTATTATTTTCATTTTTTGTTAATGAAATGCCCCTGTGTACTTTTGCATCTTATCATATATTGAGTACCTATTGCTATTATTAAAAATTATCTGAGTTTTCTGCTCTTGCCTAGAATTATTAAAAAATAAGAACTGACATGAATTACAAGACCAATTTCTGCCTTTCTCATGATAGTGTCAGTATCTAGTAGGGAGGAAGGGTAATTACTGAAGCAGTGATAGAAGGGACTGCCTATTTTCTGTGAGCCTATGATGCTAAAAGTAAGTAACAATTATTATCTTATCAGTTATATTTCCCTGATGAAAGAAACTTCCCAATAAAAATGTCTATAGAAGTGCTTGAGCTCTGCTGTCATAAATAACATCACTGGGGTCAACTCTTTTCAACCAAAAAAGGACAGTTACCATCAATGACCTGTGCTTTGCTTTTGTACACTAAGACATTTTGCTCTCTCTGTAACATTGTCCAAGACATACGCATCACACATGCATTTATTCATTTGTTGGTGCATTAGCCTAAATGTATTGCCTACAAATATGTGTTAGGTACTACACTAGCAATACAAAATGTAATATTTGTTCACAGTAAAATTGATAGAGACAGAGGCGTATAAAAAGATAAGTACAATAAAATGCAATAGGCACTATGATAATACTCTATATATGTCTCTTGGAGCACAGAAGATAAAGTCATCAACTCAGTCTTGAAGGTCAGTAAATGCTTTGTAGATGTATTTATGAATAAATCTTAAAAATTCACACTGTTTAGGGAAGTCACAGCAGGGGTTGAAGGTCAGTATTAGGATAGCATACCATCCTGGCAGGTATGACCGGAGCCAAGATGCAAATAGAAGCAATTGTAGAGGTACGTCAAGAGTAGGGTTGCAAACTGAAGCAAGTTGAAGGGTGAAGCTGGAGAGGTAAAGAAAAACCAGAACATGGGAGCATGGTAGCCATGGCAAAAAGAAATGTACAATTAATTTGTAATCAAATAAGAATCAACCGCTACCTATAAGTACATTAAATACTTCTCAAGTACATCAATTACATCAAGTACATCAAAGTTCCAACTATTATAACGTGTTGTTAGTTCTGTCAGTTTATTGAAAACTTATTTCTGTATTTAAAACATTATCAACAAAACAATAAAGACAATGTTTCATGATGACAAAGAACATGGACTCTGAAACTAGATTACCTGGGTTCAAATCTAACTACGGAATTTATGGAACTAACCAGAGTTGTATATGTATCTCTGTTTTCTCATCAGTAAAATGGGGATAAAAATAATATCTAACTCATAGAGTTATTGTGCTGAGTAAATGATTTTTATAGTTAAAAAGCACTTCATCTAATACGTATATATATATATACACACACATATGCACTATACATGTGCTAAGTTGTACATCTAATAAACTATAGACTATATATCTGTAAGAGTGATCCTTTGTAAAACAAGCTTATAGAGATAAAAGATTTTTGCCTTGGTCCTTAAAAAATTCCCTTATTACAGGATAAAGTGCAATGACATTAGTGTAGGAAAAAAATTCTTAAAAATCTAAACTAGTTGTACTTTTACAATCTCCTGCTCCAATGGAACTTGTGAAAAAATACCACAAGTATAAAATATATGTATCCATTATAACTGAATACTTTTCATCAAAGATAAGTATACTTGAATATTGAGGGGCTCAACTCACCAACATTCAGAATTGAGAATCATTAAAATATGTGTACAGTTAATGTATATCCTTTCTAGAATTGCTGAGGTGGGGAATTGAATTGGGAGCAGAACAGAAATACAGAGAAAAAAAATAAGTTGATATTGATGTCCCAGCTGAGGTGAAAAAGGGCTCCTGTGAAGTGAGTATAACCTTAGGGTTATACTTTAGAACCGTCATCTTGATGAATATATTGTATAAAATATATAATATCTATTACTATGATGAGTAATTAATTTCCCATGAAGGGAGCCCAAGATGTACCTGTCTCTGGGAGAATTGATAATGGAACAGATTTTCCTATGTGGTTTCATGTCATTCATACATTTCATTCATTTAAAATAATATTTCATAAAATAATTTTATACTGTAGTTCATACTGTATTTTAGTTAAAAATGTAAAATATACCTTGAGTATATATGCTGCATATGTGATAGTAGGAAAATATGCTAAGGAAACTACTGTGTGGTGTTTTTTAGAATTTAATACAACAGTTTATAAATTATATTATTCAAAGATCATTCATTAAACAGATACTCATTGAGTAGTTTATTTGTACGAAACTTTGTTCTAAGGTTTTAGGTACTGTAAAGAATGAGATTAATACGGTTGTTGGTAGTAGGGATCACAGGTTCAAAGACCTCAAGTTGTGAGCAAACCTGGTACATTTGAGGGCCTGAGGGAAGCAAAGTCTGGGAGGTAGAGCACAGGAGGAAATGAGATCAGAGGCTGCCATGGGAGGCTTTGTAAGCCCTGTTTATGCATTGGAATTTTATCTTAAAAGCAATGGGGGAAATTTGAGCTAATGTATTTACCCCATTCTTCTCCGAATTCCCACTGATATGATTAAAGAAATGTGAATAGAAGACCAAAATAAATCTTTAGTCGTAAAAAACTGGAAACGGTGAAATCAAAGTGTCTGACTAAGGAATTAGTTTCTTTGTCATAGAACGGATTATACTGACAGAATGAGCAAGTCTGACTAGCCCACGTTACAACTTTGAGCTAGATAGATAAGAGAACTCTCTGGAATACAGGAATTTTGCAAAACCCTTTCTGGGCTCAAAGAAGAAAGAGTTATAAAACATGAGCAGACCATGTGGCATTTGGTGATTCGAAGTTGAGAACAAACTAAGACCCCATAGACTGAACTAGGGTGCTTTACACAGAGTAGGAGTCATCTCTAGACACCTTCATTTATCAACGATGACCCCTGGCAGAGATTGAGTACTGAGTAAAATGAAGAGGAACAGGGGAAGAAGGAGCAGAGAAGGAGCAAAGGAGCAAAGTAAAGAATGTGCTGTTGTGATAGGTTCCTAGTGGTCAGTACTGCCAGGCAGAGAGGTTGTTTACACTGTGTGATCCAACTTTGTGCTGTTAAGGAAATATGGAAGAAAGGATTGGAGAAGAAGACTCAACTTAGGAATAAACCCTTGTTTTTTCTTTGTTTTATGCAGTAATTAAATATGCCCTTTCTAAATGGCAGCTCAAAGCTGACACCCGCAATATTCCCATGAGCTTCCCAAAAACTTGTCCACAAAGGAATGAATTCCTACCAACCTGCTCCCATCCCCAGTGCACGTGAAACAATTTGTTCTTTTAGATCCCAACTACTTGTCTCACTCTAGTAATGATTTGCCAGTCCTACCAATCCATCACACTTTAACCAATGAGTATTTTGACCTTGAAGGATCCTTCATTTCACCTTTTTTATTTTAGAAATCAGACTGAAGAAGGCTCCACTCACTTCTGACATAGCATTAGATAATCACTTTTCTCTGCTTTAATCTTATGCCTAAAATCCTTATGTATTATAATGTATCAATCTCTTAATGAATGAGAAGTTGACAGAATGTGGCATCATTTCAGCAATTATGACTTCTTTTCCTAGAGGACATGGGAGCACAGAAGTGAAGTCAGGAAAAGTCTTAAACTTCAAACAATCACCCTCAGGTATTCCTGTTTTCACCAGCACAGGAATCATTTTACTCTTAATAAATGATTAATAGAAATACAGATGTGTCCTGCTTTAAGAAAGTCAGAGTATGTAAAATTCAAATGTTCAGAAGAGATGGTGAGTTTTATTATTCTACGATACGCTTCCTTTAGTAAGTACATCTAATGCTTTATAAATTATAGTTCAATTTATCAGTAAAATGAGTTTCTTTTTCAATTTTGAGAATACTTTCATTGTCCAAAGAAGGGTATATGATATATACTTTGTTTCTGTCTTTTACATATAATCTTTCAAAAATAAAAATAAGAGGCACATACCACAAAACTGCTTTTTGTTCTTTTCTCTTTTGTTTTATTAGGAGATTATTGTTTTTCCTTATAAGATATAATCCTACAGCACACACAGCAAAAGCCCCATAAACTTTACTGACTAGGGCTTCATTACATGGTAATCTCATATTATTTTTAGATAAGTTTAATTTTTACTCACCTCTCAAGTGTTATAACACACAAATGACAAAAATTTAAATAATATCATGTTTAATTGAAGCTACAAGTTTTACCAAATCTTGTATCCCTGAAAATAAATATCATTGTTCATAGCGCAATTACTCCATTAACTTTATTCACCCCTATTCTTAAACTACGAATATGGCTGTTTGGCATTAGAAGTACGGAACAAGGATGATAACTATAAAGGCATTTGTATTCATATAAATGATTGTGATTAAAAAACAATTATAATAAAAAAGGAGACATTTGTGAAAAGTTAAACAGTATATAAATATATTCAATGCTTTCCCCAACCAGATTTAAGTTAATTCAGCAAGATTAATAAGTGCCAGTATGTCTGTCATCATAGACTCCTTTTGTAACTAGATTTTCCCTCAAATCTCATAATTTTAAATGTACTATTTGCCAAATAGCCTATGAATCACTATGGTTCATGGAACCTTATTACTACCATTGAGATTATAACAGTAGGTAAGATTTGGGAATTTTGTAAAGTAAGTTGCAAGAATGGATCTAAGTAATTTCTGGACTAATGAGTTTTAACAAACTGACTTTCCATGGCAAGCTCTTCCTTTACATTGTTTATGGAGATACAACTAGAACTTAAATACATTATTTTATTATTAAATGTTGAAAAACATAAGGTATTTACTTGAGAAATTTAAGTCTTTAGACAGAAAAGTGAAGTTCTGAACTTCAAAGGTAAAGACATCAGAATAGTGAATTATTACATCATTACCTAAGTGACTTCTGGTGATCTCTTCAGAAAATGTGATAAAAGACCGAAAGGATGCATCTGTGAACCAGGAACCTATTATGTCTGATTTATCAATGTAAAACATTCAATTTGTTCAGAACAGAACAGAACAGAACATTGTATGAGGTTTATCAAGAAGAGAAAGACTCTTTTGGGTTAATGGGAAGGTTGTAGGGATTACAAGACACTGAATACCTTTATCTATTGATGCTGACTAGATAAAAGTTAATGAATTTACTAGATTACCCTGCAGAAAGAACCAATACTTAAAGGCCTTCTTTTATTTTGGTTGAGATACTTCCTGTTAAAAAAAATTAAGTTAGTAGGAATTTCTTGAGAATATCAAATATTTGTATTTTAACCAGAACCTTCGAAAATGGCATGCAGTAAGCACTAGGTTGTATTTACATCCTGACTTTTAAACCTGTTCCTAGGGGTTTATTTTTAAATGGTTAACTTCTCTCTGTTTAAAATTGAAGCCATCTTCTTTAACCATAGTCATTTCCTACTTATCCCTCATCTTAACAGAAAATTTTGTTTTACTTGACTTTGATCCATTTTTTAGATAAAATAAGGGAGTGATTTCATAGAGACACTGGTGTTTTAAATGATTAAAGAAAGCCTCCAGTTTTCATTTTGTCAAACACACATGTAAAATTTCATTTGTATATTAGTTTATTTGTTTGAATTTGGAAACTAGTAATAAGCTTAGGACAAAAAATATTCCATGCTCAATTGTGTGGTTAAAAATCATGAGGGTGAGGGGATAAAAGACTATACCTTGAATACAGTGTACACTGCTCGGGTGATGGGTGCACCAAAATCTCAGAAATCACTACAGAACTTATCCGTGTAACCAAACACCACCTGTTCCCAAAAAAACTACTGAAAAAATAATAAAAAAGTTAGAGTTAGACAGTAAAATCAGAAACTTAGTATTTAAATCTCTTTACTATGCATGTCAGAAAGAGATGCTAGAAAAAAATGCAAACAGTGGATATTTGTATGGTTAAGGGGAAATTTTGTATAGAAAATGAGATCTCTTTTGTTGGATCTATGTGTGAAGGAAATAGTGATGAGATATTATTTTATGAGCCATGTTATCCTTAAAAATATGTGATTTGAGCTCATCCCTTCTAAGTTTTCTTCTTTATTCCTAATATTATAAAGGAAGATTAATGCCTAGAATGTAGCATTCTGATATAAATATAATGTAAAAAATATAAATGACTTTAAATTTTCTGGTAGTCATATGAAAAAGGTTAAGAAAGCCACATTAAAAAGATAAAAACATGTGAACTTAATATAATAATATATTTTATCTCAAATAGTAAATGTGTAACATATGGAAAATGCTGTGATTTTAATGTGTTATCACAAAATTGTTAGATATTTTATATATTTCTTTGGCCAAGGAAAGTTCTGAAATCCAGTATGTATTTGAAACTTACATTGCATTCTAGTTTGGATATTAAATAGTCAATCATTAAGGTGAAATTTAGTCTTATAAAAATAATACAGTTGCATTCAGCAGAAATACATTTTTCCTGTGTATTAGTTCACTAGGACTGCCATAACAAAGTACCATAGATGGCTAGTTTAAATAACAGAAATTTGTGTTTTCATAGAACTAGAGGCCAGACATCTAGGATCAAAGTATTGGGAAGCTAGTTTCATTTCAAGGCCTTTTTACTTGGCTTGTAGATGGCTGTCTTGTCTCCATGCCTTCACATGGTCTTTCCTCTGCGTGTGTCTGTGTCTTGATCTTCTCTTCTTGTAAGGACACCAGTCATCTTGAATTAGAACCCACTCATATGACCTCATTTTACTGTATTATCTCCTTAAAGGCCCTATCTCTAAATACAGTCACATTCTGAGGTACTGGGTGGTAGGAGTTCAAAATATGAATTGTGTGGAATGCAATTCAGTCGTAACACATTGGTTATGTTTTTACAGTGTAATTAAAATTAAATAAAAATTAAAATTCAGTTATCATACTAGATACATTTCAAGTGAATTTTATCTTTGCTAAGTATAAACATTCTACAGATAAATATATTTTTTAAACCACTACCAAATTCTGAAAACACACACACAAATTTGTGTACTTTCCTCTCATCAGAGGCTATTTGTGCATATATCACCTCTTTATGAAATTCATGCTGGCTCAAATTGCCGTTCAAGTAAGAATCATTGTTTTTGAAGAGTCAGTGATTGCTTTTGTAAGCTGAATGTTTTCTTTTACAACTCTGCTATTACAGAACCTTTTTACTATATTCATTTTCAATGTTTTGTGTGACTGCTTTCCAATGTTCTTTTTTACATAAATAGAAATTTTTAAAATCATGTTTTCCTCCTGTAACTTTTCTATGTTGCATTTATACTTGAAACCAGCTATAAAACCTTTTTATTACCTTTTATATATTTTCTCCAAATATTTCTATCCAATGTTAAAAAAATACTTTGAAATTTAACATACGTGAAATCATTGGCCTTCACCATCACACCACATATCAAAGCTGTATTGAAAACACTTTGTCCCTGCACGTGCAGCAACCAATATTATCAACTACATTAATGGGTGAACATTTCTTCAGTTTATAGTATATATGTTTAATAGCCATCAGAAGCAATATTATTCTCTTCTGGCCTAACTCAGAAATCTTTCCAATGTCATACACTCTATTGCCTCCCCTTTTTATTTCTCTTGTTCTTTTTCATTTGGCTACATGACAATCAAGATACTGAATGGGCCTTATTCCTTAATATTCAATAATATGAATTGACTTCAGGAATATATCCAACAGCTCCCCTAGATCTTTCATGTTGGAAATAGGCTGGTTACTTGAGTGAGCACAATAGGTGACCTACTTCACCTTCAAGTGAGATATTCTGTAGCGGGGTCATCACTGGCTGCTCAAACACATCTCTGAATGTTTATTATGATCTAAGAATTCACACCATTACAAAATCAGTTGTGTGAACTTTAAGGCATTTCAGAAAACACAAATGAGCTTGATAAAGGGACAGGTAACGCCCTAATTATTAGATGCTAACAACGGGATCTGAGTGAGAATAAAAAGCAGAAATTAACACAGCAATATCCAGAAATATATGAAATCTTGTTCCCCTCCCGCATAACAGCTCATCAATTCTTTCTCTATATCCATTTTGAAATAAAATTGTATTTTTTTGCAACTCAAAAGTGGTCTCGTCATTCTTGTTCTGGCTCATTCTTTGTGTTTCAAGTTATAATATACACAGCTTCCCAAATTCTTGTGAGTTCGTAAACAGAACCTTTGTCTAGGAATGTTCTTAGTCTGCTCATTCTTTCTTTATCTGACTAATGCAAGTAATTCTTCATGACTCAGTTCTTAAGTCACCTTCTCTGCTACAGCCCTCATAATTTCCGTTTTAGGGCTCTGTGGTTAGTAGAAATTTGGGTTTTCCTCTGTCGTGGTGATGACATAATTGCTCCTTCCTTTGCTCTTGCTCTTTAGCCCACCTGACTGTGCAATCCTCAGGAGAAAAAACTGTATTTTTCATATATGTTCAGAAAAATGTCTTCAAAAATGGGTAGGTATAAGCACATAAGGCAAGACAGTTAAAACAGGTGAGATGTTTATTGTGGGATAACAAAAATGCTGTGGAAAGAGAGATCAGGGTCTATCAAAGGGTCCTTCTTATCTCTTCCATTTATCTTTGTCCAGCGTTCTCACTGGCCATTTAGGACGCTCAGCAACCTTGTGACTTTTTTCCATCATCCTTCAGCAAAGGACATTCTCAGCATGTCTGATATAAAGGCTGGTGTACTGATGTGTTTTAGATTTTAGAGATATGCTAGACATCATGCTATAGTTTGGAATTTTTTAAAATTTCTTAGGCTGTAATAAAAATATCATTTTTGGAACACTTGCCCTGATCTCAGGAACATTCTAAGAACTAATATAGTTCTTCAAGCAGCTTATAAATTTTCTAAATTTGGCTTCAACAAGGAATTTAAAAATGCACAAAAGTCCAAGCAAACTTTTTTTGATTGGCTGATTATATTTTGGACCATGCAACTGCTTTGCTAAAACCATGCTGTTTAACTTATAGAAAATACAGAATATTTAATTTTGTAGTAGTTAAGAAAGGGTTATTACTACTTCAAATACCTATCAGCCATAATCTGCTGACTATAAAATCAAACATTTTCTTTTTTTTGGCCCTGTGTTTGATATAACATTGGCCCTGTGATTTTTTTCTTGGTCCTGTGTTTGACATTTGAAAAACTCAATGTCCCCAACTCTTTTAACAGCTTTTGACATCAGCTCTCACTATATTTTCATTCTCGAAGTGGCTAGACAATATACTTAAAAGAAGTTATTGACATAAGTCTCTAACAGAGAGCATCAGTATTTAGTCAAATCAAATTGTTTCTTTAAACTTTAACATTATGGGTGTCTGAGGTCATTGGAATAAGTTAGATGGCCATCTAACATTAATCTCTGCTAGAACAATTATTTTTTATTAAGAATGAGGAGAGTAAACCTTTCTATACTGTTCAGTGCTAATCACTAGAAATTGTAAGTCTGCCAATTAGTAGGTGCTCAATACATAACTGTTGAAAATAATGCTAAAGAACAATTTTAAAGAAACTTACCTTGAAAACACCAAACTGTACACACCACAGTTTCCTAAATTGATAATCCAATTTGGACAAAATTCAAGTTTAATGCAAGTACATCTACCAGCAAAAATGTAGACAGTAGAGCAGGAAAACTGATCTATGTAGACAGTCCATTTGATAACTAGTAACTCTTGGGCATGAGAAGATACTTATATGGTGAGGCCCCATAAATGTTGTTAGCTTCAAAAAAGTCTCGATATTTTTTTCACTTTAACTGTGCTTTAATGGAGAAATACATATTATCTACAAAGGTGGAGGTTAGGACCAATCTTTGGAAGGGAGAACATTTATGTCTGAATACAAATTGTTTAATTTGTAATAGTAAAAAAATCACTTATTTAACGATGACACAGACATTGTTCCAAATTCTGGATTCACCTTCATTGGTTTCAGAAGCTGGGAAAACTCATATTATAAACTCATTTTATGTACCAGTTCCCCAAATTTAAAAATATTAATTTTTAATTTAAAAAAGTGCATATATATATACACACAACATATAAATATGTGTGTGTGTCTTTCTTATGTTTTTAAAAGACTACTACAGTGGTTAGAATACAATAAAATCATGTAAATTATAGCATTCATTTTTTAAATTAATATCATTGACATTAGCAGTAGCATAAGGAGCATCATTTTTAATTTGTAATTGCATACTGCAAGCTTAGGAGATGCTTTAAACTTTCCCCACCATTTAAGTTCTCAGAGAATGAATCTTAGAATGTAATTCTAGGCTTATAGAGATGCTAAAACAAACTCTAAGGTAAGGGTATTGTAATTATCATATTTTGGAGAGATTTTTTTAAATGTTCTGTTTGGCATAGCATTGATTTGGATGTTTGCATCTTTGGATTACTTCCTTCCATGTGGCTAAAGTGCTACTAAGCTAGAATGCTTGCTATTAGGAAGAATTTCTTTCTTCCCAACACGCAATAAGCTGTTGTAGACCGCCATTTCCACTTGTGCTCTCAGATTCAGGTCATAAGTGACCAAAAATATAGACAAAAAGATGAGAAATTTAAAGAGCATTTTGGATTATAGTTAGGCTTAGGCTCTTGGCCAGAGGAACAAAAATGTTTTGTGACTGGTGTAGTCAGCTATGGGTTCTATATGGGGATATAAGGCCAAATCTCCACATAGGATGTGTGCACTTGCAATTGAGTGTCCTTTATAAAGAGTCTGAGATCCAAGAGTTTAGGATCTACTCAAAGAATATTTTAATCTTACCATTATAAAAAATTTAAGTAGCAATTTTGTTGTTAATAGCAGAAGAATGAAAGGCCCAGAGGCAATCAGGAAAAATGCTACTAGGAAAGTTGATAAGTCAGATTAAGGAGCTTTGAGAGGAAATATGTAATCAGGTAAATGTACTAGGAATAGGTTGTAGATTCTGAATACCTGACCTAAGTGGGGTGTGGAAAGGGACAAGAAAATAATGTGCTTGCTTCTACATTCCTCATGTGGTCCGTCCATAAAATGATCACTCTTTGACACACAGTCACAATAGAATTGCCAGTTCTAGAGTTTCCACATACTGTATGTATCTAAAGTGAAACAATACATACATATTTTGTTGATTGAATAAACAAAATGTAGATAAAATTTTATTCTTTCTACTCTAAGTTTAATAAAATATTTAAATAATACAAGTAAAAATAATCTATAATCTTTTGGGATGTTACCATTTATAAACTACATGAAAAATGATATGATTTATCATTTCATTAATATACTCATTTTCTCTGTCATTTCTCTGTGTGTGCCATGCATGCCATTTTAAAAATCATTTAAGAATATTTGAGACACACACACAAAGGATCTGAGTCCTCCAGTTGGGCTTCCTAGTTCCTCTATAACCAGAAGCAAGGCTGCCTGTGGGCACCTCAGGAATTCTGCCACCATCCAGTTCCTGCTCACTGCTTAAAAAGTCTAAATAATTGGAAAAAATTATATGCGGAGGAGCCAAGATGGCCGCATAGGAACAGCTCCGGTCTACAGCTCCCAGCGTGAGTGACGCAGAAGACGGGTGATTTCTGCATTTCCATCTGAGGTACCAGGGTTCATCTCACTAGGGAGTGCCAGACAGTGGGCGCAGGTCAGTGGGTGCGCGCACCGTGCGCGAGCTGAAGCAGGGCGAGGCATTGCCTCACTTGGGACGTGCAAGTGGTCAGGGAGTTCCCTCGTCAAAGAAAGGGGTGACGGACGCACCTGGAAAATCGGGTCACTCCCACCCGAATATTGCGATTTTCGGACAGGCTTAAAAAACAGCGCACCACGAGATTATATCCCGCACCTGGCTCGGAGGGTCCTACGCCCACGGAGTCTCGCTGATTGCTAGCAGGGCAATCTGAGATCAAACTGCAAGGCGGCAGCGAGGCTGGGGGAGGGGCGCCCGCCATTGCCCAGGCTTGCTTAGGTAAACAAAGCAGCCTGGAAGCTCGAACTGGGTGGAGCCCACCACAGCTCAAGGAGGCCTGCCTGCCTCTGTAGGCACCACCTCTGGGGGCAGGGCATAGACAAACAAAAAGACAGCAGTAACCTCTACAGACTTAAATGTCCCTGTCTGACAGCTTTGAAGAGAGCAGTGGTTCTCCCAGTACGCAGCTGGAGATCTGAGAAGGGCAGACTGCCTCCTCAAGTGGGTCCCTGACCCCTGACCCCCAAGCAGCCTAACTGGGAGGCACCCCCCAGCAGGGGCACACTGACACCTCACACGGCAGGGTATTCCAACAGACCTGCAGCTGAGGGTCCTGTCTGTTAGAAGGAAAACTAACAAACAGAAAGGACATCCACACCAAAAACCCATCTGTACATCACCATCATCAAAGACCAAAGTAGATAAAACCACAAAGATGGGGAAAAAACAGAACAGAAAAACTGGAAACTCTAAAACGCAGAG
The DNA here is from genome assembly GCF_000001405.40 of Homo sapiens. Lineage (NCBI taxonomy): Eukaryota > Metazoa > Chordata > Mammalia > Primates > Hominidae > Homo > Homo sapiens. The sequence continues at coordinate 9,403,837 of NC_000007.14, read as the reverse complement.
CACATCTCCTCCTCCAAAGGAATGCAGTTCCTCACCAGCAACGGAACAAAGCTGGATGGAGAATGACTTTGACGAGCTGAAAGAAGAAGGCTTCAGACGATCAAATTACTCTGAGCTACGGGAGGACATTCAAACCAAAGGCAAAGAAGTTGAAAACTTTGAAAAAAATTTAGAAGAATGTATAACTAGAATAACCAATACAGAGAAGTGCTTAAAGGAGCTGATGGAGCTGAAAACCAAGGCTCGAGAACTACGTGAAGAATGCAGAAGCCTCAGGAGCCGATGCGATCAATTGGAAGAAAGGGTATCAGCAATGGAAGATGAAATGAAAGAAATGAAGCGAGAAGGGAAGTTTAGAGAGAAAAGAATGAAAAGAAATGAACGAAGCCTCCAAGAAATATGGGACTATGTGAAAAGACCAAATCTACGTCTGATTGGTGTACCTGAAAGTGATGGGGAGAATGGAACCAAGTTGGAAAACACTCTGCAGGATATTATCCAGGAGAACTTCCCCAATCTAGCAAGGCAGGCCAATGTTCAGATTCAGGAAATACAGAGAACGCCACAAAGATACTCCTCGAGAAGAGCAACTCCAAGACACATAATTGTCAGATTCACCAAAGTTGAAATGAAGGAAAAAATGTTAAGGGCAGCCAGAGAGAAAGGTCGGGTTATCCACAAAGGGAAGCCCATCAGACTAACAGCGGATCTCTCGGCAGAAACCCTACAAGCCAGAAGAGAGTAGGGGCCAATATTCAACATTCTTAAAGAAAAGAATTTTCAACCCAGAATTTCATTTCCAGCCAAACTAAGCTTCATAGGTGAAGGAGAAATAAAATACTTTACAGACAAGCAAATGCTGAGAGATTTTGTCACCACCAGGCCTGCCCTAAAAGAGCTCCTGAAGGAACCACTAAACATGGAAAGGAACAACCGGTACCAGCCGCTGCAAAATCATGCCAAAATGTAAAGACCATCGAGACTAGGAAGAAACTGCATCAACTAACGAGCAAAATCACCAGCTAACATCATAATGACAGGATCAAAGTCACACATAACAATACTAACCTTAAATGTAAATGGGCTAAATGCTCCAATTAAAAGACACAGACTGGCAAATTGGATAAAGAGTCAAGACTCATCACTGTGTTGTATTCAGGAAGCCCATCTCACGTGCAGAGACACACATAAGCTCAAAATAAAGGGATGGAGGAAGATCTACCAAGCAAATGGAAAACAAAAAAAGGCAGGGGTTGCAATCCTAGTCTCTGATAAAACAGACTTTAAACCAACAAAGATCAAAAGAGACAAAGAAGGCCATTACATAATGGTAAAGGGATCAATTCAACAAGAAGAGCTAACTATCCTAAATATATATGCACCCAATACAGGAGCACCCAGATTCATAAAGCAAGTCCTGAGTGACCTACAAAGAGACTTAGACTCCCACACATTAATAATGGGAGACTTTAACACCCCACTGTCAACATTAGACAGATCAACGAGACAGAAAGTCAACAAGGATACCCAGGAATTGAACTCAGCTCTGCACCAAGCGGACCTAATAGACATCTACAGAACTCTCCACCCCAAATCAACAGAATATACATTTTTTTCAGCACCACACCACACCTATTCCAAAATTGACCACACACTTGGAGGTAAAGCTCTCCTCAGCAAATGTAAAAGAACAGAAATTATAACAAACTATCTCTCAGACCACAGTGCAATCAAACTAGAACTCAGGATTAAGAATCTCACTCAAAACCGCTCAACTACATGGAAACTGAACAACCTGCTCCTGAATGACTACTGGGTACGTAACGAAATGAAGGCAGAAATAAAGATGTTCTTTGAAACCAACGATAACAAAGACACAACATACCAGAATCTCTGGGATGCACTCAAAGCAGTGTGTAGAGGGAAATTTATAGCACTAAATGCCCACAACAGAAAGCAGGAAAGATCCAAAATTGATACCCTAACATCACAATTAAAAGAACTAGAAAAGCAAGAGCAAACACATTCAAAAGCTAGCAGAAGGCAAGAAATAACTAAAATCAGAGCAGAACTGAAGGAAATAGAGACACAAAAAACCCTTCAAAAAATTAATGAATCCAGGAGCTGGTTTTTTGAAAGGATCAACAAAATTGATAGACCGCTAGCAAGACTAATAAAGAAAAAAAGAGAGAAGAATCAAATAGACACAATAAAAAATGATAAAGGGGATATTACCACCGATCCCACAGAAATACAAACTACCATCAGAGAATACTACAAACACCTCTACGCAAATAAACTAGAAAATCTAGAAGAAATGGATAAATTCCTCGACACATACAATCTCCGAAGACTAAACCAGGAAGAAGTTGAATCTCTGAATAGACCAATAACAGGAGCTGAAATTGTGGCAATAATCAATAGTTTACCAACCAAAAAGAGTCCAGGACCAGATGGATTCACAGCCAAATTCTACCAGAGGTACAAGGAGGAACTGGTACCATTCCTTCTGAAACTATTCCAATCAACAGAAAAAGAGGGAATCCTCCCCAACTCATTTTATGAGGCCAGCATCATTCTGATACCAAAGCCAGGCAGAGACACAACCAAAAAAGAGAATTTTAGACCAATATCCTTGATGAACATTGATGCAAAAATCCTCAATAAAATACTGGCAAAACGAATCCAGCAGCACATCAAAAAGCTTATCCACCATGATCAAGTGGGCTTCATCTCTGGGATGCAAGGCTGGTTCAATATACGCAAATCAATAAATGTAATCCAGCATATAAACAGAACCAAAGACAAAAACCACATGATTATCTCAATAGATGCAGAAAAAGCCTTTGACAAAATTCAACAACCCTTCATGCTAAAAACTCTCAATAAATTAGGTATCGATGGGACGTATTTCAAAATAATAAGAGCTATCTATGACAAACCCACAGCCAATATCATACTGAATGGGCAAAAACTGGAAGCATTCCCTTTGAAAACGGGCACAAGACAGGGATGCCCTCTCTCACCACTCCTATTCAACATAGTGTTGGAAGTTCTGGCCAGGGCAATTAGGCAGGAGAAGGAAATAAAGGGTATTCAATTAGGAAAAGAGGAAGTCAAATTGTCCCTGTTTGCAGATGACATGATTGTATATCTAGAAAACCCCATTGTCTCAGCCCAAAATCTCCTTAAGCTGATAAGCAACTTCAGCAAAGTCTCAGGATACAAAATCAATGTACAAAAATCACAAGCATTCTTATACACCAACAACAGACAAACAGAGAGCCAAATCATGAGTGAACTCCCATTCACAATTGCTTCAAAGAGAATAAAATACCTAGGAATCCAACTTACAAGGGATGTGAAGGACCTCTTCAAGGAGAACTACAAACCACTGCTCAAGGAAATAAAAGAGGATACAAACAAATGGAAGAACATTCCATGCTCATGGGTAAGAAGAATCAATATCGTGAAAATGGCCATACTGCCCAAGGTAATTTACAGATTCAATGCCATCCCCATCAAGCTACCAATGACTTTCTTCACAGAATTGGAAAAAACTACTTTAAAGTTCATATGGAACCAAAAAAGAGCCCACATCGCCAAGTCAATCCTAAGCCAAAAGAACAAAGCTGGAGGCATCACACTACCTGACTTCAAACTATACTACAAGGCTATAGTAACCAAAACGGCATGGTACTGATACCAAAACAGAGATATAGATCAATGGAACAGAACAGAGGCCTCAGAAATAATGCCACATATCTACAACTATCTGATCTTTGACAAACCTGAGAAAAACAAGCAATGGGGAAAGGATTCCCTATTTAATAAATGGTGCTGGGAAAACTGGCTAGTCATATGTAGAAAGCTGAAACTGGATCCCTTCCTTACACCTTATACAAAAATCAATTCAAGATGGATTAAAGACTTAAACGTTAGACCTAAAACCATAAAAACCCTAGAAGAAAACCTAGGCATTACCATTCAGGACATAGGCATGGGCAAGGACTTCATGTCTAAAACACCAAAAGCAGTGGAAACAAAAGACAAAATTGACAAATGGGATCTAATTAAACTAAAGAGCTTCTGCACAGCAAAAGAAACTACCATCAGAGTGAACAGGCAACCTACAAAATGGGAGAAAATTTTTGCAACCTACTCATCTGACAAAGGGCTAATATCCAGAATCTACAATGAACTCAAACAGATTTACAAGAAAAAAACAAACAACCCCATCAAAAAGTGGGCGAAGGACATGAACAGACACTTCTCAAAAGAAGACATTTATGCAGCCAAAAAACACATGAAAAAATGCTCATCATCACTGGCCATCAGAGAAATGTAAATCAAAACCACAATGAGATACCATCTCACACCAGTTAGCATGGCAATCATTAAAAAGTCAGGAAACAACAGGTGCTGGAGAGGATGTGGAGAAATAGGAACACTTTTACACTGTTGGTGGGACTGTAAACTAGTTCAACCATTGTGGAAGTCAGTGTGGTGATTCCTCAGGGACCTAGAACTAGAAATACCATTTGACCCAGCCATCCCATTACTGGGTATATACCCAAAGGACTATAAATCATGCTGCTATAAAGACACATGCATACGTATGTTTATTGCAGCATTATTCACAATAGCAAAGACTTGGAACCAACCCAAATGTCCAACAATGATAGACTGGATTAAGAAAATGTGGCACATATACACCATGGAATACTATGCAGCCATAAAAAATGATGCATTCATGTCCTTTGTAGGGACACAGATGAAATTGGAAATCATCATTCTCAGTAAACTATCGCAAGAACAAAAAACCAAACACCGCATATTCTCACTCATAGGTGGGAATTGAACAATGAGATCACATGGACACAGGAAGGGGAATATCACACTCTGGGGACTGTGGTGGGGTGCGGGGAGTGGGGAGGGATAGCATTGGGAGATATACCTAATGCTAGATGACAAGTTAGTGGGTGCAGTGCACCAGCATGGCACATGTATACATATGTAACTAACCTGCACTATGTGCACATGTACCCCCTAAAACTTAAAGTATAAAAAAAAAAAAGAATATTTGAAAAAAACACAATGATTTTACTTCATCTATGTGAAAACTTACCCCTTTCCCCTAAAGTAGCAGTAGTAAAAGGGAAACTTGGTACTATTTAAAGTTTCAATTTTAAATGTACATTCAGTTGGGATACAATAATTTTAGGGATGAAAAAATGCACTTCTGACCCAGAGGTAGAGTAAACTTCTCATTATAAAAAAAATAAAAAAGTATTTTACAAAGTAAATATGACTGCCATGCATTAAATATAATGTCCTTTTGAAAAACTTACTCTGTTCTTAAAATTCACTGTAATGCTACAATGATTTTATCATAAGTTCTTTTTCTTTTCATTTACATTTTTGTGACAATTCATGATCTTAGAAATAAACTGTAAGTAGCTTCCTCTGAACACTGACTTTGTTCCCATATGTAATAGGTACACTTGCTTCTAGACATAATTCACATTTAAATATCAAAGTCATTGATACGTAAGTAGAACATTTTTTTTTATTACTCAGAACCATCCTGTTCCTCTCTTTAAGCTGAGGGATATTTCTTTCAAGAATATGAGGAAGAGAAAAGCCTTCAGGTTAATTTAGGGTGTATGACTATTTCTAGGAATGGATCACAGGTGGAGTAGGTGGCAGTCAATACGGAGCATGCAGAGGTGGTTCAGTTTTAGCCAAGCACTTGCCGAATTATTTCCTTGAAATGTCAACAAAAGCAATTTCCTGAGTTTTCTAATTCTATTAGTCTACTTTTGAAATTCAAATAACACACATTCCAATTAACTTGAAAATTAAAAAATTCACCACTTAATTGTATATGTATAAACAACAACAACATTTTTATATTTCAAGTAGGCCATAAAAGGTAAATACTTAACACTTAAAATATATTAGTTTATCAGAATTTTTTTCTTCCTGGACTTCTGGATAAGAAGGAAAGGCTGTAGGCATAAAAGAAAAGCTTACTTACTAGCTAGTTTTGCAGTGGGAAGGTTTAATTGACACATTTAAGAAAACATAGTACAGCTCACGCACTTTCATATTCTTCATGGAATAAGTTGTAGAAGAACTTAACTTTCTTATATTCATAATCCCTCCTGATATCCATAGCTATCGCATGCAGAGTTACTGGGGTTAGACAAATTTCTTTTTGTAGGCAGTTTTTAAAGTCCAATGTAAAGACTATGTTCATGGAATTTGTAGCATGGTCCTGATTCATCTCTTCTACCAAGCTGGATAGAATACAAAGTCTTTGAAGCGTTGATGTAAAACTCTTTTGCATAAAACTTGAGCTGATAAAAGCCTTTTGTGATAGATTCCAGTTTGAAGTAGTTTCTACAAAAGCAAATATAGGTTTCTAAAAAATGTAAAAATTTTAAATTATTGCATCTCTTAAATATGCTTAGTACCTTTGTGCATAAAGAAAATATGTAGAAAAATATCATCTACAGGTGGAAGACACTATACTCTTTGATGTTTTGATAGGTGTGTCAAAGAGGAAATTTAATTCCCTTTTATAACTTGAGAAAATAGCTGTGGGGGGTGGTGGGGTCAGTATTTTAAGGAATAGAAGCCAAATGTATATGCAATGTTGGAAAACATTGATCTACATTTTGGTATGCAAACATATTACATTTTTTCCTCCTTCTTCTTACTTTTGTTGTTGAATATTGTTTTACACACCACAATTCTATACCAGAATCTCTCATGTGTCGCAAAATTTTATGTACATATCCAAGAGGCTTATAGATGATCTGGATATGATTGAGAAACTATGAAGATAAATTCTTTCATCAAGGAATAACATAGACTTTACATGGAATAATAAGTTTCTGTAAATGATAACAATAAAGGGCACATATTTTGATTTTGTCTCGTTCAAAGTATTAGTGTGGAAAAATAATAACAAGTTTAGTGTGTTTCTCAGGGAACCAGCGTTTGCTACTGATTTCATATCGACGTGCCATATTTAGATGCTCAGGAGAAGTCAATCAAGTAATTTTGTGGATGGCACCAGCTAGAAACTATTTTAATCATAAAATTTTATGGACTGATAAAGTACATGGGTAATTTATTAATTAAAATATAATGAGAATAGAGATGTTTAAATATTCATTGAAACTCACGAGGTTAATTAAAATACTCTGTAGATATTTCTAGACTAATACAACTCATAGAAATTAATTATTAGATAGCTCTGATTTGACCCATTGAGGATGCACAACTGAGGGAAATATTTTAAAAATGAATTCAGTCTATCACTGTGCTTTTGAACATGCTTATCAAGTTTATATAATTGGTATTGCTGTCCTTTTAATGTCTAATATAACACACTTGGTAACACTACATGTTTAGAAAATATACTTTGTTTTATTCTCTTGAGATACTAGAAAATTAAATATCAATTCTTTTTAATATGTTCCTGGGCTTGCTTTTTTGAGATTCATTGATGGAGAATTAAATTTGTTTATATATTAGTAGTAACTATTATACTATCAGAAGCAAATTATGAAATGTTTCAGGACACATTTCTAGATACTGACAATGCTGACTGAAGCCTCAACTTCCCCAAGTACTAGTGAAATGATATTGAGCAAGTTACTTAACACGTTCAAGTTGTAGCATTTTATAGGTTCATTGTGGATAATGGATAATGAATGTTAATCATTTAGCATGCTGCTTGGAACATGACAAAACACTCTATAACTTGAAGCTTCCATATTATCATCACCATCATCTTCATAAATCACAAATGTAGTCATTGCCCCCAATGCAGTTGAATTGGGTGCAGTACTTTCAAAGTGTACAAAGAGGATAGGCTTAGTATATAATGATGCTGCTACTGTTTAAAATGGGGCAGTTATTTGGGAGTAATTCTCAAGGACGCAGAGGTAGATTAGATCAGTGAACAATGAATTATGAAAAGATAAAGAGAAGAAAATCAAAACATTGTTACAACACGATGCTTTCTAAGAATGTTTATTAGTCTGACATTTTTTATTTTATTGATTTTGATTCATAACTCTTCAGTATATATACTAAACAAAGTCTATGTAAAGAGGCTTACTTTAAAATAACATTGGTGAGAAAATTTTCGAAGGGAGAAACTTTTAGATACTATATTGTTATTATGTTATATAAAATTTTCAGAGTCAAATAAATTTGATATTACATTCATGGAGGCATTAATTTTATTATTTAGTACAAAGATAAGATATATTAAATATTTTATTTTTTCCTCACCTACAGCTGTCAAATTTACTTTATGCATAATACAATTTCATATGTTTACATATTACAATTCATGTGACCTTCAATCACTTTATGAAACCACTCATTATATTTTGGTATCTAAGTCTGAATTATTTATCTAAGGTTTAGAGGTCTTCTGCTAATAATATATTCAACTTTAATTTTCAGTGTTTAGAATTTATCCAAGGTTTTTATCCACATCCACAATTTTTAAGGTATTTTCACATACACAGAAAGGTTTTATTGTGGTTTTCTTATTCTAATTTTTGTCCTCAATCTTTCATGTAAAAGAGATGCTTTGTGGATTGTTATACATATCTATGTAACTAATTCATATCTGCTTAAAAGTTTTTCATTTGCTTCAGAACTATTGTTGCTCATACTGTTTTCTGTTAACCTAAGCAATCTATACCTTTGTCCAAACTCCTTATTTTGTAACACAGTCAACTTGTGTGTTTTAAGACAATTTTCCCATAACAGTAATAATTCAAGTAACAAAGCTTGCTTAAGTTACAAGTGATTCTTTGTTGATTTCTTCTATGACTCTTAAGGTATAACAATATGAAAATTGTCTTCATCTTTTGAAAATGAAAATCAGAAGCCTTAAAAGTAAATAAACTGATTTATAGTAGAAAAATAATGAAAAGCCAAATGACAATGATCATTACATCAGTTTCTGGATGTCCTAAAAATAAGTGAATTTCATTCATGCATTTATTATTTTAAAAACCTAATTTTGTCATTTCTTTAGTTCCTATAGCAAACGATTATTTATAAGCGTTCTTAATATACTTGAATAATGCCTTCATATTATTCTGATTTAATTACAACTTTGGTATAATAGTACATACAAATTGCAGTGGTTGCTTTGATGAATTGAAGGCTTTTGATGTTGTACATACCTGTATAATCTATCCACTATATTTCCATCTCCATGAATACACAAGCTATGTGTCTACAGTGTGAGCTGCCTTCTTTGTAAGATACCCTGATTCTCAACGGTGATTGGTTTTATTTTTTGCATATGATTCAAACATGGATGACTCTCAGAATCCTTCTGAGAGAGAGATGAGAGAAGGAGACAGAGAGTTCTGACACCATTTAATATTCAGATTAAAGTCATTCCTAAGACTAGCTTCACCCTTGGTCTGCATTTGATTTGATTACTTATATCAATATTAATAACAACTCTTTTAAACTTAATTTTCTTCTTGTTTTCCTGAAATTGCTTCCAAATGATACTGAATAGTCATTTATTTTCCTACTAAAGTCTATTTCATGTAAGATGTTTAAAAAAGCTTTATTACCTTAGTAGGCTTTACAAAATTCATATTTCCTGTTTTACCTGCACAACCAAGCAATAGTGTTTACTATAGGCTTAATACTACAAAATATTACTACAGTTTTCCTTTCCCATGTCCTAAATAGTGGCTCTGTTCACTCACTGGTAGGAAATGCCATAATGGTGGAAAAGAGCCTTCTCTATTTGATAGGAAGTGTACACCTATCACCGTTTAAGTAGAATAAAAGATTACTTCTTGCACAACATTATGACACTTCTTTAACATCATAATTAAATATTAACCATTCCACTGAGAATAGATATTAAACCCGTACAACATGCAGAAAAAGCTATTTAAATGCATTTGAGAATATCCATAGTAATCACAACATCAGATGCTCATCTACTGAAAAGAAGGAAAAACATTTCAGTGATTGAGAGTTTTCACCAGTTAGCGTAGAAGCCAAAAGTAAGGCTGTTTTGTATAACTTTTATCAGTCTTATTATGTAGAAGAAAAAAATTTAGAAGTCATATTTGTCTAAAGAGGAGAGGTTCTGGTGAAGATCTGAAATCTTCCTTCCTTGGAAATCCCTGAAGTCATATTCCATATTATCAAGTGTAAACTGTCACTATTAAGTGTTCACAAAGCCTGAAATATAGCACTAAAACATTCATTCTTGATTGGTCAAACTGTTCTCTTTTACCTAATTGCCTGACAGGAAAAAAAGTAAATAAAAAATCCTGACATTATCAAGAGAGTCTACATTTTGTGTGTATGTTTGTAATATTCAACATTCAATCAAAATTTTCCAAACACCGAAAGATAAGACAGACAATAAAAAGAAGTTTATATGATACAGGTTTGAGTAGTTAGGTAATATTTTATAATAAAACTATTATTAATATTGAAAATAAAAGTTGACAGGATGAGTGTCTAAAAACAACATAATCTATCAAATAATCAAGTAGAACCTATAAAAATAGTGCCAAAGAATTCATAACCTGAGATAATTTTAACCCACTGGACACAGCAGAAAAAATCAAATATTCTAGGAGATAATGCAGTTAGAAAATATGCAGAATGAAGCATATAAAGAAAAAATATAAAACAACATGAGGCATATGAAACCCAGAAGAATAATCTAGAAAGCAAGTAATTTTAGACTCAGAAAGAGGAGAACAAACAGTTCATGGGCAATAATTGAAAACATACAAGGTAAAGACATTGGAATTTCTTTCAAAGTTAATAAGAGAAAAAATCTATCAGTATTACTAAAATGAAAACCACATATAGGAGATCATTTTAAAATAGTTGAAAACCAAAGATAAAAAGCTTATAAGACACTATTTTTAAAAAGACACTTTATCTTTTAGTATATAATGAGAGGAAGGACCGCATTGTTGACACGAATGAAGGAGCGTGAAATAAAACCAATAAAACTTTCAGGACATTGAAAGAAAAATGTCTATATATAACTCCAAATCCATTAAAATATTTTTCAAAAATGAAGTTAAAGTTAAGACATCTTCAGATAAACAATGACTAAGAGATTTTTTAATCATTATCAGACCAAGATTTTAAAAACACACAATTGGAAATTCTCAAGGCAGAAGGACAATTATGCCAGAAGGAAGAACTGCATCTCAGGGAGAATTAAGCAACACCAGAAATGAAAAATATGCTAGTAGATCTAAAGGAATAAGAAGTTCTAGAAACAATTATAATGTGCTATGTGGGTAAAAATATATGTAGCACTAAAATAGATGACAGCAATAGCATGGAAGCCAGGTGTAGAGTACAAGAAGTTAAAGTATTGTAAGGTCTACACATTGTCTCAGGAGAGGGAAATACATAAATATTACAAGATGTAAGTGGAATATTCCATAAAATGAGTCACTCCGATCCTAAAATAAAATTGGTCTTTACAAGTTACATAGTTTCAAATGACATAAAGCCAAAAATGACAGATTTTTAACAACAGAATCAGAGATTTTAACCCACCTTTCTAAGTAATTGATAGAAAATTATTTTATTTATTTATTTATTTATTTATTTATTTATTTATTTATTTATTTTGAGACAGTGTCTCGCTCTGTTGCCCTGGCTAGAGTGTAGTGGTATGATTAGGGATCAGGGTTCACTGCAGCCTCAACCTTCCAGGCTCAAGAGATCCTTCAGCCTCACCCCCCAGACTAGCTCGGATTACAGGCATGCACCGCCATACCCAGCAAATTTTTATTTATTTTTATTTTTTTGAAGAGATGAGGCTTTGTCCTGTTGCCCATGCTGGTGTCAAACTCCTGGACTAAAGCAATCTGCCTGCCTTGTCCTCCCAATGTGCTGGGATTGTTACAGGAAAGGGGTCCTGATCCAGACCCCAAGACCAAGTTCTTGGATCTCACACAAGAAAAAATTCAGGGAGAGTCCTCAGTGCAAAACAAAAGCAAGTTTATTAAGAAAAGTAAAGTGGTGAAAGAACAGCCACTCCATAGACAGAGTAGGGTGTTCCCTAAAGTAAGAGGAGGAGTGCATCCACCCTAAGTAAAATACTTGTATATATACGATAAAAAAAACATCATGGGGAGATGTGCTCTGCTACAAGGGCTTGTGATAAAAGGTTAATTTTCTTAGTTACTGTATTTTGCAAGAATCAATATTATTATCTTTAAAGCAAAATTAGAAAGGCCTTTATTCTCAAGATATCAGAATATTAGGACACTCTCAAGTCTGGGTCTGTTTAGTAAACCTCATCAATCTGTTCCCTTAGACGTAAACATCTAGAGGTTAGGAATGCCTAACTTTCTGGGAATTCTGCCCAGCAAGTTCCAGCCTTATTTTTATAGCCCTCACCCAAGATGGAGTTGCTGTGGTTTGAATGCCTCTGACGGGATTACAAGAGTGAGCCACTGAGCCCGGACAAAATTATAACAAAATTTCAGCAAATGTACAATGCTTGAAAAGCACAGCTAATACGTCTGACTTAAGACACTACACCCCAAACTGCATGTGGTGGAGAAAATTATGCCTTTGGGATTATCACAACTCAGTCCCCAGAAGCAGTGAAAGTGGAAAAAGGACTTTGTAGATGTGATTCAATTAAGGATTTCTGAATTAGCCAAGAAGGGCAACTGTAATCACAAGGGTTCTTATAGGAGGCAGGCAGGAGGGTCAGAGGCATGAAAATATCAATGACTGAAGCAGAAAGAGAGACTCGACGATTCTAGGCTGCTTGCTCTGAAGCTAGAGGACGGGGCCAGAAGCTGAGGAATGCAAGAATCTCTAGAAGTTAGAAAAGGCAAGGAAACAGATTGTCCCCTACAACTCCTCCCCACTCCCCAAATGCATCCTTACTGGCCTATCATATTACAAGAAAAGAATTTCATGTTGTTTTAATCCACTAAATTTGTGGTAATATGCTACAGTGACAATAAGAAATTAATACAGTACTGAATACATATATTATTTTCAAATGCTTATGAGACATTTTCCAGAATTGACTATATACTGGCAATAAAGCAAATCTCAACAAATATAAACATTTCTAAATATTTTAAATTATTCAGTGTGTCCACTGATCAGAATGAAAAATAAGATTAAGCTAGAACAATAAAATAAATAGTAGCCACAATATAGTAAAATATTCAAAATTTAAAAAAATATACTCTATAAAATTAATGTTTCAAAGAAGAAATTAAAATGGATATTAGAAAATTTTGGGCCAATAATAAAAGAATATATGATATATTAAAACTGTAGAGAAACATGTAAAATCTTAATGACAGATAAAATTGTCATTATTTGCATATAAAATCATTGTATACAAACAAATACCAGTATAGCTTATAGATAACTTCTATAATAAATAAAAAACCTACTAAGGTCACAGTATATCAAATATACTCCTATGTATTACCACAGATTATTAGGTGTTTTTGATAGTATCCATAACTGGCAGAAAATCTGATAAAAGTAATATATGACTTACAGAAATTCTGATAAATATTATTAATAAAAAATTAGAGAAATAAACATCTGAATCCATTTTGTTCATGAACTGGAAGACTTAATAATGTAAAGAGGCCATATTGCCAAAATTTATCTATAAAATCAATTTAATTCTCATCAACATCCCAATATTGTGAAAGTTGGCAAGTTGATTAAAAATGTAGATGGTGGAGGAAGAAGCAAGATGGCTGGCTAGAGATGCTGGACTCTCACATTCCTCAAAATTCCTGGCACCTGTCACCTCTAGCAGCATGGACTCTATCCTGGGGCTTGCAGTCAGAGACCTGACTGTCTGGGGATGGGAGCAAGGACCTACCCACAACTGTGGAGCAACCTATGTCCTCTGGCTTGCACTCTTAGAAGCAGGATCCCTTACCCCCATCCCCACCCCCCATCTCTACACCCCCCATCCCACCCCCTACACAATGCAGAAGCCACAGCCACTGTTGCTGCCACCAGGGTCTGGGGCAGGTGAACTGGAGGGCTACTTGTCTGGAGCTGTGAGTGGCAACAACACCTCCACTGATAGCATGGCCTCTAGGCTAAAGATCACACTGAAGGGTGGGATCTCTCCTCTGTCCTTACCTCTGTGGGGCACTGTGGCTGCCGCCGCCACTGAGAGTAAAAGAGCCTAAGAGCTGCATGTCTGGTCAGTGGACAGTGACAATGCCCCCACTGGCAACACAGTCTTTCTGGTCAGGCATGAGTACAGAAGGAGTGATTTCTCTCCTTTTCCACACAACTCTGTAGCCACTACCGTAGCCAGGAGTCGAAACAAATGCAACTGCAGAACCTGAGAGCTCCCTGTTTGAGGATTTGGGCAACCTCCATGACATCAGGAGTATGGTATCTGTGCTCTACTGTACATCCTGAATACAGGCTCCACACACACATCGTTGTGGCCATTGATGCTGCTAGAGAATAAATGTGCACTTCCCAGATCGTAAAAGCTGCTTGCAGTGGACTGCTGATAGCACCTCTATTCATACCAACAGCAAGACTCCTGTGCTTTAGCAGGAGCCCTGGAATCAGATTTTCCACACCCACCACAACAGACTTTTCTGCCCTGCCAACAATAGCCAATATCCCTGCATATCACCAGGTGCCTGAGGTCAGAATTGCCTGGCCCAGCATCACTCCTTTAGAACCTGAGCACATTGTTCAAGGACATGGGAATCATGGAATCACTCTGCTTATTCTACCACCTCTGGCACCTGTGCACTCTTTCTGGGAACTGGAAGGCATGTCCACCCAGCCAACTACCAACACCATCACTAACACCTACTCAAATGTGCCAACTAGGAACTTGGAGATTGTCCTGCGTATTAGTCCATTCTCATGCTGCTATGAAGGACTGTCTGAGACTGGGAAATTTATAAAGGAAAAAGACCTAATTGGCTCACAGTTCCACATGGCTGGGGAGGCCTCAGGCAACTCGAAAGCTTGGCAGAAGAGGAAGCAAACACATCATTCTTCACGTGATGGCAGGAAGGAGAAGTGCCCAGCCCAAGGGAGAAAAGTCCCTTATAAAACCATCAGATATCGTGAGAACTCACTCACTGTCACAAGAACAGCATGGACGTAATTGCTTCCATGATTCAATTACCGTCTACTCTGCCCCTCCCATGACACATGGGGATTAGGGGGACTAAAATTCAAGATGAGGTGTGGGTGGGGACACAGCCAAATCATATCACCTGCCCAGCCCATCACAACCATCATCAACACCAGCATGCACCACTCGGCACCCAAAGGTTTGTGCCACCACTGTTCTGTTATTTCCTATGCCATGCCAGGTGCCCAGGGGCACAAGAACCCATCCTCCTGGTCTAACACTGCTGCAACTGGCATCTGAGCAAGCCACCTGGTGGCTAAAGAATCAACCCTTGGCTAAGCACAGTGGCTCACACCTGTAATCCCAGCACTTTGGGAGGTAGAGGCAGGTGGATGATGAGGTCAGCAGTTCAAGACCAGCCTGGCCAAATGGTGAAACCCTGTATCTATTAAAAATACAAAAATTAGCCAGGCATGGTGGTGGGCACCTGCAATCCCAGCTACTTGGGAGGCTAAGTCAGAGAATTGCTTGAACCTGGGAGGCAGATGTTGCAGTGAGCTGAGATCGTGCCACTGCACTCCAGCCTGGGCAACAGAGCAAGACTCTGTCTCAAAAAAAAAAAAAAAAAAAAGAATCAACCCTCATGGACCTACTAACACTGGTACCAGCGTACATCGCCTAGGAACCCAAGAACAGGCAGGCTGCCACTATTCGGGCCTGAAGACTGGCCCATTAGGCCTCTTTGTCTCCAGCAAAACTTTACCAGAACCTCAATAAATTACTGCCCCCTACACTGCCAAGGAAATCACAGATACCACTGACATTGTTTATAGCCAGAGAATAAAGAGGCTACACTACTACATGCACCCAGAATCAAAGCCAATGGGCCTACCCCACCAACACCATAGATATAGCATGGGGAAGTCTTCCCCTAAAAAAGCAATTCAACAAAATAAATGAAGAAGCAACTGCTATACCAGATGTGCAAATGTCAAAATAAATCCACAGGAAACATTAAAAAGCAGGAAAATATGACACCTCCAAAGAAATATAATTCTTCAGCAACAGATACCAATCAAAAGGAAATATGTGAAATCCTGGAATGATAATCCAATTATTGATTCTAAAGAAGTTCAGTGAGATACAAGAAAATCCTGAAAAACTGTACAAAGAAATTTGAAAAACAGTTCAGAATACGAATGACAAATTTACCAATGAGATAGATGTCATAGAAAAATGAAAATTCTGGAAATAAAAAATTCATTGAAAGAAACACAAAATACACTTGAAATCTTCCACAACAGGTCAAATCAAACCAAATAAAGAATCTCAGAACTTAAAAACAGGTCTTTTGAAATAATATAGCCAGACAAAAATTCAAAATAAAAAGAATGAAAAATAATAAAGACTTAGTGACAAGTGGGACATCATAAATTGGTCAAATTTACATATTATTGGTATCCCAGAAGGTGATGTGAGGGAAAAAAAAAGTGTTCAAAACCTATTTGATGAAATAATACATGAAAACTGATCAATAGAGAAATGCAAATCAAAACCACAATGAGATACCATCTGATACAAGTCTGATGGCTATTATTAAAAAGCAAAAAATAACAGATGCTGGTGAGGTTGCAGAGAAAACAGAATATTTACACACTGTTGGTGGGAGTGAAAATTAGTTGAATGATCTTTGAAAGCAGCATGAAAATTTCTCAAAGCGCTAAAAACAGAACTACCATTAGATCCAACAATCTCACTACTGGGTATATACCCAGATAAATATATATCATTGTACCATAGAGACACACACACACAAATGTTCATTGCAGTACTATTCACAATAGCAAAGACATGGAATCAACCTAAATGCCCATCAATGATAGACTGAATAAAGAACATGTGGTACATACATACCATGGAATACTATACTGCCATAAAAAAGAATCAGATTATGTCTTTGCAGGAACATGGATGCAGCTGGAGGGTATTATCCTTAGCAAATTAACAAAGGAACAGAAAACCAAATACCACATGCTCTCCCTTATAAGTGGGTATGAAATTATGAGAACTCATGAAGACAAAGACGGGAACAACAGACACTGAGGCCTGATTGAAAGAGGAGGATGGCAGGAGGGAGAAGAACAGAAAAAAACTCAAAAACATTGGGTACTAGGCTTAGTGCCTGGGTTATGAAGTAATCTGTACAATAAACTTCTGTGACATGAGTTTACCTGTATAACAAACTTGCACATGTAACCCTGAACCTAAAATAAAAGTTAAAAAAAGAAACTACAAAGTAACCAGCTAATAACTTCATGAGAGGAGCAAACTCTCACATATTAATATTAATTTAAATATAAACAGTTTATATGTTTCACTAAATAGGTTCAGAGCAGCAAGCTGGATAAAAACAACAATAACAGAGACAACAACAAAAACACTTATTCATCTGCTGCCTTAAAAGACCCATTTCACACATAATGATACCAATAGGATCAAAGTACAGGGTTGGAGAAAGATCTATCAGGCAAATTGAAAACAAGACAGAAGGGGTCACTATTCTTTTATCAGAAAAAGCAGACTTTAAATCAATAACAGAAAAAAGTTCAAAGAAGGGCATTACATAATGATTAAGGATTCAATTCATCAAGATTTAACTGTCCTAAATATACATGCACTTAATATTGGAGCATTCATATTCATAAAAAAAAGTACTTCTAGATCTATGAAAATAATTATACAGCCAAACAATAATAGTGGCGTATTTCAATACCACAGGGACATCATTAGACAAATCATTAGGACAGAAAACTAACAAACAAATTCTGATCTTAAATTCAACATTCGACCAATTAGACCTAACAGACGTCTATGCAGTATTCTTCCCATCAACTGCAAAGTATACATTCTTCTCATCTGTGCATTGGACATACTCTGATTGGCTTTATGCTTGACCATAAAGCAAGTCTCAATAAATTTAAAAAAAATCAATATTTTACCAACCATACTCTTGGACCTCAGTGTAATAAAAATACAAATCAACAGCAAGAAGATCACTCAAAACCATACAATTGCATGGAAGTTAAACAAATTGCTCCTGAATGACTTTTGGTAAGCATTAAATGAAAGCAGAAATAAAAAATGTTATTCAAAACAGAGGAGAACAGAGATAGAACATAGCAAAATCTCTGTGACACAGCAAAGGCAGTGTTAAGAGAAAGTGCTAAGAGAAGAGAGAGTGCTACCCAGAAGTTAGAAAGACGCCAAATGAAGGATCTAATATCATGCCTAGAGGAACTATAACAAGATCAAACCGAACAGAAAGCTAGCAGAAGAAAAGAAATAACTAAAATCAGAGCTAAAATGAATCAAAATAAGACCCCAAAATTCATATAAAGGATCAACAAACTATAAGTTGGTTTTATGAAAGGATAAACAAGATTGATAGAC
The DNA here is from genome assembly GCF_000001405.40 of Homo sapiens. Lineage (NCBI taxonomy): Eukaryota > Metazoa > Chordata > Mammalia > Primates > Hominidae > Homo > Homo sapiens. The sequence continues at coordinate 9,385,221 of NC_000007.14, read as the reverse complement.
CATTAGCTAAATTAACAAATTAAACAAGAGAAGATGCAAATAAGCACAATCGGAAACAACAAAGGCGACACTACAATTAATCCCACAGAAATACAGTAGATTATTCGAGACTATTATGACACCTCTATACAGACTGTCTGTTTGCATTGCTATAAAGGAACATCTAAGGCTGGGTAATGTATAAATTTTTAAAAAAGTTTATTTGACTCATGGTCCTTCAGGCTGTACAAACATGGTGTCACCTTCTGCATTTCTTCTGTGAGGCCTAAGGAAGTTTTTGATCATGGTAGAAGGCAAAGGGGAAGCCAGCGTATCACATGCAAAGAGCAGAAGAAAGAGAGAGAGGATGAGGTGCCAATCTCCTTTTAAACAACCAGTTGCATGAGCTAATAACGTGAGAAGTAACTTATCACCAAGGTAACGGTGCTAAGCCATTCAGGAGAAATCCACCCCCATGATCCATAACTTGCTGCTAGGCCTTACCTCCAATATTGGGGATTGTGTTTCAAAATGAAATTTGGAGAGTACACAGATCCAAACCATCTTACACAAAAATTGGAAAGTCTAGATGAAATGGACAAATTCATGGAACCACAAAACCTTCCAAGTTTGAATCTGGAAGAAATATAAATCCTGAATAGACTAATATTGAGTTCTGCAATTGAATCAGTAATAAAAAATCTACCAATGATAAAAAGCTCCAGATCAGATGGATTCCAGCTGAATTCCACCAGATGTACAAAGAAGAATAGGTACAAAATCTACTGAAATTATTCCAAAAAAATCAAGATTAAAGGCCTCCTCTCTAATTCATTCCACAAAGTCAGCATCACGTGGATACCATCTGGCAAAGACACAATGTAAAAAAAGCTACAGGCCAATACCCCTGATGAACATAGATGTAAAAATTCTCAACAGAATACTAACAAATGAAATTCAGCAGCATATCAAAAAGTTAATTCACCACAATCAAGTAGGCTTTATTCCTGGGATGCAAGACTGGTTCAACACACACAAATCAATAAACGTAATTCAGTACATGAACAGAATTAGAAACAAAAACCATTTAATCATCTCAATTGATGTAGAAAATGCTTTCAATAAAATTCAACATCCTTTATGATAAAAATTCTCAGCAAACTAAGGATCAAAAGAACATACCTCAATGTAATTGCAATAAGAGTCATCTGTGACAGTCTCACAGCTAACATCATACTGAACATGTAAATGCTGGAAGCATTCCCCTTAAGAACAATAACAAGACAAAGATGCCCACTATCACCACTCCTATTTAATATAGTACTGGAAATCCTGGTCAGAGAAATCAGACAAGATACAAAAGCAAAAGCCTTCCAAATAGGAAAATAAGTCAAATTATCTCTGTTAACTAACAACGTGATTATATACCTAGAAAACCCTAAAGACACTGTCAAGAGGATCCTAGAACCAATAGCTGATTTTAATAAGGTTTCAGTATACAAAAGTTATGTATAAAAATTAGTATCATTTTTATACACAAGAAATGATCATGCTGCAGGCCAAATCAAGAATGCAGTCCCATTCATGATTGCCACAAGCAAACAAAATACCTAGGAATAGGTATTTCTCTATAAGGATAACTATAAAACACAGCTGAGAGAAATCATAGACATAGAAATAGAAAAACATTACTTGCACCTGGGTTAGAAAAATCAATATCATTAAAGTGGCCATGGTGCCCAAAGCAATATAAAGATTTAAGACTCTTTCTATCAAACTTCCAATGTCATTTTTTTACAGAATTAGGAAAAACTATTTTAAAATTTATATGAAACCAAAAACAAGCCCAAATAGCCAAAGCAATCCTAGGCAAAAAATAACAAAGTTGGAGGCATCACATTATCCAATGTCAAACCATACTATAAAGCTACAATCACCAAAAAAACATGGTACTGGTACAAAAAGAGACACAAAGATCAATAGAAAAGAATAGAGAACTTAGAAATAAAGCCAAACGCATACAACTATCTGATCTTCTTCAAAGTTAACAAAAATAAGCAAGGCAAAAAGGACTTTCTATTCCATAAACGGTGCTGGGTATGATAACTGACTAGCCACACACAGAATAATGATACTGGACACATGTCTTTCACCATGTACAAAAATTAACTCAAGATGGATTAAGAATTTAAATTTAATGCCTCAATCTGTAAAAATCTTAGAAGAAAACTAGGAAATACCATTCTGGACATAGATAAAGAAAAGAAGTTTACTTAGCATGAAGTTTACTTAGCTCATTGTTCTTCAGGCTGTACAAGCATGGTGCCAGCGTCTTCTCTTCTTCTGGTGAGGACTAAGGAAGTTTTCGATCATGGCAGAAGGTAAAGGGGGAGTGGGCATATAACATGCAGAGAGAGGAAGCAAGAGAGAAGATCAGATGCCAGGCTTCTTTTAAACAAACAGCTCTTGCATGAAATAATAGTGTGAGAACTACCTTATCACCAAGGGAGTGGTATTAAGCCATTCATGAAGGCCATGAGCCTTGGCAAATAATTCATTACTAAATCCTCAAAAGCAATTGCAACAAAAACAAAAATTAACAAGTAAGACCTAATTAAAAGAAAGAGCTTATGCACAGCAACATAAACTGTCACTAGAATAAACAGACAACCTACAGAATGAAAGAAAATACTCAGCACCTTTGCATCTGGCAATGGTCTATATTCAGAATCTATAGAACACTTAATCAATCCAAAAAGAAAAAGCAAACAACCCCATTAAAAACTGTACTGGGCTTAATACCTGAGTGATGAAATAATCTGTACAACAAACCCCCACGACACTAGTTTACTAGTTTATCTATGTAACAAACCTTCCCATGTACCCCTGAACCTGAAATAAAAGTTAAAACAAAAACAAAGACTCTTAAAAAAAAGTGCACTAAGGACATCAGATATCATCTCATACCAGTCAGAATGGCTCCTTTTTTTTTTTTTTTTTTTTTTTGAGACAGAGTCTCGCTCTGTCTCTCAGGCTGGAGTGGCATGATCTCAGCTCACTGCAACCTCCACCTCCCAGGTTCAAGCAATTCTCTGCCTCAGCCTCCCAAGTAGCTGGGATTACAGGCGCCCACCACCACGCCCAGTTAATTTTTCTATTTGTAGTAGAGACGGAGTTTCACCATGTTGGCCAGGCTGGTCTCTAACTCCTGACCCCAAGTGATCCACCCGCCTCAGCTTCCCAAAGTGCTGGGATTACAGGCGTGAGCCACTGAGCCTGGCCCAGAGTAGGTCCTATTAAAAAGATAAAAACAAAACAAAACAAAACAGATGCTGGCGAGGCTGCAGGGAAAATGGAATGCTTACACATCGGTAGTGGGAATGTAAATTAGGTCAGCCACTGTGGAGAGTAGTTTGGAGAGTTCTTAAAAAGCTAAAAATAGAACTATCCTTTTATCCAGCAATCCCTCTACTGGATATCTATCCAAAGGAAAAGAAGTTATTTTATCAAAAAGAAACCTGCATTTATATGTTTATCACAGCACTATTCACAATAGAAAGCTAATGTAATCAACCTAGGTGCCATCAGCATTGGACTGGATAAAGAAAATGTAATACATATACAGGATGCAACACTTCATAACCATAAAAAAAAGAATGAAATCGTGTTCTTTTGCAGCAACATGCATGAAGCTAGAGGCTAAAATCGTTAAGAATCGTTAAGTGCGTTAATGCAGTAGCAGAAAACCAAATACTGCAAGTTCTCACTTATAAGTAGGAGCTAATCTTTGAGTACACTTGGACGTAAAGATGGTAACAACAGACACGAGGAACTGTTAGAGAGGGGAGAGAGGTAAGGGAGAGTGCTGAAAAACTACCTATTGGGTACTATATACATTCATTACCTGGGTTAGACAATCATTTTTACCCTATACTTAAGTATCATACAATATACCCATGTAGCAAAGTGCATATGTGGTCCCTGAACATAAAATAAAAATTGAAATTATTTTAAAAATTATAAATTTTGAAGGTGAAGAATACCACAATTACCCTGAGTTGATCCTTAGACATTCTGTGCATGTCACAAACACTCATATGTACCCAACAAATCTGTAAAATAACGTGTATTAATAAAAGAAAAATTGTAAATCGGAAAATAAAAGCACCAAGAATAGAGAGGATAATCTTGCAGAAGAAACTTGAAAGTCTTATACACTCAGATATGAAGACCTACTGTCAAAAAGATTAAAGCAATATGTTATTGGAATGAGAAGAGTTAAATGGGAAAAAACAGAAAGAATGACTCTTTTGGTAAATCATGATGCAAAAGTAGAATATTTGAATACGAAAAAAGAAGCTCACATCTAACAAATAACACCATACCTAAAAGTCAATTTTAGAGAGATTTCAAACTTAAATCTGAATGGTAAAGCAATGAAGATCAGAGAAGAAAACAGATAGAATATCTTTATGACCCTATAGCAGGCAAAATATTTTTAAACATGTCTAAAATTGCACTCACCATAAAAATAAAATAATTATTAATATAAACAGGATTGCAATAAAATCAAGAATTTATGTTCAATAACATTAAGCGAGTGATATGAAAAACACCTATGTATGTGTGTGTTTTATACATATATGTGTATAAAAATCTCCCAAAGAACACTTATCCACAATAAAAAGAATATGTATAATTTAAAAACAAAAAGGCAATCCAACTGATAAAATGTGCATGTGCAATAGGGAAGAATAAGACCTAAACAGGCATTTTACCAAAGAACTGATGGTCGAGTAGTATTTAGAAAGTGGCAACCTAGTTAATCATCATCAATTATAAACAAATTAAGTCCATAGCACGATAGACTTATATACCATCAGATGAGAGAATGGTCAAAATAAAAATGACAGACATTACTAAGGTCTATATTTTACAATTCATCATTTTTTTCTCTTTATCATATTATTTTTCTGAATTCTCAAGGTTTATCTTTGGTTCTGTAAGTACTCATATTTTACATTTAATTTAATAATTGTTAGTGTTCTTACTTTTCAAATATTAGCACTTAAGAGTACTTCTCACTAAAGGTTCTAATTTAACTTAATTTCCAATAGTTTCGTATGTATTATTTTAACCTGCTTTGTTTCATATTAAAATTGCTACTCAATATTTTTTCTTCTTCTTATCCTTTTACCTGTGAGTTATTTAAATGTTTGCTGTTTAATGTTTCAAGTTGAGAGTATCTGAATTACTCGTTTTGAAAATGTTTGTTATTTTTTCCAATTTAACTTACATCAGAAACAAAGGTATATATAATACACAGCCTATGATATAAATGTTCATAAATGTTCCACACGCTTGAAAATAACCTAAATTTTATAATTTTTGATGTAACTTTCTATATAAGATACTTTAAGTCAATCATATTCATTTTGCCATTTAAATCTATATCCTTATTAATATTCTCCCTATTTTAACAGATAATTGCTGGAGGAGGTATGTCTAATTCATTTCATTGTGACATTGTGATTGCTAATTTCTCTGCTTCTTCTTGAAGTATAATCATTTTGATTTATACATTTTGAGATACTTTGTGTGTATATATTTAGAATTACTGTAACTTCTTTAAGAACTTAAAACTTTTACTATGATGTTTTTATCCCTTATATTTGCTTTATACCTTAAAATCAGTTTTAAATCCCATTCTATATATAATATGATATACTATATATGTTATATATCCCTTTATTAACTAACTTAGTCATTGTAAATATGCATTATATTCATGTAGTTTTCTCTGTGCTTCTTTATTGTTATTGTAACCTGGATATTAGTGACTAGAAGATAATATCAGTTATAAGTTATTAAAATGTGATAATTAAGCAATAATTGTGCTTCTATAACAAAATACCCAAAATGAAATAGCTTGCAAACAATGGAAATTTATTTCTCACAGTTCTGGAGACTGAAAGTCCAAGATCAAGGTGCAGGCAGATTTGGTGTCTGGTGAGGGCCCATTTCCTGCTTCACACATGGCTCCTTCTTGTGTTTTCACCCGGTGGAAGGAGTGAGGGGTCTTTTTTGGGCTCTTTTATAAGGGCACTTAATCCCACTCACTGCTCCTATGACTTAATTACCTTCCAAAGGCTCCACCTCCTGAAACCATCACCTTGTGGCCTAGGATATTAACATACAAGTCCTGAGGAGACATAATTATTTAGGCCATGGCATGCTGAATTCGTTGTCTGAGATTTTGAGCAGTCTTTATGTGTTGTTTTATTTCTATATCCATTCACTAATGATAATATGATTTTTATGTAAATATGTGTGGTAGTCCTGAAATTTGAATTTCTGTAATGTAGGGCTTTTCATTTCAGAATCCCGGGTAGTCTAGTTTAAGATAGTCCTACAAGAGAAGTTTTATAGCAACTCTGCTGTGTACTTTTTGCTTGAAAAGTCAGAATATAGTGATGAAAAACACTAGCAATAGAAAAATTGTGCTCTCTCTAAATTAGTATTGTGAATTAAGATAATTATGTATAAAGTTTAGAAACAAATATGCAATCTAACACTGTTGACTAAATTGTTGACATTGTACAACAGAAAATCTAGGATATGTATACCAATGACATTTCTGCATCAAAATGTCATAAATGAAGTGGATGAACTTGATATGGTTTTAAAAATCCAGAATTAAGTAGGGATAATAAAGATTTTTAAATGATAAAAGGAAGTTTGTAAGAACATCATTTTATAAAATTTTGTGAATTTTTTCTCTATTTTCAATAATAATTGCTGTCTTAGTGTTAAATAAATTAAAGTCTCTTTCAAAGGTTTGAGGATATCTTTCATGTTTAATTTGTGGATCTATCTCTTTCCTTGGAACATTAAAATGGTGAAATGGTGAGAAAAATACTGCTTATGATTACACCTTCTTTATATTTTTTCCTATGTGAAGATGAGTAATAATATGTGATTGCAGTTAGTATGACCTAGATATTTCAGAATCATTAGTTTTGATCAGTATCTTGCATTAAAATAGTCACATTTATTATTTTTTAAAAAAGAACATTTGATAAGTGGTTATTTCATTTCTCAAACATATAATAAATATACTTGTTTTAAGTGGAGAGCCTTTAAGGTATACATTATTTTTCGTTTATTGTTAGAGAGGATAAGGAATAACCAGAACATAAAACAAATGCAGGTATAGAATATCCTTATCAACCTCAGAGTTCACTGATGCATACTTGTAGTAAATCCTTTCCAAGATCACTGGCCTTTGACAAATTTTGTCACTATCTAACAGTTTTTTATGATTTGAAATTAATGAAATCATAGAGTATATGTTCTTTTGTGCCTGGCACCTTTTGCTCACCATGATGTTTTTAAGATTCATCCATTTTGTTGCTTATCTCAGTAGTGCATTCTCTTTATTGTTCAGTCCTTGTCGATGTGTTTATTCAACTCTCAATGGACATTTGAGTTATTTCAAGTTTGGGGATATTGTAAATAAAATTGCTATGAAAACTCATGTTCAAATATTTTATGGACATATGTTTTTTTTTCTCTTGGTAATAAGAATTTGAATTGCTAGGACATATTTGAAGTACATGCTTGATCTTTTAAGGAACTGCCAAACTATTGTGTCCAAAGTGGTTTGTACCATTTCGTTTTTTCTACCAGCATTATGCTGGAGCCCCAAATGTTCTGGTTATTCTTCATCCTCTCTAACAATGAATAAAAAAAAATAATGCTGGACATTCAACTAAGCATTCCATAACTGTAAGTTACCACTATCATTATCATAATTGTCTGTAGTAACTAGTCGGATGGACAGTGCACCAAGAGTCTGGACAATTGTAGATGGAAACTCATGGTGCTGCAAACAGGGACGTATTCTCAAAAGCATTCAAAAGAACTAAATTAAAGCAAAAACAATGTAATTGCTTTGTGTAACAGCACGGATAAACTAAGCAATGATGCTTGTTTACTAAATTTATAACAATTCATGGTTTGTTTATAGTCAAAAACAGAGTAGTAACTTTTGCAGAAACTTTGTTTATTCACTTATTTATATTAGATAAGCATTCTTCTTTGACTACTGGGTATACTGGGAACTGAGAAGTTTTTTAGGCCTCATTCCTTTGGTGTTCTTCTTAGTCTTAAGCATAAGGCTCAAATTATGTACTAACGTTTAAAGAAGCATCATTTAATCCAGGAATCCAAGTTAGCAGTATCCATTTCCTTTTGCTCCATTCTCCAGGGCTGCCTAGTTGACAAGGAAGCTAAGCCCTCTCATTTCATTTTTTCCTTCTTTGCTCTAGTTTATATTGTTTACCCCTAAGCAATGAATTCATACATTTATCAAGTAGTATGTACAAAATTTAACAGACTTGACGTAATATTTCAATCAAAAATTATACTTTAAAAATATTTTATTGTTTAAGTTTAGAGTGAGACTAATGTATAGGGACCTTTATACATAAAGACTCATTGAACAAATTGAAACTTTTAAGAGTTGTAACATTCTTAGCAACTCTTTCTGGGTAACATTGGATTTTAAAGAGAATAAATTCAACATATCTTAAGAGCTCTTTCCTTACTAATGTTTTGCTAGTCCTGAGGTCAAATGTAAAACTGCATCCTATAATCTTTTAATTTATAATGTCTGTATTTCTACACCCTTCATACTCACATACTTGACAGTTTGGTCTAGTTTTAAAGCCATATTGGTACACTCTAGTTTTGTATGATTATGCTTGCCTGTTAGTTAATCTAAATGCCAGTTGTACAAATGATCAAATAAACAATAAACTGGAGAACAACATAGAAACTTGATTATAAAACAGCTAAAAACTCCTCATTGACTTCACCAAACTAGCATTTTCATTATGTTCACATCTCAAAATCCCTCAGTGTTTATATTGAAACTAATAAACTATAAAGGAAATGAAGAATTGATGCTGTATGCTGCTTTGTTATATATTTTTCCTAACTGATTCTCATTTTGCTTGTCCTTGTTCATTTTAGGTTTTAAAAACATCCTCTAGTACTCATTTTTGTGATGCCTTTTTTAAAGTACACAATGCTTAATATAATACCTTTTGCCTCATTTTTTTATTAATCTATCATCTTTTTTTTCTTAGGCGTACTTTGCCCCACTTATTTGGTCCCATTGCTTTATTGAAAATGAAAATCAGAAGATGTCATAATTATTGACTTTGTGTGGCGCATTATAAATTGCTAAGCTTTTCTGAATCTCATTTGGATTATTTTTGAAACTTGATTTCTAAGAGACTTACAAATTTAATATCCACGGTGTTTCTAAATGAAATTTCACTTATTTCAGAGATTACACGGTTCAAATAAATAATTCTACAATTACTTGATGAATTTATAAATGTATTCACAATTAAGTCAAATAAGAGAAAATAATACTTGTCATTTGAAATGATTTTGAATACTGTATTTTTATGTAAGCAATTAACTTCACACACAGTATAATCTAGGTCATTTTTTTTCTGAAAATACTCAATTATATTTACCATAGGCAGTGTTAAAAAGCAATTGACTAGGAAGAACAGATCTTAAAACAGAAGCTGTGATATATATGTTAGGAAGTGACCCTCTTTGGCCATAAGCTTCTCAGGATAATTTTTTTAAAATCAGTTTCTTTAGAATTTATAAGAGTGATGAGTAAAATGGTGAAATCCCAAGAGACAATTGTTACATGAAACCCTTTCCAAATATCTACCTATACTGTGAGGAAAGCAACAACATACCTTAGGTATGTTGATTTGAACAATCTGACTGGGAGAGACCTACAAAAGGAGCATATTTTGGCTAATCCTAGCATTTCTATAAATATAGACAGGTTGAAAACTTATCAAAGCTAAATTTCCAAGAGCATAATCATGAATTTGCTATAGCAAATAAATAACAATATAGAAGAATCCTGGAATCTTCATGCTAGAAGGAACTTTTATAGCTTATATAATTTCAAACTTTATTTTTAGGATAAGTGTGATAGTTAATTTTATGTGTCAACTTGATTAGACTAAGGGACACCCATATACCTAACAGAGCATTGTTTCTGGGTATGTGTCTACGGATGTCGTAGGGGCTTTCCAAACGTGATTAGCGTCTGAATTTATAGACTGAGTAAAGAACATCATCCTCATCAATGCAGATATGGGCATCATCCATCCTTTGATGGCCTAAATAGAACAAAAAGGCACCTGTTGAGCTGGGCCATCTATCCTATCCTGCCCTTGGACATCAGTGATCCTGGTTCTCAGGCCTTAGACTCAGACTGTAGCCACATTCCCCCAACACTCGTGGTTCCAGAACTTTGGGCATAGACCAGAATGATACAATTGGCTTTCCTGGGCCTCCAGCTTCCACATAGAATATCATGGAAATTCTCTGCCTCCTTAGTCACATAAGCCAATCCCACATCATAAATATATTTATATCTATCCATCAATCCTATTGGCCCTATTTCTCTGTAGAACTCTGGCTTATAAAATAAGGAAGTGAAACCAGAAACCAACTATTAACAGAGCTCAAGAAATTACCAAAATTCCTAATTTTTAATTCATGTTTCTGTAAGTAACAGTATTTATATTATTATATTTTTAAATACATTTTAATTAATAATTGCATACATAAATTCTTCCTTTTTTTTCTACACTGGGTATACTAACATCATCCTTTCTAAGTACACAATTAACACCACTGTACTTCTTGCCCAGACCCTGCATTATAAGAACATACTTTGCAAGGAGAATCAATTACTTGAGTTTTGAACAATACTAATTGTTGAATCAGTCAACAGTGAATGAAGGTATGTAAGAGAAATACATAAAAAAGAAATAATGTGATAATTTTATGCTATTTGAACCTATGTAATCTGTGTCCTAAATATGTGTTAACTTTTTTAAACATGTATTAACTTTTTCTCCTTGTTTACAGATGATTCATGTTAGATTTCATCTTTGAAAGAATTGACAATTTTCTATATTTTAAAAAAAAATTTCAATGGACAGTAATAATAAGGAGTCAAGTAATTGGTCCCTAGATTTAATAAGAACCATTTCACATATTGTAGGACCTTCTTAATATTTATATTTCTACCCTTTTGATGAAATTCAAGTGCATAAAATCTTTGCTTGACAGTCATTTGTATTTGATTGAAATGTGAAATATGCAGATTGAGAAAAGGTTGAATTAGGAAATACATTTATTACATTTTCACTTCAGCATGACAATAAATCTCTCCATCAGATGAAACCAGCCATGTAACTGTCTGCTTCCTTTAGGTGGAAAGATATAAAACTTAATCTATTTTGTGAAACCTTCCTGCAGGAGACTAAAGTAAGCAACAAACCAAAACCAACAAAATGCCTTAGCATCATCCATTCAAGCTCAAACACAAAGAAAACATTGCAGACTATTAAAATTTCTACATACATCGCATATTTTCATGGCATATCTCCATTTCTTAGGGTGCTAATTTTTCCACTTCTCTTCGCTATAGCCATGCATGATTGGTAGCAATATATTCTTAGCCACTTACTTTGACAAAGGAGAAACTAATGAATAAAAAGGTTGACTAGTTTATTGAAGGTCACTTTAGCAGCAGTTCAGCCAAGAAAAGAACTGCACTTTCTCCCTCCTACCTTAGGCGATTGCTTGAAATTTAATTTGGGTATATATACTTCCTATGAAAGTTCAGATCACAAACACATTTTAGCTTAAAGCGCTGCAAGATATGCTTTTGGCTTGAGTTTCCCATCCAGGGAAATCAAATGGAGAAGAGGAAGAATAATCCCAGGGACAAGACGGAAGAACCCCCTAACAATTGCCGTCTTGGCCAAATCATGTACTGTGGAGGGGTACATTCCCACAGTACATTCCAATAACATTACTGTAATACTATGAATATTTCTATTAATATGACAATCAGAACAAAGTTCACAAGTATTCGAATCAAAATTAAAACTATGGTTCATTTTACTCCAAGATCTTTTTTTGAGTAATTAGACTTGATACACCTGGGGACTTAGGGCGACTATATAAAACCTAGCTAAGATAAGTCCACGTAAGGAGCCACCTTACATCAAGTTTGTACGTCGACTTGACAGCTTCTTCTTCCAAGCACCTGAAGTTCTTTGCCCGAGAGGTTTTTCTTACTAGAGGAGGATGCTGCGATCCAGAAACAGGGGAAGTGGGAGGGTTTTAATGTACTGGAGCTCAGCGCAACAGTAGTTAGTGAATAAATACCCTACCTTTCTTGCTGTTCCAGAGGGAGTGGACAATTATTTGTAGTTCTGTGAACATTAATCCTGCATTTGGAGGCTCTTAAAATGACTGTAGTCAGCATGTAGATGTAACAACACCAGGCCAGAAGTCTTGTGTAAGCCAATAGTTTGATAGCCAGGTTGCAAGCCATTTTAGGTAAAAGAAAAGAATAAGGAAAAAATTCACTGAGACTAGAATTATCACTTTCTTGAGAACAATTATCTGATTGGAGTCAAGAACATATAATGGGAAATAATGAGAGATAAGGTTGAATAGATAAGAAGTCAGGGAATCAAATTTTAAAGACTTTTGCTTTTGATTTAATAATGCTTACATAACAACTATAGGTTCTTGACTGTCTTTTAAGATCAGTCTAACACCTACTTTACAGAGAGAGGAGCCAAATATCCTATTAAATGTATTTTCAGTTATTTATTGTGGCATTTTAATAAAGAAAAAGTAAATATCAGAAATATAACAAAATTTAAAAATCTGCCTATATAGGGACTTATTGATTCTCTGTAAATATTACCACTCTAAGAAATGAGAACATTTACCTTAGTATTACATGATAAGGATTTAAGACAGCCATAGAAACTGGGTTTATTTTTCATTAGCAATATTCCACTGACTTGATAGATGGATACATTCTGTTGAATGAATGAGTGACTCTTAAGGAAGATCTCAATATATAAGAAGATAACCTCAAAAAAACCCACAAGGCTGGGTGCAGTGGCTCACGCCTGTGAACTTTGGGAGTTCACTCCCAGAACTTTGGGAGGTCAAGGCAGGTAGATCACCTGAGGTCAGGAGTTTGAGACCAGCCTGGCAAACATGGTGAAACCCTGTCTCTATAAAAATACAAAAATTAGCTGGGCGTAATGGTGGGTGCCTGTAATCTCAGCTACTTGGGAGTCTGAGGCAGGAGAATCCCTTGAAACTGGGAGGTGGAGGTTGCAGTTACCCACGATCAGGCCACTGCACTCCAGCCTGGGTGACAGAGCGAGACTCCACGAAAAAAAAAAAAAAAAAAAAAACACAAAAAAACACGAAAGTAAGGTAGTTATTCTTCTTCCTAGAATGCCAACAGTGACAGGTTTATTTGTTTCTGGAAATAATTAGAATTAAAGTTCATTTTTAAATAAGAGATAAAACCAAGGCTTTGTGAAGCTTTATCATTTAAAACAAATCCAAAATATGTATTGATGTTTATAGAAAAGGATTTTTGTTGTTTGTTTTTAAAATTATTTTTATTTTTAGATTTTTGTTTAAATTAATGGATAAATTTGTATTTATCATGTACAACATGATGTTTGAAATATATATGCACTGTAGAATGGTTAAATCTTTCTCATTAACATATGAGATATATCACAAAGCTATCATTTTTTTTTGTAGTAAGAAGACTTAAAATCTGCTTTCCTAGTATTTGTCAAGAAAGCAATCTATTTTTATCAACTATAGTCACTATGTTATACAATAGATCTCTCGAACTTATTCTATCTAACTGAAATTTGGCATCCTTTGATCAGCGTCTCCCCAGTCCCCCTATTCGAGCCTCTTGTAACCACCATTCTACTCTCTACTGCTATGAGTTCAATTTTTTAGATTCCATATGAGTGAGACGATGTGGTATTTGTATTTCTTTGACTGGCTTATTTCATTTAATATAATCTCCCCCAGGTTCATCCATGTTGTCTCAAATGACAGCAGTTCCTTTTTCTTTATGACTGACTAGTATTCCATTGTTTATTTATACCACATATTCTTTATCCATCCATCCATTATTAGACACTTTGGTTGCTTCCATGTCTTGGCTATTCATTCATGCTACAATGAATATGAAAGTGCAGATATCTCTTTGAGGTACTGATTTACATTTTTTTTTGGACGTACACCAAGTACTGCGATTGCTGGATCAGATGGTAGTTCTATTTTAAATTTTTGGAGGAACGTCCATATCGTTTTCCATAATGGTTCTACATTCCTAGCAACAGTGTACATAAGTATTCCCTTTTCTCTGCATCTTCATCAAAATTTCTCTTGTGGTTTTAATAATAGCTATTGTGACAGGTGTGAATTAATATGTCATTGTAGTTTTAATTTGCAATTCCCTGATGATTAGCAAAATTGGGCATTTTTTCATCAACCTGTTGGCCATTGGTATGCCTTCTTTTGAGAAACGTCTATTCGGGTCAGAAATGTCTGCTAGCCCATTTCGATTTTAATTTAATTTAATTTGTTTTAACTTTTATTTTAGGTTCAGGGGTTCACGTGCAGGTTTGTAATATAGATACATTTTGTGCCACAGGGGTTTGGTATACAGATTATTTCACCACCCACGCAATAACATCGTACCTCATGGGTAGTTTTTTGATCCTTAGCCTCTTTTCTCCCTCCACCTTCAAGTAGGACCCAGTGTCTGCTGTTCCCTTCTTTGTGTCCCTATGTACTCAATGTTTAGTTCCCATATAAAAGAGAACATGCGGTATTTGGTTTTCTGATCCTGTGTTAGTTCACTTAGGTTAATGGTCTCCAGCTCCACCCATGTTGCTGGAAAGGATGTGATCTTGTTCTTTTTTATGACTGCGTAGTATTGCATAATGTATATGTACCACATATTCTTATCCAGTCTACTGTTGGTGGGTATTTAGGTTGACTCAATGATTTTGTTATTATGAATACTGCGCTGCAGTGAGCTTATATGTGCATGTGTCTTTATGGTAGAATGATTTTTATTCCCTTGTGTATATACCCAACAATAGGATTGCTGGATCAAATGGTAATTCTGCTTTGAGTTCTTTAAGAAATTGCCAAACTGCTTTTCACAGTGGCAAACTAATTTACATTCCCACCAGCAGTGTATAAGCATTCCCTTTTCTCCAAAACCTTACCAATGTCTTTTATTTTTTGACTTTGTAATAATAGCCATTCTGACTCGTGTGAGATGGTATCTCGTGGTAGTTTTGATTTGTATTTCTCTAATGATTAGTGAGGTTGAAAAATTTTTATATGCTTCTTGGCCACTTTTATGTCTTCTTTTAAAGTGTCTGCTCATGTCCTTTGTCCACTTTTTAATGGGTGATACAATATAATTTGGCTCTGTTTCCCCACCCAAATCTCATGTTGAGTTGTGATCCCAAGTGTTGGAGGTGGGACCTGGTGGAAGTTGATTGGATCACGGTTATGTTTTCTAATAGTTTAGTATCATCCCCTTAGTGCTGTCTCATGATAGAGCTCTCAAGAGATCTAGTTGTTTGAAAGTGTGTAGCACCTCCCTCTTTGCTCTCTCTCCTGCCAGCCATGTCAAGATGTTCCAGCTTCCCCTTGGCCTTTCACCATGATTGTAAGTTTCCTGAGGCTTCCTGAGAAGCAGAAGCCTATACAATCCACAAAACCATAAGCCAATTAAGCCTCTTTTCTTTATAAATTACACAATCTCAGGCAGTTCTTTATAGCAGTGCAAAAAAAGACTAATACAATGGGGTTGCTTGTTTTTTGCTTGTTGATTTCTTTAAGTTTCTTAGAGATTCTGGGCATTAGACCTTTGTTGAATGCATAGTTTGTAAATATTTTCACCCATTCTGTAGGCCATCTGTTAACTGTTTTTCTTGGTTCTTTTGCTGAGCAGAAGTTCTTTAGTTTAATTAACTCCCATTTGTCACTTTCTGATTTTGTGGCTTTTGCTTTTTAGAACTTACTAATAAATTCTTTGTCTAAGCCAATGCTCAGAAGATTTTTTTTTTCTAGATTTTCTTCTAGGACTTGTATAGTTTGAGATCTCACATATAAGTATTTAATTCAACTTGAGCTGTTTTTAGTACATGGTAAGAGGTAAGGATCTAGCTTCATTCTTCTGTATATGGTTATCTAGTTTTCCCAGCACCATTCATTAAATATGGTGTCCTTTCATTGTTGTTTATTTTTGTTGAAGTTGTGAAAGCTCAGTTGGTTGTAGGTGTGTGGTTCTATTAATATTTCTGAGTTCTGTATTCTATGCTATTGGTCTATGTGTCTATTTTTGTACCAATATTATGTTATTTTGGTTACTGTATCCTTGAAGTATAATTTAAAGCCAGATAATGTGATGACTGTAGGTTTATTACTTTTGCTTAGAATTGTTTGGGCTATTCAGGTTCTCTTTTGTTTGCATATTAATTTTATAATTGATTTTTCTAATTCTGTGAAAAAATAACATTGGTGATTTAACAGGAATTGTTGAATCTGTGGATTGCTTTGGGCAGTATGGTTATTTTAACAATATTGATTTTTCCAATTCATCATCATAGGATGTTTTTGCTATTTCTGTATGCCACCTATAATTTTTTTCAGCAATGTTTTCAGTTTTCCTTGTAGAGATCTTTCACTTACATGGTTAAATGTATTCCTAGGTATTTTATTTTATTTTATTTTTATCTTTTGGCTATTGTGAATGGGATTAACATATTGATTTGGTTTTCAGCTTGAATGTTATTGGTGTATAGAAATGCCACTTATTTTTGTGTATTCATTAGATATCCTGAAACTTTAATAAAGTTTTTTTTATCAGGTCTAGGAGCCATTAGAGGATTCTTTGGGGTTTACTAGGTTTAAAACCATATAATCAGTGAACAGAGATAATTTGGCTTTCTCTTTTCTTATTTGAATGCCTTTTTATGTTTTTCTCTTGCCTGATTACCTGGTTAGGATTTCCAGTACTACACTGAATATGAGTGCTAAGAGCAGACATCCTTGTCTTCTTCCAGTTCTTACGGAAAACGCTTTCAACTTTGCCCATTCAGTATGATGTGAACTGTGGGCTTGTCATGTATGGCTCTCGTTATTTTGAGATATGTTCTTCAATGCCTAGTTTGTTGGGTGTTCTTATCATGATGCCATGTTGAATTTTATCAAGACCTTTTTCTGCATCTATTGAGATGTTCATATTGTTTTTGCTTTTAATTCTGTTTATGTGGTGAATCACATTTATTGCTTTGTGTATGTTGAACCACCCATGCATCCCAGGAATAAAGCCTACTTGATCGTGGTAAATTAACTTTTTTTAACGCTACCAGATTTGGTTTGCTAGTATTTTGTTAAGGATATTTGCATTTATATCCATCAGGGATAATTGCCTGCAGTTATCATTTTTTATTGTATTCATACCAGATTTTGGTATCGGGGTGATACTGGTTTCATAAAATAAGTTAGTAAGCAATTCCTTCTCTTCAATTTTTTATAATGGTTTCAGGAAGATTGGTACCAGCAATACTTTGTATATCTGGTAGGACTCAGCTGTGAATCCATCTGGTTACAGCCTTTTTTTGGTTAAAAGATTTTTATTACTGATCCAATTTCATTATTAATTATTGGTATGTTCAGACTTTCCATTTCTTCCTGGTTCAATATTGACAGGTGGTTTATGTTTTCAGGGATTTATGAATTTCCTCTATGTTTTCTAGTTTATGTGGAGAGATGTTCAGAGTGTTCTCTGAGGATATTTTGTATTTCTGTGTTACCAGTTTTAATATCACCTTTGTCATTTCTGATTTTACTTATTTAAATTATCTCTCTTTTTTTCTTGGTTAGTCTGGTTAGCCATCTATCAGTTTTGTTTGTGTGACATTAGTTTGTTAATTTGAGATCTTTCTATTTTTCCAGTGTAGACTTTTAGTGCTATACACTTTCCTCTCAACATTGCTTTTGTTATATGCCAAAGGTTTTTTTATGTTGGGTCCCTACTTTCATTTGTTTCTAAATTTTTTTTCACCTTCATTTTGTTGTTTATGCAAAAGTCATTCTGGAGCAAGTTGTTTAGTTTCCATCTACTTCTGTGGTTTTGAGAGTACCTCTTGTGATTGATTTCTAATTTCCTTACACTGTAGTCTGAGAAGATGCCTAATAGGAATTTTATTGTTATTTTTTGAATTCATTAACACTTGCTTTATGACAAAGTATGAGACCAATTTTAGAGAATGTTCTGTGCACGGATGAGAAAATATATATATTATGGTTGTTTGATGAAGTATTCCATAGATGAGTATGAGAGACATTTGGTCAAGAGTCCAGTTTAAGTCTAGAGTTTCTTTGTTTTCTGCCTCAATGATCTGTCTAGTGTTGTCAGTGGATTGTTTAAGTCCCCACTATTATTGTGTGTTTGTCTACCTCTTTTATAGGTCTAGTAGTATTTGTTTTATAAATCTGGGTGCTCCAATGTTGAGTGCATATATATTTTAAGATAGTTAAATCTTCTTGCTGAGTTGAACGCTTTATTATTACATAATGCCCTTCTTTATCTCTTTTTACTTTTGTTGGTTTAAAGTCCGTTTTATCTGATACAAGAACAGCAAACCTTGTTCTTTTTTGTTTTCCATTTGCATAGTAAATCTTTCTCCATCCCTTTACGTTGAGCCTATGGGTGTCATTACATGTGTGATCAATCTTGAAGACGTCAGAAGGTTGGGCCTTATTTTTGCTACCCAATTTATCACTCTATGCTTTAAGTGAGCATTTTGGCCATTTATGTTCAAGGTTAATATTGATATGTAATGTGTTCTTCTGCCATAGTTTTATTAGCTATTTGTAGTCTCAATTGTGTAATTGTTTTATGGAATCTGTGAGCTTTGTACTTATGTGTGCTTTTATGGTAGCAAATATTACTCTTTAATTTTCATGTTTACAAATCCTTTGAGCATTTCTTATAGGACTGATCGGTTGATGAAATTTCTTAACAGTTGGGTGTTTGGGAAATACTTTACTTCTCCTTCACTTATGAAGCTTAGTTTAGGAGGATATGAAATTCTTGGCTGTCATTGTTTTTATTTAATAAGGCTAAAAATCAGACCCCAATGTCTTCTGGTTTTTAAGGTTTCTGCTGAGAAGTCTGATGTTTGTCTGGCTAGATTTCCTTTATAGGAAAAGTTGTGCCTGTTCTCTAGCTGCTGTTAAGAATTTTTTTGCATTGACCTTGTGTAGTCTGATGACTGCATGCCTTGAAGATGGTCATCTTGTGTAGTATTTTGCAGATGTTCTCTGAATCTCTTGTATCTGAATGTCAAACTCTCTAGCAAGATTAGGAAATATTTTTTCTGAATTATTCCCTCAAATATATTTTTTTAAATCGCTTACTCCATCTTATCTTTCAGGAATGCCAATAAGTCATAAATTTGTCTGCTTTACATAATCCCTTAAAGGCTTTGTTCATTTTTTTTTTCAATTCTTTTTTCTTTATTTTTGTTGGATTGGGTCAGTTCAAAAGACTAGTCTTCAAGCTCTGAAATTCTTTCTTCTTCTTGATCTAATCTGTTGTTAAAGTTTACAACTATATTTCAAAATTCACTAGTGAATTTCAATTCCCAAAATTCTATTTTTTTTTTCTAAATACAGCTATCTTGTCTTCCATAACCTTAACAATTTTCCTGGTTTTTTTTTTTTTTTTTGTACTGCATTTCAATGTTCTCTTGGATCTTGTTAAGTTTCCTTGCAGCCCATAATTTGAATTCTTTATCTCTTATTTCAGACTTTTCAATTTGGCTAGGATCCATTGCAAGAGAGCTAGTGTCATTCTTTAGAGGTGTCAAGACTCTGGCATTTTGTACTGCTGAAATTCTTGCACTGATTCTTTCTCATCTGAGGGAGCTATTGTTTCTTATTTTTTGAATTAGCTATTATTTGGATGAGACTTTTTAAAAATCATTTTTCCCTTAAGAGGATAACTGTCACGCATGCTTTGTATAATTGTTTGGCTTTGTTTCTAGCTGCTTTCAGGGAGCCAGGCTCTGCATGGGTTCCCTGGTTGTAAATGGCTTCTGAGTAGTGGCTTTTTCAGATGGTCCTCATTATAGTGGTGTATCGAATGTCTGAGCTGACACACTTTCTCCTGCGGGGCTGAGGATGTGGGGATCTCAGGAAGCTTATCTTGTGAACCAGCACTAAGCCTTTCTAGCAGCAGGGTTTTTATTTGGTGGTGTAGTTCAGGCTGCAGTCCAGTAGATAATGCTTAAGAGTGAGTGCCAACTCACCCTCAGGTTGGATGATGTTGGGGTGCACTGAGGTCTCAGGAAAAGGAGCAGGGAGGGTACAGCAGCTCCTTGTCCTGATTCAGCAGGAATGCTATCTACTTCCCTATCACACTTCTGTCACAGCATTCATGACCATTAGTTAATAAAGCCTTTGTCCATTAGTTGTCAGCTACAATGTTGCTACAGGCTGTGGATACACCCCTCTAATGGCTACCACCAAAACGGGCTCAGGGCAGGACCTTTTCTCCCGGTCCAGAGTAGGAAAATCCATGATTTGTCTGTCCTCTGTTACCAGGATGCTGCCACTCTGTGTAGGGAGAGGGAGTTGGACCTTGCCCTTCATGTAAGCCCAAGCAGTGCAGGCTCACTTTTGGGAGAGGTGGAGCCACTGTGAAAAGCATGAAAAATGCTTTCTCTAAGAGCACACTCATTGCTGTCCACTGGGAAGAACCACTGCCGTGTCCGCAGCAGTTGACAGACGTGGGAGTGCCAGGAGATGACCCCTTCTCCACATCCATTCCCAGGCATCAATGATGTCCCCTTAAGCGACTGGCACTGCAGAATGTTTCTTTTGATCCATGGAGGGCTTTGGCTGGCTGCGCTCCTCTATTCCTTAAGCGTTGCCCAAGCTGAGTGTTATATCTGCAGTAGTCCCGTAGCTCCCTGAGGACTCATTGGCCCCCTGTGCTCTCCAGTCATATCACTTATGAGGTATGTTTGTGGGGGATCTGGTGGCGTGGTAACTCAAGAGCAGATAATTCCTGGGTAGGGCAGTGTCCTACCACAGGTGCAACACCAGTATGGTGATCACTGTTCCAGTTCAGGTCTTGAGAGTGTGGGCATGCGTGCAAGAGTTGACCACCTGGTTCTCTTTCCTCAAGAAGTTTCCAAATTGTCATTGAATGTGCTTCCCTGGTTTACAGGAGCAGAGGGGCTCCCCAACAAGTTAGCAATCAGCAGATTGTCAGAAGGGCGATGGGAGCAGAGAAGCAGTCCTACCTACACTTTCCATGTGGCCCCAAGTTCCAAACTCTTGCTTCTTTATTTTCTGCACCCCAGTTTTTCCCTGTGGGGACTCTGACACGTTATGGCTCTCCTTCCTCCGTTTTCCATTTGAAACTTGTCCAGTCACCAGTAACTTTGAGCTTTTTTTCTGAGGAGAACAGGAATCTGATGTCCCTAGTTGGTTATGTTGCAAAAACTTTTTCTATAGAAGGGTTTTTAAAAAATTGGCTGAAATATTGGAAACATTTCAGGAATGATCTGCAAGTCATTACTACAGTGTTATTTTTGTCACTCCTTTTACCCACTGATAGAATGATTCCTGAAAATATATGCCAACAGGTTATTTAGAAACTCTTAATTTTAATAGAAGATATTACAATGATATATTAAATAATGCTTCTATCATAACTAAAATCTATCTGCCATTGATAGCTATATGGCCAATATTTTCCATTTTAAGTCAACTTTTAAATGTAGGGAAATGAAATACAATGGGATTTTAAAGGGTTTTTTAAATGAACAAATGAATATAGTCTAGATATAATTAAGAATACTCAATCTATCCATCCCACATTCATTTTTATTTTGGGCATAAATCCTTTGCATTAGGCTAATTCTAGTGAAGTGGTGATAGTAATTATATGATACTATAGTTTTATTCCTTGCTTTTCTTATAATGCATACTACATGAATATATATGTAACTACCATAAAAATCATAAATTGTATACACCCAGCTGAACATAATAGTCTAAAATTGAAAACATCACAGGCAAAGCATTATGCTTAATAGTATCTCAGACATCTCAGACAGACAACTGCATAAATTCTAAACTATTTCTATGATTTTAAAGGTATCAGAAAGGAGAGGATAATAAAAATTTGAGAAGAAATGTAATCACAATGGAGTACATTGTTACACTTTAAATATCACAGATTTTTTTGGAATATTTTAAATTGTTTTAACTTCAAATATGGATAATTATTAAAATGTAAAATCAATTCATTTACATAATATAACTGTAACCGTACTAATAAGATCAGTTTTAGATCATGACAGAGATCAGACGTAACTACTGATAGTTTATGTAACTATTAGTTGAGTCAGAAATCCAAATTCTCCCCACTATCTCTGAAATAATAAGCCCAATAGATTCCCCCTTCTTAGCTGGAGTGCAGTGGCATGATGATAGCTCACTCCCCAGCTCAAGTCCTCCTCCCATCTCAGTCTCCTAAGTAGCTGAGACCACAGCTGTGTGTTGTCATGCCCAGCTAGCTTCACTTTTTGGTCTCACTGT
The DNA here is from genome assembly GCF_000001405.40 of Homo sapiens. Classification (NCBI taxonomy): domain Eukaryota; kingdom Metazoa; phylum Chordata; class Mammalia; order Primates; family Hominidae; genus Homo; species Homo sapiens. Next base: position 9,362,631 of record NC_000007.14, on the reverse strand, counting down.
GTTTCCCAGGTTAGTTTTGTACTCTTGAGCTCAAACAATCCTCTTGGTCTGGCCTCTCAAAGTGTTGGGATTGCAGGCATGAGACACTGTGCTCAGCCTTCATACAAAATATCTATACCTTGTGTTATGTACTACTATAAAACAGAGTAATATTTCTTCATAATTAAAACTATGCTGCGATTTTCAGAGTCCCAGAGTAAAGCTGTAGGACAGAAAATAATGCAGAGATACGTGTCTGGCCTGATTGGTGCCTTTGCCATTATTTTCAGATGTATGCTCAATTTGGGTTCAACTTCTCTCTTCCATACTCTTTTTTACATAATGGAGGAATCTATATACATTTTTCACTTACCTATGCATTTTATTATGTAGCAATTGTTTTTGATGCAATTAGTTAATATTTTACAAAGTGAATGAGCTACGTGTATCAAATAGCCTCAGTTTATTTTTTGGAAATGGCACAGAATAATAAAAATACCTACATATTAGTCTTCATTCTACAATTAATATTGTAGTTGATATTGTATTGGGCAATTTAGTTTCAGTGATAACTTACAAATTGACCTTGTTATATATCTTCCATTCCTCATATATTGAAGAGATAGTTATATTAATGGAGGGTATTTAAAATGCACTGATTATTTCCTCTCTCATGTTTCTTAGAGCATCAAATATCCCAAAATTTTGCTTTTACTTTGGCCATCACCATACAAATCACTTAGTAATTTGTGATTGCTAATATACCAATTATCTGGTTTTTCCTTATTGCTAAGGGCTATTTCTATGAGGAATTTTAATAATCTCTTGAAATAGCATATCTCACTATGCATGTTCCTAGTCATATAGCAAAATAACATCTCTCAATTATATTAGATAATCTTAATAAACTCATTCATTCATTCACTCATTTACTTTATTTATTTATTTATTTATTTTTGCCATAAGCCAGGCATTATGTTAAGTTCAGTGAGAATTAAAAGAAAATATGCATGATTTTTTGTGTAACATAAATTGGGAATGTATTTGGATCAGCATCAGTGAGGGCAGAAAACACAACTCACCCAAATGGTTAAGATCAAGAAACTTTGGAAAAATGGCTGCTTAGAAAGGTGTGGTGAGGATGCACAGACAAATGAGGGATGGTAAAAGCTGTTGATACTCACTGGGTGAATGAACAAGGAGAAGATACACAGTTATCATAAATCATTGAGAACTGGAACCATCTAGAGGCAGGATTACATAGCAGGAGTGAGCGATGAGAGTACCTAACTCACAGCTAGTTTAGGATATTATGAAGAAGCATTAAAAAACCAGTCCTGTATTTTTACTTCTCATTATCTATTGCTGTGTTTTGAGGAAAAGGCACCAAAGCAAAAGCAGTGTGCACAATGGTACTGTAAATCATGCAGGCATACAATTTACTTTTGCATTCTAAAACTGTTTTTGGCCAGTATTATAAATACCATTTAGTGACAAAATTCTGCTGAACACAACCCACTTTAGATTTGGTGATTTGGTTTAAATATCATTCTGTTCATGACAGGAAGATCAGATCACATACCTACATTTTGTTTCATACACATTTAGTTTCTATCAAGTAGTGAGCTTAAAGCTGCCTCTCAATTGGACAATAATTTGTAGCAGAAGAGGGCTCCACTTTGCTCTAAAATCCTAGTGGTTCCCAAGTGTTTGTCTAATTAAGACTTGGCAGATATGCCATAAGCACCACTGACTGCTTGCTACACACACCATAAGCAACACTGAGTATACTGGGTCATTATGGCCAACTGGCAGCGTTGTTTATACCAACGTATGGATCTGCAGGAGAGCTTCTTTTCCTCTGAGCCCTTCTCAAATAGTCTGTCATGTTACTCAATAAACTGATTAGAAATTCATCCTCAAGAACTCTTTTACACAGTTGGCGGGAATGTAAATTGGTTCAATCATTGTGGAAGACAGAGTGGCGATACCTCAAGGATCTAGAACCAGAAATACCATATGACCCAGCAATCCCATTACTGGATATATATCCAAAGGAATATAAATCATTCTACTATAAAGACACATGCACACGTATGTTTATTGCAGCACTATTTACAACATCAAAGACATGGAACCAACCGAAATGCCCACCAATGATAGACTGGATAAACAAAATTTGGCCCATATACACCATGGAATACTATGCAGCCATAAAAACAATGACATCATGTCTTTTGCAAGTACATGGATGAAGCTGGAAGCCATCATCCCCAGCAAACTAACAAAGGAACAGAAAACCAAAGACCGCATGTTCTCACTCATAAGTGGGAGTTGAACATTGAGAACACATGGACACAGGGAGGGGAACAGCACACACCAGGACCTGTTGGTGGGTGAGGGTTGATGAGAGAGAACTTAGAGAATAGGTCAATAGGTGTAGCAAACCACCATGGCACACGTATATCTGTGTAACAAACCTGCACGTTCTGCACATGTATCCTTTTCTTTTAAGAAGAAATAAAGAAAAAAAAATAAATGGCTTGCTTTTCTCTTTAAAAAAAAGAAATTCATCCTCAAATGTGACAAATATTACCTCCAACATCCAAAGAGGCATACTAAGATTGTGTAATTATTTTTCACGATGATAGAATGAAGGTGCAGAAACTTGTATTTCATATCACAAGGAATATCTCAACATTTCCTAGACAACTGAATTCCAAGATACCACCAACGTGGCAGGTTATGAGTTTGCTATTGGTGCTTATGTCTCTCCATATAGCATTTGTACTTCTTATAAAAGCATCTAGGGACATACAACTTCTTACTCATCAGAAGTAGTTAGCATAATTCTATCCATTTAAGGGAATTACATAATTTTCTGGGATATCAAGCATTTGTATTTGCTCTGGGATATGAGGAAGAGAGGGGAGGTGACATAATCTTGAGGCAAGATAGTGAAGACCTATTGCTCTCATGGCCAGTTGAAGGTACACTCCTTTGGCTTATCTTTACTAATTATGATTGAGAATATAGTGGCTATATAATTTATTATCAGCTAAAAAAGAATACTTAGAGAGTAAAAGGGAGTGCTATTAATAATAACATCAGGACACTAGGAATAAAATGAGACTGTCCCAACTTAATTGGGTTGCAAGTTTATCCATAATTCTGACTTACAGGACTTTGTAGAGACCTTCCCTTCAATTCTGATCATCCTCTAGAGTTCAGAATTATTTTGTTAACATATTATCTGTTTGACCTAATTATAATATATTTTGATATTAAAATAATATTTTTCCACTTTCAAGCCGTTTCACATCATAAAAATTAGTTCAATTTGCCTTTAAAAATCAAATACCTATTTTTTACTGATAATTGACTGGCCCACTAGTTTCTTTATTTTGCAATTGTAGCAGAAATGTGATAAAATCAAAACTGTATGTGTCAGGCCTCTGAGCCCAAGCCAAGCCATCGCATCCCCTGTGACTTTCACGTATACACTCAGATGGCCTGAAGTAACTGAAGAATCACCAAAGAAGTGAATATGCCCTGCCCCACCTTAACTGATGACATTCCACCACAAAAGAAGTGTAAATGGCCGGTCCTTGCCTTAAGTGATGACATTACCTTGTGAAAGTCCTTTTCCTAGCTCATCCTGGCTCAAAAAGCACCCCCACTGAGCACCTTGTGACCCCCACTCCTGCCCGCCAGAGAACAAACCCTCTTTGACTGTAATTTTCCTTTACCTACCCAAATCCTATAAAATGGCCCCACCCTTATTTCCCTTCGCTGACTCTCTTTTCAGACTCAGCCCGCCTGCACCCAGGTGAAATAAACAGCCATGTTACTCACACAAAGTCTGTTTGGTGGTCTCTTCACACGGACACGCATGAAATTTGGTGCCGTGACTTGGATCGGGGGACCTCCCTTGGGAGATCAATACCCTGTCCTCCTGTTCTTTGCTCCGTGAGAAAGATCCACCTACGACCTCAGGTCCTCAGACCGACCAGCCCAAAGAACATCTCTTCAATTTTAAATCAGGGAAGCGGCCTCTTCTTACTCTCTTCTCCAACTTCTCTCACTGTCCCTCAACCACTTTCTCCTTTCCACTCTTCAATCTCTCCCTTCTCTTAATTTCAATTCCTTTCATTTTCTGGGAGAGACAAAGGAGACACGTTTTATCCGTGGACCCAAAACTCCGGCGCCGGTCACGGACTGGGAAGGCAGTCTTCCCTTGGTGTTTAATCATTGCAGGGACGCCTCTCTGATTATTCACCCACGTTTCAAAGGTGTCAGACCATGCAGGGACGCCTGCCTTGGTCCTTCACCCTTAGCGGCAAGTCCTGCTTTTCTGGGGAAGGGGCAAGTACCACTCAACCCCTTCTCCTTCACTCTTAGCGGCATGTCCCACTTTTCTAGAGGAGGGGCAAGTACCCCAACCTTGTATCTCTGCGCCCCAATCCCTTATTTCTGTGCCCCAACCTCTTATATCTCTGCACCCCAATCCCTTATTTCCACACCCCGACCTCTTATCTCTGCACCCCAATCCCTTATTTCCGTGCCCTGACCCCTTATTTCTGTGCCCCAACCCCTTATTTCTGTGCCCCGACCCCTTATTTCTGCACCCCATCCCTTATTTCCACACCCCAACCTCTTATCTCTGCGCCCCAACCCCTTTTCCCACTTTTTTGGAAGGTAAGAACCCCCGAACCCCTTCCCTCCATTTCTCTACTCTCTCTTTTCTCTAGGCTTGCTTCCTTCACTATGGGCAACCTTCCACCCTCCATTCCTCCTTCTACTCCCTTGGCCTGTGTTCTCAAAAATTTAAAACCTCTTCAACTCACACCTGACCTAAAACCTAAATGACTTATTTTCTTCTGCAGTGCCGCTTGACCCCAATACAAACTCAACAGTAGTTCCAAACAGCAGAAAATGGCACTTTGAGTTTTTCCATCCTGCAAGATCTAAATAATTCTTGTCGTAAAATAGGCAAATGGTCTGAGATGCCTGACGTCCAGGCATTCTTTTACACATCAGTCCCTTCCTAGTCTCTGTGCCCAGTGCAATTCATCCCAAATCTTCCTTCTTTCCCTCCCGCCTGTCCCCTCAGTCCCAACCCCAAGTGTCACTGAGTCTTTCTAATCTTCCTTTTCTACAGACCCATCTGACCTCTCCCCTCCTCACCAGGCCAAGCTAGGTCCCAATTCTTCCTCAGCCTCCACTCCTCCACCCTATAATCCTTTTATCAACTCCCCTCCTCACACCCAGTCTGGCTTACAGTTTCGTTCCATGACTAGCCCTTCCCCACCTGCCCAGCAACTTATTCTTAAAAAGGTGGCTGGAGCTAAAGGCACAGTCAAGGTTAACGCTCCTTTTTCTTTATCCCAAATCAGATAGCATTTAGGCTCTTTTTCATCAAATATAAAAATCCAGCCCAGTTCATGGCTCATTTGGCAGTAACCCTGAGACGCTTTACAGCCCTAGACCCTAAAAGGTCAAAAGGCCGTCTTATTCTCAATATACATTTTATTAGCCAATCTGCTCCCGACATTAAATAAAACTCCAAAAATTGGAATCTGGCCCTCAAACCCCACAACAGGACTTAATTAACCTCACCTTCAAGGTGTACAGTAATAGAAAAAAGTTGCAATTCCTTGCCTCCACTGTGAGACAAACCCCAGCCACATCTCCAGCACAGAAGAACTTCCAAACGCCTGAACCGCAGCAGCCAGGCATTCCTCCAGAACCTCCTCCCCCAGGAGCTTGCTACACATGCCGGAAATCTGGCCACTAGGCCAAGGAATGCCTGCAGCCCGGGATTCCTCCTAAGCCGCGTTCCATCTGTGCGGGACCCCACTGAAAATCGGACTGTTCAACTCACTGGCAGCCACTCCCAGAGCCCCTGGAACTCCGGCCCAAGGCTCTCTGATTGACTTCTTCCCAGATCTTCTCGGCTTAGCGGCTGAAGACTGACACTGCCCGATCGCCTCGGAAGTCCCCTAGAACATCACGGATGCCAAGGTTCAGGTAACTCTCACAGTGGAAGGTAAGCCCGTCCCCTTCTTAATCAATACGGAGGCTACCCACTCCACATTACCTTCTTTTCAAGGGCCTGTTTCCCTTGCCTCCATAACTGTTGTGGGTATTGATGGCCAGGCTTCTAAACCTCTTAAAACTCCCCAACTCTGGTGCCAAATTAGACAATACTCTTTTAAGCACTACTTTTTAGTTATCTCCACCTGCCCAGTTCCCTTATTAGGCTGAGATACTTTAAATTATCTGCTTCCCTGACTATTCCTGGACTACAGCTATATCTCATTGCTGCCGTTCTTCCCAATCCAAAGCCTCCTTTGCGTCCTCCTCTTGTATCCCCCCACCTTAACCCACAAGTATAAGATACCTCTACTCCCTCCTTGGTGACCGATCATGCACCCCTTACCATCTCATTAAAACCTAATCACCTTTACCCGGTCAACACCAATATCCCATCCCACAGCATGCTTTAAAAAAATTAAAGCCTGTTATCACTTGCCTGCTACAGCATGGCCTTTTAAAGCCTATAAACTCTCCTTACAATTCCCCCATTTTACCTGTCCTAAAACCAGACAAGCCTTACAAGTTAGTTCAGGATCTGCGCCTTATCAACCAAATTGTTTTGCCTATCCACCCCATGGTGCCAGACCCATATACTCTCCTATCCTCAATACCTGCCTCTACAACCCATTATTCTGTTCTGGATCTCAAACATGCTTTCTTTACTATTCCTTTGCACCCTTAATCCCAGCCTCTCTTCGCTTTCACTTGGACTGACCCTGACACCCATCAGGCTCAGCAAATTACCTGGGCTGTACTGCCGCAAGGCTTCACAGACAGCCCCCATTACTTCAATCAAGCCCAAATTTCTTCCTCATCTGTTACCTATCTCGGCATAATTCTCATAAAAACACACGTGCTCTCCCTGCCAATCGTGTCCCACTGATCTCTCAAACCCCAGCACCTTCTACAAAACAACAACTCCTTTCCTTCCTGGGCATGGTTAGCGCGGTCAGAATTCTTACACAAGAGCCAGGACCGCACCCTGTAGGCTTTCTGTCCAAACAACTTGACCTTACTGTTTTAGCCTAGCCCTCATGTCTGCGTGCAGCGGCTGCCGCTGCTTTAATACTTTTAGAGGCCCTCAAAATCACAAACTATGCTCAACTCACTCTCTACAGTTCTCATAACTTCCAAAATCTATTTTCTTCCTCATACCTGATGCATATACTTTCTGCTTCTCGGCTCCTTCAGCTGTACTCACTCTTTGTTGAGTCTCCCACAATTACCGTTGTTCCTGGCCCGGACTTCAATCCGGCCTCCCACATTATTCCTGATACCACACCTGACACCCATGACTGTATCTCTCTGATCCACCGGACATTCACCCCATTTCCCCAAATTTCCTTCTTCCCTGTTCCTCACCCTGATCACGCTTGATTTACTGATGGTGGTTCCACCAGGCCTAATCGCCATGCACCAGCAAAGGCAGGTTATGCTATAGCACAAGCCACTAGCCCGCCTCTTAGAACCTCTCATTTCCTTTCCATCGTTGAAATCTATCCTCAAGGAAATAACTTCTCAGTGTTTCATCTGCTATTCTACTACCCCTCAGGGATTATTCAGGCCCCCTCCCTTCCCTACACATCAAGCTTGAGGATTTGCCCCACCCAGGACTGGCAAATTAGCTTTACTCAACATGCCCTGAGTCAGATAACTAAAATACCTCTTAGTCTAGGTAGATACTTTCGCTGGATAGGTACAGGCCTTTCCTACAGGGTCTGAGAAGGCCACCGCAGTCATTTCTTCCCTTCTGTCAGACATAATTCCTCAGTTTAGACTTCCCACCTCAATACAGTCTGATAACAGACCAGCCTTTATTAGTCAAATCAGCCAAGCAGTTTTTCAGGCTGTTAGTATTCACGAAACCTTTATATCCCTTACGGTCCTCCATCTTCAAGAAAAGTAGAATGGACTAAAGGTCTTTTAAAAACACACCTCACCAAGCTCTGCCACCAACTTAAAAAGGACTGGACAATACTTTTACCACTTTCCGTTCTCAGAAGTCAGACCTGTCCTCAGAATGCTGCAAGGTACAGCCCATTTAAGCTCCTGTATAGACGCTCCATTTTATTAGGCCCCAGTCTCATTCCAGACACCAGACCAACTTAGACTGTGCCCCAAAAAGACTTGTCATCCCTACCGTCTTCTGTCTAGTCATACTCCTATTCACCGTTCTCAACTACTCACACATGCCCTGCTCTTGTTTACACTGCCGGTTTACACTGTTTTTCCAAGCCATCACAATTGGTATCTCCTGGTGCTATCCCCAAACTGCCACTCTTAACTCTTGAAGTAAATAAATAATCTTTGCTGGCAGGACTATGCTGAATCTCCTTAGGCACTCTCTAATCAGATATCCTGAGTCGTCCCACTTCTTAGCCCTTTTATACCTGTTTTTCTCCTTCTGTTATTCCATTTAGTTTCTCAATTCATCCAAAACCATATCCAGGCCATCACCAATCATTCTATACGACAAATGTTTCTTCTAACATCCCCACAATATCACCCCTTACCAAAAGACCTGCCTTTGGCTTAATCTCTCCCACTCTAGGTTCCCATGCTGCCCCTAATCCTGCTTGAAGCAGTCCTGAGAAACATTGCCTGTTCTCTCTCCATACCAACCCCCAAAAATTTTCGTTGCCCCAACACTTCAACACTATTTTGTTTTATTTTTCTTATTAATATAAGAAGTTAGGAATGTCAGGCCTCTGAGCCCAAGCTAAGCCATCGCATCCCCTGTAACTTGCACGTATACACCCAGATGGCCTGAAGTAACTGAAGAATCACAAAAGAAGTGAATATGCCCTGCCCCACCTTAACTGATGACATTCCACCACAAAAGAAGTGTAAATGGCCGGTCCTTGCCTTAAGTGATGACATTACCTTGTGAAAGTCCTTTTCCTGGCTCATCCTGGCTCAAAAAGCACCTCCACTGGGCACCTTGTGACCCCCACTCCTGCCCGCCAGAGAACAAACCCTCTTTGACTGTAATTTTCCTTTACCTACCCAAATCATATAAAACGGCCCCACCCTTATCTCCCTTCGCTGACTCTCTTTTCAGACTCAGCCCGCCTGCACCCAGGTGAAATAAACAGCCATGTTACTCACACAAAGCCTGTTTGTTGGTCTCTTCACACGGACGTGCATGAAAGTATGTATCCAAAAATTCTCAAAATTCAAAAATACAAAAATTCTCATGTTAGTGTTATGCAGATGTTTACACAATACTTCTGTTTCTTTTGCTAACCTCCCATTTTTATACATCCTCAGTTCTTCTAGCTACCCTGCTACATCAATGTATTGCAGCATGTTGGTGGTATTGCATGTGACCTCTGTGTATTTCCCAAGTATTGTATACACCGTTTCATTTAAATTCAGAGGAAAAATGAATGCAATTTATTTTTGCTTAATAATAAGGGATCATCTTGCTTCAGCTGGATTCCTGTGACAGAGCTTAGTAAAACATTTGATGAAATCTTGATTAGGCCACACAAAGCATGATATTTGGGAAACATCAAGTGTGATTTGAGTTTTTATATAATTCTAACGGTAATGTCTCTTGTGCTGAATGAAATAATCAGATTAAATGTATGTACACTAATGATGTGTTTGTCATGAAAACAGAGCATGCAATTCCTTCATCAATGTGACAGGAGAGGACGATTTATTTAATTCACTGCTGATTTCCAAATAAATATTTTTTGTAATGAAACACTTCTGAGAGCTCTGATATTTCTGAAATGATTTTTTTGTGTCTAATTTGTATAGTCTATGGATGACAAGTAAGGTTTTACCCTTGGTGGCTTTGTTTTCCTTTATTTTCAATTCGAGAAGTTTAAAAGACGAATAGATAATGGGATGTTCAGAGACGAAGCTAGTGTATTTTTTAAAATATTGTAACCTCATTGCTTATGTACCCTTTACAAAACTAGATTTCTTCTGTTAGAGAGTTAGGATTTTAGTTATAAAGACTATCCTTACCTTAGAATTTTTCATGTCTTTGTTTCCCTTTCAACTAAATTCAAAATGCAATGAGAATCTTTGTGTACATCTGTGAGGGCTTGTATGTGTATGATTCTGTGTGTAAGTGCAGAGTTGTGTATGAGAGTGAATGAGTATGGATGTGTATGAGTTGTAGGGGGAAAGCATGGGCTCATATTAGCTTGACCGAGTGACAGTGATCAGTGGAACTAATAAGTGTTTAGTGACCTCATGAAACTAGTGAGAAATATTGTATTTCTCACAATATAGAATACCTTTGTTTCAAGGACACTCAGTAAGATTTTCTAGATCTTATGTAGGAAGTATATTCCACTGAATATTATTATAAAATCCAGTGTTTTCAAAGGAAAAGATAGCTATTCTATTGAGCTTTATAGTTGGGTAAATTATAGTTTAATTAGAGTTTAATAGTTATTTTGAAAATAAATTGCACTCATAAAGAATCGATGATAAGAGCAGAAAATAGAAGTTCATGAGATTATCAACTGAGTGACTGGTTCTTTCTAGGATTAATTCCACAATGTATTAAAAATACTTTATGAAACAGCTTTATTTCCCAGTGCTTTGTATTCTAATAACTCCCTTGAATATTGAAAATTTTATGTAAAAAAATTCAAATAATTCATATAATTCAGTGTCATGAAGTAGGAAAGAAGTAACTAGATTTAAGTGAATCAAGATATAAGAAAAGTAGAAATAAAGTAGTCCACAAATTAATGCCCAGTTCAATAAGAAACTCTTTATCAAAGGACATGGTATAATGAAGTATATTCTTCTGTGTATTCTGGACAAAGTCCTCTGCATGGACTAGATGTGAATGCTCAGATTGAAAAATCAGGAGTGAAAATGAAACATAGGTACACATGGAAATATTTACACAGTGATGGCAAGCAACAGTAAGCTGCTAAACATTTGATTCTGAAAATTTATTCTTAAATAAATATTTTTATTTTTGAATCAGCATTATTCATTTTACTACAAAGATTAACATATTTTTGCATGTAAGATAAGCTTTACTTTCTCTATTTCCCACTGAAATATGCTATTATTCCAATTTTTTTAATAAATGGTAATTTTTTCAATACTATTATATACCAAGTTCTATATACCAACACATATATAATTTGTAGTCTCTTGATTCTACTCTATTCTTTTTTCTTATATTTCTGCTTATATATGACAGTAGACTGATAAAATTCTATGGCATATTTTGACATCTAGTAGAACAAGTTACCTTTATTGGTTCTTTTTTCAAAAATGCATAAGCAATTTGTTCATCTTTACCTCTCTGACAGACACATACAAGGTGATCCCCTGATAAGTCATGACCTCATATAACCCCGTCCACTTGAATGAGAGTGGAACTTGAGTGAGGGTGAAAGTTGTGATTTGCTTTACCAAATAGAATATGGAAAATGTCATGGGATGTCACTCCCATGATCACATTCTTATTTATAAGACTCCATCTCAGTTGACCAGATTGAAAAACTTACTTGCTGGCTTTGAAGAGATAAGCTGCTATGTTACGTAAGGACCTGGGAGAGGGCCAGGTGGCAAGGCACTATGGGCATCCTTCAGGAGATAAGAGCACTCCCTGACTAACACTCAGCTAGAAAACTGCCATGGGGATAAATTTCGCTTACAACATGAATGATCTTGGAGTACAAGTCTTCCTCAGGCAAGCCTCCAGATAAGAATGCAGCCCAGTAAACACTAACTTTGGCCTTGTAAGATGTGAAGCAGAGAACTCTACCAAGCTATAACTAAGCTATACCCAAATTTCTCACCTAAAGAAACTATGAGATAACAAATTTGTGTTGGCTTAAGCCACTAAATTTGTTGTAATGGAAAATTAACATATTCTCAGGATAAATTTTAGAATAAAGTGTTACAGACTCTTGAGCAAAGGCAAACACTAAAATGTCTTGTGGTATAAAAGAAACTCAACATATTAAGGAAACTTTTCAAGCAGTATCAGAAAGATGAAACATAAAGCCCCCCTGTGTTTGAGTATCTGTGGAGAGGTGTGCTTGAGGTTTCATGCAGTTGGACACACTGCAGTTTTCTGCTCCAGTAAAGAAACTTGCCCTCTGCTTTCCATTTTCATGGCCTTTCTTGTGACAGTGGCTGTGGATAAGGTGGCTGCTTAGCTATTTAGGGGAGTCAAAACCTACCATGCAGCCAGACAACAGTAGTGATAGCATCTGGAGGGCATGAACACCTAGACCTTGCCAATCCTCTCACTGGGTATGTGGCGAAAGAAGAGAGTCACTGTTGCTACAAGCCTGGAGACAACTTCTTGAATCATTCAGAAAATAATTCTACTTATCTTCCCATAATGAGAGATCATCAATCATAAGCCTTTCACCAGGGGAATGCATTAACCGTCCTGCCCATATCTGGGAATAAAAAAAGAAAGGTTGTTCATTTTTCCATTTGTTTGCCTACTTCCGAAGTTTGGGTTTCTTAATGTTCCAGAAATAATGTATTATACCTCCTAGGAAGGAATCACACTTTTTCCTTTGCTCGGCATTAAACTCTGTAGGGATTCAGGGATTTGCCACTCTAGCGGCATTCTGGTGTTACTGGGAAATTTTGCAAGCAGAATCCTGCAGAAAGGCACCTGGGCCTGAACACAGCCACATGCACTATGGATCTGTGCTCCAGGAGTGGGACCCTGCCCTCTTATTCTGCCATTCCACATGGCTTCATGAAAGTGGCCTGGAGCAGGACCAAAAAATGTCTGAAATGTCGGGAAGAATTGCAAACAGCATGCAAGATACAAGAGCTGATAACACCTGGAGAAAATGAGACCATGTGAAGCACTTTGGTTTGGAAGAAGAGAAACTCAGAGACTCAGTTAGGACATGTCAGACAAAAAGAAGCATTGTTATTCAGCAAATGGTACTGCTGATTTCTCTAAAATTTCTGAAAAATGTTTTTATTGGGATTATATAAAATATGTAGATTATCTGGATGTTTAATATGGGCATTGTTCCCACAATTATTAACCTGGATATTAACACTGGAGTAGATCACATAAAGTTGTCTATATAGGAAATAGAGTACACATTTGTAATCACTATGTTTTTTCTTTATCCATTTTGTCAAGATACATATATGGCATTTCTCACTCAATTTGCTATTAGAATAGCATCTTTCACCTCTAATTCATCTGCCTTGTTGGGATAACTCTCTAATGGTCCCTCTGTCTGTACATGCTTATATTTTTGATAAAGTGGTCCGAAGCTTGACATCCACATTTAATTAAATTCTACTTGGATGTTTCCTTTTGATGCAATAAAAGGCAGAGATAGAAACTTCAGTTTATTTATGTAATTTGACAAAGTATCTGTATCATTAAAACACACCCTATCCAGGAACACAAGATGTCTTTCCATGTATTAGGTTTTCTTTTATATTTTTCAGTAAAGTCTATAAAACTTTATATAGGGCTGTACTTTTTTGTTAGCTTTCTCTAGGTACCCTATAGTTCTTAGTGATACTGCAAATAAGTCACCTCTGTCAATTTGATTTTACTATTGATTATTTCTGTTGTATGAGGGGACTCTTGTATTTGCATTTCACTCATTTGTTTAGTTGGTTGGTTGACTTTCTGTTCAGCTACCTTTTATTTTATTAGGTCTGGATTTTTTCAGTATATTTTCTTACAGTAATGATATTGGCAAATAATAATTATTACATCTGCAGATAGACACCCTTGTAAAAAAAAAAAAAAGCAAAATAATTCAGACTAGTTTTCCAGCTCCAAATACAGAACTCTTTTGAGAGTAAATGCTGTCTCTTTGTAAGATAAGTGGGTTTAAATTCATTTCCTTTTATCAAAATAGCTTCTAATCCAAGGAAAAGTCCATTTTTGTTCAAAATGGACTTGCGGGGGCGGCGGGGGGGAAAAGAGCATTCAATGCTACAGCATTACTAGAGAACTCCACTCTGAGAGGGAATCTCAGTACGTCTGTGATTCAACAGTACTATTCTCCCATCTGAATGAGTCTCTCATTCTCCCTGCCACTGCAGGGGTTGGTTGCCGAAAACTCAAAGCTGAATCACTCTCTAGGAATAAACCTCTGCTGAGAAGAAAGGGATTACTTAAAAGTTATGCTCCCTCCCTAGGAAAAACCTTCATTTGAAAGCTGGTCAATGTTTAGGGTGGGACTTAGTTAACTAATATGCTGATCATCATCATCATAAGACTGAGATTGTGTCAACTGCCCAGAGTGTAGCCGTGAACTCAGCCTGAGCCTACAGACTGGCAGGCTGCATAGCTTTAGTCCAAGAGGTCCCAATTTGCATACAATGGGCTTTTAGGAATACCACAGGGTTGTTTTAAGTACATGTGACTACCTTGTGTTTTTGTTTTTGTATGTTTTTTAGATTGGAGAAATGTGGCTCTTATATCATGGACATGTACTATCATGTGCCAATATACGTGCAGGTTGTCATGATTTTTAACAAACAAAATCGCATATGAGTCTTTTCCTTTTTTTGCCATTATGTATTTAATATTATGAGATGGTGAACAAAATGGCTTTAATGTTCCCCTCAATTTTAGTAAACTTCAGAGATTTTCTTCTGACTCTAGGCTCCTGATTTATTTTCTTAGATCATTTATGTTACCAAACTTGCAATTATAAATTATTTCTCTACTCCTTTGAGATGTAGATTTTCTCCCAGCTTCTTGACAGTTTCAAAGCCCAGAAATATTTTTCTCAAGGACCTGGGAATCATCCCTTTGAAATGCAATTATTAAGAAAGATAGCACCCTTATCTTTCAGTCTCTGCAGGAGGGTAGGGACCTAAATTTCATAAGTGCCAATTAGCAAATAGTCCCTCTAACAGTTCATTACGTGGACTAATCACATTGACCAGCCTCCCACACAACATGTCTTCCAGGACTTTTCAACAAATTCGCCACAGCACTTAAAAACTTTCCCCTCTTTTGTTTCAGAAAGGTTTATTTCAATCTCTCTCTCTGTTATCTCAATAGTTTTAGTCTTCCTTGCCTATTTAACTCCATCTGGTACACTTTTACTTTGACGATATGTGAATTATATCTCAATAAAACTATTAATAAAATATTTTTAAATACTATAGGAAAAGCAATTATAAATTATGTTTGATTTTTATGTAGAGATACATATATTACCTCTCAAAAAGCCTTATGCTAAAATATATTAAAACCTACCACAACATTCTGTCAGTTGCTAACATTTATTGAAAACCTGCTTGAATTGTATACTAGATTAAAAAGACAGAAAAAATACATTAATAAATAAATATAGACATAATTGTAAAATTAATATCATCAGTAAATTAAATTTGGAATACTGTAACATAACATAGAAATAGGAGAATACTGTAATTTTTTAAAAAATAAATGCATGTAAAATATTGGAATACTAACAGCATCCATGAGCCAGAGGTCACAAGACTAGTCAATATGAGGACTAATGATAGAAAATTTTCTAAAGGAGGAAAGTTTTATTAATAATTTGAGAATTTCTAGGAACGGAATTTCTAGGTTTCTTTGTTCTCGTAGATGCTAACATCAAAATTCCCATCTTATTATTTTTCGAGCTGTTCTGGCTCATTTCCACTCACCACCCTCCCACCTCATGACCACCTAAGCAAATTAATTCTTTAATGGACTCTCAGTCTTAGTCCCAATACATTGTTTTCCTACTTAGACGGCCGACCCTTCTGGGTGACAGCTCACTCAGAGTGAAGTAACTCATTTTATGTTATCTCTGTGTTTTTGGAAGGGTAATCTGATTCATCAAGGCAAAAAAGTGAACTATGCAGGGATATTAGAGACTTCATAAGATCAGTGGGAGCCTCACTCTATGTTAGAATTGTAATGTTCTTATACCAAGACTTAAAAAAATTACTGGCAACACTAAAGTAGGCACTGGCTAAGTCAGTCCTAATCAAAATATGCATACTTTGCCAAAAAGAATGCTTTCTTACCTATACCTCCAGCTCATAAAAAGTGCACTAACCAAAACCTGATGATATCAGAAAGTATTCTTGAGGGAATGTAAACATAAGTTATTATTATTATTTATTTATTTATTTGAGATGGAGTTTTCTCTGTTGCCAGGCTGGAGTGCAGTGGCATGATCTCGGCTCACTGCAACTTCCTCCTCCCAGGTTAAAGCAATTCTCCTGCCTCAGCCTCCCAAGTAGCTGGGACTACAGGTGTGCATCACCACGCCCAGCTAATTTTTGTATTTTTAGTAGAGACAGGGTTTCACCATGTTGGCCAGGATGGCCTCGATCTCTTGACCTTGTGATCCACCTGCCTTGGCCCCCCAAAGTGCTGAGATTACAGGCATGAGCCACTGTGCCCAGCCTAATTTTTGTATTTTTTTAGTAGAGATGGGGTTTCACCATGTTGGCCAGGCTGGTCTTGAACTCCTGACCTCAGGTGATCTACCTGCCTTGGCCTCCCAAAGTGCTGTGATTACAGGCGTGAGCCACAGCACTCAACCTGTACTAATTAATATTCTTAGATGTAGAAAGTAGAGTAAAACTTAGAATCATTTAGTTCAACACTTTTATGTATAAAATGAAGACACTAATTACGTAACCTTGAGCAAGTCAATTTTCCCCTTTAGCAGCAGTTTCATTATCTGTGAATAGAGGGATAATGCCTATTTTACATATTTTGTTATAACCAAATATATGTATGGGATTAATTCTGATTAATATGATATCTCTGACCAGAACCATGGGGTTGAGGCACATGATTACAGCAGTGTTCCTTAATACCTTAAGCGTGTCAGATGTTGCTTTGGGATACTGGTGTTCTCAGGCTCCCCAAAGTTTTGTTTGTCTAACATAAAGAAAATTATAAATTAGATTCAGCATTTATAAGTGATGATAATAAAATGGTAGATTAAGAAGTAGGAAGTATGTAGAATTAAAGGTTCTCCTACAATAAATATCTAAGTTCTAAGTGGACGAGATAATAACAGGGCCCTGCATAAGAAAAAGGGTCTGTGGCAATGTCATTGTTATACTTGCAGACTCACCTAAGGTGGGCTTTAGGGGTCTGGTCAGATACATCTTCCGTCTTCCTTGTCATAGGTATTGTGGGGAGCTCAAGGGAAAATCAGAAAAAGAATGTATATATTTATTTGAATCAAGGTTTTCTTTGCTGCACAGAAATTAGATCTTTTGAGAATCGCCAAAGCCCTTAAAGAATATCTTAATCATGAAGCACAAAGACTACATTAAGTGTATAATATCTATAAAAAATTTTTAAACAATAAGTTGCTCGATCCTTCATGATTAATTTGAATAAAATATCTTATACTCAGAAAAATAACCTTTAAAATGAAGATATGTATTTCCTTTCTAATTTTCTCACCTCTACCACTTCTCACCACCTACATCTGCCTCAAAGTAGCATGCCTTATCAAAAGGTATGAATATTATATTAAGACAGATACAAACTTACAAGGGCAAGAAAGAGATACCATACAGTTTTCTTAAATCTTTGGGTATCACTAAGGGTTCCCAACTGTACTTGTACCTTCTCTGGTTTGAGGTTTTCATTTGTTTGTTTTTTGACAGAATATATTAGAAGCAGAATGTATCCACCACCTAATAAAAACCATTTTGTCTCAACTGTCTTTATGTCCTCCTTTTCTATTTAGGCTCAGATCCCTGGCTTGTTTCCTGGCAGAAAAAAAAAAAAAAAAAAAAAAACAGCATAAACAAACCACTTTCCTCATTCTATCAGTCGCATTTCAGCAATTAATTAATTTAAGTTGTGAATGTTTTGCAACTGTTATCAGTGCCATTGCCTTCACAATTATGAAATTAGGCAGCAGCAGTCAACTAATTATCTGAGCTTCAAAAGTTCCAAGACATGATTCTAGTAGCTTGTTTTGATTTCCTTTATTTAAAGAGTTCTTCCTGCTCCCATATTTAAGTCTTAAAATTGATTATTCACATCTGATAAAGGAAAGTGGGATAAGCACTCTGTATCGTTGAATGTTACTGTAGTTTGAAAGCCTCTTATTGCTTTTGAATGATTACCATTTTACACTTTGAAGCAAAAATAGGTTGTAAGAGTGATTATAGAAGAATTTTATTTCATTAAAAAAAACGTGAGCATAATGCTGTTAAAACCAATAGGTTTGATAGGCATATGTAAAGGCTATCTGGAGTATAATTTATAAAAAGTATTTTGAGTGTGCTTTTGCAAATTGTCTAAATGTCTTATGAACTTTTGAGGCTGGCACAATTCCCTTTTCCAATTTGTTTACTGTAAAATGATTAGAGATCCCACCAGAAAACTTTGTCCCTGTCTTAGATTTTACACTGACAAACTCATCTGGTAGAAAATAGAAAGTAAGCTATTCTACTTTTTTGTGCATAATTATACACATATACACAAGTACACACATACACACTTTTATCATATGTTAAAAATTATCTTATAAGTACAATCATCCCTCACTCTGCAGGGATTTTGTTCTAGGAGCCCCCGTGTGTGCAAATCTGCATGTGTGCAAGTCCCTTATATAAAATGGCGTCATATTTGCATATAACCAATGAACACAATCCCGTATACTTCAAATCATCTCTAGATTACATATAATGTCTAATACACTGTAAATGCTATGTAAATAGTCATTATACTATTATAGAGTTGTTATAACCATTGTCCTTAATTTGTATTTTTTAATGACTGTATTGGTATTTTTATTGTTTGTTTGGTTCTGAATATTTTTGATTAGAGTTTGGTTGAATTTGTGAATGTAGAACTTGTGGATACAGAGAACTGAAATATATTTTTTAAAAAACAGGTAAAAATTATATTTGTGGATATTTATGTTAAGATGGCCGGATTAAATAATAGAAGAACATTTAAAAATACAATTCCAAGGCAATTTTATTCGATATTTAGAAATAATATAGATATGATTTTTAACATAACTTATAAACACTTTTAGACTAAAACTCTCTAGTTATTGTCAGTTTTGACTCCCAAATTAGTAAGTGTGCAAACAATCAAAACATATATACTACAGTGTCCCCAACTTGAATAGCTTTTTAAAGGCTGAACGCAAATAATTTGCAATGCTTGAGATTAAAGTAAACTCAAAGTTTGGATTCTGAATTCTACTAGGACGTAGAATGTTGGAAGAGATCATCACTCTTACCTTAATAATGAGAAGGCTGATTAAATTATAAAGGGCATAAGTATGTTTTAAACCATAAGGCACCTGAAGAAGAAAACAAGAAAACATAAATGGAAGGATAGATACTGGTGTTGACATATGTTTTCATTGCTATGGGGTGTATGCCTAGGAATGGAATTTGTGAGTCATATCAAAAATATATGTTTAACTTTTTAAGGATTTTTTCTATTATTTTTCTTTGACATGAAATAATTACTTATATTTATGAGATACAGAGTGATGTTTTGATACGTATCAATCTGACTTAAATATATAGAACACTATAATCAGCAACTGCAAAATACACCATGTTTCAAATAATCATAGAACAATTATCAAGACAGATCATATATATATTGAGCCCTAAAACAAGTCTTAATAAATTTCAAAGTACTGAAATTCTGGAGAGTATATTGTCTGATGAAAATAGTATTAAAATAAAAATGAATAACAAAATTACATTAGGAACAGTCCCTATTTGGAAATTAGGAAACAAAATTGTAAATAATCTATGGGCTAAAATAGGATTCATGCGAGTAATAAAAAATCAAAAACACACATACATTTTGTCGTGAATTAAAATTCAAGCACAATATACAAGATATATTGGATATAGATAGCACAATGCTTAGAATGAAATTAAGAGCTTTATATTTTGTGATGGGGTAGAATAATGGCTGCTTATAAATAGACATGTCCTAAACCCTGAGAGCTGTAAATACGTCACTTTACATGGCAAAAGAGACTTTTGCAGATGTGATTTAGTCCAAGATCTTGGGAGGAGAAAATCGTCCTGCACTGTTCCAGTGGCTGAATGTAATCACAAAGGTCTTTATAGGAGAGAGGCAAGGACAGAATGGGAGGAGCAAATGTGACTATGGAAGCAGAGGTTGAAATAAACTCAATGCTGGCTGTGGCTCACAAGCTCTGGAGAGGGAGTAGCCTCTAATGGTCTGGAAAAGGAAAAGAAACAGATTTCCTCATAGAGCTTTTAGAAGGAAATGCAACCTTGCTGGTATCTTGATTTTAGCACAGTGAAACACTGTGACCTTCGGTTTTTCCTATAATTTCCTCTAGAACTATAGGATAATAAATTGCTTTAAGTCACTCAATTAATGGTAATTTCTACAGGAGAAATAGGAAACTATTAGAACAATGAATGAGGCAAACAAAATTATTTAATCTTCTATCTTAATACATTAGAAAAAGAACAAATTAAACTCAAATAAAATAATAAATATAAGAATAGAAAGTAGTCAGCCTGACCAACATGGTGAAACCCTATCTCTACTAAAAATACAAAAATTAACCAGGCGTGGTGGCACGTGCCTGTAATCCCAGCTATTCAGGAGACTGAGGCAGGAGAATCGCTTGAACCTGGGAGGCGGAGGTTGCAGAGAGCCAAGATAGCACAATTGCACGCCAGCCTGGGCGACAGAGTGAGACTCCAACTCAAAAAAAAATAATAATTATTATTATATTTAAATGGAAAGACAATCTGGAAAAAAGGTAAAAAAATTATTTTTTGAACAGAATAATAAAATTCCAGAAAGACCCATCAAGAGAAAAGAGAGAGAGAGATAAAAAACTACCAATATTCTGAAGGCGAAAGGGGGAGGGGAGAGTCACTACAGAACCTATAGATATCAAAAATATAATAATAATTATAAGTATATGATAAACAACTTTATGCTGATAAGTTAGAAAATGAACATGAGATGGACTACTTTGTAGAACACAAGTTATCAAAACTCACATGACACAAAATAGAAAATCTTTAGAGCCCTATATCTATTAAATTAAATTTGTAATGAAATCCTCCAAGGCCCAAAATTTTATTGGTGAATTCTATAAAATATTTAAGAATAAAATAATAAATCTGATTAAACTTTTATTAAGAAAATAGAGGAGGATGAAACACTTTTAAATTTTTTAAATAAGGATTATTACAACCCACCTTAAACATAACTGAAAATATCATTAATTTAATGTTAGCAAAGTAAATTGAACGGACAATGAGTCATGAAATGCAAGTTTGCTTTAAATTGAAAATCAATCAGTATCATCACATTAACAGAATAAGGAAAAAATATGCCACTATCTCATTAGATATAGAAAATACATTTGATAAAATTCAATACCAATTCATAAATTTTTTAAAAATCCAGAAAATTGAGGATGTAAGAGAATTTCTCAATACGTTAAATTTTATTTATGAAATTTCTACAGGTAACCTCATACTTCATGGTGAAACACTGAATGCTCTTTCACTGTGATCAGGATAAGGAAGGATGCTTACTTTCACCAGCTCTCTTGACAGGGCGATAATTCATGCAAAAGAAATAAAAGGCATAAAGATTGAAGGAAAAAATAAAATCTTGGTTGTTCTCAGATTAAATGACTGTGTATGCAGAAAATTCTACAGATTTTACAAAGAAGTCCACTGAAACATAAATGAAAATTTAGAAAATTTTACTATATATTGTCAATATGCAAAAATCCTTTCAATTTATACATACTAGCAATGCTATGTGGAAATAAAATAAAATAATACCATTGACAATAGGACCAAATTCATCAAACAGCTAGGATATCCATTTAACAAAACATGAGGAAATTTTCTATACAGATAACCACAAAACAGTTCTGAAATCAATTAAGATCTAAAGAGAAGGATATACCTCGTGCACTGACTCAAAATCTTAAAGATTTGTTTATGGCAATCATACATAATGCATATATATATTGAATCACCATACCTTTGGCTTTAAATATATCCAGTCTGCCAAATATATTTAAATTAAAATTCATTTCTGATTTGAAAACTCAATCAAAATGCCAGCAAGGTTTTGTGTGTGTGTGTGTGTGTGTGTGTGAATATTGGCCAGCTTCAAGGTGATAAAAATTTATATAGAAATGCAAAGGACATAGGACAGCCAAGACACTCCTGAAAAAGAATAAAGTAGGATTTACTAGGTTTCAAAACTTACTATAAATCTACAATAATAAAAAGAGTTTGGTATTGCCCTAAGGGTAGACAAAGATCAATGCAACTGAATAGAGAATCCTGAAGTAGACCAGCCCACAAAAGAACAAATAATGTTTGATCTATGTACAAGACAATTTTGTAAGTGAAGACTTCTTAACAAAGGGCTCTGAAAACCTGGATAGCCATATGGAATAAACAGACTCATAATTCCCATGTTACTTTTTTTGTAAAAATTCATAATGAATTATGGCCCTAATGTAAATGCTAAAATTATAAAACCTTCAGTATAAAATATAGAAAAAATATGTTTGTGATTGTGAAGTAGACAAGTATTTTTTGACAAGAGATAAAAAACACTAACAATAAAATTAAAACATAATAATAGTTTTGAACTTCTTTAAAATTAAACGTTTCTGTTCATTAAAATATACCATTATGAAAATTGCATATTGATGTATCATAACATATGTACATATAGATATAGCGAAAAATGCCATAAAATTATCTCTAGACATAAATCAAAGGAGTCATATCCAGAGCATATAAATATCTCCTACAAATCAATAATGAAAATAATATAACATTTAATAATAATGGACATAAAATTCATATAGAAACTTCAAGATGATGTAGAAAAAGACAAGTAATCGCAGCAAAATTTGATCAATATCTTTAGTCCTCAAAAAAGTGCAAGTTAAAGTGAGACAGAAAGAAAATTTTACACTCACCAGAATAGCTAAAATAATGAGAAAAAAATAAAACTGAAAGTATCAAATATTAGTGAAGATGTGGAACAACTGAATGCATTGTAACTTATGGGTGGTAGTGTAAAATGGTACAACTGCTTTGAAAAACTGTTAGTTTATTATAAAGCAAAACATGAACCTGCCATATGCCTCTGCAAACCATACTGTAGACAGTGTATTTATCTACAAACTAGAATCAAAACAAATATTTGTCCATCAGTAGGAGAATGCCATATTCATACAATGAAGTTCAACTCAGCAATAAAAGGTATAAACTACTAAAACACAAAATAACATTGATGAATATCAAAAACATTATGTTGAATAAAAGAAAGCAAACAGAAGGAAAACACACTATTTGTATATAAAATAAAGTACAGTAACAGACAAAATTAAGCTATGAATACATAAACCCAAGTTAGGCTGCTTCCTAAAAGTACGGCATTGACTAGAAAACACCAGAATATTTTCCTGGTGTAATAGAAATAGTATATATTTTGTTTGCAGGTGGTGGTAACTCAGATGTATAAAAGGTCGTAATTCATCAAACTGAACACACTAGATTTTTGCTTTCTATTGTATATTAATTGTTCTTCAATGAGTAATGATACACAAAAATGAGGGCAAAGTTAACTGCCAAGGGAGGCAATGAAGTGAAATGAAATAAGGAGGAAACAGATTACATCTGGTTTCAAGTCCAAAGATTAGTTGGTCAAATTGCAATAACTTTCTGGACATTAGTTTTCTTATCATAAAACAGGGACGACAGTGCCAAAATTACTGTATTGCTGTGAGGACTGCATAAGTAACATAATGAAGTGCCAGGCACATAGCAAATTTCCTACAAATTTAGTTATTCACTATCCACTGTTAATCTCACATATCTCAGTGAGTGTAAAGTACATCCTAGAAGAACATACCTTTAATAAAAATAGTTTATAACAGCAGTACATTATGAAAACGATAATTTTTTTCTTCACTAGTTCACCTGGGATCACTGAGAAAGTACATTAACCAGGTGTTACTAAACCCCGCTGTTTCCTTCCTCACTCTTTGTCTTCCTTTTCCGCCTCTGCTTCTCTTCCCATTTCTCCTCCCCAACCTCCTTCTTTTCCCTCTCATTCCACTAATAGCCACTTAATATTTTAAACTAATACTTTTATATATAAGTGTATATATAAATAAATTCAACTGTGATCAGGTATCACAGAGAATGCTGCCAATAATAGAAGAAGTAGAATTTGAACTAAGAAGAGAAATAAAGGGATTTTCACCTAAAGAAAACAAAATTTATTTAAATCAAATAAGTAAATACCTCATATCCTAAAATATTTGCCAAATTCCTGGATGACTTTATTTGACTACCCTCTCTATCCTAAACATAGAAAGAAAACAGGGAGAAAAGTTCTTGAAAAGCAGAGAAAGATATAATTTCTGCTCCCTCTCTCTCTCTCTCTATGTGTGTGTATATATATATAATATATACATATTATATATATATACATATTTATTATATGTATATATATTATACATATAATATATATACATTATATATATAATATGTATATATGTTATATATATATGTGTGTGTGTGTGTGTTTTTTTTGAGATGGAGTCTAGCTCTGTCACCCAGGCTTGAGTGCAGTGGCGTGATCTCGACTCACTGCAAGCTCCGCCTCCCAGGTTCAAGTCATTCTCCTGCCTCAACCTCCTGAATATCTGGGATTACAGCCGCTTGACACAACACCCGGCTAATTTTTGTGTTTTTAGTGGAGATGGAGTTTCACCATGTTGGCCAGGCTGGTCTCGAACTCCTTACCTCGTGATTGGCGTCTCGAACTCCTTACCTCGTGATCCACCCACCTTGGACTCCCAAAGTGTTAGGATTACAGGCGTGAGCCACCGCGATGGGCCTGCTCATCATATCTTTAAAGGAAAGAAAAGGTTGATTTTTTCAGAGTAAGTAAAACCAGTCATCTTAATTTTGATACCTGCAAAGTTGTTAAAGCACATTCTAAAACAGTCACTTTGCAATAGTCTCGATGAACACAATGTACTGAGTTTGAATTTATAAAAATTTAATCATACCAGACATATTTTGTCTTTAATTGAGTAACCAGCCACAGCAATAAGTAACTGGCCAGTTACTGCCTCTGAGGTACTCATTGATATTTACGGGTTAAACATATTTGAAGAATAAGTAATACACACTTGAATGCCTTATTTGTAAAGAAGCTCAAAGTATCTGTTTCTGGCAGGTGGCAATAAATTGGACATTTACTCTCTCCATTATTGTCAGTTTCTTCATAGAGATTAATTGCTTGTGATATTTGAAAGAAGAAAGAACATATGATATATAGGACAGAGTCATTGAAATAGTCTATTTTACTCTATAGTAACAGATCTTAGCATGTTTACATAAGTGCATATCTGACTAAAGTACATGAATGTGGTTATTTCTAGCAAGTTGGTGGAAGGTGTGTAATAATGGTGATGGGCATATTAACTGATATCTCAACATGTTCACTTTTCAGTCATTATTAGTACCTATCTAGTACCTATCATTGTCATACAGCAATTTTTAAAATAACTTTATGCTTAAAATGTTAGGGATTGTGAATAATAGCAGATGTGCAATGGCTTGAGATTGGCAGTGGACACAAACAGACAAAAAAATGCTGACTCCTTTTAGAACTTGCATACTCATGATCAGAGAAAGGGGTTGAAAACAGCCTTTGCTTGAGATGGAAATAAGGGAAGTGATGTTATTGGGGAAAGAGAGGTTTCAATTACAGAAGCAGAAGTTCAATATTCAAGTGGTCTAATATGACACATAAAAGACATTGATTCCAGAGACTATCAGACACTGCTAAAAGGAAGAATGATAGGTTGGTGATTGTTCTAAAAAGGATTAAAATCACAAGACTGGGATACAAATAAAAGTACAAGAGTATTACTCTTGTAAAAAGTACAAGAAAATCAGTTGCTTGATCAGTTAAGATCTAACCATTTTAAGAAAATCGAAATCAAAAATTCTCTTATTATGAGTTGTCTCATACTTTAATTTCTATTAATGACTGAATCACCCAGTGTGCTTGTGAGAATGACAGGTTTTTTGGTCCTACCTCAATTTTACTGTTCAAACATCTGAAAAAGAGGCATTTTGAAAACAAATTTCATAGCTAATTCCTATTAAACCAATGCATAGAGACTAGAATTAGTCTGAGGTGGTGGGTAAGGGGTTTCTAAAAATAAAGGCATGGGGTAGCTAAGGATAAAAGATATAGCCAGGTTTTATACCCAAAGGACTATAAATCATGCTGCTATAAAGACACATGCACACATATGTTTATTGCGGCACTACTCACAATAGCAAAGACCAACCCAAATGTCCAACAATGATAGACTGGATTAAGAAAATGTGGCCCATATACACCATGGAATACTATGCAACCATAAAAAATGATGAGTTCATGTCCTTTGTAGGGACATGGATGAAGCTGGAAACCATCATTCTCAGCAAACTATCGCAAGGACAAAAAACTAAACACTGCATGTTGTCAATCATAGGTGGAAATTGAACAATGAGAACACATGGACACAGGAAGGGGAACATCACACACCAGGGCCTGTTGTGGGGTAGGGGATGGGGGGAGGGATAGCATTAGAAGATAAACCTAATGTTAAATGATGAGTTAATGGGTGCAACACACCAACATGGCACATGTATACATATGTAACAAACCTGCACGTTGTACATGTACCCTAAAACTTAAAGTACAATAAAAAAAAAATATATATATATATATATATATAGCCAGGTTTAGGAAGGTGACATTACTTTGAATGCTAGTATATTTTTTGCCCTCTAGCACACACCCAAATATAGTAAACTGTGACTTCATGAATAGTGGAGAGGTTCCCACAAGTCAATCACACTACTGGGAATGTTTAATGTAGTTTTAGTAACTATTGGATCTTCCACAGCCAACCAACAAAATAGTCAGTCTAAAATTAACCTTGCTTATGAAAATTGGAGCCTATTATTGCATTATGAAGAAATTGCCTTACATGATAGTACATGAACCAAACTTATATGAATGTTTTTCCTCATCAGATGTAGTGGTATATTAATCCTTGTGTTTAGCATGTAGAGCAGAAAAGACTGTTGGTGGTATACATGCAACTATTCTAATTATATGTTTCTCCTTATTAGTGTATAGGATAGATTTATCACAAACCATACAAAACCAAAACAACAAACCAAATCTTCGTAACATTCGCCCATCAAGAAATACACTCACATAGACGTCTATTTATACACATCATGGTTCTCCATATCTTACAGGACCCCAGATGCTTCTAAAATTATATGCTGAATTACAGGTGAAAGAACAGCTGCCACCAAAAGAAAAATAATGGGCTTGAACATTTATAGAACAGAAGCTGACATGAACTTTTCTGAAGAATTGAAAATGTCCAGCAGACTTTTTAATTAAAAATGTTTCTTGTCTTTGCACTTCTATGTTCCAAAAAGAACAAATACAGTTAAGAACTGAAATTGTGTAATCCACTCTTGGCAAGATTTACACCCAGTTTTGAAGACCCTGGAGGCTCACATACTTCAGCCAAACAAGCATACTAAAACTGTGAAGACTGTTCTCGGCTTTCAGACCTAGTTTTTAGAAAGTGGAGCATTGATGGATGTAAGTAATTATCACATATGGATATCATATATCTCTTATAATCTAAGTTTAAGCAAGCTATCACAAAGATAATTGTGTGTTCTGATCAGATATTGGCATCAATTCAACTCAGACATCAACACAGATACAGACATCAATTTTAGGTAAGCAATTCAAGAACCACGGCTTGCGGGTAGAAAAATGAATCTAGGGAATTAAGAGAAAACAAGAAATTGTTTTCTCATGCAGAGAAAACAATTTTCTTGCATGTCCATGCAGTCTGTCTTCTAAGGTACCATTTGTCTCTCTATTTGGACTGTTTCTGCTTGCAGTCCTAGCAATTCAAAAGAAAAGAACATTGGAAATACCACTTATCCTCTAGCATTAGAATAGTCCCATATCGTGCTGTGTTTTTATTTGATAGAGCAGAGATTCAAAACCATCTCAACTTGTCTCCAGATCTTAGTAACCAGTTTCCACACTGCCTCTGAGATAGACATTGATATTTACGGGTTAAGCAAATTTGAAGAATAAGTAATACATACACGAAGGTCTTATTTGTAAAGAAGCTCAAAGTATCTGTTTCTGGCGGGTGACAATAAATTTGACATTTATTCTCTCTGTTATCCTCAGTTTCTTCATAGAGATTAATTGCTTGTGATATTTGAAAGAAGAAAGGACACATAATATATAGGACAGAGTCATTGAAATAGTCTATTTTATATTATAGTAACAAATTACTTAAATTAATTGTCTCTTTGTCAAGGTAATTCTACTTCCAACAGTCTATATGGAGAAACAAGATAAACACAGGAAAACTTTTATTTAGATGTTCATTGTATTTTTTAAATTTACAATTGCAAACAAGGAAAATAACTGATAGTTGTCCAAAATCAATGCCACGATTAAAAAGGAAAAGAAAAACAACTGAAAACAATCCAAATGTCCAAATAATATAATTATCTCCATAAATGAAATAAACCTCATGGGAATATTGTCACCATAAGAGTTATATTTTTGATAATTGTAAAATGGGGAAATTATTTTATCTATAATAAACACGTATTTCTGTCTTCTAGACAGAAAAACGTATAATGGTGTTAACTGTTGCCACAATTTGTGATCAAAGCATGGTCCTGAACTACTTCTTAAATTCATAATCGCTCCATGGACAAACTATAGTTTTCCCTAAGTAGATTGATATTTTGCAGAATTAAAAAATGGCAGCCTTTCAGCCTTTTTCATGGATCAAAGTGTTGGTAGAGAATCAGTGATTTCATATTTTAAAAAAATATTGCAACACCTAGCAATGCCTTAAAGATGGTAATCAGGTTAGCAATCAGAATCTATTAATTTAAGAAGACAAAACCAAGTTTACAATTTTAGATACAATTTACTTAATGAATAAAAATGTGCATCTTTAGCCTTTCCACTTTTTCAAAATTTTGTTTGTGGGGTTGGCTATTTTGGAATTTATAATTAAGGAACACTCAACACTTAACAGTAAGAAACAAACAATACAAAAAATAAATGATAGATACATGAATAAATAAATGGCAAAATGACTGCTCCAAATTGATAAAGACCTGTATTGATATTCACCTATAAGGGCCTGTCAGGGATTCCAAACAACATCCCTACCTGGCACAACACTTCAAGCATTATTGGGTCTGATAGATCATATGACCCAAGTGGCCAAGCACCTTGCACAGCAGCCTGATCATGTTGAAAATTCTCTTGTTTGGGGCCCCACTCAAAACTAACAGCTTTTTAGGTCACTTGGTAAATGGGTCAGAGAAAGACACACAATTGAGGAATGTGTTACTGACAAAATTCAAAGAGACCTACCAGGTATTCGGTCTGCTGCTTCTTTATCGGAGGGGCTAGATGCAACAAAGTATTCTTCACATTAGAAGTTCTTGCATTATTATTTATTCAGCACTTGAGCTGGAAATTCAAATACCTGAGCTCCTCCTTTTCTTCCATTACTTTGTCCAGTGGCATTAAGATCCACCAACCAGTGTCATCATATTTTTCAGTTTTCTAAAAATATTTGAAACGCATACAGTTACTTAATTCTTTTCTTCATATCAGTAACTGAGTAGGAGTAGTCAATGCAGATATTTTGCTTATGTCTATTACCAGTTCATGCCATGGACTATCAGTGATTTCTTTACTACTGGAAATACAATAGAATCGTTAGCATCTTTACATTCCATCGGATTAGAGAGCCAATACTAGAAATGCCATTATAACATATTCAGAACAATCATTCATAAAATTCTGTTACTCTATCTAGCACCACTCTTGGTGTTAAAATCTGCATTCGCCAGGGTTCCCCAGAGAAAAAGAACCAATAAAATTATAACTAAAATTATTAGTAATAATTATTATTTTTACCATTATATCTATTATTTTTATAATAAATTTCTATATACATATAGTGTGTATGTACATACATATAAACATCTCTCTATAAATTCTCTCTATATTTTTACATATATTTATATATTAATATATAATTATATTATATAATAATATAATATATATTATAATATATAGATATTGTATATTATTATATAATATGATATAATATAGAATAACAAATTATATATTGATATGTAATATTTACATATACTTATACATTAATATTATAGAATAAATGTTATTTATATATTATATATTTACATATATTAATATTACTATATTATTTATATATGTAAATAAATATATGTATATTCATAAACTTATTTCTATTTATGCATATTCCTATCTATATATGTATTATAAACCTGTAGGTTTACATAATTATGGAGGCTGAATAAGTCCCCCAATCTGTCATCCGACATCTGCAGAACCAGGAAAGCCAGTGGTGTAATTCAGTCCAAGTTCTAAGGCTTCAGAACAAAGGACCTGTTGGTATAAGTCCCAGTCTGAGTCTGAAGGTCTGAGAACCAGGATCACTGATGTTCAAGGGCAGGAGAACATGAATGTCCTAGCTCAAACAGACAGAATTTGCTCCTCTTCCACCATTTGTTTTCTTCAGGCCCTCAATGGTTGGGTGATGCCTGCCCTCACTGGTGAGGGTGATATTTTTTACTCAGTCTTCCAATTCAAATGCTAATCTCTCCTAGAAATATTATTAATCTGGGCATCCCTTAGCTCAGTCAAGTTTACACATAAAATCAATCATCATAGAGTCTAATTGTCTAAACTTTGTGTTTGTGATTATCTTTGATGTCTCTGTGTGAAAAAATTTCTCTTCGGGCCCTTGAACTTTTACTGATAGAGTGAATCTCTGATTTATCATCAGTCCAAAGTTTCACACAGATGAAACACTTCAATGCCCACAGTGAAATTCAGGGTCCTATTAGATAGCAGAAACAGAAGCAGATTAGTAAAATGGACAAATACATGCTACAAATGCCCTATATTATCCAGCTTCTAATCTGTAAATTTCATTTGCTTTCCTTTCCCTCTAAATCATTAAACTCAATTTTTTTCGAGTCTTAGAGATTTGCATTTGATGGTATTCTACTTGAAATGTTCTCTCAAAATGTTGCATTATGTGTCACTTAAAATTCTCAAGCATTGTGCTCAAGTAGATGTTCTGCAGAGAAATATTTCCTCACCATCCAATCTAAAAGTGTTTTCACTTTTCCTGATGCTCCGCTGATTTACTTCATAGTTCCAGTCAATATTGGTAATGTATATATTTATTTCTAAATAAGGTTTATTCTCAACCCACTAGACTAGAATTTAAAGTCTGTAAAACTATGGAACTTTTATATATTGATTGCTGCCTCGTAGAGTATTCACACATATAATATAATCAGTAAGTTTTTGTTAAATGATTATATTGAAAATTCCCTATTAGATTTTATGTTCCTGAAGTTTTTTTTTGTCATGGTAGCCTGCAGTGTTCTCTTATTGATGGCTTTTTACATAAACCTGAATGAATCATCAAGCTGTTGAGCCCTTGGTCATCCCAAGTACCAGTCTCTCTATTTCCCTCTCTTTGTCATTGAATATCCATGGTCTTGTGTTCCCAGGAGACAACCACAATTCTCTGAGCCTCACTATACAAAGAAAAAAGAAAAAGAGGAAGGGATGTTGAGAGAGAGAGAGAGAGAGAGAGAGAGACCCATGAATCCATTAGGTATTTTCCTAAACATTCAGCAGGTGTTGCCCAAAGGATTCTGGATTCCAGGGCAAATTATGGTTAGCTTTTAAAATGCCATTTTGAAAATTCTTTTTAATTATATTTTGGCAGAAATTTTATAAAAGATGGCACTTACACATTAGCAATTTTAAAATGTGAATTGGATAAACTCTTAGTCTATAAGTGCAATACACACTCATCTGAGAAAACTTTTCAGTATAAAATAGATTATAAGTTTTCCATAACAGAAACATAGATGGCTATTAAATGTTTGATATATTTCTATGCACATTAGACGGATACTAAGTATTCTATATGTAATATGCTTTCCCTTCCCAAATATAAAATAAAAATTCTCCATGTCATTTTATACCTTTAAAGGCATTCGTTTCATAAAATATTAAAATTTATTTAAGTTTCCTCTTACTGAATATTTAGGTTGTTTCTTTTTGTTTGTGTGTTCAGTGCCTATTTTGCATCAGTTTTATTTTGTTCATATCTGTGTAGGTTTATAGGATAAATTCTTGGTAGACGAATTGAATTACTAGGTGAAAAGCATATCAGTTTTCATGGATATTGACAAGTTTTGCTTCAGAGAAAATGTCCCTCTTTTTACATCTATCAGAAATAGAACAAAGTACTAGACTTCTCCTATGCACCGAAACTCTGCATAAAAAACTTTTGTTTTTCTTGTACAACATATTAAGTGAAAAATATTAGAGCAAATATTCCTTTTTCCCAGTCCTGTATGCCTCAAAATCTAAGATCAAGCATCTGGCTGATTCAATTCCTGGTGAGGGCCTCCTTCCTAGCTTTTAGGCAGCCATCTTCTTGCTGTGTCCTCACTGGTGGGCTGAGGAGGAGAGCAAGCTCTCTACTCTCTTCTTAAAAGGGCGCTAATCCCAGTATGAAGAACCCACCATCAAGACTCATCTAAACCTAACTAACTCCCCAAATCCCCATCTCCAAATACCATCACATTGAGGGGTAGGGCTTCAATATATGAATTTTCAGGGAAGACTTTCAATGCATAACATGGTCCGAATCACAAGGATTGTGGTGGCGATCTTCATCTCCATGTGATCAAGGATTTCTTAACAAGCAGCAAACAGAGTTAATCTGGTCCCAGTGGTAGAAGAGTAGCCCGTTAGTCATCCTGGTATTTTAGCATGGAGCTATAATAACTCTGCCTACGTGAAATCTTTGTTATATGTGAAATGCAGCTGCTGCTAATTTCTTCTGCTTATTCTTGTGGCTTAAAGTATAAGCTGCTTTACATTCTTCTTAGTGTCCAACACTGATTCCATGGCCTCATTTTTAGCCCAGGGAGGAGGAACAACAGTTCTTTTGATGAATCTCTCATTCCCTTTCAAGGCTTAGAGTGAAATATGAAATAAAGGGACACTGACTAATTTTCTATGTTCAAGTCTCTTTCTTCACTCATTTTTGGTAAAAAGTGTATTTATGAGTTTAATGTGCTTCTCCTTTACTCCTAATCTCTCTCGATCATCTTGCTTTAAGAGAAAAAAGACAATTGCAAACTCATCTTCTGCAGTACACATTTATGTTAGGCTATTTATTTTTAACTTTCTGCCATGAAGAAATTCCATCTTCCTAAATACTAGTCTATTTTCCTTAGAATGTTACTGGGAATGCTGTGTTGAGATGAATCCTTTAATCAAGGAGATCAACAGAGCTGGAGCTCTGGACCAGCAATCTCAGTTATTGTGATAATGAGCAAAGAATTGCAAAAACCAAAATGCAAGCTTAAAGCAAAGTTTATTAAAACACAGTAATACACTCTCAGAGGGAGAGTGGGCTGATTTCTCTGAAGTGAAATCAGCACTTCTTTACAAAACTCAAGATGCCTTTATGGGGTTTATGGGAAGGAGTTGAAATTTGGGCTGTGTCTGAGGGACAGGATGATGTTGTTTGATTGGCAGTTTATGGTTATGTAACTAAAACTAAACTGCGCATGTTCCTACCCATAATTCATACAGAAAAGCCCACTGGGGTGGGGAAAGGAAACCACATGTAAATTTTATTATAATGATAGCATAACGAGTGTAGGGTTAACCTGATACAGTTTTAGCTTACTGGGCATGTGCCACTTTAGGGGATTTTCACCTGTGCCCTAGTTTTTCTTTTTCCAGGATGTGCTGGCCACAAACTTTACCACAGATTCCATGCATTAAGGTGGAGTTAAGGCTATTTGGGGGCTGAATTCAGATGAGCCAGGGACTGTCTTAGTGACAGCCATTTTGCATTTTGCTCTCCTGTTTTGCCCCCTTCCAGCTGCTAATGTCTGTCTAACTACCTAACAGGAACATAATTCACTACCATGCAACTTTTGAAAACTCTTGAAATACCTCGGCAATTTTAGTATCATATACCATTCCATCTTGAAATGGGCAGTGAGTAGGGGCAAATTTACTTGCAATAAGAATAACATTCAATTAATTACATCCAAGAAAAAGTGTAGCAATATGCAAACATGGCTAAAAAGTAATGAGTTGGACCCACAGGTCATGCATAAATTCTGCCTTTTTAATTTGTACTAGAGTAACTTGTTTGGGAAATTTAATAATAATAGAACATTTATTTGAATATGTTAAGTTTAAGTGATTAATATAGGCGAAGTTAGGCATTTACTGAAGACATTTTTAGTCAACACAGAAAGGTATATGAGAAAATTTGTGTTCATCGTAGGTCAATTCCTTATCTAAAGGTCTCCTCAAAGTAAAATTTTTGTGGTTAGGCTGCATTTTATTTTGCTATTGCTTTGAGAATGGGTTGAAGATATTCCAAAGACTAGTTTCTATGTACCATGTTCAAATTAATTAAGACGTATTCAAACAGAAAGTTTTGTTAGAGAAATCTCATGTGTATTTATCACCAAAAGGAACTTTGATGACAATAATGAGAAAGCTAGCTATATAAGGACTATATAACTAAACAGCTAAAGAAGTTCAAAGTAATGAAGCATCCACAAAAATAGATATTCTAAGATAAACCTAGTGTTATGGCTATTCTTCCAAATCAAAATCTAAGAAAGATAAATTATATCTAAATATCACATTATAAGTTTTATATAATTAAATAGGCATGTCATGAAAGCCTAGATAAGTGAAATTTTAGATATTGTTTCTAATTATTACAATCAATTAGACATTTATTCAATAACCCACTTTCCAGTTTTGTAAACTGAAAGATACAATATATTTATAATTGTTTTCAATTATCTGTTTTGGTAAAAACACTTCCATAGAATGTGTCTTCTCATTAATTATCTCTAAACTGTGAACAAACTGTTTTAACTTTAGTACTTATTTTTAATCTAAGAAAAGTGATAAAATTGACCTGCCCAAATTAGATTTAAACTCTGAGTGTGTTTGGTAGCCATATTTAATTGAATATAACCTATGTATTGAATACTTTTCATACATTTTTCTCTGCTTTTTATTATGCTCATTTACAAATGAAGAAACTGGAACTCAAAGTTATATGAGTGAGCCATAGCATACAAAGGAAAAAAGAACCAAGATTCAAATGGAAATCAGATTCTATTCAATTCTGCTTCCAGAATGGAACTTCCAAAACTTTTAAGAGAATTGAATGAATGCTTAATAGATATTTGTTTTCTTACATCTTTTATATGGATTAGTAATAAAATACATACAAATGTTTGTATCTAAATATGGAAAATTTTTTGATTAAACAATTTAACTTTTCTTATTTAATTATATGATCACTAACCAAAGGTATAAATTGAAGAAATTGATATTTATATTCCAAATATTTCAGGATTGTTATCATAGACAAGTCAGATTTGTTGTATATGAGATCAGAATCTGAGTTTAGTTTAATTATGGAAATTAGAAGCATTAGCCTAAAATATATATTAGAAATCTTATCATTTAAAAAAATACACTGGTGAACACTGGTTTATATTTTAAGGTCTCTAATTTCAGTGTAATTTGAATTTCCTCTTGTGTTATTTAGTCATATAATAGTTGATGATAATAAACTGTTTATTTTGTATAGATCATAATTTCTATTTTTGTTTTATATATGGAATGATTAAGAAGGGGTCATACTTTAGTATCTGGTGATAAAGTGGTGATCATAATTGAAAAGGCTCTGCCTCATACACTTATATTCTACTGGTTACCCCCAAGAAATGTGCATGTGTGTGTGCTCAAAGTGGAACAAGTAACAAATACATATTGTTCAGGTGATATAACTGAAAATATAGTGAGAGGAAATAACCAGATGTATGTATGACCATGTAGTATTAAAATAACATCTTATCAAGAACCTGAAGGACTTGAAGAAGTGAGCATGTCAATATTTGGAGAAAGTGTGTTGTCTGCAAAAGAAACAAGTGCAAACATTCTGCAATGGAATGGTTCTTGGCATACTTAGAGTATAGCAAAAAGGTTCATGCAGGTGGGGTGAAGCAATTGGAGTAGGGTAAGAGTGGAGGGGAGAAGTAGGAAAGGAGGATAGAAATAAAAGGCAATCAGATTATCAACTAATAGGGCAAAGACCTTGGCTTTTACTCTGAGTGAAATGGAAAGCTATTGGAGAGTTTTCAGTAGAACTCTCATAATGGACACGTGGGTTGTTTCCATATTTTAGCTATGTGGTGAATAATGCTACAATAAACATAGAAGTGCTGATATCTCTTTGAAATTCTGATTTGAATTCTTTTGGATATATATCCAGAGGCGGGATTGCTATATTATATGGTAGTTCTACCTTTTAAATATTTTTTTAGAATCTCTATACTCTTTTCCATTGCTTCTCCACTATTTTATATTACCACCAACAGCAATCAAGGTTCTAATTTCTCCATATCCTAACCAACACCTTCTTTTTCAATAATAGTCATCCTAACAAGTGTGAAGTGATATCTCATTGTAATTTTTATTTGTATTTCCCTGATAATTAATGATATTGAACACCTATTGATATACCTGTTGGTCATTTGTATGTCTTCTTTGGAAAAATATCCATTCAAAGCACAGGCAACAAAAGCAAAACTAGACAGATAGTGGGCCCACATCATTCTAAAAAGCCTCTGCATGGCAAAGGAAACAATAAACATTATGAAAAGAAAAGCTATGAAATGAGAGAACATATTTGCACACCATATATCTGATAAAAGGTTAATTTCCAAAAATAAAAGGAACCCACCCAACTCAATAGCACAGAAACAAATAACCCGATTTTAAAAAGAAAGAACTTGAAAAAACATTTCTCAGTTTCTTAATCTATAAATAGGAAAAAGCAATATTATCAAACCACCATTAAAATTTAATGTAAAGTGTATTTTTATATAAGAAAACATTTTATTTTTGTTCTTTTGAAAACATCAGCAAGTTTTGATGATCTGATTAGACTAATACTTGATAAGATTAAGTAGTGAAAAATCATTTATAACACCCTCCCTTTCCAATTTCTTTTTCTTTTTCTATGCTTCCTCGTATGAGTGAAATCACACATTCTTTGGTACTCCCCCTAAGACTGCCTTTCTACTGCAATCTCTTTCTTCTGGATCCTACTCCCTTCTTCCCAATAAAGGGAAATACTGACCATATGGAGTATTTACCATTCACATTGAAGGGTATGTCATGATATTACTTATAGTATTCTTTCTATTTTAGAAGTAGAATAGTATACATTATTTAAAATCAAAGGCTAAATTTCTAATGATAGACTTTCAAAATGATTTAATACCTCATGGAAAGAATGTCTTAGATACTGGGTCAGGTGAGCTACATTTCTAAGTGATCTAAAGGGTTTTGCTAAGAATATATTTGCCCTGGCTCTATTCCCATCTGTGCAAATATGTGTTGTTCTCCGTCAGGCAGGAACACCAGCCTGGATTTTCTGGAGCTTAGTTTGGATGAAGGGAAGAGTGCATTCTTACTTACCCTCAAATCACACTCAGTGGTGGCTGGCTGTTTTTATAGAGTCTTATAGTCAGAGTTCATTTGAATCATCTGGGTTTCATTAGGGTTACCATTAATCTAATCACAATCTGTGTAGTTCCCAAGAGGAATAACTGATATTTAAGTCTTCCCCGGTAAGGTTATCTGTGTTTATTCTGCCTAAATTGCATCCCTGCTTGGAAGTAAGAGGGTCAGTGTAAAACATCAAAGGGCATTGGACCAAACCTGAATTTATAGCTCTACAATATCATACCTCAGTTATAGCTTACTAACATTTGTGTATGTCTTGGTGGAAACATGAGTCACAAATAATGATTAGTTTGGAAAGACTGAGAAAGTTCTCCTATAAAACAATTTGCCAACAATATTGTTGTCTAGTAAAGATGCAGTAATGTAAGAACGACTAATAACTGATAATTGACAAATTACTAACTTATCTGTCTTGAATATGAGAATGACTACACATACTTTGCAAGGTTATTGTGAAGATCAGTTTGTTAAATGGATATACTATTCTGAATACAATGCCTATTTTGAACATTACACATCAATTTTTACACAGCACCAAACCCATTTCCCTCAAACCATATGCTATCGTAACAAGGTAACCTGATCATAATTTCTCCAATTTAAATGTTTTTGAGTCTTTTACTCTATACCATAGTGATTATAATCATTATAATCTTAACACTTATGTAGCTAACCTGAAAATAGTTGGCTTTAAATATCTATTTGTGTGAATTAAGTAAGGTCACCTGTGTCTTGGGTGCAGTTAAACGTGTCTGAGAGTCATTCATGAAGTAAATATTGATACAATAATAATAAGAAAGGCAAGAAGTAATTCTTATGCTTCTCCTTGTCTTTACAACAACAGCAAAAAAAATTACACAGGTTTTTATTACATGGATGGAGGTTAAAAAAAAAGAGAAGGAAACACTGGATAGTTGATCTTCAACAGAAATAACTTCAGGAAGTCACAAAGCAGTAGATACATTTATCCCAATAAAATAAAGCTATATAATCTGTATACAAATAGATAGATACACATCTGGGAAGTAAATGATGTAGCAGAAAAGAAAGAAAGAAAAAGAGAAATGCAAAAATGATAGGTAATGGCAAAAGAGGCTATTTGGAAACTGAATATATTTTTTCAGGCTTTTATGTGGTGCTTTCCATTGTAGTATCTGAAAGCCACACCTTCCTATCTATTTGCCTGTCTATAAACCTGTAGTGAAGTCTTATAATTTTATTTTGCCTCAGCATTCATTTTGAATGTAAGTTGAACTTTCTTATGCAGGAAATAGGGCTTAGTCATCCTTGACACAGTTTTTGGCTCTCCATCTCCTCTCAGTTCCTCAAGATGGTAGATCCAGATGTCTGCCTTATACAACCACCTCCTGGTGACCATTTCCCTACAGGAAGCTTGGTACAAGCTACTTGAGTCCCCCACCGAGCCCCACATCCTCACAAATATGCTATAGTGACCATTTCTTGGTGACATCATGATTCTATGGAACTTGTACCTGCTTGCTATTAACTTATCAAATAGAACTCCATGCAGGGAAACCTGCTTGGTTAACACGCAGGACCCCATCAAAGACACTGGGCCTCAGGTCCCTCCTTCCTTCTCCCCATTCTTGCTCCTCACCTTCTGGTTGAGCATGCATGTTCTGAATGGCTGCCCCCTTCCCCATGGCCCTCCTTCTGGGAACTGTAATAAAAAATACTTCTTCAGAGAGTAAAATGATGGATACAGAGGCAGGGTATTTGGGAGGAATGTGGAGATGATAGACAAAGGGTACAAAAATCTCAGTTAAACAGGAGGAATAAGTTAGTTTTCATTGAGATCTATTGCACAGGGGGTAAATACAGTTAATAATAGTGTATTGTACATTTCGATATTACTAAGAAAGTAAATTTCAAATGTTCTCAAAACAAAAAATAAATATTTGAGGTCATAAAAATGACAAATATTTGAGGTTGATTGAATTATTTCACACTGTTCTCAGATATCATATCATTTTGTACCCCATAAACATACACAATTATAAATTGTCAATTAACAATACAATTTTTAAAAAGCAAGTATTATAGAAAAGATGCTTCTCTAATTTCATGTGTTTCGGTGTGCTTCTTCCTCTGTGTCTTATTTGATTGACATGCTTAAATCTAACTGTCTTCCCAATCAGGGCTCTCCCAGAGAGTAGTTATCTGAGTAGAATAAACTAGACACGGGTCAGACGAGAGCCACAAGGGTATCTGCCAGTATAAATAAGTTTCTGTGAGAGGGACACCTGATTACAGGTCAGACACGCAGGCACTAGAACATCAACCTGGATAAGGAAGTATCCTGTGAGAGGCACACTGTAAACATCCATGAACATCTCTCCTGGAGCCCTGGCAGGGCAGAGCTGGAATATATAGCCACTCTCCAGAGAGAGAACTCAAGACTAAGCATTTGGAAAACGATATACTTTCTACTGAAGATAAAACTAGAACAGGCCGGGCGCGGTGGCTCACGCCTGTAATCCCAGCACTTTGGGAGGCCGAGGCGGGTGGATCATGAGGTCAGGAGATCGAGACCATCCTGGCTAACAAGGTGAAACCCCGTCTCTACTAAAAATACAAAAAATTAGCCGGGCGCGGTGGCGGGTGCCTGTAGTCCCAGCTACTCGGGAGGCTGAGGCAGGAGAATGGCGTGAACCCGGGAAGCGGAGCTTGCAGTGAGCCGAGATTGCGCCACTGCAGTCCGCAGTCCGGCCTGGGCGACAGAGCGAGACTCCGTCTCAAAAAAAAAAAAAAAAAACTAGAACAAAAATATGGCAAGCTTGAAAGTATTTGGAGCATATTATTTACCATTTAGCGCACCCGGTTTTCAAATTGATAAGAAAGTTTATAATGCAGTTTCTTAACGTAGAATGCTATTAGATAATGATGGGTAGGAAATGAAACCAGGCATTCATATAAAGTTCTTTCTTGAAAGAGTTATTCTTTTGCAGCTTCATTGTTATGTTGGAAGAATCAGGATTTGTCTGTGCTGAAAGAGATTCTTTAGTCATGTTATTTACCTACAGCCTTTCCCTTTCAAGCCATTTCTGATTTTGACCTTAGTCTGAGCCAGCAATTTGGATCAGCTCCACTTAAAATGGGATCTGTTTATACTTCCCTGTTTTAATCAGCCTTAGAGTGAAATTGGAATGGAAGGCATAATCATTTGATGATGCCAATGTTTGCCAGTCTGTCTCACCAGCTTGAGTCCATGGAAGAGATGATTTTGAAGTAAAAAGGTTCCTCCATTTACTAAGCAAACAGAGGGAGGTAAGTAGTATTTTCCCACAAATGTATAAGTGGTTTCTTCCTTCACATACTGGAGAGAATCACTGACTGAGTTCTCCACAGTAATGTTCCACGATTCATTTTTAATAAAGTTGTTTATTTCAGAGTATAAGCTTCACATTTGTACCAAATACAGAAACCAGCACAGGAGGTGAAAAAAGCTGTTCTGCTGTAATAGTGTAATTTGTTTCCTGGCCATTAAATGAGAATGCTGGGATTTTAATTCCACTATTTGGTTTCCAGCATCTACTATAATTAATTTTCTCTTATTTTGTTGCTATAGAATCAAATGGAAACTAATGATGTGGAACCCAGTGTTGTCAAGGCTGTGATGAGCTTCATCTACGAGGTGGGGAAGCTCCTCCATCTGACAAAATGGCAGATGACTTGAGTAGGTTCTGACAATGCCGGGGTCCTGTGCCTTGTGGCAATGTTCTGCTCGAATTAGGCCACCTAGGGATTTCAGTTCCAAACCAAAGCTGTTTTAAATCTTTCACTCGCTTGCTGCTGTACTCCTTCGTCAGCTTCATAACATATTAACTTTTTTATATGCACTTTCTTTATCTGACTTTTTAAGAACTATAAAGTTTATGGCATCCTAATAAATGTTTCAGTGTCTCTTGATGCCATCACATTGACATGTAAAGGTGTTTTTAAAATCACCATAAAATTGATTTTATAGATGCAATATTCTAATTGATGAAAGAAGATTATGAACCTTTTTTCTGATTCTAAAATATTCAGCAAGAAGTCATTTAATTTCTCAGAAGGCAGAAAGAGCACTAAACCAAAATACTTCTGTTGACTATTAATAGCAAGAGAAAATCTCTTGATTAGGTTGAAGTGAGAACAATTGAGAATGTGACTATGCCATTTTAGAGCTTGTGAAAATCAGAGAAAGGAATTTGGGACATTGCTGCAATAAGATACTTTTCTAATGCTATATAGATAGTCAAGAGAGTATTAAACTCAAACTTATAAAGGCCAATAAGGAGAGGTTGATATAGATACTAAGAGAACTCTTCTGTGAGCTTAAGAAATCTTGAGATTCAACAATCCTTTATCACTGGAAATTCTTTTTTTTTTCCATCACTGAAAATTTTAACAGGAATATTATTGAAGGTAACCCTGTGAAAGTTATATCTAAACAATAGAGGAAGAGTTAGAAGTGATATGATGAGGGAGAGAAGGGGAGAGAGGTGTTCCAGAAAGAAAAAAGAGAAAAAGAATATGCCATCTTGGAGGAAGCTATGAGAGACCAATATGGATGGAATGTAGTTGTAAGAAAAAATCGAATGGTACAAAAAGAGAAAAGCAAGGACGGCAGAGACAAGATTTTGCAAGCCTTGATGTAGGCAGTTCTAAAGATGTTTACCCTTTATTTTAATTGCAATGGGAAGCCTTTGACAAGTTTTAGGATGGGAGTGGCAA
This sequence comes from Homo sapiens, assembly GCF_000001405.40. Taxonomy (NCBI): domain Eukaryota; kingdom Metazoa; phylum Chordata; class Mammalia; order Primates; family Hominidae; genus Homo; species Homo sapiens. The sequence goes on along the minus strand of NC_000007.14, from coordinate 9,320,030 downwards.
TATCAAATTTCAAGTTTACTAAGGTCATTCTAATTGGATTCTGGGAAATAGTTGCAGAGAGAATGTTAAAAGCATGGAAAGATGTGAGAAATCCATTGTAATATCCTTCACAAGCAAAGGTGATGTTTTCAACTAGAGTAATATCGGTAGAAAAAGAGAGAAGCAGATGGATTCAGTTACTTAGAGGCCAAAGAACAAAATTTGATAGGAAGGCATAGGAAGATACCTTATCCCAGGTTCTTCTGAAAACAGTCTGAGGAGGACTAAATTGTTGATGCTTTATTTCAGAAGTACATTTGCAGGACAATAAAAAAGGGAATGAGGTTAGGAAATACCCACTTTGCAGTGGCCACACTATTAATTACCTTTCAAGATGATCTCTCAAGAGACACAGGAATTTGCCCTGTAGATATATTCACTGATCTAATAAAACTTCTCCAAAGGGGTTCCAAAAAGAAACTGCTTAAGACTTTTTTCACAAGAGTGAGGGGAAAGGGAATTTGCCTAATTTTCCCCCATTCTTGTTTCACAATGGTCAAAATCCTCTCCATATGGAGTGTATTCCCCTGCAATGCTAAAGGGATATAAGGACAGGCAACTAATTTTATGTCCAATACAGTCTTAAATAAATTCTACTTGAGCAATGGGGTAAATGGTGGTGTCATTTACCATGATGAGAAATAGGGGAAGAAGTTTATGCTTTGCAGATTAGCTAAGTAATATTCTGCACACGTGAAATTTCAGATACTCATGAAATACATGGATAATACTCCAATGTATATCCAAGAAGAGGGATTAATAAGGTTCAAAGCCCAGAGTACAGTTGACATATTGAAGGCAATTGAAGCCATGGAGTGTGCAGGATGCATCACCCACCACCACTATCAGTAGGAGAGTTTAAATAAGCCAAAAAAGACCAAAGGAAAAATACTGAAAAATGTTTCAATATTTATGGTTAGTTAGAAAATAAGAATTTAAAGAATAAAGTGAACAGAAAGTTTGAATAAAGCCACAGCTATGTCTGATCAGAGACAAAAGGTAAAAGTATAATAATGATGCAGTGATAAGATACACTGAACACTGTTGAAAGATTGAGAACAGGATTCTGAAACACAGTGGTCACTGAAAATTTTAGGGAGTTATGACAGTCATGTATATGGAATTCAGGTTGAAATTGTCTGGGTAACAACTGAGAGATAGTGAAATAATAAAAGCAACCAAAGACATCTAGTTGAGTATTTGTTTTAACAAGAAAGAGACTAGAGCATGTTTACCTGCTATTGGGGAAAAGGCAGTAGAAAATGAAAATTGAAAATAAAGATTTATAATCAAGAACACAGAATCTGTGAAATGTGAAAAAATCTATATTTAGAGCCCAGCTAGATAGGTTATTCTTAGGTAGCAGAAGAAACACATCCTTTATTGTTAATATAAAAATTATAGGAGAAAGAGACTAATGATAGATACATATATGTATGTCTATTTGATCTTTCCTCCTGATTAGCACTGTTTTTAAATACTGTTTTCTTTGAGGCATGAATACAGAGAATCTGCTAAAATGACATAGTGACTCTGAAGCTGGGCCCTACATTTTGAAATGAGTAGAAATATTTGAAATATTTTTGATGCAGTGGGAAATTATTGGAATACAGATAAACACAGTTACCAGGCAAATTATTCAGGTTGCTGATATGGGTTGAATTATGTTCCCCCACAAAAGATGTTGTAGCTCTTACCACCAGTACCTCAGAATGTGACTTTAGTTGGAGACAGGGTCTTTATACAGATATTCAAGTTAAAATAATGTCATTAGTGTGGGCCCTAATCTAATATACTTGGTGTTCTCATAAAGAGATAAATTTTGACAAAGAGAAATATATGCATGAAAGGAAGATGACATGAAGACACAATGGGAGAAGACAGGCCTCTTCAAGCCAAAGCCAAGGAGAGAGGTCTGGAGATTTTTCCCTCACAGTCCGCAGAAGGAACCAACCCTGTTGACATCTTAATTTCGTAGTTCTGTGCTATAAAACTTAAGTCGAGGAATTTCTGTTGTTTAAGCCACTCAGTTTGTAGTGCTTTGTTAAGGCACCCCTAACAAACTGAAACAGTGGTGTGCATAAATTTATTGTCACCAATCTACCCAACAGGGAGATTTTCTTCACAGCATAATAAGAGGTATGCATTTTGCACTCCTCCGGTGTAGGTTTTGTTCATAGCTTTAACAAATGGAAAAAAGAACAAGAGCACTGAGGATGTTGTTAAGAATGAATCCTTAATCTTAGGAACCATGGATCTAAACAGAAACGGAGAAAAAGTCAAGAAGCCCTGAAACATATGAAGACAGCAAGGATTCTAATAAGGTAAAAAGAATTATATAAACAGGGATTATTATTACAAGTTATAGCCAAGGTGGAAACAATTAGGCAAAAAAATGTGTGTATATATATATATGTTTTGACTCTAAAAAGTCAAAATATACATAAAATAGGGAAAGCATGGAAAAACTATTTTCCAGTCCCAATTCAAAAGTCACTTCCTCTTTGAAGCCTTCCCGATTTCCCTAGTAAACTCAGTCACTTCCTCCTGTACATGTCCTCAAATATGCATTTCCTTTTAATTGAACTTTTCAACTTGAAGAATGTTTACTCAAGATATGCTCTCTGATGTATATACCTGATGTATTCAATCAGGTATGAAGACTTTCTGTCATATAACATTAGGTGCCTAGCACTTATTAAACTGTATTAAATGAAATACTGACATTATAAAAAACTAAAAGAATTGATATTTGTAACACAGAAACAAAATAAAGGAAGATAATGGAAAGATCAGGTCTGCTGTTCAGCCCTCATGTTGTCACGTTAGCAGATAATGGAAAGTAGAATTACTCAACTATTTTGCCTCCATCTTTTCTGTCAAAAGGAATGAGCACCAGGATGAAATTCAGACCTAGCTATTGAAAGAGGGAATTGAAGCCGGATATAAATGAGGAGATAGTATGAAACCAGGTAACTGCTCTAAATGAATTTGTCTCCTGGCCAGAATGAGTTATTTCCCAGACTACTGAGAAAGCCTAAGTTAAAATTATTGAACTGTTCTTCATGATGTTTAAAAAATTATAGAGAGCAGACAAGCTGCTTGAAAACTAGCAATGGATAGCTATCCTGGTTTTAAAAAATGGAGGAAATTACAGATTTAAATGATAGATATTAATGTCAGTGACTATTTGTAGCCGAGACTATGAAAGCATGATTTAAGAATAGGAACAGAGGAAAAGAAGCCTTCATAAGTCCTGGAAGAATAAGACATGCCAGATTAACTTCTAAACCAAACCAAGTAATCTGATTTCAAAGTCATGCATTGAGTCTCCATGCTTTGGATTCATTGACTTATTTATTTATCCATGTCTACTTTTTCCAAAAGTTATTAGAGAGCATATTTCCAGTTTATGTCTTATGTAAACAACTGTCTAAGAGGCAGATGTGACAATGTAGATTCTTTTCTACATTTCAGCACATGATCTAATAAGTTTCTCATAATTTGATTTCAAAAAAGAGGGTAAACATGTGCTATAAGTAATACTGTAATTAGGAATATTATTGATGGTCATGTCAACATAGCATAAAATTAAAATACCAACTTTGGAACCCAGTTGCTAATAGTTGAATCCTTACTCTGCCACCATCTAAATATTTTATCTCAGGCCAAGCACTTTACCTTCCTGTGCCTTAGTTTTATCATTTACGAAAGAGGATTCTAATAATATTAACCAGAGGCGTCGTTGTAAGAATTTGCAAATGTTACCTGGAGAACTCAGTATGAGATTTGACGCATCATAATCACTCAAAATGCCATTACTTTTTCTGAATTATTTAGATTGCCAATTTAAAGGGTCTATATACCTGTACTCCTCCTAAAATACATTTTTTATCAATTATTGGGTAAAAAATATCAATTACCTGTTGACTAAATTTAAGAATGGCATGAAGCTAAGATGTCAAGGACTGATATAGTAACATATGAACCAAATTGTTTTTGCAACCAGAGACAGTAAAAGTAATCTTCTGAGGTAAAATGTTTGGAGATGGAAAAAAGTTATTTAATGCCACAAAATATCATACAGCATATTCAATGAAGACAGTGGTTTACTGGACAAACCTGCCATAAAAAAAATTAGCGAAATCCGTTATTCATTTAAATACAAACTTAGCTTATTCATATAAAGCACTAAAAAGTGTTTTTCCATGATCACTTTACCCAGTAAATATAAGTGTAAATATCCAATGCTCACTTGAAGACCACGTGAATGGAAGTATATGGCCCTTGGGCCAAAGAGAGAGCAAAGAGGCTGTCTCAGCAAGCTTAATGGCAACCATTTAAACATTCTTTGATTAATCTAATTCCAATCGTTACTAAAAAATATGAAAACGTATCTGTCAAAATAAATATGTCTATGTTCATAATAAAATGCATATTAATTATATATGTTATATTAAATCATGTATTACAAAATGCATTTTGATATACTTTTATATAACTAATATTTAACATTATGATATTGTAGAATTACATATATTTATATATAAGTAAACGTACATTCATATTTAAAGATTATATGGGTATGTTAATTATTGATGTCTATTTAACATATACTTATTTTATAATTTTACATAAAAAATAACATATGTATTATTCTGTATTTTGTTAGGTGAAATTATACATTTAAATATGTAAATTAAACTAAACGTATTTTGATAAAATTTAATTTAGTTTTTAATGTTTTACTTTGTTAATATATGCTTATCTATACTACCAAGTTACACTTTATTAAAATAAAGGTATTACACCTTCTTCTGGCTCTATAGATGAATATCTTTTTTTCTCTATTAAAGGTAGTACCTTAAAGGAGAAAGTCAAAGTAGGGCCTAGAAATATTTTAGGAACTATCCTGTTTACTCAATACATTAATAACAAGTAAACAGTTAACACATTCTTGTTACAAGATGTTAATAGATTCAATTTATTAAATCATATTTGTTCCTTCCCTGTCCATTGCAAAATCCCATTACTACAATCATTTCCATTAATTATTATTTTTGAGAGTTTACTTGAGCATGTCATCATAGCAATGCTATCGATACTGTCTAGATGATTATTGAATAAATCTTGACACTAAGAATAGTTATGATGTGTGCCAGAGCAGCATGCCATCACGTTTCTTCAAGAAACAGGCAGATGGAGAATTGTTCTCGGTTAATCAGCAGGCTACTCATAAGCTTTTCCTTTTCTTCACTCTGACCTAGCCTTATGGTTTTTTGTAAAGTTAAAACCATGGCTGAATTACAAGTGAGACTGAAAAGTTGATTATTAAGGGTAATATGTGTTTTGTTTTTACTGTGTCTTTTCTTCAAAGACAAATACAATATTCTTCCACAACACTGGTTGTGACTCTGAGCCAAAGTTGCCTGTCACAGGAAGAATATTGTATTTGTCTTTGAAGAAGAGACACAGTAAAAACAAAACATATATTATCCTTAATAATCAACTTTTCAGTCTCACTTGTAATTCAGCCATGGTTTTAATTTTACAAAAAAACCATAAGAAAAAGAAAAAGCTTTTGTATGATGTTTTTGCCTTATTTATCTCAGTACATTTTTCAATTTCAATTTTTATTTTTTCTTTGATTACTGGCTGTTCAAGATTCTGTTGTTTAATTTCCACATATTTGTGAAATTTCCCATTTTGCTTCTGTTGTTTATTTCTTGGTTTTTTCCATTGTGGTCAGAAAAGATAGGTGGCGTAACTTCAGTCTTCTTAAATTTTATACTTGCTTTGTAACCCAACATGCAATCTATCCTAGTTGTGCTTGAGAAGAATGTGTGTTTTGCTTCTGCTGAGTGAAGTGCTCTGTATATGTCTGCTAGGTCTTTTTGGTCTATAGTGTTATTCACATCTGTTGCTTATTGATTTTACTTCTGGATGTCTTATTCATTACTGAAAGTGGAATATTAAAGTCTGCTACAATTATTGTATTACTATTTCTCCCATAAGTTCTGCCAATGTTTGCTACATATACTTGTTTGCTGTGATGTTAGATGCATATATGTTTATAATTGCCATACGTTCTTGTTAAATTGACCTTTTTATTATTATATATTATTTTGTCTCTTATTAGAATTTTTACATATTTAGCCTGATATCATAAATACTCCCAGTATCTTTTATTTACCATTTGCGTGGTATATCTTTTTTCATCCTTCATTTTCAGCCTATGTGAGTATTTAAAACTAAAGTGAGTCTCTTATATATCATAAACTTAGCTATTGTCTTTTTTCTAATTAATTCAGCTACTCCAGTTGCTTTGATTGGAGAGTTTGATCTATTTATTTTTAAAATAATTATTGATAGTCAAGGATTTATTTTTACTTTATTAATTATTTTCTATATTTCTGGTAATTCTCTTCTCTTTCTTTCCTGCTTTTGCTGCCTTTCTTGTGTTTCATTAATTTTTTGGATTTATATGCTTTCTTTTTTTTCTTTCATGTATATTATATAGGTGTTATTTTATGATCACCATGGGGCTAACATAAAACAACTTAAAGTTATAACAGCCTATTTTGTTGATAACAACTTCACTTCAGTCACAGACAAAACCTCCACAATTTTACTTCTCCCCCCATTTTATATTATTAATATCATAATTTACATCTTTTCATATTAAGTATTCATTAGTGTATTTTATAGTTATTTTAATACTTTTATATATTAGATTATATGCTATAACTAAAAGCGATTTACCCACCACCATTATAGTATTAAAATATTCTGTATTTTCTATATATTTACCTTTACCTTTGACTGCTATACTTTTATATGCTTTTTATTGCTGTTTAGTATCCTTTTATTTCAACTTAAAGAATTCCCTGTAGCAATTTTTTTTCCTAAGGCATATCTAGTGGTGATGAACTTTTCATGTATTGTCTCTGAAAGTCTTTGTCTCCCCTTTATTACTGAAGAACAACCTTACCAGGTATACTATTCTTTATTAACAGAGTTTTTGTGCCTTTGACACTTTGACTATATCATCACACTCCTTTCTAGTGTGCAAGGTTTCTGCTGGTAAGTTATAGGCTCACAGAAATACCTTTATATATTACAAGTTGCTTTACACTTTCTGCTTTCAAAGGTCTCTGTCTTTTAACTTTTGACATTTTGATTATAATGTATCTTGGTATATTACTTTTGGTTAATCTTTTCTGAGATTCATTGGCCTTCCTGGATCTGAATGTCTATTTCTTTCCTCAGAGTTGAGGAATTTCTGGTCATTGCTTCTTCAAATAAGCTTTTTTCTCATTTCTCTCTTTCTTTCCCTTTGCGAACTCTCACAATGTAGATAACGGTCCTCCCCATGGTTTTCTATAAGTTCTTTAAGCTTTCTTTACTCTTTTTCACTGTCTTTTTTGCTTTTCATTTCTCTTTCTGGGTATTCTTTAATTATTATTTTTTTTAAATTTCCTGATTCTTTCTTCTTCTTAATCTATTCTCCAGTTGAACCACATGATTAGATTCTTCTCTTTAGTCATTGTCTTCATGAGTTCCATGACTTCTGTTTGGTAATTTTTATAGATGATTGATATTATTTTATTGCTTCAATTATTTCTTTGATGTTGCATTGTTCTCCTGACTTCACTGAGCAATTTTATGATGGTTTTTTTGAATTCTCATATCTTCATTTTATTAGAGTTGATTTCTGGGACTGAGGTTGTATCTTATTCCTTTATTTGGAACATATTTTCCTGTTTCTTAATTTTCCTTAACAATTTTTGTTTAGGATCTATGCATTATAAAAACAGCCACTTCTAGTCTTCAGCAACTGGTCCCATACAAAGGAAGTCTCTCACCAACTGGCCAGGTAGTGATTCTGGGGACATCTCAAAAATTTACGCACTTTCAAACACCCATCTTTTTCCTAAGTGGTACTCAGGCATCTAGACTGTGCCAGATCCCTTCAGCTCTCTGAGAGAAACCTACCAGAAGCCAGGTACCTGGGGCAACACACAGTAATATTTTAGCATTGCATGTAGGTTTAGTCTTTCTTTCCCACTGTTGGAAGATGCTGGCATCTGTTTTGTTTTTGTTTTTGTTTTCCCCACCTACTTTTCACTAAGCCAGAGAGTGGGACTAAGGCATGTTCTAGCTTGCTTATTGAAATGTAAATCTTTGCTCTCAGTAGCCTCCAGGTGACTAAAGCATAGCAAGTCATATCAGTGCTCTGAGACAGGAAAGACAGAAACCAGTGCCTCAGGTAGTCTTCAGAAAAATCAGAACATTGAGTGTATGGGCTTTCCTTCTCTCCCTAGGGAGAAGCTGGGAGCTGAGGTATTCCCACCTTCTTACTTTGAGCTGAGCCTCAAGTGTGGCTATGGAATGTGCTAGCTTGATAGTTCAAGCCATAGTTATTTTTCTCAGTGACCTTCAGGTTTTGTCAGCAATTTGACAGAAGTGAGGTAGAAGTCATTTTTTCAGGCAACCCTCAGGATAATTAGGATATTGGATATTTGGTGCAGTACTTTTCTTTTCCTTCATAGGGCGAAACTAGGAGTTTCCTTCTAATTATATGGCATCATGCTAGCGGTAAGATGTGAGGGTATCTGAAGTATTCCTACCAGCTTCAAGGTAACTGGTTCCATGCTAGCCCAGATGCAGAAGTCTCCCAACAAGTTTATGGATTTCTTATAAAGGGAATTGTTCCACGTATCACTGTTGAATTGGTGTGTCTGTTGAGGAAAGAAGGGTCCAGGGCTTCCTTCCATTATCTTGCTGACATCACTTTTCTTTCACACATGTGTATCTTAATTGACGTAAAAGAAGCATTTGACAAAATCCAACACACTTTCATGATACATACATTCAACAAACTAGAAATAGAAGTATATATCTAAACATGATAAATGACATTTTTGAGAAACCTATTACTATCATATTCCATAGTGAACGACTGAAAAATTGCCACTTAATTTCAGATACAAGAAAACAATGCCTCTTTTCACCACTTCTATTCAACATTGCCTTGGGAGTTCGAGTAAGAACAAATAGGCAAAATATTAATAATAATAATACTTGAGATTGGAGAGGAAGAAGTAAAATAATCTCTATTCCCATTTGAAATAACTTTATATATAGAAAATCCTAAGAATAAAAAAAACTATTAAACATTTTCAACATGCTTGCAGGATAAATTTCATTACTCAAGAATCGGTTGTATTTCTAGTTATCAGCAATAAACAATCTGAAAATAAAATTTAGATAATTTCATTAACAATATATTAAATATGCATATCATACTTAGGAAAATGTTATCCAAAGAGGTGCAAGCCTTCATAAAAATGTAAAAACAAATTACTGAAAGAAATTAAAAATGTAATATGGTTTAGAATGAAATAATCCCCAAGTTGATTTAAAGATGCAAATCAATCTCTATCGAAATTTAAATTATCCTATTTTATTTTACTTTTTACAGAAATAGAAATGGAAAGCTGGACATAAAATTCATATGGAATTGAAAGGGCCCCAAAATAGACAAAGCAATCATGAAAAAGAACTAGGTTGGACAAGCACACTTCCCAGTTTTAAAACTTACAATAAAATTACAGTAATAAAAACATTGTGAAATTGGCATAAAGAGAGACATGTTGTTGATGGAATAAAAATAAGAGTCTAGAAAAAAACATACATTTATTATCAATCGATTTTCAACAAGGATGCCAAGACAATTCAATGAAGAATAAATAGTCTTTTCAACAAACAGAAATGGTACAATTAGGTGTCTACATGAATAAGAATGTACCCCTACCTCCATCATATACAAAAATTAACTTAAAATGGGTTGAATACCTAAATATAAGGGCTACAGCTAAACATTATTATTAAAAAATAGAAACTAAATCGCCCTGAGCTAGGACTTAGTAATGGGTTCTTAGACATGACCAAATATACAAGCAATGAAACAAACAACAACAAAAAACAGATTGACTTCAAGTTAAATACTGTTGTGCATTAAAAGATACTGTGATGAGGAAAAAAGATATCTTACTGAATGTGAAATATTTGTAAATCTTATACCTCATAAGGGTCTAGACTACAGAATATATAAAGAACTCTTAGAATTCAACAACAAAGAGAGAAGAAACCCAATTAAAAAATGAGCAAATGACTTGAATAGACATCTCTCTAAAGATTTTATTAACTTTTCATTGTTTTTTTAAGTTTATAGCTTTTATATTAATACTTAGCTTAAAAGAAACACATTTTACAGCTGTACAAAAATATTTTGTATCCTTATTTTATAAAATTTTGTCTATTATTTTCTTACTTTTTAAACTTTTTTGTTAAAAACTAAGACAGAAACATACACACTGCCCTAGGCCTACACAAAGAATCATCATCATTGTCTTCCACCTCTGCATCTTTCTTGTCCCACTGGAAGTTCTTCATAGGCAATAGCATGCATGGAGATGTCATCTCCTATGATGACAATCCTTTTTCTTTGAAACACCTCCTGAAGGACATGCCTGAAGTTGTTTTACAGTTAACTTCCTTTAAAGTAGAAGGAGCATATTCTAAAACAATGATAAAAGATATAGTAAATACATAAACCAGTAACAGGGCCACTTATCATCATCAAGTATTAGGTAGTGTGCATAATTATATGTGCTACACTTTTATAGGACTAGCATCACTGTGGGTGTATTTACGACAGCATCACCACACACATGTGAGTAAAGCATTACACTGTGATGCTACAACGTCTATGACTTTGCTAGGTGATAGGAACTATTCAGCTCTATTATAATTTTATAGGACCACTATCATGTAGGCTATTCACCTTTAACCAAAATGTCATCATGTGGTGAATGACTAAATATATATATATATAATATATAATTTACTTAACATTATTAAATAAATGTCAACAAAAATGCATCTAATACCGTATTTTAATGCAATAATAATTTGTACTTTCTCCTAAAATATTTAACAGTACATTTATGAAGTGCTGTCATGATAACTTGAGTCAGCAACAGAAGGGGTTTACACTTTTATAGTGAAAACATTATAGAAGTTATTCAGACTGATTAACCATTCAGATGAATAACAACAAAACAAAAAATTATATAAGAGTAGATAAGTTGTTTATAGTGTTGTAAAATAACTCATTAAATGCCTTATTTAAATAAGATTGTTCCGCTGAATAGCAAAACTGTTCAGAGTCAGATAATTGTTACCTAGGAAAGCCTTTCACTTCTCTTTGCTTTTAGTGTTTAGGTTATTATTATTTTACACATGGAGAAAGGTCAATATGCTACTGTGAGGAACAAGTAAGAAAAGTTATTGTAAAGCATTGTAAAGTATAATGGAGTATGAGTTTACACACAATGGTATGTTTATATGCATTCATGTAAATACACATATATTCATTTATGAATATCCAATATAACTTTTCTTTTAAAATAGAAATAATTTCAGGTAAATCAGATACTCTTATTTGCATGATATTTTAATATTCGTGAAAATTTAGTGAATTTTTAAACTATACCATATGTATTAATGATACGCATAATGATTGGAATAGTTGAAATGACTGAAAAACATGGGTAATTTAATAATAAAGGCAGAGATAACATGAAAAGGAAACAGTACAAGTAAAAATTTTGGCTTATTTTAATTCCCTCTTCATTTTAAGTGACTTTCAACAGTTGAGACTTTCATTTATTTAATTTTTAAAAACCACTCTTGGTATAGGAAATCATCATTTAAAATGTTCCCTTTGTTTTTACTCTTTTGTTCTTATGTGGACACATGGGTGACCATAAGAGTTTTCATTGCTCTCATTTTTTTTTAATTCAGTATATCTACATAGCTTTCTTTGAACTAATTTAAAAACAAAAGTTTAGATAATTAAAAAGATAATGAAAATATATTTATATAGTTCTTAACTAATTTACTTGATGGTATTGAAAAGAATAATAGTTGGGCAGAACATTTTTTCAAGACTTTGCAATTTCTAACGTATAAAGTATTTATTTTTAAAAAGTTAATTTTTTAGTTTATTGTTTAAAATGGGACCACACTTTTTTTCAATGAAAATGGTATCAATAGAGTTTAATTTTAAAAGCCAACTCACATAATTTTATTATAAATTTCCTGAACTGGATATAGTATATTATTTCTAGTTTTACTATTATGTATTACAATCAGCCATGTGCAATTTATATCACGCTGTTATCTGCTTACCAGAATGCAAACTCCCTGATGATATATTCGATCTAAAGCATTATTGTATACATTTTTATTTATACAGAAATGAATGAATAAAATGTAACACCTCACAAACAGTATTAAAAAATTAGGCTCTATAAATAATACTGATTCTGTTGTTTATAGAATCACTATTCTATAAAGAGTTTCAGCAATCCTGCCCCGAAGGCCAAAAACTGGTCCAATGTCTTCCCCCTGTTGCTCTAGGGAAACAAACACTCTAGTGATATATTTCATTGTCTGGGATTATGGGATCTCCGCACCTGGGAGTTATGAGTTTGCAAAAGGCAGATATGGAATTTACATAAGCCTGAGATGGGGAGAGTAGTGGGAGGAATTATAAAAGGGAAGAAGAGATGAGTCATATAAGGTAATTGTCAGGGCAACAAGTCTGGTTAAGTATGTAGCTTTGTCAACACTCCACCACACAACTGGGTTTTGAATTCCTATGTTCTACCACTTGTTTTTCTATAAAACCACCAAAAATACACAAGTGTGTGTGTGTGTGTGTGTGTGTGTGTGTGTGTAGATCTTCCCCAAAATAGTTTTCCCTTCTCTTTTATTATTCTTTTTAAATCTTTTTTTTTTTTTTGAGACAGAGTTTCACTCTTGTTGCCCAGGCTGGAGTGCAATGGCTCGATCTTGGCTCACCGCAACCTCTGCCTCCGGGGTTCAAGCGATTCTCCTGCCTCAGCCTCCCGAGTAGCTGGTATTACAGGCATGGGCCACCATGCCCAGCTAATTTTGTATTTTTAGTAGAGACGGAATTTCTCCATGTTGGTCAGGATGGTCTCGAACACCTGACCTTAGGTGATCCGCCCGCCTCAGCCTCCCAAAGTGCTGGGATTACAGTCGTGAGCCACCACACCCGGACTTTAAATCTTTAAAGAATAGATAAAACTATAATTTAAGACAATAGCAATGACTTTTAGACAGAAAAGTCTTATGTTTTATTATCGAGAAAGTACCTTGCCTTGTATGAGGAACTTTCCCTCATTAGTACTTAACTTAATGGGATTTTTTGAGGGTGAGAGATTAATATGGGTCTAAAGATTATTGCTATTACAAGATTGCTCTCCGGCCAGTCAGCAAGTAGATGACATGAAGAGCACAGCACATCCTGTGATTTCTGAGGATGGATCCTGAATCACCGGGTGCTGTGAGCCTGGAAAGCTGTAAGATGAGAAAAATCTAAGTAACAAGTGGAAAGGTCTCTCAGGTAGAAATCCCAGTCCACAGTGGTCTTTCAAGTAGTTTCGAGCTACTTATAAAGAGACCCAGGACTTTTTTTAAAATGTATTCGTTTGCTTGATGTTTTGTTTACTATTCTCTTTTGAGAGCAGATTTCTTTACATGAGTAGGATTCAAATATGTGTTTATACTGGTAAGCACATTATCACTTTTCTATAGTGGATCTTAGAGGACAAAAAACTCAACAATAACAACATTCATTTACTGTTCAAACTTCTATGTGAAAGCATAAAAACCAGAGCTTTTGACAAACAAAAAAAACCACTTTTGATTTAGAAGCACATATGTTATCATGGTTATGAAAACACAAGATATTATTTAAAACATTGCATGACTTTAGGAATATTGCAAGATTAATAGTCAACACATCCTTTTGCACTAAGAAATTCCCAAAAATTTGCCATCATAGCTTTGGCCTCTTTAGGGCTTCATATACATCCACTAACATGGAAATTCTCCTAGGGAAGATGATAATAGTAATGATGGCTTCAACTCACTGTTTATGCCATGAAACATGTGGCAACTCATGGCTAGCCACATTTCTGCTAATTTTGCATATATGAGATTGATGGATTTATCCTTATTTTACATGTGAGAAAGTATATGTAAATGAAATTTAAGTGAGAGAGAAGTTTTTTATCTCACAAAGTGAGTATTGACATAAGTAGGGTTGCAAAAATATTTTTGCTCTTTATTAGTCTTGTTTCATTGGGCAATGTCCTTGAACATCAATTTTCACATCATCAAATGAAATCTAAAACTAGATGTTATAACAGTCAATCTCATATAGGTTTTATAAAATTTAAATATTTATGCATTATTTAGGATGAAGTAAAATTTCAGTCAAGAGTATTATCTGTAGAATTATAAGTTTCTTTCTTGGTCAAGTTCAATGTAGCATTTTTAGCATTTGTGATATATTTTTACATTATTCTTTCAATTAATATGTTACTGTTGAGAGAGAAGAAAAAACATAACTTTTCAATAATAATGGATTGATGTTTTAGAATAAGCAAAGCTTTTGTTGCTTGACATATCAATAAATGCAACTTTATAATAACAGTGAGCCTGTCACATCTCTCTAAAGACTATTTCATAACCACATAAACAATAAACACAAGTATTTCTAAAGAGCAAACGTTGCTTAGAAACATTAATGTCTGAAATGTATTATATAAAGAAAATAGAATAAATTCAATAATAGGGCATTTATTATCCATTAGTATTTATTTATATAAATAGTGAAAAGTTGATCATTATAGAACTTTGACTGCCAACATGAATTAATGTTATTACCTAATTATGTGATTCTGAATATACTGTTGAAATCATCACTCAAATTTAAGTTAAACATACAGAGCTTTGTGAATATCATTATTATGAAAACAAGATAAAACATTAAGTTTTCAAATTCTTATGTGTGGCTGCTAACTGAGCTCACTGACAGATTTCGTAGATAGATAAAATCTTCAAATTTAAACTCTGTATGGCACTGCCTGCAGATATTTTGTTTTCTTTTTCTTAGAGGTATTGCTTTAACTTGAGGAATTTTTTTGCAAATTGCAATTCACAAATCCTTTGACTTCATCTTGGAGTTTTGCTATAAAGCTGTACTATAAACAGGTAATCAAAAATGTTTGCATACTTTGGATATGAACTAATCAAAATATCCATTAAGCATGCTAACAAGCACACCTGTTATCATTAACAGATTTATTCTCTAATTTTATATGATTAGCACAATCAAATTAAAAGGTGAAAACATGACGATAGCACCCTCTTTATGAAGTATGAGTAATTATTAGTGTAAATAGTATAAATATCAGTTAGAAATAAAAATTCCCAGAAGTGATACGCTAGTATGGTAACAGTGCCTTAATTTATGAACAATACTTTTTTTGCAAGCAGAAGTAAGGACTTCAAATGCATTTTTGTTTTTTATTAAAGTCTACAAACAGATATTTAAAGATACTTAAGAGTATGATTATCTAATCTAACCTTTAATTTCCTCCACTTAGATTTAGAGCTATGCATGGTGGACTATTCTTTGGGTCCCCACTTCCTACTTTGCTGAGGGGTCTGCTCTCACTCTTAGATGCTATTTCACATGTATTTGTCTCAAAAAATAATTTGTTATTGTTGTTGTTTCTGTGTTGCAGATATTTATAAATTTAATTTTCAAATATTAGCATATAGATCTATAATGCTGCTATGGAGTTTATTTGCTTGTTTGCTTGCTCTTACCCCAGCACTTGATAAGTAAAACTAAAAGGTAAAAATGATTTCACATATATGCTTTGTAAGTAAGTTACTTTGCTTTGGGGCTTCTGGAGAATAAAATAAGGAAAGATTTTAATCTGTTAATAATAAGCCTCTCTACACTAGGTGTACTTACAACCATATTTTAAGGACTGGTAACTATAATACAAATATTGTGATCTTAACAGAATAAAAATGCTATACATGTTTTCATTCTAACCACAACAGGATAGATATACATGTTAGTTGCTGATATATAATATTATACTACAATATTATAATTACAAAATAATTACATTTGAAGAATAGAAACATTCTTAAGTCTTGAAAGAGAAATGTTAACCTATTAGGACAATAACAAAGCTCAAAAATAGATGTATGTTTGGAGCTGGGAGCAAATGTAACATACAAGAAATGGAATCAGGAATCAGAGCCAGAAATGAGAGTATGAAGTGACCATTTCTCAATCGAGGTGTCAATCAAGAGTGGGTTGAAGAAAAAAATGCTATTCGATATCATAGTATGGATTATAATAAAGATGGGAAAGAACACAAAGAGAAAGCAAATTTCCTGAGGCACAATGATGATGCTCGAAGTGTTGCAGTTTAATTCCTCCATGAACAGAACTCCTAATAATTCTTACCTTTTCCAGAATGAATTCTTAATAACAATAACCAGTTTTCCTCAATAACATTTTTACTAGAAATTAAGCAATAATTAAGATTTTTAAGTCTTAGTCAACTGTGCTACAGATTGTGAGTAGTTAGAAATAAGAATTAATCATCTCTGATTATAGGAATATAAATTGAATCAGTTCTAAATAAAAAAGAGTTAAATTTAACAGTGTGAGAAGCCACATCTTATAGATGCATATAGAACTTTAATTTGTACTTTCACAAACCTATGAACATGACAAGAAACTTTATCCATATCAAAATTAAAGGTCAATAAGCAGTTTATGAGCACAGACTGACAACTCCCATCAACGCTGCTTCTAACCCTATGTGTTCTTAAAAGCAGGGAAATTTATGTTTTATACCTGATACGTCCACTGAAAATACAGTAGAAAGGAGAAAGAAAGCATTTGCCAATCATAATGAATTTAACCAATACACACAATTTTAGCTTTAAATTGGGATTGATGAATAGCAATTCTTTCCTTGTGAGTGAAAAGGATAAACTGAAATAGTTGCAAGGCTTTTATGAAAAAAATATTAAAATGGCTAATTAAAGACTTGAAAAGAGAGGCGAGAAACAAGGTTTTCAAATAAATATTCTTCTGCATCCTCCATTCTAGGCATAGAAATGGTAATTTCACAAATATAGAAGGAAAGGAAACTTTTTCACTGTTTATTTTATTTATTTATTGTCTTAAAGAATCAGCCCATGTTTCATTCTAGACCAAGTGCATTTTTCTCATGTTACATAGATATGTATATTAGCTGTTAGCTTGAATCCCCCTTCATGTGTGAAAAGAGTCAGTTATTTGCTTTCAGTCCCCATGTACAATCTGTGAATTGCAAGAATGCCAAAGTCATATACAGGGAGACAGCAGGTCTTTGAATAGCATCATTTCATTCAATATTGTGACATTGATGAGAAAAATAGTTGATTCCTGCTGAGGCCGCCGTCTGTGTGGAGTTGGTAACGTGCTCCCCATGTCTTCATGGGTTTTCTCCAGGTATTTTAGTTTCCTCTCATATCTCCAAGATGTGTCCCTTAAGTTCGTTGGCCTGTCTACATGGTTTCTTCTGAGTGAAAGTGGGTAGGTGTGAGTGTGGCCTGCCATGGGATTTCATCCTGTCCAGGGTGTTTCCCGCTCTATGCCCTGAGCTGCTGGAATAGACTCTAGGTATCTGGGACTCAGAGCTGAAATAAATGGATTAGAAAAGGAATGAATGAATGAATACAAATTATTGTTGGATAAAAATTCAGAGAGTATAGGATAATTATACTGATGTGGAACAACAAACAATGTGGTAGGACAATGTTCTATGGGCCATATTTGTTCATGTTTGGTTTTGGACTGTGTGGTAGTAGGAGCTGCTCCTGACAATTTTAGCTTTGCAAACATTTGCTATTTTATTTAATCTACCACCACTATGACCACTGTCACTCACTGACTCAACAAAATTTGGGTAAATAATCATCTTCCCTGCTTTCTTTAATATATGTATATCTCTTATTTATTTCGAAGTTTAATATTAGAAGCATTTGAAGTCTCTGTTTGGAAGTTTGGTGATGTTTTTATGACCAGAATATATTGTAAGAACTTAACTTTTGTTAATACCAATTCACCTATGGGAAATTGGCTTCATTATATGTCATTTTGCTTCAAGTTACAGTTTCTGAGAACCTATTATGACATTGAAGACTTACAGTATTTGCTTATCGTGAACAGTTATCATAATGTTACCCTCTACATGGGTAAATTAATATGTAATTTCTCACCACAGTCTTGTGAGCTAGATTGCTAAGAGCTCATGAGTTGGAGTCTACTCATGCAAAGTAGGACTCAGATGTGGATTTAATTGATTAGATACACAGGCCAGACAGGTATTCATATTTTCTTTAAGTAATTTTCCCAAATTATTCTGATGAGCAGCCAGTGCTGAGAACTGGGTAAAGGTTTCCATAAAATTTTGTTTTCTTTTGTTTGCAACCACATTTGAAAACATTCTTTTCTTTCCTAATGAAAAAGTCCACAGTATTGGTTTTCAAAAGAGATGTATTAAAAGTAATTCTTAAGTTTTCAATGTTGAGTGCTGCCAATGTCTTTAATGATATTCCAGATTTGAAACAGATAATGATACACCATTGATCATCTTCACACAATAAAAACGAGTTACTAAACTGTTTTTTAATGGGTTACATTACGAGAGGAGGTGATTTAAACCCATCATGTGTTATATAATTAAATTTTAAAAGCACTGAAAGGATCCTTTTGGAAGGCTGCAGATTGTAATATTCCATGAATTTGTTCCCTCAACAACCAACAGAGGACCAAAAAAGAAGAGAAAAAGAGAACTTAACAATATGTGCATTTTCCTAAAATTACCAAATGCTAGTCACCATCAAAACACATGCAAAGCTCTCATTAGCAGTAATAGAAAGTGTGCGTGCATATGGAATTTGAAAAGAATATGCAATCAAACTGTCTCGATTATTATGTAACATTTTATATGAATGTATCTTTTATGGCTTTAGTTAGAAAAAGTGAGATTCATATAGAATTCTCAGTTGTAAACATCACCCATATCTTTAGTTATGGACAAAACAGGAAGAAATTGGAAAGGTAAATTGGTAGAATAATACATGTAATCTGAAATTCTCTATTGAAATTTAAGTGTGTGTATACTTTATATTAGAAATTAAAAGTAATAGATAAGCAACTTATTCTTTGTTTCAGGCCTACTTTGGAAAACACATCATAAAAAGATACATTCATATACTCCGTGCCACCATTACACATATGATCCTACCGATTTAATGATTATATCTGAGATTTTTCTTTTTTAATATCTATAAATTTTAGTGAATAATGAATGATACCAATTTATCAATGTGTTAAATTTACTAATTCATTTATTCAATAAAGTTTTATAAAATAATAACTGAGAGATTGATAATTACTATAATAATTGAAGAGTCAGATTATAATAAGAAAAATACTGTCCCTAACCTGAAAAACAAACAAATAAAAAATATGCTTAGTATGTATGGCTGTTAAACCAAACAGAAGTGATTGGTTCAACTATTTGTTAAGAACTTATTTGTATTTAATTTAAAATATGATGGATTAAAAAAGCCAACTACAGATGAGACTTGAGATCATAAATACCAATTATATGTGTGTGTGTGTGTGTGTGTGTGTGAACATTTAATTATATATGATCACTCCCCAATAAACTGGGTTTTTCATCTCTGTATGAGTGATTTTCAGGAACAAATGTTATACTCACAATGGTGAGGCTTTTCCTTAAATTTCATTTGTAGCAAATCATATTTAAATATCTACATGTCTATATGAACATAAACATCTATATGCCTATATGATCTCTATGTCTATATTATTATTTTATTTAAATAAAGGAGATTACCCCCATTGCTTTCAATTTTCTTTTTGATTATCAAAGAAAGATCCATTCATTATAGAAAATTAGGAAATAGTGTAAGAAAGTACAGATGTTAAAATCCCAACATTTGGGTAATATCAATATAACATGCTAGTATAATGCCTTTTCTGTCTAAATCTTTAAAAAAGTAATATAAATTTGTCTTTAGGTGAGATTATGCTGTTACATCCTGATTTTTTACTTAATATTATTATTATTTTTTATTGTTTTTATTTTTATTTTTATTTTTTGAGGCAGTGTGTCACTGTGTCACCCAGGCTAGGGTGTAGTGGCACAATCTCGGCCCACTTTAAACTCTGCCTCCCTGGTTCAAATGATTCTCCCACCTCAGCCTCCAGTGTAGCTGGGACTACAGGTGCACACCACCAAGCTCGGGTAATTTTTGTATTTTTTGGTAGAGACAGAGTTTCACCATGTTGGCCAGGCTTGTCTCCAACTCCTGACCTCAAGTGATCCATTTGCCTTGGCCTCGAAAAGTGACAGGATTAGAGGTGTGAACCACCACGCCTGGTGAAATATTATTTTTAATGTGGAATCAGGCTATTAAATATTTTTGTTTCTATGTATAATTTTAATGAATAATTTTCTTATTGTGCATGTATATCATAATTTATTTAATTCTGCTAATGTTATATTTGTATACTGCTTCCAATTTCTGCCATGTAAAAAATGCTGAAAGAGACAACTTTGTAAATCTGTGTCTCTTAAGTTCTCTACATTTTTAATGATTGCCTTTCTATCGATACCTAGAATTAAAGTTATTGAATAAAAGGAGGTAACTTTTACTTGGTTTTCCGAGCATCACGGAAACCACACTCATGGGGAATAGATTCATTTCTTCTCTCTCTTTTAGGCTAATCTTGTTAGAGTTATGATGTTTACCTACTTTGAAATTATTTATTATCTGACTATTAACTAGTCTATGAATTTATAGATTAATGGTACTGCATTTAAGTGTCAATAAAATATGTTTTAATCAATTTATTCATATAAAATTTCAATATATATTCTGAGTTTATAGGTAAAGGGAGATTAATAACTATTTTTACTTTGTTATGGATTTAAATTCTCATCAATATAAAATTATCCCATTTGCCTCAATAAACACTTCTTTCTATTATTTATTGTCAAACCTGCCTCCTAATTTTGTGTGTTTGGCCATTTTTTATTTTTTCATAAATTTAATTTGTTTTATTTTGTGACTTTCAAAAATAAATTTTGTTGTGTATATTTGAGGTTTACAATATGATGTGGGTTACGTATAAACATTTAAGTGGTTACTATGGTAAAACAAATAGAACAGCTAAAATCTTATTTAACAAAAATCTAATACAATACAATTTTATTTAGCTATAGTCCTCAAATTGTACATTTAGACACACACATATGCCAATGTTTTGTCATCAGTTAAAATAATAAGGATGATAGAATCATATAAGATATCCTTCTCTGAGGCTCCATGACACTTTGTGGGGATCCACTCTGCTCCAGCATTATTAAAGACTATATTCTATTCTTTACTGATTTCATTTTATTTTTAAAATAAAAACTTCCTTTTAATAGTAGTATCAATTCAAACTTTGCTTTTAATCAGAACATCCTTTCCTTTAAATAGAGGATGTTAAAAGTTGTAATAACTTTTATGTTTTGAGTTGACAGCTTTCCCCTATTTATGTCTTTATTTTATGTTATTCATTGTTTCCTGTGGTTTTGTTTTGTTAGTCACATAAATTACATATTGTTTGCTTTTGTCTTCTGTAATTATTGGGAAACTAAACCTATTTTTATTCATTCCTAATGGTTTATTTATGTTTATGATCTATGTATCAAAATTTACACTTTTGGAATAAAACAGTGATTTGTACACTTGTCTAGGTTTAATAGGAATTCAGGTTCTATATATCTATCTAAATACCACCTATTAAATATCTGAAATTTGAAATTTTTATTTGGGATATGGAATAGATTTTTATTATATAGTTATATTTAAGCTTGCAAACATTTTCTTCAGTTATTCTTTTACCATATTTTATAGAATTTACAGTATTTAGAATGTATAAGTAATTTTTGCCATATTCTTAAACATTAAAAATATTTAAGCTTGTGCTAATTGATATCAAATCTTACAACTGCATCTACAGCATGATCTTTTTTAGATCTGGACTGTTAAGTAACAGTTAAATAACAATATTTTTGAGTTCTGAACTGTTAATTACTGTTAAATAACAATATATATTTTAAAAGTATAACTTTTGTAATTAGAATAAAATTAGTTTCCTGAATTTTGCATTTTTTGTATTATTGTTGATTGTCTTTGTGTATGAAAATTTATCTGAGTTTAGAATTCTTTTTTTTTATGAGATAGAGTCTCACTCTGTTACCCACGCTGGAGTGCAGCGGCGTGATCTCAGCTCACTGCAAGCTCCGCCTCCCGGGTTCACGCCATTCTCCTGTCTCAGCCTCCTGAGTAGCTGGGACTACAGGCGCCCACCACCACGCCAGGCTAATTTTTGTATTTTTAGTAGAGACGGGGTTTCACCGTGTTATGCAGGATGGTCTCGATCTTCTGACCTCGTGATTGGCCCGCCTCAGCCTCCCAAAGTGCTGGGATTACAAGTGTGAGCCACCGTGCCCGGCCTTTAGAATTCTTTAGTTAAATCTTTGTCCTTTCAAAACTTCTAGACTGTAGCATCTTATTTTTTATTATGTTACAGGAGCTAGGTGAGCATATATATTTTGTAGTCAATATGAATATTTTTCACCCATATTTATAAATGTTAACATTAAGTTTACAGGTTATAACTAAATCTTTATTTAAACAGTTTAAACATTGAATACATTATTCTGCTTAGGGCCCTTGACTTAGGACTTTTTAACTTAGTCATATTTTTTCAGTACATCTTCAATATTTTTTATATTAGGAAAGTACTTTATATGCACACTTATAAATGTTAGACTGTATTTCTATTTCTTCATTTAGTTTTAATTGTAATTTTTTGTTTCAATTTTTAACACTTCTTTCATTTTTTAATCTATTACCTGAGAACTTCTCGTGTTTCTCCTCCACATCATAAACTTGATTTTTCCCTATATTTCTACTTTTACCTTTTACATGCATATTTTAATTCTATTAAATTCTACTCTTAATTTTTCTTCTTTTTATGACAGACATTCATTCATTTATTATATACCTCGACCTGCTTTCTTGTGCTAATTTATAGAAGGAATAGCTATTTGCACTTTTATTAAAACAATTATATATATTTTTTCTAAACTTTTACCTACCCTTTTTCAGGACAAAAATATTTTCAAAGATATTTTTCTCAGTATTCAAGAAAAGTCCTACTACTTTTTGTTTCTTGTCGAATCTTTTCATAGGTCAAAGAGATTTTTCCTATATCTTAAACAAATACATATATATATATATATTTCGGATTTGTGTTTTTTCCTGCAAATATGCAACTAGGTCTATCAGGTAGTACATCGGTGTACTTGTGCAACCTGATAACTTCTCATACAAATAGTCACATAGTGTACAGCTGCAACAGTGTGGTAAAATCACGTCGTAATCTATCAGATTCATGAATAATTCTGGAAAGTAGGAGTAAGTCTAAGGGTTTTCATTGTATTACCGAAAAAGGGGTCTTCTTCCAGACTCCAAGAGCGGGTTCTTGGATCTTGCGTGTGTGAGTTGCAGACTACAGTAAAGTTAACATCGTTTATTAGAAATCACTCTACTACAGAGTAAGGCATCCCCAGAAAGCAAGAAAAGGAAGGCCTCTACCTTAAAGATAATGCTTGTTTATATAGGGTATTAAGGCTGATAATATTGTACCTCATTATAAAAGCTTGTTCTCAGCTTGTGACAGGCTATTAGTATTGTTATTTTCCTGGGTAGCTATTGAGGTTAGCAAGACTTTGTGAGTGTAATATTATTTTTAACAAAACTTTGATTATTAAATGCTTCTTGTTCATAAAATATCAAGAAGTTTCCATAAGTTCTGAGTCTTTATTTATTTAGTTAACATAATTAACTCCTTCACTCAACCATAAACATCTTGTGACCAAGAGTGCCTAACCCCTCTGAGAATGTATCCCGGCAGGTTTGGCCTCATCCAGTCTTTATTCAAGATGGAGTCTCTTCTGCTAGGACCCTCTGACAATTGTGCAACGTAGTACATGAAAGAATGAGCATTCTAGCTTGATTGCTTCCTGTTCATCCCCATCAAACCAGGTCTTTAACTTTTCCTGAAATAAAAACATATTCGTAATGCAATTAGCCTGGCCCCAGTGGCTCGCGCCTGTAAATAATCTCAGCTACTCTACAGGCTGAGGTGGAAGGATCTCTTGAGTGTAGGAGTTTGAGACTATGGTGGTGCTACTGCACTCTATCCTGGGCGACAAAGCAAGTATTGTGTCTTCACTACCTCATCCCAACATAATGATAAATTCTGGGATTGACAGTTTCTGGATAAATAAAGTGAGAAATGGATGAAAAAGCAAGTAATGAGAAGGAGAAATCACAACTTTGATTTCCTCAGAGTATGACTTCAAATCTGTCATACAAAAAAACTGCATTTTTTCCCCAATCATTATAATGCATTTTCAGTTCTAGCAAACACACCACTTTATATGAGATTTAGATTTAATTAGCATTTTATTCCCTGTCTGAAAAGCCAAAATTAGTATGGCTAGTAATTTGCATATGTTGTAAGAACAGACTACCTTCTAATTAAAAAATTGTCTAGCGATTGTCTCCAAAATATCTTATGCCCACCATTGGACTACATTAGTGGGCTGTTGTATGCTCCAGCTTGGAAATATGAGGCACCAGCAAAAGTGCTGAGGACAATAGAAGATGAAGCTCTGGGTCTTTATTTCCTCAGTTGTCTCCCAGTCAAGTGACCATGGGTTTGCTGCTTTCCTCTTTTAATGCCTATAGCTACTATGTGGTACCTCTTACTATACATCTCATTCCTGCATTATGAGGCTGAGGTTATTGACTCATGTCTTGTTGTTGTCCTAAACCCATCCACATATATGTAAATAATCTCTTCATTAAGCTGTCCTCAAATTACCTATTTGAATGTGCCATATATTTCTTGCCAGGATCTTGATTGGCACCGTCTTTTAGAAAGAGAACATGCTATCTGGAAATAGCATTGATATGGCATTCCTGTGCCCCCGCCCAAGTCTCGAATTGTAGCTCCCATAATTCCCCGCTGTTGTGGGAGGGACCCGGTGGGAGGTAAATGAATCATGGGGCGGGTCTTTTCTGTGCTGTTCTCGTGATAGTGAATAAGTGTCACGGAGATGTGATGGTTTCATAAAGGGGAGTTCCCCTGCATATGCTCTCTTGCCTGTTGCTGGGTAAGATGTCCCTATGGCCTTCCTTCGTTTTCCAGCATGATTGTGAGGCCTCCCTAGCCATGTGAAACTGTTGAGTTAATTAAACCTCTTTCTTTTATAAATTGCCCATTCTCGGATATGTCTTTATTAGCAGACTGAGAACAGACTAATACAAGCATGAACCCTTTTAGAAGCTAAGCCTGGTCAAGTTGCTTAATATCATTGAGCTTGTTTGCTCATCTATAAGTGTGTCAAATGAAACTAGCGTGCAGAGATGTTGTGACAAGAAAATGCACATAAAGCCCTTGGAATATGGTAGCCCTCAAATAAATAGTACCTACTATTTTTTTAATCTCTCAATAGCGAAATAATCCTAGTAACTAAGAATGAAAAACAAATGCATGTGTATATATATAAAGATAAATATTATCTGCTATCTAGCATTCTCTATAGGATTTTTATTAAATCTTTAATTCTATTCCCAACACAAAGGATATGAAATTGTTTTCAAACAACATTTTATGGAAGAATCAGAAAAGCTTAATCCATAGTAGTGGCTGTCATTTGTAATAAGTTACTTATAACAAAAAATAAAACTCAAAACTGCTGTGAAAATTGTATCTAACAAAGCAACAGAAGTACAAAGTTGTAAAATTCATTAAATATTTTCTAGTTGATGTATCCTACTACATATAACAAAATTATAAAATTATTGCTATTTTTCATATTTCTTTATAGAATGATCTTAAATAATGGATCAAAGTGGTGTATTAGCTGAGATTTCACAATGGAATATAGATTTTTACTTTTAGGCAATATTATCTTCTTCCAATCACTGCCAGCCATGAACCACTTCTAAAGCATTTACTACATAAAATAACAACACTGTGACATTGGCATTAGGTTAAGTCAATAATGGTAATGTAAACTTAAATATTAGTATTGACATGGATTCTATTAATATGTTATACATTCCCTGACATGCATGAGCAGAGCTTTGATTTTTCTACTTCTGAATTTCAATATTGTTGTAGGTGTTGGAGATCTCTTTTAACTTTATGCCTAATTTGGCACCCAACATCCTTTCACTATTATAATCTTAAATAGCATGCACATACCCACTTCAACCTAAACACACCTCATGTTAGGGATCTTTTAAAGAGCAAAATGCATTCTCCAAGACCAGCCTGGGCAACAAAGCAAGACTCTATCTCTTAAAAAAAAAAAAGAGTTTAAAAAAATTAGACGGTTGTGGTGGCAACCACCTGTAGTGGTAGCTATTCAGGACGCTGGAGATGGAGGATCACTTGAGCCCAGGAGAATCACTTGAAGTTCAGACATTATAGCTCCATCTCAACCATTACATTATGCTTTTCTCCAAATTCAATGGTATGATTCACTTTTCGTAGTGTTCCAAAATAAAGAAAAATTACATGCCCAAATCACAAAATATGGTAAACCCATGATATATGGTATTCTATAAAATGCTCTCAAGTCAGCACTTTGTTTCAATTATAGTAAAATATTCATCATTATTTTGGCAACCCCAAGGTCTAGAAGTACCCTCAGACTAGACAAAAAAAATTACAGTGTATTTGATATATGTAGGAATAAATTTTTTAATATTATAATTCTCTTAAAATTTTAATGTTTATTTGAAATAAAATAGTTTTATATTATTTATATTTGCTTAAATAGAATCCACATTTTATTTCTTGAATATGTTTTTAGAACACTACATGACTTTAGCTCAGGAAACAGAACTATTTTGTTTCAAAGAGACAATAAGAAGGATATTGTGTAATGGTAGGTGAAATTCCATCTCTAGTGTATTAAACCTTGGGACTGGGAAATACCTCCTAGGATTTCAAGATAAAACTCTATTTAAATCATCATAGAAATATATACACATAATTGTCCAATATTGGGATACAATCTTTCTTATACCATAGAAATGTGCATTCCATACTCTTAATCACTGTTAGTGTAGATTAAATTTTTTCTGGTCTCAATCTTTAATTTTTATAATCACTGCTACCATTGAAGACAATAATACAAGAAGAAACTATTTTTATTGGTCTGTTGAACTATATCATTTCAAAATTTATTTGTATAGTGATCTCAGAAGCAATACCAATTCCAATGATGAAAGATACTACTTATATTAATCATTGAATGGTACCATTTTTCATGTTTTCATTTATCAAACCCACATTAGGAATTGTGTTTTATCTCAGACAAAAACTCACTGGTAAAAATTCTATGTAATCACAAATATTTTGAGCATAATCTAGAGATTTTTTTCAATTACTTCCTTTCCCAGATACAGGTTTATTTCACATATACAATGTGAAAACATTTAACAAAAAATTTTAGATGGTGTTGGCATAAATCTAATTAGCATAAAATTATTCAACTGACAGAAAAATATGATGAAGTTTTTATGAATGTGGCTAGATTAAATTTCATATTTGTTCAACATCTCAGACATTCATAAAAGATCATGTTTCTTCTGTTGAACTCCAATAGTAAAAAGAACAAACAAAAGAAAATTTGTTAATGATCTTTATCTAGTAAATCAGAAATTTACATTAGAAACCTATAACAATAGAATATAGATTACAAACATTAGTACTATGTGTACAGATTTGATATGTTTTTGTCATTCTGTGGTAAAAGTTGCCTATGTATATGCAGCAACTAGTATGCGTGATATGCTTTAAGTTTTTGAAACTTTTCTTCAAAACCTTCACAGAAATAATTGAGGAGGGTAATATTACTTGTACTTCAAAACAGAGGAATCAAACTCATTTGAGAACTTCTCCATTAAGTGATAAAAAGAAAATTATTCCACCCTAGATCTGTTGTGAATGTAACCCTGTGTAGTGATTTTAAACATCGTAAACTGTCTGAGTATTGAGGGAAGTTTTCATTTGACTGTTTGTAGTAGTAAAGCAGTTAATGTAAATTTAATGTACATTGGACTATTTTGATAGCTCTTTGCATTGGTCAAATAAAATTAACCAGACTGTTGATAAACCAGACACTGTTACATTCAGACTGACGTGAATAGGCAGTTCCAGCAAGAAGGTACTTTTTTTGTTTAATGCAAAATGAGCATATTAGGGGATGGTATAATCTTTTTAAAAGTCAAATACATTGGGAAAGCCTAAGGTGAGGTGTGAAAGCTGTATGTTTCATTTTCTAAAACAATATTTTTTCTTGACTAAATTCTTGCAAAGAATTTTGCAATAATAACATATGTATGGTATTTATGGCATTTTTAAACATGCATTTATTCCTAAATTTCACAAAATCTGTGTTAGAAGAGTAAATTTTTCTCAACTTTTCAAAGATGAGCAAGAAGAGCTCTCGAAACAGTAAAAGGCACCCAGAAGTAAAAGTAAATTACTTTTATTTCAAGATTTTGCTTCTTTTCCAAGGATATCACCTAGTTTGTGTCAAGGCTTAATTTTGCAGAATTTAAATTTATTATAATTTTTAGATTTCATTTTATATTTTATCCACCTCAGAGGAGTAGAGTTTACATTATCAGGCAGGTAAAATAGCTCACACATTAATAATTTTGAAATAATTCTCATTAAGGCTTATAGTATATGATGCTATATTAAATACTTAGTATGTATAAGCCCATACTGTGGTCATCACTGTAGTTTATAACATACAGGAATCCTCATAATAACAACATGAGTAGGCACTTAGCTGGCTGAGGTGGAGCTGTCACCCTTCTATTACATCAGCTTTATTTTTAAAAAAATGCTTTTTGAGTGTGTGTGTTTGACATGATTTGTTGTTGCTTCTATGGAAAGTGGTGGTGGTGGTGGTGGTGGTTGCAGAGTGTAAATGTTGAGTAGCAGAGTCTGAGAAAGAAGGACAAGAGGGACCTTCATGATGTCTGCCTATCTCTAAGCCACTAGGATAAAATGTGAGTCATTATGGTTTGAAGGACGAGGTATAAAGACTCATGCAGTACCTAATATGAGTTATTTTAGAAAACTCTGGAACAAGTAGAACTTGGGAGTGTAAGCTATGATACAAAAGCAAAGAAAGATGGGAAGTTTATAACAAAAAACTCCTACACAAAATGTGGGAAGGCTTTAAATAAACAACTTAACACTATACCTTAAAGACTTAAAGACTGAACAAAGAACAAGCCACACACAAAATTAGTGGAAGAAAAAAACTAATAACGATCAGAACAGAAATGAATGAAATTCTCTTAAAAAATACAAGGCAAAACACAATAAAAGTTGACTTTTTGAAAAGAAAAATAAAATTGACAAACCTTTAGCTAGGCTAACAAAAAAAAAGAAGACTCAAATAAATAAAATCAGAGATGAAAAGGCAGACTGATACCACAGAAATGCACATGATCATTAAAGACCTTTATAAGCAACTATATGCCAATAAGCTGGAAAATTTAAAATAAATAAGTATATTCCTAGACACATACAACCTATGATGATTGAAACATGAAGAAAGTTAAAGCATCAATGGACCAATAACAACTAATGAGATAGAGGCAATAATAGTCTCCCTTCAAAGGATAGCTGGGACCTGACCTGATGGCTTCACTGCTGCGTTCTGAAAAATATATATATATATATATATCAGTGAGAATAGATATTAATTCTATTCAAACTATTTCAATAAATCAAGGAGGGAATACTTTCAAACTCGTTCTATCAAGGAAAGCATTCCCCTGATTTCAAAACCAGACAAAGACTAAGAAAATAAAACTACAGGCAAATTACTAATGAACACGGATGCAAAAATCTTCAACAAAATACTAGCAAACTGAGTTTAACAACACATTCAAAAGATCATTCATCATGATCAAGTGGGATCACCCCAGGGATGCAAAAATGTTTCCACGTATACAGAGAAGCAAAAGTGATACACGACATTGATAGAATAAAGGACAAAAACCACATGATCATTTCAATAGGTGCAGAGAAAATATCCAACAAATTTCAGTATTTCTTCATGGTAAAAACTCTCAACAAACTAGGTATAAAAGGAACATACTCCAACACAATAAAGACCATGTATAACAAACCACAGCAAGTTTCATATTAAATGTAAAAAAAGTGGAAAGCCTTTCTCTAAAACCTGGATAAGACAAAAATTCCTGCTTTCACCAGCTATTCAGTGGCCCTGAGAAAACTGGGTATGCATATACAGAAGAATGAAACTAGGCCAAGGACTTTCAAATCCCAGCCAGAGCACTTAGATAAGAGAAATAAATGGAATCCAAATGGGAAGGGAATAAATCAAACTGTCCTCATTAATAGATAATATAATCTTATATTTAGAAAAATCTAAAGGCTGACAAAAAATCATTAGAACTAATAAGTTTAGTAAAATTGTATGATAGAAAATCAACATACAAAAATTAGTAGCATTTTTATATGCTAACAGCAAACAATCTGAAAACAATAATCAAGGAAGCAATCTTATTTACAATAGCTACAAAAAATACTTAGGAAAAAATCTCTACAATAAAAACTATAAAACAGTGATGAAAAATAATTGAAGAGAACTTAAAAAGTGGAAATATATCCTATACCCATGGGTTGGATCAACAGTTTTAAAATGTCTATACCAAAGGTCGTATACAGATTCAATGCCATCCCTCCAATATGCCAAAGACATTCTTCACCGAAACAGAAAACACGACCCTAAAATATATATGACATTACAAAAGATCCAGAATAACCAAGGCAACTCTGAGCAAAAAGAATAAAGCTAGAGGAATCACATTACCTGACTTCAAATTTTACTGCAAAGCTATAGTAACAAAAACATCATGGTACTGCCATAAAAACAGACACATGGACAAATGAACAGAGATCCTAGAAATAAATCCACACATTAATTGCCAACCCATTTTCAACAAAGGCACTAAGAAAATACATTGGGAAGAGTCTCTTCATTAAATGATGCTGGGAAAACTGGATATGCATATACAGAAGAATGAAACTTGGCCCCTATCTCTCAACATATACAAAAGTGAACTCAAAATGGATTAAAAATTTAAATGTAAGGCCCAAAACTATAAAACTAATGAAAGAAAACATTGGGGAAACACTTCAAGACATTGGTCTAGACTAAGATTTCTTGAGTAAAACCTCAAAGGAACAGGCAACCAAACAAAAATTGACAAAATAATCACATCACGCTAAAAGGCTTCTACACAGCAAATGAAACAATCAACACATTGAAGAGACAATCTATAGAATGAGAGAAAATATCTACAAACTAATCATCTGGCAAGGATTAATAACCAAAATATATAAGTAACTCAAACAATTCAGTAGCCCAAAAAAATAAACTGATGAATATTGGACAAAAGATCTGAATATATATTTCTCAAAAAGAAGATATACAAATGGCCAAGAGGTATGTGAAAAAAATGCTCAACATCACTAATCATCAGGGATATGCAAATCAAAAACACAATCATCTTACGCCAATTAGAATGGCTAAATGCATATGATATATGCATATCCAGTTTATCAAAAAAGACAAAAACAACAGATGCTAGCAAGGATGTGGAGAAAAAGAAACTCATACACTGTTGGTAAAATTATAAATTGGTACAACCATTATGGAAAACAGTATGGAGGTTCACCAAAAAACTAAATGTAGAACCACCATATAAACCAGCATTCCTGCTGCTGGGTACATATTTAAAAGAAAGGAAATACCTACATTGAAGAGATATCTGCACTCTAGCGTTTATTGTAGCATTATTCATGATAGCAAAGATACGGAATCAACCTAAGTTTTTATCAACAGATGAATAGACAAAGAAAATGTGCAATGTATAAACAATGGAATATTATTTCACTATAAAAAAGAATAAAATTCTGCCATTTGCAACAACATGGATTGCACTGGACGGTAATGTGTTAAGTGAAGTAAGACAAGCACAGAAAGACAAATATCACATGTTGTAACTCAGATGTGGGAACCAAAAATAAATGGTGTCATGGAAATAGTGAATAGAATGGTTGTTACTAGACGCTAGGAAATGTAGCAGAGAGAAAGGATAAAAACGGGTTGATCAATGGGTACAAAAATACTGTTAGACAGAAGGTATAAGATCTAGTGTTCAGTAACACAATAGATCAACTATATTTAACAGTAACTTATTGCATATTTTAAAATAACTAGAAGGGAAGATGTGAAATATTTCCAACACAAAGTGATGATAAATGTTTGTGATAATGGATATCCCAATTGCCCAGATTTGATCATTACAAATTATATGCTGGTGTTAAAATATCACATTGCCCCATAAGTATGTACAATTTACCTCCATAAAAATTAAAAATTAAAAAATTAAACATCAAAGAAAAGCATATTTTTTGAGCCAGATTCCTGCACTGCTGTGATACTCTGAAGTTGGTGGCTTTGGAATACTGGACGATAAGAGCTCTGAATGTATGGTTGCTGAGGCTTCATAATTTGTGGAAATTGCTGAGTAATTGCAGAAGGAAGGTCAGGAAAGGAGAAGCACAGATTTCATGTAGTAAATGATATGTTGATAAATGTCTAAAAACTGAATTTCGGGGAAAAAACAAAACCCTAGTTTGTAGCATTTGCCAATTTTCATTGTGTAAATGGTCCCATATGGGCGATTTCAAATTACCAACATGAAGTAGTTTGATACAGAGTTCAGAAGAGGTGAACACAAAAGGGTATGTCAATCAGTAAACGCTGGCTCAAGTTGGATACACTCAGAAATACATGGTAAACATTTGTGGAAAGTGACTAAGTTTGAACAGTTTGGGTGTTTGGGCCACTGTAATTTGACCAGAAACAACGGCTGGACTTTGGGCCAAATATCAGTCGCACTTAACTTAATATTGCTTGGCATAAAATGTAGTTTGCAGTGTTCTGAACCAATCCATTGGAACTTCAAGTCCTGTCAGCTCTATTTTTCTAGATACATCTTGGATCCCTCCTCCTGTCTGCACATTAGTTCAACTCTCTGTTCCAAGCACTATTCTTGTCACTGGGAATATAATGATGAAAAAGACAGACAAGGCTACCGTCCTTATCGTTTATTGCTTCAACTATGGCAAAACTCCTGATTTGTTTCACTCTATCTAGTTTCTCCATTCTATTTTAACACTGTGGCCAGACTGATATTTTTCCCAGACTACAAAAATGATGGCGTCATTCTCCCAATTATATTCCACAAAATCCCTCAATATTAACCCTTACCTATATATACCAATATCAATCCCTACCCACTCTTCCCTACCAGAGCCATGCTTAATCTCTTGTCACTTTCTGAACATACAACTTCAGCTTTCTTGCCTTTGCACATGTCCTTTCTGCCGGAATATATCTTTCCCATCTCACCCTAGGAAAAAAAAATCCCTTGTTATGGTTCAACGCCAAGCAAAAGGATTACCTCCTCTCTAAAACTTTGACTCTTCCCAGAAGTGTCAAGTTTTTCTTTCCCCATCCCTGCATTCCCATAGTGTCCTTTCTAAGCAATTGTTGTTTTTGTTGAAAAAGGCCACTACATATGACTACCTAGAGTGTGTAGTGCACTGCCTCAGGGGACTTTATTCAGAGAAAATTATATATTATGATTAAAGAGTCACATTAATAATGTATATAAATGGTGCCCCCTGAAGCTTTGTAACACAGCAACCTTGATATTGTATTTTCCCATGATGCCTCACTTACAGAACCTGCCTTAGATTGCCTGAAATTGAATTTTTGCTGAAATGACTTCTTAAATCCAAGGAAGTAGTGCTTACCCGCCAATATGAATATGTACTCTTAATGATGTAACCACTCAAGGCCATTGGGACTGATTTGCAACTAGACTATAATCTACACAAATACAAGCTCTTAATTTGCAGTATTTCAGGTATTAAAAATGACCATTTTTCAGTAGATTATAGTTTGTCAGTGCTGTATTTGCTTTCACCTCTCTCTCTCTCTCATATATATATATATATATATATATGCCAAATATATACATATGCCATATATATATATATTTAAAAATGTCATGCTGTTAAACTATTCCATGTACTTAGAAGATTTTCTTACAGCAACAGAGAATAGTCTCTGATGAAGCTTTGATTCACAATTAATTAGTTCAGCAAAAGGTTTTGTTTTTGGCTTTGTCCCTTCAGTAAACTGTGATATGACACATATTTTCATTGACTCGGCACAGCTGGCTTTCATGAAAAGAGCATTTGCCCTCAGAATAATTTAAAGCAAACGCCGGATAGTTTTATTTTTAAAAGAAGAAAACCATGGTGCAAAGCTGGTGGCTTAAGTTGTGGACATATTATCATTTCCATACTATTATCTTAAGAAATCTTTTTTCAAGCAAGTTTCCCTTGTTCACCAGTTGGTAAACTTATAACAAAAGATAAATATTATGCAAAATTATGTGATACCATATTATATTATTCTTTGAGATGCAATACAGTATACTAAGACTATACTACACTATCAGATAATTATTCTGATCAAGGATATTAATTTGTTCTGTTGGAAAAAATATGGTAGTTTAGTGAATATTAATTTTTCAATGAGTAAACTGATTTGAATACATGTTTGACACATATAAATATTTTAAATCCATAGACTTTCTTGAGATATGACTCATAACTTTATATAAAATTAGCATTTTTCCGCAAATGTTTTCTATTTTGCTGTTATTTCCATTAAAACATGAACCTAAGATTTTAGCATTGTAATTTCATTGCACCATATAATTTCACAAAACATTTAGATACATGAAAAATTTTGTGTGGGTGTGAAGATATCTTTCTACTGAAATAAACTAAAAATACCTTTGGAGATCTATAATTTTCCAAAAGATTTGAGTAGTAATCACATAAGGATTTGTTATTTCATGCTAATAATACGCATCATCATCTTACCAGGCCATTGTTTTTCGTGTATGTTTACTATATTTCAGTATTCATGTACTGCTCTAATATTTAGCATTATTACATTTTAATTCTCTCAGACAGGTTTAATGTTTAGAATGTTACTGACTGTTATTTTATACACCATTTACACCTTCTTAGTGCAGACAGATGTAAGAAAACATCCATGTTAATGCAGCATAGAAAATTGATAATTTTTGTATTCATACTGCAATAAATTAGAAAGACTGAACACTAAAAGTTTATCAAATAAAATTTAATCATACTTTAAGGAATAGCCAAACATTACTTAGGATTTTTAATTGATTCATTTTCATTTTGATATTAATTATTTATAGAAAAATATAAAATATTATTAGTTTGACACATAGCTTGATAAAATTGTCAACCTATATTTTTTAAAAAAGATATAGCCTGGGATTGCTGGTCTTGCCAAATGTGAGTAAATTCATTCAACAAGATTTCATTGCATATCTGCACGTGCAGCCATTCAGCAAGATCCTGTTCTACAGCTGAGGACACTTCGCAACATGCTGAAGTTACTGCTGGCATCTACACAACTAAGAGAAAATGCTGCAGTAGGAGGGTCTTCCACTCTGGCATCATCAAAAGGGGATTGGAAAAGGCATCGTAAGTGTCAAGGTCCTTGACTTACAGCTTCCTGGTATCAGTCTGCTTATGTGATAAGATACTTGTTTCTTTTGCCAAGATTCCATCCAAGTTTGCCATACCAAATTCTTGGTCATTCTTTTCAGTGATTCGAATTTAATGTCCCAGCTTTATTTCATTATGTCAGTAGAACAATACAAATAACACTTCTGCATATCTATAAGATGGTAGTAGAAGTATATAAATATTTATCACTTATCCCTCTCAACAGAAAGACTTATTTCTCTGTCATATGAAAATAAGTAAATCAATCCTCAACTTCCTTTTCAGGTCAGAGAAGTCATTGATAATTCCGGTATCTAATTCCTTTAGTAACTTGGTAGCACCACCTTGAGAAAATGGCTTCAATTACTGGTCACTCTCATTAAAGTATGCACATCTAATTTTTGATAAGAATTTCAGTGTGACCTTAGGAGAACCTAACAAGTTCTATTTGAGCAGAGAGACTTGTTCTGTGTCAGAGGTGGAAGGTGGGAAGCTTTTGGCTGGAACTGCCAGGCGATTGGCCTAACTGAATCTGAAATTTGGGGCAGATTGCACTGAGCTGAATGATAAGAGCTGTACTTTCCTACAGTTTTGTAGGCCAGGCCTAATTTTAAACTAACAGCATGATGTGTTTTGAAAATATTTGTCTGACACGGTATTTAGAAATGTGTTCCCACAATATGGTGAGATTTTCTTTTACTCTGAATAGAGTTTCCCACTAAAGAAGTATTTTGGATGAAAAATATATCCAATCTGTTAAGAGATTACATATTTACACTTAGGCAGCAAATGTAAAACTGTGTGTGAAAAACAAGTGTCATTCAAAGTGGACCAGGCTTTTTAGGCAGAATGAGTGAGTTATGTTTCAAAATCATTCATCTTCAGGTTTAAACAGAGAAACATTTACCTGACAGAAAATTTGTTTACATATGTTTACATTTATCTCTGTATTTATCTTCACAGATACATGTTCTTTGCTATATCTATGAACCTAAATGAATTGTAACATGATGAAACTCTAGTAAACTTAAAGTTCTAGGCACAAAGATAAAGCAGAATCTCTTCTTAAAATATACTCTTTGGGCCACTCTCTATAAGATTTGTCAAAAATATCTTATTGTATATGTTTCTAATTAATTAAAAAATCAATAATTCCACCAAAATAATTACATTAAACAATAACGAATACTATGGAATTCTTTCTCGATCAATCAGTAGAGAGATAGATAGATTTGTATGTATGCCTATGCATATTTGCGTATATATATATAATTTATACATACATACATTTGCTTAGATATACATTTACATACATATAAATTCCGTGCTGTGCACCCAAGTAAAGATATTTTGAATTATAAAACTCTTGTTGAGAATTAAATAAATTTATTTGATTATTTTTACATTTGAAGATTTTTTAAACCCACACATTATTTATCATATTGATCATCACTAAAACCCATGGAATTTAAACATGTGTGTGGGAAGGGTGGTGAATGTGGATGTGGATGTGAGTGTGTATACAATCTTGACAAATTTTATGACTCTTTCAAAATAGCACTTTGTCGCTACTATTTATGTATGTCTACTGAGTAACAAAATGGGAGAATAGCAGATAATTACTGTTTAACTTAACGAAAATAATTTGGTATTTAAACAGAATAAGACAATAAAGTAAGAATCAAAGAGTGATATGGTTTGAATATGTGTCCTGCCCAAACCTCATCTTCAATTATCATGCTTAGTGTTGGAGGTAAGGGCTGGTGGGAGGTGACCGGATCATGGGAGCAGTTTCTCATGAATGGTTTAGCATCATTTCCTTGGTGCTGTTCTCATGATAGTAAGTTTTCATGAGATCTCGTTGTTTAAAAGTGTGTGGCACATCCCCCCATCTCTATCTTCCTCCTGCTCTGGCCATGTGAAGACCTGGCTCCCCCTTTGCCTTCCACCATGATTGTTCGTTTCCTGAGGCCTTCTCAGAAGCTGAGTAGTTGCCAGCATCCTGCTTCCTATACAGCCTGCAGAACTGTGAGACAATTAAGCCTCTTTTCTTTATAAATTACCCAGTCTCAGATATTTCTTTACAGCAGTGCAAGAACTGACTGATACAGATAGTATGTCAATGATATTTACTTATTATCTAACTCATTCCATAACTGAAGTTTATATATGTATTAATGAACTCAGTCTGCCATAACAAAATACCATAGACTAAGTGGCTTAAACAACAGGAATTTATTTCCCACAGTTCTGGAGGCTGGAAAGTCAAAGATAAAGGAGCCAGCAGAATCAATTCCTGGTAAGAGCACCCCTCCTGGTTTGTAGATGGCAGATGGCTATCTTCCTGTGGTGTCTTGACTTTGTGGGCAGGGTTGGGGGTGCATGCTCTCATTGCTTCTTCTTTTAGTAAAAACACTCATCTCATCATGAGGGCCCCATTCTTAAAACCCTGTGTATACCTAATTATCTCCCAAAGACCCCACAGCCAAATAACATAACTCTGGGAGTAGTAGCTTCAACATGAGAATATTGGGAGGGCACATTCAGTCCACAGCATATATCATAAGTTCTTCATAACATTTTTGTGAATGTCTAATAACTTAGCCTCAAAGCATAATATTGCTTAGTATTAAAGATTAATATAGAAAAAAAGTTATAGATTTAAGAATTTGGACTTGAGATACAAATCACTATATATATTGGTCCATTTTTATGCTGCCGATAAAGACATACTCAAGACTGGGTTATTTATAAATAAAAAGAGTTTCAGTGGACTCACAGTTCCACTTGGCTGGAGAGGACTCACAATTATGGCAGATGGCAAAAGGCACATCTTACATGGTGGCAGGCAAAAAGAGAGTGTGTGCAGGGTAACTCCTCTTTGTAAAACCATCAGATCTCATGAGACTTATTCACTATCACAAAAGCAGCATGGGAAAGACCTGCACCATGATTCAATTGCCTCTCACCAGCCAAACCATATCACTATAGCTACAGTTAGATATCAGTTTATTTATTTATTCAACACATTTTCTGCTGAGAGGAAAATTACAACTATAAATAAAGCAAGTTTTCCACTGTCAAGGTCTTAAAATCTTGTAGGAAGAGTGGCTAGTAGACCTAACATATTAATGATGGATGCTAAGACAGATGACTACTTACGGTACAGTTTGGGATCAGAGAGATTGTGGTTAATTTTACAAATGGGAATTCAGGGACTGCTCCAAGACAAAATAAAGTTTGAGCTAAGTTGAGTCTTCAAAAAGAAGTAGATCTTAACCAGGCAGCCAGAGCCAATTTCAAGGGCCTTGCCCTTGGTTTAATGATCTGCTGTGACCATCTTAAAATTCTTAATAATTATATCTTTGAACTTATATTTTGTAAGTGAAATCCAAAGTGACAATAGAGCACATATGTCAAGGATATTCATACTAACCAGGCCCACTGTTCCTTGCACCCCAATTTTCACATGAAGTTCACAATGCCCCATGAATACTGCATTCTAGTGAACCCATGATCAGAATTTAGCAAGACTCTGAATAAAGAAGTAAGCATATGACATTGTTGTCTTGTTTTCTTTCCAAACCAAAACTTCATTCAAAAGCAGAAAGAAAATTATTAATCATGCTTCAAGAAACACAAATGACCAAAGAACCCTGTATCCTTTATTACTTAAGCTACTTCCTTTATTACTGAAGCTACTTCCAATCATTTATGTTGAAAATGATGACATAAAGAGGAAACAAAAGACAGGGCAAATCATACATCCTTTTCCTTTCAGACCTTTCCTATTCATCACCAAGTCAAAGGTAGAGTGTTGGTAGATTGTTTGCATATCAAGAGGTAAAATGAAAGCAGTTGAATTACTTTTGTGAAGCATTTCCTCTGTTTTGGTAAGAAAGAAATACATAATGCACATATGAGCTACAAAATGTGAACTGTATACTTTTGATGATTTGACATACTGCTCTTTTACCTTTAAAACTGACATTATGCAATGTAAAGATGAATGAAGAAAAGTCTTGCTAAAAGTTTTTAATTTAAATTGTTTTAGAATGAAATTAAATAGAAAATAAAAGAAACTTGTCTAGAAAAATACCATAGAAGAAAGAAAAAAGCTTTATATTTTAATACTACTAACAGCACTCTTTTCTTGCTTTTTGAACAAGGGGCCTTGAATTTTTATTTGGCACCGATTCCCACAAATTATGTAGCTGGCCCTCAAGGCAGCCATCACGTTGGGGTTGGAGGAAGCAAAGGCCAAGAAATGAAGATATGAAAGAGTTCAATATAACTAAACATAATCTGTGAATAGGCTAAAAATAAGCCTGAGAATCAAACAGAGGTCACAGCTTAGAGGGCCTTAAGTATCAATCATATAAAGAGGTTTCTGTGTGATTGTATAAAAACTGTGAAACTTTAGATTGGTAAGTGGAGGGAATATACAAGGAGAAGCAGAATGTTATGTCGACTGTTGCAGAAATGAGGTGCAGTTGGTTTAAATCCTAGCTCTACAGTCGGACTTATCTGTAACTCTTGTCATATGGCCTAATAGGTTGTATTGGATTTGTTTTCATATGTCATATGTAGACATTTATAGTACCCAACTCATGGAGATATTGAGAGGGTTACATGAGGTAAAGTGTTTAAAAAATAAAACCTTAAGAAAGACACAACTAATCTTAGTAAATAATAGCTATTATTATTTTGATTAGCTTTGAATAAAAGGCAGATGTGGGTTTGAAAGCTGAATTAGAATACAATTTTAAAAATTAATACAGAGTTTATGAAGAAATAATCTAAGCAATATCCATATCGTTAACAATAAATGAGAGTTTTCTAGGAGAATTCCCAGATTTCTGGCTTGCGTGACAAGGCAGAAATACAGATTCAGAGGCAATGAAAAAGGAATAGAGATAATAAATTCTGTTTTTTGACATATTAAGATTGAAGCCTGTGAGGTAGAAAAAATATAAAAATGGTAATTACAATAGGCAATTTTATATACGGTTTAGGAGTTTAGTAGAGAGGTATGGGGTAAAAATACAGATTTAGATTTCTTCAGCAGAAAGTATTATTTGAAGTCACAAAGATGAGTAAAGTAGCCCAGGCAAAATGATTTAGATTCACACATAGGTGGTATGTTTTTGCTCTGAGGAGAGTAGTGAGTTTGAGACTAATTCTGGGGATTGGAGAATAGTTTCACAGTGTAGTAACAATAACATAGACTGGAATATCCAACATTTAATTTTTAGCCTAACTCTGCCACCATATTCCCTGGGCAAATAACTTAGCCTTCATGGGCTTTGGAAAAAAACAACGCTTTTTTTTTTTTTCCAGTACTTGTAACAACTCAGATAGTTGGATAATTTGCAAATATTTACTCCTAAAGAAATTCTAAAAAATAAATACTCTAATTATAAAAATTATACAGATGGGGATCCTGAGATACAAAAACATGATGTAATTTTCCCAAGGTCAGATATCTAGCACGTGGGAGAGAAGGGAATAAAACAAATAAGTTTGATTCCAGCATCTGCACATTCCTAATTTCTACATACTCCTCCTTAATTTAACTAGAACTCCATCACAAAGAGCCTGACTCCATTTTTTTGTTCAACTGCTAAAGCTTTTAAGACCCACTGCTTTCTTTTTTGGCCTACATCTGGGCAAGCTGATAAAAAAAGCCTGGGTGCTTTCTCCTTGATTCAAGGAGGAGATTTAAAACACTCAAGCCCTTGGCCCTTCATGGAACTCACAGCTCAATGGCATCCACAGCCACAATAAAAATGCTGAGCCAGTTGCCTTTCCCTGCTCTCTCAAGCCATTTTGGACCTTCCTGGGAAGTCTGCCTCGATCACCTCAGAAGTCTCAATCATGGAAGTAATTAACATTTCCATACTCTCTTGCTCTGTGTGTTGTTATCAGCAGCCTTGACATTAGAACCAAATTTGGGCTAGAGGCCATGTTGTGTCTGCAGGGTTATCACAAGAAATTCCTTTGCCTTCTAACATTTCATCATTCTAGAATTTTGAATAAGAGTTTTGGTAGGTATGTAAACATCAAACAGCTTTTGTCAGTGTCTTTATAATTTAAGTGACTGATTTATAATGATTATTTATTAAATTGATACTTAAAATGCAGTTTTAAAATTGTAATCCTTGTTTGCATCAAAAACTACCTTAATTTATTACTTCATTTCTGCAGCAGTTGGCCCATGATATGGATGAATTAATGTATTCAGTTGGTCAGGTTTCAGCTTCATCTGCCTAAATCCATGTAGCAACTTTGAAATATCATTCTTGGACAAATATTTGTAAAGTCTCTACTATTTATAAAGTACTATGATATGTTTCTCAGTGATGCCATCCAATTATTTAACTCACCAAAAGTTTTCTATTACTTTTCCCATAGGGAAATTTAAAAGTACAAAGCCAATTATGTAAGCAGGAGTGACAGGGTGACCAGGTGTGTGAATTAGCACTTGTTATACATTTTATTACTTTAAACTAGGTGTGGTGTCTATTTATTCTTTGCAGATGGGCGGCTTGATTAGCCCCTAATAAGTCTTTTGCCCATAATGTCCTCTATTGAGATACTAACATCTGTTTAACTTCTTTTTTAATGTTTTGAAGAGTAAGCCCACTGATAGATATATTAATGTTTAAACTCATATGCATAAATTTAACCTGTTAGAAATCTTTCTAATTCCTACTATATACCTTGAGTTTAGTAAGGCACTATTGGGTATAGTTCAATAACAAGAATGATGGGTAAAAGAAATAAGACATAGTAAATGTGGGTATAAATGTATTTTTATAAAACTCAAACATGAAATATGATGCCAAAAGCATGAACAGTAAAATAAATAAATAATTTGAACTTCATCAAAAATTAAAAATAACTGTGCTTCAGAATAAACCATGAAGAAAATGAGATGAACCATAAAATTTGGGAAAATATTTGCAAACTGTACATCTAATATTTGCAAATTATACATCTAATTACACTATATAAAGAACTCTTACAAACTAACATTGAGAAGTAAAATAACCAAATTATAAAATGGGCAAAATAAACATTTCTCCAAGGAATATATACAAATTGCTAATAATGTTTAATATTATTAGTCATCAGGGAAATAACATTAAAAACACAATGAGATATCACTTTATACTCACTAGGATGGCTAGAATCAAATTCAGATAACAACACATACTGCAGAGCATGTGAAGAAATCAAAACTCTTGTATGCTGCTAGTGAGAATGTAAATGGTATAGCCACTTTGAAAAACCGTCAGGCAGTTTCTCAAACGATTAAACCCAATGAACCAGCAATTCCACTACTGTGTATATACCTAAGATAATTGAAAACAGTTATTTAAGTCTAACAAAAAGTTATATAGAAATGTTCCTAGAAGCACTATTCACAGTTTTCAAAATGTCAAAATAGCCTAAATGTCCATTAACAGACCAATGGATAAACAAAATCTATACAATGAGTATTCATACAATGAAATATTTTTGGCCAATAAAGATATGAAGTGGCTGGGTGCAGTAGTAGCTCACGCCTGTAATCCCAGCATTTTGGGAGGCCGAGGCGGGTGGATCACTTGAGGCCAGGAGTTCAAGAACCACTCTGGCCAACATGGGAAAACCCTCTCTCTACTAAAAATGCAAAATTAGCTGGGTGGGGTGGCACATGCCTGTAATTCCAACTACTCTGGAGGCTGAGCCATGAGAATTGCCTGAACCCCAGTAGGCGGAGGTTGCAGTGAGCCAAGATTGCACCACTGCACTCCACCCTGGGTGACAGAGTGAGACACTGTTTCAACAACAACAACAACAAAAACAACAAAGCTATGAAGCACTGACATATGCTACAATTTAGACGAACCTTGAAAACGTTATCCTAAGTGAAAAAGGCCAATCACGAAAGGCCACATAGTATATGAATCCTTTTATATGAAATGCTGAGAGTTGAGAAATCAATAAAGGTAGAAATTAGATTAATATTTGCTTAAGACTGGAGAAAAGGGAAGAAAAAATGGAAATAGCTAAAGTGTAGGAAGTAAAGGAAGTTTCTTTCTGAGCTGATGAAAATATTCTGTTGTGATGAAACAATTAATTGTGGAACATATCTGTGAAGAGACTAAAAACTATTGAATTGTCCACTTTAAATGTGTGAATTGTATGATATGTGAATTCTCTCTTAATAAAGTTGTTTAAAATTTTAAAAATAAAAAATTGAAATCTAATTTTTTTTTTTTTTTTGAGACAGGGTCTCACTTGGTAGCCTAGGCTGGCGTACAGTGACACAATCATGGCTCACAGAAGCCTTGAACTCCTCGGCTCAAGCCATCCTCCAACCTCACCATCTCTAGTAGCTGGGACCACAGGTGTGCACCACTATGCCTGGCTAATTTATTTTTTTCTTTTCTTGGAGTGATGAGGTCTCTCTATGTTGCCCAGGGTGGTCTTAAACTCCTGGACTTAAGTGATACTCCTACCTCAGCTCCCAAAGTGCTGGGGTTATAGGCCTGAGCCACCATGCCTGGCCTTGATCATTAAAGTATGACTTTGTACTACTAGCAAAGAAAAAAAAGTAAAATGCAAAAAAACAAAACAAAACAAAACAAAACAAAAAACAAATATACAAT
Source organism: Homo sapiens (assembly GCF_000001405.40). Taxonomy (NCBI): domain Eukaryota; kingdom Metazoa; phylum Chordata; class Mammalia; order Primates; family Hominidae; genus Homo; species Homo sapiens. The sequence goes on along the minus strand of NC_000007.14, from coordinate 9,275,444 downwards.
CATTCCTTGCATGATATTTTGTGATGCCATCCTGCTGCTCACTTTATAGGAAAAAACTCGGAATTTTGTCATGGCTGCCACTTGCTGACCCCTTAATATTCATACTCCAGTTCGGCTTCAGGTAATGATACAGTCACTGCACAGTCCGTGTTCTTAGGAGCTGCTGCTGATCTCACTTCCAAATCCAAAGGGCAGTCATACCCTCGCTAGTGGTTTGCTCAGAAAGTCCATGCCTGGCCGGGTGCGGTGGCTCACGCCTGTAATCCCTGCAATTTGGGAGGCTGAGGCGGGTGGATCACGAGGTCAGGAAATCGAGACCATCCTGGCTAACACGATGAAACCCCGTTTCTACTAAAAATACAAAAAAATTAGCCAGGCGCGGTGGCGGGCGCCTGTAGTCCCAGCTACTCGGGAGGCTGAGGCAGGAGAAGGGTGTGAACCCGGGAGGCGGAGCTAGAAGTGAGCTGAGATCGCGCCACTGCACTCCAGCCTGGGCGACTGAGCGAGACTCCGTCTCAAAAAAAAAAAAAAAAAAGAAAGTCCATGCCTAAGCCAATAACTGTATAGTGCCCCATGTTTACTGAATTGGTAGAGAAATAGACTTCTAATCGAGTTTGGGTTTGAGAAACACAGGAAGATTTTGTTGGTTATTTACAGGAAAGATTTTTCCTCTCTTTAGACAAAGTAACTTGAAGAACCTTTGAATATTGTTTCAGGTGCATAGTGATTATCATAGCATAGCATGTCTAAAAAAGCACACAGCAGAGGGCTGATTTGACTATACCTGATTCAGGACTTTTTTTCAGTTAGCTTAGGAAATAAATCATTTCAGTCATTCACACCAGCGTGAGTTCAATTTCCTCTTACATGCAGCTAAAAGCAAGAGTTTAGTTCCAACTTATTGTTTCTGTCCTCTGGGTATTCTCTACCATTAACCTCTAATTCTGCTCTGCTTAACGATACACCATTCTTAACAAATTCTTCTTCTTGGACTGCTTTGGGCCCTAACCCATCCTATCTAGCTGAGGAACTCATCGTTTGTCAGGGGAAAGTCACTCCCTTGGGAAGGCTCGAAAAATGCCTTTAATGATTATCTCCATGAGTTTTATCCCTGGACTATTTTGTTTAATCCTGAATATTCAACATGTATTGTGATTAATATGGGATAGAATTTAACCAATATTCTCAATGAAGAAAATCTAAACTAGCAATGCTAGTTAATTATGGAATAATAAGTCATATGGAGTGCTAAACATTTTAATAGGAAAATATGAGAGAAAAAGAACATCTATAAGAGGTTTGAATGTTTCATTCATTTGTAACAAGGACCAACAATGTGTATACCCACAAATATATAGCAATACTTCATATGTATGCCTTAGAGCTGGGGTTAGTAGAATACAGTCTGCAGCCAAATCTGGCCCAGCACCTCTTTTTGTACTACCTACAACCTAATGGATTTTAAAATTTCACATGATTTAAAGTCAAATAAGAATATCTTTTGGACACATGAAAATTATAAATTTTTATTAGAACACAGCCATGCTCATTCTTTAATGTATTGTCTATTGCTACCTTCACGCTACTGCAGCACAGGTGAGCATTTTGAAACAGGCCATGTAGCCCACAAAACCTAAAATATTTCCTGTCTATCCCTTTACAGTAAAAGTATTCTGACCCTTCTTTCAGAGGAATATAAATTACAAGCCGCAATTTCCAAAAAACTTCAATAAAGAGTTACATTATTTGGGGATCTGCTATGTTTTGACCCAAACATTATTCGAGATGATATTTTAGGAAAATTCAAAATCTTATCTGGAAGTATGTCATTTACACCTTTGGAAAGAACCATAAGTCTCATGATATGTAGATAACATGGTTTTAGTATTAGGAATTGCACTGGTTGACTTTAGGGAGGAAAAAGAGAAAGTTGACTAAGTGGCAGAAGTTGCTAACAGACCAAGCTGCAAGACCAAGTAATGGACACTGAGCACCCTTTTCATCACAAGCCTTCCCCAAGAATCTAGATTGAAATTCAGGACTGTTAATAAATAGGGCAAAGTTGTTTTGTTTTGGGGAAAAGCTAGGGTACCAGAACATTATTACACGTGCAAATTATCTAACAATCTGTTTTGAGCTACCTTACAAAAATATATGCCGCTGTATTTTTCCAGAGCTAAATGTGAGTGGAGGTAATTGTGGAGTTTTGTTAAATGGCAGGTAAGCTATTCATCTAAGTGCCCATTCATGATGTGCCCAATCTACCCATTTAGATTTCATTCTGCAGAGCTCTTAGGTGATGGCTTTGTTGCTCATACTTGAAATTTCTGGCTTTAGTTGAATTTTACAGTAGGAGATCCCAAATACTATGACATGGAATTACTGTTAAATTCTAAAGGATTAGAAACTGACTAGAAAGAGGCAGGAATCTATTATCACTGGAATACCCTTCTGTTATTCAAGGCAGGCTCCAAATCTGTAAAAGTCAAGTTCAAGGAAGTTCATTTTCACCACCATTGATTTTCACTGAAAGCAGACTGTTTTCACCTCATTGATTTTGATGTTGACTGAGTCATATTCATCTGGTTGGTCAGTATTGGGAGCTTCTTCATTTTTGATGAGTTAATTTGCCTAGGATCACCGATCAGTTGCCTTGATCTGGAGCAACTGTTACTTAATACTATCTCAGGCCTCATATTAAGAAACATAAAATGCTATTTAATTGGGTAGAATTTGGTTTCTTTAAGAGTCTACCTAATTCCAAAATAGTAATTGTTTATTTAACTTTAATTATAAGATTCAGATCACATAGTATCCTTTATCCAATTGACACTGAAAAACCGTACAAAACATACATACATGTTATTCATATAATTCATAGAAACAGCAGGAACCTTACAGGGGAAAATGACTTCCACAAAAATATAATTTACAAAAGTCGCAAAACTGTGATTGACCCATTAATGCCTGAAAATAAAAAGCAAATGCTAAAACCAAATAGTACTAACAATATCCAAAAGTCTGAACTCATGATTCTGTCTTCTGCAGTTATTATCACCCCTAAGCCAGTTTCTCTGCTTACTGCATATATAACCCATCAAATGGAACGCTTCTGTCTAAACAGAACCTTCTATCTGTGAATATTAATATGCAATCCACAGGAGAGCATCTGGCTTATATCTGAGATAATAATTATCTTTTTATGACACAGTTATGAGTTTTCCTTTCATGAATTTTTATACTGGAATTTTTCATTATTCTGGTAGTCTAGCTTTAGAACAAACACCTGCTTTTTACACTCTTAGCAGAATCCTTCAAGATTTTGTGTTTAAAACCTCTGACTATTCTACATAAGATTCTTGATCCTTTGTCATTCCAGGAGAAACCATCTCATCTATCATCCCTTTGTAGCTCTTTTATAGAAATACAAATCTCTAAGTGATTTGCAATAGATTTTGATGGAAATTTGTGGATTTTTTTTTATAGCAATCTTCCACAATTAGCTTTTTGTCCCATGAAGGGTGAATCGCTTAGGTTTCCCATGGAAATATTTCTGAAGTCTCTTTTTGGTTCACACCATTTTGTATTGAAACCGATAACACTGCTGCTTATGCTATAAGCATGTGACATATAACACTGGAAACATAAATCATTATTATTATTATTATTAGGTTAGTTTACCACCTACCTTGTATGTCAGAAGTAAAATCTAAAATGTAAAACTTATTTTATGGTCTGAAAAAAATGATATATTGAACAATATACTTCTGTCACACTAGAACGTAGTCTCTAGCTGTCATATTAAATACTCAGGTAGACATCATAACATTTCCAAAACACTCAGAAATTCAAGACAATTGTTTCCGTAATATACTATGCCAAGTCTATAGGAAGCAACAGTTTTTATTATATATTTTGATTTACTTAAAAAGTTTATATGAACAGCTTCTATGTATATGTTTAGACTATTTCTAAGTTTTGGTAAGGGTAGAATCTCTAATTTTAGGTATATTACAATCCATTTATATAATGAAAGCATGCAGATAAAAAGGTTATTGTATTAAATTATAAGAGATAGCATAAGGCTATATGCAGCTAATTGCAGAATAAGAATTTGAGGATGTTAATATTACTGGAGATGCTGGAGATGAGTCCAGTTAGGCCAGTTTTTATGTTATATACCATAATAAGGACATTGTATTTGACTCTGAATTGACAAAACCATTGAAAGATTCTAAGCAGCTTTGTGCCACAACTTGACTTGCACTTCAAAAAAATCACTACCATTTCAGTTAAGACATCTGCATCATTCAAGATGCTGTGTTTAAACAAAATTAGAGTTGTCTTAGATCCTCTTTTTCTCTCAAAGCCTACATCTAATCTTGCAAGTACTCCTGTTGGTTCCTCTTAAACAGTGTATCAAGGATCCAACCACTTATCATCTCCTTTGCTATCACTCAGATTCCAACTACAAAAATCTCTTAACCTGGACTTTTTCAATAGTCACCCAACTGATCTTCTTGTTTTATGAAGATGTTTACCTTGAAATTTTAGTTAATTTTCAGTTTTTGCCAGTTGAATTCCCCTCAGAAAGTTTGGAGATATTCAACTACTATGTTCTTCCTGCCATTCTGGTCTAAGAAGAATACATTCCTGCTTCTTATTGATCCTACTCTGATTAGGCTTTGAGGCCCACCCCTGAATTGAAATAGATCATGGTAAAGGTAAACAGTGTCTTACCTTATGTAAAATAAAATGCTCAACTCTTAGATTTCTTCTTACTTGGTTTATAGGGCATTTGACATGATTGATCGGTCCTTCCTTCTTAAAATACTTTGTTAGCATGGCTTGCAGGACATAATATTAATTACATTTGTTTCTTGCCTTATTTTACAGGCTACCTCCTTTGATGGGTCTTCACTATTTTTCTGAGCTCTGAGTCTTTGAGTGCTCTAAAGTCAATCTTGAAGATCAGTGTTTTCTCTGTCTACTACTTCCCAAAGCAAACACATCCAAACTTATAACTTTAAATAGCTTTATTTTACCTATGATCCTAAATCTCCAGCTTTAGTTTTTTACCTTATTTTAGTCAATTAGCTGAATTAACTACTTCCAAAAGGATTTCTTAATCCTCTCTCAACAAACCAGTTCTCACAGTTTACCCCATCTCAGTAAATGTCAGCTCCATTCTTCTAATTGTTCATACAAATTAACTTAAGGTCACCTTTTACTTCTCTCTCATTTTTTTGATTCTCATTTCAAATATTTTTCATTAGGATATTTTGTTGTTTCTATATCAAAATTGTAGCCAAAATATAATTATTTATCCTCACCTCTACCTCCAATCCCTTGTTAAAACTTAAGATACCCTTATACTCCAGGATATTTCTTCAGTACAAACCTAATGTTTCCTTTAAAATTTAAGCTAGATCATATATCACTTCTCTGTTTAAAACAGTCCAGTATTTTTCAGCTCACTCAGTATAAAACCCAAGTACTTAGTATGACTTATACAAAGCTGAATGAACAGGCTCCCTCTCACCATTTGACTTCATCTTCCATCTCATCTCCCCTTGTTTACTTGGTTTCAGCCACATTGGAATCCAGATGTCTTTAGACACATCAAAGATGTTTCCATTTCTAGACCTTTGTACCTTTTAGAAATTGCTTCTTGCAAACTCTGCACAGTTTGTCTCTCACATCCTTGAGCCTTCTACTGCTAGTAAAATGAACACTACAAAAGTATTCATTGACTACTCTATAAATATATAGTTAGATGGATAGATAAAATCTTCACATATATAAGTGCATATTATTTGCTAAAATTTAAAAATAAAACATTATATATACAGTGTCAAAGTCTCCTTTGTCTTCATGTTTTGATTTTATTTTAATTTCAGTTCCTCATTTGATTATTACTGTTATAAGTCTACCAATTAAAGTACAACATGTGAATACTAATGCTAGACAAAAAATAGGTGTTAAGAGTTTTTACATTATCTTTGAGACCTAAAATATAGTTAGAGAAGTTTAGTAACACCAGCTTTCTATAGAATGAAAACCTTTTTCTAACTTACTACTTATCTTCACTCATTGGAGTAAATAAACTTAATAATCTTCTGGTGAATATGTTGGCCTGCTAGTCATGAGACCTGGATTTCATTTTTGCTCTTACCACACTACCACAAACATGACATTAGCAACAATATTTATTCTGTTTATGAATGCTCATCATCTTGCAGAATGAGTGAGAGGGTGCTATATTATCTGAAACACTGAAAATAGCCTTTTTCCACAGGTGCAGCCATAAACATCAGAGTAAACTCTTCTCTTGTTTTCATCCTGCAAATCTAGTCTGTCAACATATAATTAATTCTAAAAATTTTAATAGGTGTATTGCTACTCTTCTGCTAAAAGAAAAGAATCTCATGGTGCTTATAAAGAAAAAGAAGACATCAATATAAGTATTTTAAAAGTTCATAAAATATAGCTCTTTAAAAATACAGCCACATATTATGTAATACCTAAATTTATAGGATCCTCCCCCTTCTAAAGAAAACAATAACATGCAACAGAAGATGAAGTCTCCATTATGAAAAACTTTTCCATAAGAAAAGTTGAAAAGCTTTTAGGTAATATGCGCCATCCAAAAATAAATAAAATACACTAAATTGGATATCTAAAATAAAAAGCAAAAATGGGAATAGCAAGTAAGTAAAGTAAGAAAATAATAAAAATATATTAAATGAATGATGAATATTTTGGAGTTTATAGCATTCAGTATGAGAAGGCAATGAAAATGACTTATGATGGAATTTGTAGCCCACAAAAATATGATACCCAGCTCAATTGTCCTTCATGTCTGAATATGTATCTTAAAAGGTTATGAAATGTTTAAAGCCTCAGATTTAACAAGCAAAACCTACTGCTACTACTTGTGGCTGGAATCCAACCACTAAGAGATTAATAAATATAAGCTCAGGAATAAGGCAGTTACACTATTACAAAAGTCATTGAATATTGAATACACATAGATATAATATTGAGGGAAAACAGTTTTTGTAGTTCTGGGAACAAAACAATGTATTAAAAATAAAATTTATTTTAAAAATTATATATTAATATAAAGATGGTTGGTTGCAATAAGAATAAAGTGATACAGAAACACAATTCTGAAAAAAAATCATTAATGTCTGTTGCTCAGGTTATGTGCTGTGTGTAGACTGCACCCTGCCTGGCCTGAAAGTAGAGAGAAATTAAAATATAAAGGCATGTTAAGGATACTAATTTCCTCATCTTTCTTGGCAGTCAGTAGTTGCTGTTGTATTTCTAAGATTTAAGTGTGTTGTTCAAAGTACTAAAAGAAGCTATTAGAAGAAGAGAAAATAATCTATACACCTTACATATTGCCCTGTCCAAGAGGAAATAAAGAATTGAGGTCAACTAACACAATTCTAACACAAGATAAAATACAAAGAAACTTACATAAATGTATACACACACACACACACACATACACGCAAATGAAGAGAGGCCATTCTATGTCATGGAAAATATGTCATAACATTATGCAACATTCGTCTTCCACTTGCACTCAAATAAAACATCGTACAGTGTTGTGTATGCATGTTTCAAAGATGCATACAGATGCATCTTTATTTTGGAACAGCATAGATATACTAGTGAGAAAATTCTATTACTCCAAAATGATATAACATCTTAAAAGTTTTTACCATAAGCTTTATTTTGAACTGCTGTTTCATTTTGTGTGCCTTCAAGTGGGAGTTTAGCATTCCAGATAGAAACATAAAATCCAGCATAAACAGACACCAATAGCCTTTTATATATTTTACTATAATAATCACACAACTAGAGCTTGCACAATTATCATCACAACCTGTAAATTTTCAAAACTGTTTACACTTTCATGCTTCTACGGAAACATCGGCTTTATGCTAAATGGTTGTATATATATGTATAAACATATACATATATGTAAAATGGCAATACATCATACTCAATATTATAAATATAATTTTGAGCTTTTTTACACTTCTGTGTTTGAAAACTGAATTTGGGTTTTGAATTTATTAAAAATAATAGTCATATATTTTAATATAAAAGATAAAAATGTTTAGTATGAATTTGCATCTGTTCAAATTATCTGTGCAGTGGAGAGTATCATGAGAATAAGGAGACTAGTTTTTTTGAATGGGAAAAATCTAAGACTGTCAGTTTGTGTTACAAGCTAACTATTTAATTGGTTGAGGATCTTAAGAAAGTCTGATTGCATGTATGGAGGAATTCCTAATTTGGGTCAGGAATACTTTACATACATTCCTGTTTCCTGAGGGAATAATAATAAGTAAACATAATATTCAATTAATATTTGTTCATCAATGTGTAATTTAAGTTTTTTAATGTGGAATTCCATTATGATTAACATTTATTGAAAACTATGGTTTTTTTTAGATAATTTGCATGAAATCTGTAGTGATTCTCAGAGAAACTCTGAAAGGGAGTTAAATACTACTTTCCCCCATTTAAATATAAGACACAGAGCTTAAGAAATAGTTCAAGATCAATGAGAATGTAAATGGACACCATGCATTTGACATACATATATATATCATACATATATATATATATATATATATATATATATATATATATATATATATCCAGGCCTATAGATCCTCCATGTTAACACTAAAAATTATCGCAGCATATCATCTTGGATTTTGCACACAGTCAGATTGTAGACAGAAGAGCATCTGGATGGGAAATCTGTAGGGAATACTGTAACTATAAAGGCAGGAAAAGAAAAAACACTTAGCTGTTATTTCTCATTCAGCACTGCTGCAGGTATGCAAGTTGTTTACTGAAGAAATACAGCATTTTTGTGTATATGCAGTACTCATTCTGTTTATCCACACACGATGACTCTAGCAATCCTCCATGAATTATTCTTGTTCAGATCTCCTCATATTCAATAATTTTCAGTGTCATCTTTTCCGTCATTGGGGTATCTTCATTGTTAAAATGCACACACAAACAGACACAAAGCCATAGAAGGACATTTGAAGTGTTTTCCTGGCTGTGTTGGGGAAGATGCTGCTGTGGATCTTCAGTTTTTCTTTTGACTGGGCATTGACTCTCACATCTGTATGTCCAACATCTGGCTGAACTAAAAAATAAAAAAAGCTGAATAGATAGATCAAATGTGCAGGGTAGTGGGAGGGGGCATCTTAAATTAATAAGCTTTATTTATACATAGAAAATAAGTTTATTTCTAGAGGTTTTTACATAGGTGAAATAAATGGTAATCATACATAATGTAATATATAGCACTTGTGTTTTGGGGGGTTGCATTTATAATTAAGCTGAAAACACGTGGAAGTGGACATACATATGATGTCTCCTTACTGAAAGAGACCCATCCTGCCCACTCCAGAGGATTAATAAAGGACAAAAATGTCACCTACTCCTCCAGGACCATTACTTTTCCTCTTGCAGCTATCTCCTATATATCTGTTCCTTTAAAACAGTGTAATTTAGATGCGTTCATAGACAATATAGGGCCTCCATCATAGACCCTGAGACAAAGAAATAACCATGAAGGTTCACCTGACTTCCTTGGTATGTTTATTTTATGTAAGAAAGTGAAGTATTTTTTTCCATATCTTAGCATCATGCTACAGATGTGTAGTTGCTTTCTCCTGAGTGTGATGCTGTAGTCTAATGATGCACACCTTCATTTACTAAATACAAAAACTAGTGCTATAAAAATTATTTCTTATTTTGCATAAGAAAACAAGAATTTTTATCAGAAGCTGGATGTAGTGAAAGGATAAAAAATGGTAAGGATGTTCAAATGAGCTTGAACATAATATTTTTTTGTCTGTTTCTTTGTATTATTTATGATTTTTTTCTCTTAAGTTAAAGCTAAAGTGGCCAAGAACATAAAAGGATTTTTATTTTCTTTACCAAAAATTAGAGTACACATTGAAGGATTTATCATTTTTGTTATTATATAGACAAAATATTTTTGAGAAATCATAACAAAACTTTGAAAGCCTCTAAAAATTTGCTATTTATAATCACACAACAAAGAATTAAAAATTATTGTCACCAGATTGCCATTTATGACCAAATAGTTTTAGTCCAACAACTGAACTCTTATTTTGATAATACAAAAATAATTTCATTAATATTAGACTAGACTATGAACTCACTTGGGACAGTAAGTTGTATATGACACTAGACTATAAGTTCCTAAAAGGAAATATCTAGATTGGCAAGAATGGTATTATCTGACTTCTAGTAAACATTGTGTTCAATCTTATATGAGAGGTAATTCTTAATTTATCTAACTTGCATCCCCAGTTTATTACTTATGTATTCTCATTGCCATTGATTCAGTTGTCTTCCTCTTGAGAGTTCATGAGGCTTTCCTGGATCCGTATCACAAAACACTTAGTGAGGCAATATATTCTAGCAATTAAATGGCTGTGTAGGCATGCATGTGCGTGCACGCAACTGAGTGAAAGAGAGAAAGGAAGATGAAGAGAATGTGTGTGCAAAACTAGTGTGTTTTCGTTTTAAATTTATTTAAATTTTTGAAGATGTTGTCAAGTTAAATCTTGAAGAATTCAGGAACATTAACATTAGAAGGGTAATTCCATTTATTGTTGATGATATTCTCATTGGTTTGTTATATTTTCTTTGCTATCACAGATGGGTTACACAAAAAATAAATGTTTCATATTTCTACCAACGCTTTTCTGCAAGCAGAATGTTAGTGTTCATTTTGCAAGGATACCCAGGCCTGCTGTGTAGCAATAGCACCACATGGTGACCAACTCCTTCACATGAAGAAACCCAGACCTTGCGGTCTTTGGAATTGGGAGCCAAGTTCTAGGTCAATGATCTCCTATTGCTTTATTCTGATCTTGCTGGTTCTGATTTTATTTCTGACTGGGCAAAAGTCATTTACAGACAACAACAAAGTCGTTGCCTAGAAGATCTAACACAGATGAACCTTAGTGTATGCATCTTTTTAACCGGGTGATCAAATCCTTGACCTTATGATATTTAGAATGAGATTTTCACATTAGTTTAGAGGGGATTATAGTAAATATGTACTAGTGAATTCTAATCTATGTTGAGAATGCAAAATTTAAAACCATGACGATATAAATGCATTTTGATTAATATGCTCTAATTTTCAAATACGCACTGACATACAGTAAAAAAGCGAAAATTAAAATGGAAAACACCACTAAAGTGTCAAAAATAAAATTCTATCTTGAAGCATTAACCATACTGAGGATAACATATGCACCAAAGAAAAGTGAATATGTTAAAGTAAAATCAGAATTTTGCCTCCTGGTCATTATATCAAGCTGAACATAAACACTGTGACTATTTATATTGACGGGATGTGTATTAGTTAATATTTTAAAAATTTATCCTCATGTAAGATTTTTCTTATATTTCTATGAGAAACTGGAAAAAATGACATATAACGTATATATCCAGACTGGTAAGGAAGTTTTCCTTTTGTTTTTCCATAAGAAAGCAAATTTCAGACCAATGAAAAAAACCTGGTGATGAAGATAACTTATTTGAATACCCAGTTTTCAGTAATTGTTTACTTCCTATGAAAATAGTCAATATTATGTGATTCTTTCATTGATTTTTAATATGCAAAATTAGACAAGAACCTTTAGTTCAGTTAGAAATAAATACCAAAAAGTTTTAGATAAGCTGCTTATTTTCACAAATTGCATAGTATATACATAACAAAACTGGAAACGTATTTTATATAGGACGTGCTGATACCATTAATCAAAATTATTCTTTGTAAACACCACTGGATGCAGATATAATTTCGAAAGAACTACATAATTAGAAATGGCTAAGAACTTATAAATTTATTTAAAGTGTTGTTGGAATCAAACCAGATGTATCCTTTTGCTACAAAGAGGAAAAATCTGTCTGTAAGGATAGTAATTATGTGGAGTGGTCATAAGAAATACCTAGGAAATTTCCGATTTTTCTATCTTATTTTTTCCCGACACAATATAAATGATAATATCAACTGGCACTTGCAGATTGGTTTATTGTTTAGCAAATGCAACACATTTTCTATAATACCTGATTATACCAAAGACTTTAAGATGTGTTATCTTATCTATTCTCATTTTTAAAATGAGGAAAAGAAGGCCAGATAAATCTGTCCACAGCCATACAGCCAGTAGGTGTTGAACAGCAAGGTATTCCAATACCATGCCCATGTTCTCTATAGTATACTGCTTATATCTTGAATAATCTTGCCTTTTTGTTGATAGACAATATATAGTTTGAGATACACACCATTAATATGGTTTGGCTGTGTCCCCACCCAAACCTCATCTTGAATTGTAGCACCCATAATTCCCACAGGTTGTGGGAGGGGACCCAATGGTAGGTAATTGAATCATGAGGGTGGGTCTTTTCTGTGCTGATGTTGTGTTATAGAATAAGTCTCACAAGATATGATGGTTTTATAAAGGGGAGATCCCAAGCAAAAGCCTCTCTTGCCTGCTGCCATGTAAGAAGTCCTTGTGCTCTTCCTTCATCTTTTGCCATGATTGTGAGGCCTCCCCAGCCATGTGGAACTGTGAGTCCATTAAACCTCTTTCCTATATAAATTACCCAGTCTTGGGTATGTCTTCATTAGCAGTGTGAGAACAGACTAATACAGCCATCGAAATTATTAGTCCAATTTTAAAAGATTTTCAAATGTTAATACTGAACAAAGTGAAAAGAAGATAGTAATAGCAATTATGTAGAATATACATTACTGAGCATACTTTTTTTAAAGATCAAGTAAGCTTTTGCTACTAAAATCTGGAAGAGAAGTGAATGACTACTTAAATTGTTCTACCTTTTCAGAATAGATGCGTATTTATATTTTGAGGTTATTATAGCAACAATTATAAAATCGGGGCAAACAAAATTATGCAAAACATTACATGTCTATTTTTAATACTTATACTTCTTACATACTGGCTACTCCTGGTAAATTTTTTTCATTAAAATTTGAAAGAGAAAACGGAATGCTGTCTTTTCTATATCAGGAATTGTTTGGGAATTTTCAAAAAGTAAGAAGAGTGCTAGAAATACACTTTGGCAATTAATTTCCGCGGTGAAATGTCCGGTGAAGAATAGAACAGGTGAATTACATCTAGACTGAATTTGCAGTTGATAATATTTTTGCAGGTCTGTCTTATTTAAGAGGACTTTTCTGGCTGAAAAGCAAATTTGGAATCTGCTCAAGGTTAGAAAATTTAAATCTAAAAGCTCTTGAATGACTGCAACATGTTTTACCAACTTGATGGAAATTCCATTCTGAAGTTGAATTAGTTCAAAAGTTTGGAATTTAAAACTAAACTAAGAAAAAATACTGTCAAAACTAAAGAAGAAAAATTAAGAAAAATTTACTACCAACCTATTCATTAATTTAGTATTCTTACAAATCTTACATTTATTTCTTCATTGTAAGCAATGTATTCAGTGAAATATTCCATAGCCTCTCTGTAAAGACTATGAGCCATGCCTGTTAACAACATTCAAAGATCTTTCCGGCCAGGCACGGTGGCTCACGCCTGTAATCCCAGCACTTTGGGAGGCCAAGATGGGCGGATCACGAGGTCAGGAGATTGAGACCATCCTAGCTAACACAGTTAAACTCCGTCTCTGCTAAAACTACAAAAAAAAAAAAAATTATCCTGGCATGGTGGCGGGTGCCTGTAGTCCCAGCTACTCGGGAGGCTGAGGCAGGAGAATGGCGTGAACCCAGGAGGCGGAGCTTGCCGTGAGCTGAGATCCTGCCACTGCACTCCAGCCTGGGTGACAGAGCGAAACTCTGTCTCAAAAAAAAAAAAAAAAAAAAAAAAAAAAAATCTTTCCCAGTTTTTATTACAGACAATCTCCAAATTTTCAACATATTTTTTCTTCTCTTGGTCTTCAATCCAGGTATGTAAATATAATGAACACTAATTTCAAAATTGGAAAACTACTATTTCACAATTACTTTGAATCTATGCTTTTATAGCAAGAATTCAAGGAGGCAGAAAGTTGAGAGACTGGATGGGCAAGTTACTTACTACACCTGGATGATAATTTCCTTAAAAAACGGAACCACAGAGGACTCAGAAATAGCGCCACACATCTACAACAATTTGATCTTTGACGAACCTGACAAAAACAAGCAATGGGGAAAAGATTCTCTATTTAATAAATGGTGTTGGAAAAACTGGCTAGCCATATGCACAAAACTGAAACTGGACCCCTTTCTTACACCTTATACAAAAATTAACTCAAGATGGATTAAAGACTTAAATGTAAAACCTAAAACCATAAAAACCCTAGAAGAAAACCTAGGCAATACCATTCAGGACATAGCCATGGGCAAAGACTTCATGACTAAAACACCAAAAGCAATGGCGACCAAAGCCAAAATTGACAAATTGGATCTAATTAAACTAAAGAGCTTCTGCACAGCAAAACAAACTATCAGCAGAGTGAACAGGCAACCTACAGAATGGGAAAAAAATTTTGCAATCTGTCCATTTGTCAAAGTGCAAATGTCCAGAATCTACAAGGAACTTTAACAAATTTCCAAGAAACAAACAAATAACCCCATGAAAAAGTGGGCAAAGGATATGAACAGATACTTCTCAAAAGAACACAACAACATATGAAAAAAAAGCTAATCATCACTGATCATTAAATAAATGCAAATCAAAACCACAAGGAGATGCAATCTCACGCCAGTTAGAATGGTGATCAGAAAAATATCAGGGAACAACAGATGCTGGAGAGGATGTGGAGAAATAGGAACACTTTTACACTGTTGGTGGGAGTGTAAATTAGTTCAACCATTGTGGAAGACAGTGTGGCGATTCCTCAAGGATCTAGAATCAGAAATACTATTTGACCCAGCCATTCCATTACTGGGTATATACCCAAAGGATTATAAATCATTCTACAATAAAGACACATGCACACATATATTTATTGCAGCACTGTTCACAATAGCAAAGACTTGGAACCAACCCAAATGCCCATCAATGATAGACTGGATAAAGAATATCTGGCACATATATGCCGTGGAATACTATGCAGCCATAAAAAAGGATGAGTTCGTGTCCTTTGCAGGGAAATGGATGAAGCTGGAAACTATCATTCTCAACAAACTAACACATGAACAGAAAACCAAACCCCACATGTTCTCACGCGTAAGTGGCAACTGAACAATGAGAACATATGCACACAGGGAGGGGAATATCACACACTGGGGCCTGTCTGGGGGTGTGGGGCTAGGGAAGGGATTGCATTAGGAGAAACACCGGATGAAGATGATGGGCTGATGGGTGCAGCAAACCACCATGGTACATGTATACCTACGTAACAAACCTGCATGGTCCGCACATGTATCCCAGAACTTAAAGTATAATTAAAAAATAATAATAAAACAAAACCAAACCATATCTATCATGGGGATTCATCTTTCCTTTTTTCCTCTCTCTCTCTCTCTCTCTCTCTCTCTCTCTCTCTGTGTGTGTGTGTGTGTGTCTCTGTCTCTTCACCACCCCTCCTCTGTTTTCGGTACTGTTTTCATTTCCCTTTCTTCAGGATTCACATGATAATGTGTGTGAAAGTGTTTTCTATAATGCCATGTAGATAAGATGTGTTCATAAATTTGCTGTCAAATGGATATATCATTTAGAATGAACTAATTTTTAGAACATTCTATTGGATTATTAGCTTATTGGAAATGAGTTGTGTATGCTGTGGACAAAGGTCTTCATTAGATACATGTTTTGTAAGTATTTTCTCCTTGTCTAAGGTTTGCCTTTTCATTTTCTTAACCTTGTCTTTAGCAAGTAAAATCAGTGCTGTACAAGTAAATGGTTAACTTCAAACTCCCTGGGCAAGGCTCCCCTGTTGGTAATCTGTGTTGGTTTCTTTGGAATAAATACTACCACCATGGCCAATTGCAAGCTGCAGGGATATCAGATGGCTCACAAAACTCCTGAAAATGTAACAATTGGCTCTCACAAGCCAATGTAAGCTGGCAACAGTACACCATTGCTTAATTTAGTAATTCATACTGAAACTTGCCATATTTTAACATAGCAGAAAGTAATATGGTTTCTTTTGATTCAGATATTAAACATATAGTACCAAAATAACCAAGTATGAATTAACTATTTTAGGGCATATTTTACAAATGAAAATAGATATAATTATTTTAGATGCTTTCCTTCCAATAATAATATAGTCAAAGGTTTTCAAACTGCTATTCACAAAACTTTCAAAAATAGTGATACAGTCTTAACAGCAGTAAACTAGAGTGAACACTTAGGTGGTTTTCAGTTTATTCACATAGCAACCATCACAACTCCCTAACTTTAGAATATTATCACCGCAAAAAGAAATCCAAAACTAATAATCAGTTATTATGCAACCGGTCTTCTCCAAGTCCTGACAGCCATTAATCTACTTTGTGACACTCTGAATTTACCTATTTTAGGTTACTTTTATAAATGGAATCATACACTATGTGGCCTTTTGTGGCTACTTTATTTAGGATAAACAATGTCATTCGTGTTTTTATGTGTAACAGCACTGCATTCATTTTTAATGCCCCCCAAAATTACACTGTAAAAACATTGACATTTTATATAACCGTTGATTAGTTGATGAACTTTTGTGCTATTTCTACTTTTGGTGATTGTGAATTTTGCTACTAACATGAATATATTAGGTTTTGTTTCAATATTTGTGTTTCATTTTTTGGTTATACACATAAGAGTAGAATTACTAAGTTGTATGGTAATTTTATGTTTAACTTTATAAGAACAAACAGTATTCTGAATTGGCTGTATTTTTCTACAATCCCACCACCAATATATGGGAATAGCAATAATTTCACATTCTTGACCACACTTGTTATTTTCTTTTTTAATGTTAGTAACCATCATAAAGGTATTAAAACATAGTCAAAAATCTTTATGGTTTAGAATTTCATTTCTTTAATGAGTAATGATTTCAAACATCTTTTAGAGTACTTATTGGCCATTTTTATAAATTATTTGAAAAAACATGTACTCAAATTGACCATGTTTTTATTGGGTAATTGACTTTTTATTTTGAGTTGTAAATGTAATTTATATATTTTGAATACAAATATATTATCATATATGATGTGTAAATATGGCTTTCCATTCTGTGAGCTGACTTTCTGTTTTATTGATGTCTTTTAAAGTATAAGGTTTTAATTTTGATAAAGTACAAATTGTATATTTTTTCTTTGGTTTCTTGTATATTTGGTGCTATCTATAAGAAAGCATTGACAAATCTAAGGCCACAAAGATTTATTCCTGTTTTCTTCTAAGTTTTTTTTTTTTTTTTTTTTTTTTTTTTTTTGAGACGGAGTCTCGCTCTGTCGCCCAGGCGGGACTGCGGACTGCAGTGGCGCAATCTCGGCTCACTGCAAGCTCCGCTTCCCGGGTTCACGCCACTCTCCTGCCTCAGCCTCCCGAGTAGCTGGGACTACAGGCGCCCGCCACCGCGCCCGGCTAATTTTTTTTTGTATTTTTAGTAGAGACGGGGTTTCACCTTGTTAGCCAGGATGGTCTCGATCTCCTGACCTCATGATCCACCCGCCTCGGCCTCCCAAAGTGCTGGGATTACAGGCGTGAGCCACCGCGCCCGGCCTCTTCTAAGTTTTATAGGTATAACTCTTACATTTAAATCTATGATAAATTTTTAATCAATTTTTATTTGTGCTGTAAAATAGAGGCCTAACTTTATTTTCTTCTCATATGGACATCCAGTTTTCCTGACACCATGAAGTTGACAACACTATTTTTTTCTCATTAAATTTTCTTGGCACTCATGTTTAAAATCTGTTAATCATAAATGTAAGAATTAATTTGTGGACTCTCCATTCTATTCCAATGATACACATAATTATCTTTATTTTAGTACCACACTCTCTTGACTACCATAGATTTTAGCAAGTTTTGTAGTTAGGATGTGTGAATGCTTTAAGTTTGTTCTTTTTCAATATTATTTTGACTTCTTATTTCCTTGCACTTGCATATGAACTTCAGGATCAGCTTATCTATTCTGAACACAAACAAACAAAAAAAAACAGAGTAACTGGGTTTTCGATAGGGACTAGATTGAGCGAGTAGATCAAATTGCAAAGTATTACCCTCTCAGTAATACTGAATCTTCCACTCCATAAGCACATTTCTTTCTATTCATTGTGGTCTTCCATAATTTCATTCAACAACACTTTGTAGTTTTTAGTGTACGTTTTGCAACTTGTTGTTAAATTTATTACCAAATAGTTTATTCTTTTTCAAATTTTATTTTACATTAAGTTCCCGGATAAAAGTGCAGAATGTGTAGGTTTGTTACATAGGTATACGTGTGCCGTGGTGATTTGCTGCACCTACCAACCTGTCATCTAAGTTTTAAGCCCCATATGCATTAGCTATTTGTCCTAATGCTCTCCCTCCCTTCACCTCCCACCCCCATCTGGCCCTGGTATGTGTTGTTTTACTCCCTGTGTCCATGTGTTCTCATTGTTCAACTTCCACTTATGAGTGAGAACATGTGGTGTTTGGTTTTCTGTTCCTGTGTTAGTTTGCTGAGAATGATGGCTTCCAGCTTCTTTCCTGTCCCTGCAAAGGACATGATCTCATTCCTTTTTATGGCTGTATAGTATTCCATGGTGTATATGTGCCACATTTTCTTTATCCAGTTTATCATTGATGGATATTTGGGTGGGTTCCATGCCTTTGCTAATGTAAATAATGCTGCAACAAACATACGTATGCATGTGTCTTTATAGTAGAATGATTTATATTCCTTTGGGTACATACCCAGTAATGGGATTACTGGGTTAAATGGTATTTCTGGTTCTAGATCCTTGAGGAATCACCATACTGTCTTCCACAATGGTTGAACTAATTTACATTCCCACCAACGGTGTGAAAGCCTTCCTATTTCTCCACAGCCTCATGAGCATCTATTGTTTCTTGACTTTTTAATAATTGCCATTCTGACAGGTGTGAAATGATATCTCATTGTTGTTTTCATTTGCATTTATCTAATGATTAGTGATCTTGAGCTTTTTTCATATATTTCTTGGCCACATAAATGTCTTCTTTTAAGAAGTGTCTTTTCATATCTTTTGTCCACCTTTTGATGAGGTTTTTTTTTCTTGTAAATTTGTTAAAGTTCCTTGTAAATTCTGGATATTAGACCTTTATCAAATGGGTAGATTGCAAAAATTATCTCTAATTTTGTAGGTTGCTTGTTCACTCTGATGATACTTTTTGTTTTGTTTTGTATTGTTTTTGCTGTGCAGAAGCTCTTTAGTTTAATTAGATCCCATTTGTCAATTTTGGCTTTTGTCGCAGTTGCTTTTGGCATTTTCATCATGAAGTATTTGCCCATGCCTATATCCTGAATCTTATTACATAGGCTTTCTTCTAGGGTTGTTACAGTTTTGGGTTTTACATTTAAGTCTTTAATCCATTTTAAGTTCATTTTTATATAAAGTGTGAGGAATGGGTACTGTTTCAGTTTTCTGCATATGGCTCGCCAGTTTTCCCAGTACTGTTTATTAAATAGGGAATCCTTTCCCCATTGCTTGTTTTTGTCAGATTTGTTAAAGATCAGATGGTTGTAGATATGTAGTGTCATTTCTGAGGTCTCTGTTCTGTTCCAGTGGTCTGTATGTCTGTTTTGGTACCAGTACCATGCGGTTTTGGTTACTGTAGCCTTGTATTACAGTTTGAAGTCAGGTAGTGTGATGCCTCCAGCTTTATTCTTTTTGCTTAGGATTGTCTTGGCTATACGGGCTCTTTTTTGGTTCCATATTAAATTTAAATAATTTTTGTCTAATTCTGTGAAGAATGTCAATCGTAGTTTGATGGGAATAGCATTGCATCTATAAATTACTTTGAGAAGTGTGGCCATTTTCACGATATTGATTCTTCCTGTCAATGAGGATGGAATGTTTTCCCATTTGTTTGTGTCCTCTCTTATTTCCTTGAGCAGTCGTTTGCAGTTCTCCTTGAAGAGGTCCTTCTCATCCCTTGTTAGCTGTATTCCTAGGTATTTTATTCTTTTTGTCGCAGTTGTGAATGAGAGCTTATTCATGATTTGGTTCTATGCTTGTTTATTGTTGGTGTATAGGAATGCTTGTGATTTTTGCACATTGATTTTGTATCCTGAGACTGCATAATTTGCTTATCAGCTTGAGGAGTTTTTGGGCAGAGAAGATTGGGTTTTCTAAATATTGAATCACGTTGTCTGCAAACAGAGACAATTTGACTTCCTCTCTTCCTATTTGAATACCCTTTATTTCTTTCTCTTGCCTGATTGCCCTGGCCAAAACTTCCAATACCATGTTGAATAGAAGTGGTGAGAGAGGGCATCCTTGTCTTGTGCAAGTTTTCAAAGGGAATACTTCCAGCTTTTTTGCATTCAGTTTGATATTGGCTGTGGGTTTGTCATAAATAGCTCTTATTATTTTGAGATAGGTTCCATAAATACCTAGTTTATTAAAAGTTTTTAACATGAATGGATGTTGAATTTTATCAAAGGCCTTTTCTGCATCTATTGAGATGATCATATGGTTTTTGTCATTGGTTCTGTCTATATAATGGACTACGTTTATTGATTTGGGTATATTGAACCAGCCTCCCATCCTTGGGATGAAACCAACTTGATTGTGGTGGATAAGCTTTTAGATGTGCCGCTGGATTTGCTTTGCCAGTATTTTATTGAGGATTTTTGCATCGATGTTCATCAGGGATATTGGCCTTAAGTTTTCTTTTTTTTGTTATGTCTTGGCCAGGTTTTGCTATCAGGATGATGCTGGCCTCATAAAGTGAGTTATGGAGGAGTCCCTCCTTTTAACTGTTTGAAATAGTTTAAGAAGGAGTGATACCAGCTCCTCTTTGTACCTCTGGTAGAAATCGACTGTGAATCTGTCTGGTCCTGGGCTTTTTTTGGTTGGTAGTCTATTAATTACTGCCTCAATTTCAGAACTTGTTAGTGGTTTATTCAAAAATTCATCTTCCTCCTGGTTTAGTCTTGAGAGGGTGTATGTGCCTAAGAATTTATCAATTTCTTCTAGATTTTCTAGTTTATTTGCATAGAGTTGTTTATAGTAATCTTTGATGGTAGTTTGTATTTCTGTGGGGTCAGTGTGATATTCCCTTTATCATTTTATATTGTGTCTATTTGAATCTTATCTCTTTTCTTCTTTATTAGCCTAGCTAGCAGTCTATTTTGTTAATTTTTTCAAAACATCAGCTCCTGGATTCATTGATTTTTTGAAGAGTTTTTTGTGTCTCTATCTCTTTCAGTCTGCTCTGATCTTAGTTATTTCTTGTCTTCTGCTAGCTTTTGGATTTGTTTGCTCTTGTTTCTCTAGCTCTTTTAATTGTGATGTTAGGGTATCGATTTGAGATTTTTCTAGTTTCCTGATGTTGGCATTTACTGCTATAAATTTCCCTCTCAGCACTCCTTTAGCTGTGTCCCAGAGATTCTGGTACGTTGTCTCTACTCTCATTGGTTTCAAATAAATTCTTGATTTCTGCCTTAATTTCATTATTTACCCAGGAGCCATTCAGGAGCAGGTTGTTTAACTTCCATGTAGTCATGTGGTTTTGAGTGAGTTTCCTAATCCTGAGTCTAATTTGATTGCACTGTGGTCTGAGAGACTGTTTGTTATGATTTCAGTCCTTTTGCATTTGCTGAGGAGTGTTTTACTTCCAGCTGTGTGGTCAGTTTTAGAATAAGTGCCATGAGAAAAATGCATATGCCATTGTTTTGGGGTGGGAGTTCTGTAGATGTCTATTAGGTCTGCTTGATCCAGACCTGAGTTCAAGTCCTGAATATCTATTTTTTAATTTTCTGTCTTGTTGATCTGTCTAATATTGACAGTAGGGCATTAAAATCTCCCACTGTTATTGTGTGGGAGTCTAAGTTTGTAGATCTGTAAGAACTTGTTTTATGAATATGGTTTCGCCTGTATTAGGTGCATATATATTTAGGATAGTTAGCTCTTCTTGTTGAATTGATCCCTTTATCATTATGTAATGCCTTTCTTTGTCTTTTCCGATCTTTGTTGGGTTAAAGTCTGTTTTGTCAGAGACTAGGATTGCAACCCCTGCTTTTTTTTTTTTTTTTTTTTTTTTTTGCTTTCCATTTGTTTGGTAAATTTTGCTCCACCCCTTTATTTTGAGCCTATGTGTATCTTTGCATGTGAGATGTGTCTCCTCAATACATCACACCAATCAATAGGTCTTGACTCTTTATTCAATTTTCCGGTCTGTGTCTTTTATTTGGGGCATATAACCCATTTACATTTAAGGTTAGTAATGTTGTGTGTGAATTTAATCCCGTCATCATGACGTTATTTGGTTTTTTTTTTTGCACAGTAGTTGATGCAGTTTCTTCATCGTGTCATTGGTCTTTATAGTTTAGTGTTTTTGAAGTGGCTAGTACTGGTTTTTCCTTTCCATATTTAGTGTTTTCTTCAATAGCTCTTGCAAGGCAGTCCTGGTGGTGACAAAATTCCTCAGCATTTGCTTGTCTTGAAAGGATTCTATTTATCTTTCACTTCTGAAGCTTAGTTTGGATAGATTTGAAGCTCGGGGTTGAAAATTCTTTTCTTTAAGAATGTTGAATATTGGCCCCCACTCTCTTCTGGTTTGTAGGGTGTCTGCTGAGAGGTTCGCTGTTAGTCTGATGGGCTTCCCTTTGTAGGTGACCTGGCCTTTCTCTCGCTGCCCTTAACATTTATTTCTTCATTTTGACCTTGGAGATTCTGATGATTATGTGTCTTGGGTTTGATCTTCTCATGGAGTATCTTAGTGGTGTTCTCTGTATTTCCTGAATTTGAATGTTGGCCTGTCTTTCTAGGTTGGGCAAGTTCTCCTGGATAATACCCTGAAGTGTGTTTTCCAACTTGGTTCCATTCTCCCCATCTGTTTCAGGTACTCCAAACAATTGCAGGTTCAGTCTTTTTACCTAGTCCCATGTTTCTCAGAGGTTTTGTTCATTCCTTTTGAGTCTTTTTTTCTCTAATCTTGCCTGCGTACTTTATTTCAGCAAGATGGTCTTCAAACACTGATATCCTTTCTTCTGCTTGGTTGATTCAGCTATTGATACTTGTGCATGCTTCACAAAGTTCTGGTGCTGTTTTTCAGCTCCATCAGGTCATTTATGTTCCTCTCTGAAGTAGTTATTCTAGTTAGCAGCTCCTGTAACCTTTTATCAAGGTTCTTAGCTTCTTTGCATTGGGTTAGAACATGCTCCTTTAGCTCAGGGGAGTTTGTCATTACCCACCTACTGAAGCCTACTTCTGTCAATTTGTCCATCTCATCCTCTGTCCAATTCTGCACCCTTGCTGGAGAGGTGTTGGGATCATTTGGAGGAGAAAAGGCACTTTGGCCTTTTGAGTTTTCAGCTTTTTTTCATTAATTCTTTCTCATCTTCATGAGTTTGTCTAGTATCGATCTTTGAGGCTGCTGATCCTTGGATGGGGATTTTGTGGGGACTTTTTTCGTTGATGCTGTTGTTATTGCTTTCTGCTTGTTTGTTTTTCTTTCAATGGTCAGGTCCCTCTTCTGTAGGGCTGCTGCAGTTTGCTGGGTGTTCACTTAAGGCCCTATTCATCTGGTTCACTCCTGTACCTGGAGATGTCACTCGAGGAGGCTGGAGAACAGCAAAGATGGGTGACTGCTCCTTCCTCTGGGATCTCTGGCCTCGAGGGCACCGACCTGATGCCAGTAGGAACACACCTGAATAGGCGTCTGACAACCCCTGTTGGATGGTCTCACCCAGTTGGGTGGCACAGGGAGGAGGACACATTTAACCAAGCACTTCGACTGTCCCTTGGTGGAGGTGGTATGCTTCTCTGCGGGGGAAACCCACTTGCCTGGGTGACCTGGATTCCTCAGAACTAGCAGGCAGAAAGACTAGGCCTGCTGGTCCACAGAGACTGTGGCCGCCCCTCCCTCTAGGGCTCAGGCCCAGGGAGATCAGCATTCTGTTTCTGAGCCCCTGGTTGGAGTTGTTGGAGTTCCTGCAGGGAAACCCCATCCAGTGAGGAGGGATGGGTCAGGATCAGGACTGAAGAGGCACTCCAGCCACAGTCTGCCACAGCTGGTGTGTTGGGCTGTGGGGAAGACCTCTTGGGACCAAGCCGTCAGCCTCTCTGGCTCCAGCAGGGGAAAAGCATAGCCTGGAGCAACAGGGATGGCTGTCATCTTCCCCCTTCCCTGGGAGCTTAGTGTGTTAGGCAACTATCAGTTCCAGTGTTGGCTGTCGCCCCTCCCTGAAGAGGCTCAAATGGCTCAGACAACAGGCAGCTGCAGCTGTGATGCTAGTCGCCCCTCCCCCTGGGAGCTCCACAGACTTAAGCAGATTCTAGCTGCGTGGCTGTTGGGACCCTAGGCCTCAGTGACATGGACTCACAAGTGGGAACTTCTGATTCATGAGTTGCACAGTTCCATGGAAAAAGCCTGTTTTCTCAGGCTGGGTAGCACACTCAATCACTGCCTTCCTTGGCTGGGGGGTGGGGGCTTCCGTGCCCAGTGTGGCTCTCAGGTGGGTTGTCGCACCACACTGCTCTTCCTTCCTCTCTGTGGGTCATGCCAGCTGCTTAGTCAATTCTGATGACAGAACCTGGATACCTCGGTTGCTGGTGCAGGGTTCCCGTGCTGATATGGTTCTTTTCGATGGGAGCCTCTGATCGCTGCTGCTTCTCGTAGACCATCTTGGCCCCGGCCCCCTTTATTCTATTGAAAATATGTCTTAATTTCTTCTTCAGTTTCTTCCTTGCTTGTGAAAAGATGTACAATTAATTTTTGTGTATTTGTTTTTACCTATGTTATTTTTTCCCAATCTTATTGACATATAATTGACAAATAAAAAAGCTATATATTTAGGTATAAAATATGATGTTTTGATGCATGTATTCATTGTGAAATGATTACCACAATCAAGCTAATTAAAATTTCCACAACTTCTCATAGTTCCCTTCTCTTTTTTATTTTTTGTGGTGAAAATACTTGAGATTCACTCTTCTAGAAAATTTTGTGTATAGGATACATTGAGGACATTATACTAATTTAAATAAACCAGACACAGGAAGATAAATACTTCATGACCCCACTTTAATGTGGAATCTTAAAAAAAAAAAAAACAAAAACAAAAGTCAAACTCACAGTAAGAATAAATTGGTGGTTATCAGGTTATCATGGTGGTTATCAGGGGTGGGAGGTTACTATAGTTAATAATAATGTATATTTATCTTGTATTTCACAAACTTGTTAAACTCATTTGTTAGTTGTACGAGTTTTTATGGTATGGTCCTTCAGAATTTCTGTATATAAGATAATGTCACCTCTGAAGAAAGGTAATTTTGCTCCTTCCTTTCCAGTAAGGTTGCTGTTTATTTCCTTTTTTGTTATGGTTTCCTGATAGATTCACTCTTTTTTTCCTTTAAAAATTTCTGTCTTTGTCTCTAGAACAATTAATGCCATTAAGTCTTTCTCACCTGATGTTAGTGTTATAATCCCATTTCTCTTTAGTTTACTATTTGCATGCTATATATTTTCCATCTTTCAATCTTTTGTCTTTGAATCTAAAGTGTGCCTTTTGTAGACACCATATAGTTAGATTATGGCTTTTTATCCATTCTGCCAATCTCTGCCTTTTGATTGAAGTGTTTGGATCACTTACTAATGTAGTTAATTAATTAGATTTTACATCCGCCATTTTTTTCTAGTTGTTTCCTTTACACCTTTGTTTTATTTTCTTCTCCATTCCTTTATTTCTACTTTCTTTTTTGTTAAATATTTTAGTGTAACATTTTATTCCCTTTCTGTTTCTCAGTATTTTTCCCACTGAGGATTTCGGTTAGCAACTTCAAACATCCATTTCTGATTACTATTAATTTATTTTCAATAGTATTAACAAATTTGTTTCACTATAGCACCATTCCCACTCACATATTTTTATGCTGTTATGGTCATACAAATTATGTCTTTATACATTATAAGCCCTTCAATGCAGTTTTATAATTATTTTATGCACTTTTCTTTTAAATTAGAAAAAGGAAATGCTTACAACCAAACATATAATTGTGCTGTCTTTATATTTACCTATAATCTTACTTGTATCAGTCTCTCAATTTGTTTATGTGTAAATTATTGTCTAGCATTCTTCATTTTAGCCTGAAAGACCTTTAATAATCTTGCAGGGCAGGTCTACTAGATATGAAGGCTTTTTTGTTTTTTGTTTATCTAGGAATTTATTTATTTTTTATTTTCTAAAAGGTTGTTTTACCAATTATGGGAATCATAACTGGAGTTCATTGCATTCTTGGATGTGTAGATTAATCTTTTTCATCAAATTTGTGGAGCTATCAGCCATTATTTCTTAAATATTCTTTATACATCTTTCTCTTTTTCCTCTCCTTTGGAAATCCCAGACACGAATGTATCTGCGTGCTTGATGATGTCCCATAAGTCTCTGAAACTTTGTTCATTTATCTTCTTTATTTTTCTTTCTGTTCCTCAGATTGTATAGTATCAATTGACTTATGGAAAGTGTGTGGACTCTTTCTTCTTCCAGTTCAAATCTGTTCAGCTCCTACAGTGAGGTTTTTTGGTCTCATTTATTATAATTTTCAGCTCCAGAATTACTTTTCTGAATAATTTCAATATATTAATTTTTTCCTTTTTGTAAGATGTCATTATCACATTTTTCTTGATTTCTTTAAATATGGTTTATTTTAGTTCTTCAGAAATATTTATAATAGCTGATTTGAGGTCTGTCTAGTAATTCCAGTAACTGGGTTTACTCGGGGACAGTTACTATTGACTACTTTTCCTGTTATTTATTTATTTATTTTTGCTGGACTGAGCATTTAAAAAAATATAACGTGGCAACTCTGGAAATCAGATCTTGCCCCTAGGTGTATTGCTATTTGGTTAGTGACTTTTATGGACTGACTCCGTAAAGCCTGTATTTTCTCTTATATGTGGTCTCTGAAGTCTTGGCTGGTTGGCTTAGTGATTAGCTCGTGATTGGACAGAAGTTCTTTAAATGCCTTGAACTAATAAGTCTTTGAGCCTTTGTCCACAGGATCTGTGCATGTGCTGTGGCATGACTCAAATGCTCCAGTAGTTTACACTTCTACCTTAGCCTTCACTTCCTACTTATGTGGTGCCTCAAAGTCAGCCAGAGCTGAGATGTTAGGGCCTCTTCAGGCCTTTCCAGCCAAGGCACACAGCCAGGCATGTGGGTGTGGGCTTCAACATTCCCAGAAATATGTCAGACCTTTTAAAAGTACCCTGTGAAATCTCTGTACATATCCTTTCCTTTTAACTTATTTAGTCAACCTCTCGTTTGCACCCACTGGTATTGCCATCTCAGGCAGCTGAAAATTTAAATAATCTCCATGATTTTATTTTTTAACAATTATATTGTGGAGTGTGCCCTTCTCAAAAAGCTTGATCTGAATCATGTAAAATAAAGCCAGATAGCTCGAATAGTGAAAATTCTCTGAGTTTTATACATTCTGGCGACCTCTAGTCACACGGTGCATATGCCCTAGTGGATGCTAGGCTATTGGTTTTCACAAGCATTGTTGTGAATCGGCTAGCTTTTGAGGATATTTCTTATGAGAGGGTGAGGAGATGAGGGCAAGTTAAACACCACAAATTTTACCATTTTAAAAAAAATCAGCTGTAGTCCTTGCATAAACACTCCAGGAACACTTATAAGCCTGGTTAATTTTCAGGATTCTGAAAAAGTTTATTTTGATGCATTTAGCAGTGGTCTTGCTTTAATGGAGTAGCAAATTTTGGGAGGCCCTTACCTTACTCTGCTACTCTGAAAGTACTTCTGCCAATAATATTTTTGATTAGCATTTTCATTTTAAATTTTTACTTTATTAAACAAATGACGTCTTTTTTCTAAAAACAGCAAAATTTGTTCCCCTGTTAAAATTATAGCATAGGACCTTAAACAAAAGAACAAGAAAGCCTTACCTACTACTAATAAATATTAATTTCAGAAGCCTTAGCACTACTATAGTTTTCATATAAAACATTTATTTGAATATATGTTTTTAACTTAAGAAACTCTTCTATAAATAATTTTAATATAATAATATATGCCATTTGCTGAGCATTTAAAATATGGCAAGCAGTGTGCTAAGTACGTTAATTGCAATGTATTTAGCAAACATTATCCCAGGCATTCATACACTACACATATTTGGTCTTTGTTCTCATGGAGTGTACATTCTTATGAAAAGAGTCAAATAAATAAATACAAACATGAGCAAGATAGTTTTAAAAAGGAACAACATACTGACACAGTGAGTAGTTGAATATGTGCTAATTTAGACTGTGCGTCAGGGAAGATATCTTTCAAGGAGTATCAGTTTAAGTGAGATGTGAAGGACAGGTTATCGACAGCTATGACGCATATATTTGAGACAGAATTTTCACACCAACAAAATAAGAATAAATGCCCTATGCAAAAAACAAGGTAGCTATATTCACAAAATAGAAAAGTAGCCCTTCTGGCTGATATACAGCGAGAGACAATAAGAATAGAATTCCATGGAGGCAGAGATATAGGCAATGACAAATTATGCATGGCAATAAAAAGAGATTTGATTTTAATTTAAGTTTGAGGGGAAAACACCAGAAAAATTTAAACAGGGGAATAATATTATCTGATTTTGTTTTGCATGAATGTTTTTAGCTACTTTGCAGCGAATGGCTTACAGACGTTTAAGAGAGGAAAAGGGAGTCAAGTTAGAAGACTTGCAATATTCAATTCATCCAATTTATCTATTGGTTGGTCTGCAGAAATTGGGTATATTGTGTAGAAAAATAGGATAAAATGCAGATGCAATAGCAGATAGAACTTTTGGTCATATAAAATGGTGGAAAAAGAAAAAAAATCAATTCTGACTTCTAGATTTTCAACTGAACAGTTTAAAAGGTATCATTGGCAATAATAAAAATAGGATAAATAGCAAGCGAATTTGGTAGGCTGGTGAAAATCAAGTCATCTGCTTGACAATATTAAATTTGAGGTGCCTAAGATGGACTAGCTACTTATCTTGGGGATCCCAGTGTAAAATGAGTATGTAGAGCGCTTATTTATAAATTAGTAATGATTTCAACATGGTGATAGCAAAACATTAAACCAAATATAGGCAACTTTTTTTTATTATACTTTAAGTTCTAGGGTACATATGCACAACGTGCAGTTTTGTTACATACGTATACATGCGCCATGTTGGTGTGCTGCACCCATTAACTTGTCATTTAACATTAGGTGTATCTCCTAATGCTATCCCTCCCCCATCCCCCAACCCCACGACAGGCCCCAGTGTGTGATGTTCCCCTTCCTGTGTCCAAGTGTTCTCACTGTTCAATTCCCACCTATGAGTGAGAACATGTGGTGTTTGGTTTTTTTGTCCTTGCGATAGTTTGCTGGGAATGATGGTTTCCAGCTTAATCCATGTCCCTGCAAAGGACATGAACTCATCATTTTTTATGGCTGCATAGTATTCCATGGTGTATATGTGCCACATTTTCTCAATCCAGTCTATCGCTGATGGACATTTGGGTTGGTTCCAAGTCTTTGCTATTGTGAATAGTGCTGCAATAGACATACGTGTGCATGTGTCTTTATAGCAGCATGATTTATAATCCTTTGGGTATATACCCAGTAATGCGACGGCTGGGTCAAATGGCATTTCTAGTTCTAGATCCCTGAGGAATCGCCGCACTGACTTCCACAATGGTTGAACTAGTTTACAGTCCCACCAACAGTGTAAAAGTGTTCCTATTTCTCCACATCCTCTCCAGCACCTGTTGTTTCCTGACTTTTTAATGATTGCCATTCTAACTGGTGTGAGATGGTATCTCATTGTGGTTTTGATTTGCATTTCTCTGATGGCCAGTGATGATGAGCATTTTTTCATGTGCCTGTTGGCTGCATAAATGTCTTCTTTTGAGAAGTGTCTGTTCATATCCTTTGCCCACTTTTTGATGGGGTTGTTTGTTTTTTTCTTGTAAATTTGTTTGAGTTCTTTGTAGATTCTGGATATTAGCCCTTTGTCAGATGAGTAGATTGCAAAAATTTTCTCCCATTTTGTAGGTTGCCTGTTCACTCTGATGGTAGTTTCTTTTGCTGTGCAGAAGCTCTTTAGTTTAATTGGATCCCATTTGTCAATTTTGGCTTTTTTTGCCATTGCTATTGGTGTTTTAGACATGAAGTCCTTGCCCATGTATAGGCAACTTTTAAATGCAAGGCCCCGTATGACTGCATGCCCAGGATGGAGCCACCCTGGCCTATTAGACAGCCAAGAACAGAATTCCACAAGACAATTGCAGTTATATGCTTTGGACTCTGACAATACCTATCAGAGGCAAAGTTATCCAATTCCAAGTGAGCTATTCCCACAGCATAGACCAGGCCGGAAGATAAAATTGAGGTTATCAGCCTATAATGCTGTTAAAGTTTAATTGTAGCAATGGAAGAAGTCTATGAGAAGGTGAATACTTTTTTTATAAGAGTAAAAATTTTATCCAACATAAATAGTGGGAAGAAAAAACATCTGAATAAAGATATTGGAAGGGTGATAGATTTGGAAACATAAAGATGAGGGAGTTTACATAGTAAATCATCTGTTTCCAGAAGAAAGCTGAAAACCAACTTATTGGCAGAAAATGTGTGTGTGTGCTCAAGTGCATTGCATGTGTGACTGGTATATAGATGAATAAATCAGATGGAGATTTAATGATCTAGAAGAATGTCTGAAATGACCATTTTTGGGGATGAAAGAGCAAACAGAAAAATTTAGTGGGTATATGAGACACTACTGGGTGCCTTCTTGAGATGTAGGGTAATTGTTTTTAAATGAGACCAGTCAGCATACTTTTAAGTTCGTGTGTAGCTTACTGCACCTGCACAGGTGCAGATAACACATAGACTAATTCAGGGAGTATAAGAAAGGGAGAGCAGGGCAAGGGGATTGAGGATAAATGCAAGAACGTGCCTATTGAGATGGGTTGTGGAAATGTAGCTTCATAAGAATAGATGTGCAGAGCTATGGGTAATGAAATTACGGTAGAGTCAGTAGAGCAGATATTATGATACGGATGAGGAATTGGGGTTGGGGGTGGTTTCCAAAACAAGAAGAAAAGAGAAGTGGTTTGGAAATGAAATTGTAGAAACAAACACTATCACCACCTTATTAAAACCTTAATGGTAGATGGTACCTTGAAGAAGTCACATTGGGAAAGTTTGCAAAGATATAGAAGACCCGAGAATTGGCTCTAATTAGTGAATATTCAGAGCATCAAGGGTATTGAAAATGATGATGAAGAGGATGAAAATGATGATTGATTTGGGTGAGTGGGAGTTCTGGTAGTATCCCTCATAAACAAAGATGTGACACAGAGAATAACTGTTTGAGTCCAGCACAGGAGTACTGGGATAAGTTCAAGCCAATAGTCCTGGGGTGACTGGTGACAGACTTCTCTTGAACTATGTAGTGAAACCAAGGTAGTGATTTAATCACAGCCTTCCTTTACTGGTTTGGTCTGCAGTGCCTAAACAGGTGTGAGGGACATGCATGAAACACAGGTATGCATGTAGGCCTGTAGCTTTAAATTTGTGATGTCATTTAAATATCAATATGGCTTTATGAGGTAAACTCAATTTTTTCTGCATTTTTGTGGGAAAAGAAAGGTTTTGGGAAAAAAAGTAGAAAATCTCGCCCAAGCAAAATTCAGCAGCTGGTATTACATCCAGGATTCAAACCCATGTCTCTGACTCTAGAACCTTTAACCATCATCATGCAAACTCTTTCTCTTGTGATTTCACCTTTGAAGTGCAGAACAATGCTGGTAAGTAGCTAAACTAGATATAGCTATTTTGCTCTCATCTTCTAGACACTGAAATGGAATCAGTTGATGAGAAGTAATTTTACAAGCATACAGGTAATAAACGATCCAGCTAGGACTTGAACACATGGACCAAGACCTTCAGAGTAAAGTGGGGGCTTTTAAGATTCTAAATAAACAATATATTATGAAACGTCCTCTTGTTAAAAATGCTGCTTGTTTTTTCTGGGTCTGAAACACTCTATGAATTTAAACCTCTAGCTCAAAGCAAAAAGTCAGAAACTGTCTACTTGTGACTACTTTTGTCTTACAACAGAATAGGGAGAAAGAGATTAAATGAAAAGTTCCCGTAGATTCCAAGGGGTTTGTCTGAGTGTAAAAGTGCTGTGGTGACTGAATGTATTTTATATATTGTAGCATTTTAAGATCTTGGGAGTATTACAAGTAAATGATTTAACTACTTTCAGCTGTCCTGTAAGTTGTTCATAGTCACTGATTTTGCTTTTCAGATGAGCATAATAAAGTTCTCAATATAGCTCTTTCAATAGCAACAGCAGTGCTGACTCTTCAGTATGAGACGGCTCAGTCACACAGGATATCTTCACATCCAAGCACAGCAAAAATAAAAAAGGAATGAAAGTCCATGCAGCGGCTGCCT
This sequence comes from Homo sapiens, assembly GCF_000001405.40. Classification (NCBI taxonomy): domain Eukaryota; kingdom Metazoa; phylum Chordata; class Mammalia; order Primates; family Hominidae; genus Homo; species Homo sapiens. The sequence continues at coordinate 9,242,750 of NC_000007.14, read as the reverse complement.
TGTATGTCTTTGGTTTCATTTTTGTTAGCTGAAGGCGCTGAGTCTTTGAAAAGTTTGATACTTTTAAACAAATTTCTTCTGGTATCCATGGCTTCTGACTTCAGAAATTCTGAAGAAATGACGATTTTTAAAATTGGCAATTTATTTTCGTAGGTCTGATTTACAAACCAATTCTGATATTGTCAGATTAAAATGTGCCAACTGAAAAAAAAGTATTAATACTATCAACTGAGCTCCACTAATGAGTTAAGGTATCCTTGTTGATTTATAAGAACATCTGTGTCCTTGTCTGATTCTGATCACTAAATATGTGATCTTCTCTTAAGAAAATGTAGAAGGTAACAAGGCAATAAGTAGTGAAAGAAGGGCTGAGACCAGAAATTAGATTCCTGGTCTCATCTGACATGGTCAGTGAATGTCAATGTTACTTTAGTTGCCTCTCCTTTCTGGGATTTGTGTTCAACATTAGTCAAAGAACTTCACGTAATAGACAGACGTGTTAAAGGTAGACATCATGAGAGGATTTTTAAAAACAAGTTATGAGTAAATGCTTTTAATTAAAGGCTCTATTATATTCAAAGCATTTTTTTAAGTATCCTGCCTTGAGTGGTTTTAAATTTTTTTCCTCAATCCTTAAAGAGCCCACCAAACAAATAGGGCAGAGTGAGTAAGTGATCTGTTAATTCTACTGTTCCCCATTTGCTCTTGACAGGCAATTGAGAATGATCAAGGGCAAATGTTAACGCTTAGATAACCATAGCATTCACAGCTATGAGAAGAGATACCAGTCTAAACAGATTTAAGGGAAGAGAAGATGGTGCACATTGCCTGTAAGAGTTGAATGGATGTCTATCAACAGTATTGGCAGAAACTTTCCATTTTGGTTAAAAATATTTTGCCAAAGGAGGTCACAAGGACTTTTTATTTGAAGAGATGTTCTTTATGTATGTGTTTTTAAATAATAATGAGTCACCATAATAATAGTTACTGTATTTTTTAAAATTTTCCCATGTGTTAGGTACATATTAAATATTTCAGAGGTTACTGTAAATATATAACAATAAATGCATAATTCACTATTATAAGCCAATATGTTATAATATTTTATATTTCTGTATCAGATAAAATTAAACTTTATCTTATATAAACATTTAAGATAGAAAATATCAAAAGAATGGAACATTAACAGAAACATCAATTTCCTCCATATCACTTAAAATTGAAAAATAGAACAAATATTTAATATTTAAATTTTTTAAATAAAGACTTAAAATGTACAAAGCATGAATTGACTATTTGATAATTTGATCTTTAATGACAAATATTTCTCACACTGAAATATTCTTGGATTTTGTGCTGATGTTGGTCTGAGTGTTGAGTATGTCTAAAATCATCTTCAAATTGGGCATTAGGGGCTGAGTGTGGTGGCTCACGCCTGTAATCCCAGCACTTTGGGAGGCCAAGGCAGGCGGACCACCTGAAGTCAGGAGTTCAAGACCAGCCTGACCAACATGGCGAAACCCCGTCTCTACTAAAAATATAAAAAGTAAATGGGCGTGGTGTTGGGCACCTGTAATCTCAGCTACTTCATAGGCTGAGGCAGGAGAATCTCTTGCACCTGGGAGGGGGAGGTTGCAGTGAGCCGAGATCTTGCCACTGCACTCCAGCCTGGGAGACAAGAGCAAAACTCTGTCTCAAAAAATAAAAAAATAAAAAAATAAAATAAATTGGGCCTTAGGATACATGTTGTTTCATGTAAGTGCAATACTTTTTAAAAAATAAATATAGGCCAGGCAGGGTGGCTCACACCTGTAATCCCAACACTTTGGGAAGCCGAGGTGGGTGGATCAGCTGAGGTCAGGAGTTTGAGGCCAGCCTGGCCAACATGATGAAACTCTGTCTCTACTAAAAATACAAAAATTAGCCAGGCATGGTGGTGGGTGCCTGTAATCCCAACTACTCGGGAGGCTGAGGCAAGAGAATCACTTGAGCCCGGGAGGCGGAGATTGCAGTGAACTGAGATCGTGCCACTGCACTCCAGCCTGGGCAACAGAGTGAGACTCGGTCTCTAAATAAATTAATAAATAAATAAACAAACAAATACATAAATTTTGTCTGTTCATCTTGATATTGGTTTTGTCATTACAATTGACGCTGCTTTTCCTAACTCAGATTTTAGGTAGCTTTCTGACTTCAAGTCAGTATGCCACATAAACATCTCCACTGTTTTCTTTTTTTATTTCTTCTACTGAATTATTTACAAAAAACTGCTGCCTACAGTGAATATCCACATGTTGGAAAACATCAGCAAAGATTATTTGGTAGTATTCGAATAATAGAACATTTTAATTTTCTAGCAAAATTAATGGTACTACATGAAATCACTTGCCAAAATGACATATTTAAGCACTGACTTTGCTTCCAATATTTATGTCTGAGAAAACACTCATATGATTGGTATGAAGTATACTATTTATATAAATTTATTGGTATTTGGTGTATTTGAAAGAATAGCTCACTGTTCACTGGGCCACAAATGCATATTTATAATAAAGCAATAGCCTCAAGCAAGAGCAACTGATTAGATCCTGTTGTTTCCTTTCTTTCCTGAAATACCAACCTTAAAATTGACTTCATGTATTATGCTGTGTTTCTTATGTTGTTGTTTTCTCCTCTTGCTTTTGACTTCATATCAAGGAATTCTTTCAATCAAGTAACATTTCTGCCTTTGTTTTCATTCTCACCAGATAATTGGAATTTTTTTCTAATCTTTATTTCCTGACTGCTTTTTCTTAGATTTGACAAATGCCTGAGAAATGACAACAAACAATTATCTAATAAAACCATTATAAGTTTAAGCAGTATATATTGTATTATATGGGAAGCATATTAATAATATATACGATATGTATTAAACACCAATGATATGCATTAAAATTTTCTTTTTTACTCTTTAATGAAAGATTTTCAAGATAAAATATTTTTGTTCTTGTTTCTTTTGAATCAGAAATATTATATAACTAGCATAACAAATTGTTTACAACAATTTTAATTCAATTGAAGCAGTATATTTGGAGGACTGATTTTGTGCCAAGTATCCTGAATCTCTACCCTTCTCTGTTAGTATTAAAATACACTTCCTGTAATCCTAACTTAAAACTACTGTTATGGACTGCATGTTTATGTCCCCCCAGAATTCATACATTGAAACCCTAATCCCCAGTAGGATGTACTAGGAGGTAGGGGGTTTGGGAGATAATTTAGGTTAGATTAGCTCATGAGGGTGGGTCCCTTAATGATGGGATTGATGTCTTTATAAAAAGAAGGGAAAACAAAACATCACTCTATTTTTGTGCGCAATCAAGAAAGACCACATGAGGACACAACCATGAAAAAAGCCCTCATCAAGAGCCTGACTGTCAAGCTGACACCCTGATCTTGGACTTCCAGCCTCCATCACTGTCAGAAACAAATTTCTGTTTTTTAAAGCCACCCAACCTCAGGTATTTTGTTATAGCAGCCTGAGCTGAATGAGACAACTCTCATTTATTGCTCATTTTCTCTATCCCTTCACAGAGAAGGCTCACAATACAGTTCTGACATCCTTTCTTCATGCGCTTGCTTCCTATTTATTCTTTCACAAAATTACCTTATGTGTTTTTTTAAATTTAATGTTTCTTATGAATAATTTCAGAAACTAATAGGTGTACAAAGAACAACCATCATTCCACCACCTAAAGATACCCTTCAAATTTAGTGAATTTAATTTCAAATAACTCATAATACAGACTTGCAGATTGAAAATACGCAAGTTTTATATGTACCTTGTCAGTTTGACAACATGAGTTCATTTGACACATTGTCTCCTTTTTCTCCAGGCTTTTTTGACATATAATTGATAAAAATTATATAAATGTAAGGTGTACTACATGGAGTTTTGATATACGTATATGATGTGAAATGATTACCGCAATCAAGCTAAGTATCATATCTATCACCTAACTTAATGTTTTCTTTTTTAAAAAGCTGGCATATTTATAAAGTCTAATAGATTTTTTTTTGCCAGTTTATTAAGAAAAAATAACTCCTTTAAAGTTAAATTTAAGAAGATAGATTGAACTTTTTTTTTTGTTTTTAGATTTTGTTTTGAAACGGGGTCTTGCTCTGCCATCCAAGCTGGAGTGCAATGATGCTATCTTGACCCACTGCAACCTCCACTTCCTGGGCTCAAGCAATCCTCTTGCCTCAACCCCCAGAGTAGGTGGGGCTACAGGCATGCACCACCACACTCAGCTAATCTTTGAATTTTTTGTAGAGATGAGGTCACACTATATTGCCCAGGCAGGTCTGGAACTCCTGGGCTCAAACGATCCTCCCACCTTGACCTCCAAAATTACTGGGATTACAAGCATGAGCCACTGCTCCCGGCCCCAATTTTTACATATAGTACAAATCCACTTCTTTTCATATAAATCATGTATTGCATCTATGTAATATATATGTTATGTATAGTGTGTGTATATATATATATATATGCAATCATATATTGCCTTTCTGCTATAAATTTTGTGCTTCACAGGTTTTTTTTTTTGAGACGTAGTTTTGCTCTTGTTGCCCAGGCTTGAGTGCAATGGTGCTATCTTGGCTCACTGCAACCTCCGCCTCCCAGGTTCAAGGGTTTCTCCTGCCTCAGCCTACTGAGTAGCAGGGATTACAGGCACATGGCACCATGCCCAGCTATTTTTGTATTTTTAGTAGAGATGGGGTTTCTCCATGTTGGCCAGGCTGGTCTTGAACTCCTGACCTCAGGCAGTCTGCCTGTCTCGGCCTCCCAAAGTGATGGGATTATAGATGTGAGCCACCTCACCTGGCCGAGACTTTCTTCCCCTTAAAAGCTTGGAGTTAGTGTCCTAGTATATCCTGCATTTAATATGGCTATAAATACATGGCAAATCAAGTGGGTTTTCCTCTAAATAATATGTTTTCCTGATCATGGTTTCCACATGATATTTTTATAATTATTTAAGACCTTAAATTCATTATGATATATATTCTTTTTTAACATTTATATAAGTATTTTCCAAGGAAACATTTTGCACTTATGATACACACCGTCAAATTTTTATTTCAGTAAATTTTTCTAATATTATATCTTTGGTTACTTTTTCTATTATATTTATTATCCTCTTGTTTTCCTAAATGATGTGTATCTTGATTTTTTAAAAATCTATAATCTATAATTTCCTATGCAGGTATTTAAAAATTTAATCTGTTTTGGTTTTGTTGCCATGTCCTGTAGCTTATCTGCCATAAAGCATCATAATTTATAGTCATATTTAGTGGAATTTTATTTCTGTGTTTCTTATCTCTGTATATTGATATATTTCTCATCAACATTTTTCTCATTAGCACTGGCAGTTTTTCTTATCTTCTTTTATTGATTTCTAATTCCTTTTTAAAAAATTATTGTTCTTCTTTCTTGAGATATTTAAAATTACCTAAAGTTTTAATTCTTTTGTGGGCAAGGAAAGCTATCTCTTCTTCTATTTCTTTATGCTGTTGTTCCTATAACATTACTTTCTTTGTCTTTTTCCTTGTATTTACTGGCAAGGAGAGCTCTCTTTTTCTATTTTTTCATGATGTTGCTCCTATAACATTACTTTTTTAATCTTTTTCCTTGTATTTCCTAGGCAGTATCTATGCATAGTGTTCCTTAAAATTTTTATTCACATTTGCCTGGGTAAAACTATTTCTTGAAAAGTAGTAGGTATGGTAGGCAGCATCAATATAGACTATATGTTCCCTTCTCCTGAAAGAATGACTCTCCTTTTTGTCTTTCAAATGATTAGGAATATCCCTATTTTTCTGTGAACTGCCTATTACTTTTTTCACTGTTCTAATAAAAAAAAAAACACTTTGGATAGGTTTTCCAATATTATGGCAAGTATTTTTAAAGAAATCTATTTCGTGGTGAAACTCCAAGAAGGTATGTATCAGCTTTCTGTTTTCTCCCTTATTTTGATTCATATTTCAAAATATTTGTCTAGGAAGCTTCATTGCTGGAGGTTCGTGTTATGAGCTTGTTTTTAATGTACAGCGGGGTGTGTGTGTGTGTGTGTGTGTGTGCATATTTAGCTTTATGAGACTTTTAGTGAGATTACACTGGGAGAAAAGGTAGTAAAAATAATCTGTATTCTTGCATGTTTCAAAGGAAACACCCTTATTTACTCTTCATTGTCGGAAATCTCACTTGAACCTTTGCTACCCTATCACTGAAATTGTTCTTGTTGGAGTAATTACTGATCTTACCAAAATACAATGGAAATGTTATAGACCTCATCTTTCCTGGAGTCTTAGCATCATTTTTTACTGTGCATTGTTCCATACATCTGGATATCAACTTTCTTCTCACCTTAGTTTTTCTCCCTGTAAGAACTCATCCATTTCTATGGTCTTAAATATGACCTATTATGCGTGCATGTATCCTCCAATAAAAAAAGTGTTGTCTTCTCTTTTTCAGTGTTCACTTTCTAGTTATATAGTACTTCACTATTACATGGTTAAGGGCTGGGAGTCCTCTAGACTTATCTTTCTTCCTCATCTAGAACAGGAACATTTTCTTCAGCCTTTTAGGTGACACCATCAAAATATACTGAAGTCTCTACTTTCCCAATTTTTCTGCTACCGCTGTATTCCAATCCAGCAATACCTCTAACCTAGACTAATATCGGTGTGTGTTCTAGTTGGACCCTAAACTGCTTTTCTGTCTCTTGCCAAACCATTCTCTATAGAGCAGACACTTTTTAAATCTAAACACAATGATGAAACCCCATCTTTAAATTCCTTCAAGATTTTTCATTCCACTTAGAGCACGTCTAAAATCCTTAACATGGCCAACAAGTTGCTGCATGATCTGCTATCTAACTCATCAATCTTCTATTTCTCTCTACCTTTCTCTTCTGCCATAATGACCTTCTTTTCGTGCTTTGACTGAGATCTTTCCACCTTCGTGATATTCCCATGTGGAATTCATTTACATAGAATGCTTCCCCTGGCCCACTCTTTATGAGCTTCATTCCTAGATATGCTTTTACCCAGATCAGTTGCACGTTGTTCTAAGAGAGCTTTCATTCCTAGATATTCTTTTACCCAGCTCAGTTGCATATTGTTCTAAGAAGGCTTTCCCTGATGCTTCAATTCAAATTAAGTTCCCTAATGAAATATGAACTTGACTTTCATAGCATTTTTCAAAATTAATACTTTATCATTTATCACCTCCATGAGGGGATCCACCATGTTTATTTTGCTTATCTGTATACACTCACTATCTAGCACAGTACCGGGCACAGAGTAAGAAGACAATTAATATTTCCTAAGCGAATATATGCATTCATCCATTGAATTTCTGCCTTTCATGTATTGAATGATTAATTGAATGACTGGCACTATAGTAGGTATAGTCTGTACTTCCACAAAACTTACAATTGTACATGCTGATAAAACATAACTCATATCAACATCTTAAATATTCCGAATGAGAATAAAATCATGCTGTAAAATAGTTTGCAATAAAATATGAAAGGATTTGAAAATTCTAATATAACCAAACGTTCACCTTCAAACATACGTGAACTTACTGACATACTCATCAAGTAGGTTAATCTATATCAATAAAGATCTTAATACAAATAATTGATTCATAAATCTAATGATTCTATTCGTTACTTATATTTAAATCATTATAGCTTCCAAAATTAAATAGAGCCTAGGAAAGTTGGTCTACTAAATGAAACATTTTCAATGTAGAGTGATCTGCCACCACCAAGTACCAATTTAAAAAAATTATTTAAAATTCTGATTCAAGTACTCTATTAATTTCAACAAAGATTATAGTCACCTTGAAGCAGAAATAGCATCTTTTTTTTTTTCCTGAGGACCTACTATTTATAAAACAGTCTAATTTTAGAAACACCAAAAATCATTCATTTTGTGTTGAGCTCTTATACGCACATATTTTATGGTACTTAATGTTAATTACTCCTCCTATTACATGTTGAAGAAGGTCACATTATAACATTCTTACTATAGGTTATGAAATTGTTGCTAAAGAGATTCAGTAACTATACCAAAGACACACAGCTAAGTTGACTTTTGTAAAGAAAACATAATAAACATTGGGTTATTCTTGAAAGCAAAGGGAAGAAAAAGAAATGGCATTGAAGTTTTAAATGGAAATAATTTCATCTCTATACTATACTAATTTAATGTATATTTCTATTTTATTATAAATTGAGGTCTAGTATTATTGTGACTAAAATGCTATCTTTAAACAAAGTGATGGTGTAAAATGTTTTGAATTTGTTTTTATTGGAGTAATGCAAATTGAACATGTACCAAAAATTTTACATTTAGTATTTTAAATAATATCTCTCAATTCCAACTTGCCAGCTACTGAAATGCATATGGCAGTTTTACCTATCAAATTTAGATAGACCAAATACAGTGGTACATATATGATAATATTTAATAATATAAAATAATTAGGGAAGCTACTAATTAAGACAAATTATTTTCAGCTAATATGCACAAAAACAATAATAGGAAAATATCAATCAAAAGACATAATAGAACATTTTCCAACTAACTGATATTATGTCATAGCATATGAAAACAAAACCAAATGTGGGGATTATTTATTGTTGCTAACTAATTTAAGGAAACAATGATCACATTTTATGAATTTAAGAATCAGATATATCTTAGGTAGAATAAAGTTTATTCATCAACATACTGAAGTTTGATAGCCTTGTTCTTGGATGTTTCAAAGACAAGGGACACTTTTGTAAACACTGTCACATGAGCAGCACTTTCAAAAATATTTACTTTAGAGATTACTTGGCTCATATATTAATGCATAAGGGTCAATACTAACATGATTTTACCATAATATCATCAAACTTGAAAAAAATTCCATTGGGCCAGGGATCAGGTAAATTTCATGTGAACATCAAATTTCATAAAATTACTCTTGCAGTACATTTTTTACATGGAAAAATGAATTGCAGAAATATCAGTACATAATCTAAAACTATTTTGATATACTGTTTGAGTTGTCTGTGTCCTTTCACGTTCTCATCTTTCCCTTGTGTTTATGTGTGTGTTCCACTAAAAAACAAATTTATAAAACAATATACATCTTATGTATCTTTTCTATGTCATCAGCTTCTATTTAATAAGCCATCTCATCTGAAGTTCTTTTGGTGGGTATATTTATATGTACATTTTCTGTCCTCTCTGTCTCTCTCTCTTTCTCCCATCCATCTCCTCACCTCTCCCTTCTCTCCCTCTCTCTCTTCTTTCTTTCTTCTATTTTAGAAATTTCTAACTAAAGAAAATATCTTCATCTTTTCTTTAGGTTTCAACCTGAGTACCTGGTGATTAAGCTAACAGAAACAACACTTTACAATTGCTCCTACTGACACCAATAAGGAAATGTGGCAGTTCTCTTAGTTTGGTTCAAAACTGATAATACCATACTTATAAACCAAATATCAGTATTTTTAAAATAATTCATGATTAGAACATCTGTATTTTAAGATGTTTTCTGTTTATATTCAAAAATTAGATGCATAGAGTTTTATGTGAAATGTCAGAATTGAGAGATGCACCATTTATCAAATGGAAAAAGTAAAGAAGTAACACTCTGGACTTTCCTGACTCTCTTTTTATAGTTCTTCTATTGACTCACTTGTGACCTTCAGCAAATGGAGCTCAGGTGAGCTGACTGTAAAACGAGTATAGTCATACTGACCTGTCTACCCGTGGTGTTATAAGACTCAATAAATCAGAGCCTACACAGTTCTTTAAGGTTCTCAGATGAATTGTGTTAGACAAGGGTGAAATGTCAGAGTAGAAAAACTGCTTGTGCCTTTTATACGTCAGTTATTACCAAATGGCCACTACAAAATAGTATCACCTCACACCTTTATAAAATTATTCCCATTTTCTGAAACAAACTAGTTCAGCCACATAAAAATTCGATGCTTAATAGATTGTGTTAACCTCAAAAAGCTGTTTCATTATCTCAAGTATTCAATAAAATATGTAGCCCTGTTATCTCTGATGACATAAATAAAGCTTTTTAAAACAAATTACGGATTAATAAATGCATTTTATGCATTTGCATGTTTCAGCATCTTTGCTTGCTTTTCAGATATGCTGTCGGGTGTTAATAGCTATGTTGTCTTTGCCAACCCAATATATAAGAAGTTGGTAGTATATTTTAAATCATCTATATTCAGAGTTCAAATTAATTTTACTTTGATTTTTTTAAACACTCACTGATTAAACTTAAGGAGCTAAACATCTTAGGCATTTAACTTCAGTGTTGTGTCCTCCCTTATCAGAGCAAAATTGGGCATTTTCCTATGCACAATAGAGGAAAAAAAGCAATTACTATCAATCAGTGACTAAGCAACAGATTGGAGTATTTAGAAAGACTCATTCATACACAGATTTGCAGCAGCGTTCAGCTCTTCTGATTAGATTCCATAGATTTTAAATTGTAGCTAATTAGGCTGTCATAGGTTCATTAATGGCTCTCCTGATTCAGCACTCCCTCACCTGCATGCATATTAAAACTCATTAGCTCCCTTGTCTAAAATACCACCTGCATTAATTGCTGCCAATGCACCAGGACTCTTCAGAAGGCTTTTCTGACAACGATGCTACCTGCTTGTAGTGCCCCGTGCCCCGATAGCTCTTCAGGAGAGCTCACACATAAAGTTCATGGTGCTGCACACGTGGTGAGACTGCAGCTGTTGTAAGGGCAGTCAAGCCTGTTTTACGCTTAACAGCAGGATATAAATAATTAGTGATGCCTGTGCTGTAGGGCTTAACACAAGGCCAGTGTATCCCTTTCTAAGCTTCTACTAAACCATCCCTCTCTACAAAATAAGCTCCCAAATCGTCTTTCTTTTGATTCCTGATTCTGTAAGCAGCTCCCACAAAATGCTAAGACTAAGCCAGAAGAGAAGGAACACTGTAGCTTTCTTTTAGTTCATGTCCTCGGTCTCTTGTGTATGTGAGATGAGCCCCTGGGTAGGGCTTTTGAAATGATCTCAGTTCATAGCTGCCTGAATCAGTTGCCAGCATCAATTAACTAATTATGACCTCACATGTTTTAAAATATCTTTTATCCCTAAAGTCAAAATAGCCTTTCATTTATTTGTTTATTTATTTATTTACTTGGATATTCATTCCCTCAGAGAAGCATCTTTGTAGCAAAAGAATGTGGAATTCGGAGTTATCAACATAATCTGATGGAAAATATTACTGCTTATGTTAAGAAAGAAATTCTACTAAGAATGAGCTGGTAAAAATGGTAATAGTTGTGAAGTTGACTAATGATAAAAGTAAGCCTTACTTTCCAGCCCTTTTGTGTTCTTTAATTCTTTCTTCTTGGTGCTAAATCTTTTAATAGTAGGCTGCTACCAACTGCTAGTTATGATTTCTGGGTATTTCTGTGTCTTCCAAATTTATTATTGTAGTGACTCTTATTTGAGGGTTTCAAGATTTGAGCATGTCAAATTACAAGAAAATTCTATATTTTTATATTTATATATAATTGAGAAGTATTCCACTATTTGTCGAATTTAAATCAACAAACAATAATGGGTAATCAAATTCCATACTTCATATAAATATATCTTAATTATTACTCTTCTATATGCATTGTATTTTCAGTGATCAGTAACTTAATCTAACTTATCCCTGAGAAATAAAAAAGAATTATGAGAAAATGGGAAAATAAAGCAAAAATATATCCAGAAAATGTGCTTTGGGTCATAATAATGTAAGTTATTTTTAGATTATAGATAATTTTAGATATTTATTTTTTACCATTTATTTTATGTATCATTTCAGTTTCATTCCATGGGATTTAAAAATAAGATAATTTTAATAAAAATATTAAAGCAATAAAATTATAAGTTTCATTGTATAGGTAAGGTATCTATAGAATTAAAAGAATGCATTTATTCACATTATATTCCTCTGGATATATTATTTTATATAATGAAATTAATTCAATAATAAATATTTATTATATAAATTATTAATTTAATAGTATTTAATACTTATTAATGTTGTCAGGTGACTTAGTGAACTACTGTTATTTATTGGTTTTAATATTTCACTTGGCACAGGAGTTAATAGAAATCAACAGCAACTTAAAAAATAAGGCAACAGGACTCCACCAAATTCATAGATATAAACCAATAAAACCATCCCTCTAGGTTTTATTCATATCCCACTCCAGATCGTGTCACTAGTATGGAAGCCAAAATAAGAGAATAACTACCAGTATATCTTGCTTCAGAAGTTAATAGATAACTTATAAACTTTAGTTTTATCTGGAACAGATACATTAGTAAAGTACATAATCATTTGTTTCAAGATTTTTCAGCCATTCACTCCAAACCCAGGCTCACTGGATCTCAGGTATTAATTACCTTGTAACTTCCATAATTTCTTAGAGGTGGATACCCATTCTTCAAGCATACTCCCAGCGCAGGGCTCCTCAGAGACCAAGTCTTCAAATTTACTATTGATTATTGGTGTTTGGTTACGGCTGAGGAACTACAGTGCTTTTTTCTGTATGGGCCAATTTTAAAAGACTGTAAATTTCAGAATTTGGAAATTCATTACTGAGTGCAGCCTTTAGTTAAAATGTGAAGGGATGTTTCTTGTTCTCTGTATGTAAACCCTTGGAGGACATGGTGAGCATTAAAAAGATAAAAGTAGTTTATTTCACTTTCTGCAGTGTAATGAACTAGATGCTCGGGAGCCGGCTGGGGACTGCGGAGCTCCTACTGCAAATTGACTACATTCTGTGCTGTAGGTTTTCAGGAGGGTATGGAAGACTTCCTCAGTGCCAAGTCTCCAGGATTAGTTGACTGCATCGCTCCACTAAAAGCCTCAGTTCAAGTCACAGGAGCTTTCCACGCTGGTATGACATCACCAATCTCTCTTAATACTTTGGGTCCCTCTATTACTAGACCCAGGGTCTTAGGCTATTTCTTACTGATTTGATTTATTTTCTAAATTCTGCCAACACCTTTGCAAATTTTGCTTTCACAAAAACTCTCTTCCACCCCAATCTGAGTTTGCCCTCTGTGTCTTCTTGGGCCCATGATTTATATTGAGAGATACGCAATAAATGTTTGGTGAATTAATAAATAATAAATACATAAATTCTATTATTCAAATAATTTTATTTTTGTTTAATTGATCATCTGTTTAATATCACTTTGTTCTATTTTTATTTCTGCTCCTAAATCTATTTTTTTGTTTTCTTCAATTTATTTGGGTTTATTTTTTATTCTTTAACTTCTTAAGGATATTGCTAAAATAAATGTTTGTTCACTTTATTTTCTAATATAAACATTTAAAACTGTACTCTTACTACAGGTACCATCTTATCTGCATCTGATTATTTTATTTCTAACTATTTTTCTCAGTTTATATTATAACACTTTTTAGACCAATAAGTTATTTGGATGTAAATATTTTAACCCAAATTTATACACTTTTGTTTAACTTTTTCTGATAGTTTTAATTTTGTTTCACTCAGAGGAAATGATACATGATTCTTTCATATCATTGATGCTTGTTTCATTTTTTAAAGTTCTTTTTTTTCTCTCAGGGTTTCATTTTGTCATCAGTTGCTGCCTTCAAGTTCACTCATCTAAAATGTCTAATCTCCCATTAATCCTATTTGGTCTTTTTCTCATCTCACATATTCCAGTTTTCATCTCTAGATGTTTTAAGTTATTTTTACACCTTCCACGTCTCTACTTAACTTCTTGAACATCTGGAATACAGTTACAGTAACAGTTTTGATATCCTTTAATATCCTGATTCTAACATCTCTTTCATGAAAGTTATGGGTCTTTTGAAGTTAGTTAATTTTTCTCCTAAATCATATAGTCTTGCCTGTTTGCATTCCTGGTAATGTTTGATTGGACATTATAAATTTCACCTTTTAAGGTCCTGACATTTTCTTTTTAAAATTTATTTTAATTGACAAATAGTAGTTGTACATGTTCATGGAGTACATAGTGTTATTTCGATACCTAAAATACATAGTGATCAGATCAGTGTAATTAGAATATTCATCATCACAAACAGTATTTATTTGAGTTGGAAACAGCCAATGTTCTCCTGTTTCTTATATACAGGAGAACGTTGAATGTTCCGCCAATGCTCTCCTGTTTCAGATAATTTTATTTTTGTTTAATTGATCATCTGTTTTATATCACTTTGTTCTATTTTTATGGGTCCTTTGAGAACATTGAATGTTTCATATATACAGGAGAATATTGAATGTTTCCAACTCAAACAAATACTCAAATAGCTATTTGAAACTAATAATATATTATTGTTAACTATAGTCATCTTACTGTGGTGCAGAATGCTTGACCTTATTGCTCCTATCTAGATGTAATTTTTCAGGCTTCAACCCACCTCTCCCTATCCCTTCCTTCTCACTACCCTTCCCAATCTCTATGTGGAATTTTCTCTTATTTCCCTAAATATTCTTGTGCTTTTAGGGAAATACAGTTAAGTTACTGAAAGCCATTTCTTTTTTTCTAGTCTTTCTGTTAAGATATATTAGACAAGACAGAAGCAATATTTAAGGCAAAGCCTAATTATTTATCACTTAAATGCAAGATACTTCTGCATAATCTACCCAGTGCTCTGTCAACTATGAGCTTCTCCTGTCTAGCTGGTGGAAATAGGCACAGACACTATTTTCTGCCCAGTGTGAGCTCCAGGTACTCTTCTGTCTAATCCTTTTGAGGTGATTTATTTCACAGCCTTAGGTAGTTTCCTCACATAAGTCACATGTATATGTTGATCACTACTCTGCAGAATATTCATGGAATACTCAATAGGCCTCCCAAGTTCCCTGTGAAACTCTTAAACTTCACCAGTACTCTGACATGTGAATATTAGCCTCTTGCTCTCCTCCAACTCCCAACTACGTGTTCAGAACTCAGAGTTCTCAAGGCTTAAGAACTTCCAGGCTTCCTTGCACCTGCCATAGGGCTGGAAGCTCTCAAGGTAGTCAACTGCGGTAGCTGTAGAACTCACTTGTTTCCCATCTCTCAGGGCTCATTGTCCACTAATGCACGATGTCAGGTGTATTAAAAACCAGGTTTTCATACACTGTTTCCAGTTTTGGTTTCCAGTTTCAAGAGGCAGGGTTAATTTGGCCTCTATTTATTCATTACAGGTGGAAGCAAGCCATCAATAAATGATGTTTGAAAAAATATGATAGTAGTAATATCATTACTAGTTATGTTATATACAATATTACTTATATATTTATAATAATTGGGTTTGTAATCATGGGACTAATAGATTAAACCACATGAAATTGATCTAGATAAAAAAGGTAGTTTCTTATACTTCAATCATAAAAAAGCCAATAAGCTCTCAGTCTGAGGAAAAAAAATAGTATCAAAGCAAATGCATATCATATAGTTTGATGAATATAATAAGAATATATATTAAACATAAAAATGCCACAAAGACAAGAAAAGGGTTACTTCTTTTGGAAAATAGGATCAGTGAAGGCTTTTTATAGCTGAAGCAGACACAGGAACTGGATTTTATGATAAGTAGGTATTCATGAAGATGAGAGAAAGAAGACATGTTCAAAGTACAGATACATGACATATAAGATTTGTTTGAGTGAATGCACCAATATGGTATCATAGTAATATAAGTAGAACAGATGCATGTAGGCAGAAACCAGATTATTAAGAACATCAAATGCCATTTCATGTTCATCAATCAAGAACCCCAACTGCCTCCCCAAATGTGTCCATGATGCACAAAATATTTACCACAGCTATTCGCATCCTCCAAAGACTACTGAATTCAGTGAGTCAGATAAGCCAAGCCATAGGTAAAAATATCCATTGATAACAGCTTCCTTTTGTAACTTATCAATGCTGACATGCTTTCAGTTTCAGTGGAGTTTTTATATATCGTGACGTCATTTTGTCACTTACTGAAAGATTAGCTTTAGTTAGGATTATACTGGACTCAAAATTGATAAATTAATAGTAAGGAACTAATTATTATCCTTAGAAACAATGATATAAACAATGCCTAGAGCTTCTGAGTTGTGCCACAAAGCATAATTAACACATAATTATTCACCGATTCAACAAATAATTGTTGAGCACTTATTGTGTGCCAAGCAGAGTTCTGCATTTGTCCCTAGACCGGCTTGTCAAACTATTTCCTGCTTACGCCAATAAACTTCAAGAAAGGTCTGGTGGACCAGATTCTTTAGCAATGCGAAAGGAGGGCTTTACTTACAGGAAGTTTTGTGAAGCACAAAACCAACTGCACATATTATTGTACACATTTATTTATTGTATGGTTTGAAGAATGAACATCTGCATAAAGTAATAATACCATTTGCACCTAAAACTTACTACCCTTAGTAACACAATAATATAAATTTGGAACCCATTCACACATAAAAGAGTCAGATTTGGGATATTTTAAATATGTTATCTTAGTATTTATGAAGAAGAATGTGTTCTCATTAAAAGGAATAGAAGTTAGCTTTAGCACCTACTCTTGATGAATTAATGTATTTGTTGGTGATAAATAACATGCAGTCTTCCTTTAGATAAAGGCAAAGTGACATAAGGTCAACTTTTAATATGTGTAAAGGTTTTCCTGATTGCAAATGCATAATTATCATTTAGAATTTCTAACTCATACCACTTACATTTCATAAAATAAATATTTTATATAAACAGAGATATATAAAAGATTTATTTTCTGTTTTACATCATACTTAATACACTTCACAATCAGTTTTCTTCCACTTGTGACACAGTGATACAATTGCAATTAAGTACATGATTTCTGATAAAATGGATTACATCAGATGTACATACGTAAAATATCCACATACATTGTTGTAATGCATATATATAATCCACATGCATTGTTATTTATACTTATAATTTTATCAAAGATTAAACTATTTTGTTATAACACTTTTTCAGGTGTGCCCTTCTAAAGTCTTACTTCTTCATTCTCTCCTCTACCCAAATAGAAATCTTTTGACAATCTTTAAGAAGTCAGAACTGAAGGACAAATATTTGAATTCTACAAAAATGTGTGATATGTAATTATTTAGCCAAACAAGAGAGCAATACTTACCATATTCACCTCATCATAGACTTTTAAATTTTGGTCTGGGTAAAAAGTATATGGAAATCCAAAAATTATGACATTTATAAAATAATTGATTTTTAAAGATTTCAGTCTCATTCACAAAATAATAAAATGAGTCACTAGCAACATAATTTTCATTAGGTATTTTGAAAATATCACAAGACAATAAAACAATTAAATGCACACATATGTCAGAGATACTACAAGTTTGGTTCCAGACCACTGCAATAAGGTAAATATAATAAAGCAAGTTACACAAACTTTCTGATTTCCCAGTGCATCTAAAAGCTATTTTTGCACTATACTGTAGTTTATTAAGTGTGCAATAGCATTATGTCTTAAAAATGTACATACTTCATTTTAAAATATTATATTATTAAAACATGCAAAAGATCATCTGAGCCTTCAATAAGTCACAAGCGTTATATTGACAGAGGGTCTTGCTTCAACATTGATTTATGCTGACTGATCAGGGTAGTGTTTGCTAAAGGTTGGAGTGGCTGTGGCAATTTCTTAAAATAACAAAGTTTGCCAGGTTGATTGGTTTTCTTTATAAGAGCGATTTCTTTGTATCATGTGATGTTTTTTGATAGCATTTTTTCCAACAGTTCTTTTGAAATTGGAGTCAACCCTCTCAAAACCTTCCCCTGCTTTATTAACTAAGTTTATGTAATATTCTAAATACTTTGTTTTCATCTAAACAATGTTCACAGTATCTTTACCAGAAATAGAGACCATCTCAAGAAACTGCTTTCTTTGCTCATCTATAAAAGCAAATCCTCTTCCACTCAAGTTTCATCATGAGATTGCAGCAATTTTTAGTCACCCCTTCAGACTCTATAATACTTCTAACTATCCTGCTATTTCCACCGTATCTGCAGTGACTTCCTCCACTGATGTTTTGAATCCCTCAAAGTCATCCATGAGGGTTGGAATAAACTTCTTTCTAAATCCTTTTGATGTTGTTATTTCAAAATCTTCCTATAAATCACAAATGTTCTTAAAGGCATCTAGAATAGTAAATCCTTCACAAAATATTTTCAATTTACTTAGCCCAGGCTCATCCAGAACAATCACTATCTATGGCAGCTATAGCATTATGAAATGTATTTCTTAAATAAATAATATTTGGCATTCAAATTTACTCCTTTAGCAATGGGCTACAGAATGGATGTTGTGTTAGCAGGCATGAAAAAACAGCTTTAATTTTCTCATTCATTTCCATCAGAGCGCTTGGTTGACTAGGTGCACTGTCAATAAGCAGTAATATTTTGAAATAAATATTTTTTTCTGAGCAGTAGGTCTCAACACTGGACTTAAAAACATAAATGTGATAGCTGAAACCATGAAACTAATAGAAGAAAACAGGGAAAATGCTTCATAAAATTGGATCGGGCAAGGACTTTTTGAATAAGACCTCAAAAACACAGGCAACCAAAGCAAAAACAGACAAAATGGGATTATATCAAACGAAAAAGCTTCTGCACAACAAACGAAGGAAACAATTAATAAAGTGAAGAGACAACCTGCAGAAAGGGAGAAAGTACTTGAAAACTATACATCAGACAAGGAATTAATATCCAGAATACATAAGGAGCTCAAACAACTCAGTAGAAAGAAAGAAATCAAATTTAAAATGGGCAAAAGGCCTGAACAAACATTTATCAAAAGAAGACATACAAATGGACAAAAGATATATGAAAAAGTTCAACATCACTACTCATCAGAGAGATGCAGAAAAAACCATGAGATATCACCCTACCTCAGTTAAAATGGCTATTATCTAAAAGACAAACAATAACAAATATTGTTGAGGATGTGGAGAAAATGGAACTCATACACTGTTGATGGGAATGTAAATTAGTACATCCATTATGAAATACAGTATGGAGCTTCCTCAAAAGAATAAAAATAGAACTACCATGTGATCCAGCAATCTTACTTCAGGATACATACCCAAATAAAATGAAATCACTATGTCAAAGAGACATCTGCACACCCATGTTTATTGTATTACTATTCACAATAGCCAAGACATGGAATCCATTTAAATGCCCATATCTGTAGATGGGCATTTATGTGGATTCCATATCTTGGCTATGGAACAGTAATACAATAAACATGGGTGTGCAGATATAGAATGCACATCCATGGAATCTGTAGCTCGGCATTTAGGTGGATTCCATATCCTGGCTATTGTGAATAGTAATGCATGTATATGCATTGAAATATATATGCAGTGGAATGTATACACAGCTTCTTCACTTATCTCAGCCTTTATAGAATTGAAGAGAGTTAGGGCCTTGCACTGGATTAGGCTTTGGCAAAATGAAATGTTGCTGGTTGGATCTTCTATCTACACCACTCAAAGTTTCTCCATATCAGCCACCTTCTTTTTCGTATTTTCACTTTCTTATCATTCGTGTGTTCACTGGAGTAGCACTTTTAATTTCCTTGGATAACTTTCCTTTGCACTTACAGTTTGGCTAACTGGTGCAAGTGGTCTAGCTTTTGGCCTGTTTCAGCTTTTAACATATCTTTCTCACTAAGCTTAATTATTTCCAACTTTTGACTTACAGTGAGATACATGTGACTCTTTTTCTTTTCACTTGAACACCTAGAGACTATTAAAATTAGTATTATTAATTCGTCTAATTTTAACAGTTTTGCCTCAGGGGATAGGGAAGCCCTAAAAGAAGGAGAGAGATCGGGAACAGCTGGTAGATGGAACAGTCAGAACACACACATTTATTGATTAAGTTCACCATCTTATATGGGCGTGATTCATGGTACCCCAAACAATTATAATAGTAACATCAAAGACAACTGAACACAGATCACCATAAGAGATATAATAATAATGAAAAAGTTTTAAATATTGTGAGACTTACTAACACATGACACAGTGACACAAAGTGAACACATACTCTGGGAAAATGGCACCAGTAGGCTTGCTTGACATAGCATTGTCACAGATCTTCAATTTGTAAAAAATGCAGTATCTGTGAAGCATAATAAAGTGGAGTGCAGTAAAATGAGATATGCCTGTTTATAACCATAAATCCAGAATAATCCACTATATTTTCTGTGTTTTTGTATGATTTTGTCTTATAATTTTAAATCTATCCAATATCCTGTAGGAAAATTAAGCCATAAGCTTCATGTGTAACATAAATCTCTGATGTATTTTAATAATTTTAAAATACCTGTACCTTCTATAGGTTGAGGGATAAGATCTGGTGATTGCTAGTACATCCATTTTTTGTGAAGAACTAAATTGAAAATGAAAGTTAATTGCATATAAAGGTAACAAATATACAGTGTATTTTTGTTAGCAAATTATATCTGGTAGACGTTTATCTGTATTTTCTCCTGACTTTCACATCAACTAATTCATTTTCCAACTATTCCAGAATTTGGAAAAATTACCCTAATGTCAATGAGTGAAGCCATTTCTAAGTAGTAGCATGGTGGCAACTACTAGGTTGGCTTACCACACTTCCATAGACTCAGCTGGCAAGGAGACAATAAATATAAATAAATATAGACAGTTTATTAGGTACAGAAATGGTAGTTATTGGTGTCATTTCCCTGAGTCCTAATTCCCACAGGGTGATGTGATGAGACTTGAGTGTTGCCTACATATGCTATGGGTGTGCACTGTAGGGGAGGAAACCCGAGATTAGGAAACCCTGATCTACGGGAGACGATGGCAAGCCTGTCCTTTCTCCTCTCTGCAGGGAGACATGAACTTTATTATGTTTAAATGTATCATATATCTCCAGGAAAAGAAATCTTTACTACACTCTAATGTCCTCCAGGGAGAGGGATATCTCCCTGTTTACTCTCAGAGAATGTAAATAAATTTGCTCCAGAGAAAAACTCTGTCTCTCCTTTTCCAAGGATGCCTTAACATATATTATTGAAAATATAATTCTGGAGTATGTGCTGTTAATGCCAAGATGTGTAAATAGGTGAGAAATTTTTCAATAATGGTTTCCCAATACCCAATAAGGCATTAGAAATAACACATATTATTGTGGTTGTTACTGCACATTATCCAATGTTCTGAAACATACTAGAAGGTATTTTTTTAATATCGCCAAATATACATCCAAATAGCTAGTCTTCTTAAGGAAACAAATGCTACTAGCTCATATTAACTCAGAAGTTACCATTATCTTGCCCATGCTCATTCTATCAATTTGAGATGTACTTTTCCGTAAGTATTTTTCCCCTAAGGATAAATGCTTTTTCATTTTTTTTCTAATTCTCACCAAATATTTACTCCCATCTTAAATTCATGGGTGATTATTCTCTGCTTTGAAATACCAGAGCACAATTTTATGTGGGACTTATTCGTGTTTATATTATATATAACTATGGGCATGTACATGCACCTACACATAGACTACAGACTGGCAAGATATTTGTGTACTGTTTTCTAGATGTAGACAATACATAGATATAGATGGATGTAAAGATCTGGAAGAAAATGTATTAAAATATGATATAAAACTACAATATGTAATGAAGAGTGTATGTTGAGGATTCAAACACATGAAATTTCAAACCTAGCCCAATTATTATTTTGTGTAAGATTTTTAATTTTTTTACATCAAATTGTGATAGTATTTTCACATAATTTTTACTGTAAAGTAAATTTGGATTTATGTCTCCTTTCAAATTTTTAATATATTCATGCTTTCTTACTTATTAACTTTATTTTCTCTCTCTCTGTTTTTTTTTTTTTTTTTTTTTTTTTTTTTTTTTTTTTTTTTTGAGACAGAGTCTTGCTCTGTTGGTAAGGCTGGAGTGCAGTGGTGTAATCTTGGCTCACTGCAACCTCTGTCTCCCAGGCTCAAGTAATTCTCCTTCCTCATCCCCCGAGTAGCCGAGATTACAGGTATGTGCCACCATGCCTGGCTAATTTTTGTATTTTTCTTAGTAGAGACGGGGTTTCCCCATGTTGGCCAGGCTGATCTTGAACTCCTGACTTCAGGTAATCCTCCTGCCTCGGCCTCCCAAAGTGCTGGGATTACAAGCATGAGCCACCATGCCTGGCTTATTTTCTCGTTCATTAAGTCCTGCTTTATCTTTATTATACCTTTATACCTATCTTCTTTAGGTTTATTCTGTGTATCATTTTTTAAAAGCATCTTAATCTGAACACAATTCATGAATTAATATAAAATATTTTTATAATATAAATATTGAACTATAAATATTCACATTAATTTCACTTTATAAGATTTGGCATGCAGTATTTTGACTGTCAATCAAATCTAAATTTAATTTCCATTATAATTTCTTCTTCAACCCATTAGTTATTTAGGAGTATGTTTTAAATTTTCTAAACAAATAGAAATTTGAAGGAGTTTTATATGTTTACTTACTTTTTAAAATCTATTTTCTTTACCTACTATGTCAATGTCAATGTATTTTAATAACTAGAGGCCTATGCAATAAATTTTATTCACATTTTTGTGGCTTTGAAGAGGTAAAAAGACTTTTTAGATTTTTTTTTCATTTCCTGAGATTTAGATATACAATCAAAATTGTTTAGGTCATGATCTACAGCCTTTGCAGTACTTATGACATCATATTTTAGGATACAGAGGCCTCATTAATTTTTTTAATTTTTTAATATGATAAGCAAACTGTTGTCTTGTTCAATTTATATTTCTAATCAAATTGAGGCTGAAAATTGAGCAAATGAACAGTGTACTGTTTATTTGCTTTATGTTGTAACATCATTACAACGTTCTTCTTTATTTCTTCTTTTTACATGTTTGCTAAAATCCCCAGTAAAGGTATTTGAGCGTGGGTGTTTCTTCATGGAAAGATTTATTTTTTTATTATTACTAATTCAGTCTTTTTAGTTGTTGTTGGTATATCCAGGTTTTATTTATTCTTGAGTAAACTGTTTTCTATTTATAAATTTCATATTTCATTTATTTGATTTTTGACATAAAGTTGTGCATAATATTTTCTTCTAATTATTTTATTTAGAGACTTTAGTAATGTCCCTTCTCTGATTTTTAATTTTGGTAATATGTTGTCGTATTTTTTGTTTTTCTTAACATCAGATTAGATAAATGTCTATTGCTATTTTGATCTTTCCAAAGAATCAACTTTTGATTTCAATTTCTGGATATTTTTCTACTTTTTAATTACATGATTTTCACTCTTACCTTCATTATTTCTTTAGCCCTACATACTTTGCTTGATTTGCGTTTCTTCTGCATTCTTTAGGTGGATGCTAAGATTATTGACTTTAGATCCTGTTTTCCTTTTATTATAAGCACTTAATGGTAAAAATATCCCTTTTAGCACCACTTTATCTGTATTTTACCAATGTTGATGTAATATATATTGATGTTAAGGTATTATCCCTCTGTGTTCCTAGAAACCTGTGAATTAACATGCTTATTTATTGGCTCTGAATATATTTTCAAATTAATTCGAGAATTATTTATATTCTGGCAATATGTTTCTCATTTGGATACAGAATATCCTTTCAACAAAAACTTAAATGATAGACATTTTAAGTCCCAATTTCACCTTTGATGTAAAAGAAGTTCTTAAGGTGGTCTTATTTAAAAGGGAATATTAGATTCTGGTCTGATAAAAGCATTACCTTCAGGAAAGAAAATAAAGGATAGAAGTTCACAGGAAAATACTGATAAATAGAGAATTCTGCCACATAAGCTGGTTCCCCACTAGACTGTAGGACTAATCCATCAGTGTACTTTCCTTTAAGCCACTCAGTTATTCATACAGATGGTCCCCAACTTATGATTGTTCAATTTATAATTTTTTGACTTCACGATGAGTTCATTGGAAACCAACTTCATCTAAGTTGAGGGGCATCTGGACTTACTATTGCTCGAGTTACAGTTTTTTTTTTTAACTTTGCAATGAGTTTATTTGGTAGTAAATGCATTTTTCATTTATTATATTTTCAACTTATGATGGGTTTATTGAGATATCCCGTCATCATAAGTCAAAGAGTATCTATGTAGCAAAATTTCCTTATAGTGCTTTCACATTTTAGGGACTAAATCCAGGTTCTGTTTATTTGATCTTCAGAACAACTGTGGATTTTGCGTGTCCCTCTAATATAAATCTGAAGCTCCCGAAAAGCAGGAATCTTCTATTTTGAATCCTCCACATTGTCAAGAATGTGTAAGTATGCATTTAATTAAGTTTGCATTTTAACTCACCTTTCTTTGGGACTCAGAATGATCTTTGAGATTTAATTCAATATACTCAATCTTGCACAATATAGGGCATAAATAAACTCCTCAAATTCCAATGAACTTCTCACATTTTCTAACATTAGATCCCTTCCAATTATAGCTGTTTGCATTTGCTGGGTCCTTAGCATCCTTACCCTCACCCCTGCCCCCCATATTCTAAGGCTATACTCATCTTTTTTACTCCACAACTATCTAGATATTGAACTCAGTCATTTTTTTTCCCTCAAAACCATTCACTTAAGATATTCAAGTGTTTGCAAGTTTGGGTGAATAGTGAGATTGTGTATTATAGAATTTCTGAAAATAAACATCAGACATTTTTTGTTCTAAAGCCTTTTTTTCACCCTCCCATGAACATTATTTGTTTTTCAACTATCTGCATAATTTTCAACTTCCCATAAACCTTCTCTGTCCATTTCCTACATCATATTCTCTTGATCCTCTATTATTTAAGTATTTCCCTGTGACATTTCCTCAAAATTTGAATTAATAGTCTCATTATATTAGAATAAAGAGTGATTTAGATCTTTCAACCAAACTGCACACTTAAGGCTATAAGGGCGTATGGGTCTGTGGGTTTGTGTGTGATAAAAGACTTGTGAATATTATTTGGCAATGTAAGGGCATACATATTCTGCTGCATCCAACACAACACACACGCACACATACTCACACCTTCAATAGAATTTTAAACCTTCTACTAGTGTTACTAATTAAAAAGGAGTTTATTTTTCAACTAGTGTGAGTTATTCAACCTCTCTAGAGAAGGTAACAGTAGCTACAATCCATCTCAGTCTTAAACACCCACATTTTAAATTCACTATACAAACAAATATTTATTTAGTGCCTACTCTGTTTGCACTATGGCACTGGGAAGACATCCAAAAAGGGGGACAAGAAAGAGAAAAAGAGAATAGAGATAATTTCTTCCCTAAGGGGTTTTGATTTATTAGGCCAATAAAATTTCTAAAAAATCAAGCTCTTTTTTTTTTTTTTCTTAAACTTTCTTCAACTGGTTTATCCAATTCTCAGGGGGAAAAAAAACCTCCTATTTTGCCTAAAAAACTACCATTCATGCAGCTTGCCCTTTCATATGTTGCCTATAATAGTACTTCATGGTATAAAGAACTATTCCTGAAATTAGAGTACCTAATGAATTGTAGATTTGAAACATTAATCCATGTTAAAATTAGATGTTTATGCTGTAGGACAGGTACAAGAGCTTTTCAGCAGATATCAAGCAAGGAATACAAATAAGGCACAAGTTAGAAAAGACAACTTATTATATATAACTTGTTGGGTTTTCTACTATATGTTCAAATACTGAACATATTCGTTTTTCTGAATTACAAATCTGAGTAAAATATAATTTTTTAGAAAATCAATATTTAATTTCACAAAGCCTGTATATGCTTATGCTTAATGCATACTGTCATGAAAATACCTTTTAAAAATTGAATTTTATTTGAAAAAGTAAAAGGATGTTAAGGTAAATTATGAAAGTTCACAACATATTAGACTAATATAATCCAGAAAATTCTGAAATTCTCTTTATCCTATATTTTTTATCTGGCAAGCATATTACATGGTCTACTTTTGAGTTCTTTTTTTATTATCTCTTTACCTAGTCTTGCATAGTGCTCTTTATCTTATAGAAGAAAAATATCCTTGAGATGAGTGTGTAGTGATCAACAATTTCATCATGTTAATACCTAGACACTAAAAGAACTACAGAGTGCGAAATCTGAGAGGTAATTATACAGTGCCTTTAATGTCAAAGAAAATCTTTAAGGCCTGGCAGAGGAAATCTCTGAGTCCATCATTTCTGACATAGCTAGAAACAATAAGAATAATTAACACCTGAGAATAATTATCAACAAGTTATGCAATTCCACTATATATGGAACCAGTAAGGAATAGGTATGTAAATAGGTGTATAAGTTGTCCTGATTGAGAAGGTCTTGTATTCTAATAGAAAGACTTCAATTCAGACATAAGTCTAAATCATAGTTCAAACTAATTTATACCAAGTGTTAGGAAATTACAACTTCTGCTTCTATCAATATTGTAGACTAAGATTTTACTATTTCTCCTACTATGGAATAATTAGAACCCAGGATGACACATGCTTGTGGATAGATCCATCCGCAGCCACTAAAAGATTATTTTAGTCAGAGCTGGAAACCAAGAGGTAGCCAAGAAGGGAAGTTTACTCTGTGGAAATATGCAAATAGCATCACCCCTGTCATGTATATTGATCATCGATTTAACAGCAAATCAGAAGGGTCTAGAGTTCCTACCCTAAGGCTGGTCTCTTGAGAGTTAATAAAATAACCTTGATAAGCAGCATTTCCCAGCTATCTTTAGGAGCAAACCTAGTTTTTAAGTAAAGGAAAGATTCCACAGTTTGGGCCTCCAAAACACATAGCGATTAAAATAATTATTTTAAATCAAATGCCACAAAAGATACAGGAAGACATTTTACCATAAAGACAATTATTAGAGACAAATGAAAAATAAAGGAAGATTTATGTCACCAAAGACAGAAAATATAAGAATGGCAAGATTCAGAATATCAAGCCTATGTAACGTATTTTTAGAGAAACAAAAGAGCTAATTATAATGAAGTCTGGATGGACAAGAATAAACAGACAAATATGCAAAAAATAAGAGTTACAAAAATAAAGGATGTAATTGTTGAAATCAAAGCTCAATATATTGTTTTAAATTCAGATTTAGGTTCAACTAAGCAGAGAATTTGTCAACTGGAAAATAAAAATAAAAAATTTTTTTAGTGCAGAAATATAACAACTTAAAAAGTGTGAAAAACAAGAAATATGGAGGATTAAAAAAAATGGGTAATACGTATCTCATCACATTTCCAGAAGAAGAGAAAAGTGACAAGGCAATGTTTGAAGAAATAATGATTCTGACACTTCTAAATGTATGGACAATCACGAATATACAGGCTTTAGGAAGCCCAGTGTGTCCAAAGCAAAAAAACAAATCCATGTCTAGACACATTGTGCTGAAATTGAGAAATGTCCAAGACAAAATGAGATCATATAAACTGCTAGGAAGAAAGGACAGATAACCAAAAAGGGGCTGCAAATACACTAACAACAGATCTCAACCACAATAGTAGAAAAATAAAATATAATTATATCTTCCAAAAGATGAGATAAAAACATATATTAAGGTAAAACTGGGTATCCAATGAAACAATTTTTCAAAGGTGAAGATATTAACTTCCCCTTTCAGCTCTGCCATATAAAGGAAATGGAAGTCATTGCTCCTGTTATCACAAGAAAAAGCTGAAAACCTGAACAGCAGTGACTTTTGGTAGAACAATCAGAAGACTGGGCTTGGGTACAAGCGACCGTTCTAAAAACTGAAGAATAAAGCAAATCCAGTAGGTCACAGCCAAGACCTGCTTATCTAACCAGAAGCTGCTGACATCATAAACTGGAAAGAATATTCCAATTGTACTTTTGACAAATTGCTAGAGGCTGAGTAAATTGAGAGAAAAGCCCAAAGACCCCAGTCATAGAGGAAAGCTCAAATCTTCATGTTTTTACTTCTTCAGTAATCCCAGCAGGTTCTTACAGTGAAGAGCCATGAAAGATTCCATAATGTTTCTGACAGGGAGAGAGAAAAAGTAATCATTGTGAAATATACCCAGAGCTTCTTCCATAACAAAGACCTACTCTTCAGTAGAAATACTTTATCAGACACTTTCCTTGGGGTGTGGATAAAGGTGTTACTTTCACCAAAGCCCCCTATAACCCTTCTGTCTCACCTGAGGGTAAAAAAAAAAAAAAAAAAAGCTATGCAAGGA
This sequence comes from Homo sapiens, assembly GCF_000001405.40. NCBI lineage: Eukaryota > Metazoa > Chordata > Mammalia > Primates > Hominidae > Homo > Homo sapiens. The sequence continues at coordinate 9,214,379 of NC_000007.14, read as the reverse complement.
GAAATACTTATGATGGTCACAGTCCCACTAAAACCTGAGATATATTTGGAAGATTATAGGACGTCCTCCACCCCACACTACAAAAAACTGGAGAGAACAAAGCAATACAGAGAAAGTAAGGGAATGGAAACACAAATTTCAGGATTGTGATTATATCTTAGCTACAGATAAAATATAATGAGATGCACATATGTAGGCACTGTTTGTTCTTAAATAGAAAAGAGATTCATATGTGGTATTTAGTCTGTGTTTTATAAAATGTATGCTATATCTATCTATCTACCTATCTATCCAGTATTAAATAGGGTAAAAATAAACTATTGACTATCAAGTAACTATAGTAACTAACAACTTGATACACTGATACATTGATGGAATATCTCCCTAGTCAAATATGGATTTAGCCTTTTAAGTCTATTCACACACTCATTAAAATTTTTTAAAAGCCTGTAAGCCCTATAGAATTATCATATTTTATTGAATAAGAATACAAGCTCAGAGATGTGAAGCACTTTGTTCAAGATCACAGAGCTACTAAGCAGTGGAAGTTGGTTTGTTACTAGGGTCCAGTTCCTTTGAGTCTTTGAGTATACTGCACTTACTGTCACAATTAAAATAATAGTTCATAGCAATTATACTTAAGAAGAAGAATGTAATGATCACCAAAGTCTCACCTTATGTTATAATACTTGGTATATAGTTCCTCAGTGGCTCTCTTCCTTGCTTTAGGAAACCACCTTGGCATAGTAAACACTTAACGAATATTGAGTAGGTATAGAGTACTGTGGTTTTAAATATCTAATATTTGTAGTAAAATAATTTTAGACATAATTTCAACACATATATACTCACTAAAATATACATCTGTGACTCTAGATCCTTAAATAACAAAGTACTTAAATCTATTAAATTTAAGTCATATTTGCATGTAATTTGGTGTTATTTAGAAATAATGAAGATAGTAATGCTTTTTACATAGGTAATGTCTACATTTCCATTTGTGAATATCTGGAAAGAAAATCTCAAGACATTTAGCTAAATTTTCTTATCAGAACATTTCCATTAGAGAATGACTTATCAATCATATGTGTCTACTAAAACAAACAAATCCATAGGAAAAATTCTTTGAAATTTATGAAATATCGCTTATTCTGTTTTTACTTGTTCTTTTAAGTTCAATGAGGTCATTATTTTTATTGAAATAGCAAAATTATTATTTAAAATTAACATACTTAATGGAACAAAAGCTAGTAGCAAAAATGTATGAATATCCATTATAAAAACACTTAGGATCATTTAATTTACCTACTAGCTATCTAGTAAAATCAAGTTTTATTTTTTCAAATTTTATTTGCATTCTTTCATAGTTGAGAATTTGCAATGTATCTCAATTACAGAAGCAAGCTTATCTCACTGCTTATCAATATTCTCACCCTTAAAGTGAGAATATTATGCTTACTCTACCCATCTCACAGATCAAACAAAATAAGTTGTGATACAGAATAATGTTACCTTGTAGGGCAGAAAAAATTCCTGTAAGGTAATATACAGCTTTCTGTGCTAACCTTATAACTCTAAACATAAACTAAAATATCACAGTAACATGATTATCAGTTATAATTATTAATTGCATGATTATAGTGATATTAATTATAAAACATTCCATAAAATTATGAAGGAATTTCTTAGTGGCATCGTCATCCTTCTAATGCCAAAATACTTCTTTTGAAAGTCATCCATGTCATTTATTTTATTAGTGCTATATAGAATATATTTAAAACCTTCTGATTTGCTCCACAATAGATATAAATTCCCCAATTTTACATTCTTACAGCTGTGATTCTAGTCTAAATTATAAGCATGACTTGCTTTATTCATTCTCAATTATTCTTTGAGTACTTTTAATGTTCCAGGGAATAAATTATACATTGACAATGTAACAATGAAAAAGTTTTTCCTCATGGAAAATTTGGTCTGTGTTATAATTTATGAAGTCATTGTCCGTTGAGTTATGGTTAAAAATTCCAAAAGAAATATACATGTATACTGAATTTGAACAAGGAGTGGGGGAAGTCAAGTTATGCATTATTGGAATGGGAGGTTACAAGCAAGCAAGGAGTGAAAGCCAGGATGACGTATATGGTAATGGAATACTGTTGGAGATACAGTATATATACAGTATATATACTGTGTATATATATATGTACTTGCAGATACAGTATATATGTGTGTATACACATATATATAATATTTGTAGCTATGGATATATACACTAGTTAAATACACTCATGTATGTTCTTTCTCTGTCAGAGGCCTAGAAGCAATGACACCCCAATAGCAATAGGCACATCTAGCACCCTGAAGTTGATTTCTAATACCATTCTCAAATAACAAAAATAAGGTCTCCTTGAAGAAATGGCTGATTATAAGATTAGAACAGAGAATATATAAGAGTCTGAAGCATTTCATATTATTATAAAGTGAGGAAATACTCAGGAAAAACACAAAGATTGGGATATGTCAGAGACATGGGAGTCAACTGAAAGAACTCCCGATGGTTAAAAGTTGGAATAATTTTAGCAAATAATAATAATAATAAGTGGTATTGGTTTATAACCTAAACTATAAAATAAATATTCACAAGTCTATACTGATGTAAATAAATGCTTGAGGAAACAAATAAATTGTGAAAGAATAGACAAATTTCTGAACAAAAACAAATAAATAATTTTTGTAGATACTACACCCTCAAGGAAGTAGAGCATAATTCCCCACTCCATAAATGTCTGCTGAACATACTGATCTTGTTCCAAACATTGTGGTATGGAGAAAAAGTAAAAGAGTAATTTTCCAGTGGAAAAACTTGACAAACACTACCCAGCCAGGTGATTAAGATTCACATCAACAGGGATAAGTCATTTTGAGAGTAATGGGAGTGTACCCCCACAGATTTTTTTCCCAAACACTAATAAGTCCTATTTACCCATGAGAAAAACATCAGAATAATCTCAGTTGAAGGACATCCTATGGAGTATCTAATCAGTTTTCCTCAGCACCGTCTAAGTCATCAAAACAAAGGAAGTCCAAGAAAAAGCTGCTGTCTAGAAGAGCCTAAGGAGACATGACAACTCAATGTGACATGAGAACCTGAACGGGATTCTGGAACAGATAAAGGATATTAGGTCAAAACTAGAGACAAATGAATAAAGTCTATACTTTAGCTAATAACAATATCTCAAAGTGGTTCATTATTTGTGATAAATCTAATATAGAAATGTAAGATGTTAATAATAGAAAAATTTGGGTGATGGATATATTAGAATTCTCTTTATTATCTTCATTTAGCTGTAAATCTATTTTAAAATAAAAATTTATTTAAACAAGTAAAGTTGTCACAACAACCTACAATTTAGTACAAGCCCATAGTGGATTCTCATTTTATTTTCAATGTGATTAATTATTCCTCAATTTGTGAAATTATGAATTTAACATTCCAAATGGAAAAATGACTTTGTTCATTAAAAATCATAAAATATAGAAAATTCTGCACAGCCAAAAAGATAGAAATGAGAAATACATTTGGGAACCATTATGAAGAATATTTATGAGGAAACATCTTGTCTATGGAGCTTGGTAAAATAATGGTATCCCTTTGCTTATTCAAAAGGAATCTTTGCTTTGTGTTTCAAAGGAATTTTTTATCTCTTAAAGCAACTGCTTGTAATTTAAAACAGTGATTAAAGAGAGATAATTTTGTCCATCTTTTTCATCACTAATTTCAACATATCCCATTGAAACATCCCATTATAGAGGGTAAGTAGAGACAACAGCCAAAGAATGTCATCATTCTAGCACCAGCCAAGTATGATATACCGAAAAAGGAAGAAACTGAAGAGGGGATTATTTCAACATAAAAACCTTAAGCAGATATAAACTAAAGACATAATTAGGAACACTCAGCTGAGAATATCAGCATTTTCAAATGCTTATACGTTTTATTCTTGCAAAAATTGTCTGAAACTTAGTTGTAAAATGACATTGACAGAATGAATGAGAATGATTCAGCAGCCTGTTATGGGGAAGATTAATAGCTCCTGTCTTCAAACAAGTTAATCTCTCTGTAAAAATATAGTGCTTTTAGGATACCTTAGAAGAAAAGAATTAAATACTTACATTATAGATCTTTGTGTGTGTGCGATTCCCCAGGTGCACTAATTTTCTATCAATGTTCTCTTTCAGGGAGTGAAAATCTTTAGGCACAGTATACACTCTGTAAGCATTGCTTCTCTACCTTAATTATGCTAAGGTAGTAAATAAGTTAACATTTTGGAAATTAAAAATAAAATAATTGTAGACTGAGAGACACTCAAGTTTAAGAATTTAGCAGATTTTCAAGCATGCGCAAGGTACCCAATACATTCTTATTTAATTTTCACCAACAAGTATTCAATAACAAAGCTGTCAGAACTAAGTTTTCCATTAAGAGATGCTTATAAAAGGGTATGTCAGACATATTTAAATACTTCTACAGGATTTTCCTAGTTAGAGCTGCAAAAGACCTAGAAGACACATTCTCTGCCATTATATCTGAATGGAGGCATAATACCCTTTGACCAAAAAAGTTTTAGTAAGGTTTATCTAAGTCATTTGCCGTAAAACAGCAATAAGGAATCAGATTATACCTATTATGAAGAGGTCCAATCAAAAGAATAATCAGAATGAGATAGGTCAGAGGTTAACAGAGTGGTTTCTAGTGGGACTAATTTTTAGTATAATAGTTAAAAATAGAAAATTGGAATTGCCTATACATTCTTTAAGGTTTATATGCTCCACATTTCTAATAACCATAGATACCATTATCATCATCAATAATATTCTAAGCTCAATTTCTATTTGAAACTGCAATTTTTAGGATTAAAGAAGGGTAATTCGCATCTTTACTGTCACTTAAGGAAAGGGTAGAGACACATACCAGTTAACTTTTATAGAGAGCCTACTATGTGCTAGGATTTATGTTAGTAGCATTACATAAACCAAACACATTTGACAATCAGAGAACTTAGGGAAAACACGGCAAAATTACGTGGTAAGATAACAGAGCTGGCAATCAATTAGGATGAGATGTAAATTAAGGCCTTTTGGACATCCAAGCGTTTATATCACATAATAGACATATACTTATTAATATCTACTAGTTTAGCTAGAGTTAAAAACACATTCATTGAATCAGTGAATAATGGTGATTGAAATGTTCTAAATGTTAAACATTAGTTTTGCTGAAATCTAGTAACAACTGCTATAGCTCTCACAGCTATAATATTGCACAAGTTTCCATAAGCTTTGTTGAGAAGTCAACCTTACGCCTACTTCTCTAGGCTTACCCTCCATTACTGTGCAAGACTGGTGATGCCAGAAACTGTTGCGTAGATTGAGCATGCACTACAGCACTTTCATTGATGAGCTACATATATTTATTTAGGAAGCTTATCCTGATCTCTCATAGTCTGTGTTCTCGTCAGAGAAAGGCGGAGCAAGTTGGATCATCGCATCAGCTACTTTCATAATGTAAGAAAATACACACTCCTTTAGATATCTTCTTGCTTCTACAAGGAATACACACACATATACACACAGGCATACATATATATGCACGTATGTGTATATACATGTGTCTATGTATACACTTACATATGTATATATGTACATTTATTATAAAGATTGTCTTTTACTTTGCATTATGTAGGCCTTTCTTACATTAACTGATATTAAAGAATCCTTGTATATATTCAAGGAACATGAAAGTCTGCCTCCTCTTAGCCATTAAACTCAAATGATTTTTCTATTTTCTTTATTTCATATTCTTAAAAAGGGCAAGTTTGAAAAGAGAAAGTTGTTTTAACTTATCACTGACCTGCTTCTGAACTAAAATGGTAATACACATACAAACAGTAGATTGTAAAACATACCATTCAAGTAAATGCATCCCCAAATTACAGTTATTTTATTCTTCAATAAGAATATTCATTTCTAGAAACCTAAAAACATATCCTGAGGACTTTTTCCAGTATATATAGAGATGCTCCTTATCTTACAGTGAGATTACATCCCAATAAACCTATTGTAAATTGAAAATATTTTAAGTCAAAAATTCATTTAATACACATAACACCACAGGAACATCATAGCTTAACCTAGCCCACCTTAAACATGCTCAAACACTTACATTAGCCTACCATTTGGCAAAATCATCTGGCAATACAGTACCCTTTATTGTAGAGTATTGGCTGTTTACCTTCTTGATTGTGTGGCTGACTGGGAGCTGCCTTTCACTGGCACTGCTCAGCATCACGAGAGAGTATGAAACTGCTTATTGCTAGCCTTGAAAATGATCAAAATTCAAAATTTGAAATACCGTTTTTACTGAATGCATATCACTTTCACACCATCATAAAGTCAAAAAATTTTAAGTCAAAACTTGGTAAGTTGGAGACTATCAATATTAGAAATTTTATTTCAATTTGGTAAGCATTCCTAAAACCTTACATTTTCGTACCTAGGAGCACAGTACACAGTTCCTGTAAAGGTGAAATTTAAATGTGAATCATAACTACATAAAGAATGATTATTAAAATTTGGATAAAGGAAGGGTAATACATTGTACATAAGAATAAATAATATTTTCAGGACTAGAGGTAAATCCATGTGCCACTGATTTCAGAACCAATAGCTCATTCCTTTCAGTCAATTATCACCAGAAAATTGTTGTTGATTCAGAAATGCATTGTTGTGAGAGATGCGATGTGTGCAGAAGGAGAGGATGGACACTAAGTCATCAATTCTGCCTTAACCAAACATCTGCCTTTCATAATCCTATTCCTCCTTCTCAACAAGACCAAGTAAACACATAAGCAAAAATGATTATGTTGCAAAACCCAAGTAATTAAAGTACTTAACTAAATGGTGCTTTTAATTCTCTCATACATTAGTTTAATAATAATTTGTTATATTTATAATTTTTTCTTTTATCAAAATTGCAGGGATGATAATTTAGTGTGATTAAAGTGAAGATTTTAGTAGTAATTAAAGATTATATTCTGACAGATTTAAAATGATTTATACCTTAAAAATCAAATTTTCCTTCACAAATCTCGTGGGTATGTCATAAACCAACAAGTTAAGTGATTCTCTTTTCATTCAGGACCAAATTGAGTGACAAATCATGGGAGTGACACATACCTCAGTTTTGATAGATCACATCTTTTTGTTTTTATAACTTCCATTTTCCCATTAAAATTGTTAGAAAAGATACAGCACATTGTCTTATTTCCTTCAATGAATTAAATCTATTACATTCAACCCCAACTCACTTCACCCTGTCTCCCAGTGGAGAGCCTTCAGTGTGTAACCTGGTTAGTGTAATCTCCTGCTCCGTTTCTTTTCCCTTTTTAGTCCCTTAATCTCAATAACAATTCCTCAGCTTCTTAGATGCGGTTGTCTCTTAATACCCTAGGTAGAAATTCTGAGATTTTCTTCTCTAACTTAAATGTTATACTTGTCTTATCAATTCTGCTTACTTCCTCAGTCCCAGGAGACCAGTTCCTCTTCCTCTTCATGATTATGTTTTAGTCATCCTTCTCATCAAAACACACACACACACACACACACATTATTTTCACCTTTTATAATCAAATACTCCAAATTTCTGATTTGGTCTTTATTTCTCTTTGTTCTATAGGTTACTTTTCTGAATGATTTTATCTATTTCTAAGCCATAAGCTTCCACATATTCTAATATCCCCTAGCTTCATTCACAAATGACTGTTGAATATTTCTATCTAAATGTCCTATATTTTGCATTACTAAAACTGGGCTCCTCTGTACCCCTCCAAACAAGATTTTTTTTTTCTGACATTCTGATACCGAACTGGACCCATTCTGCCCAACATGTTGTATGCCAATCACTGAGATGACAAGTTTTGCAATAAAGAGTTTATTCATGTGGCAGTCAAACAAGGAGGCAGGAGAACAGGTCTCAAACCTGCCTCCTCAAAGATGGGGTTCTAGTGATATTTATAATACAGAAGAGTAAGGTTTTCTGAGGCGTAAGGAAAGGTTTTGGGGATAAGGAAAAGTGAGGCAATTGGTGTTCTATGCAAACAGAGTCAAGTTTTAAGGTTCTTCGTAGGATGCATGTTCACAAACTGGCATTATTTGCATGATCTGACAGTGAAATTTTTCGCCTTCTGACATTAACAGTCCACCACTGGACATTTATATAGGCCCAGTTGAAGAATTAGTGGGCTCAGCAGGCTTGAACAAAAACTGACTCTGAAGTTCTTGAAAAATAACTGAAGCAATTATTACTATGGTGACCCATAAGTCAGAAATGTTACCTCTAGGCTTAGCTATGTAACTTCTAACTATATGGACTCCAAGGTCAACTAGAAGGAAGTAAGTAAAAGCGAGTAAGACAATGACCAGGATTGTGATGTTCTTCTATGCTGTGGTCCCCATTTCTTGTTGTAGAGTCATAAAGTCAGACAACTCTTGAGGAGCCCACTTTGTCCAAGAATGGTAGATCCATAGTTTTACTCTTTTCACTTTGAATGAGGAATGAGTCACCAGCAGCATCTCATAGACTCCTGTCCGGTGAGTATGAAGTTGATTTTAAACCAGTTTCTTTAGAGTCTGAAGGGCAGTTACTTGAGGTGTCTAGATGTTAGATTCTAAACATTTTTAGTTAAAGTAGTCACTGGCAATCTAATAATCTTTTGCATCTAATCTTTTGCATATGAGCTTCAGCTTGCAGCACCTCAGGAACAAGATAGTATCAATTTATTGAATGCAAGTCAGAAAATCGAAGAAAAATTGAGAAACATTAGTTTGGAGATTTGTATTCAGGAAAAAGTTTAGGATTCAGTCCAAGTTGTAGGCAAATAATAAAAACTCAAAAGAAGTCACAAGGCTAGACTCTAATAACAGGTGTACTATAGTTTTCTTCTAAAACATAATTTTTCTCTCTCCAGACTCCCATACCTGTCAAAGACATATCATAGTAGGACCAATTTACTTGTAAAATAAGTTTTAGTCTTATTAGACTTGAACTGATTATTTGCATGAAGTGCAATAAGGATAATGATTGGCCATACAGACTCTCTTAAAATTAGCTTTGTTGGAACCTTTTCAGAAGGAACCTCTAACTAGACATGTAAAAGGCTTAGGGCTAACCAAGCCAAAGATTTGCTAATAGACTGTGCCTGTAATTCCTATATAAATTGGTGTTTCTTTCTTCTCGTGGCCCTAAAACATCTTTAGGTTCCTGGGCCTGTCAGAAAGTGACATTTTTTTGCTTACACCAAGGACAGAAACCTTGTCAGAGAACCATGGTAGTTACGAGGCCAGTCTTTTCAAGGGGCTTTTTATTGACTCTATAAAGTCAACAAAACATAAGGGTTAGCTATGTGACTTAGCTGATGTGGGTTTTAAGATTAACTAGAAGCCAGGGACTAAAAGCAAGCAAGGCATGTTAAGTTTGCTCAGCCTAAGCAGATTAGTCCTTAGTTACAATTCCTTATCTTAGTTAATGATGACATCATTCATTTAGTCTAGAAGCTTCAGTGACTTCCTACAAAGAATCTCTCCCCACATTGTATAATAAGACAGTTCCCAGAGACTGGTTCTCTCTGCCTTTTTGAAGTGTAGGTATGTGAATTATGAAGTGAATCATTGATAACGTAGGCACAAAGAAATCCAAAAGCTTTTCCTCCTTAGTAACTTTACCCTTGTTTTGGTTTTGTGTTTAAAGGTAATAATAACAACTATTGAGCCTCTGTTATGTGTCAGGCATCCTGCTGCCTGTGTTACATTGATTATGTTGCCATTTAATCTTGACAGTGGTCTTGCAACTTTGGTATCACTTCCATTTCCTGCATGAGGAAACTAGACCAAATACACCTAAGTATCTTGCCCACGATCATATGGGCAGTATGCAAGTCTAAGTTTGTTTACCTCTAAATAACACCTCTAAGTTTGTTTACCTCTTTACAATATCTGTATCACCTGTGGCCTCAAAAAGTGATAATTTCGAGTACGTGCAAACATCAAATACCTGCAACTAGCACCTCATTCTTGTTTAGTAAGTTCCTACTGAACTGAAGGAGGGACCAGTAATTACATTGTGTTGTTTCCTTGAAAAATTCTAACAGAGTGGATGTTAAGTGTTCTCACCACAAAAATGATAACTCTATGAGATCATGCATTTGTTAATTAGCTAAATTTAGTCATTCCATAATGTGTATATGTATTTCAAAACATCTGTTGTATGCAGGATAAATACATGCTATTTGTCAATTAAAAAATAATTAAAGCCCCCAAATAGTCCTTTTTATATTTTAATAATTCGAAGTTCAAGATTTACCTGCTAAATCATGAATTATTTCATATTGAAAATCATCATAATGAGATTCCATTCTTCAACTTTTATGCTTAAGTACCATTTTAATGGCTGTTATCCATAAAGAAAAAACGTGTCTAAATCATTTCAATCTGAAATCCAATCAATGGTCCTTGAAATTGTGCCATGATATATAACAATCACTTTCAAAAGGATTTAATTTTGGTTTTAGTTAGTATAGGGACAAGTTTGATTTATTCAGTTGGCAAGACCATCTTTGAAGAAGTCTACAATTTTGGTCACCAAGGAAAGCAGGTTTGCTCAAAGAAATCCTTGTCTTCTGGTAAATCCGTGTGTGTTTTATCATGCCAAAACTAATTAATAAATATGTTGCACCACTCCTCGTACTTTGAGCAGTAGAAAATATTTGTGTGTCTTCTGTTACAAACAATTAAAGCGTCTGGGCATGGTGGCTCACGCCTGTAATCCCAGCACTTTGGGAGGCCGAGGTGGGCGGATCACAAGGTCAGGAGATCAAGACCATCCTGGCTAACACAGTGAAACTCTGTCTCTACTAAAAATACAAAATATTAGCCAGGCGTGGTGGCCTGTAGTCCCAGCTACTTGGGAGGCTGAGGCAGGAGAATGACGTGAACCCGGGAGGCGGAGCTTGCAGTGAGACAAGATTGCGCCACTGCACTCCAGCCTGGGCGATCGAGGGAGACTCCACTCCGTCACAAAAAAAAAAAAAAAAAAAAAAAAAAAAAAAAAAAAAAAAAAAAAAAAAATTAAAGCATTAAACTATAGAAATATGTTTTCTTCCTTTCATTTGAACCTCAAAACAATGCAAGGTTATTCTTCCAATTTTAAAGAAAAAGCACATATTCAGATAATTAAAATAATTTTCTCAAAGTAAAAAGTAGACAAGCTCTTAAACAAAAAGGTCAGGATATGAATATGTGAATGTGACTTAAAAATACACCATAATATTGGTGACTCAGTAATGTCAGCTTTGTATGTGAAGGACAGGATGATACTGCTGTCGCTCCATATTGTCATATCACAGGTTATAGCAATAAAATTAGTTTATAGCAGTATTTTATTGTTGCTCATAAATCAGAGGGTAAAACTTAAACTATATGAAGACACTAGAGAATGTTATGGATAAAGAGCTTCTGAAAATAATGAAACTATCTCTAGCAACAGCTGAAATTTGTCTTTGAATTATTCCTGCTCAGTGGCCATTCAAAATTAAGAACTCATAATATCGTGGCCCAGTTGTCCACAGTAGAAAAGAAATAAACTCGGTGATTTTAGCTTTATTGATATTCTGGAAATAATACAGATGTATTATTTGGTTAAGATAGAGAGGCCACTGCAAGCTGAATTTACAGCTAACAATTCTCATTCAATGGAGGTAAATTAAATATCTTAGTTCTTTTTAATTTAATTGTTTATTTAAAATAGATAGAAATTTGATTATAATAGTTATGCAATTTGACATACTTAGACTTTTTTTAATTTTAGGAATCTAAGTAGAGAGGTGAATATCCTTGCATATTGAGGTGTGTTTATGTTTTTCTGTTCTTTTATGTTTTCAATTTTAATACTTAAATGTGACCAGCAGTTAGTCCACAATTTACTCTAATCACAGACGATCAAGATAATGAAGTTTAAAAATCAAATACCATGCATGTGGTAGCTTCTGCCAGCTGCAACTTGCTATGCTTCTACAATAAACATACAATACTTTTGATGTGACTGGTATAGACCTCCAACTAAGAGTTGCTAACTTAACAAGAAGCTAGCAAATTCTTTTAAAAAAGAACGATTGGTGTTTGGATATCTCCTGCTGTGTTAAAAATTTCAATGGCAGTAATTAGCAGCAGGTTTTTCCATCTGGGCATGATAGGCAGAAGAAAAGAGCCCCTGGAAAGGAGGATATAAAGAAAGCAAAAACTAGAGGGGAACTGTAACAATTGAGCAGATGACATGCTGTTTGATCAGTTGCTACCATCGTAATAAATATGTTTCATAGAAAGGTATCAGAACTTTGTATAGTGAAACATTAGAAATTACATTCATAAGATATTCATGAATTAGAAAATTATGTCTCAGCTTTGTGATTTTTAACATTAAAAAAGATAAGTACAATTAGGCACATACTGTTTTAATGCTAAACGTTAGAAACATTTATTTCCTTGATTATTTTAAATATAGTTTCTGACTTGTTCAAATCATGGCTTTGATTTATTGGCAATTTTTAAATATAACATCCAGAGCATTTCCTTTTTTAAAGATATACACCATAAATCAGTACTTTAAGATCATAAAAAGACTTAAAATAGCCATTTTAGAAACAAATAGTTTGTATTATAAGTATCTTGGTCTTACATGTTAATTATGAAAATGAGCAAAAGGAATGACAAATTACTAAATATATTTTTAAAATATTCCATGAGTATATTCTTAAAACAAGATATTTAAGAAAAATTTTCCAAATTGTTAAGAATGCATGCTTTGTTTATGGCAAGGCCAACCTTGTAAACCCAGATACTTTGGTCTGAAATCAGGTAGAAAAAAATTATCTATCTATTTATCTACCTATCCCCCTCTCTCTATCTATCCATCCATCTCTGTATAAAACCTATCTAAAATGAGAATTTGACATCTGAATTATTATCTATGTAACAATTAGTGTTGGGATACTTGTATCTGGAGCAAGCATATCTGATAACAGATAATGAGCTTTGTTTTAGCTTAAAGGACTGATCCAAATATCCCAGGATGAGTTTCATTTCTTGGCAGCATCTATTTTTAGTACAGGAATAAAGGAACAGGCACCACCTATTTTAGCCCCAGATGGTGAGTTTGTTTCTCAACAAAAGGGAAGATTTATATGTATTTTAAGAAACAAAATACCTTCTAGAACATTTGTTATCAGAACTAAAACTGTTAACGCATAAATCCTTTTCAATTTTTTAGCAAGAGATTTCATTCTTCTCTAATTCTGCTTAGGACTCACTTTAGTAAGTCTTTCTGCCTTAGATTAATTACCCTGATCTAATTCATTTAGTGGAGGACAGCTGTGGTACGTGGGTTGCCCACTGATGTATTGTGTTAAATGACGCCCATCTGTCATTGCAGCATATCAGCATGGATTCAGTGTCATCCACTTCATTGGTTCTGCTGAGATGTGAAGTATGGCTACAATGTTTACCACTGTTGTTAATTTAATATCTACACCTTTAATAACCTGACTGCTGTCATTCGCTGAACAATGATACATGATGGCCAGCAAAGGACCAGATAGAAAGCATTAACTAGACAGCGAAGCAGACCCTCTGGTATAGTTAATTAGAACACTGTGGGCAAAGTTGCTATCGGGGGCCTTGTAGGGCATTCTCCTAGGGAAATTCTTTATTGAGAAACAAAGTTAAAAGGATCTGTGTTAATAGCACTTCTGACAAATTTAATCATTAATTAATGATTAAATTCTGACATATTTAATCATTCATTCACTTAAAACAGAACTATTTTTTAATAGTCCTTTTATCTTTTTAGGAGTTCATCTCAGATGCTTCATTTATTTATTGTCTTGTTACTTTACCACAGCTCCCCAAATATGTAATATATGTGCTTCATTGGAAACTGGTTGATGCAAGTATAATACACCAGATGCAATGTTTTCCGTTTAATGTTTTCTTTCTTAGCTAAACTACCTTAGCCCAAAATCTCTTGAGAATATCCAAGGATTTCAAAGTATACATGGTATGTATAATGCTTGATTCTGTTTTCAAAATAAGTCATTAAATATTAATATTTGGTATATGTGAACAATTGCTTGTATAATGTGGTAAAATTTAAAAATAAGTAATATGCATGTTTACATCCTAAATATATCAAAAGATGACCTTATAAAATATTTAAAATCATTTAAAAATTGATAAAATGAATATACAAACAGAAAAATTTCGTTTTTAATACTTTGTAAAAGCTAAAGAATATGTAATTTGATTTTTATTTCCGTTGTTATTCTTTTTCATTTTCAATGTTTATTCATCTTACTTATTTACATTATATTCATACTTAATGGCCCTTTAAAAATATCAGTCTCTTCAAATTTTCCCTCCATTTATTTGCCTTGAATGAAACTTGGTCCTATAGGTGGCTGCTTTCACTAGATTGTGTTCAGATAGGTTCTACTGTATTCTTCCAAGACCTATATACTTACATTTGGAAAATGGAGTCATTATTTCAGTAATACTCAAAGACCAGTAATACACAGTTATTCTTCACTTTTGTTTACATATAGGTTTCTCTTTTAAGGCTTATGCCATCTGGATAAAATATCTTCTCTCCCTCTTTATTTAAACTTCCTGGCCCATTCCACCTATTAAAAATTAAACTGTTTCAAAGTAAATCAATTGTGTCCCAGAACAAAACTTAAGAATATTAACCAAAAGAGAACTAATCAAGATTATCCAGCAACAACAACAAAAGACACTTAAAATTTAGAATGTGTAATTCCACAAGTACAAGGCATGCAAAGAAGCAGAAAAATATAACCTATAATGAGTAAGATCAATGAAAACTGACTCAGAAATTACACCAATTATGGAATAAGTGGATAAGAAACTTTTACAAGAGTTGTAACTATAATCTATATTCAAGAATACAGAGGAAAACAAGTTTTTTAAAGAAAGACATGAGAGATGCAAAAGCCACTCTAGAGATGGAAAATGAACTGGACAAGCATTTTCAACAGCTTAGACATTTGCAGAAAAAAATGATCTTAATACAGCAATAGAAATTACTCAAAATAAGACACAAAATATTTTTTTAAAAATTTAAAAATTAAAAAAAAAACAGTTTATTAATAAGCTATGGGACAACTTCCAAAATCCTAATATATATGTAATGTAAATACCTGAAGTAGAGAAGAAAATGAAGCAAACAGAAAAGTTATTTGAAGAAATAATGACTCAAAATTTTCCAAATCTAATGAAAAATATAAACCCATAGATCAGAAAGCTCAACAGAACACAATCAGAAGAAACAGGAAGAAAACTGCATCAAAGCTACATCTTAATGAAATTTCTTAAAACTGTAATGAGAATTCCAGTTCCACAGTGTTGCCAGCATGTGGCATAGTAAGTTGTTTTGCTTCTTAGAGACATTTTAATAGCTGTTTAGTGGTGTCCCATTCCGGATTTAATTTACATTTCCTTGTAACTAAATACGTTGATTTTTTTTCATGTGCTTATTTTCTATAAATATATTGTTTTTGGTAAAATGTCTATTCAAGTCTTTTGCCCATGTTTTAATTACCTGTTTTCTAATAATTGAGGTTTTATTAAGGTGCCAATGGTGTTTTATGGCCTTGGCTATCATTTGTTTAAAATATAAACCTTAAATTTCTGACTTGTTCAAGAAGTATGAAGGATTTGGGGCATTATTGTATACACATAATATCAGTCCCTCAAAACATGCTGAAAATAATGAATATTAAAATTTTTAAACTTTTAAATATTATATGGTATAGATATGAAATTATTTTAGTAACTAAATTTATAGAGTTTTATGTATACAATAATTTTATTATGTTACAAAATAATTTCAATTTTCAGAAAGTCCAATTTATCAACTTTTTGTTCCATGAATGATATTTTGGTCTTATATCAAAAACATCATGAACTAACTCAAGGTTACAGCAATTTTTTTCCTATGTTTTAGTTCAGAAATTTTCTAGTCTTAGATTTTATATTGATGTCTATGAACAATTATTTGAAAAATGTTGATTTCATTTTTATGTATAGTTTAAGAAATGAATCAGCATTCTCTTTTTTGTATGTGATGCCCAATCCCCAAATATTATAGCATCACTTGTTGAGGAAACTATCTTTCTTCATTGAATTGCTTTTGCTTTTCCATCTTTCTCTAAAATCAATTGACCATATATACATGTGGGTCTATTGCTGCTCCTTTGATCTGTACAAACTCTGTCAATATCTTTTTTTCTGATTTCTAGTGCTTTATAATAACTCTTAAAATCATATAATTCAAGTCCTTCATCTTTCTTGATTCGACTTTTAGGTTTCCTACTTTTTTTTTGCCTTTTTGTATAAATTTAAATCAGCTTTTCTATTTCTCTAAGTAAATCCCACTGGTATTTTGAGTAAAATTATGTTGACTCTATACATATTTACTTCTCCAAGAACATTATAATTCTCTTGAATTATTTAGATCTGCTTAAAATTTCAATTAATAAAGATTTTAACTTTCCATTCCAATATTTGGCAAATATCTTTTTTAGGTGTATTTCAAGGTATCTCATATTTTTGATGGCCGGCCTAAATCATGAAATTAATTTCCATAAAGTAGTACATATTATTTTCTTACTAGGTTTTAGTTTCTGTTGGTAGTGATCATGTTCCCTTTTATTCATTCCTGATATTGGTAATTGGTGTTTTTCTTTTTCTTTGACTAGTCTTCCTATTTTCTCAGCTCTTCAATGAACCAACTTTTGAATTTCTTATTTATTTCCCTATGTATTTCTTTCTCTTTCAATAATTTTTGCTTTTAATTTTATTACTTTATTTTCTTATTACTCCCATTATTGGCAGGCAGATTTTTCTAGTTCATCCTTTATCTGAGTTTATAGTCCGTGGCTTTGCATGTGGTTCTCATTTCTAATTCCTTGTCTTGAGCAGCCCAATGGCCTTTTCTTGCATTTTCTTGTGAGATTTTTAAAAAGTTCAGACCCCAGTTTCCTGATATCAGCATGACTAATATTCACCATGATAATATATTCTGCCACACTATGGTGAAAGTATTGAAATATTTCTACAAAAGTTTGTTAACGACTGCTTTTCTGAGCTCCATGAGTGTCTTCTGGCCTTCCTGGCCTGGCTGGCCATTCGCACTTTCACATTGTACTGCTCATAATTCATCAGGGGTTTTCAGGACCCAGTTCAGTCAAAGTCTCTGCCTTTGTAAAATAGTGCTTACATATTACGAATGTCAGCTCTCAAATGTCATTTAGTATCCTTAGGTAGATTTAGCTTCTGAGTTTGCTTAGCATTTAGGTTTTTATCCTTTCTCTGCAGGAAGAGAGGGTGTGTTACTGGGATTTCTCCTTAGTTTTGGGGGGAAGTTAGCTAAGTATTTACAAAAATGGTTATTGGTTTTCTGCCATCTAGTATTTTATATTGGAAGGATTTTCCAGACTATCTAGAAGATTACATTGCTAGAAATAGAAATATCTTGCTTTTTCTCCCTTTCAATTGACTCTGTTTCTCTCAAATCTCAATCTTATCTTTATCAGTGATGACCTGGGGAACTATAATGCTATCTGCCATTATTTCTATGGAAAATTTTCAAATATCTCCTATTTGACTTAAAAACACAGTTTGGAACTTAATGTACACAAATATTTGGCCCAGCCATAGGGGAAACAGATTGCATGAAAAACTATTTTTACAGACACAGACAAAAAGGTTAACATGGGAATTATTTTCTGAGCTCTATAACTCTTTCCATCATGCACCTTCATCACCATTTGTGAAAAAAAATTGCTTCAGACAAACTCACAGGCATTGCTGGAAATGATACAATTGAACTATTGAGGTATAAAAAGTTACGAAAAGAACTAGTCTTTTCAAATTGAGTATTTTCTCCAGTGGTTGAATGAAATCTTCTATTTGTAACAAATCTAGGATGGTAGAATTATATACACAGCAGGCATAAATTGGAAAGAAAAATGAAGTAATTTGTAGTCTTGAATTAATAATAGTGATGTTTCAATCTGCAATTTTTTTTGACCTGTGAGAATTAACCCAAGCTCTATGTAAACACTTACGGAAGAATCACTTGATTAAGAGATTTCTAGGGGAAAAAAAAAGTTCAGTCACAAATATGTAAACGTTCATGAGCAATAAGTGATTTTCTTTGCAGTCAGAATCAACTGATAATTTTTACTTCAGTTTAAACGTATTACAAGTACATGTGTTTATACCTTACCTCTTGACACTCGTGAACTCAGTGAAAGAAAGTAAAAGAGAGATTTTTTCTTTCACATTTTCATATCTAAGAGAATGTCTTTGTTCAAACATCTAGGAACTCAACTGATGTGTACTATAAACAACTGGATGATTTGTTACATTGACCTCTAAGCTTTTAAATGCTTTTCTAGGACCAAAATGGAAGAAATGATAATGTAGCAAAATGAAGAATGTCAGAGAAGCCTATGTGAAACCAATCCAAAATGCTTCCGGAGCTAAAAACACGGTGCATATCCATGTGCAGCATTTGCCATTTTGAACATGAAAAGTGCTATTTACTGAATTGTATAGGTAGAAATCATTTGAAGTTACACTTTAGAAATTATATGTGTTATCTGTAATCTAAAACGCATTGTGCACTTAAAACATACATACATACACACATGCGTGTGTGTTCCTGTTTGCCTCTGTGTATATGTGCATGTGAGTGTGCAATGTTTATGAGAGTAGATAGTTGCAGGCCAGTTAATAATGTTCATTTGATTTAAGCAATGCAATCTATTATATTGGTTCAGAACATAAATATCATATATTATTCACGAAAGATATTTATCCTGTGTTGGCTCAATGAAGTAATTCTTTCTAGGTTTGGAGCTTAGTTCTAGCATTTGCCTACCACATGTTCTTTGGGCAAGCTTCTAAATTTCGTTCTGCCCGTTTTGTCACATGAGAAAGTGGGTATTATTATGCCTGGCATTGAAAAGAAATTCATTGTGAGAATTTCATAATATAGTTCCTACATAACCCATGGCACAGCATCAGCTAGCACAGTATCAGCATATTTGGTATATATTTAGTGTATGCCATTTTTATCAGTACTATCATCATTATTATATAATACTATAGTAAGATTTGAAATTATACCAACTTATTATAAAGTCCATTGTTATTGTGAGAAAGCACACTGTAAAATTTAACTTGAGGCTGCGCTAAAGGAGAGTGGGCATATTGCTTCTAGTAACACCAGCACTAGGACTTAGTTCTAGCTTCTCACACTGACTGCCATGTTGCATGCTTTACTTAGCTGCTTGGGTATGAGACATTTGCCTGTCTCTGTTACCAAATGTGTTCCAACTTTACACCAATCTCTAATGTATTTATAAAATACCTACATTATATTGTGCTTTCTTTCAAAAATTTCAAGCTGTGCACTTACCAACTCAATAAGACATGAGAAGATGTAGAAATTGAGATAATGGTAAATATTGAGCTAAACCTTTGGTGTATGCCTCTCCTCAAAAATCCTCCCACAAGAGGGCAACTCTTGGAGGGAGGGACCAACTAACACTACTCACAGTCAGAGGTTGTCAATGTTATTGTACCTATTTGAAGGGCTGGACATAGAGTCCTGAAATCCCAGACACTGGTCAGTGAAAGAGACTTTGTAAATGTAGGGAAAAATACTTTATCTTTTCAGGCATCTGAGACATGCTGTTAGAATGTACCTGACTTTTTTTACTTCTTACCCCAGGTATCTTTAAAACAGTAGTGAAATAACTCAAGTACCTAAAGTAGTCCTAATATTCTGAATCTAGTTTTTCTCAGCAAGCAGTAATAATAGCATTACAGCTGGTATATACTGAGTGATTCTTATATGCTAAAAATGGTGCAAGATTTTTATACATATTATTTTACCTTTCCTCAGGAAAATTTATAGATTAGGTGCTATTGATAATAGATTGGAGAGGAACACTGAAGCATAGAGAGATTTCATGACCTCAAAACAGACAGGATGAAAACCAGCAGTCATACTCTAGATCTTGAGACCCTCACTACTATCTTATACTGGCGCCATAATGCCTCAGTTTTAAAATAAATGAGTACAACTCATTTATTTTTTAGTACAACTATCACTAGCACAAGTAAGTTACCAACAATTAAAATAGGAAGGGAATAATTAAGAGATTAAAAAGGAAAATTGTGAAAGGAAAAGAGAATTGAAAAGGGCTCATGAATTTATTATTTGCAATGAATGTCATCAACAATTGCTTCAAAAAGTATTTAATACTCTTCATATCATAGGCTGACCATTATGAAGGATATAAGGGATTAGAGTGGGTGTTAGAGGAATGAGGAATGAAAATATCTAATTAAATCTACAATTGTGGAAAGTCTGCCCATTCTTCACCTCTAGGCTTAAAAGATTCTTTTATTTACTTTTTTCATTTTTTAGAAAATAAAAAATATACTTTTTTTTTTCATAGAGATGGGATTTCACCATGTTGCCCAGGCTGGTCTCAAACTCCTGGACTGAAGCAGTCCTCTAGCCTCAGCCTCCCAAAGTGCTGGGATTACAGGCATGAGCCACCACACCTATCTTAAAAGATTATTAAAAAGAGGTGAACATGTTATGAGATTTTATCATAAAATACATTGGTATATATTTTTGTTTCAGTGGAATGGGAATACAGGTTACATATATGTTCTTCAGTCTATAAATAGAAACGTATGTTTTCAATCTCATATCTAAAATAATTTTGCTGAATGTATTTACTCTGTGTGAAGCCCACAATACCAAAAATTAAAAATAAAAATCTGTCCCTTGAGAATATCCTGATCATGTCCAGTTGGCTCTATTCAAATGGAGTAAGAGAATAGTTTTACAACAATCTGGCTAAACGTACAACACTGAATCATCTAATCAAAGAACATTTTCAGTTTGACATTATTTCGTTCACTTGTGGTTTAATAAAACCCACTTCAAAGGCTTTTTTGCAACAACCTTAATAGCCTGCATTTCTACTGGGCCCAGCTTAAGTGTCTAAAAGTTTAAAAGCATGCTGATGATTCACAGCAAGTCAAGATATGTTGTTTGAGTGATTATCAGATGAATCTAGATGTCAACTTTGCTGAATTTATACATGCAGACTAAGCCAGTCTCTATGACATGTCTGAAAACATTGTGATAACCATTTGCTGTTATCCATACATTTTTATGAATGTTGCCCCTTGAAGACCCATTTCATCCTCAAAACATATATGAATATGCCCAGTACAAATCCTAAGAATTTACTCTGCATGTGAGTAACCAGAAGGCAAAAAAAAAAAAAAAAAAAAAAAAAAAAATTTACCCAAGATAAATGAAAACCTATTTTTACAAAACAACTGTATAGCAATATTGATAGGAGCTTCATTCTTAGCAGGTAAAAGTTAGAAAAAAAATTCAAGGTTTTTCAATAAGAAATGGGTATTAATTTTAGGTATATTTATATAATAAAATTGTACTCAGTACTAAGAAAGAATTAATAATTAATACATGCAGCAACATGGACAAAGGCTTCAAGCATTATGCTAAACGAAATTAGCTAAACACAAAAGAGCGCATTGTCTTTTACTCTATATGACATTCAAAATAGGCACAGCTGATCTATGTTATAAAAAATACAACATTTTTAAAATTTAATAAATATCACACATTATATAGTCAATGTTAGTTGCAATAGGGAAAGTTACGTGTGTGTGTAGATACATAGTGTTTACTCCTATTAATGTAACTTTAATTTTTAAGAATAATAAATGATTTTTTAAAACTTCTGTGTTTTCAGTTTAAGGACAGTATTTCTCATAATTTTAAGTACCGCATTTGGCTGTAAAGAAAAATTTAACAGCTCATATGGGTGCCAGTTACAGCCAATTACACTCCAGTTTTCCTGCCTTGTCACTACTCTACCTCTAAGAAGCCATGTCGCCTTTGAAAATGAAGAATTTACTGCTCAAAATCCAAACTATTAGGGTGTTTCTGATTTCACGAGTCCTTTATTGAGAAATAGTTTAGATACATAGCTTCAGGGGACAAGGCCAAAACCAATTCTAAACTATTTTCTCACAAAAGTTATAGCTTAAGGATATATATTATTGATGAACATAGACATAATTTACTTTAGGAAACCTCTTTGTTCACATTTCAGTCACTTTATTATAAACGATATGCATAGAAGAAGAAATAAGAGTTCCTACGCTACCTTTCCAACTGTTTGGGAAACACACTCATCAATTCAGCATTGATAACTTTTTCTTTACCATCTGACTCCCACCACCTCTTCTAAATCTAGGGCCAAAAACCTTCAGGTCATTTCACAGAATATTTCCTACCTCTTAAGCCAATATAAACACTGTAGGAAACAATTTAAAACAATCTAGGTTATACCTTCTTCAGGGAATGATGCTTCCACGTGGTTAAAAATATCCACACACACAGGCCCAAACATGAGCAAGGTCTTCTAGGAATTAGATGACAAACAGGGCCGTAAAAATATTACACCGTCATCTTCATACTTGAGCTTTTCAAAAAGCACCGTTCACACTGAAAACCATCTCTACTTGGAGCATTCACTTGTTGATTCTGCTATCTTTCATTCTGCAAAGTTGCCTACCTTTAGACATCCCTGTCAAATCAGTTTTTTTTCTTGGTTAACTCTCCAGAGAACTTAATATATTGTCATACCACCGATGAGCATGAATTCAGCTCTCAGCTGATAATAAACACTGAGCAAAAGTAAAGGCACTCTTTTCCAGGTCAAAAAAGATTTCAGACAACCTAGAAAGTTACTAACAAAATCATATCAATTATTTCAATTCACTCATTATCCCATTCTTCCATTATTACTAAAGTGACTATGAGCATACTAAGTTATTTCATGCATTCTACTTTGAGAAATTTTATTAAAATGTTAATATACACAAAAATAGCATGGTTTCATAAACTCTCACATATCCACTAACACCTCTAGCCGATTTCATAATTATCAATATATTACCATTTTTCCTTCATCCATAAAATTTGTTCTCTCTGATTTTAAAGCACATACTATAAATCTGAAAATTATATGGAATTTTTTACATAGTCATAATAGCATTATTCTACCTAGAAATATTAATAACAATTCCTTGGAATTATCAGATGCCAAATTGATACTATAATTTATCTTGTCTTTTTATGATTTATTATTTGAATAAGAAACAAACAGGCCTATAAATTGAATATGGTTAAAATATTCCGTAAACACATTTCGATCTAGAGAAATTATTTCTACTTTTCTATTCTTTTGTGAGGAAATTCACATTTCATTGCAATTATTTATTTCCATAAGTTATCTCCTTACCCATGTCTTTTCTTACTTTCTATCTTTATAGATATAGAAAATAACAAAAGGAGCATGTATTAGACGCTCAATTAAAAAAAATTATTTCCATAGGTTTTGGGGGAACAGGTGGTATTTGGTTACATGAGTAAGTTCTTTAGTGGTGATTTGTGAGATTTTGGTGCGCTCACCACCCAAGCAGTCAGTATACACTGAACCGAATCTGTAGTTTTTTATCCCTCACACTTTTCCCACAGTTTCCCCCTGAGTTCTGAGAATCCACTGTATCATTCTTACACCTCTGCCTCCTCATAGCTTAGCTCCCACTTACAAGTTAGAGCACGCAATATTTGGTTTTCCATTCCTGAGTTACTTCATTTAGAATAATAGCCTCCAGTTCCATCCAGGTTGCTGCAAATACCATTAATTCATTCTTTTTTTTATCATGGAGTAATATTCCATCATGAATACTACTGTGAATCAAGAAATGAATAATGAAATGAATGACTAAATGAATAAATAAATGAATACTACTTTGAATAAAGAAATGAATAAATTTGCAATGAGTGAATAAATAAACTGTGGTCCACAATTTTTTATGAGTTAAGGAGAAATCATTTAGGCTGATAGTGAGGGTAGGGGAGTCCTCGGTAAGGTTTTCCTTTTAGTGAAAAACAACCCCAAAATCATTTTATTTTCTAACAAACAGCAGCCTATGAAATCAAGCTGCAGACATAGACTAGCAAGCTGGAAGCTTTCACACATGAATGCCGGCAGTTGTGCCAATAGGAAAAGGCTACCTGCGATTAGGCATGTTCAAAATCGCAGCTCCGTCTTCTCTTCTCTTTGCCAAACCATGTGTACAGTAAGGAGAAGACAATACGGTGCAGGCCGGGCAAAGACCCAATTTGCATAATAAGATTAGGGTGGGGCGACCACCCATCCCTTCACGCTATGTAAATGTCACACTTGGTCGAACCAATTTGTGGGCCCTATGTTAACCACACACTGTCTCCTTAAGCCTGCCTATAAAATCTGGTGCTGTCTGCTGCAGGCTGGATTTTTCCTTTTGGGAGCCCCTCTCTCTCACACAGGGAGAGAGCTGTTCTCCTTTCTCTTTCTTCTTCCTATTAAACCTCCACGCCTAAACTCAGTCCTCTTGGGTGTCTATGTCCTTAATTTTCTTAGCGAGAGACTACAAACCCGGGGTATTTACCCCAGACAACTACCCCGCTTCATATTGGGAATCTCAGCCAGGATCCCAAGGTACATTCATCGGAACGGTGAGTAAAGGAGCAGACCCCAACTCTGTCCTTTCCTTTTGGTGTGTTGTTGTAATCTTCAAGAGTAGCAAATTTACGTGGTCATATTCTTGGCTTCTCTGCTTAAAGAATACAACATCCGACTGGGTGATTTTAGCCTACTTATAAACCACGGTTTATGGAGATGAATTTGTTCTTTCAAGCTGCTTTGGTTTTGAATGCATTCTGAGGAAAGAAAAGCTAAGAGTTTCTGCTGTAAATAGATCAGGCCACTGGTAACCTGGAACAGCTCACTGTGTTCTAGAACTATGTTCTGTTTCCTCTTGAGACTATCATTGGAAAATTGGCCCATCTCACTTCAAACATATAAATAATTCATACAAGTTGTCAAAAACATTTTGGACCTAAATTTAAAATCAACATTGTCCTCCCTAAAATAAAGTCCACATTGTCTCCCTCAAAAATAGAGTATAAAACAAATCCAGAATTAAACAGAAGATAAATTCCTATAAGTTATAAGCAAATATTTAAATAAATTTTGATAAGTATTTTTAAATAGTAAACTATAGTCATCTGTAAATATTCAGCTTAATTAAGTCTTTTTCTCCTAACATCTTAATAAAAATGTGGAAATCTGTAGAAGCCCATAGCCCGAGGGAACCAGTGTTATGCATTACAGTCAAAAGAAAAATGAAGATTTCTAGTTGGTTATTTTCCAATTAGCTTTATATCTGTTTCCCCAAACAAACACAACATAGTTTCTTGGTAATGTTTTCTACAAATAAATTCTTCTCACCTTGCTACTCAATTATTTTATTCACTTTGCCCTATTCTTACCCATTTAATTAATCATGATGTGTTTTGAATTCTGAAATTTACCTTTTCTTGATTGAAAGGAAAAATAAAACTGAAGAAGCAGACTTAGATGAACCAAGTGACCATGTTTTACTAATGTAGGTTATTTGTTGGAATTCAAATACACATTCTTTTTTTTTTTTTTTTTTTTTTTCTTTGAGACAGAGTCTCGCTGTGTCACCCAGGCTGGAGTGCAGTGGCGCCATCTCGGCTCACTGCAAGCTCCGCCTCCCGGGTTCAGGCCATTCTCCTGCCTCAGCCTCCCAAGTAGCTGGGACAAGAGGCCCCCGCCAACACGCCCGGCTGAAGTTTTTTTGTATTTTTTGTAGAGATAGGATTTCACTGTGTTAGCCAGGATGGTCTCGATCTCCTGACCTCGTTATCCACCCACCTGAACCTCCCAAAGTGCTGGGATTACAGGCTTGAGCCACCGTGCCTGGCCTCAAATACACATTCTTAAGCTTCCACCACTATGTTCGAAACATGTAACCAAAGTATCAATTCTCATGGTCTCAGAGTAGACTATATGTGGACTTATTCTTTGAATGAGACAAAATCTTAAATTACTCTCACCAGTAGAAGAGAAATACTGTGCAATGATATAGGGAGAATTTGACTTGGAAATTAGAACTTATGAGTCTCAACTCAGCTGTATTCTTAATGTTGTATGTCATTTATGGATAGAATACAAATAAATGTGAATAAGGTACAAAACTTCCATGAGCCAGTGTCCTCAGAAGTAAAATAAAGAAGCCAATATTTAGAAAAATGTAAATTATATAATAATTAAATTCTATATACCACAAATTTCCATAGAAAATATATAACTAAGAGACAATCACCATGGTGGTATGAAGTATTTTTTAAAGCAAAAATCACTAACTTTTCACATGTTAGTACATAACAGAATCCTAGTTTGTGAGACTAAAATAATCCGATTATTATTTCTGCCTAATATGTCATATTTCAATAGGACCAAAGGTTAATTATTAGGGGAAATGACTATGTCATTCTTGGACCCTTCTGTATAAAACATAGTAAAGATTGTGTAGCATTGTTTTGCTAATTTTGATATTTGGGGATTTTTTTTTTCATTTTTACTTAATAATATTTAAACCTGAGTGCCATTCACTTGATACTGGTTTTGAAGTTCTGTCTTAGTTTGGGTTTCACAGAAGCCAATCATGATATAAGCACCAATGAAGTAGTAGAGAAAGTAAGAACAGAGAAGAAAGGCCAATTTAATGTTAATTAAGAGGATTGAGCAACTGGATTCAAGTGTGTGAGGAAACTGAATACTACACAGAAACACTTCAAAATTGTCCTTGAGAATGGAGAAGGAAGGATATTTATACACCAATCCCTTCCCTCATTAGTTGAGGGAAGTTCTAGCCAAATTTCTATCCAGGAAAAGAAGGAGAGAAAATAAATAGGATCAATGTGACAAATGACAGAGGAGTTATAATATATCCTAAATATATTATCAGTATAATAATAAAGGATTACATACAACTTCATGCCAATTATTTGGCAACTTAGATGAAACAGACAAACTACTTGAAAGACACTAGCTACCCAGCCTCACATAAGTAAAAATAGAAGTAAAAAAAAATATTGAACACTTACAGTGTTCAGGAGTCATTGTGGAGGTGAGGAAAGATAAAGGAGAATATTCAACAAGACAGAACAAGAATATGTCAGAGAAATAAAAAAGGTCTTGAAAGATGCAAAATCACAAAAGACGAAAGAAAAGAATATTTCACAATATGACAAAATATTTTGAAATGTTTATTGATAATAGGGTTGCGCAAGTTATGGCTGACCTACAAGAGAATGGTTTTAGTAGAATAATAGGAGTAGATGCCAAATTACAACAACTCAGAGAATATGTAAATAGTTGGATAGTTGAAGAAACTATATATAAAGTACCACTTCAAGAAGCGTGTTTACTGAGACCAGGTACATCCATGGTCATCTAAAATGTTTGTTCGCATATTTTCTACTCCTTTAACACATATGGTACTCAGCTATTTAGAGGTGTGAAACTTCACGCTTAGCTTTTGGACTTTCACAGTTCTTTGCCTACTTTATCCTTCTGGGTTCACTCGACTTTTCCAATTTCCCAGTCTCAGTGAACCCATGCACATACAAACACATACTCATTCTTGAGAAATTCTGTCTGTTTCTTATGAACAACCTGAGTGGGTTTCTGAGAACCACATCAGCACTTAAGACATTACATTGTATGTATTTGTTTAAATGTATGCCTCTGTGAGATTCTAAAGGCAAAAATAATGTTTCATTCTTTGCTGATTCAACCAAACACCACATGTTCTCACTCACAGGTGGGAATTGAACAATGAGAACACTTGGACATAGGGTGGGGAACATCACAAACCGGGCCTGTCATGGGGTGGGAGAAGGAGGGAGGGATAGCATTGGGAGATACACCTAATGTAAATGACAAGTTAATGGGTACAGCACACTAACATGGCACATGTATACATATGTAACAAACCTGGACGTTGTGCACATGTACCCTAGAACTTAAAGTATAATAATAATAATAATAATAATAATAAATAAAAATAATTTTAAAAAAAGGAAAAAAAAGAAAAGAAAAACTTTCTGTGGTCCCCAGGGATTGCAACTTTTTGTAATCCATTGTAGATTGTCCTCTTACCTACAAACATCTCACTTCTTTTCTTATTTCTTTGGCACTGGGAGTAAATTCTAACACCCCGCTATTTCTTCAACTAAAAGCAATTACAATGCCCCTCCTGAAAAGGCAACCTATCTTTGACTCTCTAACTTAGCCAGACTAGATTTGTTTTAATTTTTTATGTTGTCATGACAACTTACTCCAAACACACTCAAATGGGCCATAAATTATTTTAATTCCCAGACTGCACAATTCCTATTTTCTCTTCTTGCAACATTTCTTTCATACTTTCCACTCATCCTTCCTTTACTTAGCTTATTAATGGGATATACACTTTCTTGTAAGTAGAGATCAACTGTGAAATCAGGTTATTATTCTTACTAGTCAAGATATAGGAACAATATGTGTTCCCTGACAAATAAGTGGATAAAGAAACTGTGGTGCATATATACAATGGAATATTTTTCAGCCTTAAAAGAAGAAGAGAACTATACTGCCATTTGCAACAACATGGATGAGCCTAGAGGACATTAGACTAAGTGAAATAAGCCAGAAACACAAAGACACATACTGTGTTATCTCACTTATATGTGGACAGTCTGAATATGCATTTAGGTAGGACAAATAAGTCTAGAGATATAATGTATAGCATAAGGCCTATGGTTAATAATATTGTGTTGTATATAAAAATTTGCTAAATGAGTAGAAGTTAGGTATTCTTATCAAAAATGATTACTATGAAAGGTGATGAATATTGCTAATTTGACTGTATTAATCATTTGACTATTAATGTGTATGTCAGAAGATTATATTATACATTTTAAGTGTGTACAAAAAAAATGAAGTTAAAAAAGTGAAATTGAGTTAATGATATTGAAAATTATCTTACCAGTTCAGAGTTTGTAGGTAAACTCTTGTCCATGAGGCCATCTGTAGGTGTATATTCCTGACTTGTAGAGCTCTCAATACTAGAGCATTGCATTAGAATGGAAAAGGAAGGGAGTCAGTCTACCTCCTTTTACCTACATATCATAAGCACATTTTCCCTCCTATTCTATTCATAAGAGCTTAGTCTATTGGTTACATCTGGCTGCAAATGATACTGGAAAATAGCATTCATTCTTGGCAACCAGCTAATATTCAAGGTTCTCTTACTATAAACAAAAATAGGAGAAAACATTGGGGCTACAACCTGCTGTCTCTGCTACAGTCTACCCTTGAATATTCAAATACCCAAGTTCAAGCTTTTATGCAAAAACAGAACACACTCATCCTCTCTAAACTGAACCTTACCAAAGAGAGGACCAGCCAAGCCTGCTCAGAGACTACACCTACCTTGAACTTCAAGGTGACGCACAGTCCTAGCCCTCAGGTGTAGATGTGGCTCTCATTAACTGGAAAATTATAAAATGAGAGCAATTTGTCTCTCACCATATTAAGGTATAATCATATACAGTAGGAATAAGATTAGCAGAATAATAATTCACATTCGGAAAGAGGAAAATGACAAATACAGAAAGAACTGATCAAAAAGGAAAGATAAAATCCTATCATATGGTGACTAAGAAAACTCCTGTTCTGAGAACCGAATGAGGTCTTTGGTAAAATGATCTGGTAGCTTCTGGTTCAGCTCTTCAAGAGGAATGGAAATCTCTACCTTTTTTTTCCCCCCAAATCCCCGATGTTTTGACTTCTGAGGGATTTTCCCCTACTTTTTATCCTCAGTGGATATAGCAGAAGTTGACATTTCACTATGTGCCCTGCATAGGCCTGCACATTTTTCTCAGACTGACTCATATTGGAGCAAATTGGAGTCCAAGGGGGAGCTTTAAGTTTAAGTTGTCATAGTCTTTTACAGGCCAGGCTTGTGATTTCTTCAAGTACTCTTTGAAAGATCTTTTTTCTTCCTCAGGTCCATGTGCAGGCACCAACAGTCAAAGATCACCTCCAGAAATATTTTTTGAGCCTGAAGGGCATGTTTCTTTACTTACTGGCCTCCATGTTCTGCTTATTTCTCTTTCAAGGAACTGATGGTACCATGAGGCCATTTAAAGCAATAACTTTAATTGGAAAAGCAACACCTTAATTAGATTTTTTGTCAATGGCCTGGTTCTCATGGACAGGCAGATAATCATAGTAGGAGATGCTTGAAATGGTTTGGGTAACAGGTTTCTCTCTTTTTACAGCCGTCCTGTTGCAAACAACTGCATTCATTTC
The DNA here is from genome assembly GCF_000001405.40 of Homo sapiens. Classification (NCBI taxonomy): domain Eukaryota; kingdom Metazoa; phylum Chordata; class Mammalia; order Primates; family Hominidae; genus Homo; species Homo sapiens. The sequence goes on along the minus strand of NC_000007.14, from coordinate 9,183,846 downwards.
AGAACTGCGAGTAGTTGGTTTTGTCAATACTGTCAATGTGGTATTTTCACATTACCAGGTTCTAAGTTTACTTAGACATATCAAGTTCAAGAAGTGCTTGAATTTATGTTAATTGATTTCCACATACTTCAGTTACACATTTTCTAACAGCATTAGCCAGACAGAGATAAATTGGATACATTGGAATAAATATAGATGCATTTTCTGCAGGCTATTTTTCTAATATAATAGCAATTTAACAGTTTGAAGTGTCATTATCAAATGTGTAGTTTAACTCATACATTTTACAAATGCACAAACTAGGCCAAATCCAGTTTCAAACTAAGATATTTTATTCCATAAACAATGCAATATCTATCAAAAAGCACCATTGCACAATTGTTTGCGTAAATAAAACTGTCTTTGAACTTGATATGTTTTGAAAGTGGCCATACATTTTTGTATTCTGATTTGTTTTTCTGGCATATAGAACCTTTGAATCTTTAGAATTAAATATAATGAAAAAAAGAAAAGTGATGAAAGGTTGAGGACTGTATTTTTATTATCAATTTTTATTGCACTGATAAAAAATGAAAAAGAAGATTAAAAACTGATTTAAAAATTAATCCTTAAATCTCTTCTTCAAGTGATTTCAGTTTCCAATTAATAAGATGAGATTTTAAGATTTCATATTACATACAATGAGATTTGTGTTATTGTCTTGGTTGCTGCAAATAACCAGGGTTTAGTTTATTTTAAAAATAAAAATAATCCTTGAATCTCATTTTAGTAGGAGATTTGATGAGTAGGAAAGAGAAGTCACTAATCTGCATATTACTTACTTGTAGTCATACTGGCTCTCCCTTGGAAACAATATTTAGATATAAGATAGAGAAAAAAAGTGAATAGTCACAAATAAAAGACTATTTGCTAAGTCAGGAATAAAATTCTTGGGAACACTGATATTTTGGCAAGTTTACCACCTCACTTAATTATTTCTCAGATAACCTTGTGCTGGATGCCAAATTGGACCTTTCTAAAAACTGTTTGAGGAAAACTTAAATTCAAGTTTAAAACGTGTAGGAAATAAAAATGTCTGCACAGCATTTCTTTTGGATGTTATTCGTCAGGACCTTTCTCCTTCCAGATAGTAAAAAACGTCATTAACCTTTATAATAAATTATTGTCACAAATAAATATTCTGCCACTTTATTTGGGGGGAATTTATTGATCGTTTTCCTCCAGATTTAACACTGTACTAAGGCAAAGAGGTGCATAACCAGAAGAGTTTGTGACAAAATTTTACTTTCAGTAAGTTTAAAATATGCATATGCGGGCAAGATTCAAGCCTTTCGAGATTGACTAGCTACCAGTAATTTTCTAAGTAAATACAAAGATGAAAGTAGGGAATGAGCAAAAGTTTAGTACCAGGTAGATCTTTGTTTTATTATTGAATCTTTCACATATTAGTTGTATAATTATCCACAACTAACTCAAACACTGAATCTCGGTATTCTTATCTGTAAATTAGGGATAGTGGTATCTAACAGTGTTATTGTAAAAGTAAAGGTAATATGTTTAATATTTGTTGGTTAGTGAATATTCAATTCAATTAACACAAGAAGATAAAGTATTATTGCATAAATTAGATGTACGAAACAATTTAAAAATGTGAGAAAGTAGTAAAAGTCATCTTGTGCTATAATGCTGTTATAACCACATATAAAACCCAGGGGCAGTTTGGGGGAATTGTAGCAAACACTAATGAGGCATTAGATACTGTTATTATCCCCATTCCCCATTTTACAGATAAGGGAGTTGAGTCACAGAGAGCTTAATGATCTGCCTTAAGTTGAGTAGCTAAGAAGTAGATAGGTTACATTGTGCCCAGACACAAAGGCAAAGAGTTTAAATGCTTTATCCCACTGTCATCCTGCCTTCTTTGTTTCACATTTGGTAAGTTGCAAACAAAAACTTAAGCATTTTATTCTAAATGGTGTACAACACAATTAGCAAAACTAGAATTATATTTTTGAAACTACTGAGGCATTCAGAAAGGTGGAAAAAAGCAATCCTACATAAGATATAGGAAAATGAAACAAAGAAAATGGCAAAAAAAAAAACTTTAAAAAGAGAAAACACAAAATAAGAGAACTATATTAGTGCAAAACATGTTGCATTTATTATTTCATAAATGCAAACAGTATGAGTTCATCTACGAAAATGAAAAAAACTCTATAGAATTGATTAAAAGAAAAAGCTCAACCATATGCTCTGTATGACTTAAGCACTTTGCTGGAAATGACTCAGGCAGTTTAAAAGTAAAAGATTAACAATTTCATGAGTTAAATGCAAGCAAAAGGAAAATAATAATGAGATTATTCCAGACAACTCTTCAGTTCTTGACACATAAAACCAGAAACCTTGATGATTCTCATCAACTGTGAAGATTGTTTATTTTCATTAATCTAGTTTTTATCTCCATAGCAGGGCCAACCAGCTTTTCTCTTCCATTTTTCTCATATCATGTTGTCACTGACATCCAGCCAGCTTCCTCAGGCAGAAATCTGAGGGCCAGTTACTCCAATGTCTCCTTCACAAACTGCAAATCGGTGATTAGGTTCCATACCTAAATATCTCTTAAATTAATTATCTTCACTACATATTCACTCTACTATCATCCTTCATTCTCTTATAAGAATAATGCAACATTTTTTTAAATTAGCCTTTTTAATCCTGTCTTGCTTCCGCCAAAGCCATCCCCTACCCAATACCTTTATGTCTTAATTCAACAACATAACAAAAACAAATAAATCTAAGTTAAGTGCATATTGCATATTAGGCCTTGTACTGGAGCTAAGATGATGAATAAATCCTACACAGTCTCTGTCCTCAGAGAAGTTTTAGGCTGCTGGGAAATATACACACACACGTACGCTACCACTACCACATTACTTAAGTTCATAGTAAGAGCTGACCACGACAACCTAATGTTTCCTTCAACTTAACCAAACTTCAGATAGGCTTCTTCTTGCCTATGAAGCCCTGACCTCCCTCTCACTTCAGCCTCCACAGAATCCAGATAGCCTAATTAGAGAGGTCCATGACCTCCCTTTCCTTAGAGCACTTACTTAAAGAAAACTTCTAATTATAAATTAGTCTGATCCTTTGAGATTTAAATCTTTTTAAAAGCCTTCTGCCAGTTTCACAACCCAGGAATGTCTTTCTCAAGTACCTGGGAGCCAATTTTTTGAAATATAATCAAGGAAGATAGGGCCTCTATCTCCCAGTTTCGGTGAAATGGTAGGAGCTTAAGTTCTCTGGGGACCTTGCTGTAGTTGTAAAACTACCTCCTGCCCTGAAGATATGAGAAAGTGTACTTTTCATTTGGGTAAAGCCGATTATCAAACACAGATGGCCTAAGATCTCCCTCCCTCATCCACATCTTAAAAATTTCTCTGCCCTTTGTTTATGTGAAAATTGAGTTGAGACTGTGCTCTGGTTTCTCTACCCTATTTCAATAGCCTTGAAAAAAGTCTTCCTTCATTGTTTACCTCTATCCAGTGCAATTTTTGATTTGACAAACTTTAGGAAGAGACAACCTGGACTTGCATTCACCATCTTCACATGGATGGCTTCCTTTCATCCCCAGTATCAGTTCAGATATCACTTCTTCACAGTGGCTGTATCTAACCTGTTCTTTTTCTTCAGAGCACTTATCCTGAGTTGTAAATACATATCAACTTGTCTTTATTCCTTTAATTTCCTACAAGCTAAAGTTCAGCAAAGTGTCTGGCTCACACCAATACTTCAGCTGAATGAACACACGAACATGGACAATCTGGGGCTTTGAGACTAAGACAAGTGATTAGTAGGAGCTACTCAGGCAAAGGTGTAAGAGAAGAAATGAGATTAGAGTCTTGTAAGAAGAGAAAAACATATGGATACACGTCTTAAAGCAATAAGGAGCTTGATGCAATTCAGGAGCTTTGCAATAAACAATGCTAGATGGAGATTAGGATAATAAGGAAAGCTTCATGAGCTGAGGGTACTGAGATAAACTGGGGCTACATTGACCCAGACAATGTAAGTTAAAATCAGCTAAACAAATTTTTCTAGGACATAAATCTATATGTCTTTTCTCTGCTTTAAATCATACAACAGTCTCTCATTTGCTTCAGAAAGCCATACTATAACATGCAAGAGCCTTCATATTCTGCTTTCTGCTTACAAATCTAGGTTCTTCTTTTACCTTGCTCCTCATGGATCCCAAATTTCAGTTATACTAAACTGCTTGCAGTTCTCCTACTGTGCCAGGCTTCTTCTAATTTAGCTTTTGATGTATTGCTCTTTCTTTGACTTGACATTTGGCTAACATCTATCTATATTTTAGAATATAGCTCAACTGCTGAATATTCCTGCAAGATGTCTTCACCACTTTCCACTGCATTTAGGTTAAATGAACTTACCCTGTCCTGCTCAGTACTCATGGGACTGTCTCCATCATGTTACTCACCACGTACTTTCATACGTGTGGTTTAAAGTCTCTCTGCAAACTACCACCTTCTGCCACAACTACACTGTGAACCCTTGACTAGAGGAAGAAATGTGCACTAATTGTCTTTGTTTTCCCAGTACATCCCACCATGTCTGACATACAGTAGATACTGTAATTAATAAGTTAGTTTGTTATTGGATGAATGGTTAAGAAAATAAGTAGCTTCACAAAGGAATAGGGAAGGACACATTACCACTGCTTATACATTTGATCCTCTGCTCTGCAAGCAAAATCATTTGGCTGATGTGGGAGTGTGCCCTGCAGTGTGGCATCCTGTCAAGGATGGGTTCCCACCCAGCACCCTGAGCTGCGGGGATAGCCCTCCACCATCTGCAACCTTGAACTGGAATAAGCAGGTAAATAATTATGTTACTTGTTTTTATTAATTTGTCTTACTTGTATGTATGGCTTACATTTATTTCAAAGTTTAATATTAGAAGTACTTTGGTCTTCATCTAGAAGTATTGGTGATTCTAAATATCACCAATATTAGAAGTATGTTGGTCTTAAACTAGAGTCTAGTTTAAACTAGGGTTAAGCTTATATCAGTTATGGTTTCTTTATATGTTGTTTCCCTTAAAGTTACAGTTTCTCAAGAACCTACTGACAACGTTAAGTGAGGTCTTAATGTATTTCTAGCTTCTCTGCTTCCCTCTGAGTGAAGTTCAGATTTGAAATTATCATTTCATATCCAACATAGTAGCATTGACAAAATACCAATTATGTTATTCAATAATTCTTGGGCAATAAAAATTGAATGGGTTACATTCATGGATAGGTAAAGAGGATAGGGCTAAGAATGAGTCTAGAAATCTATATTTGCTTTATTTTGCTGTTGTAACAAATAGCCACAAATTAGTGACTTAAACCAGTACAAGTATATGATCTTACAAAGTTCAAAGTGGATCCAACTAAGCTAAAATCATGGCGTCAGTAAAGCTGCATTCTATCTGGAGGCTTTAAGGGACTATTGCTCATGTCACTCCAAACCTCCGTTTTCATCATCACATCTCCCTCTGTGACTCTCCTGCTTCCTTCTTTCCATGTGATTCTTTTTTAATTACAAAGACCATTGTGATTACATTGATCCCACCCAGATAATCCAGAATAATATCACCATGTCAAGACTCTTAATTTCATTTACAAAGTCTCTTTTACTACCTTTATTAATTTTCTTGGGCTACCATAACAAAATACCATATACTGAGTAGCTTAAACAATAAGACATTTATTCTTTCACAGTTTTGGAGGCTAGAAGTCTGAAATCATGTTTTTAACAAGTGCAGTTCTGGATGCTCTGAGGGAGTCTCCATTCCATGCTTATCTTGCAGCTTCTGGTGTATCCTCCCAATCTTTGATGCTTCTTGGCTTGTAGACTCTAACATAATATAGATACTCCTATCTCTGCCTCGATCCTCACATGGCATCTCCCCACTTTGTACATGTACAATTTGTACATGATCATCTTCCCTCTGAATGCCTCTGTGTTTCTCTTGTTATCAGGACATGAGACACTGGATCAGGACCCACACTAATCCAGTGTGACCCATATTAACTAATTGCATAAATACATGTACTATACCTACAACTCACTTCAGTTAGAAATGAAAAGCATCCACTGTAGATGGAATAATCCATCTAGAGTGGAAGTAACTACAGAAAAAAAACCACATAATTATATTATAGCAAGTGTTGTTGAGTTAATCAAGACACACACTCATTGCTACTGTATGTGTTTGCCCTTAGGCTTTTCATACAGCTCAGAGGATAGTAAAGTAGTTATTAATTTTATCAAATTACTCAAACTGTATAATAAATGCCTTGTTTTTTCCTCTTGCTCTGTGTATTTTATCTGCAGCTGATATATTTGTTGTACCGGAAGTACCAAAGACATCTTTGAAAATTTCTAAAGAAGTTATTCTGAATGAGGAAATAAAATATGACTATTTGCAATAGAATCAGCAAGAGGCATTTCTCTCTCTCTCTATATATATACACACACACACACACATATATTTAATAACAGGCCTTCAAAATAATTTCTTAGGGTTTATGATTTAGTTAAATAACTTTTTTAGAGAATAGTAGAATCCATGTTTATAAAACTAATGTTCTTGGGATATTTTAACAATTGTTGTATTTCTGTCATATCAGAATTTAAAAAGTTGAGCAGAGGAGCTAGTTCCTATGTAGCATCAAGACATTGCACTAGGAATATAGCCAAAGGTGAAGGAAGACTTGATGATCTGTCTCTTTCATCTCCCTATTACTATTTCTCCCTATTACTAACTATTGTTATAAATGGGGACGTTTGACCTGTTTCTAAGTCTGGAGGCTATTTTAATGGCAAATACAATAGTTTTTCTATGTTGCCTATTATTTTATTTCTGTTGTCTCACAAAAGTCTTAAAAATATGTATATATATAATTTTATATTTGTATACACACACACATATATATATATATTCAATACTACTGAATATACATACTAAATTCTGGTTTTCAATACATGATTATACTGAAATAGGGATTAGGTAAAGAGTCAGAAATAGAATTTGTTATCTGGGTCAAAAATGTGACAGAAATGACTGTGGTTGGAAAAATATGGTTTTGCCCAGTTTTCTGTGTTATTTTAGAAAGGGGTTGCATGAAAGGTTAATACTATTTGTTAATCTTGACTAAGGAAGAGAAACACAGACAAGTGAAGCTAATTTAGAAGATCAGGACAAAAGCATAGATATAGATCTGATTATATGTGTCCGTGTGTGTATGCAAATAATAGTCATCTGTCACATTTATCAAGTTTTATTTAAACTTGAAAAATATAATAAATTAATACAGCATTTCTCTAAGTTCCTAATTCTGTTAAACCAATTGTCTTTCTAACAATTAGTAAATATTGGTTTGAAAAGTTAGAATTGCTATTTTAATTGGTAGATCTAGGAATGTTTTAATGTATTTAAAAAAAAAAAGAATGAAACTTTTACTCACACCTAATAATAAACACAGGAGCAGAATTCAAGAAGTAAAGTAACTTCCCTCCTAAACATTCGGGTCTTCTCCCGGAAAAGACAAGTAGAGAATGGAATGTAATTTCTAAAATGGATCCTTTACAAAGTCACATTGTGCTTCTTAATGACACATAGTTCCTGATAAGCATTCCAAATTACAAGGTAGTTGTTTAAATAGAATTTAAACCAAGGGCTTCATTGACATGCTTCCTAAAACAAGGGGCTCTTTTAATTACAAAAATCTATGCTGCTTTCTTTCCTGGCAGCGTTTGTGGGGGCTCCCTTAGAAAATTCTCACAGGCAGCCAAATGCAGGAAACACACAGAGGTCCTTTGCTTTGCATAGTTGCCTAACACTCCACACTCTACATATCCATAAACCTTCCAAAGGCCAGGAATCAATGAATGTGTTCCTATCAGATTTTAAATCGTCAAGGGAATGAACAAAACGGAATACATGTTACTTTATTTTCACTTTTTATTGTTCTATAGCCATATGACACAAGATATTGGCTCACTTGGTCTCTGTTCACTATACTTCAGGGGAGGACAGTAAAGATAATTAGCAAAAGTACTGTTCATTACCAATTATACCTTCTACCTTAATCAGATTTGATTTTTCTCTCCCACCACAAAAATTCTGATGAGTTGTGTACCTATATATATGCATGTGTTGGATTCACCTACATAACCTCCTTTTGTCTACCCAGAGATCATCCCTCGTTTGAACCTTTACAATTTCTGTAGATTGACAGCCCAATAATTATCTGGTCCATATGTTTTCACTTAACATTGGTGCTGCTGACATATCTGTATTGTTTCTGAAATAGTGTAATATTTCAATATTAATAATACAGAGATCCTGTGTACCTTTTTTCCCAGTTTTCTCCAGTGGTAATATCTTGCAAAAATATACCAGAATATCAAAATCAGAATACTGATATTGATATAACCCACCTATTTTATTGAGATTTTCCTGGTTTTACTTGTGTGTGTGTGCATATGTGTATTTAGTTCTATACAATGTTAACATATGTGTAGATTTGCATATTTACCACCATAGTCAAGATACAGAATAGTTCTATCAAAACAAAAGTCCTTTGTTTAACACCTTGATAACTACACTCACCCTTCTATATCCCACTTTGATATCTATAATCCCTGGTTGTTATATTTAGTTTTATAATTACTTTTTATTTATTGCCAGAACTACTGATTTTATTGTTATTGATATACTTCATTTTTAAATAAATTTAATGTAAATTAGCATAAAATATGTGCAGATTTAGAAAACATTTAAAGAAAATTACAATACAGGTTAATGGGGACTTGAAAAATGTATGAAAAATCAACAAAGTTTAGGAAATATTGCACTTGGTGATAATATGGGGAGAGTTAATGAAATAGGCTGAAGAAATTACTTAAATCAGAGCATATGTTGTACATTCAGGGGTTAGAGCAATGATTCTCAAACTTTAGTGTGCTTAAGCACCCATCAAAATCACCTGGAATTGTTAAACACTGATTACTAGGCACCATTCCCAGAGTTTCTGACACAGTAGGTCTGAAGTCGGATCTTGGAATTTTCATTTCCAAAAAATTTCCAGATGGTGTTAAGCTGCTAGTCACATTTTGGAAACCACTGGAGTAGGCTTCTGTTGGGTAAGGCTCATGTTGAATACTGGGACTGAGAAGTAGGAGCTCAAATGAAGGAAGATGACTGTCTGAGAAGTCTTTATGTTAACAGGCAATGTGAAACAATTATAGGTTTCAGAAGCAAAGACATGTGGCTAAGGCAGACTTTAGAAAGAATAATGTAGTGATCACTGAGCTAAACAATTTGAGAGCAAAATCTATGAAAATAGATTCAGAGGCAGAGCAACATGGCAGAATAGAAGGCTTCACTGATCATCCCCTCATCCACGAGGATACCAACTCAACTACCTACGCAGAAAAATACACCTTCATAAGAACGAAAAATTAGGTGAGCACTCATAGTACCCGATTTTAACTTCATATTGCTGAGACACTAAAGAGATAGGAAAAACAGTCCTGAATCACTGATGCCAGCCCTCTTTTAACCACTGGTAGCAGCTGCCTAGCACAGAGAGCATCCCTGGGCACTGGGAGAGGGAGAGCACAGAAATTGTTAGGCATTGAACTCAGTGCTGTTCTGTTGGAGCAGATGGGAAAACCACACCAAACTTAGGTGACACCTGCCCATGGAGGGAGCATTTAAACCAGCTCTAGCCGGAGGGGAATTGCAGATCCCAGCAGTCGTCTGAACTTGAGTTGCTGCAAACCTTCCACCAAGACCTACAGTGCTGTGTCTCCAAGTAAACATGAAAGGCAGTCTAAGCCATAAAGACTGCAACTCTGAGGTGAGCCCTAGTGCTGAACTAGGCCAAGAGACAGTGGAATGGAGTGGTATACAACAAGCTGAGACACCAGCTGGGGCAGCCAAAAAGGTGCTGACAAAACCCTACTCCTAACCCCAGGCTTTACGAAAGAGACTCCTTTCTTCCACTTGAGAATAGGAGAGAGAAGAGTGGGGAGGACTGTGTCTTGCATCTTGGATACCAGCTCAGTCAAGGCAGGATAGGGCACCAGTCAAAGTTGTGTTCTAAGGACCCTGTTCTAAGTCCTGTCTCCCAGATGACATTTCTAGACATGCCGGGAGCCAGGAGAGAACCCACTGCCTTGAAGGAAAGGAAACAGTCCTGGCAACATTTATCACCTGCTAACTGAAGATCCCTTGAGCCCTGAATAATTAGCAGTGATACCTAGGTACTACACAAAAGGTTCTGGGTCAACCTCTGAGATTTGCTGGCTTCAGATGAGACTCAGCTCATTACCAAATGTGATGGCTATGGGACAAAACTCCTTCTGCTTGAGAAAAGCAGAGAAAAAAGTAAAGGGGACTTTGCCTTGCACCTAAGGTCGGATCGTGGCCATAGAGGTATAGAGCACCAAGTGGGCCTTTGAGGTCCCTAATTACAGGACTTGACCCTTGGATGGCATTTCTGGACCAGCCCTGGGCCAGAGGGGAGCCCAAAGCCCTTAAAGGGTGAGATCTAGGGCAGGCAGCATTCACCACCAGTTGACTGAAAAGACCTTGAGCCTTAAGGAAACATCAGCAGTAGCCTAGCAGTAGTCCGTGTGGCCTGGGGTGGTGGTGGCTACAGAATGAGACTCTTCTGCCTTTGGAAAGGGGAAGGATGAGAGGGAAGGACTGTGTTTTGTGATTTCAGTGCCAGTTAGCCACAGTACAATAGAACACCACGTAGACCTCTAAGGTTTTGTATCCTAGTCCCTGACTCCAAGACAGCATCTCTCAACCCACCCAGTACTTGGGGGACCTCACTATGCTGAAGGGAAGAACATAGACATGAATGGCTTTGCCACCAGCTTATTGTAGAGTCCTAGGGTCTTGACCAAACATAGGCAGTAAGCCAGGGAGTGGTTACAGCAGGTCGTTGGTGAGACCCAGGGCTGTGCTGGCTTCAGGTCTCACCTAGCATGTCATAGTGGTGGTGACCACAGGGGTGCTTGTGTCATTCCAACCCCAGCTTTAGACGGCTCAGAACAGAGGGAGAGAGATACTGTTTGCTTGGGAGAAAGTAAGGGAAGACAACAAGAGTCTCTGCATGGTAAGCCAGATAATTTTCCCTAATCTTGTTCAAGACCATCTACAAGTCTTCAAGAACCACAGTGTCACTGGCCTTCAGATGCCTCCTAAAGCAATATACCTTAGATCACAATACCCAAATCCTTTCAAATATCTGAAAAGCCTTCCCAAGAAGGACAGAAAGAAATAATCACAGACAGTGAAGACTACAATAAATACCTAATTCTTCAATGCCCAGATACTGAAGAACATCTATCAGCATCAATACCAACCAGAAAAACATGACTTTACCAAATAAACTAAATAAGGCACTAGCAACCAATCCTGGAGAAGCAGAGATATGTGACTTTGCAGACAGAGAATTCAAAATAGATATGTTGAGACAACTCAAAGAAATTCAGAATAACGCAGAGAAGGAATTCAGAATTTTATCCAATAAATTTGACAGAGGTTGAAATAACTAAAAAGAATCAAGCAGAAATTCTGTAGCTGAAAAATGCAATTGGTATACTGAAGAATGCATTGGAATCCTTAGCACAATGAATCAAGCAGAAGAAACAATTAATGAGCTTGCAGACATGCTATTTGAAATTACACAGAGGAAATGGAAAATGAATTTTAAAAAGTGAAGCACACCTACAGGACCTAGAAAATAGCCTCAAAAGGGCAAGTTATTGGCCTTAAAGAGCAGGTAGGATAGGGTTAGAAAGTTTATTCAAAGGAATAAAAATACAGAAATTCCCAAACCTAGAGAAAGGTATCAATATAAAAGTACAAGAAGGTTATAGAACACCAAACAGATTTAACTCAAAGATTACCTCAAGGCATTTAGTAGTCAAACTCCCAAAGGTCAAGTATGAGGAAAGGATCTGAAAAGCAGCAAGAAAAAAAAAATAACATAGAATGGAGAACCAATACATCTAGCAGCAGAGTTTTCAGTGGAAACTCAAAAGCCAGAAGAGAGTGACATGACATAAAGAGCTGACAAAAAGAAAAAAAAAAAAAAAGCTTTTACCCTAGATCAGCATATACAAAAAAACATTCTTCAAACATGAAGGAGAAATAAAGACATTAGCTGACAAACAAACACTGAAGGACTTCATCAAAACTAGTTCTGTCCTATAAGAAATGCTAAAGGGAGTATTTTAATCAGAATGAAAAAACATTAGTAAGCAATAAGTAATCACCTGAAGCTAGAAAACTCACTGGTAATAGTAAGTACACATACTATTATAACACTAACCACAGTTAGTAGAAATGAGTTCACCATTTCTATTAAAAAACTGGGTAGAAATTAGTTCATAATTTCTATTAAATGGTAAACCAATAAAAAATAATAAGTTGTTGTAGTTACTATTTTTGATGGGTTTATCATTTCTACTAAATGATGTAGAACCCATTCTTTCTTCAAAACTCAGCTTCTGGGCTGTGAGTTCGAGAAAGGAAGGCTTTTGCTGCCAGTACTACACTTTTGACTGCTCTCTGAGTGAGCCCCAGTTCAACAGAGTGGAAATTTTCCTGGATATAGGTATGAGGTTTATTTCCTTTTACAATGTTAGTGATGGGAGCCATATCTTTAGATTCACCAAAAATTTTATTAGAAAACCACTCTGTTCGTTTTTTGCTCATAAATGTGAAGCTCAAGAGGATCAGAGCTTCCTGATTATCTGTCCTGTGATTAATACAGGTACTCCAGTCCCACAATTTATTCTGGGGAAGGTAAATAAACATGTGAATGCAATCATCTATCAGAAGTTTCTGTGTGCCCATAGCCAGAGCTAAGAACTTTTTTGCTAGATACACATATTGTACAAAGGGATAGAAGGGAAATATTGGTCATTTTGTAAACCATGAACAGAAAGTAATTATATTAGTTTGGGGGAAAATTGCATTTTCCATATAAAGTGATCTGTTGCCTACAAGAAACATACCTCACCTATAAAGACACACATGTACTGAAAATAAAAAAAAATAAAAATATATTATATGTGCCAATGCAAACAAAAAAGATTGAGTCACTAAACTTATATCATTTCTACTAAATGATAAACCAATAAAAAATAACTACAACAACAACTTTTCAAAACACAGTACAATAAGATATAAATAGAAACAAAAATAAATTTAGAAGCAAGAAATTAAAGCAGAGAGCTTTTATTAGTTTCCTTTTTTTTGGTTTGTTTATTTACACAAACAGTGTTCAGTTGTTGTGAGGTTAAAATAATGGGTTATAAGATAGTATTTGCAAGCACCATGGTAACTTCAAACCAAAAATCGTACAATGGATACACACACAAAAAAAGCAAGAAACTAAATTATATCACCAGAGAAAATTATGTTCAATGAAAGATAACAGGAAGGAAAGAAAGAAGGAGAATACCATGAAACAATCAGAAAACAAATAACAAAATAGCAGATGTAAGTAGTAATAACATTGTATGTAAATAGACTAAACTCTCCAGTCAAAAGACACAGACTGAATGAGTGGATGAATAAACAAGGCCCACTGATCTGTTGCCTACAAGAAACACACTTCACCTATAAAGACAAATATGTACTGAAAATAAAGACATAAGAAAAGATATACTATGTGCCAATGGAAACCAAAAAAAGAACAGGAGTCACTATACCTATGTCAGAAAAAATAGATTTCAACACAAAAACTATAAGACACAAAGAAGGTCACTACATAATGTTAATGGGGTCAATTCAGCAAGAGGATATAACAATTTAAATATATATGCACCCAACACTGGAGTACCCAGATACCTAAAGCAAATATTATTAGAGCTAAAGAGAGAGGATAGTTGGCTTGGTGTGGCTGCAAGATGTTCGAATTGGAACAGCTCTGGTTTGCAGCTCCCAGAGAGATCAGCACAGAAGGTGTTTAATTATTGCATTTCCAACTGAGATAGCCAGCTCCTCTCACCGGGACTGCTTAGACAGTGGGTGCAGCCCACAAAGGGGAAACCGAAGCAGGGTGTTGTGACACCTCACCCAGGACGCACAGGGGGTCGGGGAACTCCCTCCCCTAGCCAAGGGAAGCCATGAGGGACTGTGCCATGAGGAACAGTGCATTCTGGCCCAGATTCTATGCTTTTCCCATGGTCTTCTCAACCCACAGACCAGGAGATTCCCTCGGGTGCCTATGCCACCAGGGCCCTGGCTTTCAAGCACAAAACAGGCGGCTGTTTGTGCAGATACTGAACTAGCTGCAGTTTTTTTTTGTTTTTTCATACCCCAGTGACACGTGGAACACCAGTGAGACAGAGCCATTCACTCCCCTGGAAATGGGGTGGAAGCCAGGGAGCCAAGTGGTCTTGCTCAGTGGAACCCACCCCTACAGAGCCCAGCAAACTAAGATCCACTGGCTTGCAATTCTTGCTGTCAGCACAGCAGTTCTCGCTACCAGGCACAGCAAGTCAACCTGGGATGCTTGAGCTTGGTGTGGGGAGGGGCGTCCGCCATTACTGAGGCTTGAGTAGGCAGTTTTCCCCTCACAGTGTAAACGAAGCCACCAGGAAGAAATTCAAACTGGGCAAAGCCCACTGCAGCTTGGCAAAGCTGCTGTAGCCAGACTACCTCTCTAGATTCCTCCTCTCTTGGCAAGGCATCTCTGAAAGAAAGGCAGCAGCCCCAGTCAGAGGCTTATAGATAAAACTCCCATTTCCCTGGGACAGGGCACCTGGGGGAAGGGGCGGCAGTGGGCGCAGCTTCAGCAGACTCAAGCGTTCCTGGCTGTCAGCTCTGAAGAGAGCAGCAGATCACCCAGCACAGAGCTTGAGCTCTGCTAAGGGACAGATGGCCACCTCAAATGGGTCCCTAACCTCCCTGCCTCCTGACTGGGAGACACCTCCCAGCAGGGGTCAACAGATGCCTCATACAGGAGAGCTGTGACTGTAATCTGGTGAGTGCCCTCTGGGACGAAGCTTCCAGAGGAAGGAACAGGCAGCAATCTTTGCTATTCTGTATCCTCCACTGGTGATACCCACAAAAATGAGGTCTCGAGTAGAACTCCAGCAAACTCCAGCAGACCTGCAGCAGAGGGGCCTGACTGTTAGAAGGAAAACAAACAAACAGAAAGGAATAGCATCAACATCAACAAAAAGGATGTCCACACAGAAACCCCATCTGAAGGTCACCAACATCCAAGACCAAAGGTAGGTAATTCCACAAAGATGAGGAAAAACCAGTGCAAATAGGCTGAAAATTCCAAAAACCAGAACGCCTCTTCTCCTCCAAAGGATCACAGCTTCTGGCCAGCAAGAGAACAAAAGCGGATGGAAAATGAGTTTGACAAATTGACAGAAGTAAACTTCAGGAGGTGGGTAACAACAAATTCCTCTGAGCCAAAGGAGCATTTTCTAACCCAATGCAAGGAAGCTAAGAACCTTGAAAAAAGCTTAGAAAAAGGGTTAGAGGAATTTCTAACTGGAATAACCAGTTTAGAGAAGAACATAAATGACCTGATGGAGCTGAAAAACACAGCACAAGAACTTAGTAAAGCATACACAAGTATCGATAGCCCAATCTATCAAGCAGAAGAAAGGATATCAGAGATTGAAGATCAACTTAATGGAACAAAGTGTGAAGAAAAGATTAGAGAAAAAAGAAAAGGATTGCACAAAGCCTCCAAGAAATATGGGACTATATGAAAAGACCAAACCTACATTTGATTGGTGTACCTGAAAGCGGCGGGAGAAGAGAACCAAGTTGGAAAACACTCTTCATGACATTATTCAGGAGAACTTCCCCAACCTAGCAAGACAGGCTGACATTCAAATTCAGGAAATACAGAGAACACCACAAAGATACTCCTCTAGAAGAGCAACACCAAGACACATAATTGTCAGATTCACCAAGATTGAAATGAAGGAAAAAATGTTAAGGGCAGCCAGAGAGAAAGGTTGGGTTACCCACAAAGGGAAGCCCATTAGACTAACAGCACATCTCTCTGCAGAAACCCTAGAAACCAGAAGAGAGTGGGGCCAATATTCAACATTCTTAAATAATTTTCAACCCAGAATTTCATATCCAGCCAACTTAAGCTTCATAAGCAAAGGAGAAATGAAATGCTTTACAGACAAGCAAATGCTGAGAAATTTTGTCACCACCCGGCCTTCCTTACAAAAGCTCCTGAAGGGAGCACTAAATATGGAAAGGAAAAACCAGTACCAGCCACTGCAAAAACATGCCAAATTGTAAAGACCATTGACACTATGAAGAAACTGCCTCAAGTAACAGGAAAAATAACCAGCTAGTATCATAATGAGAGGAACAAACTCACACATAACAATATTAACCTTAAATGCAAATGGGCTAAATGCCCCAAATAAAAGACATATACTGGCAAATTGGATAAAGAGTAAAGACCCATTGGTATGCTGTATTCAGGAGACATGTCTCATGGGCAAAGACACACATAGGCTCAAAATAAAGGGATGAAGAAATATATGCCAAGCAAATGGAAAGAAAAAAAAAAAGCAGGGGTTGCAATCCTAGTCTCTGATAAGACAGACTTTAAACCAACAAAGATCAAAAAGGACAAAGAAGGGCATTACATAATGGCAAAGGGATCAATGCAACAAGAGGAGCTAACTATCCTAAATATATATGCACCCAATACAGGAGCACCCAGATTCACAAAGCAAGTTCTTAGTGACTTACAAAGACACTTAGACTCCCATGCAATAGTAGTAGGAGACTTTAACACCCCACTGTCAATATTAGACAGAAAATTAATAAGGATATTCAGGACTTGAACTCAACTCTGGACCAAGCAGACCTAATAGACATCTACAGAACTCTCCACCCCAAACTAACAAAATATCCATTCTTCTCAGCACCACATTGCACCTATTCTAAAATTGACCACATAATTCGAAGTAAAACACTCCTTACCAAATGTAAAAGAATGGAAATTATAACAAACAGTCTCTCAGAACACAGAGCAATCAAATTAAAACTCAGGATTAAGAAACTCACTCAAAATCGCACAACTACATGGAAACTGAACCATCTGCTCCTGAATGACTACTGGGTAAATAACAAAATTAAGGCAGAAATAAATAAGTTATTTCAAACCAATGAGAAAAAAGACACAATGTACCAGAATCTCTGAGACACAGCTAAAGCAGTGTTTAGATTGAAATTTATAGCACTAAATGCCCACAGGAGACAGCAGGAAAGATCTAAAATCGATACCCTAACATCACAATAAAAAGAAGTAGAGAAGTAAGAGCAAACAAATTCAAAAGCTAGCAGAAGACAAGAAAAAACTAACATCAGAGCAGAACTAACGGAGATAGAGACATGAAAAAGCCTTCACAAAATCAATGAATCCAGGAGCTGGTTTTTTGAAAAGATCAACAAAATAGATAGACTGCTAGCCAGACTAATGAAGAAGAAAAGAGAGAAGAATCAAATAGACAGTAAAAAGTGATAAAAGTTAATATCACCACTGATCTCAGAGAAATACAAACTACTGTAAGAGAATACTATAAACACCTCTATGCAAATAAGTTAGAAAATCCAGGAGAAATGGATAAATTCCTGGACACATACACCCTCTCAAGACTAAACCAGGAAGAAGTTAAATCCCTAAATAGACCAATAACAAGTTCTGAAATCGAGGCAGTAATTAATAGCCTACCAACCAAAAAACAAAGCCCAGGACCAGATGGATTCACAGCCAAATTCTACCAGAGGTACAAAGAGGAGCTGTTACCATTCCTTCTGAAAGTATCCCAAACAATAGAAAAAGAGGGACACCTCCCTAACTCATTTTATGAAGCCACCATCATCATCCTGATACCAAAACCTTGCATAGACACACACAAAAAAGAAAATTTCAGGCCACTATCCCTGATGAACTTTGATGTGAAAATCCCCAATAAAATACTGGCAAACCGAATCCAGCAGCACATCAAAAAGCTTATCCACTATGACCAAGACGGCTTCATCTCTGGCATGCAAGGCTGTTCAACATATGCAAATCAATAAACATATTCCATCACATAAATAGAACGAATGACAGAAATCACATGATTATTTCAACAGATGCAGAATAGGCCTTAAATAAAATCCAACACCCCTTCATGATAAAAACTTTCAGTAAACTAGGTATTGATGGAATGTATCTCAAAATAGTAAGAGTTAATTATGAAAATCCCACAGCCAATATTATACTGAATGGGCAAAAGCTGGAAGCATTCCCTTTGAGAACCAGCACAAGACAAGGATGCCCTCTCTCACCACTCCTATTCAACATAGTGTTGGAAGTTCTAGCCAGGGCAATCAGGCAAGAGAAAGAAATAAAGGGTATTCAAATAGGAAGAGAGGAAGTCAAATTGTCTCTATTTGCAGATGACATGATTGTATAGAATACCTCATCATCTCAGCCCCAAATCTCTTTAAGCTGATTACCAACTTCAGCAAAGTCTCAGGATACAAAATCAATGTGCAAAAATCAGAAGCATTCCTATACATGAACAATAGACAGAGAGCCAAATCACGAGTGAACTCCCATTCACAATAGCCACAAAGAGGTTAAAATACCCAGGAGTACAGCTAACAAGGGATGTGCAGGACCTCTTCAAGGTGAACTACAAATCACTGCTCAAGGAAATAGGAGAGAACACAAATAGAAAAACATTCTATGCTCACGGATAGGAAGAATCACTATCGTGAAAATGGCCATACTGCCCAAAGTAATTTATAGATTCAGTGCTATCCCCATCAAACTCCCATTGACTTTCTTCACAGAATTATAAAAAAACTACTTTAAATTTCATATGGAACTAAAAAAGAGCCCATATAGCCAAGAAAATCCTAAGCAAAAAGAACACAGCTGGAGGCATCATGCTAACTGACTTCAAACTAATACTACAAGGATACAGTAACCAATACAGCGTGGTACTGGTACCAAAACAGATATATAGACCAATGGAACAGAACAGAGGCCTCAGAAATGACACCACATATCTAAAAACGTCTGATCTTTGACAAACCTGACAAAAACAAGAAATGGGGAAAGGATTCCCTGTTTAATAAATGGTGTTGTGAAAACTGGCTAGCCAGATGCAGAAAACTGAAACCAGACCCTTTCCTTACACTTTATACAAAAATTAACTCAAGATAGATTAAAGACTTAAATGTAACATTTAAAACCATAAAAACCTTAGAGGAAAACCTAGGTCAGTACCATTCAGGATATAGGCATGGGCAAAGACTTCATGAGTAACACACCAAAGCAGTGACAGCAAAAGCCAAAATTGGCAAATGGGATCTAATGAAACTAAAGAGCTTCTGCACAGCAAAAAAAAACCTATCAGAGTGAACAGGCAACCTACAGAATGGGAGAAAATGTTTGCAATCTATCCATCTGTCAAAGGGCTAATATCCAGAATCTACAAGGAGCTTAAACAAATTTACAAGAAAAAAACAACCCCATCCAAAAGTGGGCGAAGGATATGAATATACACTTCTCAAAAGAAGACATTTATGTGGCCAACAAACATATTAAATAAAAACTCATCATTACTGGTCATTAGAGAAATGCAAATCAAAACCACAATTGAGATACCATCTCATGCCAGTTATAATGGTGATCACTAAAATGTCAGGAAACCACAGATGCTGGAGAGGATGTGGAGAAATAGGAATGCTTTTACACTGTTGGTGGGACTGTAAATTAGTTCAATTATTGTGGAAGACAGTGTGGCAATTCTTCAAGAATCTAGAACCAGAAATGCCATTTGACTCAGCAATCCCATTACTGGGTACATACCCAAAGGATTATAAATCTTTCTACTATAAATAGCCATGCACAAGTATGTTTATTGCAGCACTGTTCACATTAGTGAAGACTTGGAACCAACCCAAATGCATATCAATGATAGACTGGATAAAGAAAATGTGGCACATATACACCATGGAATACTATGAATACTTGAAAAAGGATGAGTTCATGTCCTTTGCAGGGACATGGATGAAGCTGTAAACCATCATTCTCAGCAAACTAACAGAGGAGCAGAAAACCAAACACTGCATGTTCTCACTCATGGGTTGGAGTTGAACAATGAGAACAGATGGACACAGGGAGGGGAACATCACACACTGGGGCCTGTTGGGAGGTGAGGGGCTAGGGAAAGGATAGCATTAGGAGAAATACCTAATGTGGATGACGGTTTGATGAGTACAGCAAACCACCATGGCACGTGTATACCTATGTAACAAACCTTCATGTTCTGCACATGCATTCCAGAACTTAAAGTGTAATAATAATAATAATAATAATGATAATAAAAGAGAGAGAGAGAGATCGGCCCCAATACAAAAATAACTGGCAACTTCAAAATCCCACTTTCAGCACTGGACACATCTTCCAAGCAGAAAATCAACAAAGACACATTGGACTTAATCTGCACTATTGAACAAATGGATATAATATGTATTTGCAGAACATTTCATACAGTGGTTGCAGAATACGCTTTTTTTTTTCCTCAGCATGTGGAACATTCTCAAGGATATACCACATGTTAGGTCACAAAACAAGTCATAAATCATTTTTGAAAATTGAAGTTATATCAAGCTTCTTCTCTGACCACAATGGAATAAAACTAGAAAATAATAAGAAAGAATTATGAAAACTATATAAATACATGGAAATTAAACCCTATGCTCCTGAATGACCAGTGGGTCAGTGTAGAATTTGAGAAGAAAGTTGAAAATTTGTAGAAACAAATAATGATGGAACCACAACATATCAAACTTACGGAATACAGCAAAAGCAGTACTAAGAGGGACTTTTATAGCTATAACTGCCTACATAAAAAATAAATAGGAAAACTTTAAACAATCTAATGATCCATCTTAAAGAACTAGAAAAGCAGGAGCAAACTGAACTAAAAATTAGTAGAAGAAAATAAATAATAAAGATCAGAAAAGAAATAAATGAAATTGAAATAAAATACAAAAGGTCAATAAAACAAAAAGTTTTTTTTTTGAAAAGTTAATAAAAATTCTGTACAAACCTTTAGCCAGATATTTTTTAAAAAAGAAGGAAGATCCACATAAATAAAATCAGGAATGAAAAAGGAGATATTACAACTGATATTGCAGTAATCCAAAGGATCATTAGTGGCTACTCTGAGCAGCTATATGCCAATAAATTGGAAAAATCTAGAAGAAATGGAAAAATTCCTAGACACATACAAATTAACCCAGGAAGAAATACAAAACCTGAACAGACCAACAACAAGAAATGAGATAGAAGCCATAATAAAAATTCTCCCAGTAAAGAAAAGCCTGGGACCCCGTGGCTTCACTGATGAATTTTACCAAACATTTAAGAAGTAACACCAGTCCTACTCAAACTATTCTGAAAACTAAAGGAGGAGGGAATACTTCTAATCTAATTCTACAAGGCCAGTTACTCTGATATGAAACCCAGCATAAGATACATCCAAAAAAGAAAACTACAGGTCAATATCTCTGATAAATATTGATATAAAAATCCTCAACAAAATGCTAGCAAACCGAGTTGAACAATGCATTGGAAAGATCATTCATAATGACCAATTGGGGTTTATCCTCAGGATGCAAGGATGGCTCAATATATGTAAGATATTGATGGTTCAATAATCAATCAATGTGATACTTCATATGAACAGAATGAAGGATGAAAAACATATGATCATTTCAACTGATGTTGAAATAGCATTTGATAAAATCTAACATCACTTCATAATAAAAACACCCATAGAACAGAGGATAGAAGGAATGCCTTCAGCATAATAAAAGCCATGTATGGTAGACCCACAGCTAGTATCTTACCAAATGGGAAAAACTGAAAGCCTTTCCTCTGAGATTTAGAACATGACGGGGATGCCCACTCTCACCACTGTTATTTGACATAGTACTGCAAGTCCTAGCTAGAGCAATCAGAAAAGAGAAGGACATAAAGGGCATCCAAATTGGAAAGGAAGACGTCAAATTATCCTTGTTTTCAGCTGTTATAATCTTATATTTGGAAAAACCTAAAGACTCCACAAACAACTATTGGAACTGATGAACAAAGTCAAAAAAGTTGCAGGATACAAGATTAACATACAAAAATTAGTAGCATTTCTGTATGCCAACAGTGAACAATCTGTAAAAGAAATAAAAATCCCATTTACAATAGCCACAATTAAATATGTAAGAATTAACATAATGAAAAAAGCAAAAGGCCCCTATAATGACAACTACAAAACAGTAATTACGGAAATTGAAGAAGACACCAAAAAAATGGAAAGAGCTTCCGATTTCATGGATTGGAAGAATCAATATTTTTAAAATGTCCATACTATCCAAAGCAATCTACAAATTCAGTGAAATCCCTATCAAAATACCAATGACATTATTAACAGAAACAGAAAAAAAAAAAACTCTAAAATTTATATGCAACCACGAAAGGCCCAGAATAACCAAAGCTATCCTAAGCAACAAGAACAAAACTGGAAGAATTACATTATTTGACTTCAAATTATACTACACAGCTGTAGTAACCAAAATACAGTGTACTTTCATAAAAACAGACACACAGACCAATGTAAGACAATAGAGAACAAAGAAACAAATCCACACCCAGTAAACTCACTTTTAACAAGGGTGCCAAGAACATACACTGGAAAAAAGACAGTCTCTCAATAATGGTGCTAGGAAAACAAGATATCTATATGCAAAAAAAAAAAAAAATGAAACTAGACCCTTATCTCTTGCCATATACAAAATCAAATCAAAACGGATTATAGATTTATAATTAAGACCTCAAACTGTGAAACTACTACAAGAAAATATTGGGGAAAATCTCCAGGACATTGGTCTGGGCAAAAATTTCTTGAGCGATACCCCACAAGCACATGCAACCAAAGCAAAAAATGGACAAATGGAATCCCATCAAGTGAAAAACCTTCTGCACAGCAAAGGATATAACCAACAAAGTGAAGAGACAACCCACAGAATGGGAGAAAGTATTTGTAAACTATGAATCTGACAAAGGATTCATAACCAAAATATATAAGGAGCACAAACAAGTCTATAGGAATAAATCTAATAATCCGATCAAAATATGTACAAAAGATTTAAACAGACATTTCTCAAAAGAGGACATACAGATGGCCAACAGGCATATGAAAAGGTATTCAGCATCTATGGTCATGAGGGAAAAACAAAACTACAATGAGATATGATCTCACTCGTTTAAATGGCTTCTATCAAAAAAAAAAAAAAAGGCAATAATAAATCCTGGCAAGGTTGTGGAGAAAAGGGAGCCCTGGTACACTGTTGGTGGAAATGTAAATTAGTACAACCACTATGGAGGACAGCTTGGAGGTTCCTCAAAAAACTAAAAACTACCATATGATTCAGCAATCCCCACTGCTGGATATATCAGTATATCTGTCAGTATATCAAAAAGATACCTGCACCCCTGTGTTTGTTGAAGCACTGTTCACAATAGCTAAGATTTGGAAGCCACATAAGTGTCCATCAACAGCTGAATGGATAAAGAAAATGTGGTACATGTATGCATTGGAGTACTATTCAGCCGTAAAAAAAGGACACCCTGTCATTTGCAACAACATGAATGGAACTGGAGATTATTATGTTAAGTGAAATAAGCCAGGCATGGGAGGACAAACATCACATGTTCTCACTTATTTGTGAAACCTAAAATCCAAAACAATTGAACTAATGGCCACAGAGTGTAGAAGGATGGTTACCAGAAGCTGAGAAGGGTAGTGGAAGGCTGCAGAGGAGGTCGGTTTAGTTAATGGGTAAAAAAAAAAAAAAAACAGTTAGAAAGAATGAGCAAGACATACTATTTAATAGCATAACAGGGCAACTATAGTCAATAATAACTTAATTGTACATTATGAAATAAAGACTGTAATTGGTTTTTAACTCAAAGGATAAATGCTTAAGAAGATAGATACTCCATTTTCCATGATGTGCTTATACTACATTGCATGCCTGTATCAAAATATTTCATGTACCCCCTAAATATACACACCTACCAGGTACCCACAAGAAATTTAAAAATAAAAGCACAAAATATTGAAATAACATAGGATGAATTAGAAAATTAAATATAGTGGCAAAGTATTCAGGTAAAAAGCAAGTAGAACTCCAGAAACTTCATTAAAGGGGAGACACCACAGTGCCTAAGTAGAAGGTAGTTTGTGTGGAATGCAGATTTACACTAACCAACTTCTCTTTTCTCCTTCATAGCCTTTCTATACCTTCCTAAGTTCTGTTTCACCATTTCCTAAAGAATCTTTTTAGAAGAAAACACATCTAAATACATCTTAACCTTGTTAAGTTATAATTTTAGTCTGTTTCTTATATCTTGTTGATGATGATTGCTGAAGCTCCTAGGAAGTATGAGAACCATGGTTTATAGTTGTGGTTTGAATTATAAATATTATCTGACTTCATTAACATTGGAAGGTCTTACTCTAAGCTATCAAATCCTAAATTCCATACTAGTCAATTGGTTTTCCTCCTTTCTACTCTTTGCCATTATTAGCTCTTTTCATTGTTTCTTTTTCTTTCTTTTTTTTTTTTGCTTTCTTTGTGATAGATTTAACGTACAACCAAGTAAAATTATGCATAATTCAAATAGGCTGTATAAATGGTAAAGTAATATTGCAATTCTACTCGTGTATTTTGGTAGTAATTATTTTATTTCAGTGTTCATAATAAGCAACATAAATTCTGAATTGTGCTATTTTCTATATATATGCTATTACTTTTTAATAAATACAAGCAAGCCAAATAAATACCTCATTCTCAACAGTGAATCAGTAAATATTCTAATAATTGTAAGTATCCGTATAATTCTTTTGCTTTTGAAGTTTTTGTTTTCTTGTTTTAATTGGTACATAAAAGTTGTACATATTTTGGAGGGTATTTGTGAGATATATATATACATATATGCATAGCAATCAAATCGGGGTAATTGGGATTTCTGTCACCTCATTTATCTTTTCTTTCTGTTGAAAACATTCTAATTTTCTTCTATTTTAAATTATACAATAAATTATTGTTAATTATAGTCATCCTACTGTACTATTGAACAGTAAAACTTACTCTTTGAGTAAGTACAAACTGTAATTTTATACCCATTAACCAACTTCTCTTTATTCCTTCTCCCCGCTACACTTCCCAGACTCTGGCAACCACCATTCTACTCTCTATGAGATACACTTTTTTAGCCCCCACATGTGAGTGAACCTATGCAATATTTGCCTTTTTGTGCCTGGCTTATTTCATTTAACATAATGAACTCCTTTTCTATCCACGTTGTTACAAATGATAGTATGTTAGTTCTTATTTTATCTATTTTCTCTTTTTCCACCAAGGTTGTCAAGTAGACAGGTTGTTTCATCAAAGACAATTGTAAGGAAAAACTAAACTTCAGAAAATAAAAGTTAGAGATGACACTCGTTTGGATTATGTGGTAGAAAGATTTTTAAGGGATTCTAAAACACTGTGTTTTAAAGAAGTGATAACATATATTGTATTCCCTTGAAATTCAAAGTGCAACACAAGCATTTGATCTGACTGCACTGTCTGCCTGAGATAGTAATGGCTCTATGTTTTCTGTAGAATTCGAAGAACTATCAAATTGGAAGATATTGCAGAAAAAGCTGTATGTTATTTACTTATATAAGTTTTTTCATTGCTGTCTCAATGAAAGAAAAGGCCATCTTTTTTTGGGGGGGGGTGGGCAGGGTGGGGGGACAGAGTCTCGCTCTGTCTCATAGGCTTGAGTGCAGTGGTGTGATCTAAGCTCACTGCAACCTCTGCCTCCTGGGTGCATGTGATTCTCTTGCCTCAGCCTCCCAAGTAGCTGAGATTACAGGTGTGCACCACCATACCTGGCTAAGTTTTGTAGTTTTAGTAGAGACAGGGTTTCACCATTTTGGCCAGGCTGGTCTTAAACTCCTGACCTCAGGTGAAACACCCGCCTCAGCCTCCCAAATTGCTGGGATTACAGGCATGAGCCACTGCGCTCGGCCTAGAAAAGACTATCTCAAGGGCTAGGACCATCATGCATAGATTAATGGAAGTCAAAGAAAAAGTATGGGATTTGGAAGTTGGCAAATCTCACAAGGCAAACTATAGATTGTCTTAATCTAATAATCGCCAATTTTGATTTTAGGCTTGCAATAAAAGTGGGCTTTGGTTAAGCCATGCATGGGAAAGAAGGGGTGAGCAAACTAAATTCCAATGTTAACTTTGATTGTGTTCAAGTTTAATGATAGAGACTAGTATTGCTTAATGACCTGAGAAACTGGGAGAACAAGAGGGAGTAGTTTTAGTGTCTACTGTACATATAAGATATCAAAATATGTGTGAATGATTATTTTTAGTGATAATCATCACAATTAATTTTGGATTATCAAACAGCAAGTCAAAGGGCTTAAAATCTTTCTAGGCTCTATCTGTAAGATTAGATGACATTTATAAAACTATGATTCATTTTTATAATACCAACACATTATTATTCAGTAGATGAGTTTTGTGAAAAAGATCCATTCCACTTATAAACTTTGTGCATTAAAAGCTACATTTCTCTTCTTTTTGTGACTGAATCATTTGCAGAACCTGGCCTCATTTTTTTCTGTCTTTCTCTGCTAGAGTATATCAGTGTACGAATGAATGTCAGATCACGCATTATGGTCAGAAGCTGTCCTGCGTGTTCTGGTTATGAACCAAAGAAAATACTTACAAAGACGACAAAAACAAACTTTTTTTCTGTTTTCCCTTGTTTTTTTTTTTGGATAAATTAAAACAATTTGCCTTACTGAGACAGTTTCTGGGGAGTTTAATAAGCTGTGAAAATAGAACACATAACCTGAGCTGTAAAGCAAAGGGTAAAGATGGATATACAGATAGGAGGTGGTGGGGCATGGTGGCTCATGCCTGTAGTCCCAACAGGATCACCTGAGGTCAGGAGTTCAAGACCAGCCTGACCAATATGGTGAAAGCCCATTTCTACTAAAAATGTAAAAATTAGCCAGGCATGGTGGCGAGCACCTGTAACCCCAGTTACTCGGGAGGCTGAGACAGGAGAATCGTTTGAACCAGGGAGGCGGAGGTTGCAGGGAGCCGAGATAATGCCACCTCACTCCAGCCTAGGCGACAGAGCAAGACTCCATTTGAAAAAAGAAAAGAAAAAAAAAGAGAAAAGAGATGGGGGGTATGGGGAGGCAAGCTCCACATTCGGTAGTTTCCAATCTTTTTATCAAAGAATTGCCTGTCACAGTTGTCAAAACTTAGGATGAGCTTACGTTAAAAGTAGATCAGCTCTTAGATCACTTAGATTAATAAGTGATCAGCTCTTATTAATTCCTTCATTTCCATTAAATGCATCTTGTTTCTCTTTAAACCTACCCTTGAATATCTAACTCGACCATTTTATTGGTATCACTGTACCATTTCTACGCCTTTAAGCTCTAATGGGTGCTAAATTTCTGATTTTAGCATTCACCATTATATTTATTGTTGAAAAAGATTGTATTTCTAAAAGTCACCCTGTAATAATAATGAAATAGTAAATATATATTGAGCATTATTGTATGTCAGGCACTGAGCTAAAATAACTTATAGATTATCTCATTTCATGGACTTTACAGCCCTCTGTGGTAGGTACCACTTTTCTCACTATTTTTCAACTCAGTTGAAGAGGTTTCAATGTAATGAAACTCAGGAACATAAATAGTGGGAGAATTAACATCCAAAATTCTCACTACTACTACCTTATGCAGATAAATCTTCAATTCTAACTGTAAACTGTTTTTAATTCTTGCAACATCTGACTGGAGATTTTGCTCTTGTCACTTCTCCACATAGCTTTCTAGCAGGAGCTTGTTTGTAGGTGATGCCCAAGTACTTGGGAGGAGTGGCTAAGACACTGAAGTGATCCACGCTACTCCTTTGAAGCAGTGGTGTGAAAATTAAAGTCTGCTATAAAAGAGGAAGACTTTGGCCCTTTTGTGCCATCTTTTCTTCATATCCTCCTTGGAAGACTTTCACCTTCTTGTAAAGAGTAGTTTGCACATCCCTTGTGAAAATACCTTGGCCTTCTACTTGTAAGCTTTGTAAGTTAAAAACTATTTTAAGAAGGAAGTTCTGTCACTTGCAAAAACATGGATGGACTTGGAGAGCATTATGCTAAGTGAAATAAGCCAGGCTTAGGATGAAATGTACTCCATGATGTCACTCATACGTGGAATCTAAAAAAAAGTTGAACTCCTAGAAGCATAGAGTAGAATGGTAGTTTGCAGAGGCTAGGTATTGTGGGGAAATCGGGAGATGTTGGTCAAAAGGCACAGTTTCAATTACATAGGATGAATAAATTCTGGAGATCTACTGTATAGTGTTATGACTATAGTTAATCTATTACATACTTGAAAATTACTGAGAAGAGATTTTAAGTAGTCTTACCACATAAAAAATGGTAAGTATGTGAGGTGATGGATATGTTAATTAGCTTGATTTATTTCACAATGTGTATAGCTGTATATCATTTTATGTGATACATCATAAATATATACAACTTTTGCCAATTATATCTCAATAAAGCTGGAAAAAAAAAGAGAAAAAAAATGAAACCCAATCTTGCTTGAGGTGGCCTGACACTACAGAAGACTGGGAGAGTTTGGGGGGGGTTACAGTGGTTGCTGATGAGGACAGGGCCAGTCTCTCCAGTAGTGCAAGCCTTTCAGTAGGATACACTTATTCTGTTTTTTTTTTTTTTTTAACTAACATTATAATCCAAACTGAGATACATTCCTAAAATCATGTGCTCACAGATGTGTCTGACTGATGCAGATGGAATAGTTGTTTTCCTTGGTCTGTTTGTGCTCTGTTCGTGCAATTCCGTGTGAGCTATGAATTCAAAGAAAGATGCATGGGTGAAACTACTTAAGAAGCTGGATGTAAAATTAGTATAAGTGCCTGATCTCCTATCTTCCTTATATTCTAAGAAACTTTGATTTTGTCCCTCGGGGGCAACACAAGGGAATGTCTGGATGACAAAAATTCTGTCTCACTCATGCTTTCCCTTCCTCCAAACTGATTATTCCAGGGACAGAGAATACAGGAGCTGAAAAGAGTTACTGCTCTCCTGAGAAGTGTGCTACTCCTCTGATGACACAAATGGAGAGCTGTTTTCTCATGTGCTTTCTCTATAAAATAGGACACATTGAACAAGTCTGGCTAGCCTACAGCCACCATGTCAAGAGACCCAAAGTGTGCCCACAAAGAAAAAGAAAGAGATGATCAAAGATCCTCAGTTATTTGAATTTTCCCGGCCCAGTCACCAGAAGTGCAAGTCAGGAAGCCTTTGAAAAAAACATCAGCCACCATCTGACTAAAACTAAATGAGACCCCAAGAAAGAATTGCCTAGCTAAGACCTGTATCTTCAGATTTGTGAGCAAAAGACATGATGATATTATTTTAAGCCACTGTTTTGAGGGCAGGGGGTTATTGTCATATAACAATAGAACCAGAATTATAAGTCAAATAAAAACAAAGATTAAACTAAGATAGTGGTAGTTGGGATAAAACAAAGTGGAATCCTTCAAGTTATTAAGAAGGAAGACCCGTGCAGGGACAATTCTAAGGGCAAGAAATATTTCTGGCTTTGGAGTCAACCAGTCTCATACTCATACTATTTGGCACTTGTTCTGCATAGAGTTGCTTATTTTTAAGTACTGATTAAATAACTAACTGCCTTGTTTGAATTCTAAATTTATCAAACAAAATTAGCAAATGGTTGCAAGTAGCTGAAACACTATCATACCTCTTATTGGAGATTGATATATTGAAATACTGGTTTTGTATTATCAGTTTAAATATGGCAACATAAAAAACTCTACATGAAAAACTCAACCCTATTTATATGGTCAGTTCCAGCATTTTCAAATTCTAATGCTTCATCAGGTGATAAAATATAAAAAGTATTTTAAGGGAAATTTGGGAAATATACATTCTAAGTTACATGAGGTTGGAAAATACTAGTAATTTTTTAGGAGTAAAGCAGAATTGTGAGTATGTAAAGCATGGTCTTATTCTTAGAAGAAATACACGGAGTATTATGGTGTGAAGTGTCATGATGTGTGAATTTATTGTCAAATGGAAAAAAATCAAGGTTTTTAGTACATAGATGCTCATGCTATCCTTTGAAATTTTTGTATGTTTCAAAATGTTTGTAACATAAAAGGCTAGAAGAAAGTCTTACCCTTGAAAAGGTAAAAACATAGAATATGACATTAAAAAATTGAAATGGATATTTGAGCAAATATGACATTTTAATACATTATTTCATCTTTTGTTAAAAAAGATGTGTTGAGATAAAAAGTAGTACAGAACAAAGCACAGAGAATTGAATTAAACATCTAATGTAAAATTTTGTTTCAGGTCCTATTGGATTTATAAAATACATGTTATTTTCAAGTACACATTCTAAAAAAAGTAAAAGCTCGCCACGAATGCAACATGTTGAAGTCAATAATAGTATTTCTCTTGAGCAACTATTATGTACCAATCATTGAAATAGGTATTTTGCATATATTATCTCTAGAACTCAACAATATTTCTATGAAAAAAGTAGTATGCCCATAACTATAAGAAGAAAATCTTATTTCCTTGACAGGAATTTTTCTAGCTCTGCAAAAAAAAGTTCTTTTTTTTTTTTTTTTTTTTTAGTGAATATGGTAAGTAATTGAATTATGAAACATGGGGATTTATTGGAGTAGTTATAAATACACACTGAGCTGAGCTGTTTTTCTAGAGAGAGGTATGTTTAGAGGGAGGATACCTAGTGACATTTTATTTTCCTAAAAAGATACAGGCAACTTATAAATCAGAAACAAATATTTCTGGAAGATTATGCTATGGGGAGAAAGTTCAAAACTCTGTAGGGTAAATGGGGTAAGAAAGATGAAGTAACTCTGGACAAGGAAGAGAAACATGTAATTGCTATTGTCCAAATCTTTGTGTCCCCCTAAAATTTATGTATTAAAATTCTAACCCCTAAGGTGATGTATTGGGAGCTAGAACCTTTGGGAGGTGATTAGGTCATGAGGGTGGAACTTTCACACTAATGTCTTCGGAAACCCCAGAGAGATTGCTCATTTTTTTCTGTTACATGAGGACACAGTGAGAAGGTACCATCTATGAATTAGAAAATGGGCCCTCACCAGACGCCAAATCCATCAGCACCATGATCTTGGACTTCTTAGCTTCCAGAACTGTGAGAAACAAATGTTTGTGTTTTATAAGCCACGAAGTTAGTGGTATTTTTGTTAAAGCAGCCTGCATGGGGTGAAACACTAATGGATCTTCAATTTTGCATGGGCATGCAATGTAAATTATCTATCCCTGTAAGTGCCCAAAAGGTTCTCCTTGCCTGATGCCTAGACAGAGCCAATTTATTAAGACAAGGGAATTGCAGTAGAGAAAGAGTTTAATTTAGGCAGAGCTGGCTGTACAGGAGACCAGAGTTGTGTTATTACTCAAAATAATAAATCAGTCTCCTTGAAAACTCAAAGATAGGGTTTTTAGGGATAATTTGGTGGGTGGGGGGTCAGAAAGTAGGAAGTGCTGATTGGTCAGGTCAAAGATTACATCACAGGGAGTTGAAGCTGTTCTCTTCTGCTGAGCCAGTTCCTGGGAGGCTGTTTATCAATCTGGATGGTGCCAGCTGATCCATGCAGTGCAGGGTCTGCAAAATATCTTAAGGACTGATCTTAAGTTTTACAATGGTGATGTTATCCCTCAGGAGCAATTTGGGAGATTTAGAATCTTCCAGCCTCCAGCTGCATGACTTCTAAACCATAATTTCAATCTTGTAGCTAATTTGTGAGTCCTGCAAAGGCAGTCTAGTCCCCAAGCAGAAATGGAGTTTATTTTCGGAAGGAGCTGTTATCATCTTTGTTTCAAACTTAAACTATAAACGAAGTTCCTCCAAAGTTAGTTTGGTCTATGCCCAGGAATGAACAAGAACAGTTTGGAGGTTTAAAGCAAGATGGTGTCAGGTCACATCTCTTTCACTGTCACAATTATCTCTGTTATAATTTTTGCAAAGGTGATTTCATCCCATTCCATAACATTGTAAGTAAGGC
Source organism: Homo sapiens (assembly GCF_000001405.40). NCBI lineage: Eukaryota > Metazoa > Chordata > Mammalia > Primates > Hominidae > Homo > Homo sapiens. The sequence continues at coordinate 9,151,491 of NC_000007.14, read as the reverse complement.
ATCTGTTTCAATGATATCAAAATATAGCCAGTTTGAAATATGAATATATGCTGAATGGACATGTGGTAAGAGCCAAATTTATGCACTGAAAATTGCTAACATTTGAGCTAAAGGGATAAATACATAATTTGGGTGAAACACAACTGATTTATGGTATACATATCATTCAACTGATAAGAGCAGAAGTTTGAGGGCAAGAGAATAAACTTTTAACTGTGACTGTTAAGTGTGCTATGGGCATCAATTAGTATGCTTTATAGAGGGATAGAAAGATTTTGGTTAATTACATAAGTCAATTAAGTGAACCTAAACATCTTTCCCCTTTGCTAATAACCTAGTGAAAAATTTTCCTACTTTTTGTATTGATTAATGTGATGGTTAGTTTTATGTGTCAATTTGGTTAGGCTACTGTACCCAGCTATTCAATTAAACACTTACTCAAAGTGTTGTCATGAAGGCATTTGTGGATGTAATTCACATCTATAATCAGTTGACTTCAATTAAATATTATTTTTGATGATGAGGGTGATCTTTATCCAATCAGTTGAATGGTCTTAAAAGCAAAACATTTATCTGAGAAAGAAGAAATTATTCCTAAAGAATACAGTATCACGTCTTTCTCCAGAGTTTGCAGCCTGAAGTTTCTACAGATTTCAAATTTGTTAGCCCCATACAATCATTGCAAAAGCCAATTCCTTGAAATAAAACTCTAATTCTCTATATATCTCTATCTCTATCTATCTATACATCTATCTATCTACCTATCTATCCATCCCTCTAGTTCTATTTCTCTGTAGAATACTGACTAATAGGATTTGTAATCTAGTGATTACATAATTTATCATCCAAGCTGGTACACATTTGAATGTGAAAGAGACACTAGTAATAATCATGTCAGTAAACTAGGGAAAAAGTAGAGCTTTGCCAGGCAAACTGTGAGAAAGGGTTCCCGTAGGTAAAATAAATTTTATCTACCAAGAACCATCAAGATAATCTAATGAATAAAAGAAGTTCATTCTTTTGTTTTAAGCTTTTGTTTTAAGGGAATTTAGTTAGTTATCAAAAGTGTTCTGAACTAAGTTAAAGAAACAAATCACCACATAATTTGGAAAGAAATCACCTATTAACATTATACAAAGCATTTTAGTTTCTTTTGACATTTTCTAAATTCAAAAGTTTGGAATCCTACAATTATTTTGCATTTGAAAATGATGAATTAAAAAAGAAATCAGAATCCACCAAAATAATGGTAGGCATTTAGACTTGATAGATGGTTTTAATGCAATTGTGCAATTATCCAAGTTTAACCTTCCTGGTTATAGCCCTATTCAATCCTGTTTTCTTATCATAGATAGGTTTTACATGACTACTAACTGGCTGAGAATCAAGAAATAAATTATTTTGTGAAATTGAATTCTGTTAGTTTCTCCTTAATCTGTATTTGTGTCAGATTTTCAATTGTAAATAACTTTAGCAATTTGGAGAGAGAGTCTATTATTGCCTAGCAAATTGTGTATCTGCACAGTTTTTGGAAAGCTAGAGAATGTGACTTTACAAGCTTATTTTGGTGCTTGGAGACATGTCGTGAAAAACGAGTCATGTGACTGAGACTCCTCAAAAGTCCACCACTTATTCGTGGTTTCACTTGTAGCAGTTTAAGTTACCCACAGTCAACCACAGTCTAAAAATATTAAATGAAAAACTCCAGAAATAAACAATTCCTAAACTTTAAATTGCATGCTGTTTTGAGTAGCATGATGAAATCTCTCAGCATCTTGCTCAGTTTCACCCAGGATGTGAATCATCCCATTGTCCAGGAGATCCATGCTGCACATGCTGCCCACCTGTTACTCACTTAGTAACCCTCTCTGTTACTGGATCAAAAAAGAAAAAAGAAAAAGAAAAAAGAAAACAGTATATGGAGGGTTTGATATTAGCCACAGTTTTTAGATATCTGCTGGGGGTCTTAGAACGTATTCTCTGATCATTAAGGTGAGACTACTGTACTAAAGAAAGTTATGGTTTGCCATATTGCTAAAAACTCTGATAGTAATACTGGAAATTATATGAATAGACCATTCTAAACTTCATGTGCAGTGTTAATGAAAACCTATTTCAATGTTCAAGAAAATATAAATTAATACAACTGACATTTAATGCGTTGAAAAATTAATGTGGAACTTGTCTTCACACTTCCTTCTCCTTTTAAACATTCTACACTATGAAGCCTCCCTGGTTATAAAAAGATCTCTCCTTCTCTCCTTTCCATGATAAGTCTGAAAAGCAAGCATAAACACCAAAAGGGGAGAGAGACAGAGAGACTTAGAAGTATCCAATTAAATACTAAATAACAGAAAGTGTGATCAAATATATTTTATGCTGGCTCTTCTGATAAAGCAATAAGAGGTTATTTAATGAATAGATTAGTTGACCAAAAAGGCCTTAACTTTCCCCTCCTCTGGACTAAACTTTAGACAGTCTTCTTCCTGAAAATGGACCTCTAACTTCCCTTTTCTTGGTGCATCTACAATAGAAAACTTGCAATTATAAATTATTTCCCTTTGAGATGTAAATCTTCACATTCCAGGAATGTCTTTTCTCAAGGACCCTGGAGCCATTCCTTTGAAATGTCCTCTTTAAGAAAGACAGGAACCCCTTCTCCTCCTTTCTGTGGGAGTATAGAAACTTTTCTTTGATAAGCACCGATTAGCAAACACAGGTGGACTAATCATATTGGCCAACCTCCCTATAACATCTTATGGCACCTTTTATTAGGTCACCAAAGTGTTGACTTTTTTTTTTTTCATCTTTTGTTACAGGGTAGTCTTTCTCTGCTATTACAATAGTCTTGAATAAAGTTTTCTTTGCCATTTTTAACAAGTATCTGATGTATTTTTTTATATCACCTTCATCTTAATTTTAAATATGTGCACAGACACAGCTAACATTTAAACATCTTATGTTTTTAGCATAGCATATGCATACATATACATATATGCATGCATACATACATGTGCATGCATGTGTATCTTCTAATATATTCATTGACATGGTCTTACTTAAAACCTTTGTACTTAGAGAAACTAAGTTCACAATTGAGTCTCCCATTGTTAGAAGTTAAAGACTTGAACCTCCAAGATAGAGCTGTGACATTTTATTGATGAAATACCAAAATGTTAAGAGTGTTCTGATTGGACAATAAAAGTATTAATTAGATAAAACTTGCATTCAAAGAGACTAAACACAGAAAAAAAAAAGGCAACGTAATTGCAAGATGACAGCAGGCAAAAAAGAATCTGAGGACAATTTGAATTGAATTTGATTAGAAACATAATAATCATAGCACTTTAGTATAAAAAAGGTCACTATTTTACTTGAAGTTTTATTTCTAGTTTGTTCTTTAGCACTAATACGATATCCCTGGGAACTCTGTGGAATATCTCAATTTTACATGCTACCAAATATATACATATATAATTTATTTATTCATCTATAATTCTTCATGACAGGCTAAATATCTGAAAATGAGAGTTTATTCTTGTCTGATGACCATCCAGCTGTGTAATATTAAGTGGGTAAATCAAAATCTCTGACTCTGAGCATTCTCAATTTCAAAGCAAAGACTGAACTATACATTTTCTATGTTCCCAGCATTCAAAAACTATGCACAGAAAGCCGCTTACTGGTTTTAACTGTGGTTTTGGGGGTGCATTTATAAACACACAAATGTTTTATATAACAAAATAGTTGTGAGTACTGGATTTAAGTGGAGTGGTTTGGCGTGAGTGTCATGTTGTTAACTAAGAAATGGTAAATGACAGTGGTGACTGATGAACGGAAGGAAAGAGCATGATATGGTGGCAAGAATAATATGTATACAAGTATAAACAAGAAAAATATTAAATCATGTTATATCAAGTATTTTCCAGAAATACAAATATGAAAAGGAAGAATTCATCATTGTGATCTTTAATTTTGTGGTCTTCATTGTTTGGGGACAATATAATTGTAACTCAAATTATGCTGCGTCAAATCATTAAATTAATACATTTGTATATGCATGCTCATATATGCACAAATTGAAATATATAAAAATTCAAAACACACTTGGGTAATAATAAAAATCTTTAAGGTTGCCATAAACACAAACACACATACACACAACTAAGCAATCAAAAAACACTAGAGCCAGGCACAGTGGCACATGCTCATAGTTCCAGCCGAAAGGAGAGGTTGAGCCCAGGAGCTCGAATGAAGCCTGGACAGCATAACAAAATTCCATTTACAAAAAAAAACAAAAAACAAAAAAAACCCACTAAAACAACCTAATCAAAAATTTATAAATTTGAAAATAATCTCTATTAAGACTTTGATAAAATTTAAAAATGCTATAAAGACACAAGTGTTATACATTAAGGATGTAATAATTTGCATATAGGTTAAAATGCAATGTTTTAAAGAAGATAATTCAAATAGCTAGTTCTTTGAAAAGATCAATAAAATGGAAAAGCTGCTGAAAAGAAAATTAGAAAAAGAAAGAAAGTAAGGGTATATAACATAAAAAAGTAAAAAAGCAGCTGTGAATTTATATTTGGAATGGATTAAGAAGTTGTAAAAATATGCATAAAAATTAACCTTTTAAAAATATATATGTAATGGAAATTTATGAAAAAAATATAGTTAAATTCATTATTGAAAATGCAGAATATTTGAACACCATAAGAGTCAAAATTTTATAAAATGTTTATAAATACATAGCACAAAAGGCCAGTACAGTTGGCTTACTAAAGAATTTATTCATTCTTTTAAGAAAAAAAAATTTTTTTAAACTGCTCTAGTAAATATAAATATTTGGAAAGCATACAAGTTAATTTTATGAAACTAGCATAGGGAATATCAAAACCCAGTGATAACTGGGACTCACTCCTCTGCGCTATTTCCCTCTCCTAATTAACAGAAAGATACTGATAGTATATTGAAAACATCACAAGACGTATAAATGAATAGCTATATAATTTTGGAAGATGATGTCATTAAAAACGCCATTAAAGACAGAAACTATAAAGAATGTTTAGACCTTGCAATTAAAAGAAAAACACAGGTAAAATATAATTAATTAAAAGGCAAATGAAAACTCACTAAAAACATTAGATCCAATATTTGTTTTAGAGTGCATATATTTATTTTTTTTTAATGGGCAAACCTCTCCCACTGCCATTTGAAAAGCCAGAACAGTCACTATCATTGTCATCACATCACCTTTACCAGAAATTCTCCCAGACATGGAGGCTGTCAGGGTGCACAGTAGTGGTTCAAAGATGCTTACTAGAATTGCCTGGTGACATTTGCAAAAATAAATGTTTGCGCCACACCCAGACAATTAAGTCAGAAATTTTGCAGGACATTTTTTATCTCTTATACTTATTTAAAATAAAAGTATTCTTATGAATGTTTGTTGTTTTTTTCTTTAACATTTAAGTGAGAAATAAAAAGTTCATCCTTTGACTACTAAATAAGTAGCCTCAGAAAGCTACAGTTTCATGCTGTATCACTCGTATCACATCCCTAGTATGCTTTCCCAATTTTTGGCATCCAAATAACCTTAATCTGTTGTTGTTCTACCTAGTAACTAGCCATCTTAATTTCTTCTGAAATTCAATGAAAGTAACTGAAATGCGTATTTGTTTTCTGATACCTTCTGAGGAAGTGTTGAGGGAAGGGTGAAATGCAGAAGGATCAGGGTCAACACATTTCATGGCATTCTAAAAATATCCTAACATTCTTCACTCACCTATTTCTTCAGAGTATGTTCAATAGCTGTCTTCAACTCTCTCCTTTCTATGTTCCTAATTCTCTTGTTTTCTAAACTCTTGTCCTCAAATTTTAACCAACACAGATTTATGCCTGTTCTTTTCTACTGGTTCAGTTTGTTACATGAGTCACTGCCAGAGCTGCTTTCAGATTCCCCCATGACTCTATAAGTACCAGGAGATGAGAGGAAATCTTAAAATCACCTTAGGTTCTGGGAGTAGGAGTAGCGAAAACACTTATAATTATTTTATCCCCATCACAATTACAAAGGCATGCTTATTGAATGACTGACTCTTTCTAAAACAGGATAAGAAGTTTATTTTAATGCAACATTTAAAGAAATAAATTAATAATGAAATCAATGTGGTAAAAATATTGTTTTATCTTAAAAATGTTGAATGTTTATATTTTATTTTAAATAAATTAGAAACAATTTATAAAAAAGCTGATAAATAATGCAAGATAAGTTTATAATAGACCTGTGCATAACATTTCTATTTAGGTGACAACATACATATTAATTACATACTTCATGAGCAACAGGTCTTTGAGTATAGGATAACTGATTATGTTTTTACAGCAAAAACCTTTAAATTTTTTCTTCTTCTGTACTTATATTTACTCCTTGTTATGCCTAGTACAGTGTGGACCACAGGTAAGCACTCAATAAAATGTCTGAGTAAATGAATAGTACTAATATAAGAATATACTGAGAAAAGAGATAAAAGACTATCAAACAATGATAGAAAAGATTGTTAGGAGGAAGATAGCAATTGATTAGTAGTTGCCAAAAGTCGTTCAATAGTGTTCCCACATCAACAAAAGAGGACAAACACAGACAAAGATCAATTTTTCTTTTGCCGTGCATTTCTAAAGCAAACTCCCACATCACTTTCTCCCTCTAACTTAGTAAAAGCAGAAGGGCATTTTTGCCCCACTCCTGGACAAGGTAAATTAGCATCATTACCTATTCACTTCCCCTCTCTGCCTCCACTGCCCAACAGTGACATTATCATACACAAAAGGAATGTGTGGAAAGACACATCAAGAAATACAATTGACTTCAATCTACATTAAAACACATTTTACCCCTTGGGTCTCATATAGCAATATATTGAACTTCCTTTGCCAATTTCCTCTTATTTGCAAAGCACTATCTCTACAACTACATTAAAAAAAAAAAGAAATTCCATACATTCAAGAGGCTCAGTTAGCCTGCTGATTTTATAAATATCACCCAACATGAGAAAAAGCATTTGCACAGTGATTTTCCAGGAGCAGGGGTAAGATCAAAAGAGAACAAAGAAGATAAAAAATAATCTGGGAGATTGCTTACATTTAAAATTCTACACTGATGTGCCTCATAATGGTGTTTCAGACAATCACAAACCACATATACAAAGGTGGTTCCATAAGATCGTCATGGAACTGAGAAATTCCTATTAACTAGTGACCTCCTAGACTTCCTAACACCTTAGTGCAATTCATTACTCAAGTGTTTGTGGTGATGCTGGTGTAAACAAATCTGCTGCACTGCCAGTCGTGTAAAAGTATAGCAGAGACAATTAGGTCCAGTACAATTACTTTATGATAATAATAAATTACTATGCTACTGATTTATGTATTTACTACACTATACTTTTTATCATTTTAGTGTATTCCTTCAAGTTATATATATATTTATATATATATATTTATATATATATTTATATATATGTTTATATATATATATATTTATAAAGTTAACTCCAAATGGCCCCAGGCAAGTTCCTTAGGAGGCATTCCAGGAGAAGGCATTGTTATCACAGGAGATAACAGCTCCATGTATGTTATTGCCCATGAAAACCTTTCGATGGGACAAGGTGTGAGGGTGGCAGACAGTGATATTGATAATCCTGACTGGGTAGGTCTAGGCTAAGGTGTATGTTTCTGTGTAGTTTTTAACAAAAAGGTTTAAAAAGTAAAAACATAACATTTTAAAAAAACATTTAAAAATTTTTTTTTATTTTTAATTTTTTAAATTTTTTAGAAATTTTAATTTTTAAAAACATTTTTAAAAATTAGAAATAGAAAAAAGCTCACAAAATAAGGATATAAAGAAACACTATTGTAGGGCAGCTATACAATGTGTATTTTAATGTTATTACAAGAGTCAAAAAGTTAAAAAAATTAAAAAGTTATAAACTTTAGAAGAAAATTACAGTAATCTAAAATTAATTTATTAAGGAAAATATTTTAAAATAAATTGAGTGCAACCTAAGTGTACAGTATTTATAAAGTCTACAGTAGTGTAATGTCCTAGGCCTTCATATTCACTCACCACTCATTCACTGAGCAATTGACTCATCCAAAGCAATTTCCAATCCTGTAAGCTCCATTCATGGTAAGTGCCCTATACAGGTATACCATTTTTCATCTTTTATGTCATATTTTACTATATCTTTTCTATGTTTAGACACACAAACACATACCATTGTGTTAAAATTGCCTACAATATTCAGAATAGTAATATGCTGTATGAACTTGTAGACTAGGAGCAATAGGCTATACAACACAGCCTAGGTATGTAGTAGGCTGTATCATTTAGGCTTAAGTATATTCTATGATGTTCACACAATGAAATTGCCTAATGATGCATTTCTCTGAATGAACGTAATTATAATGGTTTCATTTATGATTTCTCCACTTTTCAATTGTATGAAAGTGATAGCATTCAGGGAAAACCATATTTTGAATTTTTATTTTTTCCTGGGCTAGCAGTAAGTGGTACAATACTCTCTCAAGATGCTTTGCAGTAGCAGCGAGCCACAGCTCCTAGTCAGCCAGATCATCAGAAGAGGAAACACGGAATACTTGATATCTTCCTAAGGAACATTATGCCTGCTAAACCATCGGTGAGTGTTGCATTCCTCAGCACCTTCTACCTGGTATTCCCAACCCTCATCAGAAGAGAAAGAATCTGGGTACTCATTCTCTGTTGCAACCCCATCATCCAGCAATTAATTTTACTTCAAGTCTTCAAGCATTCTTCAGACCTAGTGTGCTTTCTGCTATGTATGTTAATGGTCAGTACTCATACTACCATCCTGTTTTTCACTGTCAATGCAGTATTTAATACATTTCAGAAGCTATTCAGCACATTATTATAAAATAGGGTTTGTGTTAGATGATTTTGCTTCACTGTAGGCTAAAGTCATTGTTCTGAGCACGTTTAAGGTAAGCTAGGCTAAACCATGATGTTGGTAGTTTAAGTGTATTAAATGCAATTTCAATTTATATTTTCAACTTACCAAGACACAACCCCAATTTAAGTTGAGAAACATCTATGTATGTTTATTTTAAAATTATAAATTTGTTTTTTTTGCATTTCTGTGTGCATATGAGTATGTGTTTATATGTATATATGTATAGTGTGTATAGTGTGTGTGTGTTTGCAAACATTTATACACACATACATGCAAGAAAAACAAAACAATAAAGTAGTGGAGAACACTAAAAAGGTAATTTTGACTGGAGAGAGAAACGTAGAATCTAGCACTGTAGTGTGTGTCATATTCTCATACTTTTTCTCCAGTTAGGAGAGAGCGATTTATCCCACAAAGAGTTACCCCAAACAGTAACAATGTAACATAGTTATATATCCATAACCTAGTAAGTGAAATGGAGTTGAGCATTACATGACGAATTATACTTTAACAAACTCTACTTGAGAATGAACGATAGAACATCCATTCACTTAGTTGACAAACATTTTAACTCTCATACAAAATTCATAGCAAAAGGCAAAAATGCTATGCAAAAAATAAATGCAAAGACCTCTTAATACAAAAAGGGGTGATTAAAACTGCGCATATCAGTGGCAGTTGAGAGAAAGAGAGCAGAAAGCTGAAACTGGATCCCTTCCTTACACCTTATGCAAAAATTAATTCAAAATGGATTAAAGACTTAAATGTTAGACCTAAAACCAGAAAAACCCTAGAAGAAAACCTAGGCACTACCATTCAGGACATAGGCATGGGCAAGGACTTCATGTCTAAAACACCAAAAGCAATAGCAACAAAAGCCAAAATTGACAAATGGGATCTAATTAAACTAAAGAGCTTCTGCACAGCAAAAGAAACTACCAGCACAGTGAACAGGCAACCTACAAAATGGGAGAAAATTTTTGCAACCTACTCATCTGACAAAGGGCTAATATCCAGAATCTACAATGAACTCAAACAAATTTACAAGAAAAAATCAAACCCCATCAAAAAGTGGGCAAATGATATGAACAGACACTTCTCAAAAGAAGACATTTATGCAGCCAAAAGACACATGAAAAAATGCTCATCATCACTGGCCATCAGAGAAATGCAAATCAAAACCACAATGAGATACCATCTCACACCAGTTAGAATGGTGATCATTTAAAAAGTCAGGAAACAACAGGTGCTGGAGAGGATGTGGAGAAATACGAACACTTTTACACTGTTGGTGGGACTGTAAACTAGTTCAACCATTGTGGAAGTCAGTGTGGTGATTCCTCAGGGATCTAGAACTAGAAATACCATTTGACCCAGCCATCCCATTACTGGGTATATACCCAAAGGATTATAAAACATGCTGCTATAAAGACACATGCACATGTATTTTTATTGGGGCACTATTCACAACAGCAAAGACTTGGAACCAACCCAAATGTCCAACAATGACAGACTGGATTAAGAAAATGTGGCACATATACACCATGGAATACTATGCAGCCATAAAAAAGGATGAGTTCATGTCCTTTGTAGGGACAGGGATGAAGCTGGAAACCATCATTCTCAGCAAATTATTGCAAGGACAAAAAACCAAACACCGTATGTTCTCACTTATAAGTGGGAATTGAACAATGAGAACACATGGGCACAGGAAGGGGAACATCACACACCGGGGCCTGTTGTGGGGTGGGGGGATGGGGGAGGGATAGCATTAGAAGATACACCTAATGTTAAATGACGAGTTAATGGGTGCAACACACCAACATGGCACATGTATACATATGTAACAAACCTGCATGTTGTGCACATGTACCCTAAAACTTAAAGTATAATTAAAAAAAAAAGAGCATGTCTACATTGACTTTCCAGGAGGAAGAAGAATTTAAGGGGTGAGAGCATGAGTCTGAAAGGGGAAGAATTAAAGGAGGTGAGAAGAGATTTCCAGAGTGAGAAAACAACAAAATAAGTAGTAGCTGGAGTGTGAAACCGATGAGTAACTTAGGACTTGGTGCTGGAGATAACGGCAGCATGAAGTTCAGAGAGGCTGATACATTGGAAGCAGGGACACCAGTTAGATGATTCTCTCAATTGTCATTAAATAATTTTCCCTGCGCAGAGTAAATCTGACCTGAAGATGCTCAGTTAGACAGCTACAACTTAAAATACATCAAGTAAATTATATAGACAATAATTGAAATCTATATGGTAGTGTTGTTATCAATTCATCCAACACATATTTATTCATTGACTGTTTTGTGCCAAGAACTGTGCTCACTTAAATTATGGAGTAGAGAAATGCAAAAGGTCACCCACCAACAGGGTGAAGCATCAGAGTAAATACAGGGAAGTATCAGAATAAACATGTCACGGTTCTTAGAAATGAATCAATTCTGGCTGGGTGTGGTGGCTCGTGTCTGTAATCTTAGCACTTTTGGAGGCTGATGTGAGAAGAACGTTTGAATCCAGGAGTTCAAGACCAGTCTAGGCAACATAGTAAGACTCTGTCTCTACAAAAGAATTAAAAAATTAGCTGAGCATGGTGATACGCACCTGTAGTCTCAGGTATTTGGGAAGCTAAAATGGGAGGATCACTTGAGCCCAGGAGTTGGAAGCTGCAGTTAGCCGTGATGGCATCATTGCACTCCAGCCAGAGTAACAGAGCAGGGCCCTGTCTCTATAAAGGAAAAAAAAATCCAGCCTAATAGCATATGTCCTGAGTACCAAATGACTAAAATAAAGTATTCTGGAATAAGGAAGGTAGGGACTAAATAGAGGAAAGAGTTGAAAACATCCAACTGCTTCTTATCCTTTTCCAGCCTAATGCCAGATAGAGAAGACTTAAATTCTCTGGAAGGTCTTCAAAGATTTAATTAAAATATGCTCTTATGTTTCTGACATTACATGACATTTTATTTCCTAACGTTTCTTCATAAATACAAATTAGCACTTGTCATTACAGGCTTTCAATAATATACATCCAACTCAAAAACTCTGCCTTTTTTCTCAAAACCCAGCCTCACATGATGACGTAACACACAGCTCCTAAGAAGAAAATATTTTAAGAAGTCTTTTGTCCAAACTTTATATTTATTTGTTTGTTTGTTTATTTATTTATTTATTTAGAGACAGAGTCTCACTCTGTTGCCCAGGCTGGAGTGCAGTGGCACGATCTCGGCTCACTGCAAACTCCACCTCCCAGGTTCAAGCAATTCTCCTGCCTCAGCCTCCTGAGTACCTGGGATTACAGGCATGCACCACCATACCCAGCTAATTTTTGTATTTTTAGTAGAGACGGGGTTTTGCCATGTTGGCCAGGTTGGTCTCAAACTCCTCACCTCAAGTGATCTCCCTGGCCTCAGCCTCCCAAAGTGCTGGGATTACAGGCGTGAGCCACCATGCCGGGCCCAGATTTTATTTTTAAATTGCACAGCATGTTTGAAACAGGAGCTACCTTAAGAGAAATGCAGATGTTTAAGAATTTTAATATTTCAAGTAAAGGGCAATAGTGATAAATAGGTTTAAGAAGGTACAAGGTAGCAGAAGCTACTGCCATGTCTCTGTCTTCTCCCTTATCTTTACTTTTATTATATTACTTTAGCCATCTTTTTGTCTCTAATGTTTCATTTTGCTTGTTTTGCTTTTTTGTCTAATTGTCATTTGTAATAGGACACGACCCTAGCCAAATGATACCTGGGAATTCTGAATGTTTACGTGTTTGCATGCACACAACACACACACACACACCACACACACACACACACACACACACACACACACACACACCCCTGGGCTCTCACTCCTCCAAACTACCTAGATTTTACAATTGTCCTCCTCACCAGTCCTATAAGACATGTGCCAGTGATGCCAGGAATCCTTGGTTTTCTCATTGCTTTACGTTTTTATCTGCCTGCCTTCACTGAGGCCATAGACTCCCCACCGTTCCATTCCTTATGATCATGGCAGATTCCTTTCAAGAAGAATTTACAGCCTCTTAATCCAAGCCAATCACTTTCCCTAACCAGTTGTATCACTTACTAGCTGGAGGAATCACTAACATTCTAAGCCTCCGTTTTCTCTACCTACAAACTGGGCATAATAATAGTATCTATTTCTTAGATTTGTTACAAAAAATAATTAGGTTATTGTACAAAATGCACTTACTTAGAAATGCATTTACATATGCGTTCGTGACTGGTGCATAATTATTTCATTATTTTTATCACTATCATCATCATTATCCATTCATCATCATCACTTCCTTCATCATTATTGAAAAGTTGATAAAATCATAACTTAATGAGCAAGCCTGACTCTTGTTAGATTTTTATTGTTTTTTTAATCACTCTATTTAGAGACTTTAAAATTGTTTTTCTCATTTATATAAGATTTGTTTTATAAGTTCCTGGCTCTGAAAGTGTGTAGCAAGTCACCTGGGAAACTGCAGAAAGCTAACAGAGGTACTCCTACATATTCTAACTTTTCTAGAGATGCATAGACACTACCAAAAAAGGATCACAGTGTATTTCTTTCAATGACATTATATATTTTCAAAGCTTGGGTTTTACTTTTTGCTGCCTTAAAAGGCAAGCACACTGAGAAAATTAACGTAGAGTAAGAAAGCAGGTTGGGAGGCCGAGGCGGGCGGATCACGAGGTCAGGAGATCGAGACCATCCTGACTAACATGGTGAAACCTCATCTCTATTAAAAATACAAAAAATTAGCCAGGCGTGGTGGCAGGCCCCTGTAGTCCCAGCTACTCGGGAGGCTGAGGCAAGAGAATGGCATGAACCTGGGAGGCAGAGCTTGCAGTGAGCCAAGATTGTGCCACTGCACTCCAGCCTGGGTGACAGAGCGAGACTCTTGTCTCCAAAAAAAAAAAAAAAAAAAGAGGAGGGTGAAGGTCTTCAATCTGAATTCAAGTTTTGAGAAGTGGTGCATTGCCCGCAAGAAACTGCACACATCCCATAAGTAAATAATTTTGGTTAAGAAAGAAACAGAAGTATTTTCTTCTTTGAATTTATAAATATTAATTTTCAAACTGCTGATAAGTTTAAGACATAAATATATATTAACATACTGCAAGCTGATACTCAAACAGGACCCTTAGGTGTTTTGTTTGTTTTATTGATCTAGGAATTACAGGAAAAAATTACTTTGGGTATCATAAACCAAGAAAATTTGGGCTCCCTGCTGGAATGTTCCACAATTCTAGCTGCTTATTAGCATCATGCGAAATTAAATACAAATTTAACCTCACCAGGGAATGCTGCTATACGTGAGGACTGAGAAATACCACCAAAAATAATCTACTTAATAGATAGAAAAATTAGAATAGACAAAATAGACAAAACTAGAGAAAAGAAAGCCTTCTTCCAGAAGTTAGTTCTTATTCCAAAGTCAAGTCCATCAAGATTATATTTTCATGAGATCATAAAACTAACTTCTCATCATTTCTTACTTCTTGTTTTCCCACTTCTATTTCGATTACGTTTTGTCAATATTGAAGGTCAATATTAAAATAATTTTATCTTTAATGGAAAGGCAGGTCTTTTAGAACAGAAATTATCAAAGCTTAACAATGTCTTTCCAAAGGAATGTGTTAAAATGCTGATGCTAAGTCCTCTTTTCTCAGAGATTCTGATGCAGATAGCATAAGAAAAACAGTTTAGAAAGTCTGGAGTTGAAAATACATGAAGCAATAACCATGAAGCTCCCTAAGAACTTAGAAATAAAAATTACTTCTGAAAATTAAGCCACAAAATCAGTTAAGAATGTGAGAGGCCAGAAGAAAAGATATAAAAATTCATTTTAAATTACTAAATATTAAGATATTATAATCAGACATGTTTATATTTATATATTTACATACTTATATTTATATACTTACACACTTAAAGATAACATCCAAAGAACATAATAGCTTTTCAGTAGCAGGCAAATAAGTAATATCTGAAAGGTAGGCATTGCAGTGGTGTGACAGAATCAGCTGGTGGTGACTTTTGAGAACTGGATTGTATGTATCCCAGCCGCATCTTTAGTGATATTGGTGGCTTCAACTTAGTCATAATGGTAATATTTATACCACAAAAACTGACAAACCTACAAATTAGCATGGTTTTCCTTAAAGAGCCAACTGTTAATCATTTATCAACAGGCCATTGAATACTGGAAAAACTCACCCAAACATGATTCAGAAAAGAAATTTCTCCAAGAGGTGTTATAAACATATTACATCTGCCTAGCATATCTATCTGTGTTGTTGAGACTAATGTCAATTTATACGTAAGTCTGATAATATTCAATGTTCATATCCCATAAACAATTCCCCCTGCTCTGTTTTCAAATTCTGATATTTCAGCTTCGCATGAAAATTTCTTTTTAAAAGAGAGTAACACCATTGGACCACTTGATGTCTGTTCTACCTGAGGTATTAATTAAGTAAACTGCTATTCTAATCTATGCGACATTGAGAATGTAGTAATCATCATTATCAATTTAAGTCTGAGAAATCCAGCATACTGACAATTTCAGTTTCTACAGGGAGGCTTATTGGTCAAGACTGTAAACTGATGGCACTTCATATCCAGCTAGTTGGCCTTCTCTGAAGCCACTAACCTCAATGAATAACTGAATGAAGCAATTCATCTAGAATAATTACAGAGCAGTACTTCCTCAGACCAGATGAACTGTACTAGAACAACTTCAAAAAAAAGTTGCTAGAAATTAATAATGCAACTTTTTTTTCCTTTTACCATGTAATGTTTATATCAGTTAAATCCATATTTAAAAAATTATCTCTTCTCTGTATAGCCATTCTAGAGGTCCTTATGGGCTAAGGAAATACAGGTATCAGATGCCTTCAACTGCTGTACAACCAGGCAGTTAAAACACTAGAAACCAGTTAGCAGAAAGCAAATATCCACTTAGGCTCAAATCTTCAAAGTGCCAGGGAATACTGATTAATTACCTATAAACTTAGACACTTGAATGTGGAAGGTCAGCACTAGAAATATCATCAGTACAAAATATCTACCCTAAGGGGCAGAACAAGATTATTTGTCTACTCATTATTTCACCCTAGGGGTTCTACTGATTTGGCAAAGAAATTTGAAACTAAAACTCCCTTGAAGATTATCAGATTTATCATGTTCATTAGAAGAGATCACTACTAAAGATTTTTTTTTTTAAGAAGAAAACCCTTTTTAAACTGGGACATCATAATAATGTATGATTATGTTTCCAAAGATGACCTCTGGCATGTATCTATGGATCCATACAGATGGTTTCTCAGGCCTAATGATTTACTGTCATTGAGACAAATGAAAAAATAATCCTGTAAAATTATAATTACTTGCTACTTCTTAATCTAGATAGGTTTTTAATGATAATGCTTTATGAAGCTATATTCTTCTGATTCTAATGCACTATTTCAAGGCAACCTACTTCAATAGCAAATGAATAAAAATGATTAGTAGGAATAGGAAAGATACATAGAGCATCTAAGTAAATGAAGCATTTTCATGAAAACTATTAAATTGATGAATTAGACTAAAGTGTCACTGCCATTAAACTCTGTTTAATAAATGTCAAATAAATACTTTAGCAGTGCTCTGCAGCCTTTGTGACTGTTACTGTATCTATCAGAGAAGGCATTAGCAATTGTTTTTGCATTGTATGTGTTTTACCTAATAAAAAGATTTACTTTCCTTCCATGATTGTTAATTTTCATTCCTGCTGATAAAACTGAATTCTGAACACTATTGGGCTTTAAGGAAAACTTTGAGACAAGGTAAATTTTCCTCTAAAAAGTCTGTAAATTATTAACTGCCACATTCTATATATTATTAACCTTTTACAATACACTTTAACACATGCATGCAGACACACACACACAAATGTTAGGGTATATTCTCAGTGCCTTATGAAGAGTATCGGATTTCTCAAATCCCAGGATATTCAGTCTATGTAGGAAAGTTTGATTCTCAGATCTCAAGCAAATAGAGATGATTTTGCTCAGTGGGTCACAGGCAACTCCTCAGCTAAGCTTTCCAGAAATGAAAAAGTAGATATAGGAAAAGAGCTCCCTTCTTTAAAGGATAATACAATATCTATTTCAGAAGGGGTAGTTAACAGGTTTGTTGTTTGAACTGTACACTGTAAAAATGAAGTAGATCTGAATTACTTACGGGATGGGGTACCAATCTACGTGCAGGGTTACACATGAGAAATGGGTACTAAAGCTTCCTACTATAACTATAAATTTGGCTAATCTCTTAGTTTTGTCAGTTTTTACTTCCCGTTTCTTCCTCATGAATTCACTTTCTCATCATTACGAAATTTCCAATTATATCTCTATAATATTTTTTGTCCCGAGGCCTGCTTTTTCTTATCTTTTTACAGACACACTATATTTTATGTATATATTTTGATTACCGTATATTTTTCTAACTTTTATATTCAATCTGCCTGTATTTGAATCTGAAGTACATTTCCTGTAGATAGCATACCTATGACTCCTCCCTCCACCAGTGTGACAATTTCCCTTTTAATTGGGGTTTGACTATCATCTTGATATTTTATTTCCATTTATTTTTTTTCTTTCCTTTTGTATCTTCCTTCAGGTTAATCAAATAATTTAAATTATTCCATTCTATTTCTTCTATTGGTTTTTTATGTTTTTTAAGTACTTGATTTTGCGATTACAGTATGCATTCTTAAAATGTCACAGTCTGGAAATAATTTGTGTTGTAGTACTTCAGGTAAAGTGTAAGAAATTTATCACTGCATAATTTCATTAAATCTCTATTTTTGTTATTTTGTTATTTGCTTTTATTTCGGTATGTGTTATAAACTCCAGAAGGATTATGATATTAAGTAATTTTTTTTTGCTTAAGAAGGTCAGTTCTCTATTAAAGAAATAAAGATATGAAATTCAGCCAGGGGTGGTGGCTCATGCCTGTAATCCCAGCACTTTGGGAGGCCAAGCGGGGCGGATCATGAGGTCAAGATATCAAGACCATCCTGGCCAAAATGGTGAAACCTTGTCTCTACTAAAAATACAAAAATTCGCTGGGTGTGGTGGTGCACGCCTGTAGTCCCAGCTACTCAGGAGGCTGAGGCAGGAGAATCACTTGAATCCAGGAGGCAAAGGTTGCAGTGAGCCAAGATCGTGCCACTGCACTCTAGCCTGGTGACATAGCGAGACTCCATGTCAAAGAAAAGAAAAAAAAAAAAAAGAAAAGAAATTAAGAAATTCTAAAAAGTCTTTCATATTTATCTACACATTTACAACTACTAGCTCTTTTCATTCCTTTCAGTAGATTCAGATTTTGGTTGGGTATTAATTCTCTTCAGGCTAAAGAATCTCTTTTACCATTTCTTTCTTTTTATTTTCATTTGTCATATTTATTTTTCTTCCAACCTTTATTTTAGGTTCAGGTTGTACATGTGCAAGTTGGTTACGTGAGTAAATTGTGTAGGGGTTTGATATACAAATGTTTTCATCACGGAGGTAGTGAGCATAGTACTCGATAGGTAGTTTTTCAATCTTCACACTCCTCCCATCTTCAACCCTCAAGTAGGCCCCGTATCTATTGTTTCCCTCGTTGAGTTCATGTGTACTCAACATTTAGCTCCCAGTAATAAGTGAGAGCATGCTGTACTTGGTTTTTTGTTCCTGTGTTAATTTGCTTAGAATAATGGCCTCCGGCTGCATACATATTGCTGGAAAGAACATGACTTCATTCTTTTGAATGGCAGAGTAGTATTCCGTGGTGCACATTTTCTTTCTCTATCTCCTCAGTGGTTGCCAAAAGTGGTACGATAAACTTATGTATGCATGTGCCTTTATGGTAGAGCAACTTATTTTCCATTTGGGTAAATATCCAATAATGGGATTGCTGGGTCAAATGGTAGTTCTATTTTAAGCTTATTGAGAAATGTCTAAACTGCTTTCCACAGGCTGAACTAATTTATCCTCTTACCAGCAGCATATAAGTGTTGCTATTCTCTGCAATCTTGTCAATATCTATTATATATTTACCTTTTAATCATAGCCATTCTGAGTGGTTTGAGACGGTATCTCATTGTGGTTTTAATTTGCATTTCTCTAATGATTAGTAATGTTGAGCATTTTTTCATGTTTTTTTGACCACTTGTATGTGTTCTTTTGAAAAGTTCATGTCCTTTGTCCGTTTCTTAATGAGTTTGTTTTTTGCTTGTTGATATGTTTCCATTCCTTTTAGATTCTGGATATTAGATCTTTGTCAGATACATAGTTTGCAAATATTTTCTCTCATCTTTTTGTGGGCTGTTTACTCTGTTGATAGCTTCTTCTGCTGTGCAGAAACTCTTTCCATTTAATTAAGCCCAACCTAATTTTTATTTCAGTTGCTTTTGGAGTCTTTGTCATAAAATCTTTGCCTAAGCCTATGCCCAGAATGATATTTCCTACATTTCTTTTAGGGTTTTTATAGTTTTAGGTTTTACATGTGAGTCTTTAATCCACCTTGAGTTTATTTTTGCATATGGTAAAAGGAAGAGGTCTAGTTTCAGTGTTCTGCATGTGGCTAGCCAGTTATCCCAGCAGCATTAACAGAATAGGTGTCCTGAATAGACCTGAATAAACATTTCTCAAAGGAAGACATATAAAGGACCAACAGATATAAGAAAAAAATGCTCAACATCTCCAATCATTGAATTAAAAACAACTAAAACCACAATGAGATATCACCTCATAGTTGTTACATTGGCTGTTATCAAAATGATGAAAGATAATAACTGTTGGCAAGGTTGTGGAGAAAAAGGAATCTTGTACATTGTTGACGATATTGTAAATTAGTAGTTATTTTGGAAAACAGTATGGAGGTTCTTCAAAAAATAAAAAATAGAATTATCATATGATCCAGCAATGCCACTTCTGGGTGTATATCCAAAGGAATTAAAATTAGTATGTTGAAGAGATGTTTGTACTCCTGTGCTTATTGCAGTATTATTCACAATAGCCAAGATATGGAAACAACTGAAGAGGTCAACAGATGGGTTAAAAAATGTAGTCTATGATAGAACGCATAATGGAATAATATTCAGCCATTAAAAAGTAGGAAATTCTGTAATTTGTGACAACATGGATGGACTTAGAGGACATTGAACTAAGTGAAATAAGCAACACACATAAAGAAAAATGCCACATGATGTCACTTATATGTGGAATCTAAAAATGTCTAACTCATAGATGTAGAGAGTAGAATGATAGTTACCAGAGGTTGTGGGGGGGGGTTGTATGTAAAGAGGGCAGGTAAGGAAAAGGAAGACTTTGGTCAAAGGGTACAAAATTTCAGTTAGATGGGAGACTGGGTCTGGTGATCTATTGTACAGCTTGGTGACTATAGTTAATAATAACTATATTAACTAAGTTATGATTGATTATTGAGACATAATATTTTTAATTGACAAATAATAATTGTCAGCCAACCTAACAGCTATAAGGCCATATCTTATTATGGTTTTCAATTGTATTTTATCCAGTGATTAGAGATGATGAGCATTTTTTCTTCTATCTGTTGGTCATTTATATGTCTCAATAATCAATAATGTATTGCCTATTGATTTGATCATTCCAGAATGTATACATATATCAAAACATTACATTGTAACACATAAATATATACAATTACTATTTGTTCAATTAAAAATAAAAAATAAAACCATTCTTATCTATTCAGCAAAAGAAGTCACCAGAGCATCTCTACCAGGCAATATTTCCTTAGCTTATTCACACTCAAGGGGAAGAAAGAAAAATTTACTTAAGAATGTGTTAGGCACAATAATGCTCCACTCTTCTAAGCCCAAATATGCTCCACATCCTAATCCCCAGAAGCTGTGAATGTTATTTTACATGGCAAAAGGGAATTAGATTGCAGATGAGATTCATCTAAGATTGCTTACATTATAACACAGAGATTATCCTGGATTATCCAGGTGGGCAAATTATAATCATGAGAATACTTGAATATGAAAGAATGAGGCAGAATGCAAGAGTCAGAGGGAGATGTGACTACAGAAAATGGCCAAAGAGATTCAAATTTCTGCCTTTGAAGATTAAAGAAGGGGGCCACAAGCCAAGGAATGTGTTTGGCCTCCTGAAGCTGGGAAAGGCAAGTAAACAGATATCACCCTGCAGCTTCCAGAATGGGATGCAGACCTGCTGACACCTTGAGTCTTCCAATGAGACCTGCATGAGACTTCCAATCTGCAGGAGTGTAAGACAATATATTTGTTTTGCTTTAGGGTAATAAAACATGGTAATATTTTTACAGTAGCAATAGAAAACTAATAGGAAATGCTTCTAATATATAACAAACTAGGATAACATCTTTATTTAAAATCTGTACTGAAATAAAAAGTGAAAGATGTGTACAATCTGAAGAGAAACATGAAAGTAAAGATATTTGCATTCCTATGATCATTGCAATATTATTCACAATGGAAAAGATATGAAAATAATCTACATGATGGTCCATATGAATAAAGAAAGTGTGCTGTATATACACAATGGAATACTATTTACCTTCAAGAAAAAAAAGGAGATCTTGCCATTTGCAAGAACATAGATGAACCTAGAGGACGTATGTTCAATGAAATAAGTCAGAGAGAGAAAGAAAAATACTGCATGATCTCACTTATGTGTGGAAGATAAAAAAGAGAAAGAAATCAACTATACAAAAACAAGGAATAGAAAGATGGTTATCAGGAGTGGGAGGGAGGGGAAATCAGAAGATACAGATAAAAGGGTAAAGAGATATCTAAAACGGTAAACAGTTATCTAGAATAAGTTTATAGATCCAATGTACCACATGATGACTCTAGTTAATAATACTGCATTATGTACAGACATTTGCTAAGAGAGTAGATTTTAGGTGATCTTATGTGGTAAGATATGAGTGTATGAACATTTATGTGCACACACTCACATAAATGGTAACTGAGACAATGGATATGTTAATTTATTCAACTGTAGTAGTCACCTCACCATGTATTTCTATATATACATATATATATATAAACATTCTGTATATGTTAAATGTATGGTTATGTGCTGCATAATGATGTTTTTAGTCAATCGACCACATATATGATGGTGGTCGCATAAGATTGCAATTAAGCTGAAATATTCCTTTTGTCTAATGACATCATAGCCATTGTAATGTAATGTCATAGCACAACATTTTCCTCACGTGATGATGCTGGTGTGAACAAAACTGCTCCATGGTCAGTTCTGTAAAAGTATTCCATATACAATTATATACGGTATATAATACTTGATATTAAAAACAAACAGCTATGTTACTGGTTTATGTATTTACTATACTATACTTTTTATTGTTAGAGTGTACCTCTACTTATGTTTCTAAAAAGTTCACTGTAAAACAGCCTCAGGCAAGTCCTTCAGGAGGTATTCCAGAAGAAGATATTGTTATCACAGGAAATGACAGCTCCATGCATGTTATTGCCCCTGAACACCTTTCAGTGGGACAAGATATAGATGTGGAAGACAGAGCTATCGATGACCCTGACTTTGTGTAAACTAATGAGTGATTTTGTATCTTAGTTTTTATCAAAAATTATTAATATTTAAATTTAGAATTGACACATAATAAATACACTTAGTTATGGAGTTGTATTTGTCCATTTGGCTAACTACAAAGAAATACCCCAGACTGAGTAACTTTAAAGAAAAGAGATTTAATTGGCTCACAGTTCTGCAGGCTGTACTGGAAGCATGCATGGCTTCTGGGAAGGCCTCAGGAAGCTTGTACTCATGGTGGAAGGTGAAATGGGAGCAGGCACATCACATAGCAAGAGTGGAAGCCAAATAACAAAGGAGTAGGTGCCACACACTTTAAATTACCAGATGTAGTGAGCATTCAATCTATCATGAGGACAGCACCAACCCAATGAGATGAGGGATCGGCCTTCATGACCCAAACCCCTCCCACCAGATGCCCTCTTCAAAATTGGGGATTACCTTTCAACATGAGATTTGGAGAGGAAAACCATTCAAACTGTATCAGGAGTACAGTGTGACATTTCAGTGCATGTGTACTTTGCATGAGATGAAATCTCATGTCTATCACTTTAAACATTTATTATTTCTTTCTGGTGACAACACTCAAAATCTTTTCCCGGAGCGATCTTGAAATATACACAACACTGTTATTTTCACTTTACTCTGAAATAGAACACCAGAATTTATTTTTCCTGTCTAACGTAATGTTTTACTCATTGACCAATCTCTCTCATTCCTTGCTCCCCACACTGCACCTGCCTCTGTTAATCATCCTACTCCCCATTTCTATGAAATCAATTAGATTCCCATATGAGTGAGAACATTCATTGTTAGTCTTTCTGTGCCTGGCTTATTTCACTTTACATAATGTCCTTCAGGTTCATTCATGTTGCCACGAATAAAGGAGTTTCATTCTGTTGTAAGGCTGAATAGTATTCCATTGTGTGTGTATGTGTGTGTGTGTGCGTGTGTGTGTGCACGCACAACACATTTTCCTTACCCATTCATCTGTACATGGGCATTTAAGTTGATTCCGTATCTTGGCTATTGTGGATGGAAAGGTGCTGCAATAAAAAACATAAGAGTGCAGATATTTCCTTAACATACTGATTTCATTTCCTTAGGACATATACTCAGTAATGAAACTGTTGGATCATATGGTAGCTCTATTTTTAATTTTTTGAGGAACGTCCACACTGTTTTCCGTAATGACTGTGATAATTTACATTCCCACCAACAGTGCATAAGAGATCTTTTTCCACATCCTGTCTGCATTTATTGTCTTTTTGATAATAGCCATTCTAAATGGGGTGAGGTGATATCTCATTGTAGTTTTGATTTGCATTTTCCCAATGATTAGTAATGTTGAGGATTTTTTATGTATCTGTTGACCATTTTTATGTCTTCTTTCAAGAGGTACGTGTTCAGGTCTTTTGCTCATTTGTTAATTGAATTATTTGCTTTTTTGCAATTCAGTTGTTTGAGTTTCTTATGTATTTTAGGTATTAACTCCTTACAGATGCATAGCTTGCAAATACTTTCTCCCATTCCATAGGTTGTCTCTTCACTGTATTGATTGTTTCCTCTACTGTGAAGAAGCTTTTAAGTTTGTTGTAATTCCATTTGTCTATTTTTGCTTTTGTTTTCTGTGTTTGGGGGTCTTATTCAAAAGTTTTAAAAGTAAAAATTTAAAAATAGGAGAAAGTTTATAGAATAAGAATATAATATAAAGAAAGTAAATACTTTTGTACAGCTGTATAGTGTGTTTGTATTTTAAGCTAGCTGTTATTATAAGAGTCCAAAAGTTAAAAAATATTATATAAAGTAAAAATATTACAATAAGCTAAAGTTAATGTATTATTGAATAAAGAAAAAATATTTTTTATAAATTTTGTATAGCCAAATATATAGTGTTTATAAAGTCTACTGTAGTGTATGGTAATGTCCTATCATTTCAAATTTACTACTCCTTACTCACCCAGAACAACTTCCAGTCTTGCAAGCTCCATTTGTGGTAAGGACCCTACAGAGATGTACCATTTTTATACCATATTTTTACTGCCTTCTTTTTTATTATTTAGATGTGCCAATATTTACCATTGTGTAAAAATTGCCTATAGTATTTAGCACAGGCTTATAGTCTAGGACCACTAAACTATACCACCTAGACTAGTTATGTTGTAGCCTATATTATTCAGTTTTATGTAAGTACATTCTATGATGTTTGCACAACAAGGTAATTGCCTAAGGATCGATTTCTCAGAAATATCCCTGTCATGAAGTGACAGAAAAATCATATACAATAATAAATAGAAAAGAAACAGAAAGACAGAGAGAAGGAAGGAAGGAAATGAAGGAAAGGAAGAAAACAAAAGGAAAGGGAAAGGGAAAAGGAAAGGAAAGGAAAGAAGAAATGAAGAAAAGAAGAAGCTCAATGGAGTTAAAAGAACAGGAGAGCAGAGTACATCATGCTGCTTATATTTAGCAAGAGATAGAGCAATAGCAGTAAAAGAATGCTTAATAAAAAGGCATTAACAGGTTGGGTGTGGTGGCTTATGCCTGTATTCTCAGTACTTAGGGAGGCTGAGGTGGGCAGATCACTTGAGGGCAGAACTTCAAGACCAGTCTAGCCAACATGGTGAAACCCTGTGTCTACCAAAAATACAAAAATTAGCCAGGCAGGGTGGCACAGTCCTGTAATCCCAGCTACTCGGGAGGCTGTGGCACAAGAATTGCTTGAGCCTGGGAGGCAGAGGTTACAGTGGCCTGAGATCGTGCCACTGCAGTCCAGCCTGGGCAACAAAGCAAGACTCTATCTCAAAATAAATAAATAAATAAATAAATAAATAAATAAATAAATAAATAAATGTATGTATGTATGTTAAAAAAGGCATTAACATACACAAACATCCTTAACACTCGTATCTGCAGCCTGCGTATTTAGCCTTTTACTACTTAACAACAAACATGCAACAAACATGAAACATCATAAAGATTTTGAATAGCTAAGTATCCTACTATTAACCAGAAAATTTTCTAAATGCTATTGTTCAGTTGTATTAAGTAAATACTTTTGCATTTCATTGAGTAATACAGTGACATACTTCGCCAAATTCACAGAGATAGCCAGGCACAACTGGAACCTCATGACTGTGTCCATTCCATTTAGTCCCTTATATTGAATGGGCTAGTTGGTTATCATATCTAAATTACATAATGTATTTAGGAAGAATAATCTAAACAAATTATATATTCATTTACCATCCTTTCTATACCTGATTTACAACAGTAAGAACAAATCATTTAGGCAGAATAATCTAAACAAATTATATATTCATTTACCATCCTTTCTATACCTGATTTACATCAGTCAGAACAAATCATCTTCCCTCCTGATTTGCTCATTGTATAGCAGGGGTAGGAGAGGAAATGGGTTCTAATGAGTCATCAGACTTAAAACTTATTAATAGTAACTAAAGCAGTACATATATGTCAGCAGAAAGTGTACCTTGAAAATTACAGGGAACAGACATTATACAAAACAACTTAATGTTAAATTTAAACTATAGATAATCACTAGACAGTGGGTTCAATATGGGAATCTAAAGCTAAGCATCCAAGTCTTTAAATTTTTTTTTTTTTAGACAACTACTAAACACTGGAGTAAAATTAAAGAAACTAAAGTTAGAAAGTAATCAACACTATGTTTTTTCTTTTAATTGAAAAGGAAAATGCAGTTCTGGTTTAGCAACTATGGCTTAGAATTTCTTTTAATTCCCCCCTCCCCCTTCCATTTTAACAAGCTTCTTCATTTAGCTGGTAGAGGTAACTAGTAATGCAAGCTTGAATTAACACACAAAAAGACATTATCAAAAAGCACTGCATTCTCATTTATGATATCAAAATTATATTTTTTAATTCAAATTAAAATAAAGGTATTTAGCCTTCCTAGAAATAGGTTTGTTGTGTTTTGATCTTTGTGTATTCTTTATGATTTCCTAGATATTTTCTCTCCACTCCATTAGTTTCATAATGAATTTTTTGCTTCATGATTATTCATTTCAGCACAGATCAATGTTTTATCTTAATAGATAGGTTTAGAAATTTCATACTTTAAACATCTCTGCTTTGCTCAGTGTTTTTAAAATACAATTTTTGTTTCTACCAATCAACATCCTATCCTTCCTTCCCACCAAAGGAAAAAATATGGAGAAGAGATGTATGAAGGTCATCACTGAAGAGTCATAAACCATTGTAAATAATGTCAAAACTATAATTTAATTAGTGCCCCATCTGTCACTTTCTGTTTGACGAGCACTAAATGTCCAATTATCATTTAATATCTTCTCTAATCAGTTCTGGCAAATTTTGCAGGCACACAAGAGATGACATTAATAGATGAAAGTGAGGCTACTCTTGCCACATTATCAGAAAGAAATTTTGAGCAGCACTGACTTACGATGGGGAAGGTAAGAATTTATTCCAATTAGTGGTAGCATTTTATAACAATAAAGTTGTGGGGTGTGTAAAACAAAGAATTTTCTTTGTTCTCTCAAGAAGTTAATGAAATAGCCCTACATGTAATTCTGTAGAAATTCTTGTATAGATTCCAATATTTCAAAAAAGCTAGTTATGTACTCAACCATCTTTGACGCAGTGTCTTTGAAAGCCATCTACTTCTGGAGTAGTCTTTTGCCTTTTGTAAACTAGTTTTTCCTCAAAGGCATTGTTTGTATACAATGCATCCCTAGGGAGTTTTGTAAGGCAGAGCATACGCTGAATCAATTTTGGACATTGTCTCTTATAAAACGAAAACATGATTCACTCAGAGACTCTTTACCTAAACATAATAAAACTGTAACTTTTACCTAATTTATGGGGCAGGGAAATTAACTGAACTCTCACAAATTTGTTTTCTATTGCCCCCACAAAAAATTACAACAGCATTCCATTTCTGGCTGTGACTGAGAATTTGGTTTAATTTGAAAAAAATGGAACCGTAACCCAAAGGCTTTTACCTGTTGTCAAATTATTAAAGGCAAGTAATAACCCATGCTCCATTCTTATCACTATTAACATTTTTCCTTGTGATTATTCTTTTACTTTCTTTTAAGATGAGAAAAAAATAGACTTTTATTCTTGACTGAATAGGTAAAAACCATCAAGAAATGTCAGATTTTCCAGAGAATAATTTCAACAGAGAAGATTGCTCTACATACAAGAAACTGAGGCCAAGAGAGTTGATTGACTTGCTTAACACTGAAGCAAGCATATTAGCAATTTTAAATGACATTTTCCTATAATGTTTTATATTATGTATAAATATTCATATAATCAGAATTCAGTATAAGGTATGTATCTTAAAGATTAAAAAAAAAAAAAAAAAACCCTGAACTCTAGTCAACCAAAAGTAACAAGAAAATATATTCATTCAACATGTATTTTGTAGCTGAAATGCTGGATGTTTTAGCCAGAAGATAATGGGGTTAATTTAATTTGGATTCTAAATGGTAAATTTTGAGTTTGAATTTGGAGAAGCAAGTCACTTCATTTAGAATTATGGTATAATTGATTGGTTCCTGAAAAAGAAATCTTAATTTAAAAAACAGAGTTTTAGATCATATAGGCCATCTGTATATGTTTTTGAAGTAAATATCTGTGAAATATTTGACACATTCTAACAAGATCCCCTGCAGTCTTTTGAGCCTCTTCCTCCTCCAGCCGTGCCTCTCATCTTTTAACCTCTAATGTATATACTTAAATGGAAAAGGATCAGACAGTCATGTCTATGGTCCTATAATCTGAAAAATAATAAGCAAATTATCAAACAAAATCTTATGTAGCCTCAAATACAAATATTTATAATCACATGAGAAATTAACAGTTATTCGCTATTGATTGAAAATTGACTTATTAGGTTTTTCTAATATGTGTTTTCATTAACGAGCAGTAGAGACTTTTCCTGGCCGTCTTTTTCCTTAATGAGAAAGTACACGTCATAGGAAATTTTGGGCCCGGTCACAACTTTCTAAGTGAAGTGACTTGCTTCTCCACAAAAAAATGACCCCTTCTATAAAAATGCTCTGAGGAAACTGACACTATCTGCTGCCTGGTAGTTGCTAATAAGAAAAAGAAAGGTTTTTGACAAGTCTTCCCCAGTGATCATGACTAGAGATTTAAAATGAAGCTCCTTACCTTATAGTATAAGTTATATTTCTTGTGGGAAAAATATCATTGCTAATACATTTATATCCCTAAAAGTTTGAAGCCAAGATCGGACTGATGGATTGTGGATTGAGTTCAGCAAAACTTTTTTAGGCTGTTGTGCTTCTGTTTGACTCCCATTTATCCTGCCTACCCTAAAAGACAATTTGGTTTAAAGTATTTAAGAACAGAATCTTGTATTCTGTGACTTTGGCAGAGAAAGGAGAAAGGGGGTTGTACCGCTAGTGTACATGAGGGTGAGTTCTCATTATGTGCATCTCTGTGTGTATCCTTCGACTTATAACTTGAAAAACCTTCTAAGCTTATGAGCCAGAACTTCTATTGTCAGATTTGTAAAACCCTAGCAGGAAGATCCAAAGTCACAACTAAAGGGAATTCTATTCTTTTTCAAAAAAGGTAAAATCAAGCAGCAAATTTAAATGCCAAAGTAATCTTTCCTCACAAGAACAGTTTAATATATAAGCTCTATTCTAGGAGATGGAATATTATTAATCCAAAATGCCACCATTACATTGCATCCTTCAAAGAGCAGCCTCAATTTCAAAAATATAGTGTGGGACTCTGTGAAAAATATTTCTAGACTCTTAACCCTACATTATGAAATGGATTTTAAGTATTTGGAGCCAAGGAGCTCATTCAGCTAACTCATCAGTATGTGTTTCTATTCCTTAAATAGTCATATTTGAAATATCTTTCCCAAATATTGGGGAGCAGGTAAAAGGACACTCCCCTAACTAGCAAAAAAGCATGGGTTTCACCTTGGCTTGGAAGTCTCTGGTCACTTCTGGGTCTGTTGCCAGAGGAGCATCACCTTTATAAGCAAAGAGCACCTGTCAGAGACCAAAAGATGTACAGATAGAAACCTCTACTTTTTGTACTGGTTCACTCACTAGCTTTTACGTTCAGCTCCTCATGTTAACTTCCTGCCCATTTATTCACGTAAGACTAAGTGGATTACATATGGGAAACTAGACAAAATATCTATGGTGTGTCACAGAGCTGCAAACTCCTAAGAATGGGATATGTGGTTTCTGCTGTGTCTGATCTCAGTGTTTCCAGAGACTGGTAATTTCCAGAGAGTTATCATGGGAGGTGAGCGCTTTAGAAGAGGCTAGAGCCCGTAAATCAATAACCCTTAATTTCACTCTCCCTGAAAAGTGTCAAGTTGTCTCACAATCAGAATCACTTCAATTCTCTGTAGGCTATTGCATACTAATAATAACTAATTAAACACATATTTAAATCAGAAAACCAAATAACTCAGTAGACAAAGTGTCAAGAGAGGGCATTTCTCAATTTTCTAAAGTTCCATGAACTCTAATTAAGACCTCTGAAAATCTATATCATTCTGTAAATTTACTCTGAAATTTTAATGACTTAAACTTTGTGTGGTTATTCATTTGCAGAAAAGAAGTACCTAAGAAAAAGAGAGCTTGTGGGTAACCATCTGAAATATTCATTTCTTAATAATCTCCAGTCAAAGCCAAACTTTTTGCCTCTCCAACAAAACAAAAAATTAACTGAATGGAAACAGCGTCAATATAAAAACACTATAGTACCCTTTTCTAAAAGATAGACTATCAAGGCATGCAATGTAAATGTTCGAAAATATTCTCCCAACTCTTACATTTAAGGAAAAATATAAAGCTTAAATATTCAGGCTATGATTTTATCTCAATATGACCTAATATAACCCCAAAATCATCAAGATAGCCCTACAAAGAGGTGAGTTCAACTAATGTAACACATTTCACAATAACATTATAAATGTTCAGTGCAATAGTTTTGTTGTCATTATGTGTTTGAATTAACTCTTTAAAACTCAGAAATGTGCTAGTTAATATATTTCTGCTTCTTTATATGTAACGATGTCCCAAGAGCCTGAAAAAAAATAACAGAGCTTCAGTGGAAGGTCATCTGACTATACCTACAGGAAGTAACACAGTGAGCAAACAAATCTGACTCCTGGTTTAAAATCTAGGGTGGATCACTTTGGATTTGTAAATACTAAGCTCTCACAACCCTGAACTTCACTGTCTGATCCAGCACCAAAACTTATTTCCAAGTTCCCAAGAAAGCCAGAGGTAATTTGACCCATTCACAGAGAGGATTACCAACACAGTGCAAACACTGAAAAATTTGCATGAACAAGTACAGTAAATAATATTGCCTCATTAAAATTCAAGCTGTGGCTTCTAAACCAGATGGGTTAGCAAAAATATCTACATAGCTCATGAAGGAAAATAGCCTATTTGCATTAAGAAAAAAAAATCTAGAGTTTAGACAACATTCTGTAAAGCAAAAATATCTTGATTATAATCATGAACATTTTACCTTAAAGAAACACAAACCCTATTTATTTTCATATAAATGTATACTTTTGAATTGAGTATAATTTTATCAGATTGAAAAATTATTTACCTTGCGAGAAATAGGAAACAAAAATGTAAAAGGCTTTTTTACTTTTTCAATATTAATTTTAATGGTCTAAATTAAATGACTCTGACTTGTGCAAATTAAAACTAAACCAAATGGGTAATGAGTATCATGCTTTATCAATGTGAATATTCTTAATGTAATGAAAGAACTATAAAAGCAAGATGCTTTTTATTCAGTGTGCTCATCAATCATTACCTTATACTCAGTGATGGCATGCATATTTGTAGGAAAATTTTGAAAAAAGAGATTGACAATTTTTGGAAAACAAGATAAGGATAACTGGGAAATGGGAATTTTCCTTCATATTTTTAGCAAGAAACCTACATTTGTTATTTTTATTTTGTTAATATGAAAAAATATGTGAAATTTTTACAAACAATTCTATTATATTGAAGCTTTAAAGAAGTTTCTCTGAAACAAGCTCAGCAACAAGATCCACTCTGAGCCTCTTTTTCATGCTTTTAAAGATAAAACATATATAAATGTAATTTTTAAACATATTTTAATGAGGCGATTTCAATGATATGAATAAGCAAATAAAATTAACATTTTAAGCTGTGCCTAGCATATCCCCCATTTAATTTGTTTTGGGTATTAAGTCACAGTTTAATCAATAATGCAATAATTTGGATATGATTTTAACAGCTAAATGGAATGCTTAACTTTTGTCTCTTCAATATAGATTTTGCCTATACATGGAAATATCTCTGCTTTTCCCCACACGAAATAAATCCCAATAAGATACAAAGCATATATAAGATAAGTTTAAGTGATAATGAGATAGGAATAATATAAGTTGGTTGCAGGAGAATAGAAAATTCCAGGCAGCAGTTTCATGTAACTAGTGAAAGGAAACTGTTGAAATAGTCATAGAAGCTAGGAGCTGATGAGACCCTGAAAAACCAGGGTATGGCCCAAGCTGGCTAAGACTGACTGGACCCAACATGGCATGGATTTGACCTAGGTTTCATCTAGGACGTCATTATATGCTCATTAACATATTAAATCACACATTCACTAGCACCATGACAGTTCCAGGCACACCCATATTTGGTGTAAAAATGGGTGGCACCACAATTCCAAGACACCTCTACCTTTTTCCAGGAACCTTCGTGAATATTCCACCCCTTGGTTAAAAAAACCCATAAAAGTAGAAACCCCAAACTCCACTGTGCAACTCTCTCGAGTACACCCGCCCTCTCGTTTCTTGAATGTGTACTTTTCACTTTACAATCTCTGTACTTTCAGTATTTGCCAACCCATCCTTTAATTCATTTTCGAGATGGTGACAAGAGCCTGGACACTGGCTGGGGTGGGGTCCCCCTGACATTCAAGGACTTCCCCCAGCCAACTGGTATCAATAACAGGTTATTGCTATATTAATAATTATTTGTCAACTACTTTCAGCTAGGCATTGCTCTGGGCACTGGGAATAAAATAGTAAATGAGAGCGATCAACTCCTCTCCTTCATGAAGCTTATAGTCAAGCCTCCACTCTGATTCCCACTTGCCCTTTACACTATGAAAGCTCTTTTAATGATTTTTTATTTTTTAAACTGAGTCCTCCAGAAGAAAATTTGCAATATAGAAAAAAATATATTTATTTTAAGGGTAACATAATTGCTATTTGTAAACTGTTTTACTTCATGCAAATTAATTTTGTCATTTTTCCCATTCACAATTAGGGAAATTATTTATCTTTGTTTGGGTGGGGACTAGAATTACTTGCATAATACTTTGTTTTTGCATAACTTCATTTGGCCACAAGGGCAAATGATTTTTATATACAAGAAGCATAAACCACACAACAGTTCAAATGCTAAATGAATACAAAAATAAAAATATACCCAAAACTCAAGTGTGAACTATGCATGATATGGTCAATTTCACGTCTTGAGTTTCTATATTCTAATTTTAAAAATGTAGGAATATCTCCTTCATTCAAAAACTGCAGTAGGCCATTCAATTGAATGAAAAGAAGATACCCGTAATCAACTTACCTATTAATAAGAGCTGTCAGTCTAAACATTTTAAGGAAAAGGGGCAATGAAGATAAAACACATATATATTAAGTGTACTATTTTTGGTTTGGGAAACTGTAATTTTTGTGGAATAGTTAAAGTGTGTATCTGTTATTTTATATCCAATAAGGAAAAACATGATCACCATCTGAAACCATTTTAGTGTATTTTTTAAGAAAACATGCTTTTTACCCAATTATTTACTGAAATAGGCATATAATGAAAATGGAAAGAGACACATGGGAACTTACATCTTAAACACTGGCAAGTTTTCTACATTCCTACATTAATAAAAGAACTACCCATTTGTGTGAGTGTAGGCCTACTCTTGGTCTGTGAATTCATTACCATCTCCAGCTGTTACCGTTAAGAAAAAAGTCCCCAAATTTGTCTTTTTACACAAACAATTAAAAATAATGATATTCTTGTTTCTTTTTCCTTTTACTGACCTTTTAAGTTCTTCATAGGTCCTTTCTTATCCTTTGTCTCCTCTCCCCTTATAGTGCTGTGACATCACCAGGTAATACACACACTTGTGTCCATTGCCGTCTACATATCTCACCTCCCATTTCCCTAAATTTCACACATCAAAAACTATCTGGTAAGTCTTTCATTCTCTATGAGTCTTTAAAATGACTGATATGTTAATGTCTTACACATTTAAAAGAAAGTGTCCTACAGAGCTTTAGAGCAGGCTATGAATTATGTTCATTGTCTGGAATCCACACAGTCTCTCATCTTCCCTGAAATTATTGCAGCAGCAGTAGAGGCGAGAGTAATGTTTTAATTTTGAAGTGATCTTCCAATCCTTAGAAACAAAACTGAACTATCAGAGACTAAATTTTGAGTTCCATATACCCTGTCCTGCATTTTTGGTTGTGGATCAGAAGAGAGTAACAAAGAGGAAGGATTAAAAACAAATACAATAAATTTTTTATTGTGCCTGGAACAATTGTGCTAATGACTTTTGTCTTCCCGGTTTCCATTTGTCTTGAGTTTTAAAAAAATCAATATAATGAGAGTGTATTTGCATATGTAGAAGGCCCTGTCTGTTGAAAATGGTTCAGAAAAGAAGATAATGTAAATTGTCCTGATGTTCCCCCCCTTCCTACGTCTTTCAATTAATCGTATGTATTCACGTACATAAAATTTTAAAAGTATGAAATTTGCATTTCAATAAAATACCTTAAATTGGTCTTACTACAGAGTCAATGAAAAAAATTTAAATCATCCAATATATTATTATAATAGGAAACTTCCCATGGGAGAGGGTGATCATAAAGTTGAGAACAATTAGGATTAATTGAATTACTGAGCAATAAAAGCAGACACAGGACTATCTGAGCAACATACAAAAGAGTAGCAATATGCCCTTCTAAGAGAAGGCCTTGGCATCCAGAAACAGAAGACTGAACTAAAAGCATACAAGCTCACAAATTTTTAAGAGGGAAAGGAAATACTCTTTTGATAGATTCAAGTGAGCTGTGAAGATCACCAAGATAATTGAAGTGTTTTTGAAAATTATGTTGCTCTCATTGGTAGTGTCTCAGAGCCAGTATACAACACTAAAAGATTATATCCAAACAGTCCCAATATTTCCTCAGCCCCAATTCTTCTTCATGTTATTGATATTCACTGCATTCATATTAATCATGCATAGGTTTCCATGGGACAAATCGTTGCTATCCCGCTTCAAATTTTAAATAACCCATTTGATGTCATTAATTTGTAGAGAGAAGTTATAAAATGTTATCCATTTATATATAAATAAACTTTCTGGTAAGCTTAGAACAAAAAAGGATATGTCCTTACATTTCACAAAGTAGGTTCATTACTTCCAATATAAAACTGTGTTCAAGAAAATGAAGACAACATTCAAACACCAGGAAATGTGTGGGCTGGAAATATGATGAGCACAGTTTTGAACGATTTGCTGGACACTTTCTTGTTTACCTTATCTACTGCAATGTAATCAGAACTAGTAGTCAAGAAAATGTGAATTATAAAGCCCTTCTCACAATTAAAACAAACAAAATATTTAGACAAAAATGAAGAAAATGATGGCTGCCAAACCATTTGCCTTACAGACATGTGTACAAATTGATCATTTTCCTGTCTAGCTATTTTGGTTGTATAGAATAAGGACAAATAAATGATAGTTAACAATATTTAGTATTTGTTATTTTAGACATGTTAGATCTTATGAAATACCTTATGTTTTAGTCTGAAGGGAAACATTTACATTTTAGGAAAAAATTTATAGCTAAACAGAATTAAAAATATTTTTTTCTAATAGGAACTTGGGTAAAATATGGAGTCAAAAAGCTGTGAGTAAAAACTTAGAATACTAAGCAGATTAGCAAGAAGGCATAGTGAAAAGAAAATGTGAATAAGTGAATGATAAAAGAAGGCGGAATTAATAGCAAATGCCTATGTAGTGCTCACTATATGTCAGGGAAGGCTACCAGGGTGCACGCGCACGTGTGTGTTTGTATGTGTGTGTGAGTGTGTGAGTGTGCGCGTGTGCATTCCTAATAGGAAACTTACTATTCT
Source organism: Homo sapiens (assembly GCF_000001405.40). Taxonomy (NCBI): domain Eukaryota; kingdom Metazoa; phylum Chordata; class Mammalia; order Primates; family Hominidae; genus Homo; species Homo sapiens. The sequence continues at coordinate 9,115,629 of NC_000007.14, read as the reverse complement.
CATTTGCATCTAAGGAAATCAAAGTAGAGAGATAGTCACTAACTATCTGCTCATTGATGTAGAGTTGGAATCAAATCCAGGAAGCTGACTCCTGTGTATGTGGTTTTATTCACTATAATACACTGCCCTTTAAGTAATGCTATTAGAGAGGATTTATAAAAGAGAATTTAGAAAAGCCAAGGAAACAGAAAAATATGAAAAACTCAAATGTGACTTTGGGATTCATTTTTGAGACAAGAAAAGTAGTTAATATCCCTCACCATAAGGCAATGCTAATGTTGTATCAGTATCAAAGAAAGGACAGGAGAATTTTCCTTTCTCTTTGAAATTCAATTTATGATGTCCAATGCTGTAAATATCCAGCAGCAATAGCTGTGCTCTATAAATATTTAATACAAATGAAGTCATAAGTATAACTCAGACTAAATGCTAATTAAAAAATATAAAGAAGTTTGGTAGTTATTTCCCCCCCACCCCCAAACTACCAGATGGTGTTTAATAGGTATATGTGACTATATTTAAGAATGGCATAATTTAAATAATAATTCAAAAGTAATTTGTCAGTTATAGTAAGCAGCGTTCTATTTACTATAGTATAGAATAGTATAGTATAGTATAGAATCTATAGTAAAGATTCTATGACTTTTATCACAGTCCGTTTACTAGATAGCTCTCCTTTAATTTTCTACTTTACTACCAAGGTTCTTGCCTCTGGTTTACTAATTCTAAACTATTAAATTTTGCTGTTATGGCCTTGAGAAAACATAATATATAAACCACAGAGAGCTTTAAGGAAGCTAGACTTAACTACAAGCAACCTAAAAGGGCTCCAATCATCTTAATAATTATTATTTAACTAACGTAAAATAATAATCCCAAAGATAGAAAATCATCTCACAAAATAATCTTAAGTTGAAGACATAGGAATACATGTAATCAGTTAAACATCCAAAAGATGTTAACTAATATCAATAACATGCCACACAGGTTCAACATAATTGGGCTGAGATTAACCAAGTGTAATTGTTTTAGTTATTGGTTATCCCTGTTCTATCAGTTGTTAAGAAGTATTTATATATGTTTATGCGTGTGTGCATATGGGTGTATTTTATGGATTTCTGAATTTTTAAAATCAATTTTATCTTTAGCTGAGCTTCTTGAACCATAAACATACCATGTTAGTTCACTAAATTAGTAACAGCTTATATATAAATTCGAATTAATGTCTACCAAGTTGATTGAGTACACACTGAATTCTTTTTTTCTTTTCTTTTTTTTTTTTGAGATGGAGTTTTGCTCTTGTTGCCCAGGCTGGAGTGCAACGGTGCAATCTCGGCTCACGGCAACCTCCGCCTCCTGGGTTCAAGAGATTCTGCTGCCTCAGCCTCCTGAGTAGCTGGAATTACAGGCATATGACACCAAGCCCAGCTAACTTTGTATTTTTAGTAGAGACGGGGTTTCTACATGTTGGTCAGGCTGGTCTCGAACTTCCGACCTCAGGTGATCCACCTGCCTTGGCCTCCCAAAGCACTGGGATTACAGGTGTGAGCCACCATGCCCATACCACAATGAATTTCAATGAGTAAGACTTTATGTATAACACAGTTTTGTTTTTCAAAAGTAAATAATTTGATAGCTTTTCTTTATTATTTCTTTAGTTGAAATAATAGGTTGAATTTGGTTTTCTGAGGCTTCTACCTGTATTATAACTAAAATAATGCAAATTCTTATTGAAAAATAGGATATAATTTTTTTAATCTTTCAAAAACTTTGTTTGGATTTTTGTTGATATATAGTGGGTGTATATATTTATGGAGTACATGAGATGTTTTGATACAGGCATGCAATGCTTAATAATCGCGTAATGGAAAATGGGATATCCATCCCCTCAAGCATTTATCCTTTGTGTTACAAACAATCCAATTATAGTTTTTTTATTTTAAAATGTACAATTAAATTATTATTGTCTATAGTCACTCTGTTGTGCTATAAAATACTAGGCGTTATTGTTTGTAACTATGTTTTGTACTCAATAACCACTCTCACACCTCTCCCCACACTGCCTCACTTCCCTTCCCAGCCTCTGGTTACCATCCTTCTACTCTCTTACTCCATGAATTCAGTTGTTTTGATTTTTAGATTCCACAAATAAATGAGAACATGCAATACTGAATAGTACTCCATTGTGTATGAGTACAACTTTATTCATTCATCTGTTGATGGACACAGGTTGCGTCCAAATTTTGGCTATTTTGAACGGTGCTTCAACAAACATGGGAGTGCTGTGCAGAAGGTTTTTTTTTTTTTTTTTTTTTTTTTTTTGAGACGGAGTCTCAGTTTGTCACCCAGGCTGGAGTGCAGTGGCACAACCTCTTCTCTCGGCTCACTGCAAGCTCCACCTCCCGGGATCACGCCGTTCTCCTGCCTCAGCCTCCCCAGAAGATTTTTAACTTGATGTGATCCCATTTGCTCACTTTTGCTATGGTTGCCTGTGCTTGTAGGGTAGTGCTCAAGAAACTTTTGACCAGACTAATTTGTGAGAGAGATTCCCTGATGTTTTCTTGTGGTAGTTTCATAGTTTGAGGTCTTAGATTTAAGTCTTTGGTCGATTTTGGATTGATTTTTGCATATGGCTATTTTGTATATATCTTCATTTTTCTTCATATGGATATTCGGTTTTCCCAGCACCATTATTGAAGAGACTGTCTTTCCACCAGTATACGTTCTTGGAACATTTGTTGAAAATGAATTTGAGGTAAATGTGTGGATTTGTTTCTGGGTTCTCTATTCTGTTTCATTGGTCTGTGTATCTGTTTTTATGCCAGTACCATGCTGTTTTGGCTCCTATAGCTCTGTAGTATAATTTGAAGTCAGGTAAAGTGATTCCTCTCATTTTATTTTTTGCTTAGGATAACTTTGACTATTCTGGGTCTTGTGTTGTTCCATATACATAGAAGGATTGTTATTTTTTATTTCTGTGAAGAATGTCATTGGTATTTTTATAGGGATTTCATTGAATGTGTAGATTGCTTTGGGTAGTATAGATATTTTAACAATATTGATTCTTCTAATCCATGAACATTGAATATCTTTTCATTTTTTTTGATGTCCTCTTCAATTTCTTTTATTATTGTTTGATAGTTTTTATTATAGAGACCTTTGCATTTTTGGTATTTAATTCTTAGTAATTCTTAGGTATTTACTTTTATTTGTGGCTATTTTAAATGGGATTACATTGTTATTTCTTTTTCAGACTGTCTGCTGTAGCATAAAGAAATGCTACTGCTTTTCATATGTTGATATTATATCCTGCAACTTTACTGAATTAGTTTATCAGTTCTAAAAGGGTTTTATGTGTGAAGCTTTTAGGCTTTTGTAAATATAAGATCATATCATCTACAAACAAGAATATTTTTACTTCTGTCTTTCCAATTTGGATACATTTTATTTCTTTCTCTTGCCTGACTGCTCTAGCTAGGGCTTCCAGTGCTATGTTGAATAACAGTAGTGAATGTGGGAACCCTTGTCATGTTCCAGAACTTAGTGGAAAGATTTTCAGTTTTTTGCCATTTAGTATGATCCTAGCTGTGGTCTGTCATATATGACTTTTATTATGTTGAGGAGATATGTTCCTTCTATAATGTTGTTGTCGGCTTCTTATTATAGGGGAATATTGATTTTTATCAAATACTTTTCAGAATCAATTGAAATGATCAAATGGGCTTTGTCCTTCATTCTGCTCATATGATATATCACATTGTTTGATGTGCATATGTTGAACCATCCTTGCATTCCATGAATAAATCACACTTGGTCATGATGAATGATCTTTTTAATGTATTGCCATATTCAGTTTGCTAGTATTTGTTGAGGATTTTTGCATCAATATTCATCAGAGATACTGGCCTATAATTTCCTTTTTTGAATGTGTCTTCATCTGGTTTTGATATCAGGGTATTACTGGCCTTGTAGAAGGAGTATGAAAGTACTCCATACTCCTCTGCTTTTTGGAATAGTTTAAGTAAAATTGGTATTACTTCTTCCTAAAATGTTTCACAGACTTCAGCTGTGAAGCCATCAAGTGCTTGGCTTTTCATGACTAAGAGGATTTTGTTTTGTTTTGTTTTGTTTTGTTTTTTTGAGACGGAGTCTTGCTCTGTTGCCCAGGCTGGAGTGCAGTGGCATGATCTTGGCTCACTGCAACCTCTGACTCCCTGGTTCAAGTGATTCTCCTGCCTCAGCATCCTGAGTAGCTGGGATTACAGGCATGCACCACCACACACAGCTAATTTTTGTATTTTTAGTAGAGATGGGGTTTCACCATGTTGGTCAGTATGGTCTTGATCTTCTGACCTCATGATCCACCTGCCTTGGAGTTCCAAAGTGCTGGGATTACAGGTGTGAGCCACCATGCCCGGCCAAGATTTTTTTTTTTTTTTTTCAGATGGAGTCTTGCTCTGTTGCCCTGGCTGGAGTTCAGTGGCACAATCTTGGCTCACTGCCAGCTCCGCCTCTTGGGTTCACATCATTCTCCTGACTCAGCCTCCCAAGTAGCTGGGACTACAGCCACCCACCACGTCGGGCTAATTTTTTGTATTTTTAGTAGAGACAGGGTTTCACCATGTTAGCCAGGATGGTCTTGATCTCCTGACCTCGTGACCCACTGCCTCGGCCTCCCAAAGTGCTGGGATTACAGGCATGAGCCACCGTGCCCAGCCCCAACTGAAATTTTTACTACAGCTTTGATTTCATTACTTAGTGGTCTATTCCGTTTTTTAATTTGTTCATGGTTCAATGTTGGTAGATTGTACGTGTCTAGTAATTTATCCACTTTTCTACATGTTCTAACCTATTGTCACGTAGTTGCTCATAGTAGCCACTAATGATCCTTTCAATTTCTACACTTATCAGTTGTAAGGTCTCCTTTATCATCTGTGATTTTATTTATTTGGACCTTCTCTCATTTTTTCTTAGTTATTCTGGCTAAAGTTTTGTCACTTTGGTTTAACTTCTCAAAAAAACAACTTTTTCTTTCATCCATTTTTGTATTATTTTCTTCATTGTAATTTCATTTATTTCTGCTCTAATCTTTGTTATTTATTTTATTCTACTAATTTTGGTTTGATTTGCTCTTGCTTTTCTAGCTCTTTAAGATGCAACATTAGGTTGCTTATTTGAAGTTTTTTTTTTATTTTTTTATGTAGGAACTAATGACAATACACTTTCTTCTTAGTACCGCTTTTGCTGTATCCCATAGGTTTCAGTATGTTGTGTTTGCACTGTCATTTGTTTCAAGAAGCTTTTTTTAAATTTTCTTTTTAATTTCTTTATTGACCTACTTTGGTCAGTTTGGTCATACTGTTAAATTTCCATGTATTTGCATAATGTCCAGAATTCCTTTTGTTATTAATTTCTAGTTTTATTACATTGTCATCAGAGAAGATGCTTGATATTATTTCAATTTGCTTTTGAATGTTTTAGACTTCTTTTGTGGCCTAACATATGGTATATCCTTGAGAATAATCTATGTGCTGAGAAGAAAAAAATGTGTATTCTGTAGCTCTTGGATGAAATGTTCTGTAAATATCTATTACATCCATTTGGTCTATAGTGCAGGTTAAATCCAATGTTCCTTTGTTGATTTTGTGTCTGGAAGATCTGTCCAATGCTAAAAGTGGGGTGTTGAATTCTCTACCTATTGAGGCCTATCTCTCTCTTTAGCTCTAATAATATTTACTTTATATATCTGGCTGCTCCAGTGTTAGGTGCACCTATGTTTAAAAAAATCATATCATCTTGCTAAATTTACCCCTTTGTCATTATATAGTAACCTACTTTGTCTCCTCTTATAGTTTTTGCCTTGAAATCTATTTTGTCTAATTTAAGTATAGTTACTTGCATTCCTTTTTGGTTTCCATTGGCATGAAATATACATTTTTTCATCCCTTGATTTTCAGTCTCTGTGTGCCTTCATAGGTAAAGTGTGTCTCTTGGAGGCAACAGATCATTGGTTCTTATTTTCTTGTCCATTCAAACATTCTATGTCTTCTGATTAGAGAGATTAATCCATACATTCAATGTTGTTATTGATAACTGAGGACTTGGCTCCTTCCATTTTGTTGTTTTTTTGGTTGTTTTGTGGTCCTCTGTTCCCTCTTCTTTTCCTTCTTGTCCTCTTTATTTTGTGAAGGTGATTTTCTCTGGTGATATGATTTAGTTTCTTCCTTTTAATTTTTTGTGTATCTCTGGTAGGTTTTGGTTTGAGGTTACCATGAGGTTAGCAAATATTATCATATGACCCATAATTTTAAGCTGATAACTTAACTCTTTTTCATAAAGAAACAAGCAAAAATTAAAGTAATAAAAACTCCCCATATTACTTTCACCCTCTCACTTTTTTATTTTTTTATATCTTATTATATTGTTGATGTCTTCAAAAATTGGTGAAGTTTTTATTTTTGAATGATGTATCATTTAGTCTTAGGATAAGAGTAGTTTATACACCTTAATCCCAGTGTTATAATATTCCATGTTTTTCTGTGTACTTACTATTACCAGTGAGTTTTGTAGCTTCAGGTAATTACTTATTGCTCATTAACATTCTCTTCTTTCTGATTGAAGAACTCTCTCTGGAAATTTTTGCAGAAAATGTCTGGTTTTGATAAAATCCCTCGGCTTTTGTTTGTCTGGAAAAGTCTATTTCTCCTTCATGTTTGAAGGATAATTTCATCAGATCTATTATGTTGGTGCAAAAGTTATTGCAGTTTTTGCCATTCCTTTTAATGCAATAAATTTTACACAAACCTTAAATCACACTAACTATTGCAACAATCTAATACTATTCTAGGGTAAAAGTTTTTTTTTTCCTTCAGCACTTTAAATGTGTCATGCCACTCTCTCCTGGTCTGTAAGTTTTCCACTGAAAAGTCTGCTGCCAGACCTATGGGAGTTCTATTATATCATACTTGTTTCTTTTTTCTTGCTGTTTTTAGAATATTTTCTTTATCCTTGACCTTTGGAAGTTTGATTATTAAATGCCTTGAGGTAGAGTCTTCTTTGGGTTAAATCTGCCCTGTGTTCTATAACCTTCTTGTACTTGGATATTTATGTATTTCTCTAGGTTTGGGAAGTTCTGTTATTATCCCTTTGAATAAACTTTCTGCTGCTATCTCTTCCTCTACCTCCTCTTTAAGGCCAATAACTTTTATATGTGCCTCTTTGAGGCTATTTTCTAGATCCTGTAGGTTGATTTTAGAGTGCTAGGTTTTGAGAGTACTTAGGCGGTAGTCTTTTTACTCATTTTTCAATTGTCTCTTCTGAGTGTATCTTTTCAAATAGCCTGTCTTCAAGCTCACTAATTCTTTCTTCTGCTTGATCAGTTCTGCTGTTAAAGGATTCTAATGCATTCTTCATTATGCCAATCACATTTTTTGGCTCCAGAATTTATTCTTGATTCTTAATTACTTCAATCTCTTTATTAAATATATCTAATAAAATTCTGAATTCATTCACCGTGTTATCTTGAATTTTATTGAGTTTCCTGAAAACAACTATTTTGAATACTTTATCCAAAAAATCATATACCTCTGTTTCTCTAGCACTGGTCCCTTGTGCCTTATTTAGTTTATTTGGTGAGGTCATGTTTTCCTGGATCCTCTTGATACATGAAGATGTTTGCCTGTGTCTGGGCATTAAATATTAGGTATTTATTGTAGTTTTCTCACTCTGGGCTGTTTGTACCCTTTCTTCTTGGGAAGGTTTTCCAAATATTCAAAAGACTTTGGGTGTTGTGATCTAAGCTGAATCTACTTTAGGAGTACCCCAAACTTAGTAATACTGTGCTTTTTGCAGACTTACAGAAGTACCACCTTGATTATCTTGGACAAGGTCCAGAAGAATTCTCTGGATTACCAGGAAAACACTTGTTCTCTTCTCTTACTTTCTCCCAAACAAATGGAGTCTCTGTCTCTATTCTGAGCCACCTGAAACTAGGGGTGGAGTGGCTCAGGCACCCCATGGCTATCATCGTTATGACTGTGCTAGATCAGACCTAAAGTCAGTACTGCACAGGGTCTCGTCCAAGGCCTGCTGTAACCAATCCCTAGCTACCACCTGTGTTCTCTCAAGGCCTGGCCCTCTAAAAACACCAGGTGGCAAAGTCAGTCAGACTTGTGTTTTTTCTTTCAGGGTGGTGATTTGCCCCAGACCCCAAATGGGTCCAAAGGTGCCGTCTGGGAGCCCGGGACTAGAGTAAAAATCCTTAGAAGTCTATCTGGTGTTCTATTGTACTGCAGCTGAGCTGGCATTTGAACCACAAGACACAGTCCTTCTCACTCTTCCTTTACCTTTCCAAAGCCAGAGGAGCCTCATCCAATGGCCACTACCATCACAGGCCCATGGAAAGTATGGCCAGACTATAGCCAGTGTACCCCTAAGCCCCAAGGGCTCTTCAGTAAGTTTGTGGTGAATGCTGCCTGGCTAGGATTCACCCTTCAGGGCAGCGGGCTCCCCTCTGAGCCAGGGCAAGTCCAGAAATGCCATTTGAGAGTCAAGTCCCAAAACTGAGGCCCCCAGAGCCTGCTTGGTGCTCTCCACTTCTGCGACCAAGCTGGTACCTAAGGTCCAAGGCAAAGTCCCCTTTACTTTTCCCTCTGCTTTTTCAAAGCAGGAGTCTCACCCTCTAGCCACCACAGCTGGTAATGCACTGAGTCTCACCTGAAGCCAGCAAATCTCAGAGTCTTACCCAAGGCCCTTGATGTAGTACCTGGGTATCAGCGCTGGTTATTCAGGGCCCAAAGTCTCTTCAGTTTAGCAGGTAATGAATCCTGCCAGGACTGGGTCCCACCCTTCAAGGCAGCAGTTTCCTTTCTGTCCTAGTGAGTGTCTAGAAATGTCATCCAGAAGCTAGAGCCTAGAAAAGGGGCCTTACATCTCTGACCATTGACCTATTCTGCTGTGACAGAGCTGGTGTCCAACAGGCACAACAAAGTCCTCCACAGTCTTTTTTCTCCTCTCCTCAATCAGAAGAGAGGCGTCTTTTTTGGAGTCATGAGCTGTGCAGCCTGGGGTTAGGGGAAGGGTGATGCCAGCACTCCTGTAGCTGCCCTTGCTGGTGTCTCAATAGGTCTCATGTTCCCCCGTCTTCTGGCTCTGGGCCTACATCTGCACTAGGATTCACCCAGGTTTTACAGTCCTTGTGGCCTAGATTTCCTTTCAAAATTATTTAGGGCTGCAAAGCACTTTAGCCCTTGTGAGATCTCAAATTTGAATGTTGAGATTGGGATTATCCTCTGACTATGGCTGGCTTAAATGTTCCCTCAATGGGTGGGAGTCACCTGACTTTGGTCCGGTTTTGTTTTTTTGCTATAATAGGGCAGCACTGAGCCAGTCCTCTGCCTAGTGCACAGAACTCACTCTGCAGCATGCCACCCACTGCCAGGGAAGGGTGCTGTCAGTGATTTATGGCTTTTTTTTTCCTCTTCAGTGCCTCTTCCAGAGATATGAAGTTAAAACCAGGTACTGTGGTGCTCACCTGATTTTTGGTTCTTATTAAGGTGCTTTTGTAGTGTAAATAGTTGTTGAATTGGTATCCTTGTGGGAGAAATGATTGGTGGAGTCTGTTCCACCATTTTGCTCTACCTCAACCTATTGTAAATTTATTAATGCTCTGATAGAGTACCTTGTATGATGGCTAAGAAAATAGTATCTCAAGTATATTCAAGTTTAAAAGAACTCTAGGAATCACCTAATATGATGAATTTATTGTACGGATGTTGAAAATAAATCCTAAAGAGGTCAAATGATTCAATAAACTTTTCAAAACCATTTTTTTTTATTACAACTGAAACTAAATACCATGCCCACTGAATAATATTCCATGGCCCTTTATAGCACTCAAGTGTCCTAAATTACAGTCTCTGGAACACTAGGGTTCTAATAGATTTTAATAGTTTCTCTGGAAAAAAAAAAAAAGAAAAAAAAGAAAACCTCAGCAGGAAGGACATTTGAGGAACAGCTTTGCTATTTCCAAGGTACGGACAGATTATAAATAAGCCAAAAGGGAAAGTACAGTAACCCAGGGTTATTACCTGTTACTAAGATAAAGGGAGAAAAGGAGGAGAACCTAACCTGAACATGAAAAGAAAGAGTCATATGTGAAAGGCTGTGTTTAGGAGATGTGATTTTCTATCAGGGACAAAAATAGGGATAACCAAGTAGAATTGAAACTGAAGGAACAAGTACCTGAATGTCTTTCTTTCTTCTTATTGGTGTAAGTCAAACCCACAGTAAAGTTAGAGGGCTAAGAAATCTGTTGCTGCAACACATACAGGTCAGTCTTTCAAGGCAGAGAGCAGAGTAGAGAAGGATGGATAAGAAATACAGGTAAGAAAAACAGAAGATATATAGCAATATAGTCATATAAGTTCTGAAAACAGTTAATTAAAAGGTTTGTTCACAGGATCTGTTTACTGAAAATGTTTAAATCTGTACTGAGAATCTCTACTGAGACTCTGTAAGATTGGAAACAATCAGTGTGTTCAAAACAAGTTTGGACCTGGAAATTTTTTTCAAGAGACAAATATTTACATTTTGCATGTAAAATAGCATATAATAATGGATCATAAAACCTTGTAAGATAATGCCTTTCCATAAAACTCTGAGATCTTATCAATAAAATTCTCTAATCAAATGTAGTATTTTCTATAAGGTTTGTGACATTTTGAAGACATTGTTTAGACAATCTATTTCTAGAATTCTTGTACCGGAAGAACCAAGTTAATATAACTTTGTGGTTCTGCTCATGGTTCTAAGCAGAAGCAACAGTATAACATATTTAAAGGCAGTTGCAAAGTCATACTCATCATTTTGCATTGCTTTAACACTCTTCACCAATGCTCCACACACACAAAAATACTTTATATTTATGTAGTTTGTGTTCACCCAAAATTCATATGTTGAAACCTTTTCGCCAAAGTGATGGTATGAGAAGTAGGGGTCTTTTGGGAGGTAGTTAGGTCATGAAGGTAGATTCCTCATGAATAGAATTAGTGTTCGAACAAAAGAGGCCCCAGAAAGAAGCCTTACCCCTTTGACTATGTGAGGACACAACTAAAAGACACCACCTTTGGATCAGGAAATAGACTCTCACCAGACACTAAATCTACCAGTGACTTGATCGTGGATGTCCCAGTCTCCAGAACTGTGAAAAATAAATTTACATTGTTTATAAGCTATGTGGCCCATGGTACTTTGTTAAGTAGCCCAAATTATCTAAGAAACATGGTTATTCTAATACTAAATTTTAAAAGGCTTTTATGCTACATGTGAAGTGATATAATATCACTTAAGGGCAGACTGTGATAATTTAAAGATGTTCACGCTAAACCCTAATCACTAAAATAACAAAATAAAAAAATGTTAATAGGACAACAAAGGGAATAAAATTTAATCATAAAATAATCAAAAAAGGAGAAAAACTTTAATAAATGTGTAAAATAATAAACAACAAAAGATGAGACAAAAAACAGACAGCAAAATGGCAAGTGCAATTTACCTATATCAATAATCGCACTAAACTGCTGTGGTATAAATACTTCCATTAAAAGGAGATTTTCAGATTGAATAAAATCACACGTCACAACTATATGCGGGTCATAAGTAACAAACTTTATAAAGACAAAAATAGGATTAAAATAATAGACAAAATAGACCATGTTAATACCACTAAAAACAAAATTTCAATGGCTATAACCGTGTCAGTAAAAGTAGATTCATCAATTTAGCAAAAGTACATAATGTTACCAAATGTTTATTATCTTAATAAATTAACTTCAAAATACATAAAGCAAAAATTGATAGAAATGTAAGGAGAAATAGAAAAGTCCACCATTATAGCCAGAGATCCCAATATTTCTCTTTCAATAAATAACAGAAAATGTAGACAATCAGTAAAATTATAAAAAAAAAAACACATTAAATCACCTTGATGTAATTAAAATTTTTTTGACCACTCCTCCCATCGATAGCAGAATGTACATTCTTTTTAAGTGCACCTGGAACATTTAGTACAATAGACCATCTTCTGAGCAATAAAATGTTTTAATAAGTTTAAAAGAATTCAACTGTTACAAAGAATGTTCTCTAACCACAATGAAATTAAATTGGAGATTGATTACAGAAAGACATTTGGAATATTGTCAAATGTTTGGAACCACACAAATAATTTTAAATAACTAATGGGTAACAGAAAAAATCAGAATACAAATTAAAATATTTTGAACTGAATAACAGTAAAAACACAGCATATCAAAACATGTCATTTGCCACTAAGTAGTACATGGTGGGAATGTATAGTACTAAATGCGAATATAAAAAAAGAATAAAATCCTCAAATAAACAACTTCAACTTAAAAAACTGGGAAAAGATCAGCAAAATAAACCCAAAGCAAGGAGAATGAATAAAATTATAAAAATAAACATGAAAATCATAAAATATAAAACAGAAAAACAGCATGGAAAAATCAATAAAAGTTTCTTGGATTAAACCCCAAATCAACAAGCCTTTTGCCAAACTCACCAGGAAACAAAGAAGAAACAAATTACTAATATCAGGAATGAGGTAGGTGATGTGGTATCAGTACAGGTTCTATAAATATTCACAGGATAATAAAGAAATTTTATAAATGGCTTTATGGCTTTAAATTTCATAGTTTCAATGAAATGAAAATGTTCCTTGAAAAATAAAAACTATGAAGTTTCACTTAAGAAGAAATAGATATCATGAGTAATTCCATATCATTTAAAGAAATTGAATATGTAGTTAAAAACCTACTGAAAAAGAGAATCCCAGGCCAGATAACTATATGGGTGAGTTCTACCAAACATTTAAGGAAGTATTCATGTCAATTTTACACAATCTCTTCCAGAAAATTGCAAAGCAGAGAACATTCTCCAACTCATTCTATGAAGGCAGCAATACACTGATAGTCAAAAAGATGTTACAAGATAATGAAACATACAAACTAATAGCCTTCATTAATAAATGCAAAAATTTTAATCAAAACTTTAGCAAATTGAATCTAATGATACATTAGAAGGATCAGAATTTATCACTGGAATGCAAACCTAGTTTAAAATTAAAATATCAATGCAATTAAACATATTAACAACAAAAAAGTATTACCATCTCAATATACTCAGGAAAAAACTTTTACAAAAATCCAACATCCATTTCTGATGAAAGATATAGCCAAAAGGGGAAATCCTCAACCTAATGAAGAACTTCCATGAAAATCCTACAGCTAACATCATATTTAAAGGTATTAAGTCACACACTTTATCCCTAAGATGAGGAACAAGACAAGGATGTCTGCTATTATCACATACATTCAACTAGAAGAGGTATATGCAGTGCACACAGGCAAGAAAAATATGTAAATAGAATTCAAATTGGAAAATAAAAAGTAATACTATCTTAGTTTGCAGATGATGTGATAATCTACATAGAAAACCAAATAGAATATAAAAGAATCCTAGAAATACTAAACAAATTTAGCAATATTGCAGGATACAAAATCAAAATAGTAAAAGAAGCTGCATTTCTATATTCCACTAATGGCCAATCTGAAATTGAAATTTAAAAACACCCTTACAATAACATTAAAATATAAAATGCAAAAAGATGTGCAAGACCAGCAAATCAAAAACTGTAAAACAATTATGAGAGAAATTAATGAAGGCCTAAGAAAAGGAGAAATGCAAAGGAGACATAAACAGAGAAATGTTTATGAATTGTGAATTTAAGATATCAGTTTTTCCTAAATTAATGTGTATATTAAATGAAAACTGAAAGGTTGTTTTCAGAAATTGATTAGCCAATTTTAAAATTCACATGGTAATACAAAGGTCCCAAAATAACAAAAAATAATATTTTACAAGAGGAACAAAGTTGAAGTACTTCCTAATTTCTGTCGTCCTTATTGTTATTGTTGTTGGTGGTGACAGCACCTCGTTCTGTCACCCAGGCTGGAGTGCAGTGGCGTGATCTCGGCTCATGGCAACCTCCACTTCCTCGGTTCAAGCGATTTTCATGCCTCAGCCACCAGAGTAGCTGAGGTTACAGGCATGCACCACCATGTCCAAATAACTTTTGTATTTTTAGTAGACACAGAGTTTCACAATGTTGGTCAGGCTTGTCTCAAACTCCGGAGCTCAAGTGATCCGCCTGCCCCGGCCTCCCAAAGTGCTAGGATTACAAGGTGAGCCATAGTGTCTGGCTCTAATTTCTATCTATAGAATAAAATCAAGATTATTATCTGACTTCAAGACTTATTATAAAGCTGTAGTAATGAAGACAGGTGGTATTTGACTCAAAGGTAGGAAAAATAAATCAATAGAGCTTAGTAGAGAATCCAGTAAGAGAGAAACATTTGTGGAGAATTGATTTATGACAAAGATACAAACACAATTCAGTGGAAGAAAGACAGTCTTTTTTTTTTTAACAAATGATGTTAAAATAATTAGATGTCTATAGGCAAAACAAAAAAAAGTTTTTTTGACTACATATAAAAATTCCCTTAAGTTTGATCATGAAAAATTTTAAAATGCAAAACTACAATACTTATAGAGGACTGCTAGAAGAAAGGCTTTATGACCTTTGGTTACACAAAATCTTCTTAGATATGATTTCAAAAATATGATTTATGAAAGAATAAATTGTTAAACTGGATTTTATCAAAACCAAAATCTTCTGCACTTTCAAAGGCACAGTTTAAAAAAGAAAAATACAACCTACAGACTAGGACAATATAGTTGCAAATCATATATCTGATAACGGTGTTTTAAAAATGAGACAAATATCTTAACAACCATTGACCAAAAAAGATGTAAGAATGGCAAATAAACAGAAAAATGATGCTCAACATTTTAGTCATTAGGGAAATGCAGATTAAAACCATATATAGATGCCATTACACAGCTAGTAAAATGGCTGAAATGAAAATTACTGACTGATTATACCAAGTGTTAGTAACCATATGGAGCAACTAAAACTTTCAACAATGCTGATGGATGCTTAAAATGGCAAACTACTTTGGAAAACGGTGTGGCAATTTCTTGAAAGTTAAGTATACACTTTGAATATGATGCAATCATTCTGCAACTAAATATTTACATGAGAGAAAAGAAAGTGTTACAAAGGCTGATACATGCATGTTTCTACCAGCTTAATTTTTAATAGCTAAGACGTAGAAATAATCCAAATGTCCATGAACAAGTTAGTGAACAAACTAATATATATTCTTGTGTGAAATACTACTCAGTAACAAAAAGGAATTAACTATTATTACATGCTATAATAAAAATGAATTTCAAAATCTGTGCTGAGTCAAAGATGTTAGAATGAAAAGCATATTTTATCAACCCATTTAAAGTTCTAGAAAGTTCAAAATGAATAGTGACAGAAAGTGCTGGAAGAGGGGAAAAGGTAGGATGCAGTAATTACAAAGGAGCATGAAGAAAGTTTTTCAGTGATGTATGTGTTCATTATTGTGACTGAGGTGCAAGTTTCATGGATATATATATATATATAAATATATGTTTTTATATATAACAGTCTCTTCCGAAAAGTGTAAGAGGGAACACTTCTTAAATAATTCTGTAAATATAGAATTAATCTAATACAAAAACAGTTGAAGATTTTACAAGGTACGGAAACTACAGACAATAGCTATCATAAACACAGATGCAAAAATTCTCAACTAAATATTACGAAATCAGTTCCAACAATGTATAAAAATAATTCTACACCATGACCAAAAGAGATTTACAGTAGCTATGCAATGATGTTTCAACATTTGAAAATAATGTATTTGGCACACCAACAGGCTATAGTACATTAAGAGTATTTGACACTTTAAAAACTCATTAAAGGTAAAGAAAAAAAGTTCTCAAACTGTAAATAGCGAGAAACTTCCTAAACTTGACAAAGAACATCTGCAAAAAGCCTAAAACTGTCTTCATGCTTAACAGTAAGAAATTGCATGTTTTCTCCCTACATTCCAGAGTAAGGCAAGGATGTCTCCTCATCACCCTTTATTCAGAATTGCACTTGAAGTCATAGCTAGTGCAATAATACAAGAAAAAAAAATAGCATACATATTGAGTAGTGAGAAAATATTAGCAACCAAAAAACCTTTCAGAATTCAACAGTGAAAAAAATCCAATTAGAGAATAGGCAAATTATACGAAGACACATTTCAGCTAAGAACACATTTTCAAAATAATTATCCATTACAAAAATGGAAATAAAATCACTGTAAGGTATTACTACACACATATCAGAATTGCTAAAATGAAATATATTAACAACACCAAATGCTATTCGGAATGTGCAGAATTTATTTCACTTTGTTGCTAGTGAGGATATGAAAGAAATGGTCCCGATTCTCTGCAAAACAGTTTGACAATTACTTAAAAAACTAAACATCCACCTACCTCCTGACTCAGTAATTGAACTCCTGGGCATTTATCCAGGAAAATAAAAACTTCTACACTAATGTATAGAAAACCTGACACTAATGTTTATAGTAGATTTACTTATAATAGTCAAACACTAGAAACAATCATCAGATGTTTTCAGTAGGTGAATGGTTATACAAAGTGTGGTATAGCCATACCATGGAATACTATTCAGCATTAAAAAAATACTGTTACACACAAAAAACTGGATGAGTCTCCAGATAATTTTGAGGAATGCAGAAATAATCCCAAAAGGTTATATAGTATATGAATTTATTTATATTATTCTTGAAATTTAAAAAATTATGACGATGGAGAACAAATTAGCAGTTGCCAAGGATAAAGAGGAGGTGAGGTAGGAGAAAAGTAGGTGTGATTATAAAACGTTAATGTGAGGATGCTTGTTGTGATAGAAATGTTCTGTATCTTGACAGCAACAATGACAATATCCTGGTAGTAATAAGGTACCATAGTTTTGTAAGATGTTATCATTGGAGGAACTCGAGTAAATGATTCACAGAATCTTTCAGAATTATTTCTTTCACCTGCATACAAATCAATAATTATCACAAAATTAAAAGATTATAATTAAA
This sequence comes from Homo sapiens, assembly GCF_000001405.40. Taxonomy (NCBI): domain Eukaryota; kingdom Metazoa; phylum Chordata; class Mammalia; order Primates; family Hominidae; genus Homo; species Homo sapiens. The sequence goes on along the minus strand of NC_000007.14, from coordinate 9,098,518 downwards.
AACTAGTTTGCTTAGTGTTTCTGTGCAGATAGCTAGTTTGCACTTGTAAATTATGAACATAAAGTGAAAAATATTTGTGTTTACTTAAGTATTCATTCTTATATCATCTGGCATCTACTTCTTTTATTTATTTATTTGTTTTTGAGACGGAGTTTCGCTCTCGTTCCCCAGGCTGGAGTACAGTGGCGCGATCTCAGCTCACTCCAACTTCCACCTTCTGGGTTCAAGTGATTCTCCTGCCTCAGCCTCCCGAGTAGCTAGGATTACAGGCATGTGCCACCACACCTGGCTAATTTTGTATTTTTAGTAGAGAAAGGGTTTCTGCATGTTGGTCAGGCTGGTCTTGAACCCTCGACCTCAGGTGATCTGCGTGCCTCAGCCTCCCAAAGTGCTGAGATTACAGGTGTGAGCCACCGTGCCCGGTAGTTTGGCATCTACTTCTTAGGCTTTTTCCTTTCTTTCATTTTGTTTAAAATCTGGAGATGTAGATAATCCAAAAAAGGAGTGGTACTTCCATAACCAATTAAGAAGAGCACATATATACATTCAGTCTAATTTATATCCTTTACCTCCTAACAGAAAACACTTGTCTCTTCTTTGATGCTGACTCAAAGGTCTGATCCCCTGCCTGGAAGCTAACCTTGGATAGATTCCCAGAATTGTCTCTTCTACTCCCACAACCAACCTTTTTCAAAGACTTCAGAAGACTGGATCAACATTTTTGCCTATGTTGGATGACTCACAGAAGCACACACTATATAGTATAGTGATTTTACAGCCTTTCTTCTAAACCCAGACTCGCTTAGCTATGTATTCTTTAATGGGCCAAGAGTGCTACAACTTCCACTCTGCTCTACTAGCAGCCACGGGCTTGGATTTCTACCAATAATTAAATTTATTAAATGTAATAGCCTTTAGCAAGCACCAAGTTTAGTTAGCTAAAGCTTAAAAGAAAAGAATAGCCTACATAATATCCACAGCCAGACTATAGTGGAAATATGTGATCCCTAGACTCAGCTTCTGGTGTCCCAGTCATTTTATGCTAAGGAATTAGGTTGAATATGTGCAGAGCACCTCAGCTCAGGCAAGCCAATAAGCTCTAGGGTCCCTTTAGCCTTTAATAACAAGATAATCACATAGCCCTTCCAATATATATGACTGGGAGTCCATGACGAGCTTCCATCTACAAATGCAGTTGTGTGTCATCAAAGCTGGTTTTTCCTTATTTAATAAACAATGTTGACAGTGTCTGGTTCAATAGATATTTTGATAAGGTTCCTATCTCCCTTGAATTTAGTATGGAATTTTTTAAATGATTTTATGAGTATGTGTTGTAAGAATAATTGGCCAAGGATCAAATCCTCAGACATCTCTAAAGCTAAAGGAAATGACACAGAATCAGCTGTTTATCCTTTTCTTCGGGTTTCAGAGCAGGCTTCAAGGGGATATTGCCCTCAGAGACTGCAAAGGACTTCTTACTTCCTAGCATAAGGTGTCAGAGCCCCTGCAGGTATATGAGATGTCAGAGCCAAATTAAGGTAAGGAGAGGGATAGTCCAAAATGGAATGTCAGAGCTTGAGTAGAGAATGTGCAGGTGAAGGAGTAGCCAAGTGTGTTTTGTCAGAGCTCAGGCACAGTAAGAAAAAAATGCATAGAGAAAGGCAGTCCAGTTCAAGGTGTCAGAGCCTGATGGGAGGAAAAACAGGGTGTTAACTAGAGGCACCATCTAGTGAGACATGCCAGAGATTCAGCAAGGTGAGGAAAGCATCAGCACGGGAAGCAATCTAGCAAGAGTATCAGATCTTGATCAGGGTAAGGAGGGCATCCTTAGAGAAGGGTATCCTGGAGCGAGGTGTGAGTACACGAAGTGGCTGAGAAGGGAAAAGATAGGAGGGGTGAAGTTCAGGTGCATGGTATCATTGCCAGAGTGTGGTGAGGAAGGCAGTGGTGAAAGAGCAACAGACTTCTGAGCAGTGTGAGGAGGGCAACCATGTTGGGGGAAGCTGGTAGCAATGGCAGCAATAGGAGTATGATAATGCATGTAAGGACTCATGAAATAAATATATACACACACACACACACACACAAACATATATATGTTTAGAATATAAAGGTATGTTTAGAAAACAATGTGAACTAATTTTCATACTGTTACAGAAGAAATTATAAATATGGAAAAGGAAAATATTATAAGAAAGTATGGTAATAGTCTGGAATCGGAGGCTTCATTATGAATTCATGGTTTTCAAAACATACAGATGGATACAGAAACAAAGATACACATAAGTTTCCACTGTAATATATTGTACTATAATTAAATATGTAACTATTTTACATTACTTGTGTTTGTACATACATATATTCCTTAGCCCTGTCCATTGAAAAGGCTGGGGAAAAATAATGTCTCAACAGCAATGAGCATACCCAACACAGATTATAACTTCTAAATATTATTCTCCACTAAAAATAAAAAAACCGTCTAGTATCCTCAGATAAATGCTGGCTTAATGGCTGGGCCAGAAAAACTACAAGATGATTCTGGATATCTTGGGCCAGAAAGCAAGGGAGCTCTCTAAAATAATGATGCAGATGCCTAGAAAAGACATAGAAACTAGTTAAAGGGATTCCCACTGGCCCAACCAGGACCATTTTAAGGAGCAAATTAAGTAATGATACAATGATATGGAGTTAACTCATTGACAGAAAACTATGTGTCTTTTCTGATGTAAATTAATATATGAAAAAATTAAAAGTTTCATGAGAAACAGTGTATTTTTAAAGTTTTAACGTATCTCCTGATAGAATAATTATTAATTACAAAGGGAATAAGAATAACTTTACTCTGGAAAATACCACCTAGGTCAAGTGATCAAAGCAAACATCATCAGTTGGAATGGACAAATTGAAACAATGTGTTACTTCACTAGCTATCAGTTACTAATACCCTGACCTGTAAAATATTAATGAGTTTAGTCAAATCCTGTTTGACCACTGTACACATTAGTAGCAGACTAAAAAAATAATGAATTTAAAAAAATGTGTGCCTTTCTCCCAGGACATTGTAAGAGGAGCATTAGGAGTTCAGGTATCAATGTCATTTCTTCAAAGGCTGAAGACTTTGGTGATGACACTGGCCCGGCCACTCACCATCTCAGTCCTCTTGCACAAGCTATTTGACCTTTCTGGATCACAGTTGTTTATCACTTAAAATTAGTGATTGGACTGTGGTTGTTCAAGGGATTCCTACTAAAACTCTAGACATCTAACCCTAAAAATAAGTTTATGCTCTTTAAAAGTATATACATTGTTATATTTGAAAATGTGTGTATCTGTACGAGATAACATTTGATTACAATTATGTAAACAATTTTTCAGGATAATCAAATTATGTCTCTTCACATAAAAGAAGAAACTTTCTGGTACAGTGTTAATGTTTTATTGGCCATTACTGATGGCCTGAATTTTGTCTTTTACCCTGAGTAGTCAATGTTGCTATTATAGCATTAGTGTAACCAGTTGAAATGGTAATATGTCATTGCTAATGGTCAAATGGTCCAATCACTGAAATAAGATTTCTTTTTTAAAACTTTTATTTTACATTCAGAAGTGCACACACAGTTTTATTATGTAGGTAAATTCTGTGTCATGGGAGTTTGGTGTACAGATTATTTCATCACCCAGGTAATAAGCATGGTGCCCAATATGCAGTTGATTTTTTTTTCTTCATCCTCTCCCTCCTCCCACTTCCTCTACCTTCAAGTAGGCCCAGTGGCTGTTGTTCTCTTCTTTGTGTCCATGTTTTCTTAATGTTTACCACCCACCTATAAGTGAGAACATGCAGTATTTGGTTTTCTGTTCCTGAATTAGTTTGCTTAGAATAATGGCCTCCAGCTCCACCCATGTTTGCTGCAGAGAATACGGTCTTGTGTTTTTGTTTTTTTTGCTTGGGTGGTATTCCATGATGTATGAGTACCACAATATCTGTATCCAGTCTACCGCTGATGGGCATTTAGGTTGATTACATGTCTTGCTATTGTGAACAATGCTGTGATCAACACATGTAGGTATGTGTCTTTACGGTAGAGTAATTTTTATTCATTTGGGAATGGTATCAGCTCTTCTCTATACATCTAATAGAATGTAGCTGTGAATCCATCTGGTTCTGTGCTTTTTCTTATTAATAGGCTTATTATTACCGATTCAATTCTGGAACTTGTTATCGGTCTGTTCAGGGATTCAATTTCTGTCTGGTTCAATCTTGGGAGGTTGTGTTTCCAGGAGTTGGTTTATTTCTTCAAGATTTCTTAGCTTGTGTGCATAGAGTTGTAGGTTGGTGCAAAAGTTACTCTGGTTTTTGCCGTTGAAAGTAATGGCGAAAATCGCAATTACTTTTGCACCAACTTAATAATAGTCTCTGAGGGTTTTTTGTATTTCTGTGGGGTCAGTGGTCATGCTCTGTTGTCATTTCTGATTATGTTTATTTGAATATTCTTTCTCTTTTTATTAGTCTAGCTAGTCTATTTACGTTAATTCTTTCATTATACCAACTCAGGGATTAATTGATCGTGTGTGTGTGTGTTTCTATTTCCTTCAGTTCAGCCCTGATTTGGGTTACTTTTTGTTGTAGTTGGCTGGTCTTGAACTCCTGACCTCAAGTGATCTGCCCGCCTCGGCCTCCCCCAAAGGCCGAGTCACGATTTCAAGCGTGAGCCACTGCTCCTGGCTGGATTTGTGTTATTTCTGGTCTTCTGCTAGATTTGGAATTGTTTTGCCTTTATTTCCTGAGTTCCTCTGGATGTGATATTAGGTTGTTAATCTGAGATCTTTCTGACTTCTTGATGTGGGCATTTAGTGCTATAAACTTCCCTCTTAACACTGCCTTAGCTGTGTTCCAGAGACTCTGATATGTTGTCTTTCTTCTCTAGTTTCAAAGAATGTCTTTATTTCTGCCTTAATTTCATCATTTACCCAAAAGTCTTTCAGGAGCAGGTTGTTTAATTTCCCTGTAATTATATCATTTTGAGCAATTTTCTTAGCATTGATTTTTAATTTTTTATTGCACTGTGTTGTGAAAATGTGGTTGGTATTTTTTTTTTTTGAATTTGCTGAGGATTGTTGTATGGCCTGTTGTATGATCAATTTTAGAGTGTGTGCCATATACAGATAAGAATGTGTATTCTAATGTTTGGGGGTCAAGAGTTGTGTAGTTGTCTCTTTGGTCTATTTGGTGAAGTGTGGACATCAGATCCTGAATATCTTTGTTAGCTTTCTGCCTTGATGTTCTGTCTAATACTGTCAGTATTGAAGTCTCCCACTATTATCGTGTGGAAGTAAGTCTCTTCATAGATCTCTAAGAACTTGCTCCATGAATCTGGGTGCTCTTGTGTTGGGTGCATATATATTTAGGATAGTTAGGTCTTCTTGTTGAATTGAACCCTTTTACCATTATGTAATGCACATCTTTGTTGTTGTTTTTTTTTTATCTTTGTTGGTATAAAGTCTGTTCTGTCTGACATTGGGATTGCAACCCCTGCTTTTTTCTGATTTCCATTTGCTTGGTAAATTTTTCTCCATCCCTTCATTTTAAGCCTATGGGTGTTATTGCAGGAGAGAAAGGTCTTTTGAAGACATCATGCTGTTGGATCTGGCTTCTTTATCCAGCTTTACACTCTGTGCCTTTTAACTGGGACATTTAGCCTATTTACATTCAAGGTTAACATTGACATATGTGGATTTGATCCTGTCATTGTGTTGTTGGCTGACTTTTACGCAGGCTTGTTTGTGTGGTTGCCTTATAGTGTCAACGGTCTGTGTAATTAAGTTTGTTTTTGTTGTGACTGGTAACAGTGTTTCCTTTCCATATTTAGCACTCCTTTCAGGACCTCTTGTAAGCCAGGTCTGGTGGTAATAAATTCCCTTATAATTTACTTGTCTGAATAGGATTTTTATTTCTCTTTTTCTTATGAAACAGTTTGGCTGAATATAAAATTCTGGCTTGGAAATTATTTTCTTTTAGAATCTTGAATATAGGTCTCTAATGCCTTTTGGCTTATAGGGTTTCTGCTGAAAAGTCCACTCATGGGGTTCCTTTTTCAGATGAACTGCCCCTCCTACCTGCTTTTTAACATTATTTTTTCTTTCATTTTCACCTTGGAGAATCTGATGATTATGTCTTACAGATGGTCTTCTTGTGTACTACCTCAAATGTGTTCTCTGTATTTCCTGAATTTGTAAGTTGGCCTCTCTAACAAGGTTGGGGAAATTTTCATGGAAAATATACTAACATATGTTTTCCAAGTTGACTGCTCTACCCGCCTGTCTTTTAGGGACACTAATGAGTCATAGATTTGGGCTCTTTACATAATGCAATATTTATCAGAGGTTTTGCTAATTTATTTTTTTTTCTTTATTTTTGTCTAAGTTAGTTTGGAGAGTCAGTCTTCGGCTCTGAGATTCTTTCCTCAGTTTGGCTTATTCTGTTATTAATACTTGTGATTTCATGATGGAATTTTTCTAGTGTATTTTTCAGCTCTATCAAATCAGTTTGTTTTTTCTTATAATGGTCATTTTATCTTTCAGCTCCTAAATCATTTTACTGTAATCCTTAGATTCCTCGGATTAGGTTTTGACTTTCTCCTGAATCTCAATGATCTTTCTCATTCAGACCTCTCCATAGTCTGAAATCTATTTCTGCCATTTCAGACGTTTCAGCCGAGTTAAGAACCCTTGCTGGGGAACTAATGTGATCATTTGGAGGAAAAAAGACACCCTGATTTTTGAGTTGCCAGAGTTCTTGTCCTGGCTTTTTCTTATCTTCGTAGGTTGATGTTCTTTCTCATCTCTGTGGGTTGATGTTTAACTGTGGTATTAATTTGAATGCAGTCAGTTGAATTCTTTTCTGGATGTTTTCAGAAGATCAAGGTTTTATGTGGCTCTTTATTTTTAACTCAATTCTTGTTCTTGGTTTCACAGGGGGGTATATCAGCAAAATATTTTTGGTGTTGAAGTTTCGGATGTAATCCAGTAGATGGTGCCCGAGTGTAATAGCCAGTAGTTAAAGGCTCTTGCTCAGTCACCTGACTCCTATTTCCTCACAATTGCAACCATGCTCCGTCACAGTGCTCTGAAAGTGTGGGCTCCTCTCCCACTCAAGTGCTGGGTGCAGATCTCTACTTGACACTCCTTGGCTGCACTCTGCAGCCCTAAGGTGGGCTCAGGCTTTATGTTCTCTCCCAGCTTTAATGAAAGACCTTGGCAATGGCTGTGGCAGAAGGCCTTTCACTTGTCTCTTGGGGCTTCACCCCAGAGAAATACAGAGCTGCTACCAATCAGTGCAATCGGCCCATGATACCGTCATTGCATTGTAAGCCCAAGCCAGGGGCCCCTGCTTTATAAGCAAGGAGGGCAGGGGATTCTTCTGTGAGATAGACTGGCCTCTTCTCCTTAGGGTGGCTGTGGTTTGCTAGATGTGTGGTTAAAGCACTATGGGTCTTTGCTTCTTCCCCAGTCCAACAGGAGCAAGGGCAGTCCCACTACAGCAGCAGTGGCAGAGGGGCTTTCAGTTGCTCTGAGAGCTCCACCTCAGAGAAACGCGGAGCAGCTGCTACTGGAATGTTCAGCTAGGGGTGGGGCCACTGTGCTGCTGGCCCAAGCTGGGGGCCCCACTTGGTGAAGAGTTGGGGGTCAAGGGTTCACAAGGAAGAGAGACTGGGCTCCTCTTTATATGGTGACTGTGTAGTGCTAGAAGCGTGAGTAAAGCCCTCAGGCTCTTTGTTTCTTCCCCAGTTTGAGGGCAGCAGAAGCAGAACTGTGGCCATAGCAGTAGCACAGGGTTGGTTGGTTACCTCTGGGAGCCCCTCCCCAGGGAATCACGGAGCCACTACCAGTAGGTATGCTCACCCAGGGATGGGAAAGCTCTTCTGCAATTGCAAGCCAGGGCCCCTACTTGGTGAAGAGTTGGGGGTGGCTCATAGGGAATAAAGACTGGGCTCCTCTATCATACTATGGCTGTGGTGTGCTGAAGATGCCAGGCCCTTTCTTCCTTCCCCAGCCCAAGGACAGTAGGGGCGGTAGCACTGCAGCTGCAATGGCAGAGAAGCGGCGGGATTTCTCTGCAATTTCCTCCTCAGAGAAATGCAGAGTGGCCACTGACTGAAGTGTTTTGTCCAGGGTCAGGGTGGTTGTGCTGGGAGACCAGGTTGAGAGGCACTGAGAGGCCATGAAGAGTAGCAGAGGTGGGGACTCATGTGGAAGAGAGTCTGGCCACTTTTCTGTAAGGCAGCTGCACTGTGCTTGGAGTCCACATTAGTTCCTAATTACCACAAACCTTCCTGAGCCTGAGGGCAACAGGAGTGAGGGCTATGGAGCAGCCAAAATTGTGGCCTGCCTGCTTTCTCTCTGCTGTCCCAAGGAAGTAGAGGTGGTTCTGGCCTGAGAATTCAGGCAGAACTGGGGTGACCTGGCTAGGGTTTCAGGCAAGTGGGCCTTATCCTGTGAGATGTAGTAGGTAAGGCCTGTAGTCCTTTACTGCTCAGCTCCGTGGATTTGGACCCTTTTCTGGGGGCATGCAAGGGAGCCTAGCCTCCCCTGTTACCGGAACTGCAGCTGCTGATGCTGGAGCTCTGGGGGATCCAAGGCTCCAAGGACTCTGTCTGTGATTAAGCAACGTCTCTGCCCACATAGCTCTCCATGTAGGTCTGCAGGCCTCTGTTGTGAGGGCTTATGGGGGACCTCCTGAGCCCCAGGTTGCAAAAGTGTCGGTCCCTGGGGACTCTGTTTTTCCACAGTGGGGAAACCTGGCTCCATGCCACTCACAGATGGGCAGTTGTCCTGTCTCACTCGTCTCTATTCTCTGTGAATCAAGTTGTTTCCTTGATGAATCCCAATGTGTCCATCTGGATGTTCCAGTTGAAGAGCTAGTGTTTAGTCACTACTCTCCCTTCTCTCCATGAGAGCTGCACACACTAGCTGCTTCTAGTTATCCATCTTGGCCAGAAAGTCTGAAGTAAGATTTCTTGATATAAGTATGAAATTCTTTCCAATGAAAAGAATAGTTTCCTTAATGTAAAATGTGCTTCAATAATTTAGAATTTGGCTACTAATAATAGGCCTCCATTAAAAAAATAAGACTCTACTGGAAAGCTACTTTGCTCACAATAAAGAAGTAAACAGTCTTTGGGATAGGACAGGAACTGGGCAAGATCTGTATAATTTTCTATCCCAGGCCAGTTTTTTAAAATAAGCTTATTTCTTCCACAAAATATGTACCAGGAAGATACAAATATCACTGGAATTAATACAGATCATATCCAAATTTCCTGATTCAGTGATACCTTCTGTATGAATTTCCTCCTGTTTATATTTCCTAAAATACAGTTCCCCATTTTACACTGCACTATGAGTGTTACTATGAGTGAACTTACTGTTCTTGGTGCTTTTTGACAACTACAGTCAAACTGTTTTTCTTAAAGTTGATTCTAGAAGCCCCTACAGGCTATCATGCATTTGCCTTACATTCTTTTTTTTTTAATTTTATTATTATTATACTTTAAGTTTTAGGGTACATGTGCACAATGTGCAGGTTTGTTACATATGTATACATGTGCCATGTTGGTGTGCTCCACCCATTAACTCGTCATTTAGTATTAGGTATATCTCCTACTGATATCCCTCCCCACTCCCCCAACCCTCCACCCCACAACAGTCCCCGGTGTTTGGTGTTCCCCTTCCTGTGTCCATGTGTTCTCATTGTTCAATTCCCACCTATGAGTGAGAACATGTGGTGTTTGGTTTTTTGTCCTTGCGATAGTTACATTCTTAAATTTAATTAAGGATACCTGCCCTGAAATGTCTCCCCAAAATTCATATATTGAAATCCTAACTCTGAAGATGATAGTATTAGGAGGTATGGCTTTTCAGAGATGATGAAGTCTTGAGCCTTTATGAATGGGATACATACATGTCCTAATAAAAAAGACCCCAGAAAGCTCCCTCACTCTTCCTGTATGGGAGGTTACAGTGAGAAATGGCCTTTGATTGGGAAGCAGGCCTTCACCAGACACAGATTCTGTGGCACCTCAACTTTGGATTTCCCAGCCTCCAGAACTGTGAGAAATAAATATTTATTGTTTGTAAGCCACCAAGTTTATGGTATATTTCTATAGAAACCTGAATGGACTAAAATAAGCCCCTTTTTTTTCCTTAAGGTCGCAGAAGAAGACTAGCCAAATCTATCAGAATTTACTATCTTGCTTGTTTAGCAATTTTCCATTGAAAAATTGTCCTTTCTATTTTAGCGCTTTCTATGTAATTGTTGTTGGTTTACCTCTTTATTATTTTAATGTTGAACCATCCTTGAAAAACCTGAAATAAATACTACTTGGTAGTGTTATATAATTCTTTTTATACATTTTCAGTTTCACTTGCTAATGTTTGGTTGAAAAATTTTTTCTTTGTGTTCATCTAACAGATCCCTCTATAATTTTTCTTTTTTTTGTTGTTTTTGTCTGGTTTTGGTATTAGGGTAATTCTGGCTTCACAGAATTAGTTAGGAAGTGTTCCTTCTGCTTCTAATTTTCTGGAAAAAAAGATTACACAATCATAATCTTTTTTTAATGTTCAGTGGAATTCACTAGTGAAACCATCCAAGCCTGGTGATTTCCATTTTTGGAAGGTTATTATCACTGATTCAAATTTTTTTTATACAGGAATATAATGTGTAATAGGCACATTAGGGTAAATGCAGTATCTGTCACCTCAAGCATTTATTATTGCTTTGTGTTACAAACATTCCAATTATACTTTTAGTTATTTTTAAATGTACAATAAATGATTGATGACTGTAATCACTCAGTGGTGCTATCAAATGCTAGATCTTATTCACTCTAATGATATTTTTGTACCTGTTAACCATTCCCACTTCTCCCCCACCTCCCCAATACCCTTCGCAGCCTTTGACAACAATAATTCTTCTAACACATATAGCCCTTTTCAAATTATTTATCCTCGTATTATTTTTGGTAGTTTGTGTTTTCAAGAAATTGGTACATTTAGTCTATATTAACAAATTTGAGAGTAGGGAGTTGTTCCTTTATTTCTTTAAAATTCTCTTAATACTTATTAGAACAGTGGTGATGGCTGCTATTTTATCTCTGATATTACAAATGTGTGTTTTCCCTATTTTTTCTTTTTGGTTAGGCTTTGTTATGGGCTGAATTGTGCCCCCAAAATTCATATGTTAAAGTTCTAATTCCTAGTACCTCAGCATGTGACTACAATTGGAAAGACAGCTCTGAAGAGGTGACTATGTTGAAATGAGGCCATCAGGACAGACCCTGATTTAATCTAATGCAAGTCCCTATAAGAAGGGAAAATTTGGACACATAAAGAGACAACAGGGTTCTGCACACAACAAGGAACATTTGTGTGAGCACACAGCAAGAAGGCAGCTATGTGCAAGTCGAGGAGAAAGGCCTCAGGAGGAACTAAAATTGCCTACTCTTTGATCCTGGACCTCTAGCCTCCACAACTATGAGAAAATAAATATCTATTGTTTAAGCTATCAGGCTTTGCTGTTTTGTTATACCATCCCCAGCAAACTAATACAGCCTGGCTACAGGTTTAGCAATTTTACTTCTTTATTTCCTTGATTTTTCTCTATTAATTTTCTGTTTTCAATTTCATTGATACGTGCCACAATTTTTAATTTTTTTCTGCTTAGTTTGAATTTAATTGACTCTTATTTCTAGTTTCCTAAAGTAGAAGCTTGGGTTATTGATTTTAGATCATTGTTTCCTAATATATGTATTCAATTCTATAAATTTCCCTGTAAGCACTGTTTTTCTGTATTCCATAAATTTTAAGTTGTGTTTTACTTTTATTTCAAAATATTTTTAATTTCTCTTTAGAATTCTTCTTTGACCCACATGATCTTTAAATGTGTGTTGTTTAATCTCCCGATATTTGGGATTTTTCAGATATTTTCAGTTATTAATTTTTAATTTGATTCCACTGTGATCTGAGAACATATTTTGTATAATTTTTATACTTTAAGTGTGTTAAGAGGTGTTTTATGGCCCAGAATATGATCTGTCTTGGAGAATGTTGCATATAGGTTTGAGAAAAATGTGTATTCTGCTGTTTGGGAATGAGGTATTATATAAATGTCAAACAGATCTAATTGATTAATGGTGTCATTCACTTCACTATATCCTTACTGATTATTTGCCTGTTAAATTTGTCAATTATTGATAAAGAGGTGTGAAACTCCAGATTTATCTATTTCTTCTTGCAGTTCTATATGTTGTCTCATGAATTTTGAACCTGTTTTTACATTCACACCTATTAAGGGTTGTCAGGTATTCTTGGAGAATCATCCCTTTGATCTTTATGTAATATCCCCTCTATCCCTAATAACTTTCCTTAATTTGAAATCTGCTCTGTCTGAAATTAATATGGTTATTCAAGCTTTCTTTAAAGATATGTCATGCTAACATAATCAATTTTAAAAATAGACTTTTTTTTAGAGAACTTTTAGGTTCACAGCAAAATTAAGCAGAAGTACAGAGATTTCCCATATAACACTGTCCTGACACACATAACCTTCCTTATTATTAATATCCCCTACGAGAGTGGCACACTTATTACATTTGATGAACCCGCATTGACACGAAATTATCACCTGAGTCTAGTTTACATTAGAATTCACTTTTGGTGTTCTACATTCTGTAAGTATAGACAAATATATAATTACACATACACCACTGTAATATAGAGAATAGTTTTACTGTGAAAATCTTCTGTACTTCACCTATTTATTCCTCCCTCCGCACTAAGTTCTAGCAACACCAATCATTGTAATGTCTCAATTTTATCTTTTCCAGAGTGTCATGTAGTTGGACTTACATAGTATGTATCTTTTTATGATTGGATTATTTCACATGATAATACATATTTAAGGTTTCTCCATGTTTTTTTCATGGCTTGGTATCTCTTTTTAGTGCTGAATAAAATTCCATTGTGTGGATGTACCTGAGTTATTTTAACTTAAAATATTCATCTATGGAAACGCATCTTATCTTGGTTACTTCTATGTTTTGACAATTATGAATAAAGATGTTATAATTATCTGTGCAGACTTTTGTGTGTATATACGTTATTTCCCACAAATTCATATATTTACTTCATTGTTAGTCAGTGGAGTACATACACACATATAGATGTCTCTGAGTCACCTTAAGTCACATAATTGCAAGGATACAAACACATGCTAGATCATCCCTGTGGCTGAGTGCCTCTGGGGAATACTCAAGTCCTACTGAGGCTTCTCTCTGTATCTTCTGGCTGCTCTGTCCAGTTCTCCCTGAGCCCACATTCCTACTCTCTTTCCCTTCCATTCTTCCACCATGGTGGCAAGGCAAGGAAGATCCAGTTGAGACAGATCGCAGGTGCACAGAAGACTGAAAAGGCCAGTGTCCACTACAGCTGCTCTGGCGTCCTTCCTTGGTTCACACATTATGTATCGCACCACTTCAAGGACACTGTTAACTCCTGGAAGGAAAGGCCCAGGGCTTCTACCTCCTTGGGCATGGAGATACAGTGGTCAGGAAGAGCAGCTCCTTGTCAGACTGCTTAGTGTGTGACAACTGTGAGGACTCAGGGGCTATAAGCAGGAACAGGACAAGCTTACAAACAAATAACTAAGACCCAATACAGTGCATGCTGGAGCAGAGATGTGCAGAACACTGTGGGAGCACAGGAAGGGGCAGGGCAGGACAGCATCCTCAGAGAGGACACTTACAGGCACTACCCTGTGCCATATTCTGTGTGAGGTGCTTCAACTCCACCTTATTTTATTCTCACAAAGGAGGAAGGTGAGTTCAAAGACAATACCCTTGAAAAGCCACTGAGCTGGGATTCAGCTCCAGATCTTTCTGGTTCTAAAATCTATCTATGCTTTTTCCCTTGTACAGGCTACCACCCGAGGGGACACCAGCTCTGGGACTCAAAAAATGGTAAAGAGACCTCCAGAATCAATGAATCACTTTCAGAGAAAAGAAAAGAAAAACTTTAAAAACACAAAGAAAAAAAATACCACATTTTCCCCAAATTTCACGTCATAACCAACTAGAAGTGCAAACGTAAGTGATGCTGGAAACAAGACTCTGGCAAGAAGGGCCTTCTGAGCAAGGTCAGCATCTCCTCCCAACAGCTCTTTCTCCCAACAATGCCAGGGGATCTTTCAAAATTGCCACTGCTGCTGCTAAGCTCCAGAAGAGAGGTTTCTGAACTTCAATGTCTTTATCATAGCTCACTCTCTGGGTTCTCAGATAGATATATATATATCAGGGTTGTCTTCATCTGAATGAAGCTGGAAACTCTGCCTGACAGCATGCTTATAATGCTCCTGGATGCCCTTGGTCGGCAGCTGCAGCGGCAAATGTCTGTAGAGCTGTAGCAGCCTCCAGACCAGCTCTGTCCCTGGTGGTAGCAGGATCATCTGCAAGATCGTCTGCGCCTGCTTCGTGAAACCACCTGCTATGTCTATATTTGAGTCATCCATAAAAATGCTTAATCAGATTAGAGCTAAGTACCCCACAGGGCATGGGCAGGAACAAGTTCAAACATCTATAAAAAGCACTTGATTGTACTGTTATCCAGTACTTCTCAATCTTCTCTACAAAACCTTGCTCTGTGCTTTTCTGAAACACAAGAACATCATATGCAGCTTCCCCCTGCCTCCACGGGGGACATCAGCCCTGGACACTGCCACACCAATTAGTGTATTTAAATTTTTAACTCATTTGGGTAAATAGTAATAAGCATGATTTCGGAATTACATATACGAGTATGTTTAGTTTGTGACAAACTGCCAAACTGTTTTCCAAAGTAGCTGTACCATTTTGCATTCCCAGCAGCAACGAATAAGAACTCCTGTTGCCCTACATCCTTGCGAGCATTCCATGTTGTCACGGTTCTGGGTTTTTGGCCATTCTAATAGGCACGTAGTGATATTTCATTGTTTGTTTTAATTTGGATTTCTCTGATGATATATGGTGTAGAGCAATTTTTCCTATGCTTATTTTACATCTCTCTATCTTTTTTGGTGAAGTGTCTGTTAAGGTGTTTGGCCCGTATTTTAATAGGGATGTTTTCGTATTGTTGAGATTTAGGTGATCTTTGTATATTTTGGGTAATTGTCCTTTACCAGGTATATCTTCTGTAAATATTTTCTTCCCGTCTATGCCTTATCTTTTCATTCTCTTGACAGTTTCTTTTACAGAGCATAATTTTTTAATTTTAACGAAGTCTAATTCATCATGGATCTTGCCTTTGGTGTTATTTCTAAAACTTCATCACAATACCAAAAATTTTCTCTGCTTATCATCTAGGAATTTTATTTTGCATTTTATATTTAGGTCTGTTATTAATTTTGACTTACTATTTTTGAAGGGTGTAAATGTCTTGTGTGCTGCCATCTATTATCTCATACATTCTGATCTGTTTTACATTAAATCTTCTGTATCTCTCTTTCTGAAATTTGAGTCAAAGTTCCAGGAGGTGTTATATTTATCTTTAATTCCTTCTTCACCATCAGACCCCTGCTTCCACCCTTGCCCAACCCCCACATCGTCTAATATTATTTTTCATAACTGAACTGTATTTTGGGTACAGGCTCTGACAAGTGCTTACTTATGCTACATTATTTAATTATAACAAGAATTCTATTTTTTTTAGATATTATTATCCCTGGGGCAAATAGAGTCCTAAAGTGGCCCCAATGATCCTCTCTCCCTAGTACTATTATCCTGAATAATTCATTTTCCTTTAATGTGGGTGGAAACTATGGCTTGCTTCTACGGATAGAATATGGCAAAAGTGAAAGGATTTTGCAGATGTAATTAAGGTCTCAGATCAATCAAATAGAAGATTATCCTGAGAAGACCTGACCTAAGTGAAATCTCTTAAAAAAAAAAAAAAAAAAAAAAGGACGGGGCTCTCCCTGAAGTTAAAGACTCTGCTTTTACTCTTTATGAATTCAAAAGGAATGTCAGGAAGCCTTCAGGCAGCAGCCAGAAGAAAGCTGGGGCCCTTTTCCATACAGCTGAAAGATAAAGAATCTGTTAGATACCTGAAGAGCTTAGAAGTGAGTGGCTCTCCAGATAAGAATGCAGGCAAGCTAACATTTTTTACAGCCTGTTACACTCTGAGCATAGACGAACCACCCATGCCATGCCTAGGCTCTTGACCCATGGAAATTGTTAGATAATAAATATATGTTGAAGTTGTAATAATATTGGTACAGTCATTCTAATTTATTTGTGTGTGAAAAATATGTGTCTGTGTTAAAATATGTAAGTAATGTCATGGCTACAATCCCAGCACTTCAGGAGGCCAAGGCGGGAAGATGACTTGAGATCAGGAGTTTGAGACCAACCTGGCCAACGTGGTAAAACGCTGTCTCTACTAAAAATACAAAAATTAGCTGGGCATGGTGGTGGGCACCTGTAATCCCAGCTAATTGGGAGGCTGAGGCAGGAGAATTTCTTGAACCTGGGAGGCAGAGGTTGCTGTGAGCTGAGATTGCCCCACTGCACTCCAGCCTAAGTGACAGAGGGAGGCTTTGTCTCAAAATAAATAATAAAATATGTAAGTAATAATTTTAGAGTCATTGGGAAATATTTCAACTCAAGAGAAAAAATATAAATATCAAATCAAAAACATAATGAAAAATTCCTAAATGTGAATTTAATTATTTTGTCTTAAAATAACAATAATACCTATTTCTTAGTTTTTTTCTGTTGAAAAATCCTAAACACAATGACCAACCTAGTAACAATGAGCATTGGTGTAATAACACTGGCGTCTCAATACCATATTCCATTAAAAGTAACCAGAGTTCCTTGGATAGATGGTTGATTCCAGGCATGAAATATGTAAGGTAAGCCTGCTCATTTTTTCATAGCAGAAACCAAAGCAGCTTCCAAAAATACTAGGATTCAGTCAAAAAGACTCAGGAGCCAACTTGAAGAAATCCCTTATGACCAAAACAGAAAAAAATTAAATATTCATTGAAAGAATCACTGCAGTGAGTTGAAACATGTTAAATATATTGCCATTTTAATGATCATATAGACAAAACCAAACAAGAACCTACTAATGGTCACATTTCAGAGATGTTTCAAACCCAGTGAAGTATTCTGAAAACACATCAAAGAGGAAATAATCATTCTATTATTATTTCCTATACGAATGTGTGTCAGAGTAACAACATGATTGATGAAGTCAAGTTTCTCTCTACACACATAGTCTATCTTAAAAATAAGATAGTGTCACCATTTCATTAATTTATGATGAAAAATGGAAAATTACATTACGACAAGGAGAGGTAATTAGAAATTTTGGTACTCTTTATTAACCAGCACCCAACTATATCCGAAGTACTGTTGTTTAAAAAAGAAATCAAACCTGAATCAGATAGAGCTTCTAGATCTAAATACAAGAAATACAAATGGCCAAGTTGTTTTCAACAAATACATTGCAAGAGGACAGGAAAAACTGCAGGAACTAATACATTAAGATAATCTTTTAAGACATGTTTATTAAATTGTATGTTTGAACTTTGAGTACCAACTTGAAATAATCAAATATTTTTAAAAAGTTAAGCAAACAAAAAATACTTATGAGAGAACTGCGGACTAGATACTTGATGATATGAAGAATTTAGTCAAGTTTTTGTAAGCTGTAATTATATAATGATTGTTTCAAAAAAAAGTTCTTATGTAGAGATAAATTCTGAAATTTTTACAGCTGACATTAAGTTAAGCCTGGCATTTTCAAAGTAATCCCACAGAGTAAGGAGGAGGGTAGAATATGAGGGTGCATAGATGAAACATAAGTTGATGTTAGATATACATGGGCTTTCCCTTGCTTTTGACTTTCATATATATTTGAAATTTATCATAATCAAATTGTAAACTAAAATTTGCTTCAAATTTTAAAATAATTGGAAGACAAGTCACAGAAACCATAGACTGAGATCAAAATATTTATAAAAGTCATACCCAGTGAAGGACTATTAACCAAAATATACAAAGAACTCTTAAAGCTTAACAGTAAGAAAAGAAACAATCCAACTTAAAAATAGGTGAAAGATCTAAACAGACACCTCAGCAAAGATCTACAGATGACAAGCTGTAAAATGATGCCTACCATCATATATTATTAGGGACTTGCCAATAAAAACAATAAGATACCATTACATACCAATTAAAATGGCCAAAACCCAGAGCACTCAATACCAAATGCTCATTAAGATGTAGACAGAGCAATAGAAATTCTCATTTATTGCTGGTGGGAATGCAAAATGGTACAACCACTTTGGAAAACCGTTTGGCAGTTTCTTATAACACTAAGCATGCTCTTACCATACAATCCAGAAATCATGTTCTTTGGTTCCCAAATGAATTGAAAACTTAAATACACACAAAATGCTGCACACAGATGTTTATAGCATCTTTATTCATAATTGTCAAAACTTAGAAGCAAGCAAGATATGCTTCAGAAGATGAATGGATAAAATAACTTTGGTACATCCAGACAATGGAATTTTATTCAGCACTAAAAAGAAATGAGATGCCAAGCTGCAAAAAGACATGGAGAAAACTTAAATGCATATTATTATGTGAAAGTGTCCACAAAAAACTTACACACTGTGTAAGTCCAACTGTATGACATTCTGGGAAAGAAAAAACTATTGAGATATAAAAAGATGAGTGATTGCGAGGGACTTACAGGAAGTGAGGGATGAATTGGTGGAACACAAACTTTTAAGGCAGTGAAACTATTCTGTATGCACTATAATGGCGGAAACTTGTCATTATATATTTGTCTAAATCCATATGTACATCACCAAAAGTGAGACCTAATATAAAGTATTGACTTTATATGATAAAGATACGTCAATGTGGGTTCACATCAATTGCAACAAGTGTACTGCTCAGCCCAGAGATACTGGTAATGGGGTAGGTTATGTATGTGTGGAGACGGGATATATGGAAACTCTGCTTACCACTTAATTTTGCTGTGAACCTAAAACTTCTCTAAATATAAAGTCAATTTAAAAATTGCTTCAAACTTCTTGTACTTTTAAACTTTATATTACAACCTCAGTGTTAGTTTTGATCTGCATAATCAAAAAGAAAAGTAAAAGCAACTCATGGGTTGGTAGTTTTTTCAGTAGCTGTCAAAGAATCCTAGCTTAAGTACAGAGGTGTTTCTTGGGAGCTGTTTGTACTAAATGCACCAACAAGGGAAAACCAATAAAGCTGTTTAAATGGTTTCCCAGGGACCTTCGTGATGATGGAATACTACTTGTCTTATAAGACCAATAGCTGTACGTGTTCTCATTTTTCTTTATTTGTCTAGAAACTATGACTATACCTACTTAAACACAGACAAACTTGGGATCTGGAAAAACTGCAAAGCAAAACTGAGTGTTTTCCCCTCTCACTGTCATAACTGGCTGAAAAATAGCTTTAATTTCTCTTTGACTTATACATAATAAATCATTAAAACTCCTGAACGCAGTATCTTTAGAATGCAGCTTGTTTCCTTTTTAAAAAATTAATACAGAAGACCTGTAGACACCAGCATTCTTAGAAAGCCAAGTGAGGCAATATTCTGTTTGACATGGGATGTTATATTAGATAAGACTGTACTGAAATGTGAGTAATAATTTTAGTTAATAGTCTAAAAATTAATGAAAAGTCTAATGATATGAGAGTGAATTTTTTCTTCATAATGACAACTAGCGCTCTAATTCATGTGTTCTTAAATATTCCCTTACATAAGATTTGGTAAAAATTTAAATTACGGATAATTTATTTTAACCACTTGTTCTACAAAATTAAAAAAAAATTAAACATGTCCACAAAATTTCTGCTCAAAGAACATTGCTTTACTCATTTATATGTGAGACTCAGACATGTTCTCTGATTCACAAGAGCTATTTCAAGTTATTTTAAATGGGTGGGTAGAAACAAATTACATAAATCAATTAATATATCTATATGAATATATAATTTCCAAACTGATCAGTGATAATATCAATATATTACCATATCTGTAACATTTTATACTCTTCACAGTCCTAAATTTTACCTGTATGCTGTCATTTGGAAGAGTAGGAAAATACCTACTTAGAGGCAAGATGAGTTCAGTATATCATCCTCAGTACCCTATTTACTCTTTCATTTGACAAGTATATATGAAAAAGCAACTGTATTCAACAGTGTGGTTAGCTCTGATGTAGATACAAAAGAAATAGAATAATAGCATATAGATCTGTGAGGAAAAAGGGAAATAAGTTTGGCAGAGTACTCATTCTGTGACAGTACATGTTATGCAATTTAAGTATGCTATTTTATTTAATTTTACAGAATTTAAATTTAAAAAATAGGCATTATTTAAGGAGAAAAGACATTTTTAGTCACTCAAATCAAAATAAATACACAAACAAAACTAAAAATCTTATTCTAAATGAAATGGAAAAAAAAAAAAACTATTGGCAGTGTAGATTGCAGTTGGGAAAACTAGATTAGGGAAATAGGCGGGAATTTAGAGAAGCTAAGCTCCAAGAATTTCTACTGCAGTCACATCACAGAATCAGTCCACATGAGACATCACAGCTACTGGACACTGGATGTCACCATGATGCCATTGCCATTGTACACTGGAAGTCACCACAAATACCAAAAGTATTTGTGCCTCTCGACCCTAGACTCTTCTGATATTCAAATTCTCAAGCAAAGAGTAAATTGGCTAACTTTATGACATGTGTCCTGAGCCCTCATGTGAGAGTTCAGAAAGCCTAAGCGCTTGTCTTCTGGCTCCCTTTCTCCTCTGCTTTCCTTTAGGAAAAAACAAACAAACAAACAAACAAAAAACGTAAAATTAAAGGGTGACATTCTCATTTTAAATGACATTAGAATTACATTTGTTCAGACTCTGCTGTCGATGAACATATGAAAAGGTACAAAATACCTTCACCCCTAAAAATACTAGATAAAATTAAAACCATATATTTTGTGATACTATCAAAGAGCAGAGGATACAAGGTAAATTCCATTGAGAAACTAGTACTTTAAAAGTGAGCTGAGAGCTATGGCAACTTCCAAACTTGGGTCCATCACATAGTCTGAGTACAGATGGATGAAGGGGCAGTCCTTCCATTGGAAGAGAGAGAGAATTTTCAGAGACAGAAAAAATCAGCTGACGTTTATGCAAGAGTGTGAACTGATAAAATATACTAGAAGGAGAAAGAGCTCCAAATACAATACATTTCTCAGCCTAACACTTCTTGTTCTATCCTTACGCTACTTTTGTTGTTGGGGGGGGAAATGGTTTGAGGAAAGAACTAGAAAACTGAGAAAATTACATGCCCCTGCATACTGTTGCAGTACTTGGGTTCTGGAGCCCTGCCAGAATGGAATTCAAAAGTAAACCAAAATAATCTGAAACAGTGTGCCCAACCTATTCCCAGCTCAAACAGACAAAGACAAATGGCAGAAGTATGGGAATTGCAGGTTGGACAAATCACAGATAAATTCAATCTAATTTAAATTTTGGCCCA
Source organism: Homo sapiens (assembly GCF_000001405.40). Lineage (NCBI taxonomy): Eukaryota > Metazoa > Chordata > Mammalia > Primates > Hominidae > Homo > Homo sapiens. Next base: position 9,076,887 of record NC_000007.14, on the reverse strand, counting down.
GTTTTAACTCAACTTCAGGTAAGGGCAAATCTGAACTATAAGTAACTCATCTTTACAACTCCCTGGATAATAAGCAAAACAAAATGAAAATTCACTTAGATCTCCAACGTTCTTTTTATGCATAATGCCCCCAATATGATAAGAAAATATGTATGACATGATAAGAAAATATGTATGACAGATGACTGTAACTCAAACAAGATGAAAAACAGTCAAGAAAGAAGATACCTTCAGATGATTCCATTTTTGGAATTAGCGTCTAAGAACTAAAAAAAAGTATACGTAAGTTAAATATTTTATGAGGAAAGACATAAGTAAAGAGATGAGATGTGCAAGGTGTGAAATGGAGACTACATATAAAAAATCAAGTAAAAAGTGTAAAACTGAAAAATAAAATATCTACATTCAAAAGTTTATTTCATTTGCTTGCCAAAATTGGAAACAATGAAAAAGGATAAGTAAACTTATAGACATGTCAATACAAATTAGAAAAATTAAAGCATAGTAAAGGAAATGAAATTTTAATTTAATTTTTAAATAACAATGCATTTTAGGAATTACAGCATTTAGTAAAATACATGAAACATTGGCACAAAGAATGGGGAAAGCTAAGCAGAATGTTGCATTATATGATAAGTGGTATAATATTTCAAAGTAGATTTTGTAATCAATAATTCAAAGATGTAGTAAATCCTGAAGAAACAAGCTATGTGTTAAGTTGAAATGCCACGATTAAAATTAAACTAGAGAGGGCATTTCATGTTCTTACTAAGCTGTGCTTTCATCTCTGGATATATTTGATAATTGCTCTCAAACATGTCATCCCCAAGGATGCCCTCTCTCAGCACTTCTATTCAACATAGTATTAGAAGGTCTGGCTAGAGCAATCAGGCAAGAGAAAGAAAGGGCATTCAGATAGGAAAAGAGGAAGTCCAACTAACCCTGTTTGCAGATGACATAATCCTATATCTAGAAAACCTCATCATCTCAGCCCAATAGCTTCTTAAGCTGATAAGCAACTTCAGCAGAGTCTCAGGATACAAAATCAATGTGCAAAAATTGCTAGCATTCCTATATACCAACAACAGTCAAGCTGAGAGCCAAATCATGAATGAGCTTATGAACTTCCATTTATAATTGTCACAGAAAGAATAAAATACCTAGGAATATAGCTGTCAAGGGAGGGGAAAGATCAATAAAAGGATAACTACAAATCACTGCTCAATGGAATCAGAAATGACCTAAACAAATGGAAAAACATTCCATGCTCATGGATAGGAAAAATCAGTATCATTAAAATGGCCATATTACCCAAAGTAATTTATAGATTTGATGCTATTTCTATCAAACTACCATTGATATTCTTTACAGAACTAGAAAAAAAAACTATTTTAAATTCATATGGAACCATAAAAGAGCCCAAATAGCCAAGGCAATTCTAGGCAAAAAGAACAAAGCTGGAGGTATCACACTACCTGACGTCAAAATATATTACAGGATTACAGTAAGCAAAACACCATGGCACTGGTACAAGAATAGACACATAGACCAATGCAACAGAATAGAGAACCCAGAAATAAAACTGCACACCTACAACTATCTGATCTTGGACAAACTTGACAAAAACAAGCAATGAGGAAAGGACTCCCTATTCAATAAATGGTGCTGGGATAACTGGCTAGCCATTTGCAGAAAATTGAAACTGGACCCCTTCCTTATACCACATACAAAAATTAACTCAAGATGGATTAAATACTTAAATGTAAAACCCAAAACTATAAGAACCCTGAAAGACAACCTAGGCAATACCATTCAGGACATAGGCATGGGCGAAGATTTCATGACGAAGATTCAAAAAGCAATTGCAACAAAAGCCAAAATTGACAAATGAGATCTAATTAAACTAAAGAGCTTCTGAACAGCAAAAGACACTGTCAACAGGGTAAACAGACAACTCACAGAATGTGAGGAAATTTTTGCAACCTATGCATCTGGCAAAGGTCTAATATCCAGCATGTATAAGGAGCTTAAAGAAATTTACAAGAAAAAAAAACCCTTTAAAAAGTGGGAAAATGACATGAGCAGACATTTCTCAATAGAAGACATACATGCAGTCAACAATCGTAAAAAAAAAGCTCAACATCGCTGACCATTAGATAAATGAAAATCAAAACCACAGTGAGATAACATATCTCACATCAGTCAGAATGGCTATTATTAAAAAGTCAGGAAACTACAGATGCTGGAGAGGATGTGGAGAAATAGGAATGCTTTTACACTGTTGGTGGGAGTGTAAATTAGTTCAACCATTGTGGAAGACAGTGTGGTAATTCCTCAAAGACCTACATATAGAAATACCATTTGACCCAGCAATCCCATTACTGGATATATATCCAAAGAAATATAAATCATTCTATTATATAGAAACACGCATGCATATGTTCATTGCAGCACTATTCACAATAGTAAATGCATGGAATCAACCTAAATGACCATCAATCATAGACTGGATAAAGAAAATGTGGTACATATACAACATGGAATAAGATGCAACCATATAAAAGAATGGGATCATGTCCTTTGCAGTGACATGAATGGAGCTGAAAACCATTATCCTTAGCAAACTAACGCAGGAACAGAAAATCAAATATGGCATGTTCTCACTTATAAGTGGGAGCTAAGTGATGGGCACACATGGACACATAGAGGGGAACAACACACACTGGAGCCTACCAGAGGGTGGAGGGTGAAGGGTGGAAGGAGGGAGAAATCCAGGCAAAATAACTAAGGAGTGCTAGATTTAATACCTGGGTGATAAAATAATCTGTACAACAAACTCCCATGATACACCTTTACCTATGTAACTAATCTGCACATCCTGAACATGTACCCTGAACTTAAAGTTTTAAAAAGAGATTTTAAAGAATATCTAAAAAAAAAAGTTATCAACTCTAGACACATCGAGTGGTTGCATTGACTATTCTCTGTGCACATATTTATCAGGGCACACATAACCACAGAAATTATTAGCTATCATAGTATTTAACAAGGTTCAATATTTAACGATGCAATATTTGACAAGTTTCAAATATTTCCCATAGTAAACAGCTAGGTAATTAGGAGAAATTTAAAAGAATTAAAATAGTAGGTAGCCATACTCATAAAAATTCACAATTTACTGACATAGATAAAACATTCTCTAGTGCCATAAACACTGGAGACATAATTAAAATATTTTTCAAGAAAGTGTGTAACAACTATTAAAATTATTAGAATAGGGCCAGGTCCACTGCCTCACATCTATAATATCAGCACTTCGAGAGGCTGAGGTGAAAGAATTGCTTGAGGCTAGGAGTTTGAGATCAGTCCAGGCCACACAGTGAGACTTTGTCACTACTAAATAATAAAAAAAAAATTAGCTGGGCATAGTGGTGTCCGCCTGTTATCCTAGTTATTGGAGAAGCTGAGGCAGGAGGGAGGATCACCTGCACCCAGGATTGTTGAGGCTACAATGAGCTGTGATCATGCCACTGCACTCCAGCCTGTTTGACCAAACAAGGCCCTGTTTCAGGGAGAGAGAGAGAGAGAGAGGAGGGAGAGGGAGAGAGAGAGGGAGAGAGAGAGAGAGAGAGAGAGAGAGAGAGAGAGAGACAGAGCGAGAGCGCGAGCGCGGGTGAGCGCGCTCTTAGAATTCTATTTCTGTTATACAGGTGGGAAAGAAAAAAAAAATCTTAAAACAAAAAAATTCCTGGCCGTCGGGTGCAGTGGCCCAATCCTGTAATCCCAGCACTGGGAGGCTGAGGTAGGAGAATTACTTGAGGCCAAGAGTTTGAGGATGCAATGAGATGTGATTGTACCACTGCACTCCAACCTAGGCAGCAGAGTGAGATCCTGTCTCTAAAAAACAAACAAATCCTGGAGATATTTGTGTATATGTCAAGAAAGGGTAGCTGTGTGCTTCTTTTTGAAAAATAGAAAATTTCATGCAACTATGGAACTAGGCATTCCAGATCTAGGAAAAACCAAAAGCAATGATGATGACAAAGATAACTAAGATCATAAAAATGATAATGATAGCTACTTATTTAGTAAAAGCTACTTATTTGACACCTCTTATATGTAGTAATTTAATTCATTTTTTGATTAAGCACCCCAGAAGTTACTTAACGTTGCTTTAATTGTTTTGCTGGAACTAGAAGTCACTTATGTAAATTGTCCAGGTTCAAACAGCTGGTAAAGAAATCTCTTTGTAACATAAATCACTTTATACGGTTTTAGACAACTTGTTCTTTAACCTTAGCTTCTACTTTTCAAACTCATACTCTTTGCTGGAAGAATTGGTGCTAGATTCAATAATGAGGGCTGATGAGAGGGTGTTTTGGAGAAGTGGTCCAGGAAATATAAATACTTCTTGAGATTGGACATAGGCAAGAGACATAGGGTTATGCCCCCCAGTTAAGAGTCAACTTTGATTAAGTAGCAAGAATAAATTTTAAGATAGATTAAAATATCTTCCAGAATTTTTGCTTCTGTGCCCCATGATTATTCTTTGTAATCATAGAACTGTGTGCTGGAAATATAGACATGAGAAATACTGCTAAAGTTTCTGTCTGGATGCAAATAATAGTCTTGCTATAATATATATCTTACTGTTTAATTTAGAATATATTAAATAATTTTGCCCTATGTCTCGAGTTATTATTATAAACTTAAATAATGGATACATAATCCAAAAATCAAACCCTGTTACAACAAATATCTGGAACTGTTTTCATATTTTTCTACAATAGCATATGTTCTACAAATTAAAGTCACTTCTGAATCATCAATATTCACTTACATCTTTACGTTTGTGTAAATATATTGAGTATATAGTCTTTTGCATAAAATTTAGCTATGTTTTCAATTATTTTCAATAGTCCATTTCGAGTAAAAATTATTACCAAAATATCCATAAACAAAACTGTAACCTAGTCAAGCAAAACTGTTTTGAAATATACATTGTATGATGTGTTGAATGTTATTAAATATATATGTGTGTGTGTGTGTGTGTTACTGTTGTTGATGGATAAACTCTACATATATACTGAAATGCTGAAAATCCAAACAATTTTAAAAGTGGTTCTGAGTTTTTTTTCTTAATGGCCTACTTACCAGCTTATAGAAAGCATTGTGAAGATATATTATTTCTTGGAAGTTTAAACATGGGATAAATTTAAGATTGTGGCTTTAAATAAGGATCTGGCACTGGAAAATGTACCAGATTATTTCGTTTATTGCTAATCAAACACAGAAAACTTAGCGGTATCTAAAATCTATAACAGGTTTGCTTATCTCTCTTATAATAAGTCATAATTATTATGCTGTTCCATATGTTTAGAATCAGCCCACTTTGCCTACCTAAGCTTATGATGGAGAGTATTAATTTAAAATTGGTACTTGAGTTAGGTTATCAGGAATTATATAGCCAACACCAATGCTTTGTCACCAAATTCTTATGTGAAAGATACACATCTGGAGCTCCTGTAATCCGTATGTTCCGGCACTGACATTTCTAATGATATAAGCAGTAGCCTAGAGCCTAAAAGTTTTACTGCTATCTGGATGGCAAACTGTATGATGGAAATAATGTAATTAACAAAAATTCTCTTGAGTTTCAGTTGAAAATGTAAAACATTTTTCTATTTCCCTGGAGTCATTGAATTTTTTTCTGAAATGTTATCTCTATAAAATATTGAGAGCCAAACAAACAATTCAGAAAGCAAAGAAAGCGATTTTAATTAAAACAAGTGCATATCTTGTTCGATTTTCCTTTTAAAAAATTCCCAGACTGACAATAAACTTTAATATCCAGATTGTCTTATATGTGACATTTGCTTTCATAAACCATGCAGTTATCAAGAGCTAATCCTGTAGAGAAACTAATCAAGGAAGGTGTTACACAAATGCAAAACATATGATTAAAGAGGGGGAAGGCAAATCTCATGCAAAGAAGTGAATATTATAACGAAATTGCCACTGAATAGAGATGTGAAGACTTCAAGCTCAATTTAATTAGACCACTGAGTGGAATCCCCTAAGAACAACAAGAATTCAACAGCTAATAATCAGTTTGTTCTTTACTGATTACCAGTTAATCATGTCCCAAACACAACCCTGGTCCTCTTTCTAATTATGAATACATTTTCAGGCCTCTTCTTTAATTTCTACATTTTTTATGGGTGCGCAAATCTTAATCAGCTAACTCTAAGAGAACCTACAACCAGTGAGCATCTTGAGAGGCCTTCCTACTGTTTAAGAAGTAAATATTTGCATCCTTTTGTGCCACAGTGGTAAACATTAGCTGATCTTGTAAGAGGAAAAAAAGGAGCATAGGAGGCTTGTGCACACCAGCCTAGGGCAGATCCTTTCTAAATAAAGATTATTTTCCTTTATAAAGTGCATGTTTCTTATGGTAATTTGGACATCATGCACATGCATACACACACACACAGTAGAAAAGAGTGAAAAAATTGTTCACGATTCTACCGTGAAAGTAAATCATTGATAACAGTCTTATTTTCTTCATATATATTTGAAAAGGAGATATACACTTCTCATGTATGTGTTTATACTTTTATAAATAAATGCATTTTAATATTAAAATTTAACCGTATACACATTCTCAAAATATCCATTTAAAATATTTAATACCTGCATACTTTACTATAAATTGTATATAACATATTTCAATAGTTATTAGTAATCATTTAGTTGGCTCCTCTTTTTAATATTATTTATGACTATTTGATAGAAACCTTAGGATTTAAAAAATATTTTAAATTTATGGTTATTTCCTACAGAGATTTTCGAAAGGAATAAACTTATTGATTGTTTAAATGTTCTTCCAAACACCAATGTTCAAAGAAGCACTTCAGCTTTCTGGGCTCAGGTCTTTTATTTGATTATAATAATTTCATTCTTTAGAACTCTGTAATTATTTTCTCTCTTTTTCTGTTTAAACTTCTGGATTTTTTTCTTAATAGCTCAGTTCTCTAGATTCTGAACTCTATATCTTCTACTTCTTGCAAGTATCCTAACTTCAGTATTCTGCTCATCTTCATTCTGGAAGTAAATTATTTTTCTCTTTATTTTTATTTTTATATTTTTTGAAATGGAGTCTCGCTCTGTTACCCAGGCTGGAGTGCAGCGGCGGGATCTTGGCTCACTGCAACCTCCGCCTCATGGTTTCAAGCAATTCTCCTGCCTCAGCCTCCCGAGTAGCTGGGATTACAGGCACCCGCCACCATGTCTAGCTAATTTTTGTATTTTTCTCAGAGACAGGGTTTCATCATGTTGTCCATGCTGGTCCCAAACTCCTGACCTTGTGATCTGCCCACTTAGGCCTCCCAAAGTGCTGGGATTATAGGCATGAGCCGCCGCGCCCGGCTGAGGAAATAGCTTCTATGCGAGCACACTCCTTCACTAGTTCAGGCTTTGGCAATCAATGCAACTACTTAAATACTAAAAGAAAAAATCATTGCCAATATCTTTATTGATAGTAATAGCTGTATTTTTAACATTTTAATGCTTTAATTGTAAATTGAATATTATAGCTTAATTGAGTGCTCATTATGTACCAGGAAGTTTACAGGCACTTCCTATGATGTGGTTTTTTTCATCATCATTTTATTATATGAAGAAACTAAGGCTAAGAGAAGTTAAATAACTTGCCTACTTAATCCAACTACCAAAGAGCAAAGGTATGTTTCAGACATAGACTCGTGAGTCCAAAGCTTATGCTAACTTTCTTACATGATGTATCCTCTCAGACAGGATGGTTAACAGTCTATTGGTATAAGTTACAGGGTAGTGAAAGGGTAGATGGAGTGGTGGATTGGCTAGCAGGTAAAGAGGTAACATAGGTTTAAAAAAAAATTGAGATAGCAGACTGTGCAGACTTGAGTCAAATCAACTTTAAGTTCTGTTCTGCTATTTACTAGCTGTGTAATATTAAAATAAGTATTTAATCTTTCCAAGTCTCACTTTTTGAATCTATTAAATGGGGATTATGATGAGTAGCTTATAGAATTGCTATGCAATGTGCAAAGACAAATATAGGTTCAAAATAAAGGGATGGAAGGCAAATGGAAAACAAAGAATAATAAAAAAATTAAAAAAGCAACGGTTGCAATCCTAGTCTCTGATAAAACAGGCTTTAAACCAACAAAGACGAGAAAAGACAAAGAAGGGCATTACATAATGGTAAAGGAGTCAATGTAACAAGAGCAGCTAAATATCCTAAATATATATGCACTCAACAGAGGAGCACCCAGATTCATAAAGCAAGTGCTTAGAAACCTACAAAGAGACTTAGACTCCAACAAAATAATAGTGGGAGATTTTTAATACCTCACTGTCAATATTAGACAGATCTACAAGACAGAAAATTAACAACGTTATTCAGAACTTGAACCCAGCACTGGACCAAGAGGACCTGATAGACATCTACAGAACTCTCCACCGCAAAACAACAGAATATACATTCTTCTCAGCACCACATCACACTTATACTAAAATTGGCCACACAATTGGAAGTAAAACACTCCTCAGCAAATGCAAAAAACAACAACAACAACAAAAAACAAAAAACAAACAAACAAAAAACAGAAATCATAAGTCTCTCAGACCACAGTGAAGTCAAATTGGAACTAAGGATTAAGAAACTCACTCAAAACCGCACAACTACATGGAAACGGAACAACCTGCTCCTGAGTGACTACTGGGTAAATAACTGAATTAAGGCAGAAGTAAATATGTTCTTTGAAATCAATGAGAACGAAGACACAATGTGCCAGAATCTCTGGGACACAGCTAAAGCAGTGTTTAGAGTGAAATTTATAGCACTAAATGCCCACAGGAGAAAGCAGAAAAGATTTGAATTGACACTCTAACATCACAATTAAAAGAACTAGAGAAGCAAGAGCAATCAAATTCAAAAGCTAGCAGAAGAAATTACTATAATCAGAGCAGAAGTGAAGGACATAGACATAAAAAAACCCTTCCAATAATCAAGGAATCCAGGAGCTGATTTTTTTTTAAAAGATTGACAAAGTAGATAGACCATTAGCCAGACAAAGAAGAAGAGAGAGAAGAATCAAATAGATACAATAAAAAATGATAAAGGGGATATCACCAGTGATCCCACAGAAATACAAACTACCATCAGAGAATACCATGAACACCTCTATGCAAATAAACTAGAAAATATAGATTGGATAAATTCCTGGACACATAAACCCTCCCAAGACTAAAACAGGAAGAAGTCAAATCCCTGAATAGACCAATAACAAGTTCTGAAATTGAGGCAGTGATTAATAGCCTACCAACCAAAAAAAGCCCAGGACCAGATGGATTAGCAGCCGAATTCTACCAGAGGTACAAAGAGGAGCTGGTACCATTCCCTCTGAAATTATTCCAAACAATAGAAAAAGAAGGAATCCTCCCTAACTCATTGTATGAAGCCAGCAGCAACTTGATACCAAAACCTGGCAGAGACACAACAAAAAAAGAATATCCCTGATGAACATCGATGCGAAAATCCTCAATAAAATACTGGCAAACCAAATCCAGCAGCACATCAAAAAGCTTATCCACCATGATCAAGTCAGCTTCATCCCTGGGATGCAAGGCTGGTTCAACATTTGCAAATCACTAAACGTAATCCATCGCATAAACAGAACCAATGACAAAACCACATGATTATATCAATAGATGCAGAAAAGACCTTTGACAAAATTAAACAGCCCTTCATGCTAAAAACTCTCAATAAACTGGGTATTGATGGAACATATCTCAAAATAAGAGCTATTTATGACAAACCTACTGCCAATATCATACCAAATGGGCAAAAACTGGAAGCATTCCCTTTGAAAACTGCTGATGCCCTCTTTCACCACTCCTATTCAACATAGTGTTGGAAGTTCTGGCCAGGGCAATGAGGCAAGAAAAAGAGAGGGTATTCAAATAGGAAGAGAGGAAGTCAAATTGTCTGTTTGCAGATGACATGATTGTATATTTAGAAAACCCCATCATCTCAGCCCAAAATCTCCTTAAGCTGATAAGCAACTTCAGCAAAGTCTCAGGATACAAAATCAATGTGCAAAAATCACAAGCATTCCTATATACCAATAAAATCAAAACCACAATGAGGTACCATGTCACACCAGTTAGAATGGCAATTATTAAAAAGTCAAAAAACAGATCCTGGGGAGGATGTGGACAAATAGGACCACTTTTACACTGTTGGTGGGAGTGTAAATTAGCTCAACCATTGTGAAAAACAGTGTGGTGATTCCTCAAGGATCTAGAACCAGAAATACCATTTGACCCAGCAATCTCATTACTGGGTATATACCCAAAGGATTATAAATCATTCTACCATAAAGACACACACACAACGTATGTTTATTGCAGCACTATTTACAATAGCAAAGACTTGGAACCAACCCAAATTCTTATCAATGGTAGACTGGATAAAGAAAATGTGGCACATCTACACCATGGAATACTATGCAGCCATAAAAAGAAATGAGATCATGTCCTTTGCAGGGACATGGATGAAGCTGGAAGCCATTATCCTCAGCAAACTAACACAGAAACAGAAAACCAAACACCACATGCTCTCATTTATAAGTGGGAACTGAACAAGGAGAACTCATGGACACAGGGAGGGCAGCAACACATACTGGGGCCTGTCAGAGGGTAGCTTGAGTGGAGATCATTAGGAAAAATAGTTAATGCGTGCTGGACTTACTCCCTAGGTGATGGGTTGTTAGGTGCAGCAAACCACCATGGCACATGTTTACCTATGTAACAAACCTGCACACCTGCCTGTGTACCCCAGAACTAAAAATACAAATTAAAAAAAGAAACACAACTGTTTCTGTGTGCTGATTTTCTAGCTTGCAACCTTAATGTGTTTGTTAGTTCTAACAGTTTCTTAGTAGAATCCTTACCATTTTTTATATAATATATAAGATCATCTCTTTAAAATGTAATCAAGGAAAATAGCACTCCCATTCTCCAGTTCCTATGGGAGGATAGGTGCCTAATTATGTGGGGCCTCTTACTCCAAGTTATACATCTACTCCCATCTTAAACATTTGAGAAGTTTATTTTTCAAGCCAATTTGCTAACACAGACTGTCAACCTAATTACCAAATGAATTTAGGATGAATCACATGCTGTGAAGCCTTCTTACTTGAGGATTCGTTATTGTTTATCTTGAGAACATGTATTTTATGGGTTGTATCTGCTTGTCTACATAAGGTGAGATTTGCCTTTTCATTATCTTCAGTGGATTGCTTGTGATTTATGTCATATTCTGGTTTAATGCTAATTCAATAATAATGCTTAATATTTGTTCTGCCTTTGTGAAGAGGTTTCCTGGCTTGGGGGATGACTTTGTTTTTACTTATATTTCCCCAGCTATATTACATGACCTTTAATGGAATAAGGCCACGTGATAATGCCTGCTCCTATTTCTCAAGGGGAGAGCTGGCTACGTGATTATAACATATACTATAACATAATGTACTAGCCTTTTGATATTATAGACTTGGACTAGCCTAAGGCTGGTGTCCTATTCACAATGTTACTCCTTTCCTTCCTAGCCAGACTAAAATTTCCAAAACTGGTAAACGTTAGTTTCAAAATAAAATAAGAGTATTTTATCTGAAAGCTGTCATCAGTTGAAATACTTCTAAAACCTGAGAGGAAGAGTGTAAAGGCCTTCAAAACATGTTGAGTTTTGTTTATGCAGGGTTTCAAATTCTGGTCACAAGGTTGTCTTCTCACAGCCATTGAAAATAGCACTAAGTAATCACAGTTATCTTATGTGGCTTCAGATCCATTCTTAATACAGAATCACAGTATCCACCACCAATAAATCAGCATTGACTCCTCAGATAATACTTAGGTCATATTTCAGATCTTAAATGCAAGATTATTTTAGGACAAAATTAACATTTCAGGTGGGTGTCTTAATCTTTCTGGACTGCTGTAAGTTCTGAAGGCTGGGAAGCCCAAGATCAAAATACTGGCATATTTGGTGTCTAGTGAGGGCCGGCTTTCCAGTTCACAGAATGTATCTTCTTTCTGCATCCTCACAAGGTGGAAGGGGAGCTCGGGTCTCTTCAACCCCATATAAAAGCACTAATCCCATTAATAAAGGTTACACCCTCATGATCTAATCACATCTCCAAAGCCCTACCTCCTAATACTATCAAATTGGGGATCGATTTCAACAAATCAATTTTCAGTGTACGCAAACATTCAGGCCATAGAAGTAAGTTATGTTAAAATTTGTCCTTCTGTGAATTAAGCAGACAAATTGACATCCTAGAAGAAATATAAGCAAATTCATTCTGTAAAGAGCCAGAGAGCAAATGTTTTTGGCTTCATCATGTGACACACAGCCTGTATTATCTACCTAACCCTACTGTTGTATTGCAAAAACAACCAGAGACAAGCAAATGAATGGGAGTGGTTACGTTTAAATAAAATTTTATTTATAAAACAATTGGGAGGCCAGATTTGGCCTAGACGTTGTGGTTTGCTTACCACTGTCTTGCAGAATGTAACAATAGAAATTTGAGAATTATAATGGCTACCTACAATAATAATGTGGCATTATCTTTTGGAACTTAAGCTAATTTAATAGAGACTCTTTATAGACAATGGAATTATCTAAAATTGAAATTTCTCTCACCATAAGTTTTAAAATAAAGAACTGGTTTATTATACGTTCATCTTTTTGGGAAATAAAGTTCCTCCACAGAACATACAATTTGTTAAAATAAATAAATGAAATTGGAGTGACAATGCAAGCCTTTCCAGAGATTGTATCTCCCCAAAGAAATTGTGAGCTTTCAGGCATTTATTGAAAGCACATAATTACCTCCTGTGTGCCTCCATCATTTGGAGGGCTCCTTTCACTTTAAAGGCTACCTAAGTGTTGGGTTAATTATAGAGGAAATACTAGCACAATTCCACTTGTGGCTTTTACTCTGTCTTGTTCATTCTACTAACAGCAGTAGGGCGCAAATCTTATAACTCCCCCCATTTGCCTCTCTCTGAAGAGAACAGTACAGCCTGAGTTTTATCAACAGGACTGATTAGATAGCAAACAGGCTGTTTTTGCCTTTGTAAAAGTAATAGTTTAGATACATTTTTCCTGATTTTGCATTTTTTTCTTATAGTGAAGAAGACAAACATAACTTTTCTACTACTACTTCTTCCTACATAAATAATTTCACAGTTTAATTCTAGTGGAAGGGATAATGAATTTCCCATTCCTTGGATGGAGATTTGTCAGAATGGCAAATCCTCTTCTGGGGAACATGTGTCTGTAAAAAAGTCCTACAAATGTTTCAGGGTCATAAAAACAGTCCACAGATGTCCCTATAAAAGAGATGCCCCTCTGCTTCTACTTCCTCCCCATGTAGTTTTGGAGGTCAGCAGTGATCTGAGAAAAAGTCATATAGTAAGTAAGGATCAGAGTTTCCAAAGCCTATTTATTCTCACTTAATCCAATAAACTTAACTCTTTATTCTGAGCCTTCTCACTATTTAAATTCATTCATAGAAAGAGGTTTTGGAAAGACTTGGAGTCAAATATAGCTTTCTCTATTCCCTAGCTGTGTTACCTGAAAAGAATTTGTATTCTGCTGCAGTTGGGTGAAATCTCTTTCTTTCTCTCCCTCTCTCTCTCCCTCCCTCCCCTTTCTATCATACCTAGAGTGCTTTCTGCTTTCCTGACTTGATCCTGTCTAATACTCCTACCTAGCAAATACAAGAATAGATAGTAATCAGGTGAGCAAAAATTATGGTCTACTGTATGATACTTAGTAGGCACCATTACTCTGACTTTAATGAAGTGAAATTTATGAATTTTTTTCTTCTATAATTCCTCTGGAAGAGTTAAACCCTTTATCCCTTATGGCATCCAAATGACTCAGCAGTATCTCCATTACAACACTTAAGATATAGTTTTAAAATTAATCCACTTACACATCTGCATCCCCATTAAAATATGGGCCCCTTCAGGGCAGGACTTTTGTTTTTTTATGTCTACAGTACCTCACACAGTGTGTGGTTCATAATATGCAATCAGAAAATGAGAAAGTGAGGAATTCGTGGGTTGAAGGTGGAGAGAGGAGGGGAGGGGCGGCATTTCTAATCCTTCCCTTAATGATAAAGGAATATGCGAATTGAACTTAAAATATGAAGATCATTTAATGAATAATTTCAGAGACAATAATATTTAGACACCTTCTCATCTTTGTACCAAAAAGGGAGGTAGAAATATTTTTTTCTGTTTTCTATTCTAAAACTTAAATGTGCCTTTTTAAAATTACTTCAGTATGCAATTATGCTTATAGAAAGATAATTTTTATTTCAGGTAGTCAAATAATAAAATGTTAGAGTGGGAAGAAGGCAAAATCAGGACTTTAAAAAAAAAAAACAAATCCATCTCAAAAAGCATCCTGGAGATTGGAGCTCCCTTTGAGACCATTTGTAGATTCTGAAGTATCTCGAGTAAGACAGTGAATAGAAACTATGATTAAGGGCTATCTGGTCATCTCTTTCGTTTAACTGCCCTTTTCCATAGATGACCCAACTCATTCTCTGTCATCAAGAATTTAACAGGCCATCTCAAGACCTTAGCAAAATGTTAGTGTGTCAGCGTGTGTGTATGTGTGTGCATATGTGATTGTAATTAGTTAAGGAAAAAGATTTAACAAGCTTTGTGGAAGATATCTTCATTGCCTGAAAAAAAAGTCAGTAAGATGGCAAAATAGGAAGTTTCTGGCTTTTTCTCCTCCCACAGACACAGCAAATAAATGGCTACACATGGATGAATTCCCTCTGAGAGAAATTCAGAGAATACTTGAGAGACTCCTACACATGGTATCACTAAGAAATATTCACATTGAAAACAGGTAGGAGTCCAGGTGTGGTGGCTCATACTTGTAATCCCAGCACTTTGGGAGGCTGAGGTGGGAAGACTGCTTCAGACCAAGAGTCTGAGACCAGCCTGGGCAACTTAGGAAGACCCTGTCACTACAAAAAAAAATAAAAATTAACCAGGCATGGTGGGGCATGCCTATAGTCCCAGCTTTTCAGGAGGCTGAGGTGGAAGGATAACTTGAGCCTGGGAAAGTTGAGGCTATAGTGAGTCATAATGGCACCACCGCACTTCAGCCTAGGCAACAGACCCTGTCTCAAAACAAACAACAACAACAACAACAAAACAGGAAAAGCTGAGACCCACTTATGCAACAAAACCCACCCTGGTAAAGAATCTTACAATTGGAAAGGAATCCTCAACTCTCATTTTTTTCCTGAAGAGTGAAGGGTTTAGAACACATACACAGCAATCCCAGTTTTCACAGCTCCTACATGAGGGACTGGCTCCTAGGTCTCATAGCCCTGGAAACAGAAGGGGTTCAGCAATTACAAGGTCCCTGGAACTAAAGAGGTGACTTTCAATGTGTGTGTGAACATGCCCTGCTGCAATATCCCTGGGCTCAGTAAAGCACAAATAGGCAATACCCAGCTCCCAGTTTATCTTGAAAGAGGTTTAACTGAACATTTTGTCAGCTACTGTCTAAGGTCAGGCCTCTAAGCAGATGTCATCTGGAGTACAGGGAATTCATAAGATCCCCGGGAGCCTGAACAGGTGTGTGCAAACTTCATGCACCTGCTTCTCCCAGCTCACTACAATGATAAAACCAATTCTCTGGCTTCTCCCTGGAAGGAGTTGCTCAGCACATAGAGCACCCTGCCTTTTGAAGTTCCCACTAGGGAGACTGACTCCCGAATCATCCAGCTCTGGGAGTGACAGGGGTTGGCGTTAATGAGTACTCCACAATCACAGAAAACACAAAAGTAGTTTTCAACAGTTGTGGGGGGACCACCAGTGACCATTTCTCCTACATTAGCACCAAAGAAGCAGGCAAAAACACCCAGCAGCCAGTTTGTAACCGTAAAGGGTTTGACCACATACCTAATGTCACAATTTTCTCAGCAACTATCCATATGTATCTGGATTAGCCTGCATCTAGGAGCTTATTGAGTGGAGGTGGAGGGTAACTAGTAGTCCTCTGACGCCCTGTATAGGCATATGGGTACTTCCAAAGTTCCTCTGCCAGCTTGTTCCAGAGATAGAACCAAGCAGACAGCTAACCTACTTGTCTCTGACTGATAAGACCCAGAATCTTCCAGTACTATAGAAGTGACCAAGAGCGAGGCAATAGTTGGAATGGGTTTCCATTCTGAATGAGAGTGCACACATTTGCCACAGATCTTTTACCCTGTTTACTATGGAGTGAGCTAGATACAAAAGCCAGCTTCCAGCTTATCCCTGAGGAGAGAAGGGAATTAGACCACACATTTAGCACCCCAACTTTTCCAGATGCTACTTAGAGACTAGTTTCTATCTCTCCTGTCTTGGGGACACCAACGAGATTTGGAACATCCTGGGACCACAGAGAACTAAGACAGTGGTTTAAACAAGCACAAGGATTTGAGAGGCACCCAGAATCTCTGGCCAGGCTGATTGGTGAGTTCATCTTCTATATGAGGCCAGTCTGACAAGACTGGGAGAAGTGACCACTTTATCTAATGTATGGCAAACTACACAGCCAATAAAAATAAAGAAAAAGAAAGATATGTTACAAAGAAAATAAGGTAAATTTCCAGAAATGAACACTCAATGATTTACCTGGCTGAAAATTCAAAATGATAGTCATTAAGATGCTAAGTACTCAGGAGGATGAGGTGGGAGGATTGCTTGATCCTAGGAGCTTGAGGCTGCAGTGAGTCATGATTGTGCTACTGCATTATAGCCTGGGTGACAATGAGACTCTCAAAAAAAAAAAGTGCTCACTGAGATCAGGAGAACAATATATGAAAAATGTGAGTTTTTGAAGAAAGACAAAGAAAATACAAAATGGGCCACACAGAAATCATAGAACTGAAGAATACAATAGCCAAACTAAAAAATTAAACGGAGGTGTTCAACAGCAGAGTATATCAAGTAGAACAAAGAACTCAAAGATAGGTCATTGGAAATCATACAATTAGATACAACAACAACAAAAAAGAAAAAAGTGAAGGTAGCTTAAGAAACTTAAAGATCACCAAGCAGACCAATATACACATTATGGGAGCAAAGAAGAAGAGTGAGACAGAAAGGAGCCAAAAAGTTATTCAAATAAGTAACAGCTGGAAACTTTCCAAGCTAGGGGGAAATATTCAGATTCAGGAAGTCATAGAACATGAATGAAATGAATCCCAAAAGACCCATATTAAGATACATTATAATAAAATTGTTAAAAGTTAGAGCCAAAGAGAGATTTTTGGAAGCAGCAAGAGAAAAAGAGATTTGTTATATATAAGAGAATTTCTATAAGACTGTCAGCAGATTTTTCAGCAGAAACTTTATAGGCCGGAGGGAGACAGATAATATATTCAAAGTGCTTGCAGAAAATAAACCTGCCAACGAAACTACTATATCCAGATAACATGTCCTTCACAAATGAAGGAAAGAAATAATCTCTTTGACAAAAAAAACTAAGAAAAATTATCACCACTAGACTTGACTTAAAATAAATGTAAATGGAACTTTTCAACTTGAAACAAAAGTATAATAAATAAGGACTAGGAGAGCTTAAGAAGGTAGGAAACTCATTGGTAAATATATACAAATATTGAAAATACTATATTACTGTAACAGTGCTGGACAAAGGGTTTGACCACATACCTAATGTCACAATTTTCTCAGCAACTATAATTCCACTATAAAAGAGACAAAGCATTAAAACAGTTATAAATAATTGTGTTAATGGATACTTAATATAAGTAGATATAATTTGGGAAATTGATAGAATATAATGTGTCAGAGGAGGAGAAAAAACATGTGTAGAGTTCTTGTATGCAAGTAAATTTAAGCAGTTATCAGCTGAAAATAGACCACTAAAACTATTATACATTTTATGTAAGCTCCTTGGTAACTAAAACAATAATAGTTATAAAAGTTTCACAAAATAGGCCAGGAGCGGTGGCTCACGTGTGTAATCCTAGCACTTTGGGAGGCCAAGGCAGGCAGATCACCTGAAGTCAGGAGTTCAAGACCACCCTGGCCAACATGGTGAAATCCTGTCTCTACAAAAATACAAAAATTAACCTGGCATGATGGCGGTTTCCTGTAATTCCAGCTACTCGGGAGGCTGAGGTGGAAGAATCATTTGAACCCAGGAGGCAGAGGTTGCAGTCAGCCGAGATCATGCCACTGAACTCCAGCCTGGGTGACAGAGTGAGGCTCCATTTCAAAAAACAAAAAGAATCACCAGAGTGAAGAGAAAACCCACAAAATGAAATATTTGTAAGCTATGCATATGAAGAGAGGTATATATACAAAATACATATACCTGGAGGACATTATGCTAAGAGAAATAAGATAGGCACAGCCAGAAAAATACTGCACAATCACACTTACATGTAGAATCTGATAAACTTAAAGCCAATCAAGTAGAAAGTACAATGATGCTTACCAGAGGCTGGAGTGGGAGTGGAGAGAGAGGAAAAGGAGCATTATTGATTGATGGTTACAAAGTTTCAGAAAAAAAGTAGTAATCAGTTTTTTGATCTGCTGCACAGCAGGTTAACTAGGGTCAATAATAATCATATATTTCAAAATAATTAAGAAAGTAAATTTTAAATGTATCACCATTAAAAAAGGTAAGCGAGGTTGTAGATTGTTAGATTGATTTAAACATTCCATATTGTATACATATAGCAAAACATCACGATGTTTCCCATAAATGTATACAATTATGTTTAATAAACAATATTTGGGAATTAAAATTATAAGAAAAAAGAAAAAAAAACAAAACTTAGTTGATTTCTTGAGAATATAAACAAAATCAACAAGCCCTTGCCTAGACTAAGAAATAGAGAACTGTCAAAATCAGAAACGAAATAGAGATAATATAATGGATGCCTCAGGGAAAAAATTATGAGATTGTTATGAACAATGATACACAAAAAAAGGGTAACCTAGAAGAAAGATATTCCTAGACATGTATAACCTACCAAGACTGAATCAACACAAATTAGGAGTTTGTAGTAGCAATCAAAAACCTCTCAACAAAAAACCCATGACCAGATGGCTTTATGGCTGAATTATACCAAAAATTCAAGGAGAATTAATAGGAGTCCTTCTTAAACTCTTCCAAAAAATTGCAAAAGGGAATATTTCCAAACTTTTTTATGTAAGGCCAAATACTTCCAAACTCCGTCTAATACTTCGTTATATAAGGCCAGCAAAATTCTGATACTAAAGCCATATAAAGACGCCACACACAAAAAAAATAAAACTTAAGGCCAGTGTTTATGAGAAATATAGATGCAAAAATTCTTGCAAACCGAATCCACTAATGCATCATAAAGACAATACACTATAATGGAAGAAAGATTTATCCCTAGGATACAAAGTTGATTTAACATACATAATCAATACATTTGTTACACAACATGAACAGAATGAAGGATATAAAGCACATGATAGGCCAGGCATGGTGGCTCATGTCTGTAATTGCAGCACTCTGGGATGTCAATGCAGATGGATTGCTTGAGCCCAGGCATTTGAGACCAGCCTGGGCAACAGGGTAAAACCCTGTCTCTACAAAAATTACAAAAATTACCTAGGCATGGTGGCATGTGTCCGTATTCCCAGCTACTAGGGAGGCTGAGGTGGTAATGTCACTTTAGCCCAAAAGGTGGAGGTTGCAGTTTGCCAAGATTGTGCCACTGCACTTCAGCCTGGGTGATAGAGTGAGACCCTGAAGAAAGAAAAAAGGAAGGAAGAGAAGGAAGGAAGGAAAGAAGGACAAATTGTTTCAATAGATGCAGAAAAAGCATGTGAAAAAGCTGAACATTCGTTCATGACAAAATCTCTCAACAAAATAAGTATAGAAAGAAACTTCCTCAACATAATAAGTCTACTTATGAAAAGCCCACAGCTAACATCATAATCAATGGGAGAAACAACGAACTTTTCTTCTAAAATTAAGAATAAAACAAGGATGCCTGTAATCCCAGCACTGTGGGAGGCTGAGGCAGGTAGATCACTTGAAGTCAGGATTTTGAGACCAGCCTGGCCAACATGATGAAACCCTGTCCTTACTAAAAGTATGAAAATTAGGTGGGCAGGATGGTACATGCCTGTAATCTCAGCTACTCCAGAGGCTGAGGCGAGAGCATCATTTGAGCCTGGGAGGTGGAGGTTGCAGGGAGCTGAGGTTGCAGCACTGCTCTCTGGACTGGGTGACAGAGCGAGACTCTGTCTCAAAAATAAACAGAAAAGAAAAAAACAAGGATGCCTATTCTCACAACTTCTTTTCAATATAGTACTGAGAGAACTAGGCAGAACAATTGGACAAAAAATAAAAATAAAATGCATTTAATTTGGAAAGGAAGAAGTAAATGTATCGTTGATTGCAGAAGACATAATCCTATATCTAGACAACCTTAAAGACTCTATACATACACAAACACACAAACTGTTAGAACTAATAAACAAATTCAGGAATGATGCAGGATACAAAATTAACAAAAAAATTACTTATATTATTTTACACCAATAATGACCTATCCAAAAAGCAAATAAAGAAAACAATCCTATTTACTACAGCATGAAAAAGAATAAAATTCAATAAATATTAAGGTATTCAAAAAATAAAAATAATAGCTTTAACCAAGGAAGTGGAAGACCTGTACCCTTAAAACTATGAAACATTGATAAATAATTTGAAGAATAAATGCAAAGATAACCTATGTTCATGGATTAGAAGAATTAATATGGTTAAAATGTCTATACTACTTAATGTAATATACAGATTCTTATTTTATTTATTTATTTATTGAGATGGAGTCTTACTCTGTCACCCAGGCTGGAGTGCAATGGCACCATCTCCTCTCATTGCAACCTCCACCTCCTCGGTTCAAGCAATTCTCCTGCCTCAGCCTCCCAAGTAGCTGGGATTACAGGAGTGCACCACCATGCCCAGCTAATTTTTTGTATTTTTAGTAGAGACAGGGTTTCATCATGTTGGCCAGGCTGGTCTCAAACTCCTGACCTTGTGATCCATCCACCTCAGCCTCCCAAAGTGCTAGGATTACAGGTGTGAGCCACTGTGTCTGGCCGAATATACAGATTCAATGCAACCACTATCAAAATATCAATGGCATTTTTAACAGAAATTGAAAAAATTCTATAATTTGTATAAAACTACAAAAGACCCAGATTGGCTAAAGCAATCTTGAGAAAGGAGAACAAAGTTGGAAGCAACATATTTCCTGATTTCAAATTATGTTAAAAAGATATATTAATTAAAACAGCATGGTACTGGCATGAAAACAGACACAAACACCAATAAAACATGATAGAGAGCCCAGAAATAATCCCACACATACGTGGTCAACTAATTTTTGACAAAGACACCAATAACGCACAATGGGAAAATTAATGATGTTGAGAAAACTGGCTATGCACAAGTACAAAATTAAATTATGTAATAATATGCATAAAAGTCAGCTAAAAATGGATTCAAGACTTAACCATAAAACCTGAAGTCATAAAACTCCCAGAAGAAAACATATTGAAAAAATTCTTTGACATTGGCCTTGGCAATTATATTTTCGATATCACACAAAAACCTCAGGCAACAAAAGCAAAAATAAACATATAGGACTGTATCATACTTAAAAAGTGACTGCACAGTGAAATAAAAAATTAACAAAAGTGAAAAAGCAGCCTACAAATTGGGAGAAAATATTTGCAAATCATATATCTAATGTTACTGAATGTAGGCCTGGCTGCTTGCCTCTTGCAAAGCCAATAAGAAGCACAAGATACAGTGAAAGGAAAGTGGTTTTATTCCAAGCTGCCATTGGGGAAACAGCCAGTCTCATACCTAGAGAAACTGTTTCAAACTCTATGCTGGGAGATGGGCATAAAAAAGGGAACTTGGGAGAAGATTTTTGCAATCTACTCAACTGACAGAGGGCTAATATCAAAAATCTACAAAGAACTCAAACAAACTTACAAGAAAAAAACAACCCCATCAAGTGGGCAAAGGATATGAACAGACACTTCTCAAAAGAAGACATTTATGCAGCCAACAGATACGTGAAAAAATGCTCATCAACAGATACATGAAAAAATGGCCATCAGAGAAATGCAAATCAAAACCACAATGAGATACCATATCACACCAGTTAGAATGGCAATCATTAAAAAGTCAGGAAACAACAGGTGCTGGAGAGGATGTGGAGAAATAGGAATACTTTTACACTGTTGGTGGGACTGTAAACTAGTTCAACCATTGTAGAAGACAGTGTGGCGATTCCTCAAGGATCTTGAACTAGAAATACCATTTGACCCAGCCATCCCATTACTGGGTATATACCCAAAGGATTATAAATCATGCTGCTATGAAGACACATGCACACGTATGTTTATTGCGGCACCATTCACAATAGCAAAGACTTGGAACCAACCCAAATGTCCATCAATGATAGACTGGATTAAGAAAATGTGGCACATATACACCATGGAATACTATGCAGCCATAAAAAAGGATGAGTTCATGTCCTTTGTAGGGACATGGATGAAGCTGGAAACCATCATTCCCAGCAAACTATCACAGGGACAAGAAACCAAACACCTCATATTCTCACTTATAGGTGGGAACTGAACAATGAGAACACTTGGACACAGGAAAGGGAATATCACACACTGGGGCCTGTCATGGGGTGGCGGGAAGTGGGGAGGGATAGCATTAGGAGATATACCTAATGTAAATAACGAGTTAATGGGTGCAGCATACCAACATGGCACATGTATACATATGTAACAAACCTGCACGTTGTGCACATGTACCCTAGGAACTTGGCGCATGTATACATATGTAACAAACCTGCACGTTGTGCCCATATACCCTAGAACTTATAGTATAATTTAAAACAGGAAAAAAAAACAGGGAACTTGGAATGGGAGGCATGCAGGCTGTTGGGTACAAGGACTATGAATCTTGTTCTTGTGGCTCTCAGCATGGACTAGTGTCATCTTAACAATGACTAAGTTGCAGACTAACCACCTTAAGGTAATCTCTTGAATTTTGCGTTTGGGTCTACACATCTGGTTTATCTCAAGATTATCCACCAGAACATAAGGTCACAACTAGACACAAAGCATACAGTTAGAAAAATGTACATGGGACAATGGGGTGTATGAAGAGAAAGGGAAGGATGTGGTATTTCAAAGAAAGTATATTTCAAGGCCATATTTTAAAAATAAGGAGAGAAATGAAATGATTTATCTAGTAAAGTTACACCTTGAGAAAAGAGAGAAAAGAGAAAAAATGTTTTAAAATGCATTTTGAAGCTAAGCTCCTCGGTTACAATAACAAGCTAATACCCAAAATATAAAAGAAACAAGTGCAACTCAATAGCTAAATTATCACATAATCAACATGTTTAAAAAATGGGCAAATGTGGGTGACGGTTATACTAAAAGCCTATACTTCATAACCATGCAAAACAGTCACATAACAAAAATCACTCTAGTACCCCTTAAATTAATACCAATCTCTAAAAATGTGCAGAAGATCTGAATAGCCATTTCCCAAAAGAAAGCACACACTGGCCACCGGGTGAATGAAAAGTTGTTTGTCATCAATAATCAGGGAAGTACGAATCAAGAGCACAATGAGATTTCACTTTGCACCTGTTAGGATGGCTCTTAACAATATAAAAGATTAGTGTTGGTGAGAGTATGGAGAAATGGAAACCCTTGTACACTGTTGATGAGAGTGTAAACTGGTTACGGGCATTATGAAAAACAAATGGAGGTTCCTCAAAAAACTAAAAATAAAACCATCATATGACGCATACATATCCTACTTCTCAGTATATAATCAAAGGAAGTGAAATCAGGATTGCATTGAAATAGCTATGCTCCCATGTTTACTGCAGCATTTTTCACAACAGGCAAGCTGTGAAAACAACCCTAATGTCCATCAACAGATGAATAAAGAAATTGAGGTAAATACATACAGGGAATATTATTCAGCTTTAAAAGGAGATTTTGTCATTTGCAGCAATATGAATGATCCGAGATGACATTTTGCTAAGTGAAATAATCCAGACACAGAAAGAAAGGTTGTGCATGATCTCACTTATAAGTGGAGTCTTTAAAAATTCAATACATAGTAATAGAGATTATAAGGGTATTCACCAGTAGAGAGAAGGGTGAGGATGGGGAGATGTTGGTCAAAGCTTACAAAGTTTCCATAGTGTAGCATGAATAATCTACAGGTTTAATTTACAGTATGATGACTATAGTTAGTAACAATGTTTTATTTTGAAAATATGCCAATAGAACAGATTTCAGGTGCCCTTACCACAAAATAATAAAAAAGGGAATTATGTGAATAAATGGATGTTAATTAGCTTGATTTTAGTAGTCATTTCTCATATATATGTACATTAAAAAATCATGCTTTATACATCAAATATATATAACGAAATTTTTTTACAAATGCAGGAAGATATGTTCACCTCACTTCTGCTTTCCAACCTATTGTGAGCAATATCTAATTGGATCAATGAAACTTGTACCCAGAACCTTAATTATAAGGAAGTCTGATAAATCTAGCCTTATGCTTTAAGCATTCTAATCTCTACAACACAACAAAGCACATAGAAGACAGTAGAATATGGATTCCAAGTGTCAGTAGACAATATCTAGCACATCTTAAAAATTACATGTCATCTATAATGGTATAATACCAATATTTTACACATTTCAATTCTAATCTTTTGTTTTCACCTGGTTACACGACTATAATTAATTAGCAATCTCAATTGACATCTTGACACAACATTGCATCTTTCTAAAGGTAATATAATTATTCAGAAGAATATGCTATTTATTTCTATGTGCTACATTTTTAAATTTTACCTATAAATAGAAGGTGAAACCATCTATGCTTGAGTAAGAATTATGGCAAAAAATACTCTTTCCAAATTTTTATTCTTCTTTTATTCCTTAAAAGATAACTGTAGCTAAACACATTGCTGCTAACCCAGACCATAGTAGCCAGCCTGTCTTGCAGCTAAGTGTGGTCATATCAGCTCAGTGATACGGAAGTAGAAATGTATAATTCTTCCAAGGTGTGCCTATCTACACCCTTTCTCTGTATAGTTGCCTGAAACTTGCATGTGACAACCAGAGCTAGCACTACCAATCGTATTGGGTTGAGAATAACAAACCCATGCCCAGAGAATGTTGAATAGTGAGTTGGAAGGTGTTTGAGTCTCTGATAAGAGGCTATCATTTTGTTGTTGTTGTTGTTCCAATATTCTCAAAAAAGAAGTCTATAATATTTGAAACTTAAATCTTGCTTTTGTTTTTAGGCCCAATTTAAAATTTCTCTTATCATGTAATCCTAAGCTACTCTTAGGGTAGGTCTTCTACTGATGACAGATTTTCTTAGGTTTTCTGTATCTGAAAATGTCTGAATGAGAAAAGAAAATTCCACCACCAATATGAAAAAGATGTTAGAATTATCTGAGGAAGATTTTAAAACACATTAAAAATCTGCTTAAACAGATCACTCTTTAATTTCTGAAGGACATTTTCACTGGATATAGGATTTGGGGTTGCAGTTCCTCACTTTTCAACAGTTGAAAATGCTGTCCCACTTTTTTCTGGCATCCAAGTTTCTGAAGAGGAATTCTTTGTCAGGTGTATTTTTTTTCTTTCATAAGTATGATGATATTTCTCTCAGTGATTTCATGGTATTTTCTTTGTCTTTAGTTTCCAGATACTTGACTATGATGTATCTTGGCATATTTTCTTGGCTCTATTGCATTTGGAGTTCACTTAGGTTCCTGAATTTGTAAATTTATGCCTTTTGCCAAATTTGATAACTTATTAGGCACTGTTTCCTTGAGTACTTTTTTCAGTCTTCCCTCATTCTTCTCTCCTCCCAGGATTATTATGACACAAAATGTTACATTTTTTATTATAGCCCCACAGAGCTATAAGGCTCTGTTCAATTTTTGTCTTTTTTTCTCTATTGTTCAGACTGGGTAATTTATTCTTTCTGTCTTCCAGTTCACTGATTCTTTCCTCTGTCTCTTTCAATTTGCATAGGCATCTATAATTGAGGGTTTTTGGTTTTAATTTTTATTTTGGTTGCTACATTTTTTGATTCTCGAATTCCTTTTTTTCTTCTTTATATCTTCTCTATTTGTCAAGCCTTTATTTCTTTGCTAAAACTTTATTTTTTCTTTTGATTCAAGTATGTTTGTAAATGCTCATTGAAGCACTTTTATGATGGCTGCTTTAAAATCTCAGATAATTATAATATCTCTGTCATCTTGATCATAGAATTTATTATTTTTTTTCATTCAGTTTGAGGTCTTCCTGGTTCTTGGTATAATGAGTGATATCAATTTAAACCCATACTATTTATTATTTTACAAGATTCTAGATCTTACGTAAAAACTTATGTTTCTAGCTGATTTTCTCTGACACTGCTGTAATAGTGGCAGGGGTAGGGCACCAACTCATTACTGTTAGGAAAAGGTAAAATTCAGGTCCCCACTGGGTTTCAGTTGAGCCCATTATCCACCCAGCCTGGACCACCAAAATATCCCAGTAATAGATGAGGGTAGAAATTCTGACTCCTCTCTAGGCTTCTGTTGATAGTGTCCTGGCTGGGAGGGACAGAAAGGCTTCATTATTACGCCCAAGTGGTTTCCACAGACACAGTGGTGAGGGTGGTCTTGTTACTCCTGGGATTGATGAGAATTCTGCCTTTCTTCTAGTTGTCCTCTGGTATCCCCCTGGCAGAGAGAAAAAGGGGTGTCTTATTACTGCTGGCTGGAGCCTATGTCCCTGCTCCCACCATGGTCTTTGCTGAGATTCCTTGAGTGTAATGGAGATCTTGTTACTGCTCAGTGAAAATGAAAGTCTCAGCTCCCTACTCAGTCTTTTCTGACACCATCCACAGGAAGGGGAAGAAGTAGCCAGTTCATTACTCTCTGGAAGTTGAGACCTCCTCCATTAGATCTTTGCAGGCATGGGTGGGGGTGATGGCAACAGTTTTTACAGTGGTATTTGGAGTAGAGCAGTTTACAGTCTAAACATTTACTGCATGACTAGGCTTCCTCTCTTCCTCTCCTTGACTAGAGAGAGCAGCTTTTGTTAGGACTTAAAAACAAAAAAACCAAAAACTGTGTCCATTAGTGTTTGAGTTGCTGGCTTGAGTTCCAATCTTAGATATATAAGGAAAGCCAAGGAATGTACCACCATGTCACTCCTTGTGTCCTGATGTCTCTACCCAGCCTGCCTCATCTCTTTATCTTTCATGGTTGTATTATATCTGCTATGTTATGTGCTGGTATTTATGGGAG
This sequence comes from Homo sapiens, assembly GCF_000001405.40. Taxonomy (NCBI): domain Eukaryota; kingdom Metazoa; phylum Chordata; class Mammalia; order Primates; family Hominidae; genus Homo; species Homo sapiens. Next base: position 9,049,354 of record NC_000007.14, on the reverse strand, counting down.
CAATAGAGAAAAGTATGCCTATGACATCTTCCCAGAATTGGAAGCAATCTGTATCTTCTTACATCCTTAATACTGGGTTTTCCTAATCACAGTAGAGTTGGTAATTTGTTTGGCTGATAATATTTGCTTCATTCCAGCATAGCTGAAATGAGGGAAATGTGTGCTGCCTTTTTTAAGGGAGTTTGAATTTTGAATGCAAGCTCATATTTTCAAATGTTAATTTTACCTCTATGATATTTGCTAAAATAGTTGTGCTGGTTTTGTTTCATACCACAGTTATGGAAACAGTTCACATTCATAGTAGATAATTAGAAGGTAACTATATGGTGGCAAGGTCTTCTAAAAGTAGAATAAATAATGTTTTCTTTCCACAGCCTTTGAAAATTTAAATGTAAATGGCTTCTTTAATTCAAATACTTATAATGTGAACTGTATAAATATGGACAATGACAGATTCGTACTGCTTTTCTCATTTGCATTTGAGACACTTCAGCAACTTTCTCCCCCATTTACTTGAGGCCATTAGCAGCAAACTGCAAAGACAGGATAAAAGTCACTAATTAAGCATCTGCATACCCTTAGTCAGGACCATAATATTATGATGACAATTATTAGATATTCTTTGTGGATCCTAGACATTCAAAGAGGAATTATATACAGAATTTGTACTATATATAATGTTAAAAGGAATGGGAGGAAAAAGCCTCTCAAAGATTGCAAACATGTCTCTAGTTTTAAGATAACTTTTTAAAAGACTAATTTTGTTAGAGAGTGAGAGATATTTCAAACTTCCTTATCTCTTTCCTGAAAGGGGGTCTCATTTTGGAGCCTATCTTTATGAGTAAATAAGGCAAATCAAAAGTATCACCAGTTCCCTATTTCACTGTTCACTCATTCAATAGAACTTTTTTGCCATCTCCTGTAAAAGGAGAACAGAATCAAGACAACGGGATAGAAAAAAGCAAAGTAAACTGAGTTGCCAACTTATGAGCTCACCTGTCTCAATTTCTCCCTGTGAGGGATGGATTTGTGGAGGTGGGTTAGGCCTCAATCTCAGAAACATGTTGGCTCAGATCCCCAGTTGATTGCTCATGTTTTGCATCAATGCAGACAAATAATTTAGATTTAGGTTCTCATTCTGCAGGAAGTTATTACCTAAAGTGCAGGTAAGTGTAAAGATAATATAAAGGAGTGTAAGTAAAGAAACTGACATATTTCCTAAATAAGGTGTCATATAATCATACTTATTGATATTACTATTATCTATATATTTGAAGTCTATTCAGTTTTTATATTTCACAATAAGCATTGAGCTGCTTAAGGGAAGAGGTCAAGAATTATTCACTTTTGAATCCCTAGCTCCCAGTACAGCGCCCAAAACATAGCAAATGTTCAGCACATGATTATTATTGTCAATACTACCCCTTCAACCCAACATGTTATGGTTCTAATTTGTTCATTAAAGCATTAGTAAATATGTACAAGTAATATCTTAAAATTTGTGTAGAGTATAAAGAATAAGAATATGAAGAATATTTAAGTACTCACCTTCCAATTTAAAGAAATCAAACACAATTACCTGAGGCTCTATGTGCCCCCCACCCCCCCTCCCACCAGATCCTTTGCTCTTTTCTCTCTTCTCGGAGGTAATCAAAATTATAAAAGAATCTTCATCCCTTTGTTCTTATTTCTAGCTTTAATAAATACATTTATAACCTTAAAATATTTTTTGTTTTTTATAAGTTTATGAAATTTTGTTAAGTGGAACCAACCTGTATTCTTCTGTGATTTTTTTGTTGTTGTTGTTTGAGACAGGGTCTCACTCTGTCACCCAAGCTGGTGTGTAGTGGCATGATCTTAGCTCACTGCAACCTCCACTCCCGGGTTCAAACGATCCTCCCATTTTAGCCTCTCAAGTAGCTGGGACTACAGCTATATGCCACAACACCACCCAGCTAATTTTTGTATTTTTTGGTAGAGATGGTGTTTCACCGTGTTGGCTAGGCTGGTCTCAAACTCGTGACCTCAAGTGATCTGCCCACCTCAGCCTCCAAAAGTGCTGAGATTTCAGGATTGAACCATCATGCTTGGCCTGTGAATTTTTTTTTTTTTTCTTTTTGGCAGTCTTTGTTGCTCAGGATGGAGTGCAGTGGTGTGATCACAGCTCACTGCAGTCCCGATCTCCCAGGCTCAAGCAATCCTTCTGCCGCAGCATCCCAAGTAGCTGAGACAATAGATGCACACTACCATACATGGCTAATTTTCAATTTTTTAAAAATAGAGACAGTCTCACTGTTTTGCCCAGGCTGGTCTCATACTCCTGGAATCAAGCAGTTCTTCCACTTCAGCCTTCCAAAGTGTTGGGATTACAGGAGTGAGCCACCATGCCCAAATTTTTGTTTTTATAAGACATTATACCTGATATTTACCTATATTACATGTAACTATCATTTCTTTGTAAATATATAACTGCAATATTCCATCACGTGACTGTATTACAATTTATTCATTCTAATGGCTTTAGAATTTCTCTATATTAAAATAAAAATCAACAAAGATATGAACATGCTCATGTGTACAAATTCATTTACCTAAGTGTGTAATGTTTAGATCATAATATATATCCAAATGAATTACATGGTTTTATGTTTTTACAAATCTTGTTTTGACAATGAAAAATGAACTACCACAGGAATTATTCATCTGTCATAAGCAACTATAAAACCAGAGAAAATATATAAGTATCAATTTTCAATCAACTGACAACAGGTAACAGAATACTACAATCTCTGAGGGAAGGGAAACAAATTAAGCGAGCCATAGTTGTTGACTGCAGGAATATTCCAGGTCACAGCAGTGGAAGGAGGAAGAAAAACAGAGCACAACAATCTTAGTGAGTTGATGAGATGTAGATCAAGTTTAGAGAGTCAAACAGCTGGAATTTTTAGAGTAGACTCAGAATTTCAGAGATAAGGATATATGTCTTTTTGATTCCTTTGAGTCTAAATGAGAGAGGAAATTACCTGAGGTCAAGGTTAAGAACTACGAGAAAACAGCAGACCAAACAACGCACAATCATTATAAAAACTGAGATTAGGCCGGGTGTGGTGGTCCCGTCTGTAATCCCAGCAATTTGAAAGGTTGAGGCGGGCAGATCACGAGGTCAAGAGATCGAGACCATCCGGGTCAACATGGTGAAACTCAATCTCTACTAAAAGTAAAAAAAAAAAAAAAAAAGTTAGCTGGATGTGGTGGCGTGTGCCTGTAGTCCCAGCTACTTGGGAGGCTGAGCCAGGAGAATCGCTTGAACCCGGGAGGCAGAGGTTGCAGTGAGCCAAGATTGCACCACTGCACTCCAGCCTGGCGACAGAGCAAAACTCTGTCGAAGGGAGAAAAAAAAAAAAAAAAAAAAAAAAAAATCTGAGATTAATTTGTGTTCTTGCTTGCCAGAGCTGTCATTGTTTAGAATGCACAGACTGGTCATACCCTACCAGTGGTCCTAAATTAGTCTTATAAGAAAGGTTCTTCTAGACCCATTATAGAAAACTAAATATCAAGCCTCAAAAATGTCAAGTTGATACGCCAATTACTTAACTGTACCAGGACAAAATCCAACAATCTTTAAGGAAATAAAATAGAGCACACGACAGTATCAAATTCAAAATGTCTAGGATATAACAAAAAAATTGCCAGCCTAGTGAAATTTAGGAAATATGACCTATAAGCAGGAAAAAAAATCATCAATAGAAATGGATCTAGAAATAATAGTTAACAAAATAAGTAGACAATTAAAAGCTTATTATAAATCTTACAAATATAGTCAAAATGTAAAGGGAGATTATAACCAAATTAATGAGAAGATGAAGTGCATAAAAATGGCCTAACCAGAACTTCTAAAACTGAAAAAATATATTAACTTTAGTGATGAAAAGAAATGAGCTATCAAGCTACAAAAGGAAATGGAGGAATCTCAGATATATATTAAGTGAAAGAAGCAAGTCTGAAAAGGCTACTTTACTATATGACATTCTAGAAAAGACAAAATTATAAAGAGACAGTTAAAAGATGTGTGGTTGCCTGTATTTGGAAGAAAGAAGGAAGAACGAGTAAATAAGTGGAACAGAAAGGATTTTTAGGATGATGAAACTATTCTGTGCAATATTTTAATTGTAAATACATGACATTATGCATGTGTCAAAACCCATAAAACTATGCAACACAAAGATTCAGCCTTAATGTAAACTAGACCTTAGATAATAATGTGTAAATATCTTTTCACCAATTGTAACAAATATATCACATTAATGCAAATGTTAATAAGAGAAAACTTCTTGCATTGCAGGGAAAAGGGGTGTTTGGAATTTCCCTGTGTTCTATGCTCTGATTTTCTGTAAACCAAATAGTGTTCTACAAAAGTAAAGTTTATTAATTTTTAAAAATTTTAAAAATACAATATCTAAATGAAAAATACTGGATGAGACCAAAAGCCAATTATGTCTTGCAGGAAAACTAATGAATCTGAATATATATATATACACCAATATAAATAATATAAAATGAAGCATAGAGGGAAAAAAGCCTGAAAATAAAGATAGTCTAGATTATGTCTGAAACATTAAATATTCCAATTTACATGTATTTGGAATACCAGAAATAAGGAAAGAGAAAAATATTTGAAAAAAATGGCAGAAAATTCACTAAATTTTTATGAAAACTATGAACACACAGATCCAAAAACTTTAGTAAGTTCCAAGGAGAAGCAACCTAGATAAAACCACATAAGTGTCATACTCAAAAGGCTGAAGCACAGTGATAAGGAAACTAGAAAAAAAAGCATGTTACATGTGAGAGAGAAATAATAAATAAGACTTTTTAGAAATCATGAGCCAGAAGACAAAAAAATCTTTAAAGTGTTGATAGAAAACCTCATAAACATAGAATGCTATTACCTATGAAAATATCTTTTAGAAACAAAAGTGAATTTTAAACATAGGAAAATTGAGGTTGTTGCAAAAGTAATTTACCATTACCTTCAATGGCAAGAACTGCAATTACTTTTGCACCAATGTAATAGAGATAATTTTTTGCCAATATATCTGCACTATGGGAGATATTGTGAAACATTTTTCTGAGAAGAAAATAACAGGTGAAAATTGATTTATAAAATAGAAATATTAGCAAATTGAATTCAGATATCCATAAAAAGGATAGCACAGCATGCCCAAGAGGGTTTTATTCCAGATAACACAAATTGGTTTTATATTTAAAAATCAATGAACATAATTTTTACCATTAATACACTAAAAAGAAAATTCATATTATAATACAAATTGACAGAATTGTTTTAAATAAAATTATGTATTCTTAATTAAGGAAAAAAAAACTTTCAGAAAACTAGGCATACAAAGGAACTTCCACAACATGCAGATGACATCATACTTAATTGTCAAACTGAATGTTTTCTACCAAAGATCAAGAACAAAATAGTATGCTTGCATCACTGTTATTCAATTATTCACTGCGTTAATACGAAGGGGAGAAAAAAACATGGGTGTATATATATACACATATATACACACATACGTATATGAATGGAAGCAGCAAAACTGTATTCACTGATTCATAAAATCACAAGAAATTGGCAAAGAAAGAAAACTGAGAACTATTAAGTAAATATAGCAAGATCACATGTTATGAGAACAATATGCACAATTCAACTCTATTTCTCCAAACTAGCAATCAACAATTTGAAATTTAAATAAAAAGGTCACACCTTTAACAATAGATCCAAACACATAAAATGTATTGGGATAAACTTAACAAGAGATGTCTAATATATTCACAAGGAGAACTGTATAACATTGCAGAAAATAAACAAATAAGCCTTAAGTAAATGGAAAGCTATACCATGTTCATGAAGCAGAAGACTCAACATTGTTAAGATGACAGTTCTCCAAATTAATCTACGTATTAAACAAAATTCCTAAAAATATCCCAGCAGACTTTTTGACACAAATTAACAGGCTAAATTCTGAATTGATATGGAAATATAAAGACCTAGAACAAACAAAACAATTTTGAAATGTGAAAAAAGTTAAAATACATAAATTTCCCATTTCAAAAATTACTGTAAATGCTACAGTGATCAAGACAGTGTGTTGCTGGTGTAAGACTAGGCATGTAGATCAACAAAAAATAGACACTCCAGAAAAATACCCATATACATGATCAATTAATGACAAATGTGTCACGGAATTTCAATAGGAAATGGATTCAATTTTCAGAAGACTGAGTTGATGCAATCAGATATCTACATGTGAAAAGATATACCTCAATGCTTACCCTCACATCATATAAAACTAACTCATAATGGTTCAGACTAAAGTGTAACAGCTGAAATTAAACGTTAGCATGTTCACATAAGTTTTATTCCCAATTGCCTAAAATTACCTATCAACTAGTTAATAAACACATTTTCCTTCATCTATACACTAGAATACCACTCAGCAATAAAAGGGAATGTTATATACAACAACATGAATTAATCTTGAAAGAATTATGCTATGTGAAAGACATGAGGAACAAAAGTCAATATTCTGTATGATTACAATTACATGAAATCCTAGTAAAGTAAGGAGTACCTTCAAGCAGATCATTGGTTGCCAGTTGTGGCATATATTGGGAGAAGAGATGTACTGCAAAGGAGCATGAGGGAATATTCTTGAGTAATAGACATATTCTATATTTTGATTTTCATAGCAATTACAGAAGTATATACTTAAATTTGTAAACTGTATGAATGGAATTGCTCAAATTTAATTTAGATAATAATCTACGTTATATATGTTGTAAAATATAATTTCATGAAAGTATTTTTTTAAAGTGTTTATGCATGATTAGATTTCTACCAGCAATGGATGAGCCTTTCAGATTCCCTAAATCCTCAGCCAAACTTCCTGCTGAATGACTTTTTGTAAGTAGCCAATCTGATAGATATAAAGTTATATCTAAGTTGTACTTAACTGCTTTTCCCTTATTACTAATAAGGATGGACGTCATTGCAGCTGTTTATTGTTCATTTTCATGTGTACTTAATAAAAAATTGAAAGAATAAACCTATAATGAAGTTATTAAAAGTAATCTTTTCAAATTTGTAGAAATTATATTTTGGACATTTATTCATCAAATATGCATATTTCAAATATGGCTTTTGATTTATCATGCCTTTTGCTGAACAGCTCTTAACTTTAATCAATTCAATATTTTTATATTCAGTTTTTCAGTTCAGACTTTCTATTTAGCTAAAATATTCTCTGCCTAGGTTCAAGAAGAAATTCACATTCAATCTTTCCTTAATAAATTGGTTTCACATTTAAGTTTTAATCCATTGAAACAGAATATTGGTTGTGAAATGGGGTAGGGATATAAATTTCTATATTTTCTTCCTAACACTTTGTACAAGCCAAACTTATAAAAAAAGAAATTCATTTGCTTATCTACAATGTCAGTTCTGCCATATGTTTATTTCTACATACATGTGGATATATGTCTGAATTTTGTTTCACAGATCTAGGTATCTATTTCTATGCCCTTATTACACAATTTTAATTATTTCATAAATAAATTGCTAAAGCAATTTGTATAAAAATTATAGCAAATTGCTATAATTTTGATACAGAAATTTCCACCACTTTAACTATACTTGCCTCCTTCTCTTCTAAATAATTTACAGAATAAGTTCGTTAAGTTGTACAATCAAACTCTGAGTTTCTTGTTGCAATTGCATTGACATTAAAGATCCATTTGTAAGTAATTTAGGGGCTCTAATTTTTTAATCATTGCTTATATTTCAGTTATTTTTATTATGACATTTGTTAAGATATGTAGTCTACTATGCTGCAAGAAGTGGATGTCTGAAGATAATCTTAAAAATACTTATAATGAGATGGAAAAACTTGTAGTCCCATCAAGTTTTCACATTTTTCAGTTTACGAAGAAAATTGCCCCATTTTCCCCCTGAAATCAATTTGTACAGGTAAATTTGATGACAGTTTAGCCATATAGAACACAATGAAAATCTACTTTAATTTATACAATGATTTTAAGATTTATGTGCAAAACCAAAGAAACTTCACTTCAATCTCGAATCTCAGTTTTGATATCACTATTGATCAAGTTACCTATATGACCTATATGTTATTCACATGTCTATGTTAAATGCCTGGTAGATAAATGAGGTAGAGAAATAGATTAAGTTTTATACGTATGTGCTGTGGTTGGAGGGGTTATACAAGAGTAGGAACTTCATATAGTCATTCTGATTAATTGAAATAAAATGCACATCAAGAAGATACTGAAATAAAATGGTGGTCACGAAATAAGAGGAAAAAATATCCCTGCCCCTTAAAATGCTAGTAATTTAAATTTAATTGATTAGAAAAAATGATCCTGAAATCACAGTTCAAAATGAGATCTAATAGAATTTATTTACTCAAATGTGATGTCACCTGCAACATGTTCTGATATCAAATTGCTTATTTAAAAAATTCATATACCTTTTGAAAAATAACTTAAGAATAAAATCATGGGATTTAGCCTGCTCTATGTAAGTAATCCAATTGGTAACTTTTGGGTCACTTACCTGATCTAATTTGCTTTTTAAATTATTTTACGTATTAATGCATGCAATGCTTATTAAAACAAAGAAATGCACCCATCTACCAGAAAATAACTTAAACATAATTAGGTTATATAAAGATAATAGTCATTTTCTAATTAAATAAAATTATTTGTATTTCCCTTTTGCCATTTGCTATCCTATTATAATAAACTTCAGGTGTACTACTCTTTCCAAAAGACTTCAAATTTCTCATAGTCCAGCCTCACCAAAAAAACCCTCCTGCTTTCCTGCTTCATTTTGCCTCCAATCTAACAGTGTCTATAAGACCCCAGAGCTCGCACATTTGGCACTCCAGCATGGGGAAGGGCCAGGTAGCTTCATGACACATAGTGTAAACATACCTCACTAATTTCCTATAGGAGAATCCACCTACAAATCTTACCAGTATCCTGTCTACCTAGTCCTCTAAGGGAACAGGGGATTACGAGGGCATTCATAGCCGTTGAATTTGGTTTTGTCCTATATTATAATTCATCTGCTCAGTAGAAGTTAGTTTAAGTCACCTATAATTGTAGCAATATATTTTACAATAGACTGATAACAGCTCATGATTTATAGAAAGAAACCACTTCAATGAAGATTAAGCCATTTAGTAGGCAGAAATTTTGCTGGATTCTTTAGAAGAATTCAATTTCACCACAGAAAAAGGATACAATGTAGCTTGATACTTTTTACTCTGTACCTGGTACAAATTTGAACATTTAATGAAATGGAAATATCTTTATTATCATTGCTGCTAACATGGCGATCAATGTGATGCCCATTGGCTTGATACGAAGAACTCAAAGCAAGACAAGTGACGTAAGACCTGGGGTTCCAGTCCTGGTTCCATCATTTATTAACTTCAGAACCTTAGGAAATCCTGAACTATATTGTTTAGATGTAAAAAAGGAGATGGATGTTTACCTGCCTGATGAATAAAATTGTTATTTCAGAAAAATATTAACATCAGGGAGAGTATATTATACACTTTCTATTCTGAGAATTTCAGCATATAGCAATTTTTTCAAGACATTTTTGTCCACAATTACAATTTTGATGTGTTAATATTTTTCATCTAAAGTACATATGCTTTGTTATTGTCATGAGTATATAGATTTTGAAATAATTTTATAATTCAGTAGCTAGATAAGCTCTATTTTATAAAGACTCCAACTTCTATCCATCCAGAAGGCTAAAAAATTTTGAATACATTTTAAAGGAAACTGAACACTGTCTAAAACATGAATTAGCTACAGTTCAGTTGCTCCTTTCCTCTAATTTACCTCAATTATGTCACTTGCATTAAGGTAAATAGTATAATTTATTAAAAATGTCAAACTTCACATTTCACTTCCTTGATTGATTTCAGCTATTTAGAAATTATGACATTGTACTTGTTGCCACATTTTAGCAACCACCACAGCTTGCAGCACTTCCACTGTTTTCGGTTTTTATTTTTTAACCAAAGCAAGGATACTTTAAGATGTATTGCTTTTATATAAAAATTTATATTTTTTAAAAGGCCAACAACTTCACTGTGTTGCTTTTAATGACATTTGTTTCTTTCTTCTCAGAATGAGCAGTATTCCTTTCCCATTGAAGAGATACTCAGATTTGTCAGAATAAGTTTTTTTTTTTTCTACTCAGAATTGAGAGATTGACCCAATATACAATGTAAAGGAGAGAAATAAAGCAGTCTACATTCAAGTAATTTATAAATCTCAGACAGAATTTATTCCTTCATCACACAGGATCCAATGTCTGAAAGAGAAAATACACAAAGAGTAGCTCTCTGAGAAATAGAAATTCATACATTTTCTTTTTCCCAGCAATAGCCAGGTTCGGCCAATATTTTAACCAGTAAGAATGGTAATACAGAATTTTGTTTCACCGAAAAACAATGCATAATTTTTAAACATAATATTGCAAATGTAATTATTTTTATAAATTTGTAAATCATTCTTAATTCAAACTACCAGCCTCTTTTGAGCTGACTATTGTAACTGATGTAAACTATCCACTTTAGCATGCCACACCATTCACAGATAAAAGTTGATTAATGGTAATGAAAATAATGTGTTATATTGTATCTCTAAATAGATCTGAATAAGTTTGATAATCAGGGAAGAGTTGGAATAACATTGCTATTGTATTTTTATGTGCCCAATAATTAGAACATTTGAAAGTGGATGGATTCATTCATCTGCCAAGATAGTACTGTCTTAGTAAAAACACCTTTGAAAGATTATTATCTAGCCTAGCCACTTATGAGACTTCTACTAGCAACAGAAAATTACCCTTTATCTTGAATTCATCCTTTAGATGTATTACCTACAATTGGTGTTCTTCTACAATGCATTTTTTAAGGGAACTTTCTTTGATTAAGAAAGATGAGATAAGATGAAAAGACAAGAATTTTTCTCACTGATTCTCAAAATAATGTCTTTGTCCTGTTAAGATGTCACCCTTTCCAAAATACCAGCCAGGGCAGGTTTCCTGTGGGTTAGCTCATTCTCATTACCCCTTTCAATCCCTTTCCCCCTTGCTTCCTTAAACCAGAGGAGTCGAAAATGGATTATTCGACTTCCTTGTGCTCATGCAGCTTACAGGGGTGAAAGGGTTCATGCGATCTAATTCTGGTCAATAAGATGGAAGCTTAAGTCCCTGTCTCCTGAGCAAGCATCTGCTCTCATTTTTCTCCTGTCTCTTTCTTACTGCCTGAAATGCATATTTGATGTCTGGAAGTGCAGTAATTATATTCCACTATGGACGCAGACAATGCAAAGAAAAAGAAGAAAGGAAGGAGCCTACATTTTTGATGAATACATTAAGCACTTCTTTTCCAGGTATTCTGCTACTCACAAACCACCTAGAATCCCAGATAGTTAACTAGCCCTTCTAAAGAGTGAAAAGATGGTGAAGGAGAAAGGAAATAGAAGAATAAGACACTATCCACGAGACTATCTTACTTGAATTCAACTGCAGAGAATTGGAAGAGAACTTAGAACTATTATAAAGGCCTCTCATTTCACAAAAGAGGAAAACAAAGCCCTGTAGTTGGTAAGCGACATTGCCCATGTCTATGTAGCTTATTTACCTAATGGTGAAGTATGATCGGGTCTCTTGACCATCAGTTCTTTCCACTCCCCGTGTTATCATGTCCAAATGAGCTAAGAATTAAGTAAGGCTTGATCTTCAATTTCTCTCCCCTATCACTGTGAACTCTACCACACCATTTGCACACATAGGAGTGGTGTGAGATTTGTAGGTACGTGGAGGAATGCACGGGAAGGGGGTTGTGGAGGGTAATTGTGGCATTAGACAATTTTTAACTTGTAAAATACTTTTTTCCCCCTGTAACAATACCTTTCCCTCATAAATTTTATTGTTTTCTGGCTAAAATATTGCATAAATCCTGCTTTAAAATTTGAGAATAAAATAGAAATTAACTTGTTCTATTTTTCCACATTGAGGAAAAAGAGGCATATCCAATTTAAATAGTATTATTTTACAATTTCCTAACTATATTCATATATATAGATGAGTCTAGATATGTAAGAAGATAGAAGGAGAGGGAGAAAGAGAGCTTCCTAACTATTCACATTTAAAAGCTAGGCCTACTAAAAAGCTCTGGGTTTATCTCTCTCTACTTTGAGGTTAGTTATTGCCCATCACTAACAGATCCAGTGAAGGGTAAGAATTCTGATGAACACATGGCCAGCAGGATGATAACTTCTGGGCTTTGCATCAGCACTGTGGTTCATGGAAGACTAGAGACAACAGAGAAAAATCCACCTAGAGTCCTCAGCGGACTGGGAAACTTGGCAGGTCATGCGGCAAAGCATTCAGTCACAGGGAAATGAGATGATGTATTAACTTATTTATTTTGGATAGTATAATGCTTTGTTGGTTTTTTCCGTGTTTGGGAACAAATAAAAAATTGTTTAATTGAAGTATAATATGCTATAGCAGATGCTATTGATGTGTAACCTACATTTTCTCCATCCACTCCAGAAGTCACGTGCAGCTGTGGTGAGCAGAGCTATACATGTTGGTGTTTGTTGTTTGGTCTGTATTGTTCATTGCCTTTAACCTTAAACAGAACACATTAAAAAAAAGACTTGGCTTACAATTTTCACTCTGTCCTTTTTCTTAGGAAATTCATGCAACTTCTCCGAGTCTCTGATTCCATGCACATTAAGCAGAATTAACATTAATTTTGCTATCTTACATCCACTGCAGCATGCAGGCCAGCAGTGTGGCTTATATGAAAGTACTTTGACAACTGTGAATGAGCCTACAGATATAAATTGTTGTCAGGTACCTTTTTTATACTCTAAATATCTTGAGTTTGAAGCCAGTGCAATTCTGTGCAGAGCAGTAGAAGGAAATTGTTCAAGCAGTTTCGAGTATAATTAGCACAAGGGTATTTCCAAAGAGGTGTCTTAGACTATATTTAACTCCCTCATAATCTCCGTCATTACCAATGTCACTTTGCCAGGGAAAATTATACAGAGAATGTAAATAAGATTAATTTTAGAAATAAAAATGTGCTAAACATGTTGACGTGCATCATTTAATAAAAAGGCATGCATTGTTCTTGCTATGCAAATGCAGTTTTAAAACAAAACCTTCCGATCAATCTTCCCTGAAACAGAATCCCTGAGCTGCCATTGAGCTAAGAGCATAGGTTCAGCAATTATTCTGCCCTCTTACATGTTCTGGAACCATGTCAAACCAGGTCCTTACACCAATGAATGCACTGCTGTGGGTTACTATCACAAGCAGGCTCAGCAAAAATTAAATTTAGAAAGCAAAGAATATGGACTGTTCCTTACTGGAAATAAATGAAATGGCTTTTCTTGAAGAATAAGGAAGATAGTAGTGGCTGACAATTGTAAAAGGTATTTCCAAAGTGAATCCATCTTGGATTGATTCCCTACCACCTGACTGTTCCCATTACAGCCTTGTCTGCCGTGGGGTTGCTTCTGGTTTACTTGATACAACAGAGAGCATGAGACTACCATGACTTTCAAGGCAGTCATCTGACAACCTTTTCTGTAAACAGCATAATTAAATATTTTAGGTTTTATGGGTCATAAGGTTTCTGACACAACTACTCAACTTTGTCCTTGCAGTACAAAAGCCTCATAGCCAACTATGAAAGTAGGCAATGTTCTACATGATGCCAGAGACAGTACAGAAAGAATGAGTGGGGCTGTGTTCCAATAAAACTCTACTGAACACAACAGACAGCTTCCCAAATTTCGCCTCTGGGTCATAGTTTGCTCATCTGTGCCCTAAGGCATGCAGCTCCTAGAGATGCTACCTGCTTGAGAGTGATGTTTCATTTCTGCACTTGAAGCTACTAAAGCTTATGGATATTGATGCTACAATTTTACCTGGACTGCTATTCCAGAAACAGGTGTCTTTTACATGAGCTACAAGGAATTGATCACAATAGTGTGTATCCACTTTTTCCCTACCGCCAGCTAACCTTTCTCATTCTGTTCTTATCACCCCTAGATTGAAATTTCACACAAATGTTCGAACTCCTCCAGAGTTCATGCTCCATGACAAACTGCTTGACTACTTCTTGAATGATAGTGGGGACTAAAAGAGAAAGAAAAGCAAAAACAGTACTATCTTTTTACTCCAAGAAAGTAACAAGAAGCCCTCCTTTTCCTTTGCTTGTTCCTACCGATGATAGTGTGGGACAACCACAAATGTCTTCCACAACTTTCCTATTGCTTTGCTCCTAGCTCAGCATCTCCCCGCAGAGTTCACTCAGCAGATTTTTCGTCAAAGCTTTTGCTGGAGAGTATCACGTTTTTAGTTTTGTTTGAGTTGTTCAAGGATCTACAGGAGAAGGATCTAGGCTGAGTGATCTAGCTTGAAATGCCTGCCTCCATCCTCACAGAAGCTGGGGCAGATAATCAAGGAACATAATAAATACAGAAAGACTTCCAAGAGCATTGCTTATGTTTCTTTTCATTTAACTATAAGGTCATTTTCATTCCCTGAGAAGGTAAAATTCATCTTCCCTTAAGATGAGCTATTGATTGGTTTATACTGATCTTTCCCTGAGGAAGAATCTAAGGCCCCAGAGAAGCCTGACAGAGGAAGAAGCCTTCACCCCTCCTAACAAAAAGTTTGAAAAAAAAAAATTTTTTTCTTGGTTTCATAATTGCCTTGGATCTCTAATTTAAGCATTACAACACCGGGATATCTTGCCATCTAGGGAGAGAAAGATAAAATTGTCAGAAGCACATGATAATATATAATACATTCTGAAATGCACCCTGCAAAACTCATTAGATATCCTTTAGTCTTCTCTAATTATCCCAGTGGCCTATCAGCAGTTGCTTATAACATCATAATACAAAAAGATATTTTTAACTGGCAAATGTTCAAGCTTTCATAAAATTATTTAGGGGCAAGAATTTTTTTTTTTTTTTTTTTTTTTGCCTAATAAGATTTCATGTACAGGAGATTCAACATAAGGTAACAAAGAGCTTTGATTATTATATTTCAGAGCCTGGGAGTCAAATGCAAAAGCTAAAAGAAAATTCTGTTCCTCTGTGGGAGAACACTCTGCAGAACAAAGACCTTTTACTACCCAGGACTTTTCTGAGTTTTAGATGTTGATTTTCCTTACTTTTCTTTTCAAGATCAGAATGTCTCTATTAGTGCCTTTTAGACAGGAATATCATGCAGAGAATGGAAAGGGCACCACAGACTGGAAAACACGACTTATTGTATAGATTACAAGCATTGCAATTTATTTAATTATGAAGTTATTCCAATTCCCATATATTTTGCATTGGCTAACAATATGTTAAAACCCCCAAAACAGAGTCAACAAAAGTGAAAACTGAGTTGATAATTTGCTTAAAGACTCTACAAATATTGAGCTTTCATCTCTGAAATGAGGGAAGGGAGACAAAGAGGAACATATGACTTTGTATGCTACTCAATGTATATAATATGTGTTTTCAAAATGTATATATTTTTATATATGCATGTTTATATAATTCTGATATACATACACATTTATATATAGGCATATGCACAAAAGAACCATACATACATATGGCTGTGGTTTATATTTGTATATGTATATAGAAAGATATATAGGTAGAGTCTTTTCATACTTTTGTCATATCTACGGCTTAAGCATTTAACATTTTCTATTTTAATTAAAATTGAGGCATTAGAATTGAAACTTGTGCAAAGAAAAATATTGGAGCTTTATAGAAGCTTTCAAGCCTGAATGTAAGTGGCAATTCTGGTTATGAATACGGATATATTTTAATTTGATATGATTGACTTATATTTAAATTTAAATAGAATATAATACACTTCTGAACTCTTTCTCATTCCTTCAGGGAAAAGGTACTAGTATGAAGTTATACTGAGGCGTGAGAAGTTAGTAATAAGAATGGTGGCCAAATAATAAAGTTTTTGCAGATTTACTTGTGCCAAACTTGTTTCTCACAAGAGACATCTAACGTTTCTGTAAGACATAAAATATTGTCAGCCTCTACTGTCCAAATAAGCTTCCCTAGAAGTTTTGTGTTGAAAGAAAATATGACAGATCATCCCTGATGATCACTGACTAAACTTTAGAAACTGACAGTTGTGTCAGCATATGTGATATGGGTGTTGCTGTGGCTGCCAAGAAAAACTCGGTCATGGAAGACCTAGCATTTGTAGCAATGGTTAGTGTGCCATAGCCAGGGCAGAATCACAGTACAGGGACACAACCAAGATGTTCCAGAACATCTGCTCCCAGGAAAAAGCGAAATCCATGAGGATGACAGGGTCGAAACACTTGCAGTGACTCCGAGCGCCCTTGGAGAAAAAAAAGGCACAAGGCAAGAGTAAAAATAATAGGCTAGTTAGTCCTAAGGGGAGAGCCTTGCCAAATTTTTAGAAAAGAATATGTATTTCTCCCCACTTTGTGTTTGGTGACAGTGGGCAGAGAGGGTTCCCTGTTTCCTCTCTTCGAATATACAGGCAGATGGCCTCTTAGAAGAAAGTGTCTACTGGAGCACTCAGTAGCTACTACTGGAAAAATCAAGAGAAAAGAGCCAGGTCAAATGTGAACCCTTCTTATGGAACCAAGAGGTAGATATGGTTCCTAACCATGACCCAACAGTAGTGAAGGGAAAGCTCTGCTTAATACAAATAAATGAAAAACAAAAAAACTTAGGGTCCATTATATTTGGAAGAAAATTATAGTGATCAAAAACATGAGCTCTGGAATCGCATACCTGAGTTGTTACAAAGCTTCAGGCAAATAACTCACCATTTCTAAGCATCGGATTCTATATCTGCAAAATAAGTACAAAATAGTGTATAGTCTTGGGGCTGTTGAGAGACTAAAATGAAAAAAATGCATGTGAAGTTTTTTTTTTTTTTGTTTAGCGTATTTGGTATACAGTAAGCCTTTTGTTAAAGTTACATATTGATAACGACTAGCACTCTGCAGAAGAAAGTAAATGGATAGGCACTTAAAATCTCTAACACTTCCATGAATATAGGAATTCAGGAAACTGATGAGGGGCTCATTTTATTTCATAAGAAAATAAAATAACTTTCTAATGGTTTCTCACCTTGAATAACAATAACAATTCCTAATTCTTATTAGTAACTGATTATATCCAATAGGAAATAGGTTTCGAGTTTTACAAAAAAGGCAGTGACAGAGGAAACTAATACTAACAAAGTAATGCCATTTGGATTTGGATGACTATTTCCTCATGTATTGGAAGTTTTAATGTAATTTTTGACACACACACACACACACACACTAGCACCTGCTCTGCCTTCTGATGCTTAATTTCCTTTACCTAAAATTATAATTTTAGATTCCATTGACAGATTGTCCTATTGTTATGATTTATGTTCATTTTAAAAAGATACCTTTAAAACATCTCTGGATCTTTCTCAATACAAATGATTTTATGTTTTTCTGAGCACCCTCAATTACTTCATAACAAAACGATACTTCATTTTTCCCACAGGCAATTCATAAAATCTGTCACTTCCCTTCATGACATTTTCTGTAATATTTTTACATGGGGCTTTACTTATGAGGTCATTTGTAAGAAATGCCTCTAAAAGGTATCATTATGCATTTGAATAAGTCTTATAGCTGATGCAAAACCACTGTGGCTCTCTTTACAGCGGTTTTTGTTTGATGTCTATTTTTTTGAGGACTCTTGCCTCTAAACTTGTAAGCCATATGTAGCTTTCGGAGACATGTTCAACAATAACAAACGAGTTAATTTCTTTCAAAAGTGGAAAGAAAAGTGTCTTCTGTTCTCACATTTCCAAAGATTTTCACATAGATCTGTCATCTCATCATCTAGGAAACAGGGCCTAGTATTTCCAGTGCAGGCCATAATTTTAGAGTTAAGTCTTTTAAAAGACACGGTCAAAAGATTAACTTCAGAAAGGTGCTCATTGGCTGCTTTCCAAAGGCCAAGGGCAAAAATAAATAAATAAATTTAATTACTTTTGTTATTTTAGACTTTGGTATGCAGCATGACTAAAATGACCAATAATTTTCCAGGACAGTTCTGTTTACTCCTTTCCCATAAGTACACAGCTGTCAGGCTCCGTACTTTACACCTTTTGGTCTAAATGTTGTCTCTGTTAGTGTAATTGCAGCTGAGGCTGCATGGTATTTTCTTTGTCAACACTTTAATACGTGACTTTTGATGCCTAGACTACTCAAGAAGTACATAACCAAAATCTTTCTTGGTCAAATACTCACTACAAGGTAGAACTTTCTTGCCATCTTTGCTTTGTTCATTTATCATAAAAAAAAGCAGGCATCTGTGCAGCTTTTTCCCATTTTAGTTTTCCAGAAACCTGACAGGAAAAAAAGGCAATAAGACAACTGAGAATTGATATTTTTCTTTTTCTATGAAATAAAAAAAGAATGTGTATTAGAAAGTTGAAATGCCTGTTAGTTGGAGACCCAGAATATTGCCTTGGTTCTGAACAACTTTAGATTCGTAAAGTACCTCAGCAGGTAAAAAACTACCACTGGAGCAGCCGCAGCCAGCTCTGCATTGACAGAATATCCTACCCTTATTTCTTCTGCTCTCCCATTCACTGTCTTTTCATTGGTCAGCTAAAGAGGATGAGTGGGGGACAGGCTAGAAGAGGTTGCTCCACTTTGGGGTAGTACCCTCCCCATTTACATCCCAATTCTCAGTCACTAAGTTTTAGACAATCATCTGGATATTGCAGGAATTTTTTTTTTTTTTTTTGCTTTACCATTCCTAGAATACTGAGAGCTGTGACTTTATGACATCCAGCTTGTCAAGTGTAACAAAGGCAGGACGTATTTGACATGTGAAGAAAGCTTCTGTATCACAGGCCTACAGCAAAGCTGATGAAACAGTAATAAAATAACAGGTGTCATATAAGATTAACTGGGACATATACACCTCTCCTAACATGATCTCAGCTCACTGCTATCTGGGCTCATAAAAGCTGCATCAGAAACATGGAGGAGGGCTCCATGGTTCAAATACAATTCTATTGCCTCCAGAAAAACCTTAATTAAATTTCAAACAATGGAATTTGTGTTAACAGAAACGTAATTGCTAATAATTGCTCCCATTCAGCATTATTTATTTTCATCAAGTGCAACCTAGTTATTGCATCCTCCCGCTAGCCTCAACTCATCTTTCACTTGGCACACAGTCACTTTACGAGTCACGTAAGGTGCGCCCCCGCCTTTCTCCTCAAAGGCAGTCGGCTCTCATCCATGTCAAAGTGTACGTTGTCCTCTTCAGTGATATGAAAGTCTATTCAGGCATAGTGATTCATTGTGGTTATACTCAATCATACTCTATTACTCCAGCATTTTACTTAATCATTGTCAGCCAGGTCCACCCATTTTTGCTCTTGCCCTACTACCTTCACACTCATGAATGTGGCAGATGCAAGGATGCCATTAATGCTGGTCAATTTTTTTCCTAGGTTGCACAGATGGCCCAGCTGTATTTATAAAATGTGATGCTTCCTCATCAGTATTTTAACAGAGTAAAAGCTTCCATTATGAAAGAATCTTGAAATTACTGATCTCTTAATTTGACAGTTCTTTCCAATACATTTTAAAAATAAATTTGGATGGCAGGTGTTATTTCCCCTTTCTCTCAACTTAGCTATTGTTTTAAGGCTATCTTTCTACTTATCAGAAGTAAGTGTGTATTGTATTTTTTTGCTTCCAAAATGAAAGTCTTAGCCTGTGTCTTACGCAACCAGGTACAAATTTTAAAAATTGATTGAGACAGTTTATATTTCTGCTAACATATATTCCCCATTTAATGTGTGCTTCTCAGAGTTCTAAATAATTTGTCTTTTTATATTACCCCCTGATGATGGTGTTAATTTGTCCCAATTTTACAGATGAGGAAACTGATTCTCAGAATGGTTAAGTTGGCTTCAGGTTGAATTATGTTCAACACACCTAAGTTTGGGCCTTAGAATAATATGTACTTGTTGAGTGACTCTGGAGAACTACTTAAATTCTGAGGTTTATATCCCTTCTCTGAAAATATAAAAAGAACCACCTCCAAGTTCTCTTGTGAGAGTTAAATGATTTAATATGTGCAATATGTCTGACACATAATACATACTCGATAAGTGGTAAATATAATGGTCACAGCAATTACAGACAGATATAAGAGGAAATATATTTTATGTGTGTGGCTTTGCATTTATCTACTTAACACCAATTTCTTAAATCAACCATCCTCCCTGCAGAACTAAGTAGTTTGGTTAGCGTTGTATCAATATTTCCTTCCAGTTTCAAATGCATCCATTTTTTTCCACACATTTTATGATCAGAAGGTGAGGTCAGTTCCTTGTTCACTCCCACATGCCTTCCAGGAAATTGTTTTCTATATTAAAAATAAACTTAGAAAAACAATGCTGCTCCTCCTTCAAGGTTTATACTACCCAACTACATCATCTTCCCCTCTTTTCATTATCTTTTTGCACCTATCTCTTGGTTATTCATTTTCGTTTCTGTAGTATCTGGCTTCATATTTTTTCATCATCTTCTTCCAGTATCCTAGGGGACTTGAACTTTCTAAAGCCTCAACTATTGATAATTCTTCCTATTCATCTTTAACGATATTCTTGTGACAACTTTGAATAAAGTACAGTGCACATATTACTCAGCTCCACTCCTGAAATCAACAAGTCTCCTATCCCTCTCTGACTGCAGCTTCCCATCCTTTACACAAAAAAATGTTGAAATTCATAGAAGGTCTTAAATTTATTTTGGTCTCCAGTTATGAATCATGCAGCCTCCTCCTGGCTTTATGTCCTTCCTATTCACTGTGCATTTCCTGGTCCATCAGAACTGCTACTGTCTTACAGACCCCTTAATCCTCTGACACTTGCGTTCTGCTCCCACAGCTCCGTCTCACACTTCCGAATGCAATGTTGGTCAGAAGAACCACAACTGGACAGATTGTTTTCACAATCAATTCATGACCACCAACCACAAACAAATTCACATATGAAACCTCAAAGCTGCCAGGCCGCCTTGTTCTAGAAATCATGTGCTTTCATAGTTTTTCATCAACCATCTAAGATGTTTGCTTCTCTCCTCAAACCTTCAAGCTCTCCTTCACACTCCTTCTGTGTTAATACACTGTGTCCATGTCATAGTTCAGAGAAATTAAAGTCATCAGTTGGTTTCTTCCTTAACTCCGACACCAATCTTCTTCTGTCTTTTTAAGAGTTTTCCTCCATTTCTCACTAACTTTTTCTAATGTGTGGTAAGTTTTTTTTCCCATCTTTTCAGGAATCTTGTTCCACTGCAAAGCAAAAAGCCTTATAAATTTTCTTAAAGATGTGTTGACTGAAGTGTCTTATAGACTTTCTTTGCTCGTTCTTCAATCTTTCTCTTCATATGAAAATGTTTTCTATCCTTATTTAAATGTGGTCTTGCCTTTCCCAATAACATTTAGCAAAACAAAATACCCTCTTTAAACCCTCTGTCGTTTTTCCAGTCTTTTCTCTATCAACTTGTCTAGTCAAATTTCGTGAATTAAATTCGCCTAACCGGGTGCCTTTACTTCCGTAACTATTTTTCAGGCTTCACTTCCAAATCAGTTCCTAGTTCCTACTACCTACCACCTAACCACTCTGATGTTGTCAACACTTCTGTGCATTTTACCATTCAATATATGTATTTCAATCCTGGTACAATTTGATCTTTCATCAGCATTTGACAGCTGCTCACTTTCACCTTATTAACAAACTGTCATATTCACCCTTTTGTCCATTTCCTTTTCTATCTCCTCCTTTATTAAACATCAAAATGCTGGTGATTCTTTGTCCTGAACTCTCTTCTTTTCTCCATGTGCATTATTTCTCTTTTTGATCACTTCCATCCCTAACTAGTGACTGGAAACTAGATATCACATGTAACAAGTAATTGTAGACTGGGTTCTATGGTTGAAGGGTAAAAATCAAAGCCCACAGGCTGAAATCTGCTTTGCTTTGCAGAAGGATTCAAACATTGCAGAGTAGTCCATTTTTTGCATGATCCACTGCTGTGGGGTATTTGCATTTTAAAAATCTTTCCTTGAAGATTGTGTGCTTTTATATTTGAATTATTAGGTGAAAGCTCTAAATCTATTTTTCAGAAGAAGGTTCATAAAATCCCTAGCTGATAATGCTGCAAAGCCATTTAACGTAAGACCTCATCCTCGGGATGAAGGCATATTATTATACTCAATAACTGAAGGACCTAAAGATCATCAAATACCCAAGAATTATCATAACCAGCCAGCTTTCTGACTTACAAATTTTGGAAAACTACATAAAACAGTAAATTAAAATTTAACACACACATGCACACACACATGTACACATACACATACATGTATAGATATGTGTATATGTATTTGTGTGTGTGTGTATATGTACATGTGTGTATATATATATATAATATATATGCAGGAGGAGGAAGATGGAAACAAAAGCATCATTCAATCCTGCTCCTTTTAAAAATGTTTTTCTGTCCCAAATCCCTAATAAATCTGAAAAAAGGTTCATATAATTAAACTATTAAGTTTTGGAAAGAACTATATAACATCCATGATCTTTATTTTCAAAAAAAAATATTCGTTTTAAAAATACAACAATTTTTCCAGTTTTAGTTCAACAAAAATGTTCCTTCTAGTAAGGTGACTAACTTTGCTCATCAATTAAGCTACTGTGATCTTTTTTGTTGAAAGAATTCACTGTCAATCTGCTCTGAACAACATCTTTGTATACAGCCTAGATATGATGATTCGAAAGGAGCATGCATTCCGGATCAATAGTTCTTTGTTCCAGTGTTAGCTCTGTCTTTTGCCAGTGTGCAAGTCTCTGGGATGTTAGATACTTCATCTAAAGGAGTCATAAGATATTAAAGTTTGAAGCGACCATTTTACGTCGTCCACCTTAATCTCTTCTCTACCATCCATAACAACACAGCTCAAGTTGGCACTTTCACTGAAAATCTTTGCAAGAGGCAAAGTATCAATTGCCTACGTTTATCAAATTGCCTGCTATATGTCAGTAATTTTGCTGAGAGATTTCACATGGATTATAATTACTCATTTTTAAACAATCTTAATTTCACAAGGGAGAAATCTGAGGCCTAGGAAAGTTGCATTAAAGTTGTACTGCAGTTAATGTCATGACCTGATCCTGAGGTCATGTTATCTCCTTCTGAAAGCAACATTCTCTCGCAATGCCACGTTATATTTTTGAATAGTTTTAAGTTCATACGAGAATAGATTCAAGTGTATTTTTACATGACCTGCACCTATTGATCTAACTGTCCACAATAAAGCAACTTAAAATTTCTTATCTTTTAACTCATAATAGTCAAAAAATCCCCAACTACCTACCATTATCTGATGTATTGATTTGCAGAGGGTGCATGGCTGCACTCTTTATAGCTTAGGCTGCCTGGATTGTCTTTTATTAACCCCTTTAACTTACCCAAAATATCATATTCTTTATCTGTCAGTTAAGTTTTCCAAAATAATCATTCTATATGATCTCTGCAGTGTTTTTTAAAATTCACACCCTTCTTTCTGCAATCTGATATCTACTTTCAGGATTTAATATACTTTATCAGATTTATCACTTATTTTCTAAATCTATAAATAATTTTTATTCTGTAGTTTTGTTGGTATTTTGTAATACTTGATATTCATTTTAAAAATTATTTTTATATATTTAGAATTACAAGTGTGGTTGTGTTAGCGGATGATATGGTTTGGCTGTGTTCCTATCCAAATCTCATCCGAATTGTAGCTTCTATAATTCCCATGTGTTGTGGGGGGGTATGTGGTGCAAGATATGGAATCATGAGGGTGGTTCCCCCCATACTGTTCTCGTGGTAGTGAGTCTCAAGAGATCTGATGATTTTATAAGAGCTTTCCTCTTTCACTTGGCTCTCATTCTTTCTTGGCTGCCTCCATGTAAGACGTGGCCTCTCACCTTCCACCATGATTGTGAGGCCTCCACAGCCACATGGAGCTCTGAGTCCATGAAACCTCTTTTTCTTTATGAATTACCCAGTCTTGGGTATGTCTTTATCAGCAGTGTGAGAACAGACTAATACAGTGGATATATTGCATAGTGGTAAAGTCTGGGCTTTTAATGTACCCATGACTGAAATAGTGTATATTGCACCCAATAGGTAATATTTCATCTCTCAGCCCCCCTTCCTACACTCCTAATTGGAGTCTCCAATGTCTATTATTCCATTCTGTATGTCCATGTGTACCTATTGTTTAGCTCCTACTTGTTAATGAGAACGTGTGGCTTTTTACTCTGTTTGAGTTATTGCTCTTAATAGCCTCCAGTTCCATCCATGTCACTACTTATTTGCTTATTTTAAAGTACTTTATGTCCATCCCTGGACAGTGTACAGTTGACAGGAAGTGAATCGCAGGTGGAACATTAAGGGAGGAAGAAGAATGCAATAATTGTCACATGTATAACCCATTGGTTATATCAAGTTGTCTTCAAATGAGACTACCTTGGAGGGGCAAATTTATATGTTGTATTCTACTCCAAATTTATCCCCCAAAGATAGGAATCATGCCATTCTCCTTCATCCTCCATGTGATAGGTGTTTGCTAAATATTTCTTGAGCACTCCCCATTTTTCTCGTGTTTTTAGCCATTTTTGTTCAAATTTTACTGTATTGAAGTCAGTTACATTTAACTCAAAATTTACTCTACACCCAAACTGCTATTATTCTTGATAACAAGAAAAACAATAATGCTTATTTGCCTATAGCCATGTAGACAAAAGTCCCTATTTTTAGGCTCTCTCTTCATCTGCTTTAGCTATATTATTACAAAGCAACTACATTTAAGATATGAATCATTAATTTAAATTTTTAGAAGTCCCTTGAAGTTCATGAGTAGAATATTTAATAATTATGCAGATAGACATGGATATAAAGCCCTCCAATCTGTGCCCTAATCTTTTTCCGATTCCTTAATGCAGTCACTGCCCAGTACATTAGATTATTCAGAACTACTACATCATCTAGTGCTTACAGATTTATAGCCTTAAGGCATTTTTGTGTGCCATTTATTAAGGGTGAAAGTAATTAGGAGACAGAATTGAGAAAATGGATGTCGTCTGTTTGGTTAAATATTGATAATTTTTTTTAAAGATTGCCGAGAAATAATCCAATGAGAAACAGTCGAGGTGATATGTGTGGCACACAGCTGCAGCAAATGATGAAATTCATTTTTCTGGCGCCAGGCCTGAATTCTGGTGGAGTGTATGTTGTCCTCAACTCTCAATATGTGCTCTCCTACTTCCTTCTAAAAAACATGTATGCATTTCTTTCATGCTATTAATTTTGGTGTAACAACTCATTTCAGTCTCACAATGCAATCTTTAAAAAGTAGTGCTTTTCACTTTGGGAGCACATTTTTTAAATTATCATTCCAAGAGGAGATGGAAACAGTTGTTCAGTATTAACAGCCTTTTTCTTATTGCTGGAGAACTGGAATACTCAAACCAATGAAGCATAGTTGATATTTCTTAGATTCCATGCTGAAACAGATATATCAATGATTTATATCTTGTCCTCTCTCACTTTACTGTAACAGATATCACTAGCATATAATGGTTGGAATAAATTGCCTTAAAATAGCATATACTTTAGGAATTATACAGAAAATACATTGTATTTAAAACAGTATAGGGGATATATTAGTTGAAAGATTCTGTTAAAGTATAAAGTTGAGAAGCATTTTCAGAATGGAGTTAACAATTCGCTTTTCCATAACAGCAACAAAAATACTGCCAAGTATTGTCTATATGAGCTTTGTCAAACTTTGGAAATTTACCAATGTCTTACAACAGTCCTAGAAGATTTAAAAAAAGAAAAGCAAAAAAGAAAAAAAAAAAGAACAGCTGAATCTCGGTATAACAAAGTTTGCTGGCATTTAAGTGGTTCCCTTCCCTCCAAGCTCCACGGATACCTTGGTTATCAGTAGAACTGCAACCAAGTTAACTAAATACTAGAAACCTAGCAGCTAGTATTTCTCTCAGCCGAGAGGACATAGTGTGTTTGGAACTTTCAATAAGTGACACCTCACAAAACTTTTCAGTAGTTGACCTATGTCAGCTTCCTAGGAAAGCCTCATTCACAGAATGACTATTTGACCTGACTCAGGATTCACTAAAAAAAAAAAAAAAAAAAAAAAAAAAAAAAAAAAAAACTTCACACCCAGATTATTGTTGAAAAAAAAATCAAGGGCAATTATTTAACACAGAAGCCTGAAATGGTAAAATCGGTTGAATAAGAGGCTAACCAAAAACATCAAACATGGTCTGGAAAATGAACTGTCCATGTGAGGCTTTGCAAAGCTCTAATATATTCCTGGAGCTGTACAAGGTCACACAAGAGTACAGAATTGCACACATGCTCATAAAAGACCTCAGAAGATCATAATCTCCCATCCTTCTGTTGACTTTGAGGCTCTTCACAAGGAGATGAATGTTTAGACAGGGTTGTAAAACTGTCAAAGTGTTAAAAGTGTTCTCCAACATATGTATGCTTGTTGTGTGTGTATATATATATATTAGTATGTGTGTGAATGTCTCTGCAGCAAAGGCCAATGGATTTACAAGTTCTAAGGATTAGTTCAATCATTGGGATGACTACAGCTATGGTGTAAATATATGTCCACTGAAAATTCATATATGTTAAACCTATTCCCTAAAGTAATGGTATTAAGAATTGGGGCCTTTGGAAGTTGATTAGATTATAAGAGCTGTGTCCTCATGAATGAAATGTGTGCCCTTATAAAAGAGGTCTAAGATGCCAGGTGTGGTGGCTCACGCCTATAATCCCAGCACTGTGGGAGGCCAAGGCAGGTGGATCACAAGGTCAGGGGTTCGAGACCAGCCTGGCCAACATAGTGAAACCCCGTCTCTATTAAAAATACAAAAATTTAGTCAGGCGTGGTGGTGGGCACTGATAATTCCAGCTACTCTGGAGGCTGAGGCAGGAGAATCACTTGAACCTGGGAAGCGGAGGTTGCAGTGAGCCAAGATTGCACCACTGCACTCCAGCTTGGGTGACAGAGTGAGACCCTGTCCCAAAAATAAAACAGGTCTAAGAGACGTATTTTCACCCATTTTTCCATGTGATGACACATCTAGAAGGTGCTATCTTTGATTCTAGATGCTATCTAGATCTTGGATTTTCTAGCCTCCACAGTGAGCAATAAATTGTTTATAATAAATTACCCTCAGGTATTGTTATAGAAACCCAAGTGGAAAACTACTGAATTGAGCAGGTGTATTAGTTGGCCACACATGACAGACTTTATGGAATTATTTCAGGAAAATCTTCAGGCAAACAGCAACTTGGAGAGGAAGTAAAAAATCTGATTTCCAGAGTTGTCACATTAAGTTGTTTTAAATATCCAGTGCTAACAACAAAAAATTGTGAAACAAAGAAACAGAAGTATGATTCATTCCGCGGGAGTAAAAAAAACTGGTCACTGAAGAAGTCTAGATATTGGATTAAGTAGACAAGCAATTTAAATCAGCTATGTTAAATGTTTAGATAAATCAAGAAAACTGTTTAAAGAATAATCTGTCTAGAGATCAATAAAATAGAAATTACAAGATAGGTTAAAATAGCAATTCTGGAATTGTAAGGTACAGAAACTGCTATAAAAAATTTCCCAGTTGGGCTAACAGCAGATTTGATATAGTAAAAATAAATAGCAAATATGGCAATAGTACAATAGAGATTAGCCTGAGGAATACAAAGAAAAACTTATGAATAAAAAAAAGCAGAGCCTCAGGTCAAGTGCACCACCATGTGCCTAATGGATATGGTACATATGGTGGTACACTTCAGGAAGTGCCAGTAGTAGTAAGGAGAAGGGAGCAGGACACATATTCAAAGAAACAACGGCTGAAATGTCTTAAATGATATAAACATAAATTTGCACATAAGTGTTGTGGTGATCAGACCCAACACCAGGTCATGGGGGTGACAATGTCTGGTGGAGTCAAAGGATTGAGACAAAGACAGTGAGAAAAAGGTAGGACAGCAGAGGGCCATAACTATCATATGTAGGCTGCGAAGGCCCTGAACTCTGGGAGTCCACGGTATTTATTGGTAATCGAACAAAGAAACAGGTGGTGAGAATGTGGAGGTCAAAAGGGCAGGCACATTATCTACAGCTGTGATGGTTTAGCATTTATATGGAACATGTTGTGCTACTTGAGATAATGGGAATAGGAGCCTAGGAGGGCTAGGAGCCTAGGAGGGCTAGGAGCCTAGGAGGGCTAGGAGCCTAGGAGGGCTAGGAGCCTAGGAGGGCTAGGAGCCTAGGAGGGCTAGGAGCCTAGGAGGGCTAGGAGGGCTAGACACATTCCAGAGGACATTATGCAAGCCCTACCTCAGTTTCCCCCTCATAACTCAGCTTTTTACCCCAACATGCCCCCCCTTTTTTGTAAAAGATGATATTACTATCATTACTAGCTTAAGAGGTGGCCTCTTAATTGAGCAAGGCAATTGCATGCTGTGCAGCTCTTAATTGCTGGTCAGTGACCCACCTTCTTTCTTTCTTAGCCCTTATTCAATTCAAACTGGAGTCACTCTGGTTTGAATGCTTCCTACATACCTCCCCCCTTTCCCTTTTACAAGGGGACCCTTAATCCTAGGGGTTGCAGAAGGATGAAGGTCCGTCTTCTGTAACTTCATGCTGAATAGGGGCGATGATATTCCTGCGTAACTGTTAGGGTCTCTTGTATTCAGGGTAGAGAGATGAGTCAGGAAGCATTGGTCCATTAAGCATTGTGACTCAGGTCGGTCCTCATTCCATCTTCGTATTCACATTCAACTGTCTCATGGCTCGTACTCGGGAAACCTGGTCCATGGTTGGGATCCATGGGTCCCCCTCCAGTCTCCCGTTCCATGGTTGTACTCATCTTGAGGCATCCACAAGGTTCGTTCATCTCTTGCAAAAACAAGCATACCCTCCACCGCCGCCCGTTAGTAAATGTACCGAAACAGAAGCAAAAACTTCTGTGGCTGTAGCCGGGAGGCCACCGATAATGATAAACAGGCCTTTTCTGATTAACAGAAGGCATAGAGAAAGCAAATCGAGGCTTCTCAAACCTTCAATTCACACTGTACAGGTGGTTCCACTAAATGCTGTGGCCCATGATAGATCTTCAGATGTTTGGTGGGCACCCACATAGGCAACTGATTGTCACCTGGAGAGACAAGCAAATCCTTTTCCCGCATAGAATTATCTTTAGGCAGGGATCGGAGGAAGTAGACTCAGAGGTAAGGAGAATTAATGGCTTCCTGATGTGTGATAGGTGTTCCCTCAGAAGTTAGGAATTCCCTTTCTCTCCATATTGCTGCGTGGGCATGGAGGACTAGGTAAGCATACTCAGAGTCTGTATGTATATTTACCCTTTTTCCTTCTCCTAATTCTAGTGTATAATGGCCCCTGCTTTAGCTAGGATGTCTCTCCCTAACAAAGGAGTGGTGCTTTCACGCATAATTAGAAAGGCATGTGGAAAGTCAAGTTCGCCAGTCACAACTTAGTGGCTGGGAGAAGTATCTAGTGACTGCCCGTCCTAGGACCCCTCAAGATAGTGACAGATCTGGAGGACAGTTGTCCGGGACAGGACAGTAAGACTGAGAAGGCTGCGCCACTGTCCACGAGACAGTTAACCTCCTGGCCTTCAATGATCAAACATACCCGGGGCTCCATGAGGGTGATGGCATGGGCTGGCGCTTGGCTCGGGCACCCTCAGTCCTGCTGCTATATCATCTGATTAGTGGCTTCTGACTCAAAGGACCTTTGTCCCCTGGGGCAGTGGGTCTTCCAGTGACTCCCTTGACATAAGCGGCATGGACGAAGCGGCAGCTTATTTCTATTCGGACAATCTTTTTTAAAGTGTCTTTGCAGACCGCACTGGAAGCAAGCCCTATTAGGCATTCGATTTTCCCAGCCTTTTCCTTTTCCAGAGCCTCCAAAGTTCACTTGCCTGAGGGCCGTAACTAAAGCAGTGTTTTTTAAATCCTGTTTGTCCCATTCAGCCTGCTCCTCATCTCTATTACAAAAGATCTGCAGCTGACCGAGAGATAAACACCATTTAAGATTTAGTTGGCCTTCAATAGAGTCAGGTGAACAAGAGGTATGCTTTCTCAATGCCTCCCCTTCATCTCTCCAGAGGCGGTAGGATTTTCTTTCTCTCCCTGTGTTATAGTGGACATCATTGAATAATTTATAGGCTTCCTAGTTTTCCTTAGTCCTAGCAAGCAAGTTACATGTCTGCGGCACCAATCTCCATGTTCTGCTTCTGCGTCCCAATGAGGGTCTACACTGGGAACTGCCTCCTGGCCTGTAGGGAATTGTTCTCTTTCCTCTGTTATCATCTTATCATTGACCTGAGATACCAGAGATCGCTGGACTCCCAGGCTGCAGCTATGGCGGCACTTGTCTAATTTGGGGTTAGTGTCTGATCTAGCAGTAACATTATCTCTCTCCATGTCAGATCAAAGGATTATCCTAACCCCTGTAAAACATCAGTATAACCATCAGGGTTATCTGAGAATTTATCTAGGTCTATTTTAATTTGCTTCGAGTTGGACAGGGAAAAAGGTATATACGCTTTGGGCCAAATTCTCCAGAATTCATCTTAGGGGTGTCTTTGCCTTGGAGGGAACGTTTCCCATTTGAAAAAAAAAAAAAAAGTTGCCAGCACCCCTAGTCATTGTCCCATGAGTATTAAGTCCTAGAGTGTCCTATATGTTGCTAATGCTTATTCCTTTCCAGGGTGCGTAACCACCCATGGACCTCTGCTTATCGGATTAGTTACGCTCACCTATGTAGCAGTCCTGCACCCGTTTTTCCTGCC
This sequence comes from Homo sapiens, assembly GCF_000001405.40. Lineage (NCBI taxonomy): Eukaryota > Metazoa > Chordata > Mammalia > Primates > Hominidae > Homo > Homo sapiens. Next base: position 9,018,219 of record NC_000007.14, on the reverse strand, counting down.
TTTCTTGACCACAAAGAAATGGGTCTGGGCTGGATATTAGTGGTCCTTTACCAGCGTGCCCGACATTGCCTTTGTGCTCAGGGGTGATTTCTAGAGCTGGGCTGGGTTCCTGAGTATTTCCTAACAACCCAGCTTCCCCGTCAAGATGCATTCCCATAAACGGTTCTTAATGCAAATTCGTTTGACAGGGTGTAGGCAAGCTCTTGAGTCAGGATTGAAAGTTTTGATTCTGTGTGTACTTTAAGGCTTGGCGGAGTGTAAACAGCTCACACCTTTGAGCAGACCAATTGTTGGGCCATTTTTCTAACTACTTTCACAAAAGCCTATCAATTACTGAATACCTGTTTTGTTTTTTCCCCCTCAATCACCTGGAAACTTCTATAGTCCTGTCCTGAAGGGAGTTCCTCCTAGGTCTGGTCGGACTTTTGTGTGGTAATTAAGATTTAAATCCCGTTAGGAAACCTGCTGGGTTAAGGGAGTTTTCAGCGGTTAATGTTAAATCACCTTTTTGAACAGAATAGCCACATACTTTAGGATTGGGTAAGCTACTTTTTTTGCTCTTTCACTTAGGATAGCTCTGGTGAGGTGTACTCACAATGAGGTTTCTTCTAAAAGTTGTTTTTCTACTTTCTTCTGTTAGCAAAGCAGTTGCCTCTACCGATGGAATGCATTTGGGCCATCCACGGGTTACTGGGTTAACGATTATTTGACAGGAAGGCTACGGGTTGTCAGTGGTCTGTGCTTTCGGGCTACACGATTGTTTATACTGGTAACAAAACCCTGCCAGTTCTCCCCCATTCATCCAACTCCATAGAGTCCCTTGTTCTGAGAATTATGGACGAAACTGTTTTACTGCACTGAAGAGTGATAAATTCTGAGTACTAACTTTCACTCCCCCTCTTCATAGTAAATGCCTTAAGAAATTTAGATAAGCAGAAAGTTTGCTTGCTTTTACTTTGTCCCCTTTCCCCCCGCCCCCTTCTTCCAAGCGCTCAGCTTTCCCACCGAACTTCTTTTAGAGGTCGAGCGTCCTTTGAAAATGCATTCTCCGCTTTCATCTGCTCTAGCGTTCTTTCACTGGGGTCTTTGCCGCCCACTATTGGGCAGCCAGGAATGTTGGGGTGATCAAACCCAACACCAGGTCGTGGGGGTGCCAAAGTCCAGCGAAGTCAAAAGATTGAAAAAAGGAGAGTGAGAGTAGAAAAAAAGTGGGACAGCGGAGAGCTATCGCTACCATATGGAGGCCGCGAAAGCCCCAAGCTCTGGGAGCCCACGGTATTTATTGGTGATCCAACAAAGAAACAGGTGGTGAGAATATGGAGGTCATAAAGGGCAGGCGCATGATCCACAGCTGTGACGGTTTAGCATTTATATGGAGCATGTTCTGCTACTTGAGATAATGGGAATAGGAGCCTAGGAAGGCTAGAAGCAAGGCGCCAGCAAGTCTAGACACATTTCCAGAGGTCATTATGCAAGCCCTGCCTCAGTTTCCCTCCTAACACTCAGCTTTTTCCCAACATACAAAAACCTCAACAAAATCCAAGCAGAATAAACTTAAATATATCAGTATCTAGATACATCATAGTCAAACTGTCAAAAGCCTAATTAAAAAAGAGGAACATGAAAAAAGTAAGAGAATACCCTCATCATGTATTAATATGTGGTTCCCCAGTACAATTAACAGCTGATGTCTTATCAGAAATAATGGTGGGGGAAAAGGCAGTCAAATGACATATTTAAAGGGCTGAAGGAAAATAATGTCAAACAAGGATTCTTTATGAAGGAAAGAAGTGCTTCAAAAATGAAAGAGAAATTAAGATATTCTCAGAAAAGAAAAAAAAAATGAGAATGAGCTTTGTTAAGCAGAGCTGCCACTTAAGAAATGCTAAAGGGGGTTCTTCAGGATAAAATAAAATACAAATAATAAAATAAAAATAAACAGTAACTGAACCCACTTGAAGGAATAAAAAGCATTGAAAAAGATAATTACAAAGGTAAATGTAAAATACAGCATAAATATAATTTTAAAGTCTTCTACATAATTTCAAAGACAATTGCATAAAAGGTAATTTTAAAACTATGCTTATGGGATTATGATTTACAAAGATATAATTTGTTTGACAATAAATAGCACAAGGGAGGGTGGAGAAAATGTATCTATATCAGAGCTATATATATATATGTGTGTGTGTATATATACATATATATATACTATATATACTATATAGTATAAGTTATGAGCCAGTGTGTTCTCTCCCAGAATATAGTATATATGTATATGAACATATACATATATTTCTATTCCTCAGGCTAATCTCTATATAGTATATATTATACATACTACTGAAATTAGAATGTATTAATTATAATATATAATTATATATAATATATATATTTAATTATAAATATATTAATTAAATATAGTTATAAGGTAATATTTATGCCCAGAATTTGCTATTTTTATGTGTCACTTATTAATTTTAATTCTCTATAGTCTCATTGTTTCCTTATCTTGTATTAAATAATATTTTCTAGTGTATCATTAGTTTTCTTGTTTCTTTTACTAATATTTTTAAAAATTATTTTCTTAAATAATTGGTTTGCCCTGGCCATTAAAATTAATATTGTAATTGAAAACAATGTAACTCATATTAATACAATCTAATTTCAATAGGATATATAATTATATATTATATATAATTAGAAATATAAGAAAATAATATAAATATATAATAATATTAAAAAATAATTTTTGAAAATATTAGTAAAAGAAACAAGAAAATCATACACTAGAAAATACCATTTAATATAAGGAAACAATGGTGACTATAGAGAATTAAAATTAAGTGACGCATAAAAAATAAATTCTAGGCATAAATCTTACCTTATAAATAAGTATATTTAATGTAAAATAGATTAAATACCTCAATTAAAAGTCAAAGATTGGAAGAATGAAAAAAAATTTATTTACACAGTTTCTTGAAGAGACACATTTTAGATTCAAATAAAAAATAAGTTGACTACAGAAGGATGAAAAATACATACCCATTCATACAGTGATAAAAAGAGCTGGAGTGGTTATAGTAACATCACACACACAAAGAAAGGGCTATCGGGCACAAAGGACATTTCTGAATTATGAGAGTTAAATAATCAGAAAAATTACAACTATAATCATGTATGCACCTAGCAATATACCACAAAAATATATGAAAGAAAATGTGACATAATTAAAAAGGAAAATAAATTATTCAATAATGATAGTTGGAAACTTTAATTCTTTACATTCAATAATTGTTAGGAAAAATAGAGAATGAACAAGAAAATAAGTCTTGAAATATACTATAAACCAAATATACCTAACAGATATATCAAGAACACTTCATTCAGCAGCAGAAGTGTACACTTTATTCTCAAGTACGCAAGGAAAATTCTCCAAGTGAGACTATATGGAAAGCCATACAAATTCTTAAATCATATATTATACGTTCTCCAACCAAACTAGAATGAAATTGAAAATCAACAATGGGAAATTGGAAATTTCTCAAATATGTCAGAATGAAACAACACACATAATGTTTCAAAGAAGAAATAATGGGAAAATAAGAAAATACTTAAAGATGTCTAATTTAAAAAGTGAATATACCAAACAGTATAGAATACAGCAAAGCAGTGTTCAGAGGAAAATTTATACTCTCAAATGCGTACGTAAAAAGGAGGAGAGAATAACATCAGCAAGATGGCCCTAATTTCTCCACAGAATCACAAATTTAAATTAATGGTATGCACAACAAAATACCTATGTGAAAATTCTGGAATCCAGTTAAGAAGTTATTGTATGCCAAGTGAGCACAACACCCAGAACAGCCACGTAATGCTTAAGAAGAGAAATTTTACTTTATATTCAACAGCCCCCTTCCTAAGCCTTCATAGCTCAGTTCTGGGAGAGAAAACACTGGCTCATAACTTAAACCTCAGGGGGAAAGACGAGTTGAGTTATTATCAAACGTTCTGGATTGTAAAAGGGCTTCCCAGGGCACAGGTTTTTGTCTCACCTCATTCAGAATGCTGATGGAACTCGCATAGTTTGGATACCTGGGGGCCGCTGAAAACAAAGATGAGCAGGAATTGGCTTCCTGTGTCGAGCACAACTCAGTGTAATAAGGAGAAGGGACATAATTTGAGGCTTCTTCCTTGCCAGGAATGGAGAGGAGTAGAGTATGACTGGCATTTTGGCTCTTTAGAGGGCTTCCTAAGGGACTGATATCTGTTCCACCTAATTTGGATACTTATAGGAAGCCAACATATTTGAAATTATTGATGGCTACTAAGAACAAAGGAGAAATGGGCGGCTTGATGCTGTAGACTCAGAGAATTTGCAGTGCTACAGGCAGACATCGAATACAGGAACAGACTACAAGCTGCTGAAAAAGAAATTGACAATACTCTCTAACACAGAAATTACACACACAAGCCCAGGGAAGTTGTATAACCCCCCCAAAAAATTTATCAGGAATCCCCAGAATCATTAGCTAGGCTGATTGTGGAGGTTCTTCTAAGTCAGTCTATAAAGATAGTAAGAGGTCTATAAAAATAGAGAAAGGTGCCTATATTTTAAAATATATAGATATCAACAGAAAGTTATGATGCACACAAGAAAAACAGGGAAACATGGACCAAAGATACAAATTAGTCTCTGGAAATTGACTCTAAAGGGACAGAGGTGTAAGAATTATCTGACAAAGAATTCAACATAGCTATCATAAAGATGTTCTATGAGCTCAAGAAAATTGTTCATAAACAAAATCAGAATATCATAAAAAAGAAACTATAAAAAATTAAACAGATATTTTGGAGCTGAAAAATGTAATAACTAAAACATTCAGTATAGGGGTTTGATAGTAGACTTGATCAAGCAGAAGGAAGATGAAGTAAACTCAGAGACAGGTCCTTTGAAATTATCCAATCAGAGTAACATAATAAAAAAAGAATAAAAGCAGTAAAGGAAGACTTAGAGATTTATGGGTCTCTATTGGGAGAACTAATATATGCATGAAGTTATCCCAGCAGGAGTAAAGAGAAGAAAAGAAATCTGATTCGAAGAATGGTTGAAATCTTCTAAAATCTGGAAAAGGACATGGGCATCCAGATTCAAGAAGTGCGATAGTCTCTAACTAGGATAAACCCAAAGAAATCCATACCTTAAAAAAATATAATTAAATTGTCAAAAATAAAAGGCAGAGAATTTTGAAAACAGCAAGAGATAAGAGACTCATTATATGCAAAGAGAACTTCCTTAAGACTGTCAGTGGATTTTTCGGCAGAATGCTTGTAGGCCAGAATGGAATGAGATGATACATTCACAGTGCTGGAAAAAAAATTACCAATGAAGAATACTATATCTGCAAAAGTATCCTTCAAAAATGAAGAGAAATAAAGACTTTCTAAGATAAACGAAGTTAAGGAAGTTCATTACCAGTAGACCTGCCTTACAAGAAATGCTAAAAAGAATTCTTCAAGTTCAAACAACAGAACAATAAAAAGTGACACAAAAACATATAAAAATAAAAAGTTTCTTGGTAAAAGTAATTATATAGAAAAATACAGAGTACTGTATTATTTTGATAGTGGTGCATAAATTACTTTTTATTCTGGTATGAAATTAAAATCACAAGGAATAAAAAATAGTTATAAAGATATTTTAATTGATACACAATATAAGCAGATGTAATTTTTATAACAATAACATAAAGTGTGTAAAAGGAATATTTGTAAATGAAGTTGTTACCAGCTTAAAACAAAGTGTTATAACTATATGCTGTTTTATGTAAATTTCACAGTAGCAACAAAGAAAATATGTATGGGAGATATACAAAAGAAATGAGAGAGATTACTACGTGACACTAAAAAGACAATAATCACAAATAAGAGAGCAAGAGAGAAAAAGAGGGACAAAAATTCTATAAGACAATTAACAGTAACACCTTCACTATCAATAATTACTTTAAATGTAAATAGATGAAACTCTCCAATTAAAAAACAGAAAGTGGCTGAAAGGATTAAAAAAAATGAGATCAAATTACATGCTGCCAACAGAATTTCTTATAGATTTAAGAACATATATAAGCTGCAAGTAAAAGGGTGAAAAATAACATTCCATGTAAACGGTAACCAAAAAAGTGAGGGTGGCTATATTTATATTAGACAAAATAAACTTTAACTCAAGAAATGTCAAACCAAATAAAGAAGAACATTATATAATGATGAAAAAGGTCAATCTATCAGGGAGATATAGCAATTATAGGTACATATGCACCCAGCATCAGAACACTCAAATATATGAAGCAAACACTGAAGGAACTAAATGAAGGAATAGACAACAAGAGTGACCACAAAAAATAGTTGGGAGTTTCAAAACCTATCAAAAATAAATAGACTTCAGACAGAATATCAGAAAAAAAAATTCTTGAACAATGCTATCTATGGACATATACAGAACATTTCACCAAAGAGCAGAATACACATATTGGTCAAATGCACACAGAACATCATTCAGGATAGATCCCATGTTAGGTCACAAAACAGTTCTTTAAAAATTTAAGATTAAAATCATACCAAGGATATTTTCTGATCACAGTGGAACTAAATGAGAAATTAGTGGCAGAAGGAAAAGTATAAAATTCACTAATATGTAAAAAATAAAGAGGCACACTCTTAAATAACCAATGAATCAAATAACAAATTAAAATGGAAATTAGAAAATACTGTGAGAGAAATGCAAATGAAAACATGACATATCAATGCAGCAAAAACAGAACTAAGAGGGAAATTTATAGTGATAAATGATAACTTTTAAAAAGAGGAACAATCTCAATTTTTAAGAAAAACATTTTATATGTCAAGGAAATAGAAAAAGCTAAGCTCAAAGTTACAAGAAGGAAGGAAAGAATCAAGATGAGAATAGAAATGAACAGATAATTTTAAAAAACAGAAAATCAAGGAAACTAAGCTTTGGTTTTTTGAAAAGATTAACAAAATTGAAAAACTATTAGCCAGATTAATTATGAAAAAAGAAAGAAAACACAAATAAATAAAATAAGAAAACAAACAGGAGGTACCAAAATTTGAGTTACAGAAATTAAAAGGTTTATAAGAGACTGTGACTCTTACGATGAATCATCATTTGCCTACAAATTGGATAACTAACAGAAATAAATACATTTCTAGAAAAATACAACTTATCAAGACTAAATTAAGAAGAAACAAATTCTGTCAGAACTATAACTAGTAAAGAGTCTAAATCTAGTAATCAAATACCTCCCAACAACAATAAAACCCAAGATCAAATGGCTTCTCTTGTGAATTCTACTCAACATTTAAAGGAGAATGGCAATCTCTCTCAAACTCTCCCCCAAAATACAAAAGAAGTAAATAACTCCAAGCTTATTTTATGAGGTCAGAATTTACCTCATGACGAAACCAGAAATGTTACAAGAAAACTGTAGACCGATATGATTACTATGGTTTTATTGTGTATGTCTCCTGCAATTTTATGTTGAAATTTTATCCTCAATATAACCATATTAAAAAGTCAGGCCTTTAGAAGGTGATTAGGCCATAGGCCATTAAAGACCCTGCCATCATGAATGAATTAACACCTTATAAAAGAGATTGATTGGGCAAGTTACCCCGTCAGTCCCTTCTATCTGTTTCTTCCTGGGAGGTTATAGTGTTTGTCCACTCTAGAGGATGCAGTAACAAGGTGCCATTTTGGAAGCAGGAATCAGCCCTTACCAGACACTGAGCCTGCTGGCATCTTGATATTGGACTGCTTAGCCTCCATAACTGTGAGAAATAAATTTTTGTTATTTATAAATTACCCAGTGTCACTTATTTTGTTATAGCAACACAAATAAACTATGACAAAATTGGTAGAGAGGAGTGAGACTGTTGCTGTAACAAATACCTGAAAATATAAAAGTGGCTTTGGAATTAGGTAATAGGTGGACACTGACAGTTTTGAAATACATGCGGGGAATATCTGTATTGTGGTGAAAGGAGCATTGTGGGTAATTCTGTTAAGGACTCACAAGGAGAGAAGAGCTGTACAGAAAGCTTAAAGATTTTTCAGGGATTATCTAAGTGAATGTAAATAGAATATTGGTAGAAATATAAATCTGAGGAACCACAAAATATATATGAGAACTAATAAATAAAAGCAGCAAGACTGTAGGATACAAAATCAATGTGCAAAAACGCTTATATTTTGCAAAGGACAGTTAGTAAATGAAATCAAAAACAAAATTGCATTTACAATAACTAAAAAAGTATAAAACACTTAACAAATTCAACAATTGGAATTCAAAACTTATACATTACATACTAAAAACGTCTTGTTGAAATAAAGAAGACCAAAGATATGGAAAGATGTATCATGTTCATTAATGGGAAGTCATACTATTGTTAAAATAGCAATATTCACCAAATTGATCTGGAGGCTCAATACCACCCCTATCAAAATCCAACACTGATGTTTTTGAGAAATTGGCAAACTAATTTTAAAATTTATATAAAAATGTAAAAGATGCAGAACAATCTAAAAATCAATTTAGAAAGCAGAACAAATGTGCATTTCCTGATTTTGAAACTAACCATTAAGCTACTAATGAAGAAAGTGTGGTACTATTCATAAAAATAGATATATAAATAAATGAAATAGAACAATATTCCAGAAAGATGCATTTATGCCTAACTGCTTTTTGACAATGGCACAGAAATAATCCAATAGGGAAGGAATAGTCTTTCAATAAATGACATTAGGGAAACCAGATATTCACTATAAAAGATTGAAGTTTCATCCCTACCTCACACCATATACAAAAGTTATCTCAAAATGTGCCAAAGAGCTAAACTTAAGATTTAAATCTATAAAACTGTGAGAAGAAAATATGAGTGAAAAATCTTCTTATGCTTGGATTGGGCAATGATTTGATAAACACAACACCAAAATCACATGTGACAAATAAAAAAATAGATAAAATGGACATCATTCAATATAAAAATGTTTGTACTTTAAAATATGCCATCTATTACTTAAACATATTCTTGCAAATAATATATCTGATAAAGGACTTGTATCTAGAATATATAATAAAAATGTACAACTGAACAGAAAAGACAAATAACTCAGTTTAAGAAATAGGCAAAGGATCCAAATAGAGATTTCACCAATGAATGTATAGAAATAGCCAATCAGGACATTAAAAGATACTCAACATTTTTAGCCATCATAAAATGCAAATCAAAACCATAATGAGACACCACTTAACCCTCATTACAATGACCATAATATAAAATACAGACAGCATTCAATGTTGGTGAGGATGTGCAGAAATTAGAACCCTCATTCATGGCTCATGTGATTTTTAAAAAGGTGCAGCCACTTTGGAAACAGCTTGTCAGTTCCTCAAAATGCTACACATAGTGTTATTATATAAGTCAAAATTCCCATTCCTAGGTACATACCCAAAAAAAAAGAGAACATATATTCACACAAAAAGTATACGTAAATACATTCATAGCAACATTATTCATAATAGTCCAAAATTTAAAATAACCTAACTTCCTATCATATGATCAATGGATAAGCAAAATGCGCTTTATCCACACATTGGAATATTACTCAGCAATAAAAAGGAATGAGTCACTGATACATGATACTGATACTGTTTCATGGACATGAAAATATTATATTGATTGAAAGAAGCTATTCACAGATATATTACATATCATATGATTCCATTTATATAAAATGTCCAGAATAGAGAAATTCTTAGAGACAGAAAGTATATAAGTGGCTACCCAGGAACTAGGGGAGGGGAGAATTGGAAGTGATGTTAATGGATGCAACCCTTTTTGGGTGATGATAATGTTCTAATACTGGATAGAAATGATGGCTGCATGTCTCTGTGACTACATTAAAAATCATTGAATTCAAAAAACTGAATTATATATGTATTTTGTCTCAATAAAGCTATCATAAAACTGTAGTTTTTACTGAGGTTTCTGAGATCAAAGGACATAAAAGCCATTCATGGTCTGCCAACTTAATTTACAACAAACCAAATAATTTTAAATGTTTGTCAAAAGTAAAGTCCGCAATTATTGAAATAAACTTTTTGCTTAATAAATTTAGGCTTTCATCATAATCCTGAAAACAATGATGTGTGAAGAAATAATAATAAGCCAAAGTACTAAACAGTGATAAACTGATACTGGTTTGATATAGATCTTTGCGTTTGGTTGGTTGAGACCTATCAAAAGAATATTTTTAAATTGTTTCAGCAAAGAATTTGGTGAAGCTATACTTATTTTTGGAGAAGAGAGGACCTCTGCCTTGAAGTGGGTCAGAAGCCGTTTTTAATCAGTGTTCATTTTATTCATATATTTCATAATCATCAAAACTAGTAGGGACGCAGAAAATCAAGGAGTTAAATAAAACATTTGTGGGCAATACAAGGTTTCTTTTCAAAGCCCTGTAGTCCTAAACTGAAGAACTAGATTGAGGCACAGAGTATTAATCCACTCATCTTAAGTTATTTCCATCTGCAACTACAATAGATTTAAGAGATAAATACTTTACCAATATAATAGAAAATGAATATGGAACAAAATGAAATTCATGCATGGGATGATGATGATGATTATTATTATTATTATTATTATTATTTTATACTGAGTTTCCTCTCTTGTTGCCCAGGCTGGAGTGCAATGGTGCAATCTCGATCTCAGCTCACTAAAACCTCCTCTTTCCGGGTTCAAGCAATTCTCCTGCCTCAGCCTCCCAAGTAGCTGGAATTGCAGGTGCCTGCTACCACGCCTGGCTAATTTTTTAAATTTTAGTAAAGACGGGGTTTCACCATGTTGGCCAGCCTTGTCTCGAACTCCTAAACTCAGGTTATCCACCTGCCTCAGCCTCCCAAAGTGCTAGGATTATACGTGTGAGCCACCATGCATGGCCTGGGATTATACTTATAAATGTAGAGAATGTTTATTTGAATAATAACAAAATCATTTGATCCGCAAAGCAGATGGAACTTCAATTACTAGACAGACTACTTTTTTCCAACTACTTTCCATTAGAATATATTATAAACAAAATACATAGATTATAAACAAAATATATTTAATACAAAATTTAATAAAATTAATTTTTTAGCACTGTTCACTATGAAACTCAATTATTTCTCAGCTATATTTATGACAAATCAGGACATATGTAGTAAAAATGCTTATATCTAAATATTATTTGCTCCAAAATATGTATGGAGAATAAATTTTCATTATCTTTAGAAGCCTATCACCTTGCTTTATTCTGTTTTATAAATAGCAATAAAAATATGTTATTTACCAAATATGATTCCTACTAATTAGCATGAGATAAAGGTCCTTGTTGAAGAGACAAACTTTACAATCACATCTCCTCAAACTCAACCTCCTTTTCCACCCTACGTACCATGATCTCCTATCATTTGAAACAACTTCTATTTTTCTCTGCCTGCCATAGCACATTTTTAGCTTGGAATATTCTTTCTGGAATGCTCTTCCTTACTGCCTACATTAGGCTACTTTCCTACTCATTATTTAGGGCCAGCTCAAATACTGTCTTACCAAAAGGGTCATTTTACCTTCTCAGTTAAAATTAAACATTTATTCTTTGTGTCAATAGCACTTGAATGTATAGTTAGAATACTTATCAAATTATTGTGCTTGTTTATATATTTATTTCCCTGATTAAGAGAGGAAAAAAAGAATAACTTTCTATTTCATTTCCTCAGAATCTGCCCTGATGTTTAGCTCAAATAGATGTTAATGAGTATTTATTGAATTAAGAATGAAAAAATTTAAGCCAACAAATGTATAACTGTGTTCTCTGTCTTGTTCAAGTTGAGGAATACATAAACTAGGTTACTTTAGAGAATAAATGAGCAAAGAAAATGAGCTTTTAGTGCCCTTTAGGTTCCCCAAATTAGCAACAAAATGGGAAAATGGTATCTGCAGAAATATAGTCTATATACACACACATACATATATACACCTACACACACAGCCCACCCATCTGCTGTCTGCATTTTATTTTCCCTGACCCCCAAATAACATTAACAACTTTGTGTGTGTGTGTGTGTGTGTGTGTGTGTGACCATTCCAAAGGGCAATGATCAAATTTTCTGTTCCAATTTATTCTGAAATTTTGGGTGAAGGGTGGAGTAAACATCATATTTAGAAAAACATGAAAGTTTCTATTCTCATGATGACTATTTCTGCAACCAAGGATGCATTTTTCTGCATAAATACAAATGCCAGACTTGTTCATAAATATAACATATTTAGGTTATCCCACTATAGGAGTTTGCAGAGTATACAAAGCATATGCTTCCCCACCCCTCAATCTGAGAGAAATTTTTCTCTATATCTCCTAACTGTAAACTATTAATACTACTAGGAGGAGCTACAAAATATTAGTGAAACATATGCAAACATATATTATACAGAGCTGGCAGGGTGGAGATTAGGCAAAGAGTTAAATAATTGACCACAATACCAATTGCCTCTCTCTCTAGGTTTAAGTTTCAAAATTAAAAGATAGTCATTTTTAGAATTTAATTAGCTTACAGCGACTTGCGATGGAAGTGCACTATAATAAATATTTTTTTTCTCTTTGAAAACTGACTTTGCAGAAAGTCATAGGAAAAAACTAGATTTCAAAAACTGCTACCAACTTGAATTTGAGTTTGCAGTTAAAAGACTTTCTGGAGGTTTCTCAAGAAAATACCTTTTTAATGAATCAAGTTCAACTCAAACTTTCACACCTAGCGAGATAAAATAAGAAGGCTCAATTTTTAATTAAGTGGGTTCAGAATGTCTATATCTTTATTCTTCTTGTCATATTTGGTAGTCTTTTATTTAATATGTGGGCAAGCAAATATGATAATGAAAACCCTTAAACGTCAGAAGGCACTGCTTCTAAAATTAGAAATACCATTTGTTTTTCTATTTAAAGAAGCAAAAAATATGTTTATAAAAGTAAAAGTGAATTGTGTATATTATGGAATAGAACTATCTCTTGGCATCGTGTCCTTCAACATAATATGTTTTAAGCTCCTATTGTGTTCCCGACATTGAGGATAGAATAATAAACAAATTCAACAATATAATCTTCATCTTCCTAGAACTTACATTCTAGATAGGAGAAACAATACACAAATAAATTTATAAAATAAATGGCATATCATACAGTATTAATTATTTGGAAATAAATAAAGCTAGAGACAAAGATACTAACTATTGGGTAGAAAAGATGCATTTTTAAATAGACCAGACATAGAAGGCTGCATGGGAGGGTAATATCTGAATATCAACTAAAGGATGTGTTCAGGGCAAGAGTGTACCAGACAGGTGCAAAGGCAGGTGCAAAGGCCCTAAGATGAGGGTGTACCTAATATGTTGGGAGAATGACACAAACCAAAATTTAAAAAATATATAATATCACAAATTATATTTCAGAAAGTGGCAAGGTGAATGCATGTGTGTTTAATAGCTTGAGAGATCTGTAAGATTTGTTTTTACCCTAACCTGTTAAAATTAAAGCATCTCAATCTACAGAGCGACAAATTGTATAACCAACAAATACTCGTAGTGTATTCATAATGAATGTAAAATACATAGTTAGAATGTATGTTCTTAACCATTTAAGATGGGTGTTTCAATGTCACTTATGCTACCAATGAACTCTGTGACTTTGAATAAGTCAAACTCTGTTTCCTCAGTCATAAGATAATGTTGAATGTACTCTAATATTTCTTTGACTTTATACATTATATAAACTGGAAATTCTGAATATCCATTGGGCATCTGTTTTGAACAGTTTGTATGGTTAGATGCAGTGGGTAAGATATTGATGTACAAAGTGTCCTTCCTTGTGGTAAGGGGCCTGCCTTGGGAAATAGAAAGGTGAGGGGGGAAAGACAGAGACAGACTCTGTACCCAGTAAAATGTCCGGAGGTAGGGGCTGGCAGAAAGGGCTTTAGGCGTTCAGAGCAGAATATCACATAAGGACAAATGTATCTAATAAGTCTTCATGATAAAGATAACATTTTACCTTGAAGAATGGTGGACTTGGGATAAGTTCAAACTTGTGAGGAAATAATTTGAAGCAGAGGATGCTGTATGACCAAGGCTGCACTGGGGAAGTGGAGGTTTCTTCAGCATTGGTGGAGAGGCCTGAGGCTATGAGAACAGATTAGACAGATAATCAGTTTGCAGAGCTACTTATACATAAGAAAAAATAATTTCACCTGAGAGTACTTTCAGGGGGGTTTGATATGGAAAATATCATAAAAACAGATTTGAAAGAAAAAAATATTTGAAAGCAAACATCACAAAAAGCAAACAATTACAATTAAAGCATGAGGCCATAAGTCCATAAATTTGAAACAAGAGAGAGAAAGTATTCAGCTGACTGTATGAGGAATGGTATGATACTGGATATCACTAAACTTTTCAGTCTAATGACTAAAAGAGTAAAAACAAGAATGTTTTGGATAAAATTTAGCTTGGTTTGGAATAAGTAATTAGTTGATAATATCTAACAGGTATTTCAGAATAAGACTGGCCTTAACCAAAATTCAGACTAGAATCTTGTCATAGCAATAGGTACTCTATGTTGACAACTTACTATCTCAGAGGTACTTGCCTGTTCCTACACCAAACCTATTAACTGTTTTATTTATTTATTTTTTTAGAAAAGGGACTCTGGAGTTTGTATAATTACACCACTCTCAAGGTAAGTGGTAAAACTCGGATTAGATCTGACTCAAAGCTTACCTTTTCGATGAGGCTAAGACATAAATAAAACATTCAGATAAACGTGTTTATGAAAATTCAAGTGTGGGCTGAATGTGATGAATCAAGAATTAAATGGTAGGTTTAGAAAATTAGTGGTATTAAATCAAGGAAGTGGGCCTGATCTACAATTTAAAAGCAAAGAACACTGGGCAGCAATTAAGGGGAAGGAAGTTGTTTGGTACATTTAGGATCAGCTTGATGAAGGCTTGCAGATGGTGGAAAGGAGTATTGACTGAGAGCAGAAGAAATTGCTGAGCCAAGATCTGCTAAAACAATAAAGCTATCTGGTCAAAAGCTGGAAAAACCCTGCTCAGACCTTGATCTGCCATATAAGGTAATAAATCTTTGTTGGCTTAGAGGCTTCAAGGCCTTGGGTAATAACCTTGAGGACATAATTTTAAGGAAGATTTACTAACTTAATTTTTCAAGTTTAATTTCGGTAAATCACCTTTTAAATAATGCTTTAAAGTGTGGAAATTTTATACGTAAAAATAACTCCTTTTTTTTTTTGTTTTGAGATGGTCTCACTCTTGCCCAGGCTGGAATACAGTGGTGCTATCACTGTAACCTTTACCTCCCGAGTTCAAGGGATTCTCCTGCCTCAACCTCCCGAGTTGGGATTACAGGCACGCACCACCATGCCCAGATAATTTTTGTATTTTTAGTAGAGATGGGTTTCACCATGTTGGTGAGGCTGGTCTCAAATTCCTGACCTCGTGACCCGCCGCCTCAGCCTCCCAAAGTGCTGGGATTACAGGCGTGAGCCACCACATCTGGCCAAAAATAACTCCATTTTAAGCTCCCTATTTTGTGTCACTAATCTTAAATTTTTATTTTTGCACCATCCCCATGATGAT
Source organism: Homo sapiens (assembly GCF_000001405.40). NCBI lineage: Eukaryota > Metazoa > Chordata > Mammalia > Primates > Hominidae > Homo > Homo sapiens. Next base: position 9,002,458 of record NC_000007.14, on the reverse strand, counting down.
TTTAATTATTTTTCTAAATGAGAAATAACTGTTGTTTTGTCTGATTATATACATGATATATATTTATTGTAAAAGTAAGTCATGGAGTAAAGAAAACACTTAAGAAAAAAGTAAAAATCATCCCAAATCACACCAGAGATAACTAATCTTAATATTTCATAGCATAAGTTTCCAGATTTTTTCTATGCACACATATAAACATCCCAATTTCCAATAAATGTAAGAAAGGCAAGCTCCACCAAGGTATATCCAATTTTCCATGCATGCATATTAACTTAAAATTATTAATAATTTTTTAAAAAATTATTTGAGCTATTGTTTGGTGCTCTGATCAACTTGTTGATTCCACAAGGTGCATCGATACTATGTAAAAACAAACTAGTTTATACTTTAGGCCATTTGCCACTGAGCTCTTGATGTAAATAACATAGTCAAAACATAAGTAGGAAAAACATATATATATATATTATTCTGAGAAATGGGCAATTACATTAATCTATGAGAAAGAGAATTTTAATTATATGGACAATGTACCATTTAATCACAATGAATGCATCAGTTTGTAGAATATAAGAACATATAACAACAAGTGAATGATTTATTTCTAGACAGCATGCCTATTGTGTCTCTCATTCTTTGTGCTAATGATGTAAGTCATATTGAAGATGCTTTGGGAAGCCAACTTGGAGACACGTATGACTTAAGTCTTGAGAAACGAAAATTTGATTTAATTAATTAACATTATGAAATTAAAATCTCACCTATAATAAGCATAAATAAATATTTAGTGAAGAATGAATGGACAGGGTATTTGTTCAGTCATTCATTAGTCAACATTTACTGAACTCATATCACGTATCACACACTATTGGGATAAAGTGATAAAGAACATAATGTTTTCTTTCTAGGAGTTCACCATCTAGTGGGGAAGGAAAAAAGCAAATGAACAATTATAAACCAGTGTTAAAGTGCTCTTATAAAAATATGTATGGATGTTTAAATTTTCCTGGGTGGAGAGTGGAGTGACAATGGAGTTACTATTCACAAAATGGTAACAACTGAATTGATTTATGAAGGATGAGTAGAAACTTACTATAATTTTTATTGTAATTTCCATTGTACGAGTTAAGAAAACAAATATCAGAGAGTAATTGCCACAGATCTTATGACTAATGGTAGGTAAGGAGGATGAGAAATAAAACATCATTTTTTTTACATTGTAGGCTTTATTCATCCCATTATACCATATTAACAGATGAAGCCACAGAGGCCCAGAAATTTGTTTAAAATTACACAGTGCATAGCTGAGACAGAGAAACAGAGAGCTTTAATTTAGATATAATGTTCTGTATTATTAGTATTTAATTGTGTAGATACATAGGGCATAGGAAATACTTAGACACATGAATTTGTGTAATTGAATTATTGGCACTAACATTTTAATGATAGCTAGCTGATATCAAAATTGGGAGAATTATAAGCCTTTCTCCATTTGTGTATTTTTGTCTCAACTGGTCCCCAAATCCTGGCTAATTTTTGAGATTATTCACCAAATATAACCAGTATTTTCCTGGCTGGAAAGTACTTTCCAATATTGTCACAGAGGGATCTGTCCTAGACACAAAGCCCGGAATACTCCAGGATATTGCACTGTGGTGGTTTCCTATGGAATTTCAAACCAGTCAGTCACTCACTGAATTAAAGCCGGTCATTCACTCACTGAATTAAAATTCAGCCAAATTTTATGCAGTATCTACTATGGGGTGGGGATTAGACAAGTTTGGGATACCACAATATACAGAATAAAGCTTTTAATCTAAAATAGTATATGATCAGTCTGATACTTTATCCTCCCAAAAAACAGGCAATTTCTGAGACTGTTTTTTGTCCTAATATTTTATTTTATATTTAATGTATATGAATCTGGTTGCGTTAAGCCTTCTCATTACAGAAACACAGTTTTGGTCAGTAATAAATAAAGTCTGACTAAAAATAATTCTGAGTATATTATCTTTGATTCTAATATTTTATCTGTAAAAGTTGTTTTGGTATTTTAGTGTATCTCTTTTTTTAAAGTTCCAAGTATACTCAAATTACTCCACATACCAGAAACGGCATGATATATAGCCTTTCATAACAGTTGAATGTTGCATTTTTCTTATAAATGAATTTCATCTAGTCTGACAGTCTTTTTCTGAAACCTGTAAGCATAAAATTAAAACAGCGAACACCTACGAAAATGGTTCTCTGAATTAGTGAAATTTATGGTATGCATCTGATGTGGCATTAATAAGAATATTCCTTACTATGTTTAAAAGGTATATTTTCTGTCATTTAATGTATTTAGTTAATAAGAAAATAATCCTGAAATAAGAACCCAGAAGAAATGGATTTAAAGCTCATAACAATCGAAATACATGAGACAACATTTCAAAATGTAATATAAGATAATTAAAAATCAACCAATTTTCTTATCTTTATGACCATCTAAGTTTCTTTCTTAATCCCAAAAATCAGTTGACTAATCATAAGAATATACTTAATTCTTTTTCTAGAATGGTATAATAAAGTATTTATATGGAAATTAATTACCTGTTTCTGAAAACATTATTTACATATAAATGTTTGTTTATGTTTGGTCAATTAGAAAGTACTGAACAGTCACATCTCAATCCCCTTACCACTGTAAGACCTAGTAGAGAGTCACTGAATTTTTAAGGGTCCCTTTTTTTAGTGGTTTTTTTTTTTTTTGATTTGTATATTTCTGTGTAGATATTCTATAGTAAGACTGAGTTAATAAAAAATAAAAATAAATATCTTTTTACATAAGAACTAAGAAATATAGAGATTGTCATATAGTTAGTAAAGATGCATAAATTGTTTCTTTAAAAACAATATGTATGCCACAGACTTTTTTTTCATAGGTATTTATTCATATTGTCTAAAATGAAGAACTTCTATAAATAACAAGTAATATAAAGGGAAACCGATTTATGCATGTGAAGAAGTTGTAGGGGACTCCAAATTCATAGCCTAGTTCATAGTCTTTTCTTGATGAGAAGGAAGCTCTTTACATCCCAAGTCAGAATATTTAGATTGTGAGTGAGGTAGAGCAGTGCATTCTCTTATACAAGTGTAGATAATGATATCCACCACAGATTGAACAATTGTCCCTTAGAGCATTGTTGTTCTTCCCCACAAGAAAACTGAGGTTGAACATAACTTGTGCATGGCCAAAAATCAATAAATATGAGCAGCAGATTTGAGCTTCCACCTCTCTGATAAGGAAGCCTGGACTTTTTCTCTTAGCAACTATTTTCCAAGCAGGAAAATGCCTTTTCATATAGACAGGTAGCAGAGAAGAGAAATAAAACTTCTTGCAGTCAAGCTAGGCTTTGGTATTGATAAGCCCGCCTGTGCCTAGAAACGCTGTACTCCCACAATTTCTGCCTGAAATTTGTCGACTACAGGCAACCTGTTTAACTGGATCTGCCTCTGAGGAATTGCTTTCTGTCTGGGTAAATTAGGGTTGCGTACGCAGATCCCTAAGATGAGAACAAGAACCCGTTGTGCTTATATGTGATGCAGCTGAGGAGGAGATGAAAAAAAAAAAAAGGGTGAACAAATGGAACTGCCTTGATTTAGCAGTTTTGTTTCTATTTGATAAGAGAAACAAATAAGCAAGCAAGCGAACAGAATACACACATTTTTTTTCTTTCGTCACATTTGTCAAATGACTAAATTAAGATTTGTTGAATAATAAGACAAGGTGCCTAGAGAGGTATTCAGGAAACTGTCCGTATTAGCAGTGTGATAAAAATTTGTAAAAGCAGAGGCTGGGTGTTCATCTGTCAGAGCCATTTTAGGAAAAACTATTGAATTTGCTGGATTCCTGGCTTCCTTCTATCGCTGAAAAATTTTTATGTTGAAAAATTATATTTTCATGAACTTTGAATTTAGAGCACAAAGGTGGTGTGGGAAAGAAACATTTCAATGTAAATGCATTCCAATACATGAAACCCACCCACTCCCTGCCAACATGTTCATACAAAATAGTTAGCATTCTTGTTGGCTAAATATACTAAATTTGAATTTGGGAAAAAACAATATATATTATTTTTAACATGCAACTTAAATGTTAAATTTCCTTTGGTTGATATGAAAGGCTTTTTATTGCAATAAAATGATACTGGAAGTTCTATCTAAAAATAAAATATGTGACTATAAAATGCATTCATCAGTTATTTTTTCCCTCTTTTCATCATTTAATTACCCGATTTTCCATAAATATGCTAAAAAAGGAACAGAATGGATTAGTTGAGCTCAATTTACTTCTCTGGACAAGATCTGAGCAATTAAAGAGATCAATCCTATTTATAATATTTTCTCATTCCAACATTTCCCAGGTTAGAATATATTTCTCTTTTATTCAGAATAGAAAACTCCCATATATCACTTTACTAATTAGAAGTTTTTTTTTAATTCCACTAGCTGTGAATATATCTCTCATTGCCATATCATTGAACAAAGTAGTATACCTTAAAAGCAGCTTTAAAGTTAAAGAATTTAACAATATGTGCCCATATTAATTGTAATCTGCTGGAACGTCTTGGTTGGCATAGTGTTATAACAGTGATAAGGTAAATCAAAGCAGATCTGTTCTGAACTGTTTTCAACTTCAGCACATCAAGTAAAATGGCTACTTGTTCCATATGTTGTTTATTCTGAAATGTGAAGGATAGTTTATATTAAACATCTGCCTGCATATTGCTTCCATAACCACATTCATGTGAGAAAAAAATCACAAACTTCACTGAGTGTTCTATAACCTTTAAATATACAATATAATAACATTTTCTTTAGACTGACAATAAACTAGGCATTCAGCTTTGATATAATTTTCGAGGGCTTATGTTGCCAGAATCCTTGGTATGTTTTATATCAGTGCAAGGAAAGATGAGTGACTGCAATCAATGAGCCCATAAAAGCCTTCAGTTTTGTTTTGTTTGTTTGTTTGTTCTACATTTAAGATTTTAAAAGTCCTTCAAATGTCCCTTTTAATTAGAAGTAATTTTCGACGTATTTGCCTATTTAAAGGCTTCTATACTGACTCTAATATATGCTTTGAACAGATCTCAAGTTGCAGTTTTAAATTCTTATCTTTTTGAAAATGAGCTACTCATTTATTTTCTGGGTGTTCCTAGAACTGCTTAGCTTTTGAATTTCACACTGCTTCTCTGTCATCTGCTGTGTCCTGCCTGCTGCTTCCCTGTACCAAAGAAGGACCTCAAAATCTGCTCATGGATCACAACTTTTCTTTTCACAAATCTTTTTTATTAAACACTCACTGTCCTAGCTTACAATGTGTTTTCATTCTGTGTGTTCTTACAGCATATCTCATCTCTTCTTTAGGAAACAAATACTGTGATCTTCTCTAAATATTTTAACTATTATTTACTGTAACACTGTCTTATATCTATACCTGGCATCCTTAGATAGACTCTTTGAGAGCAGAAACCATTTCACATTCTTGACATGTTTCTTACATCTTTTCTAGCCTTTTTATTTATTGGTTAACTTGACATTTTAATATAAGAATATATTTCTCACATTTGGAGAATCAAAGTAAATTTTGAGCCTAAAAAAGTCATTGTTACCCTGAAATCAGATTTCATTTATCTCTGGCATGTTACCAAGAAAGAAAAGATCTGATGTTGGGGAAGGGCTGTACCAATGTCAAATAACCTCTTTTATAAAGGTGTGCTGTTTCTCATCCATGTAACTATATACATTTGAATCAATTTATTATAATAATTGAAATGAGATATGTTCAGTGATTCCCTTATGTTCTCTTGTTGCAAAACAAAATAAATTTCCACAGCCCACAAGAACTCTTTACTCAATGGTTCTTAATATTGGCTGCACAGGAAAATCATCTATGGAACTTTTAAAAAGACAGAGATGCTCAGGCACTTCGTGGAACAATTAAATTAGAATATACAGAGATGGAACTCAGGCACCAAATTTTGTTTTTTGGTATTGTTCAGCTAATTGTAATAGTCAACCAGGATTAAGTACCACTAGTTTAAAAGGAAATCATAATAAAGAAAAGTAGATGGAAGGGTAGCAAAGAGAAAGTGAGCCCTGCTCCAAAGACTGATCCAGACAAATGTGAGTATATCCTCTACTCCTATCCTGAAAGATGGTTAAGATTGTACTGTGTCCCATGTGTATGTGTCTGCATATTGTGCCAACACTATATGGTATGTAAATTCCCACCAATTTCAGTTACTACTTCAGCTTAGTGACACAGCTTAGAAGTATGAATTATTTCTGAACTATGAGGTAAATACTAGTCCAATTAAACTCAGTTCATGAAACTAGAATAAAGGATATAGTCTACTTCTACTTCCTCTGCATTTTTGTTGTTTTCCTTGGTTTGCCTTTATGCTTAATCTCTGCATTTTGCTATCAGAAAATGTCTCTGACTCCAGTAATTTCCAGTAACACAGGATATAGTTGAAAGACGTAGTGCTGTAGGATTAATTTCTGTAGGTCTAGAGACAATATAAATAAGGCAGAAGATGGACAGCTATTTGATGCAACAGAAGCAAAGTTTTACCACTATTAACAGCCAACTGAAAATTTATTTAACTAAAGCCACATAAAGCAGAGGGTGTCAAGGTTCAATTGGAAAGGAATAATCTGGGGTCCTTTTTTTTTTTTTTTTTTTTTGATTCAGCAGGTTTGGAGAGGTGCTTTTGGCGAATATGGTACAGGTGTTCCCTGAACCACTCTTTGAAAAACACCCTCAACACTAGTTACACATTAAATTAACATGGGATACTTGTGAATAATTAATTCTATATTGTGGATTTCATACTGAAGCAAAGAAATCAGAATCACTGGGACTAGGGACTTGCTATATTTCAGAGCTTCCTAAGATATTCTGATGCATAATAAAACTAATGGCTAGGGTCTGGAATGTGCAGAGTTAGATTTTACGTTAGCAGTGGATTCAAATTTACTCAGAAAGGGCTGATCAGAAAAGAAATACACCTTTCCAGTAAGTTATAAAATGATCATTATAAATAACAAGTGTATCTCATCACTCAACTACATTTCAATTCTGAGCAGCCAGAAGCAAAACAAGGTGATATTAATTTGAAGGCAGAGCAGAAAGAGATTTCATATTTATCTTAAGGCTAGGTCTCTTCTTGCTCTAGAGTGGCCTCTGCCCCAGACATCTCAAGCCCACCTGCTCAACCAGTCATTATCACTAAACTATTGTGGGATCATCAAACAATAGCCTCGATTGTCATGCTGTAGAAAAGAAAATGATTATTTAATTTGAGTGATTTGAAATCTTAGCCATAACGACAGAATAAATGTTTGGTTGGATCCCATTGGAAAAGAAAAAGCCAGAGCTGTAAGTAACTGGGCATCCTCTTCAAATTTCCCATGATTTTTATAGAATCCTACTATAAACTCTGCCCATTGACTGATCTCTTCAAAAGAGTAGAGAAATGTGTGTGTGTGTGTGTGTGTGTGTGTGCGCGCGCGCGCGCACTTATATTCAGTAGAAATTTTAGATTCACATCAAACATATTACACCTTTCTGTGAAAAGATGGGATTACTAAAAAGATAATATATGGAACAGAATATAGAGGTATGATTCTATATGAAAACAATTATCCAGTAATATTTTGATCCTAGCAACACTCAGGAGGTAGTGCCAAGGATAGAAGTCTCTCTGCTTGCTCCTCTATTCTCTTACATCTATTCTCTTAAACATGTATGAACAGATAAAGACCTGGACAAAACTAAAAAGTAGGTGAGATTTCATTTTTCACGATTACACATTCTTTTCTGGACTCGTTCCTTCTCTCCTTGGGCAGAAGAAATTGTCACTATAAGAAAAATAGCAAAAATTGGAGAAATTCTGAAATTAGGAGCCGGTCAGTAGGGAATTGAGCTAGGAGTAGGGTGCTTCACGTCAGATCAAGTTCATTCATTAGATAATTCACTAATTTATTGGATGCCTGTGGTATGCCAGGAAATGCTACAGATTCTGAAAAACAAACAAACAAACATGGTCTCAGTCATCAAGGAGTTTCTATCTTGAGGGTAAGGGAGGATTTTAATCCTAAAAATGAATGGCAAAAGCTGATACATTATATGCAAAAAGTATAGGGTACTCTGAAAGTAATAAGGTGAAATATCAATCAGAATTGGGCCCCAATCTTTAGACATCAGTTTCAAAAAAAGGGCACTAACAAAGAATGAAGAGAAAATAAAAAGAATGAGGAAGAATATTGAGAAGGAAAAAGAAAAGCAGAAGAGACAGCTGCCAGAGAACATAAGAAAATAAAAGGTTTTAAGGTAAAAAGACTGAGCAATTGTGTTGACATCAGTTGGGGAGTCAAGTAAGTTCAGAATAAAGAAGTGTGAGTGCCCATAGTGTTTTACAAACTGAAATTTATTGGGTACCGTGATGAGAGCAGTTTTAGTGAAATAGTTGCTATGGGGACAACTTACAATGGGTTAAAGAATAAATAGATTGAAAGTAAATACGGATGTGTCTAAATAGACGATGAAAAGTATGAACTGATGTGTTGAGAAGTTCTACTATCCAGGAAAGCATAATTTGGGATAAATCCTGAAGGAGGATAGAAAATCACACTACTTTGATTTCATTTTATTTAGTTTTTTAATAAAATGAAAAGGTTTTCATGCTGCTGGGAATAATTTGTTGGTAAGGCAGACATGAAAGATGCAAAAGAAAGAAAGGATAAGGGAGGTGCAATGAAGAATGCGATGGCAGATATAGCCCAGAACCCAGCTGGACAGACTGTCCTGCTTTTAGACCAGGATTGACACATTTAGTATAACAGCAAACAGAGAATGTGCATGTGATCAAAAAGAAGCAAAATGTCCCTGAAGAGTGATAATTTTTTAATCAAGAATGAATGAAAGTTAATTAAGAATGTAGGAAGAATAAAAGTAAGTGAGAGAAATGAAGAAAGAAATGAAGGGAGGGAAGAATCATTTTGGGATGGGAAAGGAGACTGACTAGGGAAATTTGACCAAAGTATAAGGAAGACCATCAGCTGTAAGAGGGATAAGGCAGAGAAACAAAGCTGGATGTTGGAATAGTATATAGATGAAATAGTCACTGTTGAGGATGGAAAATAAGACTCCTAAAATCTTACACATTGACCTCTCCATTCTACCATATGATAGGCCAATGATTTACAGCAGTGGTTCCCAACTGGGGTGACTCCCCACTCCTCCTGCAAGGCTCATTTGACAATGTCTGGAGACATTTTTTTTTTTTTGTTAAAGAAGCTGAGAGAGTCCTACTGCTATTTAGGGGATAAAGGCCAGGGATGCTACTGAATATCTGACAATTTACATGGTTCCCTCTGACCCCTCACTGAGAACTATCTGGCCCAAACCATCTGTAGCACTGAAATTGAGAAAAATGACTATAACTTGAAAGATAACTATAAAAATAAGAATTTTCTGCTACTGGATTTTAGGATTTTAGTTAAAGAAAATTATGATCTCTAGTAAAGAGTATGATTGCTTTCAAACCTATAAAACAAGGAGTTATTTAAAATTTCTAGCTAAACCTTTCTATGGTAATGTAGGTTGCTTTTTTCTTCTCTCCTCAGACAGTCTGGAAAATAATTCCCTCACATTCATTTTTTTAAAGTGAGTATAACTTGAATCATCCTCTGCTTTCTCATTCATGTTTTTTTTTCTCCCCAAATATAGTTCACTTTCTAACAGAGGTGTATGTTTTGAACATAAAAGCCTTCCCATGACAATGACTATTACCATTGTTTGGCAGTTTTCCAAAGGCATCCAGGAGGAGCAGAAAGGTCTGTGTAGAAGGAGCCAGTTTTGTAATGTCAAGGGCTCGGGAGAGAGTGTTGTAAATAATGCTACAGATGTTTTCCTTAGAAGTCTAAATACAATTTCCTATAATACAATGTTAGTATTATGGTAAGCATTTCTTAAAGCAAGTGTATTCTCTATTGTAGTTGCTAAAGGACCTATAGTTCATCTTTAGCTTTGAACAAGAGGCTATGGGTATGAATTAGCCAACAGCAAAACATAGATGGAATGAAACCATACAGCCCGGTGTGCTGAGAAAATAGTGGAGGGATACTTTCAGGAGAATACCTATAATATCCAAAGTCTGACCTCGGTAGGTAAGTAAGTCAAACTGATCAACAGAAAACATACATTTAAATGGGACAAGTGTTCCATAAATAGGTTTGATATTAAAAGGAGATTAAAAAGTACATACACATTTGACTCAAAGATTTATACGCTAAAGCTATTTTATTAGTAGTAGTAATTAAACGGTATTTCATGAATCATTTGTTTCCATTTAAAATCATAGTAATCATGTTTGGCCGGGAGCGGTGGCTCACGCCTGTAATACCAGCACTTTGGGAGGCCGAGGTGGGCAGATCACGAGGTCAGGAGTTCGAGACCAGCCTGACCAACATTGTAAAATTTTGCCTCTACTAAAAATACAAAAATTACCCAGGCATGGTGGTGCATGCCTGTGATCCCAGCTACTCAGGAGGCTGAGACAGTAGAATTGCTTAAACCCGGGAGGCAGAGGTTGCAGTGAGCCGAGACTGTACCATTGCACTCCAGCTGGGATGACAGAGCAAGATGCAAGAATCCGTCTCAAAACAAAAACAAAAACAAACCCCACAGTAATCATGTTCAAGGATGATAAAAATGTGAAGATTTTGTATTTCAAAAACTATGTAGAAGTTTTCGTTGTTTGTGATCAAGCCAAGCCACAATATGATTATACTGTTATTTGAAAATTTGAGATTTTATTATAAAACCTTATGAATAGCTCGTCTTTATGCATGCAACTAAATGGAACAGAGTAGATTTCTAAAAATAAAACTTTAAAGAGAAACAGAATTTTTACTTATGTAGTATTTAAGCCACTCTTTAAATCAAACCTTTTTTTATTTGAGATAATTGTAGACACATGCGATTGTAAAAAATATACACAGAAATATTCTGTGTACCCTTTACTCTGTTGCCCCCGGTGGTAATGTCTTGCAAAATTATAGTGATTAGATATTAATAAAATAAAAATACAGAACATCTTCATCACCACAGTACCACTCATGTTGTTCTTTAATAGCTATGCTTACTTACCTCCTACCCCCAACCTCTTTTCAAGAGGTGACAACCACCATTCTGTTCTCCATTTGTATGATTTTATAATTTCAAGAATAATATTAATGGGCTTATACAGTATGACACCTTTTAGGATAGGCTTTTTTTCACTCACTATAATTCTCTGGAGATTCATCCAAGTTGTCACACATATCAATGACTTCTCTCATTTTTAGTAACTCCATGGGAGGAATATGGTAAACTATTTTCCAGAGTGGCTGTACCCTTTTAGCAGTCTCACAACATCATAAGCAATAAATGAGTAATCCATTTGCTCCAATACTGGCCAGCATTTGGTGTCATTACTAATTTTTATTTTAGTCATTCTAATAGATGTGTAGTAATATTGCATTGTGGTTTTAATTTGCATTTCCCTGATGGCTAATGATGTCGAATGTTTTCATGTGCTTGTTTTCCACCTGTACCTTCAGTGAAATGTCTCTTCATGTTTTTGCTCGTTCTCTAATTATATATTTTTTTACTATTAAGTCTTGAGATTTCTTTATATGTTTTAGATATAGTCCTTTGTTGAATGTGGTTTGCAAATATTTTCTGTCCTCAGCTTATATATTCAGCCTCTTAACAATGTCTTTCAAAGAACAAAAGATTTGCCCATCTTTCTTTTTATGGACCATACTTTTGGTTTCAAGCTTAATAATTATTTGCCTAAACTCAGATCCTAAAGCTTTTCTCCTATGTGTTTTTCTAAAAGTTTTATAGTTTACGATTAAGCCCATGATTAATTTTTTGTTAATCTTGGTATAAGCTGATAGCTTCAGATGAGGTTCCTTTTTTTTTTTCCTTCTTATAAAAGCCTTTCTTTCCTCCATTGAATTGCTTTTATGATTTTGTTAAAAATCAATTAGCCATATTTTTGTGGGTTTATTTCTGAGTTCTGTATTCTGTTCCACTGATTTATGTGTCTATCCCTGTACCACTACCTTGTCTTGATTAATGTAGCTACATAATAATTCTTAAAATAAAGGTCAACTGAATTTTCTCATTTAACTCTTAATTTTCAAAAATAGTTTTAGCAATTAAGTCCTTTTCCTCTTGTACAAAATTCTTAGATAATCACATCTACATCTACAAAACATTTTGCTGGTATTTTGATAGGAATTGTGTTAAATCGAATATCAATTTGAGGAAAATTAGAATACTGTTTACTATATTGTTTTCCAACCATGAATAAGCAGCACTCTATTTATGATCTTCTTTTTTTTCCTTCAACATTTTGCAGTTTTAACCATATTAGTCCTGTACGTTTTGTTAGATTTATACCTAAGTTTTTCTTTTGCATGAGCAATTATAAATATTATATTTTTAATTTGTGCTTACCTGTTCATTAAAAGTATACGGAGGTATAATTGACTTTTGTATGTTGATTTTGTATCCTATAACCTTGCTAGACTAACTTATTAGTTCTAGAATTTTTTCTTTTTTGTAGTCCTTGAGATTACCTACATAGGCAAAGATGTCATCTGAAAATTGGGAACATTTTATTTCTACTTTTCCAATGGGAATACCCTTTTTCTCTTTTTCTTGACTTATTTCACTGGCTATAATTTACAGTACTATTAGACTTATTTCACTGGTTAGAATTTACAGTACTGCTGGACTTATTTCACTGGCTATATTTACAATACTGTTAGAAAAGAGTGGTGAGGGTGGACATCCTTGCCTTGTCCCTGATCTTAGAAGAAAAGCATTCAGTTGTTTACCATTCAGTATGTTGCCCTCAAGGTTTTTGGGATGCTATTTTCAAGTTGAGGAAGTTTCTCTATTCTGAGCTTTCTGGGATTTTTAATCATTGATACATATTAAATTTTGTTAAATTTTTTTGTGCATTGATTAATTTTATGATTTTTCTTCTTTGGCTTCTTCATATGATGGATCACAGGATTAATTTTAAAGCTCTGAGGCTTGCATAATATAAACCTTATTGGCCTTGGTTTATAATTATTTTTATTTATTGTTGAATTCTATTTGCTAATATATTTTAAGGATTTTTGCATTTATGCCATAGGGAATATTTTTCTGTACTTTTCTTTTTTTGTACCACATAGTCTGGTTTTGTTCTCAGAACAACAGTACCATCATAAAATGAATTGGAAGTGGTTCTTCTTCTATTTTCTGAAAGAAATTGTGTATAATTATTAATAATTATTTAATCATTTAATAAAATACATTCCTTCCAGTGAAATCTTCTAAGCCCAGAGATGTATTTTGGGAGTGTTTTAATTATAAATTGCATTAATAGTTACAGAGCTTTCAAATTATTGATTTTGTAACATATAAACATATATACTATATATCATGATTAATATACCATATATTACATATTATATACAACATATGCATATATTATGTATTTGCATATGTATTATGTGCATGCATATATGAGGTCCTTTTTCTCCCTGCTCAATCTAACCCTAAATATTATTAAAACTATTAGAAACAAATATAGTGATATATCTTATTTCCTCCAGGTTGAGAGGGATCTCAAAGTCGACATAAAACGGAGAGTAACATGATGAGAGATAAGCATATTAGTATTCAATTTCAGACATTATTTTAGAAAAAATAAAACTTAGAGTTTATTCTGTTGTTACAAAGTATGGCTGTCATGAACATACGTCTCTTAGATCAGAAACAGCAGGAAGTGTGTAAGTGATCAACAACTCCAGGCACTGTGCTATGAAATCTGTCACTCATTTCATGATGAGACCACACATCCTGCCGGCTTTTCCTGCCACGACTGATTGAGGCAGGATACCAGGGCCGACGCATTCTTGGAGACAGTGGACTCCACTGAGAACTCATTTGGCTTGAGAACTCCCCATCATCTTTGCTGAAACTTTCTTAGAATTGCTCCAGGATCTCATACTTCTTCTGCCTTTTTTTTTTTTCCTCTTACCTTCCTTTTCTCCCTCTTACCTCCTCTGGGATTAGAACTGCATCCTTATTTTCGTCACTTGGCCCAAAGATTACTAAAATAGAAGTATTTAAATATTGAGGAAGCTACCGAGTCTCCAAAACCATTTAATATGTAATTTTTTTTAATGCAAAAACCACTCTTAGCTTCTATCCCTAAAACCAACAACAAATAGACAATGGCTAGATTTGGTCTCTGGGCAGGGGTTTTTAGATACCTGACTTAGATTATTTCAAGGGTCAGACAGTGAAGCCTATAAAATCCATGTTCAAATCTTTGCTTCAGTACCCCTAAAAGTATTTTGAAAAACTGTTTCTGTTCGTACATGCTTATAATGACACCTAAAGTTTTTATCTTAACTTTCATAGTTGCAAAGAATGTAATTACACCCATAATTATATTGCATGTGTACAATAGGTATGATTTTATTAAAACTTTGCAAGTGCAGATTTAGAATATTCAATTTATAGAAAATATATATCTAAAAATACAAATGACAAAGCTAGTCATATCTTTCTCAAATTCAGTGTAACTTCGTATAAGAAAAAAGATGACTTTACTTTTCAAGTTTTATGTTATAAAGTTTCACCACAAAACCTATCTCAGTTTTGATTTTTAATTATAAGGGATAGGTAGGTAAAAATATGGGTAGACACAGATATATAGGTATTTACAGGTGGGAGATTGATAGATGGACAGACATAGTTAAATAGATATATAGATAGGTGGGAGGTAGATAGATGGACAGGTAATGGGCTGGTGAAGGAGGCAGGAGTGCAGAGACAAGTAGAAAAGGCAGTTAATTTCTTGATTTTTTTCTTTTTTTGGTGCCCTGGAGATTTTTTTTTTTTTTTTTTTTTTTTTTTTGAGACAGAATCTCACTCTGTTGCCCAGGCTGGAGTCCAGTGGTGCGATCTAGGCTCACTGTAACCTCCGCCTCCCAGGTTCAAGCGATCCTTCTGCCTCAGCCTCCCAAGTAGTTGGGACGACAGGTGCCCACCACCACGTCTGGCTAATTTGTGTATTTTTAGAAGAGATGGGGTTTCACAGTATTAGTCAGGCTGGTCTCGAACTCCTCACCTCGTGATCCACCTGCCTGGGCCTCCCAAAGTGCTAGGATTACAGGTGTGAGCCACCCTGCCGAGCGGAGATTTTTATACCTTGGAACCATGTCGTAATGGAATTTGGAATGAGTTGGTGATCGTTTCCACTTCCTTCTGTAACATTGTAGCAGGATTCTCAAAAGGGAGTTGGGGTTAGGAAAGCCACACTAATCCTTTGCTAAGTCGGATCTGTTTTGGAAAGGGTATACGTGGAAAATAATATCCTCAATTCCACCTGTGCCCAGTTACCCCACCCCAAAAGTGGTTCATTACCTACATAGCTACATGTACCTTAATTTGAAGACCATGCTATAAGACCCCAAATGTTCCATATACAGTCATGCACCACATACAGATGTTTTGGTCAAGGATGAAACTCAAATAATAAGATAATGATCCCATAAAATAATAATGGAGCTGAAAAATTCCTAGCACTTAAGGACATTGCAGCTATCTATATGTTGTAGTACAACACATTACTCATGTGTTTGTGTGACGCTGGTGTCAACAAACATACTGCACTGCCAATCATGTAAAAGTATAGCATATACAATTGTGTGCATCACATACCACTTGGTAATAAATGACAATGTTATGGGTTTATACACTTACTATACTATACTTTTATTATTATTTTAGAGTGTACTCCTTCTGCTCAAAAGAACACTGTGAAATTGCCTCAGGCAAGATCCTTCAGGAGATATTCAGAAGAAGGAATTATTATCACAGGAGATGAGAGCTCCATGTGTGTTATTGCCCCTGAAGATCTTCCAGTGGGACAAGATGTAGAGGTGGAAGATAGAGAGATTGAGGGTCCTGACCCTGTGTAGGCTTAACCTAGTGTGTGTGTTTGTGTGTTAGTTTATTTAAGCTTACAAAGTAGAAAAAAAGTTTAAAAATTTTCTAAATAGAAAAAAGCTTAGGCTATAAAGAAAATATTTCAGACAGCTGTACAGTGTATTTGTGTTTTAAGCTGTTATTACAAAAGAATCAAAAAGTTAAAAAAAATAAAAAGTTTTAAAGTAAAAATTTACAGTAAGCTAAGGTTAATTTATTGTTGTAGAAAGAAAACCAATTTTTATAAATTCAGTGCAATCTAAGTGTACACTGTTTACAAGTTCATAGTGTACAGAATATCCTAGGTCTTCACATTCAATCACCACTCACTGACACACCCAGAGCAACTTTCAGTCCTACAAGCTCCATTCAAGGTATGTGCCCCATACAGGTGTACCATTTTTAATCTTTTATACCATATTTTGATTATACCTTTTCTATGTTTAGATACACAAATACTTACCTTTGTGTTACAGTTGCCTAGAGTGTCCAGTATAGTAACAGCCTGTACAGGTTTGTAGCATAGGAGGAATTGGCTATACCACATAGCCTAGGTGTGTAGGAGGTTGTGCCGTCTATGTTTGTGTAACTACGCTCTATGATGTTCACACAATGGTTAAATTGCCTGATGCATTTCTATGATCATACCCCTGTTGTTAAGCAACGTATAACTGTATAACAATAATATGTTAAGAAAGGTTTGTGTTATTGTTAACGGTGAGTTAATAAATATATAACTCTACACTTACAAATTTAGAAAATTTTGTGATACTGTACACCTGTTGTTTCTCTCCCTGATCAGTTGCTGCTCTGTGTAAACACATCGGTAGTATGAGATTCTCATTGCTTGCCTCCTCTGCTATCAGCCTTCTTGCACTGGGAGATGCAGAGTTCACTTCATTGGCAGTGCCTGTGATTTATAGGGAGTGACAGCTTACTAATAAGCCACCTTTTTCTCCCTGTTACTTAAGGACTCCAAGGAGGCGTGGGAATATCCTGAGTAAACTGTGAGATATCAAAAGATGGATGTTATTTCCCACCTCTTCTGTATGGATTTAGACATCCAGATGCAAGATGTATTTTGAAATTCATATTTCTACAAAGGACATCACTGAAGGCAAAATAATGCTTTTGTTAAATGTAATACAAGTTATCATTTATGTTTTAAAAACTTTAAAAATTAATTATTTCTCACAGAAATTATGTAGCACACAGTAAGTATGCAGGATGTTTTTCATGAGTTCCATTAAAATGGACAGAGCAATTAACTGTCTTCTGCATCAATGAATAGTCCTTCAGAGGACCCCTTCTAATGAAAGTAGGCTTTCAAAACCCTATAGACCCAGATATAAATAATATAACAAAAAATTATAATAAGAGTTACCAACAAAATGTTCACATAAAATCTATGAAAATGTGATAGGACAGGGCTAGATGACTTCCCAGGCTGATTAGCTCAGACACTATTTTACAAGGAACAGATGCTTCAGTAGGGTTTAGCCAAGGGAATATCCCCAATAAACACACCAATTACCACCGCTGGTTACAGGAAAGTTAAACAGGTAGCAATACTAGATAGTCCATGGAAACCTTGGTGAGCCTAAGGCTGTTAACACCTTAATTATTTCTTTTGAAAATAAATTGATCTCTCACAACACATTCACACACACACACACGGGTGTGTGTTGTCAATCTCTTTTATAAATGTAATCTAATCTTCCATATTTAGTAAGCATTATATACATGATGTAGCTTACTTAAGTGCCCGTTTTGTGTGTACATTTTTCAAGTACTCTTAGCATATTTTTACTGTTTTACCTATGTGAATTCAGATTTACGTACATTCTAATAAAAGGACAGTTCAGAAACAAATTCCTAGCAGAAAACAGCTATGTTCACTTTGTATATTTTAAAAGGCATGCCTGATGGTTTACTGAGATATAGAAGTACATAAAAGCTTTATTAGTGTTTTATTAAAGGACTAAATACATAAAAAATAAGTAACTTCCCTAGTGCTACTCTATAAATAAAAGTGATCTCTCTGGTAATTGATATCTCCATTTCTTTTGTGTTCTTGCTTTTCAGTCTTTGATTACAACAGAACACTTGGCATTGCATTGAAATCAGTACAACACAGATTCAGATCCAAACTCGGTCTCTAAAAGATCTTGCTCGTTTAATAAAGAACTTTCCTACAAGATCCTGTAGTTGTTTTGGTCTCTTTAAAGATCTCCATCCCTAGGCAAACTTACATCTCTGGAAACTGCATTTTGAAATGTTTCTTTGGACCAGGCAATGCCTGTGAAAAGGTTATTTGGAATGACACTTCTCTAGAGACTTGATACATCAATCTGCATGTGATACATTAAGCAAAGTTGCTCAGAATGTACACACACTCAACTGAAAATTGAGATACATTAAACAATGCTGCTCAGAATGTACACACACATACACACACACACTCAACTCAAAATTGAGGTACATTAAACAATGTTGCTCACACACACACTCTCAATTTAAAATTATTAATGAATTAAAAGTGGAAAATGGGATTCAATAGAAAGAGTCCATAATCTAACAAATTATGTGCTTTCAAAGCACATTAAAATCCTAAAAATCTTAACAGGGCTGCTTTATTAGAGAACAGTTGCTTTGCTTCTGGAATCACGATTTCAGAGGCAAAGTGTGTCTCATTTCACTTGCAATTTTATAATGAGATTCAAACCAACATTAAAGAGTGGCATATTTGTTTTCTGAAGGATATTCCCTAGGCATGCCCAAGGCCAGCCTGGCTTCCTGTCTGTGCCATTGTTTGCACATTTTGTAAATATCACTTGAGTTTTTCTGTATCCTATCATAAACTCCCAAATTCCAAATGACCTCCCACATCTACCACACCGCAAATGCTGCTTTAATATCTTGAAAGACACAGTTTAAATTAAAAAAAGAAATCTCTTCAACAAAGGTCACCTAAGCACCATCTTCACAAAGGGAATATATTTCTACTGTCTATTCTATCTCCATTTTGATTGTGGACTGCCTGCTGCCTACTTTGCATTCTGTTCTCTAAAAGGCTTATTAATGGGGTCTAGAGGGAGGCTGTCAGAAATGGCAGACTGAAACAAGAGATTTTCCTTCAATATCCAAATGACACACTGAAGCTAAAGAATTAAACAGATGACTAACCAGTGCCCTTTTGTCTGAAGATGAAGGTGGGATTGCCAACTTGCAAACCAAAAACTGACATTTGGGTGGATTAAACCATCCTGCTATTGTGCTGCTAGTTTATAATCACTACTGCTTTCTTGATCTCAAGTGCCTCAGCAAAAGCCTTCTTAGTTCTTAGAGTCATGCTTGTAGAAATCCTCAGCTGAGCTTGTGTTGTAAACATTTATCCACCAAGAAGCAGTGTTCTGACACTAACTGAGAAGAAGCGTTGGCTTCTAGGTATTTAATTAAAACATTAAGGGAAAAAGCTTTCATGTCAACATTCACAAGTACTTCCTATGGCTGAGGGTTGCTATAATTGAGTTGCCCTGCAAATGCATTCCTCCCCTTCCCAGCCTTCTTTGAGAGCTGCAATAGCTTGAGGTTCACTTTGCTCCATGCTGTTAGTTGTGGCTTTGAGACTTTGCCCCATGCTGTCACTCTCCTGATTCTCTCAATCTGGTTGTTAGCTTTAATTTCTAAAATCAAGATTGGATGGCAACAAGGGGCTTTAATGAAGAGTGGAAAAGACATTTGTTAAACAGCATTAAGAATTCTTATTTGAACTGCTATAAAATGTGGTCAAGCCAAATGCTTTCTGCTTTTATGAATCATCCAATTTCCTTTACCACATAATTAATGTTAATAAGGAAAATGCATTGTGTGGGAACTAAATATATCATAATAGATGCTGGCTCTGGTTGTAGATTCCTACAGTGCCACCATTTTCATTTTGAGTTTCTGGGAGGACCTGTGTGTGATAAGGAAGGCCCTGAAGAACAAATCGGATTATGGTCATTTGATTGTTGATGAAGTTTATACAATAGAAGTACTTAATTTTCCTTAAAAATTGCATTTTTCAATAGAAAGACATTAAAAAGACATCTGGTAATGCCATATTACTGTACTTTTCTGAATAGTAGCATTTGTAAGAGAATATTTTTAAGCTACTCTATGTCTTGGGTAATTTAATATAACAAAGGGAGATTGCCCATACAATTTCTTCAGTGCATCAAATCAATTTAGAGAAGCTTTATTCCCTTTTCACAAAATATAAAGATACAGATTTCACAAAACATCCTAAAACAATCAAGATGGCAGCAACCAAGTAGTACAAGAAAGATGCAGAAATAGTTATAAAATTTCTGTTAAACTCATTTTCATAGAAAAATGCACATATTATTTGTGAGATTCAGCATATTCCAATGCATTCATTTCCTTTAAAAATAACATAACTACCTTTGACTTCATCCCCTTAATTTAGAAAAGTCCAATTTCTAAATTATTTCCTGACATGAAAAAGTTAACATGTCAATTGTACAAGTACTTATTGAAGACTTGTTAAATCGGTTAACACTGTACTAGTAAGTGGGAATACAAAAAAAATACATATAAAATAATGCCAATCCTGTAGAAATTATTTTTTCTGGAAGAGAAAAAAAATTTTTTATAAAGCTGAATAAAAATGAAGGCTACATATAAGTGCTAAATTAAGCAATTTAGTCAATAAAGTGACATAACATTACAGCAGGGGAAATACAGCTGCCATGGCAAGCCAAGCTGTGTACTTATCAGCTTCTTCAATTTTCCCAGTTCGTGCGGTAACTAGAGTTCTAGGCCAGTTGAAAGCTCCAATTACAAATATGAAACAAGTCTACCTTGACCATAGTCACATTGTGACTGGCTTTTCTCTTAATGTCTGAGTCCCTGCCTTGATGAACTGCAATTTACTGAGATTACGAATTTTTTCCCATCATACTCTCATTGGTCCTGCCTTTCCTTCTGTTCTTAATGCAGCCATGTTTCTATTTCTTGTGAAATCACGTTAATGGCAAATACCTGCTTGCCTGCTGCTTCAGCATTCAACTCACCTGTCAAGATCCTTGTCTGCCTTTTTTTTTTTAACCATAATTCCTGTGCAGTCCTACCCACATGGATGTCTGTTTGTAGCTTACTAAGCCATTTACTGGCTAAGTGTCAAACCTATCTGATGTACTACCAATCAAAACCTCTAATGTGCATGACCTACTCCCCTCAGGATATGGCTTCTTGTTGTTGTTTGTTTGGTTTGGTCTATCATACTATCAACTTATTGAAAAAGGGAACAGTCTAGTATATTCCTCCAAATAAATTCTCCCTCAGTGCTTTCCCCCTAAGACAGGACACAAGGAAGGACCACTTGGGATACAGGGAGGTTCAAGGAAAGCACAACACTTGACACAATTCTGTTTTCCAAAAAAGTAGCTTTCACTGTGGCTTACCCACTTTTACCAACTTCAAAACCAGCCTCTGTCTATTAACCACCATTCTCGACATCCATCCCATTATATGGCTTCTCATCTACACTTATGTAACTGTTAGCTATTAAATTATCCTTTTGGAATTTCAGTACAATTAAACAAACATTTTAATGAATTCCTAAGCTGTCCAGGCACTGTGCTAAGTGTTGGAAATATGATGACGAAAATAATGTGTCTGATCCTGCAAAAATTATCTAGTGACAGATAGCTCTGTCAGTACCTCAAAACTGAAATTAACTCACTTTCTATTCTCTTGATTTCTGCAATTACTTTTGCTCCCCCAACTAGTAGTAGCAAATTTACACTTTCACTAGTAAACAATCAACATGTGAGTCTGTTTCTAGGTAGGTATTTCCAGACACCTGAACTGCCTTGAATATTTCCAAAACCAATTCCCTATGCTGGAACACAAAACACCAAGATTCATTTTAATCAACTAGTTGACATGATACTTAGAGATTATGAAACTGGTACAGACGCTGAGGACAACATCATGTGTAGCCATCTGAACTGTTTTTACCCACATGTCTAACATCACATGAGAGGTGTCTTTTTCCTCCTGACACCAGTTCTCCAATTATCTACAGACAACAACTGGATGTCCAACTACTCAGAAATCGAATTGAACTATCTACCGATCCCTAGCCACTAGTTATTTCATTAGCAATACAGAAGACACTCTCATAACTCTGGGGAGTCCAAGGTTTTTAGGACTTGTATGACAGGAACTGGAGACAAAGACCAAATATTTATTTTTATTTTATCACAACATCTTAAACAAATTTTTATTTTCATACGCAATTCAGGACTGTACGATTCAAAGAAACCTGGCTGAATACGGACACAGAAGCTGAAATGTAGTCTGTATTCTACTCCCTAATATACTAATATATCTCTGGTTTATAACTGCATGTAATCAAACAGGGATTTTTTTTTCTAATATATCTACCAACAACTTTTTTACTAATTTTTCCAAAGGGGCAGTAAAAGAAAGCAGCATAGCAAGCCTAGTGACAACCACTTTAATTCTTTAACATTCTTAACGGTCAAAGATCCCAAAAGGGTGTATTACATTGCTGTCATTTCCTCATTTACTATGTATTCGTAACCCATTCCAATCTAGGTTTTGTGCCCATCACTTGGCCAAAATTGCAAGGTCACCACTAATTTTCATAGTGCAAGATTTAATGGACAATTTTCTATGTGTACCTGACTTAAAATCATCAGCCTTAGACACAGTCACTTCCTTAAAGAAAATAGCTCTCCTCATTAATCTTCTGGAAAGTCCTATCTTCCTGGTTTTGTTTCCACCTCCCTGGCCACCCTTTTTTAATCTCCTTTGTTAGTTAATTTCCCTCCACTTAATCTCGAAATGAAATGTTTCACATATTTAGTGATTCATCTTGAACATTCTTTTCTCTGTTTGCATACACTCCATTGGTAATACCATGCATTTCTGTAGTTTTCAAGTAGCATTCTATAAGTTTCCAGTTCTCAAATGTATAACTCTGGGCAAGGCCTCTCCTCTGAGCTCCATTCTCCATCTTTGTCTATCTAGGGACGTAGCAAGTGAAGAGTGTTCCCATCTTCCCTGGTTGTTCAGGGCTATCCTCTAGGTGAAAAGAGTCTTTATTCCTTCACTGCTGACCTGCATCTGCATATGCAAGGTTTCCAAGAGATTAAGACACACAGAAATTTGTGAGTACTGTACTAAATTATCTCACTCAGAACTGTATTTTTTCTTTATTACTCAACTAATCTTCTCACAAAGTGGCTCTAAGTGTAATTTTCTAATTTTTTGTATTTAACTTCCTTCTTAACATAAGATATATAAATATATGTATGTATGTATTTATATTATATATACATTATTATATATACATTATTATGTTAGGTTATATACACATATCATATATACATATTATATGTGCATATATACATGAAATATGTGATGTGTATATATAATGTATATGTAATAGATTATATATACGTGTTATATACATATTACATATTATATTTATATATTACATATACATTATATATACATGTATATATAATATATTATAAATATATGTATATATTATTTATTTTTAAACACAATGGAATACTACTTAGCTGTAAAAATAAAAGGACATCCTACCATTTGCCACAACACTGATGGACCTGGAAGACATTATGCTAAGTGAAGTAAGACAGAGGCAGAACAATATTGCATCATGATCTCACTTATAGGTAGAAGCTTTTAAAAGGGTCCAAACACAGCAAAAATAGAATAAAACAGTGGTTATCGGGGGCAGGGCTGGTGGTGAGGAAATGGGGAAATATGGTACAAAAGATACAAAGTAGCAGATATATAGGATGAACACTCCTAGAAATCTAACGTGCAAATGAGGACTGTAGTTGATAAAATTTTGTTGTTTTAGGAGTTTTTGTTAAAAAATTATTTTATCAAAGTCAAGAGATTGTGAAATATTTGTCATTCACATGTGTGTTTTCTTTTTTTTTGTTTTTTGTTTTTGTTTGTTTGTTTTTTTTTTTGAGAAGGAGTCTAGCTCTGTCGCCCAGGCTGGAGTGCAGTGGCGCAATCTCGGCTCACTGCAAGCTCCGCCTCCCGGGTTCACGCCATTCTTCTGCCTCAGCCTCCGGAGTAGCTGGGACTGCAGGCGCCAGCCACCACGCCCGGCTAATGTTTTGTATTTTTAGTAGAGACGGGGTTTCACCGTGGTCTCGATTCCCTGACCTCCTGATCCGCCCGCCTCGGCCTCCCAAAGTGCTGAAATTACAGGCGTGAGCCACCGGGCCTGGCCGTGTGTTTTCTATATGCTTTATAATGCCTAGAAAAGTGGTCCTCAATTATTATTAAACATAGGATACTCTCTGAAGCTTTAAAAAATATACAAGAACTAATCTCGCGCCACAAACTCTGATATAATAAGTTTGAAGGAGTACCTATGCGTATGTAATTTTGTAAACTTTACTAACTGATTCAGGAAACAGCCATGGTTGCCAAACACTGGATTAGAACAGTAGATGCTCAAAAACATTTGTTGATTGAACTGAATATTTTTAAGAGTCACAGTTATAATAAATATATAATTATTTAAAGAGTTATCTTGCTTCCAAAATACAAAATAAATAATTGTTGATAGATTTAGGGGCATAAGTCCATAAACTTCTGTTGTATTTTCAAACAACAACAAACTAACCAAAAAAGGCTATGTGTTATTTTTTTCCAACAAATCTAAACAGGCATTGATTGCAGTGTCCAAAATTAATAATAGGTACACAACCCATTTAATAAGAGGTCAATTGATTTGGGTCATTTTCATTTAGAAGTGGTCATAAATTAACTTACATGATGTTCTGCCAACAAATCAGGATGTCATTTTGATCCAAAAGGTGGTTACCTTTACCCTAGGAAAGTCCGTCCTATATATTACAGTCAAAAAGAGAGCAAAATTGTCTGGCTAGCAGAAAAGGAAAAACGTATTTTAATTTATTCACTCAATGTATTCATTCTTCTAAATTATTTAACATAAATGTTATAAACTTCTTAATCAGATAGAGAAAATTTCAGAAGTTATAGGAATAATTTGATTAAAAATTGATTTTTTTCCCGTTACCTCTGAACTCTGTCATTGTTAACTCTGTTGCTTTCAACTTTGAGATCTATGTGAATTGCCTGTATAAAGTGATTTTTTTCACTCAATACTTACATACATCACCTTTCTTGAAGAATTAATTAACCTAAAAAGATACAGATTGAAAACAGCCCACCATAATTTACGTGTGTAATGTAATTCCCTAGGATGTAATTTTATACCAGAAAATGGGTAATTTCTTTATTATTGTGAACTACTGTGAATTTTAATAGCTAAAAATAAATTATGAGTTGCTTTGAATCTGGTTTTCAAGAGTGTTCCTTAGGAATTTTGATAGCCTCTGCCATATGGCAAATATCACACCCATTTCCCTATTTATACGATGAGTGCTTTACTGCTGTTAATGACATTGTTCTCAATAGTTGATATTGATCCTAGTATGGCAAACAGAAATTAGAAAGACAAGAACTTCTGATACAGCCTTGAAGTGTGCTAGGGCAAGCGTATGAGAGTATGGGTATTCATTTCCTTGGTAACGATGGGCAGCCCCTCACCTGCTCTCACCTTATAGTTTCCTCTCTAGACTACTCAGCATTCTGATGTTACCAAAAGTTTAAGTACATGTGCTCCAAACACAAAGATATATGAAACCCTTTTAAAAATTATCCTGCCTTTCAAAATTTCTAAAATGCATTCATCGTAGGGGCCTTAATTCTGAATTTAGTATTTTAAAAGTTCATTTCCTTTTTTTCTTTTATTTATGTCTCCTGTTTGTTTATTATTTCTTCACTTGACATTATATTGAAATTTTAAACAATTATAGTGAAGGTTAACAGATTAAATTGGTCAATAACTATAGAAAGTGCCAACAAACAACAATACACATTTAAAAAATATGGGTCACACAATCAAGTAGTACAAGAAAGCATGCAAACACACACACACACATACGCACATGCTGTGCAAGAACACTGCAAATATTCAAAATATTTACATTTTTTTCAGAACCATGTTATACTGGTGTGTTTTAATAGCATTTGTGTCAGTAATTCAATTCCAGCATAAACCAGATTTGTTAAAATAGTTGTTGATTTCTAATATTTTCCTCTAAAGGTTTTACTTTTAGAGCTTTGGAAATAGATTTCTGTACGATGACTATACAGGGCATACTGAAAAGCATATCCCAATGGAAACCCCTTTGCATGATAGGGACTGCCTAAATTTTAATGACATTAGCTCTCTGCAAATGACATTCATTTCCTGCATATGCAAATTTTCTTAATGTGAACCCCCCCATAACAGGTAGAATATATAAAGTTAATGAAGCCATGTAATTACAATCACTATGGTGACTGCAATCCCCTGAGAACAATAATGTGATAATATACATGAGTTTTTACTTTCTTTGGAAACACAGCTTATAATTTGAAAACAGATAGTAAAATATTTTCATTATCTTCTTCCAGCTCCTAAGGCAAAAGCAGGTACAAATAGATTATGCTCTTTATTAACTGAAAATAAAATGATAAGAGAAAGGAAAAACACAATGTTTGTAATTGTTTATTTTCAACTTTCAATGACTTCATTTGGCTTCTGTGTAAAGCCTTCTTTGCTTTTAATCAGAAAAACACCAGGGCCATTGATTGGAGACATATATTTTTTCTTAAATCCTGACCTTTTATTGTTAACACAAGCAGGCTACATAACTAGTGCCTATTGCTATTGTGCTAACATGACATGACTAGTAATTTTAAACTGGGCAACAAAATCCTCAAATATTTCTCAGTGATTTGGGGAACCTGGGAGTGAGAGTGAAAAGATGATTTTTAGAAATTCTTGCTTTTTTAAAAAGTATGATTATCTGTGGTTTTGAGAGACCAGGAAACAAATAAACAGCGCATCAGAAAGTCTACAACTCTTTAGGCTTGTCCCCAAGATTTGCTAAGTCCATATTCAGTCCAAATGAAGATAATCATTCAGTAAAGGACGTTGTTGGCCCAGGAGTTTCTCATTAGCATTAGATTAGAAAAAATGATACCTCAATTTTTTCCCATTATCTCACAACTCTGTCCATTTATTTTAAAAAATACCACAAAAAGTATAATTCTTTTTTTTCTATATCACCCAGGAATATAGAGTATTACATCTTAAACCACCCACAAAGGCACTGAAATCAAACTATTAATACCAAAAGCATCTTATAATGTATGTGAGTATAGTCCACAAATGAACCTCTCTTTACATGCCTACCAGTTGATTCCACTTACTTTTACCCTCTCGCTCAAAATGAAGAGCCTTTTTCAACAAAGCAGAATGTTTTGGGCAAGAGTTGGTGGCACACAAATACATACTGAGAATTTCGTCTTCCAAGAATACCAGAGAAATATAGTTTGCTACAAAATGAAAAGTAGTAAAGTAAGATTCAGCTTTATGCAATTACATTTTTAAAAGAGTAACTTTTTGAAATTGTTTTAGAACACTAACTGGTTTTCTTAAATCTTCCAAGTTAAGGTTTCAGTGAGCTGAAATTGCGCCTCTGCACTCCAGCCTGGGTGACACAGCGAGACTCCATCTCAAAAAAAAAAAAAACAACTCTCGTCCTCCATAACTCCTGGGAGCCACTGATATTTTTACTGACTCCAAAGTTTAGCCTTTACTAGAATGTCATATAATAGTTGGAATTATATAGCATATGCCCTTCCAGATTGGCTTTTTTCACTTAATATGCATTTAAGTTTTCCACATGTCTTTTCATAGCTGGCTTGATAGTGCATTTTATTAAAACACTGAATAATATTGGTTGGCTGGATGAACCACAACTTATTTATCTATTAACCTATTGAAGGATATCTTTTTTGTGTCCAAATTTTGACAATCATAAATAAAGCTGACAAACATCTCTGTACAGGTTTTTATGTAAAAATAAGTTTTCAATTCATTTGGGTAAATACCAAGGAGTAAATAATAAATATTTTGACTTGA
This sequence comes from Homo sapiens, assembly GCF_000001405.40. NCBI lineage: Eukaryota > Metazoa > Chordata > Mammalia > Primates > Hominidae > Homo > Homo sapiens. The sequence continues at coordinate 8,974,268 of NC_000007.14, read as the reverse complement.
CTACTAAATTTTTATGACAGCAAGTTTTCATGAATTGACATCTGGGTCAGAACAATGTGTTTGGGGGATGGAATACGTATATTTAGGCCAATGTTTTAAAAAATACAAATAAAGAAAAATATCTTGCTCTTTGGCTAATTCACTAATTATGATACTACGTTCATATGAATTCATATTGTTATTTAGCATCCTTCCATTTCAACTTGAAGGAAATCCTTTATTAGATTTTGTAGCTCAGGTTTAGTGGTAATGAACTCTCTTAGCTTTCTATTATTTGTGAATAAATTATATATATATAAATTATATATATATGTGTATATATGTATATATACGTGTATATATATATGTGTGTGTATATATAATATATACACATATATATTAGCCAGGTGTTGTGGAATATGCCTGTAGCCCTAGCTACCTAGGAGGCTCAGGCAGGAGGATTGCTTAATCTCAGGGGGTCTAGGCTGCAGTAAGCTGTGATTGCATCACTGCATTCCAGCTTGGCAGAGTGAGACTCTGTCTCCAGAAAAGAAAAAATTTTTTTAAATCTCAAACAAATTATCGTTATGCCTCAAGAAAATTGAATAAGAAGAACAAACTAAACCCAAAGTCAGCCCGAGGAAAGATGTTAATAAAGATCAGGAAGAAATAAAGGAAATACAGAATAGAAAAAAAAAAAAAACAGAAAACAGAGAATTGATTTTTTTTTTTTTTGGAAAGGTAAACAAAACCTTTAGTTAGACTAACTAGGAAAGACAGAAGATTAAATACATAAAATTATAAATGAAAGTTGAGACATTACAACTGACACCACAGAAATACAAATACATCATTAGACTACTATGAACACTTTTATGCCAATGAATTAGATAAACTAGAAGAAATGAATAAATTCGTAGAAACATACAATTTATACCAATTGAATCAAGAAGAAATAGAACATCTAAATAGACCAACAATAAATGAGGAGATTAACTCATTGATCAAAAACCACTCAACAAACAAAAGCCCAAGACCATGTGGCTTCACTGGTAAATTCTACCAAACATTTGAAGAATTAATGCCAATTATTCCCAAACTCTTTCAAAAAAAAATCAAAGAGGAAGGAACACCTTGAAACTCACCCTATTAAGGCCAGCATTCCCATGATATCAAAAGCAGAACAAATTCTTAAAGCAAATTACAGCCAATATCCATGATTAACATATATATATGTATAGATAGATAGATAGTTAAAATCAACACATCAAACAGCACATTAAAAGGGTCACAGATCACAGTCAAGTAGAATTTATCCCTAAAACAGAAGGATAGTTCAACATACATGAATCATAAATATGACACACCACATTAACAAAATGAATGATAAGTCATATGATCATCTTAATAGATACAGGAAAAGTATTTGGCAAAATGTAACACACCCTTGCATGATGAAAATGCTCAACAAGCTAAATATAAAAAGAATGTACCTGAATATAATAAAGGCCATATTTATTGGCCATGACAAGCTTACAGCTAACGTTATCCTCTGGTGAGAGATGGAAAGGTTTTTTCTGTAAGATCAAGAACAAGGCAAGGATGTCCACTCTAGTCACTTGTATTCAAAATAGTACTGGAAGTCCTAGCCAGGTGTATTAGGCAAGAAAAATAAAAGGCATCCAAATCAAAAAGGAAGAAGAAAACTGTCTCTGTTTTCAGATGGTCTGCTCTTATATACAGAAAACCTTAAAGACTCCACCAAAAAGATGTTAGAATAAACGAAATCATTAACACCTAAGGATATAAAATCTACGTACAAAAGCCAATTGTGCTCAATACACTAAAAATAAATTATCAAAAAATGAAATTAAAAAACCATCTCATTTATAATAGCATAACAAATAATAAAATACTTAGAAATAATTTTAACCAAGAAGGTAAAAGATCTGTACACTAAACATTATAAAATGTTGATGAAATAAATTGAGGAAGACACAAACAAATTTAAAGATATCCTGTGTTTTTGAATTGGAAGAAGTAATATTTTTTAAATATCCATATTGCCCAAAGTGATCTGCAGATTAAAAGTAATCCAAAATTGCAATTATATTTTCACAGAAATAGAGAAAAAATTCTAAAATTCAAGTAGAACCACAAAAAAAATCCTGAATAGCCAAAGCAATCTTGAAAAAGAAAAACAAAAGTGGACCAGTTGCACTTCCTGATTTCAAATTATATTGCAAAGGTATCATAATCAAAACTGTATAGTACTGGCATAAAAACAGAAACATAGACCTATTGAACAGAATAGAAAACAGAGAAATAAATTTCTACATATATGGCCAACTAATCTTACACAAAAGTGCCAAGAATACAGAATGAAGAAAAGATATTATTTTCAATAGATGGTACTGGGAAAAGTGGATATACAAGTTGAAAAATATGAAATTGCACCCTATCTTACACAATACACAAAAATCTACTCAAAATTCATCTTAAGACTTAAATGTAAGACCCGAAACTATAAAACTCTGCGACTGGCAGAAGATTGAATATTCTATGATGTCACCTCAAGTAGGTATGTGTGATAACATTCAATTGTTAAGACTATTGGTTTAGTAGTGATCACTTTTTAAGTTTTGCAAGATTTTAAGCACATTAGTAGTATTTTTTAAATGTTGAAATTGTCTAAAATCTAAATAATTATTTAATTTATTAAATACTGATTTAATATAAATGAAGTAAAATATTCTTTTTAAGAGGTCTAAAGGCCTTTGAAGCTTTGGTAGTCTCAAAAAATTAGACATCCTAATTATGGGGATTTTATGAACCAATATCGTTATGAGTTAATACCAATGTCTTATTAACAGATTTTATTGATAAATTCAAAGATTTACATTTTGTTTGAAGCTTTTAATAAGAGTTTCCAAATAAGTACTGTATTTTTTCCTTTTAGCAAAACTGGAAGTTATCTCAATACTTGCCATTATTTCACTGGCACCTACCAAGATTTCTTTTCACTAACTACTTATGGAAAAAACAAATAGTCAACAAGCTTACATTTTTACTATTCCTGTTTCACAACAGCAGAAATCCAGAAACCAACAATAACATTATTATTATTTTATTGATAATGTTTGAACTGTTTGTATGATTATCACATGTTATTAACAAAGGACTATTGTTTCTTAGTAAAAAGAATGTTATGGATTTAAACAAAGCTTCTTGTTTCAAAGATAAATACCATTCTCCATCAATAGGACATCTACAAATATGTTTAGGCTTCATTCTATGCTTTGATCCTTTTCCCTTTATTTTCTTTTTCCGCAACACAGTTGCAATTGAAAAGAGTGCCTACAACCACAGTTCTCCACACAAACATGTTGAAGTAAATATGTGCTTCATGTTTGCACATCACTCTCTAAGCACAGAAAAAAGGGAACTGACCCCCACTGTTTCAGGTCTTTGGGATTTGATTGGGTCATATTTGTAATCGAAGAGGCTGAATTATATTCAAGCAGTTGAAGCAGTCTCAAGTATCCTTTCTAAAGTGATAAAATGTTCAGCCTCCATACTTTCTTTATTATAGTCATTTAAGGCTAAACCATTGCTATAAATTCTATCACTGGATCCCCATTCCTTGCACTATGATTATGTAGGAAGTAGCTCTGAGATCTCCCATCAAATTTATCTCTGAGTGTCCCTTTCTATTTTATTTCAGCCTATGACTCTCCAACCATTTAATGCATTTCAATAAAAATATTTATTTTACTATTTCAATGGCAGACTAGCTCTATGATATTTCTGGCTCTTCACAATCTGAATAGCATTGAAAACACTATAATGTTACTGCCTGTCATTTACAAGCTAACTCATTTGCACAAAATCGTACAATGACATGATAAAATTGGTTCTTATAAAATTGTTAGCCACCTGAGAGAAAGCTAATATTTCCTAGAATAGAATCGGTCTGTTTTCTGGAATGAAGAACATTAAGAGTTAAATGACCAAGAGCTGTTTGGAATGAGAATTATCCAACTCTCTCAACATTATTGAAGAGGACTGGATGCACATACCCACAAGAATGATCAACTATGAAAAGCCTGCAAATATAAATATGAATGTTATATGTAGACAATAACAACTAAAGAAGAGGAGGAAATGCTGAGATATTGTGTGAAACTGTGCATATTCCTATGCTTCATCTACCCACACTAGTTTTTAGTTGTGGTTAATAAGTATAGCCAAAATATTTGGCTTTGCTTTCTTCCTCCCTGCCGACCTTTTCTCATTCTTTCCTCTATAACCTCCTTACCTTTCTCACTCTCTTTCCTTTTTGATTATCATGGCAGAAAAATCAGTAGTAGATCTCAGATGTTTTATTTTTCAAGGTGAAATGTATGTTTTGTATTTAAAATGTGTAGAATATATACTTTCCACTTTGATCTGTTCTACCATGTCTACAGATTCTACCTGCTCTATTCTAAAAGCAAAATTCATGTTAATTATAAAATTAATATATTTTTATGGGAAAATGAAAACAAAAAGCATGCTACCTTTTCTGAGGAAATCTCCAGGAATTATTGGGAAGTTCTTCTTTATCTGAAATTATGTAATTCATTTTTGGAACTCTTATGACCCTTTTACGTTGAATTCTTAGAACAATGATGCAAATTTTTATATACTAGTCTAGAATGTAGGCTAAGGCTATGTCTTAGTAGCAACTGATTGCCCATAGTTCATATCGCAAATAAATCCTTATTATAAAAGGAATGCAGTGGCTTTGTATATCCCTTAACATGATTTACAATTATGTTTCTAAAGTTGCAGTCAGGTTTCTTCTAAAAATAAAAATTAGAATGAGAAGCTTAAAAAAATCTTCCAAGTATCTAAGTAGTATGATCAAGATAAGACTAATTAACCAAAAAGAGAAAATGTGATAATGCAAAATTCAAGCAATTTGAAACCAGAGACTTACTGTCACACAAAATCTCCATCTAGCTCTCAACTTTCACTTTACAGAGCACTTTATTAAAAATGAACAATCCCATTATGCTTCCGAAATGGGAATCTAAGCAAAAAGAGTCTTGAAAATAAAAACTAAGCCTAGAAGCTGGCATTTACAATTGGAGAGGAAAACAACAACAACAACAACCAGGCTAAAGCCTTATGGTAGTGAAACCCATATACTAATGATGTGTGCTATAGGTACAATTAACTGTCAGCACTATTAGGAAAAAATCCAACAGATAGTATTTTGTATCACTACTTGGAGAAGAATATTGTCATATTCCAGAAACTAAGGCGGCCAATGCTCCCAGGGGCAAAACTAAAAGAGCAGTAAGAGGCAGTTGCTTACATCATTGCAGTTTAAACACTTGAAAATTTATTGTCAAGAGTGAGCAGAGAGGAGTGATTAAAAGCATGGGTTTCAAAGTACTATGGACCTTGATACATATATACAATCCAGGTTCTGCTCATGTAAGTTTGGGCAACTTAACCTAAATGTTTTCATCTGTAAATTCAGAATACCAATGCATATTTATCAGAAGAGTATGTAAGATACTTACCATAGGTTCTGCATATAAAAACATTAAATAGATGGTAATTATTATTAGAAAATGTCTGACTTTAACTCCATAGAGTGTCAGACAAAAATATGCTCATCTCACTCCAAAGAAGATCTCATTGAGTATAAGGAAGAATTTTCTGATCATGTGGTTAAATAGACATTCAGCACACTAAAATGAGAGGTATATCTTCACACTTAAAGATCACCTCCCACCTCCATTTCTGTAACTGGCAGTCATCCCAGATTCTCTTCAGAGTTTGCAAAAAAGATTCCATCAATTCTTAGTGCTGTCATCTAGAAAATAAAAACAAACCAACAAAAAAAGTATCAGTTTCAAACTATGTTGAAGATCAAAATGTGAAGTCTAACTTTAAAAAGTTTTCTCTGCCATGTGAATAACTAATTTTATAAAAGAAATGAAAATGAAAATCTGCCCTGAGCACAAAGAATGTAACCATTACTGTGCTATAAATACCGGAGGCTGAATGGGGAGATACAGAAGGAAAAGGACAGTGAAACTCATGACATCTTTAAAAAGCCCTTTTCTTACAGGTTCTAAATCAAAACCAGATTATTCACCAGAAGCTTTTTGATACCTTGAAGGGTTTCTTGGCTATTTCTTTGGAAGCCATCATTCACCAGTTCGCACTGATGCAACATTAGCTGTCACTCAGAGATGAGCTTAAAATTGCTGCCATACGGATAGAAAATCAGTACCAGAAGAAAGTGGCTTTGTAAACTCAAAAACATATTTTCTTTAAAAATGGAAAGGCTGACCATGTGATAAATGCTTTTCATATAATGGATAAAACCACTTGCTACTTCAAGAAGCATGCACAAGCCTTCTGAGGACTGCGGCTCTCAGATTTTTTTCTTTAGATCACATGCATGATTTAACTTTTCTGGGTGCCTTCATAGAACCTACATCTTGCATTTCTCTTCCTCATCTCCCCACTTTCTTTATTCTTCTGCTTCAAGTAAGAGCAAATAAAATAACTTGTAAGTTGGAAAATAAGGCTTTGAGTCGAGATTAAAGGAGCTAAGGGTTATTTGGCAGACATTAGATGGAGAATTGAAGTTTTTAAGCGTGTAATGTATTTTATGGTGATTCAATTTAATTCAACAAATGTTTCTTGAACACTAAAAATGTTAACAGTTTTGTACTAAGCATCATACAGGAACATAAAGAAGAAACAAACAAGATAGTGACCTTCAAGGGGTTTTAACATAGAAGGCAAATATTTTTAAGTATGCAAATATTTTACTGTTAGTTGTAAATACTTCAATGGCTCTAAAGAAGATTCAGACAGATAACTGGGGGGAGAGTGGTTGTGAGAAATAAACAAATACTTTTCACTGGTTTTTATTCAGAGAAGGCTATATGGAGATAAAGCTATAGAAGTGGATCTAAAGGTTCAGGAAGGCAATCTAAATTGAGAGAAGGATCAGAGGCAATGGATTCTGGGGATACTGAGACTTCAAGATTAGTTATAGCATAAGATCAATGAAGAAAGGGGAGGGGAAGTGTCTAAAAAAGGTAGGTTGGCATTAGATCTCAGACTTACATGTTATACTAGGGAATTGGGATTATGAAAAACTTTTACTGTTTTGGAGCCTTTATAATTTTCAAGCAGTGAAGCTACACAATCAGTTATAGGCTAGGAAGAGAAATAGATTGCCATATAGGGATCAATTGGAGGTGGAAGATATCAGCAAGGCCAATTGAAATATTATTGCAGTACAAAGCATAAAAGCATAGGGCTGAAATATGCAGTGGTGATGAAGAAGAGGGAACATATTTAGAAACGACTTGTGAAGGTATACTTGATTAAACTGGGTCATAGAGGGAGATTGATTTGACTGTTATCTCAAAATTTTAAGACTAGTCTGCAAAATAAGTAATATCTTCTAATAAAAAAAATGACCAAAAAATGACTAGAGAAAGAAGTAGGAATAAAGGCTAATTTTTGGACAGATTAAGATTGTTGGCTACAGGCTGGGCACAGTGGCTCATGCCTGTAATCCCGCACTTTGGGAGGCCAAGGTAGGTGGATCACGAGGTCAAGAGATCGAGACCATCCTGGCCAACCTGGTGAAACCCCATCTCTACTAAAAATACAAAAATTAGCTGGGCATAGTGGCGTGCACCTGTAGTCCCAACTACTCAGGAGGCTGAGGCAGGAGAATTGCTTGAACCCGGGAGGCAGAGGTTGCAGTGAGCCAAGATCACGCCACTGCACTCCAGCCTGGCAACAGAGCAAGACTCCGTCTCAAAAAAAAAAAAAAAATTGTTGGCTACAAGAGGTTAAATATTAGTAGATTGCTCATTCAGCAAAATGTTGGGAGAGCTTCCTAGGTGTCATGCCAGTACCAGGCATCCAGTATATAACATGGAATGAACATACAAAAATTTTTAGGTTTATTTCTAAAACTATATTACACAGTGGTCTTATTTATTGATTTGTTTGTTGTTTTTCTAGGACATAGTTTAGAATTAACTGTATATTGAAAGCTTCTGTTTCACTCCATCTGGAATGTCCATAATCCTATGAAAATGTTTGCTTTTGTCTAAAGTACGTATGTTCACAGAAATGTAAACATTGAGAATAAAAGTTTAAAGTGATTGTTTTAGGTCATCATAATCAATATAATGTGCAATAAACTTCAGGTAGTAAAGTAGATAACTCTGATGAGTATTCTTTTTAAAAATTATGCAATACGAACATATGACTAATATGTTATATCCTGGACCGCCCTAACCTTAAAATTTTGGTGAGGTGAAATTAGGAAACAATGAATAACAAAATATGTAGTGTTGATATTTGGTAAGTGGATTGCACTTATATATTTGACAAAACATGGAACTTTATTTTAGGACCTTCATTGTGAACTTTCCCAGCGTGATTTAATAAAACTGTAGTATGTGAATATACAAACTAGTATAAGAGTCATTACTTTCATTAAGAATATTACAGCAAATAAATTAACCCAAAACAATAAAACCTGAGCAGTTGATATATGTAAGTCATTTACATCTTGTAGACTCATTTGGGGTAGGGAAAAATAAATGTGTTATGGTGGAGGTTTCATTAGCACTTGCATTTCAATTGACTTCGAAGCACACAATAAGAATACAAAAGTAATAAATATCATCCATAAACAAGAATATCATACAAGGCTGTGGCTTTTTGTTTTTTAACAAGATGTTCTGTGCCATTACACTTTAATAGTCCTGCTGAATCTTCAATATAAAAAAAGCTGAAGAGGCCTGCCGTGGTGCCATCATTGTATTCTGCAGCCATATTTCATCCTGCTTTATTACATCACTCTGCATTCAAAGCTACGTACATGATGATGTCTCACGGGAAATGCCAAAGATGCTGCAGAAAAACTTAAATGTAATGTAGTAGCATCTTTCAGCATTCTGCACCTGATGCTAAAGAGTTTGTTTCAGGCAGTGCAAAATAAATACTGAGTGTAAGTAACATGACAACAAAATGTCATATCAACTGGATTTATAAGCTTGGGAATTTATTGGCAGATACAGATATTTAAAAGATGTTTTCATTTAGCATCTTATTAGTATCCTGGTAGACATACTAAAAGGACCTGCTCACTGCACTCTTGTGGGGAGTATAAAGCCAAAGAGATTTCCTCTGACAGCTGGCCATGTGCTGCTCTATTTACGCTGCATCCTTTTGGGGATAAGATTTCTTTCTAATACTGTCTAGGCCACTGTTCTTTTTCAAAAGACTTTTATCTTCTATATCAGACTAGAATGAGAACTGTAGGTTTCAGTGTAGAATTAGAATCTTCTTGTTGGTCCAACAAGCTATAGAGAAAAAAGCAGCAAAAACAAAAAATAATTACCTTGTGATGAAGTTTAAGGAATACTTAAACTGCACATTGAATATAGCAGTTACAAGAAAGGGCCTTTGGAGACACATTTGGAGAGAAATGAATTAATACAGAGTGGGCCCCGCTTGTCATAGCTATGGTGCATACAGAAGAGGAAACTTTGTGGTAGCCCTTATAGAACCATGAAGCACAGTCCCAGCCCTTTGCTAGGGTAAGACTGATGATCAGGGTTACACCGATGATCACAACCCTGAAAATCTCTTAGCTCCCTGGAGGAATTGTACTCCAGACTCAATTCAAGTACTTCAACCTGCAAGACAATAGGGATCTGAAACAACTTATGCCAGACTGACTGTAATATATTTACGCACCTCACCTGCCTCCTCCCTTGACAGGCTCTCCGCTTCCTTCAACTTTCAGGAATGCCACTTCCTCAGAGAAGTGTATTGTGACCATCTTGCCTAAAAGTAGCCCCCACTCCCAACTCATTTTCTTTCTATCACACTGCTGCCTTTGTTTCTTCATCATTTCACAATACATAGTCATTAATGTAACAGATTTGTTTTCTTGCTTACACGCTATGACTCGCCCATCAAAATGTGATCTGCAGAGAAGGCAATGATATGTCTTCATTGCACCACTCTAGATCCAGCACTTTGCACAGTACCTGACACATGCTTAAGTTTAGCCCATATTTTGCAAGGATAGAAGAAAGGAAAAAAAGAACAAAAAGAAGAAAGGGAAAGGGGAAAAAGGCAGAGAGAAAAGGAGGGATAAAGAGCAGGATGCTATATGTTTTTGGCCCTTTTTGTTTATTAGACTTATGGTAACCAGCAATCGTGTTTGACTAGGGTTGCATGACAACCACTTTGAATCCTATTTTTTTAAAGAAAATAAACATAATTGTTTGATTATTGCCAGGGATAGATGATGCAATAGTTGTGAAGCACTTTGCAAATTGTCAAGCATAATACATAGAAATCTGTGATCTCTAAAGCCTACAAAACTGTAGAAGATTATTATTAGCTGAAGTTACTGTTTCCCCACTAAGCACAATTGCACAACTAATAGCTTCATTCTGGTTTCTCCTCTAACCGTAAGTATAACTGATATAAGGAAATTAAAGGTCACTCAAATACATATAGTGTCATTATTCAATTCAATTCAATTATTATTAACAGTTAATTTAGTACTTGAGAATGCCCTTTCCATAGGAAAACATAATAATAACATATTTCTGAGCAATTTTATGCTAGAAGCCACTCTATACTTTTTACATATTTTATCTCATTTAATTTTTACTGAATCCCATGAGGTAGTAGGTAATTATTTTTACCTTTGTTTTACAATGAGTAAATGGAGGCACAGAGATTAACTTGCTCAAGAAGCCAATGCAGTAAGGGGGAGATAGATGCTGGATTTGAAGAGAATATCTGGCTCCAGGGTCAGCCCTTTTACCTTGAGCACTGCCTGTCTCTTAACAGGCAATATACATATAATTCTGTAATTATGTGATCTCTGAAAATTGCTCATGGAAGCAGATCTTGAATCTAGAATTCTGTTCCACTAATAGCACCAGTATGGTTTTCTTTCGTATACTCAGTAAGCATATAAAACAGTGACACAGAGATGCCAGAATTTTTGAACGTCCAAAAAGTTTTTTAAAAGAATTATCAACTTAAAAAAAAATGGCCTTGGGTTTAGTCCTGAGATTTTTCCTTACTCTTCCAAACTCCTCATTTTATATTGTGCTTAGAGACTCAGCAAGGAACAAGTGTGTATCAGAAAGCTGAAGAGACTCCTCTATATATCATAGACTCCTCTATATATCATAGACAGGTCTCTATGATCCACTCCTCCTCCTACTCACCCCTGAGAATCTCTCCCCATATTACTAGTTGGTGAATACAATTAATAATATGTGGGTGCTATACCTATCGTTGGTGTGTTAGGCTTGGAAAAAGGGAAGAATCACTGGTTTAACTGCTTAGATGTTCGTGTGGGAAGGATGGTGAGGGCAGATGGGAGGTGGATTTTGTTCTATGCTGCTTGAATAAAACTTTATTATTGTTTCCAAGACTATCAGTAGAAATATTGTGTCAATAATAAATATAAGAATAATAGCTAATATTTTTGAAGTGTTTACTCTGCTTACTAGACACCCTGCTAAGCATTTTAACATGAATTTACACAAGGCTTCCTAATAAGTAATCTACATAACATGCACCTCTATTACTGCCATTTTACAAAATAAATTATTTCAGAGATTTTGTCCACTCACCCAACTATATGAGTGGTGAATCTGGGCTATAAAGTCACCTCAACCCAAAATCTAACCCAAAGGTCTATATCCATGTGCAATACTGCCTTTCCATGAACCCAATACCATCCACCACTATCTCACAATACCTCCTGCATGACATAAATATGTACACCACACACTAAACACACACATAGACAAACACACATACACTTTCTCTTTCTTTCTTCCCTTTCTGCCTGGCTAATTAGTGAATCCTTGGCTCCATAGAACTGGAGAGAAACTATTCATGGATAGTTTCTATGTTTAGGTTTGGGCTACCCTAGGAATGCTCTAAAAATACTTTGTTATTTCCATACTTATGTAATGAAATACAGAGTTCTTCCTCAGCATATTTTATGTGCAACGAAGTCTCATAGTATGTAATATCATAAAGCAAAAAGACTTTCCATATTCAAAATAAACTCTTCAAGTGCTACAGCTTTCACATGTTTTATTCTCAATTACTGTTGATGGATATGCCACTAAAGAATTTTACTAACATCCGTGCTTTCTCAGACAAGCCATTGAACACAGCAGCACAACCAACACCTAGTGCACTGACATCCACAGTATTTCTGTTCTCCCCACCTTTTGTGCCATCAAATACAATTTTTCCTGTTCTGCTTGTGCTTAGCTCTAAGAGCTTCTGTATGCAGTGGGAAAACAAATAATTAAACTTGCTAAGAATTTTGTGTTACATGAAAACTAATAAGGTGTCCAAAGGAGAGCAGTGTTAGAAATAGTGTGTCATGGGTTAGAAATGAGGAAAAGAATGGCCGCTCTTTCAGACAATCAAAGCTCATTTGATAAAAAGGATGTTAATGCGCATAGATTCATGGATTCTTCGTTTTTCATTTACAATAACTTTCATCAAAAAATACCTCTGCTATGTGATCATTGAGGATCAATGAAAACTTCATTTTAACCTCTCCTAAATTCTCTAATTAAAAGAGCTATGATTCTTATCAAGAAATTATATAATAAAAATGCTACATATTTTAATTATCTCCTGAAAGTGAGCAATGAAATTCTAATATTTTTAATACTTTTCCTGGAAAATCTCCACGTTTTATGATTAATTTAAAAAGCAAAGAAACAGCCTTTACAGCATTTTGTACCTTTAAAGACTTTTATAAACACCCAATTAATCCTCACCACATTTTGACAGCCACATATTAATTACTCCCTTTTTATAGAAGTGGGGCATGGTTTGCAAAAAGCTCTTGTGACCTCCCGCAGACACCACATTTGCAAGACTGTCTGGACTGTAATTGAGAAACTTGGAGGATGGCCTGAAGTAAGATCATACAAGATTTTGAAAGGGAGGAAGGTTTTAGGATCATATTTGTTTTGCTTTAGGTGCCACCCCGAAAAATGTTTGTCATTATTTCATTGCCACGAGAAAAAGAAAAATAAAAATTTTCTAAATTTAATTCAGAAGGTGTGATAATCCATAAATTTCAATTCTGGCGAAAACCCGAATTATATACTGGGACATTAACATTTCTCCTGACGCTGAAATAAATTAACTACTGTACATAATCCTCTGAGAAATGACAGACTATTTCTAATTTTTTTTTTTTTTTTTTTTTTGAGACAGAGTCTCGCTCTGTCCCCTGGGCTGGAGTGCAGTGGCGCGATCTCCACTCACTGCAAGCTCCGCCTCCTGGGTTCATGCCATTCTCCTGCCTCAGCCTCCGGAGTAGCTGGGACTACAGGCGCCTACCACCAAGCCCGGCTAATATTTTGTATTTTTAGTAAAGAGGGGGTATCACCGCATTAGCCAGGATGGTCTCGATCTCCTGACCTCTTGATCCGTCCGCCTCGGCCTCCCAAAGTGCTGGGATTACAGGCGTGAGCCGCCGCACCCAGCCTATTTCTGATTAATTTTATGGCCAAGTAAAAGCAAGGCATCTGCTCTTAGGATTTATCAGAAATTAGGTATCTAAAAGAACTAGAGTATTTTTGAACCTTAGAAGAATGAAGGTTGCATTTTTAAACTAGTATTTTTCGAAGGCACCAAGGGTTGGGTGATGTGTTCAGTATTTTCATAAACAAATTCCAATTTCCTTTCATTTTCACAATGAGGTAGATTCTTTCCTTTATTAGATGGGAAAATGAGACCCAGAGAGGTTAAGTAAATTCTCCACAGTCACACAGCTAGTGAATTCAAATTCAAGTCTGCTAGTTTCACTAAGCCCAGGCACTTAAATCACCTCTCACTGATACCGCTCTGTTTTCTTTGGTAATTCCTATTTAATTTATAGACCTACAGTACTTTAAAAACCATCCAGATTCAATAAAATATACCAAAAAAAAAAGAAAGAATATTTACAGGACTTCTCAAGACTAAAATCTAACAGGAGATAACACACACATTGATCTTTGCTTTTGTATTCTCCTGCTTCATTATCTTGACAGGAGACTGAGTTGCCTTCAACTCCACAGCTCAAAGAATTTTGCTTAGGCTTTCCTGTCTCTATTTTCACATCATCTTTGCTCTTCCTGGCAACTAAGCATCGTATCTGTTATTAGAGCCAGTTTCTACCTTTTCTCCTCAATTTTCTAACTTCCAGACTATATCAGGCAACCTGGAGCCTGGCTCAAGCCTGGCTTTATTAAGGATGCTTATATTTTGCATAAGATCATGAGATTAAGCCAAAATAAGCACCAATTTCCCAGAATATGCATGCTTGTTTCAGCTATAGACTAATAAGCTATATATCCAACTTCCTAGACCCAATTTTATCCAGCACATTTTAGAACACCTGGAACAAAGTGACAAAATTTAATCCTGGGGCGTAATTAGGTTGGGATCAACTCTGCTGGCATGTATGAGACATCTGAAAATAAATAAAGGAGACAACTAAAATTAAGTAGGATAAAAGTTCCTACTCTAAATAACTAATGCCTATACAGACACTATAACTTGTACCAAGAAATATTCAGATACATATAAGACACCTAGACTCAATATGTAGGTGGGGAATTGAACTACTGTCATATGAAGGCATGCCTGAGAATAGCAAAAAAAATAATTTAAGTGTCAAATGAAGAGCATAGGAATTAATAGGCCTTCTATGACTTGGTGGTAGTCAGTGGCGAATAAAGCTACCTAACAGAGGTAGCACTGTGGCCAGTTCTATAGGAAGATAAGTTTGGCTGAGGCTATAGATGAGCAAGATGAAGCTATAGATGAGCAGGGGTACAGCACTGATTCAGGGAAATATGTCCAATTGTTCTAAATATATTTTTAAATCAGGCTTTTTAGTTGTACAAATTTATCCTACTGGTATTTTTTAATGGGATCATGTTAAACTAGTATTTTTCGAATGCACCAAGGGTTGGGTGATGTGTTCAGTATTTTCATAAACAAAATTCCAATTTCCTTTCATTTTCACAATGAGGTAGATTCTTTCCTTTATTAGATGGGGAAATGAGACCCAGAGAGGTTAAGTAAACTCTCCACAGTCATACAGCTAGTGAATTCAAATTCAAGTCTGCTAGTTTCACTAAACCGAGGCACTTAAATCACCTCTCACTAATACTGCTCTGTTTTCTTTGTAGGTCAATTTAGTGTAAAGAGGTATCTTTATGATTGTTCGTCTTCCTCTGCAAGAACATGCTGTACTTTCCATTTGTTAAAATATCTTTTCTTGAATCTCCATAGTGATTTACAGTTTTCTTCATTTAGGTATTGATCACTCCTTTTTTAGTCCTAGGTATTTCCTCTGTCTGTTGCTATTATAAAAATTGTTGTTTATTTTATTAGATCTTGTAGCTCCTTCTTTCAATATATGAAGGCAATTGATCGTGCTCTGTGCCTACTTTACTAAATTCTCTTGCTTTTTATAAAAATTCTGTTGATTATCTTGAGTTTTCCAGATAAAAAATCTTTATTATTTGCAGGTAATTATTATTTTATATTTGACTAATTTCCATATCTCCTTTTTGTTTCTCTTTATGAATTGCATTAGCTAGTAACTCAGCACAATGTTAAATAATAACAGTATAAAGAACATCCATGTCTTCCTCTTTGTTTAATGGGAAATGTTTATTTTGTAAAAATAGTTGAATTGTGAAAAGGAATAGACCAATTAGGCTGAAAGGATAAGAGGTTGGGAAGAAGCTGAACTGCCTAATAAAGTGATTATAAGACCAAGAAAGTAGGTTGAGGAAATTGGACATTTCTTTCATGTAAATACAGGAATGTAACAAAGGTTTGTTGATGGAGAAACAAACTGAGGTGATAAAGGGTGATTAAAAAATAGCTAAAGGTAGTGTGAAGTGTGACTGAAGATGCAAACTAAGAAGGGAAAGCAGGAGCCCCAGGAATATTCGTCTACGGCTAATTTCTTTGGAAAGTTTGAATATAAATGGATTTTGATAGTAGCCAAGACCATAAACATTGTAAGTATAAAATTTTGAGACCTTCATTTATGATGAGAGTCATGGAATCAAGCTATTCAGAGGCATTCAAGAACAATCCATTGTTTCATCCACATTTTTTCTATAGAATATGACTTTAATACTGAGGGGAATTTAGAGGTGTTAAAATCTTGATGGTACTCCTTTCCATAAAATTAACAGTGCAGTTGAGTAAATATATAAACCAAAATATACTAGGTTATACAGGGAAAGTGCTAGAAATGGTACAAAACAAGTGCTCAGAATTATGAACTGGCCAAGTCAATCAAGAAGGCTTTTTATGTTGCGAAGAAAATTTTTGCAACCTACTCATCTGACAAAGGGCTAATATCCAGAATCTACAAAGAACTCAAACAAATTTACAAGAAAAAAACAAACAACCCCATCAAAAAGTGGGCAAAGGACATGAACAGACACTTCTCAATAGAAGACATTTATGCAGCCAAAAAACACATGAAAAAATGCTCATCATCACTGGCCATCAGAGAAATGCAAATCAAAACCACTATGAGATATCATCTCACACCAGTTAGAATGGCGATCATTAAAAAGTCAGGAAACAACAGGTGCTGGAGAGGATGTGGAGAAATAGGAACACTTTTACACTGTTGGTGGGACTGTGAACTAGTTCAACCATTGTGGAAGTCAGTGTGGGGATTCCTCAGGGATCTAGAACTAGAAATACCATTTGACCCAGCCATCCCATTACTGGGTATATACCCAAAGGACTATAAATCATGCTGCTATAAAGACACATGCACACGTATGTTTATTGCGGCATTATTCACAATAGCAAAGACTTGGAACCAACCCAGATGTCCAACAATGAGAGACTGGATTAAGAAAATGTGGCACATATACACCATGGAATACTATGCAGCCATAAAAAATGATGAGTTAATGTCCTTTGTAGGGACATGGATGAAACTGGAAACCATCATTCTCAGTAAACTATCGCAAGAACAAAAAACCAAACACCGCGTATTCTCACTCATAGGTGGGAATTGAACAATGAGATCACATGGACACAGGAAGGGGAATATCACACTCTGGGGACTGTGGTGGGGTGGGGGGAGGGGGGAGGGATAGCATTGGGAGATATACCTAATGCTAGATGACGAGTTAGTGGGTGCAGTGCACCAGCATGGCACATGTATACATATGTAACTAACCTGCACAATGTGCACATGTACCCTAAAACTTAAAGTATAATAAAAAAAAAGAAAAGTAAAAATAAATAAATAAATAAATAAATAAATAAAATGAATGTTAAAATTTGATAATATTCAAATATAAGGAAAAAGCCAATTAATTAATGTGCTGATGGTTATTCCCTGCTTGAGAGATTAATTAAAAGCTCATGATAATTGGTGTGAAAAAAAAAAAAAAGAAGGCTTTTTATGTTTGAGGCTGAATTTGAACATATACTTGAAGAAGAGATTGGGTTTTGATTGAAGATATGTGGTAAGGAGGACTTAATGTGCATTACAACACTACATGTCTGGCATAAACAAAGCTGAAATGAGAGGAAGGTATTGGGGAATAACAAATAGAACCATCTGAGAATTTTTTTTGGTAGAGTAAGTAGTAAGTCAAAATTATTAAAAAGGTAGATCAGGACACATCTAGAACTTTTAATAGTGAAAAAATTTCAGGATTTATTCATTTTAGTATAAGTAGTAAAACACAAAGTTTGCTTGGCAAGAAAATGTATGGTGAGAGTATCTTAACTTATTTATTTAGTAATAGGAAGCAGGAAGAATGGATGGGAGTAGGAAGATGCCTACTACACAGTCCAAGACTTTAAAATGGTACCTAGTCTGTTTTTCATCTCTCCTCTCTGGCCAGTATCACAGATCTGTAACTTCTGTTTTCTGTTACTTTATTTCTATAAATGCAAACTTTGATTTATTTAAATATTGAAAGAAAGAACAGTTACAGTTCTCACTTTATATTGTTATGTGTTTATGTGAAGTGCTGTCATCATTTAACTGAGTTTTAAAATTAATTAGTATGTGTCCTGTAACTTAGTCTCCAGGGTCCTCTTTATAATGTCTGTTTCCATGCAAGTTGTAATTTTTCAGATAAAATTAAATAGCCTATCATATTTTAATTTCTAAAATCAAACATAGTTTATATATTTTTTGCTGGTACATAAAAAGTACTCTAAATGGAATTGCCACTGAACAAAAATTCACACTTATATGTAACTTGAATAATATTTTATTTATTTTTAGAGACAGTGTCTGTCTTTGTTGCCTAGGGTAGAGTGCAGTGGTACAATATCAGCTCAGTGCAGCCTCAATCTCCTGGGCTCTAGCGATCCTGCAACAACTCAAAGAAGAAAAGCAAAAAGGATTCCCAGAAAGTCTATGGCAGCTATAGCATGAATATTGCATCCCATAGAAATAATTTCTACATTTTCTGTTTCTTTCATTAAAATTAAAATAGGCACATTCATGCTTTTGGTAACCACCGAAGTGAAGGAGAAGAAGCATTCTCTTTGTGTCTCTTGTTAGGTATATTTGGAAGTACATAAGGGGGTGAAATACATCTTGCCTTCTCACGTCCCCCATGGTCATCTCCTAAACTCATAACTCATGAAAGTGAAAAGGTATATGGTACCAGCTGTATGCACACTTAGGGTCCCCATACTCACAGCAAACTGTGCTGGAATTGGGGCCTGCTGCATCCCTGTTGTGTTCAGAGCGGCAAAAGTGGTGACTGGGACTTGGGTCTCCATAGAAAATAGGAATAGTTGAAAATAAGTTTGTTTTCTTTTCTCCACTGAGCATAGCCTATTCTCAGTAAAAACCCAAAATATTAAATGGAAATTTCATTTGCGTGTAAGAGAAGCTTTAGCTATATTAAATTAAAAAAAAAAACACTCTTCAAAGGCTCCCTTTCTTTGAAATAGACAAAAAGGAAAGGTGAAATTCATCTGAGGACTGTTCAAAGGAAACATAATCTCAGTAAAATGGGAAAAATGAAAATATGTTCAAAGCCATCTTTGTTTCTTCAGAAATATTTTACAAATGGAATCAAGGAATATTTGCTTAGAGCAATAAAACCAGATTCACTAGAGAACTAAAATGATGCACGTGGATGTTTATAGAAAAACCTTCTTCATTTGAAGTAAATTCATTTTACAGAACACTGAATCCACAGGATTAAAGTGAATATTAAGTTTAAGGAAATGGGCAGCTTGGAATGCAAGAACTTTCTACCTGAAACACATTATAGAGCATATTTCAGAAATATTTAAGAAACTGACTCTGTTTAATACAAAGATGAAAATAATTTATGGACAACCTACAGAAACACACTCACTTAAAAATACTGAGAGTGTCATGGACAGAGAATAATTGGCTCATCAAGTTTTCCAATTCATTTGTGATTATTTGAAACTACTTCTAAAACTGGTGCCAATCTTAGGCTGGAATATAATTAGATAATTACACTTCACCAATTTTGTTGAAACACATCTATGACTGAAATGAAGGAATTCTTGCATTCTCAAAGAGCATCTTTATTATTTTTAATTCATGAAGGGGAAAACTTACTTACTGAAAGCTGATAATGCTTGGAGGTGGGGTGGGGTGAGGATGTTTCAAAGATGTTTGATTCCCAGATTTAATGTGGAGAAAGTCACTCATGTTTTCACAGAGGAGAATGAAAGTGGCATGTTCAACTCAAGTTTCCCTTTAAAGTGATGAAATGATGTCCTATCTCATCCAGTTGAAATAGTTGACAAAGATATCTCAGGCTTGGACATGGGACATGGCTACTCTAAATCACAAACCCTCATCATTGAATAAAACAGTGTCTGATAATTAGACGAAGTGGTGTGAGCAGCATTTGCTTACAAGAGAAGAGCATATATTTGGAATCTTGTTCTGCGCTATTTAGCTGAGTGGTTCCAAAGAAATTATAACTTCTTAAAGCCATAGTTTCTTTATATGTAAAATGAAGATTATAATGTTTACCTGTCAGAGTTCTTTTGAGGATACTAATACTTAAATAAAACATTGAACTAAAAGTATGGATACTGTGTGTGTGTGTATACATTTTATGAATATACATAAATATATTAGGTATCTGGCCTCTGTATGCCAAATGATATATAGTATACATGGCCAGAAAATTTATTTAGTGTTAAATATTATAGGAAATATACAAACATACATGAACTACCATATGGCTCTTTCTTCCAAGTAATCTATATGTACACTATTTTTTTATTTACTCATTTAATCCAAATAAAAACTTTATGTACTATTTTCCATCTTTTTTATGTAAATGAGAAAATAAAGCACTGAGTAGTAATAAGTAATAGTCCAGTAAACAAAATTGCATCTATTATTGGTGAACAGAATAGGGGCTATCACAATGAGGGAAATGGCCCATTTGTGGATGATTTGAGTAAAAAAAAAAGAATTAAATATATATAGTATGGGGAATGAACATTGGGCTTAAAGGGTAGTGGATCACAAGTTTTAGAAATGACTATTTGGGAATATGTGTCTGTTAAGATATGATGCCATTGAGTGTGAGTATCTTGAAACTGACAGCCAGGTATGTGTAATGTTGTTATTGTTTGTTGATTACACTATCATTTCAGGATTTTTGAAGGTGGCATGAGACAGTTGGCACAAAATCTGACAAAAAAAAATCAATAAAGGAAGGGAATGCCTAAGACTGTAGAGGCTCACGAGGAGGAGCTTTCCACATGTTTATACGCTTGTAATAAAGAAGAGCAACTTTATTTTTTGTGGAAGGAAAAGAAAGATAATGGAAAATCTAGCATAAATTTTGCAAAGTCAGGAATGGCAGCAAAAGGAACTAGAATGTGCGATACATTGATAATGATAGACCCAACTGATGGAGTGCCAAACATGAAGCAAGCCCTTTACATAATCTTATTTACTACTCTTTGTTTGCCTGTTTTTAGCTGAGGGGTCTGGAGAAAATTGAATAGGCATGACTTAACATCTTTTCTCTTCTGGGTTTCAGCTCTTGGGATAAAAGAAGAGAAAACCAAAAACTGATGGAAGTGATTCCATAACACTTGGTAAAATTCTGGGCATGATCTGAGGACCTAGAACTATGAAACTCATCCTTGAGACTTTGGGATTTTGGCCTAAACAGAGCTGCTTGGTTCCTCGTGGCACAGTAAAACATTGAGTTTGAGGGGAGTCAACTCAAACTGTCTTGTGGAGGGAAATCAGTTCTGCTCAGGTGCTAGTAGTACCAGTGGAGTCCATGCTGGGCCCAGCCCTTGGCTTTCTCCTTGGGTGCCCAGACAACTGGTGGAGACCACGCCAGATGCTGATCTTTGCTTTCTCACTACACACACTGTCAGGAGGACCAGTTGTGAGACTTCCGCAAGTGGCATCAGGTAGGAGATGGAGGAGGAGAGGCAGAACTGGCAGGTACTATGCTGTGACCACATACAACAGCTCCCACCTAACTTGAGGATGCCAAGAAATATGGGGCTCTGCGAGAGACTGGTTCCCTGCTGGGTCAGGTGGGCAGCAGCATGATGTACTCACCTAATGGCTTCTTCCTGCCCACTACACAAAATCAATTCACTGAGACCATGGTGTTGCAATAGAGAAGGAGTTTAAATGACCTGAGGCCAGCCCACACAGGACAACTAGAGTTATCACTCAAATCAGTTCTCTCATTTACTACTCTTAAAGGTTACATTAGGTATGTTTTATTATTCTTCCCATTTTGAAGCTTCGGATTTAACATCCTGCATGTGATTACACAGCTCATAAACAGTAAAGCAAAGTTTCAAACACAGGTCATCCTAAGTAAAATATTAAAATACTTAATTGATCAATAAAAATTGTATATATCCAAGCTGTACAATGTGATAATTTGGTATACATGTACAATGTATAATGATTAACACAGTCAAATTAATTAACACCTCCATCACCAACCATAGTTGTGATTTATGTGTATGGGTGTAAGAGATGAAGACACACACAATCTTTTCTCTTATCAAATTTCTTTCTTGTAAATAATTTTCAACTTTAGTGAATCAGAAGTACATGTGCAGGTTTGTTACATGGGTATATTGTGTGATGCTGAGGTTAGGGGCATGATTGTTCCTGTCTCCCAGGCAGTGAGCATAGTACCTAATAGTTTTTCGAACCTTGCCCTCTTCCTTCCCTCCCTCCCTCCTGCCTCTAGTAGTCCCCAGTGTTTACCGTTGCCATCTTTATGTCTATGTCTACCCAATGTTTAGCTCTCACTTATAAATGAGAATATATGGTATTTGGTTTTCTGTTCCTGCATTAATTTGCTTAGGATAATGGCCTCCAGCTGCATCCATGATGCTACGAAGGATATGATTTTATTCTTTTTTTTTTTCTTTTTTTTTTTTTTGGGAGAAGGAACCTTGCTCTGTCACACAGACTTGAGTGGAGTGGCAAGATCTCTATCTATAGATATCTATATCTATCTATCTATATATCTATCCATATTTATCTATATCTGTAGATATCTATAGATATATATCTCCTTTGTTGATATCCTACATATCCTTTGTTGATATCCAATCAACAGCGAACTGGATATATAACATCTTATTTATCCAGTCCATTGTTGATGGGCACCTAGGTTGATTCCATGTCTTTGCTGTTGTGAATAACACTGAGATAAATATATAAATTCATGGGTCCTTTTGGTGGGAAAATTATCTTCATTTGGATATATACCCAGTAATGAGACCGCTGGGCCATATGGTAAATCTGTTTTTAAGTTTTGCAAGAACTAGATCTTATTCATTCTTTCTAACTAATTTTTTGTACCGATTAACCATCTCCACCTCCCCCAGAGCACCCCATTTCCCCACCCCTACCTCACTACTCTTCCCAGCCTCTGGTAGACATCCTTCTACTCTCTATCTCCATGTGTTTGATTGTTTTGATTTTTAGATCCCACGAATAAGTGAGAACACGTGATGTTTTTCTGCGCCTGGTTTATTTTACTTAGTGTAATGACCTGCAGTTCCATCCATGTTGTTGCAAATAACAGAATCTCATTCTTTTATGGCTGAAGGGTGCATAAGTATCAGATTTTCTTTATTGATTCATCCGTTGATGGACATTTAAGTTGCTTCCAAATTTTAGCTATTGTTAGAAGTGCTGCACAAACATGGGAGTGCAGATATCTCTTTCAGATACTAATTTCATTTCCTTTGGGTTTATACCCAGAAGTGAGATTGCCAAGTCCATCTATTAACCACAAAGTGTGAAAGGTTAAAGATTTATAGTGGGAAATACAGCATTCATGTCCAAAATATAGCATCAATGTTTAGCTCAGTTTCAGGTGATGAATAAAAGACTGCCCACTGTAAAATACCTTAAAAAAGGGAGGTGATTCTGAGTAAGAGAGGTAGAATCACATTTGTAAACTCTTAGAATAAAAACGATCAAATTATAGAGATAAAGGCTAATTTTTTGAAGATTAAATTTAACAGAATTGTACCTAAATGGTTGCAACAATGAGGAAAAGGCCAAGTTAGGACCAATTTCATAGGTCAAGTAGATTCTACATAGGTATATAGCAAGGAATACAGAGTTTAGGATGTTTAAATGTAATATTTTAAGAACATTTTCTCTTTTGAAAGTATCCTCCTACACGTTATCAATAAACTCCAAAATAGTGCAAAAGGTAGAACAGGACAGTCATGTCCTTCATTACCAGGAATAAAAACTAAAGAACATAGGAACCATGGAACTTGCTCTGTTACAAATGTAGTAAATGGTAGGAACCAGAATGCAACCCATATCACCATCTCCCAGTGAGTTATTTTAATTCATTCTATCACATAAGCTGTCATATAAACGTGTTACACTTGCCCTATCAGATAATTTTTAACTTGTAATATGCTTTCTCTGAGGGGTTCTTGTGGAATTATAGATATAATAATCATAAAATATTAAACTTCATGAAAAGTAGAAATGTGCTTTATAAATATTAAATGGTGGGCGACCAGTCATATAAGGTAGTTATACTTTACACTTCTAGCAATGATTAAACATACTCTTTAAGGGCTGCTCTTTGTGAGTTCTACTTTTTTAAATCCAGTACTTGGCAGTGCCTCTCTTATTGTTGCCTTGTGTATTGCTTGCATCCTTCTACCCATGAAGTCTGTTTCATTCTATTGGCACGAATAAATATAGGAGGTATTATTCTTTAAAAAAATGATTGTACTAGTTAGGGACCACAAAAAGCAAAGCAGTGAGAATAAATGTTATGAGGATATTTTAAATCCAAGAGAAGAACTGGCTTGGTTGATTGTCAGGAATAGTCTGTGCGTAAAGAGGAGTGGTTCCTAATGAGGATGGATGTATCACCTAACTATATACGAAACGGCAGTGGCAAGGAAGAAATTGTGATGCATGTAGAGACCCTTTTCTTTGAACGATGCCTGTTCTAAGCCTATGTTTGAAGCCAATAAAAAGCATTCTACTATGTATTGTACAATAAGTAAAATGGCATGATGGAAACAAATATCATCAAGCTATAAGAAGCCAGAAATTGTGAGTTCTTTTGTTTTCCAAACAAAAGAATCTTTCACTGTCCAAATGTGTGACAAGCAGACACTACATTTTTTACTCATTTGAGAATTTGTTTGTTTCATAATCAAGATAAATTGATGCAGGATAAAAAACCACTTTGTAGGGGGATAAAAGATATTTATGGGCTTGAGTTTATTAATAAGTAATAATTTTAGTTCAGATTTTATTGAAAATAATTGAGATGATGAAACAATAAATGTAATAAAACACTTTCTAGATGCCTGCTAGAGGTATGTAAATAATTGTGTGTATTTGTTTTTACTTTCCAGTAGTTTAAAATAAAATATACATGTAAATATACAAGAAGTACTTATTTTCAAAATGAATATTGCACTTAATATGTAGAAAGTAAAAAATGACAAAAGACACACATTTTTGTCCATCATACTATTACGAAAAGATAAGAAATCTATTTCATTTCCAAGTAACAATAATACCATCTTATGGTTATATGATACATTTTTTCTGAGAGCTCAAAAGGTCAACTCTATGCAAAGTATAACAGGATTTTATCATTAAAATTAATGACATTTCCGGTGGTGAAAATTCAAAAATGATAAATAGCATCTGATTTTTGCTGTGTTGGCACGATACAAGTGCTGACGAAAATTCAGAAATTTGTCGCTTCGTATCTTCAGATCGATAAACAGATAAGAACGATCTAGAGACTCCTATAAATTTTACATGAATTTTCTGGGAGTGCAGTGTCAATTTTATAAGCAAAAAATATGTCAAATATAAAAGGTTCATTTCAATTTAAAGTACTCATTTGAGATCAATGTAAAGTCATTTTTTGAATTTGGAAATTTGTGAGATGATCCTCTGTAGAGATAATCTTCCGTAAAGTTCCAGACATATAAAAACCAAAAATATTCATTGCAATATAATCTGGAATTCAGACATACTTCATCTGCTTCTTAACACATTAGTGAAAAACAGTCAACTCAAAATTATGCTTTTATTTCAATCAATGTGTTATCTATGATCACTAGTCTCTTGATAATTTTATCTGTTTTTATCCTCCAGAAAGAGACTTTCTGATATATTGTTAGCAAAGAAAATGAAAAGACAAATAATAAGGCCTGTGTGTTTCCTGAAGATGTCACTTACTCTTTGTACTTAGCATCGATTACACTATAATTTTAGATGATATTTTAAAATATATAAACATATTTAGAAGACATTTTATGTAACAATCACCTCTCAGAATTTCAGAAGAAGAATGGACCTTAAGAATCATCTAATTCTATCCCTAATTTTATAGGTGGGGAAACTGGAGCACAAAGAAATTAAAATGACTTTGCCTTATGTTATCTAGTGTAAATTACTAGTAGAGCTAGTTCAAAAATCTGTTTACTGATTCATTTTACTTATGTAACAAATATTGTTTTAAGGGTAAATTAAGACTTGCAATCTATTTGTGTATATTAAAAAGATGGAAATATCAGGGAGCAATTAAATTTTCAGCATAGAACTGTATCAATGCTATTTACTAAATAATTGATTTAATTAATTTAATCATCAACATACTACAGCTAAAGTAAATGTGAGCTGAGTAAAATGTTGCTTAACTCTAGTGAGTTATATGCATTCATTTCTTCATTCTTTCAGTCAGTATATAGTAGGTGCCTACTAAGAGCCAGGTGTTCTGCAGATATAGATTGTAGGGGCAAACAGAAATAAATCAGTTTTTATGCAATTTACATTCTTTAAAGAGAAATAGCACAAAATAAATATGTTAGTTGGTGATAGGTACTTTAGAGAAAAAATAAAATAAAAACTGTGTAAAGGAGCCCAGGAGAGGATGTTGTTTCATTAAATAGAGCGTTTAGGAAAAGACTACTTTGGAAGCTGAAATCATAGCATAGATAGATCTGAAGTCAGTGAAGGAAAAAGCCATATGGAAGAGCATTCCAGGCCGCAGGAAGAGCAAGTGTTAAGATCCTCAACAGGGAGAATGTCTGGTGTGTTCAAGAAACATCGCCATCCAGAGCAGTGGAACAGCTAAGGGGTAACTAGCAGAGGAGACCAGAGCAGAGCTGTAAGGGAGCCAGGTGGGGGCAGATTGTTAGGGCTCCAAGGATATGGAAATATCTTGGATATTTAGATTTAAAATCCTCTAAGACCTTTGAGCAGAGAAATGAACTGATCTTCCTTACATTTTAACAAGATTATTCTGGCAGCAGTGTTGAAGATCCACTTTGATGAGTCAAGGTTAGAAGAAGGGAGACCAATAAGAGATTATTGCAACAAGGCAAGTAAGAGACGATGCTGCCATTGAAAGTGACTGCTTTAAAACTCAGTACTCTGAGGAATCCATTCCCCACTCTTTAAGAGATTCAGTCAGGGAACAGAGCACTCAAGTAGGTGTAATTTGAGGAAATTTTATTAAAGGAATTATTTTCAAAGTAGGCCAAGGTTTAAAGACCTCATCCATAGATAATGCAATATACTGAGACTAATAATAGCAAGAGAAATCAGTATTTTATCTGGGCCTCAGGTGAAGGGATGCAAATTATTACTGGAACCTGAAGAGAATAGCTGCAGGAACAGGGCCTCCTGACAGAAGTTACAGCCTTTTCTAGAGGGACAAAATCACCTGACCTCAATCTGGCATGGAGACAGCAAAAGGAAAAACATACTCCTACATCACTTCTCTCTCTCCCTCTGATCTTCTGTTGATGCAGCCTGTTGAACAAATCCAAATAGAAACAGAGGGCAAAGAAATGCATTGATGTGGCTAATCTCAGATTCTTGGGGATAGAGCAGGGTAGAAAGGAAATCAGAAGCAGAAACAGAAGGTAGCAGCACCCTGCCCTCATCTTCTTTATAGACATAGACACAGTAAATTGTTAAGAACTTAATGTATCTTGCTCAAATAAAAGATATACATGCGGAAATTTAAAATATACATATTTCTGGTAATTATGAATATGAGTATGTCACTAAAATTGTTTATGTGTTCTTTTACCTGTAGAATGATGTATAAGGTTTATATTTTGTGGTATTTTAATGAGATTATTCAATATGTCAATTTTAAAAATGATATGTTTACTCATCTCTATACTGTGAGATCAGACAGTTAGAAATTATTAGGAATTACTGGAAATGTTGGACATTTGAGGGTCTTTCCAGAAGATAAAAACATATTTCATTGATCAGTTTTTCATCATTTTCTTCTTTTTCTCAACCTTTATAACATCAGTCTAAGCAGATATTTTAAATGCCAGAAAACCATCTTATTTCTCAAGATTAGATAATTCCTGTAACTGATTCCTACTCATTAAATAATTTGGAGTGAACTCAGTATTTCTTAACCTAGCAGAGTTCTGAAACATAGAAAATAACACCATACTATAAATAAATATTATCTTTTATAGTGCACTTTTATTTTTTGAAGCATTTTCAAGTATAAGAATTCAACTGGTAAGGACAAAATCAATAGTAAAAGATACAAGTTGGCTGAGGTAGGGAGGTATCTGGATTTTATGGAAAGTAGTGTTTTTAGCAGTCAAAAACAAAACAAAACTGCCTGATAATCTAATACAAGTTCAAATGAATTCAGTTATTCAGAAATCACTTGCTTTCCATATGATCTAGTGGAGACTAGAGAGGGGAATTTTAACTGCTTTTCTCACCTAAACTCTTCTGCTGTGGTTCGTTGGTGATATTTCTAGCAGGTGTATTAAGCGTCAATTAAACGGAACCAAGTAAATAAAAATAACCTGAGCCAAGTAACTACAGAACCTATCTGACTGATAACTCATTGGAAGGTATCAAATTTCTTCCCGTTTTCTATATGTAAACAACAAGCCATCTCCAACTCATCTCACAAAAAATATTTCCTTGACACTTGTAAACATTTCTAATCAAAAATATATTCCAGATTCTACTGTAATGCATGATCACTTGTTCTTTAAGGTAGTCCAGAAGCTCTATGACTTATCTGAATTATAGAACCCAAATAATTATACTTGTTTATTTTGCTCTGGAAAAATGCATTATTTGTTCCAACAGGGGAGTCAAGAAACTGATGTATAGTTCTGAGCTGGTGGAGCAGAATTTGTTTTAAAATCAGATAATTATCTTATATTACACAAACTTAGATATTCTCACTGTAAGTTTCTTTGAAAAAATGGTAACTCATTTGCTTCTCAAAAATCACCCTATGTTGAAAGTATTATTATTGTCATTCTCATTTAAATGTAATGGATAAGGATACTGAAGCTCAAGAGGTTGAATAACTGGCTGAGATGGTTTAGATGTTTGTCCCCTCCAAATCCCATGTTGAAATGCGATCCCATTGTTGGATGTAGGTGGACCCTGGTGGGAAATGTTTGGGTCATGGAGGCAAATCCCTAGTGGATGGCTTGGTGCCTTCTCACAGTAATGAGTTACCATGAGATCTGATGGTTAAAAAGAGTCTGAGACCCACCACCCCCACCCCATCTCTCTTGCTCCATCTCTCGCCATGTCTCATGCTGGCTTCCCTTTCCTTCTGCCATGACTAAAAGCTTCCTGAGGCTCACCAAAAGCTGGACAGATGCTGACACCATCCTTGTACAGCCTGCAGAACTGTGGGCCAAATAAATTTCTTTGCTTTATAAATTACCCTGTCTCAGGCATTTCTTTATAGCAACATAAAACTGAATAACATATTAGCCAAAAGTCACATCACTTATAAGTGGTAGAGTGAGGAGTTGAAGTTAGTTATTACTTATTCCTAATATGGAGAGAGCATATCCTGTCTCAGAGCTCTGTAAGGATTCAATGAGGTATTTAGTGCTATCATACTTGTGTGCCTAGCACATAGCCAGGATTCATAAAGGTTATCCACTTTTAGCTGTTTATATTAATATAGATAAAATAATATCAATCAGCATTCTCCTTTCCTTACATTTAGCAAAAACCACATTGTAGTTTTCCCAAAACTTATGAAAAGGGATGAAATTCTTGCTTTTCAGCTGACCAAGCACTAAGAACTGGAAACACTGTTTCCTCTACCCATTGTCCAAGACTAGAAGTGTTCTCATTGTTTTTCCATTGTTTGAGCTTTCCCCGTTTTTCTGTCTCAAGATTACAAAGGGCAAAGCAGTAGCTCTGACAGTATTTGCAGGGCCATGAGGCTGCAGAGAAGGTGCCTAGCTGGGTGTCTGAAGGCACTGAATTCTCCCATAGCAAAATAGTGTCCTACCTAGCCAGACCAGGTAAGACCCAGACTATGTAAGAGTATTTATAAGAGCCAGATAAAGTGAAAAACAGGCCACAGGTTTCCCTGGCAATAGACATCAGCAGCTGTTGACAGTTAGTGCAAAGGGACTTACACTGGGGCGCAGGAGATTTCACAAAACTTTCAAAAAAATGTCAGAGGAGTGAATAATGCAATCTCTGCAGAGTGTGTAGTACAAGAAAAGGGGCTGGGTGCAGTGGCTCATGCCTGTAATCCCATCGCTTCAGGAGGCTGAGGCAAGTGGATCACATGAGGCCAGAAGTTCAAAACCAGCCTGGCCAACATAGAGAAACCCCCATCTCTACTAAAAATACAAAAAAATTAGCCGAGTGTGGTGACTTATGCCTGTAATCCAAGAAACTTGGGAGGCGGAGGCAGGAGAATCACTTGAGCTGGGAGGTGGAAGTTGCAGTAACCAGCACCAAAAAATTCACAAACAGTAGTAGGAGTTACAAACCCAGCTACCTCACATGCAGTGATCTCACAAGAACCTCATGTACTGATCACTCAGGGACTCCACAATTCTTAGTAGTCTGTGAATTCAATGCAATGAGATGAAATGTTACAGGTCATTTAACCAATCTCAACATCCAGCAGTGTCCTAATGCAAATGAGGATATTAAATACATTGAAAGAAGAATTGGAACACATAAACAAAAAAGGCTTTCTTCTTGTTCAAATACATCAACAGTTCCTGACCTTCAGCAAACCACTAAATCTAAGTCTTAGTTTTCTTATTTGTAAAATGGAAGCCACAATGCCTTTCCTGCTGCTCTTTTTTTTGGGGGGCCCACATGGAGTATTATCTATTCTCTCTGTGTTCTGATTCCTTCCCTCATACAACTAAATATGCTCAGGACTCTTCCTCAAAACAAACAAAGAAATTATTTAACAAACAAAAGACAACCTTCTCTCACTCTACTTCAAGAATCACCTACTTTCTCTCCCATTCACTGTTGAATTTCTTGAAAGGCCTATAGTTGTTGCCTCTATTCCTCATCTATCCTTTACTCTCTCATTTACTCAACAGCTACTTCACTCTCTCTTCAGTTCTCCTCTTCACAAAATCTGTCTATATTTAGGTCACTAATGTTTTCCAATTTCAAGTCCAGTGGAAATTTTCAGTCAATGCAATCGAACATTCCTTACTCAGAATGTTATTTTCTTTTGGAACCTTCCTCCAAAACTCGGAGTTCTGTCCTATGCCTCCTTTTTCTTTTTCTTTTTTTTTTTTCTTTTTCAATTGAGAGTCTCCCTCTGTCACTCAGGCTGGAGTGCAATGGTGGGATGGATCTTGGCTCACTGCAACCTCCAACTCCCAGCTCAGATTCTCCTGCCTCAGCCTCCCAAGTTGCTTGGATTACAGGCATGAGTCACCACACGTGGCTAATTTTTTTGTAGTTTTCATAGAGATGGAGGTTTCTCTATGTTGGCCAGGCTGGTCTTGAACTCCTGGCCTCACATGATCTGCCCACCTCTGCCTCCCAAATTGATGGGATTAAAGGCATGAGCCACTGCACCTGACCCCTTTTCTTGTACTACACGCTCTGCAGAGATTGCATTATTCATTCCTCTGACATTAATTTTTTTGAAAGTTTTTGTGAAATCTCCTGGGCCCCAGTGTAAAACCCCTTGCACTAACTGTCAACAGCTGCTGATGTCTATTGCAAGGGAAACCTGTGGCCTGTTTTTCATTTTATCTGGCTCTTATAAATGCTTTTACCTGGTCTGGCTCACCTGGTTTGGCTCTTACCTGGTGTTGCTAGGTAGGATATTACTCTGCTGTGGGAGCATTCAGTGCCTTCAGACACTCAGCTGGGAACCTTCTCTGCAGCCTCGTGGCTCTGCAGATACTGTCAGAGGCCTAATTGAACTTCTTTTTTCCCTTTCTCTATGGGGCTCTTTTACCTAACTGTATAGACCTTGGCGTGAGGTGGCAAGCCCGATCATATCCCAATTATCTTCCACGACCTTCTCGAAGCTTAAAGGAAAACTAGAAGACCTGTGGAAAATTGGGAATCTTCCCTTTGTCAACTGTTTATGCTACTGCTTTACATACCACCTGGGTTACACTGGCATTCCCTCTCAGGAAACTTAAATTTTCCTAATATGCAGCTAGGAAAGTCAGAAACACCCTCCTGAAAAATTACCTGGTTGTTTCCATTGCTAGAATTATGATGTTGCTGACTGAGGTAAAATAAAGGAGAGGACCAACAGGAAAGTTTTCTACTTCACTTTCTGTCTTTGCCTACCAGCTCCCTTCTGGCAACGGGAATGGCTACTTCTACTTTCAGTTTTCTGAGTTTACAATTTGCTCTTCCATTCCCTGGAGCCAAGATGTTTAAAAAAGAAAATCAGTGAGTGGGACAGTATTGAGAACTGTTTCAAAAAGATTATTATCCTTATTATACTCTCAGTGACTTCTCATTTTCCTAAGAACAAACTGCTTGATCAGGGCCGCCTCCTCCTTCCCTTATCTCAGTAATATTTCGCCCACATTCTGATTATTAGCTATGTTGACTTTCTGATTTTCTTAGAAGTACTTAGAAAGACATAGGTCTTTCTCTTTACCTCATGTACTCTTCAATCCCCCTCAACCAATAAGATAGATGCGAGGGTACTTGTACTTGATACTTTTTGTGACATTCCTTTCCTTGTTCTACATCTTTAAAACATGTGTCAGCCTCTATAAGGCATACCTCAGTAAAAAGTTAGGTCTATCTAGTTAACCATGCTCTGTCTCTCCATTAAACATTCTTTAGTACATGTTGATGGATAAAGAACATTAAATTAGACAGTGAAAGTAAATGTGCTTTCTACTCTGTTGAAGCATTAGCTGGGTTAATATGGGCCAGTATAGAAACCAGCAAGAGTGGGCTCTGGCTATGTCCATTTGGCCAAGCAGACTGTAAAACAGAATCTAAAAGATGCATTGCTAATGCTCTCTGTGACAAAAAAGGATAACTTATTATATAAGTATAAATTCACTGAATCTCCAAAGACAATTTAATAATTTCTATTGCAGATGTTTGAGGTATGACATTATATAATCTCCAGTTACATCTTTCTGTGAGATTCTGGAATTTAGGTTAAAGATCACCAAAAGTTTGGAAGTGGCATTCTCTAAAATTAATGAGTGGCTGTGGTGTAGATCATGAGGTCAGGAGATCGAGACCATCCTGGCTAACACGGTGAAACCCCGTCTCTACTAAAATACAAAAAATTAGCCGGGTGCGGTGGCGGGCGCCTGTAGTCCCAGCTACTCAGGAGGCTGAGGCAGGAGAATGGCGTGAACCCGGAAGGCGGAGCTTGCAGTGAGCTGAGATGGCGCCACTGCACTCCAGCCTGGGCGACAGAGCGAGACTCCGTCTCAAAAAAAAAAAAAAAAAGGATCTGATAATTTTCAGCTGGCTATGTATTGCCTTAATAAATTCTGTCTCATGCTGTGATTTCAGCCACTTGGGATGAGCTTTTATGATTAAACACTTTTCCCTCTGATTCAAATTCATTTTTTAAAAACGTATTTTTACTACCTTCTACAGATTTATGTAGAGATCCTGTGTTTTGTAAATTTGTATTTTGATTTATGCAATGTTAAAACTGGTCAGAGGTGGTTAAAATAGGGAAAATATCCACCCCTAGGTTTGGGCTTGACTGAAAATGAGAAAGAGCTGGAGGTATTCAGCGAAATAGTTTCCTTATACATATCCATTCGAATTATAAAGAAAGAAGGCAAAAGAAAAAAGATGATGTACCAAATAGCTGTAGAAGTTGACCAAAACAGAATCCTTACAACCTAAAAATGGGGAGTCAAGAAGTGTTAAGAAGACAATTATCGCCTGTAATCTAAATATCAATTGACTGTGCGTGGAAACTAATGAATTTATAAACTATGAAAATGAACTATCACTTCTGCGATGAGTGAAAATGGTACATTAATTCATTTATTCATTTATCCATTCATTCAAAAATTAAGAACGCGATAGGTGATAGGCACTGGCGTTGCAGTAAAAAACCTATGAAAAATTAGACACAAAATAAAGAAACACATGGATAAAAAAATACCTAAAGATTGTGTTAGGTTCCATAGGAGAAATAAGCAGATGTTTTGGTAGAGAAAACATACATTCAGAGGTGGAAAATCTATCCTAGATAGAATGGTCAAGAAACAACTCTCCCAGTGTGTGACATTTCATAGGAGATCTGAAATATAAGAACCATGGGAAGTGGTCTAGGCAGTGGTGAGAGTGGATACAAAGAATCTAAGGCTGGAAAATCTTAGTGTCTTCCAAGAACACAAAGAACAGTGCAACTGAAGAAAAAGCCAGGGGGTAGAGTGATAGGTAGAAATCCAGACAGAATCCAAATCATGTAGTATCTTATAGACCAGAATAGTGAGCTTCCATTTTATATTAACATGACAATAAGCATTGAGAGGTTTTAAATGGGAAAGTGATGTTATCTGAATGATCTTTCAAAAAAAATTTTTTTTGTGGATTAATTAGAGGAACTGGAAAAATATTCAGACTATTTAGAAGACTGTTATAATAAAACAAGCTGAAGATGATTGGAGCTTGGACTAGAGAACTGCAAGGGAGCAAAGGACTGAATTTACATGTATTTTGGAAAAAGTCCTGGAAAACTTGTTCATTGAGTACATATGGTTTCAGAGAAAGAGAGGAATTAAAGATGGTTCTTGGCTCGAGCAAATGATGGTGACATTATAAAAATGGGAAATAACTTGAGGGGAGAGCTGTAATTCAGATAGTCTGATTAGTTGGTTGCTTGGTTTTTTGTGTGTGTGTTTTTGTTGTTGTTGTTGTTTGTTTTCTTTTTCAGTAGAGGGTTTTTGTTAAATCTTTAAAACGTCATAAATGGATTTGAGGAATCAGCATTTTGTTTCCTAAGCTGGACAACTTTTAGGCTTTACTTCTCAGGGGGCTAAACTGTTCCTTTTTCAAAGATGTAGATACCATCCACAATTTTCCTGATTTCTGTTTTTAACTGTTGTGGCTTGCTGAATCAAAGCAACAGACTTTGATATAAGTTCAATGTCATTTTCTTCCAGAATTAACTCATTTTTCTGGGTTTGAGATATTAAACAAGCAACACCCAGCCTCACCTGAACCTTGTGGATGCATTTTTCACTAAGAAATTTTGAATTTCAACAAGAGACCCATTCTCCTGAAAAATGACATTGATGGGAAAGTAAGCATGCACAGATCTCTTCTTGTAATGGAAGCTCACTGTAACACGTTGATCAAGCTCTGTGGATGGCCACAGATAGTGTGCACTGTAGCCAGTTTCTTTCTATTTCCCTGCCATTTGTCAAGCTGGAGCCTCTACCTTTCTTCCCCCCATCCACCAAAGAGACCGAGTTCTATATTCACATAATTAAAGTCCCTCAACAGAGTTTCTCAGGGCCCCTTCAAAATAACTAGGCCTTCCTTAAGAGTGATGTCAACATTCTCCGGAATGCCAGCAGTCTGATTACTGAGTATGATCGTTATTCTTGCAGATGTGGCAAAACTCTCAGATGATCTGTTTTGACTATATTATGCTTGAATTAACCTAAGGGAGACGTCAACAAGACAGATAAATGTGCCTGACTGGAGCGCAAAAGAAGAGAACTGGATAGAAGATATAAATTTGGAAGTCATTAACGTATAAGAAAATATTAATGGTCATGGGACAAGGTAAGATCATCTAATTGTCAGCTGTTAGAGATCAGGGGTAAGTCTCACATGTGGAAAAAACCTAAAAAGTCTTTGGATACAATCTGAAACTTAAACTATGTTTGCCTGAAGAGATTATCATAGAGGAGCAAACTGTACCAAATTTGGGTTTTGTTTCTTGATTCATTTATGCCAGAAATTCATTCTGAGGCAGAATAGGGAATTCGTATAAATGGGGGTTAAGGGATAAACTAAACAACAGCAGGTGCAGCCAGTTCTTGGCAAGAATGGTCGCATACAGGCCACAACCTCGTGCCTGTGATAAGGAGACAGAAGTTTCCACTTCAGCCTCTAATTGAATGTGAGCCAAGCATCCACTTCAGCCTCTGATTGGTCATAGGGTGTAACCATTTGGAGGCCTCTAAAGGGCACCTGTTGCCAGTTCTTTTGGCTTTATAAAAACCCTGAGGAGCAATGCAGTCGGGAGCTCTTAGAGCTGTTTTCTTGCGCTTTCTCCCCTTCTGAATTATCTTGAATAAGTTTGTGCTTTCTTTACTCAGTTCTTTTGTTGCTGTGTTTATCCTCCTTTGCTTTTATCTTTTGCTACTTTGTGAATTTTGTTCTAATTTTTTATTCAAAATGTTAAGAACTTGGATAATTCTATCTAGTAACATATTCCTTTTAGTTATTTTAGACCATTTTCTTCAAAGAAGCTTCTGTAATTCTAAAACTTACTACTATTTTCAAGAATGAATTAGCATGTTAGTGATTTTGGAGATTTACATGAAGATTTCATTAGAGCACTTCAAAAACTAAGAGAGCTGGCTAAAGTTTTTACAAAATTAAGGTGTTGAATGACAGAAATAGTTTGCCCAAAAACTGTTCAGGGTGATTGACCTGGAACGTTAGAAATGTAATGTTTTTGAACTTAGACATTACAGTTGAAACAATTGTTCAGTTAGAAAACATAGGATACTTATCCATGTAATACCTTTTCAAAAAATTTCGGAGGTTTTAAACATGCTTAAAACTCAAGTGGTCTGGAAATCAGTTTGAAATCAGTCAAACTGGATTTGTAACCTAGGCTTATCAATTCCCAGGATTGTGATTTTGGAGTCTTCATGTCTGTCACTTGTGAAATTGCATAATGTTGGAGTAGGCAGAGAACCAGACATGAGCAGGAGAGGAAAGCCCTTGAGAAAGGGGAGGTCTGGAAAAATCTCGCAGCCCAGAGATCACCTGAAACCTGCATACTATATGCATGAATAAAGAGGAGGGAAAATATCCATGCAGAAAGGAATG
This sequence comes from Homo sapiens, assembly GCF_000001405.40. Classification (NCBI taxonomy): domain Eukaryota; kingdom Metazoa; phylum Chordata; class Mammalia; order Primates; family Hominidae; genus Homo; species Homo sapiens. The sequence goes on along the minus strand of NC_000007.14, from coordinate 8,937,319 downwards.
CCCAGTAAGATGCCCCATAGTCATTCACTCTGCACTTAACCTGTCAGAATGGAGCTAGCTACATGCCGAACAAGAGGCAAAAGGCAAAGTTATAAGGGATAATGCAGGTGCTAGTTGTATCTGACAGGAGACCCACACATGCACCCTAATAGTGGTAAGGGAGGGTCCCACAAGCCTGGATTGAGAAGTCCATGGGGGAAAGGAAGGAGACTTAATGTAGGAGTGGAAAAACTAGATCGAGAAACAGTTTTAAGACACAAGTAAGAACTTCAAGATTTTGACATCATAAAAACCCAATGCGGAACTCTCAGGGGCTGCAGCTGGCCCACTCCCTTTAAGTACCTGGCTCTGACTCATCTTTTCAGAGTTATACTGTTGCTTTAAGCAAACTCTCTGCACTCTACTTTCCTTCAATAAATTCTCTTTTTTGGTTAAATCACTTGGCAGAACTTTCTCCAAGTAAGACTAAGAATTGAGGATTCCTGCACTTCCTGGTAACAACATAGAATATAAAGAATTGTAGTTATATTATTCCACATGGAGATTTTCCTATGTTAAGCATATCTAGAAAATTGATAACTTCACAGTAGTTCATTTACTGAAAGTTCTAGAATCCTTTTCTATTATCCTCTTGTTGAATATTTAGAATATTTTCATTGTATATTAATGTATGCTTTGTTGTGACTCTTAGCCCAAGGTATTACGCAGAAATTCTATATTCCCCTATTCACTTGCCTCCTCTCTTAATGGATATTGCGTACCCTCTAGTCTCCTCTCATACCTCCAAGACCTCTTTCCCCTCAGTTTGACTTTGCTTCTTATGCTAAAAACAAAGAAGAAAAATTTTTAAAAAGTAATCAGAAGACTGTCCCCAGCTGCTACACTCCTATCTACTCACCTGTTTCTACATTGCCTATATATTCTGCTTTTACTTCTCTTGCTTTGATTGAACAACCTGTGTTCTCATTGAAGGACATCACTTCCACTCGTGCACTTGCTCAAACACAGCACTTTTAATTTTTTTTTCTTTTGGGTATTATCCTTTTCCCCTCCTGACCAAATTGTTCAATAGCATACAAGCATCCTGCTATTTCTCCTATGTGAAAAAGAAATTTAAAGAATTCTCAATACCACCTCCTTTTGCTACCTTCTATTCTCTCCTTCAGAGAAAAACTTCCAATTTTCTTTATGAACCATCTACAGTTTCTTCATTTTCTCCTGAATTCATTCCAATCAGGATTTTTACCCCATATGCCACTAAGATGTTCCTCAAGGTTATCGATGATCTCCACATTGTTGTAAGCTGGCCGGTAAATTCTTCTCAATCTTACCTACAAGAGCTGCAGCACTTAACTTGACTGACCTTGTTTATTGAGGCATCAAAGATTTCATGTGTCCTGGTCTTTCTCATTTAGCTGCTCTTTATCATTGCCTTTTGCTGATTTTACCATATCTGCGTGACCTCCAAAATCTGAAAAGCCTCAGGTGTAACCTCTGAACCTCTTTCTCCAGCATCACTGCCCTGTGATCTCATCCATGCTGTGTAATACCACCTACATGCCAAAACCTCCCAAATTTACGTTAGTAGCTAAGGTCTTCTTGCTGAACTCTAGACTTAAATGTGCAACTGTCTACTGTACCTATTTGTTGGATGTGTTAGGTGTCTGAAGACCAAACTCATGATCTGAATCTCTAAATGTGCTCTTCCCACAATCTTTCAACTAAGTAAATGACGGTTCTTTCCCATTGCTCAGGTGAAGTTGATCATTCTTTTAGCCCCTTTTCCTTTCGGCATGTTTGTTGGCTCTACTTTCAATATATGCAGCATCTAAATATTTCTAATCACTTCCACTACTAACTGGATACAGGCCTCCACTATGTCTCAGTTGGATTATAGCCTTCTAATTCAGAGATGTGCAAACTGTTTTCTGTATTTAGAGTTAGATCTACAGTTGTTTTAGATACAATAGGCCACAGGATCTTTGTTTCAACTACTTAATTCTGCCACAATGTGAAAACCGCCATCAACACTATGCAATTAAATGAGCATGTCCATGTCCCAGTAAGGCTTCATTTACCAGAACAGGCAGTCCAGATTAGATCCTAGTACTGGAGTTTGCCAGTATCTGCTCTACTTTATCTCCCTGACTCTTACCTTTCTTTCCTGGTGTACATTCTCAACAGAAGAGCCACTGTGGCCATTTCAAAATAAAAATCATAGCACATGATGCCTCTACTCAAAATGTCCCATGCTGCTCAATTCATTCAGTATAAACCCAAAATCCTTAATATGGCATACTGAGCTTCTAAGAAGTATGTTTGCCTCGTTTTTTCTTGCTGTGTTCCAGATACATTGACTCTCCTGTTCTTCGAACTTACCACATGCATAAGGGCATTTGTACTTCAAAGCTCAGAACAACCCATAAAACTGCAGAGCTCATTCTCCACCTTCCTTAGGTCCTTGATCACATGTCAAATTTTCAGTGAGGCCTTTCTTCCCTGAGAAAGTACAACTAATCTCCCAAAATGTTGCATCCTCTTTTCCTGCTTTGTTTTCCTCCATAGAAAGTTTTAACACCTGCTGTCATGCTTTAAAAAAAATGTATTTTTAAATAACAGATGCTGGTGAGGCTACAGAGAAAAAGGAATGCATATATACTGCTGGTGGGGAATGTAAATTAGCTCAGCTTCATGGAAGGCAGTTTGGTAGTTGTTTAAAGTTTTTTGAGAAATCGCCATTCAGCCCAGCAATCCCATTATTGGGTATAAACCCAAAGAAATGAAAATTATTCTATCATAGAGACACACGCACACATGTTCATTGCAGCACTATTCACAATCGCAAAGACATGGAATCAACCTAGCTGCCCATTAACACACTGGATGAAAAACGTGGAACACATACACCAGGGAATACTGCACAGCCATAAAAAATGACATTATCCTTTGCAACAACATGGATGGAGCTGGAGGCTCCAATACACTGCATACAGTTAGTTTTGACTAAATAGATGTCAAAAAAATTATTATAGATACATCAAATTCTAACTTCTCAACATGTGCAGAAAGTGAAGGCTCTCAACAATGCCTTAAAAAAAATAGTTCAAATACAACAGTGCTGTCAACTAAATATTTGTATGTATTTAAAATAATTGCTAATTGGTGTATTTTTTCTGCTTCATTTAAGACACTGGTCACATAACCACCCCACAGCTTAAAAAATAAAAATAAAACATTACTAACACTATTAAGAGTTCTGTGTCCATGTCACTAATTGCATCTCTTTTCCTTCTCTCCAGAAGAAATATTTTTCTCAATTTAGCTTTATTACATTTTTGTATCTTTCTGGAACCAGCAGGAAGGACATCACTCAGGAGTGTGCTAACAATGCATATTCTCAGGCCTCTCTCCAAACTTCATCAGACTCAGCATTTTAACAAGATCTCCAGGCAATGTGAATGCAAATTAAGCTTAAGAAGCACTACTCTTGAGAGCATCTTTCTATAAGCAATGAAACATAAAGGAATTATTTCCTCTATATGAGCTAGTCTTTCTTTACACTTTCCCTTAATCACTCTCCAATGTTACTTTAGAGGCCTGCATGGAAAATGGACCATTAATTTAAGTAAGATGGAATTATATAATACATAAAAACAGGCTGTTAGAAGAGGAAAGGGCCTTGGAGAGCATCTTCTCCTTGAATTCCTTCACTTTACAGATTCAGGAAATCAGGGCCAAAAAGGTCATCTGCCTTCACGAAGGTAACTAACGGCTAAACCAAGAATATGTCAGGCCCCCTGATTTTGATACCCTAGCTATTTTAATTCTATGTTGCTTTCTTCCAGAAGAATTTAATCCACAAATGGGATTTTTACTAAAAACTTGGCTCTTAATTTATATAGTTTTTTTCATAGTAAAGTCAAGTTGTTATTTAAGAAATCCACTGTGCTATTCAAATGTTATACCATCATACTTTCAAAAAAGGGACTAATTAAAAACATGAACTAGACTGCCCTATAATCTAGAAGAATATTTTTAATCTATTTTTCAGGATAATTACTCAAAATCAATCACTGTCAATTTGTAACAAGAGTTAGGAAATATTAGTGATATTTCAGGGTTCAATTTCTTTTCAAGATTAGCAGATAAAATCAATCCAGCAACTGGAAATTGCATTACAACTACTTCTAAATGGAGTTTAGCGGCATCATTTTACATTCCATGTCCTTTGGTCTCCAATGCTCAATTTTGTGTGTGAAAAATAATGCACAGTGAATTCAAGATGGTATTTGGGAACTAATTACAGCCCCTTTCAGCTTTCCTAAAGGAGGCTTTCTTAGCACCAGCAAATGCCTTCCTTTATTTCTTTGCTTTTTGTCTAGTCAAAAAGGAATGGCAAGCAACTGAATCTTGTATGATTCTCTTTTGAGTTGTAAAAGAGAATAAGAAAGGAATGTGCCAGTAAAGCAATGATATGGTGAATTTACGCATTATAATCCACTCTTCTGTAAGACTTACTTATTAAACAACTTAACCTATTCTGCCCCTCTGCCCTAATAACTGTGAAATCACTTAGCATAGTGCCTAGCATAGGGGTTCTAAATACTGTTTTTATAAACCCTAAACCATAACATAGGCATTTCCCCTATGTGTTAGTCAGATTTATAAAATTCAGTCAATTTCTTCAGAAAACATCACATAACTCAACATAACTGTTTTTACTTGGAAATTGTGTAATAATGTCAGTGAGGACACAATTTTAAGAGGAACCCAATTGAGTGAACTCTGATTGTGTGATGGGGGGAAAAAACTGCTGACTCATGGTCCGTCTGACACTTTTTCTGGCCAAATGCCTCATTATATAAGAATTTCTTCTGTAGTATGGCCACTTGCTATTGAAACTTTTATCTCAGTGCTCACAGTGACCACAAATGTCACAAAGAACAGTGCAAGCACAGTGGATTACCAAGTATTTGCAAGAGACAGACATGACTCAGTTGGTCTAAATGACTCTAGAGGAACTGCTCTTGAGATAGCGGTAGATAACCATTTGATAAATACTTTAGTCTAATCAAAGCCTCAATTTCTTCTCTAAACTGAGGATTAAAATATCTACTTCAGAAGGTTTTGGGAAGGGGAAAATGTGATGGTATTGGAAAGTCTCATAGCATGTACCCGACACAAGTGAGGCGTGCAACATTACTCATATGTTTTATCCTGTTAGATGCCAGGCTGGTGACGTTTTGTGTATGTTCCTAAACAGTAAAAACCAGCGTCTGGCAACCTTCATTCAATCCATACCGATTTACATGCCCCCAAAATATACCAGCCTGATAATGGGCAGAATTGCCACAAATGGTGGTTGGCAATTGAAAGGGTAACAGCTTTTTAATTATCTAGTTGTATGCTTCGAAATGTTTGGAATGCAGGATGGCGAATGCCACAGGAAACTAGAATTCTGGTGACTTAATTGCAAAGATGAAAAAAATTACCAGAGTTTGTCTTGACATAAGGGATTTTTTTCATATGAAATGATCAATTGTTAATGTACAGTATCAGACTTTGGAAGTACAAAGTACCCGTAATTTTGTAAAATAGATAAAAACAAATTCTCCAATACTGGATTCAGCTACTTTTTATGCGCCTACATTTCACTTAATTGAGCGAGAAAGACATAATATTTAATGTTTTTGATCAATACAGGCATTAGAATAATCTGGTCAAAAGTTCATACTGGGAAAGTTCGTAGCCTAACAAAACAGTGAAATATTATTGAGATCTTTGGGAGTGTGTTCTCAGGCTGTGCAAGTACCATGAATTTAATTCAGTAAAACATTTTTATTTTGCTAAATTTATTCTCTGCTGCTGAGAATTTCAACAGGATGCACTTGAACTTTCAGCACACTACAAAAATCAAAGCATTAGACTCTACAGCATATAGAATTAAGGGCTGGGTTAAATTAAAGGCATAATGCCTGCTCCACATTGGACACTTGGAGACTTGAAAAATTACATCATAAATAGTATTTTAATTGTACTATGGCCCCCAGGTGAAGAGAAAATAATTACTTCATACGAAAGGGGTAAAAACAGTGTATAAAAGAGAACTTTGGGAAGATGAGAATTAGTTTACTAGGGCTGCCATAATGAAATTCCACAGACTGGGCAGCTGAAATAGCAGAAATTTATTTCTCATGGTTTTGGAGGCTGGAAGTCCAAGATCAAGGTGTCAGCAGGTTTTTTTTCTCCTGGAGCCTTTTTTCTTGTCTAGCTAATGCCTGTTTTCTGGCTATGTCCTCATGTGGCCTTTTCTGTCCTTTTCTCTGTATTCAGGAATGCCTGGTGACACCAGTCATGCTGGATTAATACCGCACCCTCTGGGCCTCATTTTAACTTAGTCATCTCTTTCAATGCCTTATTTGCAAATATAGTCGCATGAATTAGGGCCTACCTATATAATCTCATTTAATCTCAATTACTTTTTTTAAAAGTCCTATTGACAAACAAAATCACCTTCTGAGGTACTGGTATTGGGACTTGAACATAGGATAACTTTTGTCCCCCCTCCAAATTCCTATCACCAAACTCTTCTGCATATAGCTAGTTCTTATTTCTTGCTGTGATTTTACTACTATCAAATAGATTTCCCTTTAAAAACGTAGCTAATTAGGACACTGGAGTGTTTTGTTACATATGTATTACTGTAGTATCACTCTTAAAGGTCTGTAGGTTGGCCATTGATATGAGATGTTTTATTTTTGCTGGACCTTTATACTGTGACTACAATTTTCACAAATCTTTACTTGGATCCCAAATGAGGTGTTTAGTCTTATCCTCTGCTGGTAACTTCGTCCCAAGTCTCCTTTATAATTTTCATTGGATCAGATTATCAGGTTCAAATAGTTTAGCAACTCTTCTGAATCAAAGGATAGAATGAAAACTCTTGTTATAAAAATGTAATTGATACTGTTACAGAAATACAGAATATGTGGGTTTCTCAACAAATACTTAGTTGATCTTTCGATTTCACTTTACATAAAAGTCCTTTAAGTATAAAAGTAATATACAAAACAGCAAATTGACTTAATAGTCTGCAGCCCGAATAGTGAATCTTCTAATTCCTTTTGCAACTAAATGAATAATTTTAGGTCTCTGCTGCCTCTGGAGAAAGAGTCATTTGGATGTTAGAGGCACGGCAAACTCTGTACAATATTTGCATTGCCTTGGTTAAGTAGAGCCACAAAGTAGTTTCATATGTAATCATTTTATATTTCCAGTCTTCTTCCTAATACTCTGCCTATGAACTTCCTTTTCTAGCCCATTTCGATGTGATAAGACACCACATGTCCTTGAGGGTGCCTCTTTTATGCAAATCTGTGTCCCGGTATCTCAAAGACAAGATGGGAGCTTCTTTGCCTTTCCCAAGTATGTTTTATAAAACATCTACTTCTGCTATATTTTATCATCTACTTCACTTTTAAATCAATATTCTCTTCATATTAAAAATATTTACAACTAAAATTTTTTAATAGAAAGAAAACTTATTACAAGAATCCACTGAGAAACAGTAAGGATCAAGTTGAGATTTTTTATAGGATTAAATTAAATGATCACAAATATTTCAAGACATAATTGAATATAACCTTGCAAGCATCGATTTTTTTTTTTTTATTTTTTGCCTGAGATCATGAATTTTCTTAAATGGGAAGAATATTTTTATTCTCTTACTTACAAGTGGTCTTTCGGTTGTAAATAATAGAAACTAAGCCAAAAAGTGAAGATATTTGTAGGATACTCTGTGGTTCACAGAATTGAAGAAAGAGTTTAGCATTTGGTGTTAAGAAGCCACGGGAATCAGGGCAGCTCTGGAGAATGTAATCTATTAGAAATTGACTTGAACAGAGAATGCAAATGCTACTAAAATTGAAATTTGCTAAATATTACCAGATAATATTAAGATATCATAAAGACTTATGGCAGAAGGATGAGAAAACAAGCATCCCTTACCTGAAATGCTGTAAAATGACCCATTGCTTAGCTCATTGGGAGCACAAGATAAAAAATAAAATGAAAATATTTATCCCATGAAAGTACTGCCAAAATAAGCACGGATCACAATGATGGCTCAATTTTCTAAGTTTTTCCTCTACCTTTCAAATCCTACATAGTAGAAATAAATCTTTGGAAAATTTAGTGGTTAAAGTGAACTCAACAGCTCCTATACACGTTTAATAAATGTTTAAAATATAAGAAATCACCCAACAAAGAAGACGAAAAACATTGTTCTCAACTTGGTTTATTACATTCAGAATGAATCTTATTCTTCATAAAACAAACCTCATGTTTACCCAAACCAATACTTACATCATCAAGTGCATATCCTAATATTTATAATCCAGCAATTAAGTCTACCTACGAACTTCCCCTCCATATCCAATTGAATGTCATATAAAAGCACACATTTATAAGACATTACAAAGAGTATATTTTATATAAAAAAATAAAGGACCCAATATGTGACCCTGGGAAGAATAAAACGAAGCACAAAAAAATGAGCCAAAATAAGTAAAATTTTAGTTGAAGAACATTTCTGAAACTGAAGATTTTGAACCCGAGGTTTTAAAAGGGCAAAAGCAAATCATATGCAAACATGCTGTAAGAACATGCTATTCTGTTTAGCTGCTGCTTTAGTAACACTCAACTTCAGAACACAGAGTAATATCTTTCAAATTCTGAGAAAAGAAAGAGCAACAAGAAACTTACATGTAGGCACTTTCTTACCAGAATAAAATATTTTACAGCAAGCTTCAACACTGGAAATACAGCAAATATGAAACTTCTATTTGATGATAAACTACATCAGACTAACAGACTAATCAAACTGAAGAATCCAGGAATTCATATGTCATGATAATAGATCTTGAACACATGTAACCATCTATTACATAACTAATACTCAACTGTGTAACTATAAAACTAATAGTAAATGTGGGGGATGAAGTTTCCATACCTGTAAATAACTGGTATATATCTTGACAATATAAAAATAAAAATATAACTACATAATATAGAGAAAAAAAATTCGTCAATTTAATATAGCCTAAAATGCACACATAATGTTGAAAGAAACACATATAAGGGTCTCCATAATATTGCTTTTGTAAGTTGATATATTTCTTTAGGTGCATATATCATTTGTTATAAAGAAATATTTATCAGAAATTTATCAGAAATCCTGTGACTTTTATGTTCCTTTCGTAAAATACATTTTATTTAACAGTTTATATTAAAATCATGTATAATACAACCCAGGTTTTAAAATATAAAGGCTGTCAGATATAATTTTAACAAAGATAAGCCTGGAACAATGTTACCCAATTGTTACCAATGATTGTACTTCAGAGAGATTTTCTTTTTTTGTTTTTTCTTTGCACATTTTGGGGCTACTTTGACTTTTTAATAACTACATATAATTTTAAGAAAATATCATTCTTTCAAAAATGTATTCTACATCATATATGTAAGATCTAAAAATATTAACTCATAACTAAATTGGAGAAAAATAGTATCTATGTTAAAGTTGGCATGAAGATTAATTGTAAAACTCGAACAGTCCCTAGCATATTGTAAGCATGCAATACGCATTAGCAACTCCTCCAACTAGTCATATTTATACTAGTAAGTTTATTTTTACATAAATGAGAATTTGATAAATTATAATTTGTAAGCACTACTAACATTTTCTCCCTAGAAAATGGAAATAGCAGTAACTACTGGGGAATTATTATGAAGGTTAAAAGAAATTATGTAAATGCAAATGATGGGCAGTTATCTAGGCTAATCCTAATGAATTCAGTCTTTCATACCACTTCATTGTACCCATTTTTATTTAGGGTAAAGTATTGTTCTAGGGACTGAAGACACAGTGGTGAACAGGACAGATATGCTCATGGACATTCAAGATTTCTTATAGTTAAATTTTTGAGTGGTAAACATTTTAATGTCTAATGTCCTGATTAACATATTTAATATATTCTAATATTGACTGAAAGAATTGAAATGTTAAACATTTTTATTCACTTGCATTATTCCATAAATTAATTCAGATATAATTTTTAGACATAATTAACTGAAAACTTCAGTAAGTTTTTAATACTGATTCAAATAGAGTTTTGACCTAAATCTTCATGTGATCCATAAGACATCATGGTTACGGCAATGCTAAAGAAAGGAGTTGTCATTCTGGGCAACATAATGAAACTTCAGTTCCACAAACAAAAAAAATAGTAAGCCAGGCTTGGTGGCATGTAGCTGTAGTCCTAGATTCTCGGGAGGCTGAGGCTAGAGGATCGCTGGAGCCCAGAAGTTCAAGGTTACCGTGAGCTACGATTGTGCCACTGCTCTCCAGTTTGGGTGACAGAGTGAGACGGTCTCAAATAATAAATGGAAAAGGAGTTGTAAGATCAAAAGATCCTCATTGATCGTTCAATAACCAGTGACTTCCCAATAGAAGCCATCGCATGTTCTTACTATGACTTCATCATTTTTCGACAAATTCTTTCAGCATTTTGTAGATTAACAAATTAGGGCAATGCATTCCTTTAGTAAAAAAGGCATAATATGGAGTAAAAGATTCTGAAATAAATTACTAAATGTATAATGTCAACCAAAAAATCGTAACAATGAACACATTTCCTAAAAATTATATTTAATAATGGGTATAAATAGAGTCCTTTTAAGGGCCAAATTTGTTACCTTAAATAGGTAGAGTTTTGGATAATATAGCTGAAATCTTAAGCTAAATGTTTGTAAATCTTAAGCTAAATGTTTTCAAACACTCACAAATATGACAAGAGAATTATGTTTTAAATGTTTGTCTTAAGTATTACTAAAAAGTCCAAGATTGTTAGACATGATTCACATAAATGCTTCACTATATTTACAATTTTGGGAAATTGTTTCTTGTAATTACAATTCTCCACTAAACCTTAGATTTTAAGAGTGTTATTGAGTATGTTTGTAAATTTTTATAGACTAATTCTGATATTGTACACTAATGTCTACTCTAGAATTTTTTTGGAATGACAGTGATAAACTGGTTCTAGTGAAGATGTGTCCCCAATCCAGTATGGGAAATTATATTTCACTTGGGTGGTCAAAAAAGTGTTAGAACTGGGTTAACTAATATAAACTAAGGTGCCTTTAGGTGAACAGAGAATCAGGAATATGCAAAGCCAACAGTAGAATGTCTTGTCATACCAGGTAAGTAAGTATCACAAGGACAAAACTAGCAATAAGAGGAGCCTTTATCACAATGCTCTAGGTGAAAAAAAGATGTAGCAACGAGACATTGAAATCCAGGCAGTACAAATTGCCTCTGAAGCAACTCTGCTGAGGCCGGAAGGGAACATGTTTACCGAAATCAAAATGTCCAGACTGGAAAAGGCTTGACACTCAAATGTCTCTGATGGGAACACAGGTAAAGATTTTCTGAACACCGAATTAATATACATAACAAAACTTACAAAGAAACTTGCTGATACGTTGTGAGTCTCGCACAAGTGAATTTGCCCTTCAGAACTTTAATATGAATGCGCAAAAAAGATTTCCCTCCAGGAATGTTCAATGGGAGTGCTGATCAGACATTTCTCTAAATAAGAGCAACCACAATAGTCAAAAAGGCAATTGGCTAATTACGGTAAAAGCATGGAATCCTAAGAACTACTCTTTTGAAACACTTCAGTGAATTATATGTTCACACACACACACATGAATATAAAAAGATAGCTGCCATATATAATGAAAACAGGTTGTACAATTATTTATAACATGATACATATATACACACAAACATCATATAATGTATATCTATAATATATATATAATTTATGTTACATATGTATATGTGCTTTGGCCTGAACATTAGCATTCCTCCGGAGTTTACATGTTGAAACTTAATCCCCAATGTGGTAGAGGTGCAGGATTTGGGAAGTGATAGTCATTAGGGCTCCATCCTCCTGAATGAGATTTATGTCCTTATATAAGAGGTTAGAGAGAGTGTGTTTGCCCCATCCACCATGCGAAGACATACAGAGGGCACCATCCATGAAGACCAGGCCTTCACCAGACATTGGACATTGTCAAACCAGACATTGCCTTGATCTTGGACTCCACAGCCTTGAGAACTGTGAGCAGTAAAGTTTTTATAAATGACTCAATCTAAGATTTTGCTATAGCAGCCCAAATTGACTAACATAAAAGGCCATGCATGTGCAAATATTATATATGTATAAATACAGATACAGATATGTACAGATAAGCAATATCTACCTATTTATTCCATACTATCTGAGAAATCACCCTATGGCTATCCTATTTCAGGCTCAGATGAAGCTTGAGTCAGGATACAAAACTTGTAAGTTTCCACCAAAATCCATTCCATAAAGCTTTAGGTAACTTTACTCAAGATATTGTGGGGAAATAAAGGGGAAAACATTACACACAGTGTAGCAAAATAATTTTATAACCTCTATGGAACATTTTGGGGGTTTTTTTGCCCAATTTTCTTATCTGTCACTTGCTCTTCTCTCATTCTCTCACCCTCTCTTGCTCCCACCTTTCCTCATATTAGTCTTCTAAATATTTTTTCCTAAACAATTCTCATTCCCAGGAACAATGGATATGAAGAAATTACTCTTTATAACGGGTTCCTGGGGAAAATAAGTTTCAATATATTTTGTGTATGAATATATATATTTTAAAATTACATCATGGTATTCACCAAGCTATTGATAGTAGTTGTGGGAGTTACTTCTGGGGAGTAAGCCTGAGAGAAGGAAGACTCATAATCTCTGTGTTCATATATGTCTGGTTTGATCAAATGCTTTATAATGAGTTTTTAAGATATTTTGTGTAAAATAAATACTTTAATCCACCCTCTGCACTCACCTGGGCCACTTTTTTATGCTTCTTCCTGGTCTTCCACCTTTAATCTTACATCTTCTTATATATTCTTAACAATGAAACCAGAATGATTATTTCAAAATGCAAAAGTTATAATAATGTTGCACACACTTATACTCCTAAATGAATTGGTTTCATATTAGGACAGAACTTAGGCCTTTTAACAGAACTTACAGGCTTCTTATGCGTTGCTGTTCTCATCTTTTCTCTCTAACCTCATCCAATACTATTCTTTTGGCATATTTTTCTTTAAAGAACAGATTTTCTTTCTTCAATAATATTTAGTGAACTTTTTTCTATTACCAAAATGTGTCTTTTTCTTTCAAATTCCCCTACCTCTTGTGTGAATAACTTCTATTTAATCTTCAAAACTACAATTGAACACTGCTTTTACTATTTTTCCCGTAAACTCACATGTCTCAGTTAAGTTCTCTCCAAATGTTTCTGTAACACAATGAATTTTTGCTCTTATTGCACTTAAGATGTTAACTTTTTTCTACATTTTTCTATATGATAAGCACCTTGAGAAGAGCCATCAAATGTGCTTTATTCATTGCAGCATACGAAGTGCTTGGCACATAAGTGTTAAAAATATGTTTAAATAATTTGGTAAGAGAACTCAATGTCCATTATTTAGGAAATAATTAACAGATGTGCTATCAGCAAAAAAAGTGGTAACTTGTATCAGACTGACCTTCTCACCAATAACAAATACAAATATTGAAAAATACAAAAACATTTCTTAAGCAGCATAGAGGAACAACTAAGGCATTCAGTACTCAGGAGATTAAGGCCCTAAAGTAAAAAAAGAAAACGTATTAAAGAGAGCCCTGTATTCAACACTGCTTTTTTCCCTCAGGACATTTTTTTTTTTTTTTTTTAAATCTGCATTGGAGAGCATAGATTTCAAACAGAAAGTTGTGGTTTGGAGCATGGGAATGTCTTACTGGGTTAAAAAGTCAAAAGTTGGAGTCTGAGGCTACCAATGAAGCAAGAAAGATAGGAGCTGAGATTAGAGAGAAAAAACAAACATGAAAGTCCAATATTTCTTAATTCTCTCTAAGAGCATTTGGGGATTCCTAAGGCACACATACACAGAGTGTTTAAAAGATGGCTGCAAAGAGACTAAAAATCTAAAAAGAGACTTTGGAAATATGGTGTTGATGAGACACAAATCAAAGTGTAAAATTCACCAAAGAAGAACGTTGCTAAATGCTCTTAACGGAGAGCGTAGAATCACCTCAGTTACTGATGGTGCAAAGATAATTTGTCTGCCAGGAGAAAAATTATGTTCTGGAAAGATACAGTTGATCTTCATTATTTGAAGACTATTTGCAAGTTTGCTTACTCACTGAAATTTAGTAGGCATCCCAAATCAATACTTTCAGTGCTTTTGAAGCCATTTATGGGCATGCACAAAGTGGTGAAAAAGTTGTTTCCCAAGACTTAATGTTCCCAGCTGAGATTGAACAAGATACTGTTCTGCCTTCTTGTTGCAGCTCTTATAAGTCTTTTTTGTGTTCTACTTAGTGTCACTTTTTTCCTTTTTATTTTTTGTTGATTTCATTTTTTAAAATGAGCCCAAGGCATGGTGCTGAAGTGCTGTCCGGTCTTCCTAAGTACGAGAAATCTATTTGCCTTATGGAGAAAATGCACACATTAGATAAGCTACATTTACACATAAGTTGTATAGTGCTGTTGGCCATGAGTTTAATATGAATGAATCAACAATGTATGCTAAATAAGATGTTTTAAAACAAACACACATAAAACAAGATTGATTTAAATGAGAATGTTACGACTAGAGATCCCACAAACCTAACTTTGTGTTTTCCTTGGGATAATTGATTCAATATCCACTGTTTCAGTGTTTGCAGTGACTTCATAGAACATAACTACTGTAAATAATGAGAACTATCACTATGATTCAGAGCCATCCACCGCAATTATTCTATGTAAGACGAGTATTTATTTAAAAATTATGACTTACAGCAGAAAAAAAGGCCAGCACTAAAAGTCAAAGTACACAATGAGGTTGAGACCCTCAAATCCAGATATTGGGGTTACCAGAAAACATTTTGGTTTGTATTTTGATTGTTGACTTTATCAACAATCATAAGTGAGAAATGGTAAGGATATTTTAAATAAACTCTTACAAAGATGTTGTAATCTCCACATCTAGCAATTTGCTTCTAACAACTCATATACAGTAAAATTGACATCTAAGTCATAATTAGTGATACACATCCTTTGCCATTTTTCCCCTCCCCTCCCTCTCTATTTCTGTGTGTGTTTCTGCATGCCTGTGCTTTCCCCAGGAATCTAGGCATCATGCTGTGAGAAAGCTACACGTACAAAGGCCTTATATGTGTGCCAATGACCAGTATCTACCACCAAACATATGTTAATGAAAATTCAGATAAGTCCAGTCATCAGGTTTCAAGTTGATGTAAATGGTGGGTGGACAAAGACAATTATCTCACCAAGTCTTGGCTAAATTGCTCATTTCTAAGAAAAAGTCATGTTTTTGTTTTAAGGCACTAAAAGTAGATTGTAAAACAAATACCAAGTATTGGAAAGAATGTGAAAGAAATGAGACCGTCATACAGTTTTGGTGAGAATATGAATTGGTACATCCAGTAAGCAAATCTTTTGGTAGTATCTGCTAAGAATTAATACATTAATATTCTATAAAACCAATTTTTCAAGTCAAGTTGTATACCAAGTTGTATATTTATTCTAATATATACATATAATAGAGATACTGAAATATATGTAAGAATGTTGAAAGACGCATAAGAATATTCGTAGAAGTAACATTTTCCTAATACCTAGAAAATGACAATAATCTAAATGTTAGAATGGATAAGGAAGCTGGGGTTTATTCATACAATGTAATACAATGTAATTTATAACATACTATGTAATGTTATACAGTAATATGAAATAAAGAACTAATGATTGTATTGTAAGTGGGGAAGTAAGTCTCCCTTGTAGTATCTTTGTAGATCATTACAACATGACATCAGAAATTACATTCAGAGAGGCATTTGAAGTTAAAAGATTTATTATAGGTACTACAAGAGGGAGGCATAGCATACCACACAGGAGGTCATATACAAAGAGCTCCCAGGGAGTGGGCTCAACCAAGCAGGTGGACCCCTGAAAAAGTGCCTATACTGGGAGTCAGGCAAAAGGCATGAAGGGATTTCATTAGTGTGTATGAATGTTACCAGATCATAGTCAAGCGAGGGCAAAAAAGAGTGCTTATGGAACAGACACCAGTCTTATCACACTAGTGCCTCTGGTCACCTGAGCAGAGTGTTCACAGCCTGTTTGTGAGAATGTTGAGGCATCACGGAAATATGAAGTTTTAAAAATGTATAATACAATGATACATTCATCAACATGATTAATTTATAATTACAAAATCTAGACATAAGTATATATAGTATTTAAAAATGTATAAAATGTATATAGTGTCTAGTTATTTTTTAAAAAGGTAATTGTTTCAAGGTATTTGTGTTGGTTAATATTGAATGTCAACTTGATTGGATTAAAAGAGGCAAAGTATTGTTCCTGAGTGTGTCTGTGAGCTTATCGCCAAAGGAGATTAACAATATGAGTCATTGACTAGGAGAGGCAGCCCACACTCAATCTGGGTGGGCATCCTCTAATCAGCTGCAATCACGACTAGAATAAAAGCAGGCAGAAGAACGTGGAAGGACTTGACTGGCTGAGTCTTAGAGCCTTCATCTCTCTCCCTTGCTGGATGCTTCTTGCCCTTGATCATCAGACTCCAAGTTCTTCAGCTTTTGGACTCTTGGACCTACACCAGTGGTTTTCCAGGGGCTCTTGGGCCTTGGCCACAGACTAAAGGCTGCACTGTCAACTCCCTACTTCTGAGGTTTTGGGACTCGAACTGGCTTCCTTGTGCCTCAGCTTGCAGAGGGCCTCTTGTGGGATTTTACCTTGTGACCATGTGAGTCAATACTCCTTAATAAACTACCTTTCATATGTATATCTATCCTATTAGTCCTGTGCCTCTAGAGAACCCTCACAAAAACAGTATTTCATACAAAGTGAATTTAACACAGATAATTAGTTACCAAAGTATTGAAAAGTCTAGGAAATAAGACTAAAATTAGGATGCTCAGAAAATAGTAAACGTAGAAAGGTGATGCAACTCCTAGACTTAAAAAAAGGAATAATGTATCTGAGAGTCCAGGACATTTCTGCTGATGTATCTGCTGTAAGAATAACAGCCATGGTGTCTTTACAGGACCCACAAACAACTACTGTCACTGCAGAAGCCTAGGAGAACAACACCTACTGCTATGTGTTCAGAGACAATGAGTGCTGAGTCCAGGTTGACTGATGCTATTACCTCTCATACTGTTAAAACCATGCTGCCCATGCAGTCAGGTGCCCACTCTTGCGCACTGCTCAGCTACTGTTGATTGAAACAGTAATAGATATAAATTGTTTCTCCTTTGTTTCCAGTTTTCAATATCTTGGTTTGTGCTTCCCATTTGAAGAAATTAATCGGAATTCTACTGTCAGGGAAATCTCTTTAACCTCTAGCTCTCTGCAATACAGAGGAGAGGATACCGCGTAGAATTGAGGAGCAAGCCAACAGACAACTAGCCAGCATAGGCCATCCTTTTATAGTCATTGAAGCTATATAAAGCGATTTAAAATATAGCATTAAAGGACTGGGAAAACTGGAAAACAAAAGATAGTGAAATGAGATTACTTGGCGATTAATATAATAACTGAAGAAACTACTTACTACCCTTGGAAAGAAGCAAAAGAGAGTGGTGTTACTTGGCGCCCTTAATCACTGTACTCCTGATATTTTTTGGAGCTGATGAACTACATGTGAGATGCAAGGAAATTTCAGCTCACCCAACTAAGAAGATAAGTGCTAGTCACTGAAATAGGCGTTGCTAGGGAAACATAATCAATCCTGTTTTGCAGAAATGCAAAAGTCTATATTCCCTCTGATGCATCAGCAGAATTGCAGCCTACAACTGTAGCAGAGGGGAGCACGACAGGCAGCAAGGGTAAAGAAACCCAACTGATGAACATGTACAAGGAAAACACTTTGTTATAAAAATTACATATAATACTAAACAGTTAATCTAAATTAGATTACAACTAGAAAATGAATCAATATTCTTTAAAATTTACGTTGACTTGAAATCTATATCCATTAGTTTCCAGAAATACAAATATCAACAAGCCTTAAAATTATTTCATTGACAATGTGCGTTTATATCATGATAATAGCAAAATTCATGCAGGCTGATGAGACCAATGTTTGACCTGGAGATTATAAACAGGAACTAACATGGAAATGTAAATACAAATACTGCAGGTCAAGAGGTAGTATGAGCTACTAAGTGGTTTCCTAGTTTATCTCCTCAGGAGAGTAAATACCCTCAGATAATGCCTCATTTCAAATCATGCTTTTCAACAGGAAGCTCTGATTTAAATATTTAACAATCAGCAGTTTGTGTTCATCTGAATTATCCAAAAATACTGCTTTCTGCTCATAAAAGGCACTTTGAGAGTATGTTTTACTGACCTTGAATGTCTTTCTAATCTATCATTCAATGATTCTGGGCACTGTCACCAAAGTGAGAGGAAATATACCATGTCAAGTGCATTTTCTCCACAAGCTTTTATTGAAAACCTATGACTTTACTATATCCCACGTGTTAGAAGAGGTAAAAAGGGAGAAATTATAGTGAAAATATCTTCCCTCCCAATTAGCATTCCAGTCTAGTAGGTAACAGAGACAAGTATATTTGGAGAACTCTAAGGAAGCAAGTGTGACTGGACTGTAATGTCTGGGGAAGAAAATAACTAAATGAGTCTGGAAAGATATGTGGGACCCAAATAGTTTAGTTCTAAGGGAGCCATATCAAAGAATTTTGTCTTTATCCTTAAATTAAATATCATCCTTTTAAGATATTCAGTGGCATATTACCAAAATCAGATACATACTGTTATGCAGAGAATGGATTGAGTGGTGTTATTGCAGTGGCTTAGTACGGAGACACTGACAGACCTGACTTGGAAGAAGTGTTTTGGGAATGGGAAAGGGGAGTGATGGATATATTTAACAGATATTTAGTGAGTAAAATCAATAGAAATTATTGAACTGATTGTGGAGAGTAGCAGAAAGGGAAGGAGTCCTGAGAATAATGCCAAAGGTTAAGCTGGCAAGAATGAATGAAACATTGATAGTATTCACAGAGCTAGAAAATTACAGAGCAAAATACCTCTATATTCTTTAATACGTGGCTTCCATCCTCACTACAACACCAAAAGGAGTTTCTCAAAGGCTCTTGATGTTCTGTCTCTAAAACCAACAGTCATTTCTTGATTTTCCTGCTCATTGTTCTCTATAGTTACTAGCGGGTGGCCTTGGTTTCTCCTACTTCCCCAACATCTGATTGTTTCCAATATTGAGTCCTCTTCAAGGACTTATTCTTGGTCAAATTTTTAATCATGTTTCCAATTTTCATCAGGAGCGTCTATCTTAGTCTGTTCAGGCTGTTATAGCAAACTATCATAGACTGGATGGCGTATAAACAACAAATTTATTTCTCAGAGTTCTGGAGTTGGGAAGTCCAAGATCAAAATACCCAGATTTAGAATCTAGTGGACAATTTGCTGTTTCCTCACGTGTTGAAAGGGTGCTAGGAAGCTCTCTGGCCTTTTCTTAAATGGGCACTTCTTACAATGGCACTAAACCATTCATGGAGAAGTTTCCACCCTTGTGACCTAAGCATTTCCCAAAGGCCCCCCTTCAAATACCAACACATTGGGGATTAGGTTTCAACATGGGTATTTTGAAGGGGACTCATTCAGTCCATAGTAGCACAATTCATTTGCCAGATACTGAAGTCAAAACCTCAAACTTGTTTTAACTCTGTTGTCTCACTTTCTGTCAAATTGGTTGACAAGTCTTACTGATTTTTTTCATTTAAAATATTAATATCTTATTTTTCATTGCCATGACCCTCATTCTACTTTGTATACTTCCATTTATCTAGCATTTATTATTGTATACTTCTTTTTATCTAGGTGTGAAGCAGTATCTCATTGTGGTTTCAATTTGCATTTCCCTAATGACTAGTATTGTTGAGTTTCCTTTCATGGGCTTATTGTATTAAAGTCCTGTGTCAGTTTTTTAAATTGTTGTTGAATTGTTGTAAAGAATTGTTGTAAAGAATGTCTACAATTCAACATATTCTGGTTATTAAACCCTTACAAGATATATGCTTTGCAAATATTTTCTTCCATTCGGGTTGTCTTTTTGTTTTGTTGATAATCCCCTTTAATGCACAAAAAATGTCTCTCTTTGAAGTTTATCTATTTTTTCTTTTGTTGTTTATGCTTCTGATGTCATATCTAAGAATCTGTTGCCAAATCAAGGACATGAAGACTTACCCTTATGTTTTTCTAAAAGTTTTTCGGTTTTAGTTCTCATTTGTAAGTCATTAATCTATTTTTAGTTAGTGGTTTTTATACAGTTTAAGGGGTCCAATTGATTTGTCTGTAGAAATCCAGTTTCAACACCATTTGATGATAATCTTTCCTCATTTCAATGGATTTGCCACCCTTGTTAAAAGTCAATTGACCATAGATGTATAGGTTTATTTCTGGACTCGCAATTCTATTTCTTTGGCCTGTGCATCTTTATAAATCAGTATATAGACATATGCCTGTCCCACAATGTTTTGGTTATTGCAGCTTTCTAGCAAATTTTGAAATGGGAAGTGTGAGTATTCCAACTTTGTTCTTGTTTTTAATACTCTTTTGGTATTTGGGGCCCCTTGCAATTCCATATGAATTTAAGAATGAGCATTTCCATTTACACAAAAAAGGCTGTTGGAGTTTTGATAAGGATTGCATTGAAGACGTAGATCACTTTGGGTAGTATTGACAACTTAGGCATATTAGGTCGTCTTACCCTTAAACATGGAATGTCTTTTCATTAATTTAAGACTTCTTTCATTTATTTCATCAATGTTTTGTAGTTCTTAGTGACAAGTGTTTCACTTGCTTGGTTGAATTTGTTTTTAGGTATTTTTATTCTATTAGATGCTATTGTAAATAAAATGTCTTTCTTAATTTCCTTTTTTATTGATTGTAGATGCATAAAAGCACAACTGATTTTTGTGTGTTGATATTGTACTGTGATACTTTGCTAAATTCATTCATTAGCTCTGTTAGCTTTCTGTGGATTTTTTGGGGTTTCCTGTGTACACATATAATCTGTAAATATATATATAGTTTTACTTCTTCCTCCCCCAATTTGGATGCCTTTTATTTATTTTCTTTGTCTAATTTCTCTTGATAGAATATTCAGAACAATGATGAATAGCAGTGGAGAAACTGGACATAATTGTCTTTTTTCTAATCTTAGAGGGAAAGCTTTCCATCTCTTGTCATTCAGTGTAATGTTAGCTGTTTTTTTTTTTTTTTTTTTTTTTTTTTTTTTTTTTTTTTTTTTTTTTTGTAAATACTCTTCGTCCTGTTTCCTTATAAGAGTTTCCTTGTATTCCTGATCTTGTTGAGTGTTCTATCAAGAAGGGGTGTTGGCTTCTCTTAAGTCTTTTTTTTTTCTGCATCGAGATCATTATGAGCTGCTTTTTCCCTTTCATACTAGTAATTTGGTACATTACATTGACTGATTTTCTTATGTTAAACCATGCTTCTGTTCCTGGGATAAATCCTACTTCATGGTATATAATCTATTCAAACACTGTTACATTACATTTTTAGTATTTAGTTGAGGATGTTTGCATCTATATTCATAAGGAATATGTCTGTAACTTTCTTTTTTATTTTATTTTATTGTATTTTATTTTTTTGAGACGGAGTCTCGCTCTGTCGCCCAGGCTGGAGTGCAGTGGCGTCATCTCGGCTCACTGCAAGCTCCGCCTCCCGGGTTCACGCCATTCTCCTGCCTCAGCCTCCCGAGTAGCTGGGACTACAGGCGTCCGCCACTACGCCCGGCTAATTTTTTTGTATTTTCAGTGGAGACGGGGTTTCACTGTTTTTTCCAGGATGGTCTCGATCTCCTGACCTCGTGATCCACCCGTCTCGGCCTCCCAAAGTGCTGGGATTACAGGCGTGAGCCACCGCGCCCGGCAACTTTCTTTTTATATTACGTCTTCAATTGGTGTTAGCCTCAAGGTAATTCCTCAATGACTGAATTAGGAGGTGTTCCCGCCTCTCTTTTTTGGAAGAGGAGTGATGTTAATTCTTTAAATATTTGGTAGAATTCACTGGTGAAACTGGCCCTGAACTTTTGTTGAGTTTTTTTTGATTAATACAATCTCTGTTTGTTACAGTTCTGTAAAGATTTTCTAATTCTTCTTGAGTTAGTTTAGGTTATTTGTGTGTCTCTGACAATTTGTCCATGTTAGTTGATCTAATTTATTGGCATGCAATTGTTCATAGAATTCTTTTTTTTTTGTGAGGTCTGTAGTAATATCCCCACTTTCATTCCTGATTTTAGTTAATTGTGAACAGAAGAACTTTTGAAGAAAAAATTGTCTATCATTCTGTCCATCTAGAAAAGGTATGCAATTTAAAAATGTATTTTATCATTCAACAACACAAACATGTCTAACATTTTTTTACCCTAATTTTAATGCTAGAAACCTATCCTAAGGAAATCATCAGAAATTTATACATTTATTGAAAAAGATGTTTACTTCAGAATTCTTCAAAATAGCAGTCATTTACAATCCATCTAAATTTCCAGCCATAGGTCATAAATAAAACTATCACATCTCCATACAATGAAATATTATATAAGATAAAAATCTAGCATCACATTTAATGTTTAGTAAAATGGAAACGCCCAAAATACAGCAATTTTTTAAAGATTTAAAATATTATCGAAATATGAAGCTATTCTTAAATTATGAGTGATGCCACAGGACTTGGATTTTTCTCTGATTTCCCTTGGTCTTACAGAGAATTCTGGGCTACAGATGAGCTTAATGTCTGACTTCAAATTCTCTAGCTCAGAGAAAATAATTGAGTAAATTGATAAATACTGCATCATTATAGGCTTGGATTTGGATGCCAGTAATGGTATTATAAATTGGCTAAACGATTTCAGCTTGTTTGCTGAATTTGTATATCAGGCTGTTGGGAGCACAGTATTTTCTCATGTTTTCATAATTATGTTTTCCTGTAAACTTGGCCAGCGTTACTCACTCCTTCAAGAATAGTCTAAATTGAAATTGTTAATAGTGCATTTATTAGTAGAAAGTGTGACTTTGTTTATTGCTGTTTTTTAAATGATTTAAAACAATTGGCATTTTCAGATCTTACTATGCCCTGAGGCCTAATGGAATCTAGCAAGATTATGATAAATACAAACAAAATTATCTAATTATGGTCCATGTTTAAAAAATGCAAAATTATGTTCTGCTGTCTAGATTGCATCAAAGCCAGTGAAGCTTGAAATGATTGATGAGTGCCAGTCTTGCCTCAGGCCCCACAAAGCCACATGGCTCTCGGGTTATATCTTCCACCATGAGGACAGAGATAAGAATGATATGTAATCTGACCACTCCTGCTCTGCCAAAGCAGCCCTACCCCATTCATTCCCAGGCACGCTCCCTACTTAAGCAGATGTTTAAAAAAGTGACCTTCCTCACAAATACATAAAACCTAGAGAACGTCTTTGCATAAATAACTTGGTTTTATTCTGCTAATGAAGTTATTCTAAACTTTTTTAAATTAAGGAGCTCCACAAAAATACTAGTAAAAGTACTACTAGTACTACTATGAATACTATTAATAAAAAAAAGCAAACATTTGAAATGATAAAAGACTAAATAATTATTTGTATACCAGTTATTTCCACTGCCAAGCAACGAAGTTGGCCTGCCAGTTTTCAATTCTAGATCAAAACTGGTCAAAGAATGAGCTACAGACAACTCCTTTCTCTAGGAAACATCAGCGCTCATACCTACAACTTCTACAAGGCTGTGCAATGGTTCTTATGAGCTCTTTAATCTCATAGAAATCCTGCCTTATAGTTGAAGACACGCTGCCTTAATGCGAGGTCATGCCTTATTAATATATTCAAGTCAAAGGCCAAGGAGGAATGGCTATAACTTGATTAAATTTTCCAAAAAAATACAGGTTCAATATTCTATGGCATATCAATGGTTCAAGCATGGGGGAGGGATACCTGAAGGGAGACCACAGAGGTGGTAGTAAAAGCAAGTGCTATTAGCATTAGAACTTCTAAATATCTTCATTTCCCTTAATAGAAATGTTTCTCACTCAAAGAACAAGCTCTTTAAGCCCAGGCTGTGGGAACTCAAATACATTCTAAGACACTGGGAGAACTGTGTTTATGGCCTGGCTGTAACCTTAGGCCCTTCACTTACTTGAGTATTTGTTTACTATACTCACTGCATAGAAATTTACAAGGTTCACCTGATAAATCCCGTTGTAAAGTATAAAGACCAAAGCATTATCCCTCTTGGTGTTTGACTGGTCAGCTCACCATGAGGGTGATGGGCTGGCGACTGTGGCCTTTCTAATGAATATGTGGTAGCTGAGCAGTTGTTCAACCAATAGCTTTATAAATGGCTTCAAGTCCTCCAAACCTGAACAGTATCAGTTCAGTAAATTCCTATCAATGTGGGCAAAGAATTGAGCTGAAGTGACTAACCTAAATGATCCCCTATAATTTAAAGGAAATGAAGGACTAATTTTTCAGACTTCAATGTTTGTCATTATGCAGAGCAATTCTTACCCTGAAAGGCACAATTGTTTTTATCCCCATTTTACAGTTGAAGAATTCAATCTTTCAGGAGTTAATATACCCAAGGTCACATTTTCTATGTACAAGAACCTAGATTCAACCACATGCGGCTAACTCCAAATCTAGTGCTTTTTACCTCACACAGCACTATATATATACATATATATATACTGTTTCTCATAACACAAATATTCACTGCCAACTCCAAATGACATCATTGTAATATGAAGATAATGGTTCTAAAGTCAGCAGAAGAGCTGGCTTTCTGAAATACTAGGAGCTAAGTATCTTACGTACACTACCTCACTTTTCTCCTAACAGTTTTTTGTACAGGCACTAGTATAAAGTCCATTTTACAGATGAGAAATCAAAAGGTAAAAATTAGATTAAGAAACTTACTTAATGTCTCTTAACTAGCACATAATAATCCAAAGCCAGATCTTCTGACCATGCTGATGCGTGGTTGTGTGTATCTGACTCATTTTTACAATTCTTCCATTATAGTAAATTTTCATTAAACACTGTTTATTTTCATTGCCTCTTGTCATATGTCATTTTTTCCTTGACAAGAGAATACAAGAGATCTTTCTACAATGTCCAAATAATCATTCACAAACAAAAAATAGGATATTGGCCCTTCTCTCACTCAATAAAGACTATGCTAGCATGAGAATTGGGCAATATAACTTTGTTCAACATTTTGTTGTGTCTATATATACATATATATGGCATCCACATTGATAAGGCTTTTTCTGATATAAGTATATTGACTTCTAAAAATGTTAAATAAAAAACATTTTAATAAATATTGAGAACCAAAACATTTATTAGTGGCTTTGGGGTAGGTCAGACAGCCAAAGTATGCCTTAAATATTTCTTTATATGTCAAACATATATATTTAGTAACAGATAATTCTGTTAATTAGAATGAAAAGGCAAGTTATTTGATGTCATCTATCTGCTTAAGTTTATTTTGTGTATGCTTTCTCAGGTATGGTTTTTATTGAACATAACCTTTATTACTCTATTTAAATTTAATTCAAATATTCTTAGATTTAATGCATGTTCAGTTATCACTTGAAATGCGTTATAAAACAGTAATCGGATTTGAAACAAACTTTTATAAATCAGGCATTATTGATAACAGCAAAATAATTCTGAGATTTAAAAAATGCAAACTGTAAAGGAAAATCAAAGAAAAATAATAACATTAATACAAATCTGCTCTGTTGTCATTTATCACTGAGTCACAATTAGCCTCACTGGCAATCTTTCTTTGAAATTATGTACCACTTCCAAGTATGTGTGTGATGTATTTGTTTTTCTTTACTGTAACTTATTTTTTAAAAATAGGAATAGTTAAGGGCATATGCTCTTACCATATGAATTAAGATGGAAACAGAAGCCAGCCTGCGCATGCATGTATGCATGCATATACATCCTATATATCAAGACTCACATCTTACACTTGGGCACAGTATGAATTTAAAATATGATTTAAGTGGTATTCTCAGTAAGTACATAAGAAGTTACTGAATAAATGGTGTTGAAATGATAAACTCATTTGCCAAAAATAAAAATGAATCTAGCAAGCTACAAAAATTATATCCCTATCTCATTGTATTAGTTTACAAGGGCTATTTTGCCGGGGCAAAGTACCACAGACTTGGTGGTTTAAACATTAGAAATTTATTTTCTGACAATTCTGGATACTAGCCATTCAAGATCAGAATGTCAGCAGGGTTGATTTCTTCTGAGTCCTCCTTCCTGGGCTTGTAGATGGCCAGCTATCTTCTCCCTGTGTCTTCACAGGGTCTTTTCTCGGGATGCCTGTGTCCTAATCTATTCTTATAAGAACGCCAGTTATGTTGTATTAGGGCCTACCCTAATGATCTCATTTTACCTTAATTACCTCTTTAAAGGACCTATCTCCAAATGCATCCATTATCACATTCTGAGATAATGGATGTTAGGACTTCACCATATGAATGTTGGGAGCACATGATTCAGTGCATTATACTCATACGAAATTCATTTCAAAAGAATTAAGAATTTTCAAAACATACTAGAATATGGCCCTTTTGACCTCAATGCACAGGGTTCAGAGATTGTATAAACTTCCTGAAGTTGTAGGAAAAATTTTCTATATACGGAAATTTGTGCACATTTTTTACTGAAAGACTTTGCCTTTCAAAAGCTTTGTGAAAGGATCTGTAATTAATATTTTTTAATATTAGAACAGGAAACTAGAGGAACATTTAAGTGATATTTATATAATATTGAAGCAGGTAAAGACTCTCTAAGCATAACAGCAAAAGCATATACACCCTAAAGGAAAATATAGATGTGGTTCACTACATAAATATTAAACAATTTTTAAGGAGAAAGAAACTAAAGTTAAAAGTAAAAGCCTGAGGGAAATAATTATCGCATAGATAGGAAGGTAGCATAAAATGGAGTTAAGTACATGGGTTTAAAATAAGATAGGCTAATATTAAAGCTATATATCTGCTACTAGCCATGTGACTTTCAACAAAGTTTTCCTCACTTTTAAATTTCTTCAACTTAAAATGAATATTGCAATACTATCAAATAGGAATACCAAGAAGGTTATACTGGCTTATACTTGTAAAAAGTACAATAACTAGCACATAGAATTACATCAGTAAATGTTTAAAAAGGCAAAAGTTTAATATACATATGAATAT
Source organism: Homo sapiens (assembly GCF_000001405.40). NCBI lineage: Eukaryota > Metazoa > Chordata > Mammalia > Primates > Hominidae > Homo > Homo sapiens. The sequence continues at coordinate 8,909,830 of NC_000007.14, read as the reverse complement.
AGATAACTTTATAGTGTTCTTTTTATGTAATGTACAAAAATATTTCAATAGAAAAATTAGCATCAGACATGAACAGAAAAATCCAGTAAAATAACTCAGGTGATGAAAACCATCAGAAGCAATGCACGATCTCATACTTAGAATAGCAAATAGGCCAGTCCATGTGGTTTAGAAATGATTTTTACATTGAACTTAGTTTATGCATTATTAGTGTGTAATTGCTAGTGTATAGTAAGTACTGAATAAATAAAAAATAGTTCCTACTTTAATTCCTACTTTAATATAAAGAATAACATTAAAACATATAAAATTAAAAACATTATATAAAACATAACATAAACTCTAAAGAAATGCATGAAGCAAATGATAGAATTTAAAAGGAAATCTAAAGAGCATAAATCAAGGCAGTAGAATGACTTATAACAATTCTAAGTTAACATAAATTTATATAGATATATAATGTGTATATATGTGTGTGTGTGTGTGTGTGTGTGTGTGTGTGTGTGTGTGTGTGTGTGTCTGTATTTTAACAAACTCAAAAATGTCAATTTAATACAACATACCACAAAGAGGGAGGAGGGGAAGGATGGTAGCAGGGAAAGGAAAAATCAGCTGGACTCAATTATGCATATAATTAGAATGCCTTAGTTTCACTGTCTTGAATTTCATGTGTTTGAAAGTCCCCCTCCTGGGGAAGGTGAAGAATCTCACCTTTCTCCACTGTCACTCATCTCTTTTTATGACTCATTCTTTCAGCTCATATTGTCATCACAGATGTGGTGGCTCTATAATTAAAATAAGGTCAACTGTGTCACTTGCAGGTGGTCTAGGCAGCCCAGTCTTTCCCAGGCACCTCTTCCACTGTGAGAAACTCCTCGTTCATGTGTTCAAAAACTATCTTATCTTGGTTTGGTATGAGAAGAAAATTGGATGTCATATGTGAATGCACTTTAAAAGTACAAAATGACGGAATGTTTTACCATTACAAACATCTATTTTGAAGGAGTGATTTAAAAAAATCTGACAATTGAGGTTTGAAAATGTACTGTTCAATGACTCGAACTCCTATGACTTACCACTGATGTTTGACCTAATCCCTTTTTTTTTCCACTCAATGTATTATTATTACTCCACTTAAACATACCTGCAGAACTGAGATGCCAGCTGTCTTCATCTGTTTGGGTCATAATAATAAAATGCTTTAGTCTAGGTAATTTATAAACAATATAAATTTATTGTTTACAGTTATAGAGGCTGGAAGTACACCAGTAAGTCACCATATCGATCATGTCCAGTGCACCTACTTTGCGTCCTCACATGCAAGGGAGCAAAAGTGTTCCCTCAAGCCTCTTTTACAAGATCACTAACTCTATTCATGAGGTCGGCGCCTTCTGGACCTTATTACTTCCTTAAGATTCCACCTCTTAATAATATCACACTGTGGAGTAAATTTCAACATATGAATTTTAGGGGGACAATTATTGAGACCATGGTGCCAGGCTCCCATAAAGATATCAGTTCAAAAACCTCTGAAATCCTAGCTGACAAAAAAAGATGAGACCATGAAACTCCTAATACTTCTATACTAGAAGTATTAATATTGAGTATGAATTGATAAAACATCACTACCTTTTTTTAATCAATTAGAAGAAAAAATAACCTGTCTTAGAAAAGGGATAGGAAATGGAAGAAAATGGAAAAGAAATATGTGAACCCACGTCACAATAGCAAGAAAGTTGTGATCCAAGCCTCTGATGCAGGAACATAATAATTGAGAGTTGTCACTCACAGGTCATCAGAGTGAGAAGGCTCCTTATATTGCTATTGCCTGGCAGGCCATCTACCTCCAAAGGTAGCTCACACTCCAAGTCATGCCACTTTGAATTAGTATCTGTTTATTAGTCAAAGAGTTCTACAAAATAGACCATCTCATCCAGGAACTTATGCGACAGATTTTTGTCATAAGGCTGAGTCACTGTAAACGTGGATGATATAAAGCTTCAAGTAACAGAAAGCTCATTCTAAATTATTCATAAGGAACATGCCTCCAGACTGAAGAAATATCCCATGTAAAATGAGCCTACATCAGCACACACCTGTCTTATTTTTATTTTGCACTTTGGCTTGACACCTTATGTACACAAAAGTATCTCTGAGATTACTAAGATTTAGTTGTTTGCCAGTTGCTAATATTACATCATTGAAGTGAGAACTACATTAGCCATGTCTGTGATGGTCCCTGCATAAAGTGGAGATGGCAGAAGGGGTCCCTAAATATATGTAACTCACATCTGGCTGTGACAAGGTACAAATGTTTTCTACACTCTGAGTTGCATTACTTCAAGTGTTAATTTTCATGAGCTGAGAAATTTTTTTAACCCACCAAATTAATTTTCTGAAACACTAAAGTGTGGTTGATAATCTTAATAATATAAAAATTTCCTCATTATTTTTCCAGGTTTAATTTTGCCCTATTTACAGGCCATTTAAATAAAGCAAATTGAAGAGTCCATTTTTATTCTGCTAAAGTATACACTAGAATGTAAATGAGAAATATTTCAGCCAAGTAGGCAATTATGTATACCAAATATATATTTGTGGCTATACATATATAAATGCATATATACCTTATTGCCACTTTGCAAAATATATCTGTATTTATTCTCAGGTGAGTTCAAGAAGACATTTTGCTTTTAATTTCTCTTCCAAGTAACAAATTGTGTAGCTCCAGAATGTTGCTTACCATTACTGGTTTGGCCTTAGAGACAGTTACTTTATTACCTTTCTGAACTGTACTTCAAAAGAATTAATTAATTGATGCTCTTAGCAGCCTCATTCTGACAAAAACATATGATACTCAAATGTTAAACATGGAACCTCAGATGAAACTGTCAAGAAAAAGCTGAAAGTGGTTATTAATATGGCTTTTGATAAATATCTGCTCAGCCTCACACTGTGCCTCGTCTGTTTTCATCTTGGAAAGTAGTTAATCTGATTGATGAAGATCTCGGTTCAGATTGTCTCCCATGCTGAGTTTAATAAAGGCACTTTAAAAAATTATTTTCAAGTTCTGAAGATGTTTGTGCCTTCTCATTTGACTGTTTTTCAGGAGCACACATTTTAAGTGTTGTCCCTACCATTCCCTGAAATGGCAGGCATGCCTTACTGTCACACATCTCATAAGCACAAGAACTGAGACGGGTTTCCATGCCATCACTCTTTGTAAAGTGAGAATTAATGGAGATGTTGTCAAAAGGCTAATGCTAACCCTCCAGGCAGAAGCCCATCTGGACAAATCAGGCAGCCAGCACCAATGGACTACAACACTTGGCTCATTATCATTACCCAGCGTCTCCCATAAGGCTTGATATTTTTTCATCATAATTCCATCAAATAATTCCACATCTACATTAAGCACGTTAAGCACAGTCGCAGCGATGACTGACACAATAGGCCATGGCTGTGCTTCATGATAGTCATGCTCTGTGGTGTAGCCACTTAAGTGCCCTCCACTCACCTTAATTAATAAGTGTCAATGTACAATACTCTCTCCATTTAAATGAGAAGGAAATTTGGTACAAGAAGGTGGTTCAAAAATCTGATTTGGAAGTATTCAAGGTCGTTTTTTTTGGATGCTAGAATTTTAAGTTATTTTTTTTTAAGTTGCAGGATACATGTGAAGAATGTGCAGGTTTGTTACATAGGTATATGCATGCCATAGTTCATGGCTACACCTATCAGCCTGTCACTTAGGTTTTAAGCCCCACATGCATTAGCTATTTGTCCTGCAAAGATCAGTTTTCAACTGTCTATCAATGTCATAGTAATTGGCCAGTGTGGCAGGTCAAGAAAAGAATGGAAACCTTTTTGTGTGTGTGGTCAACTAAGTTTAGATGACATCAGTATGATCAAATCATGAATCAGTGTTTAAATGAGAGAGAAAACTTTGTGCTAAAATCTTTGGTCTTCTGGTATATGGCCTACAATCACGCAGGCAATTATGTTCCTCTATCACTTCAACATTATAAATGAAGGAGAAAAGTTAGCATTTGTCATTTTATTTGTAGATACAGACTTCAATAACCTTGTGCACCATGTAGAGATGTAACTTGAAGTTGCAAGCTCTAGTAGCTGTGTATACTCTCATTCAATGGTACCTTTTCTGTATCAGTTACTAATGAGTTTAAAAAACTTAGTTCATTGTCTTCAGTTATTTTCTGAATATCTAAGTGCTCTGTATGTGTGTGTTTATAAATTAATACATATAGGTTCACACTCAAAGTCTCTAAAATGGTGTGCAGCTTAAAGACATCAGGAATATTTTAAATTAACCAACATTTAGTGATTAGGGCCAATCTACACTGAATTGAAATGAGCCTCATTTTTTAATGCCTCAGTTACTGATGTGAATTGCCACTTGTTTCACATCCTGTAAGGCAAATTTGGTAAATTTAACAAACTTCCTACATAAGAAATCTAGAAAATAGTTTCCCCCTTTTAAAATTATTTCTACCCTAACAAGTTATCCTGGGTCATCTATGGGGAAAAGGATTTGTTTATGTACCTTTCTCCATACTAAAATAACATGTAACTTCAAGTTGATATACTCATTAGCATGTATTCAGGTATAGCTACTATTCAGAGAAAAATAAACCCATTACTATGAATTCAAACAGTCCTTTGATAATTTTAATAATGACAAATAACATATCACCCAGTTTAGAGAAGTGGTAAGATTATCAGAATCTCAGGACCAAGAAACTGTTTTTTGTCTGAAAAATTATACAGCACTAGGAAAGTAAATTTACCTAGTCTATGCCTATAAAAAGAAACTAGATATTATCTTCAGTCTCTTCAAGTTTCAGCCTTCTATTATAAACATTTTTTTAAAAATATCTCTCTTACCTTATATTTGGTGATAAAGTTTTGCATGAAAAAGGTAACATTACCAGAGGGAGGACCCTGGTGATCGATTATGTATTATGATTCTTCAGAGAAACAGAACCAATAGGATATATTATAAAATAAAAAATTGGCTCACATGATTATGGAGCCTGAGGAATTGCATAATTTGCCATCTGCAAACTGAAGACCCAGGTAAGCCAGTGGTATAATTCTACTTTAAGATTTGAAGGCCTGAGAATCAGAGAATCCGATGATATAAATTCCAGTCCAAGAGCAGAAAAGATTAAAGTTCCAGCTCAAGGCAGGAAGCAAAAGCGGCTAAGTTTTCATCCATCCTCCTTTTTGCTCTATTCTGCTTTCAGTGGATTGGATGATTCCCACTGATTCAAATGTTCATTTCATTCAGAGTACTTTCATGGACACACCCAGAAATAATGTTTAATTGAAGCATCCCATGGCACAGTCAAATTGACACATAAAATTAGCCATCACACCTGATCTGTATTTTAAAGATGAGGAAACATGCTGATAATAGAGTGAGGAGAGGCAGCTGTTGAAGCATGTTTCCAGCACAGGAAAATGCAGGCAGAGGCCTAGAGGGAAAAAGTATGAGGCACATAAAGGAAAAGTTTCAGTGCGTGATTTTTTTTTTTTTCCGGACTGTTTGTGGCAAGCAGCTTTCAAATCCCCACTTCATGATACTCATCTCTTCCTGTCATCCCATTATTTTGAGTGTAGGCTGAATTTATTGACTCATTTCTAACAAGTAGAATACGGAAAAGTTGATGGGATGTCGCTTCTGTAATTATATTCCAGAAGACTGACTTTAGCTTGCTCTCTTGTTCTCTCACTGTCTCATGCTCCCTCCCTCCCTCCTTCCCTCTCACTTCCAACTCTGCAATTCTGGTGAAACGAAGTGAGAATCACTCAGGGTGGTCTCTGACCAACCAGCAGCAAGAAATCAGGTCCTCTGTTCACAGTCCACCAGGAACTGAATCCTGCTAACAACATGAGCTTAGAAGTGTGGATTATTCCCCAATCAGATCTTCAAATGAGACTGGAGACCTAACTGACACATTGATTACATCTTTGCCAGAGACTCTGAGGCAAAGGAACCAGTTAAACAATGACCAGATTTATAGTCCACAGAATCTGTGAGATAATAAATATATGTTGTATTAAGCCTGTAAGTTCTTGAGTAAATGTACACGTAGGCAAAGATAACCAATACAAGTAGAATCTTTACTGAAACAGAATTTGCTGCACCTAAAGCAGGACTGATCAAGTACCTTGCTCAAGAAAAAATACTGAATATATTTGTAGTGAAAGAAATGAGGCGTCTGAAGAGAATTGGTCTAGAAAACACATAAATATTAACATTTTATTTTCAGTGGCCTTTCAAATAGTCATTTTTAATTTTAGGAAAAAACGTAGATCACTTCTGACCCTTGGGGACACATGTTATATGAAAATGTAAAAAAGTGACTAACAGGTCTGCAAGGGAAGTAGTGACCCCAGAAGATCCTGGATTCAATCAAAAAAGAATGGAAGAAACTGTTCATGTTAACTTAAAGAATTTTGTAAATTGCTCTCAATTGGAAGAGAATTTCTGCAGGGCACAGGGGAAAGGCTTGGGGATGAGGACAAGGATTAATAAGAGGATGATAACTTTTTAACTGGGCAAAGAAGAATATCCAAACAGAAAATGTTAAAATTTTGGTGAGGAATAGAAACTACAACTGTGAAGCATAAGGATTGACTCAACTCAGAGCTTGACAGTCCCAACTTCTGTGAATAGTCATCCTAGTCCTGAGAGCATGTCTACATTAATCATATCCAGGTATGCATCAAGCAGGGGCGATGAATGTACTACTTTTTCTCTATACTAAGATGAAAGTTTGGCCTAAATATTTTTTTAGAGACGGATGTGGTTAAAGCCTTGTCCTCAGGGAAAGACACTATATCAAGAGATTCTAAGCCACCGATATTGCATGCATTTTAAATAAAACTTTGTGTTGTGCCTGCCATGTAATAGAAACACTACCTACATACCCAAAATACAATTGCTTCAGAAGGGAGTACAATTACTTACCTTTCTTTAGTTAAATGTTAGCCTGTCCCCCATGATGTGTCAAGTGACACTGTGGGGACACAGAGGACAAGTCAGGGTTCAGTTTAAATCTGAAGACTTCCTCAGGAAGTTTGTTGAACGCAGATTTTCTTCACATTTCCATTATAACACTGAAAAATCAGTATATGGAAAAGAGCTTTTCATTTGAGTGAATTTGCATGTGAATATTTGGTAGCAGAGTACGCTCAATGTCTATATTCAAATGAATTCACTAAAGTTGCTCCCTAATTTTCTATAACAAATACCTTTATAAAATGCCCCGATTTTATCACTTGTAAGCAAACATCAAAAGATTTCAGTCTTTCAGGATTTCCTGGTGGAGCTGCTAACATGAATAAGCACACCATTGTATATTTTTTAAACAAACTTGTTATTTTAGAATAACTTTAGATTTACAAAATAGTTGTAAAGAGGGTTTATGAATTCCCCATATCCAGATACTCCTATGATTAACATCTTATGTGAGTATGGTATATTTATTATAATTATTGAACCAATATTTGATACATGCCTCTTAATAAATGTCCACATTGTATTCAGATTTTCTCCATTTTTGCTCAATGTTATCTTCCTGTTCCAGGATGCATCCACGAGACCACATTACATTATATGGCTGTCATGTCTCCTTAGGTGTATCTTAATTCTGATAGTGTTTCAAAGACTTTCCTTGTTTTGATAACCTTGATAGTTTTGAGGAGTACTAGGTTAGGCATTATACAGAAAATCTCCCAGTTTGTCTGAGGTTTTTCTCATGACTAGAATGAGGCATGTTATTCCACACTTTTAATTTCAAATTAGTGGGAGAGCTAGGAGGGAGTGGGTAAGGCAGGACAAACATTGACTATCACAGAAATTAAAAATTTAGGAACCTTGGTAATGTCTTTTAAAAATAAAATCAATATATTTTGTTGCCTTATAAAAATCTTAAGTTTTACAAAAAAAAGACAATCATTTAGGAAGCATTGCTTTAAAAGTAATTATTTCATAGGTAAACATATAAGATTCCATTATCACACCAGATTATTTTAAATCTTGAAAATTTAAAGTGCATATAAGTACCAGTGCATCAAATTGCTTAGTTTCAGCCAAAAAAAGAAGGGGCATCCTTTTCTGAAACCCCAGTCAGTTAAACCAAATGCTGATAATTCATGAATGGGGAACTTAACAAATGATACAAAGACCAGGATACTTTACTCTGAGCCATCAGAGGAGGTAGGTTATTATTCATTCTGGTTTTCATTCATTTTTCATAAGAAAAGTATAGCTAAACATATATGGGAAAACACAGGTAGGATCTGCGTCAAATGTGTATTAAGAATGATTTGCAGTGTATTTTACTAATTACTAAATTGGTAAGGCAGAAGAAAAACCTAAGTGGGCATTCTACTGACAAAGATAAAATAAAATTTCTTATATTTCATTTGAACACGATATTTCTTTAAAATATTACTTTAAATATTAGTTTGAAATGTTAATGTTCTATGAAGCCTTCTCTGACCCGTTCTTGTGTACCTAGTATACAAATAGTATAGCATACCTTTTGCTTACAGATTTTATATAACTTAGCATGTTGAATTATATTGTCATTGTGTTTTACATGTTCATTCCCTCAGTTAGATGTATTTAATCTACTTTCAACATCTATGGAACATCTACTCTATAATAGGCAATGAAATATAATGGCTAAAAATGAAGGCTGTATAATTAAAATGCTACGTTTGGATCTTGAATCCACTTACTAACTTCACTGTAAATTTGGACAAGTTGCTTCACCTTGCTGACTCTTAATTTCCTCTTCTGTAAGCAGGGGATAATAAATAGCCCATTCCTCACAGAATTGACAAGTTTTACATGAAGAGATGTCTACATTTATACACATGTATATAGGTATATGTTGTGTGTGTGTATGTATGACAGATATAGATGTTGTACGTATGTGTATATATGGAAATGTTATACATATATACACAGATATATATCTTGTTATATAACATACATAAAACTTAGATTTCCTGAAACATAGTAAATGTTCAGTAAATGTTATATGTTATTATAATTCTAGATTTTAAAATGCCTTATATGTTCTGGGAATTCAATGCTAACAATCTACTTACTAAGCAATTAGTGAGCTTTCATTATAGTGAAAAGCAGGCAAGTAAAAACCAATTTTAATATACTGCTATGATAAAAGATACACAAAACACTATAAAAAATAGACACCTGACATAGAATTTTGGGAAATAGGAAAGGCTGACCCTTATTTCTTTTTTGTTAAAAGATGATTGTTTAGTTGATGTTCAAGGTCCCTTGAAGCTCTTTCTATATGTATCCCAATACCAGGGGCAAAAGTCCAGTACACACACAGCTATTGAGGTTTTTGGATCACATCACCTTATAAATCACAAAGGTTACCAAACCTATACAATTATGAAGACCTGCAAAACTACAAAACTTTTCTTAATTTTATTTTCATGGAAAAAATTGTATATCTACTATGAAAAGAGAAATTCTATTTGTGTACCTTACAAAAACAGTCTGGTAAAGAATTAATACTTTGAACAGTAGATCCTTCAAGTTACTAGCTACCCATCATTGTATCCCATCAGTACTTCTGGCTTTACAACCTTATATAGTTATTTTAGACCAAATGAAGTTAGACGGTTATGCACAGTTTACTGAAAAGTTAGTGAGTTTAAATCAAAATTAACATTTAGGTTCCAGAAGGATGTGCATGGTTTAAGAGAATTAAATTTTTCCTATAAAAATTTACTTATAAATCTTTATGAAAAGTTAAAATATTTTTTACTACATGGAAAGGAAAATACTACTTTCTAGAGTTTGCATGATGCAGCAGGAGAACTGCAAAACACTGCTGAAGAAAATCACAGATGACACAAGCAATTGGGAAAACATTCCATGCTCATGAACAATATCATTAAAATATACATAGTACACAAAGAAATCTACAGATTCAATACTATTCCTATTAAATTACTAATGTTATTCTTCACAGAATTAGGAAAAAAAAATTCTAAAATTCATATGGAACCAAAAAAAGAGCCTGAATAGACAAAACCCTAAACAAAAAGAAAATAGCCAGAAGCATCACATTACCCAACTTCAAACTATACTACAAAGCTACAATAATCAAAATAGCATGGTACTGATACACAAATGGACACATAGACCGATAGAACAGAATACAGAACATAGGAATAAAGCCACATACCTATAACCAACTGACCTTTTAAAAAGTTGACAAAAATAATCAATGGGAAGAGGACTACCTATTCAATATGTGGTGCTAGTAAAACTAGTTAACCATATGCAGAAGAATGAAACTGGAGCCCTACTTCTCACCATATACAAAAAGTAAATCAATTAAATACTTAAATATAAGACGTAAAACTATATCATAGAACAAAACCTGGAAAATATTCTTCTGGACTTTGGTCTAGGCAAATAATCTATGACTAAGTCCTCCAAAAGAAATGCAACAAAACCCAAAAATTGACAATTGGGACATAATTAAAACTAAAGAGCTTCTGCAAAGTAAGAATATTACCAACAGAGAAAACAGAAAACCTACAAAGTAAAAGAAAATTAAGCCATGCATCCAACAAAAGACTAATATCCACAATCTATAAGCAACATAAACCTACAAGAATAAAATAGCCTGATTAAAAACCAGCAAAAGACATGAACAGCTACTGCTCAAAAGAAGACATGCAACAAACCAACAAACATATGAAAAAATGCCCAACATCACTAATCATCAAAGAACTGCAAATCAAAACCACAATGAAATACTATCTCACACCAGGCAGAATGGCTATTGTTAAAAGGTTTAAAAACAACAGATGTTGGCAAGGCTGCAGAGAAAATGAAATGCTTATACTCTATTGGTGTGAATGTAAGTTATTCAGCCCCTGTCGAAAGGGTTTAGAAAATTTTTCAAATAACTGAAAATAGAACTATCCTTCAACTCAGCAATTTCTTTACTGGGTATATACCCAAAGAAAAATTCTACCAAAAAGACACCTGCACTCATATGTTTATGACAGCACTATTCACAGTAGAAAAGACATGGAATTAACCTAGAATGCTCAATAATGGGGGATTGGATAATGAAAGCATGGGACATGTATGCCATGGAATACTAGGCAGCCATAAAAAGAATGAAATCATGTCCTTTGCAGCGACATGGATGTAGCTAGAGGCCAGTATCCTGAGCGAATTAATGCAGACATAGAAAACCATAGAATATTGCATATTCTACTTACAAGTGGTAGATAAATCCTGGGTACACGAAAACATAAAGACAGGAATTAGAAACTGGGGACTCCAAAAGGTGGGAGCAAGAGAGGGGAAGAAGGGCTAAAAAACAACATAAACTCCATATGTTCATTATTTGGGTTTATTATTTGGGTTCATTATTTGGGTTATTTTTTCACTTATTTCACATATTCATTGTGGATTGGCTGTAACTCAAGTTACTTTGTTTCTGTTTCAGGACAGAGGTAGTCTGGAATAAAGAAGCAGCCCCTATCTAGAAACTTACAAGTTCTATGGCAGAAGTAAAAGACACCATAAGAAAGCCTTACAATGGCCCAGAAAACATTTGGATATGGTACAAAGCTCCTTTACTCACATTAAATTGCCCCAGGCAAATCATATATCAAGCCTGGTATATGGTTTGCAAGAAACCACTCTCTTGCAAAAAGGGAATGTTTAAGTCACATATCCAAACAGTACATTAAAAGTCTGCAGTATATAATCCCAACAAAATGAGGGCAAAATTATATTTAAAGATCTTATAGCAACTTTAAAATTGTTGGAAGTATGGTACATAAGATGTAGTTGAGTGTGTGTATGTGTGTGAGATCAGAGTATATATTTTAAATCATACTCAAAAGGCTATTTCCATAGACAAAAGTATACTTCATTACAATTAATTCACCAATTTAGTCAATCTTGATGAAAATTCATATTACATGAGATATTTGGTGACAGCAAATACTATTGTGAAACTGGCAAAAATAGGCAACTTGCCTATGCTACAGGCTGTCACTCACTGGAAATAGTAGGATTCTGATCACTGAATTTAGGCATTTAATATGACTCAACTTTAAAATTTTCCTATATAAAATGTATACATTTTTCTCCTATTGCTTAATTAACAAATTCACAAATAAGTATCTATACCAGGAACTGAACTAAAATAAAGGTTAACTCGGTGTCATTTATATTTTCAAGCAAGATATCCAGAGACAAAGATGCAATAATTTTTGTAATTTCATGGAAATTTGCAGGGGAAAGTAGTAATTTCATGCTGACATCTAGGGAAACGTGATGATTTCATGTGGATTTAATCCCCTGTCTCTAAATCATCCATAAATACTACTCAGAAGAGCGTAAAAACAGCCCTCTGTAAAATTTTCAGTGTTCCAATTATAAAAATTAATGAACAGGTGAAGTAGAGAATTTTGAAAGTTGGAGGGGTTGATCCTAAAAAAATTAAGGGAATAATTACATATCCTCCTTATGACCTTCCTTAATACATAAGGGCATTGTTAACCAGGCCTTTAATTTCAGTCTTTAACCCACATATAAATGGTGAACTCTCCACTAAATTCATGTAACACATAGATTACCTATAACAACTGTCAGTTAATAAAACAAGCAAAGACAAAACACACACACACACACACACACACACACACACACAATCTTCTGAAGGGAAGGCCAATTTATTTCTTACATAAAGATTTTCTTCAGTCTTGCAATTTAATATAGCTTCAAAACCTATTGTCTCTTGATTCTATTTCAACTCAGAAGATCTCTTAAGAGTCTTCCCATTTGTGAAAGAAGAGGAGATAAAAGAATTCAGTTAACGGACCAATAGGAATATACAAGAGAATTCAGCTGTTAGTGTTCGTGAAGTCTCTCAACTGAGCTGTAGCAGCTCAGCCTTCCTCGCTCATCTTCCTGTCTCCCACATAATCTATAGATGCCTATGAGTGTATGTAATGAGACTTGTATTCTGGTGGCGATAGTGAACCAGACCAATAAGTAATACTAAGAAAAAAATGCCAAAAATGTAAGATAAACATTTCAAGATTATCTTGAGTAAGATAAACATTTCAAGATTGAAACAAACTCAAAATAATATTAAAGTCTGCTAAAATTTGTGAAGTATTTTTTTGGAGAAACACAACTCAGAGTATAGAAACAAATTGTATGTTATTGTAATGTTTTCAGCTTGACTGTGTTAATGTGTGTAAAGTTGTACATTGACATCTATACAGTTATAGAAACTAATGAATTATGTCAAAAATAACAAACATTCTCAGACTTTTAAGATAAAATAAACATATACTAATGACACTAAGTAGGTGTGTACTAGTGATAAAGACTTCTTTGGTTTTCCTTATTAGTGGTAATATGGCATGAATTATAGCAATTATTCCTCATATAATTCTCTTTTCCCTTTTTTAAGTCAGCCTGGCACATTATTTTCTCAGCCATCTTGGTTGAGAAACCATCTACTTAAGAGGACACAGTGTATAAAGTATTTTTTAATTATCAAGAACACTGTTTCCAGAACATAACAAAGAGTAGAGTGGCACAAATAGAATCTGGAAAGACAGGCAAGTAGTCAGGCCAGACCATGAACAACCCCGAGGAAAAGAAGTTGGATTTTATTCTAGCAGCAATGGAAAGCTTATACACTGTTACCATAAGCAGTGTCGGGACCTGCTCTGATTTGCATGTTTAACTTGTCCCTCTTGGGTGTATGAGGAGAGTAGTTTGGAAGTGGGCATGTGTGGAAGCAGGAAAACAAGTATGGAGAGGGCCTTGATGTTAGGCTTGGGAGCTTGGGGTGATGAGCTACTAAGGGTTTGCTAGCAATGTAGGAATAAGAATGATCCTATAATTTTCAAAGAGAACTCTGAGAAAGTGTATGTTGGAAGGCTATGGAAATAGGCAAATGTGTGTTGTACACACCCAAAAAATATATATGGGCTGACTTAGGTGGCATTAGAAATAAAAAATAGAACACCAATATAAAAAAAGTGCCCATTTTGGTAAATTAGAAGTAGAGGTTAGGACAAGAAGTAGAGGTTAGCCACTACCAATATTTTGAATTAGCTAAATGATAGAAAATCAATTTAGGAAACAAGAGACATTTAACAGAATTTGGGATTAGCACCTCAGTTAAATCTCAAAGATATAATAAAAAAGAAATAGTATAAAGATATAGAGCAAATTATTGAAAATTGTGTTTAGGAGAGTGATCTAGATTTGAAAGCCATTAAAATAAATCTATAAGAGCAGACGTTCACTCAAGGCAAATGTTAAGATAAAACATAAGAGGTGGTTAGAAAATCTCAAACTTATATTTAAGTAATGGGTCAAGGCTGAAAGCAAATGAATAATGCATCATCTGATTCAGTGCTGATAACTCTATTGATGTCCCAACAGCCTAAACAGCAAATTGAGAACAGTTAGTCCCTTCAATATCATAATAACATATGATAATCAATATACTCTCAGTCATTTCTAAATGTCTTTTTCTCCAGTGGCTCCATCAATAATGAAGTTTGGATGTTCATATTTTGACTAATGCTTCCAAGCGCATTGGATGACACCAGTTGCTGGTGGTCAATTTTTTAAAATTGCACCAGTAGGAGCACAAATCTGATAAACAAATTGACTTTATCAATATGGAAATAGATGTCACAAAACAGCAACTGATCATTACCACCAAACCCAAAAAATAATGATTAGTTCAGTGAAAATATTTCCTGTAGTGAGTCTAAATGATCTGGCACACTTTCAGATTCATTTTTAATTTTCTTTGCATTGTCATGGCAGTAATAAATCAGAAAACAAGCAGGGATGTTTTAATTTCCTAAGGTTAGAATTTGTGGTATTGTAAATATGGCTGTGGATTTTAAGTCTCTCAAGAAGGTAAATAGTTAAACACAACTTGACCCTGTGATGAATAAAATTGTGGTAAAAATTATTGTATTGCTTATAAGGCAAAATTGGACCTTATGATTGTAGATAAGGGGTTGTTATATATCCAATGGCAAAGCTGATTCCAGGTGCAAGAAAACATGGGCCTTTCGATGATACTACGTATTATTTTAAAACAATATTTTGATGTAAAGCAACGCTCATGAAGGCAGCAACCATTTATTATTTTTCTCACTATTGTACCTGGCATTGAATAGATTCTGTAGTATTTCTTAAATCAATATATGAATAAACACATATAAGAAAGCATACAGTGCATAGCGATAACACTTCTGCAATGTATGCTAAGAAAGATCTTCCTGTCCAAAGTAGCAACAGAAACCCTAAGAAACTTAATTACTGTTAAATTACTTTACATTACTTTATGCACATTCATATCAATGTCTCTAAGTCTGAAGTTATATTTCACATTTTATGATTTTCTAGAAAAGATACTGACTTGTTTCTCAAATTAACTTTACACTTAAAAACCAATTAAAACTCTAACATGTTCTTAAAAGGACTGAGTATGGCATGTTGTTGATAAAAGACATCCTTGATTAGACTATCTAGTTAACTGATAGTGCTGGCTAATATGATCAGTGCACATAGTTGAAGTAGTCAATTAGAAAACTGAGAAAGACAAAATGAAGTCTAATATTTTAGAACTCTACTGCAAAGCAAAATAAATGAATAGTCATCCTGGTGTTTGGATTCTGTTTGAAATGTTACATGTGGCATTTTCCAACAAAAGATGCAATTAACGTCATGGCTGGCACTGTCATACTGCATAGGAAACACTTCACTAGATGTCTGTCAAAATGAAAGCAGCTGTCAAAATTTAACAAAAAAACCATTTTAAAGAATTTCCTGTATACCGAGGTTAAGTCAAACCAGTAATTATACAGATAACAGCCAGTATGCAGACTAGAAAATTAATATATTTTCACCCAAAAAAGTTTTGCTTTATTCTTGAGTTTTTTTTTTGAAGATGAGACTATGAAAAAGGAGCAACTCACAAAGATGGTAATACTATTATGACATTGACTTGCCATTCTAGGAAGCAAAAGCCATTTTTTTCTCTACTCTGACACCTCAGATATCTTCCATTAAAAATGTAGGGAAATTTTATTCCTATTTACAAACCAGGTCTGATTTTTCTTTCTCAGGTTCAGTATGAACCAAGGTAAGTGATTTTGTGTTTTGGATGATACATTACACCATTCTATCTCAAGATTATTGGGTTTCTATAAGGAAATGTATTTCAGTGATTTTGAAGAGGAAGCATAGATAATTCACAAGGCAAACAAGTGAGCTTCCAAGTAATAACAAACCCCAGGGACCCGAAATTGTTTACTTGTGATATACAAGTACATAGTTTCTTTTTTGCTCTTACTCTGGAAATAAAAAGTTTTAAAATATAAAATCCAAGATAAGATACATTTAAGAATCTCCTTAAAGGTTTCAATTTGAATAACAATTTCTGGAATGTAGTTGGCATTTCTCAGGTCCTTGTCTGTGAAACAGTTTTAAAATGAACAGTAAATAAACATGTACCAGAACTTTTGGCATGATCTTGAGACAGTCATTTTAGTTTCCTACTTTCACATTTCTTTAGAAATGTTTTATTTCCCCTATTCAAGTTTTAGGAAAACAAAATATTCTGCAAATATCAATAATACACTGGTCCCAAGAGATATTGAAAAGACTGATTCCAAGACCAAGTATGAGAAGCTGGTCCATTATATACCCTACTTAGAGATTAATACAGCTCTTATTTGATATATCCACCAAAGATTAAATGTTTCTTTATCTGGTAAGAGTGGAGCCATGAATTACACGTATTGATTAGGAATAAATCATCTTGGTATCAGTAAGAGTAAAGTTTCTTGGAAGAATTGATTGGGAGTGAGTAGTCAGAAGATCTTTGTTTTCAGAATTTAAGAAATAATTTATCAACACATTGGGTGAACTCGGGAGAGAATTGAGTTGATTGAGTAGAGGAGGAAGTGTTTCCAAGAACAATTGGGAGCAGATGCACAAACCAGGCCTGATTTTTCTCTCTCAGGTTTAGTATAAACCAAAGTAAGTGATTTTGTGAATTAATTGAAATTGCTGAAATTGAGTCTTCAACTTTGGGATCCATAGCATGGAGGCCCATTGGCTAGGTTGGCATTGAGAAAGATCATCCCCTGCCACCCGTTAAATTTCACCAGAGTCTGGGAAAGGATCTGAACCTGTAAAAAGTCATTGCAGCAGGGGACAGACTTCATCTCTCAGGCCAGTCTCCAAACATAATTTTGTTTGGCAGTACTAGGAAATGATAGTAATATACTAATCACCTGCCATTTGGCTTGGAGCAGCCAACATTTTCCTTTTTTTCTTTAACAGCGTAAGTTATTCTGGTTCCTTAACAATATAAAAGATATATGCAAATGTAAAAGTTGTTAATGTTCTCAATAATAAGATAAGTGAAGGTTTAGATGATTGTTTAGAAAAATAAGAGAATGGGGCTGGGTGTGGTGGCTCACGCCTGTAATCTCAGCTCTTTGGGAGGCCAAGGCAGGTAGGTCACCTGAGGTCAGGAGTTTGAGACCAACCTGGCCAACACATTGAAACCCCTGTCTCTACTAAGAATACGAAAATTAGCCGGGCACGGTGGTGCGCACCTGTAGTCCCAGCTACTCTACTCAGGAGGCTGAGGAAGGAGAATTGCTTGAACCTGGGAGACAGAGGTTGCAGTAAGCCGAGATCATGCTACTGCACTCCAGCCAGGGCAAGGAGTGAGACTCCTCCAACTCAAAAAAAAAAAAAAAGGAAAAAAGAATGGTCATCAACTTTGTGTACCATATTTGTGCCTGGGTACAAAGGCATAAGATGACATATGAGATGTGGAAGAAGTTTGACTAAAAACGAAAACTTTAGTTTGGAATGGGTAGCTAAACTCCATGCTTCATTTGGAATTTCCTGTCATTTAAGAGAGAGAGGGAAGGTAACACAATTCAATGAAGGAGGCTTTTCAATAAATAGTGTTGGGACACTTGGATACTGATAGTCAAAAAAGTGAAACAAAAGACTCACTTTATATAAATGTAACTCAAAATGGATCACAGACTTAAGTGTAAAATGTCAACTATAAAGCTTAAAGAAAAAATATCTGAGAAAATCACTTGGATCTAGAATCAGGCAAAGAGTTCTCATCCTTGACACCAAGAGCATATTCTGTAAAAGGAAAATTTGACAAATTAAAACATTATTGATTCACAACTTTTGCTCTGCTAAATGTCCTGTTAGGAATATGCAAGATACTGACTGGAGGAAAATATTTGAAAATTACGTAACAAATGAAGGATGAGAATATAGAATATATAAATAAATTCTAAAACTCAATAATAATTCCAATTAGAAAATGGGAAAAATCACTGGTGTGACTGTAAGAAGGTACAGCCTCTCTGGAAGAGTTTGATCATTTCTTTTTTTTTTTTTTTTTATTGATCATTCTTGGGTGTTTCTCACAGAGGGGGATTTGGCAGGGTCATATGACAATAGTGGAGGGAAGGTCAGCAGATTAACAAGTGAACAAAGGTCTCTGGTTTTCCTAGGCAGAGGACCCTGCGGCCTTCCGCAGCTTTTGTGTCCCTGGGTACTTGAGATTAGGGAGTGGTGATGACTCTTAACGAGCATGCTGCCTTCAAGCATCTGTTTAACAAAGCACATCTTGCACCGCCCTTAATCCATTTAACCCTGAGTGGACACAGCACATGTTTCAGAGAGCACAGAGTTGGGGGCAAGGTCACAGATCAACAGGATCCCAAGGCAGAAGAATCTTTCTTAGTACAGAACAAAATGAAAAGTCTCCCATGTCTCCTTCCTTCTACACAGACAGGGCAACCATCCGATTTCTCAATCTTTTCCCCACCCCTCCCCCATTTCTATTCCACAAAACCGCCATCGTCATCCTGGCCCGTTCTCAATGAGCTGTTGGGTACACCTCCCAGACGGGGTGGTGGCCGGGCAGAGGGGCTCCTCACTTCCCAGTAGGGGCGGCCGGGCAGAGGCGCCCCTCACCTCCCGGACGGGGCGGCTGCCGGGCGGAGATGCTCCTCACTTCCCAGACGGGGTGGCTGCCGGGCGGAGGGGCTCCTCACTTCTCAGACGGGGCGGCCGGGCAGAGACGCTCTTCACCTCCCAGATGGGGTCGCAGCCGGTCAGAGGCGCTCCCCACATCTCAGACGATGGGCGGCCGGGCAGAGACGCTCCTCACTTCCCAGATGGGATGGCGGCCGGGCAGAGACGCTCCTCACTTTCCAGACTGGGCAGCCAGGCAGAGGGGCTCCTCACATCCCAGATGATGGGCGGCCAGGCGGAGATGCTCCTCACTTCCCAGACGGGGTGGCAGCCGGGCAGAGGCTGCAATCTCGTCACTTTGGGAGGCCAAGGCAGGCAGCTGGGAGGTGGAGGTTGTAGCGAGCCGAGATGACGCCTCTGCACTCCAGCCTGGGCACCATTGAGCACTGAGTGAACCAGACTCCATCTGCAATCCTGGCACCTCGGGAGGCGGAGGCTGGCGGATCACTCGCGGTTAGGAGCTGGAGACCGGCCCGGCCAACACAGCGAATCCCCGTCTCCACCAAAAAAATAGAAAACCAGTCAGGCGTGGCGGCGCGCGCCTGCAATCGCAGGCACTGGGCAGGCTGAGGCAGGAGAATCAGGCAGGGAGGTTGCAGTGAGCCGAGATGGCAGCAGTACAGTCCAGCTTCGGCTCGGCATCAGAGGGAGACCGTGGAAAGAGAGGGAGAGGGAGACCGTGGAAAGAGAGGGAGAGGGAGCTGATCATTTCTTAAAAACTAAACATGCAACTTTTATATGACCCAACAATTGTACTCCTAGGCATTTATCCCAGGGAAAAGAAATCTCTCTTTCTCTCTCTCTCTCTCTCTCTCTCTCTCACACACACACACACACACACGTACACACACACACTCTGTACACAAATGTTTATAGCAGCTTATTTGTAATAGCCAAAAACTGGAACCAGCCCAGATGGCCTTCAGTAAGTGAATGGTTAAACAACCTATGGCACATTCATATTAGACAATAATACTCAGTGATAAAAAGTAATGAACTATAAATACACACAACAACTTGGATAAATTAGAAAATTATGATAAGTGGGAAAAAAAAGCCACTATCAAAACACTCCATGCTGTATGTTCTGGACTAATATTTGTATCCCCCACAAATTAATATGTGGAAGCTCTAATCCCTAAGGTGATGGTGTTTGGAGAAGGCACCTTTGGTGGTTAAAGTTAGATAAGGTCATGAGGGTGGGACCCTCATAATGGCATTAGTGCCCTTATAAGAAGAAACACCAGAATGCTTGCTGGCTTTTTCTTTCGGCCATGTGAGAACACAGCAAGAAGGCAGTTATCTGCAAGACAGGAGAGGAGCCTTCACCTGAAACTAAATTGGCCAACAGCTTGATTTTGAACTTAGCCTCCAGAACTGTGAGAAGATAAATTTCTGTTAAGCCACCCAGTCTATGGCATTTTGTTATGACAGCATGAACAGATTAAGGCACTATATGATCCAAATTATACAACATTTTTGAAATGACTAAATGATAGAAATGAAGAAATAGTGGTTGTCAGGGCTTAAAGGATGGGTGGAAGCAGGAGAAAAATGGGTATGGCTATAAAATGACCATCCGAGAGATTGTCCTGGTAAGGAAACTGTTTTGTGTCTTGACTGTGTTAATGTCAATATCTTGGTTATTTTACTATGGATTTGCAAGATGCTACTGGTGGGAGAAACTGAGAAAGGTGTACATGGGATTTCTTTCTATTATTTCTTATAAGTATATGCACACCCACAGTATCTCAAAATAAAAATGTTTAAAAATGCTATGCATCACAGAGAAAGAGAAGTTAATACCATCTAATACTCCTAGCAAGAACCAAATGATTTAGATGAATCAGGACAAAATTTCCAATTACATGGAGTAATTACAGGGGCAGAGTTTCCATTTTTCTACTTAATGAAAGGAGAAGGATTTGGTTTGGAAAAAATCTCCTCAAATCAAAAATTATTATTTTTTAAATTTTTAAAATAGTTTGTTGTTTACAATAAATCATCAAGAATCTCAAATGGAGACCTATGTTCACAAATTGCCAGAGATTTTATTATGGTGATTTTCTCTTTATGGTATTATGTAACTGTTATTTATGTTCTTGTTAGCCAAAATAACAATGAGAAAGAATTCCCCGGGTCATAGATAATTTAAATCTGTAAAATATTGGGAATTATGATTAATAAAAAGGACTTTGTTTTATACTTTAGATTTAAAAATGAATGTCAACCTTCCTCTAACCAAATAAACACGTTGAAAACTACATGGTTCCCAATGAAGGCATTATCACTTGTCAAAAAGTAGAAAGGGTGGGAAGCAACTGAAACCTTCACTCTTCTGTTTACTATTTTATCCTTTTACCAAGTAAATTTCCATCAAATCTTTGTGTTATGGCCTGATTTCACAGCAGGAACACCCAGAAACAGACTTTAGAAAGGAAAGAATTGTCTTTTTAAAGTGTAAAAGAATCCATGCATTTATTGATTTTCTTGTCTTTCCCTTCAAATCCTTTGAAATACGATCAAAAATGTGTCTCCATTTTATATACCACAATTTTCTTTTAATAGCTTTTGCTCCACAACAGAGTCAGAGCTCTGCCTTCCTAACTAAAGAGGAAAAAGCTGTCTCAAAGGAAAAACATAACAGCAGAGCTAAACCAACCCTAAACCACTGTTAAACGTGTGAACATTGGAAAGGTGGGAGAAAGGCTGTACAGGGGCTCAACTCTCCCTGCCTTAGCGACTCTGCCCAGTGGGGCCTCACTAGATGACGGTTTATCTTTTTTGCTCTTCTCCCAGTCATCACCCACCCACTCCATTTCCATTTTTATTTCCTATTTTCCTCCTTCACATTTTTGCCTTCTGTCCCTGATCTACCCATGGTATTAAATTGCCTCCCAGTCCCAGCAGTCAGAGGACAGTCTTCTGATAATTCATGGAATGTGCAGGTTCTTACAATCTGTGTGTTCTAACTAGTTTCTGATATTTGATACCCACCGACAAAACTCTTGCCAAAAGATGTCAACTAGCCCAAAGTGGGGAAACTTTCAGCTATGGGAAATGTTCTCTCTCACAAAGCTTTTTTGAAATTATTTTTAGACAGTTCTGACAGGTAGAAATAGCTTCTTTATATTTTTGGTGAAAATATGTGCCTAATGATTTTAATTCTAGTCCTGGGGCAATTTAAGATAAGTTAATCCCCCGTATTTCACAGCCTATGTAATACTTGAAGACAGTAAACATGTCTACCCTATATTTTCTTCTTACCATGTCTGTCCTAAGTTTTCCTGACCCATTTCTTTCTGAAATGAATTTAAGTGTCTTTTAAGTGTTCTTTAATTCTGATTTTTACGTGCTGGATTATCAGCCATTAAGTGATAAGATTTTTAAAAGCCTGTGCCCTCTGACTGCTAAGTACAGTATGACAGTTAGGCATGGATTCAAACACAGGCCCTGGCACCTGCTAACTCTATGACCTTTGGCAAGTAGCTCACTACCTCATTGCCTCAATTTCTACACTTGTGAGATACTAATAATGTGAGTATATATTTCACAAGGTTTTCACATAAATGTTTTCATACATGCAAAAAATTTAAAGTGACTGGAAGATACTACTCTATACTACAATTGTCATCATCATCTCCCCTGACAGTCGTGGAGAACAGTTTGGTGAGACAGAACTATCTCCTCTCTCATTGTTCACTAAACTTGTTTAATATGGTCAAAACTCTGATTTGATTTTTGATGTTCAAATAACATAACCCACAAAAATTTATAAGAATTTATCAAACTGGGCTATAGGCAATCACAGAAGGCATGATTGAAAAAGTTTGTCATGAAGCAGATGTTAAAGAACTAGTGGAATTATTATACAATTGGACAGAGCACTGCCAGGATCTTTTTAAGTAAGGGAATATGGACACAGGTGTGTGCTCCTTTACCAGTACTTAGCTCTGCATAATTGGAGCAGAAAAGACAAATGGGTGAATGAAGGAAGACAATTTTGGAAAAGTTGAGACCACGCAAATATGAAAATACCTTGAGTTCTGCTAGTGTGAGAAAAGCATGGTCTGTGTCACTCTGTTTCAGACAGTAGGAGTGAATTGGATATTGATGTTAGTAATGCCTATTGCATTGCACCTGTAGTTTTCAGTTTTTTTAACTAGTAAAACACTTTTGTTGTTTGTTAGTTTAACTTTTTTAGTACCACAAAGTCTTCTGAAATGACATATTTTGGTCCCTGGAAGAAGATGCTTTTATTGAAGCAGGTCCCTGTTCCTTAGTCTATAGTGGAATCTGCTTTAAGATATATTTCCATGTGCAGCTTCATCTCTGTAGAAAATTTTATATGACCATGATTGTGGTGCTATTACAGGTTATGTGCAGTGTGATTCAAAGGAACATGGACACTATCTTTTAGACAATTTTGTCTAGTAAAAACCTAAATACACTCACTGCATCTTCTCTGGTACAATGACTGAAGAAATTTCCCCCAGAGCTTGGCAGTAGCAACCGCAGAGTAAGTCACTAAATTCCCACCTGAATACGGGCCCTGATTTTTCCACCAACATTACCTAACCATGTCCCCTTAAAGGAATTTTAGGTTGAATAACAGAGTGAATATAACTCTAGGAGAGAGAGGAACTGCACTTAGCAGCATGGAAAGATAAGTTCTGTTTGTCTGTATAGAACATCCTGCTGCCTTACCTTCTGCAATGAGGAGAGCTAGAGTTCAATCAGGAATGACTAAAATGCAAAACAGCTTCCATCATCTCTCTCAGTCCCCACTGGGGTCCTTGACAGCCTCACCCTGGTGCTGCTGAATATCCTAATGTAGAGGAAGAGAGGAGATGAGCCCTATTGGTGAGATCATCATCCTGCAAATCACTGTTATTTATAGATGTGGCAACCCATCCTTCACCACCCTGCTAGCTATTTCTCCCAGCTTCACTTCCTAAGACACTGTATTATTAGGAATGACATCTTGGCAAAGAAAATGCCAATTCTCTAGTGGTGCAATGACATTTCTGAAAGTACTGTCTAAGAAATGCTCTATGAAATTGTATTTTTGTGGGCCAGGTCAGTGACAGCAGAATAAAGGAAAGAAACTCACAAAAATGATATTTTATTACATGAAGAGAAATCATCATAACTAAAGACCTGAAACTGAAGTTGATAACACTATTTACTTGTCAGGAAATGAGAATAAGATAGGAAAGAAACCATACTATATTATTTCATTCTCTATCTTGTAGAAGAAAGAATTTTGGCTATAAACAAGCTGTAATTAGTATTTAAGGAACACAAGATAAT
This sequence comes from Homo sapiens, assembly GCF_000001405.40. Taxonomy (NCBI): domain Eukaryota; kingdom Metazoa; phylum Chordata; class Mammalia; order Primates; family Hominidae; genus Homo; species Homo sapiens. Next base: position 8,885,331 of record NC_000007.14, on the reverse strand, counting down.
GTAGTGACTATATATCACATAGAGACATAAATATGAGAATCATACCATAGCATCATAATTTTTAAAAAGGCAAATTTAGCTCTATATTTGTGTACATAAGTGTATTAAATTTTACCTAAATTTATCATTCATCAATAAAATTTATTATACATATGCATTAATTTTAAAATAGTTGCATATGAACTCAGGATAGTTGCAGATAAATTTAAGCAAGGAATATGGCCTATGCATTCTAGAAATTGACACTTTTCAGTACACTTATATGAAGCAATTAATAACCAGTGTTCTTTTTTTGTATTAAAAAATATGTACTGAATATACTCCTTCCTCATCTCCCTGGCATGTCATGATTCTTCTCCAATAACACTGGATTTAATTATATGTAATTTGATTAATGTTAAATTTTAAAATCTAATGAAATATTATCAAAGAAATCACAACGCTTAACTGAGGATTCAAAAGTTAAATCATAAAATTTAAAGATTAATGGTGGTTGAAAATGTAAGATCTATTAAACTCTTTAATACACTATTCTTTCTCATAAAACAATATCAAAATCCACAACTTACATAAAAATCTGCACCTTAACTGTACTCTTAATTCCCTCACCATCAGCAATGAAGAAAACCTAATAGTATCCAAAGTGATTTTATGTATTTTTAGCATATCAGAACTACAGACTCATTGGATTTTATATTTAACTGTATTTTTAGAACCTAACATATCAAATAAAACATCTTCCTGTTCTACTAGTGTGTTTTCTGTGATAGGAACAATGAGATGTTTTGTACTTACCACATGGGGGGAAATGAAAGACTTATGTACTAACCTAAAATAAATACATTATGAAAATATATTATGTAAGAAGCAATTAAAAAGACTATAAATATTTTCACAAGTAGTAATTTTCTAAACCAAAAGCATTAAAATATTGTTTGAATAAAACAAATTTATATGGCCAGCTGTGGTGGCTCACACCTGTAATCTCAGCATTTTGGGAGGCCGAGTCGGGCAGATAACCTGAGGCCAGGAGTTTGAAACCAGCCTGGCCAACATGCTGAAACCCCATCTCTACTAAAAATACAAAAATCAGCTGGGTGTGGTGGCACGTCCCTATAGTCCCAGCTACTCGGGAGGCTGAGGTGGGAGAATAATTTGAACCTGGGAGGTGGATGTTGCAGCGAGCCGAGATCACGCCACTACACTCCAGCCTGGGCAACAGAGCAAGACTCCATCTCAAAAAAAAAAATTATAAAGTTAACATTAAAGTCTAATATAGTCTTTAATCACTCCTACCCTTTCAAAATTGATATACCTACCATATTTTACTAATCTCATGTGTGCCAATATTTTTTAAGATGATTTTTATTAGTTTTAGTTTCACAGAAAAAGTAACAGGAAAGTACAGAGATTTCCCATACAGTCCCTGCCCCTGTCCATGCAGTTTTTCCCTTTATCAACATCCCCCACTAAGAGTACATTTATTAAGTTGATAAACTTACAATGTCACTTCATAATCATCCAAAGTTCATTATTTAGATTAGGGTATACTCTTGGTGTTGTACCTTCAGTGGGTATGGATGAATGTATAATGACAGGTATCCACCAATGTAGTATGATACAGAATAGCTTCACTCCTCTCAAAAAAATCTCTACCCATTAATTCCTCCTTACCTCCAACCCCCGGCAAACATTAATCTTTTTACTGTCTCCATAGTTTTGCCTTTCTCAGAATGTCATATAATTGGACTCATGCAGTAATGTAGGCTTTTCAAACTGGCTTCTTCCACTTAGTAATATGCATTTAAGGGTCTTCCACATCTTTTCATGGCTTCATAGCTCATTTCTTTTCATTGCTGAATAATATTCCACTGTCTGTATGTACACAGTTTATTCGTTCACCTACTGAAAGACATCTTGGTTGCTTCCAAGTTTGGGCAATTATGAATATATAATTGCTATAAACATCCATGTGCATGTTTTTTGTGTGTGGGCAGAAGTTTTCAATTCTTTTGGGTAAATGCCAAAAATGTGATTCCTGGATTGTGCAGTAAAAGTATGTTTAATTTGCATAATGTCTAAACTGTCTTTAAAAGTGGCTGCACTAGTTTGCCTTCCCCCCAGCAATGAATGTGAGTTCCTGTTACTCCACATTCTTACTAGCACTGGGTGTGTCAGTGTTCCAGCTTTTGGCCATTCTAATAGGTATGTAGTGATATCTCATTATTTTAATTTGAATTAAATTAAAACATATGGTGACATAAGATGTGGAATATCTTTTTATATGCTTATTTTCCAACTGTATATCTTCTTTGGTGAAACATTTTTTCAGGTATTTGGCCCATTTTTTGATAAGGTCATTTGTTTATTCACTTTTAAGAGTTTTTTCTGTATTCTGGATACAGTCCCTAATCAGATGTGTCTTTTGCCAATATGTTTTCCCAGTCTGTGGCTTGTCTTCTCAGGTTCTTGACAGTGTCTTTTGCAGTGCAGAAGCTTTTTAATTTTAATAAAGTTCAGTTTATCAGTTATTGTTTTCATGGATCATGTCTTTGGTATTATATCCAAAAAGTTTTCACTATAACAAATGTCAACTAAGTTTATTTCTGGAATCCATATTAATTTTATGGCCACTGTGAAAAAATTTTACCCTATATATTCTCATTGAAAATGCTGTTGAGGAGAAATACTATTTTTGTATACTTCCTGAATATATCACAGTGTCCTAATTATGCAAATTTTTCTCCCCGTTTTCTCTCCCGAACTATCTTTTTAAAGATCCTAATGACAAACATATTATCTAATGTTAATTTTATTTCCAGTGTAGCATTATTAGGGATGCAACATCCAGTAGATGGGCAGAAGAGATATGACAAAGATTTAAGTGTATAAATAAAGTGTAAACTATTTCCTAAATAATGGAGGACTGAATTTATTGATAGCATGCAATTTAAAATATACATAAATTTTTTTATTGTATCAAATGCTGTGTAACTAATCACTTAACATTTAGTGGCTTAAAACAGTGACAACATTCAGTCTCCTTGCAAATCTGCAATTTGATCAAGGCTTAGAGGCAGCTTGTAGGTTCCACTCAGTATCAGCTGGGACAGCTTGAAGGCTCCAGTGGAATCATCTTAAGACTTGTTCACTCACATGTCTGGCAGCTGATGCTGCGAAGACTCAAACAGCTAAGGGCTTTAACAGCTGGAGGTCTTCCGGAATCTCTCCTTTTTTCTTATGTGGCCTCTAATTGTAGTCTGTCTAGCTCAGGAATCCCCACTGGTTACATCTGATCTTAGAGCTCCCCAGATGAATTTCCCAAGAGAGAGGAAGCTATGTGGAGACTCAATTCTCTTTTTGTGATGTAGCCTTAAAATGTACTTCCCCATCACTGTATTCATAAAGGCACTCACAAACCCCCACCCAGGTTTAAGGAGAAGAAACATTGTCTCCAACTCTTGATGGGGTTTGACAAGCATCTGGAAGAATATGAAAGACAAGCAGTATTGCTGTAGCCAGTTTTGAAAAATGTGCTCTGTCTCACATCTCAAGTTAGTAACTGATTTCACCCCATGCAACTTTCTTCCCTCTTTGCAATCCTAGATCCTATGCATTACTCCTCATGGAAGTAAGTCAAATGAACACAAACCACTGCAAGAAGTTAGGCTCTATCTCAAGTGTGTATTTTCTTTAAACCATACATACATGAACTAAGTAGAATGAAGTTAATGCAACCATCCAGTTTGTTGCTCCACTACCTATTTTCTTGTGTTTCTTATTAAGTTGCTGCTGTATTTCACAAATCAATTTTTTACAGTACAAACTTCTTAGCATGTGCAGGTGACTGATTCAATTTGGTTCGTTATAAAGAAGAGAGAGCTCAGAGGGTTTTCCAGAGTTAAAATAGACCTGAACTGAATGGCAGATTTCACTTTGGTTCCTAGCTTTTGTTTATATCTGATTCAGCTAAAACTCAGATTTCTATTTTCTTCGGCTTCCAAAGCGTGAATAGTAGGTAGTGAAGAAGATTGATTAAGAAGTTCAAATGAAAAAATAAGAAACCTGTTCCAGGACTGCTGTGGCAGAGCTTTGAAGTTCATGGCTAGGGGGTAGTTATGAGACTACAGATTTAAGCTATTTGTAATGAAAGGAATGGTTTTCATTTCACCAGCTCAAGTAAATTATTGCCTTTAGAAATAATTTTTCTCCAGAACTAGTGTCATGATGTAAAAACTTTACTTTTTTCTTGCTATCATGTTTAGTCTCTCCTAAAGTTGAAAATGAGGAATTTTTAGTACATTAAAAATGTATTAAAAGAAGTTATGTCATTAATATTGTCAGGAAGTCAATGTTTTTACAGAGAGAGAGAGATGAATATATGTAGCAGGTGACGAATGAGCATCTGCTTCATTTCAAAATAATTTATACAATCAATATGTACAGGGGATGCTAATAGTTACAATATGGATTTCTAGTACAATAGCAGAAAAAAACCCTGAATTCATAAATCGAAACCAGAATTTGATTTCTGAGTCCATTCTTGAGTTGCTTTGTGACCTTCAGCAAGTCACTTAATTTCTTCATTCATAAAATGGAAATGTTAGCTGCCTTATTTCATTCACTATTTTGTTGTAAGTACAAAATGGGATGTTACATTGAAATTGCTTTGAAATGTGTAAATAATGGTATGACTGCATGGTTATACGGCTGATACCAAACTTGATATCTTCCTTCTCACAATCTCTGTATTTGCACCTTGATAAGAAGCAGCACCAGTTACTCAGTCATTCAACTCAGAAACCTGGAATCATACTAGACCTTTTCTCTCTTAGGTGCACTCTATCCTAGGTGGTTTTTAACGTGCTCTCTTACTGCCAGGCTTACACATTCCCTGCTTCTGGTACTGACTATATCAGTTCATCATATACAACTTAATTATGAAGCTTCTCCTCTGAGAAACATTTTCTGACACGCCAGTCATATTAGATAAGTGGAAATTTTGATGAATTGTAAATCACTTCCATGGAATTTCTTTTGTAATATGCTCACTGACTTAGGGTGAGAACTACCTTTACAGCATTTCTAAGCTGATAATAAAACTGATACGTTATATATGAAAGCCAAAAATAATTAACCTCTTATTGTTAAAAACTTACCACCCTATTAAAGAAAATCTTAAAAATCGAATTAATATAATTATGTATTCTATATTGTCCCACTGTAGTACAATAAAACCAGACATTAATTTTAGAATAGGAACAAAAGAACAACTATTGGTATTTTAAAGACTGCCTTAACTAAAAAATAGTTTTAAATAAAACTGAATAAAATATAAAATCACACAGAAATATAATAAAATTTTAAATATATATTCTAAATGACAAGGGAAATTAACATTTTAAGTGCACCAATTCTAATAAGTAAAATGTAAACTTAATGTCTCAAGATATGATAAATACAATAAGATAAAATTAAGTTGTATGTCATTTATAAATTAGAAGATATAAACAGAAAAATAAATGAATTATTTTGAGATACATCCCATCAGTACCTAATTTGTTGAGAGTTTTTAGCATGAAGGGCTGTTGAATTTTGTCAAAGGCCTTTTCTGCATCTCTTGAGATAATCACGTGGTTTTTGTCGTTGGTTCTGTTTATATGCTGGATTACGTTTATTGATTTGCATATGTTGAACCAGCCTTGCATCCCAGGGATGAAGCCCACTTGATCATGGTGGATAAGCTTTTTGATGTGCTGCTGGATTCGGTTTGCCAGTATTTTATTGAGGATTTCTGCATAGATGTTCATCAGGGATATTGGTCTAAAATTGTCTTTTTTTGTTGTGTCTCTGCCAGATTTTGGTATCAGGATAATGCTGGACACATAAAAATGAGTTAGGGAGGATTCCCTCTTTTTCTATTGATTGGAATAGTTTCAGAAGGAATGGTACCAGCTCCTGCTTTTACCTCTGGTAGAATTTGACTGTGAATCCATCTGGTCCTGGACTTTTTTTGGTTGGTAAGCTATTAATTATTGCCTCAATTTCAGAACCTCTTATTGGTCTATTCAGGGATTCAACTTCTTCCTGGTTTAGTCTTGGGAGGGTGTATGTGTCGAGGAATTTATCCATTTCTTCTAGATTTTCTAGTTTGTGTAGAGGTGTTTATAGTACTCTCTGATGGTAGTTTGTATTTCTATGGGATTGGTGGTGATATTCCCTTTATCATTTTTTATTGCGTCTATTTGATTCTTCTCTCTTTTCTTTATTAGTCTGGTAGCGGTCTGTCAATTTTGTTGATCTTTTCAAAAAATCACCTCCTGGATTCATTGATGTTTTTTTTTTGAAGGGTTTTTTGGGTCTCTATCTCCTTCAGTTCTGCTCTGATCTTAGTTATTTCTTGCCTTCTGCTAGCTTTTGAATGTATTTTCTCTTGCTTCTCTAGTTCTTTTAACTGTGATGTTAGGGTGTCATTTTTAGATCTTTCCTGCTTTCTCTTGTGGGTATGTAGTGCTATAAATTTCCCTCTACACGCTATTTTAAATGTGTCCCAGAGATTCTGGTATGTTTTGTCTTTGTTCTCATTGGTTTCAAAGAACATCTTTATTTCTGCCTTCATTTTGTTATGTGCCCAGTGGTCATTCAGGAGCAGGTTGTTCACTTTCCTATTTATGACAAACCCACAGCCAATATCATACTGAATGGGCAAAAACTGGAAGCATTCCCTTTGAAAACCGGCACAAGACAGGGATGCCTTCTCTCACCACTCCTATTCAACATAGTGTTGGAAGTTCTGGCCAGGGCAATCAGGCAGGGGAAAGAAATAAATGGTATTCAATTAGGAAAAGAGGAAGTCAAATTGTCCCCGTTTGCAGATGACATGATTGTATATCTAGAAAACCCCATTGTCTCAGCCCAAAATCTCCTTAAGCTGATAAGCAACTTCAGAGAAGTCTCAGGATACAAAATCAATGGGCAAAAATCACAAGCATTCTTATACACCAACAGCAGACAGAAAGCCAAATCATGAGTGAACTCCCATTCACAATTGCTTCAAAGAGAATAAAATACCTAGGAATCCAACTTAACAAGGGATGTGAAGGACCTCTTCAAGGAGAACTACAAACCACTGCTCAATGAAATAAAAGAAGACACAAACAAATGAATGAACATTCCATGCTCATGGATAGGAAGGATCAATATCTTGAAAATGGCCATACTGCCTAAGGTAATTTATAGATTCAATGCCATCCCATCAAGCTACCAATAACTTTCTTCACAGAATTGGAAAAAAGTACTTTAAAGTTGGAACCAAACTTTAAAGTACTTTGGTTCATATGGGACCAAAAAAGAGGCCGCATTGCCAAGTCAATCCTAGGCCAAAAGAACAAAGCTGGAGGTATCACGCTACCTGACTTCAAACTATACTACAAGGCTACAGTAACCAAAACAGCATGGTACTGGTACCAAAGGAGAGATATAGACCAATGGAACAGAACAGAGCCCTCAAAAATACCAGACATCTACAACCATCTGAGCTTTGACAAAACTGACCAAAACAAGAAATGGGGAAAGGATTCCCTATTTAATAAATGGTGCTGGGAAAACTGGCTAGCCATATGTAGAAAGCTGAAACTGGATCCCTTGCTTACACCTTATACAAACGTTAATTCAAGATGGATTAAAGACTTAAATATTACACCTAAAACCATAAAAACCCTAGAAGAAAACCTAGGCAATACCATTCAGGACATAGGCACGGGCAAGGACTTCATGTCTAAAACACCAAAAGCAATGGTAACAAAAGCCAAAATTGACAAATGGGATCTAATTAAACTAAAGAGCTTCTGCACAGCAAAAGAAACTACCATCAGAGTGAACAGGCAACCTACAGAATGGGAGAAAATGTTTGCAGTCTACTCATCTGACAAAGGGCTAATATCCACAATCTACAAAGAACTCAAACAAATTTACAAGGAAAAAAATAATCCCATCAAAACGTGGGCAAAGGATATGAACAGACACTTCTCAAAAGAAGACATTTATGCAGCCAACAGATACATGAAAAAATGCTCATTATCACTGGCCATCAGAGAAATGCAAATCAAAACCACAATGAGATACCATCTCACACCAGTTAGAATGGCAATCATTAAAAAGTCAGGAAACAACAGGTGCTGGAGAGGATGTGAAGAAATAGGAACACTTTTACACTGTTGGTGGGACTGTAAACTTGTTCAACCATTGTGGAAGACAGTGTGGCGATTCCTCACGGATCTAGAACTAGAAATACCATTTGACCCAGCCATCCCATTACTGGGTATATACCCAAAGGATTATAAATCATGCTGCTATAAAAACACATGCACACGTATGTTTATTGTGGCACTATTCACAATAGCAAATATTTGGAACCAACTCAAATGTCCATCAATGATAGAGTGGATTAAGAAAATGTGGCACATATACACCATGGAATACTATGCAGCCATAAAAAAGGATCAGTTCGTGTCCTTTGTGGGGACATGGATTAAGCTGGAAACCATCATTTTCAGCAAACTATGACAAGGACAAAAAACCAAACACTGCATGTTCTCACTCATAGGTGTGAATTGAACAATGAGAACACTTGGACACAGGAAGGGGAATATCACACACCAGGGCCTGTCATGAGGTGGGGGTAGAGGGGAGGGATAGCATTAGGAGATATACCTAATGTAAATGATGAGTTAATGGGTGCAGCACACCAACATGGCACATGTATACATATGTAACAAACCTGCACGTTGTGCACATGTACCCTAGAACTTAAAGTATAATTTAAAAAAAAGAAAAAGAAATGTATTTAAAACCACCAAGGTATGTTCTGTGTAACTGTACTTGAATTAAACCTGAAAACTACTGTGAATTCAATGTCTGCTCTTGGGTGATGTTTGCTTTCCGGTGTCAACTTTCCTGGATTAACGGACACTCAGATAGTTGGTAAAGTATTATTTATTCTCTATGCTTCAGTAGGCACTGAGCCTGTCCTCTTCTGCTGAAAGGGAAACCCAGATGGGTTTGCTTTTGATTAAAATGATTGGGCTGCCCCAGTTGTGTCTTTGAGGTTGTTTCCAGAGGAGATTGGTGTGTTGAGTCATTGGACTGAGTGGGAAAGTTCTGCCCATAATGTGGGCAGGCCCCATCCAATCCACTGGGGGCCTAGATGGAACAAAAAGGCTGAGGGAGGGTGAATTTTCTCTCTCTCCCAGAGCCAGGACACCCTTCTTCTTTTACCCCTGGATGTCAGACCCCAAGATTCACACCAGCAGTCTGCCCCGTGGTCACACCCCCTGACTCTGGGCCTTTGCCTCAGACTGAGAATAATACCATTGGCTTCCTTGGTTCTGAGGTTTTTGGACTTGGACTGAGTCACGTTATCAGCTTTCTTGGTTTCTAGTCCTTCTGTCTTGGGACTTCTCAGCCTCCATAATCAAATGACCCAATTCCAATAAATCCCTTTTTATATTTCTCTCTGTGTATTGTGTTGGTTTTATGTCTCTGGAGAACCATGACTAAAAGCATTTTAAGGATTAGTATTTTAAATTGTTTTGGGATTTCTTGAATTAGCATTCTGTGGACTTAAAAATACTTACTTTACTTACAGCAATACAGAGAGCATTTGATAGTCTATAGAGTGAACATTTTATAGAGATAATGCAAAATATCTATATGGAATACTCCTAATCAATCACTTATAAGAAGCAAGGAAATTAGTGATTATATGGTAACTTTGAACATTTTTTGAAAACCAGGAAATATAATTATGTTAATTGGTTGCTCTACACATATACATATATAATTTCTAAGCATTATTGAGGCCTTATATTAATGTTCATAAAGAAATAGTGTCAGAAAATCCCCGATTGGCAGATTTCTAACAGAATGTATGTAAGAATGAATTTTTAAACTTGAGTCAAACCCACCGTCAATTTTTCTTTTTGGAAAGCCAAACATTTTGGTAAAAATCGTCACACCAAGGTTCCACAGAAGTCTGAAAATACATCCTTTTTAAAATTTAATTTTATGTTAGGTTCAGGGTTACATATGCACGTTTGTTATATAGGTAAATTGCGTGTCACAGGGTTTAGTTTACAGATTGTTTCATCACTCAGGTGATAAGCATAGTACCTAACAGGTTTTTAAATCTTCACCCTCCACCTTTAAGTAGACGCCAGTGTCTGCTGTTCTCTTCTTTGTGTCCATACGTACTCAATGTTTAGCTTCCACTTATAAGTGAGAAATGTGGTATTTCATTTTTTGTTCCTGTATTTATCCTATTCACTTAGGATAAAGGCCTTCAGTTCCCTCCATGTTTCCGCAAAGGACATGATTTCATTCTTTGTTATGGTTGCATAGTATCCCATGTCATATATGTACATTTTTTTTTTTTTATCAAGCCTACTCTTAATGGGCATTTAGGTTGATTCCATGTCTTTGCTATTGTGAGCAGTGCTGCGATGATCGCAGAAGTGCATGTGTCTTTATGGTAGAACAATTTAGATTTTGGGGGGTGTGTACCCAATAATGGGATTGCTCTGAGTTGAATGATAATTCTGCTTTGTGTTCTTTAAGAAATCGCTAACTGCTTTCCACAGTAGCTGAACTAATTTACATTGCCACCAGCAATGTATGTGTTCCCTTTTCTCTGCAACCTCACCAGCATATTATTTTTTGACTTTTTAATAATAGCCATTCTGACTTGTGTGAAATGGTATCTCATGGTGGTTTTGACTTGCATTTCTCTGATTAGTGATGTTATTCATTTTTTCATAAGTTTGTTGGCTACATGTATGTCTTCTTTTTAAAAAGTGTCTGTTCATGTCCTTTGCCACTTTTTAATGGCATAATTTTTTGCTTTTAAATTCAAGTTCCTTATAGATTCTGGATATTAGACCTTTGTTGGATGCATAGTTTGCAACTATTTTTTCCCATTTGGTTGGTTGTCTGTTTACTCTGTTGATAGTTTCTTTTGCTGTGCAGAAGCTCTTTATTCCAGTTCAATCCCATTGTCAATTTTTTGTTTTTGTTGTGGGAATACATTCTTTTAAACTGAGCATATGACTCTCAGACAATTTCAGACAACCAATTGCCAACCATAAGGGTTGGCAGCATTGTACATCAAAGCGACAAAGGTTGACTTAGCAGATGTTTATTAACTGGTTTAAAGAACTTGAACTCTAAGACTGTGAGACTTTATGTTGTACTGACTTACCTTACCCATAATCTGCATTCCCTTACCAATTAGATGTAGTAAATTATATATGGGAGTATACCCATGAATATGTGAGTCGACTGTGTATGGAAATTTGTGAGCTCAATTCCAATTGAAATCAATAGAGCTCAGAAAGCCATGGAGAAACTTATACATGAAGAAAGGACCATTGTAAAACATGGCTCTTAAATACTAAACTTTTCTCTTTTCTGTGCCACGTTGCCTATTCATGAAGGTCAAAAACTACAGAGGAACTGAGGGTCAGAACAAAGGTGTTAACATGCCAGAAATATGAGGTCCAGTCTATATACTCTGATTTAATGGGATTTAGTAGCTTTATTTTCCAGGTTTTCACATTGATTTTTATATCATTTTATGAGGGCATTCAAAAACTCTTCCCTGGAAACAGTTTAGTAGCTCTTTGGTGCAAACTCCTTAGTCATGAAGTTGTAAATTACAAAAACTCATATCTTAAATATGGGCAGGTTCTTATATACTATGCTTTCTTCATACAAAGCATAATCAAAAGCAGTATAATACTACCATTTGGCAATGTCTTCGTGGAAAACAATAAAATCAAGACTCAGATAGCTATATAATATTGATAAACTTTGTGTCAAGTGAAATTTCAATAGAACATGGTTGTCATAATGTACAGCATTGATTTTCATCCACAGAAATGGAGAATTCACTTACCTCTCCCAGGGCATCTCACAAATACTTGGAAGCTAAATACTGAACATAAGATCTGAATCACTGGCTATGACATGTCTCTTGAGAATTCTAACACCCCAAACTTTGTCCTTCAAACTACTTCATTGTATTTCACAAGTGTTTCCCTCACCTAATACTAAAATCTGTTCCCTTTGAAATCCAGATGTTGATACTGAAAGGATGGTTCGGTTTGATTATGTCAATCATAATCACAGTCTAAGTCCCATCTCTTCTCTCATCTTTAGATGCTACTGGGTCATAAACTGAGAAAACTGACATTTCATCTGTTAACCTTTAGATATGCTCAAGGAACTGTTCCTTGTTTGTGAAGCCATCTAATTGCTAATCTATAACCCTTTTAATATTTTATGTGTTGTGGATTGATCTACTGCCAGCTGACCTAACACTGCCCATGGCTGTATTAATCCTATTATTCACAACCTATTATGGAGTATCCCTGAAACTCCTTAATGAATTCTGAAAAGCTTGCTTGCCAGATACCAATATTTAGGATGATTACACTTTTATTCATTCTCTTATTCCTAATTATAAAGCTTCAGATTGTATTAACTGTATTTGGTGGGGTTCAGCATTTCTCTTCTCCATAACTATCTGTGAGCTGACGTTAGGTTTTTGGAAATAATCAGGTTTTGTAAATATTATCACCATACATATTGTTTTGATCCTTCTTGATGTTAAACAAATTCAAAAGGTAAAAATTTTTAATACATTTAGAGATTAAATCCTGTTGTAAGGTAAATATAGTACGGGATATAGTAGAATTAAGTAGGTTTTATCAAGAGTAGATAAAATATTCTAGAAAAAAGTTCTGCATTTTGAGTTCCTGATATATTCACAGTACTATTAATCCTCTAATAGGATGGATAAATCTGCCTTGCATGATAAGCCTACTTGTTAAGAAAAGTACATTCTCTATTGAATTAATCACCCCATATGAAAGTAGAAAAGTATCATCAGTCTGAATAACTACGATACCTTATCAACTTTAGTTTGATGAGTGGCTAAAGGGATGTAATATTTTTTAACTCCAGTGAAATGTATTGGCAACCAGACACTTCTTATTTAAAACACAAAAAATCTGAAAAAGTAGATTTGCAGAAAAAAGACATTGTTGATGATAATGTATTTCATGAAAGAAAAAAACAACACAGATGGGGTTTTATAGTGACTGGGGGTTCTGCGGACCAGAACGCATGGTTGGATTTGGTGGTTTGGGGTCTACAGAAGGAGAGCAAATATTTATACAAGGAGAGTCAAGCTAGTACCAAGGAGCTATGGATTTTGGCAGTTAATGACAAATATGTACATATTGGGCAATATTTCATATAATTGCAACCTCTCTCTAGAGAATCTGTCATGTAGAAAAAGTTCTAGAATCCAGAGCCATCATTATCCTCCAGTATATATATTTGCCCCTTTGCCAAATCGTGATTACACCATGAGCTATATTTAAAGACCAGGATCTTACGCAAGATTTTACTTTGGTCTCTCTTCTAGCCCTTGATCATCAGAAAGACCACCACTTAGTTCCCCACTGGGGGTTTGAGTGTGAGAAAGGGATGCAAGTAAAATACAGGACATATATTAGTGTGTTTTAAATATTGCTCAGAACATACTTATTTAAAACAAATTCACTGTTTACCTGAAATTCAAATTTAAGTTGGTATCTTGTATTTTCATTTTGTAAATCGGGCACTCTAAGAGAAAGGACCTGAAAAATTGGGGAAGAAAAAAGGGGAAATAAAATCTATACCAACACTGCAGGGAGGTCTTCAGCTATGGCTCTTCTTGTACTTGCCAACAATATGGTAGATTTATCTGAAGACCTGGCTATGTGTATAATAATATTAAAATTATTTATCTTAGTATTTCACCATTTTGGTAGACATTGCCTTTTTTCCTCCCCAACCATACTTTTTAATTTCCCTTTGAAGCAATATTATTTAACTCAGCCTTTTGGAACATGATTTTAAAGAAAGAATCTATATAAAAGTAAAGTAATATTGAATTAAATGAGACCTTTCTCTGTTCAGGTGCAATTTTCAAAACAGCAAGAGAGATTTTACACAGTAAAGTAAAAGCATTTAGAATTGAAACTCAAACCAACTAAAATAAATTCACACTTCAATTGTGACCTTCATATCCCCTAAATGCATTTTAAACAGTGGGTTGCCTTTCTTTTTATGGCATAGAGCTGCATGTAATCATAAAGAAGAACAGCAAAAGTATACACTGAGCCAGTTATGCAGGGAACATAGCAGGTCCACATGCCCCCCACCTGTCAGCCGTGCTTCTTTCTCAATGTTTAACTTAAAACTAGAACTAAAGTTTGATCTGCAACACAAAGTTAACTTGAAGGAAGCAGGTAAATTTTGGCATATACCCACTTTTGTACATATGCCCCAGTTATCCAAAGAGGCTGGATCTGGTTGAAAGAACACTGAAGTATAGTTTAAATTACATAGAAATAGTGAGTTTTATGCATAAAAATGTTACATAATCCAGGAGTTTTGTAAATCTCACTTTCATAGCATTTCCATTTATTTTGAGAGTTTTGCCAATTCTACCTTTTGGGAAGTCTTTAATGTAATGAATTACCTTAAGTATTGATAGCCAACTATATGTTCTTTGTCTTTCTCATGCACAAATACTTTTGGAGATTTTACATGTTCCATATTGATTTAATTCAAATCATTTCCCAACTCTTATTACAATTGTAATTACTGTTTTTCATAGTACATCATTGTTGTAATTTTGTAACAAGTCTTATTAGTAACTCATTATAGATATCATTAAGTCCTATATAGTTCATAGCATTCTACCATTTACTCACAAATTTACAACGTTTAAATAACATTTTCCAAAACTACTATAGAAATTCAGAGACAAAGATAAAATACCTCCTTAGCAATGAAACCAATGTATATCCTGAAAGCTCTCTGGAAGCCTAACAGTTCATGTACATTGAACTACAAAACCAAACATGGACTCAATGAAAAGGGCCAATAGATTAATGACATATACCAGCCCTATTCATTTGGCTTATATTACCAGGAAGTCAGCAAATAAAACTATTAGCAGCAACATTTTTCTAAAGAATAAAATACCAATAATTGATGTAATTTGTTGAAGGACAATTTATCATCTTCTTTACACCAATACACAAACTAAGAATTAACATTTTATCTGATTCAAAAAACCAAAAACAAAATGCATGGCTAAAAGTAGTTTTCCCAAATGTTGTGCATTTAGAATTTCAGGAATAAATAATTTTCCCAGTGATTTTTATTGCGTTTTTTATTTTTGATAAAAATTTATATAAACAAAAATGTATAGATTTTAATTTTAACTCTGAGTCAAAACTCAGAGTTGATGTGTGAATACACTGTTACAACAATCAACCCGATTAAAATACATACTATTTCCATCATCTCAGAAAATCATCTTATGCTCCCTTCAGGCTTTGGGAATCATATGTTCCAAATACTCGATTCTATCATCAGAGCACAAAAGCAACCATAAACAATGTGTTAGTGAATGTGAATAATAGTATTCCATAAAATTTTATTTACCAAAACAGGTAGCTAGCCCATGGGCCATAATTTGTCAACCTCTGGTCTACTCTAATAATCTTTGCCTTTTAATTAAAGTGTTTAGTCTATTGAAATTTCACATAATTATTAATATGGTTAGATTTAGGTTTATTATTTTGCAATTTTTCTTCTATTTATATCTCAATTTTGGTTCTCTTTTTCTGATTTATGTTGAGTTAATTGAATATCTTTTGATAATTAAATTTCTTTATTAGCTTTTTTCATACTTTTTATGTTATTTTTGGTAGTTGCTATAGGACATACAATATCTATCTTCAAGTTATAACTAATTAGAATATTGTATCATTTATATAAAATGTAAGAATTTTGAAGTAATATGATTTTATTTGTAGCACCTAAATTTTCGTGCTATTGGATCATATATTTTAATTACATATATATTATAAATGGTCATAATTTTTTAGTTCAGAATTAAAGAGAAGGGGTAAACAGCCTCTTACATTTGCTCACATATTTACCAATTTTGGTGACATCATAACTTCACGTAGCTCTAAATTTTTATCTGATGTCATTTTCTTTAGCCCAAAGAACTCTTTCAGTGTCTCTTATACCATATAGGTCTGCTGATGAAAAATTCTTAGTTTTTTGTTTCTCTGAAAAAGTCTTCACCTCTCTCTTAATTTTGAAGATTATTTTTGCTGAATGTAAAATTCTAACCTATATGTCATTTTCTATGTATTTATTATGCTTCATCTTTTCTAATATCCTTGGATTTGTAACGATGTTTTTCATCAAAATTTGCAAATTTTCAACGATTTTTTTTTTGGAAGATGTTTTCCCTATCCTTTCTCCTCTCTATCTTTCTGGAAATCCAATTATACATTTATTACGCCACTTGATATTGTCCCATAGGTGAGTAGGGTAGTGTTCTTTTAAAAATTTCATCCTTTATCTCTATTTTCTTTTGATGGGATAATTTATATTACTCTCTTCATTTTTACTGACCCATTCTTTTGTAATCTTAAATTTATTGTTAAGTGTATCCGTTGAACTTTTCATTTCAGAAATTGTAGTTATTAATTTTTGAATTTCCATTTTTGTAGTTCCCATTCCTCTGATACGATCCATATTTTTACCCACTATGACTTTCATTTAAGTCCTTCAGCATAGTTACAATAACTACTTCGCAGTTCTTTTAGTTCCAATGTTCTGGTTCTAATATTGAGGTCATCTTGTGGTATGATTCCATTGACTACCTTTTCACTTGACCTTGAGCCACTCTTGCCCATGTCTTTGCATGAAATATTGGTTTAACTTTTTCATTGTATACTAGATATTGTGAATAATACACTATAAGAAGTTTGGGTTCTTTGAGTACGGATTTTTCTTCTGGGAGTGAGTTCAGTTAATGACTGATCTGGCTTTTATACTCTTTAAGAAAAGGTCTGTTTTGGTCTTGGTTTTAATCACAGGGAATTTGGTCACTAATCCTTAAGTGTGGTCATTCTCAGGTTTTGATGAAAACCTAAGGTGTTTACTTACTACCAAATGCTTCATATATGGGAAAATTCGAACTGCAAATTATATTTACTTTGGAGTGAGAAGATTCTCAAATCCATGCTCAAATTTTCTGCTATTCAGCTGCTATTGTTCCTTGGACTTTTTGAGTCCCCTGGCTGTGTGTAGAATTTCTCGGAGGGGGAATATCACAGATGTTTGGGCTCCCTCCATGATATCTTCCCTTTCCGAATGTTTTCTTCTCATTTATAGCTGCTTTTGTAACTCTGAAGTTCATATTTCTAAACTTTAAGCTTTCTGCTTGAGTTCCAGCTGCCCTATGCCACACAATATTAGGAACAGTCTCAGGGAGAAAGACATATAAGAATATATCTCAACCAAGGGAGTCCCTTGATTTCAAGGGTTTGATCCCCTCCAGTTTCTATGTGTTTTAGCCACTTTTTAGTGTTTGCAAATATTCATTTTAATATTTTACAAATATTATAATTTGTACCTGTAGGAGAATTAGTTTGGTTAAAAAGCTACTTTTCCACTTCTAGAACCAAAAATCCAAATAAATTGGTTTTTGTATGAATTAAATTAGCATTAAATGACTCTTCTGTATTAATCAAGTACATGAGGCTGTATATATGAATTAGACACGTTATTTGGTGAAGAAAACACATGGTACTTTATAAAATGCAAATTTATAATCAGTGAGATGCATATAAGTACAGATTGATAGATAACTCACTTTTGGGTAAGCATGTTATTGGTTAGCCTTTACTAATAGTCTTTTAAACACTAGCATTTGTTTTATAAAATATGGATAATAAAGATGTACAAAGATACGTAGTCACTATTTAGAATGTTATTCTTTTATATAACAAATATTTGTGTTAGCTGTAACATAAAGGATAGAATCCAAAAAATTGCAAAACTATCTATTTAATTTTGTTGCATAAATACTGAATATTATCTAGACATGAAAATTTAAAGTGTTTTAGGAAAACATTTGGAAAAATTTAGAAATAAAATGTTTGTTCCTATGAGAATATGCCCATAAACTCATATAAATATATATATATTTATATAATTTCACTAAGAACTTTTTGTGTAAATATAGGCCAGAAGACTATGCTATAATTATTATACAAAATGAGCAGTGTCAATAGAGGACTACATATAGTGTTATGCTAACACAGAAGGTAAGGTTAATAATAAACTGGTCCATGAAACTCTCTCAAAGAAAATAACATTAGTGCTAAGCAAGCAATCCTGTGAGCAATGCTTTAGAGTTGGTGATGACAATCTGGAACTGGTTCTCTTGGCTTTCCAATGATGTGTGAAGTGCTCCTGTTGTACCAACTCCGTAAAAGCTGAGAGTATTTTAACAGAACTATGGATTCTTGGCCGTATTGCTAGTGAATAGACACATGTGTATTTTCATCTGAGGATGCAGAAGACAATAGAACTAAACGGCGCTTTAGATCTTACTTTTTAAAATGTTTTTCTTACAGTGGAAGAAATAGCATCATCATTGACTACAATGTTAGGGTGTGCTAGAATTTATGTGTGGTCAGTGTAATGACTTGAATTTCTCTGCTTTCTATGAAGAAACATTCAAAATGGCAAAGAAATAGTGTTTCTAATTTGGTGCCATTTATAAATATCTGTGGCATCTAAGTTATTCCAGAAAATTCTAAAACAGAGATAAGTATTTAAATACATTTAAATTTTAATATGATATAACATGAAATATTATGCTTATGTTCTTCATACGTACTTGATAACAAATGTATTTAATCACCTTCCATAATTATTGCAATTTGAGCACAGTGTATTTATTTCTACAAAACAGTCCTTTTTAAGATACACCCAATGTTGTTTCTTAAATTTTAACACATCTGTTTATTCATGACTATAATTTGTTTGACATTAAGCCTGGTCAGAAACACCAAGAAAAATAAATACAGTTTTATTCTGGGAAAAAGTACAAATATTACAATAACAAGCAACATCGAAAAAGCGGAATTTTCTCCATATATACTTGTATCAAGTATAGGGAGGAAGAAAAGAGTAATATATTTAAACAAAAAATTAGCTTCATTTTATGAAAAGATTTAAAAATTATAATTAATGCATTTTTTCTGAAATATAAATATTGCTTTCAGTTTAACAAGCGATATGTTTGACATCTTATCAAATAATTCATTTATTTAAGTAGTATTTATTGAATGTTTCCTTTGGGACAGACATTGGGGACACAACACAGAACAACACATATCAAAAATTTTGCCTTTAAGGAATGTAACTTTTAGTGCCAGAGGCAGAAAATGACTAAAACACATAAATAAATTGATATTGATAATCCATATGGCAACATCTAAGATAGAAAAGAGGAGAAGTTTATCAGGGTGGGTAAGCGCTATTGAGAACTTATTTAAGAGGGTGAGGGATGATGACATTTACTCAAATATGGAAGAAAGGGGAAGGGTGAACCTCAGTGTCTGTAAGGAGAACAGGTGCGAAGGTCCTGAGGTAGAAGCATGTTTGTGTTGTTCAAAGATCAGCGGGAAGGTCATTGCGTCTCTAGCAGATCATCTTGTTGAGTCTTGAGGCCATTTTAAAGACCATGGTTCTTCCTGTGAGAAGAGAAAATATTGAAAAGTTTTGAAAGAAGAATGACATGGCCTGATATTTTTTAAAAGTTCATGGTAGCTATTATGTCAAGTGAAGATGTCAAGCAGGCAAATAGGCATAGATATATAAATACACATGAGCATATGTAGAGACACAGACTTATAAAAAATATAGAGATGTATAAATATGTATTTATTACTTACAGACTCATCTGCATAGAGATCGTTGTATCAGTTATTGAACTTATTACTTCTCAGCTTCAAATCTACCTTTCTTTACCCTGCTGTAATACAGCTCATTTTTTCTTTTCTAGCTGGTTCTAGGTAAAGCTAAATAGAAGGTTCTGGAGGAACACTGAAGAAGTAATGGCTCTTGTTATTAGGTAGTGTGTTTCTCTTAGAAGGCCCCTTCAATGAGGCAGACAGGAGCACAGAGTAGCTACCATTGGCTAGCTTCCCCTTGCACCCCAAAAGGTGGTTTTCCAGAGGGCTCAATGCAGTTTCACCCAATATCATCTCAGGTAGCTGCCCAATATGTTCCAAAGTACAATGTTTCAGTGACTTCTATGCCATCCAGCTGGCCATAGCCATACACTTTCCAACAAGATTTGTACCTCACACCTGGGGGAAAGAAGTCCTGCTTAGCCCTAGAGATAGTGGGTACTCTTTATAGTTGCATTCCTGTATTCTTTACAGTTCTCTTATCTCCACAGTAGGCAATTATATATTGTACATGATAATTATTTACATTAAACTTCCTCTGTTCAAAATGCTACACGGTCCTATCTCTCGACTTGACCTTGGCTGCCACAATGGTATTTAAAGCCATGAATCTAAAAGGAATGTAGGGAGTGCCGTTAGGAAAGAGGCCCAATGACCCAACATATAAGGGTTGAGCAGAAAAGAAAGACTAAGGAATAGAGACTAAGAACAAGGTGACAAAACAGAAAGACCAAGAAGAGATGGGAATTTAAGTGAAAAAACTTTCAAGGGAAACAGTGATCAGTTATATCAATGCAACTGATAAGTAAATAAGGACTGAGAATTAACCGTTTCATTTCAAAATGCGAGTCATTGTGACCATGACAATAGTTGTTTCCATGACTGCTTGAACATAAAGGCAGATATGCACAGATTCAAGAGAGAATAGGAAAAAAATAATTGAAGATTTTAAAAATAGATAAATTGTTAGAGAACTTTTTAAGTTAGGGGAATTAGAATAGAATATCAGGTGGAAGGAAATGTATAATCTGAAGATTATTTCAGTTGTTATAGGGAAAATAACAGCATGTTTCATTACTAATGTGAATACTCATTCAGATGGAAAAACTATTGATGCAGGAGAGGCAAAAATTGTTTTCCCAAATAATTTAGTTAATGTTTAAAATTATTTGTAATGGGCATCCAATAAATTAATGATACACTTAGAATTAGAGCTTAAGATTCAGACCAAAGCCCTGGTTGCTTCAAGAAAATATTTGACTCAGACATCGTAATGTGAAAGTGAGACAAATTATAATTACATATATACATATATATTAGTTTTATGACATATATATATTTAAGAACTCAATATTACAACTTTCTACTTAAATCTTCATTTTGATGATAGCTTTAAACACACTTAAATAATTTATGAATTTTTTTATCATTGCATTAGACATTTGTTCAACTTAAGGATAATTGAAGTTGACATAACTGCATATTATATATATTCACAAATATGAAAAATGCATTTAGGTGTGTGTATATCTAGATAAACATACGTAAATAATGACTGATAAAATAGTATCTGCATTTAGTGTGGCCTTTATCTACTTTGATCATAATAAATTTATTATATGCAGATTAGTCAAAGAAAAGAGCCATAGATAGTTCAAGTGGTATGACAATTAAGAAAACTATGTTAATATGTCTACTGACTTATATTTTCTATTACTGGACATTATGAGAATAAAAAGTTAATTTTTTTCAGACTAGAGTACTATGATTATGAAACATGAGACTCCATGACTCTCCTAATGCCAGCTCAGTTACACAGTATATCTGCCTCTCCTCTGGAGTGTCATTTGTGTATTATGGACAAAGAATCATGGAGCTCTGATTAATGCAAGCCACTATCACTTTTGAGCCCCTACCAAGTTCTTCTGTGTTACTTAGTCCTGATATTTTCAAAATCCCCATTGTGTGAGGAAATAGCCAGTAGGACTTAGAATCAAGATGAATATTGTTCTTTCAAGTCATGCGAATCTTCCAGAAGAGTATCTTTTTCTTTGCTGTCTCACATATACTACCAACTGAAACATGGGACACTGACAGAAAATAATAGTGACACTTGGTTTCCCAAGGTCAACACCTAAAGGACATACTAAATTTTTGTTTTCCTCCTGGATGATATAAAGTCTTAGGTCCATCTTTTATATCCCTTGTGAAATATGGTAATGCTTTACTTATTGGCAATCTGACTCATTTGATTAATATGCTACAATACATACTTCATATATTGACAAAGTTTCTAGGCAACAGTAGCTGATCATTTGTAGTTGGCTACTTTTTTGCTTTTAATCAGTCAATTTTTACATTAATTACAGGTATTTATACTGATTTATATTAGCCAGTATCAATAGTGCTCAAAGATCCCCTTAGGATTTCTGACATCTTCCTCAGCCCTGAGCCAAATAAGATCATCCATCTGAAAAGTCTGGCTGCTTAGACATCAAAATGTATCTCTACAAACATTAGTGCCCCTCCCACTTCACAGAAGCACTCACTGAATAAATACATATAGATTGTAAAAGACCTTTTTTTGTCTGTATTTGGTTGTGTTGATATTATCTTTGGATCTCAAAATCATGTATTATATATGATATAATTTTGCACTATAAAATAATCTGTTTTGAGGATGTTTACTATGCAGCATCTTTAGTCCCTTAAAAAATCATGAAAGACTTCGTGTGGAATTCAATAATACATTAACCTGCCTACCACATAACTTCTTCATATGCTATATGCTGCAGTATCATTTTTCATATTCACATATGTTTATGAAAATAGTTTCAGAAACATGGGTGGCTGATTTGTATGAGTTACTAATCAGATGAGTAAGAGCATCTGAAGTATATTATCATGTAACTTTCAGATTAAGAGATGTGTGTAAATGTTTGTGACTATCTGATATGGGAATTGATCGATCTAACAAGCTTAAACTGCATTATGTTCCACAAAAATAGAACCTTAAGGCAAAGCCATCAAATAGAAATAGCAACATTAATCAAAAAAAGACTCTCCACAATAATTGGAGCTTTAATAAGTGTATTGAAGCAAAACAGTTGGTTAACACTGTATACTCTGCTGAATAAGCAAACCCACCTTTACGTTTGCTTTAATACAGAGAATCTTCCCCAAAATAATGGACTCTAATCCCTCTGAGAGCTAAATTCCACTATCAAATCAGACTTGCTTTTCTGCTGAATATTTCAGTTCAACAAGTATTTATGTGCTAGATGCTATGCTGAATCCACATATTTCTTTTTTCCTAGGATTACAAAAAGCTCAGGCCAATAAAATTCTTACTTTTATTGTGAAGTAAACTAGTGATGTTTCCCAAGTTTGCTGTCAAATGGCCAAAATTTGTAATTGCTGATTAGTCACGGTCAAAAGAACACCTTTTTAATTGGAAAATTATGAGGGAATACTTATTAAATACATAATTATCAAATAAAAGATGAACCCATCTAAGCTATTGTTTTAAGTTCAATATGGATAAGCATGCCCAGTTACATAGAGTATGAGACAAGTTAGCCACTCTACTATTACCCATCACTGATGTTTTTAAATCATGTTTGAAGACTTTATAAAGAATTTCAAGGCTTCCAAATATTTCATGGTTAAAGTATGAAAATCTAGTTCTAGATTTCCAGTGCTCTATGGCTATAACTACTCCAAAACTCTCACGATACTTTGATTCCCTGCCTCCTTGCATTCTCCATTGATGTCTTTCTTTCCCATTTCTGAGCAAATTTTGTCCTCTGCATATGGTTGCCTTATACTATCTTTCCAATCATCATATATGCCCTTACCACTCCATAGTTTGCATTGCAAAATATATTTATGTTGTGAGATATTCTTCAGTTATCAGAAGCCAGACACCAATCCATGCCCCCCCTTTTTTTTTTTGACAGAGTCTTGCTCTGTCGCCCAGACTGGAGTGTAGTGGTGCAATCTTGGCTCGTTGCAAACTCCGCCTCCCAAGTTCAAGCGATTCTCCTGCCTCAGCCTCTCAAGTAGCTGGCACTACAGGCATGCGCCACCATGCCCAGCTAAGTTTTTTGTATTTTTAGGAGAGACAGGGTTTCAATACGTTGGTCAGGCTGGTCTTGAGCTCCTGACCTCAAATGATCCACCCGCTTCATTGTCCCAAAGTGCTGGGTTACAGGTGTGAGCCACCAAGCCTGACCAATCCATGCACTTAATATTAAGACCACCTTTGTTTCTTCATTGTGAGTGCATCCATATGTAGCATATATGAGTGTATCTGTATATCATATTATTGCATACAAAATAAACTCAGGTTAATGTCCAAATACATGAAGGGGCTATAAGCAAATTTATTCATTGGTTCTCTTTTTAATAGCTATATTGTAAAGCATAATTCTCTTATCTAAGTACAACCTTGTTATGTTGAAGTGTCATGCTGTGAAATATTGACCAGGATGGGTTCCTTCTGCCAAATACAAGCCTGTATTGTTTACACACGCATATAAATTTCAAGCTGATTACCTTTTACTGAGAGGCAGTAATGAGAATAATATAACATGGAGATCTAAATTAAAACACAGATATTTTTCATGACAATGGAAGTGCAAATATGATCCTAATTAATATGCTAATAGTTCTTCTCTAGTTATAGATATCAACTCAATTCTAGCTTGTATTAATATATGTAATATCTCTACATTTTTTCTCAAATAGATAAGATTCCTGAGGGTAGGAATGAAGCCTAACATGTATTTTATAATTCTTTCATAGAGAATTTGCTGTTCAATAAAGATGTGATTTTTTTAATATAAATAGTGATATAACTTAAGTCTGATAAGGTGCCAGGCTTTCTTATAAAGTGCTCTATTAAGAAAACAACCTGGAAAAAACAACTTTGACTTTTTTGGGCATAAAGACAATCAGGTAACTTTTTAGATACTTGTGAACCCACAATCATTAACTTACCGAGATTTGTCACCTATAATGTCAGAAAATTGTTGCCAAAAATGGTGTACGCAGAGCTTCATTGTCTTACTCTTTCTACTTGTGTCTGTATGTGAAAGAATCTATTATAAGATTTTCAAATGAAAAACAAATGCCATTCTTGTGCTACAGAGCAATAGACCCTTTTAAAAAAAATCTCTTGACACAGTTTAGATTTTCAAATGTCTTAGAAAATAAACTTATATTTATAATCTAGGGTTGTTATCTGATTTTCATTCTGTCATATCTTTCTACAAAAGAGAAAAATACACCAACATCTTCCTTGAAAATACATAGAAAGTTTTGCTGCAGCTGACAGAGTATAATTAGAATACATGGTGTCTTCGTAATTCCTTTTTATTATTATTATTATTATTGTACTTTAAGTTTTAGGGTACATGTGCACAATGTGCAGGTTCGTTACATATGTATACATGCGCCATGCTGGTGTGCTGCACCCATTAACTCGTCATTTAGCATTAGGTATGTCTCCTAAAGCTATCCCTCCCCCTCCCCCCACCCCACAACAGTCCCCGGAGTGTGATGTTCCCCTTCCTGTGTCCATATGTTCTCATTGTTCAATTCCCACCTATGAGTGAGAATATGCGGTGTTTGGTTTTTTTGTTCTTGCGATAGTTTACTGAGAATGATGATTTCCAATTTCATCCATGTCCCTACAAAGGACATGAACTCATCATTTTTTATGGCTGCATAGTATTCCATGGTGTATATGTGCCACATTTTCTTAATCCAGTCTCTCATTGTTGGACATTTGGGTTGGTTCCAAGTCTTTGCTATTGTGAATAGTGCCGCAATAAACATACGTGTGCATGTGTCTTTATAGCAGCATGATTTATAGTCCTTTGGGTATATACCCAGTAATGGGATGGCTGGGTCAAATGGTATTTCTAGTTCTAGATCCTTGAGGAATCGCCACACTGACTCCCACAAGGGTTGAACTAGTTTACAGTCCCACCAACAGTGTAAAAGTGTTCCTATTTCTCCACATCCTCTCCAGCACCTGTTGTTTCCTGACTTTTTAATGATTGCCATTCTAACTGGTGTGAGATGGTATCTCATTGTGGTTTTGATTTGCATTTCTCTGATGGCCAGTGATGGTGAGCATTTTTTCATGTGTTTTTTGGCTGCATAAATGTCTTCTTTTGAGAAGTGTCTGTTCATGTCCTTCGCCCACTTTTTGATGGGGTTGTTTGTTTTTTTCTTGTAAATTTGTTTGAGTTCATTGTAGATTCTGGATATTAGCCCTTTGTCAGATGAATAGGTTGCGAAAATTTTCTCCATTTTGTAGGTTGCCTGTTCACTCTGATGGTAATTTCTTTTGCTGTGCAGAAGCTCTTTAGTTTAATTAGATCCCATTTGTCAATTTTGGCTTTTGTTGCCATTGCTTTTGGTGTTTTAGACATGAAGTCCTTGCCCATGCCTATGTCCTGAATGGTAATGCCTAGGTTTTCTTCTAGGGTTTTTATGGTTTTAGGTCTAACGTTTAAGTCTTTAATCCATCTTGAATTGATTTTTGTATAAGGTGTAAGGAAGGGATCCAGTTTCAGCTTTCTACATATGGCTAGGCAGTTTTCCCAGCACCATTTATTAAATAGGGAATCCTTTCCCCATTGCTTGTTTTTCTCAGGTTTGTCAAAGATCAGATGGTTGTAGATGTGCGGTATTATTTCTGTGGGCTCTGCTCTGTTCCATTGGTCTATATCTCTGTTTTGGTACCAGTACCATGCTGTTTTGGTTACTGTAGCCTTGTAGTACAGTTTGAAGTCAGGTAGTGTGATGCCTCCAGCTTTGTTCTTTTGGCTTGGGATTGACTTGGCTATGCAGGCTCTTTTTTGGTTCCATATGAACTTTAAAGTAGTTTTTTCCAATTCTGTGAAGAAAGTCATTGGTAGCTTGATGGGGATGGCATTGAATCTATAAATTACCTTGGGCAGTATGGCCATTTTCATGATATTGATTCTTCCTACCCATGAGCATGGAACGTTCTTCCATTTGTTTGTATCCTCTTTTATTTCCTTGAGCAGTGGTTTGTAGTTCTCCTTGAAGAGGTCCTTCACATCCCTTGTAAGTTGGATTCCTAGGTATTTTATTCTCTTTGAAGCAATTGTGAATGGGAGTTCACTCATGATTTGGCTCTCTGTTTGTCTGTTATTGGTGTATAAGAATGCTTGTGATTTTTATACATGGATTTTGTATCCTGAGACTTTGCTGAAGTTGCTTATCAGCTTAAGGAGATATGGGGCTGAGACAATGGGGTTTTCTAGATATACAATCATGTCATCTGCAAACAGGGACAACTTGACTTCTTTTCCTAATTGAATACTCTTTATTTCCTTCTCCTGCCTAATTGCCCTGGCCAGAACTTCCAACACTATGTTGAATAGGAGTGGTGAGAGAGGGCATCCCTGTCTTGTGCCAGTTTTCAAAGGGAATGCTTCCAGTTTTTGCCCATTCAGTATGATATTGGCTGTGGGTTTGTCATAGATAGGTCTTATTATTTTGAGATACGTCCCATCAATACCTAATTTATTGAGAGTTTTTAGGTGTCTTGGTAATTCCTAAATGGAAATCTAGTATTAACACTAAGGGTTATTAAGAAAACCATTCCTTGGATAGAATCCTATGCCAGGTTACCAGTTAACAAACAACATAGTGAGGAAGGAGATCTGGCAAAGAAAAAAATACTTTCTGATGAGAAGTTAGCAAAGTAAAAAATCTTAGGATTTTTATTGTGTGTGTAACTTATAATAATGCAGTAGCATGGTGAGTATTTTCCAATTCAAAAACAATTGGAAATAACAAAGCAAAATATGCTATTTAAGCATGACAACCAACTTAACTAGGAGGGGAAATCCTCTTCTGTTTGGAGAAATTCTAATTTTCTCATAAAATAGTTACTATCTATTCTGATGAAGAATTCAGTTACAAGCACAAGAGGAATAAAACATCAGTCTAAAATAATGGATTTCAATCTGGGATGGAAGACAAAAATAGGTACATGTATTCAAATATGTAAATTTCAGCATTCACATAATATCATAATATGTTTTTAATGTACTTTGACAAACTGGAAACAACCAACATTAACAGAAAATAATAAATGGGGTTAGTCTATGCATCCAGTTGTTAATTTACAAGGGGTGATTATTGTATTTCTTGTCACGCATTTACAATGAAATAGCAGCTAAATAAATTAATCTAAAAAAACTAAATAGTGGGCACTGTGATTGAATTTATCATCACTCCAGAACCTAGAAGAAATGGAAACAACAAGAAATCCACTTTATATATTCCATTACTAGCACAAAAGATTTCAATTGAGTATATGGAAAAGTTGCCAGAGCCCTGGGAAGATGTATTCTATTTAACCTGTCAATAGCAAACTCCATCAGCTTAATGGAACTGATGTTCAGGTTTCCAAGTGGATTGAAGGACATTGATAACTCCATTCACAAACAATGGCCAGTGTAAAATACGATTTTCTTAAGAGAAAGGGGCATCATACTGATAATTAAATAAACTTTTAATAATGAAAATGTCACAGATATGGAAGTGCTATGAATCATTCGTACTTGAAGGAAAAGGTGAAAAATAGTAGATTAATTTATAGACCTTCCTTTACCCATTCAGAAACCTTTTATCCACTTAATTTCAGTTGTAATCACAGTAATGTTATTCTGTTCTTAAGTGCTACAGAAATTGAAAAAACAATAGTCACAATCAAATGATGAACTTGCATAGATTAAACTAATCTTTAAAAGTAAACTTCTCACTTTCCGGAGATGCCATGGGTACTATTTGGTAACAATAGTTACTGAAACACTACATTCTATTTCCATTCATTTGTTCATTCAACCAACCAATATTAACAAATGTTTACCAAATGCCAGACAAAACGGTTAGGTTCTATATATAAACATTTTATTTAATGCTTTCTTCTTTAGGCAGATCAATCACTTAAAGTGGGTGTTGAAATCTAATTATTGGTATTTGGGAAAGAGCAGAGATTTGGTCATCGTTTCTTATAATTATGGGTAAGGTGGTTTTTAAAATATCTGAATACAGATACAGCAACACAATGCCTCCATCATTCACCTATTATTCATTTATGCTTGTTAGTGCTTAGATGTTTAAACATTTCCCAACTGAATTGATTTTGTAAAGAAGAGATATGTATTACAATATGTAAGTTCTAATTATGAGCACCCTTTTGTATGGAGGCACTTTTAAATCACTTGTGAACAAAAATAATGTTTTATATAAATCTAACACAGAAGCCTCAGGTTTTCAGAGCTATGAAGTATTGTATAATTTGCTATATATAACTTGGGAGAGAAAGGCATTTTGGTTGGTTCACATTTATCCCTCTTCTCTTGTAGGAAGAGGAATAATCCTGCTCTGCTTCTTTCTATTTATATGACTTTGAGTTAGTTTCTTAATGTCTCAGTTTCCTAAATTAAAGTGGAATCCTCCTTTCACAGGAAATCAGAAAAGTAAAGTAATTGAAATGGCTGACCCATAGATGGTAATCAATATATGATGGGTTTTTTTTTTTTTTCACTTCGCGTATTTACCCTTGGGCCAATTTGGAATGCTTTGAAAACCTTCACATTCCCTAGCAAAAAGAAAGAATATCTGCTCTAGTCTAGATGTGGTCCTCCTTGCCACTGCTGCATCCTCTGCACTTAATCAGTAAATGGAGTGTGACCTGGCTCAGAAGAAGGCCATAGGGGGAAGCCACTGGAGCAGAATTCTGATGGTTTCAAAATGCTGCATCTGAACTAGCTCCATGTACTTAATTGCTTTCCGTCCCTTCCCGACCAGCCGTGTTTCAGAGAAGGGAACCTTCTCAACTCCCTGCCATTTCCTTTCTTTTATCTCTTCATATTTTCCTCTAATCCAACTAAAGAGGAATGGATTGTTCTCCTCAAATTAAAGGCCATACTCCAACTGGCCTCCCACTCCTGTTCCCACCTATATCCTTCTCTAATGGATTTGGCCCAAAACTGTTAACATATTGTGAAATCTCTGCCATCTCCCATCTCCCAAGCAAGACATTCAATTTCTGGGGTCCCACTTAAACTACGAATCAAGATTTCCACTTCAGATTTACATCCTAACTTGCTGAAAAAGCTTCTTGAATATACAGCCGGTCACCATTTCCTCAACTCCCATTCACCAATCTCAATCCACCCTTCTCTGGTTTTTCCCTTCCCACCAGTGTGCCAGGACTGCTTTAGGGGAGATCACTAATAACCTGCGTTTTGTTAAATGTAAATGATGGTAAACCTGACAGAGGCATTTCTGTACTCGTCTTTCTCATCTCTCAGCATTAAGGAACACAACTGACCTCTTACTCCTTGAAATGCTCTTCTCCTTGGCTTCCATAACATCAAAATCTTCTAGCTTTATATCTCTGATTTTTCTCACAGTTTATACCCAAGTCCTTCTTTTTTTACCTTATGTTTAAATATTAGTATACAGCTCTTCAGTATCTTTCCAGCTTCATACCTTCTCCCTAAATAATGCCAACCATTTTCATAACCCTCAATATCACCAGTTTGCTAATGATTCCTTATGTCCCTATTTCAAATATCCATACTGACCTACAAAAATCATACAGCAAACCACTTTGTGCTGTAAGTTGCCACTGCCCCATTTACCTTGGTATTGATAGCATGTCCTCGCCTTTCAGTTGGCTCTTCCCTAAGTCATTGATTGTAGTTCCCCTTTTTCAATAATCTTCCACACAACCATAGATACCATTGTAAGTAACACTATATCACAATCATAATTAACCCAGGCTGCATTTCTCTGCTCAAACTGAGGCTGACCACTCCATGGCCAGCCCAGATCCTGGGTCTCAGAATTAGCCACAGCAATGGTCTCTTATTTGCCCAAACATGTGGATCTTCTGGAATGTCAAAAGCATACCTTCTTTCTAGCAGTCAGCCCCTGAAGTGATCATTAACTGGGAGAGTAGTAAGATTGTCCCTGGTTTGGAACATAGATGCTTTATTGGTGGGAGTGAGAAAACATACAGATTTGGAGAACATCCAGTTGTCATCTACTATATAGTCCAGTAGTAATAAAGTATCCAGGCAAAAAAGCAGAGTTGATCGTATGTCTGCTTGACATACACCTTACTTTACATATTTATTTTATACTGTTCCTTTTTCCTCCTTCTACCCAAAATAACTGCATAAAACTCCCAATGAAGAGGCATGGAGCTATCAAGCTTTCTCAGAAAGCACCTTAAGCTTTTGAAATGAAGTCATGTTTTTAAAGTGGAAGTTAATTCAAAGTTAGCTTATGCTTTTTATCCCTAGAGTGGGATAAGTAAGTGTGCAATTGATTTTAATTTAATATTCATGGTGTATTACAACTGCCAGAAAATAAGTTTTTAAAAAAATAAAAAATAAAGAATGAAAGCACAGCCTGGACCTAACTTTATCCTTAGAATTATTGCCAGAGTTACAAGGACACTCTTGAATACTAAAGAACATGTGTTTAAAAAATAACTGTACAAACACATTTTTAAAAGGCTGTGCCTCAAGCAGAGCTTTTTCTCTAAATCCTGGTTTACTTCATATAAAAATGCTGTGATGGGCCAGACGTGGTAGCTCACGCCTATAATCCCAGCATTTTGGGAGGCCAAGGCGGGCGGATCACGAGGTCAGGAGTTCGAGACCAGCCGGGCCAACATGGTGAAACCCCATCTCTACTAAAAATACAAAAATTAGCCAGGCATGGGGTGGTACGCACCTGTATTCCCAGCTACTCAGGAGGCTGAGGCAGAAGAATCACTTGAACCCAGGAGGCACAGAGGTTGCAGCGAGCTGAGGTCGTGCCACTGCACTCCAGCCTGGGCGACAGGGGCGGGGGGGGGAAATGCTGTGATGTCTCATCATATACAAATTTCTACCTGGAACATTTCTGCCCAGATCTTCACTTGGCTGACTCCTCATTATTCAGTTCCTAGTTCAAATGTCACTTCCTCAAAAAGGACTTCCTTGACCACCAATTCAACACAGACCCTGCCTTTCCACAGCATTTATCATTCCATGAAACTACACTGCTTTTTTCATTTGTTTATTTTTATCCCCTCACCACAGGAACACGTTCAAATATAAGCTCCACCAGAACAGGGACAATGTCTGCTTTCATTGTTATAGCAATGACAGCTATTTCCTATAGGTGGATATATATGTTTGATACATGCATATGGCATTATATGGCAGAGAAACACTTAACTCTTTTTTTTTTTTTTTTTTTTTTTTTGATGGAATCTTGCCCTGTTGCCCAGGCTTGAGTACAATGGCATGGTCTCACTTCACTGCAACTTCTGCCTCCGGGGTTTAAGCAATTCTCCTACCTCAGCCACCTGAGTAGGTGGGATTACAAGAACGCACCACCACACCTGGCTAATTTTTGTATTTTTAGTAGATACAGGGTTTCACCATGTTGGCTAGGCTCATCTCAAACTTGTGACTTCAGTTGATCCACTCGTCTCAGCCTCCCAAAGTACAGGGATTACAGGCATAAGCCACCATGCCCAGCCCACTTAACTTTAAGACTCGGTGTCCTTTATCTAGAAAATTAGTCTAAACCTTGGTTACAAGATTGTTGGGAGTCAAAGTGGAAATAGAAAGTGAGAAAGTATTTTATATAGAAAAAAATTCTTAATATGTCAGATTTTTTAAAAAGAAAATGCATGTTGTTGACTCTACAGTTACATATAAAATAAAACCCAGACAGTTTTTATTTTCACTAAATGGTACCCAGAACCAACATGAGATTGGATTGACTAATTCATACCTCTGAGTTCTTCGTTCATGAGGTACAATGCAGGGGCTATATTGTGAATTTTAGGTGTTTTCTCTTCTATATAAGTACTATGTTCTTCATTTAATTCCATTAATCTGTTTATTTAGATACTGCTGCTAAATATGTAATAAACTGGTGTTGCATCTGGCTATGGCAAATCCTATAGGTTCACTTTTGGTTCTATAGGTTCTATAAATAGAATTTTGACACTTAAAGTTACATTGATTGCCAGACACAATGGCTCATGCCTGTAATCCCAGCACTTTGGGAGGCCTAGGCAGGCAGATCACTTGAGCCCAGGAGTTCGAGACCAGCCTGGGCAACATGGCAAAAACTCGTCTCTACAAAAAAATGCAAAAATTAGCCGGGCATGGTGGTGCAGGCCTGCAGTCCCAGCTACTTGGGAGGCTGAGGCGGGAGAATGGCTCCAGAGCAGGAGGCACAGGTTGTGCTGAGCCAAGATTGTGCCACTGCACTCCAGCCTGGGTGACAGAGCGAGACCCAGTCTCAGAAGAAGAAAACAAAAAATGCTTATACAATCAAGTTTGATGGTTCTATGTCAATTTGCAAAAGAGCTAGTACTTTGATGCCAACTCTATTTAACTTTATTTTTTAACCTAAAAATTAACAGACAAAACAATAAAGCATGTCACAGCTTTCCTTTTGATCTTCAAATCGAAAAAACATCTATTTTCTCAAGAATAAATTAAGGTGGTTGAAGTCATTTAATAGCAAGTAGAATTTAAAGAACACAAAACAGTAAGTTTATGATGGTGTATTTTTTTCTTACAAATGATTTTTAGTCCAAAAATCCCAAGCATATTTTGTAAATGCTTTACCGTCCCAAAGATGAAACAGATTACAAAGATTCAAAGGGATGTATAAAGACAGATAAAATTTGAGGCCATATTTAAGTAGCTTAGCTGGATAAACAAATCACAGTGGAAGAGGAGTTTGTCAGGTATGTCAAGGATGGTCTTACAGCAGTCTATCAGATTAGGACACATCCTACTGGCACAAATGTCACCTGTCCTGGAAGTTTTACCTGACCTCTTTAAGTAGGATGAAGCACTATTTTCTCTGTTCTTTGGTTCAAATGATCACAAAAATCTCTCACCTTCTTAGGAGAATATATGAAATATTTCTTTCCCTCCTAAACTATAACTCTGGGAAGCAGAGAGTTTATATTTGTAGGTTGGATGGTTATTAAATAACTAGAGGTTTTACTATATGCATCTGTTTTATTTTGTTGTTGCACATAACTGCTCTTGAAGCCTTTGCAGTTATATAGATCATTTTTCCTCACTACTTGATATACCCCCCAACTATTTTATTTTCAGAGGCCTTATATTAGTTTGTGGATATTTTTTCTGCCCTATCCATGTTGTTACATTACATATACCCATAGCAACTTGTTATTCTTACATCTAGTATAATGAGTACATGTAAACCGCATTGGTAACCCCTGGATTAAAATGAGACTATGGAGATACTTCCTATGTATCTGCCTGTCTATGACTCTTGGGAAAGGATTTGGTTACATCTGTCTGGACTTCTCAGTGGCCTTCCTTATTGGCCATTTTTAACATGTGTGACATTGAATTAATTTCATCTTTTATTGAGTAAGTATTGGGTTTAGACTTATTTCATCGGTGAGAATGCTGAGCCTAAGAAAAGATTAAGTAATTTATATAGGCCTACACAGCTATTACTGAAAAAGCAGAAATCAGACTCAGTTCTGGTTTTTCATCCCCTGCGATTTCCTTAAAATAGATCACCCAATAATGCCTGTCTCCTAATTGTCAGAGACTCAGTACTTTTTCCCAGGTATTTTATGAGTAAAGAATAGCAAATGTCCTTTGCTTTTGAATAGCTGTGAAAAAACTAAAAGTATATTTTCTGGAAGCAAAATGAAATGGACAGCCAGTATTTACTGAGCATATTTTCTGTGGCAAATTGAAAAGTGTTATACTTTCTTCATCATTTTATCCTCTGTCTTGTTATTCTCCTTGAGGAAAGAGCAGAAATAATCCCATTTTAAAGATGAGTAAACTAAGGCTCAAAAATTAAACTAATTATTTATATCATAGTGTTACTAAAATATAAACAGTAAACCTATTTATAACTAATTCCAAGATATGTACTGTTTTTAATATACTAAAATTTTAAGATACTGAAGGTCACATAGAAAACATAATCCAACAGATGACAGGGTATTCTAAAAGTCAAGTGTTATAAGTAAATATCACATAAGCAAATAAAAGATTTGTCATAAGTTGGGTTTTGTCTATATATTTGTTATTGTTCATGAAAATTCTATCATCAACAACATTACTGGCTATATCCTCAAAGAAAATAAAATGCAGGTGATAGAGACAAATAAATCATCACAAAATCTTTTTTTTGGTGGGGGGGAAATTACAGATTCCACCTGTCTAATGACAAGTGCATATTCACATGTCTTTTCCATCAAATCATGCTCTGCTGGAGGTGATATAACCTTTGAAGTCAGACAAAAATGGGATTGAATGACCTCTCCATTTTTCAGGTGGTAGGATTTTAGGCAAGTTATTTATATTTTGTAAGCCTTACTTTACAATTGGCTAAATGAGAATAATGCCATTTTGTATCACAGAATTTAGATCTGAAAATCTACTTGAGCTTAAATTATGTTGAAAAAGTAATTATTTCTCCATATTCCCAAAACAGTGATCTCTTTTAATCACCTGAATTTATTATATGATTCTAGCTGTTTGTTGTATTATTTTAAAATATTATCGAGCAAAAGCAATGCAGCAGATACTACTCAAAATATGATTGGAAATAATTACTACCTATTTGACTTGTGGTCTTAATAGAATTGCAAACAAAATATGCATGAAAGATAAGGAGAAACCAGCATCACCAAGGCTAGCCAAAGAAATGCAAAAACCTCTTAGTTCAAAAGGGCTAGCGTATGTTTATATATCATTTCCTGTCTACAAATCGGTCTACATCTGAAAGAAAATTGCTAACTATGGGTGAATTTTTTAAATCACAGTGTAAGAATCTATTAGGAGACAGAATTTGCAAAGTAGGAATCTTTTGAAAATCGTTTATAAAAGTAATGGTGCTGATTTGGTACTATAAGAACTGCACTTATCTATTTGCCAGAAATCCAGGTGTTCTCTTCTTCCTTTCCTTACTATTTCTTCTCCAGTCTTCCATTCTCCTAGAATGGCACTGTACATATTACAATGTATTGAGAGCACTAATACATGGTGATTTGATTTGCTCATTAGCAAATGGGCAATTTGTTCATGCTCTGATTCTGTTATTTCAGGCGTTTAGGTTTGATTAACAAATCAAATTTTCACTTCCCACTGAAAATCAAGGGGGAAAGTATGTACCACTCATCGCACCATCCTCGGGTATTTAACTACTTAGTCGTTTTTAAAGGAAAAATTCGTTTGTAATTGTTGAGGTTAACATTAGGTTCTATTAACTGCCACCATTTTAAGTGGTGATAAGACACTCTGTTTGAAGATTAGCCAAGTAATAATTGTTATATGAAGCATATACCTCTTCTAACATAGCTCAATAATTATGTATTTATGTTGGTGTCTGTCTATGCAAAGATGCTCAGTTTTGGAACTGGCAAGAAGAATTATTTTGGGAAAATATAGTCATTGGACAAAATGACAAAAACTACACATAGGAATTAAATAGCTATACTTCTAAATAAGATTTCTAGAGGTATTAGAATGCAGAAAATTGAGTTGTTGAAGAGTTTGGCTATTGTTGTGCTATATGGGATTTGCAAGAAATTAGACCATTTTTTAAAATTTAGCCAAATCTCCAAACAATTCTGTGCATCTATTAAAAAATAACCCAAATAATGTAAGCCTATAAATGACATTCTTTAACATATTCTTTGAATTTCTCCTTCTTTATTACTAAACCAAAGCTTTTCTTTATTTTTTTTTTAAATATCTTTGGTTGAGAAATTATGTAGTTTAGCTTATGGACCTTCAATCCAAAAATAGGTAAATACCTCTAAAACTTATTCTTCCATTCAAAGTGCTTTCTGTCATATGAACTGCTATTATTTATGTTCCAAGGTGTTATCCAACTACCAACAAATGGCAACAAAGGGAACCTAGTTATCCATTTGAGTATGTGTGCTTGGTTGTGTGCATTGATAAAATAAAATTCACATTACTATGTACTAGACAACCTCACAGGTGCAACTCAATGTAAGTGGTCCCAGATTGCAAATAAATAACAAGTTAGTGTGTGGCATTTCATGCTTTAGATCTGAAATACTGTGATAAATAAAACACCAAATGGTGTTTACAGTTAGGAAAAAAAAAACTTTGTATAGGAAACTAAACTTTTCATTTTATTTAATTAATGTTCAATTTGGTAAATTAAGCAAGAGTTTTCTCTTAATGCTGAATAGATTGAACTTTATGACCTGAGTCTTCTTACTACTGCCCTTCCTTTATATTTTTAAATGAATTTACAGTTATATATGCCTTGTAAAGTAAGAAAATTAATGAGAAGAATAATCAGAAATCATATCATGTTTGATATTTGTCTAATAATTGAGCCTTTAAAAACTTAACTAGAATTAATTTTTGAATACTCTTAGTTCACCAAGACTATTTGGAGAAAATAAATAACAAATAAAATACTTTATAATAATTCTCAGTTCCTAAGATAAAGAACTTGTGAATATGACAGCTAATTTTTCTCACTACTGTTTAACCTTTAAAAAGTATCGATTTTTTTCATGAAACAATATAATAATAAATGCCTGTTTAGGAAATCAGAGAATAAAAATACCACATACTATATTTACTTTCTAATTAATAGAAGTCCAACTTCCCAAACTATTATGGGTAGTTTCATGGGTTTGGGAGAATTATATTTGTCCAAAAATCCCACATCTTTGACCATAAACTTTTATCACTATTTCCAGCAAATTTGACATAGTTTTTCTGACACTTGACTTCTCCCAGCTTTCTGTTAAATATACTTCTCAAATCATTTTTTTCATTTCTGATTCATCTCAAGAATAAAAAGAAACACTAGAACAATATTTCTGAAATATTCATTTTTAGTGAATCAGAAGTAACCTCTTCATTTTGTAGACTACTAGATTCCACAGAAAATCAGTTTATTATAAAGTTATATGCTATCTTTTATAAGAAAATTATAAAGTTATATTATAAGTTTACAGTATAAGTTAAGAAAATTAAAGTTAAGAAATTATAAAAGTTGAGAAAATTAAAGTTAAGAAAATTATAAAGTTATAAAGTTACATGCTATATTTTATAAGAAAATAAATTTTAAATATAAAAACAAAGATAGAAATATATTATAGAAAAAGTTATCCCATGCAAACAGTAATCATAAAAAAACTGAAATATCTTAACATTGGACAAAGTAGACTTCAAGGTAAACAAGGTTACAAAATATTAAGTGAAACATTACATATTGTTAAAAGGAACAAATCATCTAGAGAATAAACATTCTAAACCTGTATGCATTTACATTCTAAACACGTATGCATTTAATAACAAAGCACACAAAAATAATGAAAAATACTTCAATGGGATTAAAGTAGAAACAAATATTGAGTATCGAGAGTTCCAAAATGTCTAGAAAATTTAAAATACTCTTTAAAAAATTTTGTTTCAAAGAAAAAATCACAAGAGAAATTTAAAAAATTTTCAAACTGAATGATAATAAAAACACAATATATAAAAATTTAGATAATGAAACTATAGCCTCATGTGGACAAAAATTTATACCATGAAGTATTTGAACTTTCCTACATTTCTAACTTAAAAAATGAGAAGAACCAGAGCAAATTAAATGGAAGGAAGGAAGGAAATAAGAAAATAAATTAATGAAATAGAAAACAGAAAATTAAAAAGCTGAAAGTTGGTTTTTGAAAAAAAATAACATTGATAAACCACTGGCAAGACTAACCAAGTGGAAAAAAAGAGAAACACCAACTATCAATGTGAGAAAAGTAAGTTGTAATATTCCTATAGATCTTACTGATATTAAATGGATTTTTAAAAACAAATTTATGCCAATAAATTGACAACATAAAAAACAAATTATTTGTAAAATACAACTTACCCAAACTAACTCAAGATAAAATAGAAAATAATAGCTCAATATCTGTATTAGTTTATTCTCACATTGCTATAAAGAAATGCCTGAGACTGGGTAGTATATAAAGAATAGCAGCTTAATTAGCATATAGTTCTGCAGGTTGTGGAGGAAGCTTGATGCTGGCATCTGCTTGGCTTCTGCAGAGGCCTCAGGAAACTTACAATCATGGCAGAAAGTAAAGGGGAACAGGCATGTCACATGACCAGAGCAGGAATAGGAAAGATAGGGAGGTGCCACACATTTTTAGATGACAAGTTCTCATAATAATTCACTATCACTATTGAGAGGACAGCACCAAGGGGACAGTGCTAAACCATTCATGAGAAATCTGCCCCCAATTCAGCCAAGGTCTTTACTACTGTGGAACAAAAATGGCCTTTACTCTGGTTTCCAGTACCTTGCTTCTTGTTTCCATCTAATACTATCAGAATGGTCTTTATTGTCTATATTTCTACAAGCATTCTCATCATTACCACTTAGGTAATCTCTAAGAAGATTTAGATTTTTCCCTACAGCTCTCCTTTTCTTCTAAGTCCTCATCAAAATCATCATTTATGCTCCATTCACAGCAATATAGACTTTTTCTAGCCTTACCCTTTAAATTCTTTCAGCCTTTACTCATTACCCAGTTCTAAAACTGCTTCCACATTTTCAGGTATTTAGCATAGCAACAGGCCCACTTTTGGGGTTCCTGAGATGGAAATAAAGATCAAAGTATTGAAAACTGGACTAAAGGCCATTCTTGTTAAGCAGTAGCAAAGATCTTGGCTTTTCTTTATAAATTACCCCATTTGTGGTTTTCTGTCATTGCAGCAGAGCACAAAGCACGGTGCCACCATTTAGCAAGGGTCATTCCATTGGGGAAGGCATCACAAGGCAAGGGAGTGTAGAAGAGAGGGAAAGAGCATGCCAGACAGAGAGCAA
This sequence comes from Homo sapiens, assembly GCF_000001405.40. Lineage (NCBI taxonomy): Eukaryota > Metazoa > Chordata > Mammalia > Primates > Hominidae > Homo > Homo sapiens. The sequence goes on along the minus strand of NC_000007.14, from coordinate 8,845,465 downwards.
AAGAGGGAGGGACTATACTCATCCTTTTATCAGGAGCTCATTCCAGCAATAACAAACCCCCTCTCATGATAATGGCTTTAATCCATTCATTAGGCCAAAGCCACCATGATCTAATCACCTTCCAATATTATTATCTTGACAATTACATTCCAACATGAGCTTTGGTGGGGACACTCAAGCCATAGCAGCATGTCTCATACTTTTGTTGAAAACTGGACGTTTTAGACGGTACATTGTAGCAACTCTGGATGCCAATCTCTCTGTTGCTGTTTTGGGGTGTGTGTGTGTGTGTGTGTGTGTGTGTGTGTGTATTTGCTTAGAGTAACACAGTAAAGCGTATCTCTCCAGTGGTGTGTGGTATTTTTAATTTTAAGCCTGATTTCCTAGTGTTATACCTGGATCAACATAGCTTAGTGGTCAGCCAATAATTGGTAAGGGGTTGTGCTTAAACCCGTTGAGGCAGTTAAGTTTTGACTCTTTGCTAATGGATCTGTGTGTGGGTCTGGAAATGCTTTTTAACTTTAAACAGTTTACAGGTCTCCTCTGGCTTTAACTGGTATGCAAGTTGCACATTCAGTCAGGGACTACATTATGTAGTACTGGGAGAAATAATAATCTGTTCAACAAAAGGAGTTGGAAAAATTGGAGGTCTATCATGAAAAATTAACCTCAACCAATATCTCAAATATCTACTCCATATGCAAAATTTGATTTGAAATGTATCATAGAACTAAATTTAAATGGCTAAAACTTATTTCCTACCTGGTAAGATTTGGGTACTATGTCTCATCACCTTCAATCTGGGTAAGCTTGTGACTGTTTTGACCAATAGATGTGGTTGAAGTGATACTTCGTTTCTTCTGAGACTGGGTCACAAAGGGTGCTCAGCTTCTGCCTTAATCCCTGAAATTGGTCACTTTTGATGCTCTGAGCCAGTATATAAGAAGCCCAATTATTTTTGTGTCAACCATGGTGTAAGAAAACCAAAGCCACATGGAAAAGTTATGTGTTGCAGTTACAGCTGAACCCTGTCTTAGAAACATCTCAAGCCTGCCCCCAAGCCTTCACATCTTTCCAGCCCACAGCAAGTTACCCAAACATTCTATTCTTCCCATCTCAGGCCCCAAATACTTTAGAAAAGAAACAAATTATCACCACTATGCCTTATCTGAATTCCTATCACACAGAATTCATGAGCATTAAGAAATAAATTTTTTTTGATGCAACTAGGTTTTGAGATACTTTGTTACTCAGCAGTTGATAACTGGATTAAATACACACAGAAACTCCATAAAGATTTCCTGTTCATAAAGTACAGGGAGATTGCTCTTTATACTAACACAGAAGTAAATTGCTGATAACTTCAAAGTTCCATAACCTGAACAGAATGAGTTCTGTGTCATAACAGAGTTTTAAGCTTACTTAGCTGTGCATTTTTTAAATAAATGTTTTAAAATAATTTTCATAAAGCCTAGGAGAACTCTATAATATCTTAGTTAATTACTTGTTATTTTTCTCTTAGTCCTAAGAAATTAGTTTTTATATTAATAAATAGCTGAGAGATTTTGGATTTTCCCCCATTTGTAATGTTTTTTTTTTAAAAAAACCCTTTGGTATTCTAAATATTTGAAGGAAGCACTCAAGAGATCCTTATAATTTACTCAACAGAGGGTGGATCAGAATTAATGACCAACATAATAATTTGTGTAATTTTTGGAGTTCATATGCATTTTTTATTTGTTTTTCATAATTTTCCTATAAGATGGGTAGAGCAAGTACTTTTTTATAAGCCACTTAGCTAACTCAGGTAAGGAGAAAAGATGTAGCTAATTATGTAATAATTTTCCTATAAGGTGGGTAGAGCAAGTATTTACATCCTGCATTTTATAAGTGAGTCAGCCGAGGCTTAAAATGATCAAGTGGCACGCCAGGTTGTCACAGTTGTTCACTAATTAAGATAATACTCAAATTTAGGCCTCATTCCAACAACCCTGTTAATATATCTTAAACTGCAATATATTTTGCGATCTTTCTGTCACAGCTTTCACTTCTTTTTTTTTTTTTTTTTACTTTCTTAAATTGTACAAAGCATTGCTATTTAGAAACATTACTGTACTAACCATAAGATGTGATTTTTTAAGGACAGGAAGAACTAACACTCGTGGAGTACTAAGTGCCAGTAAGTGTGTTACACCTAGCCTCATTCTGATAATGATGATATCACATACTTCATTAATAAGAATGTCAAATTTTAGAAATAACTACATAAATATTTTGTTATTTACTCAAGATCCCATAGCTAATAATAGTTAAAGTTTCAGTTAGTGCCCAAATCTTACTAAATCCAAAGCTATCTTTTTCTATGCCAGTCCTCTGGGAATTACCACGCATTAGGCAGTTTTATGTGTCTACTTAGCAAGGTAACAGTTCCCAGTTATTCAACCAAACACTAATCTAGGTGTTGCTCTTGAGTTATTTTGTAGATATGATTAAAGTCTATTATTAACTAGAGATAAAGGAAATTATACTAGATAATTTGTGGGGGCCTAATTCAACCTGTTGAAAGGCTGTGAGAACAGAGCTGAGGCTTCCCTGAAGCAGTAGAAATTGTGCCTGTGGACAGCAGCTTCAGTCCATACTTGAGCTTGCAAGTCTGCCCTTTCTGACAGCCCGCTCTACGGATGTCAGACTGATGTAGCCAGCCTCCACAATCCTGTAAGGCAGTTATTTGCAATAAATCTATTAATATCTCCAACTGATTCTATGTCTCTGGTTGGGCCCTGAGTAATTCATACCCAAACACTTAAATGTTCTGAGCCTTGATTGTATAAAGCTGATTTGTGTACTATGAAAATTTTCTTTTATATATTCTCACAGTGATTTCTTGCTTGATCAGCATTGGTCTAGCACCAAGTAGGTGGTCATTTTTCTATAATTGGCTTATAGCCAATAAGTACTATTTGAATATTTGCAAGGTCTGCAGCAGTATTCTGAATGTTTGGGAATATGTCAAACATCTTACCTACTCCTTACCCCAAAAAAGTAATAGGAAATCTAGAGGAGTATAATATTACCCAGGCCTAAAGACTAGAGTTTTTCTTAAGAAAAACAGTGAAGAGTATGAAGGAGCATATTTATTTTGATGTGCACATTCATTTATGGTCACAGAGTGAGTTTTTGCATCCTAAATTTTTCTAGCTTTGTCTTTCAGTTATGTCTTCCTGCCATTCAATATTTTTTAATTGTATCATGAAAACACAAATTGAAAATTGACTAAAGGCGAATAAAGGCAAGCAAACTACTGAAACTCAGAAGAGATATCTTCTTGTAGGTTTTCATAGAATGCAAGCCTCTACCAAACAAACATATTTATTTCAAGATATCTTGGAATAAATTATGGCTAAATAGTTTAGAAATAAAGAACAAAAAAAGAATGAGCAGAAAATGTATTTCTCTTTTTCTTTATAAGCCATGTAGCTAACTCGAGTAAGGAGAAAAAATGTAGCTAATTAACTCAAGGAGAAAGTCCATACCTTAGTTCTGGCAATGAGTTAGAGCTGCTCAATAATTTGAAAGTTATATTTATGTTTTAGATTTTTATTTTACTGAGTATAGTTTTTCCTCCATATATGGTGATGCTTCATCTCCAAATAAAGACTTAAAAAGTAAAAGTCCATCTAATCAATTGTTACAGAGGTCCAAATATCCAACATATTTCTAAGGTGATAAAATTGGCTCATCATGATCCCGTCAATTACTCTGCAATATCTGCAAAAGCAATTAATTAGGTTCTTTATTAAGTGCAGGCTATCATAATGAATAAGCACATCATTTAATCTTTACACAATTTTTTGATGCCAGAAATACAGCAAATCTTCCCAAAAAGACTTCTAAAATTATAATGCAATCCACTATGAAAGCTTCCTAATCCTAAAGTTACTTTTAAGCATAGTTTTGTGCTACCAGCTGAGTTGCTGTTTTTTTTAGCTCTCTCTTATAAAATATTTCTTTTTTCCTGTTTCTGATCCTCTAGCTTGCTGGGCAGCCACATGCCTGGCAGGATTCTTTAGTCCTAAACTAATTGGCAAAAATCCTCCTGGGAAGATGGATTTCTAGCATTTTAACATCTCAGAGTACATCTGTGATCTTGCCTATGTAAGGGCTGCTGGACATAAGCAACTCAATGTTCAGTTTGTCAAATGATGCAATTAATATGAAACAAGATTTTTATTGTTATATTTTTCCTAGAGCCCTCCTGGTGTTTGCACATTAGTATCTGAGTGAATTTCATTATTTTTCTGAGTTTATTATTATATTCAGGACACTTAATCTTCTTTTTACATTCAAACTAGAATACCATTCGTTTATTTTTCAAGTTGGTCTCACGGAGATGATATACTCTCCAAGTCATATTAAATCCTACAGCAAGGGATAAAATTTGTTTTTCCCTAATTAATTCAATTTTCTTATGTATATTTGCTCTGTCTACATGTTTTTCTTTTCTTTTTCCTTCTTTTCATTCCATCCTTGGTGACATTTCTCTAAAAAGAAATTAGCCCACTCAAAGGAAAAATAAAATGTATATTCAAAATAAATGTGCTCCTACACTTAGGTATGAATGACCTCCTCCCTCATCTGTTCATATCATTGGTTAGCATGTAAATCATGCAAAACAGCTCACAGTTTTAAAGTGTCAATAAGTTCTTAAACATAAAGTATGATTACAGAATAATAATGCTCTCCAATCCCATATCACTTTAGACCGAGACCAAGACTGTCTGAGGGGCTTGAGCTAATGATCTCACTATTTTTTAATGTTCTCTTAGTTCTTATTGATTGTCCTTCTTGCCATTCATTATATATATTTTTTCCTTGCAGGTCAGGATTTTATATTCTACTTATAAAATATTTCAAGGTAAAATTTTATGTACTAATTAATTACAAGTTTGTATCTGGCATAAATATGACCTGCAACTTAGTTCATTATACCAAGTGCTCAACAAGTCAATGCTGCGAGATTTGGTAAGGTGCTCAAATTGATGTGTGTTCAGAAACAAAACAAATACTTATTGCATGAAACTTACCTATAGAACACTAATAATCCAGAAATGAAATCCTGAAACCCATTAAACTCTTATTATACAACAAATAAACTGCAATTTATTAACAAGTATCTCAAAATCTTCTCAGTTTATCTAGAGACTTTCACACTAGCTCAGTCTTCACATATCTTATTTTGTACACCATATTCATCTATGAAAATAATTGAAGATTACTATTTAAAATTAGTATTAATTTACACTCACATAACACAATTCAAATCCCCTTAGCTATACAGGAGAGTAAATGAATTTTGGAATTCAGACAGAAAGACTCCAAATAAGATATTGTCTTATTTCAAATGGAAAAACATGCCAAACTCATAGAACAGAAGAATTAATATTAATATGACCAAATTGCCCAAAACGATCTACATATTTAATGCAATTCTTATCAAATTACCAATATCATTCTCCACAGCATTAGAAAAAATAACCCTAAAATTAATGTGCAACCAAAACAGAGCCTGAATAGCCAAAGCAATCCTAAGTAAAAAGAATAAAGCCAGACGCTTTATAATACATGACTTCAAACTATACTAGAAGGCTATGGTAACCAAAACAGCATAGTACTGGTATAGAAATAGATACATAGATCAATGAAGCATAATAGAGATGCCAGAAATAAAGCTTCACACCCACAACCAAGTGATCTTTGACAAAATCGACAAAAACATACACTGGAGAAAGGATTCCAATTCAATAAACAGTGCTGAAAAAACTGGAGAGCCATATGCAGAACAATGAAACTGAACCCCTATCTCTTACCATAAAAAATAGCCCAAGATGGATTAAAGACTTAAATATGAGACCTGAAACTATAAAAATCCTAGTAGAAAACCTATTAAAAAAACTCTTCTGGACACTGGTCAAGGTAAAGAATTTATGAGTACATGCTCAAAAGAAAATGCAACCAAAACAAAAATAGACAAATGGGAATTAATTAATTGAAAAACTTTTGCACAGCAAAAGAAGTAATCTAAAAACAGGCAACCTACAAAGTGGGAGAGAATAATTGTAAATAATGAATTAGACAAAGAGCCAATATCCAGAATTTACAAGGAACTCAAACAACTCAACAAGAATAACACCAAATAACCCCATTAAAAAGCAGTCAGAAGACATGAACAGGTATCTTTCACAGGAAGATATACAAGCAGCCAACAAACATACGAAAGAATGCTCAACATCACTAATCCTCAGAGAAATTTAAATCAAAACCACAATGAGATACAATCTCATACCAGTCAGAATGGCTATTACTAAAAAGTCAAGAAACAATAGATGTTGGCAAGAATGCAGAGAAAAGGGAATTAGTATAAACTGTTGGTGGGACTATAAATGAGTACGACTTTTATGGAAAACAGTATGGAAATTTCTCATAGAACTAAAAATAGAAATACCCTTTGATCCAGCAACCACACTACCGGGTATCTACCCAAAGGAAAATATCATTATATCAAGAAGACACATAAACTCATATATTCATTGCAGCACTATTCACAATAGTAAAGTCATGAAATTAACCTAGGTGCCCATCAATAGTGAATTGCATAACGAAAATGTGGGACATACACACCATGGAATGCTACACAGCCATAAAAAGAATGAAACCATGTCTTTTGTAGCAACATAGATGGAACTAGAGACCATTTTCCTAGGTAAAATAATACAGAAGCAGAAAGTCAAAAACCATGTGTCCTCACTTATAAGTGGGAGATAAACAATGGGCACACATGGACATATAGAGTGAAATAAACAGACATCAGAAACTTTGAAAGGGAAGGGAAGAGGATTGAGGGATGAAACACTACCTATTGGCTACAACGTACACTGTTAGTCTGATGGGTGCACTAAAAGTCTGGACTTCACCACTATGCATGTAATATAACTACACTTGTACCCCTAAATCAATACAAATACAAAATTTTTAAAATTCTGTTTTAATTCATAAAGCTATCTTTAAAAATTAATTACTAGTTAGAACTACAGTGCTCTAGGGCTATAAGATAAATTTGGTTTCAAGATCATTTCTAAGAGTACATATATATATGTGTGTGTGTGTGTGTGTGTGTGTGTATATATTTACGTGTAATATGCACATGTAAGTGTATATTTGGCTAAATTAAAAAAGCTATTGTATTCCTACATTATAGGTCTATTGCATAACTACTTTTCAGAGATCGACTATAATATTCAGATGACATCACCATTTCTAGAATTAGCTTTACTATCTGAATAAGGGTTATAAGAAAGAAAGAAAAGAAATTTCTGTTTCGGAAATACAGCAATTTGCAGCGAAAAAGAGCCTACTGTTTGTTGTAATTTAGATATATCTGGAAGAGGCTAGTAAATATTGGATATTGCCTAAATGCAATTTTATTCAAAGTAATCTATCATGAAAAATGAAGAGATCATTTCACGATATGATTTTACTGTTGTGACTGTGAAGCAAACATTATAAATCATTTACCCTGGGCTTAGGTCATTAGAAAGAAGAACAAAATCATTGAACTACTGTTGCTTGAGATAACACTGTTTGAAATTAAAGGATAGCTAGTTCTTTCATTCTTGTCATTTTCAGGGAGCAATGCTATTTGAACAAAAAAACATTTTTTTAAACACTCTTCATGTGGCAAAGAACTACTATAATTTAAAAATTGCCACTCACTAATCTTCTGTGAGTATGATATCTTATATCCAATACCAAAGGCTGGCTGCCCAAGAATAACAAAAATCAACCTGTACTGTCTGGACATTCTGGCTGATATATTAGTTCATGAGGTTTAATAAAAGTTTCCCCTCAAGTAGCTTAATTTTTAAAATCAAATTGCTTCTCAGTAATTGTTTGTTCTATAATGCAATTAATCAATACTTGCAACTTATCCATTTCTCAGTGAAGAAAGGAAATGTTACTAAGAAAACAAGGGTTCAGTATTTTTATGTGGTTGCTTGGCAAACAACGCTGGCAAGAACTTTCACTACTAAAGCTCATGTTTTTAACTTCCCAAGCCTTTGGGTATATAGCACAAATGGAAGCAAAGAAAAGTGGTAATGATTTATCTTGGTGAGTTCGAGTCAAATTGTTTCTTGTTTCTGCATCCTCTCCTGGAGGGCAGTAAAGACAGTATGAAATAGTAGAAGGAGTACCAGGCTGTAAGTTAAGAATCTTGTCACTAGTTGAAATTAGATATGTGGTAACAATACAGTCAAGAAATCTATTGGCGATATGGGGGTGTAGAGTGGATTAGACTAAAAGTGGTCTCAGGGTTGAAGCAATAAGATATCCTTTATTTCCTAATGATTGAAGTCTGTAAGTCTAAAAACTTTCCCTAGTATGAGATTTAGTTATGTCTGCGGTAATCTAATTTTACATTTCCTCAATACGTGTAACTATGCATCCTACTAAATAAAATTCTTTTTGAAATGTAACCTGGAAGTGGCTATGAAAGTGAAGGACCAATGAATGATATTAAACAGAAGAGACCCAAGAACCACACAGTCCTTAGTGAAGTAAGCCAATTGCCAGACCGTTGAACAAATATTGCCTGCCACCTGCCCAGATGTTACATAACTTTTATTCCCACAAGTGATCTTTTGGTCATTTTGAATGCTTTTGATGAGATATGTGCACTGTAAATTATGTCATCTGATAGCTGAACTTAGAAGTTAGCATCTCATTACCATCACAGCAACATTCTCTCCGAGAACAAAAATCCCTTTAGTAGGTTTTATATTCTCCTGGCAGAAGGTAGCCAGTTGATGACAGCTGAAGTTTCAGTGCTTCTCTTTTCTTTCTTGCTGCAGTGGCTCTAAACAGATTTTTAAAGGTATGGTAATTAATAGTATCATGGATGTTTGGCATTCCCTAATCTACCCTCTTCTCCATCATCTAAAGCAACAACAACAACAACAAATTGTTCAGAGTGGACTAAAAACAAAAAAAGATTATGACAAAAGGACAATTGGCTGTCACAATGTTAGCTGACATAAAACAGATACATACAGCCATTTAAGAAACACAAAGACGTGAACATTCAGGCAGCAAAAACCTCAACAACAGTGTAAAGCTAAAATAAGTTGGTAAAGCAGATAAGGGGAACATGGAAAAATTTTCAAGGTAGAGCTGACTTTTCAAAGAACTTCATGGTTTCAGGAGCACGTGCACTATTTTCATTTCTTAGAAAATATAGCATTTACATATTAGTGTAATGGTTAACTTTATGTGTCAAATTAACTTGGCTACAGGATGCCCAGATAGCTGGCTAAACATATTTTTGTGTGTCTGTGAGAGTATTTTCAGAAGAGATTAACATTTGAATTGATAAACTGAGTAAAACAGAGGGCCCTCCCCAGTGTCCTGAATAGGACAAAAGGACCAAATAAGGTTGAATTCAACCTCTGCCTAATTGCTTGAGATGTAACATCACTCTTCTACCCTTGGTGCTCCTTATCCTCAGGCCTTCTTATTCTCACTAGAATCTGACTATCAGCTTTCTGGCTCTGATGCCTTCAAACTACACCAGCAACTTTTCTGGGACACCAGCTTGCAGACAGCACATTGCTGAGCTTCGCCTTCATAACTATATCAGTCAATACATTATAATGTATATGTGTGTGTATAATGCAGAATTTAATATATTTCCTGAAAGGTTATTCGCTAAATTCTTAGGGGAAAAGTAGCTTATATCTTTTTTGATTATTTATTTAGAAATGGAGTCTCACTCTGTCGCCCAGGCTGGAGTGCAGTGGCGCGATCCTGACTCACTGTAACCTCTACCTCCCAGGTTCAAGTGATTCTTCTGTCTTAGCCTCCAGAGTAGCTGGGACTTACAAGTACGTGTCACCGTGCCCGACTAATTTTAGTATTTTTAGTAGAGACGGGGTTTCACCATGTTGGCCAGTCTGGTCTCGAACTCCTGACCTCGTGATCTGCCTACCTCAGCTTCCCAAAGTGCTGGGATTACAGGCATGAGCCATGTAATCTGGGCGCCTGGCCTGGTTTATATTCTAAAAATTTATTCTCCCACCATTATGCTCAATTTCTTAATTACAAAAAATGGACTTAAGAATGGGAAACAATGTGTTCATTTACTACTATATCCCTTCCTTTAAAAATCTATTCTGATTTTTTAAATGCAAATTATTTAAAAAGCATCTATCATAAAGCTTTTTCAAGATTTATGTATTTTTTTCTTTTACTCATCCACTTTTTTCTATGACACTAATACGTGTATGGTTTCAAAAATATTTGACAATCCCAAGAACGTGCACAATAGCATTCAAAGGTCTAAAAGAAGCGATACAATGAATAGACGTGCAGTGAAATTTACAAAAATGTGCACTGACATTTTAGAAGGCCAAATGGTATTTTTTAAAGCACAATAACTAAGCAATATTAAATAATCTGAATCTCTTTCTGCCTCCCTCACACTTGAACTTCCTTCTTCATTATCTTAAGTGAATTGTTTTGTGAACTTTTGTCAGGCTCACTCAACCTCTGCTAATGTTTTACTGAAGTTTTGATTCAATGTAGCAGATATTTGATCTTTTCTCACATTTTCAAACATCCATTTGAGCCACGTGGGATTTGTTTCTATTATTTTTTCCAGATTGTCTCTGAGTTTGGATAATAAAAAGCAGATAACAGTTTGCTCTTGATCAATGCATTAATAGAAGGAAAAAGTACTACTAAACTACTATTTAAATTATGAACAATTTAAAATATAATTAATACCGCTATGTAGATCTAATTTTATCATTTATAAAGTTAAATACAAAAAAAATGGTGGTCTGTGAATTTCCTTCACATAAAATGGCCAAGTTCTGTACGATTTCGTCTATCTCACTTGACTTGTCTCATGGCACGTTCGTCAATACTCTCTGCATTTATTCTTTGAATATGCAGTATCTTATCACCTGAAGGCCTTTGATCATGTTCTTCCTTCTACTGGAATGTTATTTCCATTCCCTCTTCATTCAACTATTCCTTCTCTTTTTTCAAAGCTCAAACTAAGCATCACTTCCTCAATGTTGTCTTTCTATGGCTATATATTAGCATGTCCCAGAGAAATAGAACCAAAAGGATGCATGTATATATAAAGAGAAAGAGATTTATTTTAAAGAATTGGCTCATAAGATTGTAGGACCTGGCAAGTCCAAATTTGGCAGAGCAGGTCGGCAGATTAGAGACCCAGGAAAGAGTTGATGTTGTGGTCTTAAGTTGAAAGCCAATCTGGAGGTAGAATTCCTTCTTTAATGGGTATAGCTTTAATGGACATAGAGGAAAAAAAAAAACCCCAGTTTTGGGTTTTTTTTCCCTCTCAAGCTCTTCAACTGACTAATTGGGGTTTGCCCATATGTGGAGGTTAATCTGTTTTACTCAAAGTCTACTGATTTAAATATTGATCTCATCTAAAAAACAATATCGTCACAGCAACACCTAGAGCAGCACTGGGACAAATGTTTGGGTACTGTGTGTTAGCTGAGTTGACACACAGAATAAACCATCACAGACTCACAATTTTCCAGTCATAATTTGGTGAAGATCCCATGTTACATGCTTTTATTTCTATTGTTACTTTTCTTTGTAGCACCTATAATAACTGTAACTCAGTGACCCATTTTGTAATTACTTATTTAATGTATTCTTCCATCTCTGGAAAGCTATATCCATTAAACCAAAAATTGTACTTATCAGTTGTGCGATGTTTATGGCTGAATCCCCAGTAAACATTTAGTCATTCGCTCAGTATGTTTTATAGACTTCCCTCTTAGTAACAGGCACTGGAGATTTAGCAATAAAAAAGACATAGTCACTACTATCATGTAACGTAGTAAAAAAGATAGACAAGTTAATAGGCAGTTTTAATACATGGGATAAGTGGCTTGATTGTGGTTCTGTGAGAATACAGAGCGAACGGGCACTGATCCGTCTGGATGCTTATGGAAGTTTCTCAGAGAGAGTGACATTTAATTGAGACCTCAAGAAATAGTAAGAGTTAACCAGGCAAAGTTACATGCAGGGAAGGAAAAAAAATTAATCTACAGGTAAAATAATACTTGAAATATTGAATAAATATTAGAATTTTGTGTGGCAGGAGAATACATTAGGGGTGAACTGAGTAGTAAGAGAAGAAGCTAAAGCGAACTATGTGCTGTGTTGATTTCACGAACATTGTTCTTAAGTGAATATCACAATCCCATCTCAATGCTAACACTAAAATGGCCAAGCTCATACAATTAGTAAGTGGCCCATGCAGTGTTTAAGCTCAGGTGTGACTAATTTCAGAACCTGTGTCCTTTTCACCACAGTCCAATGCCTCCCTAGTGCCTAGCTCAAGTTGTATCAATTATCTAGCGTTCACATTCTAATACTTTACCCCAGTTCTACCTAACGTGGCATCAGGCTAGAATAAGATTTCAACCTAGGTAGAATGTTACTCTTTCCAGGGCTAAAAGTATTTTAATATCCTTGCTTCAATGATATTTAAGGAAATAAGAAAACAAATATAATGATGTCAACTACCTCTGTTACAAAAATTACAGCTGACAAACCAAAACGTGGGACCCCGTTGAACTTCTGCTCTGGACTGTGCAGTAATATTGACGTGCTTCTGCTCAGTATTAGAGTAGTAACTTGTTATATTCCTGGCTCTGCTTCCTCCATTTGCAGTCCCTCTGATAGCTCTATTAGGTAGTAGTCACATAATGGATTCGTAGGCTATGTTTTTGATTCACTAAAACTGCCAAGAATTTGTCTGCACTGTTTTTCCATAATTTGCCTACATTATTTTTGACAAAGCCCAGAACTTTAATTTGGCATTCTCAGTAAATTTTTTGTTTATGGTAGTGAAGACTCATAATTTATACAGTGAAATATATATTATTAAATAGTCCCTACAATTTACCTAACAATATTTATTATGTGGGGTGAAATACAAGTGCTTATATAAATATACAATTTTAATTATTCTGTAAAACTTTTTTAATTTTTTAAAAAACTATTTCTAGTTTGTTAAATTTATTCAATCAACAAAATAACTTCAACCTATACTAGGCATTGAGCTTAGGTGATGAAAATACAAAGACAAAAAGGACACAGTTGAGTTCTATGGAAATTTGGTGTACTCGAAACATTAATTTGTCTATTTCCATAGCTCCATTGTAAAAGCATTCAATTCATATTAGCAATATTAAAATCCCAGTGGATTGGTGAAGGATAGAGTTGAAAATGAGACATTTGGTTGAAAATCTACATAAGGACCTATTGGGACCCCTGGTTTCCTCTTCACTTATCAAAAAGCCGTGTTAATATCTCTCCCTTATGCCATCAGTAAAATACAGTCTCATTTTTAAGAAAGTTGGTGCTTTGAAAAGATCAAAAGATTAACATACCTTTAGTTAAATATACTAAGAAAAAAATAGAAGACTCAAATCACTAAAATCAGAAATCAAGTGGAGACATTACTAACAACAATACAGAAACAAAGAGGATTATAAGTGAGTGGTATGAACAATTATATTTCAACAAATTGAATAAACTAGATAAAATTGGCAAATTTCCAGAAACACAAAAGCTACCAAGACTAAATTATAAAGAAATAGAAAACTGAATAGACCTATAACTAGTGAGAAGGTTGAATCAGTAATCAAAAATCTCCAGCGGGGGGCGGGTGTAGGGGGAAGCCCTTGGACCCGATGGCTTTGCTGGTAAATTCTAGCAAACATTTGAGGACACTAATCCTTCCAAAATGAGAGAGAACTTCCAACCACATTCTATGAAGTTAACATTACCCTGATACCAAAGCCATGAGTCATGTATGAACACTGAAAAAAAAAAACCTGCAAACCACTAAATCTTGTGAACATTGATGTAAAAATCCTCAACAAAATACTAACAAACCAAATTCAGCAGCATATTGAAAGGATTCCACACCATACCCAAATGGAGATTTATTCATGGAACACAGGGATGGTCTAACGTGAAAATTCCTCAGTGTAATACATCACATTAACAGAATTAAGGGGAAAAAAACGTGTCATTATCCCAACTAATGCAGGAAAAGCATTTGACAGAATTGAATGCTCTTTCTTGGTAAAAACTCTCAAAGTCGAAATAGAAGAGAACTACCTCAACATAATAAAATACATATATGAAAAAAATGCACACTGAAATCATTCTCAAAGGTGAAAGGCTGTAAGTATTGGAAGTTCTAGCCAGAGCAAGTAGGCAAGAAAAAGACATAAAATGCATCCAAATTGGAAAAAAGTTAAATGATCTGTTTGCAGATGATGCAATCTTATATGTAGAAAACCCTAAAGACTTCACACAAAAACTCTTAGAACTAAATGAATTAATCAAAACAGCAGGATACAAAGTGAACTGCAAAAATCTGTTGTATTTTTATACTACATATAAAAACCTGAAAAGAAAATTAAGAAAACTATCTTATTTACATTAGTATCATAAAGAGTAAAATCCTTAGGCATTCATTTAACAAAATAACTAAAATCTTGAACAATAACAACTAACACTGCTAAAAGAAGTTAATGAAGACATAAATAATAGAAATATATTACACATTCAAGGACTGGAAGGCTTTATATTAAGAGTAAATACTAACCAAAGCAACCTACATATTCAGTGTAATCCCTATCACAAAATCAATGATTAATTTGAAGAAATAAAAATAACTCATGCTAAAATTCTTAGGAAATTTCAGTGGAACCCAAATAGGCAAAACAATCTTAAAAATGAAGAACAAAGATGGAGGACTCCCACTTTCTTAATTTCAAAACTTACGACAAAGATGCAGTAATCAAAAGAGAGTGCTACTGGCATATAGACATATAGACCTATAGAATGAATAGATAGCCCATAAATAAACCCTCACATATATAGTTAAGTGATTTTTGAGAAGCGTGTCAATAACATTCAATGGGAAAAGTCTTTTCGATGAACGCTGCTCAGAAATCGTATATCCACATGCAAAAGAATTAATTTAGACCTTTAGATAAGACCATTTACAAAAATTAATTCAAAATAAACGCCTAAATATCAGAGCAAAAATTACAACAATCTTGGAAGAAAACATAGGGCAAAATCTTCATGACATTGACATTGGCAATGATTACTTGAATATGACACCATAGCACAACAAAAAAAGTGACAAACTGGACTTAACAAAACTTTAAGTCAATTTGTGCACTGAAAGACTCAATAGACTAAAAAGGCAATACGCAGAATGGTAGAAAATATTTGCAAACCATATACCTGATAAGGGATTAATATCCAGAATATATAGGGAGCATCTACAACTCAAAAAGAACAACAAAAACTCAATTCAAATATAGGCAAAGGAGTTGCATAGCCATTTCTCCAAAGAATATACACAAATGCCAAAGGCACATTAAAAAATACTCACTATTGATAATCATTAGGTAAATGCAAATCAAAACTACAATGAGATACCACTTCACGCTCATTTGGATGGCTACTATCAAAAGACAGAAAATGTTGATGAGGATGTGGAGTAACTAGAAGCTTTGTTTGCTGTTGGTGAGAATATAAAATAGTGCAGCAGCTATAAAAAGGGACTATAGTGGTTTCTAAAAAAATTACTAAATTCTAAAAAGAATTACTGCTAATCCTTCTCAAACACTGTCAAACTTATTTTACAAGGCCAGTATTATTCAGATACTAAAGCCAGACTAGGACAGTAAAGAAAAAAATTACAGGCTATATGCAAATATGCAAATAGCAAATATGCAAAAATCCTCAACAAAATACTAGCAAACTGATTTAACAGCACATTAAAAGGATAATATAATCAAGCAGGATTTATCCTTGGGATGCAAGAATATTTTACATATGTAAATCAGTAAATGTGACATACTTCATTAACGGAAAAAAAGGACAAAAATTTTACGATTATCTAAACAGATACAGAAAAAGCATTTGACAAAATCCAATGTGCCTTTGTGGTAAACATTTTAATGAATTAGGTATAGAGGAATGTAACTCAACATAATAAAGGCCATATATGGTAAGTCCATGGCTATTATCATATTCAGTGGTGAAAAGCTGAAAGCTTTTCTTCTAAGATCAGGAACAAGACAAGGAGCCACTTCTACTCAAGATAGTCCGAAGGTCCTAGCCGGAGGAAGTAAGAAAAAAAATAAATAAAAGGCATTCTAATAGGCAAAGAAGAAGTAAAATTATCCCAAACTGTTTGTAGATGACATGATTTTATATATAGGAAACCTTAAAGCCTTTACCAAAAATCCGTTAAGACTAATAAACAATTCAGTAAAGTTACCGAATACAAAATGATGTACAAAAATTAGTACGGTTTCTATATCCTAACAATGAGCTATCCAAAAAAGAAATCAAGAAAGCAATCTCATTTACAACAGCAGTAAGATAAATCGTGGAATAAATTTAACCTATTAGGTGAAACATCCATACACTGAAAATTAAAATGTTGAAAGAAATTGAAGAAGACACAATTAAATGGAAAGACATTCCATATTCATGGATTGGAAGAATTAATATTGGTAAGATGTCCATACTACCTACAGTGACAAAATAATTAATGCAAACCTTATCAAAACTCCAGTGGCATTTTTTACAGAAATAGAAAAAACAATCAAAAAACTCATATGGAATAACAAAAGATCCTGAACAGCCAAAGCAATCTCAAACACAATGAACAATGTGGAGTCTTCACAACACCTGACTTTAAGATATAATATAATACAAAATTTTGACAATCAAAACAACATGGTACGGGCATAAAAAAATACATGTACATAAATGGAGCATACAGAGAGCACCAAGAAATGTACATATTTATGGGCAACTGTTCTTTAACAAAGATGCCAAAAATGCACAATGGGGAAAGAACAATCTTTTCCATAAATGTTCTCACCACAGAAAGAAAGAAAAATATAACTATGTGAAGTGATGAATATGTTATTTGGCTTGGTTGTGGTGATCATTTCATATTGTATACATTTATCAAAACATCATGTTGTACACTGTAAATAAATGAAGTTTTTGTCTATTACAACTCAATAAAGCCTAAAAATTAAAGGCTAAAACCAAATTTTCAAAATGTTATAGAGAAGCAATAAAACTGTTTAGCAAAATGATAAAAACCAGTAATTTGGAAAACAAACTGTTATTTTAGATGGAATTAAGGATGAGGACGAATTATGAGCTGAAAACATATGTAAGAAAACAAATTTAAAGGGAAATATGGTTGTGAAAATATTTACAATACAGTAGAAAATAAGCCACTTGGACCTATCATCACCAGATATGTTCTTTAAATTGAATAATTCTACTAGCAATTTTTATGGTCAACACCTTAAAAATTTTACAGTGCAGTAATTGAAAGATTATTTGCTCATAAATGGTGTGGCATTGAACTGTGGATCCATGTGGAGCCACAGAAAATAAGGAGATTGTCCTGGATTCCTGCTGGAAAGTCAGACTTTGGGAGAGTTCTTAGTTGATTTTATATTTTGCTTGGCCTTTAAACACTGATTTTAGTGCAAATATATATAGCATGACATTCTTATATAAATTATATATTCCATTACACATGCATTTCATTTTTTGTTTCATGCAATGGAAATAAAAAGTACATTTTTAAAGTATGTTTGGACTCACTCATGTCTTTTATTATCATTATTGTGCCCTTTTGGAATTATTGTCTGAACTTCAGAAGTATCGTTAAGGCAGAAGAAATAAGTTCCAAACATGTGCATTAACTATTTTCAACTAAACAAGCTGAGTTTGAAGATAAGAGACACAGACAGAGACAGACAGGATGTAGAAAGAGAGCAGTAAAGCAAGAGATGAAGAGTTAGAAGGAAGAGAGAAGGAAAAGAAGAACAATAACAGCCCTTGAAATAAAGTTAGGCCAAGCTTTTGTAACCAGCTTCCTTGGATGAACCTGATATCTACAAGCTGAGATATCTATTGAAGCAGGAGGACTAGAGGCCCCACAAGAGTTTCATGTCCTTGCCTTATTCTGTTTTATTCTTAGACGATTCTGTTTGTTCTTAGACAACTTAGAGGTTTCTGGCCCTTAAAAGCAGTTATTTATAAGAAGTAAGATTTGTTGAGAAGATGAGTGGGATGGAAGGAGGGAGGTATCTCTCATTTCTCAATCCAAACAAAGGAATAAAATGATCAACTTCTAATAACAGCACTAGAAAATTTAGAATATTTTGGTTCATTTAGAAAAAATAGAAGTAACCAACCTTGAGGATGTTATGCTAAGTGAAATAAGCCAGTCTCGAAAAGACAAAGTTATACGATTGCACTTACACGAGGTACTTCGAATAGACAAAATTATAGAGACAGAAAGTAGTATGTTGATTGCCAGCTGATGTAAGGAAGAAAGAATGGGGAATTATAGTTTAATGAATATAGAGTTTGAGTTTTATAAGCTAAAATAGTTCAAGAGATACATGGTGCTGATGATTGCCTAACGTTAGGAATGTATTTACTACAACTAAACTGTACACTTAAAATGGGTAATGTGGTAAATTCTATGTTGTGTGTATGTTACCAAAATAAAAGAATTGAAAAAAATAACCATTAGGCAATAAATCTTATAATAAATGTGCAAGATAAGATCTCAACATAGTAGATCTACAAAACATTAATCAAAGAAACTAAGGTAGTCACCAGTAAATGTGGAGATACACATATTTATGAACTGGGAGATTACATACTGTTAAGTTTCCCCAAGTTGACATATAGGTTTGAAATAACCCAAATCAAACATCAAGGTTTGGGGAAATGTCAATTCTAAAATTTATGTAGAAATGCAAACTGCCAAGAATAGTCAGCATTATCTTAAAGAGAAGTTACACAGTTAGATGTCAAGACTTAAAATAGTGTACAATAATTAAAGTATTGAGGTGCTGACACAAGGATAGATGCATGGTTTGGAGGAATACGGGAGTCTAGAACAGTCGTGCACAAATGGAGACATATAATTTGTTATATATCTGATGCTACAGTGCAGTGCAGAATGAATGTTCTTTTTGATAATCATGTTTCACTGTAAATATATAACACAAAAATAACAAAGGTGGTCTGCTAACTCATACCTTACACGAAAATCAATTGCATGTGTGTTGATATTCTAAATAGGAAATATAAAATCAAAGAACTTCTGGAAGACAAAAAATCTCCATGAATTTAGAATAGTTGAAATTTTCTAAGATGAAATAGCACTAAAGTAGAAATAAATAACTAAATGATTTATTAACTGCATTAAAATTAAGAATTTCTGTTCAACCAAAGAATCCATTAGGAGAGAATAAAAGAAATCAGAGAATATAACTGTAATACATTTAATGGATAAAAGAGTCATAATGAGAGTATATAAAAATACTGGCATATCAATATGAAAAAGACATATAATCTAATAGAAAAATGAGAAAAGATAGAAAAAATGGCTCATGTCAAGAAAGAAGATACCCAAATGGCCAATAAATGTATGAAGAGGTTTTCAATTTCATCAGTCATCTGGGAATTGAAAATTTAAAGCATTTAAAAACGGCATCACACACCTACAAATAGGCTAAAGTTTAAAGGACTGCCAATAATACATGTTAAAAGAATATGGAGCATCTAGAAGTCTCATAAACTATAGAAGGAAGTGGAGACTTCTGCAAGAATTTTGGAAACTCATGGGTAGTATTCGCAAAATGTAGACTTACACATTTAAACCCGGCAATGCCACTCTTAGAAGTGCATCATACATGTACAAAAATGCATAAGCAAAAATATTGATAGCAGCATTATTCATAATACACAACCCTGGAAACCCCGAGTTTATCAACTGTAGAATGAATATATAAATTATATTTGTACACTATGGAGTAATATTATAAAGCAATGAAAATGAACCAACCCCTGCTAGATGGAATAACAATGTGCAATTTACAAACAATAAAATATGTAAATACAAATGAAATTTATAATTATAAACATACAAATATAACATAATATGTTTATAAATGTAAATTAGATAAAATAAACCAGACTCAAAAGAGTAAGAAGGAAGTGACTCTATTACTATGAAGTTTAAAACAAGCAAAGCTAGCCTATGGTATTAGAAGTTAGGATGGTGATTACCTTTGAGAATGGGGGAAGGGGTAGAGATTGAAAGGGAGATAAGGGGCATTTCATTTCTTGACTTGGTAGTGGTAACATGCTGTCTTTGTGATTATTCTTTGAACTGTTACACTTATGATTTATATATTTTATACTTCAGTAAAAACTTATAAAGGATCCAGAAACAACAGCAGAAATAATTAAATAATAAAAATGCTGGGAATAAAAATTGAGAAAATCGCCCAGAAAGTTGAAAAAAAATGGAGACCAGACAAAAATAGGTAAGAAAACAAGAATAACAATCCAAAAGGTTCAGCCTCTCAGGATTTTGTGAAGGAAAAGGAAAAAAAGCAATGTATCTCTAAAATAATATTCAAAGAAGAAAGTTTCCCAGAAGTGAAGGGGGAAAAAATGTGAGTTATTGTCTGGCATTTGGCACAATAAATGAAAACAAACTTATTTTAGGTCTCATCACTATAAAATTCCAGAAGATGAATGATAAAGTATTCTAAAGGATTTCATTGGAACAAAAACTATATACAAAATTTGACAGACCAAATAGGATCATGCTTCTGAATAACAACCCATTATCTCACTTATAATTGTTCATGCAGGCACAGTTATTGGGAATAAAATAAAAATCATTTTAAACATACAAAATCCCATGTCCTCTTTTAGAGAAACTAAAGAAAGATGTGCAGCCCGTACTAAATGAAGGTATACACCAGCAAAGAGGAAAACCCTGACACAGGACACAGGAGCTCCATCCAGAAGGGTGTTAACAGGGAAGTCCCAGAGGACAACTTTTCAGAAACTAGGGAGCACCCAAGCTCACACTGGAGCAAAAAGATGATAAACTCCAAAGGAATATTTCCAAGAAAAAAGGAGGGGAGATAATTTTAATATATTTGAATTTTTATAAAATATTTTATAATTTTAATGACAATTTTGGTAAAATGATATAGAAACGTAAGCAAAGGAGAAACAGCCATTATTAATTACAGGAAAACTGAACCAAAAATTACAAACTATATATATTTGAGCAGGAAACAATATTTACACAACTATAATAATGTGAATGTTGAGTATTGATTTAAACAACTGGAGGGAAGAGAAGCAGACACAGCTATCTTTAACTTTTCTAATAGGAAGTAAATTTAACATCTAAATCTGATGAATAAGATGTATAAGCACATTACTTAGATATATAAAGTGACAAAAGTTTGTAGGAGTCTTGGAAATATTGATGACTGAGCTAAGTAGGTACTTTCCTTTCTAAGTAATATACATGCATTACTTGGATACATATAGGAATAATTTAAAAATAAAACATTGTCCCTGCCCTCAAGTGTATCATAATTTTGCTTATATGTAGGAGAACTTACCTTCACAACATTTTAAAATTCCTTCAATGTGAGTAATATTCAACACCACCAAATATCACAGATTTTTCTAGGTATGCGTTTAGGAAACTTCAGAAACTGGTTTCATCTCTGAGACGGTGAACCTGCAATTAATAACAGCTCCCTCCAGATGGTGGCAATGTCTTGCTTTCTGGTTATACAAGTATAACAATGTAAATACATATGTTGCTCCCTAACTTAGAATAGTTTTTCTATTCACTTTAGTGAATGTGGAATTTTGATTTCCATTTACTATGGAGCAATTAGGATTCAGATGTCACACATTGGTAGCCAGTGACAGAAGTATTGGTTTGGGAAAAATTCCCTGTTATCTTATATCCACACCCTCACCCCACTGCCCAATCCTTCCCTGATGTGGTTTGGCTGTGTCCCCACCCAAATCTCACCTTGAATTGTAGCTCCCATAATCCCCATGTGTTGTGGGAGGGACCCAGTGGAAGGTAATTGAATCATGGGGACGAGTTTTTCCTATGCTATTCCTATGCTTATGATAGTGAATAAGTCTCAAAAGATTTGATGGTTTTATGAAGGGCAGCTCCCCTGCACACACTCTCTTGCCTGCCCCCATGTAAGACGTGACATTGCTCCTCATTTGCCTCTGCCATGCCATGATTGTGAGGCCTCCCCAGCCATGTGGAACTGTGAGTCCATTAAACCTCTTTCCTTTATAAATTACCTAGTCTCAGGTATGTCTTTATTAGCAGCATGAGAAAAGACTAATACACTAAATTGGCACCAGGAGTGAGGCACTGCTGTAAAGATACCTGAAAATGTGGAAGAAACTTTGGAACTGGGTAACAGGCAGAGGCTGGAAGAGTTTGGAGGGCTCAGACAAAGATAAGAAGATGTGGGAACATTTGGAACTTCCTAGAGACTTGTTGAATGGCTTTGACCAAAATGCTGATAGTGTTATGGACAATAAAGTCCAGGCTGAGGTGGTTTCAGATGGAAATGAGGAACCCGTTGGGAACTGGAGCAAAGGTGACTCTTGTTATTCTTTAACAAAGAGGCTGGTGGCACTATGCACCTGCCCTAGAGATCTGTGGAACTTTGAACTCGAGAGAGATGATTTAAGGTATCTGGTGGAAGAAATTTTGGGAAAATTTGCAGCCTGACAATGCAGTAAAAAAGAAAAGAAAAACCCATGTTCTGGGAAGAAATTCAAGCATGCTGCAGAAATTTGCTTAAGTAACAAGGAACTGAATGTTAATCACCAAGAAAATGAAGAAATTGTCTCCAGGGCATGTCAGAGAACTTCACGGCAGGCCCCCCCCATCACAAGCCTGGAGGCCTAGGATGAAAAAATGGCTTCCTGGTCCAGGCCCAGGGCCCCCACTGCTCTGTGCAGCCTAGGGACTTGGTGCCCTGCATCCCAGGTGTTCTATCCTTGGCTAAAAGGGCCCAAGATATAGCTCAGGACATTGCTTCAGAAGGTGCAAGCCCCAAGCCTTGGCAGCTTCCATGTGGAGTTGAGTCTGCAGGTGCACTGAAGTCAAGAATTGAGGTTTGGGAATCTCCACCTAGATTTCAGAGGATGTACAGAAACACCTGAATGCCCAGGCAGAAATTTGTTGCAGGGGTAGGACCCTCATGGAGAACCTCTGATAAGGCACTGCAGAAGGGAAATGTAGGCTTAGTCCTCACTGAGGAACTGCCTAGTAGAGCTGTGAGAAGAGGGCCACCATCCTCCAGACCCCAGAATGGTAGATCCACTGACAGCTTGCACCGTTCTGGGAAAGCTGCAGACACTCAACACCACCCCGTAAAAGCAGCTGGAAGCAGGGCTGTACCCTGCAAAACCATAGGAGTGGAGCTGCCCAAGGCTATGGGAGCCCACCTCTCTCATAAGCATGCTCTGGATGTGAGACATGAGTCAAAGCAGATTCTTTTGGAACTTTGAGGTTTAATGACTGCCGTATTGGATTTTAGACTTGCATGGGGGCTGTAGCCCTTTGTTTTAGCAATTTCTCCCATTTGGAATGAGTGTATTTACCCAATGCCTGTATCCCCATTGAATCTAGGAAGTAGCTAACTTGCTTTTAATTTTATAGGTTCATAGGCAGAAGGGACTGGTTTTGTCTCAGAGGATACTTTGGACTGTGGACTTTTGAGTTAATACTGAAATGAGCTAAGGTTTTGGGGGACTGTTGGGAAGACATGATTGTTTTTGTAAGGTGAGGACATGAGATTTGGGAGGGGCCAGGAGTGGAATACTATGGTTTGGGTTTGTCGCCACCCAAATCTCATCTTAAATTGTAGCTCTCCTAATCTCTACCTGTCATGGGAGACCCAGTGAGAGGTAATTGAATCATGGGGGCAGGTTTTTCCCATGCTATTCTCATGATAGTGAATATATCTCATGAGATCTGATGGTTTCATGAAGGACAGTTCCCCTGCACACACTCTCTTGCCTGCCATCATGTAAGACGTTCCTTTGCTCCTCCACTGCCTTCAGCCATAATTATGAGGTCTCCCCAGCCATGTGGAACTGTGAGTCAATTAAACCTCTTTCCTTTATAAATTTACCCAGTCTCAGGTATGTCTTTATTAGCAACATGAGAACAGACTAATATACTGCCCTACTTCCATGCCCTCTCTCTTTATGTATTTACCTCACCTACCTGATCTCTAAGATAATTGCTTTCAATATTCCTAAGTATCTAAAAGTAACCCTAAGTATAATCTATTTTTTGATTCCCACACCTCCATTAATGCTACTTTGATGGGAGGGTCTGTCTTATATCATTAGTTGTATCAAGCTAAGTATCACAATCGTTTTTGCTCTAAAGTTAGAGGCATAAGTATGCCATTTGTATCTTACAATTACATTTGATTTTTGTATCCAGTACAAAGGAAGGGGAATCCCTGAATGCAGCTTCTTGCTCTCAAGATCAATTACTAATCTATCCTTTCTTCAATGCTTTCCCCCATTTTATTTTACTGCTTATATTTATTTAAACTCTGAACTCCAAGTACTATAAACGTAATTGTTCTATAGATGTAAGGGATTTGTGATTCATATGTACTAAAATTCTATTGTAATCAAAAGATTCATTTTCAGTAGAAAAACTAAGTCAAAATTGTTTTAATCTCTAGGTGATTCACTTTCAGTGTTACCAGTGTCTGCCTATGTGGTTTAATAACCCATGTAACCATTATTTCTATCTAGACACAAATGCAGACACAAAAGTCAACAGCATTGCTGCCTATCGGAAATATCTGTGAGGATGGAAATGTTCTATATATGCACTGTCTAAAGTACTAGTGTTTGCAGGAGAGGCAAATACTGCATATTCTTTCCCAGTTTTGAAGCACTACCATGTGCATTACAGAGTAAGTGCTCTGAGAAGGCCTGCATCACAGAAACTGGTTTGTTTATTAAAACCATTACTTCCCGATCATATTCAGCCAAGGAATGCCCCATATGAGTTAAAACGTCTTGGAACTTCTTTCCAAGGAACGATTTTGCAAAACGCAACTTGGAAGTTGAGTCTAGTAAATCAATAATATTTTTGTGACAAATATAATAAGTTCAGAAATATGTCTAAAAAACTAATCAGATGGCACACAGACTCTGATGTCAGACTGTCTGGGTTCAAATTCTGGCTCCATTACCTAATGACTGTGTCACTTTGGGCAAGTTGCCTAAAACTCAGTACTTCAATTTCCTCATCTATAACATATCTATAAAACAATGAAGAGTGCCTACTCACAAAATTATTTTGAAAATAAACATTATAACTTACAAAGTACTTAGAACCATTCCTGACATATTGACGTTCTCAATAAAAACTAGTCATGATCATAATCCGTTGTTCTTTTTGCAAGGTTTTATTATTTATCATTGACTATGGTATTAATGTGTCCATAAAAAACATAATTATGTCAGCATGATTATATCAAAATCAATGACAGTACTATGATTGTTCACTTCACCTTTGCTATAACCACTTGATGTAGGCAATGAACCAGAATTTTAAATGTGGGAAAGGAAAAGTTACTTAAAAATAACAGAAATGTTATGGGAAAAGTTTAGAAATTTCTCCTATAGAAGTCTTTAAAATAATACTTATCAAGGATTGACCTAGGAATGTAACTAGGTCTTCTTAATCTGGTTTTTACATTTGTGAGGGTACATAGAGCAATTATTTCAATGTAGATAGAGAAAATCAAAGTAAATAGCCAAATAGCTATCTGATGCGATACCATTCCACCGTCTTCATCTACACCTCAACCTCACACAAACGCATTCTAGGAACTGGGACTGTTAGTTATAGGAAGACTCAAAGATGTTCTTCATATTTTATAACCATTGAATTTCACACCAACATTTCACAAGGTAAAGAATGATTATATAAAAGTAGTTAGCTACTTGATCGGTCTAATAAGCAATCAGAGGTAACTTTTGGCAAAAGACAGAAGCACACACATACAGATTATATTAATGGTACTCAATTTAGAAAACAGAATATTTATATATTATTTTTGCTTATTGTTTTTGTCCCATTCTACTCTTATAAGTGTCATCTTTTCATAGCCATTTGCCTCCTAAACCACAGGCAAGAAAAGTAAATATGAATGTCCTTTAAACATATTTTAATATTTCCTGCATCATATTTGAGATGCTACAGTTCCTTGGCTAAAAAAATCTCTATTAAATTCCCTTAATAGAGTGAATTCAAGTGTTAGATCAACACATACAACTTTTCCTATCTGTCTTCATCTTGGAAAGCAGATATTAGAAGGTATTACCACTACAGAAGTGATGAAAAGGAAACAAAACTATAATAAAGGATGCTCCTTTACAATAGCTCCTCTCTCAAGGCAAACATTCCCATGTAACCACCATTTCTAAATTCTTTATTTCTTGAAGTCCAAAACAAAATTATGACTTTCCTACTTAAAAAGACTGTATTTTGCTTCCTTAAACATATGTTTAGCTACTGTTTAGAAATAAGGACCCTTCTGAACATAGAAATGCTAGAGCTACAGGAGCTTGTAAGGGCAAAAACCCACAGAGCCAACATATACATTATATATTGACATACAATGGAGCGTTCATTCTGGGCAAGTTTTAGAAGTATTAGTTTGCTACTGACAGTCCTCTAATTGGGCTTCATCCAAAAATCTAGATGCTATCTCCTCTGACTTGGCATTCTATGGCTGCTTCTCAGCTCCCTAAGGTTTCTAGCTCCCACTTGTGGGAATTCAGCCAGTCTGGCAGGGGAAGTTCTACTAAGGGTCTAGCATACCAGCAGATCTGACTGATATGTTTGCCCTGGGTAAGCCAATCCAGCAGAAGGCAATATGAAAATCTATGCCATGATATTGAGAAGGATAGCAAAAGGTCAAGTTCATTCCCAACGTACAAGTGTAAGGTAAGGTCATAAAAAGACAAATCACAAAGATAGAATCCAGTAAAAAAGGGAAATTTAGTGACGTGATACCCAGTTCGTAACAAGGCTATTTCATTCATGCAATCATTTATTCATTAATTCAAATCATATTATTAACCATCTCATTTGTTATAGGTGTTGTTGATATGGCGACCAATAATGTGCATGAAGGGACAGAATCTCTGCATCTTTTCTTAGTAGCACATCATTTATTTAGTAAATTCAATCATCCTAATGGGAGAAATCCAAATTATGCCCTAAGCCTCCCTCCCACACATTGGGAAGTACAAAATAAGAAGTTAAAACAGACATTAGAGAGCAGGTGGTTTATCATCCTTACAGATGAAAACATTCTGCAAAAGCTTAAATGCAGTGCTTAAGGGCATATGGCTGAGTCACTGGTAATTCCTAATTAGATCTCAGGTTTAAGTCTCAGTATGGACTTTTTCTACTCTAAAATATTTTTTGTAGTCTTCTATAAATAATGCTCCTCCCCACCACTTTTGGATAATTGACCTCAAAGGAATGACTTACGTCAGACAAGGATAGAATTGTATCTTGACAGGACATAGTAAGATATTGGTAGGTAGAAGAAACTTTGCTGTATCCTATAAATCATTTCATTTATGCACCTCCATCTGGGCCACGAGCCAGCCCTGACTTTGCAACTTCTGTTATCAGTGTTTTCTCTAAGTAGCAGAATGGGGAGGTGAAAGGAAAAGAAATATGCCTGATTGCCTAGCACTTTGCTCTAGACCGGGGACTGGCAGTTTTTCTGGAAAAATCTGGATAGTATATATTTTAGGCTTTGTGGGATAAACAGTTGTTGTAGCATGAAAGCAGCCACAGACCTTATATGTAAGCAAGAGTGAAGCTGTGTTCCAGTAAAACTTTATTTGTAGACACTGAAATTTGAATTTCACATAATGTTCATGTGTCAGAAAGATTATTCTTTTGATTTTTTTCAACTATATAAAACTGCAAAAATCGTACCTCTCATGCCATACAAAAACAGGTGGTGAGCTGCAGTTTGTCATCCTCTGCTTTACAGGAACATACAGATAGAAATGATAGAGGGCACAACTGCAACATGAGATGTGCTTAGGAAAAAAACAGTTTTATCTGGATTCAGCATTATAATGCCCACCCAGCTATGTCCTTTATAATACCAATAGCTCTTCCTCAGATATGTTTCTTAATTTCCTTTTGAGAGAAATTTTCCAGTCTCTATGTATTTCTAGAAACTTCTTGATGCCAGAAGCTGTCTTTTCTCTCTATTGCACTGTGAACTAGATGCTCCACAACCACTATCCTTGTTATTAAGCAAGTCAAGCGCAGTTTCTGCAGTCAAAAGGTGTGCTTTTCTTCTCCTGCCTACACTTAGCCTAAATGGCACCCTATTATACCAATCAGAAGTGTAACAAAAAGTTTCAGTTCTTTCCAAATCTAAAAGAAAGATCTGTGGCAAATACAAAATGCCCTTACAAAGCCAAGCAAGGTAATTTTAAAAAAATGTAATGAGTTTCAGGTTCACGAAATGTGATATTGACAACAGCAGAAATAAATTGCTCCTATTTAACTGCCGTCCAGCTCAGAAGAGATGAGCATCAGCCATGCTCCAACAATGCAGCAGATGCCGGACCCTGAGAGACACACTCTATTAAGACCAGAGTGCTATTAAGGAGACAGACTTATACTGTAAAGTTGGAATGGGTGGAGGAGAGGAAGCATGCTTCAATCTATACATCTCAGGGACTTGACAGCACTTGGCTTCTTATAAATCTGTCTAAGTAAAGTTATTAAGTGGCTGAGAAATATACCATTGGCAGCCAACCTGGGACAACAATGGAAAATGGATAGCCAATAGACAAGACAGACTAGTAAAAGGACCAGGAAAGATGCTTGCTCACAGATTCTGAGAGGTAATAAACACTGCAAATGGGATTTGGGCTGCATCTTTCGGCACTAAGAAATAGCAGATTCTGAACAGAAGCTAAATAGCTGCATTATCAATTGCTATTTCCTAAATATGGTTGTGTTCGAACATCTGAGTTCTATTGGAAAACAACCTGAAATTTACTAGTGTTAATAAATGTGCTGAACAAAGTCAAAATAAAAATACCAAAACAAGATTCAAGGAAAGCTCACTTTTCATGAATTGCAGGAGACAATTAAGACTCATAAGAGTAGCACAGTATGTGCCTTCCTTCCCTACTTCTGAGGCTTTATCCAATGCTGAAACAAATCTGACTAATATAATCAATCAAGCACAAAACTAGTAGTTTATAAATGGATAATGTACAGCAGGGAGTTGGACAATTTTAATTCTGCTGTCACTTAGTCTGTTATGTTGAAGTATCCTACATAACAAAGCATACATTTAGGAGGTCATTTTTAATTTGCTACAATCTAAAGTGCCAAATACATTTAAGAGGTCATTTTTAGTTTGCTACTATCTAAAGTGCCAAATACATGTCTTTTTCCTTATGGAACAGACGGGCAGAAAAATTTGCGTAAGAAAATTGAGCCTTATTTCCCAGGCCTTATATAATAAACTAACAAGCAAATCAGAGGCACCACGATAATGCTAAAACAGCATTAGAGAAATACTGAGGAATTCTGGGTTCAAACCTTGACTCTACCACTAACTAGATGCATGAATTTTAGCAACTCCGTTTTCCTCTCAGTTTCTTCATCTACAAAATTAATAGATGAAAATTTCAAGAACATTTCCAACTCTAATAGTCTGTGACTCTAGATATTCTTCTAGTGACTTGTATCTAAATGTTAGAAAATTATAGGTAAGGCCGGGCGTGGTGGTTCATGCCTGTAATGCCAGCACTTTGGGAGGCCGAGGCGGGCGGATCATGAGGTCAGGAGATCAAGACCATCCTGGCTAACATGGTGAAACCTGTCTCTACTAATAATGCAAAAAAATTAGCCCGCATGGTGGCGGGCGCCTGTAGTCCCAGCTACTCGGGAGGCTGAGGCAGGAGAATGGCGTGAACCTGGGAGGCAGAGATTGCAGTGAGCCGAGATTGCACCACCGCATGCCAACCTGGGCGATAGAGCGAGACTCCGTATCAATAAAAAAAAAAAGAAAGAAAATTATAGGCAAAAAGTTTTATAGAATTTAAAATTAAAAATCTTATTCTTGAATACACATGAAAAAATAATGCATGGCATCACTGAGGATTGATGGTAAATATCCATGATTACATTTATGTTAGAAAAAATTAAAGGTCTAAAGTGAGGTTGAAGGAAAGTATAAGATGGGCCACATCTTATCCCACAGATGTGTCTTTGTTGGCCTGATTGTACAGACAACAATATATTTTTAAATTTTGTATTAATTTCCAGCTCTTAGACATATGGAGATATCTTTTTTAAAAAATCAGATCCAGGAACATTGCATCTTTATTCCTATATGGCAGCAGTCAACTAAGAAATGGTATTCTCCTCAGATAATAAATGAATTCTTCCATTCATCATCATCCTCTCTACTCCCTGCTGCCTCCAGATAGTGAAGCCCAGTGTCAGCCACGTTTATCATTACACTTGCACCGTCAGTTTTCTTAAAGGGAATATGAAATATTTCTTGGACCCACGTCTCTATCAAAATTTAAAAAAAGAAAACTTCTACCAAGAGGACCACCACTTTCAACTAAACTGGAGGAATACATATACCTTCTGAAAAGTGAATTATCACTCCATATATAACCTACGAACAAAATGATTCAGAAAGAATTCAATTTAGGTAATTAAGAACAACACCATTATATGATAGTCTCCACCTATGTCACTCATATATGTTACCTGCTTAGTTTTTGTTGGCATTTAATTTTGCAAACTTGGTCTGAAGAGAGCAACAATGGTTTGGATGAAGAAAACTCAGTGGATAAACAAGCCATTGAACTTCTGTCACGTTCCTCTCCCACACATCACAGCTGAATTTTATTTCCCAGCATTTTATACAAATCTTTGGTTTTTAAACAATATAGTTTCAAATTTAAACACAGAAGCACTCAGAGAACTATCTCCCTAAATTTCTGCAAATGTTACAAGGCGGCATATTTAACTTCATGAGAAGGGATTTCTGTTAACGAAATTAGATGCATCCACGGAGTGATAGATAGTCTCTCTGTTGGATGAGTCAGGAGTGCCAGGATACTTGCACATGAAGAAGACTAGACTAGAATAACTCTAAGGACTATATTATTAGAAAACTGAAGGGGAAGAGCTCGTTTACCTTTCAGTGCATTTCTGAAAGTTAACCCTCAAATATGGGAAGAGTTGCTGCATGGGTCAGACCATCACAAGTGCTCCCTGTCTTACAGATAAATAATAGAGCTGGAAACACTAATTCAGAAGGTCTCGGATAGGACCTCTATTTCTGTTATGATGTAAAAGCTGCCCAAGTGATGTTGATCATCATCCAGTTTTGCTAACCACTGTAGTATTTGTATTGTTGTTATTCATATGAATAAATTATATAAATGCTCACATTTGTGTATTAATTTTCTTAATAATTATGCAGAGTTAGAATCTTAGAATGCCCCTTCAACAGATCTAACAAAGCCTATTCTATTGATTATAGTAAAAGAATCACTTGCAACTCATTTTTAAGTGTGACTTGTAGGAAAGTTGAATCTTATAAAGTGCTTCCTTAGTTTCTACTAAATGACTTAACCCCCAACCAAAGTAAACCATTAAATAATTATAATGTAATAGTAGGAATAATAGCCAAAACAGCAAGTAAAAATTATATAGCTATCCTTTGATGCTTAATGTATGTCACATACAAACTTGGACAATGCATAGATTTTCATCTTTGCTAATCTTCACAATAACCCAATGAGATTGACATTATCTTTCCCATTTTATAGACAAGGAAACTGAGGCTCAAGGAGATTAAATAACTTGTAATTCAGATAGTAAGAAACAGATGAGATTCAGTTTGTGTGATGCCCAATTCCATGCTCTTGACTGCTTCCCTGAGCACTTCTGGCTACAAAAGAAACTCACATCTTTCCAAGCCTAACTTAGTAACAGGGAGTAAGGGAGTAGCATAGCACTGGGGAGATTCAGGCTCATTAATTCCTATTCCCCTCTCTCCCCTCTTTGACATAATTAGCCCTTCACCCATGCTGCCTGAGTGAGTAGTTTCTCCAGGCTGTCAGACAATGCGGTAACAAGCAGTCTGTCACAGAAACCCCCTTCTTGAATAAAAAGTAACTGAAATTATGAGAACTTGCTTTTTCATTTCATTTTAAAGTCCAGGTTCATTTTAAGTTATTGAACATTGTACCTTTACCAGCACTATTGAAAAATACCAAGTAGCCCATGAGTACTGAGATGAAAAAAGAACTAAAAATCCACATCCTATCTTATTGCTTTATTTTATCCTCTTCTTTGATTTGTAATGCACTGCAATTTCATCTACAATTTGTACTCTCATTTTTATAGCAGATCAATTAAAGATAACTGGACAAATGCTTTCCTATATTCTGAAAGCCAATTTTAATATTACTTCCTGATGGTACTCTAATCTTATCAAAAATTCAACCTCTCTCATCTTCCTTTTACTTACGGGGAGTTTCAAGTGTTGTAAATCAAATAAGTGGTATTTAAAATATACATGGACTTTTGCTTATCAGTTTTTCATCATGCAAACAAAATAATATAATAACAAAACTGAAAAACATGAGTCAAAGAACTCAAATTTTGGTAACTCCTTGACACCAAATCAAACCTGAATTGAATATTAGACAAAAGCTAGCAAATTTACCAAATGGGTTTAGATAAACATCAAAGAAAAAAATCTTCCAGTTTCCAAATATATCTCAAAAGTGAGAAGAATCTCAACTAGTCTCATTAAGAACAATGTGGTACCATTTGATATACCTGTCCTGATAACTGATGACTTTCTGTTAAATTGTGACGTAAAAGAAGATTAAGACAGGGAAGTTAGGAATGGTTGTATGTAGTTAAAAGACATACTCTGAAATGCTGCTTGTGCATCTATAAAACCCCAAGTAGATTGTGGAGATATATATGAATAAATATATACATCTGAAAGACTATCATGGAATATATTTTAAAACTCTTCAACTGTGCACACCTTTTGATCCGGAATTCCACAGTAAGAAATTTCTCCTTAGAAAATTTTCAGCCTCACATGGATAAAAGTCAAGGACGACCATCTCAATTTTATTCAAAATACATCAGAAGTCCAACAATAGGAGACTGGTTACATAAATTATGATACACCCTTATAATGGAATACAGAAACTAGATTAAAATTATATTGCATATATATTAATACAATAATATAAGATATATTGTCATCCATTGCAGATATTTGTTTTATATAATTGGGTACAAGAAGCCTTATACAGTGTTGTTTTTCTAACTTACCCTGTCTTTATGTCCCACTTAACATTGAGGCCAAAACTTTACCTTAATTATATCTGACAATGGGACATCCTATTCCCTAACAATACACATGTCTTCCATTTACAGGGCTGAAACTGCTGTTCCTTCTTCTTTGCTTTGCCATAGAGCCTACTTTGTGAAGCATGAGAAGCTGTGAGAGCCAGGTGGTCTGAAAGGCCAAGTATAGCAAACTCTGAATCAGCCTCTACCCTGCACAAAAGGTTTTGGTTCACAATAATCATGGCAACCTGGAGCCATCTCAAGCCCCATTTCCCAACCTCTGGGCAAGTAGGCCAGGCTCCGAAACTCCCACATCAACTACCCCTCTCCTTTGCTCAATTTTGGGGAAGATCCTTGGGGCAGACAAAGGCTCTGCCCATATCTCTCAGACCTTTCACGTTCTCCAGTGAACCCCATGCATGAGGGATTTTTTTTTCTCCCGGAAGCAGGGAAGAACTTTCTCCTACATAGCAGCCTGGAAATTCCAGAGAATTAACACCACCCTTCCACTAGAATAGGGCTCAACTTATCGGAGTTGGTGTAAGTACCCCAGCTCCCCCACCACTCAGAGGATGAGGGTAGGTGTGGTAATTATTGTGAGTCGGATGTTTTGCACCACTTTGTAGTTTCTGCACAGGATTCAGCTGCAGTCACCCCTGTGGGAGCAGGCTGGATAATATATGTTCTATTTTCTTCTTTCTGTCCCAGCATCATTTCCCCTCTTCCTCATTGGTATTTCCTGCACTTCCCAAACGAATCTCTGGCACTCAAGTCCTTTGTTCAGTGCCTGTTTCTTGGACTAACCTAAACTGCACAATTTTCTTTTCCTTTTAGATCTGGACACTTCAGCCTCTTCAACTCTCAGAAACAGCCCCTCTCAATGGGTGAAGACAAAGCAAATTCTCTTTGTGACCGTAAAATACCAAGGTCCCCAAAGATCATTTGGGGCAGGAGAACTCAGTCTCAGGACACAACAGGCTCAGCTCCTTTCTTGTAATTATAAGGGAAATAAGCTTCTCTCTCTACTTATTTTTTTGGTTTTCTCTATCCAAAGAGAAAAAAAAAAACAAAGGCATATCTTGCCTCATATGGAAATATTATTCTATAATATTGTTGCATAAATCATATCCCATTTTTCTTTTTACTATATTATTTATATTCATATACAGCATAGACATTTATGGGAAAAAATACCAGCTAGCCTTATGTAAAACAAATTACTCCAAACTTTAATGACTTGAAACAATATTTTTAATTCTCATAATTCCTTTGGTCTGGGTTGATTTGTCTGGTAACTACACTCAGAGATCAGACAAATCTGAGTGGACTCATGGATTAGACCCATTCATTTGTCCAGTACTTGGCAGGCTCCTTTTGAAAGAGTTTCTCTAGAATGTATGACTAGGAGTTAGAATTACTGGATTGCTTGTTATCTGTACTTTCATTTATATTAGATATTGCTAAATTGTTTTCCATTAAGGTTGCACAAATTTATATTAATCTCATACTGGTTTAATTTTAATTTTTCATTGTATATATGGTATACAGTGTGATATTTTGATATGCATATATAGTGAAATGATTAAATGAAGTTAATATATTTGTCACATCATATACTTATCATTTTTAATGAGAATGTTTTCAATCTACTCAGCAATTTTTGAGTGTATAATAAATAGCATGATGATGAAAGTCAATAATATGGTAATAGATCACTGGAACTTATTCCTTCTCATTGGAACTTTGTGCCCTTTATTGAACAAACAGGTTTAGTTTACTTTGAAGTGTCTTTTTGTAACTTTTTCTCATTTCTCTTTGGAGTTGTCTCGCTGAATATAAGAATTTTCATATATTCTAGGTCTTGATTTTTTGAGAATCCTATGCATTGCAAATATATTTTTCTAGACTCTGGTGTATCTTTTAAATGTGTTTTTATACCATTTGGGGGGCTCAAATGTACATTACTCAATTTGTAACAAATTATTCATGTCTTTGTGTTTCTTTCTTTTTTATATTTATTGAGGCTGGGTGATCAGAGGCATTCATCTTAAGTATAGTGTTTAAAACGATACCAAAATTCATTTCTACAGAGTAACAAGCATGATAAAGTAATTATCTTTGTTAGTTTTTAAAACATATAAATGTATTCATAAGATTTATTTTTCTTCCTTGATGATATATAAACTTTGAAAATCTCTTTCTCTGGTAAAAGGGAGAATTTTGGTGGCATTGATGTCAAGCTAATTTTTATTGAGGAACTTCTTCCTTTTTTAGAATATATATTACAGTATTTCTAATAAATCTGCTTGGTATATTGACTCAACTCTAGAGGTCATAGAGTCAACTACCAAAGCTCTTTCTAAATAGAGATGAATAATTTCTTGCTCAATAACATTTGTGATTATAGAGCTAAGATAATACTCAAAACTCATGTGTCAAGACCTGTGCTAATCAGCAGCAACTCGTGATGAAATACCCTGGCCTCTGGTACACTGTTGGCTAAGCTCAGCGATGGAAAGGGAAAGTTCTCCTCTGAAAGCACCTAGTGTTACCCCCAAAAGCAGCAAATAAAGAGAAATGCATGTTTTTAATGAGCAAACAAAATATGAGTAAATGAAAACATTTTTATTCCCCTACTCCAAGTCACATGAAAATGTTTAATATGACAAAATCTAAGTAAAAGTAATGAATGTGCAACATCCTTAAAATTCTCATGCACTTTCATTTCTATTAGAAAGATATTCTATGGGAATAATATAGACAATGTTGTTGTAAATGACAAGAACTCATTCTTTATGACTAAAAATTACAACAATTGAACTCATGGAGACATAGAAAATAGAATGATAGTTGCCAGATACTAGGAAGGGTATTGGGTGGGGAAAGGAATTGGAGATGGTTAATGTGGGTACAAAAACATAGAATGAGTAAGATCTAGTATTTGATAGCATAACAGGGTGAGTGTAGTCAACAATAATTTATTGTATATGTTAAAATAACTAAAAGTATAATTGATTGTTTGTAATACAAAGAAAGGATAAAAGCTGGAGGTGATGGGTGAATATCCATCATTTTCCCTGGTGTGATTATTAAGCATTGTATGCCTCTATAAAAATATTTCACGTATCCCATAAATACATACACCTACTATGTACCCATGGAAATTGAAAATAACACAAAAATATAGTATGTAAAATATGTAGATAATGATTTTTATAGACATTAACGTATTATAGATAATACATACCTATCAAGTGAGTGTTCACATTTACTTTTGCAATAGTTGTAATGGTTACCCAGGGGTGTCCAATCTTTTGACTTCCCTGGGCCACATTGGAAGAAGAAAAATCGGCTTGGGCCATGCATAGAAACACTAACACTAACGATAGCTGCTAAGCTAAAAAAAAAAAAAAAAAAATCTCATACTGGTTTAAGAAAGTTTATGAATTTGTGTTGGGTCACATTCATAGCCATCCTGGGCCACATGAGTCCCATGGGCCCCGGGTTGGACATGCTTGGTACATCTTAACTTTGATACTGGGCTCTGAGAAGAACTCAGGTAGATTTTAGGTCAGTCCTTTCTGTCTTTGCGTTTAAAGCACCCTGTTTCATATTATTAAATAATATTAAATAAATTTCTAGTGCAAATGAACAGATGATACATGTCAAAATAGTCCAAGAACTCACAGGAAAATTAGCAACTGATCTACCTTTGGACAAAAGTCTCCAATCTGAAGAAAAGATATAAACTATTAACTATTATGGGATGTTGGTTCTTACAGTAAATGGAAGGCAATAGCCAGAATCCCCATGATTCTTAAAGTCTATTAGGGATACCGACAAGAAACACACAAAAATGAGTAACTACGTAATAAATAAGGTTATGATGTGTGTTATGTGGGGGAAAGGAAGCAGAATAAGAGGATGATTAGTGATGAAATTAAAGTGAAAGTTAGGGAAAGTGCTTATATAGGAGAAGGATCTTTGATAAAATAAAATTTGAGCAGAGACAAATTTGAAGTTGGTTTGAGACATCAATGAATTACTTGATTCTCTGATGCCAGTTGGCATCATTTGCCCAGTAAAATTTCCCAAGATTCTGCAAGCCATATGATTACAGTATATGATTACCATGGGTGGGCTCTGTTATCTGTATCACTCTATAAAATTTAACTTTAAAGATTTATAAAAATGCCACTTATAATAGCAAACCAAAACAAAACAAAATGAAACATTTTAAAGCGAGTAACTATAACCACCAAAATAATGTTATGACAATATTTTATGACAAATATTTCCAAATCTATTCAATAATTTTATGAGAATATTTAATGACACAGCAATATTTCCAAATATATTCAATGGGAAAGTGTTCATAAAAATATGAACAGCGATATCCTACATTTGTTTATATCAGTACATATGGAAAATTGTATGGAAAGGTATGCCAGATTTTTCATAGTGTTGTCTTTCAGGGAGAAATTACGAGTGCTACGCTTTTTATTTTCTTTTGCCTTTTGATTTACTATATTGTGTTAAAATAAAATTTTATTGTAAAATAAATGGCAGAAATTAATTTTAAAAAACAAAAAAAGTAAGAAAGGTCTAAAGTTGTATTTCCCGACCATAAGAATAATACATAGATTTAAGTGATATTTTGATAGTAGCTTTGACTCAGGGATTTTTTTTTTCCCAAGGCTAATGGAAGAATGCTGTAGGTCAAATAATACCCATAGATTGAGGCTGGTTTTATGTCATCTTCTTTGGTTTATTTTATCTCATTGTTTAGCCTTCAAATTACTTTCATTTATTTGGATATCAAGGAAGTTTATATGTTCAAAATCTGTATCTTTATACACAAACTGTATATAAGTTTATGTGCTCATATGGGGGTATCATCGTTTACTTTGCAACTCCTAAGATATTCTGATTAAATGAACATTAATAGATGATGACATGCAAAAACAGTTTAATGAAACAGTGACATTATACTCATGTCTCATTATGTGTTCTCCAAGAAGCAGACGTTAGACAAAGATTTTAGTGCAAGCAGTTTATTTTGGAGAGGATCTGAAGAAATGAGTTAGGGAGAGGGGGCGGGAAGGGAAGGGAACAAAGAGTCAGCTATCCAGCAAATTGCCACTGCAAATAAAGGGTTCTTACCAAAACTAGGAACAAGGGCCTGTGGTATTTATATATCAATTTCTCTCCTTAATTTGTTGAGGGCTGCCCCAGTGGTTACTAGTTCTCTCCATTTCTAGTGCCCATTGAAAAGAGTGAGGAGATATGAGTAGTGTATTTGTCATGTCCATTACACTCTTCTTCATTATGCATTCTTTTAAGGTTCTTTGAAGGCTCTGTTTGTAAACATTATAGAAATCAAAAAAATGAAAAGTAGATAAGGAAGATGGGTTAAAATATACAGATTGTTTTACAGTATTCTTAGGATAAAAATTATGCTTCTGATATACTTTGGCATGGGGAAAATGACACTGAGAAGTAGCGAGAAACAAATCCCAATGGACTTCTTACACTATTCTAAGATACTTGCACCTTGTCCTAAAAGGCAATTGGAGGCCACTACAAGATTGAAACCAGAATTTAAGCATTTCTGAAGGGTTTTCTGATATAGAACTGGAAGAAAAATGGGAGCGAAGAAAAGGAAGCAGCAGATTAGGAGCTCAGAGATAATGGTTTACATAGAAAGTGATATATTTGAAAACCATTTGGGAGACAGAAAAATTAGGAAGAAGAAAAATTTTAAAAGAACAAAAATAACTTCCAAATGTTTGCCTTTACATGCTGGATGAAGTAAAAGCAAATGACAGAAGCAGTCTAGAAGCCACTATCTTCACTGGTCTGAAATCAAGATTATTTATAGCCAGTGCTGCACATTATGGTATTTTGTACACTAGATGTGTAAAATTATTATTTATTTAACTGAGCTGAAGCATGTAATTCAATTATAAAATTGAAGGAGGGAGTGGTAAAAGGAATTAAATATTTATTAGGAAGCATTTCCTATCAACCACTTGTTCATGCTTAGATAAAACAGATCTAATAATTTCTTGTTAAATTCATCACTTTTCATTAGAAGAGTAATTGTAGTTGGTAAAAGGTAATGGTTACAGTGTGTTACATAATTAACAGTGTGAAATGAACTAAAATATATTCTCTATAGATGATTTTCTTGGAACGCTAGATACTGGGTTTAGGATATATAAATGTAGGAATTTCTAAACACTATTTTGTTAAATAAAAGTCACTTATATTTCAGTCGAAAACTAATATTGTCATTTAGACATTTTAAAATTGATAATATTTTGCTAAGGATGAAGAAAATAAGTTCCTTTTTTTAAGAAATAACCATGACGTCTATATACAAGACCAGAGGAAATAGCTTAGATCCATGTTGCTAATTTCAGCCCTGAAACTCTTTGCTTTCTCTTGTTTTTGTTTGTTTATAAACACAACATGAGTTCATTTGGGAAATAAAGAAAATAAAGGTTAATACTGAGAAGAAAACATATGGGTAATTATTATTAAAATATGGTTATATAACTTTCTAATCTTTTGGGGTCATATTTTATATTGCAGTATAAATGTTATAGTGCATCTGTAAATATATGTACGTATATTTTATTATGCCTTTTAATATACTTGTTATAATTTATATACAAGAGACTGCACTGATTTTAAGCATAGAGTTTGATAATTTTGCAAATATGTTTGCCAGGCTAACCACCACCACACTCAAGATACAGAACATTTCAACACTCAAAAAAGGTTTCCTTATAACTCTTCCCAGTCATTACTCTTACACATCAAGCTCTTGACAACCTGATCTTTCAGTCATCATAGATGTGATTTGTTTTTTCTAGATTTTCATATAAATAAAATCATGCAGTATAAACAGTGTACATGGCTTCTTTTGCATAGAATAATACTGTGATATTTACCCATGATTTTTCCACGTATTAGTATTTTTAAAGTAACATCCCATTATATGAGTAGGGCAAAACTTGTGCATTCATTCTCCTGTTGAAAAACCTTGGGGGTTGGGTTTTCCAGTTTGGGGTTATTGTGAGTAAAGCTAGAATGAGTATATCCAGACATGTGTTTCAGTACTCTTTGGTATATAATCAGAATTGGAATTGCCTAAGGTATGTAAGTGTGTGTTTAATTAAAAAATGATAAATTGATTTTCAAAGAGATTATACTACTTATCTTCCCAAAAGCAACATATGAGAGCTTCAACTTGGTGTTTAATCTTTTTAATTTTAGCCATTCTAACATGTGTACAGTGGGATTATGTGGCAATTTCCATTTGCATAGGACTAAAGATGTTGAACATCTTTCATGTGCATGTTGGTCTTCATATATTTTCTCTGATGAAGTGTCTGATCAAATATTTGCCCATTTTTAATTGAGTTTTTGTCTTTGAGTTGTTAGAGGGTCTTTATATATTCTGGATGCACATCTTTTATCAAATGTATTACAAATATTCTCAGTCTGTGGTTTTAATTTTGTTGGAGTATAATTTAACACTGTTTTCTTCTTAACATTTGTGTTGTATCCTATCTAAAAATTTACTGTCTGCAAAATTTATCTCCTCTATAGTCTTCTATAGGACTTAGAGTTACAGATTTTTTTTGGTTTAGTTCTATAATACATATTGAGTTAATATTTATATAACTTTTATTATATAAAATTTTCTTTTAACATGGATATCAAATTATTTCAGTGCCATGTTTGGAAAACTTAGTTTTCCCTATCGAACAATATTGACATATTTCTCAAAAATCAATTGATCATATACTGGATTTATAATTATATTCCATCAATCTATATATTTAACATTGTAAGAAATCTGTCTTTATTATTATAGCTTTGCACTAAGTCTTGAAATCAGAAATTGCGAGTCCTCCAA
Source organism: Homo sapiens (assembly GCF_000001405.40). NCBI lineage: Eukaryota > Metazoa > Chordata > Mammalia > Primates > Hominidae > Homo > Homo sapiens. The sequence continues at coordinate 8,804,036 of NC_000007.14, read as the reverse complement.
ATTTTTTCTTTGTCAAATTGTTTTTGGATACTCTAGAACATTTGCCTTTCTCATATACATTTTTAACTCAACTTCTCAATTTTTACAAAAGCATATTGGGATGTTGCTATGGCTTGAATGTGTTCCTTGAAGAATTCAGTATTCAATATTGCCAATCTGATAGTATCAAGAGGTGGAGCTTTTTTTTAAGCTGTTCTTTATTATTATTATTATTATTATTATTATTATTATTATTATTATTATTTTAAGTCTGGGATACATGTGCAGAACGCGCAGGTTTGTTACATAGGTATACACGTGCCATGGTGGTTTGCTGCACCCATCAACCTGTAATCTACATTAGGTATTTCTCTTAATGCTAACCCTCCACTAGCCTCCCACCCCCTGACAGGCCCTGGTATGCGATCTTCCCCTTCCTGTGTCCAGGTGTTCTCATTGTTCAACTCCCACTTTTGAGTGAGAACATGTGGTGTCTGATTTTCTGTTTCTGTGTTAGTTTGCGGAGAATGGTTTTCAGCTTCATCCATGTCCCTGCAAAGGACACGAACTCATCTTTTTTATGGCTGCATAGTATTCCATGGTGTATACGTGCCACATTTTCTTCATCCAGTCTATCGTTGATGGGCATTTCTGTTGGTTCCAAGTCTTTGCTATTGTGAATAGTATTGCAATAAACATACGTATTCGTGTGTCTTTATAGTAGAGTGATTTATAATCCTTTGGGTATATACTCAATAATGGGATTGTTGGGTCAAATGGTATTTCTGATTCTAGAACCTTGAGGAATGGCCACACTGTCTTCCACAATGGTTGAACTAATTTACACTCCCACCAACAGTGTAAAAGCATTTCTATTTCTCAAGGTGGAGCTTTTTAAGAGGTGATTAGGGCACGAGGACTCCCTCCTTAATGGAATTTAAGCTTTTATAAAAGAGGCTTCATGCAGTGTTCTGCAAGCTAATTCGCTCTTCTGCCTTCTGCCACATGCGGACATGGTGTTTCTCCCCTCGGGAGCATATAGCCCTAACCAGACCACCAAACCTACCAAAATACATTTGTTTTTTATGAATTACCCAGTCTCAGGTATTTTGTCATAGCAGCATAAACAGACTAAGAATGGAATTACGTTGAATCCGTTGATCAGTTTGTGGATAATTGGTATCTTGATGAGTCATCTGTTCAATGAACATGATATATGTCTCCATTTAAGTATTTTACAAATAGTGCTAAATATTTTACAGATTTAATTGTACAGAATTTGCACAAACATTAAAATGAACATTAAATGTTTCATGCTTTTGGAGCCTAGTAAAAATGATATTTTTAACTTAGTTACCTGTTGTTCATTTTCAGCATATAGACTGATTTTTTATATTGACCTTTCTGTGATGTCTCGTTTTGATTAATTCTAAGAAATTCCTTAGAATTTTCTGTGCGTACAATTGTAATAAAAATTCTGACTCTATTTTTGATATTTGACAACTGATGGCTTTTAAGCCCTACCCCTTTCACTTCTTCTGCCCAACATCTGGGCAAACTGATAAGAAAGCTCAGATTCCTTTTATCTGGGAAATACTAGATTCCATTTTATCTTCTATTTCTAATCCTTTATTGTCAGCAGGGATGCAGAAACTCTCAACTCACTCTTACTAACCACCATAAAACCCCAACTCAATCTATTTCGTTTGCTTTCTCAAGCCGTTTTCTTTTCTTTCTCTTCCTCTTCTTCTTCTTCTCTTTTTTTTTTTTTTTTTTTTTTTTTTTGAGACACATTCTGTTGCCCAGGCTGGAGTGCAGTGGCACGATCTCGGCTCACTGCAACCTCAACCTCTCAGGTTCAAGAGATTCTCCTGCCTCAGCCTCCTGAATAGCTGAGATTACAGGTGCATACCACCACGCCTGACTACTTTTTGTATTTTTAGTATAGACAGTTTCACCATGTTGCCCAGGCTGGTCTCGAACTCCTGACCTCAGGTGATCCACCTTCCTCAGCCTCCAAAAGTGCTGGGATTACAGGCATGAGCCACCACTCCCAGCCTCAAGTCATTTTCATTGTGCTATCCCTAGAAAGCCTCATTCTGTTAGTGCTAAGTCCTTTTATACATTTTTGGTACATATGTGGGGTCATCTGTCTCAACAACTAAAACAAATTTTGGGTGAGGGACCTATCCTGCTTCTGCAGAGTGATTACAACAATCATGTTGTCTCAATAAAGAGAAATTTACTTTTTTCTTTCCTTGTATTTATTTTTATTCTCTTACTGAACCAATGCAGTCACCAAAATATTATGTATCATGGTGCATTGCAGTGATGAGAGTGGACATCCTTGTTTTGTTACCAATATTAGGGGAGAAGGAAGAAGCATACAGAATTTTACTGTTAAGTATGATATCAATTGCAAGCTTTATTGATACCTTTTATCAAGTTGAAAATGTTTTTTTTCTAATTTTGAATTTTTATCCTGAATAAATGTTTTGTCAAAAGTTTTTCTGCATCTATTCAAATGATAACATTGATTTTCTAATTTAATCTCTTAATATCGTGTCATTCCATTGTCATAGGTCTTGCATAGTTTCTGATGATAAAAATGTTTTGGTCAATGATAAACTCCATATACAACAGTGGTCTTTCATAAGATTATAACACTGTATTTTTACTGGACTTTTCCATGTTTAGATACACAAATACTATTATTTTACAATTTCCTACAGTATTCAATACAGTAATGTATTGTGAAGGTTTGAAGTCTAGAAGCAATAGGATAAACCATATAGCCCAGGTGTGTAGTAGGCTATGCCAGTTATGTTTGTGTAAGTACACCATACGGTGTTCGCACAATGATGAAATCACCTAATGACGCATTTCTCAGAATGTCTTCTGTTATTAAGCAACTCATGACTGTACTCACTCCTTTGCAATATGTGTATCTCTTTGCTCTGGCTGCTTTTTAACATTTTATCTTTATTACTGGTTTTCAGCTATTTGATTTTAATATACTGTATGTGTGCATAATGTTTGCGATTATTAAATTTCCTGGGTCTGTCATACTTTTTTCATCAAATTTTGAATGTTTCAGGCCCTTATTTATTAAAATACTTTTTTTCCTGGCTACCTTCCTTCTGTGACTCCAATTTCACATATTTTTTTTTATTATACTTTCAGTTTTAGGGTACATGTGCACGATGTGCAAGTTAGTTACATATGTATACATGTGCCATGCTGGTGCGCTGCACCCACTAACTCGTCATCTAGCATTAGGTATATCTCCTAAAATTATCCCTCCCCGCTTCCCCCACCCCACAACAGTCCCCAGAGTGTGATGTTCCCCTTCCTGTGTCCATGTGTTCTCATTGTTCATTTCCGACCTAGGAGTGAGAATATGCGGTGTTTGGTTTTTTGTTCTTGCGATAGTTTACTGAGAATGATGATTTCCAATTTCATCCATGTCCCTACAAAGGACATGAACTCATCATTTTTCACAGCTGCACAGTATTCCATGGTGTATATGTGTCACATTTTCTTAATTCAGTCTATCATTGTTGGACATTTGGGTTGGTTCCAAGTCTTTGCTATTGTGAATAATGCCGCAATAAGCATACGTGTGCATGTGTCTTTATAGCAGCATGATTTATAGTCCTTTGGGTATATACCCAGTAATGGGATGGCTGGGTCAAATGGTATTTCTAGTTCTCAATTTCACATATGTTAAATAAACATGATAGTGTCTCATAGGTCACTGAGGTTCTGTTTGTTGTTCAGTATTTTTACTCTCCGTATTTCACTTTGGTTAGTTTTTGATGCTTCATTTTAATGTTCACTGGTCTTTTATCATGCAGTGTGTAAACTGTTAACCCCATAAAATTTTTATTTTAGACATTGTATTTTTCATCTCTAGAAGTTCTAACTTGCTTTTTTATCTATATTTTCAGTTCTGAAATTTTTGTGCATATTGACCATAATGACTTTTTTAATGTTCTTGTTCATCATTTTAGTAATTTTTTTACAACTGTTTATACTTATTGATCTTTTTCCCCATTTTGGGCCATATTTATGTCTTCGTATACCTCTTCATTTCTGATTAGACAACACCCTTCTCCTCAAATCAGGAAGACTTACAGACTCTTCATGGATTTTCCTTTTTTGCATGGCCATCCAGAAATTGCCTCCAGGCAATATGTCTGGTCAAGCATATGGCCCACACTATGCGTTTGCCTTCTCTCAGGGATCTCAGTCCTGCTCTGCTGGCTGTCCAACATCTGAAATGGTGGTTTTATCGTAGTTTCATTTTTCTGGTTGTTTGTCTGGAGAGAGTAATTCCACAGCAGTTATTCCAGAAGCAAAAGTTCACATTTCTTTTTTAAAAAACTTAGCGTTATATTATAAATGTATTAAATTTAGTACATGTAGTAAACATTTTTTGTCTGGTATATGAGTTAGGATATTAACTTGGCTACAAGTAAGAGAAAACCCAAGCTGTAGTGGTTTAAGCAAAAAGAGATTATTTTTTCACACAACAAGATCAGACATAGATGGTGTAATTCTGACACGGCAGGCTCATGGTGCTCAAGATAAATATAGTCTCTTTAGAAAGTGACACCACTCTTATTCTTGCCATCTTGTGGAGGCAAAATGGTTGCTCCACTGTCACACATGTGTCTCTATTACACGAAATGAAAGGAGAAAACAGATGGGAGGTGCTAGCTGAAACTGCTCCCACCTGGCAACTTCTTCTCATAATTCAACAACCAAAGTTATATATTTACCCTTTGGGATAAAGAAAAGCTGGGAAATGTAGCTTTTGTTTTAATTGGAGCATTGCAAACATTCACATATCACAAAGAAGCAAATGAAAGTGAGACTTCACTCAATATTCTAAAACATTTGCAATAGGTAAGTTGTAATTCACAGTATGGAAATACTATGATTTTAATCCTTCATTCTCTGCTATTATACGTGTAGATGCCATCTCAGTCCTAGGGCCATTTTTTAAGAGGGCAGCAAGTACAAGTAGTTTATATAAACTCATCAGTTATCAAGAAATGTGAATTCACAGAAGTGAGGAAAATACCTAGATTTTCTGGGAATTTTCTCCTCATGTAAACAATAGAAATTTTCCGACTTTCATAATTATTTTACCTAGAAGGAGTGTGATAACATTGAGAGTGACAAATAACACATTTAACTCTCAGGTGAATAAGTGAAGATATCAAAAAATATATCATACCTCCTAAAAGCCCCAGGCAAACCAAACGTACAAGAGTATAATTTTTAGAAGATATTTATATGATATATACCAAATTGCAGAAATATAAATCACAGAATCAGTGAACCACTGAAGGTGGCAGTTTTTAAGTGGCTTATCAACGCAAGCAGTTACTGACTATCCAAATAGAGATAGCATACTCACTGGTATATGTCAGATCTTTAAAGTTTCCATAAGCGCTTTCTTGCTGACTACATTTTTCAGTATTTATAGCAAAAACTTCAGTGGTGTAAGAGTGCATAAAAATCCACAGACTAAAGTTCTGCAATCAGACATCATTGGAATGAACATTCTAAAGTCAGAAAAAAACATGGAATGGGAATTAAGTAATTGAAACAATTACAACCATATTTTCTTATCCAGGCCCAGAAATTAAAGCCAATACAAATAGTTTAATAATTACTATAAACTCTTCTACATCCTACACTAGTTTCTTGCAGAAGTCTGAGAAAGTTGCAGCACTGCCCCATAATGCCTGGCACATTCCCAGGCAGCTGAACTAAAATGCATCAAATCTTAATTGAGGGACCATACAGAGGCTCCAGAAATACTATTTGTAATACTAAAGAAATGCTCAACTACAAATGAAATATGTTGAATTCCTCTTGAACATTCAGACTGAGCACTACTGCTTGTTGTGGGTCCAACGATATCACTTGTGTATATTTCGATGTACACTCAGAGCCATATCCTTTGGTCTGACATGCCTACTTCACTTAAAATTGTTGAGCATGCATTGAATATATTCTTGGTCTCTGGCCATCTTTGGTGGCTCAGCTTAGCTATCATCCCCATCTACCTTTTCTCATGCTTCATTAATATTTACTGCCATTTTTAAAAATCAGAATGCTAGTTTTAAGGAGAAAAGGTTTGTATGGGAGTAAATTGTCATCTAGTATATGTATCTGCATAGTTAGAACCTACTGTTTTAAGAGATATGATGGTATTAATAGTTGAGATTTGAGGGTTAAATTCTAGTTGAGATGAAGTCTTAAAGTTGCCTTTTCATGCATTTACCATACGAGGGAGATGACCCTTAAATATACTGTCTGCATTGCTTAGATTGTGAACATATGCGTGAAACAATGATTCTCTAATTTTGTATTTAAGAAGTTACTTCCACAGACATCAGTTTATACTGACTAGTTTCATGAAACATGTTCCCTGGGATTTAGGAAATTTTGGCTTTGACGTAATAAATGTCTATTTAATTATATATCATTAGAAATTTTCCAATTACAAAGTCAGTACCTGTGTTGTAATACCTTTGGTAACTATCCTTAGCTTGATACATCATGTCCTCTCTGGTCTGGCTTCTGCCTACTTCTACAAGCTCTTAACACTTCTTCCTCACATCAAGCTGTTGTCAGTGTCATGGTTCCCTCACATGGTTGAGGCTTTGATGGCTGTGTCTTCTTTCTGAAATACTTCTCTTATCCACTTAAGCCTAATAAACACCTATTTACTGTCTATCAGCATCTTTTAATATTCAGATCAAGTTTTACTCTTTCAATAAAGTCTTTTCTATGCAGCCTATGGCCTATCTTAGAATAACCACATCTTTCTTGGTGTTTTGCTTGCCACTCAAGAAATCCCCTGAGTAAATGAATAAATATAAAATTAAATCATATTTATGAGATAGCAAAAACTTAATATATTAAAATAAGTTTTTAGTTCAAGTAAATTGGATTTTGTAAAATGTGCATGCCTCCTTCTGGGAACATAGTGGACTTCACCAATTTTTCAAGTATTTGAATATATTTCATATGACAGAACTATGATTTGTACTGTGCAGATTCAAAATAAACGTAAGGCATGATGCTTACATCCAAAAAAATTCAAAATGTAATTAGGAAGATTAAACTATGAAATGGATATTATTAATTGTTTTAAAATATCACCATTTTAATTCAGTTTTTAAATATTTTCTATAAAAATTTAAAACATATTTGAAATGCTAAGGAATTTTTCAGGTCATAGAATCATGTTAACTTTGGTTTTGTTTTTCTTTGTAATATTCCTATTTTGTAAGTTCCCTTCATTAAGCATTATTTAATTTGTAATATAAAAAGGTAAAAAGATATCCGTGTTGAAAAAAATGTAAAAATAGTTAACATTATCATTTTAGTAATATAGATTTGGAATTCGAAAACACGAATTAATAATATTTGCAAAGGCAGTTTGGTATTATACCAAGGTGCATAAGAAATGGTTCATACCCTTTGACACATAATTTCCCATAAATATTCTAAAAGGAATAAACACAGAAGGATGTTCCTTGCAGTGTAACTCATGATAATTTAAGAAACAGAGGCAACACAAAAACCCCCAAACTACAGGAATGATTTAGTAAATTATAATACACAATTTTAGTGAACTAATTTGCATCATTATATTAGATTGGTACAAATGTAATTATGGTTTTTGCCATTAAAACTGATGGCAAAAATCGCAATTAAGTTTGCACCCCCTAATAGTAATAAAAAGTGTGGGAACAGAAAAACATTAAACATTACTAAATTAAAAACATAGTATTTATTGTAAACCATGGTTAAAATGATATATGTTGGTAAAAATAAGAAGATACGCAAAATTAAATACAAAGTTAGAGAAAGGTGCTGGAGGTTTTTTCTCTTTATAGTACTTTTAATGTCCTAGTTTTGTTGTTTTATAATTTAAGCAACGATTTTAAATAGAAAATAGTGAAAAATTTAAGCAACCTTGTTTTGTTTTTTCAATGTTATTTTAAAATTCTTTATGAGTTATATACCCTTTGACAAATAATTTTCCATAAATATACTAAAAGGCATAAAAATAGAAGGATGTTCATTGCAGTGTTACTCTTAATAATGTAAGAAACAGAGGCAACACAAATACCCCAAAATATGTGAATGATTTAGTGAATTATATGTCCTTTAAGGTATAAGTCAATATGATGTGTCCACTTAACACTAAGTTTAATATTATCTTATAATGCAATATTGCCTTGTGCATGGTGTTAACATAATATTTATAGGATTCCATTTTAATTTATGTTTATTCCAAGACCACGTATCAGATAGTGAATATCTTCTGTTTAATTGATACGAATGAATGTCTTCAAATGTAACTACCAACAAATTTCACTAGAATATTTTCCTATTCCTGCTCAAAATCTTACTGCATTATCTCCACTAACTTCACTTCATTTCCAGATCTATTGAGTCTTAAGTCATTGTTGAATTTTATTAAGAGGCCCCTCCATTGTTAAAAAATACACTTATTTGTTACATTGCCTGGATATTGTTTTGGTCATCTCTTAACGCTAATTTACAGAAATAAAGGATTATTTGGCTGGTTGTGAATAAAGTGAGAAAAGCCATAGAAACACTTTCAGAAATCAAGACAGCACTGGAAGCATAAGAGACTAACAACATAGGTCTTTCCATGGGTCTCTGCGGAGCATGTCCCGGTTTAACACCAGATGGATAAAACTGGACAGAATGGCAGATGAAAGGGGAATTCCCCAGTGAAAGAACTGTTTCCTCACTCTCACATTGCCAGGTGCACTGAAGACAGACGAGATCAGAACTTGTTAATGGAACAAGCCAAAAAATTCAGGAATTTGCAAATTGAACAGGTGAAAATGTAACTGGTGATAATTGAAAGCTAATTATCATCAGCTAGCAATTGGCAACCAGGTGTTCTGAGTCACCTAAAAGGCAAAGCAGGGAGACCGTGAAGATATTTACTTTTGGCACAGAAGAGATAAATGAGTTTCCTGAGTGAGTCCTCAGTATAGGAAAATTAGTCTGTTTATTTTTGCTGTTTTGACGTGCCTAGGAACTAACCATGAAAGAGCAAGGATTGCAAAGCAAAGTAATTATGAATTGTGTGTAAAAAAGCACCTTATATTTTTTTCTAAATTGGACTTTTCCAAGTGAGTAAAAGCAGAAATGTAGTAACCATCAAACCCACATCTATTGGCTCTGGGTCATTCTGAGAGGACACTGGCTTTACTCCTTAAACAGCACTAAACACGCAAAAAATGCTAACCAACCAACAAACACGGGTCTATTGACACAGTATGTATTCTTATAAGGCATGTTTTACCTATTCAAATCAATTAGGTGATGTGTTCTGGTGTTCAGTTTCATAAAGCTGGTAGGCAATAAATTTAAAATTAGAATTCAAAATTGCCTGATCCCAAAGTCTATTCCCTTTTGTTATACCATCCTGTTTTTGATGGAAAACATTCTCAAGCTTAAAAAATAACAGGTTTCTCTTTTTCTCATATGAACATCCCATATCTCTAATAATTCCAAATCATAGAGATTTCAAAGGTTTATATTCAAGTTCAACATTTATATAGAAAAGCACATATATCACAAATACTGTTCAATGGAATAGATCCATCTAACTCTGCCCACCCACGATATAGATTTCTACTATCAATTCAGAGACTCCTCCATGCCCCTCTCAGACACTACTCCTTCCCACAATAGTAACTCGTAGCCAGACTCTTTACACAAGGGATTTATCCTGCCAGGGATTGAACTTTATATAAATGGAATAGTACCACTTTGTGTGCTTTTGTATCAGACTTCTTTCACTAAACATTATGCTCATGAGATTTATTCTTGCTATTATTTCATGTAGAAATATTTTTATATTCATGGCCATATAGTATTTCATTATACTAATATATCACAATATATTCATCCATTATACCTTTTAATGAACATTGGGGTAGATTACAGCTTTTCTCTATTACTATTAATGCTGTGGACTTTTTTTTAATGAATGCATGTATGCATTTCTGATGGTTAAAGAGCCAGTGATGATAATATTGAGTCATAGGTTTTGTATAGGTGCAGCTTTACCAGATATTATCAAACAGTTCTGCAAGGTTGTTGTACCAATTTACACTTTAACCACCAATGTATGAGTTTCGTTTGCTCTACAATCTTCCCAATCATGAGTAATAACCAGCATGTAGTTTTAGCCATTCTTGTGGATGTGCGGTTGTAGCTCATGGATTTAATTTGCATTCCTCCAAGGTCTAATGAGGTTAAGCACCTTTTTGTATGTTATTTTAGCCATTTGAATATTCTCTTTTGTATTGTACCACCTCAAGTGTAAAGTAGTTTTGTTAGATTTTCTGTCTTTTTAAATGGACTTGTAGGAGACTATTACATATTCTAGATGAAAGTACCTAAACCAGAATATTGCAATATTTTTGAACTCTATGAATTGCCCTTCATTGATTAATATTCCATACAACCTTGCACCAATTTCAGTAGAACTAACATTTGTACAATATGGAGACTTCCAATGCAAGAATATACAGATAGATCCGTCCATTTTATTGAGTTTGTATAACATGTAATGCCTTCTTCCCCAACTCACAGAAAAACTTATCAGGATCCCACAATTAAATATATTTTCTTCTTATCTTTTATGTATATACTCTTTATGAGACTAAGGAAGTTCTTTTCTATTTCTAATTTTACAAAAGTAAAATTGGACAAAGCGTTTTAACATCTATTACGCTCTTAATATATTGAATCTATCAAATTCATTAATTATCAAAAGTGTACATTCCTGGATAGGCTATTCATTTCATATGCCATTGGATTTGGTTTGCTAATGTCATGTTAAAGGTTTTAACATGTATTTTTATAATGAATTTGGTCTATAATTTTTCTTTCTCATAAGGTACCTGTCAGATTTTATCATCAAGATTATGCTGATATTTGGTGTTTCCCTTTTCTCTGTTTAAAGAGTTTGTAAGGGACTGAGGTTATTTATTTCTAAAAATTGCTGAAAGAATTATTTCACCAGTAAAGCTATTTGAGTCTAAATGTTTCCTTTGTGGGAACTTTTAAAATTATGCCTAAAGCTTCTTAATATGTTTGCTATTTATTATTTTGTTAGTTTTGAATATTTTCTAAGTTTGCCCATTACCCTTACATTTTTAAACTCAATAACAGAGGGTCGTTAATATTATTTTATTAGACTTTGAAAGTCTGTAGAATATCTAATTTTATTACTTCTCTCATTACTGAAATTTATAATTCATACTGCCTTTTTCTCTCTCCCTCTGCTTCTGTCTCTCCAACCATCTTACTAAAAGTTTATTAATTTTATTAATCTTGGTAAAGAACTATTTATTGGCTTTGCTTACCCTCTCTATTTTATTCCTGCTTACTATTTCATTGATCTTTGCTACTTTCTTTACTATTGTATTCCTTTTAATTTCTTTAGATTTACTGAACTGTTCTTCTAACCACTTATTGAGAGCAATACTTATTTTTAATCTTGTTTCTAAGATATTTATTTAGGGCCATAAGCTTCTCTCTAAGTACTGATTTGCTTTAAGCCACAGGTTTTTAAATGGTATCTTTTCATTATCTTTCAATTAAAATATTTTTTATTTTATTGGGATTTAATTATTCAAGCATTAGTTTTTAAAACTTAATGTATCTATATAACCACTTGTTATTGTATTTTTAAATCTTCTACACACTTAATTTTTGTCTGTTCTATCATTTATTGAGAGAAATTCATTCAAGTCAAATGATGGTGGATTTGATTAACTTTCCCTGTAGATGTACAAGTTATAGCTTCACATGCCTTCAAGCTATGTTACTAGGTACATATGAATATAGAGTTGTGTATATAGAATTATGTGTCTGTTCTATTGCTTATGATTTAGCTCTGATTTGTCCTCACTGAAACTCATGCTGAAATTTAATTCCCAATGTAGCCGTGTTTGGAGACAGGGCCTAGCGGAAGGTGTTTGGATCATGGGGGCAATGCCCTCATGAATAAATTAATGTCATCTTGTGGGAATGAGTAAGTTTATGGGAGTGAGTGAGTTCTCTCACTCTCTTGAAAATATACCAGTTCCTCAAATAACAGGTTGTTATAAAGTGAGCCCAGATTCTTCTGTGCCTCTCTTTATACACACCCACTTGCTGTTCTACTTCTCTGCCATGTTGTGACACAGCACATGACCATCACCAGAAGCCAAGCAGACGCCAGCACCCATGCTCTTGGAATTTCTAGTCACCAGAATCATAAGCCAAATAAACTTCTTTTCTTTACAAATTATCCAGCCTCCAGTATTCTGTTATAGCAACAAAATGGACTGAGATACCTGTATGTTAACCCATTTTCGCTGTAAATTATCCTTATCTCTAGAATGTCTCAGTTTAAAAATCTACTTTGTATGATATTGGATAACTTTATCAGCCATTTTGGTTAGTATCTTTTACAGCATTTTGCTTTCAATCTTTTTACAGCTTTATAATTAAGCTGCCCCGTTTGTAAGTAATATAGAAATGATTTTAATTTTTTGTTTACTCTGGCAATATTTTTCTTTCAATTTGAGTATTTAGTCCATTTACATTTCATGTAATTATAACTTAGGGTTTAAATATTACTGCTTCTCTCTCTCTCTCTCTCTCTCCTCTCTCTTTCTCTTTCTCTCTCTCTCTCTCTCTCACACACACACACACACACATATATCCATGTCTATGCATGCATAAATTCCACAATATATCACTGTTATTTTAATATTTTAGTATTTATTTTACTTTACCCACGTATTGGGTATTCATGTCATCAATTCTCGTGTGGCTTCAAACAGATGATTTTTTAAAATATAATGTTGCTAAGTGTTCTTTCTGGGAGATTTATTCTGATACAGAGAGTTTCCCAGAGTTGGTAAACTGAAACAAAAACATTATGAACTGTAAGTCAACACCAGGAACTCATTATAGAAGAAAGAAAGAGTGGTCACTTGAAAAAAATAGACCGAATTTAAATATTGGAAAGATTTGATGGGTAATTAGAAGATTTTAGAGTAAAATCTAAGATCCTTTAATTTGAGTCGGGACTTGCACAAGTATTAAAATCTATTATTCATTAATTTATAATAAATTTTAATAAATACTTGTGCAAGTCTTGACTAAAATGACCTCGCAAAATTTATATAAAATTTGTAGACATAAATACACACTATGCTACAGTTCCAATACAACAGTCAAACTCTGTCAGATGTAAAAAGAAGAGCTGGTACCATTTCTACTGAAACTATTCTTAAAAACTATTCTCTTAGGGAGGAAGTACTCCTCCCTAACTCATTCTATTAATCCAGCATCATCCTGATACCAAAACCTGGCAGAGACACCCACAGAAAGATCACTTCAGGCCAACATCCTTGATGAACATAGATGCAAAAAAATCTTCAACAAAATATACCAAACCAAATCCAACAGCACAACAAAAAGCTAATCTACCAAGTTGGCTTTATTCCTGAGATGCAAGGTTGGTTCAACATACACAAATCAATAAATGTGATTCATCACTTAAGCAAAAACCACATGATCATCTCAATAGACACAGAAAAGACTTTTGAAAAATTTTAACATCCCTTAATATTAAAAACTACCTATAAACTGGGCATTGAAGTAATATACCTTAAAACAATAACAGCCATCTATGACAAATCCAAAGCCAACATCATACTGAATGGGCGAAGGCTTGAAGTATTCCCCTTGGGAAATGGTACAAGAAAATGATGCCCACTCTCACCTCTCCTATTCAACATAGTACTGGAAGTCCTAGCCAGAGCAATCAGGTAAGAGAAAGAAAGAAAAGGCATCCAAATAAAAAGTGAAGAAGTCAAACTATCTGTTTGCAGACGATATGATTCTATACCTAGAAAACCCCATAGTCTCTGCCGAAAAGCTCCTAGATCTGAAAAACAACTTCAGCAAAGCTTCAGTATACAAAATCAATGTAAGAATATCAGTAGCATTTCTATGCACCAACAAAGTACAAATTGAGACCCAAATCCTAGTCACAATAGCCCATTCACAAAATCCTATACACAATGAGAATGTAATCCTATTCACAATACCAAGAAAAGAATAAGATACCTAGTAGGAATATCACTAACCAGAGAGGTAAAATATCTCTATAACAAGTATTATAAAACACTGCTCAAATAAATCAGAGATGACACAAACAAATGCAAAAACATTCCATGCTTATGGGTAGAAAGAATCAATAATGTTAAAATGACCATACTATCCAAAGCAATTTATAGAATCAATGCTATTCCTACCAAACTACCAAAGATATTCTTCAAGTAATTAGTAAAAACTATTCTAACATTCATATAGAACTAAAATAGAGCCAAAATGGCCAAGGAAATCCTAAGAAAAAAGAACAAAGGTGAAGGCATCACATTACAAGACTTTAAAATACTATAAGGCTACAGTAACCAACACAGCATGGTACTGATACAAAAATGGACACATAGACAATAGAACAGAATAGACAACCCAGAAATAAAGCCACACATGTACAACCAACTGATCTTTGACAGAGTAAACAAGAATAAGCAATAGGAAAAGGATTCCTCATTGGCTAACCATATGAGGTATGGTTATGAAGAATGAAACTGGACCCCAACCTCTCACCATATACAAAAAAGAACTCAAAATTAGTTGAAGAATTAAATTTATAAACAAAAACTATAAAAATCCTAGAAAAAACCTGGGAAATATTCTTCTGGTCATTGGTGTAGGGAAATAATGTATGACTAAGTCCTCAAAAGGAAATTCAACAAAAATAAAAATTGACAATCAGGGTGGAATTAAACTAAAGACCTTCTGAACAGCAAAAGAAACTATGAACAGACAACCTACGGAATGGGAGAAAATATTTACAAACTATGCACCTGACAAAAGGAGTAACATCTGGAATCCACAAGGAAAATAAACAAATCAACAAGAATAAAAAAACAAATAGCCCCATTAAAAAGCAGGTAAAGAACATAAACTTCTCAAAAGAAGACATACAAGCAGCCAACAAATATATGAAAAAATACTCAACCTCACTAATCATCAGAGAAATGCAAATCAAAATCACAATGAGATACCATCTCATACCAGTCAGAATGGATATTATTAAAAAGTTTTAAAATAACAGATATTGGCAAGGCTGCAGAGGAAAGAAAATGCTTCTACATTGTTGGTGGGAATATAAATTTGTTCAGCCCCTGTGGAAAGTAGTTTGGAGAGTTCTTGAACTAAAAATAGAACTACCCATCAACTCAGCAATCTCATTATTGGGTATATACTCAAAATAATAGAAATGGGTCTACCATAAAGACATTTGCATGCATATGTTCATGGCAGCACTATTCATCATAGCAAAGATGTGGAATCAACCTAAGTGCCCACCAATGGTAGACTAGAAAAAGAAAATGTGGTATATATACACTATGGAATACTATGCAGCCATGCTAAAGTACAAGATCTTGTCCTCTGCAGCAACATGAATGGAGCTGGAGGCCATTTTTCTAAGGGAACTAATGCAGGAACAGAAAACTAAATACTCCATGTTCTTACCTATAAGTGGGAGCTAAACACTGAAAACACATGCACACAAAGGAGGAAACAAGAGACACCAGGTCCTACTTGAGGGTGGAGGATGGAAGAAGGGAGAAGAATAGGAAAACTGCCTATTGGGTATTATGCTTATTACCTGGGTGATGAACTAATCTGTACACCAAACCCTCATGACATGCAATTTACCCATATAACAAACCTGCACATGTACTCCTGAACCTAAGATAAAAGTTTAAAAGGAGAACATTTCTCATTTTAAGTTAAAAGCACATTTGTCTTAATTTTACCCTACCTCAGTAAAAATTATGTTGTATTTTCATTTTAAATTTTCAGTTGCTTTTGTGTATGCTTCCATAGTCCATACATATACATTTATATAGCATAAATAAAGTTGTGTTGTTAATGTTTACTTGCCAGTCTTCCCTACTAGACAGTAAGCCCATCGATAAATAGAGAGAACTCTCCTGTATATACTATCTCCCTAATACTCAATACAGTAGAAATTCAATAAATATACATTTAGATTTAAAGCTTTTACGCAGTGAAAGTCCTTCTCAAAATGAAATATTTTGATAAGCCAAATATTTTCAAATAATGTCTTTGTTTATTCAAATACTAATTGAGCATGGACAATTTCTTTGAGAAATGTGCTACAAAAGTTATTTGCTGTTGTTTTTTGGTTTTGTTTTGGTAGAAGTGATTTGAACATGCTCAATTGTCACTGCAAATAGTCCAGTAGATGGGGGTATTGGATGTAATTAAAAGGAAAAGGTAAGAAGACAAGCAATAGCCTACAGTTTCTGAGAAAACAGATGGAGTCACTTTAGTCTTGGCCAGGAGGACATGAAGGACCAGTTCTTCCACTGTAAGAGGGAGAGGACGATGGGTAGAAGTACAGCGACATTTGGGAATTGGTTATTCTTTTGTCTATTTCTCTTTTTTTCCCTCTATAAATAGAAAATAAGATAATACGCTGACATTGAGGAATTGAGTGGGAATGTATATATTAGACATCTGAGAAGAGTATAGAAACTTTGAAATATCAATGTGCATAGTGGGAAGATTGCCCAGAGGTACGAACCATGATTGCCAACAATACTAAGAGTTTGTCTGAAGTCATGTTATGATTTTTAGAAGAAAAAGTATGTTATATTATAATATTTTCTCAAAGACCTTTGTGCTACCTGGGCACCAGTACAAGTAAAGCAGACAGTTGGCTTCATCTAGGAATGGGATTCTGCCATAGAGATGTGACAAAAAGAAAGTGAAAAGGAATTTATGATAATAGTGACTTTATTGATGTAATATAACTTAAAGTTTAAACTGAATATAAGGGTTGCGAATAGAAGGGAAACATGATGAACTGGAAAATGAGTTGGCAGAATAGGAGGAGCCAAAAAGATCTATGGATGGGCATAATGAGAACTACTGAACAAGTATGCTGAAAATAGAGGAGAATTGGGTCAGGAAGTTAGATCCTTGAATTAGCAGTTACAGGATGGGGCACTTATAGGGGCAAGGCATGAAGAAGAAAGTAGGTTGTTAAGGTGAAGAGGAAAAGGAAGTCATTGGAAATAAGGAAGTCAATGAATTGACATGTGAAAGATAATGGTCCACCTTCCATATAGATTATAAATCACTCAAGATTATGAAACTGTTTTAGTTCAAAGGGAATGGGCCACTGAGCCTTATTCTGGTATTCATCTGTGCTTTAGTCATACCTCTGTGGAAACCTTGGCATCAAGGGCTTGAAAAAACATAGGTTTAATTTTGTAAATGGTCTTTTTTTAAATTTTTGGTGTTTTTTTATTTTTCTGCCAGTTTCAAACCAAAACAGATGTTCAACGGAGGGGGCATCATTTAGGGAAGATAGCTCCTGAGATGAGGCCATATGTCAAACCATAATTATATAAATCCTTTGAAAGCTAGTTTGAATATTTCCATTGCTGAGCCATTACTCCAACATCAGAATGGTAGTGCCTTCCCATCAGCTCTACTGCTACTTCACCCAAAGCTAGAAGCCGTGTGGACAAGAAGACCATTATCCTTCGCCCCTAGTTATAATCCTGGATCACCCACAGGGAAGACAATATGTTCCTGCAACTATCAACGCTCATCCTTACACACACACTAAAGTGGAGAAAAAAACTCCAGAAAGCTTTTTTTCCACACAAAAAAGGCAAGAAGGGTTAAATTTACGTGTTTTGCTTCTAGGGACATTGATATTCTCATTATTAAGGAAGCAAAGTAATGTACTAAGGGTGCAGTTTCTGAAAAGAGAGGACTAAAACAGCACAAATAGAAACAAGACAAATACCCACTTCAGAATTGCTAGCAGAAGGTGAGGAGAGGTTAAGTACCAAGCAGTTTCCAGGAAAGATTCATAGAACTAATTCAGCTTGTGCTACATTGGCAGGAGAAAATTCAGGTCCTTGTAACCATACCACTAGTTTAGGAAGACAAGTGAGTCCTCTTGCCCCACAGACAGTAGGTCACACGTATGCCAGGTAATGCTAGATTATTCAAGGTTTCATTATCTTTTTCATGAGTTTCCCCTTAGACCTTCATTCTACCTTTTCTTTATTCATGTCCATAGTTGGGTCATTTCACTGCTCATTAGCATCTAAATTAAAGAGTTAGAACTTAGGTTAAGTTGAAATTTGTGAGATGCTCTGAGGAAAAGAAGTGGGAGAGTAGCAGCAGATTCAGGAATATGGCTCAGCTGGTGATTCAGAGTGCCAATTTTTTCTTCCTGCCCCCAGATTTCCTCCTTGGAGCATCTCTCTATTCCTCTCTACATCCCCAGCGAGTGGGCACTGGCCCAAGCTACCTAGCCCCCTGCTTTTAACCCACTGAAATGGGCTAATATGTGGCCTAAGATGAGCCAATTAGGATTTCTTTCCTGTCATTTTGGAATTGTGTTGGAGCCATTAGGTATTTGCTTTTTTTTTCTTTTTTAATTTTATTTTTTACACTTTAATTGCTTTAGGGGTACAAGAGGTTTTTGGTAACATGGATGAATTGTGTAGTGGTGAAGTCTGGAGTTTCAGTGTACCCAGCACCTGAATAGTACACATTTTACCCACTAGGTGGTTTTTCATCATCTGCCTCTCATCTTCCCCCTTCTGAGTCTCCAATATCCATTATACCACTCTGAATGCCTTTGCACACCCATAGCTTAGCTCCCATTTATAAGTGAGAATATGTGGTATTTGGTTTTTTGCTTCTGAGTTACTTCACTTAGAGTAATAGCCTTCAGTCTCATCCAAGTTACTGCAAAATACTTACTTTTTTATTTTTAATGGCTGGATAGTATTCCATGGTATATAGATACCACATTTTCTTTATTCACTTATCAGTTGATGGACACTTAACGCTGATTCTGTATCTTTGCAATTGTGAATTGTGATGCAACAAACATACATGTTCAAGTATCTATTTTATATAATGTCTTCTTTCCCTGTAAGTAGCTAGCCAGTAGTAGGATTGTTATTTGTGGTCTTTACTGGAAAGCTTGTATAAATCTGTGACTAAGACCTTCAGTTTATATCTAAACAGAACCAGACTTTACAGAAGAGAATTAAAACAGGCATATAGAGAGGAATAGGGTTAAGAGATTATAGCAGGGCAGACCTGGAGAAAGAAAAAGCACAAAGACTTTTCAATTCCTGATTCTTGTAGCTTTATAATGCCTAGCCTATCTTCCTACCCTTGAATTTAATGACCGGCTCCTTACCTTTCCAAAAGAAGAAAACACACACACACACACTCAATCTCCTTTACTCTTAACTTAGTAGACTGGGTTAATTTGCTTATCTCTAAAGGACCCTTTGTATTAAAAAAATCATGGCAGGTACTAAGAAAAGTTGGGGCTCAAATAGTGTTAATTATTTTTGAAAAATAAACTACTCTCACATGTCAGGAAATGATGTTGCATCATATATGAAATGAAGGGTCACTAAAGATTTTACATATATAAATAAATATATATACAAAATATATATATATAATTCACAAACTTGTTTTAAAAGGAAAGAAACTGATAGCTCTATGAAGGTTGAATTGTGGATAAATGTCTGAGCATTTGATGAAGCTGATACACTCTCAGCACAATGCAGATTTAGTTTGGATTTTATAATCAGCTGTAGCTTTTACTTTGGAAAATTGTACTTTACATTATGAAAAAATTTCTTTCAGACATAAAGGAGATAAAAGATTGATGAAGTAAATTAATCTTATTAAGGAAGACAGAGTCACAGGATCAGGAAAAGAGACATCTTTACCATCCAGCCTAAAACCTGAAACCCAGAAGTATTCCCCTTCTGGTTTCATCAGAAGAAAAATCACTATTTCCTTGAACAAGAGAAGAACTCTTACCTTTGGCTCCATATGGTGAATTATTCCTAATCACAAAAAGGAATTTTACTTTGACCTGCCAGCAGTGTAGGGTGCCCTTCACACCCCAACCGCCACTCTCTGCCACCACCACTGCTAAACAACTGAGCCCTATAAATCTTTCCATAGCTGAGTTCTTGGTCTCTCTCCTCTCTCGCACACACATGCACACGACACCACCACCACTACAATCTGATATTTTGAATGCTGCCCATCATAATCATAAATATGTGCTTGAATAAGGTCTGATCTCTGAAATCCCTGAGTAAGATGTGTCAATGACCCTCATTGACTACAGGATAAAATATAAACTCCTTAGCACGGCATATAACTAAACTAACTCTGACTTTATTCTAACTAATCCCAGATGTCAGAACTCAGCAAGCTCCTTTTCACCCTGTACCATTGCAAATACTGTGCATTCTACCTGGAATGTCTAATCCCCTCAGCTCACCAAGTCTAACTATCAGTCACTTATAAAAGCTCAATTCAGATTCACTTCCTCTGGAAGCATTCGTGAATTGCCACTTCCTCCCTACTCTCTAACACTGAGCATGGCATGATTGCATATCTGTTGCACGTTTTTCTCTACTCTAATGTAACCTCTTTAAGAAAGGGACCATGACTGTGCTGTCTATCTCCCTAACATCTATCAGAGTGCATAACCCATAATATGAGTAATATATGTCAATTTAATAGCTATTTATTTAACTAATTTCTACTTGATTTTGATAGCTGATACCTCTAAGAAGTTCAGTTTAAGTCTTCTATTTAATAGGATTATAACTTAACTAAAAGCTGGTTGGATATTACTTTGAAGCTAACTTCTTTTATTGAATTAATTTTAAAGATACCAAAGCATATTATTGATGTTAATTTTCACGCGCATCCTTGTGAAGAGACCACCAAACAGGCTTTGTGTGAGCAATAAAGCTTTTAATCACCTGGGTGCAGGTGGGCTGAGTCCAAAAAGAGTCAGCGAAGGGAGATGGGGTGGGACCGTTTTATAGGATTTGGGTAGGTAAAGGAAAAAGGGGGGTTGTTCTCTGGTGGGCAGGAGTGGGGGTCACAAGGTACTCAGTGGGGGAGCTTTTGAGCCAGGATGAGTCAGGAGAAGGAATTTCACAAGACAGCGTCATCAGTTAAGGCAGGAACCAGCCATCTGGATGTGTATGTGCAGGTCACAGGGGAGATGATCAGGCTTAGCTTAGGCTCAGAGTCCTGACATTAATTTCCTTTACAATCCAGTCACTTATCTGAGCTTTAGAATAAGTGGTCTCTCTTCACAAATGAAATATAAATAGTGTTTAAGTGTTTAGTGATATTTTAACAAGGAAAGATAACAATTATATACAGGACAGGAATTCTATTCATTAGCCTGATAATTTTAATTAACAGCAAAAGTAAAAAGGCATAGCAAGGTTTTATTTTGCTCATAGGATGCTGTTATTCTTTCACAGAGGCACTTTTGGTTGCATTAGCATATCCCATCAGATGTCTAAAAACCAAGCCATTACAAAGTTTTGCTCATCTTGGGAAATGCTGCTGCTCATCTTTAATAAGAAATACTCTCCCAGGAAAAATACTCCTAGGTGGAGGAATCTAACATTAGATGCAAAGCAGTGTGATTCTGCTCAAGATGGCCTTGAGATGGAGCCCATTCGTGGATTTTAGCATCCATGAAATTGGAGGAGTAAACATACCTTGAAAATGGTTTTATTTTCTTTTAGCTAGCAGGATAGTACTTTCTTGCTTTGCTGCTTCTTGAACGTTTTTGGATCTTCAAATGGCATTAAAAGCTAGAGAATGAAAAACAAAAACTGCAAGCAATTGCCCAGCTAATGTGTGCCTTGGATGCAAAGTCGAGGAAAAGCAGAACATCTTCGAAGAGCATAATCAGCTTGAAATGAGTGATAAAAATCCGATTATCTACCGGTGCAAATTTGTGCAACAAATTGCCATCATCTATGTATGGCCTAGGAAACTATTTGCTATTTTAAAATTGTTTAGACGTTCAGTGAAAAAAAACTATTCATAAAGACTTCAAAAATATTTTTCAGGTTTATTGATGCCTACCAAATATGATTAAATGCACCATTCATGAACTTCAAGTAAATTCTCTTCTTAATGTAATTATATTTTCACTCAAAATTTAAAATTTAAAACACATTACAGTAACATTTTTAAAGTACATTTGTGGGATGATAATAGATGTTTCTAGAAACCAAAAAAACCAAAATATAAAAACTTAGTTCATTTTCAAAAAAAAAAACTTTAGAAAAACTTTGAGTAAACAAAGGCCAAGGGATTTCTTTACGTTGGATGTCTTAGGGACTTTATTAGATTGACTAGGTTTTGAGAACCTCCAGGAAATAAATCGTTTATGAAATTCATTTGACCATTGAATCCTTTTTCCACAAGTATCACAAGAAACTACTGTTCTACAGCATGTCCCTAATAAAAGCCACATTTAAGTATTTGTGACCAAATGGTAATAACAAAGGACAATTCCTATGGTATTTTGCTGGATTTTGCCTGTGTGCTTTTGTGATGTTTGTTTCACTTCAGTTGCTATTGAAGTACACTGCAGTGATTCAGGGAGTGCCAACCCTCAGCATGATGTCAAGAGTCTTCTAACCATATGGTCTGGCCATTTTGGCTTAGGAATAAATAAAATCAGTAATGTTGAAGGAAAAATCTCAAATTTTCATGAGGTTCATTTTAACAAGCATTTGTGCTCTCTTCTTCCATTTCAGTTAAAATAACAAGGTATGATAAACTGGACAGTGTATAACAAACTAAGTTTATTTCTGACAGTCCTAGAGCCTGGAAAGTCCAAGATCAAGGTGCCAATAGGTTTGATGTCTGGCAATGGCCTGTTTCCTAGTTCATAGTTGGTGTCTTATTTTTGTCTTTATATAGTGGAAGAGCTGAGAGGTCTCTCTCGGGCCTCTTTTCTAAGGTCACCAATCCATTAAGTAGTCCTCCTAAACTATATCACCTCCCAAAGGCCTACCTTCTAATACTATTACCTGGGGGATTAGGACTTCAACAGGTGAACTTTACTGGGGACACAAATATTCAAAGCATAGCACATTAACTCCACAGCTCATTTATTACCCACATCCATTTCCATTTTTTAAAGCCAGACAGTGGAATAAATTCTTGCTAGATAACTATTCTCAATCCAGTCACTCTGCAGATTAACTGGGCTAGAAGGATGTATAGGGCTGTATTTTGGCCCTAAAAGTCTAAAACTCTCAGTATTAATGTAGCAAGGATCCAACATACCTCTAAGCTACATAAATACATTGTTCTTATCTTTCTGGACCTAGTAAAAGATCTGTAATGTTACCAAAAAATGACTATTCTTCTAGGATGCAGTTGAATGGGTGCTTAAATGTAATGAATTTGTCCATTTATATTTATATTTCTCTATTTATATTTCAGTGTTAACTTTTTCAATTTGAGGTTTTAATTTTAGAGTAATATAAGTCTTATGAAGGTAGGGCATTTAGTATGTTTACTAGTCAATGTATCACCAGTGCCTGTAACAATGCCTGGCATATAGTAGACAGTATACATATTTTTAGGTGAATGAATTAACTTTAGAAAATAAATTGTCTTATATCTGAGATGTTAGAACCCTCTTCCAACTGTTAGAAGCAAAAGAAAAAATTGACAAAGGCAAAGGAGCTTGGTAATTCTGATTTTATGCAACATCACTGGATTCATTATTGAGTTCCCGAGTTCATATAAAAAATTCTGCCTTTTTCAACCATAAATTAATGCCACCTGGCATCATCTTGCCCTTTGAAATACAAATAAAACTAGCTTTGTCAACCAAATGGGAGGAAACATCTCTCCCAATCTCTCCTTAAATTCTTGGGGGCTTGCATCTCTCCTAGTCATTACTGGCTTCAAGTTCTTTTCTCTTATTTAGCTCAGTTTGTCTTGCTACCTAAATATGTTGTCCCTTTCCTTCCCTGAATCACTTCCCACTGCAAGGAATACTGATTTTTTCATTCCCCAAAACAGCCACTGGTATAACGCTATGTCTGTAACTGACTTTTACTGGAGATTTGAGTAAATAGATGAGGTTTACTACACAGCAAAGTAAACAAACAATAATTGAATACTCTCTATCTCAGCTCTCACAATTCCTTTGGCTTTCCCACTACAAGGAAAGTGCAATTGCACATTGTCTTCGCAGAACCCTACGTTCCCATCAGGTCACTCTTTCCCATCTTGGTACTTCTTATGCAGAGATTCTAATATAAGGATGGGGGTGATTTTTCCCCATACCTGCATGTGAGAATTTAGTGAAAAATTATCAATAAAACTTATTTTCAAACACAATTTTTTATTGTTCAGTAGAGTTTTATTTCAATCCCTCCTCATACCACTGTCCATAGCACCCCCAGACAAATGGTGATTCAGGGTTCTTGGGTGAAATTCAGGTGTGGACTTCTGAAAGATGGAGGCTTTTTTAGAGACAGATCTCTATCTGCCTTGATACTGATGGATGGGGAGCCAGTAAAATAACTGAGTTATAGTCAAGGTGGTATAGACCATTTGAGAGCTTACTTTAAGTGTCCCATTTTTATTTTAAAATTATACAGACAAAAATTTTCCAACACCGTCTTTTTTTAGTCACGTTTATTTTGTCTTATGAAAGAATGGTCAGAAAAGAAAATTAGGCATATAGAGAAAAATAAAGGAACAAATAACTCTATTGGTCTACCACCGAACAGAACCACACTGATCATTTTGGCATATTTCATTTCATTCTTTTTTCTGTCCATTGCCCCTTTATGCAAACTTATTAAAATCCTTTCTGTAGATTCATTGATACATCCTGCTTGTTCACCACACATATTTTAAGAATTTTCAATATTTTATTTTTAATATCTCCACAACAGTTTATCAAGTAAATATCCTATATTTATTCTTCTAATAGATATTTAGCACCTAATATTTTGTCATTTAAAAAATGTCTAAACATATTCGTACCTAAAATTTGCTCAATATTTGAAATTATTTCCTTAGGACTTACCCTCAGATGTTAAATTAGCCCAGAAATATAAGCATTTTTTAAAGCTCTTGATATTATTGCCAATTGCTCCCAAAAGGGTTATCTTATTTTTCACATTATGATGTTTAAAACTTTACTACATCAGCTTTATTCTTGTTTTATATGAACCAAATATTTGCTGCCACCAAGGCTGTTAAACTTGAGCATAACAGAGCTGACACAAAGCCTTTGTGTTTGGCATAAGCTCAGTGGAGGTTTCTGAGTATCTTTCATCATCCTCTGTTTGACTGGGATGATATGGTCTCTCAGTTATGGAGTCGTTAACTGACAGGCTGTATTCCTCCAGAGACTAACAAAAAATTGTGCTTTGAAATGATGATCTTTTGGGGTCCATTGTTATCTTTACTGAGCGCCACAGTTTTCTTTCTGTAACATCTTTCAAACAAAAATATAATACATATTTACAGTAAAAATGGAAAATATATAGAAAAGTATAACAAATTTTTAATTACTTTTAGTAACACAAGCCAGCAATGATCTCTTTTAATATTTGATGTATTTCCTTCTGAATGTATTGAAACACACAATGCCATAAGCACAGTGCTTAAATCACCAAATCACAACAACCAGAATCACGTTATACAAAGAGCCTGCAATAGTGAATGTTTCAGATTATATTACAAGACTTTTGCATGCCATTTAATAGCCTTCGAAAATATGAATTTAAAAAGCATATACTATGCCACAGCATAGATATACTACAATTTATTTAACAATTCTGTTAGTGGGCATTTTTTTTATTTTGCATGATCTTTTTGTATGTTAAAGGGTGTAATAAAGGTCCTGTAAACAAATATTTGTATATAATTTTGATCATAACTGGAAGATAAATTATTAGATGAATTATGAACATTTTAAAAGGCATTCAAGACGGACTTCTGAACTTCGAATGGTTTATACCAATTTCCTTATTCTGCTGCAAGAGCAGCAACAGATGACAATGATGAATAAAGTAGGTAAAAATTATAGCAATTTAATTAACATTTATTAATACCCCTCTATGAGCATTTTAGGAAATAATTTAGAATTAAAAACAAACAAATGTACAAAAATACTTAGATTGTCTGACTCTTACTGACTTTTCATGAGATAATACCAATTTTTTTAAGTAATAAGAATTTAATTTTAAAAAATAAAATTAGGCCACAAGTGTTTCCTTTTATAAGCATTTTCTTTTGTTTTGAAAGTCATTAAGGAAAGAGGAAAGTTGCCATGTGTATTACTTTTCTTCCAAGTTTTTTAAACATTATTCATAAATGTTTATGAAAAAAATTCCAAAAATTTCGTATAACAAAACTAAGCTGTCAATCTTCTTGGACAAAATCTCACTGTTTAATACAATCCATTCTATTAATGTGAATATATCTTTGAAATGAATGAAATATATTTAATATCTTTAGGATACAATTATATATAAGCA
Source organism: Homo sapiens (assembly GCF_000001405.40). Taxonomy (NCBI): domain Eukaryota; kingdom Metazoa; phylum Chordata; class Mammalia; order Primates; family Hominidae; genus Homo; species Homo sapiens. Next base: position 8,777,457 of record NC_000007.14, on the reverse strand, counting down.
CATATACTTTAATTTTTTTTAAAAAAAAAAGGTCTTACTTTTTAAAGAAATTAAAAGCCAGGTGCTGTGGCTCATGCCTATAATCCCAGCACTTCAGGAAGCTGAGCCAGGCAGATCACCTGAGGTCAGGAGTTGGAGACCAGCCTGGCCAACATGGTGAAACCCCGTCTCCATTAAAAATACAAAAATTACCTGGGCATGGTGGCATGCACCTGTAATCCCAGCTACTCAAGAGGCTGAGGCAGGAGAATCTCTTAAACCTGGGAAGTGGATGTTGCCATGAGCCAAGATAGCACCACTGCACTCCAGTCTGGGTGACAGAGTGAGACTCTGTCTCAAAATAATAATAATAATTGAAATTAAGAGCAAGGTAACTACAATTTAACTAGAGCAATATTAGATGGCATAATTGGTTTAGTTGAAACTGAGCATCTAAAATATCTTCTCAATATTACAGTAGATTCTACTGGATTGTGGTAAAACATCAGAAGAGTGGGCAGTCTAGTGAAGTGAAGTCACATAAACAGTAAGGGATCCAAAAATATAAAACAATATGTCAAAGGAAATGGCTTAGTCAGATATAAAGAATAAGGAAAGAGGAAATCAGGTGGTGTACATATCTTTTAGTTCAAGGTAGATTGTCAATCCAAGATTAGAAGGTATTTTAATCCTGTGTTTTATGCAAATGAAAAACAAAAAAAGCAGGGGTCACTAACCTTATATCAAATTAAACAGACTTTAAACCAACAATAGTAAAAAAAAGGATAAAGAATGACATTACATAATGATAAAGGTTCAATTCAACAAGATGACTTAACTATACTAAGTATATACACATTCTACATAGAAGCACCCAGATTCCTAAAACAAGTACTTCTAGACTTCTGAAAAGACTTAGAAAGCCACACAATGTAGCGGGGAACTTCAACGTCATACTGACAGCATTAGACAGACCATCAAGGCAGAAAATTAACAACAAAATTCTGGACTTAAACTTGACACTTGACACTTAAACTAATAGCCATCTACAGAGTTCTCCATCTATCAACCACAGAATATACATTCTTCTCTGGTGCACATGAAACATACTCCAAGATCAACCACATGCTCTGTCATAAAGCAAGTCTCAATAAATTTAAAAGAATCCAAATAACACCAATCATACTCTCAGACCTCAGTGGAATAAAAACAGAAATCAATACAAAGAAGATCTCTCAAAACCACACAATTACATGGAAATGAAGCCACTTGTGGAATAACTTTCGGGCAAACAAATCAAGAAAGCAATCAAAAATTATTTGAAATAAATGAAAATAGAGACACAACACACCAAAATATCTTGACACAAAACAAGCAGTATTAGGAGAAAAGTTTATAGCACTAAATACCTGCCTCAAAATGGTAGAAGTTCTCAAATTAATGATCTAACATCACACCTAGAGGAACTAGAAAAGCAAGAACATACTAACTCCAAAGCTAACAGAAGAAAATAAATAACTAAACTCAGAGTGGAACTGAATGAAATTAAGACCCAAAAATCCATACAAAGAATTAATGAAACCAAAAGTTGGTCTCTTATAACGATAAACAAGATCAATAGATGGCTACTAGATTAACAAAGAAAAGGAGATCTATATCAGCACAATCAGAAATGGCAAAAGTGACATTACAAATGATCCCACAGAAATACAAATGATTTTTGGAGACTATTATGAAAATGAACACCTGTATACATACAAACTAAAAAATAGGGAGTAAATAAATAATTCCTGGAAACATAGAATCTCCCAAGATCAAATAAAAAATTAAAATACTAAATATACAAATATCAAGTTCTGAATTAAATCAGTAATAAAAGAAAACCTAACAATCAAAAAAAAAAAAAAAAAAAAAAGAAAAAAGAAAACCAAGACCCCAGACCAGATGGACTCACAGCCAAATTCTACTAGCCATACAAAGAAGGGCTAGTGCAGTTTAACTGAAACTGTTTCAAAGAATTGATGAGGAAAGACTACTCCCCAACTCATCCTGTGAAGCCAGCATCACCCTGATACCAAAACCTTCCAGAGACAAAACAAAAAATGAAAACTACCGAGCAATATTCCTGATGAATATAGATGCAAAAACCCTCAACAAAATACTAGCACACTGAATTTGACATCAAAAACATCAAAAAATTAATTCACCATGTTCAAGTTAGCTTCATTTTTGGGATGAGAGGTTGGTTCAACATATGCAAATCAATGAATGTGATTTACCACAAAAACAGAACAAAACCACATAAACTAAAAACAGAAAACATATGATCATCTCAATAGATGCAGAAAGAGCTTTTGATAAAATCCAACATCACTTCATGATAAAAACCCTCGATAAACTAGGCATTGAAGGAACATATATCTACGACAAACCCACAGCCAACATCATACTGAATGGGCAAAAACTGGAAGAATTTCACTTGAGAACTGGAAGACAAGAACACCCATCCTCACAACTCCTATTTAACATACTACTGAAATTGCTAGCCAGAGCAATCAGTCAAGAGAAAGAATTTAAAAGCATGCAAATAGAAAAAAAGGAAGTCAAACTATATCCCTTCAGAGATGATATTTTTCTATACCTAGGAAACTCTAAAGACAGCCATAAGGATTCTGGAATTGATAAATGACTTCAGCAAACTTTCAGGATACAAGATCAATATATAACAGTCAGTAGTAATTCTATACACCAATAACATTCAAGGTGAGAGCCAAATTAAGAATGCAGTCCCATTTACAATAGCCACACACAGAAAAGTTAAATAACAAGGAATACATCTAGCCAAGGAGGTGAAAGATCTCTACAAGGAGAATTTAAAAACACTGCTAAAAGAAATCATGGAGTACACAAAAAAATGGAAAAACTTTCCATGCTCTTGGATTAGAAGAATCAATATCATGAAAATGGCCATACTGCCCAAAGCAATTTACAGAATCAATGCTATTCCTATCAAACTACCAATGTCACTTTTCACAGAATGAGAGAAAAAAAAAAAAACTATTCTAAAATTCATATGGAACCAAAAAGGAGTCTGAATAGCCAAAGCAACCCTGAGCAAAAAGAACAAGGCTGGAAGCATCACATTACCCTACTTCCAGCTATACTATAAGGATACAATAACCAAAACACCATGGCACTTGTACAAAAACAGACACATAGGCCAATAGATCAGATTAGAGAACCCAGAAATAAAGCCTCACACCTACAGACATCTAATCTTCAACAAAGTCAACAAAAGTAGGCAATGCAGAAAGAACTCCCCATTCAATAAATGATGCTCAGGATAGCTGGCTAGACATATGCAGAAAAATGAAACAAGACCCCTACCTTTCACCATATATGAAAATTAACTCAAGATAGATTAAAGATTTAAATGTAAGACCTCAAGCTATAAAAATCCTAGAAGAAAACCTCAGAAACACCATTCTAGACATGGGCCTCAGGAAATAATTTATGACTAAGTCCTCAAAAACTATTACAATAAAAACAAAAATTGACAAGTAGAACCTTTAAAGAGCTTCTGCACAGAAAAAGAAACTATCAACAGAGTAAACAGATACCCTGCAGAAAGGGAGAAAATATCCACAAACTATGCATCCAACAAATGCCTAATGTCCAGAATCTATATGGAACTTAAACAATTGAACAAGGAAAAAAGAACTAACTCCATTAAAAAATGGGCAAAACCCATGAATAGACACTCTCAAAAGAAGATATACAAGTGGCCAACAAATATATCAAAAAATGCTCATCATTGCTAATTATAAGAGAAATGCTAATCAAAACCACAATGAGATGTCATATTACATGAGTCAGAATGGCTATTACTAAAAAGTCAACAAACAACAGATGTTGGTTGGGCTGTGGAGAAAAGGGAATATATTTACACTGTTGGGGTGGGAATACAAATTAGTTCAGCCACTATAGCAAGGAGTCTGGAGATTTCTCAAAGAGCTGAGAACAGAAACTACCATTTGACCCAGCTATCCCATTACTGGGTATATATCCAAAAGAAAACAAACTGTTCTACCAAAAAGACATGCACTTGCCTATTCATTACAGCGCTATTCCCAACAGCAAATGAATGAAATTAACCTAGGTACCCATCAACAATGGATCGCATAAAGAAAATATGGTACATATACACCATGGAATACTACACAGCCATAAAAAGAATGAAATCATATCCTTTGGAGCAACACGGATGCAGCTGGAGGACATTATCTTAAGTAAACTAATGCAGAAACAAAAGAATAAAATATCACATGTTCTCAATTACAAGGGGGAGCTAAACTTCAGGTGCTCGTAAACATAAAGATGGCCAGAATAGACACTGAGGACTACTAAAAGGTGGGGAGGAAGGGAGCGGGCAAGGTTGAAAAACTGTTTGGCACTATGCTCAGTACCTAGGTGACAGGATAATTCATACCCCAAACCTCAGCATCACACAATACACCCAGGTAACAAACTTAACACATGTGCCTCCTGACTCTGAAATAAACGTTGAAAATAAGTAAATAAATAAAAAAAGAATTCCATAAGTTTATTTGAACAATCTCTGGCACAAAAATCTACCATATATACCAATTAAATATTTTACTTACAGCATATAAAATTATAAAGCAAAATATGACATTTTAAAAGCTGAAGACTAATAATTTTAGATTTTCTAAAAACCTGTGTTCTCTAAGTAGCGTAGCACATTGTACATAAGAGAAACCGCATAAATATTCTGATAAAAAATACTGTGTTTTACAATGTTGGAAAACATTTTCATTTGTACGTTTCTCATTCACTTCCGGTAGTCCACATATCAATCTATCTACTATCCTAGATGATGTCACATTCTTGCTGTATGTACTAACAATTTCTCACTGGACCAAAATTATGGATTAAAATAATTGCTGGACAGATTCTGGCAAAGCAAATAGTCAGTGTGGCTTCATTACTCAGTTCATAGATACATTATAGCATAGTATATGTTTACTAAAGTTTTGACCATGTACATTCTTCGAGGAAGGAATAGGGAAATGTAGCAATATATATTATATATATTTTAGAAACAAAGAGGTACATACTATCTACACATGATGTCTAGATGTGTCAGTGTATACATTCGCTATAATATATATGTACTTACAAAGAGAAATGTATTCTTCTAGTCATCAAGAATATACTAGTTTTATACAAAATGAGAGCTATCTAAACCACATGGAAATAAAAAAAAAATCACTTATCCACATGATTACTGTTGCAAGAGTCCTTTGAATGCCCAGATTTATAACTCCAACATGGGCATAAGGATTGATGCCCTAAGTGAACATTACCACTGCCAACTGCCTGGGGGATGTTAATATGATCTAGCATCACAAACACTGCTTAAATCCAGGGCTTCAGAGGCAAAGTTGGCTTTGCATCATCAGGACACTTTGATTCTGCATCATTGAATTTGGGTGCCTAGTCAATTCCAAATTGATCTTATAATGGAACTCTTCCTTTTTTCATTCTGTATAAATAAACCAAGCCCTAAACAAGCCTCTAGACAGGTGATTTATAGTACAAGAAAGCAGCCATATGAATGTCCCAGATCTTGCGCATTCTCAACTGTAAAAATTTTCTGAGATGAGTGTTAATTAAGAGTCAGTCATGGTTTCTTCTTAAAATAATGGTAAAATGGAGGGCCTATCAATAATCAATAACCTAGCATTTTTCATTTTTTCTCCAAATAAAATTCCCATATCTACTTACTTTTTTTTTTCACTGCTCAGCAGCCTATTACACAGATTCCGCTAAACTTGACTTTCTTGTAAGTTTCTAATGCTGCCTATAACCCAGAAAGTAAAAGATTCAGGAAGTGTAATTAAGCATCACAGCCTAAGATGCCTACCTTAACCAATATACTTAACCTAATTTGATTGTCTTATTGCAATTTATAAAAATGATGCATCAGTCTTGGGGTTAGATGCATGGTAGGCCAGATATTCTCATCAATGGCCGCATCTGACTTGAAAAGCTCTTAAAAACTACAAATACACGGGCTCTACCTTGAGATTCTGGTTTAAGTGTCACAGAAAAGGAGACTGAGTATTCTTTTTTTTTTTTAACTTTGATAACTGTTGGTTGAGATAGTTAAGAACTATTGGTTTAGAATGAAGATATATTTACATACAAATCAACATAGGTAGTGAAAAGAACAAAGTCATTAAAATAGCTTTGACTCAAGGGCCTTCAGGAGCCTATTTTTCTTGCTTCTATAGTAACCTAAAATAAATAATAATGTGGTGGTGGTGGTGTGGTGTGATTTTTAACATTTCATTTGGATTCTCAGGTTAAAAGATATTTTATAATAAATCAATAATAGCAACTAGAATTCATAGACTATCCACTATGTATAAAGCTCCATGCTACGTTACTTTATAAATTTCATCTTACTTAATCCTTATAACCCTCGGAGGTGTGTATTATTACATCTATTTCACAGATTAGGAATCTGAGACTGGAGAGGTAAAATGATTTGCACTAGGTGAAACCAAAACAGCTTAAAAAGTAAATCTGTATAGAGCATCTTTCCCAACAACCTTCTGCTTTCCAATTCTACATTCAATTTCTCAACATAAACTGATCTGGTTTTATATCTGCTTATCCTGGAGTCCAGTCAACACATTTCAGAGTGCAGGAACTGTCCTTCTCAGTGAACTAAAGTAAAAAGTTGAATGCTGACAAAATTATCTGTATTTTGGTTTCAAAAAACATTTTAATAATGGGAGCAATCTTTAAGAGAATATCCTAAAAAATGCATACTAACTACTTTCTCTCCCTCCCAGAGGACATGAATCCTAAATGAGACGCTTCCTGCCTGCAGAAGAGCAATGGAAACAGAGAGATATTTGAAGCCATGAATATGCTTTAGGGTGATGGTTTACAGGATTTACTTGCACATAAATCATCTCAAAAACAGACCTAAATCCTATGCATTTCCATACAATTTTCAACTACTAGTAAACAGCAATCCTGAACAAAAACACTCTTAAAAAAAATGAAAAGACCAAAAACAGTAGAATCCTTTACCATAAGCTGATACACAAAGCTTATTCAAAAATAAAAATTTCCTCCAGACTAAATGTTTCACTAGCCTCGCTTGAGCTGAAGAGGATGTTTGACCCATAAAATATCATGCAAATGAGTAGAAGATGAAGCTCCTATGAGTATAGTCCTTAGCATAAAAAATATAAAATCATGTTTACAAAGGTTGCATTACCAATTTATCCCATTCTTGTTTCACAGGAAATAGCTTTTCAGAAATCAAGATTAGGTTCATATTTATTTCCTTCACAATCTTTTATAGAGTAGTTTTAAGCTAAGGGTTAGTGAAAACATGTATCAATGAGCCCTTCATCTTCAAATATCAAGTGAAAAGGAAAGTTTTCTAATATGAGAAAGTGAGAAATTCTTCTGTTCATATCATGTTAGACCTTTTCTAGAAAACTTGATTGCCACCTCAGCATCTTATCTCAAAGTCAGAAAAATAAACTGGGTTCAGGGTCAAAAAAACCCTTTGGCACAAAACACTGTAATTCAATCCTTTTTGCCTTCCTCCAAACTACTCATCAATTCAGTAAGAGAAAATTTATTTTGAATAATGTCAGCTTCCTTTCATTATTATTACATCAAATGCTTATGTTTTTTTTTTTGTTTCCCTTTTTAATTGACTGCATTGACCTTCTATGAAGACAGACTTTACGTTGTACTTAATAAAAACACCACAATGGAAAGGCTGACAGAATGGAAGTCAGAAGACTCCAGTTTGACTCGAGCTCTCTAGTCCTCTGCCTTGAACCCATGATGTAGCTTAACATCTCAGTTTTTTCATCTCTCATATTCCGATTTTAATGCCAGCCTGAGAAGATAGCTTTGAGAACAAAATAAAATAACACACATTAAAGAATTTTAAACAGAAAAAAAATGGTCCTATTAATTAGTCTGTGAAAGAAAGGACAGTAGTCAAGTTTTTAAAATTCTAGGTTATTCACAATTTATATTCAAATTAAGAAACCCCATAGTCATAGTCTGGGACCTTCAAAGCTTTACGAGCTCAATATTTTCCCAACTAATGTGACTGTGCCATTTTTCAAATGTGAGCATCTCGCTGCTTAGATATTCTATAGAGTAAAAATTTGGAAGATGATGTAGGCTATATTAAATTAAAACATATAGTGATACTGTTAAAGCTAATTTGAAGCAAAGTTAAATTTTAGTTAAGTTTGTTATTACAACTGGTCTTTACACTTATTGTTTAGAACAAAGGTGATGCCCAAACTGTTAATAATCAGATTTTAAACAAATAGAAAATTTTTATTTAAGGGATACTCTGATGCTATAATTTTCTATATCTTTATCATTATGAGTAGTTATAATGAATTTTCCTCATTTTGTCCTAAACAACAACAAACCCAAATTTTTCTAACAGGAAAAATATTAAATCAATTTTTTCTGTTTTTTTCTAATCTTTTTACATAATCTCTTAAAAAGGGGAAATATCCCTCTCCTGCCACCTCTCCAACACAAATTCTGATTTTTATGAAGGAGAATCTGTTCTACACACACTCTTGGCCTCTCTCTACTCCTTCACTATCTCTGCCACTCGGGAACACAGTGGTATATCTGACAAATGTGAGGAGGATAACCGTGCATGTTAAACTCAGCTCCACCCAGAACAAGCTGGCCCCCAAAAGTAGAAATTCCTCTCACCTTACTCCATCTTCCATGGGAAGGTGATCCACATGAAAAGCATATTTCCCCAACTGTTGGGTAAGTCAGCCCAGTCCTTGGGTGTGGATTTCAGACCCATTTGGCTCTTACAATAAATTACATCCTCGTACAGAGTCTCTATCAATAAGCAAGTTGATATTTTGGCCTGCAAATTTACTCTTTATTTGTGACATTGTGTAGAATGGATAGAAAAGAATGTTGCTATTATTGAGGGCTCACTTTTCAACTCCAACAATCTATGTTACAAATTCTTATCAAATCCTAAGGAAAAAAGAACACTCAAAACTGTCTACTTTCTTCACAGAACATGCCCACTGGTGAGATATACTTAGTGGAAAATGTTAGCTTCACACTGGTCTTATATTTTCAAGTTTAGCATTCAAGGTGCTTTGGACTAATTAAGAAAATTGTGAAAAATATATGTCAGCAAAGAGCTCATACAATCATTTTTCTCTATAGAAATAGCATCAGTTGGCTGGGTGTGGTGGCTCACGCCTGTAATCCCAGTACTTTGGGAGGCTGAGGTGGGTGGATCAAAAGGTCAGGAGTTCAAGACCAGCCTGGCCAAGAAGGTGAACCCCTGTCTCTACTAAAAATACAAAAAAAAAATTAGCCAGGCTTGGTGGCGCACGCCTGTAATCCCAGCTACTCGGGAGGCTGAGGCAGAGAATTGCTTGAACCCGGGAGGCAGAGGTTGCAGTAAGCTGAGATCATACCACTGCACTCCAGCCTGGGTGACAGAGTGAGACTCTGTCTCAAAAAAGAAAAAAGAAATAGCATCGGTCTGGGCCCCCCCAAATTATTTGTTCTTCATCTTATAATCAAGCTTAGATCCTTTATTTAAGTTTCCCAGTTAATGTTATGGCTTTCAGAGAATTATCAGCTTATTTTTATTCTGTGTCCAATCCCATGTATAAATATTACCCTTGCTTACCTATGATTATTAAAGCCCCTTTATTGGCTGTCCTTCCTAGTCTCACTTATCTACCTTTCAAATAAATTACTTGCATTCAAACTAGAAGGAGCATCTAAACCATAATACACCTCATTCTATCTACAGGCAAGATATTTTATTTCTTCAACTGGGCCACCAAAGCAATTTATCTTCTATATCATATCATGTTGGTATGATATGGTATAATATAATTATATCTCTCATGAGACAAATTGTTTTTACCTCCTACAATGTGGAATTTCTTTTAAAAAATTAGTTTGGTGTTCTCAGCACCTATTATGATGTCTAGAGCATTGTAGGGGCTCAATAATTGCTTTTTATGTAATTTTTTAAAAAAAATTGACTGCAATAATGAGCCTAATATTTAAAATATTATTTGATCTCCTCAAATACTGGTAATACTAACAGAGTGAGAAATCAGTAACACGCAGAAAAAGACAAATATATTTTGGGTAAGGTAAAGCTAAGCAGTGGTTGAAAAATGGAATATTAAGAAGAAATTATAACCATGCATTAGGCTTGCCAGTTGAATCTGTCGTATATCATGAACTAGTGGTTTTATACGAAAATCAATATGTTCTCTAAAATATGTCTTCCTATGCAATTTATTCACTCAAAATTTAAAAATTACTAAAAATAATAGTTTACCTGGTTTTCACAGCATTAAAGATGTCTACATTATTTCACACATCATGCCCTACTAATGTCACTATGCTATGTGCACATTCTTTTTCTTATGAATAGACAAATTTCTTTTCTCACATAAAGGTTTAAATAAGTTAATAGTAAAAAGATTTTTTTAAGTTCCCTAAAAAAATTAATCAACACTAATCCATGCTTATATGCCTATATTATAGGCATATAGGCATCTACATATTTAGGCAGATGCTAGAAGCAAATAGTCACCTTGAGGGAGAAACCCTCAAATCACAACTGTAGCTATGTCGAATCAAAACTGTAGCTATGTACCTCTGCCATTGTTTTGAGTTCTTGGTTAAATATTTAATCATGACCCCATAATTCAAAATAAGGGTATAATTGAAAAGTGAGTGCATTTTTAAATGTTAATATTCAAATGCTACTGTACAATGTTAATGTATCTAGGTCATCAGAGTGAAATATTTAATGTACATTATCTGAAATGAAATATTCATATCATCTTCAAATATAAATAAATGTTAGAGTTCTTAAATTTCTTTATATAGTTTTACCAACAAAAAATAAAATATATACTCAGAGATATATTAGCATATTTCCCAGACTACTAAAAAATTAGTACCAAAACTTCTGTTTAATTATGTCCAAAAATTAAGACCAAAATGAAAGCACAAAAGGAGCACCCAGTCTGGAATCAGACTGTCAATGTCTACTCTCTTAACTTCTATGAATCTCAGTTTCACTACCAATAAAACATGAGTGATTGCATCTATAGCTCTCACAGGTTTACTTCCAGGATTGAAATAGAGAATGTGTAAAGTGCCTAGGATAGTAATTGGGACCTAACGTGCATTCAATAAATGTTTCTATGGTTTCCATTTAGTTATCAAATTGGAAACTGATCACTCTTATATGCTATATAAGTACTTCTGTAGGACACTTGCAGAGGGTAGAAAAATAAAATAAATGCATTTGTCATTGAGGCTACTGATGAGAATATACCGACTCATTTTGCCAACCAGTCCTGGCATTTTATTTTTATCCTGTCTCATCTAAATCAATCCTTTCAAAAGAAGTTAAAATTGGTTTATTTTATAAAAGATATGATCCTTTCTAGATTAACATACATCATCCATTCCTAGCTCCAAAGGACATGAAACTCAGGCAAAGGCCACATTTCATTGATTAACACAGAAAAGGAAACTTAGTAGCTTAAATGTCTCTTAACATTCTTAAACATTTGCATATAATTATTTGATTTTCTATATAATTTAATGAAAGCATCAGAATAAAGGTGAAGTGTAAAGGTGATTTTTTAAAAATGGGTCTTCTACAACGAACAAAAAAACTCAGATTAGCCTTATCTTTTCTGATATATCAACTGGAGCCAGAAATGTAATTTCTGAAGACATGATGAGGCAGCCCTCTGGAGCATAAGCAATTCACGAAGAAACTGAAAGCTAAAGCCTATCTGCTGACAGCATTCTCAAAAGCTTGGGCTGGAAGTCTTTTACTGAAGGAGCATATGAGTGACAGAGCACGGCATCCACTATACTCAACTATATGCTGTCTATAAGAGACACAATGTAAAAATAAAGGCATGGGTAGCTAAATAGTAAAAGGATTTTTTGAGGTACACTATAAAAACACTAATCAAATAAAGATGAACTGGCTATATAACATTTTTAAATGATGTACTTAAGATTGAGGAATATTACCAAGAGTAAAGAAGAACATTTCATAACAAAAAGTCTTAATTTGTCAAGAGGATGTAACATCCTATTTGTGTATATGCCCATAATAAATCTTCAAACTACGTGAAGCCAAAAATATTCAGAAATGAGGGAAGAAATAGATAAAACTAATGTGGATAGTTTCAGATATTAATACTCTTCCCTTGGTAACAAAAAATTAAATATACACAAAATTTGTAAGGCTATGGAATAGCTAAACATTGTTAGCCAACTTAACATAATTGACATTACACTACGCTATAACAAACAACAGCAGAGCACACATTCTTCTCAAAGGCATATAAACAAGCCACCCACTAAAATAAACAGACCATATGCTAGCCCATAAAATAAATCTCAGTAAATCTAGAGAGACTGAAATCACCTAGAGTATATTCTTTAACCACAATAAGGTTAAATATCAATAACAAAAGCACATCTGAAAAATCTACAAATATTAGGAAATTAAACAACATATTTCTAAAGATATGATGAGTCAAAAATATCACAATGAAACTTGGAAAATATACTGCAGTGAAGAAAAATGAAATCACAACATATCAAAATGTATAGATAGAAATCAATGGAACCAAGTAGTGTGGAAAAGTAGACCCCATATATATGTTTAATCATTTTTTTTACAATATTGTCAATATAATTCAGTGAGGAAAAGACAATCTTGTCAACAAATGTTGCTGGAAAAAACTATGCTCATTTGAAAAAACCTCACACCTCACACAAAACCTACCTTTAAATACATCATAGACCAAAACAAAGAATCTAGAACTCTAAAATTTCTGGGAAAAAAATTAAGAGTAGACAAAGATTGCTTAGATCTTTGCTTCTCTAGGACATCAAGAGAGTACTAATTATTTAAATAATGACAAATTACACTCTGTTCTTCAAAAAACACTATTAATAAAAAGGCAAGCTAAGACTAAAAGAAATTATTTGCAATATATATATCTGACAAGGGACTGTTATCCAGAATATATGAAGAACATCTACAACTCAATAATTTTAAAATTTTAAACTCAATAATTTTGAAATTATTGAGTTTAATAGACACTTCACAAATGGAAAGTCTATACATTACCAAAAAACATCTGAAAGATACCTAGCTTCACCAATCAGGAGTAAAATACAAATTAAAATCACAATGAGACACTATTACATACACACTGGAATAGCTAAGATTTTAAAAGACTGACAGTACCTATTGTTGGGAAAGCCCTGGGGCAACTCTAATTCACATAGACCATTGGTGGGAATATAAAATGTATAAAACGACTTTTAAACCAGTTAAATATTTCTTACAGGTAAACATACCCTTATTATACAACCCAGAATTCCCTTCTTAGGTATTTACCCAAAAGAAATGAAACATAGGTCCACACAAAGGCTTGTTCACAAATATTCAAAGCAGTTTTATTCATAATAGCCAAAAGCTGAAAGCAACCTAAATGCCCATCAACAAATAAGTGCATACACAAATTGTAGCATTTCTATGCAATGGAATACTACTTAGCAATAAGTAAAACCTATTGATTCATGAAAAACATAATGAATGAATCTCAAAAACATAATGCAGAGTTAAAGAAGCCAGAAAAAAAGAGTATATACTCTGATTCCTTCTATATAAAATTCTAGAATAAGAAACCTAATCAATAGTGAGGAATCGATAGTGGGGGTCATGGGGATTCACTACAAAGGGGCATGAGGGAATGTTTTAGAGAGAGATGTTCCATATCTTGATTATAATGAAGGAAATTACATAGTTGTATCAAATTTATTGAACTGTACAACTAAAATGATTGTACTTTATTGTGTGTAAATTATACCTCGATAAATGTGATTTTTAAAATCTACATTCACAAAAGATATCATTTTATATTTGTGATTGAGAGCAAATATCATGATCAAATAAATTTTTTTCAATCTATATATATCTTAGTGTCCATTCCCCTAGAAGCATTTCCTGAGACAAAGGTTTGAATGAAAGTAATTTATATTAAAGGTGATTATATGAGGCATCAATAATGAAGAAGTAAGGAAGTGAAGATTTGAAGCAGAAAAAAGTAGTTTAGTAAAGTGTGTTCCATCAAGCAAGTTACCACCGTGGGGTTTGGTGAATCCGTATACAATACACGCATCAAAGTTATCCCTCTTGAGATCATTGGATGAGGACTTCTCAGGTAACTTGTGGAAGCCTGTTCTTGGGTACCAAACAGCATTATTTCCTGAGCACTTCTGTCCTACTGTACAGGTAGCAGAGCAGGCTCCAGCGGACAAAGAAAGCCTTCAGGAAAAGAAATCCACATGCTGGCAGTTGGAAATTGAGCTAACGTGGACTGCAGTGATAAGGAAAGTAGTGACATAGACAGGACGGTATCAGTGTCTGCTACAGCAGTGCCGGAAAAGAACACTCGATAACTTAAAGTTCATTGCTAACTCAGGAATTTTAGGCATATAAATATTCGAGTTAAAGACAACTTTGTATCTTTTATACATTTATTTTCATTTTGTTTTCAAGACTAACACACCTTTTACAACTAGAAAGATGTAAGTCAAAATGAGCTGACCACAAATTTGAAAGTCAGGTTTATGCCATTCAAATATGCTGGAAACAGTCAATATCATTGAATGTTATCATCAAATTAAATCACATCATTGTAAAAAAGATACAAATACAGTTAATAAGTGTTTCAATTATTAATTCCTGCAGTAGTCTTTATTTGGCATTGATAACTACATCATCCCCAGGATCCCTTATCAGCAGAAATATATTAAGGGATACATATAATATTTAAGACACTTAACTGTTATAACTACCAAACTATTATTCTACAGCAGTATACTAAATGCTATCCCAGAGGCCTATAAATATTAATATCAATTTCCACATATGAAATGAAACAATTACACTTGTTATTATTTTGTTTTGTTTTTAAACAATAATACAAGGAGAGTCAGCATCAACTGATGGCTATAGCTGACTATTCAACCACCACATGTATTTACATTTCTAAGTAAATATCAGTTCTACATATTTAATCTTCAAGCACAATACTTTTGAATCAATTGTCCCACTGAAGTACATCCATATGAATTAAATGTGTTAGCCAGTGTACAATGGCATACCCAATTACATAATCAATTAATTTTTTCTAGACAAACAGATTATTATAGCCTTTCCATCCTATGATTTGTAGCTTCTTTCCTGGTTTTCAGTTTAATTGCACATTTCAGGGAAACCTGAGTACAAGTACAGTGTTAGTGCTCAAGACTTTGAAAAGGTTTTGTAGATTAACAAGTAATTGTGGTGACAACACCTGATTTTAAGGTAAGCCCCAAGTATGTTTCTAGACAATTTAGGATGATGTAATATTTTAAGTTTAATTATTGTTTTGTTCATTGAACTTTTATTCAGAAGTTTAAAAATAAACAAAAATTACAACCGTCCAGCCACCTCAAAAATAATTTTTTAAATTGCAGATGGTTAAGTGTAAAATAGATAATTTTAAAGTAATCTTCCAAAAATCTTTCAAAATTTTCCTTTATTAATTTAGCTAATCAGTGAGGAGCTTCAGTCCCACCAATGATTTTCTAATTCCTTAACCATTCAATTTAGTTGTTCTTAACATTTTTAACTTTTAAAAACCCTTTTGTAAATATGTTGGAAAATAGAATCTCTCTTCCAAGAAAAAGGAATATATGCACAATTTGGGAAGTTTCATGGTCTCCCTGAAAGCCAAATTCAGAACCTCTGCCTTATTGGCAGGTTATATGTAGATCTACTTAGATATGAATAAGAAATAATGGTTTAAAATGGAACATAAAGAAATTTACATGTTCTTTTTTTATTTACTTGTCCCTTTCAATTTACATAATAGTAAATTTTCTCTCAAATTTTCAACAATGGATCAATATTAAGCAAGTTTTACACTTGTTGAATGAGTTCTTCATATATGTTTAAATAGTGGCATCTAAAGAAAATAACTGTGTAAATCTCATAATGCTTCTAAGAGCAATTAAGTGACTATCAGAATGGACCCAAAGAAGATATAGAGTATTCAAAATATAAAATTAATTTTTCCCTTCTATGGATTCCAAAGAGATAGATCAAGTGTAATAGAGATCAGAAGGAGCATGCACATCTGTAACTGTCTACTAATGTCAAAGCAGATTTTCAAATGTTTGCTTTTATAAAGCATCTATCTTTGTTTGTAACCTGAATATAAAAAATAAATAAGGCATCATTAACTCTCTCTTTCACACATCATAACCAATTCAGCCAGTAAATCCTAGGCTCCACTTTTGTCCTATATGGAGAATCTAATCATTCCTCATTGCCAACACTGCTACCGCAATGGTCTAAGTCTGAGCCTTCATGATCTCTCCTCTGTGTTATGCTAGCTTCACATCTTGCCTCAATGCAGCCACCCTTCCCACTTACAATCCATTTTCCACAGTACAGAGTGGTCCATAAAGGTAAGGCAGGTAATAGCACTAGTCCTGAAGATTTATTTTACATTCATAAGTAAAGCCAACGTTCTGCTCCCTTTCTTAGCTTATTTTCTAAGATTCTCTCCAGTGTTCACTCCGCTCCAGCTACTCTGGTCCTTTTGCCTTTCACCAAAACCACACTAAGTGAGCCCCTACCTCAGACACTTAGAATTGCTATGCTCTGTTTTTTGGAATGCTTTTGTACTAGATATCCTTATGACTAGCTCCTTCACTTCCTTCAAATGTTACCACAGAATAGAAAAGCCACCTTTCCAAACCATCAATTAAAAAAAAAAAAAAAAGAAATGAATAAACCACTACATCATACCTCTCTTTTGTCTTCGTAACCCTCATTACCACCAGATGTACTGTTTATTTAGTGAGTGCTGTCTTGTCTCACTGGATTCTAAGCTCTACGAAGTCAGTCAGGGACTTTGTCTATGTTGTTCACTGCTATATACTCAGTACCTAACCTGGCACATGACACATGTAGACATTCAGTAAATATGTCAAATGAATACATGAATGCTAAGATAGAAAATTACACAAATAGCTGAGTTCTGTCTCCTTCTTAGCCTCCTTCATGTCCTATTTCAGAGGCCCAAGCATGGAAATTTACTATGGCAATGTATATTTGTGAGGAAAACCTCATAAATACCTGATGAAAACAAAACAAAAATCTTGTGATCCAAAGAAAACAAAATTTACCAGGCAATGGAAATTTTACTATGTCTGTGGAAATTGAGGAATTTGGGACATATGTGTAGACCATGACCCTAATATAGAAAGATTATGTTACAATTATACAAGTAGGACCTCTCAGAGAGAGTGGAGAAAGTATAGTTTGGTATAACAGAAGAGTGTTAGATGTGCAGCTGATGAGTTAGGTTGAGTCCCATTCCCAGTGCAATGCATCTCCATAGCACAGGTGTGTAAGATTTCCTAAAACTTCTGTTTCTTTCAGTATGTCAGTGTTTGAAACTGAGTTCTACACTTATCCACAAAGTGTAAAAAATCTTCTGTTCCTTTCAGTATGTCGGTGTTTGAAACTAAGTTCTACACTTACCCACAAAGTATTAAAATTCCATTCCAGAAGGCGAAGGGGGGAAGAATGTTGAAGGTGTGATTTACAAACGTATTTACCCTTGACCCATCTCCTTCATGCTTCTGTAATTGTCCTTTGAATCTAAAACCATTATTTATGAAAATTATGTAAGCCAATATTAAAATGTTGAATTTCTATTGGATGGGAAGCATCATAAAGGTCGCAAAATCCTCTCTACATTTTAATAGGCTATCTTGTCCTTCAATATAGGTGTCTCTATATTAAAACCTCTGTTTCACAGTGTGCTACCATTCTACTTTTCCCAAAATATATACCACTAAATTTCATCAGATGAATAAAATAACATCTAGTTGATGTTAATTAGTCACATAATCAACTGTAAAAAAAGTAATTTTACCTTTCTGTAGCTTAACTTTTTGTCTTAAACCCAAATTCTGCCACATGGAGAACACACAAAATCTCAGCCAATCGAAGTCATTTTCAATCTATCTAGGGATTATTCGAACCTGTTCCAAAGGTTGCATACAACTTTCACAGGGCATATAAAATGCCATGGTGTTGGCAGAAGCTGGTACCCAATTCTCAATCACTATGAGCCCACACTGGCCTCCCAGAAACTCACATCCTGTCTAGTCTGCAGTAGTCAGGTCTGGTAGATGGCTCCTGCATACTTCTTGTTCCAATCTCAAGGCCTCTTTGGTACTCTGGGCTCCATCAAGTTTATGCCACTCTGCTACAACAGAAAACTTCCTGCTGCTCTCATGAGACTTTTGACACCCCTTTCCCAATGGCCTAGCTGCTGCATACAGCCATCTCAACTCTGCTGCAAGACTTGCTGTTTCCCCATATTCCATTCCGGGAGGAAGTATCCCCCTGCTGTCAGATCCCGAAGCCCCAAGAGGTCAAGGCCCTTTCCCAGGGCCACCCCAGCATTTATAATCTTGCCTCCACTAGTGAATTCCTTTTCCTCACAGTGTGAATACAGAACACCTATTTTGAGTTGGTGGAATGAGTGAGGAGGAACTGGCTCTGCATGACCTTAACTTTTTCCAAGAAACTCTATTAGATATGATGCAGAATTTATATCCTCATGCTTCAAGGCATTCCTTTTGATATACATAACTCAAGTGGAAAGAAAACAAAGCAACAAACAAAAAAACGTTTTATGACAAGATCATTAGCTCTGCCAAATTTTCAAAATAAATTTGCCAAGAATTTCCAATGTCCTTATTTGTTTTTTGGCCCTGCTACAGCAGAGGCCTGAATGTGGGAAGCTGTAGTTGCCTAAGTTGGGGGAAGCCCACATGGTACGAATAGGTAAATGTGTGTATGGGGATTGGGGGCACATACTGCAAAAGTCTCCACTAAAAGTAACTGCAAGAGTAATACCTCACAAATACCTGATGAAAACAAACAAAAATCCTGTGAACCAAAGAAAACGAAGATCATTTTAAGCTCAACTACACTTCTAGTGTTTTGTAATTTATAGAGAGTGAAATAGTTTAGACTTGAACATGTGTCGTTTTAATAATAAAATTCACTTTTTTCCAAAATTAGGGGAAAAATGAAAAGGTGACCAGGTTCAGTTAATAACAGAGTTCATACATTGAGTTCACAGATTATTTATAACATACTAGAATTTGAACATGATTCTGTTAACATAATGGAGTACAAGTTGCCTTCACACTTATGGTTCTCTTAAAGAATGTTAATTTTATACATGAGCAAAACATGAATAAGTTACTAAAAGTAAGTGAGTATAAGTGTCATTGTCATAGAGTACCAGGGCACAGCAGCCACAAGCATTCAGTGTATTCCAATTCCTGTTTTGTGTATAGAGCTGGGTTTCTAACAAACTTGAGAAAGTAAAATAAGGAAATTGTTACCATTTTTGGTGTGTGTGTGTGTGTTTAAGAATAAAACCTTGAAAGCAAGGAAAATGAAACATATCAGAAGACAGGATTTGAGCAACCTTTTCGAGTATCCTCAACTCACTTAAGCTTTTTACAGAAAATACCCTCATGTGTTTTTGTTTTGACTCCGTGAGAATACCCAATTCAAAGCCTGTAGCAGAAGGGCAGAAAGACTCACTATGATATGAACTAAATACAGTTGAAAAAAAACCACACTAAAATTATCTAAGTCATTTTTGAGGAAAACTTAAGTCACGTTGCTGAAAGTTTCCTAAGCATGCAGTAGTATTTCCCTGAAATGAGATTCCTGTGAAGGAATCTTGAGTAATTCTGAATTACGTTATAGCTCCATTTATCCCTGACCTGCAACTTTCATATGTATCAAGCTCAGAAACAACTCTGGCCCTAAATCAAAAATGATTTTATAAAAAGTAGTTTGGGGAACAATGCTAGCTACCACAGCAGTGTATTGGCAGAGGCAACTACATTGTATAGCTGGTTTCTGCCTGAGAGCTACCAGGGCTGGAATTCGCCACAGGATTATGAGGGGGACCTGAGCAAATAAGAAAAATAGCAAAAAGCCGAAGAAAAATAAATGAATTAAATGAATTATTCATCTCTTTTCGATGTAATGATACCATGCTTATGTTTACATTAAATGTGCCAATTTTGGGTAGAAGTGTTTTCAATGCAATTTGAAAATAGAATAACACAGAGGAGTAACAGTTTAAAAAGTCAGTTTCTGGAGTCTAGAGATGGGTTTTGACTCCCTGATTTATCACTTAAGAGCTGTGCTACTTCAGGGAGGTTACTTCATGTTTCTAAGCATCAGTCTCCTCTTGTAACACCGGCATGAGAGCACCTTCCTCACAGAGTCATGATGCTTAAGTGAGGGAATAGATAGAAATGCCTAGCACAGTAAATGGCCCACCCTTATGTGTTCGACAAATATTAGCCATTATTATCATGGACTTGTACCCCTTTCTCTTTTGGGTTAAGGGGGTTAATAAAAGAGAATAGCAATTGTTTACCTCTCTTACAAAGTTTATGAAATATTTTTAAACTGCTTAGGCAATGTCATTTGGCCATGCTTTCTATCAAAAATTGCTATAAAATACAAAACAAATTGATTTTGGTAATAAAACTGGACTTCAGAAAATTGACATGGTAAATTTTGGCAGTAATGGAAACAATGGTAGACTTTTTCTTTAAAAAAAAATGCTTATCACTTTGGGAGGCCGCGATGGATCAGGAGGTCAGGAGTTCAAGACCAGCCTAGCCAAGATGGTGAAACCCCATGTCTGCTAAAAATACATAAATTAGCCAGATGTGGTGGTGCATGCCTGTAATCCCAGCTACTTGGGAGGCTGAGGCAGAAGAATCGCTTGAACCTGGGAGGCGGAGGTTGCAGCGAGCCGAGATCACACCACTGCACTCTAGCCTGGGTGAAAGAGCAAGACTCCATCTCAAAAAAAAAAAAAAAAAAAAAAAAAAAAAAAAAAATTCAACAATAGCTGCATTCTAACAACTTTCTTGCATTGTTTCTTTAAATTATCACAATCACAAGGGCCAAGTTTACTCTTGTGTTTGAGTAGAAGAATTGCATTCTATCTGTCCCTTTGAACTCCTAAGATCAGGAAATAAAAAGCCAGAGACTTTTGGGTGAGGATGTGAACAGAGTTGTATGTCTAATTCAGTAGCTAGAATTTTGGGCAACAACACCTGGCCTCTGATGGCAACAGCTACTCCAGCCACCAACAGAAAGTCTCTAGGCCTTCCACAGCCATCACATCTGGGAGCTTTACAGTTATCCTGCAAACCATCAGTGATAAAAGGCATGTTATCACTGATGCAGAATTATGAAAGTACTTTTGGTCAGGCATGGGACACCTGGCTAGCTGCTTGGCGCTAGTACTCCCCTACCTTAAGGCTGTTTCTCTAGACCTTGCTCATGGAGCAAATCCTAACTAAAACTTTTATTAGGAGGTTTCTGTCTTTCCCATCCTAGTAAACAGAAATTAGAAATTTGTTAAGTAAAATATTTCTGATATTATTGTATATAAAACTTAATGATACACTGCAATTTTAGACTTTTTGTCTTATGTACCCAACCCCCGCAATTATTCTTTCATATGCATGGGACTCCTGAGAAAACTCTGACCTTGCAATAAGTTTTTCAGGATTTGATTCAGCCTATAGTCAATTTTTGTATTCAGCCTGTACTCAATTTTTATCGTCTAGAGATTCGATAAGTGGTCATAATTTTTATGCAAATTGTTTATTTTTAAATATTTGAATCGATATACTAACTTGCATTTTATTTGAAAAACATGAAAGAAATAAATGTAAAATAAATAGATTGATAGTTGAACAGGTAAATAAAGTTCTAAAACTGGTATATCAACCACGTCTTCCAATGGTTTGTAAATACGGCCATTAGAATTTCTTTCAGGCTAAAACTGGGCATTCAAAGCTGATGGTGAAGATGGACATTGCTTTTCCAAAGAGCTGTTTATTCGTTAGGCTGCTTCTTACATATAAAGCAGTGGGAAAAAAGTGAAAAGAAAACACTTTCTCAGGCTTCTCATGATTTTTTAATCTATTCTGTGCAAAAATATGGCTTACAATTTATTGCTGAAATGTAGGAACTTGAAGATTCCCAGTCCACACTTTTAAATTTAACAAGTATCTCAATTACTTGCAAGGTAATCACTTCCAGAACTTTACTGTGTGACATTACCAGGTATGCCCCTTCCACTCATTCAGAGAAATTCTCTCAAGAGCCATGGACCCAAAAATGCCCAACTGAGAACATGACAATTCATTTTTTTTGTTTTATAAAGAAATAAACCAGTAATTTGTATCATTTTTCTTCCATGAGGCAAGAAGCTACAACAATCATTACTTTATAATAATGTTGATTTTACTAAAATGTTTTTGAAACGAACAATAGGAGATGACAAACCCATGTTTGCATCAGATACTAACCACTTCCACCTGGAAGATTTTTTTTTCTATACTTCAGCAAAGATGTAAAATAACATTTAAGATTCTAGAGAATGTTATTTTCTTAGTGTTGCTTAAAGTTTATTTTCCAAATAACAAAAGCATTTTCTAACACAGTTAAAACTTAACCAGTTTGTTTAAGCAACAAGTTGGTCTAATAGTTTTCCTCTGAGCCTTTGATCTTTCTTTGACATTGATCATCTTCCTTCACCCATTTCCTTGTCAAAGAAAGGAAGAATTTAATGGGTGCAAATACATTTCTTTGAATCAAAGTTCTATATCATAATAATTTTTCTCTATTACAGATAGAGGTGTTGTTGATATAGAAGTTTGGGATGAATGTGTACCGGCCCAGAATAAGGGTCCTGAAGGTTTGGATTTTTTAAAATTAAAATGCTTGTTGGAAGTTTGCTACATCTTTTCTTCTTATTTTGTTTTTCTTCTAAAGAAAATCTCAGTAAAACATTTCAGTCTATGAATGTTAGTTAGCTGTGTTCTGTGTGTTTATAAAACTGTATAAGCTACATTTCATTGGGAGGTTAGAATGCAAGATAGAGGGTTGGAGACTGAAGTACATTTTTATCTTACTTTGAATTTTGTATTACAAAATGACAGATCAGACCATACAATGAGACTCATAGTCCGCTAATCGAAGGATCCTTTAAAGATATATTTTTTCCTTTCTTACTTACTCTCATGTTTGCTAAGAGCCAACTAATTCCTAAGTGATCACTTTTGATAAGTAAACTCCAGAATGACAAGATTTATCTACGGCAAGTATGTTCAGCAGCCAGGACTCATTAAGGTCTTACTGCCTGTTGTGCCAAAGAGACGCCGTTCTAACATTAGCTTCTAAATTCCATGGTAAATTAATTAATTAATAACTATATTGATATAAATGGTCTAGATATTTTGGAGCATTTCAAGAAATGGACATTTAACAGAGTAATGAGTGCTCAATTTGCAGTTGACTGTCGTTAATCAAATCGGTCATTGAGTTCTCACTTTAGAACTCTGGTTTTGTTTCTCTTGCAGTACTTTCATTATTTTCTGTATGAAAACAGACTTATTTCTAAGTACCATAAGGGGAAGATGATAATGAATTTGTGTTCTTAATTTGACATAGTTTGTTAACCTTTGAAACAATTCAAATTCCGATTCCCAACTCGTGGCTTTAAAAATTGGTCACCTCCCATATTTCTTCATCTGGTTATTTTGCTGAGATTGTGTACAGCAACTATTCATCTGGTTATTTTGCTGAGATTGTGTACAGCAATTATTTTTTAAAATAAAGTTAATGTCCATAAACAAACAATGCTCTCTCTTTCTCTCTCTCTCGCTCTCTCTCTCTCTCTATATATATATAAAGTTGATCCAATCTGCTATAGGTAAATTGAGCATTGAAGCCCTCCAATGTTATCACAATTTCTTCAGTTGAGTTGAGTCATTACAGTATAATCAGGAAAATTCAGCCACAATCTTCAGGCATCTTGACTCTGCTAAAGCAAAAAGAATGCTTTCACTTCCGTTCTTCTGCTAAATAAAGACTGGTCAGGAAATAATTCAACTATATATAATTAATTTAGGAGACCTCAATTATCTCCTGATGTTCATTGATTTTTGGTATTCTTGAATAACTAGCATGACACCAAACCAAAAATGTATGCAATGCTATATGCCACAAATTCCCCAGGCTTCAGATTGAAACTCTTAAGTTGTTTTGACTGGGCAACTAACAGCAGTTTAGATAGTTCTGTACAAATTTAGAGATATGAGATGCAAAGCCAGGACTGTATTCCAGCACATTCTTCTTGTCAGAACCATTTAAATCACCATCTTACACAAGTACATATTGAAACTCAACTTTAAGTGTTTTATTTTTATGTACATTTCATTTTTTCCAGAAATAAAATATCTAAATACAGACAGACTGTAATGTTGTATATGTATAGCTTTCAACAATACTTGATCTGAATAAATGCTCTGTACATTAAGTTTGTCTTTTTAATGGCCTTCACAGCTACATTGATAAAATGAATTCCTCATATCCTTTTTTCTTAACCAATAACAAGCAGAGAGACAAGTACAAGTTAATATTAATAAGCAGCTCAAATAACACTTGGTTAAACTATGTACAATACAAACCATTCATACAAATGAAGACTAGGATATTGAATTTGTTACAATATGTGTAGTAAAGATAAGACAGACACTTATAACTTACATGGTGTCTGCCAGGCATTTCCCTTCTTATATAATGATCAGAACTTATTTTAAGCAGCCTTAGCTGGTGTCAACTTCACAAAAGTCCAATGATTGGTGATGAAAGTTGTTATCCCAATGTCTGCCCACATGTAAATTCCAAATGTTTGCTCATCTTTACTGAGAACAGGCCCCTTTCAAAGAAAAAAGAGCCATCTTGGACCACTTTGAATGTGCCTACTGTATGCTGGAAAAAAGTTACTACATTTTGTTGTGTTTGTAAAATAAAGAATACTGAGCTCTAAAGACACATTTTTCCATTTTAACAAGCAGATACTCCTACAGTAGTATTTACCAGTACAGCTACTCCAAGCAGTAGGAATGCATGAGTGGAGATTATTGATTAGCATGTACTCAAGACTTTAAAAGAGATTTCCATAACAGCAACTGTTAGAAACATTCTCTGTCTAGTTAATCCTTCCGTTTGATGATAGTTGATCCTGAACCATTATGAGTCAGACAATGAAAGCCCTCTCAACAGGAATCATGATAGACGCAAGCTGAAATGTGCATGACGGTGTGTTTGTGTACCTCTATATGTGAGAGCATGTCTTCAGGTGTGAATTCAAAATCTGTGATGATTTACAATTATACTGAGGGATGAAGCTGACTGGGCAGAAATTACATCAGAGTGTTTTCCACTAGTGTATTTTGCAGCCAGTTGACAAGAGCAGCAGTGTAGACACATTCCAGGCAACAGATGTGACCTTCTTCTTTGAGGTAACAGCCCTGTCATATGACCTTTAATTCCTCAGGCTTCAGTCTCACCCCCATGTTCACCTTCATCCCGAGGGAAAGTAAGGTGTGTCACTGTGGTAGTTGTAGTCAGGGCACACTTTCTGTACCAGTTTATAATCTGTACTATAAAAGGAAATGTAAATACAGATCACCTTAAAGGGCTTGGAGCAGAGCCAGGATACATGACTTTGGGTTTGCTCCTGGTAACAGGTTTTTGAAGGGTCATAGTTGCAGAGTGTGTTCTTGGTAGCCTTGTCAACCTTTTCATATTCAATGCGACAATTAAAAGACTTGGAATCTTTGGCATCAATCACGGTTTGTTGTGCCAAGTCAAATTCCACGATTTTTGTAGGGGGTACCAAGCTGACAGATACATTCCCTTGACCAGTTGAATTATGCCTGAAATAAACACTAAATGTCCCATTGCCATGATCTACAATTTTCCCAGTTATCAACAGGTTCAGCTTCACTGTTTTGATGTTGGAATGAAAATCGCCCCATCCAAACATTTTCTTAAACTTGCCCGTTTTAACAATGGGCCTTCTCTTGGCCCTGGGCCGAGGCTCTTGAAGGTCTGTGGAGTTCCTCAGCCAGTCCCAGAGGTCTTGCTCAGAATAAGGTTCTGGGGTGTCATATCTCAGGTCCAAATCTGTATCATTCTCTTTGCCACGAAAAGTCTGTGACAGGAGTCGGCTGATAGACAAGTCTTTGCTGCTTTCTGTCCATATGTGCTTTAGTGTGGATTTGCTGCTTCCTGATTTCAGAAGTTCTGACTTTCCACCGTTCGTTAAATTGGCACATGTGACCTGAAAACAGAAGAGAAAAATGGCATTTACATCTCTGCATCTGAGAATAACACCCAATGCATAGATCTAAGCCTTCTCTGAGTCTCAGGATTAAATAATTACACTTTTTTTTAAAAGCACCGCATCTGAGAAGAACACCCAAAGCAGAGATCTAAGCCCCCTCTCCCAGAGTCTCAGAATTAAATAATTACGTTTTAAAAGCACCATCAGCATCTGGCCAATATTTTTTAATATGTGATAAAACACCACTTATATTTTTGTATAACAATGGAAGAAGGGAGATGTGGGTGGAAAAACTACTAAATATGACCTGAAAATTATATAAAACCACTGGTTAATGGAAGAAAAGGCCACCCAGCATGAATAAAGCAAAGTAAATTCAAATATAAACCAAAGTAATTACTTCTTAGCACAAAAATTCAAACATTTTTGAAATCAAATTTTATAAATCATTATGTTCTTTTTCTATTTCAAAATTACCCTAAGCTTTAAAACTGTATGATTCTCTGGACACAGAGAGGCAAACAGCACACACCAGAGCCTGTTGAGGGGTGGAGAGGTGAGGGGAGGGAACTTAGAGAACGGGTCAATAGGTGCGGCAAAACACCATGGCACATGTATGCTTGTGTAACAAACCTGCATATTCTGCACATGTATCCCATTTTGTTAGAAGAAATATATAAATATGAAATAAACTGTGATTCTCAGACATATGTCAACTGACACCCTTTAGACTATTTCGTTATCCATATTACAGTCATATTAGAAAAGTTAGTCTTGCAAAGAGACTCTGGTATATTTTAACCGGTCAAAACAAAATAACATGTTTACTATCACCTATAATAAGCAATGAATATATTGAATAAGACATAATTTTTTACCTTGCAGGGCTTAACATGTGATCTAGGAACGTGACTTTAAGTAATTGTCAGTTCTAGAGAAACCAACAACATGTGGTCAATGACTGAGAGGTCACTTCAGGGTGGATTGTGAGAGTCACATGCAGACACTGTTCTCCTAGGACCGCAAAATTATTTCTTAGGAAAGAATTGTATTTCGAACTGCACAGAGATACAGAAGAACCAGTGGCCACAATGACCACACTGGCCTGTAGTTAAAGCAGTAACTTCTTATCCTGACATGGAAGAATCAAGGACAGGAGCTAACAGAACTAAGGACCCACGGGAACTAAAATAGCCAAGACCAGTAAACCATTCAATATGCGGACTTGCTGTTTTAAGGTAAGGCTGTTGAATGGAGTCCCCAGCTACCCATTAAAAAGCCACATTTCACAATAGACTTATATTGCCATGCCCCTGGAGAACCAGTTCTGAGTCTTGTCTCAGATACCAGCCTGATTACTACTCAGCAGCTTCATTGGACCCTCCAGTCTCCTTCCACACTGTTCTTAAAATGAATGGTCATTCCTGGAAAGCTTTTTAAAATTCAGGCCCATTAGGAATTATAGCTGTGTTCCAGGGACACTTCCCTAGACTTAGCTGTGTGGGACTCTTGTTAGGATACAAATGTGACCTGAAAATAGCATTTTACTCAACCACTTGTTACTGAAAGGATGCGCTCTCAATCCCTGGAGAGCAAGACCATAAATTCTAGAGCCAGACTCCCTGGAATTCCCTCCCAGCTCTGACACTGCCAAGCTGTGTGCCCCTGGTCAAGTTAGTTAACTTCCCTCTGCCTCTGTTTCCTGAATCTGTAAAATGTAGGCAATATGATATCTACTTCATAAGTTTGTGAGGATTGAGTGAGCTAAACAGGTAAAACCTTTAGAACAGTGGCTGGCATTTGGAAAGGGCTCAATAAATGTAGCTATTATTGTGAATACTAAGCTGATGTTTGAGGAGAATTAGAGAAAGCAACCAAATAATACATATGGAGATCTTGCCTGGGAGAAGTTTTGCACAGGATTACACAGCCAAGTGCTTGGAATGTGGAAAAAAATGGGCTCCCCCAGGGACATAGATGCAGAGAACCTTCGTCATCTCAACTAGAACAAAAGCTCTTAGATCTTGTAAACCTTCTTTTCAAGCCAAGAAGCAGTCTCCTATTTGCCTGTTCAAATTGAGGTAACATGAGTGTGGCTGGACTATTCTCACCACAGAAAGAATACCAGCTGAAGCTGTCATCTTCCTAATAATGCTGAGCTTAAAAACCCTGCAAGTTTGTCTCCATGAAAATTCATTGCATCAGAGATAAAACGCAACTTCATCATGCGTTTGTATCCCATGACAGCACCCTGAAAAGCCAAAACTGAAACTCTGGGTAGGCTAACAAAAAAAACTGTGAACTCTTTGAGGCTGCTAGCTCGAGTACAGTTGCATCTGCTGTGATCCCCAAGGCAATAGCAATGCCCTCATGGAAAGATGCAGAGGGCCATTGTGTGCAGAGATGAAGGAAGAATAGATAACACTGACCAATGGAGAATCAGTCTCTGGACTATTGTCAGGGCAAGGTCACATCTAAGAGAAACACGGACCAGCCTCGTGTATGCAGTCAGTCCTTTTAAAGTGTCTGCTCCCCACAATAAGCAAACACCCTGCTGTGGAGTCAAATGGGGCTATCAGACGGCCATTAGTGGTCTTGGGGAAAATATAGGAAATTGACAGAAGGTTATCTTCGCTGCCAACTTTTTTTTAGTTGTAAGTACTTCCCTTTCACTTTTGCTCAACCCTTGCTTTGGTATCTCTCCTTTCCCCTATGTACCCAAACTCTTTCCTGTTTACAGATTTTCTTCATACCAAAATAGTATCGCAGAAATGGACCACATTCAAACAGTAGAAATGACTAATAACAGCAAAATCGTTGCTTTAGCACAAGTAATTTTTAATAAGGACTAAATATTAATTTCTAATAGGATAAAGTTGAAAGGAAAAATATTCCTTGGGAGAGGAGGATTATGCATAGGAATATATAACTTTTCTTAAGAAAAAAGCAATACATTTCCAATCTATCCTGACAATAAAGCCATTCCATTATGGAAAAATATTTACTCTCACATCAAAAGGATTATCCTTAGCAGCTCCAGAGTTAGTATTTTTCATTATAGTTATAAAACTAATAAAAACAACTACAGCTTTCCCACTCATTTTCTGAAGGTACTGCATTTCAAAAGATACTATTTTTCTGTAACACAGAGTAGCTATAATGTAAAATTTAAAACTAACATTAATCAGTAAAAATAGTACATACCTTTGGATTTGGGAGACTGTGTGTGTGTGTGTGCGTGAATAAAATCTAATTGATTAAACATCTGAATCTGCACTTGCCTAGTTACATAAGCATTGCCCTTATCACAGTTCCTACATTTATGCCTCAGTATAAAACAAATACATGTGTATCCTCTTCTCTGGCTTTTGCCTGGAATTATCTAGACAGTTTCCCATTGTTTGTGTGGCAAAAAGAATAAATACAGGAATGCATTTAGTAGTGGCTTAGTGCTTATATCTCAGCATCAGCAAAGGGCTGTATTGAGATGCTTTCATGATGCACTGGCTAATGAAGCAGTAACGAAATTATCCCAAAGAAGGAGGAAAAGAGGGATTTACAGCTCAATTTACCAGTAGCATAGGGGGAAATGAAAGTAAAACTTGTGGAAGTAGTGAATATGGTTTCAAGAAGGAAGAATCAATCTATTCAAAAAGTTGCTAAGACTCCTCTGACAGACAAACCTCTGATTTTCAGGTAGAATAAAAATTGTTTAGTTCTAAATTATGTTATCCACAGCTGTAGTAATTATGGGAGTGCACTCTGGAGTCAGACTGCCTGAATCCCAGTCCAGGTTCTGATCTTTAACAGCTGTGTGATGTGGGCAAGTTACTTAACTTGTTTAAGCTTCACTGTTTCTCTCTTCTAGGGAATAGAAGAATAATATCAATCTTCTTCACAGGGCTGTTGTGAGGATTAAATAGGGCACTCCATTCAAATTACTAAGGACAGTACCTGGAACACTGTTCAATAGTCGTCTTAGCTGTTGTCATCACCAGATATTTTTACCTCTGAATCTCACTACATAATATTTTATGTAAATTATTAATTTATAATCGGATTTAAGAGCATAAAGCATTCTTGAAAGAAAATCTCCCTTCAATATAACCACAAACATAAAGCAAACAATTAAAAAAAAAAGCATGCTGTGGGGGAAAGCGGGGGAGAAGAAAATGGGGAGAAAATGAGCATAAAGTTTTAGTTAATCAGGTTGAAATAAATTCTAGAGATCTGCTTTGCAACATTTGTACTTATAGTCAATATTGTATTTTACAGTTTAAAAATTTGTTAAGAGGGTAGAACTCACATTAAGTGCTCATACCACAATAAAATAATTTTTTAAATTTATATTAAGGATAGCATCAATATATATTGAACTCCAAACAATGTAACATGAATTGAAATGTTGAAAAGGAAAGAAAGCAAGCATATATTTTTGAAAGTGCTGCTGTGACTGCCTAAATATATGGCAAATAAAGTAAGTGATTGAACTCAAGTTAGCTAAAATTATGCTCATCCTTTGTTATTAAACAGCTTAGCTTCCAAATGCAATGAATTATTTGCCTTCAGTGATATAATGGGAAAGGCTTCAAGTGGTGCTGACAGTCAGGAAGCCTCTCTGGAACATCTCAGTGTGGGTAAAGAATCAAAGCAGGTTTCAGCTGTAATCATCATTAACACTGTCTTAAATATTCTTATTCCCTCAGTCCTTGCTTTTTACTTAGGAAGGGAGTAGGGCAATGTCTAAAAGAGAATATAAATCTGGAAAAAAACAGGAAGGTTCCTTAGCAAAGTCCCCAGAGCTGTTCAAGACTAACAACTCCAATTTCTTTTGTCTTATTAACAAAATAGCTGTATAGTGAGACTACAAGAATATTGAGTGGAATAAAGAAATGCAAACATCAATGGCACATGGTCCTGGCTCTCGAGAAGTTCACAGTCTACTGGAGGCATCAATTAAGCCATCACAGTGTGATGCAACCAGCACTATGTGTAACATTCCAGCAATCATAGTCAAAGTTGAAAGGTAGAGAAGGTATAACAGAAGAGATGATCCTTAGATGTGGTAGATAAAAGAGGCTTGGTACTTTAACAGCTAGTGCATGGGCCAGAGGAGTTCTTCCAAGAATAAAGAACAGGGCCGGGGACAGTAGCTCTCGCCTGAAATCCTAGCACTTTGGGAGGCCAAGGCAGGAGGATAAAGAGGTCAAGAGATCAGATCATCCTGGCCAACATGGTGACACCCTGTCTCTACTAAAAATACAAAAAAAAAAAAAAAAAAAAAATTAGCTGGGCGTGGTGGCACATGCCTGTAGTCCCAGCAACTAGGGAGGCAGAGGCAGGAGAATTGCTTGAATCAGGGAAACAGAGGTTGCAGTGAGCCAAGATTGCACCACTGCACTCCAGCCTGGCGACAGAGCAAGACTCTGTTTCGGGGCAGACAGTGCCAAAGCACAGAGCAGAGAAAGGACGTGTCAAATGTAAGAATGAAAAAAAAACTTATTATTCTCTAACTAAAATTTTACATTCATAGACAAACATCTCTCTACTCCACCCACCCCCACCCCCCAGGTATCCACCATTTTACTCTGTTTTTATGAGTTCAACTTTTTTACACTCCACATTTAAGTGAGACCATGCTAAGAGAGTAGATTTTAAGCATTCTCACCATACACAAAAAACAAGTATGTGAGATAATGCATATGGTAAATAGCTTGATTTAGCCATTCCACAATGTATACATATCTCATAGCCTTATACTGTACACCATAATTATACACAATTTTCACTTGTCAATAAAGAAAGGGGAAAAAAAGAAAATAGCTTCTTACTGCTGAACGCCAGGGAGCATTACTTTAGAGGAGAAATAGAAGAGCTTGCCAAAAACTTGTAGAAGGCAGGCTACGGCCAAATCGTAAAGGTGCTGCTAAGGCATTTAAACTTAATCTTACAGGAAATAGGGAGTCACTACATTTCATTTTGTTTTCTTTTTAAGTAGGTCATCCTGGCTCTAGAAGAATCGCTGAGTAGATATTAAAGGGTGGTTTAATAGAGACCTTGAAGGAAGGGAGACTAATTAAATAACTAATTGCAATATTTCATTTGAAAAAGAAGTGAACCTGAACCAAAACAGTAGCAGAGAAAAAGAGGAAGAAATGATGGATCTAAGGGATAATTCAGACGTAGGATTAACTAAGCTTGATGATTCTTGGCTAAATAGAAACATAAAAAAGGTTGAGAAAGCTTGCTTGCATCTGCAAGGAAAACAGTGGTAACAAGTTGGCTGGAAAATAAAATTAAAACTCATAGAAATATTGGGAGATTAAGCGCCTGTGGGAAGTCATTCTGGTGATGCCATCCACTAGGAAACTGGGAACAAGGATCTGAAGGTCTGGAGACATGAGAGGGATGGTGATGTTGATTTTGTAGTATGAGTAGATGGTATTGTGCAAGAAACGTGTGGTAATAAAGAAGTATGCTAAGAATATCTTTAAAAATGTTAGCACTTTGAGGACAGGCAGAAGAGGAGCCAGTTGATCATCAGAAGTGGTAAGGACTATAGCATAAAGATGATTACCAAAAAACAAACAAACAAACAAAAAACCAAAGCATATGGACCTTTTTCTATAAATATTTTCTATAATATTATAATGAAAACACCAAATATACTTCCTGAGGATAATTTTCCATGTCAAAAGTGGCCAATGCCCATTACCAAAGGAGCTGGCTCTCTAGTTCAATGATACCATTTCCACAAATTTGATGTGTCTCATTGTTTCAGAAACATTCAGACATAAAGATTATTAACATAAGTGTATGCATTTTTAAATATATGATTCTTTTGAGACTATATACAAATAGGGGCATAGACAAGGGTCATTTTCTTCAACATTAAACAAAGACCAAGCTTAGATCTAACATCAAAGGAGCATACCTAGGACAGAAACTGAGTTTGGGGCTAGAGAGAAAAAACCACCATTGGATGGTGGAAGTGTGAGCACATGAAGAGTTGCCATGCTTTGGCAGGGCGCGGTGGCTCATGCCTGCAATCCCAGCACTTTGGGAGGCCGAGGCGGGCGGATCACAAGGTCGGGAGGTAGAGACCATCCTGGCTAACACACTGAAACCCCGTCTCTACTGAAAATACAAAAAAATTGGCCGGGCACGGTGGTGGGTGCCTGTGGTCCCAGCTACTCGGGAGGCTGAGGCGGGAGAACAGCATGAACTCGGGAGGCGGAGCTTGCAGTGAACCAAGATCACGCCACTGCACTCCAGCCTGGGCCACAGAGCGAGACTCAATCTCAAAAAAAAAAAAGAAAAGAAAAAAAAAGAGTTGCCACACTTTGCTCTAGCTCCTCCTATACATGTCTTAGGAGCATAATTACACACTGCTTGTTCTAATATCATCTCATAATAGGTTTATAGTAATAATGCCATAATGCCAATACATTATCTTTTAAAATATTGTTGAAAGACACCATTTTGGGGGAATAAACCACTTCTCGACTTCACTCCCACTTCAACTATTCTGGCTGTACGTGACAAAATGTTTACTTCTTTATATATAAAATCTTCAACTAGAAGTGTCTCCAAACATTTGTATATCTCTTTTATATATACAATCTTCAACTAGAAGTGTCTCCAAACATTTGTATATCTCTTTTTATAAATGAGAAATGAGATGTCTTTTAACTTTTACCAACCTGCATATTTTACTGTTGATCTATTACTGTTCAGCATAAATAATCTCAAGATTGCTTTGAAAAATTTATATTTATTTCACCAAATGTATGAACACAAACAAAAATGTTTAAAAAAAAAACTATTGCTCAAGCAACATTGCTCACTGGTGAATAAGTAACCAACAAACAAACATTGCTCTATGATTACAACTTCATTTTAGTGGTTTATGGTTACCTATGTTCAATATATGTTGCATAATATTGACTACTATTGGTTAAGGGCACACTATATCACTGACATTGTAATTAGCACTTTACATATGGCATTGTATTACATTTAAACCACACACACGCACACACGCACACACTCACTAACTTTGAGGTCAATAGCAAAGTCTTCAGCTTACTGAAGAGATATGGAAACTCAAATAGCACTTGTCCAAAATCACTGCTGGTAAGCTACTTCTCACTATTCCACAGGATATATCCTTTATTTTTAAAAGCCATTTCAATAATGAAATTTTACATTAATTTATGCTTATTAAAACATTAAACATTATAGGAAATTAATAAAATAAAATGTAAAAGATGTTCTTCATCATCAACCCCTGCTTCCTTGCAATCCCACCCCCACCAAAGATAAAACCTGTTCAAATTTTGGTATATATTGTTCCTAAGTATTTTCTTTTTCATATATAAATATCTTACATACATGGTGTCTATTTTATAAATTACATTATATATTTTCCAATTAACAAAATATCTCAGAGACACATCTCAGCTAGTATATTCAGATATATCACCTGTATTTTATTAACTAAACATTCTACAATGCACATCACCTTTATTTTAAACTTAAGTATAGTTAGAATTCTATATTATGAATATACCGTATTTTTACATTTTATATACGTTTTGTGTGATAGATCCTTAATTATTACATTGTTTTATAGCCAGGTTACATAGTTACTATTTTAGCCTCAATTCCAATGTTTTCTTTGCTCATTGCTTTTTCAGATATCCCACTCCCCTCTCTCATTGAATTTTCATTTTTTCTGGGTGTATATATTTGTATGATTACTTTAAAAGAAGTTCATATAGGATAAAATGAGTCATCCATACCCAAAAGTGTCTTTACTGGCCATAGACTTACATGGATATAGTATTCCTTCATCTTTTAATTTGTTTTGCTTTTTCTCTCTGCAAAGAAATTTAGAATTCTATCTCAGGCACTCTGAATCTTACAAGGTAGATTACGTGGTGCCCATGTTTTCACTAGACCCTTTCTTAACTAGTTTAGAGAAAGGTAGGCAGCTATTTAAAGATGTGTTAGACTCTTTTTCATACAATTATCTCAAGAGTTTAGTTTCCCAAGACTACAGTCTTAAGAATATTTGAAAGATGTTCTTTCTATTTTATGCCATGTGTATCTTGGCAGAAGGAGTGCCTAGCATAGAGTAAGCACTTAATAAATTACCTGTATGGTTCATATTCTTAGCTACATCTATTTTAATAGTGAATGTTATTTGATTCACAATCAATATTTTAGGGGGACACATGGCACTCAGAGATTCCTTTCTTACAAATTTAGAGCCTGTATTTTATTGATAATACCCAAAGTACCTGCATTTTACATAAGCCAGAGGAAAGTAGTGTTTTAATACCTCAAAAATACATTCCTTCCTGTAAATCAAAACAACAGTGATATATCACCTCACACCTGTCAGCATAACTATTATGAGAAGGTCAAACAATAATCAGTGCTGAACACGATGTGGAGAAAGGGAACAGCTGTACACTGTGGATGGGATTATAACTTGGTAGAGAGATTATGGAAAACAATCTGGAGATTCCTCAAAAAACTACAACTACAAATAGAACTACCATTTGATCCAGCAATCCCACTTCTGGGTTTATATCCAAAGAAAATGAAATCAGGGTCTCAAAAAAAATCTGCATTTTATATTCATTGCAGCATTATTCACAATTGCCAAGATATAGACCTAAGTGTCCATCAAGGGATGAATGGAAAAAGAAGATATGAGCTATATAATTAATGAGAAATATGCATAATGGATGAGAAAATTATTAAGAAAGAAGGAAATCCTGTCATTTGTAGCAGCATGGATGAACCTACAGGACATTGTGCTAAGTAAAATAAGCTAGACAGAAACAAATACTGCATGATCTCACTTGTATGTGGAATCCAAATAAGTGGAACTCAGAAACAGGAAGTAGACTGGTATTTGCCAGAGGCTGGGGAATGGAGGAAATTGAAAGATGTTTGTTAAAGGATACAAACATTTGATTATGTGATGAATAAGTTCTGGAGTTCTAATGTACAACATGGTGACTACAGTTATTAACAATGTATTCTATACTTGAAATTTGCTAAGAGAGTAGGAGAGTTCTCACTACATACACACACACAAAATGGTAACTATGTGAGGTAATGGATATTTTAATTAGCTTGGTTGTGGTAATCATTTCACAGTGTATACATAAATCAAAACATCACATTATAAGCCTTGAGTATATACCATTTTTATTGGTCAATTACATATCAGTAAAGCTGGGAATAAATAAATAAATTTAAAGGAAAAAAAAAACAAAAGCAAAAAACAAGCAACAAAAAAGGTACATCATTTCCTTCATGCAAAGCAGTGCTTCAGGTACCACAGAGCTGCATTAACAATGGAAAAGCAGAAAAGGAGCTTCATGGCTCTCTCTTAACCCAGTAGGCTCCAGGAGCCTGTATTACATAGGAACTAAGAGAATGGGCTTTGCAGTCAGAGATCATAGGTCTAAATGCAAATCCTGCTACTTCATCATTGTCTATCTCTTAGAGCCACATTTTATCCATTTAAAAAATTTAGATAATACCTAACTCATTGGGTTTTTGTGAAGACAAAACTGAAAAATTTGTATGTAGTGCATGTCATGGGGATAAATACATGCCTGTATTTATTCTTCTTGCCATCCAAACAATGGCAAGCTATCTATGTAATTCTGGGTAAAAATCAGATAAGAGGATATGCACTTATTTCCTTCATTTCTTTTATACTAAGGTATAAATATAGGGGCTACAAATATAAGGCATAAATATAGCGTTACATGCAGTTTGAGCACAACACATGAGACCTATTATGCCAAGTTAGGTTATGAAACCCTGAAGGAGAAAGGAAAATAAGGCTTTCAGAATGTGCACTGCTATTCTATACTTGTCTCCTGACTGGAAACATTACATCAGCTCAAATAATCCAAACAAACTGAAGTGGGAATTAGCATAATTCTGACAACTCTGTGGTCATCTTTAGAGGTACAGTCACACACTGCCTACTGATGTTCAGACAAAGATGGACTGCATATACAATGGTGGTCCCAGGAGATTATAATGGAGCTGAAAAATTCCTATCACCTAATAATGTCTTGATGATGCTGACCCTGTGTAGGCCTAGGCTAATATGTGTGCTTGTGTCTTCATTTTTAAAAATGTTTAAAAAGCAAAAGATATAAAAATTTAAAAAATAGAAAAAGTTTATAGAATAAGGATGGAAAGAAAGAAAATATTTTGTACAGCT
Organism: Homo sapiens; assembly: GCF_000001405.40. Lineage (NCBI taxonomy): Eukaryota > Metazoa > Chordata > Mammalia > Primates > Hominidae > Homo > Homo sapiens. The sequence goes on along the minus strand of NC_000007.14, from coordinate 8,739,741 downwards.
TTATAGTGTGTTTGTGTTTTAACCTAAGTGTTATTACACAATAATCAAAAGTTTTAAAAAATTAAAAGTTTATAAAGAAAAAAGGTACAGTATGCTAAGGTTATTTTAAAGAAAGAAAAAAGAGGAAAATAGGTGACTGGCAAGATGACCAAATAGGAACAGCTCCAGTCTGCAGCTCCCAGCAAGATCAATGCAAAAGGCGGGTGACTTCTGCATTTCCAGCTGAGGTACGCAGCTCATCTCACAGGGAATGGTTAGACAGTGCGTGCAGCCCATGGAAGGCAATCAGAAGCAGGGTGGGGTGTTGCCTCACCCAGGAAGCACAAGGGGTCAGGGAACTCCCTCCTCTAGCCAAAGGAAGCTGTGAGAGAATGTGCCTTGAAGGACGGTGCATTCTGGCCCAGATACTACACTTTTCCCATAGTCTTCACAACCCACAGACCAGGAGATTCCCTCGGGTGCCTATACCACCAGGGCCCTGAGTTTCAAGCAAAGAACTGGGTGGCCATTTGGGCAGACAAAGAGCTAGCTGCAGGGTTTTTTTTTTTTTTTTTTTTTTTTTTTTTTTTTACCCCACTGGTGCCTGGAACTCCAGTGAGACGAAACCGTTCACTCCCTTGGAAAGGGGGATGAAACCAGGGAGCCAAGTGGTCTTGCTCAGTGGATCCCACCCCCAAGGAGCCCAGCAAGCTAAGATCCACTGGCTTGAAATTCTTGCTGCCAGCACAGCAGTCTGAAGTCGACCTGGGATGCTTGAGCTTGGTGGGGAGAGGAACATCCACAATTATTGAGGCTTGAGTAGGCGATTTTCCCCTCACAGTGTAAACAAAGCTGCTGGGGGAAGTTCGGATTGGGTGAAGCCCACCACAGCTCAGCAAACCTACTGTAGCCAATGTGCCTCTCTAGATTCCTTCTCCCTGGTCAGGGCATCTCTGAAAGAAAGGCAGCAGCCCCAGTCAGGGGCTTATAGATAAAACTCCCATCTTCCTGAGACAGAGCACCTGGGGGAAGTGGTAGCTGTGGGCACAGCTTTGGCAGACTTAAATGTTCCTGCCTGCTGGCTCTGAATAGAGCAGCAGATCTCCCAGCATAGCACTTGAGCTCTGCTAAGGGACAGACTGCCTCCTCAAGTGGGTCCCTCACTCCCGTGCCTCCTGACTGGGAGATACCCCCAAGCAGGGGTCGACAGACACCTCATATAGGAGAGCTCCAGCTGGTATCTGGCAGGTGTCCCTCTGGGACAAAGCTTCCAGAGGAAGGAACAGGCAGCAATCTTTGCTGTTCTGCAGCCTCCTCTGGTGATACCCAGCCAAACAGGGTCTGGAGTGGACCTCCAGCAAACTCCAACAGACCTGCAGCAGAGGGTCCTAACTGTTAGAAGGAAAACTAATAGAAAGGAATAGCATCAACCTCAACAAAAAGGACATCCACACAGAAACCCCATCCAAAGGTCACCAACATCAAAGACCAAAGGTAGATAAAGATGAGGAAAAACCAGTGCAAAAGACTGAAATTCCAAATCCAGAATGCCTCTTCTCCTCCAAATGATGACAACTCCTCACCAGCAAGGGAACAAAACTGGACGGAGAATGAGTTTGACGAATGGACAGAAGTAGGCTTCAGAAGGTTGGTAATAGTAAACTCCCCCAAGCTAAAGGAGCATGTTCTAACCCAATGCAAGGAAGCTAAGAACCTTGAAAAAAGGTTGGATGAATTGCTAACTAGATTAACCAATTTAGAGAAGAACATAAATGACCTGATGGAGCTGAAAAACACAGCACGAGAACTTCATGAAACATACACGAGTATCAGTAGCTGAATCTACCGAGTGGAAGAAAGGATATCAGAGATTGAAGATCAACTTAATGAAATAAAGTGTGAAGACAAGATTAGAGAAAAAAGAATGAAAAGGAATGAACAAAGCCTCCAAGAAATATGTGAACGTGTGAATAAAACAAACCTACCTTTGACTGGTGTACCTGAAAGTGACAGAGAGAATGGAAACAAGTTGGAAAACACTCTTCAGGATATTATCCAGGAGAACTTCCCCAATCTAGCAAGACAGGTCAACATTCAAATCCACGAAATACAGAGAATGCCACAAAGATATTCCTCAAGAAGAGCCATCCCAAGACACATAATTGTCAGATTCACCAAGGTTGAAATGAAGGAAAAAATGTTAAGGGCAGCCAGAGAGAAAGGTCAGGTTACCCACAAAGGGAAGCCCATCAGACTAAGAGTGGATCTCTCTGCAGAAACCCTACAAGCCACAAGAGACTGGGGGCCAATATTTAACATTCTTAAACAAAAGAATTTTCAACCCAGGATTTCATATCCAGCCAAACTAAGCTTCATAAGTGAAGAAGAAATAAAAATCCTTTACAGACAAGCAAATGCTGAGATATCTTGTCACCACCAGGCCTGCCTTACGAGAGCTCCTGAAGGAAGCACTAAATATACAAAGGAAAAACCAGTACCAGCCATTGCAAAAACATACCATACTGTAAAGACCATCAACACTATGAAGAAACTGCATCAAGTAACAGGCAAAATAACCAGCTAGCATCATACTGACATGATCAAATTCACACACAACAATATTAACTTTAAATGTAAATGGGCTAAAAGCTCCAATTAAAAGACACACACTGGCAAATTGGATAGAGTTAAGACTCATCGATCTGCTGTATTCAGGAGACCCATCTGACATGCAAACACACACGCACGCTCAAAATAAAGGGATAGAGGAATATTTACCAAGCAAATGGAAAGCATAAAAAAAAAAAGGTAGGGGTTGCAATCCTAGTCTCTGAGAAAACAGACTTTAAACCAACAAAGACCAAAAAAGACAAAGAAGGGCATGACATAATGGTAAAGGGATCAATGTAACAAGCAGAGCTAAATATCCTAAATATATATGCACCCAATATAGGAGCACCCATATTCATAAAGCAAATTTTTAGACACCTAAAAAGAGACTTAGACTGTCACACAAATGTGGGAGACTTTAACACCCCACTGTCAATATTAGACAGATCAATGAGACAGAAAACTAACAAGGATATTCAGGACTTGAACTCAGCTATGGACCAAGAGGACCTAATAGGCATTTACGGAACTCTCCATCCCAAATCAACAGAATATACATTCTTGTCAGCACCACATCACACTTATCCTAAAATTGACTACATAATTGAAAGTAAAACTCTCCTGAGCAAATGCAAAATAACAGAAATCATAACAAACAGTCTCTCAGGCCACAGTGCCATCAAATTAGAACTCAAGATTAAGAAACTCATTCAAAACTGCACAACTACCTGGAAACTGAGCAACCTGCTCCTGAATGACTACTGGGTACATAACAAAATGAAGGCCGAAATAAATAAGTTCTTTGAAACCAGTGAGAACAAAGACACAACATACTAGAATCTCTGGGATACAGCTAAAGCAGTGTTTAGAGGGAAATTTATAGCACTAAATGCCCACAGGAGAAAGGAGGAAAGATCTAAAATCAACACCCTGACATCACAATTAAACAAACTAGAGAAGCAAGAGCAAACAAATTCAAAAGCTAGCAGAAGACAAGAAATAACTAAGATCAGAGCAGAACTGAAGGAGATAGAGACACAAAAAATCCTTCAAAAAATCAATGAATCCAGGAGTTGGTTTTTTGAAAAGATTAACAAAATACATGGCTAGGAAGACAAATAAAGAATAAAAGAGAAGAATCGAATAGGCACAATAAAAATGATAAAGGGGATATCACCACTGATCCCATAGAAATACAAACTACTATTAGAGAATACTATAAACAACTCTATGCAAATAAACTAGAAGATCTAGAAAAAATGGATAAATTCCTGGACACATACACCCTCCCAAGACTAAACAAAGAAGAAATTGAATCCCTGAATAGACCAATAATGAGTTCTGAAATTAAGGCGTAATTAACAGCCTACCAACCAAAAAAAGCCCAGAACCAGATGAATTCACAGTAGCATTCTACCGAGGTACAAAGAGAAGCTGGTACCATTCCTTCTGAAATGATTCCAAACAACAGAAAAAGAGGGAGTCCTCCCTAACTCATTTTATGAGGCCAGCATCATCCTGGTACCAAAACCTGGCAGAGACACAACAAAAAATGAAAATTTCAGGCCAATATCCCTGATGAACATCAATGTGAAAATCCTCAATAAAATACTGGCAAACCAAATGCAGCAGCACATCCAAAAGCTTATCCACCATGATCAAGTCGGCTTCATCCCTGGGATGCAAGGCTGGTTCAACATACACAAATCAGTAAACATAATACAGTACATAAACATAACCAATGACAAAAACCACATGATTATCTCAATACCTGCTCAAGGCCTTCAATAAAACTCAACCCTTCATGCTAGAAACTCTCAATAAACTAGGTATTGATGGAACATATCTTAAAATACTAAGAGCTATTTATGACAAACCCACAGCCAATGTCATACTGAATGGGCACAAGCTAGAAGCACTCCCTTGGAAAACTGGCACAAGACAAGGATGCCCTCACTCACCACTCCTATTCAACATAGTATTGGAAGTTCTGGCCAGGGCAATCAGGCAAGAGAAAGAAAGAAAGGAAATTCAAATAGGAAGAGAGGAAGTCAAATTGTCCCTGTTTGCAGATGACATGATTTTATATTTAGAAAACCCCATGGTCTCAGCCCAAAATGTCCTTAAGCTGATAAGCAACTTCAGCAAAGTATCAGGATACAAAATCAATGTGCAAAAATCACAAGCATTTTTATACTCCAATAACAGACAGAGAGCCAAATCATGAGTGAACCCCCATTCACAATTGCTATAAAGAGAATAAAATACCTAGGAATACAACTTACAAGGGATATGAAGGACCTCTTCAAGGAGAACTACAAAGAGACTTAGACTTCCACACAAAAGTGGGAGTCTTTAATACCCCACGGTCAATATTAGACAGATCAATGAGACAGAAAATTAACAAGGCTATTCAGGACTTGAACTCAGCTCTGGACCGAGAGGACCTAAGAGGCATTTACAGAACTCTCCACCCCAAATCAACAGAATATACATTCTTCTTAGCACCACATCACACTTATTCTAAAATTGACCACATACTTGAAAGTAAAACATTCCTCAGCAAATACAAAAGAACGGAAATCATAACAAATCACTGCTCAAGGAAATAAGAGAGGACAAAATAAATGGGAAAAACATTCCATGCTCATGGATAGGAAGAGTCAATATTGTGAAACTGGCCATATTGCCCAAAGTAATTTATAGATTCAATGCTATCCCCATCAAGCTACCATTGACGTTCTTTGCAGAATTAGAAAAAACTACATTAAATTTCATATAGAACCAAAAAAGAGCCCGTATAGCCAAGACAATCCTAAGCAAAAAGAACAAAGCTGGAGGCATCACGCTACCTGACTTCAAGCTATACTACAAGGATGCAGTATCCAAAACAGCATGGTAGTGGTACCAAAACAGTTATATAAACCAATGGAACATAACAGAGGCCTGAGAAATAATGCCACACATCTACAACCATCTGATCTTTGACAAACCTGACAAAAACAAGCAACGGGGAAAGGATTTTCTATTTAATAAATGGTGCTGGGAAAACTGGCTAGCCATATGCAGAAAACAGAAACTGGACCCCTTCCTTACACCTTATACAAAAATTAACTCAGTATGGATTAAAGACTTAAACATAAGATCTAAAACCATAAAAACCCTGGAATACTTAGGCAATACCATTCAGGACATAGGCATGGCAAAGCCTTCATGACTAAAGCACTAAAAGCAATGGCAACAAAAGCCAAAATTGCCAAATGGGACCTAATTAAACTAAAGAGTTTCTGCACAGCAAAAGAAACTATCATCAGAGTGAACAGACAACCTACAGAATGGGAGAAAATTTTTGCAATCTATCCATCTGACAAAGGGCTAATATCCAGAATCTACAAATAACTTAAACAAATTTACAAGAAAAAAATAATCCCATCAAAAAGTGGGCAAAGGATATGAACAGACACTTCTCGAAAGAAGACATTTATGTGGCCAAAAAACATATTAAAAAAAAAGCTCATCACTGGTCATTAGAGAAATGCAAATTAAAAACCACAATGAGATACTATCTCACGCCAGTTAGAATGGTGATCATTAAAAAGTCAGGAAACAACAAATGCTGGAGAAGATGTGGAGAAATAGAAACGCTTTTACAGTGTTGGTGGGAGTGTAAATTAGCTCAACCATTGAGGAAGACAGTGTGGCGATTCCTCAAGGATCTAGAACCAGAAATACAATTTGACCCAGCCATCCCATTACTGGGTATATATATCCAAAGAAGTATAAATCATCCTACTATAAAGACACATACATGCATATGTTTATTGCAGCACTATTCACAATAGCAAAGACTTGGAACCAACAGAAATGCCCATCAATGATAGACTGGATAAAGAAAATGTGACACATATACACCATGGAATACTATGCAGCTATAAAAAAGGATGAGTTCATGTCCTTTGCAGGGACATGGATGAAGCTGGAAACCATCATTCTAAGCAAACTAACACAGGAACAGAAAACAAAACACCACGTGTTCTCACTCATAAGTGGGAGTCGAACAATGAGAACACATGGACACAGGGAGGGAAACATTACACACAGGGGGCCTGTCAGGTAGTAGGGGGCTAGGGGAGGGATAGCATTAGGAGAAATACTTAATGTAGATGATGGGTTGATGGGTACAGCAAACCACCATGGCACATGTATACCTATGTAACAAATCTGCATGCTCTGCACATGTATCCCAGAACTTAAAGTAAAATTTTTTTAAAAATTTAAAAAATTATAAATTTCATGAAGCCCAAGGGTATAGTCCTTATAAAGTCTACAATAGTAAATAGTTGTATCCTAGGCCTTCACATTTCCTCACCACTCACTGATTCACCACTAACAAGGAGACAATAACCCAGAAAAAAATAGCTTATATTTTATATTACATTTTTTTAAAAGTTATAAGGCGTATCTCATCTAAGGACCCCTGAGTACATGGTTATAATAATGAATAAAACATTTAAAATAACACATTAAAAGACTATTTCTTTGCTAAAACAGACACTTCAGAATCACTTTTGTATTACCCATAAAACGATTTCATTTTGTCAGTAAATACAGATGCCTTTCAGGAAGAGAGAAGTGTTCTATATGTAGGAATTGCTTCTTTCTACCTGAATTAGTGGTCAATACAAATGATTTTTCCATAACAAGGCTATTATATGAATGGTAATAGACAAATTTTTAGCTTCTTAAAGTCAAAGTGCAACTCTGTCTAGAATGAAACAAACGAAGGCGAAGGAGCCAAGATGGCCGAATGGGAACAGCTCCAGTCTACAGCTCCCACTGTGAGCGACACAGAAGACAGGTGATTTCTGCATTTCCATCTGAGGTACCGGGTTCATCTCACTAGGGAGTGCCAGACACTGGGCGCAAGTCAGTGGGTGCGCGCACCATGCACGAGCCGAAGCATGGCGAGGCATTGCCTCACTCAGGAAGCGCAAGGGGTCAGGGAGTTCCCTTTCCTAGTCAAAGAAAGGGGTGACAGATGGCACCTGGAAAATTGGGTCACTCCCACCCGAATATTGCGCTTTTCCGACGGGCTTAAAAAATGGCGCACCAGGAGATTATATCCCGCACCTGGCTCGGAGGGTCCTATGCCCGCGGAGTCTTGCTGATTGCTAGCACAGCAGTCTGAGATCAAACTGCAAGGCAGCAGCAAGGCCGGGGGAGGGGCGCCCGCCATTGCCCAGGCTTGCTTAGGTAAACAAAGCAGCCGGGAAGCTCGAACTGGGTGGAGCCCACCACAGCTCAAGGAGGCCTGCCTGCCTCTGTAGGCTCCACTTCTTGGGGCAGGGCACAGACAAACAAAAAGACAGCAGTAACCTCTGCAGAATTAAATGTCCCTGTCTGACAGCTTTGAAGAGAGCAGTGGTTCTCCCAGCATGCAGCTGGAGATCTGAGAACGGGCAGACTTCCTCTTCAACTGGTTCCCTGACCCCTGACCCCCGAGCAGCCTATCTGGGAGGCACCCTCCAACAGGGGCAGACTGACACCTCACACAGCCGAGTACTCCAACAGACCTGCAGCTGAGGGTCCTGTCTGTTAGAAGGAAAACTAACAAACAGAAAGGACATCCACACCAAAAACCCATCTGTACGTCACCATCATCAAAGACCAAAAGTAGATAAAATCACAAAGATGGGGAAAAAACAGAGCAGAAAAACTGGAAACTCTAAAAAGCAGAGCGCCTCTCCTCCTCCAAAGGAACACAGTTCCTCCCCAGCAAGGGAACAAAGCTGGATTGAGAATGACTTTGATGAGCTGAGAGAAGAAGGCTTCAGACGATCAAATTACTCTGAGCTACGGGAGGACATTCAAACCAAAGGCAAAGAAGTTGAAAACTTCGAAAAAAATTTAGAAGAATGTATAACTAGAATAATCAATACAGAGAAGTGCTTAAAGGAGCTGATGGAGCTGAAAACCAAGGCTCGAGAACTACATGAAGAATGCAGAAGCCTCAGGAGCCGATGCGATCAACTGGAAGAAAGGGTATCAGTGATAGAAGATGAAATGAATGAAATGAAGCGAGAAGGGAAGTTTAGAGAAAAAACAATAAAAAGAAAAGAGCAAAGCCTCCAAGAAATATGGAACTATGTGAAAAGACCAAATCTACGTCTGATTGGTGTACCTGAAAGTGATGGGGAGAATGGAACCAAGTTGGAAAACACTCTGCAGGATATTATCCAGGAGAACATCCCCAATCTAGCAAGGCAGGCCAACGTTCAGATTCAGGAAATACAGAGAACACCACAAAGATACTCCTCGAGAAGAGCAACTCCAAGACACATAATTGTCAGATTCACCAAAGTTGAAATGCAGGAAAAAATGTTAAGGGCAGCCAGAGAGAAAGGTCGGGTTACCCTCAAAGGGAAGCCCATCAGACTAACAGCGGATCTCTCGGCAGAAACTCCGCAAGCCAGAAGAGAGTGGGGGCCAATATTCAACATTCTTAAAGAAAAGAATTGTCAACCCAGAATTTCATATCCAGCCAAACTAAGCTTCATAAGTGAAGGAGAAATAAAGTACTTTACAGACAAGCAAATGCTGAGAGATTTTGTCACCACCAGGCCTGCCCTAAAAGAGCTCCTGAAGGAAGTGCTAAACATGGAAAGGAACAACCGGTACCAGCTGCTGCAAAATCATGCCAAAATGTAAAGACCATCAAGACTAGGAAGAAACTGCATCAACTAACGAGCAAAATAACCAGCTAACATCATAATGACAGGATCAAATTCACACATAACAATATTAACTTTAAATGTAAATGGACTAAATGCTCCAATTAAAAGACACAGACTGGCAAATTGGATAAAGAGTCAAGACCCATCAGTGTGCTGTATTCAGGAAACCCATCTCACGTGCAGAGACACACATAGGCTCAAAATAAAAGGATGGAGGCAGATCTACCAAGCAAATGGAAAACAAAAAAAGGCAGGGGTTGCAATCCTAGTCTCTGATAAAACAGACTTTAAACCAACAAAGATCAAAAGAGACAAAGAAGGCCATTACATAATGGTAAAGGGATCAATTCAACAAGAAGAGCTAATTGTCTTAAATATATATGCACCCAATATAGGAGCACCCAGATTCATAAAGCAAGTCCTGAGTGACCTACAAAGAGACTTAGACTCCCACACATTAATAATGGGAGACTTTAACACCCCACTGTCAACATTAGACAGATCAACGAGACAGAAAGTCAACAAGGATACCCAGGAATTGAACTCAGCTCTGCACCAAGCGGACCTAATAGACATCTACAGAACTCTCCACCCCAAATCAACAGAATATACATTTATTTCAGCACCATACCACACCTATTCCAAAATTGACCACATACTTGGAAGTAAAGCTCTCCTCAGCAAATGTAAAAGAACAGAAATTATAACAAACTATCTCTCAGACCACAGTGCAATCAAACTAGAACTCAGGATTAAGAAACTCACTCAAAACCGCTCAACTACATGGAAACTGAACAACCTGCTCCTGAATGACTACTGGGTACATAACGAAATGAAGGCAGAAATAAAGATGTTCTTTGAAACCAAGGAGAACAAAGACACAACATACCAGAATCTCTGGGACGCATTCAAAGCAGTGTGTAGAGGGAGATTTATAGCACTAAATGCCCACAAGAGAAAGCAGGAAAGATCCAAAATTGACACCCTAACATCACAATTAAAAGAACTAGAAAAGCAAGAGCAAACACATTCAAAAGCTAGCAGAAGGCAAGAAATAACTAAAATCAGAGCAGAACTGAAGGAAATAGAGACACAAAAAACCCTTCAAAAAATTAATGAATCCAGGAGCTGGTTTTTTGAAAGGATCAACAAAATTGATAGACCGCTAGCAAGACTAAGAAAGAAAAAAAGAGAGAAGAATCAAATAGACGCAATAAAAAATGATAAAGGGGATATCACCACCGATCCCACAGAAATACAAACTACCATCAGAGAATACTATAAACACCTCTATGCAAATAAACTAGAAAATCTAGAAGAAATGGATAAATTCCTCGAGACATACACCCTCCCAAGACTAAACCAGGAAGAAGTTGAATCTCTGAATAGACCAATAACAGGATCTGAAATTGTGGCAATAATCAATAGCTTACCAACCAAAAAGAGTCCAGGACCAGATGGATTCACAGCCGAATTCTACCAGAGGTACAAGGAGGAACTGGTACCATTCCTTCTGAAACTATTCCAATCAATAGAAAAAGAGGGAATCCTCCCTAACTCATTTTATGAGGCCAGCATCATCCTGATACCAAACTCAGGCAGAGACACAACCAAAAAAGAGAATTGTAGACCAATATCCTTGATGAATATTGATGCAAAAATCCTCAATAAAATACTGGCAAACAGAATCCAGCAGCACATCAAAAAGCTTATCCACCATGATCAAGTGGGCTTCATCCCTGGGATGCAAGGCTGGTTCAATATACGCAAATCAATAAATGTAATCCAGCATATAAACAGAGCCAAAGACAAAAACCACATGATTATCTCAATAGATGCAGAAAAGGCCTTTGACAAAATTCAACAACCCTTCATGCTAAAAACTCTCAATAAATTAAGTATGGATGGGACATATTTCAAAATAATAAAAGCTATCTATGACAAACCCACAGCCAATATCATACTGAATGGGCAAAAACTGGAAGCACTCCCTTTGAAAACTGGCACAAGACAGGGATGCCCTCTCTCACCACTCCCATTCAACATAGTGTTGGAAGTTCTGGCCAGGGCAATTAGGCAGGAGAAGGAAATAAAGAGTATTCAATTAGGAAAAGAGGAAGTCAAATTGTCCCTGTTTGCAGACAACATGACTGTAGATCTAGGAAACCCCATTGTCTCAGCCCAAAATCTCCTTAAGCTGATAAGCAACTTCAGCAAAGTCTCAGGATACAAAATCAAAGTAAAAAAATCACAAGCATTCTTATACACCAACAACAGACAAACAGAGAGCCAAATCATGAGTGAACTCCCATTCACAATTGCTTCAAAGAGAATAAAATACCTAGGAATCCAACTTACAAGGGATGTGAAGGACCTCTTCAAGGAGAACTACAAACCACTGCTCAAGGAAATAAAAGAGGATACAAACAAATGGAAGAACATTCCATGCTCATGGGTAGGAAGAATCAATATCATGAAAATGGCCATACTGCCCAAGGTAATTTACAGATTCAATGCCATCCCCATCAAGCCACCAATGACTTTCTTCACAGAATTGGAAAAAACTACTTTAAAGTTCATATGGAACCAAAAAAGAGCCCGCATCACCAAGTCAATCCTAAGCCAAAAGAACAAAGCTGGAGGCATCACGCTACTTGACTTCAAACTATACTACAAGGCTACAGTAACCAAAACAGCATGGTACTGGTACCAAAACAGAGATATAGATCAACGGAACAGAACAGAGCCCTCAGAAATAATGCCGCATATCTACAACTATCTGATCTTTGACAAACCTGAGAAACACAAGCAATGGGGAAAGGATTCCCTATTTAATAAATGGTGCTGGGAAACCTGGCTAGCAATATGTAGAAAGCTGAAACTGGATCCCTTCCTTACACCTTATACAAAAATCAATTCAAGATGGATTAAAGACTTAAACGTTAGACCTAAAACCATAAAAACCCTAAAAGAAAACCTAGGCATTACCATTCAGGACATAGGCATGGGCAAGGACTTCATGTCTAAAACACCAAAAGCAATGGCAACAAAAGCCAAAATTGACAAATGGGATCTAATTAAACTAAAGAGCTTCTGTACAGCAAAAGAAACTACCATCAGAGTGAATAGGCAACCTACAAAATGGGAGAAAATTTTCGCAACCTACTCATCTGACAAAGGGCTAATATCCAGAATCTACAATGAACTCAAACAAATTTACAAGAAAAAAACAAACAACCCCATCAAAAAGTGGGCGAAGGACATGAACAGACACTTCTCAAAAGAAGACATTTATGCAGCCGAAAAAACACATGAAAAAATGCTCACCATCACTGGCCATCAGAGAAATGCAAATCAAAACCACTATGAGATACCATCTCACACCAGTTAGAATGACAATCATTAAAAAGTCAGGAAACAACAGGTGCTGGAGAGGATGTGGAGAAATAGGAACACTTTTACACTGTTGGTGGGACTGTAAACTAGTTCAACCATTGTGGAAGTCAGTGTGGCGATTCCTCAGGGATCTAGAACTAGAAACGCCATTTGACCCAGCCATCCCATTACTGGGTATATACCCAAAGGACTATAAATCATGCTGCTATAAAGACACATGCACACGTATGTTTATTGCGGCATTATTCACAATAGCAAAGACTTGGAACCAACCCAAATGTCCAACAACGATAGACTGGATTAAGAAAATGTGGCACATATACACCATGGAATACTATGCAGCCATAAAAAATGATGAGTTCATGTCCTTTGTAGGGACATGGATGAAATTGGAAATCATCATTCTCAGTAAACTATCACAAGAACAAAAAACCAAACACTGCATATTCTCACTCATAGGTGGGAATTGAACAATGAGAACACATGGACACAGGAAGGGGAACATCACACTCTGGGGACTGTTGTGGGGTGGGGGGAGGGGGGAGGGACGGCATTGGGAGATATACCTAATGCTAGATGACGAGTTAGTGGGTGCAGCGCACCAGCATGGCACATGTATACATATGTAACTAACCTGCACATTGTGCACACGTACCCTAAAACTTAAAGTATAATAATAATACATTTAAAAAAAACAAACAAAAAAATGAAAATTATTGCAGTAAAGTGTAAAAAAAAAAAAAGAAAAAGAAGCAAACGAGGAAGGATTGACTTACCTTCCAACCATATTTTCAGAATAGTATATGTAAGACATTTGTACCTATTAGCCACTGGTATTAATAATATACATACAGATGTTCTTATATACAACTTTATATAAAAACACACTTTGTAGCAATAATAACACAGCTTATCCAATAGAAGTCCAAATTCCTAAGGAAATAATGACTTTGATATTTTTGATACAATATGCCTAAATTAACACACTCTGATTATCCAGAGTTTCACCTGGAAGCCTTTTGTTAGAAGGAAGCGTTATATAAATTAAATAATGGAGATTAGTTGCCAAGGAATAACATTCCTGTGTCATTTAGACCTTAGATTGATTCAAAAACCCTTCTAGTGTCTTTTTCTGATCAGAGTATTGTGCATGGACAGTGCTCAGAACTTTCCAGGTGCTGAGTGGACAATGTCGGTCAACCCAGAAATAAAAAAAAATAGGTAAAGATCCTGGAAATAGAGCCTCTCCACACTCCTATAAAAGTCCTGGGAATCTCCAACTCTCTGAAGCAGAGCAAATCCAATGTTCTAGTGTGGCATTGTCTAAGAAAAAATAAAGTCTAGTAGATAGAATAGACCTCTCACCCTTTCAACAAAGGTGGATGATGCTGGAGTTTGAATTCCTTCAAGAATTTTTTACATTAAGTAAATAAATATTTTTGGTGAATCATGCCTTGGCCAGAGCAAGAAGTGGTAAAAACACATCCAACTTAGAGTACCAGGCCCTACGATGGATTTTTTTTTTTTTTTTTTGAGACAGAATCTCACTCTGTTGCCCAGGTTGGAGTGCAGTGGCTGGATCTCAGCTCACTGCAACCTCTGCCTCCCAGGTTCTAGCCATCCTCATGCCTCAGCCTACTGCGTAGCTGGGACTACAGGCGCCCACCACCATGCCCAGTTAATTTTTGTATTTTTAGTCAAGACAGGGTTTCGCCATGTTGCCCAGGTTGGTCTCGAACTCCTGGCCTCAAGTGATCTGCCTGCCTTGGCATCTCAAAGTGCTGAGATTACAGGCGTGAGTCACAGCGCCTGTCCTACAATGGGTTCTTCGGCATAGCTCAGGGAAGATACAACTCATGCACTGAGAATATCAAACACCACTATTTCTATAAGAAAACTATTCCCTTGAGAATTCTTTTAAAAAGCTCTTCCCTAAGAAGGTAACATCCATTCCTTGACCTTCTGTTTCTCCCTTGCAAGATTCCTAGCACTGGGTTACTATACTCTGCCCTCTGCAGATCTCTTAACCAGTTACTGCCAGATTTGGAATCAGATGCTGCTGCTGTCCACAAGCCTGGGCTAGATTTTGCTTTGGTCTTGCATCACCATTTTCCTCAATTCCCAGGTTCTTAAAGCATGGTGTGTGAAATCTCATACTGAAGAGACATGTGCTAATGAAAAAAGATGTTTAGCCAGAGAGATCTCATAAATAAGCAAAAAGATGGCCTCTGGATTTAGATTCTGTTAAGAAAAGTTAATCAGACACAAAACTGAGTGGTGCTCCTGGAGTTAAAAGAAAAAATATCCTTGGTAACAAAAAGAGCCAAGTCTTAAGTAAACAGTTCCATTAAATCAAAGAAGGGTATTCATACAAACATCATAAGATGAAATAGGTCATAGAGAGAATGAGGCAGACATAACCTCAAAATGACTAGAGATGCTGTAAGATAAGTCACAATAGAGAGGTTGGATGAAAATTTGTATATATTTTCAGAAATTCCCTCAACCCTCTTTTAATGTAGCTTAAAATGGCTTACTCATTATTAGCAGTTTGTTTTACCTTGAGCACTGTGGATAGAAGGCATCATAGGCAAACTGAGAGAACAGGTCGTTGGGGAAGACTTTCCTCTCCTAGTATGTCCCTAAACTCACTGACTTCAAATACTGAGAGGTATTTTAATTACCCTTTTCAAAGAGCCGGGTAACATTCCAGCTGCCGCTAGAGGGCACAGCTAGGACATATGACAGCTGCCTCTATTCATGGTGCTGAAAGACAGGATTGTGTCACTAAGGGTCCCAGGTCTCTTTGAAAAAAGATGGACAGGAACTTTTGTGGTAACTGCTGGCTGAGGCACTCTGTGGGAACCACCTATTCTGTGAGCTTTAGTGACCTGGAAGGAGCAGCTGTTGTTGAAGGAACTACTACTAAAAGCCGTCATCCACTAAAGAAGTTATTGTGGGCCCTATTCCTGAGAGAAAGGATGTTCAAAGCTCAGATACACTTACCTATTTATTTATTTGATTATTTATTAACTTATCTACTTGCTTACTTATTGGAAAGTAGTCTAAGTCAATGCAACATGTGTCTATGTCTCTAGCTTCATGTTGGCTACTTTTCCCTTTAGTCTCAGGATTTTTGCACATCAGACTTTTTCATGTGCTCTCTTTATTCCAACTTTAGAACCTGTGTATAAGCTGCTTCCCCTTCCTGGAATCCTATCTACACATTCCCATTAGCTAAGCTAACTCCGCATTATCTAGCTCCCCATAAACTTCATTTCTACAGCAATCATTGATCCACTCATAGCACCCTATACAAATCCTTCCTAAATATTATATATCTGGCAGATATAAAGGTGTTTGTATTGTAATCCTTTGTGGAGGTTTTGTGTAATTCTGTAATCATGCACAGTGGCACAAGAAGAAAAGGTGGCATTCTTCTTGGAAAATACAAGTGACTGCTACAGGCCATTATAACCAAAAATGTTATACCAAAAATCCCCAAATAAATGTATTTTTACTTAAGACAAAACTGAATAAGAGCAAAATACCTAGATGAGCATAAAACTATATTTTGGGGGGCTTGACAAACATTAGCAAAACTTAATAAAATAGTGAGTATGGTCTCTTAGTGGCAAGAAAGTTAGCATCATATTCTACATTTTCTTCCTTGAATTTCTAGAAATTTGATCCTAATGTGGTAATGAAAAGAATACTGATAGAATTGAAGCAGAGAACAGAGCCTGCCAAACTTTCTGGGAGCATTTTCTTTGCACTACTCAAGTGGACATTTGTATTGACAAATAATAATTGCTTTGAAACAGGCAGTTAGACACGTGTTAGGCTATTTGTTTGCATAAATGCCTATTTGCTTGGGAAATGCAGTGGGGTTTTTAAAATGCGAAGCAAACACAATTTTATGGGTATGTTTGCAACGGTTTAAAATAGAGCTGTAAAAGTGTTCATTAACAGCACAAATTAAAACGATATTAAAATGTGAGTATTGAAGGCATTTTTGGCTTGACTCTACAGTTGATAAAGTGTAAATAAACACAGTTTGACTGTGACATTTTTGCTCTGTGGTTGTGTCATGAAAATCCATGACTGTTGAGAGTTACAATCACTAAACATCTGAGGCTGGAAGGGGCCATTGAACATATTTTATAACTTAGAAAGCTGAGCCTCATAGAGCTAAAGTGACTCACAAAAGGCTATCAAGATGGTTAGGAGCAGAGCCAAAATTGTGATGAAGGTTCGTTACCATCCAGCCCACTCCTCTTGCATTCCAAGGTTTTCCTTTATTGAGAGCTGGTATTTAACGTCTTCTTCAGAGCTTTTAAAGCTTCAAAGCTCTGGAAATCACCAAATCACTTCAAAACAAGGAACTTGCTTAACTTTGCTGGCAAGTTTTAATTTTGTGAAAGGAAGAGATACTAGAAAATTGGCACCATTTGCAAACCCCTAAAAAAGAGGCATTAACCTAGTCTATTGCAATTACACCTCGGGGTCTCTTGGGTTGACTTTGGACACAAACTTGTGCACAGATCTTCCCAGGCTTTTATCTGAACAGTGAGGACTGTGAGGAAGGAGAGAATTGAAATGAGAGAACCATTGTAACAGAATTTCAGTCAAGCAAATGATAACACAGAGGCAATTATTCTTCAGGCTCTGAAGGGAAAATGTTTTATATGTGTTTCCCAAAATCTCATTCATTCCTATTTTCAGAAGTCTTGCTTTTAAAAGGGGAAAGTAAAAGTAAAATGTCAGATTTTCTATTCTATCCCAGGCAAAAATAAATAAATCCATCAGCAAGCTTTTGTTAAATAACTATAATATTAAAATTTTTAAAAAATTATTCCATGGAAGTCTTTTTTTTTCGCATACTTCAAATCCATCTCTAAGTCAACTCATTCCATATAACCCACATCATTGGTACTTTTCACCCTCTAATGAATAAAGGTCCTGGTATTTTGGAGGTTCTCTCCTGCTACAAGCCTTGAAAGTCAGTAACTCTCAACAGGAAGTACTAAAGTAAACCCAAGGTAACTTGATCTGTAATATTTACGAAGGATCATGGAATTTGCCATGGGGGTGGTGAAATTAAATAGCATATTCTAAGTGTATCATTAATTTCCTTTTAATTAAAATGTTTATTTCATAGTCTCACATAATGTTAAAGGAAGGTATGAGATTTATGGTTTTTTCGAACTGGATGATCGTTTAAACAATCAAGAAATGCCTTTTTTGAGACAGAGTCTCGCTATGTTGCCCAGGCTGGAGTGCGTGGCACAATCTCAGCTCACTGCAAGCTCCGCCTCCTGGGCTCACAGCCATCTCCTGCCTCAGCCTCCCGAGTAGCTGGGACTACAGGTGCCCGCCACCACGCCCAGCTAATTTTTTGTATTTTTTTAAGTGGAGACAGGGTTTCACCGTGTTAGCCAGGATGGTCTCGATCTCCTGACCTCGTGATCCACCCACCTCGGCCTCCCAAAGTGCTGGGATTACAGGCGTGAGCCACAAGAAATGCATTTTTAAGTGAAACTGTCTTTCTTTAAGTAATCTTGGTTCTTAAATAGACTGCAAAGACTATCCATCTTAATTTAAATCTGCACAAAAACGTATTTAGATTTTTATTTTTTTATTTTGGTATAATTTCCAATTTACAAAAAGTTACAAGAAACTTCCATATGCCATTTACCGAGATTCACCAATTAGTTTCATTTGATCACATTAACTTTATTGCTGTCTTACTCTCTCTCATATTTATGCATATATGTATGTATGTGTGTATAAATTTTCTGAGCCATTTTGAGAGTAACTTTGAGACACCATGCCCATTTACCCTTAAGCAGGTCCTGGAGTAGACCCTAAGAAAATTATATTATCTTATGTAACCACAGTAGAACTATCAAAATCAGGAAATTTAACCTTGATATATTACCATAATTTAACCTATTGCCATTATTCTAATGGCATCTGTTACCCCATTATGCCTACCAATTTTTCTAGTCCAGAATCTATATCCAATACATGCAATTGCATTGCATTCAGTTGTCATGACTCTACAGCTTATTTCCCTTCTATTTCTGGTTCTTTACATTTTTGAACAGCATAGGCTATTAATCGGTAAAATGTCCCTCAGTTTGGGTTGTACTGATGTGCACTGCAAATCATTTTATAGGAAAGTTCTAGAACTTTAGATTGACAAATTGATATTAGAGAAACGGAATTCCTTGGTTTGAGCATATAGGAAGCAATGTTTTTAGTAGTTGCAGAGAGTAAAATATTATTGTACTATGCAAAATCATCGCCTAGTAAGTCATTTAGCCTGTTTAATATAATTTTACAGGTAATTAATTTGCATTATATTCAATTGTTTTACTGATAATAAGCTCATTAAATCTTGTCATTTTGTGGTCTGTTTCATTTCACATTTTGTTTAAGCGAAGCTAATGTTTTTTAAAATCCATTTGCTGGATTTACTAAACTTATCTTTCAGTCTGAGGCTGACATTATTTTATTTTAATCATAAAGATTTTTAAACAAATATTTGCATAGTGTTTATCATTTCCATCATATGTTAATACATTATGTGAGTGGGTTGATCCCCACAGATCTGCCTGTGATGTAGATACCAGTAACCTAATGATAGAGTAGAGAAATGCAAGACCCACTGCCCCAAGAGATGGCCTTAGAATCACACATACAAGAAACAGCATTCGAATTCTTATCCTGCTGTTCTGACCCAAAACCACAAGATTACTATTACTGGTATTACCAAATGAAAGGTGGTTGTACTACCTATTGCTATTTAAGAGTGTACATTTTGGTGATTCAGTTCATTGAACAGATATGAACCAAGAATGGACACTTAACCAAGTAGAGGCATTCCCCAATCCTTGAACTTCAAGTTAAAGTGTAACCTCAATCATCATTCTCCAAAAGGAGCTGACAAGCAGATCATACTGTTCATAATACACCAGGTGCTTATACAGACACTCAAGGATATTCAGCAAGGACTTCATAGCCAAATGACAATTGATTATGAAGCCATAATCTCTTGAATCTAAATTTTCTTATTCTAATTTAGAGATAGAATCCCCCTGTCCCAGTGTTATTTTGAGAATTAGAATGTACATAAGCTGTTCTTCTCAGTGGTTAATAATATTGTATTTTTTATTTTATTTTTACTCATTAATAATCAATACAATTATATTGATCTATGTCGTTAGTTTTGTATAAAAGTATTTCATTTCCATAATTTAAATTCACGTCGGAAAACATTGCACATTTTAAGTAGTATGGCATAGTGGTAAGAGCCTAGATTCTGGAGCCAGGCTGCAGGCTGACAGCTCTTAAGGCAGATGCCTTTTTTATGGGAACTGCCTAAATGGTGACTTTCCAAGTCATTTAGGCAACCAGAACACTGTTATCTTTTTCAAATGGTTATCCACCAAATATAATATAATTTTCATTAATAATCCTACTTTTAGAATGTGAAATTATGACTTTGCACATAAATTTTTGGTTGTTTTCTTAATGACATATGGAGGAAAAATACCACCCAATGTCCCCACTAGGGTTGTACTATCCAAGCCATAATATTTTTGATCTATGCTTTATGGAGCATCCCATTAGAGTTCCAGAGAAACCTTTACTTTCTATTATGTCAATGACACCTTTGCTGGCCTGGAGCCATCATCAGCTCTTGGAGCACTGAACCATGAAGCAATATCTCTGTAACTAGGCCAAGTAGGCCATGACCTGACAGGCTATAAAGCAGTCATTATCTCCTATTAAGTCTGAAATCTGCGCTTTGCATATTTTAAAACAACTATCCAGTTGTGCTATAGAGGTATATCTGCCAAATGAATAATTAAATTTTTAAGAGACTATAAAGGGGACCAAAATGCTTTCTACTATGCCAAAAACAAAGTCAATTCAGATTTTATTTTCTCTCCACCCATATTTTTATCCTCTTTGGCAGTGAAACCAAAAATATTTCAATAACAGATAAATAGACTTCTGTTGGACAATTTACTGCATAAAATCAAGTCTGGGTTGATGGCATATGAGTGCCAAAGCATTCTGTGTTGCAGACTGTACCCTGCTTCCTCATACAGTTAGGTAGAAAGCTGTAGATGGCCGGCACCTAATATTTGCTTCGTTTGGTGGATGTGATACAAAAAGGGTGTTATAAAATATAAAAGGACTGAATGTGCCACTTAAATGACAAAGCTCAGAAGAGATTTGCTTTTCTGGTTTCAAATATAAGTGGTTTTTCCCCCTACTTCCTGGAGATGTCTAAGTAACTCATTTCATACCTCTTTAATGGTAGAGAAGCAAGTGACTTTAGGAAGATTCGGAAAAGGATTGAAATATAACTATATAAAATATCCTATTAACTCTTGCCCCCTGTTTTACATTTTGAGAAAGATTTTTAACTAAACTCTTGATGTCATTAACTATTTTTCACTTCAGTGAATTGTAACTCCAGAAAATTTGCAACTACTCTTTTCAACAGGGGATTAAACTTTCAGGGAATAAATTAAATTGGGTTAAAATGTCTAACAGAGTTTTCAGATGAGTGCTTTATTCAAGTAGCACAGAGACATGTTAGCTCTGAAATGAAACTCTAGCTAGGTAAATAACGTTTGTCAAGAACCAATTGCTCAGGTGCTACACTGCTCTAAGCCTACTTTATTAATATTGGTTTGCGGTCTTCAGTAGAGTGCAGAAAGGAATTTTAAATGCAATTACAGCTGAGCTAGAAGGCCACATAACTATGTTTTAATCAAAAGCTGAGTTCAAGCCTGCTTTACATATAATATGTTCAAAGAAATATCTCTTTGTCACTGTAAGTAAAACTGCATAAATACTCTATGTTGAGAGAGAGCAAATGCATTTCAAGTAGAAATGTAAAGAACAGTTCCACATCATAAGGAATATTATAAGCAACTAAAGAAGTATTGTACCAGAAATACATTAATGTATTATTAAACATTAAGAGAAACAACATTTTACATCCTGAGTCATCAAGCCAAAATAAATGTATATAGGGGCTCTGTGTCTATGTGTATATGTATACACATGCATATCTACATGTTGTGTATATATATATATATATACACACAGAGAGAAGAATACACCCACATGATCCAGTTTTTATTTTAAAGTTTAATATTTATTAGGAAAACCTAGAATCCTTTATTCTCAAATGCACTTTAAAATAGACATGAATGATGTAAAGATCAAGAAGTTTGTCATTATTAAACTATATTCACAGGTGGTAGAAAAATAAGCTTACCACATATGTAGCAGGAGGGAGCTAGCATCTCTTAGATGGGAGCACAAGTCTCATTGGTATTACAAAAGATTTCATTCCAGTGCCTTGTGGCCCAGAAAGTGAAGGCACCTTTATTCTGGACTTCTCAGTGAAAAATCAAAAGTCAGAAAAGGGACTTAGAGGGTAGTCTTTAACTAATGTTTCAAAGTTATGATTAATTCAGTGATGGAGCTTCAGGAATCTTAGATACATCTAAGGGGTTTTTTTTAATCCACACATTATCTCTTTCAGCCGAATCCTAGGAACATTTTGCAGAGGTTGACTCACTAAAGATCAGTCAGTCAATTTGTTGGAGTTTTTTCATCAATCTCAGAACTGTTCTGCTTTGGGGAAACATACATAATAAATCCTTCTTGTTTTGAGCCCATAGGCAAATACAGTGACCAAAATACCACTCTTATTATTTTCAACATTTTTTTTCTTAAAATCAGAACAAGAATATAGGACATGAATACAGCTAGAGACACACTTAACTCAAGAGAAAGGATGCATCATCTCCAAAGTTATATGTGTATGTTTCTTAGCAAACCTACTAAGGGAAGAAAAGTAGGGAAAGAAAGAGGTACAAACAGAAGTACTTGAGTAAGAGAAGACATGGTTACATTTCCAATCACATTCACCCAGTAACTTGCATGTTATTTCTTGGGGTGCAATTCAAAATGGTTAACAACTATACAACATGAAGGTGGGTACTGGGGCACCAGAGCAGTGTCTTGGAGCCTCACTGCTGTACTAATCAACCCTTTAGATACTGTGCATTAGGGAGGTGAAGAAATAATCCTGGGGGAAGGGCCAGAGACTAGAGTGCCCCATGCAGCAGTGGGAGGAAAGGATTGTAGGGGAAGACACTCCAATGGCTCAGGGCAATGACTGTTTACCAACTAGTACATAAGTTTTTAAATATTTTATTGCTGGTACATACTAGTTAAATATTCCCTGCAGGTTTTTTTAAATCATGTACTCTTCATTGTTCATCAGCCTAGAAACACAGACATATCCCAGTAATACCCTTTTAACACCAAAATCCAAAGAATTCAAAATGGTTGAAAGGCAATGAAAAGTACAGAAACATATTTTTCACAAGTTTAAATTTTTCTTATCTTTTATATTTGCCCTTTGGTAATGCAGAGGTGGAATTCTTTTGAATTATTGCTGTCTGATACAATAAATTGGATAAAAATCTGTACTTAATAAATTTAGTTATAAATTTTCTAAACAAAAAATTTTGTCACACTGACATTTTATAATCTCATGCAAACAATATTGGTGCCGTTTTTCTCCTCGATTAATCCTAATCCCATGGTCCAAGGTTTGGGAAAATTATATTGGCTAAACTCCATTTCCTAGAACTTTTTATACAAAGAATTGCAGATTAAAGCTATAGTCAGGGCCACCTTAAAGGGGAGATGATATGGGAGGACTTTCTGAAGTTTTGAGGAGTGTAATATAAAAAAGAGTAAGATGTGAAATTTTTAGGTATGAAATTTATTCTGACGCTCACATTCCTTTACTGCCA
This sequence comes from Homo sapiens, assembly GCF_000001405.40. NCBI lineage: Eukaryota > Metazoa > Chordata > Mammalia > Primates > Hominidae > Homo > Homo sapiens. The sequence continues at coordinate 8,716,160 of NC_000007.14, read as the reverse complement.
TAAGGAGTTTTAAGGATAATTTAAGTCCTGTGGTTCTGGGTTTCTTAATACCCAAAGATGCTGGCTTTTTCACCTTATCTGCTGTCCCTCTTTTGTTTTTGCCATGTGAAACTCACATTAGTGCTCAGCACCTACAACCCACCATTGTAAATATACATATATGTACACATATATGTATATTCATATATATGCATTGACAACTGCTAATACATTTATATATATATGTATATGTAAATATACACACACAAACACACACATATAATGTTTTATGTGTCCAGCACTAAGATTTCAAGTCAGGATTTCAACTTCTTATAATGCTCTTAATTTGGGGACACCTCTCCCTTCATCTCTCACGTCAACTCACTGGTCCTGTTTGCTGTCCCACACCCGTAGTCTTTTGCATTGTAATTACAAGCCTGCCATTTCCCTCACCTGGAATTTTCTCTTGAAGACTCTTATCTAACCCGTGTGTTTTCTCCACAACCCTAGTGGCTCCTAAGTCAGACTCTGTGTAACCTTCCCAAATCATTTTATTTTTAATTAAGAAACAATAACTTTGGCATTTTTGCCTTTTTATAACTGATTATAGCAACCTGAAAGGAGATCTGGCTGAAAAATTCAAGAGCCAAGAGTTCAGATTCTGGGGAAGTAGAGCAAGATGGCCGAATAGAAGCCTCCTCCTGACACCCAATTGTCCTCCCTGCAGGAACACCAAATTTAACAACTATCTACACAATAAAAGCACCTTCAGAAGAACCAAAAACCAGTATCTGGTTTCAACTTCATATCACTGAAAGAGGCACTGAAGAGAATAAGAAAGACAATCTCAAATTTTGATGCCACCCTTACCCCATCCCCTCACAGCAGTTCGCCATGTGGTATGGAGAGAGAACCTGGGCACCTGCGGGAGGGAGAGTGTAGTGATTGTGGAACTTTGCATTGGAACACAGTGCTGCCAAAGCTAGACAGAACTTGGCCAGCACCCACAGAGGGGGCATTTGGACCAGCCATAGCCAGAGGGGAATTGCCTATTGCAGCAATCAGAACTTGAGTTTCAGCAAGCCTCACCACCACAGACTAAAGTGCTCTGGGATCCTAAATAAACTTGAAAGGCTGTCTAAACCACAAGGACTGCAACTCCTAGGCAAGTCCTAGTGCTGTGCTGGGCTCAGAGCCAATGAACTTAGGGGCATGTGACCTAATGAGACACCAACCAGGGAAGCTAAGGGAGTGCTTGTGCCACCCATCCCCCAACCCCAGGCAGGGCAGCTCCAAGTTCCAAAAGAGATCCCTCTTTCCTACTTTAGGAGAGGGGAGGGAAGAGTAAAGAGGACTTTGTCATGCAACTTGGATACCAGCTCAGCCACAGTGTGATTTGGCACCAGGCAGAGTTGTGAGGCCCCAATTCCAGGCCCTTGCTACCCGATGACATTTCTAGATACAACCTAGGCCAGAAAGGAACCTGCTGCCTTGAAGGGAAAGACCCAGTCCTGGCAAAATTCATCCTCTGCTGAATAAAGGGCCCTTGGGCCCTGAATAACCAGCAGCAGTAACCAGGTAGTACATACTGTGGGCATTGGGCGAGACACAGATATATGCTGGCTTCATGTGTGACCCAGCACATTAACATCTGTGGTGGCTATGGAAACACCCCTTCTGCTTGAGAAAAGTAGAGGGAAAAGTAAAGGGGACTTTGTCTTAAGCTTAGACACCAACTCAGCCACAGTGGGGAAGAGCACTAAGCAGGGTCCTGGGTACCCAGTTCCAGGCCTTGGCTCTTGAATGGCATCTCTGGACCTATCCTGGGCCAGAGGGAAGCATACTTCCCTGAAGGGTGAGTCAGTCCCAGGTCTGTCAGCATCCACCACAAGCCGAGTAAAGAGCCCTTGGGCCTTAAGTGAATACCAGTGGTAGCCTGGCAATACTCTCCATGGGCCTATGGTGGTGATGGACACAGGAAGAGGCTCCTCTCCCAGGAGAAAGGGAAGGGAAGAGTGGGAAAGACTTTGTGTAGTGGTTTCAGTACCAGCTCAGCTGCAGTAGTTTAGGGCACCAGGTAGGTTTAAAAGATTTCACACTCTAGACCCTGGATCCTAGACTGCATTTCTGAACCCACCCAGGGCCTTGTTTGGCTTTGACACTTGCTAATTGTAAATTGTAGAGCCCTAGGTCTTTTAGTATTCAAGGCAGTAGCCAAACAGTGGTTGCCGGGGCCTTGAGCAAGACTCAGTGCTGTGCTGGCTTCAGGTTTGACCCTGTGCAGTTCCAGTGGTGGTGGCCAAAGGAGTGCTTGTGTTCACCCCTTCCCAAGCTCCAGGCAGCTCAGAACAGAAAGAGAGACTCCATTAGCTTGGGAGAAATTACGGGAAGAGAACACGAATCTCTGCCTGGTAATCCAGAGAATTCTTCTGGATCTTATCCAAGACCACCAAGGTGATAACTCTGTAAATCTGCAAGAACTACAGTGTTATTGCACTTGGGGTACTCCCTAATGCAGATATGGCTGCAGTGACCAAAAACTTAGATCACAGCACACAAGTCTCTTTGAATACCTGGAAAGGCTTCCCAAGAAGGACGGGTAAAAACAAGCCAAGGTTGCAAAGACTACAATATATATTTCAGTCTTCAATGCCCAGGTAGCAAAAAAAAAAAAATCTGCAAGCATCAAGACCATCCAGGAAAACATGATGTCACCAAACAAACTAAGGCACCAGGGAGCAATCCAGAAAGACAGAGATATGTGACCTTTCACAAAGAGAATTCAAAAGAGTTTTTTTGGAGGAAATGCAGAGAAATTCAAGATAACACAGAGAAGGAATTCGGAATCCTATCAGATAAATTTAGCAAAGAAATAGAAATAAATAAGAAGAATCGAGCAGAAATTCTGGAGTTGAAAGTGCAACTGATATACTAAAGAACACATCAGAGTCTCTTAATAGCAGAATTGATCAAACAGAATAAAGGATTGGTGAGCTTGAAGATAGGCTATTTGAAAATATACAGTCAGAGGAGACAAAAGAAAAAAGAATAAAAAAGAATGAAGCATGCCTACAAGAAAGCTTCTTGTAGAAAATAGAAAGCCTATCTAGAAAATAGCCACAAAATGGCAAATATAAGAGTTATGGCTTTAAAGAGGAGGTAGAGAGAGAGGGGGGTAAAAAGCTTATTCTAAGGAATAATAAACTTTCCAAACCTAGAGAAAGATATCAATATTCAAGTACAAGAAAGTTACCGAATACCAAGCAGATTTAACCCAAAGAAGACTACCTCAATGCATTTTATAACCAAACTGTCAAAGGTCAGGAGTAAAGAAAGGATCCTAAAAGCAGCAAGAGGAAAGAGATAAATAAGAGTTCGAATTCTGACTCTGCAATTTACTAGATGTGTGACCATGAGCAAGGAGGCTAACCTCTCTGAGTTTCATATTCCTCATCTGCAAAATTATTCATGCTGATAACACAACCCATGGGGCTGACATAAGAAGTCAATGAGATAATGCTTGTAAAGTTTTTGGTACACAGTAATTATTTGATGCAGAGATGTTATTATTCTAGGATTTTTTATGTTTTCATTTAATGCTTAGTCTGTGCTTTTTCTTTTTCTCATTCGATTGAAATCTTATGAGGAGTGGAGACTAGTCATCCAGTTCTTTTTGTATTCCCAAGACACAGAGGGAAGAATTTTCATTCGGTGGGCACTATTGACTGACTTTTTGAAGGAGTTTAAGCTACTCATTTGTCAAAGCAGTTGATTTACTTTGCTAAGCATCAGGGAAATGCTGCAAAATGAAATCTGGTGAGATCAGGATAGGTGCTGACACAAAGATTTATTATCTAGATGAGATATCTAATGTATATTTAATTCAAGAGAATGGCCTTGTAAAAAATATTGGATACCTGGTTGGAAAAAAATAACATAAAGAAAACTGATCCTGAAATTAAACATACCGAGTTCAACACTGATTTAGGGGCACATACTTGTGTTCGTTTTTGATCTAAACATAAAGATGCTTGAATCTAGCTCCTAAGAGTCTATACCAGTGCTGTAGTCACATTAGCACATGTCAGTGAAATCAAGCTCCACTTCTCGACTCTCTTTTGGCAAAGAACAACCTTGAGCTTTCAGAGGAAATAAAAAGCCAAGCTGATCAAGAAGAATTTCTAGTTGTGAAACCCAAGTGAATGGCAGATAATGTGAACATAATTGCCTCACAACTGGATGGCATTCTAGTCAGAATTCCTGACCCTGGCCCTTTCCTGTTCTATCCCAGCTTCCCTATTGTAACCATATCCTTCCCAAAATTTGCTTTCAACAATGGCTTTATAATCTCTTTAGAATATCGCTTACCCTGGCATTCAGTTCCTCAGAGGTCAGGCTTCCTTCCATTTACATGACCCTGTTTACCTTCAGTTCCTTCTTGAATTCAAGTCCTTGTTCATTCTGCAGCATCTCCATCCCCTCACATACATATGTATGCATACACACCCCTACATGCACACACTCATGCTCCCAAGTGATAGCTTTCTTCCCATACCCCAAAAAAAGCATGCATACTCTTCAGTACCCAGAGCAGCCTCACTCCTTCCATAAATTGTGCCAGCCCATGTTGACACCATTATTCTGACACTTAACCTGACTGCTTGTAACATGACTTAACTGTGTTTTCCGGCTATGGCCTATGTTTCCAAACCAGATTATGAGCTTCCAAAGAGAAAACTTGCTGCCTTTATTTTAACTTACATGCCTGCCTCAGTGTTAGGCCTCTAGAAAGGATATAGTAAATCCTTTCATGAAAAAAATATACTATTTTACATCAAAAATAAATATGTCTAACCCATGCTGGACTAGCCTAACAATATGTTACTGACTTCAAAAAGAAAACAAAGTAAGAACAAAGAGAACCAAATATACAAACATCTAGAAGGCCAATGGGGTCAAAAAATAAGTATGTCCGTAAAGTCTTTGTTTTCTTCTCCAGGTGTATTGAGAATCTAGGCCACTCGTAGGCAGTCATTACTTGGAAATGGTTCACCCTTTAGTTTTCCTTTTAGTAGGAATACTCCAGGGAGATAACTTGAAAGTTATGTTGCCATATCTAAATTTAAAACTGCTGAGGATAGAGCTATAGCAGAAAGATGTAGGAAATAAAATCTACTTTCCATGGAATACAGTATCCTTGTGTTATCATAAAACCGTAACGGCCGGGCGCGGTGGCTCACGCCTGTAGTCCCAGCACTTTGGGAGGCCGAGGCGGGTGGATCATGAGGTCAGGAGATCGAGACCATCCTGGCTAACACGGTGAAACCCCGTCTCTACTAAAAATACAAAAAATTAGCCGGGCGCGGTGGCGGGCGCCTGTAGTCCCAGCTACTGGGGAGGCTGAGGCAGGAGAATGGCGTGAACCCGGGAAGCGGAGCTTGCAGTGAGCCGAGATTGCGCCACTGCAGTCCGCAGTCCGGCCTGGGCGACAGAGCGAGACTCCGTCTCAAAAAAAAAAAAAAAAAAAAAAAAAACAAAAAACGTAACAGTTGACATGCTTTGTTCAACAACCATGTAGAAAAACCTGAAAAGATTTATGAGTTTGGCAGTTGATTTTGGCCTTCAATGTCATTTGATTATCATGTTTCCCCTTGATCTTGTTTTCCTGAAAAAGTACTCAAGGCTTAATTCCTCAATCCAGAAAAATGCTTCTTTAAAATGTAAAATATGAGTTGCAGAAGACAGAGAACAAACCTCGCACATTAGTAAACTATCCCTCCTCCCTCATGGAAGAATTGATTAAAAGATGAAAACCCACCACAAGATTTCCAGATAGGCAAGGAGGCCCATTTGCCCCAGCTGCCTGGAGACATTTTAACAGCAGGGACTTTGAGCTTTTAATGAAAATCAGGTTGAACAGTGTGGAATCAGGAAGCTGCCCAACCTTTCTGTCTGCCAGAATAAACTGCTCAACTTGCAGGACCCCTCCTCTTCTAATCAAGAGCTCAAACACCCCCACGAAGTCACAAAATTGTTCTTAAAACCAATTCTGATGCTTAAGAACAAGGCTTTAAAACAGTATCAATACAGATACTGCCTAATTATTCAATTCTGTTCATAGGGCAAAGGAGATTCTTTTCTGACCCCTGCAGTGATTAATTTATGCCCTGAAGCATAAGATTTGATTACCCCTCTCTTAGCATGTATAACTTGTGAGCCTTATTACTGGTCATAAAATTATTCAGCCACTATTGGTTCAATGGATTCCTGAGGCAGTAAGTTCAACTACTTGGCTGCCTGCTGGTAAAGATATATAGCCTAACATTAGCTCAGAATTTACCTGAAACTTGTTTTAACAGTACAAATTTGATGTAAATAATTTCTAGATTCTTAGAAAATCATTGTACTTTGGTTTTAAAAAAGGACTAGAAAAATAATTTATCTATAAAGACTTAACAGACTCATATTCACCAGTGTTCTCATAAAATGGAATGTTTTAATTGAAGTGAATGTTCTGATTTAGTCAGAAATCTTTTGGGTTTTCCACCCTTGTTTAAATTCTTTATAAAACATATTAGTCCATGTTTCTGGCTCAGTAAGTACAGTATAGTGTGCTGAGTATAATTAATACTTCTCTGATAACTGTAACCCCCAGAGTGCCTCAAAAATCTTCATAATGAACATTAATTATGATGTTACAGAGAGGTAGGTGGCAAAGAGGAAAGAGTAGGTTTGCAATGCTCAAGTTATATAACAAATCCTGGAAATATTTAGGCTCTTTATTTTGGTTTTATTTCTTTATACTCATCCCACCAAGAATTCAAAGCACCTAATACACCATTTAACAATTTTAAAAACTGAAGGTATCAAGGCAAAGGGAGCATGTGAATGACATACAAATCAACAAATAAAAGGGTAAGAAAAGTACTTTCAAAGAGGACTACCATACAGTACTCAAAAGTGGTAGCACACACTGCCAAAGCAGATAGGGAAATGAGATCAACCAACAATCAACAGTGTTCAAAAGATTGAAAACAATAACAAATACTCTTATTTGGAGAAGCACAGTTTTTTTCTTAATTATGTATACTGTCATATCATATAATTACTATTTTAAGATAAATAAACTTTATCATAAGCCAATTTTATGAGGAATCTCATAAAAAGGACACTATTTGGTCATGGTGTCCAGTGCTTCTCTCACTTCAGTGTGCATATGGATCACCTCAGCCTCTGGTTAAAATGCAGATTCTGACTCAGTTCATCTACAGGTAGGGCCTGTGGCTCTGAATTTTTAATAAGCTCTTGGGTATTGTCGGCATTGCTCGTCATGGAACACATGTTGAGTAGCAAGATATAGAGAATATCAAGGATGTTCTTGCTAACAATCCATCAAAAGTGAATTTCATAATTTCCTTATAGCATTCTTCATAGTATGATAATAGCATACCACCAATTCAGTAAATGCAATTCTGTAAAAAAAAAATTGTATGGGGTGGATATAGAGAAACACATATTCTAGGCAGGCATGGTGGCTCACACCTGTAATCCCAGCATTTTGGGAGGCCGAGGCAGGCAAATCACCTGAGATCAGGAGTTACAGACCAGCCTGACCAACATGATGAAACCCCATCTCTACTAAAAATACAAAAAATTAGCCAGGCATGGTGGCAGGTGCCTGTAATCCCAGCTACACGGGAGGCTAAGGCAAGAGAATCACTTGAACCCAGGAGGATGAGGTTGCAGTGAGCTGAGATCGTGCCATTGTACTGTAGCCTGAGCAACAAGAGCAAAACTCCATCTCAAAACCAAAAAAATTTAAAAAAATAAAAAAGAAAAGAAAAACATGCATTCTAGGTACACATATCTCTTAATCTATTTTGACCGAATGACAAAATTTAGAACACCTAGATAAGCAAAGGGGGAAAAACATATCTTCCTTCATGTCAGTTGAATGAATTAACTAACAGACATCAGGTTCCTCATGTTTGATCATTTTTCTGAGTGAAGAAAAGAATTAAGAATTCTTTATAGACCATGATTTGGCTCTTTGTCACTATAGTGATTCCAAATGTAGGATGAATCCTTTGTAACAGCATGTTATAAATATTTTCAGCTTCAAATTAATTCCATTTAAAATTTGCATATTCATATATATGAGTGCATATTAAATTATTTAAAGATTTATGTTTTGTATCCTAGCAAAGTTTTAAGCATTGATCATTTTCAAAAGAAAAAAAAGCTTTTATCTGCATTATTTAAGTAATTAAACTATATGAAAATAAAGAATAAGAAAGGGAAATTCTAAAAGTTAATTGTTCCAATAATACAATTTATTTCTTTTTTTGAAGTGAGTAATTAAGCAGTAGAATTACAAAGTTAAAAGAGGCCTAGTTTTAGAAGAGAAGAAATCAAAGCTCAGGGAGGTTAAGTGACTTTCTCAAGGTCACACAGCTAGCAAATCCTAGAGTTAGGCCTTTGAATATTAGACCAATGCTCATCTCTCATATGTCTTACTGCTTTACTATCATTATTCAAACTGACCTACAGATCCTGATGGATCTGTATGAGATGATGAGTATATATATATATACTCATTGCCATTCAATGTAATGGTAAAAGCAGAAACAAAGTGGAAAGCACCATATTCCATTCACTCATTAATACATACTGAGAACCAACAATATAATAGTCATTGAGTTGGAAGCAGAAGGACAGGATGCAATAATAGCATTGGCAACTCCTTGTGGAACATACTATTTAGATGGGGTAAACATGCACTTATAACATGTCTTAATAATAGCCTGAGAAATATTATGCTGTAAATACATAGGAAATGTTGTCAGGAATTAAAGGATGTGATATTTAAGATGGGTCTTGAATACTGAATATTATTTTGGCCAGGTAGAATAGAAAAGCTGGGCCTGCTAGAAGCTTAAAAAGCATAATGTGTTTACAAATGCCAAATAAATTCCTTGTAATTATAAGAAATATTGGGTGGAGTGAGTGTGAAGTGCTAGAGAGCAAATTAAAGATGGAAGTCAAGGATACAGGTTTCTAGCTTAAATAGTAAAAGTCAAACTAATATAGTCAATAATCATTAAAACATATTAAAATATTTTTGTTTTTTAATTTCTATAAATTTATGGAGCACATGTGCAATTTTGTTACATGGATATATTGTGTACTGGTGAAGTCTGCAATTTTCGTGTATTCATCGTGTGAAAAATATATATTGTACCCATTAATTTCTCATCACTCACCCCCTTCTCACTCTCACCATTCTGCATCTCAAAAACATTTTTTAGACAATGAAAACAAATCTGTCTAATACAGTCAATCTGCTCCTAAGAGGGACTCCTCCTCCCTCTTCAATGGGGTACCCACAGAGGACACAGCCTTAGCCTCTACAACTGTCAGATTAGTCACTCAGGACTGGCAGCAATTGGACCAGTCTTGGTAAGGGAATATTCGTGTTGTTGAGCCCAGGAATAGTGTCTAGTTTTGCTTCCATGGCCACCATGACCATGAACCCATTGAGTCGGAATGAGAATGGCTGAGGAGAGAGGCCAACTGACAACCAGAGGATGGGTCTTCTATTCCACATGGTTGTTCTGAGCCTGTTCTCTGGCAGTGCCTTTGTTGAACATTTACATAGAATGCAACATCTTCACACTCTGACCATTTCAAACGGATCACTCAAGTACCTCAATCGAGTTTTTCTCTTGGCACTCAACTATTCCTAAGAAATTCCCCCATGAGGGCTTAGTTATGCATTGAGGGAGGAGAGGTAATGCAGAAGGATTATATGTAGTAAAAGTTTGAGACACCTGCTTGTGCCTTCTGAATCTGCTTAAGCCTGGTCTCTAACATATTCTTCCACACATGATAAATTGTTGCACACATGCCCAATCAAATAGTTTATGATGGCAGCTAAAATTGCACGGTTACTTGATGATCCATGTTCGGGTATTCCAATGCTACCAAGGCCTGATAGCTTTGCAGGAACCATTTTTTGAAAAGAGGTTAGTTAACTGCAGAAGTTGACATAGCTTTTCTCCAAACCATAGAGACTATAACCCTAATTCTCCTATAAGGGTTTTTAAGAAGTTCCACAAGTATCTCCATTTCCAGATACATCAAATATTATTATGTCTACTGGGACACTAGGCCTATGTAGAAGAGTAGTTTGCACTGCAGTGTTACTAGCTGCAGAGGCTTTTCCTTCTATGAGATGCCTTTTCAGTTACTCAGTAGACACAGTGGAGCAACAAAGAAATGTGGTTTATGTTGTCCCCCAAAGCCAAATAAGCTAACCAAGATTTGTGCCACCATAATCTTTGAGGACTGAATTATGGCAGAGAGAAATGTTGACATAGCCCTGAGGTAAGACTTTAAAGATACACTGATGATCTTGCTAGGTAAAAGCACACTGCTGCTGGTGATCTTTGCAATAGTCATAGAGACAAAACTATTGCCCAGATCAATTACTGTGCACCACGTCCAAAGGGCTACGTTGATTTGCTTCAATAAAGAAACCGCATATGGGACCACAGCTGCAACTGGAATCAATGCCTGATTACATTTAAGATAATCCACAGTAATTCTTTAAGATACATATATCTTCTTCAAAATACGACCAAGGAAATAAAATGAGGACATAATGGAAACCACCACCCCTGCATATTTCAAGCTTTTGGTGGTGGCACTAATCTGCAGTTTCTCTAGGGTTGCAGTACTACTTTAGGTTCACCGTCCTGGCAGGGATGAAAAGTTCCAGAAGTTTACCCATGTCCCATCCTGCCAGAAAAACTTTCACTTCATGAATCAGGGATAAATGTATGGAACCTGACAGTTGCCGTTTGAGTGTGTTGCAATTATTCACACAGATGCCAGAGAAGTAATTTCAATATGGGTCCATGGACCCACTAAGGGGATAAACTGTGTGCAAAACTCCATTTGTTAATTCAGGATTGAGACTTCAGGAAGACTCAGCACTTGCATAAACCTGTGAGTGCAGTCTACAATTTTGTATGCCCTACATGCCTGGCTTGCTTTACCCTAGTCCTGGCTCTGTGTCAGGACAAGCACAATCTCCACTTTGACTAGTGGACTGCAGTAGCATTTTGGGTCCATGAATTAGTATAAATTTAGACACAACATTTACTAATCCCTATATATTTTGGGCATTTCTCTCTCCCAAGTGCATAGTCACCCTAGTTAGTGGTTGCAGGTCCTTTTGGGCAGAACTTGAAGGAAGATTTTATATATACTTGTGAAAGTACTTTAGGATTCACCTTTAGGAGGATTTTGCCTCCAGTTCTGAAAGCTGACTTAACCTACGAACTCAGTGAGAGGCCAGGACCCTTCACTGTGGTGATGCAAGTCAAGTTCCTGGCCACCAGACCTACAATTTTATCTTTTTTTTTTTACAGATTAAGTGATATTTTAGAAAAGTGTTTATATATTTGCTTTTATGAATACCATAATTATCTATAACCAAAAAATCCATGCAGATAATAAAAATGCTCCATGCTAATTGGCTACTCCTGCCTTCTACTAATGGTCTCCCCTTAATTCTAAAGGCTAGGCATTACCACTTGGAATTACCTTGCCCCTGTAGAATTCCAGAAACCCCAGTGAATTCAGGAAGCTATCTCATTGGCAGCATCTCCCACCATCATCTCTGGCTTATAGAAGAGAGTGACTTCTGGGGCATTCTATTTGTCAATGTATTTCTCAATGCTTAAGTTAAAAGAATGTCCTTTGGGATCTCTCTGAGAATACAGTGTCTCGTGTGGTGGTGATGGCATGGAGAGAATCGATTGTGCAAGACACATGGAATAAATCTACTCCAAAATACCTACCTACCTCCATATGCTCTTTTATTCCTTCCTTCATAGTATGCCACAGAAGTTCTAGGATTTCAACCTCATTGAATTTAGGCTACCACTGAGTCAAAGTTTCAGTTACTAACCAGATAAATTTTTACAACCACTTTCAGCAGAGAGCTGGAACTAAAATACTAAACAAACTAAAACATGAAATCACAAATTTCTGCCAATTTAACCATAGCAGTAAGTTTAACCTTATGCTATATATATATCATTACATATCTCCTCCTTAGTCTAAAACCCTTGAAACTTTTGATATAAATTAGCAAAATTTTTCATTCATTCTAGAATATAAGTTATCTTATCCTGGGTCAGACTTCATTCTTCCTCTGGAGTATTCTGATATCTGATTCTAGTTCTGGGTCTGGAAGTAATAGGAAGGGGTTTGGAAACAAAAACATCCCTTTGTACTGCAAGTTCCCCAGGTGAAATAATTGAACAAAGGGAGGGTGGTGTAATTTTATGTCTCTTTCTAGTGGGTTGGCCCGCAATAATAAGGAATAAAATCTTTCAGGGATGCTATGAAAGCTCTCTGATTATCTAACAGTGATTTGAAACAAGGGTTTAAAGAAAGGAGTTTGCCCTTTTCTTTTTCGAAAGCTCCTCAGTGAAGTCATAAAAAGCTATCCCACCCATTTAATCCCTCCAACAACTTGCTTCAGCAGACACTTCATTTCAATCAACCATAGATAATAATTTAATTGAGCGCCACTGCATACTATAAGCAAAAAAAAATCAGTACTGCTTCCAAGACAAAGACAAATACATAACCAAACCAACCCCAGAATATCACCTAATCCCAGAGTATATTTTCTGTGACTACTCCTGATAACAAGCATACCATTATGCAGGATTTTTTCAGGAAAACAAAAACCAAACCAGGTATTTCAATAGCGTGCATATAACTTAGGGAAGTGATTTCACAGGTATTAAATTAGGGGACTGAGAAAGCATGAATGGAACACTAAAGTAGCACAGACGTAATAATTGCAGAAAGCAGCTACCATGACTAAGTATTGAGAAATATGAGAGGTGTGGTAGCGATCAGAATCTAGAAGTTCACAGGAGGGGCTGGGACTTGAACCTCTGAGAAGAGGCACTGCTTTGTGGATGCTGGTAGCTCTAAGGAAGTATGATGAGGCTGATTTGGGGAAGGCCAAGATAAGTTTCCATTCAACTTCAATTACTAGGGATATGCTGACAGAAACAGCAGCAAAAAGGGAGAGGTAAAATCCCTCTCTTCCTCCAGCAATGTCTAGCCTCCTCATGTGCCCTCTATTGGCAGAAACTAACAGGAGGCCATCTAATGAAGGAGAGCAGGACCCTGCAAATCCTATCCCTGTACCACAGATCAGAGTATGGAAGGGTAGTTTTAGAGCCCAGAGGCAATAGTTGGATAATGAGCACATATTTTATATGAAGAAAAAATCAGAAAAGTTTCATGGAGTCAGGAACTAAGTTTTACTCTTATCACATCTCTAACTGTAAGAGTTTTAGAAAGTAATTTCATTTTCCTGAGCATCCATTTCACTTGAAAAATCTCTGTAACAGTACCACCTATGCCTTCCTAGCAGGAGGCATAATGTAGGTGAAAGCACTTTAAATAAGTATAAAGAACTATATAATTATAAGTTTGTCTCACCATTATTGTCCACACTAAATGGAGCCAGGAAAATAATAGAAGAATGAAACTCATAGATAATCTTAAAATCTTTATTTAGATGGTTTTATATTCTTTCCCATCCAACCAGTCTATGTAAGGCACATATATAATAGTTCAGTAAGGCCCATGACTAGCCTCCCATGGATATGCTAACAAGCAGTAATGTGAATCCAAGGACAGAGCATGGGGAATGATAGGACATCAGAAGCTTAGCTAATTCCTCAAATAAATATCGGGTTTGAATAAGTGAAACATAACACATAATTTTTTTAAGTTTTATTTTATTATTTACACAATCATTGTACATATTTATGGGGTACAGTGTGATGTTTCAATACATGTATGCAATATGTAATGATCCAGCTAGGATAATTTGCATAAAAGTTTGAGGTGATAGAGCCATGTACTATTTCTACATGACCTGATCTTCTTGCCATTCTAATCTTTGAGATACCAAAAAGCACCAGAAAAAGCTGAATTTGAAAATTTAACTATTGCCTATAGAAATAATTAATTCATTGATTAAAACTAAATCAACATAACACAGACAACAAAAGTTAGAATACGGAGGGCTTTTTTTTTTTTCTTTAATTGGGATCATGAATAATTATTTGGGAAGCAAATAGTTAACAGATAAATTGGTACATTTTATTCAATAAATTTGCAAGTTAGGAAACCACAGAATTAAATAAGGAAGACTGTTCTAGATGCTTATCAGAGACTTTTAGATAATCACCCACAAAGATTCAGAGGTTCATTCCAGACCATATAGAATAATAGACTTGATTGTTATTATTTTTAGAATTTTGGTTCTGCTGAATTAAACTGAAGAATCTTTCTAAAGTAAATGAGCACTTATTCAGCCAACAAATATTTACTGACTATCTTTGTAACAAATGCTAGGTTCTGAGGATACAAAATGGGGAAGAGCTCCAACTTCTACATAGATGATTAAAACACAAGTGCAGAAATTCAGTGGGAGAACACTTAATTTTACCTGAAAGCCCTTGAAAAGGATTCTTAAATGTGACATTTAAGCTGAATCTCAAAAACTTAAATCAAGTTTGCTATGTAAAAAGTAGTAAAAGGGGAATAAAGATAAGACAGCCGCATTACGAAGGCAGAGAATCTTGAAAGAAATCAACATATTGGGGGAGAACAATAAGAAGTACTGTCTTGTAGGAATTTAAGATGCAAGAGGTGCAAGAGGAGGGAACAGGCAGCCACAGGAGATGAGACTAGAAAAAGAATCAGGGCCAATGAATGAAAGAATTTGTTACAGTGCTAAGGAGTTTGGACTGGGTTCTATGGAAAGAAGGATCCCAATGACATCTTTAACATGGGAGAAAAATGATCTAATTTATTAATGCTCATGAGATGATAATTCTGATACCATTATAGAATTACATTTTATTGAAGAGAAGCAGGAGTTATGGAAAACTATTGCAATCGTCCAGGCAAGAGATAAAGGTTACAGTAAAGAGAAGTTTGGCCTTGGAGATATGCCTTATATACATTAACAGAATATGAATATGAATAAAAGGAAAGGTTGGAAGGTGATTCAGTGGTTTTAAGATTAGGAGTTGAGAGAGTGGTGAAACTTTCCAAGTGTGGCTGTGTTCCAAAAAAGCATTATTTATAGACAAAGAAATTTTAACTTCATCTAAATTTCACATATCATGAAATATTACTCTTTTTATTTTATTTCAACCATTTAAAGATATAAAAATATTCTCACTTTACAAGGCCATGCAAAAACAAGCAGTGGACTAGATTGAGCCCAGAGACCATCATTTGCCAATTTCTGTAATAGAGAAAACATGGGAAGGAACAGTGATCAGGCTAAATTTAAGGTGCTGTGGGATAACCAGGTAAAGATGTCCAGAAGGCAGGTGTACAGCTATGGACTTCAGTAAAGGGAGCTACCCCAAATTCTCTGCAAACACTGCTCTTCATGGTCATAAAGAACGAAAACTATTTAAGAAGGCAAATATAATAAAAAAGTGAAAGACCACATTGTACTCTAATGCTGCTTTTAAAGTACTTTTTAATTGAGGGTAAAGCAACATCTAAGGTTTTTATATTATCAAACCCAGACACTTATCTCTATAATAGGCCGTTAGAAGCCAAGGCCAAAGAGGTAAAGCATTTATGACAGAACTTATAAAAGTAATGAAAGATGATAGAGTACAGGAACTGTCTAAGAAGCAAATGATGTTTCATCCTTTATGGGTGAAAGACAGAAATGAAGCCTGATTTAATGGATGAAAGACAGAAATGAAGCCTGATTTAATTTTAGAAAAGGAATTTCATCTGTTACCTGTCAAACACTGATGCAAAAGATAAATAGAAGTAATAGAAACCTCCTTCTTAGGCAATATGTAACACTACTCCACAACATTATGCTTGTTAAATAACATTCAAACTGCTCATAAACGATCCTAAATAGGAAGAGTTTACAATTCAATTTGGTAAAGAAACGATGACAGTTTCTCTCAGGTGCCTCACTGGAGAGCTTTTAAACATGTGCTCTGCTGCCTTTCACAGGCAGAGTAATGAAAAGAAAATTTATCTTCAGGTTTCACCATTCATTTGGTTGAGGTGCAGTATCTCTGGTTCACACTGGATTTTTAACACATGAAATATTTCCTAAACCAAGTAATTTGATTCTGTGAAGATAATAACCACAGGCAGTGTAATTAATTTCTTCTATATCTTCCACATAGTAAGTGGATCTTCCCTTTCTATCCATAAGACAAAGACAGCACAAATCACCATGAAGAGCAAGGTGCAACATGAAGATTAAGAAATCCTCCATGATATTGTGGATTGCCCCACAATAAAAAGGAAACGTTAAAAATCAATCTTTTAAAACCACATCAATTTCCAATGCAAAGTGGCCCAAACGGAAGACAGATTATTTTAACTTGTATTTTCCCCATCATCAAAACCCTATCAAAAAACTCTTTGATATAGTACACAATGTGTTGATATATTATTCCCTAGCAACTATCTTTCTTAACTGTTGCAAATTCTTTTAACGTTCAAATTAAAATGCTTTGGTGATAGTTGGACAATGGCTCACAAAACTGTCATATCTGTTCAAAATTACTTTTTTATGAGAATTACTGCCAAGTTAATTCCTTCTTAGCTATTCTTCTGCAGAATAATAATATTGTTGGTACTTGATGAGATAAAACATTGACACCAAAAAGAACATTTCACTATGTGAATTTGCAAAGGGAAAATCAGAGATAAAAACTGAAGATCTTTTCTAATAAACAATTAGTAGTTTTAAAATCTTAAAATAAAAGTATGTATGTTTTCCATTGTGATAGTCCTGAAGCATTTATCTAACCAAGTATGAGGCAAGTTTGTGATAAGAGAAGATAATTAGAAACAAATAGGAACCTGTTTTCACGTTTAAAATGAAAAATGAGAAAACCTAGCCTTTTCTGTAAGATATCTCAACAACTGGATCTGAGTGAAAAGAAACCACAATCAGATTTTGTTCATCATATAATGGACCAAAAAAATTTGATCTGTTCTAATCCTCCAAATGTAATTATTTGTATCACTAAATTGGCTGAATCAACAAATTTATTTTATTGCTAATAGAGACACAGCTTTAAAACATTTTCTTTGCACCAAGAATTTAAGCAGCATACTCTACTACAATGAATAAACTTCTGAAAATAAATTTTTACCCTGATATAATGGTATAATGGTAATGAATATGGGCTTTAGAGACACTCTGGGCTAAATTCAAAACTAGCACAAGTGGCTGATTAGCTATGTGTTCCTGGGAAAATTACATTGATATAAGAGACTACCAATTCTAATTTCATCTAGCCTAAACTGGTCATAACCATAAACTTAAGATTCCAGATTATCCATAATTATATAGATCTGTGGTTCTCAACTTATCACTCTAATAGCCTCCTTCATATAGCAATAGTTTATCACTCTGAAATAAAATTCATAGATACTGTAACCTATATACACTACAAAAAATCAGTATAGTACCCCATAAGATGTCTTTCAATATGTAAATGCGTAGATACTACTATGCTACAAGACATGTTGAAATCAGTTGCTTATACCTATACATAGAGCAATCAATAAGATAGCAATTACAAACACAGATATATACTGGTATGAGATATTGGCCACACCAATTTAAATACCAGGGGTGGCATTACCATCAATGACTTGATTTTATAAAATGGTGAATAGTTATTGTTATAGTTCTGAACGAAACAAGTACAACATTTTCTTCAATATGTGCAATAATTGTATTCCTGAAAAACTTAGTGTACAATAAAACTATGCAAAAATGGTTTGTATTTATATATATTATAGAATTGAAAATAGGTTTATTACCTCCATGAATCTTCAGTTGAGTATTCAAACAACACATGGAATATTGGTGTAAATGTTTGTCATGGTACAGAACTCAGCCATACATTGTAAGACGTCCAGTATTTCTGACTCCGAAAGCCTCCTAGTAAGCTTTTTATCTCCCTCTTCTACTCTTGCTCTCTGCACTGTCCTTTCCCCGTTGGTTCTTCATATAACAACCAAAGTGATCACTTTACAAATGTTGATCAGGCCATTTTACTTGGGTTAAATCCACCAATGATTTCCTGCCACACTTAGAATGCAATCCAAATTATCTTGCATGACCTTCAGGCCATAAATGATCCTGCCTATAGGAGTCATCTCTGTGATCTCTGTTCTACCAGTGTGTCTCTCTTGCTCCAC
Source organism: Homo sapiens (assembly GCF_000001405.40). Lineage (NCBI taxonomy): Eukaryota > Metazoa > Chordata > Mammalia > Primates > Hominidae > Homo > Homo sapiens. The sequence goes on along the minus strand of NC_000007.14, from coordinate 8,697,860 downwards.
TCTCCAAACACACTGGCTCTCTTGCCGGTCCTAAAATTCATCAAGCTTATTCTAGCCTCTGTACTTACAGTTTTCTCGCTCTCTGGAACATGTTTGCCTGAGACTTTCTCTGGCTTCTGTATCCTACCTGACTTCTTCACCTAAATATTGAGTAAGCATTTTCCATAACAGATACTTTGTTCATTCTCCTCAAATCATGATCCTCCCCATCTCATCAATGGTGTACAAATTGAAATGTATATACTAATTATCACACAACCAATAAAATCTCAATTACAAAAAAAGAGACACACCAAGTTGTTCAGGTTAAAATCTCTGACAATACTCTTCTCCTTACCCCAGCACTTCAGTCTGTCTAAACAATGAGTGAGTCTTCTGTCTACTTCTAAAATATACCACTAATAGCAGCCATGGCTACTATTGCAGTCTGAGCCACTATCATCTCTCACCTGTACCATTTCATAGGACACCTAACTGGTCACACTACTTCTATTCTTACCCTTATAATCCATTATCCATGCAGCATCCACAGTGACCTTTTAAAAGGATAAGCCAGATCATGTCACTTTCCCATTTCAAACCCCCAACTGGCATCTTTCACACTGAGAATGGAGCCCAAACTCTTGGCACCACAGTCTACAAGGTATTTGACAATCTGGTCCCCTCACTTCATCATTCACTTTTTTTTTTTTTTTTTTTTTTTGAAACAGAATCTTTCCCTGTCACCCAGACTGGAGTGCAGTGGCACAATCTCAGCTCACTGCAAACTCTGCCTCCCTGGCTCAAGTGATTCTCCTGCCTTAGCCTCCTTAGTAGCTGGGATCACAGGCGCCCACCACCACACCCAGCTAATTTTTGTATTTTTAGTAGAGACAGGGTTTTGCCATGTTGACCAGACTGGTGTCAAATTCCTGGCCTCAAACTCCTGGCCTCAAGTGATCCATCCACCTCAGCCTCCCAAAGTGCTGGGATAATAGGCATGAGCTACTGTGCCCGGCCTCACTTTTTTTTTTTTTTTTTGAGAGGGAGTCTTGCTCTGTCACCCAGGCTGGAGTGCAGTGGCAAGATCTCGGCTCACCGCAAGCTCCGTCTCACGGGTTCACGCCATTCTCCTGCCTCAGCCTCCCGAGTAGCTGGGACTACAGGCCTCACTTTTATTCTACTCTCTCTATACAACTTGCCTTCTTTCTGATAAAAGACAAAGTCACACTCATTTCAGCCCTAAGACTTTTGCTCTATGCTGGAACTATATGCCTGGAAATTACTGCAACATATATTTGTATGACTGACTTTTGCCTATCATTCAGGTGTCCGTTTAAAAAGTTATATCCCCAGAGAGATCTTTCTCAACCTATGGGATCCGAAAAAGTCCATGTTTATTCCAATCACAATATCTTGCTTTATTTTCATCCTAATATTGTCATATGGCATTTTCTGGCTTACTTAGTTATTTAGTAATACTCCTCCTCAGAATGTAAGACCCATGAAAGCAAGAACCTTGATGAAATTAGTCATTAGCCTGTGCCCAATGTCCCCATAGTCATTAGAGTGAATTCAGGAAAGAATATCTGTTGAATGAATAAATGGATGAGTGGCTCCTTTTTCTAATAGGATTTCCTGGAGAAAATTCTTTAGCTTCATGATTTTCAAACTAGACTATGTGTGCCACCAGAAAACGTAAGTTAGTTTTCCAAAACAGTTCATACCAGAGGAAAATGTAGCACGTCTTCCTGAAATACCAGTTTTATGTGAAAGTATTTTAGACAATATATTTATATCAGAGATAAGAATATACAAGTTACAGTGCACACATGAATTTTTAATATGAAACAAAACTTGAAACTTTATGCTATTAGAAGTTACTTCAGACTATGCTTCCAAATCCCTGGACACATGGTGTTATTTTCTTTCAGTTTTAAGGAGTACATCAATATTTTTAAAAAGAAGAAATTAAGAAACAATACAATGACTCCATGAACATTCACTGGGGCACAGCTGAGAATAGGAACCACGTTTAATCTCAGTTAGAAAATTTCACTGCAGAGGGTAAGCAAAGCTTCCTATTGATTAAAATTCAACAATCTGAATCTTAACATTTGTAGGCTATTTTTTCTTTATAAAAAAGTTTTGAGTGCTGACAGTTCTTGTCAATGGTAGTAAACGTTTAACTATGGCACAAAATACTTAGTATATTAGAAGTTAAGTTGGAAGACCAGAACCAAGAAATATCCAAAATTCCTTAACAAAGAAGGCTGAAATGGTTCATATCTACTTAACCATAGAAAAGTAGAAGGTAAAGGTCATATAAATAGCAATGTAGTTAAGGCTAATGATGGCAATCTGATAAGTAAGGGATAAAGAGGTGTTTAGCAAACATTATGATTGCAGTAAATTGTGACTTCCACTAAAGTTATGATGACATCTAGGAAAAAAAACATAATAACTCTTGTAAACAAACTACATTCTGTAACATGGTAAAAGAGCAAGTTCTAGCATTGAAAACTGGCTCCATCAATCACTAATTGTGTGGCTTTGACCAAGTTAGTAACCTCAGTTTCGCCACCTGTGCTATGAAGATAACCCTAACTCTTAAGAAGGTGGGGAGGATTACATGAGACAGTAAACTTCAAAGACCTAGCATCCGCCAAGACCTTAAATTGGAGCTAATATTATTACAGCACAATGTACCTACCATTATAAAAATTAAAAGTACCCTATTCTAATTCCAGATTTAATATAGAAGAAAATTTGGAATAATATCAGCAATGAATATTTCATGTTTTTTCCTAAAAGGACTGTTTTAATAAAAGTTGATATCCTAGTTCTGCCAGACATCCAAAATTATATCCAATGCTTTTAAAAGTCTAAACCCTCTAATACTTGGTTTTAAAATAATAATGTATTTAGAGATTTTCTTTCCTAGGTAGACTGAATTATCCACAGAATCCCAAATCCTGCCCTGAAGTATTCATTTTAAACTTAATTTAACAGTTATTTTTTACTCTCTTCTCATTTTCTTCAACTTTTTTTCATGTATCTAACTCTGAGAAGTTAGAAAGCCAGCTGAAAGCAGATGCTATTTCATGTGGACTGTTTTATATGAATTTCTAGTTATATTGTGATAGGAAAGAGGTTGGCATAGAAAGTAGAATGAGATAAATTGTAAAGGTACTTGACATTTGTTAATTATAATACTATGAATTTTTTAGCTCCTTTCCTGCTAGAACATATAAAAATCAATCAAATGATGAATCAAATATGAAAAAAATAGATGTGTTATTATAACCCGTTTAAGGAGAAATGAAATATTAAGAATTCAAAGTTTCATAGTTTTCCAATCTGATGTGGTACTAGGGCAATGTCCAGACTATACTTTTAAAAGAGCCTTTTTTTTCTCTACCATATGACCAAGTTGAGAAATGAAATCACCATTCCCAAAAAATGTCATCCCTGTGGTTCCCCCAAAAGCACTGAGCTATACTTTCTGTTGAGACTTCAAAAATTCATTTTCCCTAAAGACAGTCATGTTGCTTTTACAAGCATCCCTGACATGGGTGTCAAGGGACAACTCAACCAATGCACATAGGGGCATCTGAATCTCAGAGACCACCACGCACCTGCACTTAGGAAAGAGTGGATTGCATTCTAACATCATGAGCACTTTCATGACATGCAGCTTGAGGAAATGATCCACAAGAATGTAACTGGTCTGCCCCAGCATGTTCCAGGAGTGACAGATCATCATGAGTGTCCTAATCAATCAGGGCTTGCCAGTGGATTCGTTCATTGCATATTCAGTAAACAAGATACTGCTTTGTTTCAGAAAACTGTTTTACAAATGTCATCCTGACATGACTCTTTCTTCATAAAATTAAAAGATATATATTTTAAATTATACATTGGATGATTACATAAGTAATAGAAACCATAAGTGGGGTGATGACATAATTTGTTGTCCAAACTGGGACACTTTTAGAGTGAAAAGAGAAGCCATTAGTAATTACACCAAACTGAGAGGAAAAAAATTATGCAGAGATCCCAGGAGAAAAATAGTTCAAAGCAAGTATGTACTTATTTAAGCAAACTTGAAAACCAACTTATAAACATTGTGTACGGGAGTGATTTTCTGTAATGGAAGATGAACAGTAATAATATACAAGACTTGAAGAAAAGAAAATAACAAAGGAAAAAATATTTATTGATTGCCTTTTCTGGTCTGAGATTTTAAACAATGAACCTTCAAAAATAATAACACTTAATGATAATGTATTAGACAACAATCTTGTGACATAGATATTAGTCCTGCCTTAGAGATGAGGAAACAAAGTTTTAAAAGATTAAGTCTTTTGCCAAAGACACTTAGATAAACAGACAGGAGTTAGAGTCAAATACAGCCATCTCATTAAATGTTTTCTAGGGTCACTATGATTTAGACATTACAACTCCATTTTCTATATGAAAAAATTGAGACTCAAAGGCAATTCTGTGTTGAAAGAAGCATGATAGGAAGGGATGCTGTGTATAAGCATCCCTCTCTTACGCACAGAAGGACACACATGTAACTTGGAATGTGGATTCAAACTCAGGCCTGCCTGACTCTAAAGTCAATGTTCTTACTACCAAATATTGACCTGGGCTTTGTTCACAGACTGAGGTTTGTTTTTTTTGTTTTTGTTTTTGTTTTGGCGGCGGGGGTTGTTTCTTGGTTTTTGTTTTTGAAGCAAATGGAGAATGAGACTCTCCCTTCTTCTTGCTTTGACTCTGCTTAAGTTCCATTTCCACTCTAAATTTTTCCTCCTTGCCCCTTCACTTGCCTCTTTTTTCTATTTTCCTAAGAGCTCCTTCTAAATATTTAATCAAGATATCAGCTGTGGGCTTGTAGGAAGACTTCACTTACTTGTAACGGGCTTCTGTAATGCATCCTTAGAATCACTTACAGGCGGTGTTTTGTCTAAGGGTGATTCGTTCAAATCCCCTTCTTCCTTGTCACATTCATTCAGCATGGGTCATTTCATCTACCTAACAACCTACTTACACACAGCATCCCTTTCTATCATGCTTCTTTCAACTCGGCTTTAGAAGTTACCATCACCCTTTTCTAAATAGCACAAAAATGTATGAATTACAATTGTGTACACAAAGGATACTGGGAGTTAGACTAACACAAAGCACCCAGTCAATATGGACAGGTTGAGAGGCAACTATGGAGACTTTTCCCATAATATTTTATGAGAAAGGTTGAGTAGCACTTTTCCAGATAATAGGCCAAGAAAACTAAACAGGAAAAAAGTAGTATAGCTAGAGCACATATAAGTCCCTTCTGAGTTCTTACCTAGGAAGTCTTGTTCTGTTAAAAAGAAACAAACAATCCTTTGATTCTAGTCACCAACTATTATATTCCTATAGACTGCTTTCTAAAGTCAAACATCCAACAAAGCAAAACTTGACCCCATTCTGCCTATTTCTCTCCAGTGCTGTCACCACTACCTTATTGTCAGCCACCACTATCTATCACTGGTGGTGCAATAGCTTTTCAATAATCTTCAAGCCTCCTTTCTGGCTTACGTGTGTGGTTAATTCTTCACTCAGCTGTCCGAGTGATCTTCTAAATATGTTCATCAAATCATTTCACTTCCTTATATAACACACTTCAATTATATTCCAGAGAACAAAGAATAAAATCTGAACTCTTTATCCTGGTTTACAAAGCCCAACAGAATCTAGTAAGCCCTCCCTGCCATCTCATAGCACTCTCCTCTCTGCTCACTCCAACCTCCCTGACCATCTTCTGGTGCCTAGAACCTGCCAAGCTGGTTCTAGCCCCAGCCCCCTTGTGCTGGAGATTCCTACAGACTAGAAAAGTATCTCCCCAGATCATTGCTTGACTAGTGCCCCTTGTCACTCAGACATTAGCTTAACAGTCACCTCCTTCAAAAGACTTTCCCTAACCTAGAAGGCAGCAACTCTGTGACTCCATAACAGCATTCTTCACATAGCACTTGATAGTCTCTGATGGTTTATAAACTGTTTACTTGTGTTGTAGTTGTTCATTGCTTGTCTTCCCTATTTAAAATTTAAACTCCATTAGATTAGAGAACATGCCTATCTTACTCACCATTGTACCCCTATGCCTGGAACATCTGGTGATAACAGGACTTAAAAAGTATTTTGTGAATGAATAGATACATTAGTTAACCAGCTTATTTGCAAATATTTGCTTTACCTTTATACGGCAGTTTCAGTGGTTAAAATTTTTCCATTTCTACTTTTCAATTTAAAAAATTGTATTTGGTAGCAAAAAATATTTTATTATAATTCATATGCTTTTTAAAAAAATCATGTTTACCAATACCAAATTGTGTAAATTCCTTAATTTGTTTTTGTAGAGGTGACATTAAGAAGTTCTAGAAAGGGCAGGATACAATGGCTCACGCCTATGATCCCAGCACTTTGGGAGGCTGAGGAGAGCGGGTCACCTGAGGTCGGGAATGGGAGAGCAGCCTGACAAACCTGAAGAAACCCTGTCTCTACAAAAAATACAAAAATTAGCTGGACGTGCTGGTGCATGCCTGTAATCCCAGCTACTCAGAAGGCTGAGGGAGGAGAATTGCTTGAACCCAGGAGGTGGATGGAGGTCATGGTGACTGAGATCACGCCATTGCACTCCAGCCTGGGCAACAAGAGTAAAACTCCATCTCAAAAAAAATAAAATAAAATAAAGAAGTTCTAAAAAGAACTCATTGGAAAGTTAGGATTATACCCTGTCTTTCAAAAGGGTTGGAAAAACACTAGGGCTGAGAGAGCCATATGTCACCCCAATCAGTTAGACTCACAGTCAAGTGAATCTACCAATTGTTAACTAAAAGGAAGTCTTCAGAGGAAAGGAGTAAGTCACTCCTTGAGGAGACTTCATTCAAATCTGAATGAATGGCAAAGGAGCAGTGCAAGATCCTATGAACAAATGGATACATCAAAGTTGGGCAAAGCAAGCACTTTCAAAAAGTCAGTGGGCCAGGAAAGGGAAGCAGCAGGTTATTGATGTTGGCAGGGATGTCACAAACGAGGCAGTAAATGCGTCAATATGAAAATGGAACACTGATAAGCAGACATCACCAGGATTGTTTATTTCTCAAGTTTGCTGTCAAAAAATCACAGTCAAGACATATATACAAGGTAAACTACAATTTCCATAGAGTTTCCTTTGTTCCAAATGCACTTTATTCCATTTAATCCTACTGACATTTCTTCACTTAAATAAAATATTTTTGGTCTTTGAACTTACAAGTATCTATGCTGAAATGTTTGTTGATATCATTAATTCCCTGTATTCATTAGTATTCTTATTTCTTGCTTGAAATAAGACATTAAAAACCATTCCTGGTCAATCACCAATATTAACACAAACTAAAAATACTAATCATAGATATCTTTAAAAACAAAGCAACCTACATGTGAAGTACTTGGGTTTAAGATAGAAATAGAAAGACCATGGCTAGAGAAAAATAAATAGCTCACCAAATTTCTTCATGCAAAGCATGTATATCCCATTTATTAATAGACTTTCTGCTGCTTCCACTGTCTTCAGTGCTCAAAAGAGGTTTCTAAGCAATGGGAGACTACTAAACAAGATAATCAGGATTTAAGTTTAACGAATAACCTAAATCCTTTGCACTCTTCTGGCAGATGTTAGCAAGGGACTCAGTAATAATTACGACTTTGGAAAGCCTGCCACAGGGGTATGAGTCTAGATTGCTTTATTAAAATAATCCAATCTTCTTTCTCAAAATACTCACATTACACTATTATAAGAAAAGAAAGAATCTGAGAAAAGTGGTTAAAAAAGGAAAGGCAATTCATATTCACCTAGGCTTATTATGGTCTTAGTAAGGTAACAGTAAGCCTAATTTGCCTGGCTCAGCTCTGCTTTATGCCTGTTGTCCTAGTGCAGTTATTAATAGTGGTGTCTCCTTTTGTTCTCAAAAGTATTGCAATTTGGACAATAAATTATATGGCCACCCTATATGCTAAGTAGCAGTCACTAAGTCCATGATAGATCCATAGATAGCTAGATATGTTTATTATCCTCTCAGTTCCACCCTTCTCTGTTCCCTAGAGGCTAATTTCTATAAATTGCATTAGTGGATTCCTTTCTGACTGAGTTTGTCCAATCAGAAGCCCTAGCAGAAAATGGGAGAGTGGGAATCAAGTCAAGTTATTGTATTTACTCCCTGTTCTCATGCCCTACCAGGCTATGGTTCAGCTTCATTCTTCTACCAAAGGCCTCCGTTCCAGAAGGCACTCTCCTACACCCTAACACTATTTCTGGGTTCTAGAAACTTCATTCCTATCACTCCCCTTCAGGCCTATGCATAGCGAGGATCCCCCACTGTTGCTGGTCCAGGATACTTCATATTACCTTGTAGGTCCCCTTTAAACTTGCCCATACTTTTACAAGGTGTTGCTTCCCTCAATTTCCCATTTGAATATGTCCTATGTTTCCTGCCAGCGAGCTGACTGATAGTAAGTTGGTTTTTTTTTTTTTCACTTCATCTGCATAGAATGTAGCATGTAATAGAAAGCACACCTACTTTACTTGTGTAAAAGACTAGGCTCAGTGAAGCTACTTTATTTTTTCCAGCTAGTACAGGATAGAATGAGATTCAAAGCTGAGTGCCCTTGACTCTGAAAACTATGGGTTATCCTCCTATATGAAGTTAGCCATCCTATATACTCTCATTCTATCAATTAGATAATGAATGGCACAATACGTGCTTTAAAAAATTCCAGAGACATAAGAGCAAATACTCAGTCAGCAAACATTTTTTGAAAAAGAGACTACTATGAATTTGGTGCTGTAATAATTAAGGAAAGCACCAGAAGAGATCAAAAACAAAGACCATGGAAAACGAAGGTACCTAGAAACATTAACAGATGTCAGTTTCAAAATGTAACAATACAGTATCCAAGAGCACCTTTAGAAGGATGTGCCTGAAAGCTGTAATCCTGTTCTGCAACATTTATCAATTACTTTCTGATAAATTGAAATCCTAATTATTAACTGTGTCATACAATGAAAATGTATCTGCAAAGTCAAAGTAGATTTCTCAACAAGACTAGGAGATGATGAGATAAATGAGAGCAGGAGTTACAATTCCCCTTCCCAGCATAGGACTGTCTGATGAGTGCCAAAGCCTTATAAGTGAAAAGAAGACACATACATGTGTCTAATTTGAATACAACACACTAAGCTAAAACATCACTTACTTTCTATCGCATCTTTGCCTGTCATGCAACAGATCAATGACCTGTAATCCTTTGCTTCTTTAACTGTACTTCCCAATTCTGTTGGCAGACACAATCTAAAGATTGGTTTGGCCTAAAGCAAGGAAGATATGCAAAATAAGGACAGAAGCAGCAATCTAATATATTACAGTAACAGAAAAAAATAAGAACCACATTTACCCAGATATATACTACAGGACATTAAATAATAGAAGATAACATTTACAATGTTGAATTAACTACAAGATATGTAAACGAATTTATAATGTATAATGAATCAGTTCCATGACTTACATTAGTGTTATTAAAAAGTTTATATTTCTGTTTATCAAGTTTCTGAATAATGAGTCTTACCTACATCAAGAACATCAGATCCTAGAGCATCCCTTTGATCAGTCAGCTGTGCATTTTGAAGACACCCTTATACACACAGACCTCTGCCAAAGTAAGCAAAAGCTCTTGTCCAAGATGCCATGGAGAAGCAAGTCATAATGTACATTTCATAATGATTGCATTTATACAAAGAACCACAACAATATTCAAATAAGGAATCTTTACATTTCTTGGCATAAAAAAGGTTTGACTAAGATTCTCATACCTTACTTATTTAAAATCAAATCAACTCTGCATGTATTTGTACCACGTGGAAAAAAAGCAACAGAGCCTGATAGTCCTGATTTTCAAATATATTAAAAATAAAATAACATTTTTGTTAAGTCTGACCAAAAGGCTTATTTCTAGAAAGAAATAATTTTCAGAATGTCTCAGCAGAGAGACAGTAGTATCAATGACAATGATACTAGCTAACCTTGAACATTACCATGTACCAGCACTCAATGAGGTGATGTACAGATATCATCATATTGCTCCGTAAAAATCTCATCAAGGTTATTATCTCTATTTCTCAAATGAGAAAATTATGATCAGTGTGGTTATCTTGCCCCAAATCACTTTGCTCCTATGTGCAAAGGCAGTATTTAAGCTCATTTCTTTCTGATTTTGTACCCATGCATGTTCAGGGACAAAAATGTCCAGAGACATAAATATTACAGGAAAAAGAACCATGTTTCTATGATTAGAAAAATGAGGTAAAATGATGTTTTAATATAACATTTTTCCCAACCAAATGTCTACATGTTGACTTTTCACAAGCTAAATATCAAATGGGAAAAAATTAGTAATACTGGGCCTAAAATTAGTCCTACTAAATATTAAAAGATTTGATGAAATTTGGATTCTCTGTGTCTCATGTTAGCACTCCTCCTTCTTGGAGTCCCCCTGCTCCTTTTTCTCACTCACCTCCAAAAGCTCACTCAGGCAGTGCCCAATCCTCTACAACCCAAACTTAGTCTAATGATCCCAATACTCCACCAGTCATCACAGTTTACATGCATGGTATCCTGAGAGCCTCTGCACTGATGCATTACATACTGTGAAATCTACCAAAAGGAGTAAGTAGGAAGGTAATGAACAGCCTTTACATATCTGCTGAAGTCAAAAGGGTGTCTTGTTTTGAGACTGAGACCCTTACTTAGCACTTGCCAAACTACATTATATGAACAATGACATACTTTGTCTTCATGAAAATTCTATCTTGCCAAACGGTACAACTTCTTGCCTGCTTTTTTTCATTAAAAAATAAAACTTCTTATAGGCATCAAAATTATCGTCATTTGTTTATGGTAATGTGTAATTCAGCATAAAATGCAGCATCCTTGGCCATAAATACAGTGATGGCATAAATGACAACAATGACAACAGTTCCAGTTTATCATAATATTAAGTTGGTTTGAAGGAACCTAGATTCCAGTCATGTATGACATTCCACACATGGCATTTTAAAGATTATTCTCCTCTCTCCCCTAATTTAACAAGATTAGAACCAAAGGCAGATGAAATAATGCCACTTGTCTCTTTGTCTTTAGCACATTTGTGGAGCTAACTTTCTTCACCTTTTTCTCATTACATATCAGAACAGGAGTATAATTCTGATATGAACAATTACTTAAAGAAACTATACTTTTACTGTGTATAGATGACTTTTTATTCAGCCACAGTTCTCCACTGCTTCTTTAACAAAACCAGGCACTATATTATTTTTCCAAAGGTCATATCCAAGTGTAATAAATACACCTGATATTTTCTGCATTATTTGCATGTAATTTGTTTATGCCTAAACAGGCTTTGATTTTGAAGAGTACAAATCTAATTTAAATTTTCCTGAACTACCACAGAGAAATGATAATGGTTCTTTTTGAATTTTGACAGCAATACAGAATTTTCATTAGACGTAAGGAAAGAAACATCCAAACACTTGAGGAATAAAGCACATTCTAAATGCAAACTAGAAAGAGGAATCTTGTAGGTATAAAATATCAGGCATGTTTGCTAAACTTAAGGTCATACCTAACAAAGAGCTTTAGAATATTTTATCAAATACTTAACTTTTTAAAATGGCTCTTTTCGGTTGGGATAGGAGAGGATAAAGAATACATTTTTCATTTTTAAATTAATTTTTGTGGGTATATAGTAGCTGTACATATTTGTGAAATACATGAGATGTTTTGATACACGCATGCAACGTGGAATAAACACATCATGGAGAATTGGAGTATCCATCTTCTCAAGCATTTATCCTTGGTGTTACAACCAATCCAATTACACTCTTTGTTTTAAAATGTACAATTATTCTTGACTGTAGTCATCCTGTTGTGCTATCCAATAATAGGTCTTATTCATTCTTTCTATTTTTTTTTTAACCTATTAACCATCCCCACTTCCCCCCGCCATTCCCTCACTACCCTTCCCAGGCTCTGGTAACCTTCCTTGTACTCTCTATATCGATGAGTTCAATTGGTGGGAATGTAAATTAGTACAACCGCTGTGGAGAACAGTTTGGAGGTTTCTCAGAAAGCTAAAATTTGAGCTACCATATGATCCAACAATCCTACTGCTGGGTACATACCCAAAAGAAAGGAAATCAGCATATCAAAGGAGAGGTATCTGCACTATGTTTTGTGTAGCGCTGTTTACAATAGCTAAGATTTGGAAGCAACTTAACAGTCCAGCAACAGATTAATGGATAAAGAAAAGGTGGTACATATACACAAGGGAGTACTATTCAGCCATAAAAAAAAAAATGAGATCCAGTTATTTGCAACAACATGGATGGAACTAGAGATCATTATGTTAAGTGAAATAAGCCAGGCACAGAAAGATAAAAATCACATATTCTCACTTATCTGTGGGATCTAAAAGTCAAAAGGATACATTTTAATAAGCCAGGAATGCCTCTCTACTTCAAACATACCTAATTAAAAAAAAAAAAAAACTCATTTGGCTTAGGGTATTATAACCTATTAAATCAAATGCACGTAATAAAGGATAACTCTCAGTTATCAGTTGATTAAACTATTGTGTGAATTAATTTAAAGGAGCATCATATAAGGGCAGGTTTTGAAAGGAACAGATAGAAACTGTTCCTGAGAGACAGAAGCCAAGACCACTGGCAGGAGAGGGAAGGGACAAGAAAAGTAGGTCTAGGATGAAGAACAAAGTTCCCTTACTTCTAATTCCGCTCAGAGCCATTCCCAGACACACCTAATGTAGTTATACAGTGCAACATGGCGAATTTGAGCCTTTTAAAACACATCCTGGATCATCTACACTTGAAATCAAACCCACACATTATTTATGTTGGAAGATAGTTAAATAATTAACACAGCAAGTACATCTTATAGAAGGGCCTAAATATGACCAATGGGACAAAATTAATAGATTTCAATAGCTAAACAAAATGGTTTCCAGAGGAATATAATAAATAGCACAGGGGACATTGGACACTGAAGGAAATGACTTGAAATTTTCTTCTCACCATGTCAAAAGTTGGTTTTAGAATATAATTAATGAGTATATCCGGTTTATTATTGAAAGTAAAACCTCTCCAAACAGTCTCTTCTTGCAGTTACTGTTCTGTAAGTGTGCCAGATTGTTAGCAAGACGATCATGAAGCTCTGAACATCCAGGATCGTTAGTGCTTAGTATCAGGAGACGTGCATTTTCTCTTTTATTTCAAGCATCAGTTTCTCCTTCATACATACCATCTTAAAACATACTGAAGGAAGGAGACTAAGAATTAATAAAACCAGAATATGGCCTGAAAGAAAACAGTCAACAAAGTAGGAACAGTGAACCTAACCTTTCACATCAAGTATCGCATATCAAAGGCCAAGTTTCAAGGCCAGGATACCATGTCAAAAGTCTCCTGAAAATAAGCTCTGGTGTGAGGAAACACACACATACTATGTGGTGATCACAGCTAATGGCAAAGGTGCCTCACGGGCAGGAATATGATATTAACAAACCCAGAAATAGCCTGACCGTAGAAAGTTTCTTCCTGAAAAGGCAGACCCATGAGCCTCACTGTCACTCATCCAACCCATCTTTTCAGCTTGTTTCCCAGGGATTTTCTTCTTATGTCCTATACATCAAACTTAATCATTCACTGTTCTCCAAACATGATACAGTTCTTTCATCTCTCTCTACCTGAAGTGCTGTGCCCCACCAAATTTCCATTTCCAAATCCTTCCTGAACTTTAGTATGCAACACAGATGCCATCTCTATAAAGCAGACTCATAGTAGAAATAAGGTCTCCTAGTCTGAATTCTTATAATTATCATTTTATAGCAATGTCTCTAGCTTCCTGGGCATTGTCTATTTCTTGTCATCTCTATTAATCTCTAAATTCCTTGGGGGTATATTTTTCATATTAAGCAGGCTAGTGTCTTGAACATAATATGTGTCAATATATATTTGTTAAGTGACAAGATGATCTAGAACAAAAAAAATTATGTTGGTGCAAAAGTAATAGTAGTTAATGCCAAAAAAATGCAATTACTTTTGTGCCAACCTAATAGATCAAAAAGCCAGGAAAAAAATAGGTTATTTTTAAATTAAAGATATTTAGAGACTATAAATGGCAAACCCAGAAATGATCTTGTCAGTTGTAGCATTTTACCAGAAGAAAGCACACTGGGCTGAATCATTTTCTGCCAACCAACCACTGTAGTACTGCAGTAATCTGACCCATTCCTGTGTAAGAATTCTAAATCACAATGACAAGTATCATAGAAAATTTGATTTTGGGAAACTTTGGAGATATAGCCCCACTCTTTTTCTAAGACACTAAGGAGTGTTGTGCAATTCAGCCAGTGTAACAGTTTGGATGTTTCTCTCCTCCAAATCTCGTATTGAAATGTCATCTCCAATGTTGGAAGTGAGGCCTAATGGAGTTGGATCCCTGATGAATGGCTTGATGCCCTCCCCACAATAGTGAGTTCTTGCTCTATGCATTTATGCAAAAGACAGTTGTTTAAAAGAGCCTGACATCTCTCTTGTTTAATCTCTCACCATGTGACACACCTGCTCCCACTTCACCTTCGACCTGGATAAAAGCTTCTTGAGGCCTCACCAGAAGCCAAGCAGATGCTGGTGTCATGTTTCCTGCACAGTTTGCAGAACTCCAAGCCAAATAAACACCTCTTCTTCACAAGCTACACGATATTCCTTTATGGTAATGCAAAACAGAAAAATATACCCAGCTAGTTAGTAGCTGAATGAGAGCTAGAACCCAGATTTCTTGAATTGAAATCAAGGGCTCTTTGTGCTGGAATAAGCTGCCTTGTGGTAAATTCATCTTCTCTTGATACCTGAAAATATTCAACATCACATTCTAATGACTTGAACTATTAAAAGGTTAATAATGTGTGCATTCCTTTAAATGGCATATCTTGTACTGCATTTCTGAAGAAGCATCACTCATTCTTTATAAAATGTTATAATGATTGCTTCTGACTGATGGTCAATACTTCTATTTATTCATGCCCAAAGTCTAGTTGGTGGGTACTCATTTCCATTAAGCACTAGAGGCATGAGATTATATTTCAATTTTATATCTGTATGTTGATTCCACTGATGCTTATTTCAAGTGATTTTTCCCCAGATGATATAAGAATAGGAGAGTAAAGTCTTGCCTCTTATTTGTAT
Source organism: Homo sapiens (assembly GCF_000001405.40). NCBI lineage: Eukaryota > Metazoa > Chordata > Mammalia > Primates > Hominidae > Homo > Homo sapiens. The sequence continues at coordinate 8,682,532 of NC_000007.14, read as the reverse complement.
GACCTTTATATGGAGCAAAGGAATTTGGTAAAGTAGAAGTGGTATCTTGTAAATATTCCAGAGTCTTTATTAAATATTAAAATATAATCATTTAATCATTGTGTGAGTACTGTAAAGAATTTCCAGAGGCATATAGCCCAAATCAGCTGTGTATCAGAATCCTTTAGTGTGCTTTTAAAACACATACTCTCCTGATCTCGTCCCAAGACCTATGAAGTCAGAATGCATCTTCCTGGGAATCTGATCCCAAAGAACTTCTGAGGCACGGCTAGGTTTGAGAATTACTATTTCTAAGGCCAGAAGAGACTTATAGAGGTCTGAATTATTTTCCCACCTGTGCTCCTCAGGACCCTAAGTAACCACATTCATCCTCACTGCCTGCTCGGCCCCTCCCTTGCCCTTTCAATGAAACAGGCATACTCAAGCACAAAGGTGAAGGTGATCAATCACCCCTCACCCCAGCACCCATTCAGACCCTTCCACTGGCATGCTCACCCTTCACTTCTCTTCCTCCTCCTGTTTTTCTCCTCCCTTGCCTCCTTGCTTTTGCTCCTGATAATTGCCCTGAGGACTTCTGGTTCTGGATCTCAACTTTCAGATTTCTAGAAAAGGGGCAAAGCTCAGTTTCACTGCAGTAAATGACGCACATATGGGCTGGACAAGTTTCTACAACCTCCCAATAGTAGAGAAAGACTGGAAAAATATAGATGTGGTAGGCCAGATAGGCCAATGTCTCCCAATCATCTCAGATGCAGCCTGACACAGGCCTGATGTTTGTCAAGAAAAACAGCCACACTGTACTAATAAACATAAACTTTGTAATGCAGTATAATAATTAAGATTTCATTTCACCATACATTGTATATTATGGAATCAAAATTTAGATATGACTGTTAACACTGAAGAAATGCCTGAAGTATTGTAATTGCCCTTTACATGCACACACCCTTCCTAGAAATCCTGTGACTTACTGTCTAGTCAAGGAGACAAGGGGTCAGTGGATGCAGCAAACGTCAGGGCAGTGGCACAGTTCCAACTCATGGACTTTCCCCACTCTGAGTAGCTTCATTGAACTATATATTACAATTTATGTCATATATATATTATAATAAACACAAGGTCCCTTTGGTGTCTACAAAGTTAAAGAAATCCACATTACTGGGTAAATTGTCTCAAAATATTACTTAACTTTCACAGAAAGAAGCATAAAGCAATTCCAGTTTATATTTGGTATTTTTGCATCATATATCACTTTGGTCGGAAGATAAACGCTTATATATGAAAGATGGTGTGATATGGTAGAAAGGTCTCAAATCTAAAAGTAAAAGGGATGGATTTTTATTATTATAGCTCTGAAGCTAAATGACTTATGCCACTTAATGATGTCATAAATATCTACTTATCTAACTATGTAACATAAAGGGGCTGGCCAGGGACAGCAAAGTCTAGGAGAGGAGCACTGTACCGGACATTAGCGCTGGCTCTGTTACTAGCCAGTTGTGTGTTTGAGCAACTCTCTTTACCTCTGTAGCCTCAGTTTGTTCATCTGTAAAACATCTAGTTCAATAGTCTCTTAACCCTGTCCCAGGTGAAGTATTCAGAAGGTTGCTGATACCTTTAGGTCATGTGATCCTTTTCCAGCACTAATATTCTGTTAATAGAAATTTTCCTCATGGCTTATGCAGGAGCTGTTTTAGCACTTTATTGCATATAAAAGATGCTGATCACAGGTATCCTTGATGGGAGCTACCTCATTAGCACTGGCAGCTCCAGGTGTTAACTTTATATCAATAACTGTTACAGTGATCCTTGGTATTACATGAATTCATTCCTTTGATCATTGCATAATAATTCTACAATTTTCCTTAGTCACTAAGCACAAGTGTCTTGGCATTGTACTTCACTTTTTGAAATGTGCACCATCTTCCTACTTCCATCAGAAACATATTTTTAGTTTTGTTTCATTTTAAAATGCTTTTTTGTCATTGAACAAGTTTTAACTAAGCATCTATATATACTACCTAACATTTTCTCTTGAGTCATTTGGAGAAATAATCTATAAGACACGAGATTTGTTTTTCTCAATGCAATCTACAATCTTAGGTTATATGGCTTGGAAGAACAGACTGCATATCTTTTTAACTTTACCTGCACTGATTATTCATCTGACCTCACACAGCCCATGTATTTTCCACACTCTGTGCTTTCTGCATATGCTGTTCCTTCCATCTGAAACAAACTATCCCTCTCCCCGATTCACCACCAGCAAACTCTTACCACATTTAATGCACCTTCATATCCCCAGGATCTATCATAGTACCTGATGCATCACATGTACTCAATAAATGTTTGAAATGAATTGAATTTCTTTTATACAATTACCAGCATAGGAAAACCCACAAATGGCACTGAATAAAAGCTTTATGCTGTTGATGAGAGTAATCAGGTCATGAACAAATACCACTCCGTGTCTGAAAACATACTAGGGTTTCAAACAGATGATTTAGCTTTTGAGACGTAGTCTCGCTCTGTTGCCCAGTCTGGAGTGCAATGGCACAATCTCTGCTCACTGCAACCTCAGCCTCCTGGGTTCAAGCAATTCTACTGCCTCAGCCTCCTTAGTAGTTAGAATTACAGGCACGCGCCACCACACCTGGCTAATTTTTGTATTTTTAGTAGAGACAGAGTTTCACCATGTTGGTCAGGCTGGTCTCGAACTCCTGACCTCGTGATCTGCCCACCTTGGCCTCCCAAAGTGTTGGGATTACAGGCGTGAGCCACTGCGCCCAGCCTAGCTTAAATCTTAATGAAGAGAGTGCAACAAATAGACTTGGGTGATTAAGGCCACCATGAAACAAGCCTTCACCCAATTCAGACACATTTGATCACAAATATTTGTTCTTAACCAAAGACTTTCAACTCACACCAAAAATAATAACAAAAGTTAATTTGTGACAAAGAAACATTGAGGGAAAATTGACAATAAGATTTTAACAATTAACAATTTCAAACCTGCTATGATTAGAGTGTTCCTTAATTCTTACTCTAACGTTATCAATTAAACATGTTACATTAATTAAAAAACATCCTGGCCATTATATGAGATACACAGATAAACGGGATACAGTTTCTCTTTTCATAGAGCTCTCCAGTGCGGCACCCCAATTCCTTGAAATTATATTTGTCTAGCCCATAATGTTGCAAATTGTACTGAATTACACTTGAACGTGTTCTTTACAGAACTATTTCTTAAAATGTTAGGGGCCAATAAGAATTGGATAAAGCAGGCTGGGCGCGGTGGCTCACACCTGTAATCTCAGCACTTTGGGAGGCCGAGGTGGGCGGATCACGAGGTCAGGAGATTGAGACCATCCTGGCTAACACGGTGAAACCCCGTCTCTACTAAAAATACAAAAAATTAGCCGGGCGTGGTGGTGGGCGCCTATAGTCCCAGCTACTCGGGAGGTTGAGGCAGGAGAATGGCGTGAACCCGGGAGGCGGAGCTTGCAGTGAGCCGAAATCGTGCCACTGCACTCAGCCTGGGTGACAGAGCGAGACTCCGTCTCAACAAAAAAAAAAAAAAAAAAAAAAAAAAAAAAAAAAATTGGATAAAGCAAAGATAAATCTAGAAAAGTGAACCAAAACTAAGAGAGGAGAGGTCTGCAAGGATAAAATAGATTTTATAATAAGGTCCAAAGCAACTCTGCTGTGGGACCACTCTACATAAACAAAATAACAACAAGAGGACTATTTTTTTTTTCCCTAGGAGTAGTTCATGTGCAGACCACAAACCTGCAGGCAGTGGTAATAGCCTAAATGACACGAGCAGCAACTAATAGGAAGTGACCCATTCCTTAACAGGAGGCTCTGCGGACCCGTAGGAGCCTGTGACTTGGCTGAGAGCAGTGGGAGTGAGATTAATAAGAGATTTTTGGTGATCACGAGAGGATGGGTGCCCCTGAACACTGGCATAGCTGCCCATCCACTACAGCCAGCAAACAGCTCCAATGCTGGCTGTAGTGAGCAACAACCAGAGGAAGCTAGGATGCAACTGGAGAAAAACACTGGAGATGCAAAAGGACCGTAAATGAGAAACTCCCACAGACCCCAAGAGATGTTCTAGAAGGGGAAAGGGTACATAAGAGAGACATAAGTAGTTCTAAGAGGAGTAAAGGAAAAGGAAAAATATATCTACTCAAGGGAAAGATGTGAATTTATATAATGGCAATTAGACCAAGCACCTAGAGGTGGGGTTTATTGAACTTCTGGACTAACGGCTGGCATAACCTGCTTCTGAACCCATAACTTGGTGAGTTTTGTAGACCCTTGGGCTACTAAACAATAGTACTAGTGTACTAGCGACCTAAAACACTTAGGAAATCACCTACTTTAGAGAGTACTTGAAATAGGATAAATGTATTCCTCCTATCCAACATTTTCTCTCAAAAGTATCCTCTAACTCCATCAAGCTTTAACTAATCCTAATTATTCTTCATTTTCACTGGAAACATACAACATTGAGATGTTTATATTGGTTGATACTAAAGATTATTTTATAACCATATATAGTTATAAAATATATATAAATGTATGTATGTTTATATATATGTAAACACTAATTCTTTGGGCAACTATTTGGTAATGTAATCTAATTACTTCGGTGACAAAAAGATTGAGAGTATATTTTATTAAGTCATTTTATAAGTTTCAAATAAACTTCAATTTATAACCTGTAAAATGCATTGTTTTATTATCAATAAAAATCATCTTGTTCATAGCTAAATTAATCTTTAGTTTTCTTCTAAACTAAATGCATTTGCATTTCCTTTTAATATAGTGCCTTGTATAGTTGGAAACTAAGCATAGAGAGGAAGGTTTCTTTCTTTCTTTTTTCATTTCACAGTAATGGGATGGGCTCCATATGGCCAGGAGCTTTTCTCAGACTTCACATTCTAATACCTTGATCATCTGGTTTTGTGCTATCATAGTTCCTCTTTTCCTCTCTGGGGAAACTCATGTCTGTGGCTGGCATCTGTCCCCTGCCTTTCCCTGTAAATATCTTAGCAAATAATTCATTTAATGTCTACTCTTCCTATTAACAAACTAGCATTTTCTCTTTGGTCTGTCATTTCTTAAATGCACTTCTAAATACCTTCCCATTATTTCTTTATTCACATTCTGACAACCTTCTACTTAAATGGAACCCAACTAAAACATTAACTTTCTAAGGAATCACAGATCTTAGTATAAATGTTATAACCTTAGAAATTTTTTAATTTAGTTTAATTTGCAAATTCTGTCATTATCAACCTGGTTAAACATAGCATGGGGAATTTCTTCAAAAACTGCCCTTTATAATTATTCTAGTTTCCTTAGGTCTCAATACCAGATTAGTATGAAACAAAGTACATCTATAACTTTGCTGTCTGTTGTCAAGATAACTCTGATACATCAGACAGGACATCACAGATGGCTACATTCAACCTGTACCATGCTTTCAGAGACTCAGAGACTAAAGGACACAATTGGAATAAACAAAACATAGAGACCCAGTATTTGCTGAACAGTGTAAATTTGTAGCAGGGTTAGCATTTCTGCATAAGCCCATATACTTTAGAGTGATGAGTAAACATATTTGGTTCAGAAGTCTTTTCCCCCTTAATCACCTTGGTTGGCTCTTTACACTTCTTGATAAATAATGAGATTTGAAACAACAGAGTATAAAACTATAGGTCCCAAACAGTATGTTTTCTCTCTGGCCTTTAAGCCCTGTGTCATAATGGATTATATATATTTAAGTTGCTACTTCTTTACCCAGTTAAGCAACTTACTAATATTCCTACAAGTACTAGAAAACTATAAAGAGGCAGCCAAGCTCTATACTGATAAATAAGCACATCTTGGAATCCTAAGTCACCAGCCATCACTTTTTCTTTTCTAGTAATGTAAATGTGTTTATTCAACATTTCTCTATATATCCACACATTTCTGTGAGCTTACACTTTGCTAGACAAAGTGACATTTTAAAGGTAATAATATACAAACAGAAAATTCCTTTGTTCAAAATATATTATCTAACTAAAATAAAATAAAAATCACGATTGCATAGATGAGGCCTGATTTGGGGCCCTCAGGTGGAGTGTTATGCAAATGACTTCAGTTTACAGCTACTCATCTTAATACACACAAGCCAACTAAAGTACAGAGCACCAGAATTCCATCCTTTGCTTTGATAGACTATTTGGACAAAATTTGAACACTGTTTTTAAACTAGTTACATTATTGCACACAATAGACACTTAGGATAACACACATCTTAGACGTAGGGAGTTATAATCTTTTCTGGTTATTCAATTTATAATACTTGTTTTCAAGGCTGTGTGTAAAGTACAGCAGCAACTGCATTGAAATGTTAATTCCCAATAAAACTTTACACTTTTATTTTTTGCTAACACATCTGTGGCACTGACTATGGTTAAATTGTTAAGAAAAACATCCAGACTCTGCTTGCAAATCTAAAGCCTATCCCTAGAGATTTGTTAGTTTACACAGCCAAACAGTATAGAAAACTAGATAATTAGAGGTAGCTGGAGCCAAGAATGACCAACAAGTGGCAAAAGAGAAGGCTAGATGGAAATGGGTGTCCGTGATTAGCAGTTGAATTGACTAATTTATTGGAATCCATTTACACATTATAAATGGCCTAAAACACAAGAAAGAGACCCATATTTGTCCATGCAAGGCCTCCATATCTTTCCATGTGTTATCCTTTTGGGGGAATGTATCATTATTCTCATCCACGTTTACCTGGATAACCTATACTCATACTTTAAAATGTACCACAGATGTTAACCATCATCACTCTATCTGTCCGAGGTGCTCCCCTAGCATCCTGTACTCACCATATTGTACGGAAGTTGTCTATGAATGCTGCAATGATTAACTTGGAAGAAAGGCCATGTCTTCTGTTTCTGCAGTCTCAGTACCTGACACTGTTCCTGGCACATTATATTTGTTCAATAACTGATTGTCGAATGAATAAACGCATCATCAACTTTAAGAAAAAAGCAAGAATGTGAGGAAATTATAATCAGGAAAAGATATGAAGTACATTGTATATCAATTCTGGTCTCAAATATTAATAGAAGGAGGCTGATAAAACTAATATTTATTGGCTTATGCCTAAAAATTAGAATATTGAAATTAAAAAATTTTTAAATAAAATAAAATAAAAATTATTAAACAGATGTTACATTACAGAAATTTATGTATATTATATTAGGCATTTTGAGGTAGGTATTCTTAGTCCCATTTTAGAGATAAAGAAACTAAAGCCTAGGAAGGTAAATACTTACCCAATATTATATAAAATAAATAGAAGAGCTGAGTTTTGAATCTTGGTCTCTCTGATTCCAGAGTTCCTATTCTCTCAGCAACACACAAGACCAGAAGGATTTAGCCTACCCCTTGTTCTATTTTAAGGTTTACTCATCCATACCCAGTCCAAAAAACCTGTCAGCCCTGGTAGGAAATAGTCAGGGTTGCTCTGTCACTAAGTTGGCTTAGAACAATTATATATTTCATCTGGAGCTGTCTACACCAGTAAGGGCTTGACCGTAAGATACCCCTTGAAATACTGGCCTCGGTTTCTAGGTCGATTGTTCCTGATGAGCATTCATACCTCATCACAATGATGTGTGGAATCTCATTAGTTGGCATCCCTTCTGTGATAGGCCTCCAGAGAGCATGATTTACTCTTTGGTGCATGCTGCTGGCTATCAGCATGGTTTACCAAAATTGTCAAGAACCTGCTTCATTAATGCAGCTACAATTGAACCCCTCTGTGACTATGGTCACATTTTTCCAGTCTGTCTATTGATCAGCATCTTCCATGCTTATCTCTGGCCTTCTACTTTTGTAAATGCCTGGAACCCCAAACTCCTTTAGAGTGAGTTTTGTTTCCATTCTGCCTCCAGAGATTTCCTTGCCACACTCAGGCATTCAGCAGCTCTCCATACGAATGCACCCATATTTCTTAGTAGAGTTTAATTGCAAAGAATGAACTTTCTTCTTAAATACGGTACGTTTTCTGAACATAAAATATAGCAGAGGTCCACAGAGAAGTGTAATAGTCATACTCTCGGGAAGTGAATATACTTTGAGAGAAACAAAGCGACCCAAAGAAGAGTCAAGAAGTATCCCATTTACTCAGTTTAGTCATCCCTTTAGGCAACCCACAGAATTTTTCTCATCTTCAATTTTTCCATTTGTACAATAGAACTATTAATATCTGCCTTGCAGAATTGCAGCAAGGATTGAATTGCATAGGTGTGTGTGTGTGTGTGTGTGTGTGTGTGTGTGTGTGTGTGTCTATATGTTTGTAAGTACTAGGGACATTGATTAAAAATGTACCTTACAAAAAATAAATGTGTAATTGATATTTTCACAATAGAAAAAATAATTTTTACTTAGGCACAACTCCAATACTGTATCTTATTTGCAAACCAAGTAGACAATAGATCTTTACTTTGTTATGTGGAGTAGCTTTCAACATTGTAGCTATCTTTAACTTCTTCATCAATAAATAAATGAAATACTGATAATATTGATCCCCTTGTTTTAGGCTCAAACAGTGTTTTCTTCTAGTCTGTGAAGATATTCAATGCTCAATCCATGTTAGCCATAAAATAATTTGGGGAAGATGTGTTTTTTTTCAAGTAGCACTATCTTCCTGTAGCTACTACTACTAATAATGATAGCAATAAGAGCACCTAATTAATATTGAACACTTAGTCTTTGCCGAAGACTGTTGTAATCCCTTTCATGAAATAATTCAGTTAATTATCATACATACATACATGCACACACACACAAACTATGTAAGCACAGAACTATTATTATTCCAAATGTATGCATGAAAGCATGAAGCATGGGGCAGTTAGATAGCTTGCCCAAGATAATACAGCTAGTAACTAATAAAGTTGGAATACAAACCCAGCACTGCACTTAACTCTAATGCCACACAGCCTCTTTGACTTGGAAAATATCACATGCTTTCACCAACAAACATACAGATTTGAAATACATTTCCATTTTTGAGTATATATCTGAAATATTATTTCTTCATAGTGGCCTCTAATTTGGGAAAATTACCAGAGGTATCCATCCTCAACTTATATCTGAGAACTTGATACTTTTCTCATAAAGTATTCAGTTTAAAAGCATGCATCTTAATTGAAACTGTTTATGTTAATAATGCCTGCTTTTATTTATGTTTGGCTATCTCACTCAAATAACTTTTGCTCCTATTTATACTTTTTTTCTAAAGCCAATTTATATTCCTTTTATTAGGCTTAAAATAATTATGTTTAAATTGGGTGGTGGTGGTATTTTGACAGGCCATATGAAAATAGAGCAATAATGCCTAATAATTATTAAGAATTCATTATTTGTCAGCAACCCTGCTAAGATGTTTTCAATATATCACCTCGTTTTGTAACAGAAATTATGTCAGTGTTTTAGATGGAGATATGTAACTTGACTAAAGCAATCTTGATGGTAAGTAATAAAGCAAGATTCCAATCCAGGTCTGCCTCATTCAAAATCCCTGTTCTTTTCACTCTACCACCTTGCCTCTTCCCTTAGCAGCACACAGGGGAAAGAACAGATGCTCAGGCCAAGAAAAGTAATGAGGAAAGAGATGGCAGAGCAGACTGTGGGATAAGAAAGAACCGTTTGAAAGGAGAAAATTTCTCAAAGTTGGAAAAGGAGGACGGACCCACAGCTGTTAGCACACAGTGTTCGTATAAGTTGAAACCACTTAGGTCGCCTCTGTGAAACAATGGTCTTCCCTGACTTCTATTCTCACTTATTATTTCTTCAAAATGCAGACTTCTTTTATTAATTGCCTCAACCATCACAACAGTTCAGCTGTATAGAGATTAAAAAACAATTAGACAAGACTGTATTGGATTTGTCTTTCAAGCTGTTTGCTTTTTTTTTTCCCCTAGGGGTTTCATTTTATTATGGTGTGTTTTATGGTTTTTTTAATCTTTTTTTATTATTATACTTTAAGTTTTAGGGTACATGTGCACAATGTGCAGGTTAGTTACATATGTATACATGTGCCATACTGGTGTGCTGCACCCATTAACTCGTCATTTAGCATTAGGTATATCTCCTAATGCTATCCCTCCACCCACCCCACAACAGTCCCCAGAGTGTGATGTTCCCCTTCCAGTGTCCATGTGTTCTCATTGTTCAATTCCCATCTATGAGTGAGAATATGCGGTGTTTGGTTTTTTGTCCTTGCGATAGTTTGCTGAGAATGATGGTTTCCAATTTCATCCATGTCCCTACAAAGGACATGAACTCATCATTTTTTATGGCTGCATAGTATTCCATGGTGTATATGTGCCACATTTTCTTATTAAACTAAAGAGCTTCTACACAGCAAAAGAAACTACCATCAGAGCGAACAGGCAACCTACAAAATGGGAGAAAATTTTTGCAACATACTCATCTGACAAAGGGCTAATATCCAGAATCTACAATGAACTCAAACAAATTTACAAGAAAAAAACAAACAACCCCATCAAAAAGTGGGCAAAGGATATGAACAGACACTTCTCAAAAGAAGACATTTATACAGCCAAAAGACACATGAAAAAATGCTCATCATCACTAGCCATCAGAGAAATTCAAATCAAGCTGTTTTCTAAAGAGGCGACAGAATGTTTACACTTATTATTTCATTCCATCCTAAAACACTGTTTAGAAATGGTGACAGAATTAGGATTTATGCAATAACCTTATGATAGAACCAGTGCCAGACCCAATTTTTCTGAACAAGTGTGTTTTTCTGTACCAAACTTATCTAAAACATAAAAACTACTCAAGACCTAAAATGACCTCAAAAACCATCACAGAACCATTCCTCCCATGTAGAAAGAGCTTCTTTAAGACAATTCAAGAAATATAAATAGCCATTCTGTTTTTAAAGACCTTAATGGAAGGTAATTATACAGCCTTCCATAGTACCTCATTCCAGTGCTCTAAAATGTTTCTCTTGCTAAAACTGAGGGAGAGCATCAGTATGTTCATTCTTTATGGCAAATACATGAGACAGAAAGTCTCTGAAACCAAACATCATATTGGCAATCAAAAAGAGTGTTTTTAGAATGCTCAGGAACCTATCTGTCCAAGAAAGCTTCAATGGCCAAAGACAGCTGGGTGCTTAATATGATAAAATCTTAGTCAAACATATGTTCTTCTTAACATGATAGTATTTTCCTGTAATAACATTACCATTTTTTTCTCTTTCACATAGAAATAAAACTGTTCATTTAAGCACCACGAACACACAAAAATAGCATATGTAATTTATTTAACTATTTGTACAGAAGTATTTTTGCCTTAAAAAGTAATCTGAAAAATGGGTAGCCTTTATTAGAGTTGAATGGTATGTATCTGTGGAGTGCCTGTCTTAACTGTCCACAGACCACGGTAGGGCAATTTTTGAATGATTTCTTGTTAAAGAACATGACGATGACTCAGGCAGATGAGTACATCCCAAGTAGATAAGACCATGTCAGAGGTGCTATCAGCTTAGATATTACCTAATACACTGTGTATGGATTTCAATGATTAGAAAGCAGTATCAGAGGGGAACCCATAGTGAAAAACCTTCCAGACCACAAATCCTTGAAAAAGCAGGAACAAAGAGACCCTGTCCCTAACCCTCTACATAGAAAAAGAAAACTCTTCTGTGATGCAGGTAACTGAAGTATCAAAAACTTTTTCAAATTGCTTTTATATTGTGATACATATTGGACCACTGACCTATGTTTTAAAGAACACATTTTTTCTGGTAAATGACGATATTGGGCAGCCTAAAGGTGATGCTAATAGAAGTTATAACTTCTGTTAAAACAGTAGAGGATGAATTTCATTGAGATTAAATGGAAAGGAAGGGAGGGGACAAAAGGACTTGGACATGTTGGCAGAAAAGATGCACGAGTTTACATGAGAAGCTTTGCTTGGATAATTCAGACAATAGTTAGTACCATTAAATCTGTAAGTTACAAAAAGTCATAAATTTGGGGTTAGTGAAGTTCAATTTTATATAATCTTTGGTAAATCCAATTTGGTTTTAACATTGGTTTTAAGTAGAAATGTTTAAGAAGAAAAAAGGGATAGAACTTGTGAGAGATTTCAACACTAAAAATGTAAATTTCAGAAAAGTAAATTTTCCAGAGAAGAGTTTATTAGACTAGAAAGCAAAGGACACTACCTCAAAGGACATCTACATTTAGGAGAGGGAGAGGAATAAAAAGTCAGAACAAAAGAAAGAGAATCAAAGGCAGAGGGAAGTTCATCTCAAAAGATGCAGCAGCCATTCCAAATGCCAGAAGGCCCAGAAAATGACATTGGTTTACGTCATTAGGGGTTACTGATAATCTTCAAGAGAGCAATTCCAATACTTGTTTATAATAGAAAATATTCTAAATCCTTAACAACTGAAGACTGGGGTTCTGATCAGCAAGATGTCAGCAATATGGCAGAATAGGACTTTCCAGTCCTCATTCCCTGGCTTCCTGCAGAAACATCAATTTGAACAACTATCCCTGCATGAAAATATTTTTACAAGAGCTAAGGAAACAGGTGAAAAATTATAGCACCTGAGTGTGACACAAAAATAAGAAAAGATTCATTAAAGAGAGTAGGAAGGACAGTTGTACATTACCCACATCAATCCTTCCCCTGCAGCACAGCATGGGGAGAAATACTCTCTGCTTGAGGGAAAGGGAGGGAAGAAAGCAGTGGACTTGGCCTTGGACTCCAACACCAGGCTCACTCCAGTAAAACACAGCTGGGCAAGCACACATGCTCCCAGACCTCAGACTGAACCTCAGAGTTGGTGCCAAGACTTTGCCTTGTACTCCAACACCAGGTTCACCCCAGTAAAACACAGCTGGGCAAGCCCACATGCTCCCAGAATTCAGGCTAATACCCTCAGACTGAACCTCCAAGCTAGTGCCAAAACCAGTTGAGTTCCTACAGCCCCAGGCTTCATACTGTCCCCCAAGCCAGGTCTGAGATTCGGGTCAACCCCAGTGCCAGGCCAGCCCCCACATCCCTAGTAATCAGGCCAGCATCTTCAGACTCAACCTCTAGGCCAGGCCCTTTGGTCTCCACGACTACCCCAGGTTTCAGACCAGCACAGAGCTGGGTGGACCCACACAGCCCCAGGCTTCAGGTCCACACAGGGCTAGCTAAGCACTCCTGGTCTTGGGACCTAGGCTGGCACCCATGGACGCATGCTCCATGTCTGCCCAGTCTTGGGCTGGCCCCAGCACACACCCACACCAGCAGACCCGAGGTCCAGGCCTCCTCCAGCAGATACAGGCTTCAGACCCATCACAGTAAATCACAGCAATTTATTGGCTGGAACATACTCAAGCTCCAGGACCATCCCTGTGGACCCAAATTCCAGGATGGCCCTCATAGAACTAGTCTCCAGGTCAGCACTCACACACCCATGCTCCAGGCCAACCCCAGAGGACCCAGGCTTCATGCCAGTCCCCATGGACCCATGCTCCAGTTGGATCCAGAGTCGAATCTGGCTTCAGCATACCCAGGGTTCGGCCTAACTACAGTAGACCCCTGAGTGCCAGGGCAGTGCTAGGGTAGCCCTCATGAACCCCTGCAGACCCAGGCTCCAGGCCAGCCCCCAATGGACCCAGAAGCCATACTTGCCCCCATGAACACAAGCTTCAGGCCTGCTGCAGCACCAAGCCAGACCCTATGAACTCAGGCTCCAGGCCTGTTCTAGTAGACCCAGGTCCTAGGCCCATGCCAGTACCTGGTCAGCCCCTGCAGACTCAGGCTCAAAGCCTATCCCACCAGTACATCAGCCTTTGTGGACCCAAGTTTTAAGCCAGCCCCTGCAGATACAGGCTCCAGGCCCACCCCCATGGACTCAATCAACAGGTCTACCCAAGTGGATCCAGGATTCAGGCCCAATCCCATGGACCCAGGCATCAGGCTTGCCTACCTGCTGAACCCAAGAATCAAATAAGCTTGCATGAGAACTCCAGTAGCAAGCTCACCTGTAAACTGTAGCAAATGGCCTGCCTAGAATCTCTGGATGGGCTGATTGCTGAAGGGTATTCCCAGACAAAGTCAGTCTGCAAAGACTAAAATAAGTCTCAACTTCTCCAAATGTGCAGTTATCAACATAAGACAACAACAACAACAAAATAAAAAAAAAAAAACAAAGAGACATAACACCATCAAAAGAATACAATAATCTCTCAGTTGCTGACCACAAAGAAATGGAGAAACAAACTGTCTAACAAATAATTCAAAATAATTATTTTAAGAAAGTCTGGAACACTTCAAGAAAATACAGAGAAACAATAAAATGATATCAGAAAAACTATAATAAACAACCAAATTAGAAATTTAAAATAATTTTTTTCTAAATCAGAAATCCCGGAGCTGGAAAATATAATGAACTAAACAACAACAACAACAACAACAAAATACAATAGAGAACATCAACAGCAGAATTTATCAAAGCAGAAGAAAGAATCTGTGAACTCGAAAACAGTTTATTTTAAAATATACAATCAGAGGAGAAAAAAGAAAAGAGGATGAAAAGGAATAAATAAAACATGGGATTTATGGGACAGCTTTAAAAGATCAAATATTCAAGATTTAGGAGTTCAAGAAGAAGAAGAGAGAGACAAAGAGGTGGAAAGCTTATGCAAATAAGTGATCACAGAAAACTTTTCAAATCTAGGTAGAGATATAAATATCTAGGTATAGAAGAGTCTCCAATTAGATTCAATCTAAATAAGACTACACAAAGACATATTATAAACAATCTGCCAAAAATCAAAGGCAAATAGAAGATCCTGAAAGCAGCAAGAGAAAGGATGCAAATCACATATATGAGAGTTCCAATCAGGCTAGAATCAGATTTCACAGAAAAAAAATTCATTAAAGGCCAATAGATAATGGATGGCAAATGCATATTCAAAATGCTGCGGAGAAAAAAAAAAAAACTGTCAACCAAGAATACTGCACCTGACAAAGATACTCTCAGAAACAAAGGAGAGATAAAGCCTTTTTCAGACAAAACAAAACAAAACAAATATTTGGGAAATTAATTACTACCAGACCTGAAATGTGAAAGGGAGTTCTTCAAGCTGAAAAAAAATGGGACACTAATGTATAACACACAATCATCTGAAAGTAAAACTCTCTGGTGAAAGTCAAATTCAGAATATGCTAATAATGTAATGGCTAATTATCACATATCCTTGTATAAAGAGTAAAATGCAAAAGTATTTAAAAAAACAGCTGCAATAATGTGTTAAGGAATATGTAATTAAAAAATTAAACTGTGGCATTAAAAACAAAATGTTAGAATATGTGGAGTAAAAGTGTTCAGTTTTTAATGTGATAAAAGTTGTCATCAGCTTAAAATAACCATAGTTATAACTATAAGATGTTCTAAGCAAGCCTCATGTTAGTTACAGAGCAAAAACCTATAGTAGATGAACAAAAAAATTAAAAGATAATAAAATTGACAAGCCTTTAGCTAGATTAATTTTTAAAAAAAGAATCAAAATTAGAAATAATATAGGAGACATTACAACTAATACCACAGAAATACAAAAGATCATAAGAGACTATTATGAGCAATCATATGCCAACAAATTGGATAATCTAGAATAAATTGATAAATTACTAGACATACACTACCTACTAAAACTGAATCATGAATAAATAGAAAACCCAAACATACCAATAACGAGTAAGGAAATTACATAAGCAATAAAAAGTCTTCTAGCAAAGATAAGCCAGGACTTGATGGCTTTACTGCTGAATTCTAACATCTAAAGAATAATTTATACCAATGTTTTTGAAGTCTTCCAATAAATTAAAGAAATTGGAATACTTCCAAACTTATTGTACAAGGCCAGCATTACCCTGATACCAACACCAGGCAAAGCCACTACAAGAAAAGATCATTACAGGTCAATATCCCTGGGGAACATAAATATGAAAACTCTCAACAAAATACTAGCAAAGAACTTATGCAGCATATTAAAAGGATTTCTTATTATGATCAAGTGGTGTTTATCTCAGGGATGTTTCAACATACACAAGTCTATAATTGTGATACACCACATTATCGGAATGAAAGACAAAAACCATATGATCATATCAATAGAAGCAGAATAATCCTTTGACAAACATAATAACCCTTCATGATAAAACCTCTCAACAAATTGGTAATAGAAGGAATGTACCTCAACACAATAAAGGCCATATATGACAAGCCCAAAGCTAACATACTCAGTGGTGAAAACTTGAAAGCTTTTATCTATGATCAAGAACAAGGCAAGGAGGCCCACTCTTCCCACATTTTTCAGTGTAGTACTAGAAGTCCTAGCCAGAAAAAAATAGACAAAAGAAAGAACTAAAGGGAACTAGAAGGTCTCCAAATTGGAAATTAAATGCTAAATTGTCCCTGTTTGTAGATGACATGGTCTTAACAAATAGAAAAACCCAAAGACTCCTTCAAAAAAAAAAAAAAAAGAAAAAGAAAAAAAAACCTCTTAGAACTAATAAATCAATTCAGTAAAGTTGCAGGATACAAAATCAATATACGATTATCAGTAGCATTTCTATACACTAACAACAAACTTTCCAAAAAAAGAACTAAAAAAAAATCCCTTTTATAATAGCTACCAAAAAATAAAATACTTTAAAATAATTCAGCTAAGAAGGTAAAAGATCTGTGCACTGAAAACTATAAAGTATTGATGAAATAAATTAAACACATTAAATAGCAAGCTATCCCATGTTCATGAATGTGAAGAAATAATATTGTTAAAATGTTCATACAGCCCAGAGTTATCTACCAATTCAATGCAAATTCTATAACTATCCCAATGGTATTTTTCCCAGAAATAGAAAAAAAACTGTCCTAAAATTTATATGGAACCACAAATAGACCCCAAATGGCCAAAGCAATCTTGAACAAAAAGAACAAAGCTAAAGGCATCACACTATCTGTCTTTAAAATATGCTACAAAATTATATTAAAACAGCATGGTATAGCATATAAAAGGAAAGTAGACTAATGGAATAGAATAGAAAGCCAAGATATAAATCCATGTATCTATGGTTAATTGATTTTTAGTAAATGTGCCAAGAACACACAATGGGGAAAGGACAGCCCTTTCAATAAATGGTGCTGAAACATTTGGATATTCAGATGTAGAATTAGGAAATTAGATCCTTATCTTACACCATTTACAAAAATCAACTTAAAATGGATTAAAAACTTAAATATAAGAACTGAACCTGTAAAACCACTGGAAGGAAACATAGGGGAAATCTCCAAAACATTGGTCTTGGCAGTGATTTTTTTTATATGACCCCAGATGCACAGGTAACAATAGTGAAAACAGACAATTGGATTACATAACATATAAAACTTTATGACAGCAAAGGAAAGAATTGACAGAGTGAAGAGATAACCTATGGAATGGGAGAAAATATTTGCAAACTGCACACCTGATAAGAGATTAAAACACAAAATATACAAGAACTCAAACAACTTAATAGCAAAAAAAATCTAATTAAAAAACAGTCAAATAAACTGAATAGACATTTCTTAAAAGAAGACATACAAATGGCCAAGAAGTATATGAAAAAATGCTGAACATTACTAATCATCAGAGCAATGCAAATTAAAACCACAATGAGCTATCACCTTGCATCTGTTCAAATGGCTATTATCAAAAAGACAAAAAATGAGAAGTGTGGGTGACGAGGTGAGAAAAAAGAACTCTGGAATACTGTTCGTGGGAATATAAATTAGTACAGGCATTATGGAAAACAGTCTAGAGGTTTCTCAAAAGATTAAAAATAGAAGTGCCTTATAATCCAGCATCTCTGGAGAATGGTATTAAAGGTAATTTTTCTTTCTTTTTTTATATCTTTGTAAGTTTCTACAGTAAATAGATATCACTTTTAAAATCAGACAGAAAGCAATAAATGCCAGTCAAGGCAAAGCAGAAGCAATTTCAGAAGGGCAGTGGGAGAAGATTACCAACTGTAAGAGGTTAGGTAGTGAGCAGTTGAGGCACATGTGAAGTGTGCTTTGTGCAGATTACTTTTAAACAAGTTGGGCAATACAAGGAGGGAAAGAAGAGTGCACATGTTCTAGGAAGCACAGGATATTTTTCTTGGTCCTCACAAAGGGGAAAAAGCTAGGCAAAGAGAATTAAAAATGAAAGAGAAAGCACTTGAGGGAGGAGATGGGATAAGCTTACCCTTCGCTTTCTTTAGGAAGATGGGAGAAAAAGAGAAGAAAATGAGTGGAAATACCCAAAACAGAGAAAATGTGTTAGGGATAGAAAGTTAAAGCATCATACATGGCTTTCTAAATTCAGTAAAAAGGGTAACAAGACTTCTCTTTCTCTAGGAAGATGGGAGACAAAGAGAAGAAAATGAGTGGAAATACCCAAAACAGACAGAGAAAATCTGTTACGGATGGAAAGTTAAAGCATCATACATGGCGTTCTAAATCCAGTAAAAAGGGTAGCAAGACCTTTGAGAAGAAATAAGGATTACGATTAGAGGGTAACAGACCCTGATGACCAGATCTTTCTTCAAGGGACTCAAGCTATCTCCATGAATTAAGACTATCAGACATTGGAAACCCAATTATTTCTCTGTATCACAGGATTAGACTCCTTTCAGCTCAGTTAAATTTGAGAAAGCTAATGCTGGATCCCCTGGCTGATTAGTCAAGTAATTAATGTACTTCTTAAGAATTTTCATAAATCAGACTATTAGATTAATGTTAATAATTTTGTAAGGGGATATCTTTATATTTTGGCAATTGAGAAACCTTTAACAATTTTAGTAGGTTTTGTAGCCTTAAAACAGTATTATCTGGAACAGAAGCCGGCTTTAGCTATTATTTGTTTGCAATTACACATACAACCAGTTAATTTTAGATGAAAATGCCGCAAGGATTTTTTTGTTTTGTTTTGCTTAGCAAAAAGAGAACTTGGAATTAATCTACAATGGGGCTAGGCAGATAACAAAAACTGTAAATCAGATGGATCGTGAGACCAGAAAGGATGATGGGGCCCATAGTTAAATGTCAAGTGCATCCTCTTCCAAAGGGATTTAAAAAGGAAAATTGTGCACACTGTGAGTGCGAAAGGGATGATAAGGCAGAATTAGCCAGAATTCAACGATGGGGGACCCTGATGTCTACCAATCTCCTTCTTTTTGCAAGTAAGAATTTAGATACTCACAAACATTGACTCCATGTATACTAAATGACTCCAATATCTCAATTTTAAGCCCAGAGCTTTCTGTGGGACCACATCCTGATACCCTCTGACTTTGTCATCAATCCTCTGTAGGCAAGCATTCATCTCCCAACACGCCAAAATATTCTATCCATATCAGTTCACAGTATTACACTCATACCTTCCTTTAGCACTTACTGTGTTATAATCAGTAAATTTTTGATAAAGATAAAAACATGGATAAGATAATCTTATACAGAAATGTCCTCACTTGTTAAAAAATGCATAACCTTTTATTGTTGCATCTTCCAAGCATTGAATAATGACACGTATTTTAAAATATATTTAAGAAACAACACTAGTAGCTGCACAAATATCACAAACTATGGCTTTTTGATATCACTGCAACATTGAATAGATTTAAAACATTACTTGTAGTTTAATGAACAGAATATTGAACCTGAAGTCAGCCAGCCAGCCCTGACTGATACTTATTTACTTGCTATCTGACTTTCGTCACTTCTCAGTTTTCTAATTTGCATAAAGGTAATGCAATAACAACTACTACTCACCCAGACTTGATAAAAAATTGAAAGTCCTTCATTCACAAATTTAAAAAAAATACCTACATAAAAGTAAAATATTAAATTTTGTACAATTTTTATTTAGGAAATAGAATCATAACTATGCTTGAAATTGTCAAAGTACATTTTCTCATTCTAGTTAAATATATTGGTCAAAAAGTTCCAGTAACTTAAGCCAAAACTTATCCCCATAGTTTAAGGGTACCTGTTCTGACATTTATGAACGGAAATAAATAAAAAACAACTGTCCACTTTTCTTACTTATGGGAATCACAAGGCATCAATATCATGTAGTGCCAGTTACAAATTTATATGACAATGTTAAATCAAACATAGAAACAAATATCAAGCTATACAACTATCCATCTCTTCTTGAGATACATGTGTGTGTATATATATATGTGTGTATATATATATATATATATAAAATCATATGCCATGTCTCAAAAATATATGCAATAATCATTTAAACTAGAAATGTGAGCCAAAGCATTTAAGAAGGTATTTTCAAGCTCCTGAGCAACTTTTTGGTTGGAATCTATCCGGGAAGTCTTTATATTTTAACTTACTTGATATATTTTGTTTAATTTACAAAAGACTTTATATGTTAATTTACTTATTACATTTTGTGTAATTTACAATTTCAAGTTAATTGGTTTGTTTTTTGGGGGGGATACTTGATATATTTCAAATACTTGTAAGTTTTCTTTCATAGTATAATTTTATGTATCAGTCATACTTGGTAATTCATTATTTGGAAACATATGCAACAGTAAATTTTTATATAACAGAAGACTGAGGGGCACTCCTCATTTAAGAAGTTAAAAACTGAGTACTACCTTTATACTTGAAAAATTTTGATCTCCCCTTGGTTATTTCTACAGATTTGGGATATCTGGGATATAATTGAACCAAAGTCATAAATTTCGCTTACATTTTTGTTTTTTCTTTGTTTTACACTGACTTTTTAATGTCCTTTTTCAGGTATCCAAGGGAGAGAATACAGACATAGGTTCTTAGTTTCTGTTTCTGGTTGGGCCAGTAAAGCCCCTTCCTCTCCCCTCTTTTCTGCTTACCACTTCAGACAGAAAACAAAAAACATGACTTCAGGCTGCTAAAAGCCCAAAACAAAACAGAAAAACAGCAACAACAAAATAAGGTGGGTCGGACAAGCTTTCTAGGCAGTTGTCAGATCCACTTAGGTTGAACTATTTTGAGAAGTCTGAGTGTGGTGAGCCAAATTGTCATTTAAGAATCAGTAGGCACAGGAAATAGTCACTTTGGTATTGGTATTACTTGGGATAAAAAGATCTTTTCATAACCCATCCTCAGTTCAAATTGTTCTCCAACAATATCATTTTATGTGCTGCAAACCTTAAGGCAACAAAAAGTTTCAAATGCATTTTAAGGATAAAATAAATTGGTGAAATATTCTGAGGTTAGAAAATGAAGACACCTCAATATTCCCAGTTATTCTTGCTTTGACTACTTATTATTCAGATATGATTTGTAGAGGAAGCAATCACTCTGCTATATTTTTCTATGTCACTGTGCAGCTTCTTAATCAAAAGAGATTTCCTGAGGAAAAGATCGTTCCATATAAGGCAATGTGTTAGCCACTTACTTTAAAAAAAAAAAAAGGAATGATATAAAAATTATGTCCTCTGATTTTTCCATAATTGATACTTTTCTTCATTTGTGAAATTAACCATTTTTAGACTGGAAATTTTTGATAAATAAAAGACAAATAGTAAAACTAAAAATCAAATGTTTAACCTTCTAGAGTAACCTTAAACTTGTTCTTGTACAGTGTCATAAAAAATTAACATATCTATTATTGGAAAGATTGTGAATCTTTTCCTTGTCTGATAGTTCTGCTTCAATCATACATTAAAATTTTACAATTATTATTGCGCCAAAGAAGCCTGCAGTTGTTATTATGACAAAGGATTTCAGTTTCAGTGAGTAGCTTTACTTTTGTCCAATTCATTTCAAATTTACATTTCCTGTCCTCAGATGCCAAAAAATGAGTTTTACATTTGAGCCTTATTCATTTTTAAAACTTCAACAAGTTTGGCATTGCAATCTTTAAAATTCATAGCTACTTAAATGTGGGAAAGTTTGTTCTTAATTTTTGAACAGTAGTTGTTTTAGCAAAAAATACTATGCTTTTGCTTAGTGTCTCTTTTCAAAACTTTCACCCGTGTTTATGTAAGTTAACAGAGTTTTAAGAGCTAAAGGTTCAGTAAGTTAAGAGTTGTAAGGTAAGTCCAAGAGTTTGAATCCTCTCACCACCCCTGATTAATTCTGTGCTACTCAGACTGTTACTTAAAATGTTAGGCCTCACTTTCCTTATTTGCAAAATAGAAACAACAAAACAAATTAATGCCTATCTGGCAGTGTAATTTTAAGAATTAAAACGAAATAATTTATATAAAATATTTTCACAGTGCTGACACATAATAAGATGCTCCATGTATCTGCTGTCATTATCATTACCATATTTTAGCAATTTAAATTAATTTAAAGTAATATTGCAAGATGAAGAAAGTCACACTGGGTTTTTCTCAAGCAGGATTCTGCTCCTCTTAAGTATTCCCCAAACACTTGACGCCAATACCATCCCAGCACGTCTCTCTGTATTATGAAATGTCCCCAAATTGTTTATCTGCACAATCATTCACACATCCCTAGCACTGGATGATAAGTTGCATCAGAGCTGAGACTATCTGCTGTGCTGTGCACCCTCAGGTGACTAAGTGCACAGTACACAATAATTTGAGTTGACAGAAAAAATAACACAATGCATTTCTAGGTTATATTCATTCTTTTTAAAGAAAATTTCTTTCATTATTATTTTTTGTTATTATACTTTAAGTTCTAGGGTACATGTGCACAACGTGCAGGTTTGTTACATATGTACACATGTGCCATGTTGGTATGCTGCACCCATTAACTCGTCATTTACATTAGGTATATCTCCTAATGGTATCCCTCCCCACTGCCCCCACCCCACGACAGGCCCCGGTGTGTGATGTTCCCCTTCCTGTGTCCAAGTGTTCTCATTGTTCAATTCCCACCTATGAGTGAGAACATGCAGTGTTTGGTTTTCTGTCCTTGCGATAGTTTGCTGAGAATGACGGTTTCCAGACGAGTTGAGAGAAGACAGCTTCAGATGATCAAACTTCTCTGAGCTAAAGGAGGATGTTTGAACACATCGCAAAGAAGCTAAAAGCCTTGATTAAAGAAAACGTCTTCTGATACCCTTAATAGAGGGTCTGAGAAACAATATCCCTAAATACTGAAGGCATCCAATGTTTTTCTAAATAGCAATGTTTTCTGGACTGATAAACCTGTTTAAGGCCGTTTATTATCTCCATTTAGTTATTGTCAATAGCACTCTGGTAATCTTCCTTTTTAAGTTGTTAATCAGCTTTGAAAACTTCTGGGATTCTTCTACATCCCTCTAAGTGGGACTGAAAACTATAACCACACAGAGCCAATTGTCACTTGGCCCTGATACATGAAACAAACCCATTTGCTGGGGCATTCACCTTATACTTTTTCTGTTTTAGCAAAAAAAAAAAAAAATATATATATATATATACATATTCTTATGCCAGCTTTCCCTTTACTATTCTTCTGTAAATCACAGCATTTAAATATTAAGTTATCAGATATAAATCTTGCGCATATAATTCATTATTTCTTTTAGACCATTCAAAACTAAACTACCCTGTCCCAAAATCATCTATTCTACCTCACGCTGACTTTGTATGCACATTAATCAATATTATTTTATTTTCTTATAGGTAACCTAAATTGGTTGACCTTTTTTTCTACTAGAGTGTAAGCAACCAAAAGAAGGACGATACGTAACACTATAAAATAATACACATAGTGCTACATATTGTTTTTATAAATACACTGTGATATGGGAACCAGGAATGATTATAAATGACTGTTTTCATCTTGATTATATAACTTACAAATCAAAGCCAAGGATAGATAAGAAACCTTTTTTAAATGTCTGAATGTGGTCACAGTTATTCTGTATGTTTTTTAAAATCCCAAAGTCAACTTCATAAGCACAAATCAACATGAAGCAAGTTTCCTTGGAGCCTGGTACTGCATATTGTATTCAATTTATTGTAGCTGTAGTTACAATGTGTAAGTTGTGAACCAAGGGAAACTTAAGAAAAAATTTAAGTACTAAACATTGCCACATACTAAATGGAAATGTGTTCACTAATCAAACACTCGTTGAGCACTTAACATAAATTAGACACCAGGGCAAGTACTGAAGATAAAAAGAATAAAACATAGTAGTAGGAACTTACAATTTAGGCACTGAGAGAGTGTATTAATATATAAGTGTTAAGCCTAATTTTATTCAAACTTTATGTAGAAAGTATACATGGACATAGAAATACTGTATTTTCGAAGTCACTAAATACTGGTCTGAAAACAGAAATGCAGAGTGAAATTAACTTTGAATTATTGCATTTCACTGAATTTGTCCTTCCTTCAAAAAACAGTGTTGCTTTTATTTTTATTTATTTATTTGTTGAAATGGAGTCTTGCTCTGTTGCCCAGGCTGGAGTGCAGTGGCACGATCTCGGCTCACTGCAACTTCCGCCTCCCGAGTTCAAGCAATTATGCTACTTCAGCCCCCCGAGTAGCTGGGATTACAGGTGCGTGCTAACACACCCAGCTAATTTTTGCATTTTTAATAGAGACAGTGTTTCGCCATGCTGGCCAGGCTGGTCTTGAACTCCTGACCTCAGGTGATGCACCTCCCTTGGCCTCCCAAAGTGCTGGGATTACAGGAGTGAGCCACTGCACCTGGTCCAGTATTGCTTTCTTAATATTCCAATTGATTTTGTTGGTGCCAAGAAACTTTTAATTTTTGAAGTTTATAACATTGGGAATATCCCTGACATCTCCTGCTGCTGGAGTTCTCATCATAAATCATACCTGAATCTTATACTCCAGGCTGCTGTCCCCTTCCCTTTCAGCTGCCATGAGCCCTCATCTCTGATTTGATGCTGGTTGCTTTTCCCAAATTCCTCACCCTTCCTCCAGTGACTGCCTAGGAGTGGGCCAGGGCTTCTCTACTTTCGCCTTGTTTCCAAGTCAAGTGTCCAGACCCTTGTTGTGAAAGGAAATGTCCTGCAAATCACTGCTCAAAAGAATACAGGAATTATCAAAAATAACCTAAGGCAGGAAGTTTCAAAATATCTTACAAAATTATCAAATCCAACCGCCCTGACAATTCCCACCTACAATGATTCCTCTCAATTCTGAGCTCATAGCCCATTTTCCTTGTAACATTTCTTTGGCACTTGCACTACCTTATGGCATTTATGGTGCTGGTTTTTTGCTCTTTTAATTCAGAATTTCAAATTAAATGTTTGTATGCTTTTATTAGCAATGTGCTGTGTCAGGCAGACACTGTAAGACTAAGAAATAAATTAAACACAATCCCTGCCCTTATGTAGCTAAAACTGTATATCCTATAACAGTTAGGACATCATGTACATAGAAGTACAATAAACACTGAATCAAAGATCCACCAGCTGTGGAAACTCGAATCTTACTCTGCCATACACAATTGGAATGAGGACCAAAATAAAAAATCCATTGCTGAAGAATTGTAAATTCATGGGAAACTCGCAGAGTGGTGAAGACCTTCATGAGAAAGTGAGTAAGACAATCCTCAGTTTAAACATTAACTCTAGGGACATGGATGAAATTGGAAATCATCATTGTCAGTAAAATATCGCAAGAACAAAAAACCAAACACCGCATATTCTCACTCATAGGTGGGAATTGAACAATGAGATCACATGGACACAGGAAGGGGAACATCACACTCTGGGGACTGTTGTGGGGTGGGGGGAGCGGGGAGGGATAGCATTGGGAGATATACCTAATGCTAGATGACGAGTTAGTGGGTGCAGCGCACCAGCATGACACATGTATACATATGTAACTAACCCGCACATTGTGCACATGTACCCTAAAACTTAAAGTATAATAATAAAAAAAAAAAGAAAAACCACCCTCTGAAAAAAAAAAAAAAAAAACATTAACTCTACAGTTTGTGAGTTATCCGATTTTAGTAAAGTTGCATCATTTCTTTGAGTCTATATCCTCTTCTCTGTAATGGGGATAACAACACCTTGCTCCCAGTCTAATAGAAGTAAAATGAGACAAGTAAATAAATTTACTCAGTGTCTAGCATATATTAAGGGTTTAATTTTAAAAAGCTTTTATTAATTATTCATTTATTCTACAAATATTACAGAGAACCTACTTGTGTTTTTGTGATGCAAAAGCAAGTAACGCTTACTCATTATTAATTAGCTTTATTATTTGTCTTATCAGAAGTGAACTAGAATATTTTGCCTTTGCTACGTTTCCTTCTTATACATATCTTCCTTGTGCAGCAACCAAGATGTAAACATAAACTGAAGCCAATGATATAAATCACTTAGATGAAGATCATTCATTCAATAACATTTTATCTTACATCTAATTTGTGCCACCAAACTGCTATGCACTAGAGATGCAATATTAAATGCCTTCCTAGCCCCATATAGTTTAGTGTAGCTAGGGAGAAAGACACATGCACAACAAAATATAATATTGTAAAACAAAACTGTGCTTACGGTTGTGCCAAGGGAACACAGTGGAGTAAGGGTTAATTCTGCTAGAGATCAAGGAAAGATTTTCAGAGGAGTTGATATATGAAAGGGACCTTGAAAACTTTGTCACATTTCCCAAATGCAAAAGCTGAGGAGAGAATTCTAGGCAAAGGCAAGAGTCTGAAAAAACAGATCCTTATTTTGCCTGGCTGCCTGTGAACTCTTCTTGAACTGCTTGTTATTCTCTTCTCTGCATAGATATTTCCATACAAGGGCAGTATCCTATGAAGAAAATCTTTCAATAATCAACAATAATCATATATGAGATATGACCATCACACACACATAAACATACACACACACACACACACACACACATGCATTTACACATTGAGATGAAAAAGGCAAAACTACCATGAAAGCATGTGTGCGTGTGTGTGTGTGCGTGTGATGGACATATCTGATGTGTGTGTGTGTGTGTGTGTGTGTGTGTGTATAGAGAGAGAGAGAGAGAGAGAGAGAGAGAGAGAGAGAGAGAGAGAGAGAAAGACAAAGACAAAGACAGAGACAGACTCCCTTTGTCACCCAGGCTGGAGTGCAGTAGCGCGATCTCAGCTCACTGCAACCTCCACCTTCCAGGCTCAAGCGATTCTCCCACCTCAGCCTCCCAAGTAGCTAAGACTATGGACACATGCCACCACGGCCAGCTAATTTTTGTATTTTTGGTAGAGAAAAGGTTTTGTAATTTTGCCCAGGCTGGTCTCGAGTTCCTGGCTTCAAGCAATCCACCTACCTTGGCCTCCCAAAGTGCTAGGTTTACAGACATAAGCTACTTCGCCCAGCCACCTGTATTTTTTCATCTACTCAGAAATTGGTCAATTTCTAGGAAAAAGAAAAAGACACAGTGGGGAATCTTACCTTCATGGAAAGTTGAGTTTCCTGACTATTAAATAAGCAATCTGGATAATTTTAATTTCCTCTCCCTTGATTTTCCATATACACACACCTTTGCATTTTATTTCCCTTGGATGATTAGACACACCTATCTCTCTTTACCCCCAGGAAGAATCTGTCAAAATCATCCAAACGACACTGCCCCAAACCCCTTCTTTCTTCTGTGCCCACCTAAATTCCCAAATCTCCAGCTCAGATAGAATGAACCTGCCATGGATGTCAGTAGGAATTATTTGGAGCAGGCAGGGGTGTCCCACCTAGAGCACCTCTTCCCAAACATAAAGTATGTGTCTATGAAAAGAGGTGGCTTGAGTGAGGATGCAAAGACTGGAGGAGATAAGGCCACTATCATTGTGACTATTGCCACATGCCTCATGGAATGTTTTATAGGCCACACAAAGAGGAGGAACTCCAGCAAATCCTTCTACCAACTGCTGGGGATGGGCTATGTTTTCACAGGAATGAGTCTTCCCTTCGCACCTGAATCCCTCATTGTGACACTATATGATAATGCACTTTTATTATATATTCCTTCAATAGAATGTGGTTTTAGTGGTGAAAATTCAGAGTAAGAATAAGATAATCATATTTGCTTTGTGGCCTTCTACAAACAGATCATTTTCAAAACAGCTGAGCTACACATATTCGCCCCTCACTCTCTTTTTAACTCTAGCTGAAAACCTTTCCTAAATGTCAACTAAAAACATAAATACTAGTTGGAATCTAACTCCAGGAAATCTGTGGTAAATGACTTACTTGAAAGGATCTAACAGAGTTTGATTTTACAAAAAAAAAAAGTTTCAACACTAATTCTGAATTTTCTTAAGAGAAATAGAAGAAGAAATTGAGACTATCCAAAAGCAATGAAGAGTTTTTCAAAAGGTGAAGGTTATGGAAGTCTTAGATTTCTGCTGTCCTGCTAGCCAGCCCTCCCTGAAAATAGATTTATACATTGAAATGAAAAAGGCAAAACTACAATGAAAGCCCAATTAATTATCTCTGAACTTCCACACATGAAATCCAAGCAAAGTTAACTCTTACATTAATAGTGCCACTTTTAATCTACATTTTTCTAACGATAGGAGTTGACCCCTAGCCATGCAAAAGTATGTAGAGGAGAAAATAGTCAGCTATGTATTGTAAGAAATGAAAACAAGAAAATGCATGAAGTCCAATGGTATATCATGTTTCTGATAAGATGAAAACTCCTCTGAAAAGTTCTCCTATCACCTTATAGAACAATTTAATAATGAAGTAAATTACCCAAAGAAGCAGATGGGCTGCCTTTCTGCATTCAAGAGGGCAAATATTCCCCAGGATTTAGAGGACAGAAATTGAAGTTATGTATATAGAATAGCTTGTTGGTATAGACTATCCTTCTTTGAAAATCCTGCCATTACCATAATTGAAAAAGGTAGTATAACATCTTTATGGGAAACCAGAACTAAAAGCCAAAAGATTGGATGATTACATATATACAAAAGGGTTTAAAGTCATTTGTACCAGAGTCTTAAGAACTATTTTTACGGTAGCTAATGCAATGCTTCTCTGTCCAGAGCTTACGAGCGCTATAGAAATCACCTCAGCTTTTATGGTTAAGGATATGGAGCAATGCCACACAGGACAACGCAAGAGTAAAAAGTGGCTGTCAAAACTCCACCACCAAAACTGCTAAAATATATGTAGTCTATGAGGCTTAGATGAAACTGTACTGTAACTCATATATACTAAACTGTGTTTATTTAGGAACGTTTATTTTTAAAAAGAGTGATAGTAAAAGATGATTCTTAATCAATAAATACAAATATTCCAGCTACACTTTTAGTTTTGCAAGAGCAGTCATTTTTCTGTACCATCAAAGCCTTGAAAAAAAAAGCAGAGAATGTGAAAAACGCTCCAGAAAGTGAAAAAGTTCTTCATAGATTTGTGAAAACTTAAAAAGAGACAAAATGAATTTTAAATACTTCTGGAAATAAACAAAAGGAAGCAGAAAATAGGGTGGAGGTGGGAGGATCAATGGCCCTATATTTTTCTGTGTTAACAAAATATATTAAAAAAATCAAAGCAGAAAGAAGTCTCTTAAAGAATATTGTACTTGTTCTTAAAAATTCATAAGCTACACAAAAAAGAGAATTAAATCTCTTAACCATGAATTGTTACTCATAGTTGGTGGAAGAAACGGATGGGGAGATACATCCAAGTTATGTTTTTTCCCTTAAGAAGGATAAAAAGCATCACCTCTGGACAACAACCTAAGATACCTGTGTGATAATGAGGAAAAATACCTCGGTTAAAGAAAATAGAGATTAATTCAAGGCTACTCTCCAGAAATAAGCTCCATATGAGCAGAAACTTACCTGTCTTGTTTATTGCTAAACTCCAGTGCCTCAAATATGAGCTGGCACATAGTAGGTGCTCAAAAATTGTGTGTAATAATGTTCTTAGAAACCTCCTGAATTTCTAGTAATTGAGGATTAGTTAAAATTTGTTATATCATGTAATAGAATTTTGTTATATACAAAATATAAGTTGTAGAGGCACATTTATCGATATGGAAATAAGTATGATATAAATGGCTCTATTTTGAATGAATAAAAAGAAATGATAAAACCTTTCATTAACTATTATTTGATTCATTTCTCTACATAAAATAGATAAAATAACACATATGTAAAATTTATTCACATAAATTTAAATACTTCAGGGAGTTTATATCAAAATGTAGCATTGGTTATTTCTTGGCAGGCAGATTAAAGGTGATTTTGTTACAGCTTTTTCTCATTTTCTATAATAATAATTCATTGTTTGTTGAAATTTTTTCATCAAATATATGTTTACATGGAAGACTTATTTTGTCAAGTAAAGGTTGAGATTGAAGCTAGGTGCTCCAGAAAGTGAATAAGTCCTTCGTAAATTGGTGAAAGCTTAAAAAGGGACAGATGGAATTTAAAATG
Organism: Homo sapiens; assembly: GCF_000001405.40. Taxonomy (NCBI): domain Eukaryota; kingdom Metazoa; phylum Chordata; class Mammalia; order Primates; family Hominidae; genus Homo; species Homo sapiens. Next base: position 8,652,038 of record NC_000007.14, on the reverse strand, counting down.
CTTCTAAGATTTACCAAAAAGAAGCAGAAAATAGGGTGGAGGTGGGAGGATCAATGGCCTTATATTGTTCTGTGTGTCAGAAAAAATATACAGAATAAGACAAAGTAGGAAAAAGTATCTTAAAGAATATTATACTTGTTCTCGAAAATTAATAGACTACACAAAAAAGAACTAATTATTTTAGCCATGAATTATCCATTACAAGCATTTTCAAAAATGTATTGAAAAATATTTCCAGTACATTTATAACCACCAGGCAGTTGATGATTCTCTTAATGTTTTTCTTCATGTATCATAACATAGGATAAAGGCAAAAGGTAAACTTGAAATGATGAACCAAAATTAAATGTTCTGAATTCATCCGAAAGGCTTAAATTAAATCTGAATAAATCCGAAAGGTACAGAGAATTTTATTTAGCAACTTAAAATTATAGGAACACTTTTACACTGTTGGTGGGACTGTAAACTAGTTCAACCATTGTGGAAGTCAGTGTGGTGATTCCTCAGGGATCTAGAACTAGAAATACCATTTGACCCAGCCATCCCATTACTGGGTATATACCCAAAGGACTATAAATCATGCTGCTATAAAGACACATGCACACGTATGTTTATTGCGGCATTATTCACAATAGCAAAGACTTGGAACCAACCCAAATGTCCAACAATGATAGACTGGATTAAGAAAATATGGCACATATACACCATGGAATACTATGCAGCCGTAAAAAATGATGAGTTCATGTCCTTTGTAGGGACATGGATGAAATTGGAAATCATCATTCTCAGTAAACTATCGCAAGAACAAAAAACCAAACACCGCATATTCTCACTCATAGGTGGGATTGAACAATGAGAACACATGGACACAGGAAGGGGAACATCACACTCTGGGGACTGTTGTGGGGTGGGGGGAGTGGGGAGGGATAGCATTGGGAGATATACCTAATGCTAGATGACGAGTTAGTGGGTGCAGCGCACCAGCATGGCACATGTATACATATGTAACTAACCTGCACATTGTGCACATGTACCCTAAAACTTAAAGTATAAGAATAATAAATAAATAAATAAATATTATGTCTCAAATGAAATCCCATCTTTTGGATCAACCTTCAATGGTATATTTTCAACATTTTATTCATGCCATTTAGTTTTGTTCATTTACTTTACCATTGAACTCAGTCAATACAATGAGTGTCTGAATAAGACTAAATACTACTTACGTCTGTATTAGTGGCTTCTACCTTTATTTCAACAGCACTGTCATTTCACTTTTTCCAGTCATTGATATACACAAGTGAATTACAATAGGATGCTGCCAAAACTGAAATGATAGCTGAGAGACAGTTGCCATGTGGCAACTAAAGAGACTGAGCAAGAGGCCACATGATTGTCATTGTATAATGTACAGACATGCAAGTATTTTGAAAAATAAAAACAAAAAGGAGAAAGCTGCAAGAATACCAGCATATTCTAACATTTTTCAGAGTTAGGATTAGGCAGCCTTTGGTAGAAGACAAAACTGAAATGTATAAACTACCTGACTTGCATCAGTGACAAACATAATATTAAAACTTAGACTGCTAATTAAGGCTCATTCCAAGAAGCTGTGTCTTTAGATCACAAGACATCCTTCTAAATGTTATAAAAATCACATAAGGTAAAGGCTAGTTTAATTGAACTATAAGGTATTTGTTTCTTCTATGTAGATGAATATCACATAGTAATAAACCTAAGCAATCTTGAAAACTTTTTATTTTTTACATATTTAGCAAATAATTGTATTAGAAAAAAATAAAGGCAGACTTGGAAGTTTCTAATTCATTTTAATCTCAAATCATGCTGATAAAACCTTAAGAACAAAAGACGCTGGATCAGATTTTCCTATATCACACAGACTATTTTTTCTCTAAATCAAAGTAAATTAAGATAAAAATTGTTCATTGCATCCTTCTTGTACAACTGTCCAGAAATAGCAGCAACAGAGTTCTTGAGTGATACAGACCTCCAAGTAGACAGGTTTCACCAGGTAAAACTGTCCAATGTCCAATTCACTGACTGTACTTCATAGTATTTCAGTCCCTCCTTAATTTAAGCCTTCTTTACCTATATAGAGGATATCACAGGAAAGCAATGAAGAGTAAAATAGCATTGGGGGCTTCTGTTTCTGTCAAGATGGTAGATTAGATAACCCCTGAACATACCCACTACCCAACACCAAGTAATACTAGTGTTTATTCTGCAAAGTAAGAAAAAAACTCAAAAGAGAATAATAAAGTAGGAATAAAGAAGAAAATTATAAGCAATAATTTAAGGCTGTGGCTATTATAAAAGCATCTGCTAAACTTCAAACTCCATTTCTCTTCTAGCAGCCAACAAAGACAAGAAACAAGGCCTTGGTCACTTGCAATAGACTTGGAACCTAGGCACATAAAGCTGGAAAGAACGCGTCTCCAAAGGGCTGCACAATCAGTAAAAACATAGATTATTTTAAAAATTCACCCACCGAAGAGAAATACTAAGGAAATATTTTGCCCTGGTCTTGGTTTTGGATGTGTGTGTAAGAGTATAATTGTGTGTGTATATGCAGGTGCACATACACACAGGTGTTGAGAGGCATGGTGATTTTCATGTTTGTAAAGTAGGTAGTTTGAACGTACATCCTAACATAAATGGAAAAAGTAAAACAAAATAAACATTGAATACAAAAAAAGGAAAGAAATACGTTTTAAGAGAGAGATAAATACCATATGAAAAACAGCACAAAATAAGATAGCAAAATTATACTGAAATATGTTGGCAATCACAATGAATGTAAATGGACTAAACTCACTCTCCAGTAAAAAGAAAATGGTATGTAGACAGACTTTCATCTTTTTGTAAACTCAGCTTAGGGCTGATTTAAAGAGATGTATATAAAGGTTGAAAGAAAAGTAATATAATATATGGAATAGATGAATAAGTACCATCAAAAGGAAAAAGGTGTAAATACAAAAAAAACTAAAAAAGTAATGGAGAGTAAAATAGCAATCTTAAAAAAAAAAAGCAGATTTTTAAGGCAAAAATGATTACATTGGAAAAAGAGTCATCTCACTAATAATAATGTTTCAATGTAAGACAAGGATATACCAATTAGAAACTTGTATATACTTATATAAAACAAAAATTTTTAAAAAACTACAATAAGAATTGATAAATTCCCCATATAGTTTTGGCTTTCTAAGGAAGGGCCCTCATTTAGTAATTGATAAATTATACAAATAAAAATGAATTTGTTTCAGATGTTTTCAAGAAAACACATTTGGTTTAATGTACAAATACAGAGATCTGCTCCAAAGAATAAAATAATAAACATTATTCTCAAGCACACATGAGGGATTTATGTAAGTTTATAATAAAAAGGCACTCCCATGTTTGTTGCAACACTGTTTATAATAGCTAAGATTTGGAAGCAACCTAAGTGTCCATCAACAGATGAATGAATAAAGAAAATGTGGTGTGTATACACAATGCAGTACTCTTCAACCATAAAATACAATGAGATCCAGTCATTTGCAACAACGCGGGTGGAACTGGAGATCCTTGTGTTCACTGAAATAAGCCAGACACAGAAAAACAAACATCACATATTCTCACTTATCTGTGGGATCTAAAAATCAAAACAATTGAACTAATGAACGTAGAGAGTAGAAGGATGGTTTCCAGAGGCTGGGAAAGGTAGTGGGGGGATTGGGTGTAGGTGGGAGTGGTTAATGGCTACAAGAAAAAAAAAGAATGAATAAAACCTACTATTTGATAGCACAACAGGGTGACTATAGTCAAAAATAACTTAATTGGACATTTTTAAATAACTTAAAGAATATAATTTGGATTGTTTGTAACTCAAAGGATAAATGCTTGAGGGGATGGATACCCCATTCTCCATGATGTGCTTATTTTACATTGCATGCCTGTATCAAAACATCCCATGTACCCTATAAATATATACACTTAGTATGTATCCACAAAAATTAAAAGTTTATTTTAAAAAGGCATACAGTGAGTTTGGATAGTTTCATATAGGCCATGTAATATTTTGACTAAAAATTAAGATAGAAACACATTATAAGAACTACATCAACTCATATATTTCAAATTTTTAAACACAGTCATAGGGAAATAATGGGTCAAGGATAAATTAGGATAAGATAATGGGTTAGGGATAAAATGGCCAAATTACTTGAAAAAATTAACCAAACTTAGTTAAAAAAAAAAAACCGAATGGTTAAGAAAATTGAATCAGTGATTAAAAACCTTCACACAAGATAAAACACTAGGCCTACAGAAAATTTCTACTAGAGTAGGATATAATATATTGGAATTGAACATAATTCCAACATCATTTAAACATAACTAGCGATTAAAAGATAGGGAATACTTACCAAATCATTTAGAGATATAAAAACCACACAAAAGAATTTCAAGAAAAACAATTACAAACCAACACACTCATGAATATAAACATTAAAACCTAAACATTCATAAATGAAATCAAAGAAATATATATAAAATATATATATTTTATGGCTGAACTGGCCTGGCACTGGGGGCTGTCTTCTTCCTGTTAAATGCAATCGTGTGACCATGGATGGACAGAAGGACTGCCTGCCTCTCTGCCTCCCACCCCTTTATTTTCCTGCCAGGGCTGGGCATGAGTGGTCTGGAGGTTTTCTCTTCTAGCTGACTTCTGCTTTGCCATGACCTGCGCTGGGCCTGGATGTCCAGTCCCTGGGGAGAGAGCCTCTGGGTGGCCAGTGGAGACACTGTGGGCCTGAGGGTCAGGGTTGAGGGATCAGGCGCAGCCTGTGCATCTGCTTGAGTTTCTCCACACTTGGCTCTGACTGATCCCTGCTTGTGCAGGACAGCAGAGGCTCTTGAGCTCACAGAACACACGTGTCTTTGTGTGTGTCTGTATCCGTGTCTGTCCGATTGTCTGCCTGTCCCAGGGGTGGCTAGGAGCTGGGTCTGACTGTTCTATGGTCCCATCTGATACTCCTCCACCTTCTTCTCTCTCCTCCCCTCCCCAGTGCCTGTTCCCCTGTGTTCTCTCCATGTACCCCTCCCAGCTCCCCATGCCCAGTTCCTACCCATCATGCACCCGAGTTGCCAGTTTATTGCCTTTAAAAAAAAAAATGACAGAAACCTGATGCCTTCAGAGGCTCTCTGATTAAGTAAACCTTATTTAAAAATAAATAATAAACATAAATAAAAATAAAATTATAGAGGGACTGTTTGGGGTCCACTGATTTCCAGCAAGATTTATATTACATTATATTAACACATCCAATGAGAAAAATTATATGATCACCTTGATAGAATAGGAAAAACATATTATAAAATTGGCATTCAAGACTTTAAAAACAAAAATCTCAGAAACTAGGAATAGAAGAGAATGCTTGAACTTGATAAAATATAACTACAAATAGTACAACAAAGCCTATAGTCATATTTCTTTTAAAAGCAAGAAAAAGATACTCCTTATTAGCATTCTCTTCTAAAGTTTACTGGAGGTTATAGCCAGGAATATCAGACAAGAAAACAAAATAAAGTGAATCAAGATAGGCAAAAAAGAAATAATATTGTCATTACGTACAAATTGTGGACAGATAAAGCATGAAATAATATACAAGTTATAAGAATAATAGAGTTTAAAAGATTGTCGGATATGAGATAAACGTACAAAAATCCATTGCACTTGTATTTACCACTCACGGAGAGTTTAAAAATGTATCTCTAATAAGTTCATTTACAATAAAAAATAAAATAACTAATTACACCCAGTAATACATCTAAGAAAAGTGACACAGGGTCATCATAGAAAAAGTTAAAATCTTTGCTGAAAGACATATTTTAAGACCATTTAAAAGTTGAAGAGTTGGTCACATTAATGGATAGGATGATAATATGTAAAAGATGTCAATTTTTCAAAATTCATTAATTTAATTAATAGCAAAATCAAAATATCTACAGGGTCATGAGAGGACTTGACAAGATGTTACTAAAACGTGTACAAAGGAAAAAAATACTTCATGGACATTAGTGCCTATAATAAAAATACAATTAACACACATGGAATTGGCAAAAAGATTACAGAGACAAATGAAACAAAGAATTGGACCTATAAATATATGTAAAGTTGATATATAACAAGTGGAATTGCTTATCAGTGGAGAAATAATGGTGTTGGGAATTCCAAATGAAATAAGAACATACAATTGTGTTACTACATCGTAATGTACTCCAAAACTCAATTCCATATGGATCACTCGAATATAAGGAACAAAACATTAAAATGTTTACAATAACTTTAAGACCAAGATACAGAAATATTTCCATTAAAAGATACAAAAAGCCCAAACCATGATGAAAACATTAGAAGAAGTAAAAAGAGATAATACATTTATAATATATGTGATGTTCATTAGATATAATCAAAAAAGGGTTGATACCTAAAATTTATTTTAATAAACTCCTAAAAGTAAATTTAAAAGAAAAAGATGCCAATAAAATGTGCAAATAATATAAAGGAGAATATCACAGAGGGAGTTTGAATACCATAAACATATGAAAGGATGTTCAGGATCATAGGAATCAACAAACTGTAAATGAAAAGCCCAATGAAATACAACCTTCCATATAATATATTTGGAGACATTTTAAAGCTTTGAAAATATTGCTGAGGGAGAGGAGCCTTGAAAACTTTGACATAGAACTTGTGGAAATGTACTGGGTACAACTTTTGGGAAAAGGTTAAGTTATCTAATAAAATTAAAGATGTGTATATAGTTCATGACTCAATCATTCTAACCCTATTTGTATAAACCGTAAGAATTCTTTGTGTGCATTCGAAGAAAAGTAAAAGAATCATAGTAGTATTGTTTCTAATAAAAAAGATTTAGAACCACTCAGATGTTTACCAACAAGAGAACGAGCACTATTTTTATTCAGTGGAACATTGTACATCTGCAAAAGTGACCAATAAATTAGAACTGCATTTATCAACAGGGATGAATCCCACAAATAATATGCTAAGCAAAAAGGTAAACTGCCAAAGAAGACATTCTGTTTATATAAAGTACAAAATATGCAAAACTAAACCATATACTGTTTGGGGAGATAAACATATATAGTAAAATTATTACTAAAAGCAAAGGAATGATGTGCACAAAATTTAAGAGAGTGGTTACCACTTGGAGAGGAGGAAGATGTGCTGGGCTGTAATACACAATGGGATCCAATGGTCATTATCATATTCTAATTCTTAATCTGGATGGTAATGGTTATATTTTTTATATTTAGATATTAGATATTTTATATTCACAAAAAAAGTCCTAGTCTGTTAAAAAACATGACACTATCAACTTGAGACAGCAGGCAGAGCACAATGTTCTTTCTGAAATCCCAATATGGCTAAAAAAAAATAGTCTAAAATAAGAATTCAACAATAACTGCAGTCATCAAGAAGAAAAAATGCCATCAACAAACCAGAAATACAGAAGGATTTCTAGACAAGAGAATAAAGAGACGATCAAACTGAGAGAAACTACAGTGAAAAAACTTCAACCGAAAGTAGGCCTGAGAGAAAGCCATTGCCAAGGTGAGAACCTTTCTTCCCAAAGGAACTCCAGAGAAACTCCAAGCTCAGAGTCAGCAAATTCAAACAGCAGGACATTCATGGGTACAATTAATTAAAATACCATCAGTCAAACAGCAACTGCTGTGTCAGTGTTGGCCCTCCTTCTCCCAGACCAAAACCAAAACATCTAGGAACACTGACATTTGCTTCCCAGGTTAAAGTCTTAAGAATTACTTTCCAAAGAAAGAAAACTCTTCCATGAGAGGGCTTTTAGCCTAGATATCCAGGCCAGAAAGAAAAGCAAAGCAAACCTCCTCAAAAGACAGGGAGATAACTATGTAGTATGTAAGTGTGTAACGCCCAGCTGTGGAACACACCACATTTCTCTAATCCAAGAGCAAAGATTTTCAGCCTGTTGTTGTCCATGAACCCCAAAGAAAGCCCTCTATGAGCACGTGCTACAGTATTACTATTAGCAAAAATGTAATACTAAAATAAGAACAAAAGTATGAAATGAAACAATATGAATATTTAGATTGGTAGAAGGCCAAATCCACATAGTTTTAAATTTTATACACTAAGCAACATGGAATTTAAAGTTAAAATTTATATATGAAGGAAGATATTGTCAAAAATTATAATCATAGAAGGGTACTCTAATAAACCTCTATGCAAAAGTAATAAAGTAATAAAGAACCTAAAAGTAAAAAGTTTTGTTCAGTTAAATAACAATAATTAGTAAGCTTACAATAAGTAGGTATATAGAGAAATCTTGTTCGTATTATATATTATCTCAAATGTCCTTTGCAATAACTATAAAACCTGAACATGTATTAGGCTAATAAAAAAATCTCAATATATTCAGACAAGTGAGATTTAAATAAATCAGTCAAATTGTCATATTAACAAAAGATTAGCCAGAACATTTCTAAAGGCTAACATAACCTGATCAAAGCAGAAGAAAAGCACTTAAAAGGTAACTTTAGAACACCTATTTTGAGAATATTCATGTAAAATTCCTAATAAAGTATTAGCAACAATTCAGCAGTTTCTTAACAAAATAATTCATCATAGCCTCAAATCAATTTTCCAAAGAATGCAAAATTACACATGTATAAGAATATATATGTACATATACATATATTATTAAAAATTAATGTCAAGATAAAATAGCGAAAATGTACCAGCTATTTATCATACTAATTATATAAAGCTGGGAATGAAATCAAGTGTCCTTCACTTATAAAAGTGTATGCCTGGCCGGGCATGGTGGCTCATGCTTGTAATCCCAGCACTTTGGGAGACTGAGGCAGGTGGATCATGAAGTCAGGAGTTCGAGACCAGCCAGGCCAACATAGTGAAACCCTGTCTCAACTAAAAATACGAAAATTAGCCAGGCATGGTGGCGTGCACCCGTAGTTCCAGCTACTTGGGAGGCTGAAGCAGGAGAATCGCTTGAACCCAGGAGATGGAGGTTGTGGTGAACCGAGATTGGGCCACTGTACTCCAGCCTGGGCAACAGAGCAAGACTCCATTTCAAAAAAATAAGAAAAGAAAAAGGAAAAAAAAAAGTATATGCCCAGACATCCATAGTAAAACATTAAGAACTTTCCCATTAAAGTCAGTGAAAGTGAAAGAATATCTGCTGTTTGCAGTTACTATTCTCCATTGACCTAGATGTCTTGGACAATTAGATAAGACAAGAAAAATAAGGAATATGAAAATATGGACGAATAGATAAAAAGTCATTATTTATTGATGATATTCATGTAAAATATCCAAGAAAATCAACAAAAAAATTAGAATGTTAGAATAACAAAATCCAGACAGATGGTCAAAAAGGCAACATTAAAAAGATAAAGTATTTTTTATATATTTTTGGTAACCAATTTTAAAAATTAATAAATCTCAGAGGGAACTGCTTAAGCACCCTCATCCTCAAAAAATCTGCCAAATGAAGGAAAACATGCCCATCTAAGGGATATCATTTGAATTAAGAATACCTGTGATTTAAAAAGAAAGTCTTAAAAGCTTTGAGAGAGAACAAAAGAGGCCACCTACAAAATATTCGAAATGATAATGGCATCAGACCTTTTTACAGCAACATTGGAATCTGTAAGACAACAGAGCAATGTCTTTAAAATCACTAGAGAAAAATGATTTCCAATTTGAACATTATACTCAGTTTAACTATCAACCAAGTATGATGCAAGAATAAGGATACTTTCAGTCCTGCAAAGTACCCGTAAAAAGGATCTTCAAAACACCCTTTTTAAGGAAGCTAATTGGGTGGTTCAACATATAGAAATAGCCCAGGAAAATAAATTCCAGTGAACAGAAGTAAAAGGAATTCCCAAAATGATGGTGAAGGAAAGCCCAAGGATGACACTTCCATAGTAACATCGAGAGCAGAATGGAATAGGAAGGTGCAGGGCTCCAGGAATGTCTCCAAAGGGGAAGAAATGAAGCTTATAGGTAAACTCCCTGGCATTTGATTTTATTGTAGAAGTTTCACACATTCATTGAGTGAAGAGGATAATTAGTGATATATTCACAGAAAACTAAGCTAAGAAAAATTAGGCAATTATTAACTCAAATAAGGACAAAAAGGTTGTATAAGAATGAAAACTAAATTATAGTATATAACTCATGAAAAATATGGACATAATCAAAATAGTGTGCCTGAATAAAATGAGATGTAACTATTATAGAAACTATTATAGAAAGAGGAGTGGTGGAAATTCTCATCCCTCAAGGTGGGAAGTAAATACCATAAGCAATGGCTAATGAAATTTTTAAAAAAGAAAAAGGAAACCAACAAAGCATATTTAGAAACAGATACACATAGCTGAAGAGACTGCTAAAAATGTTGAAAATTGTTGTCTCTGGGGGTGGGAATTGGAGTGGAGTAGTGTTGTTGCAGTGTTAGGCTGATAAATGTTTAAAATTTGCTCTCCAGGAAAAAAAAAAGTTCAGATTTATAGCACATGCCAATTTCTGTAGTAGAAATACTCCCACCATGGCCAATTTAAAAATAACAATTTGTCATCCCTGAACACAGAGTTGGGAAGAGATCCACACAAGCTTGCTCCCGCACACCAGGGTTTTCAATCCAAGGAGAACTCTTTTTTATTATTTAATATTAAACTGTGCACAGGTATTACTTTGAAAATTAATAAACAAATACTTGGTAGGGATGATAGCTTAAAATTAACAATAAAAATGTCCCCATTCTTAAAAATTATAAAATACTTAGGAATAAATGTTATTGAAAGTGTTAAAGATCAATATCAAGAATATGATAAAACTTAACTAAATAAATATTTTTAAAGACAAGAAAACTTTGTTCTTACATGGAAGTCTGTGCAATTAAAATGCTACAGCTTCACAAACTTTTAGTTAATTGAAACTTCAGCCTAATATAAATAACACTTTTTAAATTTTTATTTAATTTTATTTATTTATATTAGAGACAGTCTTGCTCTGTTGCTCTGGCTGGAGTGCAGTGGTGTGATGACAGCTCACTGCAGCCTTGAACTCCCAGACTCAAGAGATCCAACAGCCCCAGCCCCATGAGTCATTGGGATTACAGGCTCGCCACCACCCTGGCTAATATTTTTACTTTTTGTAGTCATGAGGTCTCCCTATGTTGTCCAGGCTAGTTTCAAACTCCTGGACTCATAGCAGTCCTCCTGCCTTGACCTCCCAAAGTGCTAACATTACAGGTGTGGCTACCATGCCCAACCAGGATTTCTGATAGAACTTCATAAGCTAATTTTAAATTTTATCTAAAAGAATAAGAATTATGAGACCATCACATAAAAAATAATGAGTGAGCACTTTCTATATATTAAAACACACAATAAAGCCAATTCATTTTAAGATTATGTTACTTATTTAAAGACAAGTAAAGAAGTACAGGATACAGAAATGTATGACTAGATCAAAGAAAGCAAGCAAAATGAATTTAAAACTATATATATATTTAATACTTAATAAATATAATATTCAAATCAGTGGTGAAAAAAATGGAGTACTCAAAAATTACATGAGGACCCTGAATATTCTTACAGAGAAAACATTAATGGAATTATTAATTCTGATTTCCACCCCATATAATATTTTAAAAGTCAATTTTGTATAAATCACTAAACATTTTTTAAAACTTTAGAAGCATTTAAAATACAGATTTCTCTTTGAATTTGAAATCTTCGTAAGTTAGATATGAAGCCCAAAGGCCTTACAGAAAAAGATGTACACTGACATAAATAGTAATAATTCCTATGGAGTAAAACAACCAAAAATTAAAAGGCAGGTAGTGGATGGGAATATGGATTTGCAATATACATTATGAATTAAAATATGTATAGAGTTCCTATAAATCAATAAGAAAAACACAAATAATTGAGTAGAAAAGTTGTCAAACTATAAGATCAACCAATTAACAGAAGCTAGGTTTATTAGTTCGTTTTCATGCTGCTAATAACAACATACCTGAAACTGAGAACAAAAAGACGTTTAATTGGTCTTACAGTTTCACATGACTAGGCAGGCCTCAGAATCATGGTGAAGGCGAAAGGCACTTCTTACATGGCCGGGGCAAAAGAAAAATGAGGAAGAAGTGAAAGTGGAAACCCCTGATAAACCCATCAGATCTCATGAGAACTTATTCACAATCATGAGAACAGCATGGGAAAGATGGACCCCCATGATTCAACCACCTCCCCCTGGGTCCCTCCCACAATACGTGGGAATTCTGGGAGATACAATTCAAGTTAAGATTTGGGTGGGGGACACAGCCAAACCATATCACTAGGTAAGTAGCCAATAACTTATAAAAAGATGCTCAGCCTCACTAATAATTAAGAAAATGTCAATGAAAATAACAAGGTACAACTTTTCAGCCAACAAATCGGCAAAAATTTGAAAGTATATAGAGAAACAGCCTTTTTTTTTTCTTTTACACCGATGGTAGCTATGTAAATAAGTACTCTTTTAGAGGACAATGTGGCTGTATCTATCTAAAGTAAATGTTCATGCCTTTTGTTTGTAGTGTCTGGAATCAAGATGTGAAAATCTGTTTGACTACACATTCTCTGGAGAATTCCTTGTATCTCCATTTGCCCATATAGAGGCAGCTATCAGACTATTTTTTTTCCAAATTAAAATAGTTCTAGACAGATCTGAAGTTTGATAATGTGGTATTAGGAAGGTCAGAAGTCTCAAAATACTAATTCTATTATTAGTTGGTTATTAAAGATTTCCTTATTAGTTTATATGATTTTTTAGTAATTCTGTTATCAATTTTATTTGGCACTGACAGAAAAACAAGTTGATAGCTACCAGTAATCGACTGCTTGCCCTATGCCAAAAACTAAGCACTTTTTATACATTTCATTTCATAGTTTCAATATATGTTTCATTAAATGTTATTATCTTCAGCTTGGAGTTGAGGAAACTGAGGGTTGGAGAGGTCAAGGAACTTAAACCTCTCAATAGTCAAAGAGTAAGTGAAGTAGGTAATTCAAGCCAAGGTCTAGCTGTCCCCAAAGATCGTAACCACTATGTTGTGATTGTAAAATACGAGCAGTAAAGTGCAGTGGGTAAAAAATAATGCAGCCAAGATGGGTTATATTACAAATTATTATACAGAATTAACTATAGGATCCATTGTTAAAATCATACTATTGAAACATTAAACACAATAATCATTCACCAAATTAATATGCACAGCACTGCATGGACAAAGAAAAGAATTTTTGAATTCCTTGCTCTTCTCTCTCCCTCTTAAAAGCCCCTCTAAGTGTTTGTTATCTAACTAAAAACACAACTACTTATGAAAAATACAACAATCAATCCTTAAATAAGGCATTCCTTCGTTCTCACCATTCTCTTTCTTTAAAGCTTTCTACTGTGGATTACAACTTTTTAATATAATATCTTACACAATTCCTTGGTTTACTGGTATATTTGAATGAGAATAGCACTAGCTGTGGTAATATGCAAACTTCAAGAGGTTTCCTGGCACCAGGAGGATTCTAATTCTCCCCAGTGGTTGTTGGCCCGCAGTGAATGGGAGCATCTACGGGCTGGTGGTCCCTCTGCTTTTTCTGATATGCCCAAAACAATGAGCTGAGCAGTGCCAATTCAGGTTCCTAGCTGTCGGATGTGGTTGCCGAGGTGTTTGTTCGCTTTTATTAGTCCATTGTAGATGTTGGCTCTTCTCCCAGACTTTCTGCTTTGTTTTCCTAGCTCGTGTTTGTTTGGACCATCTGCTTTAGTAGATCAGCATTCTCCTCTCCAGGTTCTTCATCTCTGTCGCTACAAGCTGGAGTTTTTTCTGTTCAAAGTAATGGCCACCTGCACCACATCCATTTTTATATTCAATTCTCCAATTTTCTTTAGCTGACTTTTTATTTTTGGAGGAGTTTGTTTTATTTAATTTGATAGTCTAGACTTGGATTCCTATTCCAGGTATGGGCTCAGCTTATTCAGTGCATGTTTTTAAAAACCAGGAGCACATTTAAAATAAATTTCTTTGATTTGCTTTAAATCGTATCACCAAAGTCCTTCTTATTAATATATTTACCCAGTTGAATAAGTTATTTATTTCCTGACTTAAACCACTTATGTAAGAAAAATATCAATCTCTGTGTAAACAACAAATTCAATGAAGCTGAAGAGCATGTATTGTATTGTGAGTTCATTGCACAAATTAATAAAGGCCAAAGTAGCTCAAAGCCTAAAATTTATTTCTGAATCAAAACAAAAATCTAAACACAGCATCTAAAAATAAAAAGGAGCTGTTAGTGTGGCCAATTAGATCATGTAAAAGCAGGTTAATCAGGGACAGCCCAGCCTCACTGACCAGAACAGGAAATAAGAGTCAGTCTCTTGGCCAGGTGCGGTAGCTGACACCTGTAATCCCCAGCGCTTTGGGAGGCTGACGGAGTGGATTGCTTGAGCCCAGGAATTCAAGACCAGCCTGGGCAACATACTGAAACCCCATCTCTAAAAAATACTTTTTTAAATTAGCCAGGCATGGTGGCACGAGCCTGTGGTCCCAGCTACTGAAGAAGCTGGTGTAGGAGAATCACTTGTGCCCAGGAGGTCGAGGCTACAGTGAGCCATGATTGCACCACTGAACTCCAGTCTGGTTTAAAAAGCCAGGCCCTCTCTCTCAAAAAAAAAAAAAGAGTCAGTCCCAGCAGTGAGCAAGATGAGAAATATGAAGTGTAAGGGACATTCAAATGTTTACAGTTGTACAAAAGACAAAGGTCCTGCCATTTTCTTGATTTAAGTGTAAAGGCTGACCACATGTCTATAGGCAGTACCATGATTCTGCTCCCAGGAAGAAAAAGGACAAAATGTACACAAAAGGATTTTTGTACCATGCACAGGGCTCTCAAGGAGATGAAGCTAGGCTGCTTAAAGTAGGTTATGGTCATAAATATCAAAGCAATGTCCCTAGATCTAGAACTGGAAGACCAAGCAAGCAAAGCTGGCCTGTTACTGAACCTTCAATTATTGCTCAGATTTGAACATTTCACTAGTTAAAGAAATCCAATACAAATCTTCATATTCATTTGGAAGTAAGAATCCCAAATTAACAGAATATGAATGATGTAGCTCAGAAACCCAAACAGGTAATTTGTAGGACTATACAAACCTGATGTTGAAGATTAAGCCAGACGTGGAATACGTGTGTAACGTATGTCATCATTTGCCTTCCCATGCCCATGGCAAAATCAAATCAATCACAGCATGCTTTCCTACTGACTGCATCCTCATGATTCCCCTTAGCTTGCATGGGATGCCATACTCACTAAATGACTGGAATTGGCATTCCACTGGAATTGAATCAATTTGCTATCCTTGGTTTGCCCTTTCCTTTTTAATCCTTTGCTAAGTTCTCACAGAAAGTTTTAAAGGCACATCATTATGGGCTGTAGGCATGTGCTGCTAGTTCTTTTACCTATTAATATGGGGAGAAAGTGGCTTGAAAATACAAGAGGCATTACTGGAAATTCTGCTGACTGATGAACACTTTTGCAGGCCAAAATGTATTTTTCAGATCTTAGCTGGAAGACAGTTCTACAGATAAATTTCTTTAAATATGCCCACGGTGCCCTGAGTTAAACTTTTGTTTAAAAAGAACACAGAGACAAACACAGGGAACTTTCACTTACATTTACTCAAATATCCCAGAGGGCTGTTGCTGGAGTTTGGCTATTGAGTGAAAGAGTCTCCTGAGTATGTAAGCACAAACACAATCCTTTTCAGGGTATAAATGAAGCTGGGCACAATTAGGCGGAAAACGATATCTTTAAAGGAAAAAGAAAGTCTATGCAGGCTGCAGTCCAACTTCAATAAAAATAAAAGAGAGAAAGAAAAACTTTACCCTTGGATAGATAAAGTGACCTTCAGTGGGTGTAGTGAAAGACATTACCTTTAAGCATCATATTTCCTGGATTCTTTCTCTCTCTCAAAGAACAGCACTTTTTTTCTATAAATAGGAGGTACAATTAGTACACATTTAAAAACCCTACCAGTTAGCTGAAACAAATGGGCAAACTATCCAAGTGTATATATTCTAAATTCAGTTGGACCAAACTTTTTTAATTGTCAAAAAAAGAAAAAAAGCTGTTTCATCTTTCCATTGGTTAAAGACGTAAATGCTTCCAAGAAACAATTCAGTAGAATAAAATACGATTTCTATAGGGGGTTGATCTGTTATTACATTTCTTTTTAAATATTTCAAATGCTTTTAGACCCGGTGTCATCACAGTCACTCTCCAACGTTCTGGCAGGTAATTGAGTGATGGTTCTCTATCTAACATATCTATCTTGATGCATCTTTATTTTCTTTTTTCTATACCCATAACATTGCCCTTAAGATTTAGCAGTGGTCTTGATAATGGAGGAAATACCAGAAACCAATCACTAAGATCTTGCAGAATTTAATAAAATAATTCAAAGGGTGCCCAAGAGATTGAATGCATTTATACCACTAAAAAGAGAAAGGTAGGAAAAGAAACTTGAAAGAAACTCTGAAGTTCTTTTGAGTTCAATAGCTGTCTAACCAAATAGAATGTGATGTGAGATTTTAGGGCAAAAGGCAACAAAGACTGCTGTGTGTTAGTTCTTAAAGAATTGTGCCTTCAGCCTGCTAATAGCTGTCATTCTCATAACCTTTGAAGAATTATGCACAGTACTTGGGCTCCAAGCTTACCTCTACCTCGGTGACATAGCATTTTTTTCCACTTGCAAATCTTATTCAGCACTTTAGGTTGCCTCTAGAAAAATGGCCTACGGGTTGACAACTTCAGACAGGTAAGATCTCTAGTCTGCTTTTGACAAATGTGATTAGAGATAGCTATTGTTCAAAACTCCCAGTATTATAGCTACATCATCAAATGTTGTTTGCACTTCCAGTAATATGTCAATGGTGAGAAGCAAAAGAGTCATTTCTACACACAGCAGAAAGTTATACAGAAATTATTATTCAAGTACTTTAAAAGTGTCTTGTGAAGGAGTTGAAACATCTGAATTCTGGAGTTCTCAATACTTATTCTTGGGGAAATTATCAGAGATTTGGGGCAGAGAGGAGTTCTTTACATCTGCATGCTTTCCTATTAAGTAAGAAGATAGATATAAACCCTATCATTTCCTGGGCCATTTCCATCTCAAAGCAAATCACATGGTGAAGTGAGGCTGCTCTTTGGAAAAAAAAAAAAAAAAAAAAAAAAAAAAAACTCTTCTGGACAATCTCTACCATGCAGATAACTGCAGAAGAAAGAACTCACTCCAAAGAATTTTATACCTCTTGCTTTGTAAGTTAATGCAAATCTGGCCATATCATAGGCCTGAAACACTCAGATGAGTATGATAGCAAAACAAAACAAACCTTATCATTATCCAGGTGTATTAGTCTATTTTCACACTGCTTTGAAGAAATACCCAAGACTAGGTAATTTACAAAGTAAAAGACTTAATTTACAAAGTAAATTAAATTTACTAAGTAAAAATGGACTCCCAGTTCCACATGGCTGGGGAGACCTCACAATCATGGTGGAAGGTGAAGGAGGAGCATAGGCACCTCTTACATGGCTGCAGGCAAGAGAACATGTGCAGGGGAACCGCCCTTTATGAAACCATCAGTTCTCATGAGATATTCACTATCATGAGAACAGCATGGGAAAACCCGCCCCCATGATTCAATTACGTACCACCGGGTCTCTCCCATGATACGTGGGGATTATGGGAGCTACAGTTCAAGATGAGATTTGAGTGGGGACACAGCTAAACGACATCACCAGGAAATGAAAAAATAAATAGAAATTGTCATGAGACAGATTCGATTTCAGCCTCACATCAGACTCAACTTTCAAACAATCAGAATTACCCTATAATGGAATAAATGACCCCATAATAGGAAGAAATCTCTATTTACAGATGCTCTTAAGCAAAGGTGTTTTCATAAATAAGGAAACTGGCCCAGCATATAACCTGGACTTCAAATTCTTAAGCAAATACTTCACACAAAAAATTGAAAAATATTTAACTTTACTACAACTGACAAGAACCTTCCTTCCGCAGACCTCAGTTTTGTCATCCACAAAAAGAGGGTTCAACTCAAGAGAGACTGTCAAACATGCATTGTTGTCAGCTCATGCAAGGTTCAGCTTGATGAACCATGGGCTGTATAAAAATTACGAATTCTTTTTTCAGGTCTTCTGGGTAATTGGCAATTATTTTTTGCAAATTGTTAAACGTTACTAAACATCCTGTTGAGTGGTTTGTTAAGTGTTTCTAAAGTTTGGGTTTTATAAATGAATGTTAGAAGATCATTAGAGCTTACTGAGGCTGAAATTCAGTATTCTACTGAGAAATTCGGTTGTCACGCAACACTGTAGTACAATGTGTGTGCGCTTTCACATCCGCATAATTCTAAAGAAGGAAACTCTATTGTGAGATCATCAACAAGGATGTCTTTTTTGAGATGGACTCTCGCTCTGTCTCTAGGCTACAGTGGCACGATCTTGGCTCACTGCAATCTCCGCCTCCTGGGTTCAAGTGATTCCCCTGCCTCAGCCTCCTGAGTAGCTGGGATTACAGGCGCATGCCACCACATCCGGCTTTTTGTATTTTTAGTAGACACAGTGTTTCACCATGTTAGCCAGGATGGCCTCCATCTCCTGACCTCGTAATCCACCTGCCTCATCCTCCCAAAGTGACGGGATTACAGGCGTGAGCCACCATGCCCGGCCTGTTACTTTTATTTTAATGATACATTATGGTTGTATTAACTTCATTATTAATTGATTTTATGTGAGTTTGGTTGCATGTAGAAGCACATGGATGCATCACTGATAATATTTGTAAAATTTCATGAAGTAGTTTCCCACATTCTCAACACATGAATTAATTACAATTTGAAAAAGAATCATCCATACTCTTGTGGCTGAAGTGATGTAATAATGCACAGAGCAGTAAATAATCTGCCCCAAAAATATATTTGTCATGTTTCCTTTTCACTAGGTACTTGATTATTAGAATGCTCATCTAAGTAGACTGTGGTTCAATAAAATTCTAGAAAGATATATTCAAAATCTTCTAACAAACTACAATATTTCTAGGGGCCTTAGAAGCCCTACTTTACAATTACAGCTCTACACCACGGAAATTCTCATGGGAGGGGAAATTTGAGAGTAAGTTAAGGCAACAGTATATTAACTTACAAGGAGAAAGCTAGCCACACAGCTGCCATCTTTGAGGAGAATGCTTTCTAATTCAGAAGAATCATAAGGCGATAAGAACAGATTCCATGCTCCAGTCACTGTGCCAGTTGCTGCATTTGGGAAATAGACAAGACTAGCCGCTAAGCATATAAGTGAGAAAAATCAAAGGATAACCCTTAAAGTGACTGATTTCCCACTCACCACTGCCAAGCAACCCTCGAAGTAGTCAGAAATGAGGCTACCAGAGAAAAAGAGCCAAAGACATAAAGTTATACATCTACTTGAATGTAAACAGGTAAGCAATGGAATCAAGAATGCCAATATAGAAGTAAATTGCAATCAACGTATAAAATATTGATAGAAAACTACTGCTGGAAAAGCCATGAGATGTTTTAAATCTTCAATCTTGCTTCAAGCTAAAATTAGTTGGTTAGTCATCATAAGATTTTCTTAATTCAATATATTTATTTTAAATAAATTAATTGGAGGAAGAAAATTTTAATTATTAGTAAACACTCAGCCCCTGGAGAGAAAAGGAAGTATATGGCAATTTTCAAGTTACCACAGCCATCTGATGGACGCTCCCTGAATGGCAGACATAAGGTCTCAAAGCTGAACTTACAGGAATCTCTAAATCTTTATCAATATTTTAGCTATCTCAGGCACAGTAAAGAATACCCTATAACCTACACATGAATAATGGTGTCCTCCTTCAGACCAGAAAACTGAGGACATTTATTATTACAAAAATGTAATACTCATCTTGATCAAATACATTTGAAATAAAATAAAGACACATGGAAATTGGAATTATAGTTTTTAGTGCTGTGTCCTAACAACACTTCTAAGGTATAACTTGCTTCTAATAAGAGAATGTTAGAAATTAAAGAATAGAATAGAATTAAATGGATTGACACCTGGAATATCCAATAATCCATGGCTTTCTGGATGTTGACCACAGCACCTGCAAGTGCTATCAACATTGTGGTGACCGAAAACTGTTAAAATCCTTTAAGTGGTCATTTCGTGGACATACTAAGAATAAAACAAATCAACAAAGCTGTCAAAAATAAAAGTTGAAAAGTGCTAATCCTATTATTAGCACCATACTAGAAAAAAAAACCTTATAGATGCTGGATATTAGACCTTTGTTGGATGCATAGTTTACAAAAAATTTCCCCCATTCTGAAGGTTATCTGTTTACTCTGCTGATAGTTTATTTTGCTGTGCAGCTCTTTAGTTTAATTAGATTCCATTTGTCAATTTTTGATTTTGTTGCCATTGCTTTTGGCATCTTCATCATGAAATCTTTCCCGATCCCTATGTCCTGAATGGTATTGCCTAGGATGTCTTCCAGGTTTTTACAGCTTGGGATTTTACATTTAAGTCTTTAATCCATCTTGAGTTAATTTTCATTCTATTATAAAGACGCATGCACATGTATGTTTATTACAGCACTATTCATGATAACAAAACTATGGAATTAACCTAAATGCCCATCAATGATAGACTGGATAAAGAAAATGTGGTACATATAAACCATAGAATACTATGCAGCCATAAAAGAAGAATGAGGTCATGTCCTTTGCAGGGACATACATGGCACTAGAGGCCATTATCCTTAGCAAACTAACACAGGAACAGAAAACCAAATACCACATGTTCTCACTTATAAGTGGGAACTAGATGATGAGAACACATGAACACATAGAGGGGAACAACACATACTGAGGCCTTTCAGAGGGTGGAGGGTGAAAGGAGGGAGAGGATCAGGAAAAATAACTGATGGGTACTAGGCTTAATGCCTGGTGATGAAATATCCTGTACAACAAACTCCCATGACACAAGTTTATTTATTTAACAAACCTGAACTTATACCCCTGAACTTAAAGGTTAAAAGTTAAAAAAGGAGAAAAAACCCAGCATTTGTAATTTCAAACAATAAAGTGAAGTCAAATTATGCATAATCTTCAATAGTTTGACTTTGGCTCAGTAGTATCAAAGGCAACAAGAGAACTGAAAAACTCAAGACATAAAAGTTCAGTAGTTTTAATTACATTGGGCATGTTTCTTTTCCTCGTAAAATGACAACTTAGAATGTTGAATGATGGATTTTATTACGTATATGCTTGTAGAACATTTTTATAAATGTTATGCCAACTGTCTTTAGTTCTGTTTGCATTACTTCCTCAAAATCTTTGCTGTTGTTTTCCTTTGGTCAGCATGGGGAGCACTGGTGGGAATGTATTGCAACTTGGGAGCTCCCATGAGGAAGCATTGCACCTGAAACAATATCCAATCCTGGACATAAAATGTATCATTAAATATCTTGAGAATAGTGAGACATTATAAAACACTGTACAGTTTTAATTCTTCAATTAGTTTTTCAGTATTGGATTGAATTAAATTCAATAATAATTTAATTATTATATCTTAGAACATGTCTTAGTAGGAAAAACTTTCCAGGTGAAGTCTCTTAATGAAGCACAGGACCCAGAACTAGAATGTCACCCTCTGATGGCATCTATTATCATAGTATTATGTCAACGTGATGCGTCTGAACAACCATCAGTATGCCTTACAACAGAAGTTATTCTGGCAAAATTAATAGTATGCTTTTTTCTTAAGACCCAAGGGTGAAATGTGGGGGAGTAAAATGTTCACCAATCCACCCATCTTGGCCTCTTTAGCACAGTACAACCAAATCAAGAGATATATGAACTTAAAGCTATATATAAGCTATTCAGGCCAAGAATATCTAATTCTCACAGAGGCAAAAGGTTGTAGGACCTAAATTATCTATAGTAGCTGCTTGAGCTGATAAAAGCACCAGGCAATTTCTAAACTCCCCACTTTACTTTGTGCAGCTACAACTGTGTTTTAAAAAGTCCCACACAAGGCTTTAAAGTGACTCATTTGTAATATACTGCAGATGGTACTTCCATTTATTATTGGGCGTTGCTCTGCACTGTATTATAACTTCAGCGTTTGGACAGCAATCAAAGCATTTTTCACCCAGTGGCCTCTACTTTACAGACAATACTATGGAGTTATTTCCTACCAATATAAAGAGCAATTTTAGTAATCTCGATGACTTATATACATAACAGCTTGTAATATTAACACACCAAACTTAAAATCAGTTTGCATTATTTTTAACTAGCTATGAAAACCTGCCCAAAGATTTTAAATGAAATATCTCCCCCAACTGCATGTAAGTCATTATAAGCCTCCTATCAGAAAGCATTCATTATGGCTCCCACCAATTCACTTTTCTTAGTAGTTACAAATTGTCTATAATTTCCAACAGTTGGTCTCAGCTCAAAAATAAACTTTTTCACAGCTAAACTAACCCATTTTCAATGTCCATCCACCATAATTTTCAAAACTCTTCACTATAAAAACTGGAAAGTTTTGGGTACAAAGGGAATGCTTAAAAAACAAATGTTCCTAATATTTGTGTTTACATATTGGATTTTTTACAAATACCTGGTTTAAATTATTTCTGTGACCATAAAATTTTATAACAATGGGGGTAAATAATCTATCTTAATATCAATCATTTTCATAATGGAACAGTATTTCAGAAATGGAATCTTTTGTATTCGAAAATTTGTTTTTATTCATTTCTTATCTTTCTCCTTCTTTCCAAAAACAGCACAAAGCTATTAGAAGAATTTACTAGATTTATCTTAAATTTTGCCAAGATCTAGAATGCCTGTGGCCTTGACCAATCTCATTAGCCTAATGATAGTGAGATACATGAGGCTTTCGTCATCTCAACCCCATACGGGGTCTGGCTTCAAGGGAAAATGCAGCTTTCATAAAATAACCTCGGACGAGAACAACTGCACCACCGTCTGTTCAAACATACGCGTCAAATCTCTGCTAAATTTACACATTCTACTTCCAAGCTTTGCTTCTTCATTTATCCAGAAAACATTCATTTATATTTATTTTCTTTCAAATACATCAGGCTTTTTGTATACCACTCAAGAACATTGTTGAATCTTCCTGAAGATAATCTCTGCATTGATTATAGTACATGAAAAGAATCATTTCTTTCATACCCCCCAGTTCTTTTTTTTTTATACATACACAAAAAGGGCTGGCTTAATTTAGAGAAAATGAGAGTTCTAGTTTAACTTGTAATTTTTCTTATCCTATCACCAGAAACTACATTCTTGTCCCTGACTTTCCTCTTAAATGTTTGATTGTTGTTGGGTTTGGGTTTTTGGTTTAGTTTGGTTTTTGCTTTTTTGTTTGTGATGACTCTTCTAACCATACATTATCTAAAAAAAAAAAAAAACACCTATGCATAAAATGTTCTAATGTTTCCTACTTGGCTGAATCAGAAAGAATCAATTACTGTGTAGAATTTCACTGAAACTTCGAAGATAGATAACATCAAACTCTGTAACATGTTAGTGACGTTTTTTCTTTGCACTTTTTCATTTCTCTTCACTGTGAAAATCTTTTGAGGAAATAGTATGTAGTTACTAAGTAATCCACATATTCTCTATTTTCCCTTTACATTTATTTTGCTTTGATTCAGGAAAAAATATATATCTGTTATGTTTTAAAATAATACTAACTTCTGAACACTCTAATGATTCTAGTTGTCATGATCTCTCATTTTGACTTTGGCAATTATTCTCATACGTACCCAAGATAACCTGCCCAGTCTAGACATCACTTCTTCCTTGTCCTTCTCTTTTTGTAATATACTTTATGCCCATATAGTGCCTTTTATCCACAGATCTCAAAGTGCTTCTTTTTTTCTAATATGCCTTTATATTCTCTAGAGAACCAAAGAGGCTTTTTTTATTGTACCTCTGGCTTTCTTTTATGGATGAAATCTGGTCTGGTTGCTAAGAAGCATGGATTTGAATACACTCTCTAGCAGCTTCTACCCTTCTGCTTTTAAAATGGTTATTTTTTTTAATCCATTGAAGTGCAATTTGACTATCATTTTTTAAAATCTCCTTTTAAAAGTCAAAATGCAACTCTCTGGAAACCAATGAATCTCATTGCCACGGTATGGTAGGTTCTCCTGCTTCATGATCTATAATCATTTCTTCAGTGTCAGTAATAAAATGCTTCAGTAACCTCTCCCAGCCCCTTGGCATTCTGCCTACTAGTGTCAGGCCTTTCTCCCCCTGCGATCCTACTACTCAAAGAGCCAAGAGTGATGGTGCTGCTGCCATGGCAACTTAGAATATTGAAGGCTTGGAAGTCTTTTCTTTGTTTTATATGAGATATTAACTGAAGAACATTGCATATTTAAGAGGCTTATTTCATTACCTATTTCCCCTGAGTTCTTTTCTCCTCCCATATAGACTTGCCTATCTATATATGGCCTTAATTTCTAGACTAACAAGTAGTTTTTTATTCTGCCTCATTTACCGAATGAGCATTCCCTTGTTACCTTGCCCGAGGTCATGCATGAGTTCCCAGGTATGTAAATAATAGTTGCTGGACATCAAATATACATAAAAATGGCCACTAATCTGAATCTTTTTCTTCTTCCAAGTAGGCCAATTCACTTAAATGTATATTAGCCATTTACTGTGTGCCAAGCACTGGGCTGGGTATTGGAATGATCTGCAGAATATCATTGTCTAATTAATATAATAGACATAAACAGAAATATAAACAAGGTGGGGGCATAAAGTCAGAGGCGTTCACAGGATATTCAAAGAACACCCAGAGAGGCTCTTTGTCCTTATGCTTAAAGGAATGAGGATGTCAGGAAAAAGACCCTGGTAAAGAGGGAGTCTGAGCAGAGGTGTATAGGAAGAATAGAAGGTAAGTAGGCAGAGTGCCCAGAAAAAGTGTCCCAAGAATAAGAGAAGCATGGATAATGGCTTGCAGGTGATAAACACCACATCGCATGGGAGAAATTACTACTTTACTGTTATTAAGGCATAAAATCAGAGTGAAATATGCCTTAAAAATAGTAGAAGACATTATCAAGGACCAGATCCTGAAGGGCCATATGCAACATGTTGAATGTGCAAAATGGACAATTAAAGAACACTTTGATTTCATATGACCTGACTTCAGTGTAATATTAGCACAAAGTACTAGCAAAGTGTGCTAATGAATCCTATCTCTTATCAGTCATTGTAAGGAGTAATTTAAAAGAAAAAAAATGAAAATTCAAGTGCTTGGAAAGGAGTCCCTCATGGCAGTGAGAAAGTAATGGAATCCAAGGTGGGTGGCAAGCTACCCTCAGCAGAAAGTTAGATCTGGAGTAAGGTAAGTATTTGAAGTTGCCAAAAAAAAAAAAAAAGTAAACTGCATGACAATGAGTATATCCCACTGACACATCAGAATTATAGTCCATGAGGTTCAACAAAGTTGCAGTTTGGAATAGACTAAGGCCCAAAGATGCATAATTTATGATGTATATCCAACCATGCTTCATTACACTCAATATGAGGTCACTACCAGCACTTTCCTTATTAAAATGTTCTTTTTTTTTTCAGAATTGACTTTCCTCATCAGGTTAAATACATCCTTTGTTTGCCAGTGAAGTCCACGTGCTTAAGGAGAAAGAGGTCCCTTAGAAGAAATGCAGAAAGAATGGGTCTTCCCAACATATGAGAAAAAATAACATCTTGTATTTCCTATAGTCCTCAACCAACAAACAAAAAAGTAGTTACCATATATCACAGATTAGATAAAAGATTCACAGACAAAAAGATTATATAACTAATTGAAGGTCATAGAGAAAATCAGCTTTCTCAAGATCAGAGCCCAGTCCTCTGACTCATTGTTTGAAACTTCCCATTATGCCATTTATCTAATGGAAGGCTGTGGGGTTAATCTACAATTACACTTTGCCAAAATCCTTTCCAAAAATCTTTAGCTTGACATTGATCTAGGATAACAGATGATGCCTGAATCATAAGGAGGATTTCAGACTCTTTATCTCTTTGTGTGATAACAAAGATCTGAAAGCTTTGTTAAGAAAACTGGTGATGAGCCAGTTTCTGAACAAACCTCTGGTAAAAGTTCTGAGAAATAGGGACCCATAGAGTTAAAAGGAGCTGGTAGATTTCTAATGGAACACTATCCTCTTCAGAAGACCTCTAATTGTATATTTTATAGTCTACTTGAGACTGTGTTCCACAGCATTTCTTTTAGTCACTGAGAGCTTTGGCAGGGGTTAATTGACCAGGAAAAGCATTCATCATTCCAGGTTTGTCATTTAAGCAGAATGGTATCATCTGCACAATCCCTTTCTGCATATTTGGAACTAATAGGATGTAGAAAAGTTTATAATGGAGTAAAGTTTCAGAATTTGAGTTGATCTTCCCCCTAACTTCCTACCAGAAATTGCCAATGCATAGCAACATAATATATCATCTCCTCAGTTCTTTAAAATAATCTTTGAAATTGGAAATAAAAAATTACAGTATTATTTTACTATTCAGTCAAGTTACATTTTGCTTATGTCAAAATGCTATATGGATGTATCTATTGACCATTCCAATAATTTCATTGTAAATCAGTGAGGTTGCCAAAAAAAGAATAGGATAATTCTATTTCTACATAGGGACTCTATAGTCAAAGCAACTGTGACACATAGGAAGCTGAAAATGACACTACAATATGGATTGGGACAGTCTTCTCTAAATATATATTTTAAAACAGCTGAAGGGCCAGTGGAATGTGAGTGCTTTAAGAAATGTTGGACATCACTTAGCCTACCCCACTTTTTTAGGGAAATAGACAACTGAAGCCCAGGGAAGGCAGTTATAGAGTTAAGAGTCATGACTTGAATCCAGGTCTTCCTATCCCCAAACTGCACTGAGGAGCCCTCTACTACTCAGCTTCCCCACTTTCTCGTGCTGGCTTTTGCTTCCACAATGAACCATTGCAACAGCCTCCACCAAACCTTTAGTCTGAGTTTAAAATAACCTCTCAACTCCTAATCCCAAATGCCTTTCATTCACTCTGCAATTGTCTTTACTGTTCTCTTTATCTTTACTTTAATGACCCTCACTCTTTTGTACAACTCCATTCATTCATTCATTCAAAAAGATGCATGGTGTGTTCACCATGGGCTGTGTGCTCCCTCCACTTCTCCACATGACACTATCTTTTCCCTTCTGGTTTGGCCTGCTTTGTCTGCTTTGCTCTCCTCACTTTTTCTTTCCACCACCTAAATATGGGCATTTCTTAGGGTTTTTCTCAGTTTTCCTTTTGCACACTTCTTTACTCATAATTTTCATCCAATTTCATGATTTCGACTGCCATCTGCTGTGTCTGACTATGGAATTGGCATCTCTAGCTCTGATCTTCTCAGAGTCTGGACAACCTTCCTCCAACAAGGTTCAATTGGAAAGCTCATATTCACTGGAAACAAAACCCATCTGAAAACAAGTACATTCTCTCCCTCAAACTTACTTTCTCTAAAGACATTCCTGCCCTTATTCAAAATGTGGCCACAGCCAATCAGTAAGGCCTTAATGCCAAAACTCATACCTAAGAGGCTCCTCTGATGCTTTGGGTTAAAAAACTCACCCTGTGCTACCAATTATCACTGCACATCTGCTCCTCCTTTCCACTCACACTGCTTCTCCTTTAGGCTCCAAGTCCTGACCTATTTATCCCCCTTCCCTCTAGCTCAATTATTATTATAAAAATCTTGAACACACCAAAAAATTATAAGAATAGCACGTTGCTCATCTGTACATCCATAAACTAGATTCAAAAATTTTTTAACATTATGTCACATATACTTCTTCTAGATCCATATCTGGATCTAGCTACATATACAGAGATAGGGATGGGGTGACTATGAGTATGGGTCTGAGTATGAATGTAGATATAAATACATACAAAGCCATAGAAAAGGTTTACATGTAAATATAGATACAGATAGAATACAAATAAAAATACACATATGCATATACATATATTTTGCAGAAAAAAATTGACAATAAAAGGCACATATGAGACTTCTCAGTATATATCTCTTAAAAATAAGAACTTTTTCTTACTATACCACAAAATTATTATCAAAACTAAAAATTGACAGTTCATTAATATTACCTAAAATCCAGTCTATATTCAAATCTCTCTGCTAGTCCCCCAGCTTTTGGTTTTTTGTTTGTTAACTATGATTCGATCACAGTTTACAAGTTGTGTTTGTAGTTAATTACTCTGTTTCTTTTATCTTTTTAATTTTTCTCTCAAGTATTTAGTTTTCATGACAGTTTACTTTGTGTTACAGAATGTCAGATAAATTAAATTTGTCTGATTGTTTACTTGAAATGCCATTTATCTATTTATTCTTCCCCCTTTAACTTGTGGGGACCTGACCTGTTCCAATCACTTTGTAGTTTGTGTTAGTTATTTCATCCAATTTCCCCAGTATTTTCTATAACAAATGAACCTTTGTCTCTACTCTTCTCCTGTTTTAATTCGTCTCCCAGAGTCTTCCCTGTCTCCACTCCTCTGCACCTGCAGAGCCCTGCACTGCAATCCCTCCTGCATCATTAAATTCAGGCCTCTTAGTTTTTCTTTAAGACTTCCTCAAGCTGGCCCTGACCCACTTCTGTGATTTTACCCTGTATTTAAATATTGGTTCTGGACAAACTGCTCCCTGGAGCACACCACATACTTCCTTACCACTCTGCTTTTGCTCTTTCTGATTTCTCCAAGTCCTCCCCTCAAGGAGTAGTTCAAATACTTCCTTCATTAATAACAATAAATTTCATGTTAACATTTCCCAAGACCACTCCAGCAGCTACAAATATTTTCTTCCTCTGCACTCATAGTCCTTAATATTCCTATGATATATTAGTTATGTCCCACCTCAAAATATTCATTTAATCGTTTCTCAGAGATTACTCGCACTTGTACTGTATAGGTTTTCGCCTTGTCCTCAACCATATTTTCTATTCCATTAGTGTAGCGTTTGCACAAAGTTCTTTTTACATTAGCATATACTTTTACCTAATAAATTGGTATTCAATAAATATTTGTTATCCTGACTTGTTGACAAATCATAGAATAACCAGACAAATGGAAAATTCAAACTTTCAGTTTGAATGAGACTTAACTTTGTCAAATTATCCCTCGTATTTGATAATTACTTAGGCTTTTCACACTCACTAGTAGTAAACACAAATGCCAAGTCTCATTTGTTACTCTATGGCCACTTAAGGTCTAATGTAACTCCAATACATATAAAATGCCAAGTTTCATATGTACTTTTTGGCCACTTATAGACTAATGTAGTTGGGAAAGAACTAGACTTATAATTGAAGGACCTGAATTCAAGTCACAGCTCTGCTCACACTAATTATATGCCCTTGTATAAGCTACTTAAATACTTTTGATCGCAGTCTTATTGTCTATACAAAGGGAATAACAACATCCTCATTCACAATCTGTTGGGGAAAAATGAAATAATAATGCAAATACTTTAATTCAATCCCTAGAAGTTGTGATGTTCTTAATAATTATTACTTCAATCTAATTTATGAGATTTCACTCCCTTGCTTTAAGTGTAGAATAAATAACAATGAATTTCATGGTAAAATAGAGGCTTTCTAAATGCCTGAAATCTAGTAATTCTAAGAATTTGCTAGTAGTAACTCCGAATATTAAACTTGCCAAAAATACCAATACTCACCGAAATGTGCAGAGGACCATTATAAACTTACATGACATGTGCAAAGTGACTGCTCTGTTCATCTTAGACAGATGGAATTTCATGGCCAGAGCAACTGCACGGTCTTCAGAGGCAGACTGTCCTTGGTTCATTCTGCCTCATCCACTTACAGGGTTGGTTGGTAGGTACAATAATACCTACCTGAAAGTTATTATTATTAAGTGAGATAATGCATGTGAAGTTTTAACCTAATGTCATGTATGTAGTAAGTGCTCAATAAAGAGTTGAATCCCAGCACCTTGGGAGGCCAAGGCAGGTGGATCACCTGAGGTCAGGAGTTTGAGACTAGCCTTGTCAACATGGTGAAACCCTGTCTCTACTAAAATACAAAAATTAGCCGGCGTGGTGCCAGACGCCTGTAATCCCAGCTACTCGGGAGGCTGAGGCAAGAGAATCGCTTGAACCCAGGAGGTGGAGGTTGCAGTGAGCCAAGATCGTGCCATCACACTCCAGCCTGGGCAACAAGAGTGAAACTTCACCTCAAAAAAAAAAAAAAGAGTGGCTAGCATGTTATTGTTTCTCAATACCAATCTTAAGCAAAGAGCTTTGTCCCAAAGTTCTTCTCAAAAGTCAAAGATGGAAATTTCCAAGCTATCCTGTTGCTCACCCTAACTCCTCTGCTGCAACCCATCTTGTTGAGTCACTACCTTCCTCAAACACCATTCTTTCCTGTCTGAGTCTTTGTCTGTGCTATGCTGCAGCTCCTGGACAGACTTCTTCCTGGTCACCTGCCCAAATCCTAAAGATTTGACTCCAGTTCTCTCTTTCATGGTGACTATCACTTTTGAATCTATGGCACCTTGTCCTCTTTTGACCTACTCCAGTGACACTCACATCAGATTTAGTTATATACATTAATTAAATTTAATTTTCTTT
Organism: Homo sapiens; assembly: GCF_000001405.40. Lineage (NCBI taxonomy): Eukaryota > Metazoa > Chordata > Mammalia > Primates > Hominidae > Homo > Homo sapiens. The sequence continues at coordinate 8,621,110 of NC_000007.14, read as the reverse complement.
CCATTATAACATGTTTTTTCTACCAACTAAATTATAAATTTTTTGACAGCAAAGATGATGTCTTCTTCCCCAGCCTACCTCAGTGTCATAACAATAATTATTTGATGAATTAATATAGGCAACTGACTATGACAAAAACACCTTTAGATTGTGTGAAAGTTTATAGAGAGAGCGTTTTTATTCATAGGTTATGAATTACCTTTTCAAAGGGAGAAGAAAAACATACAACCTGGAAGAGATCAGATCAAATTGGAACATCCATTTCTAAATCGTCCTTGTCCCCATGAGGCCTTTAAAGTGACAAATTAGAATTTTTAACCATTTATGAAAGAATACAGATGATTTTTAGTGACGGTAACTTCATCTAATCATTTTAAGGAAAGGAGAAATGTATTGGTTCGTATAATTCTAAAGCGTAGAATTAGCTTCAGCTTTTTTGTCAGCTTGACATCAAATGGTATCAGCGGGGCTCAGTTTCTCTCTCAGATCTCCTTAATTCCAGCATTGGCTTCAATCTTAAGCTACATGAGGAGTCAGGCTGGTGGCAGCAGCCTCAGCCTGCATGCTTCCAGAGTCTGTTACAGAACAGTAGCAATATTCTTTTGCCCAAAAGTCACAGTCTCATGAGATCTGGTTGGCTCTGGGTGAATTCCATAATTCCCCTTGAACTAATCACCATGACAAGAAGAGGCAGCACAGAGGCTTACTGAGGCCCACATCTTTAACCTGGGTCAGAATTGTTGTCAGCTGGCTTCCTGGAACCACACAAACTGTCGGTAGGAAGGGGAGGTTCCTTGGAGGTAAATATATATGAGTATCAGAGGTGGATGAATGCAGACTGTGAAAACATTCCCAGGACTGTTAGGCACCTAGTAATCTTTCAATAAACTCACTGAGTGACTTAATCAGGTCTTTTTCCATTATATGTTAGAACTGTGCTTCTGTGTTTTTTCAATGTCGAGGTACACAGAAGATAATAGTAGTTCTGTGTTGCACTGAGGTGAGAAGGATCCTTGTGACTAGAGGTCAACGGCTACTCTGGCAGCTCTAAGTGCTGAGAGAGTCAGTATCTCAACACATTACAGCACAGCAGTACGTGGATGGAAAAACTCTGCTCATGAGCCAAGATCATATTTGGGAAAGGACACTTGGTTAACAGCCTTAAGTCTTGGATTTTAGATCCAGATTTACCACATACTTGTTGTAGGTAGTTGAGGAAGCAAGTCTCAATTTCTCTACATCTTTTCTTCCTTGTTGTAAAATAGAGATAATAATGCCTTCCTAGCACACCTCACAGAATTACTGAAAACATCATATGAAATAATGGTATTAGTATATTTTGTAAACTACAGAGTGTTATTACAAATGCAGAGAATTATTCCTTTTCTCTGGGACTCAGTTTCCCACTTAAAAAATACGCTGGAGAATAAGATAAGACATGATATCTGTAATACTTTCTCATACTGAATTTATAACTATTATTTTGCTTCATAGTTAAATAAATCCACAAGAGTCAGTGAGGTTGCTCAATGTAAATATAACTGACAGTACAGACACATGGGTAAAATGAGGTTAGCCAGGATATGCATACTTATAAAGGCTTAAATTATTGATCCCATTACTTTAAAGGATATCTGAAAGAGCATTGAACATCATTTGCTTAAGCAAACATAAACAAAATAAGACCTGGATTAACCAAAACTCTAGTAAAGAGTTGGCAATGGACACATAATTATAAGCTTCATCCCAGATGCAGCAACAAATGTTAACAAGAGAATAGAAGCAGACTGCAGAAGTTAACTGGAGGTAATAGAAGATTAGAGGCCAATCTGAACCAAGGAGATAAGACAGGGATTGCTGACTATTACAGAGGACCTAATTTCTTTCAAACACAAATCAGTGCCCCTTCAAAATGCACGCCACCTCAAAACTATGCCAGGAACACATGGCAAAAGCAGAAACGTTCGCCAAGGGTACCAGGGCAGACATAATCCTAAAATCAAGCTCAAGTTCTCAACTTCCTTCTTAGAGAGAGAAAATAGCACATTAATGTCACAGGAATTCACTGAAACCATCTCTTTTGTACATACTAAACTTTTCCTGCTTAAAAATAGTAACACACAAACTGAAAAGATTTCAATTTTATAATTTTCATCTTCTACCAGATTCTTGCCATGAAAAATGCAGCAGCAAAAGAGAAAAAAACTGGGTCCAGATAACTTCAATTGCAGCACACATAATTAGCATTCCTTGAATTCTGTAGAGTGTGTTTAGCATACATTCAAACAAATAAAATAAAAAAGAACACACATTCTCCAGTTCTTCTTATGCAGATTCAACATATAAAGATATTGGATTAAATATCTTGTATAATCTCAGAAGGCTCTCAAAATGAAAGAATGATGCAGTGATTACATTTCTAAGGAAACAATGCATTAGCAAAAGGGTAAATTCTGATTCCTTTTTTCCACCTCTTCTCCTAGTTTGCAAGTGAAATTTAAGCCTCAGGAATGTCTCATTGCCTGAAAGTTTGTGCTATAATGCAATACAGCTACTTTGTCCTCTTTCTGCCAATACAAGCACATAAAGAGTATGAAGGAAAAATGTATGTGAAAGTGCTTTGAGCTCTTATATACAAAGTTAATAAAATATTTAATTACCTTTACGCTCATTGGCTAAACATCCAAGATTTTCTTAGCACAGTGTTGATGCTCCCTAAAAGATGCATTCAATGGCTATTTTGATGAAGCCAGCTCTGAGAATTAGTGCCACAGATGTCAGCTGTATGAATACAGTCAGATGAATCAGTGGCATCAGATAATTGAGTGAAAATATCAAATTAAATGTTGTATTTCCTAACCTCCATGCTAATACCATAAAATAGATCCCAAAATGCCCAGATCATAAAGTACAAACATGAGTATCCATTCTACCCTTTTGGTTAGTGTTGTTAACATCAAAGAAAAGATGTAGGTTGGACAGAAATCATAATTCCTTATGGGCAGAAGAACCCTGCGGCGAGTGACACTCATCAGTTTAGTTACCCATGCCCCAAATCTGGAAGTTTTTTTAATTTACTTTTAAAAAATTTTTAACTTTTGTGGGTACATAATAGATGTATATATTTTGGGTTACATGAGATGTACCCACTTGCTTTTTAAAAACTTTAATTGTCGTGGGTACATAGGTGTATATATTTATGGGAGTACATGAGATATTTTAACACAAGCATGCAATGTGAAATAAGCATATCATTGAGAATGGGGTACCCATCCCCTCAAGCATTTATCCTTTAAATTACAAACAATCCCATTATACTCTTTAAGTTGTTTTAAAACGTACAATTACGTTATTATTGACTATAGTCACCCTGTTGTTCTATCAAATAGTAGGTTTTATTTGTTCTTTCTATTTTTTGTACCTCTGCTATGTTCCCCCAATCTCCCCACTATCTTTCCCAGCCTCTGATCCATTCTACTCTCTATGTCCACTAGTTCAATTGTTTTGATTTTTAGATCCCACAAATAAATGAGAACATGCAAGGTTTGTCTTTCTGTGCCTGGCTTATTTCACTTAATGTAACGATCTCCAGTTCCACCTGTGTTGTTGCATATGACTGGATCTCCTTCTTTTTTATGGCTGAATAGTACTCCATTGTATATATATATCACATTTTCTTTATTCATTCATCTGTTGATGGACACTTAGGTTGCATCCAAATCTTAGCTATTGTAAACAGTGATGCAACAAACATAGGAGTGCAAATATCTCTTTGATATACTGATTTCCTTTCTTTTATAGGAAATACCCACTTTCTCAACTCCCATGTCTACTCCAACAGCAAGTTCTGAGTTTGTACCTCATGAAGAGAGTTCTTGAGTTTACCTCTAAAACAAAGTTTCTCAATCTCAACACCATTGACATTGGGACTGGATAATTGGAGAGTGTTCTGCGCATTGTAGGATGGTTTCCAGCATCCCTGGCCTCTACTCAATAGATGCCAGTAGACATCCCCTTTCCCCCAACAATTGTAATGACAAAAAGTATTTCCAAACATTGTCAAATACTGCTCCAGTTGAGAACCACTGCTCTCAAACAATCCGCTCCTTTCTTATCCACTGAAGCCAGTGGCCCAAGCTGGCACCATCTCTTGGCACAACTACTATAACGAACTCCTAATTGATCTACTCACATTCACACTGTCCTCCCCTCAAATCTGATATCCATACTTCAGCCAGAGTGGTTTTTTTTTTTTTTAACATAAACTTGATCTGGTCCTTCAACCCCATCTCAACTTAAAATACTTCAGTAGCTTGTATTTGTTTTTAGGGGAAAATCTTTATAACTGTATGATCCAGTCTTTACCTACCTTTTTTGCCTCTAGTATTCCACACTTTTTTTTAGTTCACTGTGTTCAAAAGCAACAATGTCTTTCCCTCAGTCCCCCCTGGCTGCCATGCTTCTACCTGCCTTGGGGCCCTTACATATGCTTCGCTCTCTGTCCTAAATGCTCTTACCACCATGTCTCTTCTTCCTTAATTCATTCCTCAAATATTAAATGAGTTCCTAGTACCTTCAAGGCACTATACTTGGAGTTGGGATTTCAGCAGTAAACATAACCTCCTGATCCCATGATGTTTTTAACAAGTTGAGTCGAGATGACGAGGGAGAACAAAAAATAAACAAGTAAATTTATAAAATGTGGGATGGTGATAAATACAGCATAAGGGCAATGAGGAGTCCTGATAGAGACAGAGTTGCTATTTTCTATAGGGTCATCAGGGAAGAGCTCACTGATATGGTGAGGGGGTACCTGGGGAAAGTGTTTGGGCAGAGAACAAGATCAAAAGACTTCAAAATGAAGTTTACCTATATGTTCAAGGAACAGCAAGAACAGCAAGGAGGCCAGTGTGGTTGAACGTGACTGTGTAAGAAGAGAGTGAAAGATCATGAGGTCAGAAAGGTAGCAGGAGACCAATCACATAGGGGTCTATAAAACAAAATAAGAACTACGAGATTTATTCTGAGTGAGATGTAATGAAGTCATGATGAGAGGGATTTGAGCAGAGATCTAATATAATCTATCTTTCATTTTAATGTGGTCACTCTGGCTGCTATGCGGAGAATAAGCTTTAAGAAGATAACGGCAAAAATAGGGAGACTATGTAGAAGTCTACTGCTTCACCTGTTTACCTCTTATACTTTATTTCCCTGTTTCATTTTCTGAGAAGTCTTTCCAATCTCCTATATGCTCTTATAACCCATGCAGCTGTCATTTATGTAGCACTTGTCATCCTTGCAATTTTACATTTATTTATGTGATTACCTGATTAACATCTGTCTTCTCCACTGGTGTGTTACCTTCTTCAAAATATGATTCTTATCAGTTTTCCTTCTCCAATCTTTAGCAAAGCATAGAATACCTTTGGTTCTCAATAAATGCAAGGAAAGGGAAAGAAGGAAAGAGGGAAGGGAGACAGGCAGGAAAATATTGACATAATAGTTATTTTACAGATTCTGATATAATTGTTCCAAAATGAGGCAATAATATGGGACAAGCAGAGTCAGATTATTTTTGCAATAGCTATAGGAAAGATTATGCCCTCCCATCTGAGGGAAGTGTGGATCACCAAGAGATAGCAGTAACACCTAACATCTATTGAAAGCTTACTAAGTCCCCTGTACTCATTTAAATTATCCCATCGAATCCTCTCAACAACCTTAAGAGGTTTGTATCATTACATTTTTCAGATGAGTAAATGTACTCAGAGAGGTTAATTACATAGCCAATAAGCTACAGAGCTGAGGGTTTGAATCCTCATGTTTAGCCACCATGCGCACTGCCTCCTGCAGGGACAGTCAATAACAATTTTATTAAAGATTTAGCTCCCGCAATCCCATTCCTGAAAACCCATTGTGTCAAACAAATAGCAGGGCTCAAATGCAGATGAATTCCTGGGCACATCTAATTCGTACATTTTCCCCCAATAGAAACAATTCCAATCAGCGTCATACAGTTTCATTTGAAATTGTAATGAGGCACAACAAGTAAAAAGAAAGAAGAGATGAGAATTAGAAATCAGAGCCAACTAACAGTAGAAGCTAGGAAGCTGTATTTGCTGCAGAATTAAAATACAAAACAGAATCTTTAATCTCAAACACCATTTAAAAGACCTTTGCTTGTTTAATATATTAACAAAGAATATAATTTAGTGTTACTTTGAGGCATAGAATAATTCTTATTTCAGGATGTTCAATAAGAACAATAACTGCCACAAAATGAATCTCTCCTTTTGATAAATCTTTACAGAGAAGTAGGAGAAAAGTCAATTTAAGCCTATATTTTGATATTCTTTCATCACAGCTGCATAATCAAACATAGAGTTTCTAAAATATTTATGGCAACTTTTATCATTTAAATCTTTCCAGTGAGTTTCATTTTTCCCAAAGAGGAACTTTCCTTTTTCCAAATGGAAACTATAGACATATACATACCTACATATATGTATATGGATATGTCTCTATCTCTAAATGTGTATGTGTATGTGACATATACACCTATATGTGCACATGTATGTCTATTTCTAAACGTGTATGTATATATATGTATCCATATCTATAGACATATGCATAAAATCTATAGACATATACATATATCTACATATATATACACATACAGACATATATGTCTATAGATATGAATACATATATATAGCATCCTCTCTTAAACAGCCAGTAGGAATGTAAACTGGTTCAACCTTTTGGAAGGCATTTAGAGAGCACACATAAAATTCTTACAATGTTTGCATTTTTTACCCAATAATACAATGTCTAGGTATATGCCGTATAAGAAAACAGTTTTAACTACAAGTATAGCTATTCCATTATATTTTATAGTTGTAAAAACAACAACAAAGATATAATCTATCTAACAAAGGGAGACGAGTCAATAAATTATGGCACATCCACGGAAATACTATGCAATAATTATAAATAAATCTGTAAAAGTACATTTATCAACTTAGGACTGTGTTTAACACTATACTATTAAAGTAAAACAAATCAGAAATAGTAAACTTAGTATACTCTCACTTTTATAAAAACATTATGGACAGACACAAAACCATAAGAACAGTTATTAAAACAATATTAGTCGTTGAAACTAAGATTATGATTTATGATATAATTTTATGAATTATATATACACGTGTGTTCAGTCTATATGTGATTTATATGTATATGTGTGTGTATGATTTTCATAGATTTTTAATGAAAAAAGATGGCCAAGATATATGTTCCTTTCTAGAAAAAAATTACCAATGTTATTAGTTAAAAATAAAATCCCTATAGCCAGTTACCTTAAAAAACACTATGAGATATAAAATATAGATAATCAAAGTCAAAGGCTTAAGATATTGAATGATACAATAAATAAAATAAAATTTATCCAACAGCCTCTACTAACTGTATTCTGAACCATAGATAGATAATGGTTGCTGGTCCCTTTTTACAAAGATATCCTACATTAACCAGTCATTTTCCCTAATCTGCATTTTCCCTAAGCCTTTTAAGATTGTTAGAAAGCTACATCAAGTGTCTTACTATAATAAAAATACCCTCTGTGTTCCCACTCAGCTTGTTAAGGAATCAAAGAAAGAAATTAAGTTAGTTTGGCATGATTTGTTTTTGATGAACCCATGGTGCCTTCTAATTATCACATTATTTTCCTCCAGATGTTTGCAAATTGAGTGAGCATAGAGATTCTCTTTGTTGAAATGCACCACGAAAGCCCTGGACAATAGACTATATTTGAAAGCTTTTGAGTTACTGGATTTGCTAGCATTTAAAATGGAGCTTTTCTGGCTAAAAGAAAATGTGCGCAAAACTTAAAACATGACTATAATTATTGAAATTGGCTATGTGAAAGTAATGGAGATAATGATTGAAAAAAAAACCCTCTGAATCCTATATATTAAGGAAGACTCAAGGTAGTAGTGGCATGAAAACTCAAACATGGTTATGTAAATGTGGATACACATGTACAGAGTGATAAGTAAAAACACACATATCCCTATAGTTTGGCAACACACTGACCATCTTTATTATTATTTTTTCACAGAAAATTGAAAGTTAGTCTGCATTCCCTGGTCACATCCTACCCAACAAAGCAGTTTCACTGCAGCATAGAATCCCCTGGTGCATAATTGAGACCTAACTTCAGGTAAGGTAAACAAGGAAATGAAGCTGCATTTTTTCAATATTTTTATCTAATATCAGCAATAGCAATAAGTAGACAAAACACTCGCCAAGAAGGCTGACCTCTGTGTCTCTCTTTATTTACAAAGCAAGGTTAATGATACCAGGCCAGGAAAAGGGTATAATGAATGAATGAGACAGACTGTGAAGACAGAATGCTAACAAAATAAGTAGTGGTCTAATATCAAGAAATAAGAATATAAACATGGAATCTTTTAAATATTCTCTTTGGACTGTAACAGGAGTAGAAGCAAAAGGCAATGTTAGAATGCAGAACTGATTAGACTCTCTTATAACTTAGCACATATGAATGCTTATTAATTCACTCTTGGCAAAACTGGCCAAGTCAGTATTTATATACATTTAATGTAATAGCATTGGAATGCTTATAAAATTTCAAGTTTAATCAAGTGTCTCTTGAGTGCTGCTACTAGCACTATATCTCCTCTTCTCAAAACTATGTTTGAGAGAAGAAAAGAGAAGCAGGGAGTCACCAAAACAGCCTTTATTGCAGCCAAATTCCCTGAGCTGCTTGATTATATCACTATAAATACTCAAAAGGCAGAAAAAGAAAAAAAAATGGAAGGAAGGAAGGAAGGTAGGAAGAAAGGAAGGGGAGAATGTAAAAAAAAGAAAGAAAAAGAAAGAGGGATGGAGAGAGGTAAAGTAAAGAAAAGAGGGAGAAATGACAGAAAGAGAAAGGAAAGAAGGGGAAGGGAAAAAAAAGAGAAAAAGAACTCAAACACTGAACATGCCTTCACATATTCAATTAGCTTTATAACAACTTGAATTCCCAAAGAGTCAGTTCTTGATATTCTTTATTACTCTGGAAACTTCAAGAAATTTACAATCTTGAAATATTTATAAATGCATCTGGCTCATTCTGAAATCACATTTCCTTCTAGTGTTACATGCACGCTGGGAACTTTCTGACATTACAAATTAATTGCCTAAAGTTTCACTGCTAAGAATATTGTAGGACAATTCTCCATGTTACTCTAGACTTAGTAGTACCAAGAACACACAAAAGAGCCCTGCTGAGAAAGAGATGCTGAGTGGCTGGATAGATGCACCTACTACCTAACCAAAGTCTCCTATCATCACTTTACCATGAACTTTATGCAAATTTGGCAAAATTATGCATTCCAACATACCAAGAGATCATTGGAGTTATTGAAAACATATTTGTTAAATATGCCACAAGGTTTAACTGTACAGAGCAAGCTTTAAAATTTTTCTTTCCCTATTTCAGTGCCTTCCTTCACAAATTCACATCAAATACTTAGGATTTTCACACTGAGTCCTGGTGAAAAAACCCTCCACTTTGACTTCATCACCTATTGCTACTGATAGTGATCAACAATCCAAACGATTCTCTGTCTCCCTTCCTCTGTCAATATTCTTACTTTATGCTCATTTCTTCAGAGATTTGGTCTTTAGCAAGTAATCTGTAGAATGGTGGTCTTGACCATGTAACGCAAGTATTTTCAAAGACATTTTCTCAAAATACAGTGATTTAACCCAAAGGAAGACAGAGGTAATTGAAAACCCTAGGGCCAGCCGATTGAGAGAAACTTGGGGGTAAGGGAACATTTTAAAAGCCCATCAAATTATATCATGTAGTCTTCTGCCTGCCCTTCAACAATCTAAGTACTTTGATTTGATCATGGCATGTATCATAATTTGTATACATGTATCAAAATATCACTCTGTATCACATAAATATGTACAATGATGTGGCAACTAGAAATAAAAGGAAAAAATGAGAATGATAACTCATTTGCAATTTCTGTGGGTAAAGTGAATTTGGCACAGAGTACAACTCTAAGCGGCGTTTCAGCCACAATGGCTATTATCCAGACCCAGTGCTATTGTGACTCAAGTTAAGTGCTGCCTAGGCCCTTAATGGCTATTCCATTGGTGATACCCTCCCAGCACACTTGTTCCATGCCCACCTGAGCCTCTTAAACATTTGCATATCCCTGGAATAATATTTAATAGCAGTCTGCCCTCCTGTTCCAAAAAAGAGCCTTTGATATCTAGTGTGTTGATTGTACTATGGAGATGGGATTTAAAACATCCACCCTAATTCAGTTGTTCTAAGTTGAAAAAAAATTACACAATTAATACATGTTAATCATATAAAAATTAGAGGGAATGAATCAACAAAAGGAAGAAAATAGAAACCAGTTGTAATCATACCACCCAGAAATAGCCCTGTTATCATCTGGGGATCTACATCTGGAAGGATACATATTCTCCTTCTTTCTCTCCCCTTTCTAAAATTGTACTGTTCTATGTGGTACTTTTTGTGTATCCTATTATTCCTTACTACATGTGATCAATTTTTCTGTAATAAAGTTCTGCAAAGGAATTTTTAAGTTATGTTTTCTGAAATGTCATAAGCCATAGTGATGTGTGCTCCTCTAACACGTCCTGTGATAGAATCATGAGGAATGAAGATCTGGAAATAGACAGAAAATTATAAGGAAAGGGGAGAATGTTGACAGGTGTATAAAATTCCTAGCTAATTCAGTGCAAATTCCTAGCTAATTCAACATTCTTGTGCTATGGAGAGTGCTTGGTTTTCTGCATATATCAACCTATGCATTAATTCACAGAAAGGCTCTCCTTTCTTAGAAATTTCAAAGGAAAATATTTACTACTTCCCTTAATTGGAATCATATCTCTAATGCTGTTAGTCAAATGTGAAATTGCAACCAAAATTATCTCAAAACGATTATAAAGTGCAGTTATTTCTGTTAGCAATTTCCATTTAAAATAAAATGTTATGAATTCTTCATAGCTATCACTCTAGCAAGCAAATAAATCAAAATTAAAGTTCAAAACTCTTACCATGTCCAAAAGCAGTACCTCTAAATCAAACAAGTAAATTTTAATAATGCAATACCTTCTTCGCCAAGGGATTTGAAAATCTGAATGGGAAAAATAATCATCCTCACTTATTTTAACAACAAAAATGCTTTCCCTCTACCTGGCTTAAAATAAAAGACATAATTCTCCCTTAGAACAGCAAAATATAAGGGAACTGCAGTCTCTGTTATGTTAAAATTAATAGACAAAAATAGCTCTGAGAGCTTGGGAGAAAATATATTAAAATTGTGTCATGTTGAGATCATTCTTTGCTCACATAAAACCATGAGGCTAATAAAATCTACAACACAATGGAGGACATCACACAAGTGATGGGATTTTTGTCTGTAATACTAGTTTAAAGATAACTGCCCTCAAACAGTCATCAATCATAATGTGCTTTGTACCAAGAAATATCTTTTCGTCTTTCAATCTTTCTGAAAGTGTCTCAAAGTACGTCACAGTCATAATCTCAGTTCTGAGTTCATTTCCTCTCACAAGATCCATTTGCATAATACCAGCTTCTTGATATTTGAGGCAACATCATGAATTAGCTAAGTCTTGGGTTTCTCTTCATTCTTTCTTCCATTGCCAGTTTTTTAGACTGTTTCTTGATTGTTATATTCTTCGTCTACAAAATGTAAACTATAAAGCCCTTACGTATAGTGCCTGCCATAATTTTAGAATAGAAGGTTAAAGAATCGTCTAAAATGATGTTTTTGGGTTTTTTATTTGCTTACATGTATTGAGCTTCTAAGCTTTTCCTAACTTACCTAGCTTAGCTAGCAGACATTAACCATCTGTAGAATAAGAAAGCCAGAGATATATCTTTGGACCTAATATATTGTTAAATAATATATGAATTATGCACACAATAAGTCCACACCTAAAATCACTGATAGGTTCTTGTAAACAGTGATGTCAAGCAAAATGACTCTCATTTATATCATTTAAGCTGGGATAAAATTTGTTTCATTATAGAGTAGTCATTTCCCTTAAAGTCAAGTTTCCAAGAACCTATCAATGACATTAGGTGAGGACTTACTGTATATATCCCTGTTCTCATTTTAATGTTGTACCTAATTACACAAGTAATTTTTAAGTGTGATCAAAAACTCCCTAGTATACCTGTCAGTACTTACAATATGACTCTTTGGATTTTTATATAAATTATTAAAATTCCTTATAATCATTTGTCATTCATATCACACGAAAAATGGATTCTTCTTTGGAGTTTATTTTAAGTGAAGTTTGTGGTGGTATTTTGGTGGGGTAGTTTCTGTTATTAGTGTCATATGACGCACAAAAAAGTCAATGTTTTCAAAGCTGCAAATCAAGAAGATGCAAACCTCCATATTTTTAAAAAAATACAGAAAGGGCCATTTCACTTCCCTCAAATTTCTATATTTTACTTGTCTCTCTTCTCACTCCACCTCTGCCACTACCTCCATTCTTATTTATCTGTTAAAAATACCACTAGGCTGGGCATGGCGACACATCACTGTAGTCCCAGCTAATCAGGAGTGGGAGGCTACTGAGGTGGGAGGCTTGCTTGAGCCCAGGAGGCTGAAGTTGCAGTGAGTTGTGACCACTCCACTGCACTGCAGCCTGGATGACAAAGCAAGACCCTGTCTCAAAAAAAAAAAAAAAATCACTGAATTTTTAAGAATTTGTCCTAATGAATAATTCTTGGACTTTCAAGACTTCCATTTATCCCTGAGAACAGCTGATCACTTCCTCCTAACTAGCTAAGTAGTTAATCTATTATGGTTAATAATTCAAGTAAGAAATTTGTATTAGTTTCCTCAGGCTGCTATAACAAAGTACCACAAACTGGGTGGCTGAAAACAATGGAAATGTATTCTCCCACAGTTCCAGAGGGTAGAAGCCAAAATTAGGGAATCAGCAAAGCAGTGTTCTCTCTGAGACTCCGGATAGAATCCTTCCTTACCTCCTCCCAGTTTCTGGTGGTCACCACCAATCCTTGGCATTCCTTGGCTTGCAGCTGCATCACTCTGATCTTGACTTCTATCGCCACATGGCATTTTCCCTAGGTATGTGTGTGTCTCTTCTCACCTCACGAGGGCACCAGTCATATTGGATTAAGAGTCCACCTTACTTCAGTACGACTTCATCTTAATTTACATCTGTTATGACTCTATTTCCAAATTGGGTCATATTCACAGGAACCAGATGTTAGGACCTCAACAGATCTTTTTGGGGAACATATTTCAACCCACAACAGTATCCCATAAAGGCATAGCCAACACAATTATAACAAAGCAAAGGGGTCTAGCAACATATTCCCACAGTTCAATGTGAAAACCATCATAGCTGAGTATATGGGATACTCTATTTCCAGAGGATATAATAATGATTTTAGAAAGAAAAGAGTCAAAGTTATTTGCCAGAGTTAACCTGAGTTCTCTTCTTAGGCAGTTCTTCTAAGTACAGAAGTCTGTTGCATTAATAGCCAAGGGCAAAATGTGGTCTGTAGTAATTATACTGATAACATGATCAACTAATGAAGTTCATTAGTCTAGTTGATGGAAACAGGAATTTATTGACTTTTTTATTTGCCACTAGTTAGTGAGTACTGTATCGAGTGACACGATCCAAGAAAAGTATGAAGCCAAATGCATTCTTCTAGCAACTCATTGGTCTTAATTAAACTGTGCTTTTAACTCATTTAAGCAAAATCACCCAGAGCATGTAAAATTTAAACACCTATTTAAGCAATAATATATATAAGTACTGTATTAATTATGGATAGGCCAATTATTGCTACTAAATTTAAAATGTTCCAATGTGATTTCACACTGTTCAAGTTCAAACTTCGAGTTAATTTTGTTAATTTTACTATAATTTAAACTGTATTGGTCCCAGGATATATATGAGTCCAACCGTATATTTGTCCCAGGAAAAACTAGAATTAAAGCCCCAACTAAAATTATTCAATAAAATATGTCCTCAGATTACCAAATTTACTAAGAATAGGTTATATTCACAAAACATCAGAAATCAAGCAATCAATAAAATTAGTGGTTTGCTTTTCAAGGTAGAAATATATATCTAGAAAAAAATAAAAATATTTTCAAGAAACTATATGTTCTCATCATCTAATCCCAGCTTCCTACCAATTCTGTTTTTTTAGATTCTTCAGAAAGTAGCATCACTATCATGTCTTGATTTACAAATATCATTCTGCACATATTCACTGGACTAGGAGGATATACACTTAGATTTGAACCAAAGACCCTGGGCAAATATGTCAAGTTTACAATATGGCAGAGGCAATTCATTTAACAAGCTTTTGAAAAGGCAGAGTGAGAGGGCAGCAGTCCTGTATCTTTGCCCAGTACAAAAGGAGGGTCAAAAACCATGCCTTAACTTCCAATGCCTGGCAGAAATTTTATACTATGCTTGTTTCAGATGGTTTTCTTGATCCCCATTATGTTTTTAGCTCAGCAGAGGAAAGAGACAGTTTTTAAAATGTCACAGTGGGAAGTACTTTAATATTGAGTGGTAAATCCCCAGAGGCAAATGCAAAATACATCACATTGTTAACAGTACCTTTGAAGCAGGCACAAGATTGTTCAAACAAGTAACGTAGGTTTCTTTCCTTTGGTTGAAGTTGTATGTGGTTAGGGGTTACGTAGGGTGGGGAAAAGGAGAAGAGTTTTCCATAAAACATATTTTTTTTTATTCTTAGGTGTTTTATATTGTACTACAAAATATACAATTTTCCTCTCATCTTCTATCAATCTGTTCATCTGTTTCCTAAATGTAATAAAGGAAATTATATATAGAACAAACAGTGATGTTAAATTGAGTACTGAATACCTGAAAAGGTCAACTTGTCTGTTGTACTATGTTTAATAGCATCATTGTAGGTCATTGCTACCCAATCCCTTGCACAAAATCACCAAGAACTATTTTTACATATTAGACACAGGAAGAATTATGAATATTCATATGTGAACTAATTAATTTTCTGGAATGACAGATTCTTTCAAGGAAAAAATGTTGGCCTCATTTTATTTATTGTATGGAAGAAAATAACAAAGATGTATAACAACTCCAAACTACAGTCTCTGGAGATTAAAATCAAGAATGGTGCTTTTACAAAGCTGCAAATAGAAATATTAAGATCTTCTGAAACTTCCACACAGCCCCTTCTGATGCCTTTTGATGCTTTTTCTTCCTAATCTTATTTGATTTTTATTGTCCCCACTCTAAAAGATTTAACTTATCTATTTTCAAAAGTGCTTAGATTTTCGGTATCCATTGCAACTCTTTTGTAGGCAAAATTGGTATTTTGATCTCTGACGTTGAACATCTGCAAACTAAATTTATATGCATGATAATGACACACAATCATAAAGGATGTGAAATATTCTGTCTGTGTTATAACAGATGTCAATTTTTGTTGCTTGTTATTACTAAAAGGGGAAATGGAGCTCCTCTCTGTGACAAGTAATGTTGCTTCTAATCCCTAGCAATAAATGTACCTAGAATATGTGCAGAAGTGGCACTCAGCCTGAATATCCATCACCGTTTTGATTGTTTGAAATGCATCTGGTCCCTTTGAGTATATTTACTGTGATTACCCAGTTCAAGCCTTTTCACATTATTGCATGTGCCTTCAAATGACAGTAATGAAAATAACTGCAACCATTATTATAGGTTTTAGGACTTTGCCATCTGTTGAGTATTAGCCTTTGCCATTCCCCAACTGGCATTCCAGTGAGCCAAAATTACACAGAAGCTACCCTATAACACTGCATTTTTATATCACCTTTCATTTTCCACACATCAAATATAAGGCATTCCTTAAACAGTCCTATTAGGAATCTAGTAATTAAGAATGAATCTGAATGAATTCACTTGAAGTTATTTCAAATGTTAAAATACAAAGGAAAAGCTATAGAAGTAAATATGGCAATATGGTACGCAGTTCTGACAATTAGCAATGATGTACAATGTTGTGATATTTAAGAATCAATCTAAAATGGTGGAGAAAAAATGGCAAGCATGTTACTATTTCCATATAATATAAATTATTTGGAAGTACTCAGTGTATCCCCTCTATGACATGAATAAATAGATTTGGGCTTATTTGAGGCTACAGACTTCTAATTAATCAGAAAGTCAGCATTTTGACCAGCCACAAATTTGTAAGAAATGTGTATTCACAAATCTCAAAACTGGTATTTGTTTATGCTATTGCCACTAGTAGTCTAGTACCATATTGGAACCTGCCTATAATATCTTGTTTTAGAAAATAATTCAGGTACAAATTCCAAATCACAAATAAGGCATATATAGTATGATAAAATATTATAGATTCTAAATTGCAATGAAAAACATATAACCATGAAGCTCAAAGTTTGACTGAAAATTATATTTTTTATATTGTTCACTTCAAAGCCCCTCTTGCATAAGTCAATTTTAACCAAAAATGTGGTGAGAGAAAGGCAATCTACTATGTAACAAAGAAAGGAAATCATACAGTAAGAAAGCAGGAATAGCGCAACTAAAAAGAAAATGCAGGCGAAACCATTTTAGTGTATTTTCTCATTGTAACACCTTATATTCCATTTGTACCACTCAAAGAGTACATTCAGTGTTGGGTACATTGTAGGTAGGTGCTCAAGATATGTTTTTGTACAAGATAATTAGAAATATAAAAGATCAGGCTATATTGAAAAGGGTTGCAGAGAACATTGAATCAACAAGTTTAAAAAATACATGATGTTTTATAACAACTTAATCCCAATCACTTCTTATATCATTCTAAATGTACCAAGTAGTACATGATTCTGACTTAGAAAATGCCACCAACATTAAGGGCAGCTACCAGCTTAGTCTTTAGAAGAAAGGATAGAACCATCCACTTTTTTTTTTATTTTTTTCCTCATTTGCACACCACTGATGATATCGCATAGCTAACACACTATCTTCATTGCATTTGTCCCAAGAAAGAACAATGATTTGGGGTGCTCATTTTAAAGAATGTGTAAGAATAGATTTCAATAATAGTCTTGATATTTTTAGCAGAATTAAAGATTTACTTTCCTATGTTCAATTAGTTTTTGAGAAAGTAAATAAGGAAAGAATAAATAAGCAATAAAACATACCTGGAATGACTTTTTAATTAAAAGAAAAATCCAACAAATAAAGGAGAGGATGCCAAGGAGATTACACAGTGTGGTGAAAGATAAAATGCATTCCTTCCTACTAAGATCCTGGAGAGAGTAAAAAATAAAAATAAAAAGTGTGTACCTTTCAATGTCACTTAGAGAACAACCAAAAACAGTAAAATTATATTCTATCCAAAAGTAGACTTGGAAAAATAATTCTAATAGGTAAAAGCTGAAAAGATATCACAAAATGTGGAAAAGCTAAACAAATGATAGTAAAGACCCATGATACCCAAAATGATGAAGGCAGACTTGAGGGGTCTTAAGCAAATGGGTGGAATCCTCTACCTGGAAGGTGGCTGATGACAAAATTATTGATTCAATCTTAATGACAATGTGTCCAGCTGAGCAAAAAAACAAAAACAAAAATAGTAAGAACAATAACGTTTAAAAAGGTGATAGTGGCTATTGAGGTCACTAAGAACACTCTGTAATACACCTTGCTACCTGGAATAATACTTAACTGTATTTCTATTCAAAATGCTTTATACTACTGAATAGGTTTCAGAGTAATAAGCTTACTTCCTTCAAAAATGTTCCAACAAATTTGGACATAGCCCATGTATGCTCCTTACTTACAGTCAATAACAATTCAATTCAACAAATATCTCTTAGGCATTACCATATTCTAGGCATTATGCTAAGAGCTGCAAAAGACACAAGGGTAGACAGAGCACGGTGGCTCACGTCTGTAATCCCAGCACTTTGGGAGCCCCAGGCAGGCAGATCACCTGAGGCTAGAAGTTCGAGACCAACCTGACCGACATGGTAAAACCCCGTCTCTACTAAAAATACAAAAATTAGCTGTGCATGGTGGTGGGCGCCTGTAATCCCAGCTACTCGGGAGGCTAAGGCAGGAAGGCAGAGGTTGCGGAAAGCCAAATTTGTGCCACTGCACTCCAGCCTGGGCAACAGTGAGACTCCATCAAAAAAAAAGACACAAGGGTAAGTCCACTATTGTTGAGTTTGTACTATTCTCTCCCCAGCCAACAGGAACATGATATTGGAGCTATGAAGGTGGACCCTGCCTTTATACAGATAATAGCAGAGTGGAGAACACTGACAGTAAATGAGTCTTCACAACAAATTGTGAGAATGACAATCCTCTCCTTCCAGACTTGAAATCTAGTAGAGAAAACAGTATGTAAACATGGAGTTAAGGAAAGACTGAGAATTATGCTTAATATAAATGAGCTGAATAGCAGAGTAAAGCAAGACATTAATTCTGAGAACATTCAAAGGAAAGAGGATTTGAACAGCCTTAGCCAGATGGATAATGAAGGGGAAAGGGCATTTGAGACAAAGGAACCCAGTACCCAAAACTGCACCTATTCATATGTCAGAGACCAAAGTATAAATCAGAAAATTTAAGGGGAAACAGTCAAAAGACCATGAGGAGTCTTAAAAACAGGCCAGGGAGACTGAGTTTATTCTATAGACACAACAGAAAGCAAGTAAAGATTTTTGAGTTTAGGAATAATGTGTTCAGATCTCTAATGAAGGAAGAAAAATTTGGAACACATTCGTGGATCACTTACAAAACTATTTTAAATATAAAGAGAAATAACTAAAAAAGCATATAACACCAAAATATTAACAAAAGTAAAATTTTTGAGTAACAGAATTTAACTACTCTTGCCTATTGGCATTTTCTAAATGTTTTACAATGAACATGACTGGTGTTTGTACTCTTAAAAGCAAGTTGTGTACTTTTCTGATATACTATATCCACCAATACTGAACATACTAATTATTATTACTATAACATATATATAAGAGATTGGAGGCAAAAGAAAATTGAAAGTCATAAAAGTATTTAACTTTCAGTATTGATTAAGCTAAAATGTGGCCATTGGTCTTCGGTCTGGACTTTTATTGTAACTGATTTAAAGCCAAATATTTCCAGCAGCCAACAAATGATGGCATTTTACCGAATATCCTGCAGTCTGGTCCTAGAATAGCATTGTGGCTCTGAGTTACAGGAAGAACAGCCAGTTGGATCACAAATCTGGGAAGTGAAGGAGTTTCTCATCACAGAGCAGCTAGGCCCTAAATAAGCACAAGGTCACAGTGACTTCCTGTATTTTAGGGAATTGGGTCCTGACATGATCTATTCCATGATGAGTAGATGTACCTCTTATGGGACTTGTCCCTATTTTCAATGAAAGACGATTCAAGCATAACTTTGGTGAGGACAAGGGTCAACATCACTAATCATTCCTGGAATAATATACCTTGGTCTTCACATGAGGAAGAAAAGGAAAATGGTGAAGGGACTGAGAACTTTTCATCCTGAAGAACAGGTAGAGAGCGCTGAGAACTTGGGTAACCTCAGAGTCACTGGATACACCAGTTTGGTAGCATTGTCTTTTTGCATTTTTTTCCCTTAATGCATTGAAAAGTGATTTGGCAACAAAAATGATATTTCTTTCACTTCCTCTTAGTCTGGTTCTCCTATGACCAAACACCATAGTAGATTAAAATTCAGATACTAATAAAAGAAGTTTGGTTACTTCCTTTAATGGGATTTAAAAAAAAAACAGAAAAGAGAAATGATAGTAACTAATTGCATAAGGCTCAGGAAGGAAGAAATTGTGATCACCATGTGGAAAAGTATATAAACTCATCCCTCGGTATCTGAGGGGCATTGGTTCCAGGACCTCCTGTGGATACCAAAATTTGGGGATGCTCAAGTTCCTGATATAAAATGTCATAATATCTGCATATAAATTATGCATATCCTTCCATATACTTTAAATCATCTCTATGTTACTTATAATACCTAATGCAATAAATTTTATGTAAATGGTTTTTATGCTATATTATGTAGACAATAGTAAAACAAAAAAAAAAAGGTCTACACATTCAGTACAGACATAACTTTTTTTAATCTTTTTGATCCAAGATTGGTTGAATCCAGGGATGCAGAACCCAGGGATACAGAGGGACAACTGTATATACTTCTGTTTTTAAACAAAGTGTTTGCATTTGTATGGAGTCCCCTAATGAAAACAAAGTGGTTCATTTATATTATGCAATAAAATTTAAATACTCTTGTGAAACCAAAAGTCAATCATAAGTAATAGAGAAGAGAGAAGGTTCAATGAAGGCAAGTGGCTTAAAGTTCAAGACTTAGAACTAGTTGTCATACCACTTAATCCACATTTCTGCTCTGAACATCTACGTCTGATCTCTCCCAAACTGTCCTAGACAGAGCCTAGACATTGATGCAGGTCCACACAGCAGGATCTGCAAACCAGATCTGACCACAGTGACAGGCCTTTCACATATGTGGTGCACAGAGGTACGTCAAGTAGATGGTTCAGTTATGCAATCTGATACCTGGGAACTGACACTAAACAGATAGATCAGAGAAGGAAGCCAATACCACCAGAAGCCAGTGGGTCAGGCACTGAATGGGCAAAAGCATAAGTAGGAAATAAATTGAACCTTGCAAAATCTCCTGATTGGGATTTCAGGTTTCCAAATTAGCTTTTTACATGGTTCCTCTCAATCACTGGCATGGGTTTCCAAGGATTCGGTTAAAAAGTCAACACAGTAAGAAAGTAGGCCTTTGCCTACTTTCTTATACCCCAGAACGAGTATATACCCAATGCCCTGCAATAATCATTTTTTGAATATTTATTTACTGAATCAAACTTCTCATTTGAAGACCAACATCATATAAATAAATATTTTCTTAGAAAGAAATTTGAAAATGTTGGAAAATACCCTCCACCAACGCCACCTTCCCTCCTTCAACTACTAATACTGTCTTCAGATAATTCTCACTCCCACAATCCCACATCTTTCATTTCTTAAGCTCTTCCTCCAAAATTAACCTATTTTAGCATCTGCATAGTTATCGTAATATGACTGAAAGATACATAAATAATGACTAAAGATGAAAATTATATTTGCTACTAAACTAATACCAACAATCCCTCCCTTCACCAAAAAAAAAAAAAAATCTTCCTATCTAAGGGTAACATGGGCACAAGTTATGAACAAGTGTGGTTAAACAGCACTCTGTAATGGTGCTGTTTACTGGCTCCACTCATACTAGCCTGCAGTACTAGTACAATAAACCAGGTCTTGAGTGCTAACAATAGTACAAATTGAAGTGATTGAACTTAGTGTTTGACAGGCAGGTAAGAAATGAAGGAATTGAAGGCAGTAAGACAAACGGGTGAAAATCCATGCCTGATGAATAGGTAATCCTAAATTAAAATGCAGAAAGACATGAAATGGCAGACATAGGTGCCTACCAGATCATGGCAGACCTCATACACTAAGCCAAGAAAATTGAATACTATTGTACTTACTAAGTGGGGAAGACAGGATGAGAATGAGATTTTCAAAAATGATGAGCCCAGAGGAGTAACACAGCATTAGGAAATAGAAGGATTCTGAAAGCCACAACAAAAGTCATGGCAGGGAATTGTTAAGAAGATGAAATCGTAGAGCGTAATGACCTTCGTGAGTGCTGATGGCATTCTCTCATCCTGAATGTCCAACCAATCCCATGCCACCTATAACTATCCTTCTCACTCCTAAGGCTCAGCTCAAATATTTTCTCTTCCAGGAAGTCATCTCTTTGAGAACTGCTTCTTCATCTCTTCTCCCACAGCCTTCTATTTGTTCCTCTTATAACACAGTTCATTCTACATTGTATTTGAGTTAACTGTTTGCATGTCTACTGCCTCCATTATATCACAAACTCCTTTAAAGAGGGTCCCTGGCTGATTCATCCAATTATACCCCTTCTCCCAATAAATTTAGCACAATGCCTTATGCATAAAAGTTTGGATGAATAAATGAACAAATTGAAATGTCTCAAAGAGACACTTTGCTGATTTTGCATTGCTACAGACATAACCAAATCCCAGAGCCTACAGCAGGCATACAATGATCAGAAGCAATTAGGCTGGCTTCAGAAAACTCTTACCAGGCTATACAGAGAAAAAAGGAGTAACTGAAACATGATCTATTTCAAGAAAAGCACTGATATTTGTTTCTTTACAGAAATATTTCTCTTTGCATCCCCCTGCAGATCATGACAATAATAACAGAGATACAAGTACATTTTATCTGTAAACTGCAAACAGAAAAATACTGACGCTGTACAAATATACTTATGGTTCACTCAATAAAAAAGGTTTCTTTTCCCCTACCCCCTTGCTTCCCATTCCAACATTAAAATGGAAAAAGAAAACTCATCCTAATTGTTCCTTAGTTAGGAATAACCAAGCAAGGGCCCTTGGCGCTCCAGAAGAGTCTAGTTGCGGGAGAGAGGGGAAACGTGACAAAGATAGCAGCTTCCCTTCTTTAGTTACAACTCCACCACCAAGGAAGGGAACCAGGTCTATGTGCCCCAATATTAGCCAAAGAGAAGATTGGATACTAAGCTATTCATTAACAACTTATCAAGCATTTTGGATCTCATAATTGAGACGGGGTGAATTATAAAAGGAGAGCCATGCAGGCCTACTGGCTTCTTAAGAATTCCTCAGTATTAATACCACTCCTCCCAAATCCCTTTGAGGATAGCTGCTTAGACGCTGGGAGAAAATAATTGAACAATTTCATGGTGACATTAAACAGCAGCTCATAATTGACCTCAATATGAATAGCAATAAAGATGGAGAGGATGACATATGCTCTATATATGAGCATGGGCAGGATTCAAACCCTAATGCCTTTAACTCCATCAAGGAAAGAACACATGAGAAAACTGCTTAATAATCATGCAAAGCCTATTTGCTTTCTATAGCAGAGCTGGAGGTTTTCATATCACCTCTGCTAATTGACTACACTCAAATGATAGGACCACTCTCCGCAGTAAAAGAACTCTCAGATTTGCATTGATCCAGGAATTGACTGATTTGGTAGTGCCACTTGTTTGCTAAAAGGGCATTTCAATTGGCCAAATCAAAGTGAAGTGTTGTGCAATTTTCTGTGTAATCAGCATTAACAGTAGCTAAAGAATGACTGGTCTTCAGAGTAGTAAGGCATGTTGCCAAGTAGAAAGGTGATAGCTACTGCTCCCCACACTGCCCCCCCGCCCCCCACCCGGATCCTCCTTTTACATCCTGGACCTGACTACATAAGCAGAGCTGGAGGCATTTACTCAGTCTTCTAATTCTTTAGACAACTCTGATGACTGAATGAGCAAATAGAGGCTGTTTGATTTTTAAAACTGGTTCCTCTGAGTATCTGTCCCCATACAAATGTACATTAAAGAAAATTCTAGACATAAAGAAAGTACAAAATATCACTGAATGACTCATCAAGTAATTGTACAACCTTTATTCAAACTCACTATCTTCCCCAAGCCTGCTTTTACTCTTGTATTCCCTAACACAGGTGCTCTACCATCCACCCACTTGCCCACCCCCATTATCTTTGGTTAGATTCTAGCACTGGACCCGAAGTGGTCTCCCAGCCACCACGTCTGTCCACCATGCATGTCCAACTAAGCAATCTAGCTAAATAAACTTTACCCTTTAATGGCCAAAACATCGTACTCTGGCTGAAAAGACCCAACTGTCTTTGTTGTTGTCAGTCTCTATTCTCATCTCTTGAACACTTCACCCACTCCCACCCCATTTAAAAATTTATCATAACTAGTATCTGCAGCTCTATGAATTCATGTTGTAGTAGCAAATCTCTTATATTTGCTAGACTCTTCCCTCAGCTGTGAATGACCATCCCCACTTTGCCCACCTGGAAGGGCTCTCTTTATCCTCAGTGCTTTACCAAGGTGTCACTGACTCTGTAAGCTGCCTTTCTTCCCATACCAAGATTATTCCCACAAATAATATTAATAGTTCCTTTTCTATAGGATTCCTGCACGTTGCATATAGTTGTTTGATTATATTTATCCTACTATATTAAAATTGTATGTACCCATTCGCCTTTATTAGAAGGTGAGCTCTTCAAGCACTACTCCCAAAGTAAAAGCAGTGATTCAGAACACAGGCTTCAGAGTTCCCTGATTTCAAGTACTAACATCAGCCTTTATCAACTGCATGACCTGGGCAAGTCACCTAACCTCTCTGTGCCTTAATGTCTTAACTGTAAAATAAGGATCATGATAATATATACCTTAGAGAGCTATCAGGATTATTAGAAAATCTGATTTCTATAAAGCTTTAGCATAGTAAATGTTTAATGAGTGTTACTTATGATATTGAAAGGTAAATGACACCCATCTTTAATCTCCATTGGACACATGGTAGACTCTTAGACATGACAGTTAACTGGCCTGCATAGGCTGACTTAAGATATAATAGTAAAGTTCATTCCAATAAAAAAACACTTTGGCAGTGGTTGATGTTAGATTTTGTGGGCCATTTAGCAGGAAACATTCTTCCAAGAGCCCTAATAACTAAATGTCTTCATTAACTCCTTCCAGGTACGCTATTCTGTCACTTTCCAAACTCTAATTCTGAAGCACTCTTATCCTTTTTAAGGTTTTATTTCTGTACCAATGCTGTCATTCTGTTCCTGAACAGAATTTTCCCAGGCAATTCAGAATTAGCTCATGAGCTTACATACTTAGCAGAAATGAACTTTCCAATTTCAACCACTCTGCTCACCTTAGAAGAAACAGGACTTCAATAGTCCTCAACCTTAACTAATTTTATAAGTATAAAAATTGAATAATGCAAAATCCCCAGGAAAAAAATATATAATGCCTAAGTGAATATATATACCATTTGTTTTCTGTGACATGTACATCATAGACATATCAAACTTGCATGCTAAATTTTTTAAAGGGATCCGAATGTCAGTACAATGTTAAATTTACAAATTAATTCATCTGAGTAACTTAAAAATCACTTAACCTATTATTTATCTGTCCTTATAATAACCTTTTAAGAGTAGAGAACAGGCTGTAAAACCGAGCCTCAAATGGGTACATAATCACTAAAAGCGATGGTAAAGGATGATGTTTGTTCAATTTTCCTTTCATTACGGAAAGAAACTTGAAAAATTCAAAAGAAAACCATCCCTCCCCAGAAGCGCACATGCACACGCACACAGACACACACTCACACACACAAATAACTAAGCTCAACTAAAATATAGTCAGTATACTCTTGAGTTCCGTAGAAGTCAGATACACTTTCACAAATTGTCAGAAGTTGCAGCATTAAAAACTGGATTTTATCAAATACTTTTCAAACAAATGCCTAGCAGATTAAATCAATATTATGTATCCAATGACTAATTCATACTTACAATGTTTAAGGATTTTCGCTATGTAAACTAAATTATGAAATTACTATATATATATGTTTACAATATATTTTACCAAATAATTTCCAGATGGTTGTCATTTTTCAACTTTTCAACTTACGGTAAACATGGCTTTAAGTTCATTTTTTCTTAAGTAAAAAATAAATCATTATTTCTACATCCAATGATATTTTAAATGCACTAAAATTCATTACATGACTTCTTTAAATGCATATTTGTTGTCTTTATTTTATATTTTCTTATACTGGGGTTGCTCGAAGTGACATAAGCCAGAATTCTTGAAATCAAGTATTTGTTTATTTATTTATTTATTTATTTATACTGGCAGAAGTAACACTCCTTCTTTATACTAGAGAAAACCAAATGTCATTTTTAAAAGACAGATAAAAGTGTGCTTCCAAAGAACATTATGATGATGTTGCCATTGAAAATTAGGGCCAAATAATTCTCCAGGGTGACCTTGAGATTCCACTTAGTGTAGAAGCTGTAACTTCACTTTTGTGAACCTCGGTAGCTTTGTCAGGTTCAAGAGCTTTTGAGTCTTACCTAGGTTTGCTCACCTTTTGGTGTCTGCTTCCTGCATTGCTAATTAATGGAAATACACACTCAGCCCGCAGCAAATTCAGGAAGTTTATTCCCCATGAAAATCTAATGAAAAGGCTGAGCCTACACAAGACAATAATTTGTTTAAATTTGAAAATGCCAATTGGAAGCGGCATTGATTCTTTAGGGACACCAGGTTTCTATTAAGTAGAATCTTCCTTCCCTGAACCAGAGTAAAGTCAAGTCGACTTCCAAAGAAATATAACTTGCCACCAAGGCTCCCTTGAGAAGGTTCCACCGAGGCCAGACAAAACTCATTTCTCTTCCCCCCAAGTCCTCATATCATTTTGTGGAAGCCAGCTGCGGAGGTCAGAACCTCCTCACTTAATTTATTTTGTTCACAGCCTTGTCCCACAAACAAGCAAAGAGAAACATATTTTTAAGCTTGAATGGCTGCTTTATAGGCACATAGACTATGCATCTATGCTGCTGATGTACACTGTAGTTAAAAAAATATGCTTTCTCTGTTTCCAGACTTCTAAACAGGGTAATGTCAACTCCCTCCTCCAGCTGTTCCAGGCAGTTATCTTTACCAGCTGTTTACCATCGTCAACAATGACATACTTCTGCATGTCTGAAATATGTGAAACTTCAAAACGGCCCTTTCATGTTTCTACCCAAGGTAAATATCAAAACACTTCCTCTTCCTGCAAATACTACAGAGTGAAAAAGACTCTTTTCAAAACTACTGTAGCTTGTATGCGTGTCATTTCATCAGCATTCTCTTAACATTTACCATTCAAGTAAACGTGGGGGGTGGAGTGTGGTGGTCTAGTAAAACGTGGGCCTTTCAAGGTAGATAATCATTAGGGATCTTGAAGAATTCTGGCTTTCAGAGAAACCTTTAAAACAAAAATGCCCTAAAGCAGTGGTCTTCAAAATTTGTTGCTATCATACCTCCCACAAGAATTTTGAAAAACTACCCACTTACATGTTTTTAAGTTGATGTCTAAAAATGTTATCATAAGCTGAAATGTTTGTAAAAATATATGTATTTTTGTATGTAACGTATCGTGTATGCTTTAAATATATTTTTACCAAACCAAGGTACATTTTGGATCTTCCAATCTATGGAAAATGTCTGTTATAAGCAGAATCCAAAATGACAAGGCCAGTTCTCATTGTTAAAAATATTAGCCACTTTCTACATGTTAACGACAGTTTTGTCACATCTGAATTTTAATTTTAAGGTAACTAGGAAGGGAGATGAAGAGGTCCAGAGACAGCAAGACATCAAGACAAACTGGCTACTGGTGTATTATTAATGAATTTCTTCAAGCTTTTTCTATTTATTTACTCATTTTATTTAGATTTTGAAAGCTCTTACATTCACCTTTAATTGACCCCACAGGCACAATTTAAAAACAAGAAATTAAAGAATTCCCCATGGTTCAGGAGACTAGGGGGCAATTTATTCCACAAGGGAAGAGAAATCAACTTTTTTGTTTTACAAGATTTGCATTTGAAAACTGGAAATATGACACTAATTCTACAAATATGATGTGAAAATGGCATCCAGGATTTTAATCATCTTTCTAATCAGTTTTCAGGGCCCTGCTTTAAAAAGCTAAATTAGGTGGGCAATATAAATATGATTGCTATGTATTCCCAAAAATCTACAGTTCATAGCCACTTCCAGAGAAACCATTTGAAGGGCAGATAACCCGTTACCGAATGCCTCCTGTAAGTCCATCATTCCTGTGGAGGGAAACAAGACAAATAGAAAAAAAAAAAAAAATGCTTCTTACTCTGAGAAACATGCAATCTGCTTAGGGACTAAAATTTATACACCAGAAACTATTAAGAAATCATTCTGGGAACCCAACAAATTGTTAATGCTGTGAGGCATTTGAGTTAAAGAAATGGACCTTGGAATCTACCAGACCTGGGTTGGCTATAAACAACTTCCCAGTGACTCCAGCTTCTGTGTTGGTAAAACGGGGACAATGAGGAGAGCAGGTGGGAGTAGGTAAATTACAGCCCCTGGGCCAAATGCTGCCCAGTGCCTGTTTTTGTATGACCTGTGAGCTAAGAATGGTTTTTACATTGTTAAATGGTTGGAACATTTAAAAAAAAAAAAAAAGACTATTTCACAATATGTGAAAATTATATAAGATTCAAACTTCAGTGTCCAAAAATAAAGCATTACGGGAACACTGCCACACCTATTTATTAACATATTATCTACAGCTGCTTTTGTACTAAAACAGCAAAGTTAAATAGTTGCAACAGAGACGATGAGCTCTGTAAAGCCTAAAATATTTACTATCTGGCCCATTGTGGAAACATTTGCCAAGATTTCTGCTTTAGTGAATTAAAAGAAATAATATGAATAAAATGGTTAACATACTACTTAACATATAAGTCCTCAATGAACAGTAAATATGATGATTGCTTTGTAAGAAGCTATAATTTAAACCCAATTTACAACTTCAAAAGTAAACAAGCCTACAAAAGGCATGACTTACCCCTAAGTGGCTGCTAAAGCCCCTACAAAATGGAAATATGGGCACGGTTTAAACTATAACCATGAAATGCACATAAACCTGTCATGCATGGATTATGGAGAACTGACCACCAGAAAGCAATTGTTGCTATATTATGTATTGCGTGACATTTGAACAGATGGTGACTGAATTCTTCAAGCTTCTGCCTACCCCAGGACTCTCACACATCATGTCCCATAATGAGTATACACCTTCCTCTGCTCATCCCAGCTTTCTCCTTTCCACCTGTCAGGTCTTCCCTTAAATATCACTTCCTCAATCACTTCATCCTAACACCTCTTTGGTTTCCTCCATAGTACCCTTACAGTTATATATTTAGATGACAACTTTTGACAATCTTTCGCCTCTCCAGATTATCCCTTAACTCCAAGAGAAGAGTGACACAATCAGTCTTTGTCACCATCATATGCCTGGCTCCTAGAAGACTGAAAGATGATAATGAGTATCTGTTGAATGAATGCCTGTAACCCTGAAGGTCACCATTAAAGGACAACAGACAACTTGTCCTCAAACATAAGGAAGTGCAACTAAAGAGACTATCAAAAAAAAAAAAAAAGAAACCTCAGCCCTTTCACCCTCCCTTTCAACCCAAAGTCAGCAAATACAGTGTTCATTAAGTTGTGAGTGAAATTTCAAAATTGTCAGCAACAAAAATATTTTGTGTACCTACCACATTAAAACACACTTCTAGGTGCCAGGGGAAATAAAACTTCTATATGTTAAAGTTCTGACTCCTCAGAAGCTCACAGTACAGACATAAAATTCCAATACAAAGCAGGCTTTGCAAATAATGGAATGGAAACACAAAGTTTTGCAAGATTAAGGGAGAAGAAGAATGTTCATATTGGTTGAAGAGATGTGGAAAATCTTGGAGGAGATAAGAATCTTAAAGCATGATAAAACTTCAAAGACAACTAGGAGTAGGGTATTTCCAGCCCAGCTTGAGAAAAGATACAGGTGGGAAAGCAAAGAAGGTGTTCAGTAAACAGCCATCTTAGTCAACTAAGATATGAAAGTGGTGGTTAAAAACAAGGTCTCTAGAATCAAACAATTTGAGTATTAAATCTTAGATCCACCACTTACTAGCTCTGTGTCATTGAGTAAATTGCTCTTTCTCTATAAGCCTCAGTTTCCTCATCAGCAAAATAGGAATAACAATCTTACCTACCTGAAATCATTCTTGTGAGGGTCGAAGAAAACACATGAAAGAACGACACAATGTTTATCCCACTGTAAACACTCAATAAACATTAGGTCTCATTGGTTTTATTATCCTTCTTTGGTAACTGTAGGTGTGAGAAATAGTATCTTGTTTTCTCCTCTCTGCTTTTCTTACGCTGTTCTAAACTAAGCTATTCCCTGGTAGCAAATTAAACACTTCTGAAACTGCATGAGCACTTTCCAGCTTCTGGCATGCTATTGTGTACACAGAAGCAACACCTAATTGAAGAGTAGCCTAATAGCCTCAGAAAGCCGATGTAATTTTTTTAAAAAGCCATTGAGTTAAAAATAGGAACAGTTCAACGAGTGAGAAAATGAGCTTCTATGTGTTGCCTTGACATTATTCCTCAATACCATTTTTAAAAGAGCAAAATTTAGCAAAAAAACTAAATAAATATGCTAATCCTAATTGCTTACCAGTTCAACAAAATTGGAGTCAATTACTGTAAAAAGGTCCCTGTTTCTAGGAAGAATCATTGATGAGGGCAAAAAATATCTAAGTTAAAATAAATACACCAAGCCAAAGAATTAATATTTACAAATAGCAGAATGTGAATTTCAATTTTTAACATTTATTGTTCATGAACAGATTGAGTTATGCAAAAATGAGATGGCTTTAGTTTCAGGATCTTAAACCACCACATTCTTGCGGTAAGGCAGGTGTTGTCGCTATTATGTAAAAAGACCTGACATCTGTAAAGGTTCTAATTTTCCCACTAAATCCTGGACAAAGTTAGCATGTCCTTGGAGAAATGAAGCAACATCTAAAAAGAGCTTGGCCAGTCGACTGTTTTATATGGCTTAGATACAGCCTTGATTGGAAGCAGAAGGATCACTCTAGGGTTTGGCTAACCATAATTAAAACAAGTCTTTACCTGGTAGCCTAGACCTAGACTTACTTACTTATTTATATTTTGGAAGGAAGTAGAGAACTCTGGATGCAGAGTTTCGTATCTAAACCCACCCTCCAGTATCTGTCTCTCTAGTGATGCTAGATGCTTGCCCCCAAATGTTAGTGTCAGAATCCAAGTAGATTCCCAACATAGTCAACCTCCAATAACTATGAAAAGAAGAATGAAGCCAGGACATGGGTCAAGGCTTCAGGTTCATGTTCACTTCAGGCTCACTGTCATAGCCTCTCAGTGCTATCCAATAGAGCTTTCTGCCATGAGGGAAATGTTCTATGCCTGCACTGACTTTGAACCCCTAACCCCATGTGGTTATTGGGCACTTGAAATGTGGCTAATGAGATTGGGGAATTGAATTTCATTTTATTTTAATAAAGTTAAAGAGTCACCTGTGGCTAGTGGCTATCTATTGGATGGTGGCTGTTAGATGGTGGTTATTGGATGGTGGCTATCTATCTACTGGATGGTGGCTATCTATTGGATGGTGCAGCTACAACTGTAGACCTGCTCTCTGGTCTGTTTGTCCTTTCCCAGAGCATAGTCTTTAATAGCTTCCGTTCAGCCCCAACTTCATATTTGGTTCAAGATTTATACTTATTCACCAACTTCTCTTCAGGTTATCTTTTTCGTTCTTTTTCTGACTCACTCACCTGCTCTGTCTGCATGACCAATGCTCTTGTCTCCTGCCCCTGGAGTCCAGCATCAGAAGCTGATCTCCTCACCCTCACTTTTTGCTAGGTATAATACCCTCTCTGGTACATACTCCCTCAGAAACCACTCTTCCACCATCTCATGTCTTCAGCAGGATTCCATCCACATAGTTCTCAGCTATCTTCTCCTGTTTGCTGGTGTGCATACTTACTTTCTCCTTCTGGATAGTAATATTTCAAGGACTAATATTGCACCCATCAAAAACTACAATTTTCAGAAGTCTTGCTCAAAAATCTTATACCTTGTGACTTAATATGATGCAAGTGACCGGGCCTGCCAAAGATAGTTCAGCTCCACCTCTAATTCTCTGATTCTCAGATTCTATTTTAGGTGTCCATTTTCATCTTATACTTTAAGATTAGTCACCATTTTTTAATATTCACCTATAGCCTCCTTTCCACAGCCCAGAGCAGAGGAAAAATATTTTAGAAGTTAAATTTGATATTTCTAAAAGTCAGTTATCCAGGTGTGAAAGCAGGCAAACTTTATTGCACCAGAAAGCTGTTTTGAATCCTTTTTCCTCCACTGATAATAACATACTGCTTTATTCTTAAATTACAAACTTGGATAGTCTAGATTTTTTTCTATTTCCATATAGTGCTAATACACAAAGGAAATTTTTTAAAGATTACAGCATGCATGTAAATAAATTGTACACTTATCAACCTTATTTCCTTAATTGTAAACAATGAAGTTCCAAAGTGTTCTAAATTTTATGGCCTTATAATCGCATTTTAAGCACCCTGTCCATGTCAACCCAAGTGTAGTTTTATGTATATATCTGGCACCAATTAGAGGAGGGTGGCTGCTCAGCTCCCTCATCTTAGAACACAAGATAAACAGGAATGTACTCCAATTACCAGGTGTGTGCCATGTGACTCTATTCAAAATCCATTGGGCACCTAACCCAAGCCACACCAGTCTTTCCCCAAAGTCTTCCAAGATGGAACTAATGAAAAAGAGTCAGTACCTCTCTGGAGGGCTGTGGAAATTAAAGCCTGGGAGCCTTGAACAACCATATTCCCCACCATGTAGTTATGTGGTCTGTTGTGCAAGAGAAGGCCAATGTGCAAAAATAAGCAGAGATTCCATTCCATTTTTTTTTCACTGTCCTGGGACACAACTTTCCCTGTCTTTCCTGATTTATATCAGATATCCCAGTGCAGTTTTAATAAATTCCCTCTTCTTTGAGTTAGTACAAGTTATGTCTGCCACTTGCATCCATAGTGTCATTTAATACAATGTATTTAACATGTTAAAAAATTCACTCCTGTGTCTTTACAGTAGAATGATTTGTAACCCTTTGGGTATATACCCAGTAATGGGACTGCTGTGTCAAATGGTATTTCTGGTTCCAGATCCTTGAGGAATCGCCACACTGTCTTCCACAATGGTTGAACTAATTTACACTCCCACCAACAGTGTAAAAGCATTCCTATTTCTCCACATCTGCTCCAGCATTTGTTGTTTCCTGACTTCTTAATGATTGCCATTCTAACTAGCGTGAGATGGTATCTCATTGTCATTTTGATTTGTATTTCTCTAATGACCAGTGATGATGAGCTTTTTTTCATACATTTGTTGGCCACATCGATGTCTTCTTTTGAGAAGTGTCTGATCATAATTGCAGCAATATTTACAATAGCAGAGACTTGGAACCAACCCAAATGCCCATCAATGATAGACTGGATAAAGAAAATGTGACACATATACACCATGGAATACCACACAGCCATAAAAAAGGATGAGTTCATGTCCTTTGCAGGGACATGGATGAAGCCGGAAACTATCATTCTCAGCAAATTAACACAGGAACAGAAATCCAAACACCGCACGTTCTCACTCATAAGTGGGAGTTGAACAATAAGAACACATGGACACAGGGATGGGAACATCACACACTGGGGCCTGTTGGGCGGTTGGGGGCTAGGGGAGGGATATCATTAGGAGAAATACCCAATGTAGATGACGGATTGATGGGTGCAACAAACCACCATGACACGTGTATGCCTATGTAACAAACCTGTACGTTCTGCACATGTATCCCAGAACTTAAAGTATAATTTTAAAAAGATTATCTCCTGAAGCCAGAAACAGTGGCATGCACCTATAGTCCCAGCTATTTTGGATGCCGATTGGGAAGAATCCCTTGAGCTCAAAAGTTGGTGCCTATAGTGCACCCTGATCACTGTAGTAAATAGCCACTGCACTCCAGCCTGGGCAACATAGCAAAACTGCACTCCATTCCCCTCTATAAAAAAAAAAAAAGTTTAAAAATCTGCCCTTGAATAAATGCAGCACTGTGAATAAGAATTAGAGATATATACACGAACCCAGGAAATTTAAAATAAAGGATTGCACAGCCACTATTTTCAAATAAATGTCACAAAGGTATTAAGGTTATGAGAAACATGGTGCCTGAGATATGACTAGGAAATGAAATGTCATTTTGAATTCTCTGACATGTAAAGTCTTAACTGTATTTTGACACTATTTTTACATGAAAATAATAGAGAATATAATTTATAAGCGGGTATAGCATGATCCCATTTTTATTATTTATGATTATCTAATAATTATCTATGTATCCATCTTTATGCATTCAAAGAGAATTGCCTGGAATATTTACCTAATGTCAACAATAGTCTTTTCTCTAAGGGATAGAGTATTGCATGGTGTTTTACTTTCTCCTTCATAGTCTGATGCATTAAAATTCCCAACTCAAATCAATTGAAATACCTTACTCCACATTATCAAATATGTAAAACAACACAGAAAACCAACACAAAGAAAAATCTTAGAGCTATTCCAACTGGAATGCAAAAGGTTAAAAGTTTTGAAAATCACTACTTTTATCCTAAAATAAATCTCCAACTTACAGTATGTGAAGTTTCTACTCGATGTGTGTGTGTGTGTATATATATATATATATATATTCATTATTCTCTTAACATGCCATTCCTTCCCCCAGAATTTTTGGTCATGCTGTTCCTTAATCCCCTTTCTACCTTGGCTATTTGGCTCTACTCTTCAAGACTGAACAAAACTCATGTCTTCTTTGGAAACTTCTCTGACCATCACAGTATTCAGGGTCCTCATTTCCTCTTAGATCCTGTGGTCTCTACTTGCATACCAGCAATCAATTTGGCACTGGTTCATATGACATGGGCTTTTATTAATTAAGTTTCTATGAATTATTATCGAATTCCATACTAAACTCCCTACTCTTTGAGATCAGGAATAAATTCTCAAACCCATTTATACAACCTCCCTCCACAATCTTCTCCCCTTGCATTCCTGTTCTATGAGGTTCTAGTACAGTATCCCAAACAGCGTGTTTTGGGATTTGAATTTCCAGCATTTTAGGTTCCTCAGTGTTTTTGGATTAAAATTTTCATTTGATTTAGTCAATTGATTCCATTCTTATCTAACCAACTAAGATAGATACGGTGTGTTCATGATGAGATCGTTCAAGACTTTCTGTGTTACTATCACTCCATCTCTACAGCAAACTGTATTGCAAACCTCTCCATGATAACTTGTAAAAGGGTCGATGTCTGTTCCACACTGAGCTTTCTATAATGTTTTATCCCCAACATTCCCATGGAAAAATATTAGAGGAAGAAACAGTTCTAGGGTTCTAGCCAAGAACCCACCTATTCAGGTCAAGAAGTACTTCTTTCCAAAGCTCAATAAAGCCCTCCCGATAAAAATGTGGCACTGTCACAAATTGCAAATTGGCATGAAAAAGAATCTGAAAAGATTGCCAAGGCTGGCTGTCTGCCTGCCCTGCCCAATCACTTAAGAGAGTAGCACCAACTAATTGCAAATGTTTCAACATATGTGATGCACATTCATCTTTTTTATTTTAATACACAAACAAAGTTTCTTGAAATATAAACAGTCCAGCCAAAACATATCATATTACCAGATTGAGTGCAAGGATGCAAATAGATTCATAAAACATATTTAAGACTCTTAGATACGAGACACTTCAATGTAAGAGCAGCAAGACTGGGGCAAGTTTCCCTGTCCCTACGACTCTTTCTACCAACCCTGGCTCTTTCATCAGTAATCCTGGTTATGATTTACCCATGAATGATTATATCAAGTTACACTGAAAGAATTGAGCTACTCTCTAAGAATTACGTTATAGTAAAGCCAGAGTTCAAGATCCATAATAAAGGATTGTTTATAGCAAAAACACAAAGCTTCAGTTGAACTCCCCACTCCCAGGCAGAGCAAGCATACCTCATTTGGACCCCACAGGCAGAGCTGGGCACCTGTCAGCAGGTTGGATCCTTTTTACAAGGGCACAAATAAACAGAAGAGGCATCTCTTTATATTTTAAAAACACAGAAGAAAGAATTATAAGCAAACGAAGTATTTCATGTTACCAGATGTTGCAGACATAGAATAATTTTAGAGAAAGTCCCCCAAATTACTGATATTTCCCAATGAAAAGAGAGCAGTAAAAATATTAGGTAGGCCAGTTTCCAGACTTTGAACACTACTGACATCTCCAATATAGAAAAGTAATCAAAATGTAAAATGACAACTTTTTTTAAACTGTAGAGAGGCCTTAAGTCAATTTTTAACACAGAAAGAGATATCGATAGTCCTGGTTACCAAAGCAATTCCTATGTGGTCAGTCTAAGCAGTCTAAATGAGACAGAAATGTTTTAAGATACATAGTACAAAGTAATGTAAGATTGTGAATAATGTGAAAAGGCCACTGAGATAGGTAATAATTTGAAATGGGATACCTTGGACACAAAAGGATTGTGAAATTACTAGATGTTTAAATGGTGAACACAAACAACTTCAAACCTTAACAACCATCTCCATTCCGATCCCCCAGATTCCACTTGGAATCAGTGGTTAAGGATCTAATAAATCACAAATGTTTTTTGAACAAGTCCTCCAAACCCATGGTACTGATCATATTTCCATATCACTTTATCCCTCTGTGATACCATTTAATACTTTATTTTGTATTGGATCTCTGAGTGTGTATTTGTCTCTATAGAAAGCTTGGCTTATTAGATCTTGACCTCTTAAAGGAAATCTTATTCATCTTTTATCCCCCTATGAAACCTAAATAGCTTATATATAATAAAAATATGCATGCATATTTGTTAAATAAACTAAAGCTTTATTTTCTTGTTGAGGAAGACAAGTCTGTAGGGGAAGAAGGCAAACTAAGCTATTCTGTGCTCCTACAGGGATTGGGGAACAATGTTATTGGTGTTTCAATAGTCTCTTTTAATCTTCACAGTTAAGAAAGTTCTAAGTATGGAGGTTAAGATTACAGGCTCTACAGTCTGACTATCTAGGGCCAAGTCCTGATTCCACTTTACAGCTCTATAAGATTCAGCAAGTTGTTTCACCTCTCCATGCCTCAGTTTGATCGTATATAAAATTAGGATAATAATAGTACTTACCTCACCAATGTGTTGTGAATATTAATTGAGTTAATATCTGTAAAGTACACAGAACAGCATCCAATGCATAGTAATATCTGAAGAAAAATTAGCTTACACTTATTAATAGTTTGGGAGAACTGACAGGCTCAGCCATGTTAAATTTTCTGTGAGAGACCATGCAGATAACTGTGTTCTCACTGTATGCCATTAGCTACTGGAAGCTTGACCACCACTTTACATCTTCCATATCCAACAAAGAGCTCCATGACCGGGCTGTAGCATGAAAGAATAACTTGCTACCCTACCTCTCCTCCACCTCTCAGAGGAGTTCCAAAAGATAAAGAGGGAATGGGAGGGGACTACCTGCCCTCTCACCTTTGTCAGTTCTCAAGTCCTGACCACCTGGCAAATGTCTGTGAACCACTGTTGCTGCACTTGTTGCTCTCGGCCCCTGTTCAATATCTGCTCTCTCTACCAGAAAAGCAGAGTATGTCATCCTTCACCAGGGTAGTGGCATCCTCGATTCTATCACTAAGTGCTGTGTAACACATTTCTTAAACCCCCTGCAACTCAGTCTCTCCCACTGTAAGATGGGGGTAATAATGGGGTAATAATAATAATAATGATAGCAAACATGCATTGAATGCTTACAATCTGTTAGGCACTGACCTTACTTCACTTAAAATTCACATAATCTTATGATACAGGTACTATTATTATCCACATTTTACCTATAGATAAGGAAACTGAGGCATAGAGAGGCCATGTAACTTGCCTAAGGTCACATAGCTAATAAATGGCTGTGCCAGGATTCAAACTCAGACACTCTGATTCCAGACCCCAGAAGGCACTTTACAATGCGTGTCTACCTATAGTAGATGGTTGGGAAATGCCAGATCTCTGTACCTATTTTGGGAAGTCATAATAGATATACAGATTGGCAGACAATTTAGAAGTCAGGATGGGAGTCCTCATTATATCCTTGTGGGCAAGAAAGCATCCAGCCTATACTTGAGCAGATCCCTAAGCACAGCTGGGATCTGTCACCAAGCCTGGGCACTGTCACAACCCGGCCAAGTGTATGCACACTCAGGGTGGTGCTGACATGCCAGCCACCTGCCCCCTTGGCCCCCTTCAGACTTTGGGTGCCAACAGGCATGGGAGGAAGGCCAAGGGGGTGCTGAGGGTGGCTTGGCGTGGGCCTGCAGCTGCCCCTCAGCGTGAACAGCCTGGGTGCCATTGACAACATAATTGATGGCAGCAGGAGGCTGACAGGCTCCTGGGTGGAAAGGGGTGGGTCCCTAGTGAAGCTCCACCTTCAAGCCAGGGACAGCCTGAAGCATGGGGGCTGGACTGTCAGTTCCAGGTGGAGTTAGCACCCAGAGTGAGAATTTACTCATAGTGCTTTTTCTGGCCCACCTGTGGGGCCCATGGACCAATCAGCATGCACTTCCTCCCTTCTGAGCCCATAAAAACCCCCTAGACACAGCCAGACTCACACAGTTGTCTGAACTACCAGCTACAGGAAGAAGCAACCCACTTCGGGTCACCAGGATAACCTTCCTGCAGAAAGGAGCTACCCACTGCAGAGCTACCCACTGCAGGTCTCCTCTCTGCTGAGAGCTGGACACTCGTCGGGACAACCTGCTTGAAGAAAGGAGCTACATGCTCCAAGTCTCCTGCGAGCTATTCTATCACTCAGTGAAGCTCCTCTCCACCTTGCTCGCCCTCCAGTTGGGTGTGCACATACCTCATTCTTCCTGGTCACAGGACAAGAACTCAGGACCTGCCAAATGGCAGGACTGAAAGAGCTATAACGCAAACAGGGCTGAAACACAGACCCCACTCACCATACTGTGGTCAATGAGAAGGCAACCAGACCTGGAGGCTCTCAGAGCCAGGGCTATGACACTGTCTTTGGGGCTCTGTGATTCCCGGCATCTACAAGCTTCCCAGTGCCACTGGGTTCCCCTCATCCAGATGCCAGTGCCCACAGTGGAAGCTGCGTGCAGTACATCTGATCCAGCAACAGCCTGTCACAGAGCCAGCACCTGTGCTGGTGCCCGGAGCTGCCCACCCTGCCACAGCAGCCAGTATGCCTGGCTATGTGCAGACGCCAGACCCAGCACTTGCTCACCCACACACCCCTCACCACTCTGCACCTGTCTCGCCCTTGGCAGGTATAGGATCTGGGCTGGTAGCACAAGCAGAGGCAGCAGGGGCAGAAGATGCAACTGGCCACAGAGGTTTCTGGCTAGCAAAGCAACACCCCAAGGAGCCCATGACACTATTACTTTGTTTAAATGGCAATTTCTCTGGGGAGTCCTTTTTGACCTCCTGTACTCTCCCTCCCAAATAAGCTGAATATCGCTACTTTGTCCCCTAGTTACCTACAATTTCCTATTTTGGCTCCTATCACACTGGACTATAAAAGCTCTGTTTCATATGTGTGTTTCTTTCTACACTCTAAGCTCTGTGAAGACTCCAGCATGTTGTGCTAATCATTAGGATATGGTTTGGATTTGTATCCCCACTCAAATCTCACGTCGAACTGTAATCCCTGATGTTGGAGGAGGGGCCTGGTGAGAGGTGATTGGATCCTGGGGGCAGATTTTCCCCTTGCTGTTCCATGACAGTGAGTGAGCTCTCACATGATCTGGTTGTTAAAAACTGTGTGGCACTTCCCCCATTCTCTCTCTTCCTCCTGCTCCAGCCATGTAAGATGTGCCTGCTTCCCCTTTGCTTTCCGTCATGATTGTAAGTTTCCGAAGCCACCCTAGCCATGGCTTCCTGTACAGCCTGTGGAACTATGAGCCAATTCAACATCTTTTCTTTATAAATTACCCAGTCTCAGGTAGTTCTTCATAGCAATGCAAGAATGGACTAATACATATTATTTCCCCAATGCCTGATACATAGATGTCTTTAATAAGTATATATTTTTAAAAAAAGGAAGAACAGGAATGAGAAAGAGAATGGCTTTCTCTTCCATCCTAACCCCTCTGGGGAAAATTTCAATAAACCTGAAAATTCTAGGATTGTAGACCAAAGATTTCTAGAATGGTAGAGGTGGAAGGTGAATGTAATGTACTCCCATTTGGTCCTTGATTGTAACTCC
The DNA here is from genome assembly GCF_000001405.40 of Homo sapiens. Classification (NCBI taxonomy): domain Eukaryota; kingdom Metazoa; phylum Chordata; class Mammalia; order Primates; family Hominidae; genus Homo; species Homo sapiens. The sequence goes on along the minus strand of NC_000007.14, from coordinate 8,581,018 downwards.
CTTTCTTGCTCAGGGATTTAGCATTTCTCAGGGATGAGCACTCATTCAGAAACACTAGAGGACTAGAAGAATTGATGGTTATGTTTTTAAAAATCCAAATAAAAAGGAAAATGTTAAGAATATAAGAACAATTCCATCTGCCAAGTTCCAGATGTTAAAATATTTCACTGATAGAAGGACAGAGATTTGAAGAAAGCAGGTGCCCTAATTGCTCTGGAAGGAATTTAAGCCTAACAGGCCCCAGAAACTACTTTTTTTCCCTCTGCATAAGAAGAAAAAAAAAAGTGACCAACACAACTCAGCCTGCATGAATGCCGCAGATTCAGCTTGGGTGTCAGGGAACTTCACTCAAGTGCCAATCAGAATTCTAAGCTCTCCAGAGGTTTTTCTGGATCACTGCCAGTCAGTACTATGACTGATATCTTTTTCTTCAGACATTGAAACATTCAAAAATAAAAGGAAAATATGTTCAGCTGCTGCCTCTTCAGCAGCTTTGCAATTTTCCAAGGATCAGCCTCTCTCCCATTCTCAGCCCCCTAATCTCCAAGCAGAGTAATAGCTTCTTCTTGCCTGAGGAAGCAGTCTCTGGTTAGTAATTCAAGAATTCTTGGTTTCCTAATCTTTTTCTGCCAAGAGTAAGTGGATGTTAGTAACATCCTGTCTCTCTTCTTGCCTTTATTTTCAATCTTTCAAGGTGTCATAGGCAGTGGAAGTATAAACTTTTAACAATAGCAGCCTGTGACTATCTCCTCTAAACTCCATATTCAATCAGCATTATCCTTTGCCCATACCCATTCTTGATTCGGCATATAAATGCTGCATAAGCTACCTTCCTTCTGTTCTCTTACATGGAAGGTCATAAGTCCCGTCCATATCCTTACATGCCCGTTCCCCAGTGAAGCAGGCCTCAGGGCCTCAGCCTACTTTGTTCTCCTTAACTAACAGCCACTGCCCATTTTATGCTTTTTAGTTCTTGGCCAAAAGTAGTTGTGGAATGGCACAGACTCTTCCCATCTCTCTCCACTCACTGTTTCTGATAACAAATACATCAACCGTTTTTTATGTAAAGACTTTGCTTTTTCTCTGTAGGTCTGAAGCCAGAGGCATTCAATGCAGACAAATGCCTGACCCGCTTCTAGATGATCCCTAGATGCCCCCCAATGGATTTAATAGGGATGGCTATAGCTGGACCATCCTTCAAGGTCTCTGATAGCCCCTGTGATCTATGCTCTGCAACACTGCCAAAGATGCTTCTGGCAATCAAGTGGAACAATCATGTGATTTAAATGAAACCAAGTGGATAAAACAAATTACATTCTGAATTTTGTGTCATAAAACTTGAATTCCGGCCAGGCGTGGTGGCTCACGCCTATAATCCCAGCACTTTGGGAGTCTGAGGTGGGCGGATCATCTGAGGTCAGGAGTTTGAGACCAGTCTGACCAACATGGAGAAACCCCGTCTCTGCTAAAAACACAAAATTAGCTGGGCATGGTGGTGCATGCCTGTAATTCCAGCTGCTCAGGAGACTGAAGCAGGAGAATTGCTTGAACCTGGGAGGCAAAGGTTTCAGTGAGCCAAGATCACACCATTGCACTCTAGCCTGGGCAACCAGTGTGAAAACTCTGTCTCAGAAAAACAAAACAAAAAAAAAAAACAAAAAAAACTTGAATTCCATGAATCTTAGATTAATAGCGAAGTTCCTTACTCTACCACAAATGAGTTATAATTTTAGGTAAGTCTTGTCTTTGCCATCACTGAATCTGTTTTATTCCTCTCTTTTAAAGCAGGTATTTGGTTGCTCGCTCTCTATCTGTCAAGGATACTCTAATAAAGAAATAGTGAGTACTAAAAGATGAAAGGATTGGAAAGAAAATCTGAGTTCAAGTTCTAGATCAGCCACACGCAGCCTTGCACTTCACGTTTCTCCCTTTAACTTTCACAAACATGTGGTACTGAGTGGTCTAAGGTGATGAGTACCTGGCCTCTGCCTGCTTCTCTAGCATCATCTAGCACCAAGTGTCCTCTTCCTTGTCCTGCTCCATCCATACCTGAGTTCTTTCAGGTTTTCAAACAACACATGTTGTATCCTGACTCAGGCTTTAATATGCCTAGAATATTCTGCCTCATCTTTACCTACCACACTTCTTCCATTTGATAACTCCTGCAATCTTGTAAGGCTCAACTGAACTAAAATGCTTTCAGAGAAGCCTTTCTTGGTCCTTATATTACTTTGGCTTCCCCCTGTTTTATGTTTCCATAGCAACTTATGCCTGATCCTTGGCAGCAAGCATGCTCTGGTAACCATTTAAGTGTTCCTCCCCTCTTCAGTGAAAACAGAGACTTTGTCCGTCTTTATTTCTGCTATGACCTCAGTACCTAGTTCATGACCAGCCTGCAGTAGTTACTCAATACAGATTTGTTAACTCCTTATCTATAAAATCTGCTCTGCTTTCAGAGGACTATAGTTATTGTATGAAAGTACTTGGTGAACTGCAAAAGTAAATTGCAAATTGCTAGAAAATTCTAAGTCACTACTATTATCTATGGCATGAATTCTGAAAAGCTCGAATTGTAACTGTCTATTTGCTGAGGCTATAGTTGAACTTTATTATTGTTTGGGACATGGCTGAGATGTGAATATAGACAGTCCCTGACTTAACGATGATTTGATTTAGGATTTTTCAAAGTTACAATCATGCAAAAGGGAGACACATTCAATGGAAACTGTACTTCAAATTTTGAATTTGACCTTTTCATCTTACAGTATTTTCAACTTACAATGGGTTTATCAGGATGAAAGCCCTTTGTAAATCAAGTAGCTCCATGCTACCCTCCTCCGTTATAGAAGGGAGAATAATACCTTCAGGTAGGAACCAGTGTTGGAGTCTACTGCAGTGTAACAAATCGCCCCAAAAGTTAGTGGCTTAAAACAATAAGAAACATTGATTATCTTTCAACGTTTTGATGGGGAAAAAATGTAAAAGTAGTGTGGTTAGATATTTCTGGCTCAGAGTATTTCGTGAGGTTTCTGTCTGAGGTCCGCTGGGACTGCAGTCATCTGAAGGCTTGCATAGGGCTGGATGATCCACTTCTAAGGTGTCTGCTCACTCATGTGGCTCACAATTTGGTACGATAAGTAGCCTCAGTCCCTCTTCAAATAAGCCTCTCTCAAGTGATTCAAGGAGCAAGTGATTCAAGGAAACAAGATGGAAGACCCAATGCCCTTTGAAACCAAGCCTTGAAAATCACACATCATCACCTCCGTAATACTTGTTCAGTTACACAGGCAAGCCTTGACTCACTGTGGAAGGAGACTACACAAGGGCACAGTATCAGGCGGTAAGGAGCACTGGAAGCCTTCAAGCTGGCTTCCACAGATGATGTCATTTTCTCTGTCCAGAGTCACTAGTACAGTGCCTCATGCACAGTGTGTAATTGATAATAAATGTTTGAAGGGAACTATGGCTGGAATCATAGATCAATAGATGAAAGGGTGGCCCAAGGAACAAATGGTAGTTTTTGATGTAAACAGTAAACAAACAAACAAACAAAAACAAGGAATACTGAAGCAAGTAATGAAACTACACATACATATTCCCCAATCACCACAGCAAAGAAGATTGTTACTCTCCTGGTTTTGAGGAGAAGGTTAGTGATAGTGGGAGAAGACACATACCCCTGCAACAATTCCCAGGTTTCTGAATGCAGTCTTACTTGATCCACTAGCATAGCTCTGAATAAAATGTATAGATAAATAAACTTTATCACTTATATTAAAAGAAACGATAAGAGGATTAGAAACTGCCAAAGTCAATCTTTTTTGCATTATCCTTGTAATGGAAATTCACAATTTAGATACTCCCGTGAATGTTATGCAAATACATTAAACAATACAGGGAGGATTTGAGCTTTTAGAATTCCTGACTAATACAGTATTAATATTATTATCATTTCAAATGTTCTAATAATAACATTATTTCAAAGTTATAATAATAACATTATTTGCATTTTCTTTGGCCTTGTTTCTAAAGGAACTCAGATGCTTGAGTAAATATTTGTAAATTTTCACCATAAAAGAGTAAAGGCCATTCAGAGTAAAAAGAGAATTTTGCAGACCAGAATTGATTACTTTAATATTCAAGATTACTAGTTCATCTGGAAACATAACTCTGACCCTATAGGAGTTTATAATCTAATGAACTCAAGAGAAAAGCAACATTTCAATGAAGAACAACCATCATCAGTACAAGGAACAAGTCAAAAACATGGTACTTATCCTATCACATCTCTCTCCCTCACCTCTCTTATCTAATAAATCACTATCTCCTAGATCCTTTTTTTCTACTGTCTGTTCCACAAAGTCATGTACGATCTGGTCCCAATATAACTTTCCCACCTCACCTCACAAGACCCCTCCTAAGCCTACGTGTGAAAGAAGGCTGCAGCCTTCCTTCAGTCCTACATTACAGTCATTCACCACTTTCTTCCATAAGCTACATTGTCTAGAATGTCCCTCAGTACATCCTTTCATTCAAACGTACTTCAAGAAAGGTTTCCTTGCGCTTCAGTAGAAATTAGTTCTTCCTATTATACACATGATAGCACCATGTCTGTCCTTAATACCACTTATCGCAGCTGTCACTTTTATTCCCTGTGGAACAAGTCAGATAGCATTGATTGCCACATTCTCCTCACTCCTACCCCAAAGGGCATGGATGATGACTACTTTGGTCATTATTGTGCTCCCAGTGCCCAACACAGTGTTCAAGGCATAGTTGATGTTTGCTAAGTATGGAAACATGAAATGAATGGAGTTTTCAAACATATGCCTAGAATACAGTTAAGACCATGGAAGAGTTTGATATACTTGCTTAAGAAAAAGAAAGCAAATAAAAGGCATATCTCTCTTCATCAGTTCTTGTGTTGTTATCAGTGGCTAGAATAAAAAGAGATAGAAGCTATTCTGGACAATCAGAGAAGCAGGTATACCCATCCCCTATTGAGATGGGAAGTTTTTACAGATGATAAAATCTCTCTAATAATCTTGAAATATAAGTTTGTTGATAGCAGTTCTTTTTCATTTAGAAGGCTTTCAAGCACTCTATAAAGAAGGAAGAAACTGGAGAGAGAGGAAATAATGGGAAACTATGATCCAGCAACAGGCTGCAGAATATATCCACCAGTATCCATAAAATGGGCCTATACATAAGCCATAGCTAGCTAACTTTGACCAAGTAAGAGCTTATTTAAAAAAAAAAAAGATCATTGCCCAATGCCTCACCTTTTGGTAGAATTAAAGAAAAATAAAACAGTGCTTCACAGAAAAACAGGAAACATTATAGAAAATTATATTAAGTGCATAGGCCTATCCAGATAATTCAAATGGAATAAATCTATTCACATTGAAAATATGGAGCTTACAGAACTTATGTTCTTTCTGCAGAAAAGTTAGCAGCAGACTTTTAAGATCAGAGCAACAGCATTGACTGTAGGTAGAAGTAATTTCATATACTTCAACTCTTTTAAAAGAATTTCTATGCTTTCTATTCATTGAAACAAATTCTAAACATGAACTCCAAATTTCTATTAGGACAGTCACATATAAAACAAAAGAATTTTAATGAGTTTTCTTCCCAAAATACCCAGAGGTATAAATTCACATTAAGGATTAATGACCTGTCAGCTTGTACTTAAAGGAGAAAAAGAGACATTTTAGTTGTAGAAATTCAAAAATAAAAGAGTATGAAGTAAGAAAACTTATCATTTTTCCCTTTTGTGTCATAAAGAGAACTGACCTGATTTATTTGCTTTAAATTGGCCAAAAGAAAAATGGATTAGAGTTGGCCTTTTAAGCAAAAATTCATTCTGAGCAAAGTTTTATGACAAAATTAGAAGGCTTAGTCAGAAATACTCTTTTAGTCACTTAAAGGATACAGCATTAATGTCAGAGTCAAACATAATATAAAAGGGAGAAGCTATTTACATTTTAGATTTAACAGAACGTCTCCGACGAATGCTATAATGTCGAAGGAGTACCTCACTCTCTTAACCAAGCATGTCTGGTGGTAAGTGCCATAAAACTACTTGAATTGCTATTTCAAACCATCAGTGCATTTTTATCCCTATTTTTTAAAGTCTTATCTATTTCAAGTAAAAGTTAATGCTCAGTTTTCTGATTCATTTACACTTGATGCACAGCCATGCCAGAGAAACTCTATTTGAGGTCCTATGAATCTCTTTTCTTCCCTTTCGAATTGAGAAGGGATGTTGTGACAGCAGGAGACGGAATCCAAGGCTGAACAAGATCAAGTTGAATTTGAAACACAGAACCTTCAATGTTTAAATAGATTCTAAATTTGGAAGCTTTCATTGTCCCACCCACTAAGTACATGTGATGCAGACACCAGGAAAACAACCTGTGGTGTTGTTTGGCCTTCCTTCTCCATCTGGGGTTCCATCTTCCTTTTTGTGGGTATGCACTCATGTGAAAGAAGTTAACAGATTCCATCTTTTTCCTTCAGAAAGAGACAACCTATTGACTAGACTGAGCAATCTTAAACTGAATCTGTAATGGCTCCATAAAAACATCTATGTGATGAGAGAAAATAAAATAAAGTCAGTTCGAGTCAGAGTCCCAGCTACTTGGGAGGCTGAGGCAGGAGGATCGCTGGAGCCCAGGAGCTGGAGACAAGCCTGGGCAACATAGAAAGACCCCATCTCTTAAAAAAATGTTTTTAATTTTGAAAATTTAAAAAAACAGTTTTGCCTAGAAAATATAAAATAAATTTGAGTATTTTATTTAGCTTTTCAGATGAATATTTCATGTCATAGACAAACAGAACACTTAGGGAAAAGGTGCAAACCGTGTACAGATTTTAAATAGACAATATGTACCTGAATAGCCTTTTTATACCATTTTTGCTCTTCTGGTCCTGCTCAGAGCCTGAACACTTACAGGGCACATCATTAAGCTAGAAGGTCCTAAGAACATCTTAAATCCTCAATAAATCTTTATGACACTCACAGTTCTGTATACCACCAGAGTACACCTTTAAAGGTTTCCATGACATAGAATTGACCTAGCACTTTTTACCTTCCAGGAGCTTTATGTAGTCACTGACAGAAGTGTGTAAAAATCAATTTATGTTCAATAAGGTAAATGTCAATGATGTCTTTAAACATCAGGAGCCAATGGCATAGTTTATTTCCAGACATTCAAATTTTGATAGCTGATGACCTTAAATATTATTTGGTCATGATCCAAAAGTTCAGAGACATTTAATAACCTATAATTAACTGGAAGAAAGTTCTAAAGTCATGGCATTCTCCTACTCAGAAGCCTTCCATGGCTCACAACTCCCTGCAAAAAGAAAGCTCATTGCATTAGTTTGGCATTTAAGAGCTTCCATAACCTGGTTCTAAAGTGCCTTTTCAGGCTGTTTGTACCTATCCATCACTCATGCATTATGCTCCAAAATATTCCAACTGTTCCTTGTTGCCAAATACATACTACACTTCCCCACCTATGCCCTATAGTGCTCTTTTGTTTCCTGTCTCTATCTGTTGACTCTTCAAGTCTAAATTGGGATAATCTATTTATAAAGTAGTTCGGTAGTATGTATGTCAAGACCATTCATGTCGTTTTATACCCTTAATTCCCAAAATTTACTTCTAAGACTCAGAAATAGAGATATAAATTTATTTAAATGTAAAACAGTTGCTTAAAAACCTTATCAGTACATAAAAACCCAAAGTTAGACAATTATATTGAAAATCACTACTCACCAATATAATGTATGATTGGTTTAAATGATGTGAACAGAGAGTTTTTAATGACAAGGAGAAATGTTTAAGACATTTGTTAAGTGAAATAGCAGGACAGAAAATTGCATGTACACAGTATGATCTTAACTGGGTAAAAAAAAAAAAACTCAGAGAAAGACTGGATGGAAATATATCAAAACAATATCAGTATTTCTAGGTCTTGAGATTCAGGGTAATTGTTTTCTGCTGCTTTTTTAAACTCCCCTCTACAAAATTCCTGCATGTATTACTTTTAATCAGAAAAAAAATAACATACTGAGGTTTTTTCAAATCCTGTATTTTAAGAAGATGCTCTCATGCTGCCCTCTGTAAGACCTTCTCAAATGACCCTTGATGGAAGTAATTCCTTATTTCTCTGTGGCCTCATAATATTTCTTACTTCCAACTATTTTTAATTGCATATTCTGTTTGATATATTTGTTGAATTTAATTGAAAAAAAACTAATATATACCCAAGTCTTAAAATTTTAAAAAACAGATCCAACCGAAAAGGAGGTTTCCATTATGTATTAGATGCTACCTGCAATAGAGTTTGATTTTTCAACATTGCCTTGTTCACTACAAGCACATCTGCTTAATATCAGAGTCTGCTTTAAAAAAATAAGCATCAGGCTTTACCTTCACAGCTCTATGTCTACTGTTTGTTTGATACCTTACACCTTAATAATAGACTGTCTTGCCACTAAATGCTGTATTATGATTATAGAATGAGGTGCTAAAACGTATGCAGGGTTTAAAAAATAAGTCAGTAATTTTATCATAAGCACAGGAAGAAAAATCATGGCATAATTTTTCCAGCAAGCTTGTTCTGTTTCTTTTTCTCCAAATTGAATATATACATGTTTGTATTAATCACTGCTTTAAATTTCTACATAATGTTTTACAAAATTCTCAGCTTAGCCCTTAAACATTATTTGCTATTTTCATTATATCTGCAATATATATATTGCAATTATTTAATATAATTAGGGCATTGGAGGAAGTATCCAGATAAAATATATGACATCTACTTAATTTTGAATTTCAGATAATGATTCTTTTTAAAATATATGTATATTCCATGCATTATTTAAGACATACTAAAAAATTATTTGTGTTCATCTAAGATTCAGATTTAACTGGGTGTCCTGTTTTTTGCTAAATGTGGCAACTCTGAGTTGGGGAGTGATTGCATATTTAGAGATTCCACAATCTGGCTAAATAACCTTTCAAGCCTACCCCTTGGTAGCATTTCATTTCAACTCAGCAGATAGTGAATTCAGATATCTAAATTATTCACATCCTTCCAAACCAAGTGTTTTTTTTTTTTTTTAACAAGTCCACCAACAATGATGCCAAGGAATCACTAGGACTCCTTAACCTCTCCAATTCCAGAGCTTGAATTCCTGCCAAGTCTATGGAGGAGAATTACGTACAAATTACCAAGCTTTGTTGTGTCTTACGGTTTTATTTTTATGCATTTATACTTGACAGAGGAACCAGAGATCTTTGACTTTACAAGCTCAAAATTTTTCAGAGTAGTTAATGCTTACTAGAGAACCAATTCTAATTTGTCCTTGTTCTGTTGTAGAAGAACAGTAGAGAGGGATATGTCTAGCATTTGTCCTTTTGGGACTCTTCCTTGACATTAAGATAACCGCTTTCTTAAGATTTTCCTCATTATAAAGTGACTCCTTTTTCCTCAATCCATTTCTTATGGATCTTCCATGTCCTACAGGCTGCTTAATATGCAATAAAATGAGTTCTTTTTCCCACCTCTGTTCCCCCCAAATTTCCCCTTTTCCTGTGTTTCCCATTGCCATCCACAAAGAAACCCTAATAAGTAATCACAGACATATTCTCGATGGGCATCCTCTTTACTACCCACTATCCCCATACCATATCAGTCAAATCTTTTCAGTTCCACTTCTTAAATATATCTGGGAGTGGTCCTCACACCCTCCTTTACATCCCACTATTCCTGTCTTAGCCCAGACTCTCCTATGACATTGTCAAGCCAGTGTTTTTCAAATTTCAACATGCTATAGCTCACCTGGAGATCTTGTTAAAGATTCTGGGTGAGGTGGGACCACATAATTCTAAGTGGGACCAGGAATTCCCATTTCTAACCAGAGTTAGATTAGATTAGATTAGATTAGATTAGATTAGATTAGATTAGATTAGATTAGATTAGATAGACAGACAGATAGACAGACATATATATACTGATTCTGTTGATAACAGAAACCACCTTCTGAGTAGGTTATTTTTATAAACTCCCAAGAAGTCTTCCCTCAATTGCAATTCATCACAATACTGCTATTGTTCTCTTGGTTAAGATCTCCTTATGACTCTTTTGCCTACCAAATTATCAAAATATAAACCACCCAATCTACCATGACTGTATCATGCCCTGTTCCTTTCCATTCCAAAGACCCACATTTTAAACTCTAACCCTACTCCACTTCTCTCTGCTCCTGAAACTCTTCCCTCCCACTTCCAGACCTTTGTACATTCCAGGTCCTTTGTCTAAGTTGTACTTAGAGTAATCTTTGCCTGCATAACTCCTTCTTCCTGTTGAATCTCAAATGTCATACTTTCTCTGTGAAAACTTCTATGATCCCCTCAGTAAAAACCCCCAACACCCAATATGATTATCTGCACTTCCCACAATTGGGTGCCTTCGCACATCACTTTCTACATATGCTGATTACTATAGTATACAAGGCTCATTATTTACTAATTACTGTGCTGTGTATGTTATGTGCCGTCTTCATAACAATCCTATAAGGTAAGTACTATTCTATCCCTCACTTCACAATGACACTAACGCACAAAAAGATGACTTTGCCCAGGATCACGCAGCTTATTCATGCCAGAGCCAGGTTTCAAGTCCAAAAGGTCTAGTGCTAGAATCTATCATCTTAACTATGCTGCCTCCATTATCATATCTCACTTTAGTTACCAAGTTGAACTGCATGAAACTGCTGATATTTAACAGTTTTATATCAACAAAACATCAATCTCTTCTGAGTCAATTTTTTAAATAAATTAAGAACCATTCATGGGGAGAAGTGTATCTTTTTTGTCATAAAATCCTGTGGATATTGCACAGGTTCTGGCACATAACTGGCACTCAATTGATCTTTGTTAAGTGAGGTAAAGACAGTAACAGCTCCACTTTATTGAGGAGTGAATGAATGCTGGGCATTGTACCAACTATTTTACATACATTGTCATATTTAAACCTCATTACAATCATATACTATGGGTACTATTATTTTCACATCACAAATGATAACTCTAATGGCTGACAGAGGTGAATGCCCATAGACACACAACCAGTAATAGACCAAAGTAATACCGTAGGTATCCCTCTCCTAATAAATAAGTTGTCAGCCTTCAGTGTTGAGTAGTGTGGGAACCTACAGAATATCATTTTTTCTTACCAAGTCAAACCTGAGTTGTGGTTCTAAAGATCTTGCCCACTCTAGGAAGAAGACAAACCTCTGTTAGCTTGTTTTGTAATTTTCTTACTTTGAAAACTCTGAAACACACACAAAAATAGAGATGAGTGTAATAATCTCCCATAGACCCATCATCCAGCTTCAAAAATTAATTACAACTTGCCATTCATGACTGCTCCTGCCCTCCCACATTTTCTTTTATTACTGAACAGCTTTAAAGTAAGTCCCAAATATTATATCATTTTACTCATAAGTTTATCAGTATGTATTGCTAACAGATATCTTAAAATAGTTATAAGATTATCACACTTAACAAAATTAATACCTCTAAATGAAATCTAATACTTGTCTATTTTTCCTTGATTATCTCAAAAATATTCTTTTATAGTCATATTTGAATTTAAATCCTAACAACGTATATCCCTTTCAATGGGTTGTTATGTATATTGTTTCTTTTAAAGTACAATGGCTCCTCCCCCTTTTCTAATTTTCTCATGACATTTATGTAGAACTGGTAGCTAGGTGTAGAAGCTTAATTAGATTTAGGTTCAATTATTTTTGCAAAACTTTCATAGGTGATGCTCTCCATGTCCAGAGTTATTGATTAGAATGCACATAATGTCTGGTAATCCCAAATTAGTAGATTGATGTGATGCATCAGAATTGGCAACCTGATGCATTAATTACTCTGTGTTCGAATTTCATCAAAACAGTTTTAAATTCATAGACTTATATTGTCAAGGGTCAATATTTTAAAGGCTTTTAAAATTATAATTTTTTTCTAATTCCATAATCCCCTTGCATTTGTTAACTTGGAATTCTTATCCATGATCAAATCCCTGTTGCATTGCTCAGTAAATGGGTCAGGTTACAAATGCAAAGATATCAAACACTGCACTCAGTACTGACTTGGAGGCAGATAAAAGTCTCTAGCTTTAGAAAATACTACCCATTTAAGGACCAAAGAAAAAGCCCTCCATCAAACTGTAGTTGACATAGACCTCAAGTACCAGCAGGGTACTCAGTTCTTCACTGAACATTTTGGCACTGATTCAATAAATATTTATTCTGTTGAAATGAGAATTTTTTTTTTTTTTTTTGCTAAGAATGAAAACTTTCTTTTATGCATTATGTAAGGGATATTTGATGACATATTGCTTGATCAAAGCATCAAGTTTGGAGATTTGCACACATACAAAATAACAGAACCACAGTTAGGAGGTCATAATGCTGTGAAAAGAAACAAAAAATGGTCTCCTCATTGCATTAACATAGTTTACATACAAAATACAGCCTTCTCTTTATGCATCTGCACATAAGCTGCTATTTTGGGGCCTTGTGTAAAAATTTATCATTTAAAATATTTGCAGAAAGCATGAGATTTTTAAAAATCATAGCATCAGGAGGGAGAATGTAGCTAAAGAAAATACATTATTAGTTCTTGTTTGCCTATTTATTCGAGGAAATTGGGACCTTAAGAGAGACATACAAGGGAAATTTTAAATGCTGAAAACATTTGAGAAAATAAAATTCCACCATCTTGGTTTAGAACCAGTTATAGTCAACAGAGGTTTCTACCATTCTCAGGACATTTACAGTTAGTGTCACATAATCTGCTCTATTTTATTTACCTGTATTTGAAGGACTTAGGATGAATATCAATTTTAAAGCTATATGTTATATCTATCCCGAAAATAGCATGGGACGTTGAAAAAAGACTCGCCCTGCAATTCAGCAAGCTTATTTTCACCCACACAGATTACCTGTATTCGGCCAAATTATTTTCTATAAATATAAAGGGGTTGGACTTGATTTGGAGTAGACGATGTAAGGCCACTCCTAGCTCAGACTGCCTATGATTCTGTTAAGTGCCGCACTGAAAACAAAGTACCTGATTGAAATTAGTCCAGTGAAATCATGCCTTGAGCAACACTGAAAGACCATATGTTCTCCTTTAACTAAACTATATTTAGGTCGATTATAAGAACATCACACTCCACATAGCCACACTAGCAGGAAACTAACCTCAGAGAGCACCTCAGAGAAATATGCAGGCTTCAGTCTGGTGGCATTGAATACTCAAAAAGATAAAATTATAAAGTTTGAAAAGATGTGGCATAAGTCTAAATATTTCAATATTTTGTTGCTTTATAGTTTCATGTTTTTTCTTTAGTTTAAAAGCAAACTAACATCTACTTTAGTTACTGGATAAAAATGTTCTAGTTTAGAATGAAACAAGGTGTATGTCTGACTCATTGTGATTCTATAGAAATTGTCCCATTCTAAGGATTGCATATCAGATACACAGGTGGTTAGTCATTGTGGGCCCTGCCCACAGCCTTTTCCACAAAGAAATGTAATGCTCATAGTTCTTAGGTGCAGTATTTACTATAAGACCCCTGCAGAAATGATTTGACCAGAGGCGCAAACATGAACCAAAGGCAAATAATTCATACTTAGCAAGTGATCTTTGAAAGGACCTGTTATTTAAAATAAAATGAAACAGGGCTTCTCAAGAAATGGTTTCTAGAAAACCCAAAAGAACTTAAACTGTTATTTGGGGGAGATAAAATCATATTTAGAGTTGGAAACATAAGATTTGAAGCAAACTAACAGTATAAGGGACCAGAGCCAAACCAGTTAGTAGGAAGTGTATAATGAAGATTCGTAGAAAAGCAAAGCTTCCATCACAGATGTGTATGTGTGAGAGATAAAGCAGACGGTCAAGAGAGAAGCCTGAATGTTTCACTAAAATTTTAGGCCACATGAATCTTTAAGTATTCTTTTTTTCTTCTTGTTCTTGAAACAATTTGAGTAAATGATGATTTCTGTATTAGTGTTCTCCAGAGGGACAGAACTAACAGTAGATAGATAGATGAGAGAGAGAGAAAAAAAATATGAATGAATATGAGGTTATTAGGGGAATTGGCTCAGATGATGAGGGAGGCTAAGTCCCAAGACCCAGGCCACCTGTAAGCTGGAGACTCTGTGATACTGGTAGCATGGCTCAGTCCAAGTCCAAACACCTCTAAATCAGAGGAGCCAATAGTATAATTCTTAATTCAAAGCCAAAGGCCTTCGAACTCATGAGGGCCACTGGTGTAAGTCCAAGAATTGCAAGGATGGAGGACCTGGGGTCCTAGTGTCTGAGGGCAGGAGAAGAGTGTCCCAGCTCCAGGAGAGACAGAGACCAATTTGCCTTTCTTCTGTTTTTATTCATCCAAGGCTCCAACACATTAGATGCTACCTACCCAACTTTAAGGTAGATCCTCACTACTTAGTCCACTCAAACTCACATGCCAATCTCCTCTGGAAACATCCTCATAGGAAAGCCCCAAAATAATGCTTTACCACTTTCCTAGGTATTCATTAATTCAGTCAAGTGGACATTTAAAATTAATCATCATAGTCTCTGTCCATGCAACCAAAGCTAAACAACAGGTTTAATTTTGGAACAATTTCATGGTCCTCCAAAAGAGAGCACCACAGTGTCATTATGTAGAGAAGATTCCAATGATTCCATCTGGACAAGTATCTGAGTCATCAGAATCGATGGTGCCAAAGAACTAGAGAGACTGAAGCTCCTTTGCTCGAGCCTCTGTGAGAGACTCAGAAAACACAATGCTGTGCTTACTTGGTAAGCAAAGTGGATAAGAAGGAAGCAATAACAACTGGATTCTCTTGACAGTAAAGTCCTCATCTGGCATCATCCCACCTACTTTGGAGTAACCAGGGTGCCCCAAACCAACAGAATTTCCAAGGGAAACTGTCAGCACTTTAAGACACACAAAGGATCCTCCATTCTTAACTCAAGGAAGAGAGTTAGGCTACAGTGAGGTTTGTGGGAGAATACTAAACTAAATGAATACTTTAACAACTTTGTTATTGAATTTGTGGCCCTAAAATTCACCAGGAATCATAGAAATAGAAAGCCAAACCCACTGTAAAGTTGTGCTTCACAAAACTCTCATTAAAAGTAACGATGGGCCAAGAGGTAGTATAAGTTTATTCCACAAAATATGTTGTGAGGGCACCTAAACACACCAGTGAAACACCCAAAAAAATAAAATTATAAAGTTTAAAAAGATGTGGCGTAAGTCAAAATATTTCAATATTTTGTTGCTACATAGTTTCATGTTTTTTCTCTAGTATAAAAGTAAACTAACATCTAGTTTGGATAAAAATGTTCTAGTTTAGAACACAACAAGGTTTGTTATACCTAAACCCTCTCTCCTTTATATTTATGTCAAACTCACTGTGATTCTATAGAAATAGTCCCATTCTAAGGATTGCATAAGCTCTTGAATCAGATTTAAGCAACAAATCTAGATTCTATGTTTCAATTTCTCTATTGACTTATGTCTTCCTTGCTTTATTTGGCTTTAAAAATACTAAGATCCTGCATTGCGTGCTTAAAATATGGGTATAAGACAAACTCTTTCCAGTGATGTTCTTGGTAAATACTCTTGAGAGAAAAGAAATTGACACTCAAATGACAGCAAAATCACATTTTGATGTTTTGAAAGGACCCACCCAGAGTGACAGTGGGCTGGAATCTATCCATCATCACTCTCCAGGTTTCTGAGAATGACCCTGAAAACTACGAGAAAGAAAATATGAGAAAGAATACACAGGGCCACATCTGATTTGTGGTGCCGTCTTATATGCCACAGGTGATTGGGCAGGAAAGAGTTCTCAACAAAAGCTCCCTATTTTATTACTACTGCTACCTCTAATCCAAAATTTAAGGGACTCTTGAAGTCTACTTGTTTACTTCCTGAGAGGACACAGTCCAGCAAATAAGAGAAAAAGATTCAATAGAATAATTCCAGAACTGGCATTGTAGTGTTGAATAAACATACAGCAAAATCATCCTATGTCTCCTGCTTCTTTGCTTATTTCCAGCAAAGACTGTTACAAACTCTGGTTTCTAAAAAGCACAGAGTGCATATTCTTTTTAAACTTGAGCAGTAATTGACTAGCTCTATCTAATGAGATTAAGAAAGAAATGGACCACACTTCACCTGGATTGAGTTCTGGAATAAAAGAAAAGCATCCTGCCTTAATGAATGGCCAGTTTGTAAAGCATTCAAGTGATGCTTATTCTTTTCCCTCCTTCTTGATTTTCTCTTCCCATTAGGAATTTGGAGTAAGTGTTCAATCCAGTGGGGAAGCTACAGTGTTTACTAACCGAGATGGCAGCCAGGATCCCTCAGTTTGAGATATGCTTTCAACTAGGTGTTGCCAACTTTCCTTCCAGATGGCTGTTAAGCACCCACAACCTACAATCAACACAGCTTCTGGCAGCAGTTGGGAAGAGCCATGAGCAATGTCACATCCAGAGGAGAAAGCCAGCAAAATCATCCCCTGTACAGTCATTCTCAAGTACCATACGCATTCTACTTTTATTAACAGAACTATTTAGATTAGGCATGAAATTAATTTACTGCTACGCTGGTTTAAGACATTTATTTTTAAAATTAATTTTGCAATTGGCTTGAATCTGTTTTGCTATAGGAGGCTAGGATGGCAAACAGACAATGAAAAAGAAAAACTATGCAGCCCCATCAGAGTAAGCGGATGGCAAGGTGATTGATGTTTCTGCCCAAGGAGTGAGCAGATAGTCAAAAAGCATGGGCTAAATCTATAATTTTTGTGCTCTGGGGACAAGAGGAAGGATTGGAGGTGGGAAGTTTCTTAGTTTTATGCAATGGAACTGAGAGAGGCATTTTGCCTGTTCTTTGCATATATTCTACCCTATTCAAATTCCAACTGGCAGTGAAGAGTTCTGGCATTGGCTAACTGAAGAAGCATCACTTATTTATTTGTTTTGTGGCTGTTTGTTTTGCTCTTTTAATCTCAATGGCCCATCAATTTTTAACTAAGCTCCCTCCAGGGTTTATGGTTTGGGCAAGCCAGTTAACCACAATAAGTGGCATTCCCAAAGAATTTCTGCGTGCATTATTAGCAGAGCACAGTGGCTGCCTTGGACTCCAGGTAAAAAGATAAAGCATTTGCTGGGGATATTTGTCTCAATCTATAGAGAAGGAGGAATTTCCAAATGGGTAACCTTTTCCCCCAACCAGAATCACCCCAAGGAAATTTGACTTCTCCTAAAATCCTTTCCCTTTACCAGCTCTCATACTAGCTCTCCACATTTTTTCACACCTTATTGCTCATAGTCAGAAAGTGCTTCCGAGTCTTGTTTCAATCCCTTCTGCATCCTCCTTTCCTATGTCATCAATAAAAATGGTAACATCAACATATTATGCTTTCATAAGTTTATATTTCTGTAATGGAATACACCAATTTTGTTGCTCATTCTAGGCTCTAACTAGGAGCACATATATCCAAATTCTTAGTTAGTGGGCATTCTCAAAGAGCTCTAAGAATTCAGACACAATGACTGAATATAACCTACAGAAAATTAGGCTGATTTTTGCCTTAAGACACAGTTTCTTCTTTTTTAAAATACACAACAATGTTTTTCTTCTCCTAATTAAGTAGTGCTGTACACTAGAAATCAGATAAAGAATTCAAGGACCCAAAGTTTAGAACAGGAACTGGCAGTTTTCTTTGCAATGTGTGATAGAGAATTGGTTTCATTTTGACCTCCTGAGGTTTGACTAATTCTGTTACAGATTTGGAAGTCAATGTTCTATCTTGCATATAAAGTCAAAAGATTTAATTCAAATAAAAAGTAGAACTAAGTATGTATATGCTTATAGGTTAGAATTCATAACTTAATTATCTACTGGAGCCATTTCTAAAACATGATGTTAGAGCCATATTTATTTTTACTTTTGATGGCATCTTTTCTGCTTATAGAGATAATACATGTCATTTTTTAAATTAGGAAATTCAGAAAAAGTATATGTCATTGATATTCTCACCACTCAGAGATAACTAGAGATATGTTTTTTCAATCTTTTTGAAATATATGCACATACCAATACACATTTTTAAACAACACTAGCTTATACCAGACATATTTTTTATACCATGAGCATTCCCATTTATATTAAACATTATCCATTAGGATATGTTAAGACAATATCCATTAGGATATTATCTATTAGGATATCCATCAACTGTATTTATTTTTAGATTTATTTTAAAGTTTCCATTTAACATCACTCAAGCACAGGAATGTGTTAGTCATTAAAGAATATCTGTAAAAATCACATTTAAGAAAGTTACGGTTTAAAGAAAAGAAAAGAACAAAAAAAAAAAACTCATTTCATTATCACCAGGGCTGAATTCAGAGTTATAGAGGAAAAGGAAAGTAAGTTAATCAGTTGCTTCAAGGAAATGAATCAACCATTAAAAATCATGCATTTACAAAGCTCTCTTTTGTAAGGTATCTCTTTTGCTGAAGTACTTTTGTTAATATTATTCATCTGCCTGGAATAGACATCAGCTCCCCTGCCTAGCTCAATCCTACAGATTTTTTGAGGATCAATATTTTCCATCTGGCCTTTCCAACTGTTCCAACCTCTTCTTAAAAAGCCTCTTCAATCTCTTGGGAGGAAGCTGACGTATAATGGTTAAAAATGTAAGGTTGATCTTGAGCAAATTAAAATTTAAGGTTTTTGTGCCTCCAGTTTCCTATCTGTAAAATGGTAATAAAATATTCCCTTCCTCACAGGGTCATTACAAGGATCATAAGTCAATAGCATGCCAAGCACTTAAAATGGTGCCTGGAACAGTATAGATATTCAATAAATGATGAGTGCCATTATCTGTAACTCTCATTTGGATGCTTAATATTGTTTGACCGTAGTAACCGTTTCACTATGTATATGTATATCGAAACATCATGTTGTTAAATATATACAATACTTTTTTTAAAAAATCACATACTGCTTTGTTCTTTTGTTTCTCAGCAACATTTTCCCCATTGTTTGCCGACTTTCTGCAGTTTTATTCTTTTGGCACCACTCTCTTTTTATGTAAATACCTAAATTTTTCCCTGCCTGGTGCTCTACACTTTTTTTCTCTTTTCTTCCTGTTGAGAACTCATGGACCTTTACAAAACCTCATTATGCCCTCTAATCATCTAAGGCTTTTGACTGTCAGCCTGGAGTTAGGGACTAGTCTAGCAGAAAAGTCAGCCTCAAAAGATTCAGTCTGTGAATCTGTTTCTGCCAACAGGCTCCCTATACCATGTGACTCGACCCATTTTATAATCTTGGCTCATTTGTTTTCACCCTTGGGCTGAATGTCTCAGGGCGTCTCTCAGGTGGCAGTTGAGTTGAAAATAAAATGTACTACTACATTCTTTGGTACACTATTCTAATTACTGAAAACAGCCCAGAGGAGGGAAGGAGGGAGGGAAAAAGAAAGAGAAAAAGAGAGAGAGAGGTGTGTGTGTGTGTGTGTGTGTGTGTGTGTGTCACATAGGCTTCCCTCATCTCCAAAACTGAGTGTTACAAGAAGTAAGGAGACCCTACCTAAGGGCAATTTGCTATACAGCTAGCTCAGCAGTTGTGAGCGGTTCTCCCTCACCAACCAAATCTCCTTGCTAGAATCATTTTTCTCTTTCAGAGCTTCGAAACACCAAAGCACAAGGAAGCATTGAGTTACAAGTATCAGAGCCCAGCTGAGTCCCTGTATGTGCATCTGTCTATCCTACTGGGAGAGTATATAGAATTCCCGTAGTTATAATTGGTGCTGCTGCCCTTCGGCTTAGAATTGCATTACTTGAAAAGCAGAGGGGTTGCTGTTGTACTTATGATCATTAATATTTCAATCCAGAGGGGCTTGTTTCCTAAACCCTAGGAGAGGTAACAAAGGTTAGCATGGTGAAGCTCAGCCAAAATGCTGTAACCTGCAGCCAGATGTGTTATGAATAACAATGTGTGGAAGAAATAATACAACCAGATAAGGAGAACAAGCTTCTAGTGTTAAAAACCTTAGCAAATTGAGGTTTTGTTTAAGTATGTGGGAGCTAAATGCCAAAGAAAAGCCCCCTGACCTAAGCAGCTTGCTGAAAGTGGCTGCACATAATTCAACAACTCTGCCAGGAAAGTTACACACAAAAGGTTGAGAAAAGCTGATCCAAGAGATCAACTAATGGCTTGGAAGGAAGTTATAGAACCAGACGTCTCATCCCAGGCTCCTCTCACTCTCCCCCTTCCTTGATTTTCCCTTAGGGCCCCATTGCCTTGGAAAAGAAATTTAACTTACACACTGCAGAAAGGGTAATAAATACTTGCCAACAACCTACCATTGGAGGGCGTAACAGTAATAATGTGGATTCAAGTAAGTGGCTGCTTCTGAAATGAGAGTATCCCTATGACCACAGAGTATACTCCCTTGCAGTCTGTCACATCAAACAAAATAATAAAGATCACACTGCCTTTTTTCTAGAATTAGAGTGTGTTCTTTAGAAAATCCATGTTCAGCTACTCTGGTTTTCAAATGTCAACAGTCTTTGAAATATCTAATGCCAAGGAGTAAAGCAAAGCACATCTGCATTATAGTATGAGAAGGTTGGGTTTGAGAAGTCAAACTTCACAGCTTATAATTTTTTGATAATACTAGACTTTTACATATGCTATTATTTTTTATATGACCTGACTATCCTACGAATATTGAAATTAAGTGGATTATTCAAGATGTGCAGCAATGAGTTATATTAATCTTTCAAGTAGAATTCTGTTTTGTAACTGAGGCATCAAAGTAAAATGAAAAGGAGTCCTTCTTTGTTTTCTTCATAAATAATGCCTAAAGACGGCAAATGCATGGCTCTACCGTTACCATTCTTCTCTCCCGACTTCATGGTAGATATCAATAATCGATTCTGGCAATCTTTCATGTCAGCCTAGTTGTAATTTCAGAAAAACAACCACTACAAATGGATCAGATTTGGCAGGCAAGTTGACTACTGGCCCAGTATGCTATGCCCACTCCAAATTGGTGACATCATGAAGACTCATTCTGTATTAAGTGACACATTTGAGTTTCTATGACTGAAATCCATGTCTATGTAGCATTATCTGGAAGGAAAAATATAAGGTGAAGTTTACGGACCTAAACCTATAAGGTCTACACTTGGCCCTGCTAAGGCACCAGACCCAACCCCAGCCTTCTATCAACACTGAATGGACTAGTGGCATCTAACTGAGGAAAAAAGCTCATGTACCTGTTAACTTAGCGCTGAAAGTTTTAGGGAACTCAGCTAAGACAAAAATGAGTGTTCTCAGCATAAATTAATTACTGTGTCTTAAGAAAGTAGGGAGAAAATAGGAACCAAAAGAATTTATATTTTTATTAAATTTGGGCATCCAAATAATGAGTTTGTCTGGTGTTTATGAATTTTAATGAAAACACCTAAGGCAAAAGCATGTCTTACCAATTTAAGGGAAATTGTAAATACAGATCTTCTAAGACACTCGGGAGGTGACAGAAGAAAGAAAGGACTTTTCTTTTTCAATCAAATTAAGACTTTTTTGTATGTTCATATTAATGTTCTAAAATTAGATTCCACCAGGGCGTGGCGGCTCATGCCTATAATCTTAACACTTTGGAAGGCTGAGGTAGGAGAATCACTTGAGACCAGAAGTTCAAGACCAGCCTGGGCAACATAATGGGACCTTGTCTCTAAAAAATTTTTAAAAATCAGCCATGCATGGTACCTATAGTCCCAGCTACTCAGCAGGCTGAGGTGGAAGTCACTTTAGCCCAGGAGTTGAAGGTTATAGTAAGCTATGATCATGCCACCACACTCCAGCCTGGGCAACAGAGCAAGACTCTGTCTCAAAATAAAATAAAATAAAAAGATCCCAATATTAGGATGTAATCAATATTCTATTGTTTTTAATTTTTTCCTGCAGTTCACTATACTTCCAAAAACAGATCAAAACAAACAAACAAACTATAGCAAGATAATCAACACAAAAGACGGCAGTCATCTATGAAACAAAATGAAAAGCAAGCAAGAAAGGTGGGCAGTTTAAACAATCGATTCTAACTAGAAAATACCTCGAAATCTGCTGTAGGCTGATGAAACTTAATTTAAAAATAACAAGGAGAAATGAAACTTATTAAATATCAGTAACAATCATATAAAAGGAAAAGGTTGGGCTCATAGGTGACTTGAGCCTATGAGATATAAGAATCTAGCTCAGTATGGAGCCACATTCAAAGGTTTAAAGAACTAAACCTACTTGTAAGAAAAGGCTCTAAGAACAAAGAAAGAGACCACACTGGAAGCATTGTTAATAGATATCATTTTATGTAGTAACTAAGCTTTATTGGCTCCAATGTCTCCTAGACATTAAAAAGATAAAATTAAAAGCCGATTTTACTGTTAACCATTTACTAATATTCTCTCCCAAGCTCCAGCTGCTCTAACTCTTCAAGTCTAACAGGATGTCCAGTGGCACCTGAGAAAAACACTCTGGAAGAATTACAACTCGCTTCCATTATGCACAGGAGTTCCCACCTCCCAAAAAGACTTGTTAATGTTTGCCAAAAAATAAAATAAAATAGATAAAATGTGTCACCGAAAAAAATAACCAAATAAACAGATACAATTTTGACTCTTGAAAGCTGATAGATAATAAAGAAACCCATATAAAACCTAATTGTAAGAATTTAAAATCAAAATGTTTCTCATACATAAATTTCATAGAAATCTCTCTCTGATTTTATTCAGAAAATATCAAATTAGGGAGGACAGAAGAGAAATTTTAATAACAAGCCTTTTTATGTGTGTGAAGTGCTTTGAACCTTTTTTTTATGATAGGACTGTGCGGGCAGAGAGGATAATGGTCTACATAGAAGAGATGAAGTACATTCAAAGCTGGGGATAAACTGGGAGGAACTGATCAGAAAGTAAAGAAGCAATTGCCTGGATTGATTTTCTGTATGCCTTTACATGGTACTAAATCTGCAGAATGTTTTAGCACAAGGAGGAAAATATGGGTCCAGCATTCTACTGAATCCTGAAAAGTGAGCTGAGCAGTTTATGTCGCTGTATATGAGTGATGTGAGAGATGAATTTCACTGGAGGTTTGTCCTGCCTTTAGAAGGTAGCAGCTACTTGAGAAGGAAATGTTTTTACTGCACCAGTTCTGTACAATACTCAAAATACCATTAAAGGAAATAACAATGGGTAAAACCCCATTACTGCTGGGTACATTACACACAGTAAATTATTCTGTCATCAAAACCCTTAAAGGCGGTTGACATTAGCTCTAGTCTACAAACCAAGAAACCAGACCCTGAGTGGAGGGGTCAATAATTTACCCAAGATTAAAAGGATTGCAAAGGAGTAGCTAGGGTTTTGACCAAGTCTGTCACAGGACCCAAAGCAAGCATGACCCCAGTATACCATGGAAGCCTCCTTCTGAATGTTTTAAAGGAAGGTGTTGATTGACATTGTTATGAGATATTTGAGATTGAGCCTGCCTTAGGAAGAGGGGTCTAATCACATTGTTGTTGTTGTTGTTGTTGTTGTTGTTTTAACACTTAAGCATTTACAATGCATGCCCTTTTAAGACTAACAAAAGCCCGGGATGTACCCACATGAACAATGCTGTAACACAATCACAGAGGTTTCAACTGTCCCATAAGCACATGTATGGACCCAAACACAGGTTCTAAACCTCTGGACAAGTGACCACTGGTATTTCTCATATCTCTGTGCTACATTACAATGTCTCATTCTATGTAGTCATCGACTAGGAAACAGGAGAGTTAAGCGTATGTGTTATGAATTTAGACGACTTCAATTCATATCCTGCCTTTGCCTCTTAATGGTTATGACCTTGAGCAAGGTACATTACCTCATCGTATCTGTTTCTTCATCTGGAATGGGGACAGGAATAAATGTCTGACCCATAAGTTGTGAGAATCAAATGAGAAATCATGTATAAGCCCTTTAGCCCATGCCTGACACAGAGTAAGCATTAAATAAATGTTAACTATCATCTTTGGTTTGAAAAGAGTTCACTACCAAGGGGTTTCCATGCTTTATGTAATGTGACTTTGTGTAGTAGTTTTATCAGTAACACAATATATAGCAGTCTGTATTTTCCAAATACCTATGTTTAAAACAAGTGTGGTTTTCTGCAATACTATCATGTTACTCCCCCAAAAAGAGGTAGGGTTTGTTTCTGATGATGTAATGTTGTGTCAGTTCTAGACATACATAGTTCTTAACTGGCCAGTTAGTTTTTACTTTCTGCCTGCTGGAGCATTCTCGGAACTCATTGATCACTCTGTAAGAAAGCACAAGTAACCTGGTGGAGGGGCCCACATGAAGAGAAATCAAAGCCCCCAGCCAACACTTGCAGCTGAACTCCCAGTAGACAACCGGAACCAACTTGACAGCCAGGTGAGTGAGCAATCTTGGAGGTAGATGCTCCAGACTCAGTAGAGAGAAAATCCAGCTAACATCACACACAGCAGAGTTGAGCAATTACTTCCAAACCCTGCTAAATGGCAGATGACTGTTGTGTCAAGTCACCAAATTTGGGGATAGTTTGTTAGGCAGCAGTAGACACCCAGAACACACACTCTATGTAATCACTCTTTTCCATTTTCCTGATGCTCACCTTCTCTGAGTTGGGGCCCATTATAAAGATACTTATTTTTGGATCAATAGCCATAACATGGGCTAAGTGCCTGCTGTTTGCCAATCACTGGCCTATCCTGGATGGAGGGAAGAAGGACGAATACAACTGCATGAGTAAAAATATGTTCCTCCCCTCAAGAGCCTATATTATAGTTAGAGAGAATGACTATCTATAGTTAACAAATATTTAACCCCAGTGCAAATTATACTGTCTAAACTAGATCCATTTGTTCCAAGTACAGATAGAAAGCCCAGTGGGGACATAGGACATAGACAGGAGAAGCTTAGATATGAAATGCTTCCCCAAGAGTTAGATGTAAGCCAGATTTTTTAAGATAAAAAATATAAAGTAGACACACAGGAATCAGGCAGAGAATACATTCAGTAAGTGAGAAATAACAAACGCAAAGGTTCAAAACTGGTAATGAACAAGTTATAGCCAAGATCTGTGAAGGAAACTGCCTAAATTCTAGCAGAGGGTCCTTGCCAAGACGAACAAAGAAATGAGGTTGGGGAGATTGGACAAGAGGTCAGCAAAGCTCTACTCCAAGCTTTTACAACCTGGTGTGCTTTGGCCTTGGGAAAGTTTTTCTTTTCTCCTTTCAGAAAGAAGCCTCCTCTCCAGCCCTCAAAGACAAGCAACCTGAAAAGTGACTTAGGTGCTTCTGTCATGTAATGCTTGGTCTCTTTACAAACTGGCTTGCTGTGTTTTACTCAGCAGTCTGTGTCATCTCTTTTGTGGAATCAGGATTGTTCAAAATCTACTCGTATCTTCTGCCTGGTGTCTTCTGTCAGAGGTGTCTAAGCAGATTCCTTACACATCCATCAAAGAGACACACTTCAAAATGGGAACTAAAAGCAAAGTGACCATATCAATAAAAGCTGCTCTTAGTTGATTCACAAATGCAGCCTCCAATGGAGTGCTGAGCAGAAAATAACTCCCACTGGACTTCAGTCTATCAGTTGCGTGTTAGTTTTCCCCAACCAGTGAACTGTATTCACTCCTGACCATTAGAACCACAGGCTCTTGACACCAGCATATCTGGGTTGCATTCAGTCCTTTCATTCAATGCCTTTTATTGAGGACCTACACTTTTTCAGAAACGAAGCCAAACCACACTGCCTTCCAAGGACTGCCCTTCCCTACTATCAAGCTCTGGCAGAAGATGACATCTATGTGTGTCTTGATCCAAAAGGGATTTAACACCCCTGTGATTCAAGACGTCATGGCAATTTCCATCAATTTGATATCCCTCCTAAAATTCTAATAGGATCAAGAAAAAATTTAAACTGGAATTAGAAAAGTTAAGGTCTTGATTGTTTCTTTCATTTTTTAAATCCTTAAAGTCTTGTTTCACATACTGTTACAAACGTAACTGTTCTGGTGAACGGGCTGTATTATTTCAAGCAAAGAGCCTTCCTAAAGAACAGAAGGACTTTATACTTAAAAGGCCAAAGAATTCAGGAAATAGATCAGCCATGTTCTGTTTTTTAACACAGGTTTTAAGACAGGTATCTCTAGAGCCTCTTTTCTACCCAAATACTCTTTTGCTTTTCCTGAAATGTGAACCTAAGAAAGGATGTGGAAGTATGTGGAACATAGATAACACATATTAATGTACTAAGAGCCTATTATAAATGTCTTTATGGACCACAATTCAGGGTACAGAGGACTGCAGCTCATTTACCCACTCACATACACCCAAAAACATGTACATCCCCATAAGCACAACATTCTCAGTTTCAAATCCTAAGAGCACCGACCGGCTCATTCTGATGGATGTGAGTCAATCTCCCACCATATGGTCGGTATTGCTCCTCCTCTGACAAGTGCATCATCCCCAGGTTTGGATCACATCTGTCTCATTAGACTGAAGGATTGCCCCTGGCTATTATTGTATTTTAGACAACTTCGGTGTCATCCTAAATGCCTGAAGGTTAACACCTAAGCAATGATAGTATCTAACATTGGCATAGTCTTATTTTTTTTGCTTTTTTCTTCCATCATGTTATAAGCTCCCTGAGTCCCACATCTTGTTGAGACCAAGATCTTACTTAGCTCTTAACAAGCATAACTCCACCTGTAATCAGTTTGTGTACCTCTTACAGCACAGTAGATTAAAACCACACTTCAGCCACTGACATAACCATTTCAGCTTTCTAGAGATTCAATACTAAATTCCACAGTTAAATCAAAGGATTATTTTCCTAAGAAATGTTCTTGGAAATAAATATAATTGAAAAATTTTTCCAATGCCACAGGAAATCTCAACACTCATTAGAGAATTATGTGATGATTTGGAATTAGTAATAGATCTCAACTTGGGGAAACCTGTAGTTTGTTTTATTTTTATCCAACAGAACAAATGACTACACTGATCATGGCTCAAGATGATTTTTTCAAACCAAGGGTGTTTGAACATCTTAGCCTGATGGGACTTGGTGATGCATTAAATCTGTGGAGATAAGTTAGCTGGAAGATGTAAGGAAAAGACAGTATTGGGTGGATAGATGAAACTAGAGATTTACTGCCACATATATTCTAAACTATTACCCTGAGAAAGTTTGCTGGACAGTCCCTCCATTCCTTTAAGACCCATTCTGAATTAAGGCTAAAACCTGGGTATCTTCCTCATTAGTCAGTCAGTCATAAAACTGGCCTAGGCTTCAAGTCAAGACTATGTCAAGTAATATTTAATCCAACAAGCATTTATTTACTAATGATTATGTACCAGCCAATTTCTGCTCCATCATTTTAAATATAGAAAATTATTAGATTGTTTCATGTTTTCTAATACACATAATAAGCAAAAAAAAAAAAAAATGCCCACCACCTTCCTCAGAAAAAAAAATTGGAACTTTCATTAAAAGCTACCAAATTTCCTTTGGAATATAAATTTTTAAACCCCAATGAAGACAAAACTGGTTTGCCCACTGGAATTCATTTTCCATTTAATCCATTAAGGATAGAGAAATAAATTTGTTTGTCCAGCTCTGCTTTTTTTCTTTTTCAGCCAAAGAGAATCTGCACAATTTCCAAAGACAGCTTCACTAAAAACTGCTTTTCATTCTCTCTTTGCCTCTAGTCAAGTTTTATAAAAGGGATCACTGGAAGGGAATTTGGTACATATGTGCTCTCTTTCTTCCTTCTTAGATTTTGTGGTTGTATTTAGTTTTTGTAAAAATGGCTGTCTGACTTCCTAAACGATAGATCTTTACTACTTTTCAATACACTTCATACGTGACCATTAATACCTGCATCTTTTAAAAAAGGAAAAAATAATTTCTTCCAATCTGATTTGCTTGAAATGTATTACATAATGTCCTGAGATGTAATCTCCTAGGCAAAGAGCAAATACAAGCAGATTTTAATTAAGGGTAGTCGAATGGTGACATTGAAGGAATTGTGGAAATAAATACAGTGCAGTAATCATGCAAACATGAAAACCAAAACAAACTGAGTATTTTTCTGTGCCTTCGCATCCAAGAGAAAAACTTGACAGCACATAGCACATTTTTAAATTGTAGAACTGATTGCCCATTTTAGAGTGAAAACAGTTCAAGAAATCATAACTCTACACAGCACAAGGTTAATGCAATTTAAAATGCAAAAGCCAGGGAAATGGTACCCATATTACCTGGTAT
This sequence comes from Homo sapiens, assembly GCF_000001405.40. Classification (NCBI taxonomy): domain Eukaryota; kingdom Metazoa; phylum Chordata; class Mammalia; order Primates; family Hominidae; genus Homo; species Homo sapiens. Next base: position 8,552,517 of record NC_000007.14, on the reverse strand, counting down.
TTTTGCCATTTATGTACCCGGGGCAGACATGTTTCTTTCACCTTGACATCTGATTGCTGTGCTAATGCCATTTAAACCTAGATGGAAGAAAATTATGTTCTCCTAAGAAGCTGACTGATTATTTTCTTTAAAGAAAAGAAAAAAAAATTAAGACAGCCATTTTCATTCAAACAAAGTGCTACATAGAAACCTCTGAGTATAAATCCCATCAGGCCTCTATAATTTTTGCTTGCTATCGGTTATTGCTGGGATAATTGCATAGGAACATTATTTGTGTAATTGTCAGCAGTAGTACTCCTGGACCAAGGACCAAGGCCTCCTGCAGATTTCTACAAATTACATTACTCTCCTTAACGGTTTGTGTGGTTTTGGTGGTTTTTTTTTTTTTTTTTTTTTTTTTTTTGGTTTTTTTTCTGCAGACAATTGGAGTTAAGCCAAAATAGAATTATTGTTCTTAGACTTGGGAAGATTCACATTAATTTCTGAAAAGTACAGACAAATTTTGCAGCTAAGCAAACTGTGTCTTTTGTTTAAGAAAAAAGAGACATCAGAGGATTTAAGGGAAAAAACGTTCAAAAAATATGCACATCTTTAAAGCTATAGATCTACTTGAACAAATTGGAAGCTGACTTGGTGAACAAGGTGAAGAAAGCTATTAGACTGTTTAACCTAAAATGGTTGGACATGGAGAAAAAATATTTGACAATATTTGTACAACACTGTTTTCTTGCTCATTTGTTTGCTCTTCAAAGTCGTTATAATGCACTGTAGGAATTCAGAAACAATGAGCAGTTACAGTAGTAAATAAGACTTAGGAATGAAACATATTCCTAAATCTTATTTTAAAAGAATGTTTTTCTGTTTAAAAAAGAATGCATTTCCCTTCTTCCAAAATTGTAAAGGATAATTTCCTCAAAATTGTAAAAGATAACTGTAAAGGATAATTCTTATTTTATTTAAACACAGTATTTTACCTTGTTCCAAAATCGTAAAGGATAATTCTGCGTTATATATAATTCATCACCATTTTATAAGATATTATAAATATGGTATTTGTTTCACCTAAATCTTTCCACATATCTCATTTTTAAAAGTCTGGCTGAATTTTATTTAGTAAAGGAAAACTTTTAAACTCCTTGTGAAGTTGGAATTTAGCATGTTTTGCTTTAACCAAGTTTGCTCAGAATTCATCATTTTGATCACAACATACAGTAGCAAACACTTCTTTAATGTATTAGATCTTAGACAAAGGATATGAGTAGACAATTCATTTGTAAAAGAGGAAACACAGATGACAAATAGTTTAAAAATAGAAATTGAATAGGGTATAATAGTTGACCTACTAAATTAACCAAATATTTTTAATGATAATCTTTAATTTTTTGAGGATCTCATGAGACAGACATCCTTTTGCACAGCTGATAGAATTTTTAAAAAACTAAGATATTTCAGTAAGACAATTTTCTAATACATATTAGAAGTTTTATTTAAAACTGTACATTCTTTGAAGACAAATGCCTATCCTAAGAAAGACTATCCTAAAAATAATTTTTAAAATTCCAGGACTCAAGTATAAAAATATGTGTTGTTCAAAATTGAAAACATCTGTATACAATCTAATTGCTCAACAGGAGCATGTAGAATAAATTATGGTACAATGTGCAGTTGGTTATTATCCACCCATTAAATGGTATTTCAAATTTAAAATTTAAAAATATGTAACAACCTGGAGAACTATTCACCTTAAGTGAAATACAAGATCCAAAATTGCAGATGCATGTGGTTCAAAAGTTGTTATAGATATAACTATAGCTGTAAATATAGAAAAATGTTAACTGATAGTTTCTGAATGGTGGGACTAAAATAATTCCCATTTCCTCTCTGAGTTGGTATTATGGGTTATTTTGCATATAATATGTCTATTCAAGAGTTATTATTTCTGATATAAAGTAATACTATTTTTAAAAGTCAATGAAAAACAGAAGCACTATGCTTCCAATAAGTCATGGGAAGACTTTATAGGATTGCCCATGTGTCTTTGCCTCTGAAAAAAAGACTTCAGGAATGAAAGTGCAGGCTCACTCTATAACAGTGGAACCCAAGGGTTGAATAGTAAGATCCTTTTGGAATGCCCTTTAAAATATATTATCCATTTTGTTTTGAGTTGAGGTTGTTGGTGAAGTTATTACCATAAGCTGGATCCCAGCAACACCCCCCTTTTGCCCCCAGGCGTTTCATGTTCTGTCACTTCCCTCTGGAATCACTAATTGTGTCCAAGTCATCTCTATCCCCTACAGCCACTGATGGCTGTCACTAGGCAGACACATTCTCTAGTGGCTTTAGCCAAGGACAGAGTGAGAGTCACAAGCTTGTACTATTCCTGCTTTTCACTAAAGTCTCCAGATCACCGCAGGCAAGTTTTATAACTACCTATTGGTGGTTTCTCCTATTTAAAAATTGGGTTGCATTTGATATATTGTATTCTTTCTAACTGAGAAACAAAATAAGACATATATATCACCAGATACAAACTTGCATTCTGTGGGTTCAATCCTCACTGTTCAGTGCTTAGTGTGTCTCTCTGCCTAAGGAAACCAGTATAATTTAGAGGGAATTTGAGAAACAATGGTAGTTTAGTGGTTACAAACACGCACTGAAACTGGGCTTCCAGGGTGTGAATCCAGCTCTTCCACTAGCTAAAATGTATAAATGGGTAAATGTGTAATCTCTGTGTACATTTATTTCCTCCTCTGTAAAAACAGATTAAGTAAGTTAATTAGCTAATTAGTTACACATATATGGCATTTATAAGCATTTCTGGTGTAAAATCTTAGCAATTATTATAAGGCAGTGTACTCTCTCTTTTTTCAAAGTTATAAATATCTTTACAAAATTCCAAAAAGCAGAGATTAATATTGGGGGCTGGGTCTGTTTATAAGTAATTCTCTCTTCCATAGAGGGGGAAGAAAACAATCTACTGAATTAATCTTAGAAACAACTTACTCAAAACAGGATAACACAGGAGTTGTTTTATATTTCGCTTTTATTATTGACAGAAGCTTCATTAAAAAGACTTGGCATTCAGTATACTTACTCAGAATAAAGCCTGGATAAATGAGGATTCACAAGTAGTGGTGCATGTGTTAATATCTGTCTGTGATGTGCAAATACAGTCCAATAGGAACGATTTAAAATAATTACATTTCATTTTGGCTCATGTCAGTCACGAGTTAACTCAGCATAATTTAATGGAGAATTGCATTACCTGTTGCACTTAATGAGGCCACATTTGATAAGAGACTCTAGTGGGATCTGGAATCATAACAGTAATGAAATCCAGGGTCTGGGTTCTTGGTTCATTAGGCAACAAGACTGGCTCTTCAGTAAACTTGTTTCCGAAGAGAAAGAAAGAAACCAACTTACTGGATTTTTTAATTTATCTTTTAAGATGCTGGATAATTAGTGGGACTTTATCTTTCAATTATTAAACAAAGGAGTTCTACAACAGCTTTTACTTCAAAATAATTTTTTCTGAGTGTAATATGTATAATCCAATATTCCTCAACATAGAATTTTATGAATCTTAACTACCATTTAACTACTCCTTTTACTGATGAGAAAACTGATGCTGATGTCAAGAAGCTAGTTAGTGTCAAAGACAAAACCAAGCACAGCAACAGTAAGTGCCAGTATTTATTGACTACTTACTAATCATATTAATTCATTCAATCCTCAAAACAGTTATGCTTAACAGATAGTGAATATGTGATAGCGAAATAGGACTAAGTGAATGAGCACAGGTCCCATAGTAAGCAGCAAAGCTGTGTTAAGAACTCAGGAATGCCAACTCCATAAATCAGGCTATCAACCCCTGTATAATACTAACTTTAGTAAACTGGCATTTAAGTCCTTCTCATGTCAGAGACAGCGTCAGTGGCACATTAGGCAGTCTCGCAGAGAAACTACCCAAAAGTCTGAATATCCCTCTATCTCTCTCTATTACCCAGCATTTATACAGCTACTTTATAGGCTTATTAAGAACTCACAAGTTAACTAAGTCAAAGAGTTTTGATATCTGGAAGAAATAACCTAATAGTGGCTGTCACATTCTTCTGGATTCCTTTTAACAAAGAATGGGTCCATGCAGATAGAAATTTTCTTAAAGAAAAAAATGTCGCCATGCAGATTGGTCTCTGAAACCAGGGCGATGTCCAACATGGAAACCAAGTGACAGTGAGCTACACTAGGAGTAGTGCTCATTGAGGAGCATGGTAAACTCCATGAACAGGAAGTATCCTTTTTAATACTTGTCCCATTGTAATAAGTTAAGTGATTTCAAACAGGTCAACTTCAACACTTCATCTGAAAAGGTGGGAGGATAAGAATTATACCTTTTGGGAATGTTTATACACTGTTGGTGGGAATGTAAATTAGTTGAATTTCTATGTAAAACAGTATGGAGATTTCTTAAAGAACTAAAAATAGAACTATTATTTGACCCAGCAATCCCACTAGTAGGTATCTACCCAAAGGAAAATAAATCATATCAAAAAAACACCAGCACTTGTATGTTCATTGAAGCACTATTCGCGATAGCAAAGTCATGGAACCAACCTAAGTTTTCATCAACAGTTTACTGGATAAATTCATATATATACCATTAAGTACTATGCAGCCATGAAAAAAGAATTATGTCCCTTGTAGCAACATGGATGGAGGTGGAGGTCATTATGCTAAGTGAACTCACTCAGAAACATAAAATCAAATACCACATATTCCCTCTTAGAAGTGGGGACTAAACAATGAGTATACTTGGACATAAGATGGAAATAGTAGACAATGGAGACTCCAAAAGGCAGGAGAGTGGGGCAGGGGGAAAAGGGTTTAAAAACTACCTAGGGGCAACAGATACAATATTCACTATTTGGGCAATGGGTACACTAGAAGACTAATCCCCTTCGGTATGCAATATACCCATGAAACAAACCTGTACCTGTACCACCTGTACCACCTGAATCTAAAATAATTTTTAAAAAAGAATTACACGTTTTCTAGTCTTTCATTTATTTATCATATATACATCTTGTGCTGTTTCTATTACTGAGCAAGGTGTACAGGCAAAACTGTCTTACTGAGAAGTGAGTGAAGCTTAAGCTTCAGGGCCCCTTACTTATCTGGAACCCTTTAAGAGAAGGACAACACATATTCTCGTAATCTATATGTTTTTCTAAAATTTGCAAAAGAAGATACTTCAATGACGTTAAGGCCACTATCTTTCTCTCCTCCAATTTCCCCCTCCCTCACACTTCCAATAACCTTGTGTGCTGTGGCAGCGATTGTGTGCAGGAATTTTTGGCATTCACCTAAGGGGGCATTGGGTTGTGAATCGTTACATTTAGTTGGACCTTAATGGGAAATATTTATATGGTTTACAGTTACTTCCATATAGACTTCAGTTATTGCTAACCATCTCAGTTTAGGAGGATGTTCAAGAGTACTCCTACTTCCCAATTTGCTGACCCATTTCAAGTGATTACATGAAAGTCCAAGGCCAGTATCATCTCACAGTATGAAAATTCCCTACAACTTGTGGCACCAGAAGTATTTGAGGGTCAAAGAGATACAAGGTTTCAAATATGTAAACCAGATATTACTGTTCTTGTGGTTGTTGCTGTTATTACTATTGTTGTTGAAACAAAAATACCACCATGAGCATCAATACGTTAAGCACCAATTAGCAGATACTAATTGACAGTTCACTGAAACCTAGACAAGCTTATGGTAGGGGATGGAGCAGGGAAGAGGGGTCACTGGGAGATGAATGAGCAGAAAGATAAGCAAGCAAATAGGCAAAATATTTGTCCTAACAGTGTTTAGGTTCCTGCAACCTAAGTTAGTGGTTTGAGAACTTTTAATGAGTATCAGAACAAATATTTATGAAGTATATTCACAAGCTCTACTCCAGACCTACTGAAACAGAACATCTGACCATGAGGCCAGGGAATATGCATTTTAATAAGAACACTCAGTGACTCTAAGACAGAGTCCATAGATTGCAGTGTGATCTAAAGGGACAAATTTTTAAGGAAGCTAACACAATTAATTACGCTGGAATACTCACAGGCATATAATAATAGGCCCAAAAACCACTAGTAAAGAATATCCCCATCTCGTTTCAGTAATGATCTGATGGAACATACTTTCCTCCATATTTGTGACTTTCTCTCCCGAACTCAGTTTCCCTTTGTCATGAATGGGAGGACCATACTTTCATGTACTCAATTTTGTGAAGGAAGAAAACCCAACTCCAGGAATGATTGCCTGAGTATTCTTTAACATGTCAATCTCCTTGACACTTAACACATCAAAATAATTACCCTAAAGTACCTAGCCACAAAATATATGAAAAAGAGGTTTCAGCTTTACACACTAAGAGCAAATTTATAAGTTGCATAATTATTGATATTTTAATTAGCTGGCATCAAAAGAGTTCTGACCTTTTGCTACAATCTTTACGGTGAAATCAAAAGTACAACAGCTGGTCTCTCTACCCACTGTGAGCATTTAGCCTACACACAAAAAAGTGACTTTTGTTGTTTATCAACATAATTAAGCCCAGATATTGACTGCCTGTGTCAGACCATTTGGCCATAAGCTAACTTGTATGAGAGCTTGATGTAATTGTATTAAGGGCTGACAGTGCTTAGTTGCCATGGATTAAGAAAAATGGTATCAGTTATGAACATTTGTATTCTCTACTGCATGTTAATAAGCTCACTGGAGTCTAAGCAGTTGATATTTATAATTTCTTTAATTATGAAAATCATCAATATTATAAAGCTGAGTATTTCCTTTAAATATTAAACCACTAATTGACCTAACTGAGCAGAGAGTTGCTAAGAGCAAATACAGTATTTTGTTTCAAACATAGAAAAAGAAAGTTATTTGCAGATTAGTATTTTGTTTTATTTTAATTAGAACCATTGTGTATTGAGGTATATATGTACATATGCCCTCGAAGTAAAATCTCATATTTAACTCTACAAGAGGACAGTATTTCCTGATTAGGTTTATGTTGTTTATGTTATCAGTTGAGGCATTTTTCTAATACTATTTTTCATCTTTTTGCTTAAAAATATTTTATTTTGAGCAACATAAATAATTACAATTTCTACTGTAGATATGCAGCACAGGCATGTACAAGATCAACTGGCCCAACACTGTCATTAATTGATGAATAAAAATGATCCCAAGAGTAGAAATTGTCCTAGTGACAAAGCCTGAACTGAAACTCAATCTTCTACTCCCTCCATGCTGCCTCAATTTCACAAGCTACTCTTTGGGATAAAACTTTCCCTGAATAATATTCCTCTTCCTTTATTTTGGACCCTTGATAGCACTGAAGAGACATTTCCCTGGTAGCTGCTTGATAACATGTTGCTCATCTGTTAAACCTCAGTTTATATCCTCTTCTGTGAAAGTAGAAAGAAGTTGTTTCCTTCAGTACTGCAGCAAAGATGAGTAGATATCCATTAAGAAACTATTCTGTTAAGGTCACGCTAGACTAAGTGGTCAAATAGCTTCCCTAAGCTTCTGCAATCAAAGAAAAGAGTAAATAAAAGAAGATAAGACATTGCATATAACAAAGCACTATATGTATTTACATTTTCTAAAGGGTATAGCTACATAATTTTTCTTGACTTTTGAAAATTCTGCAAAACAAATGCTTCATGTCTAGAATAGATATATGTTGGTTTGTAAATGATGAAAACCACTCTTTATACCATAACATAATGCTCTACTTAAAGAAACAGGCACTTTAGAACTGATAAGTAAAATTTTTAAGAAGCATAATAAAAATTCATACAAATACAAAAGCCGTAAAATCAAAATGACACCATCATCTGCCTCAGTACGGTCTACATTATAACATTGCACTGCACTCCTAACTTCACTATTCTTTTGTTTATGGCATATGCCTATGATGTCTTCGGGTAGGGATCATTTCAAATGCCAAGCATCCTTCCATGTAAACATTCTTTATGAGTCTTTCAAGAATCTGTGATCTATGTCTTTGTCTGTAAGTAGAGGTTTTCAACTGCAGGTGATTTTGCTTGCCAGAGAATATTCTTCAATGTCTAAAGACCTTTCTGATTGACACAATCGTGGTAGGAGGGTGCTCCTGGCAATGAGTGAGGGATTAGAGGTCAGGGATCCTGCTAAAATTTCTACAATGTACAAGAAAGCCCCCAAAACAAAGAAGTATTGAATCTAAGTTATCCACAGCAAACAAGCTAAAGCAACAGTTGCTGTGATTTCTAAAGAGTGACATAAAGTTTTTAGTCACTCAAATTATTGACAAATGCATGTTTGAATCTTCTCACTTGTGTGACTAACTAGAACTACCGGGCAAATTTCTTGGTAAGAGGCAACATGTGCCCCAGCAAGAACACTAGGCTTGGGAGCCTGGAGAGTTGGATTGCGGATGTAGCTCTCTTTCTAATTAACTGTATGAACTCGGTTAAGTCACTTAACCTCTTTTGCCCTCAATTGCCTCCAGAAAAAATAAGAGAGAACCGAGCTAAATTAATTCTACAGATCCCTTCCAGCTCTAAAATTCCATTATTCAAATGAAAAGCAAAATCATAAGCTTAGAAAAAAAATTAAAAATTAAAACACCTGGTATGCAATCATTTATTTAAAAAGCTAACTGAAGAGTACATACACAAAATGTTTAACTGTACTACGTCAATAGGTGGACAAGCATTTATTAAGGATCCATTATATGCTTAGCATGCTACCTGTTGACATAAAAATATAAAAGAAGGATTAGATACTGTGCATCTACGTGTGAACTAGACAAATTATTAAAATCCATTAAAGAAATTTGTTTTTTCCAAAGTGTGATTTGCAAATCATCACATCAGAATCTCCTGGGATTTTTTATAAAATATAAATTCCTGAGCCCCCAGTTTTAGTGGTCTGGGATTTTTGAGGATTTGGCCCCAAATCTGCATTGTTACAATCACCCCCAAGTAATTATAATGTATACTATAGTTTAAAACCTGCTGAATACAAAATTAATTAACAAGAGAGTCTGTGTGATATTGCTTTAGTCGTAATTATCTATGAAATTCTGTAGGAGTTCAGAGAAGAAACATAAGTGACACATCAGAATAATAGAGGAGAAGTCCATAGCAGGTAAGATGGGAGCTTGCATGGATAAGGTTTGGAAAGCAAAATGGAAGGAAAAGGTATTAATATATTCAATGTGGAGTTTCAACATGAGCAAAAATACATAGGTGGGAGTGGATGAGATGCAATTGAAGGTCAATGAAGAGTTTTATAGTAGCAGTATATGTATTGAGCAGAAATAATGAATGAAGTGAGTTAGCTACACATACATGGTAGAACCAATTTCAAAATATCTACCCCCAAAAGGACAATCATCATGGGGGTCAAGGAGGGATAGCTCAAATGCATGTAAATTCAATTTAAATGTTGTCTGAAGGAAAAGTGTTTTCAGTGACTTTTAGGCTGTATTTGCAATGCAAAGAGAAAATAAAATTACGCTATGCATTATACCTTCCAGATCTCAAAGTCTCCTAATTCCTTCCATTTATCCAAAGTACATGTATATTTGTTGAATAAGTCTTTCTCATAGTACCCACATTATTTTGCCTGTGTAAACTTGTACCTAAAATGGTATTCCTATATTGGTAATTTTTGCATAATCTAACATAATAATTTTTCCTCCTGAGGTGAGAGTTGATAGGTTTTTGTCCCTAAAATCAAAGGAGACTTTCACTTGAATTGTTGTATAAGTAATTTCATTTAGTTATTAAATGGACTATTTTACTGATTTCCAATTTATTTTTGCTGTGGTCAGAGAAACTAGTTTTTGTGACTTGAATACTTTTCTAATTTACTGAGACTGTTTCATGGCCTAGAATATGATCCACATTGGATAACACACTATGTAGATTTGAAAACACTGTATATTCTGCTCTTGTTGCATAGAGTTTTCTATACCTGCAGATTAGATCAATTTTTTGGTTGTGTTGTTCAAATATTCCATATAGTTTACGATTTTTTTTGCTTACTTGTTCTATCAATTACTGAGAAAGTGGTGTTGGAATCTCTTAACTCTCTCACTGCTATAAAAGTTCTAGCAATTTTTGCTTCATGTATTTTGAAGCTCTGAAATTAGATACATAAATGCTTATAATTACATGACCATTTAATGAATTTACCCATTAATTATTATGAAATTACCTTCTTTATATCCAGTACTATTTTTTTGCTCACAGATCCACTTTTATATTAAATATAGCCAACCCAGCTTTGTTTTGTTAATGTTAACATTGTATATTTTTTCTTTTTTTTCTTATAATTGATAAAGTGTTTCTCCCAAGCCACATATAGTTATTAATAGATCTTAATTTTCACATAATCTGACAATATCTGCCTTTTCATTAAAATATTTAGGCTATTTACATTTATTTTAATTCATGATATGGTTAGGTTTAAATCTATCATTATCTCGCTATTAGTTTTCTAAATGTTCTATCTGTTCTTTCTCTTTTCCTCTGTTTTCACTTATTTTGGATTAACTAAATATTTTTGTTACTCCATTTTATCCTCTCTGTTGTTAGTTTTGTTATTTTAGTTACTGCTTTAGAGTTAACTCTATACATCTTTAACTTATCACAGTTTACCTTCAAGTGATATTATACCACTTTATATATAGTATAAAAACCTTATATTAATATACTTCCATTTTCCCCCTTCTGGCATTTGTGCTTTTACTGCCATGTATTTGATTCTCACTCATGTTTTTAACTCCATATTACATTGTGATTGTTTTGGTTTAAGCAATTTTTGAGATTTAAATTATACCAAAAATTCTTCTTTATTTACCCATGTGGCAACCAGTTTTAATGCCCTTCCCTCTTTATATTTATCACTGGTTTTGATAAATTTGTTTATGATGTGCCTTGTTGAAGATTTCTTCATATTTTTTGTGATTAGGGCTCATTGGACTTCTTGGATTTATAACTTTATCAAAATTGGAACAATTTTAAGCATCATTTCTTCAAATATCTTTCTTTCCAATCCTCCCTCCCTTTCCTTCAGTGACCTTAATTATATATATATTAGGTTGCTTGAAGTTATCCCACAACTCACTGATGTCCTCTTTCATATCCTCTTTTCTCTTGTGTTTCATTTTGGATAATCTCTATTGTTATGTCTTCAAGTTTATTCATCTTTTCCAGAGTTTAATTTAGGTCTTTTTTGTATCTTCCATATCTAAACTTTTTGAACATATGGGATAGAGTTGTAATGACTACCTTGAAGTCCATCTCTTCCATATCTACTCAATCTAACATTCATGTCATCTCTGGATAACTTTTGATTGTTTGATTTTTCTCCTCATTAGTGGTTGTGTTTTCCTGCTTCTTTACATGCCTGATAGTTTTCAATTAAATGCCAGACATTGTAGATCTTCCTTGATGGGTGCTCATTATTTTTGGATTTCAATAAATATACTTAAGCTTTGTTCTGGAAGAGTTGTTACTTAGAAATAGTTTGATTCATTCTGGCTTTGGTTTTATGATTTGTTGGGAAGGTCTGGAGCATGCTCAGTCATGGGTTAGTTATTCTTCACCACTGAGACAAGAACCTTTCAGCCCATGAATCATGAGGTTTTCAAGTCTGACTGGAGGAAACCAGCACTATTGCTGGCACTGTGTGAGTGTTAGCCACTGTTACCCCTAACATTTTCAGCTGGTTCCTTCTGTAGGCTGGTTAATTTCTTCACATTTACATGGTAATTATTATTCCACTGAATTGAAAGGTACTCTCTGCAGACCTTGGAAATTCTCTTTAAAAGCAGCTCTCTCCTTTCGAGGACTCTTTTTTTGTATGTGAATCCTAACCGCCTTGACCTCCCCATTCACTCAGCTTCATCTCCTCACTTAGGGTGTCCCCTGGGCTTCACTTGGGTTTTCCTTCCCTGCACAGTGGCCTGGAAACCCTCTCAAGGCAATAAGTAAGGGAAACTGTGGGGCTCACCTTGTTTATTTTTCTACTCTCAGGGATTCACTATCTTTCAGTGTCTGATGTCCAACATCTTTAAACTTGTCGTTTCACACATTTTATTAATTCTTGGTTGTTTCAGTGTAAATTTGGCCCCAATTACTTCACTTTTACCGACAGCAGAAGTCCCAGTTCAAGTGGATTACTTCTTTCAGATTCTGATAAGAACCATCACCCTGCTCTCCCATGGTATTGGGAGAGTTATTTCGAATATCCAAGGTGGGTAGTAACTTAATTTCTGAAATTTCCCAGGTGATTCTGTGATTGTCATTGATCTTCCCCAAATAAGAATCACTACTATATTGTTTTTAAGATTGTAGGATCTGCTAATAAATCTGCTATAAAATTAGCGTGTAATAGAATTTCATATTTTCCAAAAAGTATACAACAAAACCACTAAATGAGACTATCAAAATCATATTTTTAACAAAGTAAATTATCTAAAACAAAATATAAAGGTTTACTGTCTTGCACATATTCATAAGAAGAAATATAATTAACAAAAGTCACTAATGAAAATATTTGTAACTCATATATTCCTTGTTGGGTTCCAAGAGTTATCAAAGATGAGAAAAACTCAATTCCTGCACTCAATGTAAGAAAAGTATAGTAAAACAATAAGCATTATCATGCATTATTATGGTATCTATTTATTTTAAAAATTATAACCTTAATTTTTGTTTGTGGACATGTGTCTGGTAATATTATTAATACATGTGCATTGATAATTTAATCAATACATGCTTTATTTCCAGCATTAACAATATCTGTATATAAATGTGAGAAAAATTCTATCATCCAATACGGTATTTTATAAACATCCTTATACATAATATGTGAGGGTTGTAGTTCTGCAACCACTGTGAAAGTCTTGATAAGCATTTTAAAAGGAAAAATTTCATGTAAATTTTACTGATAACTCATATATAACTTATTTACGAAAAGAAAAGATAGTATGTATTATCACTTTTTTCTATTTCTGCTATCAGAGTGATCATTGTTTTAAAAGTCAAACAGTTCATAAATGCTTACAAGAAAAGACAGTGGCCTCTATCCAACAAACCTCTAACTCCCCATGTCCTATTCTCCAAGTATAGCCACTTGCAGCTTCTTTAGCTGTTTTTCTGCAAGTTTCTAAATATAAATCTTATATTTTTTATTTATCAAGCTTAGATATTATCCCTTAGCTTCTTGTCAATTTAGATGAGAATTTAGCTGATAGTGGTGCTTTTCTTCAGCACCACCATCAACTCCTCCCCTTCCACCTACCCATCTTCCCAGGAGAGTGAAGTTGCAATTTATGGTTACATAGGTAGTCAGTGTTTGCATAACTTTGTCTGTGTAATATTGTTCGCTGTTGAGCCAAATGATGTCCAATGATGACATTTCTTTTACTAGCCTCATTTACTCAGATTTACATGAATTATCACTGAATTTTTAAAATATTTCCACACATCTACCAACCACTAGTAATATTTTTCAAACATTCAAAACACATTGGATAGTCTGCTAATTTCATCTCTTTCCTGCCCACCCTCTTAAATGCCTCTCCATCCTTCTGCTCAAATCCATACAGCTTGCTGTCTGGGACTTCAGCTTTACCGTCACCTTCTAACATCCAAACTGAATGATTCTGACAATATTTCTCCAGTCAACATTTGAATTGATATATTTTTCTGCCATGAGTGGTAATGTCCAAGTCTTCTTTCAAGAGTACGTGTAATAACTTCTGTCTAGGCAATGAGGAGACAATGTGGAGAACTTCTGCCACTTAGCACGTGGGGGAAAAGTTGATAATTAAGATAGATACTATTTATTGACCTTATTCATGCCATGACCTGTTCCAAGTACTTGACATAATGTCTTTTATCCTTACTACATCTCTTTGAGGTTGGTACCCATTATCTTTATCCTCATTTTACAGATGAAGAGACTGAGATTCAGAAACATTCAGTAACTTACCCAGTGTCCCAGAAAGAGAATATCAGAATTTAGTTTGAAACCCAGGTTTTATCCTACCCCTAAGGTATGTTCATAACTATTTCACTGTATTATCTCCATATTGTATGAAGAAGGATGGTTTAGCTCTGATTGTTGGAGGAAAAGACAAGAAGGGGCCTAGAAGAAAAATGAATGGCTTGTATGCCTTAAGGAAATGGTTCAGTCCCAGCTTTGCCAGTCACCAGCCAGATATTTGGGGGCAAGTCACATGACATTTAATATTAAAAACCACTGTGAGAATCAATATTTATTGAACATTTACTCCTAGCTAGACACTTTTATATGTTTTATCTAATTTTAGTTCCACAAGAATATTTTGATATAGGTGTTCTTTTTATCATTACTATTATTACACTTGATCTTAGCCAAAGGATGAGAAGCAATCATCATTGCTGTAACTATTGCTATTGTTACTATCATTGGTAGCCTTACTTTATAAATGGAGGAGCATATCATAGGGCTCCATTCCCCTCGCCTTTCACACGAGTGAGTTGAACTGATTATCTCTAAATTGTCTCTTTCTAAAAATGCATGCCTTTGAAAATATAAAAAGTAAGGTCTAAAAGTACATATTTGATTTGAACATCTCAGAGAAAAAAATACCAATTACAGAATTTTCAAGCTGAAAGGAAATTTAGAGATCATGTCCAACTGCCTCATCTTTCAGATGAAGAAGCTGAGGCCCAGAAAAATATTAATTAGAGCTCCCAGTGTCACACAGCTAGTACACAAATGTGATAATTCCCAGTTTAGTGCTTGATATGGTTTTGCTGTGTCCCCACTCAAATCTCATCTTGAACTGTAGTTCCCATAATCCCCATGTGTCATGGGAAGGACCTGGTGGGAGGTAACTGAATCATGGGGGTGGTTACCTCCATGCTGTTCTGATGATAGTGAATGAGTTTTCATGAGATCTGAGGGTTTTATAAGAGGCTTTTCCCCCTTTGCTCAGCACTTCTCCTTGCTGTCACCATGTGAAGGACATGTTTGCTTCCCCTTCTGCTACGATCGTAAGTTTCCTGATGCCTCCCAGCCATGCCAAATTGTCAATTAAACCTCTTTCCTTTATGAATTACCCAGTCTCAAGTATGCCTGTATTAGCAACAAAAGAACAAATTAATACAGTGCTTCTGTTAAACTTCAGAAAGCAGGGAGGTGGCACATAAAGTGAATAGGGGGAGAGGGAGAGGAAATACAGAGAAATAAAGAGTAAGCAGTGTAGAAGTCCCTGTCATCATCCATCCGTTCATCCGTCCAGGTAATTGAGAGACTCCAGAAATAAGGAGTACAAGAGGGAATACAAAAGCATGCTATGCTGAGAAGGAGTTCACAATTCAGAGAGAAAAGGTTTAAAAATTATTTCCAAACATCATAATAAATGCAGTAATTTGTAGTCTTAGCCCAGAACATAGAGCTGTATGTGTAATTTGGCATCTCAAACTTAAAACTATTCATAATAAAACTCTCACTATCAATTGGCCACCATCAAGGCTTGCCATCTCAGTGAATGGCACCACCATTTATCTGGATACTCATACCAGAAATCAGCAGACATCTTTATTTCCTTCTCACCCTGTATCCATAAAACAAATCCTCTTGATCCGATTTCCAAGACACAACCTAAATATGAATGCTTCTCTCCTCCATTTCCACAACTCTAAGCCACCATATTCTCTTGTCTGGGATATTAATATAGATTTCTAAACAGTCTCTCTTCTTCTTCTCTGGGCCCCTTACAATACATTTTCTACCTAGCAACCAGAATGTCTCTAAGAGCAAGTGAACCAATGACGTCACTTCCTTTTTTTAAGTCTACCAATGGTCACAATAGCCTCCTTTCTGTAGTTTATAGCTGAGCTTATTAAGCACTTTCCCCAAAGAACCCCCAAAAATACAACTAGCTTGTCAGCTACCAGTTAACTAGGCAAACTACTAGCAAAAAGAGCCATTCGTGACTTCAGTTACCAGAGTTTGTTACATGGTACCTTTCTTAAGAACAGCAAACAACAACAGGACATTGCTAGCTACACAATGCAATCACAAAAAAACAGAAATGTTCTAAAGCCATGTTCTTATCACTCCAAAATCTAACTTACTGACACCCATGTTTACTCCCCTCAATATGTGATCAGCATTGAGCTTCAAACATTCTATTATTATATGCGTTGATACATGTGAGTGAGTTCAATTCCCCAACTAGGAGATAAACTCATATTTTCTTATCTGCAAGCTCCACAAGGATAGAAGAAAGAAAATGCAAAGGTTAACAGAGCAACATGATCTTAGCACTCTTATAACTCAATCAAGTGGGAAGACCGATAATAAACACACAATTACAAATGTGATTCCTATTACAAAAGTAGAAGTACAAGGTGTTTAGGGGGAATTGAAGAGAATGCCCATCTGAGCAAAGGATCACACAAGTTGAGACCTGAAAAATAAACAGGAGTTACCACAATCACCTAGGCAAAGGAGATACCTGGGTGGGATATGGGAACAAAGGAGATGCTTCTGGCAAAGGAAACAGCAGGTGAACAAAAGGTAAACATGGCATGGTTCTGCCACCACGTATTGCCTTAATATTTTCACATCAACCACCTTTGAAAAATCCAGCTTTTTCAAAATTGTAAATTGAATTAAATTTATTATTAAAATTTTACCTTGTCCACAAACTGCTTTGCCTGATCCCTTATCTAAAAGAACACCCCAGTCACTCTCTATCTCTTTCTTCTTACCTTGCTTTATTTTTCATCCTAGCCCCTTGGAATGGCATATAGTTAGGATTTTTTATTTTCTATCTTTCTTCCCTTACTAGACTCTGACCACCATGACAGCAGGGTCTTGGTTTGTTCTTGTGTTTGGTTTGTCTGGATTTTTTTTTCCAGTGCTATATTCCATATCCCAATTAATCCCAGTCACCAAGACAGTGTCAGCACATATCCATTATCAGTCTCACGTGATAGGAATCCAGGTCATCTAATTTCAGGGTATATTTTTGTTAATAGCCAAGGTTATTCAGAAGTACATCATCAAGGGCTTAAATTGGAACATTCTTTTAACAAATCTTTTCAAAAAATCCCAAATGAAGCATAAGATTCTATTATGTATCTCTAAATTTGTCCCCATTATTTCCACTGATTGTTTCCTTTTTTTTGTTGGTACAAACCTAAACGTGACAGGCATCTAGCTATATTCAAACCTGAGTCAAAGATAGGACTACTACCAAATGCATAATTTGATTCAGATTTTTGGTGTTCATGTCTGTCTGTCTATATTTTAACTTTATCTGGGTCTAAATGATGCTATAGCATCTGGATACAAGGAAAGATAGTAGTCAATCACCTAGACATTTTTTGGAACACTGCACTTTACTTTCATTGATTTGGGCATGTCTAAATATTAAATGATATGTAAACAAAGCAAATTAGGTACTGGGTTTTTTCTTTTTGTCTATTTGCTTATTTTCTTTCATGTTTCATTCAGATACATTTGTGCCATGATGACAAATGCTCAAGACAGACAAAAAAATGCAGTGTATAAATAAACTCCAATTTAGTAGGTACATAACCTGCGTTGTAGTTTTTGCCCTACCAGTAACTTTGAGCAAATGACTTAACAATGCCTTCATTTCCTCATCAATCAGGGGTGATAATGCCTACCTGACACAGCGCTGTTAGCAGGAATAGAGTGATAAAAGAGACCTGAAATCATGTCAAATATTTGAGAGTACGATAATTTATAAATGTAAGATACTGTTATTGTTTGATATTTCTTTTTTAGCTTACACAGATAAATAAAAGGCTTTTCTTCTCCAAATTCTTAGGAACTTACAATAACATCTCTCCCTATTTTACATACTATGCTTTTATATGAGATATGAAATACCTTCATTCCAGAGCCTCCTATCCCTTTAGCTACCCAGCAACTCTTATTATAAAGTAGCTTAATGCATCAGCGTGGCTGGGAGATTATTATTGGTGTGGAAGATGTTTTTACACAGTCTACAATTTCTTTATACCCAAACGTTTTCAACCTAGTAGTAAATAGATTCCACTGTGCTATTTTTTAAAATTTAGTAATCACTTTATTAGAAAATGGAATGTTTCCAGTGGTTCCTTTATGGCTCTGAAGGGTACTAGAGACTTTTTCATCACATTTCCTTCTCCGACTTCATTTTTTCATAACTGTTGTCTTTGAGGCACCAGCATCTGCTCAGAGCGACCTCTAACTATGTCAAGTGATAAACAAATACATGAATGGTAGAGAAATCCCATCTATAAAGTGATAGCTTGATCTATAGAATAACACCCATATTGATTTTTGTGTGTTTCCAATGACTTAACTGATGTTGTTTTTCATTAAACTAATAAGTTTTGGCATCATGGAAGCACAATATGTTGTTAACATTTGGTCAAAATTAAAAATGAATTATCTTGCTTGTTTGTTTATTCTGGGGCTTAGTCCTCTGATCACCCTAGGTTAATTTTCAACGTCAGTGAACTGAGGCATACTTCTAACAGAGCTCACAGAAAGAATTTCAAAATATTCCCTCTCACCAGCTCCTTCTTCCTCCCCTTGACACCAAAATATTGATCAGCTCTTCTCTGGGTGTCCTATGGAGATGACCAGGATGCATGCTTAGGAGTGAACAGCAGGCTGAAGAAACGTGGGACCAATGCCACTGGGTCCTATTTGTAATTAATTTGCTTTTTATTTACAGAAAGAATTTCTTTCTGATTATAAAAGTATTAATAGTATCAGTTCTTTGTAGTACAAAATTTGGAAAAAGCAGAAAATGTAAAGAGATAGGCGAGTTGCCTATAATACCGCTAGCCATAAATAACCATAAACAATACTAAATTTTCAATTGGTTTTTAAACATTTTCTTCATGATTCCCCTTGAGGATGAACACTAACCTGAATTTTTTTAAAAATGCTAAGTTTTCCTATATGTCACCTAATGTTGATCTTTATAGGGGAGGGAGACAGAATATCAGATTATTTGCACTTCTTACATTTTATGATATGGATTCTAATTTTAGAATATATGCTAAAAGCATAGGTTAAGAGTCCTTTCACTAATAAAGTATACTAGTGCCAGAACCTATAAAAGAACAACAGATTAACCAGGAAGACAACTTCAGTATTGGGCTGATGACAACCAGATGTAAAGCTAGAAGAAAAAAAGATAGGTGATCTATAGCTGAAAATACATAATGATAGTGGGTAAAATATGTGGTGTTTGAAGTCATACAAACTTGGATTCTCGTCTTTGCTCTATCACCTCAATGCTGTGTGACCTAAAACAGGTCACTTAATTTCTCTGTGCCTGTTTTCTCAACTATAAAATAAGTATAATAGCAGTACCAACCTAAGATTTAAAAAGAGGGAATACATGTAAAGCACTCAGAACAGTGCCCCTCAGACAGCAAGCACTCAGTAATCCTGGCTGCTGGCAGTGGCAATAGTACACTATTTATCAGGCTCTAAGCTAAATGTTTAACATACATTGCCTCATTTACCCCCACACTAACCTAGAAAGTAGGATTAAATGAGAATGTACCCAGAGCACATTACCATGCATAAGCTTGAATTACAAATGAGAAAACGGAGGTATAAAAATATGTAATTATCTTGCCCAAGGCCATAGAATGTTTGAGTGATAGGGTCCGGATTCTCACCCAGGGCGCAAATGACGCTACGGTCTGAGGACCACCACCAGCATAATCAGAATCTCTGTGATGGAGCCCAAGAGTCTGCACATTTAACAAGTTCCCCAGGAAGGTCTCAGACCTCAGATCATGGATTTTTGCTCCTGAGTGGTCTACATAGGAAAGTCGCTTTCTGTCACTTTTTTCCAGAAAGGAGTAACTTCAAAACCGCAGTGGAAGCTCAAAAACTCATATTTTATTCAGAGCCCTGTAAAAAGCAGCCCCCTCCCCCCCCCCCAAAAAAAATATGAAAGGATAATTTCAGAGCAGGTGAGAGTATTGCTCCAATAAGAAACCAACAGGGTACAACATAGGGGCAGGCTGCAGCAAATGCTTTCCTTCTTTCCTGCCTGAAGGTGTCTGTTTGAGCGGGATTGATTTTTATCTTACACTGGATGAATTGATACATAGATTTAATTATATCCTGTGTTGTTCCATCAATACTGCTTTGCAGCTATTTTACATTCAGCCTGGGTGCCAGATTGAATTAAATGGTTTTTTTAAAGCCTATAAAGCAGGAAAATATCTTTCCCTGGTTGGTATTTTTTACATATTGGTTACTAAGAGTCTGTAAGCTAAAGCGGGTTGTAAAGTTCATTTGCTAGAGAGGAAGCTGATTTGACTTTTATGGCTGTTAATTTTTTATGGAGCACAGAGCAGAATTACTGGTGTTGTCCCTAACTTAGACACCACTGTAGCTGTTGGGATTGAGGGTACCTCCATTTGGGAAGTAGTTATCCTGACCATCCCTAAGGAGACGAAGGATCAGATACAAATAGTTTCCAGGTCCTGGTAATAAGATCCAACCATATGTGAGATACCTACTATGAGACACAGAAAAATACTGCTACTGCTTTAACACCAGATGGAACATATTGTAGGCTGCAAGTAATGGTGGATAGAGTGAAAACAGCTTGATTATTTAAGAGAAGTCATTGTCACAATGGAGGCATCCCCAAAATATATTAACTCATCATCTTTCTTATGTGCCTACTATGTGCCATGTATTGTTCTACCAATGTAGTTTACAGCAACAAGAATTTACAAAAGCAAGCAAAGAACCTACCTTTATAGATGTCACATTCCAGTGGGGGAAGTCAGACAATAAACAAGCAAAAAAATGCTCATCAGGTGTTAGTAAGTAAGTGCTGAGATGGAAAATAAGGCAAGATAGAGAATAGAGAGTACAGTAACTGAAGGGAGTTCTAGTTACATAGGGTGCTCACAGAAGAGATCGCTGATATTAGGTGACACATTATGCCATCCACCTCACTTGGGAAGAGATGTTTAAAGAATTTTTCTACAATGTTTCTGTACATGTAAAAACTGTTGCTTCATTCAACAAATAGAGTATGACATTATTATGTAGTACATCACACTAAGTTACTTTGAACTTCACTATACCCTTTTTTTGTTCATTCACTCTATAGCTATTTATGGACTGTTTCAAATTTTTCAGGTAGTGTGCCAGGGCTGGAAAAATAATAGCTCATAGTTATGGAGGATTTACTAAGTGAAACACTGTGCAGAGCACTTTACATGGCTTAATAGGCTGGCAGGGCAGATATTATTATCTCCACTTGCCAAGAAGGAACAGAATCTTGATGGGTTTCAGAATGCCCCTGTTTGTGTCTCTGTTCAGTGCCAGAGCAAAGATGAAAATAATGTTTTCTGATCCCCATTCTAGTTCTCCTTAAACTACAACATATAAAACCTTAGGTTACATTCTGTCCTCTTTTGAAGCAAAAGAGATAATGTACATCCCAGAATAAATATACCTCATTGCTAACTGAACCTCAAAAACATGTATAATTTAACCCCCTCCCTTCAGACAAATAAATTGGTATTAACTTCATTTATAGACAAAGCTTTTGCCAACAGAGTTCAATCAGCCCAGGAAACAGGCTAGTAACTTTATAGTACAAACCAGATGTCTGAATAGATGATGCCTGTAGTCAGAGCTCCTCAGCAGGGCTGACAATTGGGCAAGGGCCTGCATGGCACCCTCTGCTCTCACCTCACCCCTGAGAACATCTCCTCTGTTGACTCACCTCCTCCCTCATGCCCCTCCAGGCAAGTTTTCACTGACACTTGCAGAAACCCTACAACAACCGTCTTTCTTGCTCATCTCCTCAGAGACGACCTTCTGGAGCAACTGCTGCTCACCAGAATGGCTGTCTGATTTTTATACTCCAAGATCAAAGGTCTTAGATGTCTAGTTCACAGAATCTAGAAGAAGGAGAAGACTTCAAACATCATTCTAGACTAACCTCCTTCATTCACAAATGGGACTCACAAAGGATGTATGATATGTGGCTAATTAGTCCTAGAACCAATCTAGATTTTTGTGAGCGAAATGTTCTTTGTATTCTAACACGTTGCTTTTTAGGTCTCAATATTGGAAAAGATAAGATCTCTAAAATTAATATTTGAGGCATTTGCTACAGGTTAATAGCACACATATTTGAGGGCAGTTTGTCTTTCTGACATCTCACAACTCATACCCCTTAGCCAACCAGCTACCCTGCCCATCCATAGGGTAAGTCCACTTCCAACAGGCTCTTCATGATGATTGGTTTTTCTCTACATCCCGTGGTAAGTGTCCTGGGCCTCTACCATTAGTTGTAGGGTGACTCTGATACAGAATGAGCTAAAAGAAATCAGGATTGTTTTCCCCTAAATTATCATACACATTTCAAAAATAACTAGTGATTACTTCAAAGTGCTCTAAAATCACCAACTTACTTTTGGAATGATTAGCATAATTAACATAATCTTCATTTTAAAAGTGACAAAATTGTGAGACAAAGAAAGATCACCCAGGTAGCTGGTAGAAGAGAGAGGCCAGAAATTAAATTCATGCCATTCTCAGCTTAATGTAATTACTCTGGACCATTTTTTTTAATTCAGGAAGAAAAGGAGGTAATAATAAAAATTACAAAATGTATTGACCACTCACTGTATGCCAGACTATGCCCTAGCTCACTTAATCTGCATGGCATCCCTATAAGCTAAGCTTTATTATTATCTTTGTTATACACATGGGAAAATTTAAGCTTAATATAATTAAATAATTTGATTGAGTTAATAAATTTAATAACTGGCAAAGCCAAGACTTGAATGCAGGCTGCCTGATCCTGCCATCCACACTTAGCCACTGTACTCTACTGGTAATGGAGCCCTTTCTTGCCAGCATGAACAATAGATCTTGGCAGGTGTGAACCCTTATCATGACTCCCATCAAGTCTCCTTATCTCTACTGTCCTTTCTAAAACACTTAATCATATGTCCTTTTACCTTCCCATGTGTACTGCACCCACACAGCTGCCTATACTGTGCTTCCTGCTGTAATCCCTCTCTGTGGCAGGCAGAATTTTGGCCCCCTGGTGCCATATCTATGACTACGTCACTTTACATGGCAAAAGGGACTTTGTGTATATAATTAAGGTTATTAGTGACCTGAAAATAGATATTACTGTAGATTATTTGGGTGAACCCAATGTGATCACGTGAGTCTTTAAAATCAAAGGACAGAAGAAGTCAGAGAGATGTGACAGAGAGGAACATCAGAGAGACAACCAGGGTGAGAAGGAGTAAATGCATCACTGTTAACTTGATGATGACAGGTGTCATATGTCAAGGGAATAGAGTCCTACAAGAAACAGGTCCAGGAGCTAAATTCTGCCAACAACTGGTGAACTTGGAAGAGGACACTGAACCCCAGATGGGAACTACATGGGATACCTTGATTGAGTCTGGTGAGTACCTAACCAAAGAAGCAAGTGCTGCCATGCTGAACTTCTGACCTACAGAAACTGAAATAACAAATATGTGTTGTTTTAAACTGCTAAATTTGTGGAAATTTGTTATTAGAGCAATAGAAAACTCATGTACTCTCTTCTGTATCATAAGCTTCTGCTTTTATTTCAAGGTCCACCTGGGACAAGAAAAACAGATGTCTCAACTTTAATATAAAACTTAAAATATGAAGCAAGTATGTGCAGTTTTCCTAAGGTCTCTTTCTACTCTTCAACAAAGTAAACCTTATGATTGTCAGTAGCAAACTAAAGCTGTTCCTTCAAAGAAGAATGAGGGAGAAGAGACCACTGCAAAAAGGAACATATTTTTCATATGCAAATAAGGCATCCTTTCAGATAAAGACTCTTAAAACAAGACAGACGATTCAATATGGTTTATGCCTTGCACTTCATCTGTGCAGATTTCATGTTAAAATGAATCATGTGTCTGTACATGTTGTTTACTTGTGGGATGCAATCTGTCGGAAAAACAAAAGCATTTCTGCAAACCAAAGTCATGCCTAAATTCCACCACATTCTCCTGCAATGTCCAGGCTGTAGCCCCAAGCTGCATGGGCACTTCCACCCACTCTGGCTCCCCCCAGAGCCATTACCTCAGCAAGCAGCCCAGGTACCATGGAGAAGGGCACAATCTGTGCCACTGCTGGTGGGCACTGCCACAGGCCCCAAAGCTTGCCCTTCAGGGGAGGAGGGGGGCTTTGCAAGATAAGCCTTTGCTCCCTTCTCTAGCTTCTGTTTTCTGTAAATGAAACCACTTCCCCACTCCTCTCTCCCCACTTCCACAGCTCCTCTCTCTCATTCGAACCATCGGTTATTGTGCTTTTGGAGCTAGGTCAAAGAACCACCCGTATGAGTTTTATCAGCTACAGAAAGAAAACTAACACGAAGAAAATAGTCTACAGAGAGAAGATTCTTCCCGAGGAAACTCTTTTCTACCAAATGATCAATTAGAAATAGATAGCATGTCACGGGTCATTGACAGTGGATTAAAATCTATCTGATCAATTTCCACATCCCATGTTCCTTCTTTTCCCATCTCTCACACTAAAAAGTGTATCAAGTTGTGGGTGTCCTTTTGCCATGTTGAATTACAATAGTTAGGTCTCTTCAGGAGAGGAAAATGTCTGTCAAACAATTTCATATTGGATCCTGGATGAATGAGCCATTTGGAGGACATGACAAAGATTCAGCTAATTTCAACAAGTTCATTTCTCTCCTGCCAGAGTCTGGATCCATTTAGCAGGTCCACGGAAAAGTCTCATTCAAAAGTATGGAACACCTATACTAATTCCTGCCAGATTTATAAATATTTAAGTCCTGGTCCCAACTAATTGCACTGGTCTCCCCCTTCTGATTGTGTGGATCTAACTTGACCCCTCTATGGGTTTGCCAAAGCCATAATGCTGTCATTTTTTAAGGAGGAGCCATGTTAGTTTTATCCAAAAAGACAAAATGTTGCAGCTGGAAAATGAGTTGTATACACTGCAGATAAGATTCTGAAAGCAATTTAGAGGCCATCTGAGCTTCACTGAGTGCCCCCTTCTGCCTACTGTCCAGCCATCATGCATGGATCAGAATTTCATCCTCTGGAGTGCATCCAAGAAAGCAAAAGCTGAGGCTGCATGGGAGGCGACACGTCACTACGTGGTTCCTTGCAACAATAGCGTGAACCAGAATCTCCACATAATAGGAAGCGGCCACTCAAAATGGCCTTGCCTTCTCCTACTCAATGTCAGTTATTAATATTACTTTGGCCACTAATGAGAGAGGAAGAGGAAGCTATTAAACCTGATTTACCCAAATACCAATTAATAGGAAAATTCTACCCATTTTTTTTTTGGTAAGGGGCAAATTCTGCTGGGAAATTACTATAGGAGAATTTCTGGTGAGATATTATCATCAGAGTGGTCCTGACTGGTATTACAAGAACAGGAATTAAAAGCTATGATAGCCCCTGTCTTCCAAGAAACAGAAGTTTATGCACGACAATATATTTACCTGTGCCTTACTTCTGCTGAGACATTATATTAGTCTGTTTTCATGCTGCTGATAAAGAAATAGCCAAGACTGGTAAGAAAAAGAGGTTTAATTGGACTTAGAGTTCCACATGGCTGGGGAGGCCTCAGAATCATGGCAGGAGGTAAAAGGCACTTCTTTCGAGGCAGTGGCAAGAGAAAAATGAGGAAGAAGCAAAAGCAGAAACCCCTGATAAACCTCTCAGATCTCATGAGACTTATTCACTATCATGAGAATAGCATGGAAAAGACCAGCCTCCATGATTCAATTACCTCCCCTTGGGTCCCTCCCACAACATGTGGGAATTATGTGAGATACAATTCAAGTTGAGTTTTGGGTGGGGAAACAGCCAAACCATATCATTCCACCCCTGGCCTCTCCAAATCTCTTATCCTCACATTTCAAAACCAATCATGCCTTCCCAACAGTCCCCCAAAGTCTTAACTCATCTCAGCATTAACCCAAAAGTTCACAGTCCAAAGTCTCATCTAAGACAAGTCAAGTCCCTTCCGCCTATGAGCCTGTAAAATGAAAAGCAAGCTAGTTACTTCCTAGATACAATAGAAGTACAAGCATTAGTTAAATACAGCTACCCCATATGGGAGGAATTGGACAAAACAAAGGGATTACAGGGCCCATGCAAGTCCAAAATCCAGCAGGGGAGTCAACTTTTAAAGCTCCAAAATGATATCCTTTGACTCCAGATCTCACATCCAGCTCACGCTGATGCAAGAAGTGGGTTCCCATGGTCTTGGGCAGCTCTGCCCCCATGGCTTTGCAGGATACAGCCTCTCTCCTGGCTGCTTTCACAGGCTGGCATTGAATGTCTACAGCTTTTCCAGGTGCATGGTGCAAGCTGTCTGTTGGTGAACTACCATTCTGGGGTCTGGAGGGCAGTGGCCCTCTTCTCACACCTCCACTAGGTGGAGCCCCAGTAGGGACTCTGTGTGGGGGCTCCAACCCCACATTTCTCTTATGCACTACCCTAGCAGAGGTTCTCCATGAGGGCTCCACCCCTGCAGCAAACTTTTGCCTGGGCATCTGGACATTTCCATACACATTCTGAAATCTAGGTGGAGGTTCGCAAACCTCAGTTCTTGACTTCTGTGCACCCACATGCTCAACACCACGTGGAAGCTGCCAAGGCTTGGGGCTTCCACCTCTGAAGCCACAGCCTAAGCTACATGTTGGCCCCTTTCAGCCATGGCTAGAGGAGCTTGGACACAGGGTACCATGTCCCTAGCCTGCCCACAGCATGGGAACCCTGGGCCCAACCCATGAAACCACTTTTTCCTCCTGGGCCTCTGGGCCTGTGATGGGAGGGGACCGCGGTGAAGTTATCTGACATGGCCTGGAGACATTTTCCCCATGGTCTTGGGGATTAACATTAGGCTCCTTGCTACTTAGGCAAATTTCTGCAGCCAGCTTGAATTTCTCCTCATAAAATGGGTTTTTCTTTTCTATCATATAGTCAGGCTGCAAATTCTCCAAACTTTTATTCTTGCTTCTTTTATAAAACTGAATGCCTTTAATAGCACCCAAGTTACCCCTTGAATGCTTTGCTGCTTAGAAATTTCTTCTGCCAGATACCCTAAATCATCTCTCTCAAGTTCAAAGTTCCAAAAATCTCTAGGGCATGGGCAAAATGCCACCAGTCTCTTTGCTAAAACATAACAAGAGTCACCTTTGCTCCAGTTCCCAACAAGTTCCTCTTCTCCATCTGAGACCACCTCACCCTAAATTTTATTGTCCATATCGCTATCAGAATTTTGGGCAAAGCCATTCAACAAGTCTCTAGGAAGTTCCAAACTTTCCCACATTTTCCTGTCTTCTTCTGAGCCCTTCAAATTGTTCTAACCTAAGCCTGTTTACGAGTTCCAAAGTCACTTCCACATTTTCGGGTATCTTTTCAGTGATACCCCACTCCTAGTACCAATTTACTGTATTAGTCTATTTTCACACTGCTGATAAAGACATATCTGAGACTGGGAAGAAAAAGAGAAGTTTAATTGGACTTACAGTTCCATGTGGCTGTGGAGGCCTTAGAATCATGGTTGGAGGCAAAAGTCACATCTTACATGGTGGCAGCAAGAGAAAAATGAGGATGAAGCAAAAGTGGAAACCCCTGATAAACCCATCAGATCTCATGAGACTTATTCACTATCCTGAGAATAGCATGGGAAAGATCGGCCCCCATGATTCAATTATCTCCCCCAGGTCCCTCCCACAACATGTGGGAATTCTGGGAGATATATTTCAAGTTAAGATTTGGGTGGAGACAGAGCTAAACCATATCAGACACCTTGGCATTGTCATTTTAAACAAAAGTCCCCTTAATTGGGCAAAGGAGAGAGGAACAATCCATGCTATGATTTCCAAAAGGTAATTGTCAGTCAGTGTAAGTAAGGAAGGAAAAAATGGGACAGCTGAACCTCTGAAGCAGATCCTGCAGAAAGACTCCTGTAAGTCCCACCTGAGGTACTCCTTTTAAGAGCATAGCATCTCAAGGGGAAAAGAGCCAAGCCTTAAGAGGATATATATTGACCAAGATTTGTTGGGGTCACTACATTCATTCTATAAGGATTCACAAGTATGAAAATAGCTTTCCTTTTTTTTTTTTTTTTTTTTTTTGAGACAGAGTCTCACTCTGTCACCCAGACTGGAGTGCAATGGCACGATCTCCACTCACTGCAACCTCTACCACCCAGGTTCAAGCGATTCTCCTGCCTCGACCTCCTGAGTAGCTGGGATTACAGGTGCCTGCCACTGGGCCCAGCTAATTTTGGATTTTTAGTAGAGAAGGGGTTTCACCATCTTGGCCAGGCTGGTCTTGAATTGCTGACCTCGTAATCCACCCGCCTCAGCCTCCCAAAGTGCTGGGATTACAGGCATGAGCCACCGTGCCCGGCTGAAGATAGCTTTCCTGTATCCTTGACACACGAGAAACACTAGTGTTTTCTCTCACGCTTGATTTTCTGGATAGGGGCATGCAGGTTGGCAAAAGCAAATGGTTAGTGGGGAAGGACAGCAATCATGTCCAGACCCATGATATAGAATGTATGAAGGGTGAGGAGTGAGGGGAAGCTGATGAGGCTTCAAAACTGGATCCAGAAAGAGAAATTTAGGTTTAACTCAGCTGTTCATTTACTCATTCACTCATGGAACAAATGTTTGTTGTATGCCTAGTCTGTGTCAGGTCTTTTAGAGCTCCTTAGTACAAATTACTTTACAAACGCTTTAAGAAATCCTGAACAAAAAGAAAAAAAGATTACTTAACCCAAGTTTCCCCAAATGTATCTAATCCTTAGAATCCTATTCTTTTCCCTCTAAGAACATTTAGAACATTCAGAGAATTAGTGTTCCTTGGGACACAGTTTTAGAAGTGCTAGTGTAGAGAAAATTGTACTTAATTCTCATAAAGGACAAATGTACAGTCATATTTATCAAATCCTTCAGTTATTTTTGTACAATCATGAGAGAAGAAAAGACTCTAAGAATTTTCATGTAGTGAAAACCTGGTTGGGGGGACCCCAGCTTCAATATACAGGTGCCAGAAGAGGTCAGATTAACATCTCCCAATATTAGAAATTCTGAGTGTGCCTGTTATGAGGCACCAAGTGTGAAAGGTAACAATAGGCTCTCTGCTGTAACTCTGGAAGATATGGGCTTGAGATGGACCTCAGTCAGGTCCAGTGCAGTCAAAGGAAGTACTGGACTAAACTGTGCCAGCATTACTGGTTATATCCACTCATCCAACAATCATTTTGCATGCCTGTTATCTTCTGACATGAAACACATCCTCTCTTAGCATTCTCACAACTAGTATACCTGCATATTCCCATTTTACAGATGAGGAAGCTTGAGCACAAAAAGTGTATTTGCCCAAAGTTACACAGCTGGTATATGACAGAGCTGGGACTGAAATTCAGGTTCATCTGTCTCCATAGCCAATGCTCTGTGACACATTGTAACACTTTCTAAGGGGAAGCCCCATGGGTACAAAGTAGACTCTACAGAGCCTGCAGGCCTTTGAACTCAGATCATAATATAATCACTGTCTCCACCAGAAGGACAGGGTGCACCTAGGGCTGGACCTAGAGGTGGGAAGCAGGAATGAATCCAGCTTTGGCATTTATGGAAGATATAGGCTGAGGGAACCAGACTTGGGCTCACAATTCAGCCTTTAAATAGGAAAATTAGTTTTCTGAAATGCAGGAGGAAATTAATCTAAATGACAATGGAATAAAATTAACAATCACAAAATGAGGACTTGAATTTTAAGTCCCTCACTGGCATCTCCTGTGCTTTAAAAAAACGGTGCTAGAGCTGATACAAATTCATAAACATGTCTCTCAAAGAATTGTCTACTCTATAAAATCAATAATGCATACTCAATAAAATAATATTAACTACATAAAACAAATTAGATCCATTTTCTAAGGGACTTTTTAGCAATGTTGGACATAATTAGTCATCACATTCAATTGTATGAACTAGCTGATTTACAGGCCTCAATGCTGTGCAATGAATGCTATGCCTGCATTGTCAACACTGCACACAACTGGAGAGCTAGCCCAGCAGAAAATGGGACCAAGGGATAGAGCTAGACTCATGCTTGGTGTCCTGGATTTCACAAGAACGGCCTCCTATTGCCCAGGGATTCTTATGGTCTTTGTTCAATTGTAACTTGTCTTGCTCTCTTTCAAATAATCAACTGTGATATTCTCCACCCTGAATGTCAGTAATGCATTGTAGTCCTAAATTTTGAAACAATGCCTCTTAAGAACAATAACTACCTATATGTGTATGAGTTTATAGCTTTTAGTATTTCAATAAAACAAAGTTTATCTTTCTTTTTTCTTCCCTTTTCCAAGGTAGCAGTGTCAGTATCCTACTCTCCCTTGCAGCCATGTAGTCTTGGCTCACAACATCATCTCATTGTCTTCTTCTCAGGCTATCTCTCCTCCTGCCTCTGTCCTCCTCCTATCCAAATCTCCATATCCTTCAAATCGCTTCCACCCACACTGGTTATCTTCCCATGTGCTGAGGAAGCTTGTTCACCTGAATTCTTTTTTGGTAATTATTTTTCTACCTGCTTGTGACAGTTACACTGCCATTGTCTTACATTGCCATTTAATTCTTATGATTTAACATTCAATCAGTCAAAATAGGCCAGACTATGCAATGATGTCTAAAAACTCCTATATCTCAATTGCGAACCCCTTCAAAAGTGTATTTCTCACTCACATAAAGTCCAGTGGGGATTATTAGGGTCTCTCCATCATTCAACAACTAGAGATCCCAGCTCCCTCCATCTGGCAATGCTGCCATCTCAACACCTGGCCTTCAAGGATACCATGGTGGGGAAAGATAAAGCAAGCTTGGAGGTAGCTTTCTCAGCAATTCAATGCCTTGGCCCAGAAGTGACATACATCCCACCCACTACTATGCAATTGGCTAGAATTCATCACACAGTTCCACCTAACAGCAAGGGGGCTGGGAACTATAGCACTGGCAAATGTTCCAAGAGAATAGGAAAACTGGATGTAGATGAGCCCCGGCACTCTCTATCACAGTGAGTGTACATCATATTTCCCAAATGGACTGGGACATCAGTGATGCCAAGCAGGTTTAAACTGCACTTTGATTGTTTGGTAGTGGCTCTAACTTGTCTGAGCACTCTAGAGTCTTTAAGTGCAAAACATTCATCATATCCATCTTCAGGATTCTGCTTGAGTTTCTAGAACTACACCTCATATATACTAGAATCACCCTAGGAAGTATTTATTGATGGATTTAATCTGAAAACTGACAGAGAAAACATCATCTGATCAAGTTATGTCTCTTCCATAGCTCTTTGCTCCAACATCTAGCTGCAGAAAAAGTGCAGCTTACAAGACAAATGAATTTGGCAGGGATGTCAGAATTTCTTGTGGCTGTCTCAATCAACTGCATGTGAATGCCACAACTTTGAAATGTCCCCCTTCACTGCTTTATAAGGACAGAATGAATTCTGCAGTGATGGACAAGGCCTTACCAAAGAGAAAATGAAGTGACAAAACCCGGCATGAAATATGTTTATGATACAATGCAACTCAACAGCATATTTCTCCTGAGCTACCTTAGATAAGAAGGCTCAGAACTGAAACACTGTTATCCCCATTAACAGATGGGAAGAGTGACACTGAAAAGGTTAAGTTTCTTGGGCATGGTCAAACAGTCACACAAGAAAAACCAGGGAGAATACCTGCAAGGTTGCAGGCTTAGAGCTGTTCCTATTAAATTAGATGATGTTCATTCATCACTGACAGCTTTGGGGGGAAATGGATCAATAAGCACTTCCCTTTGGGTCACTTTCCTACCGTGTCGGACTTATATCTGCAAATGTTTAAAGAGTTCCCATTTACCTGGGGTTTTATGACTTTGCTATAATTGCCAGAGCTGAGAGAAAGCCACCTTCCGTCTGGCTTCTCCTCCTGCAGGGAGCAGTCCAAAAACCATGTCATCTCAATCATAGAACAAGAATGCTTTGAAGGAAAACAAATGCTGCTGCTTTTCCCCTTAAAAAGAAGTTGTTGAATTGTCTGAAAAAGTCAGACAGTGACTTGCAAAAAAACCTTATATTTGGGTTGTCTAGCTACTACTGGCAGGAGAGGATGGATAGCGGCAATGGATTTTCTGAGTGCCTAATCCAGGTCAGCATGAAAGATTGGAAGATTATTCCAGATTCTCGTGACACATGATCAAGGAGTTTTTTTCAATCCGTATTTCTCATTTTTGAATTTGGGGTTTATAACCCCATTCTTTTTGTATAATGAAAATATATATATTATGCATCATCTTTATATAAATAATTTTTTATAAACATTATGATGGAGATAGTGAAAAACACTAGAAATTTATCTGTAGCTACTGTGGCAGTGAGATTTTTAAGATGATAGGTTTTCATCAATAAACTTTCTCATTTCAAATGATACATTAATGTCTATGCAAGTACATGTCCACCTACATATACATGTATTTGTATGTATACATGTGTATAAATATATGTATGTGTATATATATTTTTTTCTTGTTAACAAACAGTGAATTCAATAAGCTTTTGTTTGCCTTCTTATTTTTCTCTACTGCAACATCCTTCAGCCCATGCATGGCTTTCAAGTAATGCACACGCATACGGAAAGGTAAAAACATAAGGAGCGGTGAGGGAGAGAGAGAAGAAGGCACAAGGAAATGAATGCTGTTTTGCAATTTATGAAGATAGGAAAACTGACAATTCAATTTCACAGCAAAAAAAGCAATGAAAATGCTTATTCCATATTAGAACTCTTTCCTTGTATAACCTAGTCCTTTTATTTCCTTGGAATCCCTTAGTTTAAGTGTATCTTCAGTTTAAATGTGTTCATTGCTGAAAACAAAATAGCATTTTTAATGTTGGGAAACACTGTAGGAAATTTTACTAAATCAAACAACATGGCTAAGCTATCCTGAATTTAAACAAGTGAATTGCAGAATATATATTACTCAGTTCTTTTAGGGACTGTCTACATAGGAAGGGGCAACTTTAATTAATGTTTGTGTCATTTGCCTCACACTTTCTAAAGGTGTTTTTTGAGTAAATGTAATACCTTTTTTATAATTTTTTACACCATTCATTTATTTAAGGAAATCTTCCCTTATAGAGTATACAAAATATATTGTCTATTCTTGGCAAAATAACAAATTCAGAATAAATGAGATAATACTAATGAGGCTTAGCCATACTGCTCAGAAGCTTGATTCTTCAGAACAAAGGAAAGGGTAATGGAAAGTTGAGGAGACAAATAACAATAGCCTACCCATGCCAAGCACTCTGCTACATGCTTTACATAAAGATACAATCTCCTCATAGCTTCACAAAACTACAAAATCAGCATGCACTATCTCCAGCCTTTGGGGAGAAAAAAAAAATGAACAGGGGATGGGGGAAGCTGGGGAAGGAGATATAAAGAATTTAAGAACTTGCCCCTATATTACTTCAACAGTGGAAACTGTTAGGTTTAAGCACAAGCTTATGTGGCTCCAAAACCCATGGATTAGAAAGAGCTACTTGGGTGCAGTGGTTCACGCCTATAATCCCAGCTACTTGGGAGGCTGAGGCAGGAGGATTGCTTGAGGCCAGGAGTTTGAGGCCACCTGGGGAGACATAGGAAGACCTCATCTCTACAATTTTTTTTTAATTAGCTGAGTGTGGTGTCCTGTACCTGCAGTCCCAGCTACTTGGGGAGCTGAGGCAAAAGGATCACTTGAACCCAGGAGTTC
Source organism: Homo sapiens (assembly GCF_000001405.40). Taxonomy (NCBI): domain Eukaryota; kingdom Metazoa; phylum Chordata; class Mammalia; order Primates; family Hominidae; genus Homo; species Homo sapiens. The sequence goes on along the minus strand of NC_000007.14, from coordinate 8,518,571 downwards.
GAGGTTACAGTGAGATTGCATCACTCCAACCCAGCCTGCATAACACAGCAAGACCTGCCTCTATAAACAAGGGGACGGAAAGCTACTTGGAGCTAGGAAATAAATGTATGCTTTATATATTCTTCTGTTTTTGCCATCAATATTTTCTTTTTTAATAATTTTATGTGTTAGGTATATAATAAAATACCTTGAAAATGTGAGACATAATAACTATGTTGTTGATGATGAAGACATTTATGCTACTCTTATTTGGGACTACACTCCTTCCATGTTTCAACAAATATTACATACCCAGGCCCCTGATCAGTACCAGGTAGGAATAATGCAAAAGAAGTAAACAAATCGTTCTTAATATGGAAGAAAATAAGTCTGGGTTTTTCCTTGAATTTCATATTGACCTGTACCCTTTAGTAATATATTCAAATGTTAACTTCAATCTAATAATATTTTTTTACACTTACTATGTACAAAGTACTGTCATAATTTAGATGAAGGCATACCTCAGGCCTACAAAGTTTCACAAATATAGCTACTAAAATTCAGCACCTAAGAATTTGCTTTTCCTGTCTACCTTTTATCTGCATGTTTGATGAATATTGCAGTGGTGGAAAGAAACTGCTTCAGGACATCAAGCTTATGTGAAACTCAATTTCAAAAACAATTCTGTTCACCAAAACATGGTCCCAGGCAACTCTGTTCACTCCTAACGGTTCTTCAGAGATGTCAGGGATTATCTCCCTAGCTCTCTCCCAGTGCATTATGTTACATTATCTCAAAGAATTGCCAGGAACTGCCTCTGTAAATGTCCCAAGTAGAGTATAAGAAAAATCAATGTTGTTCCTCTCCCCACTTCCCTGACCTCCGCTCCACCATTTCTGTAAACAGAAGCCCAGGCACAAATATGAGGAGAGATCTCTTCTGGGAGGGCTCAGTAATCCAGTGCCGTATGTTCTCTTTAAAGAGAAATATCCCTTCAGTCCTTGTGTATCTGTCTGCTTCAAACTCAGAGTCAGATCTTAAGCAACATAACCAAACACTGATGTGCAAGGATCACTCCAGACTCCACTTCTTACTCCCCTACCTAGGAGATGGGCTCCCCCAGAAACAAAATTTACATCTGACAGCACCGAACTGTGCCCCCAGCTTCTATGCTTCAGCCATGTCAACAGTCATACACTCCATGTTCTTTCATCCCAGTCCTCCACATATGTCCTCCACATGCCTACAATCCTCTTCTCCTCACTCTGATCAGTTAAATGCTATTTACCCTTTAGTCCCAATTTCTAGACAACTCTACCTCTGAGCCTCCAAATCTGGGTGAGGTACCTCTCTGTGGCCCCGCAACACCCTGTCCTTCCCCTGTAACAGCCTAGTCACCCGCCACTGTTGCTCACTGCTGAGTCACTACTATGCACACTAGTTTGCTAGCTCAGCAAAGGCAAATGCTACATCTATCTTCTTTACTGTTGTGTTCTTGGTGCTTTATTATGCCTGGAACATAGTAGGTGCTCAGTACATTTGTGGATTGGATCAATCCATTGATTAATGTTTGTTTATAATTTATTGACTTATACATGCTTTCTTAGATGTTCAATGATGAATCCTATCTAATTAAACCCTAAAGGACAAAACAAAAACAGAAGCCCCTAAGATGGCCAGACCACACATCATGAAGGGAAAAGATCTGCCCTCTTTCTTTCCATCCACCTTCTGCACCCTGGGCATTGGCTCTCTCTATAGTCGTTCATGATTTTGTTGTTAATAAACAGCTTTGCAAACCTGTTTGAGTGGGAATAAGTAACAAGAGATTCATTCTTTTTCTCTCCCTCTCCACTTCTCACTAAAGTTCTAAACTCAAAAGGCTCCAGAGTTCTACCTCCTCTTAATAACTGAAAGTATATAATAAAGGCAAGAATAACTTAGATGAAGCAATTCCCCCATTCTGCTGTTGGCCTTGGGCAAGTATGTTCCTCGAGGACAAAACCATCACTTTTATTGATCAACTTAATGGAAACCCCAGCAGGATCAAGATATCCTTGAGCACCAGGTGATATCTGAAGACTTTCAAATGACATTTCATACAAAACAATTTAATTCCTAATCAGCAAAAACAGTATTAAATCATCATTTGATGCTCACTGTAATGCTCTTTGTGTTTATTACTTCACAGTAGACAACGAAACAAATATTCTGAGTAACTGGTTTCTTATTGATTGATGATTCTATTGCCTTAAGGTACGAGAGCACCCAGCCAGTAACATGAAATATTCAGCAACTAATAAGCAAATCCCAAGTAGATAAAGCATGAGAAATTGCGGAGGCGGGAGGAAAGAGATATAGTAGACGATCCAACTGATGAGTAATGGCTAAAGAGGTAAAAATAGAGAGGTTACTAATGATGGAAAGGAAAGGACATCAAAAAATGGTCTTGATAACTGGTGATATTTGAATAGCTCCTTAAAGATGTCCAAGACTTAAGCAAGCAGGATTTGAATAATAGCCTATGGTGTTACAGATGAGTAAACAATCAAATCGAAGGTTTGGTGGCAGAAAAATATATGACTAAGACAGAAGTTGGTGCATGCACACCAGATAGGTATGCATGAGTGTGTGAGAGGCTGCGGGAACATGAGGTGGTAAGAACAGAAGAAGGGAAGATTTAGAGTTAGGTAAGATAGCAGAGTAATGAGTAACCCATGGGCCATACAGAAGAAAAATTAGTATTTAATTCAATTTGCTTTGGCTCAGAGGGCTGATGTGATCAGATTCATGTTCCACATGTGAGTTTACAGACGTGATTAAAACGCTCAGGCCTACCAATTGTTGAATGAGGAAAATGATAACACCTGCAATAAAAACGTTTCTCAACAATGATTCCAAATTTATGCATTAGGTCTTATTTACAGCCCTTTAGAACACCATGGTAAAAAGTAATGTGGAATTCATGAGTTGTGTTATTAATCTATTCTTAAAGCAAACTACTTTTGGTGCAATATATACATTTCTCTTCCTCTCTGTGATAATCAGCTAAAATTATACTGATTCATAAAAGCTTTTCTTGATTCCAAAGAATGTGAAGCATTTTTATAAACAACACATGAATGAATCCCTTTAACCAACTGTTCAAGTATCCACAATTTAGCTGTGAAATGTAGCCGCTCTCCAGGAATCCATGGCAGGAGATAAAATATTAGCCTTTGGAGCAGCATACAGTACCATGTGTCCCATGATCTATCCCTCAATAAATATTAATTGATGATGATGAAGCAAAATCACACAGACTGGTGGACATGCTGCAGAACTGTTCTCTAATTTATCCCACCTCCCACCTAGACACACATCTGCCCAGAAATGCAGACTTCTTGCCTCACTTACAATCATCCCCCATGGGAAACATTTTCAGCCCAGCTAGATTAGAAATTCCTTTAAAAGGTCATTTTAGCTGGAAAGCATTTTGTAAACTATAATCTCTCTTTCTTAGTCTCACTATCTCTTGCATGTGTGCACTCTTACACACACACACATACACACAGGCATCACTTTCTGCAACGCTCTGTTTATTCTAATGTTCTTTGGGAAGGGAGAAAAGGCACTAAGTATGCAGCTGCCTCTGTGTGGGACAGAAGACATATGGGCCATATGAATTAAACTGACCGTAAAACATTTGGAAACTAAGACAGTAAAGTAAATTTCCTTTAGAGTGTGTAATCTGGGTTAAATCATCTCAACTGAACTACTGACTTGTAGCAAGGGGAGGTGAGTGGAGGGGCAGGAAGTGGAGTGGAGATGGACATCCGCTTGGTGAAAAAGAATAGCATGCAATTTAAAAAATTAATATGCAGTCTTGCACAGTGTCTGTTTGGATCAGAGAGATGTACAGAACTTACATTATCTCACAAGCTAAGAGTCTAAAAGACCAATGAGATGATGGGATCTACCCACTTGGAACATAGACCCTATAACTTTCATAAGTCCACAATCATGACACACACAGCACATGGGGGATATGAAGTTTTATCTACCATCCTGAGGTAGCATCAGGGAATGGACTCTTCTTTTTGTTTTAACCATTTTCCAATGCATTGGGCAAAAGCCAAATGCTTGTCCATAGTAGTAGAAACACTTGAGACTGATTCCCAAGTCTGCTATTCGCTGTGCAACTTCAAGGATGTCACTGAACCTCTCTGAATCATCCTTAGAAGTGAGGATTTTTTAAATGAGAAAAATAACTTGTACGTTTCCCAAATAATAAGGCTTTAAAAATGTCGGAGAGAGAGAGTCTATGAAGGAGAAGCAACACTTATAGCTTCAGCCTACTAATATAAAAAGCAGAATGTATTGAAGGCAGGCAAGATGTGGTAAGTTATGGATTAAATTTGTACCTCCAAAATTCTTGTGTTGAAGTTCTAACTTTCAGTACCTTAGAATGTAACTTTATTTGGAAACAGAGTCTTTTCAGAAGTAATTAGCAAAGATGAGATGATTAGGATAGACCCCAATCTGTTATGTCTTTATAAAAAGGAACAATTGGGACACAGAGAGATGCACAGAGAGAAAACAAAGTGAAGAGAAACAGGGAGAAGATGGTCCTCTACAAGCCAAGGAGAGAGGCCTGGAGCAGATCCTTCCCTCATAGCCCTGAGAAAGAACCAACCTTGCCAACATCTTGATTTCAGACTTGTAGTCTCCAGAACTGAGAGACAATACGTTTCTGTTGTTTAGGCCTCCAAGTTTGTGCTACTTTTTTACGGCAGCCCTAGAAAACGAATACATGGAGCAAGACGCAGGCAAGTCTGACAAACCATAGGACATAGGTGGTTCTCTTGAAAGCCTTAGTGGAGAGCTCAAAGGGAATTCAAGAGGTTCAGATGACTCCTCCTTACCTTTTTCATCCTATCTCTAATCACATCTCCAAATGTTCCTTGTTCCCCCAAACCATAATGCAATGTTGGTAGCTACTCAAAGGTATACAATCCCTTACCTGCCGCCCTTAGGGCCAGGTGTGTTGGAATTCAAAATTATTCAGGTTTTAGAAATAGATGCATGTAGCATCTATTAAGTAAAACCTCCAGCAGGATGTACTGGTATACATTGTAATCAACACTTTAATATTTCTGCAACCAAATATGTGAATATTAATGCTGATAAGTAGAAACTACATGTAGCCTCACAACACGTAAGGTCAATTTTGTTGCCACATGAGTTAAGAAAACCCTTCAGTTTTTAAAGATGTGGGGAATTCAGAATTGCAGGTAAGAGACTGAGAACCTATTCTATTCTGTGATATCCCTTCATTCTATTCTGTGATATCCCTATATATTCTGTTTCCTGCACCTGGACTGTTCCTTTTGCATCCTCATCCACCTGTAAAATTCCTATTCCATGTTCATGACCCCATTCAAAGACCACCAGTCCCAAGTAACGTTCTCTCATTACTTGGGTAGTTGGGCACTTTTCCCTCCTTCTTCTATGATGTCTTCCACATGCATATTTCTATTTTAGTAATTCTCATATTGACTCTGTACACACTCAGAAAGAACACCTTTTTCCAGGTCCTTAGAGAGACTGAGGGTCGATACTGTATAGCTTCATCTTCCTGTACCACTAAGGATTACTTGCTAGTAATATATCCAGTGTGTCATAAGTTTCTAACATTTAGTGTTTGTAAATGAAAATTACTGTTTCTAAGAATGTAGTTAGAATTCTAATTTGGTTTTCTGCTAAGAAGTCTGGCTGCCATGCAATTCTGTTCAACATGGAAACGCTCCTTTTCTACACATGCATAAGCAGATAGAATTTTGCAGTTGGGAGAAAACACTTTATTATGGGTACAATAAATTGGGGGTGGTTTGTATTTGTTACCGTTAGTAAGAAATACTATTAATTTAACTTTCTAGTTGTTAATTTACTTTGTGCTACTTGGTTAACTTTATAGTATGAAGAAATGTGTATTTGCATCAAAATCATTTTAGCCTCTAGTTTTTAAATTACTAGACTGGGCACTATGATTCAAATACGAACCACTAATCCTAAAGTAAATTCATCATAATCACCCTCTCAAATATCCCCTACCAAAAGGGGAAAGGCTAGAGTTGATGAGCCACAGTATTGTCCCCTTCTAATTAGACTGTGTTCAAAAAGATTAAGAGTCACTTCCTTAAGGTAAGTTCCTTTACCTTTATATACCTCTGTGTTCTCACTATTTGTCATGCAGTGGACATTTCATAAATGTTTGTCAAATGATGGAATTAATGAATGTTTTAAAATTCAAAAAGGGTTACAAAAATATAAGGGATCTAGCTCATAACCCCTTCCAACCACTGAAATAACAGTTGGTTAAGATTATCACATGATTCTTTGCGCTTCTTACAATACAGGCAAAATTGCTAAGTTCTCTTGGCTTCCTTTTAATGCTGTATTTGGAGAGGAGCCACAGCAATCCCTCTGGTTCCTTCCTGTCATCTCCTTCAGAAGAGCCAACTCATTTGGACACTCAGGGGGCTAGTTTGGCAGCTGTCAAGCTCAGGATTATGCATCTTGAGCTTTGGCATCTGCAGCTGTAGTGAGACTCATCTCTAGCATCTGCCCTGGCTGAGCGCCAAGGGCCAGAGCTACTGGGCAGGGTCATCCATTCCTGAGTTGTCAGAACCTCCCGGTGGCTACTTTCTTTCAGTCAACCTTGATAAAAGAAAATATGCCTTCAATTCAGTCCCCTGGACCATGTCTTATTGAAGCTGCCTGCACCAGGACTGAAATTGTGCCAGAATCTTCAGTAGGGTCTACAAACTTGCTGTGTGTGAGAGGATTTAAAGCTAAGAATCTAATTCAGCATCAGAACAGAAATAATTGTTATTTGCTGTAGTATACTGGTGCCAGAAAAGTAACGCATGGTGACATATAGTCTACAAGTTCACTGGGGCCAGGGGGTTGGAAGAGAGGTGGAAAAGTCTTCCCCAAATCCTTTGGGTACAATGTGCAGCTTCTTCTTTTGTTCTACTATTAGGCTGTTCATCTCCACTCCTTACAGAGTGAAGGAGATATGTCAAGGTCTCTAGTTGAATGAGGGTCAGTCTATACTGTACACACCAGCCTCACATCTGAGAGAGGGAGCAGGGTGCCAGACAGCAGTGGAGCCCAGGCCGCATGCAGCAGAAATCTGAAATCAAAGGCTGGGACAACATTCATAGGCAGGACAGGTTCCACATGCAGAAAGGAAATGCAAAATTGTGGCTGGCAGCCTCTGTCCCAAGAGTTGTGGCCTCTATGGAAAAGAAAACAGACTCTTCAGTAATTAACCCAGAAAGTCACCAACACAAAGCCTGGAAAAATAGCAAGTATTTACAAATGAGATATGAGTAATGCCCCAGATTGCCTGTTATCACTAAGGGTTAGAATAATTCTTTAATGCTATACATAATGCATTAATTTTTTTAGAAGACTTGCCTGTAATTGTAATTCAAGTCCTATTCTTTTTGGATTCCAGGTTAAACCAAGCTCTATTGTTCTACTTAAAATAAGGTTTTTCTGCAAAGTGGAGAACATCTACTTTGACCCCTCCTTTATTGATCCAAGGTCAGGGAAGCAGAGAAGATCAGACTAGTAGCAGCATACTACAGGTATTTATTTCCCAAGAGCCCATGACAAAATAAATGGAAACTTCCAATGGAAGGGTTCAGAAGTTCAAACTTAAAATGAATTGGAGCCAAAAAGCAAGTGCCTATTGAGAGAGACTATACTTTCAGTGTAGAGTGGCAAATGCCTTAAATATATACTAATCCCTCAGTTTGAACCTATAACAGAATATTTAAATTAATATTGATAGTGGTTATAAATACATACATTATGAACATACGCATATAAAGTATTTTTAAAAGTTACCTATTCCTATACATTATATGACTATGTATTTGTATAATTCTTCAAAAAGGAGCAGGCTTTCCATGCTTTTGTGCCCACACTTCTCATTCTACCTAAAACCAAAATATAATATTCCTTCAGTCACCAAACTTTAAAAAATTTTAAAACATTTTACTTTCCCCTGTGGCCCTATATGTTAGTGGGGCTAATGCTAGAATTGTATGTGCAGAACATGTAGATTTTTTTTTTAATCTTAGATTCGAGTGCAAATTCTACTACAGATAATTGTCTCAGCCTCCCTATGCCTCAACTTTGTCATCTGTGAGACAGGCATATTAGTTACCTCAGAAGGTAGTTGTGAAAATTATATAAAATAATGTTTGTGAAAGTATTTCACTTAATATTTGTGTATAATGATAAACATTAGTAATTACTAATTAAGACTATGATTACATTCATCATTGACTTATAAACAGTCATTTCAATGTTGAAAATGGGCAAAATGTCAAGTTTATCTCTCTGGCCTCCCCAGGCACCCTTTGTCACACCTGGCTTTCAGCCCCACTAGGTGCTAAAGCTGAGCTCCTTTGTATATGAACAATTTTCCCAGCCATCTTGAGAGAGACCCATTTGAATAGTCAGCATGTCAGGGTGCACAGTAAGCTTCTGAAGCTTAGGATTAGCTCAGAGCTAGTGACTTTGAAACAGTGAACATCTAAATAGAATCTTTCACTGTAGTATTTATAACAGGATTTTTCACTCACTTTTTCCTGATGAAGTTTAAAAGAGCTGTCATTAAGCAGATGTTGCTTTAAGAAGAAATAATCATTGCTAATTCTCAGCTACATGAAAAAATGTTGTTGCCCAGCTTCCCATTGCTCACCACACAAAGGCATTGATGAGACATTTTTCACATTGGTTTTGCTTTTGTTGGAACATGTGTTAACTGTTTCATGGGTGTGAGTGAAGCCCATAGTGAAAAACACAGGAAGAAACTCAGATCACACCAAATAGACATGTCACGCCTGACTTTCCTAGTCCCCTTTTGTCACTCTCCTCTCTCAGATGAAACACAAGCTTCTGCCCACTGTAGATCCTTGCAAGCTCCCTAACAAGCACACACTCAGAAAAAGAAGGGGGAATACAATGGAGCAGAAGAATCAGAGGACTACCAATTTCCTTACGATTGCCTCCAATTGCTGGAGACCTTAGGTAAATGAAGACGTTAGTCTCCAGAGAGAGAAAAAAGAAGAAAGAAATAAAGAGAATAGATGTTCCACATATGTCGTTACTCTCTATGACAGGGCACAAGTTAACACTGTCTTTGGAAAATAAACGTGCTCTTCCAAAGCAAGGTGTTTATCCTAGCCACCACATCATATTTATTAATGTGGAAATAAGCTACTTAAATTGTACAAAATGTCTTCCAAAATTAATTCCATTTACATAACTTGCAATATGAAATCATCATGTCTTAGATTCTTTGATAACCCTGTAGAATCAACATTTTAATTTTTAAATAAGATATATAAGTTTTGCAGTTCACCTCAAGCTGGTAAACAGTAGGCTCAGCAGTCATGCACTAATGGATAATGTCATTTAATAAAGATATCAAAATTACACCAAGTGTTAGAATTTTTACTTCATGGTGCTTCATGCCTCCTTCAGACAAATTTGGTCATCTAAAAACAAGAAAATATCCACAGATATGGAGTTGTTTTTACGAATATCGCTTGTTTGGATTATGCCACAAGAAATTGTGTTTGAGCTTTATCTTTGGCCATGGATCTAGTCCTATTTCCTCTAATGTGCCCGCCTCCCCAAATGACCATAGGCATAAAATTAATAGTCTCAGACTGATATCTTTCCTTTTACAAGACCCTAACTTCCTTCCACAGAGACTTGAGGGCCAATGAAAAGACTTCAGATCACTGTGCTATGTATTCATTGATGCAACAAACAGTGATTGAACTTAGACCCTTTGCAGCACATGAGGCCAGACACTGGGGTTATAGAAGAAATAGCTGTAGCCTCTGAACTCCAGGATTTACATTCAAGACATAAAAAAAAAGATGCTTAGCAAATATGAGATCTCACAAATGAAGGGCAATTTATTTTGGTCTGACTCAAACTCCACCCACAGTGTTTATCCAAGGATGGAGAAATGGTTACACACTATCTCCCCAGGCTGAGCTAGAAGGAACTCTTTAACGATAATATAGCTTTCACTGAATGAATGCTTTTTATGTAAGAGGCACTGTTCAAAGAATTTTACAGATATATGCGACAGATATTTGCTTCATTTAGTTCCAGCAATTACCCTATGAGGGAGATAATATTATTTCTATTTTGCAGATGGAAAAAGCAAAGCTCAGAGATGTACTCAACATAGCCAACTACTGATTCCACATGCCCTTAACAATCAATCAAAGTTTGTTAGCAGAAAATGTCTAGACCGTCTGTTGGGTTGAAATATACCTATAAATATGCAGGTATTCATCTAATTATGATTTTGTTGCACAGGTAAAGAGACAACTAAATTTATAATAGAGAGAAAAGCTAAATTGCAATTATCTGAGTATTGTTCCACTGAAAGGAATATCAGTCATGATTTGACAGTGATATACTGAGAACTGTCTAAACTTGAAATCAGGAATATTGGATGGGTACCAGGTGACCAGTGATATGAGATCCACTGAAATTAGCTTGACAAAGCATAAAGATTCTTTTCAAAGGGTGTTCCTGATTTTATCATTAATCAGCTTATTCCCTTTTTTCCCTATTGACTGACCGTCTACTTCAATAGAACACTCTGGCTGTTTTCTGAGCTTTCTCATTCAGCCTTTAAATTAGCTTACTGCCCAGCCACAAGGCAGGTAGCAATTTATGCCAAACAAATCATGAGGCAGGAGGTGCTGAGGAAAGACTGCTTATTTTCTCCTGTGAGGAGGGGAGAGGGTGACAAATGTTTGTGGGTTGGTAAACTGTACTAATTTACAAGCCTGCTGTTATCTTTCTAATGTAACACTCCCTAGAGGCACTCTGAGGAATGATCTAGCTGCAGCTTTCAGCTTCAATCAATAAACTTAGAAGATTATGAAACATGTGCACCTATGTAATACGGTAAAATCCTGCTTTTATACCACTGGGGGAACTACTAGAAGGATTCATGTTATAAGTGATTTTGATGTATATGCGGTAAGAAATTAAAACATGAATTAAAATATTGCTTGCCAAGTTTTATGACCAAAGTAATGATAATAATAGTATAGCTCATTACAGCTTAAGATGTTCACTAGGATGCTTCAATGACATCTTAAAATTATCACCATCATCATAGTGGCTATCCCTGGTTATGTCAAACACTGGTGTAAATGCTTTGCTTCTGTTTCACTCATGATCTACCCCTTCACCTTCAAATTCTTCATCTTTGTGTTCCATGCCCTAATGTATTAACAACCACCTATTCAATTATGTAAGTCAGAAATCTAATAGTCATTCAGACACTTCCTTCTCCCCACGCCACCCCCAAATATAACCCATAGCTAAACCCAATCAATTTCATCCCTTAAATCTGCTTCTTCTGCACCCACCTCTCTCCAGGTCTGCCACAACTACCTTAGCCCATTGTCTCTCACCTGAACTGTTGCATAGCTTCCCATTTGGCTTTCTGATGACCTCTGCCCTCATCCTACTCCCCTTTCATCTTCCCGGGGTGGGCACTTGACATGCAAATCTGATCATGTCACACCCATGCTCATGAAAATACACACACTGAAAGCCCTTCAGGGATTGGAACCAAACCTTCACATGAGCTGCAGGGCATGCAGGGTCTGGTGCCTGCCCCCAGCACCACCCTCTTCATTGAGCCTCATGTTGCAGCTACCCTAGCATTTGTTCAGATACTTGTAATGTTCCATGTACCCTCTGCTGCATTGGCCCTCACTCCTTCCCCCTGATATGCTAGCACCACCATCTCCTTGCCTAATTAATGCCAGTTAATCTGTTAGCTCTTATCTCAAACATCACCTCCTTCAGTAAAACTTCTCTGACTTCCTTAAACAGGATCCTGTCTTCCCACTCAAATCAAATTTATTTGCTGTATTTTCTCATCAAACACACACTGTCCCTACTGGCTATCTGCTCAGGGAGAGCAGAGATGGTATCTGTCTTTACTCATTAATAGTCTGTTCCTAGACCAGCAAGTAAGCAACCAAAGGTAGGTATTCATTCACTAGATAGTTGAATAAACTTACAAATTGCACTCCAAACATCTTTTCTCACTTAATCTTCACAAGTATCCTATAAAGGAAATATTAATAGCATCCCCATTTTATAAATGAGGTGACTAAGACATGGAAAGACCCATGTCCCTTGCTCCTAGGTCTCAGGACACTGGATGATGTAGCCAAAACTCAAACTTGGGTCTTTGACTCTTTGGTCTTCCCTTGGAGTAACAGAATTCCTTCAATCCAGGCAAGGAAGAGGAGGTAAAAATCATTGCAACAACAGTTGCACAACTCAACAAATGTATTAGAAATATTGAATTGTGCACTAAAATAGGTAAATTTTATAATAGATAAATTATACTTCAATAAAATTGTTTTTAAAAATCTCTCTAAGTTCCTCAAGGATATTTTGGAGTTCAACTCAGAAAGTACCTCTAAAACTGTGAAACTCTTGAATGCTTTTGGTAAAGACTAATTTATTGTTTTTTCAAGTATGGTCCTCAGATCACATACATCAGAACCATATGGACACTATAAAAATGCAGGTGTCTGGGCCCATTTCTGTCTCTACTGAATCAAAATGGTTCCCAGAAATGTACACTTTTAATTTGCATGGGAAGTGGTTTTTATGCACAACAAAGTTTAGAACACAGAAACACCTGCATGCTCCTCAGAGTCAATTTTCTAGCAAACAATGACACTTCTAGTAATTGAGAACAGAACATCATGTGCCTAACATAGTTATTTAACTAACTTTTATTGAATGATTGAATGTTCAGTGTATGCAAAACTTTAATGCAAACTGAAATCTCCAATTAATCACATAAGAAACCTAATGGGCACAAGTTTTACAAAAAGTATTATGGAAATTATCTGATAAGTACACACTCTGATATCCCCTAGATTTAGATTTGCTAATATAAAAAATGTGATTTTAAGACTGTTTTTCTTTTATTGCTTCTACCAGGAACCCCTGCTGAGTGGCTCAGAAATCCAGTCTGCAATGTTGAGGTCTATTATTTATTTCTAGGCATAGGTATTCTCATGGTATATTGCTCACAAATGACTATATTGGCCAGTCAGGCTACTCTGGGGCAAATTATAGAGCAATATAAAGGACCCAGAACTGGAGAGGAGGTTAAGACAAGCCTTCAAAGATCAAGAAGGTTGTTGGCACTGAAAATGAGTCCAAATTATTAGGAAAGTTTTGAAAACCAAGCAGTGACTGGAGGTCTCAATGGGGCTGAGAATTAGAAACAGAGAGTTAAGGGTACGTATAGAAAGTATCAAGCCAGCAGTAGGTCAGAGACCTGGCATTCACTTAATATGAGGAAAACACTGACCTTCAGTGCACTGTAAAATCAGACATTTAACCAAAAAATGACAAAAAATTGAATTTAAAAAAAATTTGATCCCCTACTGTGTGCAGGATACCATGGTAGTGAATGTCCCTTACTCTTGCAGGGCTGTGTAGCTAGCAGGGCATTCAAACTGAATGCCTTAGTAAGTTTGGGCTGCTACAACAGAATACCATAGACAAGGTGGTTCAAACAACAAATATTTATTTTTCACAGTTCTAGAGGTTGGGAAGTCCAAGTTCAATGAACCAGCAGATCCGGTGTCTGGTGAGGATCTGCTTCCTGGTTTTCAGTTGCCCATCTTCTCATTATATCCTCACTTAGCAGAGCAGAGAACAAGAGCAAGCTTTCATGTCTGTTTTTGAAAAGGCACTAATCCTGTTAATGAGAACCCTATCCTCATGAATCAATTACCCCAAATACCCCAAATCCTAACATCATCACTTTAGGGGGTTAGGATTGCAACACAAACATTCAGTCCATAGCATCAAGGGAATGCAGAGCATGTGATTTCTCTGATAGGCCTTGTTCTCCATTCATTTACTATTAATCTTAGACAAAAACATGTCCCAGCCATGACTAAGAGATAGAAACTGCTCCTGAGTGGCTGCAGTTTCTGTGATGATGCTGCTTTACATAGGTGAGTTCCCTGTTCTACATTTTTTCTAAGTAAAATTTCTGCTCAGTAAATCTAATTGAGTCTTATGAACTTGACTGAAAATCCACACCTTGAAACCTATTTTAGTGGCCTCTCAGACTGAAAAAAATACAATTATATATAAACAAAATGAAAGAAAGGAAACAAGAAAGAAAGAAAAACTAGTAAAATATTGCCTTAGTCTTCAAGGAATTTGTGATCTAATAATAGGGTGGAGGTTGAGAATAGTACTGCTATCCTAAGAAGCAATACTACAAGAGAAAAATATAGCATTCTAGAGCTTCAAAAGAGAACAAGATTGTTTGGAAATGGGAAAGGCTTTGTGGAAAGAGGGACATCTAAGATGGGTGACATTGGACACACATGGGGACAGAAAAGCCCCTGGCATAATGCATCCCTGAAATGAAGCAGGGGCAGGGCAGAAACAAAGTTGAGGAAACACTGAATAGCAACTTCAGGCAGAAGAATAGGCACTAGTAGAAGACAGGAGAGCTAGGGCTGGAAAGCTGTCTACTTAGGACCACAATGTAGATGGCTTTGCAGGCTGAACTGAGGGAATAGTCTTTAATAGAGCAGTGCCTAAGGAAGCATTGGAGATTACTGAGGAGAGTGGTGATGTGACCAGGGCAGCTATTCAGGAAGGCTAATGCAGTGATGGTGTTCCGGATGAACCGGACCTTAAATGGGCAGCAGACAGACTGCTAGGCAGGCCGTGTTCATAGGCAAGAAATTCTATGGGTCTGAACTAGTGTGGCAAGATAGCAGAAAACAGAGAAATGTTACAGAGAAGATCAAACCACTCCTTCACATTTCCTTCCTTACCTGCATCAGGAAATCTAAAAAGAAAGTAGGTTTGAGGTTTGGGTTGGACACATGATTGTAGCAGAAATTGAAGAAACATCAAAAACAAGCAGAAGAAATAGTTAAGGCAGAAAAAGTATCAAGAAAACTTTGTGCTAAATAGTTCCAGGACTTTAAAGATGTCTGTAAATGTAAGAGTCAATCTTCAAGTGTAGTGGGACTTGCATATAAAGTCACAGGATAATGCAAGATAACACTGACCATGCATCACCGGTGAGGAAGGAGACAAAGAGGCCGCACAGGGGAGGAATTCAGAGTAGACTATGGAGTCAAAATACTCAGGTTCAAACCCTAGCTCTGCTCCTTATTACTCCTGTGACCTTCCTTGTGCAAGTTGTTTCACCTTTCTGTGTCTCAGTTTCCTTATCTATAAAATAAGGATAATAATAGTACCTATTTCACAGAACTGTTAAAAAGTGTTCCAGTTATCAATGTTTTGATTTTGAAGCTCCATATTCACCCTTTGTTGTCTGTTGTGCACAAATAGATCGGGGCCCTTCAAATATTTCTCTTTGCCAGCTGGTGTAAGCAAAGCACCATCATGAAAGGGCACTAAAAAGACATTTTCAGTGGTTTCCCACCCAGTTCCAAGACACTGCACTCAACAGGCTCCTGCAATATGTGGTCTTTCCAGGATCCAGCCCTTACCATGGATGGGTTCTCTAGTACTACCTTGTGCATCATGAAGTGGCCAGCCCCACCTAGCACCCAGCAGCTTCCCCAAAACTTCTGAGACAGTATTGCTGCACATTCGGAGGCCCAGCCCATCTCTGTGAACAGCTTCTCCAGCACTCCAGAAGATGGGCTTGCAGTAACTTCTGCCAGTGAGGTACTTTGATGTCTCCTCTACCATCTAGTGAGCCATGATTATGCACTTCCTAATGAGTTCTGGATCTTAATCCTGGGTACAGGAGACCTATTTCTTCCTTGAAAGCTCTATCTCAGCCTGGGCATAGTGAGTGCTCCTATACTTGCTACTCCTCTATTCTTCAGAGTTCTCTTTACTTCTTACTAGCCAATCCCTCATTACTCCAATCCCTTGTCACACCACTAATGCTTTATATTGTATTTACCCTACTCAAATTACTGTGTGGTTTCTGTCTTCTGGTTGGACTCTGACTGATGTAAGAGGATTAATAAAATCCTATTCCTTGAGTGCAAGACAGCACCTTGTACATAATATGCACTTTTATGAATGTTTGTTAAATTAATCTTTAACATAAGGGCCAGGAAAAAAAAGAAATAAATATAGTTTTAGACCTAGTTCCTCATCAAAATGTTCCCTTGATAGGGAATCCTGGGAAAAGAAAAACTAATATTTGCTTTCCTTTTAGTTTTTGCCATTAAACACATCTTAGTACAATAAAATCTAAAATTTCTGTACATTTAAAAAATGTATACTCACAACAATTCTGAAAAATACTTAGTAAAGACATTATCACTGTAATTTCTGAGATAGGGAAGCTGAAGCTAGAAGAGGTTAAGTGACTTACACACGGTTCCACAGAGCCAATTAATGATAGACATGAGAAGAGATCTCAGATCTCCCAGCTCTCAGCCAAATGTTTTTTCCCTCCACTCTGTTAACTCCCCCATTAACAAGCAACAAGATCACTCCAAACTCAGATGACATCTCAGATTAATTTTTTTCTCTAATTGTATAATATTCCAAGACAACTTTCGAATATCTGTGTAGGCCACTGGATGGGTATATAGGCCCTAGGCCTTACCCTCTAATTGCCGTCTTCATTGATGTACCCACGACTCTTGGGTAAGACTGTTAGTCTGTTCTTGCTATAGCTCTCGTTGCTGCATTGGGGAGCTATGACAGCCCTATCTTTACTTGCTGCACTGGTTTTCATTTTCTTCATTTATAAAGCGCCAATGACATATCAGATAATTGGTGTACTTGCTCCTTGCTCTAAACCTCTATGACCCTAAAATTGCTACACCATTCCCAGTCTTAATTTATTCACCTGTAAAATGGTAGAATGTAAGTTCCTACCAGTGTCCAAATGCTTTAATGTTAATATTTGAAATGTGACTCTAGAGTTTTGAAATTATTTTAATGTGTCATTTGGGAAAGTGGTTCATCAGAATCACTATGAAATTTTTTACATAATTCTGTTCATAAGACATATGGATTCCCAAGTCATGAATGGACCCAGGAATCCACATTTTTAAAGGCTCTACCCAGGATACATGGCTGGGTATGAAAATCACTGTGTCCAGGCACTCAGGCTATGATTTGTAGTCATATCTTGCATGGTACAACTCCTAAAAGCTTCCAGGAACTGATTATTTGCCATTTCATTACTCAGTAACAAACTACGGTTTCTCATGTTTGCATTGTGCACATGAAAAGCCTAATTTCAATTCATTGGTGAGAACTGATAGCCACATTATATTATGAAATTTAGAAAAGGCAGATCCCTAGAGCTCAAAAGAGCTAGATGACAAAAATCGTATCTGTGACAGCTGATAGATTTTTCAAAGTTCTAAAAGCAAAAACCAAAACTATGCTGAAGATCCCAACTCATAAACAAGTGTCATTAAAGGATAAGACACCTTCCACAATTGCAGACCAGACCTTTCAAGATTTGAGTTAGAGACCTCTTCCATGCTATTTACTTCTGAACATTATGTTTTACTGGACACTTCTTAGAGCTAAGTGCCTAAAGACGTGTATATTCAAATTCAGGCTGCAACCACAAGCTAAGGGACCCCTACGTCATTATTTAACCATTGATCACATGTCTGAAAAATGGGAGGACCAACTGAGAAGACCTGCATCAAAATCGTGTAACACTGTGAAAAATGAGGTTAAGAAAGTAAAAGACGTTGAATCTGTATTTTGCTATTAGGATTATGGATAATGCATCAGCTGGTTCCAGTGGTTACAGACAGTGTTATTGCCATAAAGCTAGTTAAGAAACAAGCTCCTTTCAAAAATTCTATATGACAGAAGCAGGCAAACCCTGAGCAGTCTAGATAATACTGTGCCCTTCACAAAAGAGTCTTGTGTTTGGAAATAATAATAGCAAACACATGTCAGGCACTGTTATGAATTTTCAAAACACAGCAACTCATTCAATGCTCACAACAGCCAAATAAGGCAGATGCCATTTCTGAATCACAGAGAGGTTGGCAACCTGCCCAAGGTCACACAGCTAGAAAATGCCACGCTCGAATTCAAACTCAAGCAGCCTGACCCTAAAGTCTGTGCTATTCATCATCCTGATATCCTGCCTTTTCTCAGATAACCAAACTTCAGAAATTCCCTAAAACACCAAACATAAAGAAATTATCTGATCCAATACTGTTACCTGAGGGACTACTAGACAAAAGGTAATTGATGCTGCTGAAGTAAAACTTAGATTTAGAATCTAAAAGTGACCACTAATTAAGTCCATGCCAGACACCAAAAAGCCTTGTCATTTTTGCCCTCTTTGGGATCCAGGATCTTGACCTGATGGCGAGGAAACTTCTGCCTGTGTGAGTTTATACCTGGATGCAGTATTTTAACTCACAAACATATGAAAAGAACAAAAAGATTTGTTGGAAATATTGCAATCCACATTCTGTTATAAAAATGTTATTCGCTTTATAGTACACAGAATCCATACAAAACAAACCATAAAGGATATGAAGAGATTTTTCTGTCCGTACATGCTTCTTCCTCATGAGGGAAGTGGTGAGCACCTTTAACTCCTAATGTGGCCGCACAAGGAGGCTCTTTGCTGGCCCAGTCCTTCCCTCTCTGTAAAATCTGTGGTTCTATGGAAAGCCATGGCTCGTCCAGCTGCAGAGGCCAATGCTCAGAAGTGTGCAACTATGGCATGCAGTAAAGGCCTCAAAAATAGCGGGGAATAGACATTTGAGAGCTCCTTAGGCCTCACCACTGGGAGTCTAGCTTTTGTTGTTCTGACTTGGTGAGTTTCCCACTAGGCATGAGTATTGATTACCGAATTTGGGAGCATTTCTGTGTGGAACCTGGGAGGTCCTGGGAAGATGCTGCATACACTCACTTACTTGTACCCTTATTTTTGCACTGTCTGTTTTTGTAGCTCAATAATTAACCAAACTACAAGCTACTTAGGCTGAATCCAAGTCTCATTCTTGCTAATTTCCAAATCCAGACTAGCCTTTGTAGGCTGGTATAGCTCAGCTGGGATCTCTGCTGTTTGTATCAGGGCCCTTATTACAGAGCCTTGGTCTTTGGCTGAGTATTTGATGAAAGTAGTCTTGGAGCACTGGCTGTTTGCTATGAACCCTGGGAGGGCTGTGTACAGCTGTCACAGCTGGGGGTCACCTGGGCATTCTGTCTGTGCTGTCTCAGCTGGAAGGAGCATTCTTATGCTCAAACAAACTGTTCTTTTTTGTAGTGGTGATAGAAGAGACTTTAAAGTACTTTCCTTAAGGATCATCCTTTCCTGCTTGGTATAGGAACCAAAAAAGAATTCTCCACTGGCACAGCTCAAAGATACTTCCTGTCCAACACCACTGATCATCACCCAGGCACCTGTAGTGCCTCGCATCATCTTACCTGATAGGAGGCTTTACACTATGTAGAATCTGTTCACTTCATGTTAAACACTCTCTCAAGTCCAAGCTCCTGGAATGTCAAATACCAAACTTTATACTCAAATGTTACATAAAATATATGACATTTATTTAATCAGAGTTAAATTCTCAAATTCTCAAGGAAGCCACCCACACTCATGCATTATCTACC
Source organism: Homo sapiens (assembly GCF_000001405.40). Lineage (NCBI taxonomy): Eukaryota > Metazoa > Chordata > Mammalia > Primates > Hominidae > Homo > Homo sapiens. Next base: position 8,498,873 of record NC_000007.14, on the reverse strand, counting down.
CAACTCTAACCTACATTCTATTTGACTGACATCACATTTCCCTTTCCTAGGTCTAAATCTTATCCCTCTTACTAAGCTCTTAGAACAACTTGGAACAAGGACACATTAGATATTTCCCCTAGGACTTTGCTCATAATAGGTCCTGAAAATAGAGTGTTCATTGACTGCTAGCATGCTGAAGTTTGTAACACACAATTATCAGTATCTATAAACCCATCATGCTATAATTTCCCAATAGAACTGAAAAAGAGATGTTCCAATAAGAACAAAAAAATGAGAGACTATTTTCAATATGAAAAGAACTTTCCACAAGTGGAGATTTCAAAAACAATCAATCTCATCCTGAAATTCCTTCTGGTTTGCAAATTTTATTAACTTCATCCAAGGCTGGGTCTATGGAACTGGCAGAAACCTTTTCAAAAGTAGGGGGAAAAAATAGAGGGACTGATAAACCAGTAGTCATTAAGTTACTCTAAATATCCAATTTCAGCCAAGACAAAAATCTATCAACTCTACTTTTTCCCACTGAAATTAAAGCATTCAGCACTGATTTTACCAATCTTCCCCTCTGATTTGGCTCTTCTGCCTGATACTTAATTGGTTAGCGGTGGAAACTGGTTGACAGGTATGATAATGAAAGTTAAATGATCAGCAAACCCCAGGGATATCCTTTCAAAATGAAGCTGATGTCCATCTAAATAAGGTACTTGTAATAATAATAACTTGCGTGTGTACAATGCTTCATGGTTTAAAAAGCATTTTCACAGATATTAGCTCATTTGATTCAATATTCTCACAAAATAAGCAGAGCCCTATGATTGTCTCATACAGAGGAGGAAACTTCAGTTTTAATACTACTGCTATAAGGAAACAGGTTAAAATCTGTTGTTATTCCCTAGAAGAAAACCTAGGCAATACCATTCAGGACATAGGTATGGGCAAGGACTTCATGACTAAAACACCAAAGCAATGGCAACAAAATCCAAAATTGACAAATGGGATCTAATTAAACTAAAGAGCTTCTGCACAGCAAAAGAAACTACCAGCACAGTGAACAGGCAACCTACAGAATGGGAGAAAATTTTTACAATCTACCCATCTGACAAAGGGCTAATATCCAGAATCTACAAAGAACTTAAACAAATTTACAAGAAAAAAATCAAACAACCCCATCAAAAAGTAGGGGAAGGATATGAGCAGATACTTCTCAAAAGAAGACATTTATGCAGCCAAAAGACACATGAAAAAATGCTCATCATCACTGGCCATCAGAGAAATGCAAATCAAAACCACAATGAGATACCATCTCACACCAGTTAGAATGGCGATCATTAAAAAGTCAGGAAACAACAGGTGCTGGAAAGGATGTGGAGAAATAGGAAGACTTTTACACTGTTGGTGGGACTGTAAACTAGTTCAACCATTGTGGAAGACAGTGTGGCAATTCCTCAAGGATCTTGAACTAGAAATACCATTTGACCCAGCCATCCCATTACTGGGTATATACCCAAAGGATTATAAATCATGCTGCTATAAAGACACATGTACACGTATGTTTATTGCTGCACTATTCACAATAACAAAGACTTGGAACCAACCCAAATGTCCATCAATGATAGAGTGGATTAAGAAAATGTGGCACATATACACCATGGAATACTATGCAGCCGTAATAAAGGATGAGTTCATGTTCTTTGTAGGGACATGGATGAAGCTGGAAACCATCATTCTGAGAAAACTATCGCAAGGACAGAAAACCAAACACTGCACGTTCTCACTCATAGGTGGGAACTGAACAATGAGAACACTCGGACACAGGGTGGGGAACATCACACACCAGGGCCTGTCATGGGGTAAGGGGAGGGATAGCATTAGGAGATATACCTAATGTAAATGACCAGTTAATGGGTGCAGCACACCAACATGGCACATGTATACATATGTAACAAACCTGCACATTGTGAACATGTACCCTAGAACTTAAAGTATAATTTTTAAAAAATCTGTTTTTATTTACCTACCTACCTCCTTTATATTTATTATGAGAAGCATGGGTCATTAAATAGATATATCTGAGCATAAGAAAAGGAAACTACTTTTCTCTTGTGAGACATTGAGACATTGTTTTAGGACAAGTTATCTCAAAGTAAAGCATGCCTCACAGTCACCTGAAGGGCTTGCAATTGCTGAGCTCCCTCTCCCTGAGTTCTGGGATGGGGCCCAAGAAGTTGCATTTCTAACATGTTCCCAGGCGATGCTACTGTAGCCTGTCTGGGGACCACCCTTTGAAAACCATTTTCAAGTACTCATGACACAATTCTCTTTTGTCTCTTATTGACTCCAATTAAAGACTTGGGCAGGTCTCAAGGCTCTTCTGCCCACTCTTGGATTATATTAAATTGCAATTACTATTGCTGTAAATTATGAACACAATCTCAGTTTAGAAATTAGAGTGTCAAGATTATGATATTCATCAAAAGTCTGAATTTTATTTAATGTTAAAATTTCTGCCTTCTTTCTCCTCCAGCTGGATGGAAAACAATGAGGAAGGAAAGAGGAACATGCCTGGCTTCTGGATTTGTCTACCTTGTGCTCACCCTTCACACACCAGCTCCTCTGAGATTGGTGAAGGGGTCTTGTGTGTGTGAAGAGAGGTAAGGGGTAAAGAAAGGCCCGACATGAAATGGTACTATTGTAATAATCTTTGCACTCTCCAGGTCTGGCAGATTTTGAAGCTGACTCTCCAGTGGGCTTTTAGTGTGCTGTTTGGAGAATCCTAATGCTGCCACTCATTTGATATAACTTCATTCAAACTAGCTACCACCTAGTCCCTCTTAAGCCCCTATAAATCCAGTGCTCATACTTAAGTTCTTTCCACAGGAACCCTCTGTGCCTTCAGGAGGCCCTATTAGAAAGACCCATGACAAGCCCACAATAGTTCTCTCTCCTGTGATTCACCAGAAACACAATACATGCTTTGCCTGCCCCACTAAATTCCAAGAATGCAAACAAATACCGTGGCAGCCATGTCTATCCTGCTGCCATAGGCCCATTCCCCACTCCCATGCCTGTGTAAGCCCCAGTCCTCTAAGTCTTTCTCCCACATGCAAGGAACATATTTCAGATTCTCTGAGTGGTCCTATAGAAATCTCATTCACAAAGCTTGAGGCAGAGGAGGTAACACCCATCCCACTTCTTTCTTCCTCTGCATATCCACAAAATAATATGCCTCTCTTCAGTTACATCTCCTCCTAAATCATTCCTCTTCCTTCTCCATAGACCCTCTTACATTTTTAGAATATGAAAAAAAATGCTAGAAAAGTATGGAATTGGCTCTAAGTCATATTCTCTATGAAGTCAATCTACAGAAAACCAGCTTCAGAATTTCTCATCCATGGCATCATGGTGTGTGATGGCAAATTTTATGTGTCAACTTACCTAACATGGTGTTCGGTTGTTTGGTCAAACACAAGCCTCAATGTTGCTGTGAAAATATTTTTTAGATGTGATTAATCTTTAAATCAGTAGACTTAGATTAAAGCTGATTACTCTCCATAATGTGGGTGGGTCTCATCAAATCAGTTGAAGGCCTTAAGAGCAAAGTATGAGGTTTTCTGAGGAAAAAGGATTCTACCACCAGACTACCTTGAGATTCAAGACTGCAACATCAATCCTAGTAGGCAGGCTACCAACCTGCCCTACAAACTCCAGACTTGCCAGTGCCCCCAATCACTGAGCCAGTTCCTAAAATAAATCCCTATCTATCTACTTATCTACCTATTACCTATCTCCTATTGATTCTATTACTCTGGAGAAACCTAACTAATCCATGATATCTTGCTGAAACTTCCATTTTAACATCCCTTTTTAAACCTCACAAAAATCTATATTATCCCCATTTTACAGATGAGGAAATAAAAGCATGAACTTAACCAAGAGACAGCATTTAGTGGGAGTACAATCAGGATGTACCTCTGGGATTAGAACTCAGGTCTCTGACTCTTAGGATCATGTTCTCACCACCACAATCTATTACTCTGTGCCCATAAAAGCTAGACCACTAAACCAGTTGAGTTGTATTCTATATGCATATGCAGATTCATCCATGAAATTATGTGTACCTGGAATAAGAACAATTAATGCAGTGACTTAAGTTCAGGATAATTCTGTCAACTCGATAGAACCAATTGGTTGTACTGCACAAAGATACACCATTCAGATGATTGACTCCATTATTGGCATTGTCAAGGTATTTGGAGGTAGGGAAAAATATGATAGTAATAATAATGAAAATTTTAAAAAGCAACAATTTTCTGAAACTGTTACTATGTGATTGTGATCTTCACTCTACACACATTATATCATTAAATATCTATGAAGAAGGCATGATCAGCGTCACTTCACAAATGAGAAACTGAGCCTTACTGATGTCAAATAAGGTTGCAGAAAAACTAAGTTAACTCCTAATTCCCGCAGCAGTAAAAAAGAAAAAGATACTACCTATCTCACAGGTGGATACAAAGAGATAAAAATTGAAAAATATGTGTAACATGCTAATCATGGGATTTATCACATTCTGTATAGTCAATGAAAATTAATTCCTTTTCCTCTGCAGGAATAAAAATTTACATAAGAAATTATGCCTTTCTGCCAAAAAAAATCATTCTCCTATGAAAAATCACTCTACTATGAAAAATCAAGAAATCTAATTTGAAAAATCAAGTTAGAAAACAGAGTGTGACAAGTAGTACCTCCCTGTGAGCCTGCTGACAGCTTGATTCCCAGTAAAGGCCTTCAATATCCTGAGACGGAAAAAATCTAGGATACTATACATAAGAAAGAACTTTTCTAATTTAAAACATGATTATAAAAATCAACTAACTTCTTCTTAAGCTTACCCTCATTTTATTTTTTGGATCCCTTTTCTTATTTGAGTGAACAAAAACATGATAAAATATCCCATCCCATGGATCTTAGCCCAATAGTACCCATGTTTTTCCTGGCACTTAAAACTTACAGAAAATGAGACCGAGAGAGAAAGAGCTAACTTTTCATGTACTCACAAGTATCGCATCTGACTAGAAGTGGTTTCTTCCAGACTTTTGTGCTTAAGACAAAAAGTGGCCATGTGCCACTGGAACATTTTCTTGACAATACAATCTTTCTGATCACAGATACATGAACATTTTATTATGTCCCTGACTTCAGTGAGCTAAAAGTAGGCAATTAATTTTCTTCTAATCCCGTAAGTGGACATTTACTCCAGGTCAAGGAGAGAAAATATATTGTAGTCATATAACAATGAAGTTTAATACTACTCTCCAGTTTTCTGCTCAAGGTAAATTAGCCTGAGCTGTTCTCTCATTCTAGCAGGACAAAATGTTCTTTCTTCACATAGTCCAAATGTTCCAGCAAAGTATGAGATTCTGGGCACAGCAGTAAGCAAAGTCAAAGCATAAGGCAGTCTGATATACCAATTACTTACCTGCTGCCATTTTCTATGCCAGCGAAGTACTGAGTTTGAACCCTACATTTCCTCCAGCCGTGATGAAATAGCCAGAGCTATAGGGTTAAAATTGCAAGTAATTTAAAACATACTTCCTTCCATGGCTGGTACAGAGCCTTAGCAGGAGACATTCCTTCAGGTGAACTAACCATTGTCCTCACATTATTTGGGGGGCAGAAAATCCCATAATATAACCCTGGCAATGGCAAATATATTCTAGGTCAAAGGGCCACAACCCCTTAATCACAAATTTACCCTGCCTCACAAAGATAGTCGAGAGGAGAGTGGATTATTCATCACATGCTGCCCCAAGATAAGATCCTGAGGGACCGTGGATGAATCAGGAAGGTTTGTTCTTTGAAAATGAACTTCCTGTGCTCATTGACTCTAATAGATTACATTTTAGGAGAGTCAAAAGAAAAGGCCTTTCCTTCTTTTTCTTTCTGTCTCTTTCACTTAGAACACTCTGGCTACAAGGGAAATAATCAATAAATAGAGTTTCCAGCCAAACTTAAGGGGATAAACTAGTAAATGCTAAGCTTTGGAGCATTAAGAAGGCTCATTGTGCAGTTTCAGAACAATTTCCATGGCATTAGTTCTAAGTGCTCCCTCCACCAATGGGACCCACTGTCAGAAACAGCATCAGCATTATTGTGCTTTCCACTCTCAGGCATGACAACAACCACAATGTGTCATAGCAGTGATGATGATGGCGCCATCTTCCATGTGTATAACATATTAAAGCATATGAAGTTTATTTACATACCAGTTGATTGTGTAAGCTCCATGAAGTCAGCAATCATGTGTGTTTTATTCACCATTGTGTCCCCCAAAACCTGTCAAAAGGCCTAGTTGATAAACATTTGTTGAATAAATAAATATCTTATTTACTCCTCAGAAAACAGCATCCCCTGAAATGGATTATTGTTTCTATTTTGCAGAGTTTAAAACTGAGACTCAGGTATGTAAGCAGTGCACCTACAATCACACAGCTCTTACATGGCTAAATCAAAAGCAAACTCAGATCTTCTGACTCCAAATTTAGTATTCATCACCCTGTAGTGCTGCCAAACTTAATAAGAGTGACATCATGGATAAGGCAAGTAACAAGATTAGCACGTCAAAACGTAGGAATAACTATGCTTCTGGAAAGAATGACAAAAGGAAAAAATCTAAAATTCTAATGTCGGATCACAATAAAAGTGCAGTAAGGAGTCAAGTTCAAAAGATTGGTCATTATTAATCAAATTATAGATCAGCTCCAATGGCCACATATTTCCTTGTGCTTGCACTCAAGAGACCCTTTTGTAAAACATTCACAGAAAAAGATCGATACCTCTGGAGGTAAGTGGCATAAATTATGTCTCAACATACACACCACAGGAGTTTTACTGTGTGTTGTATACAGTAATTGCATTTTATAGATGGCTGTGGAAAGCTTCAGTCCTCATTGATTTTGATCATAAACTAAAAGGCGACGAAAAGAAAAGAACAGCACTTTAGATGAAGAAGTCAGTCAGCTGAAGCTGCAAAAGAAAATGAAAATTTGGCATGCTGAATGTGATCAATTCATGTTTCTTGGAAAATGAATGTAGATATTTCAGTGCTTTCATCATGAGCTGGTAGCAAGACTTGAAAAGTACTGTGAGAATCCCTGTTCATCTAACAGTCCGTGGTGGTACCTATCAGCAGGATTTAAGATGATGGGAAGCCAGCCTAAACGATAGCCCTTTCTAGCTTTCCACATTATGAATACCATCAGAATGGCTTATGAGCCACACTAACTGAATATTTGTGTTTTTACTAGTGTATTTAATGTGTCTTTGAGATTTACAATCAAAATCAAATGGAGATCGTGATGTAATCTGGGATTATCAATATGTCACTAACATTTCTAACTTCCGGGAGCATATTTTTCAAACCTTACTGTCTTGATTTCCTTCATTTCTTCATGCCCTTCACAGCAAGCAATTCTGAAGGGATGTTAATGCAGCATAACAACTCTTTACCCTTTTTCAAGGCCAATTTTGCAATATGGGCAAAATGATTGGAAATGGAGTCCTGAAAACACTGAAACCATCTGTCAGGGACTCAGTTAAGAAAATCCGCACTGTTTCACAGCCAAGGATAGGGATAAATTATGCCTGGCTGGAAATGTCCAAAGCAAGTGGATTCCCGTTCAAGCTTATTAGTATAAATTACAAAATTTTTTATTCATTGCTCTGGTAAAATTACATTTTCAGAGGATAATAAACTACAAGCTACACTGATGAGGAAGAAGGCAACTGGTGAACATTAGGCAAAAAAAAATGTTTTTCTAATAGTAAATAATAACCAAAGCAGGTGTCGCAGGTGTCACTACAAGAAATCATAAGCATCTGTCAAAATGTCTGTCAACCTATTTACATTCATAGACACAGTCCTGTGAAATGTTCTTATGCATTTTGTAAAAATAACCCTGTTAATATTTAATCACAAACACCAGAAGTACTTGGCTAATATTTATTCATAAAATGTATTTGGTAAAACATTAAAGACCTGGAAGGTGGGGCTGTTGTGATTAAATTATATCGCTTGGGATATCAAGCTTTAGAATCACTTAAATATTTTGTCTCCTTCCCCCTTAAATATTTATTGCCATTTTAAAACTATTGACATCTTACATAGAAAACAGTGATTCTCACATTTTATAACACAGATTTTTATACTAGTAAACAGTTGTAGTCAAAATGTTCCCACAAACATTGGAACCGATCTGCTTCACAGGAAGCAAAGCGCTCCCCAGTTATAAATGTAGGACCACAAAAAATGAATCATCACTTCCACATTCCTTCACTCAGAGAAGGTTAAATGAGAATGAAAACTATACTCCTTTCTATGAAGTACCAAGTAAACAATTTGGTTACAAAGTTGTAATCAGCTAATTAAATTTACAATTTGCTTAAAAAAAAAAAAAACAGCCTGTGTATGTGTAACTACAAGCAGCTATTTCTCTGCAACTCCCCAGACCTCCTACTGTAACATTGGAATACATGGATTTAAGTTAGTCTAGTAATTTCTGTACTCATTAGATTACCATTCATGCATTCTTTTAATCTCTCCTGTGTTTTTTAAAATTAATCTGAATTACTGCCAGAATGATTTGGTTAATTTCCCTCTAAGTAGCATTCATGAAATTATTTTTTATTAGCAGAAAAGCATTTAAATATTTGGTTTGGAAAACTGTGGACTTTGAATGCACAAATCAAGCACATGCCTTGAGAGGATATTTCAAAGAGCCAGACTAAGTCAGTAGGATACTGAAGGACACTCCTTTTAAGGCTGGGACTCAGGAATACAATAGCCTCTGGCTTTTCCACTGAAGATACCGCAGAACTTGAGTGTTGGAGGGACCAAGACATAGGCTCAATAGAGTAAGATTTGTTTGGCTTAATTAAATCAAGAACCAATTTACCTTGAACCAGGGCATCAGACCAAAACATGACCCAGCAAAGCTATTGAGATGCAGAGAAATTCTCCTGATACATCCATTAAATTGGTCCCTTAACTGAGAGCAGGTTTGAATTTGTTGGTGGAGGTTAAATGTCCAGCTAAGGGAATTAAGGGTATGTTAAGGCAGGTCCTTTCAACATGTCATTCATAATACTAATATGCCATGAGTCTGAGTAGTTTTGTCAAATGGAATAGCAAAGCAGGAATCTTGAGCTTTTCTTTCTAAATCACAGTATCCTAATATTTGCCCATTATTTTCAGATGGGCCAATGTTGGCTAAGAAAATGTTCAGTCTGCACAGCCCAGGGTCTCATGAATGAATCAACCGTTTAATAGTAAGAGCACCACCCACTCAACCATTAGCCCCAGTCAGACTTCAGTGGAGTTGGTGACACTAAATGTGAGAATAGCTCTAAACTACCCAAGTGAAGTACCTGGCACATCATACACACTTAGTAAATTTTAGTTCCTTTCTCTTTGTTCATTGTGGTTAGTAGCTTGATCCCCTGTATTATACCACCAGAATTTTCTGGAACTGGAACAGATAACTCAATGGTGCTATGAAAATTCAGACTCCCTAGAATGAAGAAGGGTCCTTTTCGATATGAGAAGGCCACCCCCTTTCCAGAGAGTTCTGTATAGAACACTGAAGAAGGAAGAGAACATCCCTAGATAGGCCGAATCTTCCCCAGCACGTGGGGACAGACGTTGCTGTTATTTTACCCTCCCGTCACAGCCCTGACAACGAAACAGCCAATCACATGAAATTCTCTTGGACACGAATCTTGTAATCACATCCCATCTATCAGAGCCCCATACGTGATGATTTGCAAATGCAAGGAACAAAATTATCTGCCTCTGAAAGGTTTGAGTCCAAAGACTCTTCAACCACAATTAGTATTGGGACATTAAGAGAACTTACTGCAGAATTCAAAACAGAGTTGTTGAAGTTCAGTAGGCTGCTAAAAGATGAAGTTGACAGTTACAAAACCCATCATCTTAACAGAAGCAATGGCATTAGCTGTTTTTATTGAGCTCTTACTATCTTCCAGAAACTGTACACAGTCTGATACAGAGATTATCTCATTTAACCCTCAGAAGCTTTGACATGAGTCCTACCATTGTGCCCATTTTACAGATGTAGAAACTCAATGTAGATTTATTCTTGGTTCCACAGCTATAGGTGATTGATCTAGGTCAGAAATTCCTATATGAAGGCGAACATGAAAGAGGCAAGTCCTCGATTAGCCTTCAGAAGACCAAAAACATACAAATTAGAATAAAAGGCACAAAATAAAATTCCCATTATGTACCTTCTGGTAGCACTATAAGCGGCCATGGTTGGAGAAAGAATTACAAAACCAAGGGAGATGAGGCCTGGGTTTCAGTCATTTTGATTTCTATAAGATTAGCTTTATGCTTCTGGGAAAATCACTTAATCAATTTAATCTCTAGAGTTATTAAATGGTCAAATGTTATAAACATTTAAGAGGGAAGTCATTACTTTTTTTGAAGCCTGATATCACAACTAATGGATGTATGATTTATAAACTGACAGATCACATTATGGTCATACATAAATGTGTATGTAAGATGTAGTATGTAAGATGTAGTATGTAAGATGTAATATGTAAGATATAGTATGTGTCCCATGGTATGGGATAGTGGTAAAAGAAGAAAAAGAAAAGTTACCTACTGTAGGATAATGCTTTCCATAAAATGTGTTCATGAGATCTATAAGTTAGATATTGTTATCACCATTAAACAAATGAAGAGCAAGAACTATGGAAGACAAAATAATGAGTAAAGACTTTGCCCTAAACTGGCTTATAATCTGGTGGCAGAGCCTGATAAGTACCTAATCCTGCCAAGTTACAACTGATGACCTTTGTAAGCCTTGTAATGGCCTTTTATAATTTAACTCTTTAATACGTTATTCTATGTGACCCTTAAAATTCTTCAGATAAGGAAATTAAGTTTCGGAAGTTTAAATTACTTAATAAGGCAATCTGGTGTTGAAAGAGAAATTCAAAACACCTCCTCTAATATTAAACTGTGAGCCCTTCCCACAGTCCGAAGCTGTCTCATGTCCCACGGTCTCACTCCAAATGGGGAAGCTTCCCTTGTTAAACAAATTCCAAAATTTTATTCTTTCTATTTTGAGTAGAGTCACTTGTTTCAGAGCAAGCTAGTGAATGAAGTAAAAAGATTTATATTTCAAGACACTTAAAAGTGTTACAGTGATTAGAGAGATACAGTACCAATGCATAAGTAGTATGGAAGTAGAGTGATAAAATGGAAGGACAAGAGAGAAGCTAGATTAATTTACAGTATTAGTCTGTTCCCACTGCTGCAATAAAGACATACCCATGAATAGGTAATTTATAAAGGAAAGGGGTTTAATTGATTCACAGTTCCACATCACTGGAGAGGCCTCACAATCAAGGAAGAAGGCAAATGAGGAGCAAAGTCACATCTTACATGGCAGCAGACAAGAGAGCATGTGCAGGGGAACTCTCCCTTATAAAACCATCAGATTTCGTGAGACTTATTCACTATCATAAGAACAACATGGGAAAACCCACCCCTGTGATTTAGTTACCTCCCACCAGGGGAGCTACAATTCAAGGTGAGATTTGGGTGGAGGCACAGCCAAACCATATCACTAATGATGGATCTACCATCATACAAACCAGTGAACTGATAACATATTGAGGAGAAACAAAAGGAAACTACTATTTATAGAATATATGATAAGTAGATTACATATTCATTCAAAAATATGTACTGAGAAACTATTATGTTAAGTACTCTAAAGGCTCTCAATGTGCAATGATAAATGAAAAAAACATAGGTTCTTGTTCTTATATGCATAATATCTGATCATGGAAAATAGAGATTAAACTAATAATCAAAGAAAGATAAATTATTACTTACAAGGGCTATATGCAAGAAATAATAAAGGGCCTGTAATTTAAATAAATGAGGGAGATTAGAATGGTTTAACTAAGGAAGTTATATTTAATCTGAGAACTGATTAAAAGGTAGGAATTAACCAGATCAAAAATAATGAGAAGAGACCTATCCAGATAGAGAGAACTGCACACCAAAAATTATGAGGTCAGAAAGAACATTATGTATGCCAGGAATGGAAAGAAAGATGGGAAAGCCAGAACATTAGAAATAAGTGTAGACTAGCACAGGATGAGTTTGGAGAGGCAGGCAGGGCTGGATCCAGCATGGCATTTATTATCTCGCTTAATTAATCTACTAGGCAGGTCTTTATGATCCTTGTCTTACAGATGAGGAAACAATGATTGAGAAAAGTTAAATGACTTGTCTGAGTTCACACAGCAGGTCTGTGGCAGAAGGCAGTCTTATTAAAAGAAGAATGTATCCTTTGAGGGAATACTCCTTCCTTTCCAAATGATTCTTACAAGTAAAGGAGCTTACTAAAACAATAGGCCAGCCTTTATCTGCTGCAGAGGAGAAAATTAATCAGACTGAGTTTGGAAGGTAAAACAGGCAGTCAGAACCAAGGCCTTGCTTCCTAGCTTTATCCTTAAAGAACATTCTACTTCCTTAAAGAATATATTCTGCTCTACTCCTCTAGGTCTTCCTACATCAGGAGAGGCACAATGCCATTTTGCTCCCTGTGGCTGAAGGGAATTCTGTCTAGTTCTTCCTTCAGAAGGAGGGAAACTACTTGCAAGCAGATAAAAATTACAATCTCCAAAATCAATTTTATCAGAAATAAAATATTTTTGACTTATTCAGATGGGGAAAGAAATGGCATTTATGGGGTACCTCAAATCCCATCATATGTTTTAAAATCCCAAGAGTAACTCTTTCTAGGCATTTTATCTTCATAAGTCAGGCTGGAAAGGGAACACCAGGTAAGTTGAAACTGATCTTTATAACTAAAGTCAATGCCAGATGAACACCAATGAAGTTTAACCCACAAATGGTTCTGGCAGCTGCTGTTCTAATTTTTATGACATTGATTTAAGTTTATTCATCTTGGTTTTCTTTTCATTTTCACAGAGGGTCCTAATCAATACCTGAATCCAAAATGTTCTCTTCAGGAAAATAATTTGTAATTATTGCCTCTGATGTCTCCCTTGAAACTTATTAGCCTACAGTTGAAAAATAGTTGTTTTTTAATATAATATTTAGACTGCAAAGAACTTTGGCAAATGAGAAGTCTTTTGAGCCCCCTCCCCGCCTCCACTTAAGCAAAATACTATACCTCTAGTCTATCCCACCTCCACCCCTACCTATCTCCTGGAAGACAATGGGAGCTCATGGGGCCCGGAGAAGAACAGAGTCATTGTTTGTGCCATCCTTCTGTGGAGTGAGGAAAGATAATGAGAAATTAGAAGTTCCTCTGAGGAACTTCTGAGATATCCACGAACAAGACCCTCTGGAGGATGTGTTGACATGTTTTTATTTAGTTTGGCTTCAGTTTTCGGCTTGGTGTATTAGTCTGTTCTCGTGCTGCTAATAAAGACATACCCAAGACTGGGTAATTTATAAAAGAAAAAGGTTTAATGGACTCACAGTTCCACATGTCTGGGGAGGGCTCACAATCATGGCAGAAGGTGAATGAGGAGCAAAGTCACATCTTACATGGAGGCAGGCAAGAGAGCACGTGCAGGGGAACTGCCCTTTTATAAAACCATCAAATTTCATGAGACTCATTCACTATCACAAAGAGAGCACAGGAAAAGCCTGCCCACGTGATTGAATTGCCTTGCACCGGGTCCCTCCCATGACATGTCTCCTCTAGTTCTTCTTACGTTAGAAGAGGCATAATGCCATTTTGTTCCCTGTGGCTGATGGGAATTCAACACATGGGCTGATTATTATAATTCAAGGTAAGATTTGGGTGGGGACACAGAGCCAAACCATATCAGTGCCCTAACAAATATGCTCCAGACTCACAATTACCTCACTTGTATATTTTTTTAGAAGCTTACATATTTTGCAAATTGCTTAAGTGATGGCTTCTGTATCTAAATAGAGTATAGAATAACAGAGGTAAAATGTCATTGCTGGAATTTGATCCATTACTGAATAATGCAATATTTTTCCCTGATTAAAGAAAGGATACCACTATTTTTATAGAAAGAAAGGAGGAAATTAAATACACCTACATACGTCCATTTTCCTATTACTACTTCTCAAAAGTGATACCTTGAGTTTTCATCATTTTTTAAAAGCTCGATTTTATGACATTTACTCAAACAAGTTCAGTAAATAAATAACCCTTAAGCAACTTATGAAGTGGTTATGTTGCATACAGTTTAAAACTTACAGGGCTAATCTTATTTCATTCATTAATGTAAATCCTAGGATTATTTAAAATGTGTTATTAAAATAACTTGTCTTATTTTTGTTGAAAAGAAAGTCTAAGTGCTTTGTCAAAATTACATATCCTTTGACAGCTGCTATCACTGAGCTCTCAGTCACAGGCATTGCCATCATCCTGCTTGATGGTGTAGACCTAGACCAGCTACGGTGAATAAAGCGGACCAAGTATTTCCAGCACAAAAAAGCAAGCTATGTTATGGTGCCAGCCCTTAGAAACCTAACAAATTCTTGATATGTAAGGCCCAAAATATGAGGTTTCTGTTGTGATTTGCTGAGCACAGTTTGAAAACAACTATGACTATGTGAGATTTTTGAGGTAGGGCAGTGTCTTAGTGACCGTTGTAGCCCCAGTATGAACATTGTGATTGGCACATGGAAGACACTAAATAGATTTCTGTAGAAATTTGTTTGTTGGTTTGTTGCATGCAGAGCATATGAAGATTCAAGGCTTACTGAAGCAAATGGCTTCCCAGACAAGACTATAAAAAACATTTCTGACATCCTCTATGGTCTACTTCTTAAAAAAAAAAAAAAAAAGGTGGGGGGAGTGTTATTTATTCTAGTTGCTAGCTGTGCTTGCATAGGAATGGCCATAAATTTCCAGTTATTTCCACCATATAAAAGGAAAGTTAATAAAGGCAATGAGAAAATAATCTTCCTTAAACATTTAGCATTGTAGAATGTTAAAACTTCTATGGACCTTGGAGAACATCTGGTCTAGTGGTTTTCAAATTTTCAGGGGATCCCAAGATGCTACAAGAGTACTTCTGGGACACTTTCAGAAGAGGTCAAACAGGCAGGCCTCTGGACACCCCACTCTGACATGATTTAGCACAGCTCTTTTATATGTCTCATATCAGGGTTTCATATGATTTCACTAGAAATGTGGTTTTGAGCCAGGTGTGGTGGTGCACGCCTGTAATCCCAGCCGTTTGGGAGGCTGAGCTGGGTAGATCGCTTGAGCCCAGGAGTTTGAGACCAGCCTGGGCAACATAGGGAAACCCAGTCTCTACAGAAAATACAAAATTTAGCCATGCCCAGCTACTCTGGAGGCTGAGGTGGGTAGACCGCTTGAGCCTGGGAGGTCAAGGCTGCAGTGAGCCAAGATCACACCACTCTACTCCAGCCGGAGTGACTGAACAATACCCTGTCTTTTAAAAAAAAGAAAATAAAATAAAATTTTAGTTTTGAGTGCTAAGAGCAATGCTTAAAACTTCTAATTCAACCTCATAATTTTATAAATATGGATGTAGAGCCCAAACAACCAAGATATTATAAGCAATTACTTGTAGCACAGAAACAAAAATCTGATTCCCAATCTAATGTACATTCCCACAGCACTATTAATAGGGAATTTTTGGTTCTTAAAACACCTAGTATATAACTGTTACTGTAAGTCTAGGAAATAGAGAAGCAGGAATTTGCAATGTATTAATATTACATTGCTAACAGCTTCTATGCATGTCACACTAGGCTGCTTGCAAAGGAATCCACACCCATTTGTTTATTTCCGTATATTGACAACAAAATGTAATGTATTTAGAGAAGATATTTCGTTTATTTGGATAACAAAAACTAAGCTTCAAGAAATCAAATGTAGCTGTAGTTAACTGGTAAGTGATAGAGCTAGAGTGACAATTCTTCTAACCATTCTATCCAAGACACCATCCATCACAATGCTGGGATAAGGCCCGCTTATCAGTCTCTTGGGCCACTATTCTCCACTGTCACTCCTACCAAACAGCAAACAGGATTCAACATGTGGGCTAACTGATTGATTGACCATAGTATTAAGTATTCTGAGGTTGAATATGGATTTAGCAGAAAGAAGTCAATGACCATGAGCATTATTGGCCTTTTGTACAGGAGGGAGAAATGGAGGCATACCTGTCAAGTCTTCTCCACCCCTGATTTAAAAGGCCAAAATAGAGAACAGTCCAGAGAGAGAAAAAGGTTGAAATGCTGAGACTTGAATCCTGAGCTAGGGCAGGCTAGCTTTCACTTTGAGCCACAAATCTGTCAGTTTAAGCTTGGAAGCCCAAAAGAGAACCTAAAGACTCCCAGTGCCATATAAACAATAAGTACTTCCAGATTTCCCTGGCCTCAAGAGCTTCCTGCTAAAAACAGAAGTGGGCCTGGCTAGAGGAGACTTGACTGTGTGGGAAATGGATGTTAGAAAGGGAAATGAAGCCACCCTCATTTCATTCACTGAGGCACAATCAGAAGGCTGTGTTTTGGCACTGCTGACAGGGGCCAGATTCCACACACTCATTTGGGAAAGCCAGCAAAGCTCACGGAAACACTTTCCCTGCAATTTAGCCCCAGCTGTTCAAGCTGAGGCTGCTCTTTAAAGTGAAGCAAACTGGTGAGAAAGCTGAAGTTCAGCAGTTTCACTCTGTTGGGCCACAGCTTCTGCGTAATCCCAGCCTACGGACTTGCCTACATTGACCAGATGCTCTGAGCCTCCCAAGTCAGTCTTAGAGGAAGCTCCATAAAAAGGCAACAAGGCTGCATGTGCGTCAGGTCCAAGGTGAAGTGAAGCAGTCCAGAGGGGGCATCAGGTGCTAGTCAGCCTGTTCTGCCAGCACTGAGTGTGATCTATGCAAGAACTCCAGAGGGCTCAGAAGTCATTTGGATGGTAACAATAGACACTGGGGACTACAGGGGAGGAAGGAGGGAGTGGGGCAAGGATTGAAAAACTAACAGGTGCTATGCTCATTACCTGGGAAATGGGATCATTCATACCCCAAACCTCAGCATTATGCAATATACCCAGGTAACAAACCTGCATATGCACCCACTGAATCTAAAATGAAATAAAAATGAAAAAATAAGATGAAATTAAAGTTATTAAAGCAAGATAAAGCATTTTTATTTTGGTGGGTATTTAGGGTTTTTTCAGTTTTATAAATTACATCACTTACTTGGAATGCTAACTTCAATCTGGTAGATGTCTCTAAATTATGAACAAATCCAAGATCAATGAAAACAGGCTCACTATTTCACTTCTG
Source organism: Homo sapiens (assembly GCF_000001405.40). Classification (NCBI taxonomy): domain Eukaryota; kingdom Metazoa; phylum Chordata; class Mammalia; order Primates; family Hominidae; genus Homo; species Homo sapiens. The sequence continues at coordinate 8,481,491 of NC_000007.14, read as the reverse complement.
ACCTCTGTGTTTTATTTCATAGTATTTATTTTATTTCCCAATACCCTCAAACCCTCAAATCAAAAGATCTTTCACAACCACTAACAAATATTTTCATGGAGGTGTTTTTCTTTCCCAAGATTTTTCTATACCCATCCTATTACCACTGCAACCAGATAAATGACATCTCTGCGTAGGTATCTCTGAAATATGCACTATGGCCTCATGTGAATAATTTGCCTTCTGACCTCTCAAGTCACTCCAGCATTATTCATGATGCAGCTTCTTCTATATGAGTTCCGCAAAGGAGAAAAAGGAGTTGACCAGTATAATCATCACTAGGTATCTCCTTTATATTTTAAGATATTGACTGAAAAGGGAGACCTTTAATTGAGCTTCAGAACTCTCAACCAACATCCACAAAAGAGGCTGCTGTGGTTCATCAGACATTGAACACAATATAGTACATGTGTGATCCTCATCCTGAGCACCGATGTACAAATGAAACCTCACTGTTTGAGCCTCTCACGCCTAGTTTCTGTCAGTAATTGAAGTGTCTGGAAGATAAAAAGAGTCTCACCATGAAATGAAAAAATAATACCTTTAGAAATATCCATCTTGACAACAACTAAATGTGTGGACCATGATTGCAAACACTTAGTGAATCACTAAGGAATAAAAGATTTAATTTCCAGGATTGCTTGGTGGGGAGGGGGAAGTTTGCCTTCCACAATGTACAAATCTTGGTGACTCATTTTTCTTCTTACAATTGCCGGGTGGCAAAGTTCACACGATAGATGGATAAATTAAATAAAGATCAACTCTAGGTTCTGGAAAGTACAGCTGTTGCAGTCATTTTTAGAGGCTATTCAGGGAGTGTTAAGGCATGACTAAGCCACTTAGGGCAGTGGTTTAGTCCACTGAGATTTATTGCCCAGTTTCCTGACACCAAGTGTTAGAAATTCTCACTGGTGACAACGAGCCTATGTCACCTTGTTTTCCCTGGAGGCAAATAAAGTGCAGAATAATTCTGGATTCCAAGAGAGAATTGTCCATTCTGAATCATGGCTATTCTCTGGAGCATTGGGCATACCCAGGTAAAGATAGATTTGCCTTCCATTTCAAGAGTTTTGAACTGTAGGCATTTAATAAGATCTCAGGCCACATATATGAGCAGAGGAAGAGTCACAGAATTCATCCAGGAGAGAAAATAAAAATTCCATCCAACCTTTTTTTCTCTTTTGTTTTCAAATTTTTAATTATAAATAAAACAAATACAGAAAACCACACAGAAAATATATGTATAGTTTAATGAGTTATTATAAGGCCAACTTCCTGCAACCACCACCTATATCAAAATATAGACCTATGTCAGCTACCTAAGAAATCTCATCAGTGTACCCCATCCAAATCTCAAACATCTCCCTCCTCCCAAAAGTAACCACTATCCCAACTTTTATAGCAATCACTTTTTATAGTTTTATCACTTGTATACATTTCTAGACATCTCTAATTTTATTTATTAATTATTTTTTATCTTATTGGAAAGGCAGGATCAATGTTACATTCTTTCCCTCTATTTACCCATTTTCAAGACAACGAACTAGTTCTCTTGCGTCTTCTGAAGGTAACTAGGTTTTTAAAATACCGTTATCTACTCACACATTTAACTTATTTTATGGATTTATTCCACTGCAATTATTATCTCTTTTGAAGCTTAAATTGTCCCAATTGGAGGTTCTTAAAATTGATTCCTGAGTTTCTTTTGACATAACCACAGGAGTTTCTGATAGCTTCCTAGCTATATGATTTAACAAAATGTTCCAGATTCATCTTATACATTTCCTGCCCCAGACCTGGAATTAGTCATTTCTCTAAGTCCTGTTTCTTTTAATGAGAAATATTATTTCAAAGCCACCACGATCTGGATGCTAGGAGTGCTTTTTGCACTAAGTTGCTCACTTTTCCTAAGCCTTTAAGGGGGCAGAGACAGATATACAAAGATATACATTTATACATATGAAAGACGTCTTGAGTTCATACTCTTACTTCCAATTTAAATTCAAGAATACAGCCCTTTCCGAATTACATCTGTATCTCCTTTCTTCTGCAACAAAAATTCTAATGCTCAAAGATACACAGGAATGACAGAATTAGAAAATCACATAATTACTCATCTTTTCCCATATTAGTTACATAACTGTCTAAGAATAACAATACAATACTACCACCACCAATGAAGTTAATGAGAATAGCTTTTAAACATTTTAACATGCTTACCTCATTTGTATCCCCACTTTAATAAATTATTCCTTATATTCATTTTATTAAATCTGCTGTTTTATAGATACTTGATCTTTAACCCTCATTTAATCTTAGTTCTACAAGTAACTATATGTTTAACCAGTTATTAACCAGTTAAACAATATATGTTAACCAGTTAACAAACAGTATTTTTAACTTATCACCAGTTCTTATGACAATATCTCCATAGTTATTTTTTATTGTCTGAAGTTCATTCTTTAGTAGATCTCTCAGAAAGTTCTCAAGGGAACAACATTATTTGGGTCATTGTATGCCAATAATAGTCTGAGCCCTTTATACTTGTAAGTCAGTTTTTCTAGATATAAAAATCTTTGGCTCATATTTTCTTTCTTTGAATTTCTTAAGTATGTTACTCCATTTTGTTCTGTTATAAAGAATTGCTATCAAAAAAGTCTGATAATAATCTAATTTTCTTTCACTTACAAATCACTTTTGGTTTGATCAATATGCTCAAATGGCCTTTGTTTCCTTTTGTATCAAATTTTGCTAGAACATGTCTTGGCATTTGTTGTTCTGGATGGACTTTCTCAGCTACATATTTCACTATGTAGTTTCAAATCAGTTTTTTATTTCTGGAAAGTTTTCTTGAATTATGGTTTTAGAATTTGTTCTGTTCTCTTGGTTTATTTCTTCAGAAATTTCCATTATACTTATGTTGGATCTTTCTTTACAAAAACTTTACTTCTTCATTTCTTTTTGATCTTAAAATTTGTCCATTTTACTTTATATTTCTTTTAAGGAATTATCCATTCTGTTTATTTGGTTTTATGTTTATTCTTTCTTAACTGATATTTTTTAAATTTCTGATTGTTTCTGGAGTTACACCCCCTCATTGCTGGGTATTTTTATTTTTATTTAATTAATCCATATATTGAGCCATTTTCTTAAAGTTTTAGCTTATTTTTATATATCACATTACAGTTTTTGGTCCCCAAAATGTTAAGAAACCTACTGTAGAAGAACTTATCAAATGTTAAGAAACCTACACCATGTTTTTCTGGTGGCTTTTGGAGGAAAGGAGACAGTTACACATTTTTGCAAGTTCTCATGCAAGGTAATTTCCAACTAGACAATCCAATCTCAGAGAAATCTCCAACTGCAATGTCTCCTTGTCATCATGCATTCATCTTTTTATTCATTCAGCAAATATCCAAAGAGCACCTACTATAAGTGTAGCAATGGGAATCAAATTATTAACAAGATTATTAATGATTAGCAAGAATGATTAATGAGGCAGACATGATTCAGGCCTTTTAAATCCCAGATTTAAAAGCTGATAAGGGAGTCAGAAATTCAAACACGTAATTGTAATAAAGTCCCTGGACAATCAGCTTACGTGGTTCTCAATCTTTCTCTACAATAAGACACATAAGAAATAGAATAGCAATAATGGCTAACTAGACAGTGATGATTTTTCAGCTCAGAAAGCATGTTTCCTTAAGGCAGCACATTAAACACTCATCTATGTGATCCTGATGCAGCCATCCTCCCCCAGCACCATCCCTGCAGCAGGAGGTGATTCCTATTAAGAATCACTGGTCTGACCCAAGCACCAAAGTGCCATTAAATCTAGAATTACGTTAAGAGGCGCATTAAGACTTGTGAGAAAATTAGGCACATTTGCATATTTCTTTTTTAATTACATAGCTCTCTCTATCCTATTGTACATTTGTATGTATTGCTAGGCAAAAGTCTAGGAAAGAAAGAAAATTTATTGCCATTTTCCCAGTCATCCTCATGTCCACAAAATGTATGTTTATTAGCTGGATTAACAACTCAGCTTGACCACTGGAGTGATGATCTATAGCCATCAATCACCTGCACTCTAGCAACACAATTATTTAAAAAAAAATACAGCTCCGGAACAGCAGGGGATTGGTAGGGAGGGGAACAAGTAAGAGTAAGTAAAACACAATGTATACAAGCATATCAGTCTTTGGGTAGACCTTCCTTTAATTGCTTATAGAAACTGTGGACATTTGCTGTCCCAGGTCATCCGCCAGGGAAGTACTTTTTATAGAGTCATGCCCCATATGGTTGTCTCCATTTTAGAACCAAGAAGGAGAAAAGGAATTCTTCATTTGCTTACTCTCCCAACTACACAGACATGGTGTATTTTTGGGTACTGCTTAACATACAGACAAACCCCAAGTCTCACAAAAACGTGAACATATTTGTACTTAGGTGTCTTCTTCTGGCATAAGATTCCCAGCTAGTCTTCAATTTAAAATAAATTTGAAGGCAAGTATAAGGAAATAGGTACATTGTGATCTCCTATAGTCAGCTCTGGGAATAGTTCTATATGGTTGTTAGATTTTTAAGTACAACAATACCTGGTTGTGCCTGGTTAAAATTTCTGGTTCTTTCCTGAGTTACACCCTCTCATTGCTGGGTATTTTTATTTAATTAATCCATGTATTGAGCCATTTTCTTACAGTTTTAGCTTATTTTGTATAACACATTACAGTTTTTATTTTTTTTATCTTTATTAACATGAAGCCTTTTAATCATATACTTCATAGCTAAGGTAGAAAAAATAAATAATGTATAGCATTGCATTTAAGGATGTCAGATCAGGAAGGTTAGTGTAAAAACATCATTAAAAAACAACATAACACCTATATATCAAAGAACACCAAATATGAATCTATATGAATCCCTCATATGAATATGAGGGAAAAGAAAAACAAGCTAAGGTTTGAGTAATGTTAGAAAGGAAAAAAAAAAATGAATTGCGTCTAAACTCAGATAGGGTAAGAGGATTCTATAGGAGAGACTCAAAAGGCATGTGTGTGCTGGGGACATGAAGATACAAACCCAGGCCTGAAAGAACAGAAAAAGATTAGAAAAAGTAGGTTAAGTGTTTGAGGGAAGAAACTTGTCAGCTGACAGAGAAAGAACAGGGCATTCTACTGTGAATATCCACACTCACTTGCACCGCTCAGAGTGTTGCCAAGAACAGGCCAGAGATTCATGGGCATCTTTTAAATACACACAGAATAGGGAAAGGTAATTAAGTCTTTAAAATGGAAGATCCATAAATATTTTCAGATTTAGAAAAGGGCCTATGGTCCCCAAAATGTTAAGAAACCTACTGTAGAAGAACTTATCAAATTACTTTCAGAACATTACTTGCATCATGTAAGAGCAATATTAGCATCATTTCAGATTCACCCTACCTCCACTCCCATTGCCTTAAAAATAAACAAAAATATTCCTTGCTGGCAAGGTGAGTGGAAGTTGGAGAGGTTGTGCAGGGGTGGCAGACATGGGTATTATCTGGAATTAAAACAGAGATAAAGATTACAGAATTCAAATGCCAGTTCAAGATAACATTTTTAATATGACTAAATTTTACTTCAATCAAATGGCTTAGTGTTCCTAATCAATAATTATATATGTGATATTATATCCTTCTTATTTTAACAGGAGCAAAAGACAAGAATAGAAGAGGTGAAGAGGTAAAAGGATTTTAAAAATTAGAAAACACTAGCATTAATATCCTGAAAGGGGAAAAAAAAGAGCTTCCCACCAAAGAAGAAAACCTTTGAACACTAAACTTTCCCCAGCAATCAGTCCCGATTCCCTTGTTGCAGTTAGCAGAGAAGAAAGTCATATGAAGACATCCACTTTATGCAATTCACAGAGGATCACTTTTCTGCTCTAGTTGGGTTTTCAGCATGGCTATTGTTGTTTTTTATTTAGAAATCTTCATTCCATGGGTTTAGTTATTATTCAACTGTAAATCAAGTCCTAATTTTCCCTCACATACCTAATACCAAATTTTCCCAAATTATCCATTGATTTTAGGCCAGAGCTACATAGTTCAACCTTATGGTTTAGTTATAGAACAGAAAGGTTCCTATTAAAGGTAAACCTCAAAGGAAACAAAGTCCCTGAGATTCTCTCTGGGGACACCAAGCAGCAGGGTTCAAATAGAGCCTCTGAGGGACAGGCCAGATTGGGAATCAGGCTTCACACCCTTGATCTCTTTACACAAGAGTTAAACAACTGAAGTTTAGGGGTCTCTAAAGAAGGAATCTAGGAATGTAGAGGTGAAAAGGCAAAGAGAATAATACACTGCAGGAAAACAAGTTCTCAACACCCTCTTCCCACCCCCCAGTCAGAGTGCCTCTCCATAAACCAGGATGGCCTCCCACAAGTAGGGGTGATATCCAGGGCTGGGACTTTGGTAATGGCATTTCTGCTCTCAGACCTGGGACTGTCCTCACACATAAGCCTCAGGAGCATTCATTCTGCTCACCCTGGGAGAAGGTACTTAGAAGAACCAACCAGCATGGCCGCAGCTTCATGATGTGTTCCTCTTAAATTCCAGGTGAGAGGGAAGAAAAAGCCAGTGGGAAGTGGATAATGTACTAGAGATGGAGAGAGGGGTATAAAAGTGAGGTTGGAAAAAAGAGACATGAAAAAGTATAGACCTCGATGAAGTGAACTAGAAGAAAAAGGTGACTGATCAGGGCTAGATTGAGTGAAACCTTGAGAGTTAGTATGCGACTATTAAAGTTTTGTCAGATATATGATATAGGGATCCTCACAATATAATGATCAACTATAAAAGCAGATTTCGAAGTAGTTTGCAGAGCATCAACCTGTTTTTTGTAAATGTGTTTAAACATACGTACTTGGTATGTGTTAATTAGATGTGTGTGAGAGAGTAAGGAGTAGAGACAAAGGCCAAGAAGACAGAAAGATGTATAATCAAATGGTAGCATGAGTCTATTATGCATGATGATATTGTGGGTGATTATCTTCATTTTTAGACTTCTCTATATTTCCCAATTTGGTACTATATATAAAACAATAGTTATTAATAAAAACAAGAAAGCTTTACTACTTCTTTTTCTGTATCATTTCTCTCAGCACCCATTTGATAGAAACTGATCAAAATTGTTTGCACCAACTGAAGAGAAAGAAAAAAAACACAAAATATGTGTAGCAATCCTAAAATTATTTTTATACACCTCATTCTTGATTCTATGTCCTCTCACATTCCTAATTACAATAAGGAAAATAAACATCATGAAGAGAACAAACTCAGACTTTTGACAGGGTAAGTTAAAATTCACGAGGTTATATTTTGCTGTTAATTGGCTATCCACCATTAGAAACTGGCTTTTTGATTCAGAGTAGTCACAGCAGGCTCTTGTAGATTGGCTAATGAGCTGTCCACTCACTGGTGAGTCCAGCTATTCATCAAGCTCCTGGGTAATTTGAAGGGAGCTCAGGATACCTGCAGCAGTTCAAGTGGAAAATGAAATCTGAGTAGCCTATAAAAGAGAAATGACATCCTGCCCAAGCTGAAACCGTCGGTTCTTTGGGGGTAGATTCATCTAGACTAGTCAAATTGGGCTGTGAAATTAACTAAATGGAAGGTCTATCATTGCTGGTCTATCTTTTGGCAATTTGCCTTCTCTTTAAAAAAAAAAAAACACACACAGCATTCTGATGTCTACCTCAAATCACTGTGTACTGCCTTAGAATGCCTTTAGAATCTAGCAAATGATAATATAAGCTTATTTATACAGAAAACACAGCATAGAGAGATGGAAACTGAAAAAATATAACAAAAGTTTGTGTGGGAGCGAAAAGATGTTGAACTGATAATACAGTACAATAATAAGTTACATGGAAAACCTCCAATAAGAGAGCAATTATTTAAGTAGGTGTTAATCTGAAGCCTCACACCCGCATGCCAGTTTTAGATGGCAGGGGGTATAGGACACTAGAGCTTAGCAATGTCAGCTGACTATCATCCTGTCAAGAATACAAACAAATAGTCACCATGCGAAAATCAATAGCAGTGGGAAAAAGGCTTTCTTGTACATTTATGATGGATAACATAGCCTGGGTGTAATGCATTGAAACAACTAACTTAGATAATACAGCCTGCTTTTGTCAATGATTTTCAAGCCTTGGTTGGGAACAGCCGCTCAATAAAGCATGTATAGTCCTAGGCACTTGACAATGGCCATTTCCCTACATTGAAGAATTAATCTGAAAGGTGTTCCCTGAAAACTTCAGATACGAAAATGGTAAGAAAGATTTTAAAAGACCATCAGTTATGCCATGTCTAAACCCCATAACCAGAAAAGTGGTTCTTGGGTGCAGATCTTGGTCTGTTTTTAGAATTGGAGAGCAGCACATAACACTGGTAGTAATATGTGCCTCTTATGGAAGGCCCACAAGGAGATGTTTCAGTGACAAGGTAGATTGGCCATATTGTTGGACTATAGAGAAACTGAGATCTCAGAACAGTAATGGCTTTTCCAAACTTCTAGAAGCCTGTAGGAATGCCAGGACTAGGTGCTAAAACCAAGTGAGTTCCCCTTGTTTAGTCTAGATCTTTCTGTTTGAGGCTTCTGCCTTCATTAGACAAGTGGGAATCTATTGCAGCTAATGAGTCAATTCCTTCAGCAGCCTAGTTTAACTCTTTATAAGACTGAGAAGGAGAATTTGAAACCAACAGCTTCCCTGACTTGGCCTGGGATTTATTCCATCTCCTCTCTGCCATTAGGGAACTCAGATTGTGGTATCCTATCCAGACTCTCTTCCCTACCAGGAAATTGGGCCCTTCCTTCCACCAAGGAAGTGTGGCATCCAGATCCTGGAGTCTCTGACAGCACTAGAGGCAAAAAGCCTGGGCCCACAGAAGGACAGCCATAGCCTCACACAGGGTCTCATACCAACTCAGGGTGACTTTGGACAAACCACCCAACCCCTCGTTGGCTCAGTCTCTCATTTGTAAAATGGCAATGTTGTTATCTCCCTCACCAGGTGGTCAAGGAATCAAATGAAATCATGAATATCAAAGTACTTTGAAGAATGTGTTCACTCATGAAATCACAGAATTTTAGAAGGGCCTTAGAGATCATTTATTGCAGTCTCTTATTATACAGATGAGGAAACAATCCCCAAGGGCTTAAATGACTTGAACAAAGTCAAACAGAAGCAGAGCTGTTGTACAAGTCAAAGCACAATTATTACAAATTTGTACAGTTCCAATATGAATATACCTATATCAGTAAGTTATTTTTATATATCCTTAGCACAAAAAGAAGACACATCACCTATGGAAATAAAATAATAGCTACTGTGTTTGGGATATGAAATAATGGCTTATTGCTACTATATTATAAATATGATAAAATAATATTATTTATATTTTAAATTTTTATGGCCATCGTGTAGGATATCAAAAAAATAATAAATGAATTAAAATTACCCGTAATGTCTCTCTCAGGAAAAATATCAATGTTAGCTTTATGGTAAACACCATTTACCATGAGATTATACTCTACCTACTGTTTTTGTAACTTGTTATTTTAAATGAAAAGAATTTAAGATGCTCTCCTGTATAGTTGAACAAAGGAACATCAGTGAAACATGTTAAAAATGAGAAATGTAAGAGTAATAGCGTACTTGTTTTCATGAGTAAAGAAAAACCTTCACAAAGATTTTGCTCTAGTCTCCAGGGAAGAAAAAAATAAATATAGATAGTTCAAGAATAAAAAGGTAAAAAGTGATTTCTCTAGTTAGTTGAAGGCCATGGATGAATCCTTCCTCCTACTGTTCCATGCCAAGTCAAGATCTTTTCTGTAGGAAGCAACAAAATGAGTTCCTAAGGGAGGTTGTCTGCTGTTGTATTTACAACCCATTTCCAAAGCAGCCATTGATTCAGCAGTCCCCATCTTAAGTAGCAGAATTGAGACTGTGATTTTTTAATACTCATCCTTAACCCTCTGTCCTTCCAACCCTCTTCTAAACTAAAGGTCAGTTTTATAAGAATATATCTTCTATGTTAATGATATTCGTGTGACCCAGAGTTTTTACTCTTCACAAATCCTTCCCCTCAGAGTGAGGGTTCATTCCACTTATAAATTCCCTTAAGCACAGCTTTTCTTGTAGAGTACCGCCACATTGGCCTGATCTCTGCCTTAAAGAGTAACATTTAAAGGTGACCACATCCCATTGTTTTCTTTAATTTTGAGACGCTAAACTCGGCAGTTCCACATAAGTCATTCAAATGCAATTTGGGTAAAACCAGGCCTACTGCACTAGCTCTGATTTTCAGATATAAACTCACTGAAAACCCAAATGCTATCACTTTGTATCTGCCCACTACCCCAATCACCCAAAAAAATGAAACCCAAGAAGTTCCAATTAGCTGTTCACTTTTCCTGTTCTTGCCCTAACCTCCAGAAAAATTTGTAAGATCCTCTCTGAACCATAGAATTTTATAAGATCCCATTCCCATGTCTAGGCCATTCTGCTATTTCCTTCTTCTTAAAAAAAAAAATCAATTTTCATCATCGCAGAGCCATAGCTGGTGAAGACGAAGACTGTTCACAATTGCCAGCCTTGAAAACATGCTACAAAAGTAGGACCTTTGCAACAATGTTTTTATGGTGACAAGTTGACAGGACATTTTAAAGAATTTGATAAACAGCCATCATACTAATACATATGTAAACCAGGCTATGAAATGCCTAAGCAAGAGTCTTAAAGGTGGGTGTTTATTTCATGCTCACCCTCTCATGAACTTCCAGTAAAGGTCTGACACTTCACCACTGGCTTAGCCAGGCACCAGGTCTACCTTTTCCTGAGATCTGTTCCTACTCTGCATTTTTTCCCTACAAAGCTAAAGTTTGCCCTAAATGGTCTAATATTCAGAAGTGATTCAGCTTCAAGCAAAATATGAATTTCTGAGAATCTAGGGAACAGCCACAACTTGAACAAAGCAAAATGTTTCCCTTTGTAGGAAAATTATTTCAAAAAATTCAGGCGTCTTCAAGAATGTTAGTCTGTTACTCTTGACCACATATCAAAAACTTCCCTCTCATTCTTGGTTGACATGTATTAACATCACTTATATGTGCATCAAATGATAGAAATCCACATTTCAGCCAACTTAATAGTCAATGTAGATCTCTGCATAATCTATCCAGCGATAAAAGTACAGTGTAAATGGGAAATAGACTTTTCTTTGTAAGCCTGACATGTTGGGCCATGGCCAACTCTAGATGCTTAAGCTAAACTCAGCCCAAAAGTACTTTCAACCAATTTGACCATACCTGAGCTGGATTCCTGTAGTGCATGCATGTCAACTACATACACAAGACATATAATCCATATTGTCTAATGTATGCAATGTTAAGATACAGTTGGAGGTCAGTTTAGTAGAATGAGAGGGACATGGGCTTTGGAAGCAGTCAGAATTAGGAAAGAATTGCAGCTCTTCTAATAATTAGCCATATGGACTTTAGCAAGCCAGTATCACTGAAGCTCAGTTTCCTTATCTGTAAACTGAGAGTAAGGATAATGACATTTCACAAACATTGTTGCATGGATTAGAGACAATGTATATTAAATGCCCAGCATGTCTAGTCTTTGGTAGTTATCATACATATGGAAGACTTCTATAGTTAGCAATAATAGTAATAGTGTGTATTTTACCCTCATCATAGTGTGCATTTCAATCCACAATTCGATAGAATTAAAGTGTAAAGATCCCTGGTAACCTTCATAATGAAGTTAGCTTATTCAATATAAGATGTAAGTTATCTGATTATCTGACTGTTTCCTGGGACCATACTTTGAAAGAGAGAGATAAAAGACTAGTAGTTTCATGAAAGGATGAGAGGAGAGGGAACGATTGTTCAGGACTTAGAAAAGAAACTGAGAGCACATATACATTTGACGCTCTCTGTCATTAGATCCTAGTTGATTATACTCACAAAACTGAGAGCTGCTGAGCTGGAGCTAAATCATCCAGCACAGTGTTTGGCGGTAAATACTCAATAAAAATGTGTTAGCAAATAAAGATTTTTTTTTAATGTTCATGTGACTATTATCACAGAAAGTCCATGGGTCACTATAGAAGTCATTTTCAAAGTCTAGATAAATTCATGTGAAAGTCTAAAATAGTCCAAGAATTTAAATTTCAGAGATTGTAGAATTTCCCAAAAAAATCACTATAATGGTACTTTTTTAAAAAAATAACATTCACCCCTTTCTTTGTATAATATGGGACTCTAAGAAAATTGACATCCTTTTTCTACATTTTAATATTTCTTTTTTCTGTATCTTAAAGATACTTAAATCTACTTTTTATGTAAACTTCAAATTTATGAATTAAAAATAAGAATTTCAACATGAGCATTCAGTTAAAAACAAGATTGTTATATCAATTGCATGGAAAAGAAATGGTCTCAAAATCACAGATAAAAATTTAACACTCTTAAAAATTGCCTTATATACTTTTCCAGAAATAGAAGAAAATAAATTATTTTAGATGAAACTACCTTTCCATAATTTTATTATCTTGGGTAATTTTTTACACTGTCTTTTACACTAGCACAACTAGAATAGTCGCTCAAATCTAAGAACTGAACTATCATAACAACTTAACCATTAGGGAAAAACTTACAAATAAAAAAAGCATTTTCAATCAGTCACCTGCAAGCAACATAGAAACTTAACCCCAAGCTTTGAACTTTCCAAAGCCAGTATTATCTTGGAGACTTCCAGGGAGTGTACACATCCTAAGGTACAGAAAAGAATCCCAGGCCATAGTTTCCTGATCATTGGTTGAGTATTGATGAAAAATAAGATAGCAGGACATGGGATATTATCTTTGATTACACAACACAAATTCAAAACCAAAAAGCAAAGCAAAAGATTTTATATTCATGGACAAAATATCTTAAAATGAGATATAGTAAAACAGATGCAGATTGTTGCAAGCATAGCTTTTATCTAACGGTCAGCATTTTCAAAGAAGACATTTTTCAAGATAAAATGTGAATAGGCTTTAAATTTCTGAACTGGGTTTAAATCCCCTTCAACTGTCTAAACTCACCTATGTAACCATTTTAGGAAAACTCCAAGGAAAGATCATTCTTACTTGGCCATTTGTCTGACATTTGTCTGACTTTATTTTTAATGCTCTAGCCAAGTTCTAGATTTATCTTTATAGAATATCTCATATGCTACATTCTGGAAGCATTTATATTGATTATTTATTCTATAGCCTGCTTTGTTTTAGAAATTTTGGTGAAAGTATATTAAAACATGGCACAAACCATTTTCCTTATCTTTCTTGCTTTATTTAAATGGAGTATGGATGGATCACAAATTTTTCTTTTTGCGCAATTTATCTCACAACTAAATGCTCAATAAACTTTATTAATTAACTGCATACAAATTACAGGCATTCCTACAGAGTACAATCAATAATACTGATAGTATACAATGCCCGAAAAACTTAGAAGCTGACTCAAAATAAATAGCCATGCTTGATAATAAATTTTCTAGAAGAAAACAGGCAGAACACCTGATAACTCCTTTCTTCTAAGGAAATGTGTATTCATGATTACTCACTTTAAATAAAATGTTCTAAATTGAAAGAGGTTGCTATCTTGTTACTGACCACTGTATTAACTAACTGGTCATAGTTTCAACCTGATTCCCCTGAACTTCCAAGATCCTCTCACAAGATCTAAAGATGCTAGACCCAAAATGCAACATTTTCATTTACAGGTTAAGAAGCCCAGTCAAAGGTATGTGCTAGCCCCCACCGCTATATATCCCTCACTTAACTTATATATCTACTATCTCAGGCTCATGTTTTTAGAAAGTTAACAACATAAAGAGTGTAAGATGTAAGATAGTCTGAAAGAAGATTAGGGAAACTCAGGAAATTAGTGTCCTAAGGGGAGCCATAATAAAAGCATAAGTTAAAAATATCTCAGAACAGACAGGAAGCTTCTGTAAATCATATGCCAACTATATGCAAATGTGCATGATATGACCTTAGGGAGAATTCCAGAAGAGGCTTCATCACCTGATGTTTCTGTGGCTCCTCATTTCACAGTCTTTAGCTATTAATACCCTTTCATAGATCTATAAAATACATTGACCTTTTAAACCAGATTTTAGTTAAACTTGGGCATACTTTAAGTATCATTATCAGAAAAATCCAAGAGACCCAAAGTAGTGACGGACTTTCATATAAAAAAGAAAGTACTCTATAATAGGAAGACTTTCCAAGATTCATATACCAAATAATTTTTTAAATTCACTGAACACTGAGTGTCAGTGTGCTAGCTGCTGTATATTTCTTGCATTTATATTATTCATCCTCACAACAGCCCTGGAAGGAGGGGAGGCTATTATCTCCATTTTACAGATGCAGAAACTACTATGGTTTGGAAAAATTAAGGAAATGGTCCCAGGTCACATAGTTAGCAAGTGGTAGAGTCCACATTCCCATCAGCTCTAATGACTCTAGACCCTGTGCTCATTACCACTATCCTATACCACCTCCCAACCACAAAATGGAGCTGGGCAGGGTGGGAGGGGCAGGTCGGAAACAGAAAGAAAAGTAAATTTTCAAGACAAGGGAACGAAAGACTAGAACTTGACTTCCCAAAGTTTCTTCAAGGTATAAAGTTTTAGATCATTTACTTTTTTAAAAATAGGTAATATGAGTAATATCACAAGCCATCAGATGAAAGGATTTTCCCCACACCATCTTCCTTAATGATATACTAAAAACTAAGAATACGTTAATTTACAATGTCCCTTCGAGTCTTTATCTAGGTGTGAGGCTAAAGAAAAAAGAACATGAATAGATCAGAACTCCAGCAAATGTTGCAGACACCTTTATTCTTGCAGTCAAAAATGTCTACATTTTTCTGTTCATAAAAATTCATAATTAAAATTGCAAAGAGCAGCCTAATCTGTTCCTTCATTTTAGTGCTTCCATACATCACTGGTTCTGCTGACCTAATAAAAAGAGCTCATCGTTCCCATACCAATTGATGTAGCACATCACTGATTAGCTAGTGTCCATCTTGTATACAGACTAGCGTTGTATTTAATATATCAACTCCATTAGCTGCTTAATGCCATTTTCAAGATTTAACAAAGCAAATTCAAAAGCTCATTCAACAAACTTCCTGATAATATCATGGTCCCAGTCTTGATTTCCTTTAACTCATTAATCCTTTTGTATTTTTTAATGACTTTTCAAGGTACTCACAAAAGTCAGTGAGGGTCAAGAGAAGCCAACAGTACCAAATCCCCTTTACACTACTTCACATTTTTCACAGATCATTTCATTAGGAATGACCTGAGTGAATTAAAGCGAGTCAAGGAATAGCCTCAAGATTCCCCCAACCACCTAAGAACAACCCATTGAAATTGCCCTATCCTCTGAATTAGAGACTTTGCAGTACATGGGGGACAGAAGGGGATTCTCTTTGCTTTTCAAGGCTGTGGACACAACAGTCTCCAGTTTAGTTAGTAGCATGCCAACACCATCACTTCTGTTCAGGGGGCTACTGTAATCCCCATGAGAGTCATGTTGTGTGACATGAAGCCAGCTATTGCTAAGTGAGGTCTAGGGAATAATTAGAAAGCAGGCATTTTGACTTTTAAATATTCTACTGTCTTTAAGTGGTTTAAATAATTTCTAAGTGTAAGTGCCACCAGGGAGAGCAGAGTGTCAGCAGCAGAATGGATGTTGTTGCTAACAGCCAACAGCTGGAAAGCGACCGTGAAAATGCCCCCTGCTTTGCAATACTTTCCTGGTATCTTGCGCTACACTAGCTTGGGAGCCTAATAGCACAATATGAGAAATGAGAGCTCATCTATCTACTTGTCAGGGACACTGCAGGCATCCCACATACAATCCTTCCCAACTCAACCCAGGCTGAGCTGGACCATGACCTAAAAGGAAGCCTTTCAGGGGTGAGAGGCCTTATAAAAGGTAATTAATCCTTCAGGAGACACAATCCCCAATGTCACCTGAGCATAGAGGAGCGAGTAGAAAATTCCACTATTCTAAATTCTTTATATAGATCACACTGAAAGGGGGCTATAACAGAAATTCCAGTAGAAAAATGTTTCTGTAAAGATGCTATAATAATCCTCTGGGGGTTTCAGCTGGATTTTACCCATACTTCTCCATCAAACTGAGACCTCCTTGTGCAATTGAAAGCTTTTCTTTTAGATTTTGGGGAGATCCCCTATACTATAAATTTTCCTGTTGTCCTTTCTAAGTCCCACTGTTTCTAGTTAGAATTGTTCTCCTTCCCAAGTCCTGGTATCTATATCCGCCTCTTAATAGGTCTTCGTGTCTCCTTCTCTCCCATCTGGATTATTTTAGGCTGCCAGATTTGTTTCCCAAAGCACATTTTGGTCCTTCTCTCCCTCATTCAAAAAAACATCAAAAGTCCACAGTCTAAACTACTTAGGCTAACTTTCAGGCCTTCCAGAACATGGGCATATGAATCCTTGGCTATAAAGGATGCCATCCCAATGAGTGATACACCTGCTATATGAATTCTTAGGAGAGTAAAACATTTCCAGATAAGCTATCAATAATAGTATTCAAGTACAAAAAAAAACACTACACGCATTACACATTTGCTCTGTGCCTCTCACTCCACTAAACTCTGTAGAAGCATCATTCCACCTTTATTGTCCTAGATTTTAATAAACGAGGAAATTGGTTATCTTTTCTAGGTTGCCTTAACAGAACTAAACAGAATTCAAATCTAGATCTTCTTGACTCCTACAGGCAAGTGATATATGTTAAGGAGGTGCCTTGAGCATGTGTAGGGAGCAGACAAAAGATTGATTAGGATGGTTAAATATCAGGAAGACATTTTGGGATCATGAAAGAATTAGTGTAGTGGGGTAAAAAGACTGGAAGATTAAAATTGCAAGATGCTTTGAATGTCTGACTCAGGAGTTTGGACTTTAACCTATGAGCAGCAGATGGCTATCAAATAATTTGAAAAAGATGCATACTAGCATCTTTGTTTTCATAAAGAAATATTCCTAAAAGAGTGAAAATGATAGATGGAAGTGGCAAGTGGTCACAGATAAGGACCTCTCATACATTGTTGGTAAAAGGTTTTACGGGGGGATATAAAGATGTCTAGGGATGGCTAAGAAAGAAGGAGGTTAAATGGAGATAGATTATTAAAGTGGAACTGATACAATTTGGCAGCTGATTAGATATGGGGGAGAAGGAAGAGTGAGGAGTGAAGGACAAAGAGCACTGAGAATTGTCAAACCTGATTATGCAGGAGCACTTAAGAGCCACTAAGGTAGAGAACAAAGAAAAGGAGGAGGAGGAAGAGGAGAGACGTCTCTGGGAACATATGGTTTTGAACAAAATATGTGAATAGAAATATGAATCAGGAACTCCTAAGAAAGGTCCAAATGACAGACAAAGATGCAAATATGGAGTAGGAGAAATAATGCCAGCAATAGTCAACATTTATATTAATTGCCTATTTTCTGCCAGACACTGTACAAAACCCCTTAGATAATCTTTAATCCCTCAAAACCTTCATTTTACAGATAAGGAAACTAAACTTAGAAAGCTTAAGTGACTAACTCAAAAAGGGAATGAACAGTCCATAGAACAAAGCAATATAAATGGCCTTAGGCACGTAAAAGGTACTCAACCTCACTCAAAATTAAGTAAATGCAAATAATTGAAATAAGTAGCTATTTTTTAATCTAAGAAAATACTAATAATCAAAAAGTTGGAAAGGATATGAAAAACAGCTCTCATATACATTCTTGGTGGAAACATAACTTGGGACAAAACTTTTGAATGGCAATTTGGAAATATCTATCAAAATTTTAAATTGGCATATCCTTGACCCAGCAAGTTCACTTCCAAGAATTTATAATACTAATATAACTGCACATGAAAGAGTGTATATGTAGTCATTGCAACACTGTTTATATTTTCAAAGGGTTAAAAAATATAAATGTCTATTTGAGGACTTCAATAAGTAAATTACAGTTCATGATAAAAAAAATACTATGTGGCCATGAAAAAAAAAAAGATACATTTATAGATACCATTTGGTAATACCTCCAAGACGGTAAGTGAAAAAGAAGGAAGTGTCAGTATATGTAAATATGCCTCAATTTGTGTTTTAAAGGAGCAGTATGTATTTCACTTTTGAGAATTTCAGATCTATTATAAAAGGCTTATTTTCCATTGCCTTGGCTATGACTGAAGAATTACCCCTAAACTTATGAATTATATTTGTCAGTAAATTCCAATGTTTACTTAAAAAGTAAAGAATTTTCTGGGCTAGAAGGGAGATTACAAAAGAGAAAGGAATCTATGTAACACCTACCTCAAGTAAGAGATTAAAGAGAAGCTGGGCAGCAACATGGTAGTCTGTAATGTCTCTTCAAACTTTGAGATTTTATTAGTCTAACTATAAAATAAGCCTCTCAATCCAGCAATTCCTCTTTTAGCAATTTATCCAAAGGAAATAACTAAGTAAATGCAAAATGATACACAGATAAATAACAGTGATAAGAGTAAAAGGATAAATGAAATATGCAAAGGTATTCATCTCAAGTATTCTGTTTTATTTTTTCATTGGCAAATAAAAATTGTATATATCATGTACAACATGTTGTTTTGAGATATCTATACATTGTGGGATCAGCATTTTCTCTGATACAAACCATAAAACTGAAAATAATGTAAATGTTCATCAATAGGAGACTGGAAGGAGCATAGCTTAGCAGTTAAGAGCAGTCTGTGGAGCCAGCTTTCCTGCATTTGAATCTCAGTTCTGTCATCATTAGCTGAGTGACTGTGGGAAGCTATTTGACCTCTGTATCCTTCAGTTTTTTCTCCATTTCTCAGTGATGACAATAGCAGAACCTATTACCAGGGAGCTGTTATCTAGATTAAATGAGTTAACATTTGTAAAGTGCCTAGCACATATATGTTCTTTAAATACATAAAATATTTATAAATTATAATACAAGGTCGGGTGCAGTGGTTCACGCCTGTAATGACAGAACTTTGGGAGGCTAAGGTGGGTGGATCATGAGGTCAAGAGATCGAGGCCATCCTGGCCAACATGGTGAAACCCCATCTCTACTAAAAATACAAAAATTAGCTGGGCATGGTGGCGCATGCCTGTAGTCCCAGCTACTTGGGAGGCTGAGGTGGGAGAATCACTTGAACCCATGAGGCAGGGGTTGCTGTGAGCCGAGATCACGCCACTGCACTCCAGCCTGGGTGACAAGAGTGAGACTCTCTCAAAAAATAGACAGAGAGATAGAGATATAGATATATAGATATACATAACAGTGTGGTCATTTAAAAGAGTAATGTTTTTAAGAAAAGAACATCTATATTAATATAAAAATAATATACTACATATAAACCCCAAGTAGCTTGTGGAGTATGACTCCATTTGTGTTAAATGGTGTTTGAGTATATGTAGGTGTGCATGTATGCACTTGTGTGTTTATTCTTTTTTTTTTTTTTTGAGACGGAGTCTCGCTCTGTCGCCCAGGCCGGACTGCGGACTGCAGTGGCGCGATCTCAGCTCACTGCAAGCTCCGCCTCCCGGGTTCACGCCATTCTCCTCCCTCAGCCTCCCGAGTAGCTGGGACTACAGGCGCCCGCCACCGCGCCCGGCTAATTTTTTGTATTTTTAGTAGAGACGGGGTTTCACCTTGTTAGCCAGGATGGTCTCGATCTCCTGACCTCATGATCCACCCGCCTCGGCCTCCCAAAGTGCTGGGATTACAGGCGTGAGCCACCGCGCCCGGCCGTGTGTTTATTCTTAAAGTGAGCAAAACAACAAAGCTATTTGGATTTGAGGAAAATACAGTGACCTAGATAACGCTATCTACTTCACATTAATAATACCATCTTCAGAGTCTCTACAAAGGCTTCCTCTGTCTTCAAGTCTCCTTAATTCTTTTATGTTTTCTATTTCTCTCTCCACCTTAGAGCTTGGGAGTAACTGAAGTTACTCTTTCTTCAACTGGTGTTTTAAGCAAAAGAAGAGAGAAAGGAAAAAAAATACAACCTGGAGAATGAGAAAGGGATTTGTGCCAACTGGAATCTCTTCCTAACCATGTAATGTGACAGAGGGAGGATGGAGAATTGAAAACTGAACAATTAGAGACTGAATGCAAGGGGGCATGGTTCACTCCCCAAATGTTCTCTTCCTCTGCAACCCAGTGCTGAGATCTTCTCCAAGCAATTCTCCAATCTTTGTGTATTTTCATAACCCTCCAAAGAGACAATGGCTACCACATTTCTAGTCCATCCAATACTTATCCATCAGTGTAAGGCAGTTTTTTAATACCTAATATTGAAAAGATCCAAACACAAATAGCCAAAAGTAAGGGAAATGAAGTTGAGGAAATGTGATGAGGCCCTACTGAGTGAGTGCCAGGTACTTTCACATGGATTATTTCATTGATTTTTCACAAAGTCTTAGGAGATGATCACTCCAATCTTCCTTTTTATAGTTAGCCAACAGATGTTTGACTGTTGTTGAATAATTTTTCCAAAGATAGGTGGTCAATAATTGGGAGTGCTGAGATTCACACTCAAGCATGTCCGTTGCAAGGCTCATGTGGTTTTTCTTTCTACTTTCCATTAAGCAATAAACAAAAGCCTGGAGTGCAATAACCATTCAAAACACTGTTGGCTTATTTCCCCTAACTTTCTACTCATCTAGAGGGATCAGAGCTAGGCATGTCCAATGGTCAATGCAAAATGTAAAAGATAGCCTTCTCATTGAATCCAAACCTTCCCATTGATCACATTCTATTACTAACTAAACAAACCTGCTTCAGGAAAATCCTAAGGAGAGTGCCATGCAAAGAGGAGTCAAGTTTGCTATCAAGGCTCAAACCCCTGAATTTGTACTCTACTGCTTGATTTTAAAAAATTAATTCTTAACAAAAATATAGTCCAAAACAGCAACAACTAAATGGACGAGGAAAGATAGATATAAAGACAGTCCCTCTTTACTTTCATCTTCTTTTGGAATGGGAAGTCTAAGGCCATTAGGGAGAATGAATAAAAAAGATCAGAGGTACAAAATTAGTAAATAATAAATTTCAGGTAAAATTTTTTTACTTTATGTGCTGCTTAAGCAAGCACAAATTTTATATAAAATTAACAAAAGTTTAACTTCAAAAATCTAGCCTAGGGAAAAATGATATATTTATATCATCCTTACATTTGTAAATTAAATATTTATTGAGCTTCTTTTGTATAAAAATAAGCTTTTGATTTACTCATCTGAACAAAACTAACAGAAGACCTAACATGGAAACAAGGAAGGTCACACATTGAAATGTAATCCTACAGAAAGTCACTTATTCAATTAAACCTTTGGGGTTGTCACAGCATAGCTCAGTTTGGCTAAGCACCCATGTTTCATATAACTCGTGTTTGCTTTTATTTTCAAGGGATCTTCAGCCCTGCAATGTTCATTCACGAATTCATTCGTGCAACAAATATTTATTGCATATCTGGGTCTATATTGCTTTCTGTCATATTCTTTACAGACATGCAGACTTCATAATGGGATTTTATATCTACTGCACATCCTTACTCTTTTCCCCTAGATTTTCCTTACCCTTTCCATTCCATTTCAATGTTTTTGCTGCCCCAACCTCAGTCTCTTTCAGTCTTGAGGACCCACAGTGGAAAAGTTTAGTAGACTGGAATCAAAGCTGAAGTCATTAGTAGGGGAAAGCAGTGACTGCATTTGCATTAATGTTTCTAGAAGAAAGAAGATGGCAGGGCAGAGTACAATTACACATTTTTAACCAAATTAAACTGAAAATGCAGTTTAACATTTTTAAACTCTGGCACTCAAAGTTGTTTTCTCTACTGATGAAACTGTAATTATACTATTGGGCAATTTAATTAATTTTGTGTTTTATTACAGAAGTCCATGATTCTGCCTAAATAGAGTTAAATTAATGGAATATAAATCAGTTTGTCACATCTCCAAGAACTTTTGTGAAGGGTGTTTGCCTTTAATTTGTAAAATCCAGTGAAGTCTCTACATGATAAAATTAATCATCCTTCTCTCATATCATTTCATCTGGAATTCAGGTAAAAATGAATAATTTTATGTCCTCATTAACCACTTTCCATGCAAAATACTAAAATTCTTAGATAAGCATTAAATTATTAGACCACAGAGACAACCCAAGATGTTCATTAAGTTAACTCCTTCTCCTTGGAAGAAAAAAAAAATCAAGGAAAAATCATGAATAGATCAGAATCAAAAAGCTACTTTATGGTAAGGGGAATGCTTTATGTAATTACAGTTTTATGAGTAAGAATGCTCCCAAGACAATAATCAATTTATAAATTTAGTTTAAGGAATGGAATGTGTCATTTGCTCCTTCTTAACCTCACCCCAAAATTCTATTTCCATGCCAGGAGGGATCTTTTCAAACAGTTGTGTAAAGTGATTCCTTCTATCAAGATCATTTCAACCTACTAAATTTGCAGTGTTTTACTCATAATTCCTACTCTATGAAGTTATGGTAAACCCTACTTTTCTCTCTTTCTCCCTCTATCTTGTCTTCTCTCTCATTAATTAAAGGTTATTCTTTTCAACAACTCTATTGAATAGTTAACCAAATGCCGCAATCATCACTTTACATATTAGAAAACTGAGACTTCAAGAAACTGAATGACTGAGAGCGGTTTATTGTAGGAGAAATACTGAAGGACATAAAGTCGAAGTCTGGGATTCTCTTCTTAAGTGCCCCTAAAACTAGCTATGTGATCTTGAATTAGTCACTTCATCACTCTTTGGTTCATTTTCTTAAGGAATAAGGATGAGGGGATGAAGTAAATTAACTCCAAAGTACTTTTCAGCTCTACATTCTAAGCCTTACCCAAAACTGAGAGAATCTGTATCAGGGTATATTAGGAATCTGTATTAGAATGTTTTCTCTATCAATGTGTTAATTATGGTCCAGTATATATCAACCACAGCATGAATCTGTGGGTTGTTTCCTTCCCCCACTTAGAAAGAGGTTATGGAACTGCCTGAGAAAATTCCTCATCTGGTCTTCTTCCTACTAGTCAATTCCAGAGACCCTAAAGTCAATGATTCTCCACGTCTCTTTGCAACACCGTTGTTCATCTTTTCACATCAGTACAGTCCCACAGATTACATAGGAAGAAGCGTAGAATATATGCAATCAGATTAAATCTCAATTGCACTAGCACTAACATTTTATTTTTATGGAATAGCATTTATTTTCATAATTTTTGAAATGCATCAGTTCCAATTAAAATTTTTCTCAAATAATTCAATAAAAACATTTAATATGACATTATTAAGAATTGCTTTGGGAACCTGCCTCTGGCATGTGACTAACTCTTGAAGGAAGAAAGTGAACCATTCCTGGCCTTGGTTCTTGAAATGAAGAAATTGGGCTGAATTGTTGCTAATTTTTTATAGCTCTAACTTTTTTTTCAATTATTTTAATCAATGGCAACAAAGATGACAGAAATGCCAACCTTGATCTTAAACACATCAATATACACACATAGCCTCCACTTAGTCTTTGCCAGAAGGCTGAGAAGCAAGGGATAAG
Source organism: Homo sapiens (assembly GCF_000001405.40). Lineage (NCBI taxonomy): Eukaryota > Metazoa > Chordata > Mammalia > Primates > Hominidae > Homo > Homo sapiens. Next base: position 8,457,728 of record NC_000007.14, on the reverse strand, counting down.
TATGCAAATATTTCAGGTGAGCCAGGAACTGAGCACTCCAGTCAAGGAGAATGCTGAGAAAATACAAGTATGAACAATGGGAGAATGCCAGGAGCTATATGAGACCAAATGGACCAATGAAGTTGTCTTACCTGCCTTCTGAGGCTCCTTTCAAGTTTTTTTTTAATAAAATTAAAAAAAAAAAAACTAAGAATTAGGGCAATGAAAAGCATTCTACCAATGGCAAAAAAAGAAGTGTATGTGACTAGACCCTCGGTTTTCCAACTATGTTAAGAATGTGGGCCTCCAGGCCTAGCTGTCACAGGCACCCTGATTCTTTGCTGCATAGCTTGACAATGCCTTCTCCATCGGTGTACCAATCCTGACCCAGCCACAGATTGCATCTCTGGGTTGTTTTCTTCCCCCATTTAGGAAGAGGCTCTCTGATTGTCTGAGACATTTAGGCTACATAGACCAGAGAAGTAGACATTTATTTCCCTTGTGTCAGTTGCCAACTGTTGTAAAATGGTTGCACAGTAAAGAGAATTTCTTCAAGGCCACCAGAAATTAAGTGGAAAAGCCAAGAATTAATGCCTCTTCCACAGGTAAAGAGTTTGAAAACACCACTTAAAAGCCATTTTAAAATGGGAAGAACCCCCAGTTCCTACACAATGTTTTTAAAAACCCTCGTATCAAGCATAAATATTCAATTGACCTTTGTGGACATTAGGGGTTCTTTGTCCTAGACGCCAGGGACAATGTTTAGAAGATATTGTGCCACCATTTTGACAATCTAAGAAGGATAGAGAGTTAGAGACCTTATCTAGGCTGCAGTGGGGACAGTGGTATAAATGGAGTTAGAAATCACTGGCAAGGAATAAACTTAAAACACAAATCAAAAGCAAAATGTCTCTTTCACCAAGCTAGACTTTACCCATGGAATAGATATAAAAGGGCAACATGCCTTAAACTGTAAGGCTCATAAAGTCAAAAATGTGTTTCTTACTGCAGTTATTTGAATATAGCTTTATGGATTTGGATGTAAAAAGTTATGGATAATAGAAAAATTCAACTACTTTTGTTTTGGTTTTTCAGCTCAAAATCAAATAGACAAAAAAAAAGTTACGTTTTCAAGCCTGTCAAATTTCTCTTCCACCATGATTCACTGACCCCTGATATGTCATGTCTGGCCTGGAAGAGAAGCAGATGTCATTCCAATAAGACCTCTGTTTCCTTAAACCTGCAATTCCATTCATCATTTTTGTCACATGCTGAGCACACAGAGCCACTTGGACCAGACTCAAGGTCCCACAACCTCTGTGAATTCTACAGAGATAGACAGATTATATTGTAAAATTGCTGAAATTATTGTAACATTAGAATCAAGAAATAGTGATGAACAATTATAATATGCATTCATTATTATTTCCAATTCAGTGATCAACAAGGTAATCAGCTACTACCAAGACAAACCAGAACTCTACCTCCCTTAAAAACATAGTGTTGTTAGGTAAGGCCCTCCTTAGTAACATATTAGACTTTAACTTTATGTAGATGGGGAAGCAGTAAAATCCTGTGGCTTTAATTTCTGTCATGGGCAAAATGGAAATCATCAGACTAGAGTTCTCATTCCAACACGTGTAACCCAGGTAAGACAATTAACTACCCTATGCCTCATATTCACCACTTATCAAATGACTTACCCATGCCTGGCTTTCCTCTCTTCCCATTTTCAGAGCAGAGGCTCCATCTAGAAAATTGCCTAATGACCTTGCAAGGATCAGGTGTACCATTCCAGAGAATTGTCCTTCTCTATAAGGGTCAGGAAATAAATGATTGGCAAGAAAATATCCCCTAGGACACATGGGAAGAAAACCCTGCCATCTCATATTTGGTTTGAACAAATTATAAGTATGCCAATGTGCTTTTTAACAAGCCACTTAATATTTTATAGGCTAGTGGCTCCAACAGCATCTGATATTGAATATTGGCTGAAACCCTTTTGGAAGAAGCAACGAAGAGAGGATGCTGATAAGCAGCAGGCAATTTCCTCCCAACTTGTCTTCACAAACAGCCTATGACAGTTGAAATTCCAGGCTGGAACATTGCTCAAATTCTGATCCTTTCTGGGAATTAACATTCTCTCTGGACAGTAATGGCAATGCAGGCCACGAGGCTGTGCAGATGGTGTACAGAAAGAGGGAAGTCTGTTCTCCTTGTGAGCTGAAATGTCCTGGCTAGGAAATAAAGCTTTACCTTTCACCCTTCTGCTAAAGCTGTTAACAGTCCTGATTTCCATTAAAAGATCCACTCATTTCCTTTTTCAATGGCACCACAGATGAAAATAGGGCCAGAGATTATGCACCAAGACACAATACACTGCACATCAATTTTCTTCATACATGGAATATCATGACAACTGATTAAAGTCTCAGGATTAGTCGTTTAAAGTGGCCACAAGTTGCTCTTTAATTTAAGCCAATTTATTTTCTTTTTAGCCGTATGCCACAATTCTGCAAACACAGCTTTAATCTCCTTTTATTAGATTTATGTATATAGGAGAACTGACAATATAGTGGGTGGAATAATTCATTGATTCATATGGCAGTCTAACAAAAAATAATGGCGTGGCATACGATTGCAAGGTTACCTCTGATAATCTAAGACACAAACATGTAGCCCTCTGGTCCACAATTTACTCTACTGTTAATGGCTACACAAATGAAAAAAACAGCATCATAAATTAGACTTCTAGACTATTTTTTAATATCTTTTGCAATTATCAAAGAAAACATACTTCTTTTGAAATCTCTTCATCCATTTTCTGTCTCTGAAATACAACTTACTATGAGCACATATATATAATGCAGTGGCTCCTAGGAAAGATGACTGTCTAATGTAGTAAGCCCCAGGAATGGAGAAATTTATAATTCACTAAGAGTGTCATATTGCCCAATAGGTACGTGGACTCTAGTTTCAATCACGGGATTCCATTGAGCACTGATTGCTGGAAAAGTTGACTTATTCTAACTCTACGACAAGCCACCAATGTTCCTCTAGAGCCACGTTTCTCTTTTTAAAGAGGCTTTTTGCACTTATTTGTAATTTTGAGTATATCATAGAGGAGGAAAGATACGGTGGGGGCCAGAAAGAGTGGCTAATGGCCAATGCATGTCATCAGAAAATCTTCTACATCTAGCTCCATGACTGGCCCTAATTCTGACACTTCCCAATCAATACAAGTCAAATTTACAAATGAACAAAGGGCTTGGTAAAACTGAAACATCCTGTAGAAGGAGAAGCATGATGCACAAAGCAGAGGATAAATGCTTTGTCTCAGACCTTGTAGTGGTTAAAATCTATCTCCCCTTTAAACTCTGAACACCTAAGACATTGAAAATTACCCATTATTTCAACCATATCACAGAGTTCACTGCTAAACTACTGGGTTCCAAAGGCAGTCCACTAACTTTCTCTTACAAAATTCCATTCGACAAATTCCTTTTTTAAACTTTCATTTTAATTTCAGGGGTACAAGTGCAGGTTTGTTACATAGGTGTCATGGGGAGTTGTTTTATAGATTATTTCATCACCCAGGTATTAAGCCTAGTACCCATTAGTTAGTTTTCCTGATCCTCTCTCTCCTCCCCACTCCACCCTCCAAAAGGCCCCAGTGTGTGTTGTTCTCCTGGATATGTCCATGTGTTCTCATCATTTAGCTCGCACTTATGAGTGCAAACATGTAGTATTTGGTTTTCTGTTCCTTAGTTTGCTAAGGAGAAAGACCATTTAACCCAGCAATGTCATTGCTGGATACAGGCCCAAAAGAATATAAATCACTCTATTATAAATGCACATGCATGCATATGTTCACTGAAGCACTATACACAATAGCAAAGACATGGAATCAACCTAAATGCCCAATCAATGATAGACTGGATAAAAAAAATTTGGTACATATATAAGATGGAATACTATGCAGCCATAAAAAAGAACAAGATCATTTCCTTTGCAGGGACATGGGTAGAGCTGGAAGCCGTTATCCTTAGTGAACCAACAAATATCTTAAAACCACTATGTGTAAAGCATGTTAGAGGAATTACTCACTTCTGAGATGCAGTAGTACCAATATCATTAGTCCTCAGATCAACAATAACCTACACAATATTCCTCTAAGGCAGTTTAATAAATAAAACATATTAAATTTTCTTAAAGAAAATGGTTCTTTACAACTCATGAGTAAGAGCGTATTTGTTCATATACTAAGTTTATAAAACAACCCCACTGCAAAATGCCACAGTTGGAAATAAAAATGCCGTGTTTGGCATATACAGCCACCTTGGCAACCAATGATGCATTTCTATAACATTTTTGGTGATTGTGCATGTTTGATGTTTGGGTGGGTTTTTTGTCTCTTTCCTGCCAATTAAAATATTTAGAATGATTTTCAGATGTTCGGTGACTAAGAAGGCAAGATCGCATGTCAATTGTTCAGCTCATTGGAGAGGGTAATACGTTTATGATGACAGTTTCTGAATACAGTATAAATACAAATACAAGTATTTCTTTCTTCCTCTCCCTCTCTCCCCTTTCCCCCTCTCCTTCTACTTCTGTAAAAAATAAAAAAGTATCTTTGAAAGTAAACTTAATTCTTTCTGTCTTTTAGACCATTTTAGTTTCCAAACTGGAGTGAAATTCTGGTATGTTATCATTATTAACTCTGTTCTTGCCAGAGGCCTGCAGATACTATATTCCTGGGGTACATGTTCTGATGAGACTTTCCCCAGAAAAGCAAACTAGGAAGTACACTCATCTTCTGGGCTGTCAGAAGTAGCAATCTGCATTGATGCTTCTTACCAAGAAGGATCCAGTTAATTTTTGCCAATATATTTACAAAAACAGAAGATTTGTGAAGTGGCTCTAGTATCAATCCCCAGGACCACCTCACCCTACCCCCCATTCTTTTTAATACTTTATCAGGCACCAACTTCTATAATCCTAAGAAATTTAGGAAAACTGAGATATGTCTTTAGGATGCCCACTAGAAAAACAAGTCAAACATTTGAATAGAAGCATGGAAAAGGCTTTCTTTTCCCCTCTTTCCACCACATACCTAAATGGCTTTGCCTAGGATCCTAATTAATTGCTTGAATTCCCCACCATGAATAATCTGACCTATTAAATCAGCATCATACATTCACAGTTCTACTCCCAAGGCCTTTACATCTCCTTACAAAGAGAGCTGTAAAACATGATGAAAAATCAAGGCTGTCAATGAGATTCTAGCCTATCAAGGAACCAAGGCATTAAGGGAGATAAAAATGCCTTCAGTGGATATAATAAATCAAAAATGGGAACAGGAGGAATATTCAACAGGTCCATGGTACAGCTATTTAACTGAAGTTTCATCAGTGGTGGTAACATATTTAAAGAAAGAGTATATCAAAAAGACTGGATGGGTTTGTCAGCATAGAAAACTTGGATTCGGTTATTGGATTGTTAGAAAGGAAAGTACTCTAATGTTTCAGATATTCTTCTCACAAGAAAAGGGTATATCAAAAACGTATTCTGGTGAGAGTCAGTTTATTTCTGAATATCTATTAACTCTAGAATCACTGACAAAGTTCCATTTCCGGGCCTGGGACCAAATCAATTTCACCAGGCTGATGCAAACCGCGGGACATCTGAGTGGCTAATCAGTCAGTTTTCTTCTGTCAGCTTTTCCAGTAACTAACTGTGTACTGCCCAATTTTCATTCAAAAATTTTACCAGATTTTTAAGGAAAAGAGTTTGGGCTATGTTCCATGAGACATACCATGGTGAACCCTATGCACCCAAGTCCATGAGGACCCTGAATGCCTAATGGGGAAAGGATCATGAAAAAGAAATGGAAATACTCTTCTTGCCTATGCAGCAATCTTTCATAGCTCATGATCGACCTTTCTCAGTCAGCCATTTGAACATTGAATCACATGTAAGACGATGATATAATTTAATCATCCAAACCAGGATACTTCTGAATATAAGAGGAGGGTTGTTTTTGATATAGGCAATGGGCATAAAACAGAACTGTTCCAAGTAAACAGAGAAGTATTCTCTCACCATAGTTGTATGGCCTTGGCCACTGAATAATTGTCACATACCTACTCAGACAAAAGACTAATGCTTTTTACTATCAAACAAAATCCAAAAGCTTTTGAAAAAGAGCAGTCTCAATTCGTTATTCAATAAACAAAATAATGTTCCAAAGACAGAAAAACTTGGGATGACATTGGTATGTTCATATTCCCAAAATAATTTGTTCAGCTCAAGGTTAGTAAGAAAAAGAAACTCCTACTGCTGCTGATAAAGCCATCTGTGCTTCGGAAGCGGCTGACAGGTGTCTCCAGAAGAAGCAATCAAAAGTCATTAGCGATCAAAATCATGACAATTAAATACAAGGATCTATCAGGGTCTTATTATCCAAATTGCAATAAAAATAATTCAGACACCCGCTCTCTGAAAGACAGAACAGTCACTTAACTTCCCAAGTCTGTTGGCTGCACTCTGTTATCAGGATTCCTAAACCCTAATTCCTAAGGGATCTATAAGAAAAAATAAGCAAAAGGAACACAGATGATAGTTGAAAAAAAAAAAAAAGCTAGATCCCTCAAAATCTTTCAAATGCATATTCTTCCACAGTGCAGATGTTCATCCAGACCAATTTTATAACTAAGGAAATATATTCTGGGAAGATTTGGCATTTTTTAAAGTTCAAAGTTGAAAGCACACATTCTATAAATAAATCTACAATGAAGTGCTAAAAGGTTTATTTCTGACTTATTTCACAAACTAGGAACTAGGCATTAAAATATTGGGTCATAAAATGCTTAAAAAGTAGATTACTAGAAACTAATAGAACACATTATTATCTATTGAGCCAATGATGGGTCAAATGGCATTTTGAATTCTTGCGGAGAATATGAATATGACCTTCATGTATACCATTTACAGAAAGCAATTTTATTTACATTTTTAAATCCACATAAAGGTGAAAGATGATACTGCTGCAAAATGGAACATTTAATTTTTTGCCCCAAGGCATAACTAAGCTCTCCCAAGGTCAAAAGTAGTACAAGACTGAAATGAAGCCAGACTCTCCTCCCTCATCTCTTACCAGAGGATTTCCACTTGGGGCAAAAGTGTCTTGGATCTACTTTTATTTTTCAGAAATAGATAAATTCCTAGATCCAACATAGACTGAATAATTCTATAAAATATTGTCAAGGAAGTTTTCTACTTCATCTTTACACATGCAGAATGCAATGAAAGACCTGTGCTAAGTTAGTTGGATGTCTGAAACTCTTTTGACTGTAAGGTTTTAAACTAAGCAGATTTGAAGTTTCATAGTTTGTATAATTGTGCAAATATTTTAATTTAAAAAGAGTGTAGATTTGCATCCCCTTTTAAATCCAGTAAGCTGTCAGCATGGCAGGACTCATTAGATTAAATGCCACAGGAAAGTTAGAGTTTATGCTTTGTATATATGGTTTCCCCCTTAGAAGTGAACTCTGCTCTTCTCTCCCCACCTCCTGCTGCCAAGACATGGCAAATAATTCAAAAAACATGAGTGTGATTTGTTAGAAGAGATACAGATGTTATGTATCATTTTTAAATCTACTACAGATGACTGAGGGTTGTACTTTATGTCCCAGTCTCGCTTCTTACCTTACCCTGAGACCCAGGGATCATTTTTCATATTGGTCAGGTCAATAGATGCAGACTTCCTAAAATGCTTGTGTCCCACATGCCACGAGCAGAAGCTGCAGTCACAATCATCAATATCAAGCTTGCATTTCTTAACTTTGTATCCCCATTTGATGGGAAGTCCCTAAAGAATAAAAACTGCATCTAATAAAACTACTTAACTACAGTAGTGCCAACAGCAATTTAGGCAGACCCCAGTTCCCCAAATAAGATCTGCCCAAAGGAGGGAGAAAAAAAGAACTCTTAATTGAAATGGAAGGCAACAGTTATTTCTTTTGAAATATTTTTATGAGACTCTCCAACACAAACATAACATGGGTTAATGATTAAAAGCCCTGGTCAAGAATAAGACTGCCTGAGATAGAATCTTGCCACCTTACACCAGACACACTCTCAGTGCCTCAATTTCCTCATCTATAAAATGGGTATTATCAACCATATCACTAGCATGAGCATATTAATATATTAACAGTAAAGATATTAATATGACCTAATATTAATAGTACATGTCATCTTATAGGGTCATTAAAATAACTAAATGGAAAAAACTCCATGTTAAGGTCCTGGCACAGTGCTTGCCTCAAAATATAAACAGAAATATGGAACGTTTTATCCTTTCTAGTAGTCTTTACACCTTCCCCACTCTAATGTCAAATATAAAACAAAATAGTGTTTTTGTGTAGGAACTTTTCTTGGATACCCAGGGCAATGCCTTGGAAGGGGGCATAGGGTAACCTATACAAGATATTTTTAGCAGCATATGAGAGGGATACTGTGGCTCTCATTCCACCAAACTGTTTCGACAAGTCCTTCCAGGGAGTTAATGTGTCACACTCAGATATTCAGCTAGAATGAACTTCAATAGGAAAAAGCCCCCTGGCCAAAGGCCCCTGGACTTTGAAACCCAGTAGGCTATTATAAGTTTTGATTATACTGTGTGCAAATTTTAAGATAATCTCAAATGTTAAAAGTAATTTAAAGCAAATACTACTCACAAATTAATATTTAAAATCACATCTTAATAAATGGCCATAGTGTTTGCCACATGGAATTAAAACATCACAAGGATTCTCATCTCAATTAGGCAATCTATTTATTGATCCTATTGATGACTTGTCTCTTCATTTCCATAAACAATTCGCTAGTTGCTGTAGAAATGTCCTTTTTTTTTTTTTTTTTTTTTTTCCCCGAGACGAAGTCTTGCTCTGTCTTCCAGGCTGCAGTGCAGTGGCACAATCTCAGCTCATGGCAACCTCCCCCTCCCAGGTTCAAGCAATTCTCTTGCCTCAGCCTCCCAAAGCTGGGACTACAGGCATGTGCCGCCACACCCGGCTCGTTTTTTGTATTTTAGTAGAGACAGGGTTTCACCATGTTGCCCAGGCTGGTCTCAAACTCCTGAGCTCAAGCAATCCGCCCGCCTCGGCCTCCCAAAGTGCTAGGATTACAGGCGTGAGTCACCGCACCCAGCCAAATGTCCATTTTCTTCTGGCTGTAATCGTAAAGGTAACTATCCACTCTAAATACATATGGCTTTCTGGGCAGCACTGAGCAACTATATAGCTATCAACTAGCTGAAAGAAGGAAACAAAAAATATGGCCCTAGGATAGAATCAGCCCTTCTGTGTCATATTCATAAGGACTGTGCTGGAAGCACATGGGAACCTGGTCCGGAAACCCTTCTTTCTAAAATGTTAGCAAGACTTTTTTCTTTGTTAGTTCATCATTGCATTGTACCAGTCACCTTTCTAAGCTCTTTAGAATACATTAACTCTGTGAATTCTCAATAATAACTCTAATGGGTGGGAGGTATTGTCAGCCCCATTTTTCAAGTAGGGAAATTGAGGATTTGAGAAGTTAAGCTTGCCCAAAGTCACAGAATTAAGGAAATACTTTGCCATTACCTTCTCTTTTCTCCTAGCCAGTCTTTCACAATGCTGCTTCCCTTAAGAATTGCAGTGAGGGATCTGAGACAGAGGTCCTGGGATAACTGAAAACAGGCCTGTTTGCTCTCTGTTATGGCCAGGTCCTCGTTGGAGCCAAGTGAATTCAGTGTTGACACCTGGTTGGGTGCCATGATATTATCCACCTGGCTGGAAGTTTGATGATGGTCTTTGGGAAAATATCAGCCACCTGGAGGCACGTGGCTTTGCCTTTAAAGCCTCTCACACTTTTAACCACTTGTTCGAGGAACATCAAGGGTGGGGGGGAATCCATCAATCTGTGCAAATGCATCTGGCCACATATTAATGTTAGTCACCCTAATTGTGAAGAATTTCAGTCAAGAATGCAAGGCAGGATTAAACACCTCAGGGCAAATCATTCACTTTTCATGCTTCCACACTTCAGAATGTTTATTCAAGAGGTGCAGATCCAAAAGTGGTAGCTCAGCTCATATGCCAGATCTGCATTTATTTGATAATAGCTAGATATTGTAGCTGCCTATTTGCTGCAGCTGTTCACAATTCTGCATTGTTAAACCAAAAGAAATAAGGTTGAAAAGCTAACACCAGGCACTCATCATTCAATTATATATTTCTTGTGAAAGACGCAAAAACTCTGCCATGTTCTGCAAAATCTCCACATCAATAGCAATTAAGTTCCACATCAAGACCAGAGAAATACTACACTGACCATGCATGAATAACTTCCTTTCACATGCAGTGGCTTGCATCTTTCTCTGCATTTAATTCTCTAACACAGTAAATGATGGTGCCCTGGTGAAAGAAACTATTCACAAATAACTGGAAAAAAATATGTGAGTAAAGTTGTTTTGTATCTTCAATTTCAGAGATTAGATAGACAGCTCTATTACTAACACCACAGCTGTTCCAACAACAAATCACAACTCATCATTCTGCAAACAGGCTTTAGAATTAAACTTAGGATTAATTACGGAATTTTCACTTAAAATTTCTCAAACAGAAAATATAACAGGTCTCATATAGCCCAGCTTATGCTTTTAAGAGTTTTCCATCAAGTATTGGGCAGCATCAGCAGTGCATCTAGCCAGTTGATAAGTCACGGCACTGTTTCTGATTTAGAGGAGATGTTAACAGGATAGTGCAGTGGTCATTCTTATAAGAAAAAAAAAAAAGAATATTACTATTCTAGTTATCATTGGAATGAAATGGGGAGGGGAACAGCTTTTTAAAATGTCACCATGATTTTTAACCGTGTATAATTCTCAGTCCAGGAAGGTAAGAAAAAAAAAATGCTTCATTCCCCCAATATAAATATACAGTGAGGAAAAAAGGAAATCATAGTGGAATTTATGGCATTTCTTAGAGATCTATACACTATGTAACAGAATAAATGAGAAAATGTAGTTTTAATTTCTGTTTGGAGGAAGAAAAAAATAAGGACCTCAAATTGTGCCTGTGGAAAACAGGAAGAGATTTGGTTTTAATGATTTAACTACATTCAAAAAGCCTCATTTTTATTATGTTTGATGCTAAAATCAAAACCTCTATTCCTTTACTTATTCAAAAATGCATACAGAATATCAACAATACATAACTCATATATTGTTGATTATTTTAAGCAAAATAATAAAGCAATGTTAGACAGGCCTTTTTCTTTCTTAGCCATGACTTCTTTGTGACCCATAAATTTCTTTGTATCTGGTAAGTTAAGAAAATGCATCATTCCTAAAATTTTGATTATGTACTTAGATGTTACCTTGGACTCTTACAATCACTTTCAAAACACGTCAAGTACATAAAAGAAGGGACAACCCATGATTAGCATACCAGTGTTCATATCACTGCACTAAGACAGACAATAAATTTCCATTACATTGTCAAACTCACTCAAAACAATCAAATATTTCACTGAACCATTTACAACTATTGATTGCACACCAAACCTAACTTTATATTCTTCCTATTTTAAGTAGATGCAATATTTTACAAGGGCTTCACAAGTAAGAGATTGTGAATGTAAAGCAGTCCATTAATTTTATATAAGCTGTTTTATATACCTATGGGCCTCTAATAACATCCAGCTACAAGGTTACAAGGAGAAGAATCATTTTCTAAAGTTCAGTTGAAGAGGTTGGAGTGCGCATGACTAAAATTTCAGCTATCATGCCATTGTAGTTCCTCTTTACCAAAATTACTTTCATTCTGTAGCTGAAAACACTGACATAAACAGGACAACAGTGCAATGTCAGGTATCAGATTCCTACCAAGGAAATGGTACTTTCAAACCCATGTTGGAACAACTTATATGAAAACAAAAGAATTCTCCACAATTATTTTCCATGGAATCCTCTAAAGAGGTGAATACATAGAAACATATAACCTTGCTTTGCTTTGTGTATATGTGTATGTGTAATCTGTAAATGAAAAAGGCTCTTTAAAACCAGGAAATTTTCTCTAAATCTTTGTCGTAATTTTTGTGCCAATAACCTCTTAGAGAAGAAAGTGCCTCTTTCTTTTAGTCTGCGGTTTTCAATTGTATTAAAATTCCTGCCAATTTGTATCTTCATCTTAGCTCTAGAAGGCCCCGTTACACTATGTGTAAATTTATGCATTGTGGTGGGTTAGAGGCAGGGAGGCAGAAAAATGTAGGGCCCTGCAGCTGTTTCCAGTCACCTCTTTCTGCTCAGCTTCCTGCATCATACTGCACTTTACCATAGTGTACATTTCCAGTGAGTGGTAAGCCTGGCCTTTTGTTCCTCTAAGTTAGTACAAGCTAATAAATGTCTTTTTCGCTTTATTGGGACCTCTCTTTAAAGAGGCTTGACTGTGGGGTCTGATCTCAGAGAGATAGTCCTTTAGACTTGAGAAAAGTAAATTAAGAGGACAATTCTGTTAATATCAAAGCAGGCTTATTACTTCAATATAAGCACTTCCTTAATTTTCCTTTCTCAGCATGCTACATAAATATAAATAAAAGAGCTCTCCACTGGATGTAAGTTACGTATATCTCACAGAGTTTAATTACAAAGCCTCTAAAAATGAAGAGGGTGGGAGGAAATCATGCCCTACATCATACAGTCCTAGTATTGTGTTGGCTAGCTGTCTCTGACCACAAGGAAACAAAGACACTCAGGTAATCACAATATGCCATAAAAAGGCTGGGCTCTGAGGAAAAGAAAATCCAAGAGAAGAGGACAGATAGTATTACTTTAATGCCTGGAAGGCCATAATTTTTAATTTTGTTCTCATTAATGTTATTATAAATGCGATCATTTTACTGCAATGAAGGAGGAGTTAGGTTATTTTAAAACTGCTACATCCTATCTTCTTTGCAGCGATTGATTCACTGTTATAAGGGAGGGGCGAGCTAGATGAAGACGATGAAGACGAGGCACTGACAAATGCACACCACACACACACACCTCAGTTAACCCTAAGTACTATGGTATTGCAGGTAACTGCGAAGACACCTGTACAGGAATACAAGTTTCATCCCAGCAGCTGTCCATCGGGGGCATCAGGCAACTTCTGAGTGTGAAAAAGACTGTGCCAGGGAGGGTGGACTGCGGAAGAGAGGAGAAATGGGAATAGGCTTGTAATCCAGCAGGCAAGACCCTGGGCAGTTCAGTGACCTCGGTGGGTGGAGGCGGGGCCTATACCCAGTCCTAGAAAACTAGCGGGCTGGCCCTTAAGCTAAAGGCCGAAATCTCGCCAGGGCCTCAGAGAATACCTCCGAGGCGTTGCGCCTAAACCTTCTCTTCCTCACCTTCCGACCGCTCTTTTCACCTTCTGATTCGTTCCCTTCTCGAGGGCTTGCCTTATGTCCGAGCTAACTTATGCTACGGGTTAATGGAGCACTACATGCCAGATCTCTGCTCCTTTAATACAGCGAGAATTTGCAGAATCGGGTGACAAGAAAAGGATTGACTCCTATGCTAAGGCAAGAGAAACGGACAGAACTTCCCAGCCAACCTTCGCCTTTGACATAGACAACCCCTAGCGCCAACGCTCGGTACTATCCGTCTTATTTCTGGATCAAATCAACGGTGTGACCGCTGCGGTGGAGGAACTGGGCGCACTTTAAGTGACCGCAGTGTCTGCTCTAGGGCGTGCAGACAGCCCCCAGGGGAGTGTGCAACAGCGGCCAGGGCAAGCGGCGAGGGAGGTAGGGCAACGTTGTGTGAGAATGAGTGTTTGTAGGGGGCGGTTGTTCGTCGTTGTTTGTTTGTTGTTGCGGTTTGGTAAGTAAAGAGAAACTCCCCCCCGCCGCTCCATCCCGGGTCTAATGATGATAGATTTCACGCTGCATCAGGCCCCACGCTGGCGAGCCTAACCACGGAAAATAATGAGGCTGCATCCCCCATTCGTCTGCATTAAAGGCGAGCCAGGAACTTTCGATAGCAAATATATCGATTTCCCTGCCTAGCCATGGTTTGTCCTGCTCCCCGTGAATAATTACTGCGCCTTTAGAAATTCATAATAATTAGGACTCTCCCCACCCTCTCCCTCACCCCTGCGCGCCGCTAAAGGCGCCTTAGCCTGGAAGGCGCCTGGGTGGCTCCAGCCGTGTTCCTCGCCGGGGGAAGAGGGGCAGGAATCGCTTCTCCCCATAGGGTTTTACTCTTGCGAATAAGTTGGTTGCCTCAGTTTCCTTGTCTGTCAGTTGAGACTTTTACATTACTAGAGACACTTCTAGCTCTTCGTTACAGCCTTCACGTTTCTGTTTCGGGGGAGGGGTAGATTTAATGAACTGTGAAAGAATGGGAGACTGGGTAGGGGGAGAAGTTGGGGAAAAGAAGGATTCGCAAAATCTCCGTGGTGATCACGTGACGCCGCAACCACTGAGTGTGGTAATGGAGAGGGGTGCAAGCAAGAGTTTCTGACCGCAGGTCATGCTGGGGACCTAGAGACGGGAGCTAGCTGCCCCCCGAATAGCTGGAAGGGGTAGGCGGGTCGTCACAGTCGCGAGCGGGCCTTGAGGAGGTATCTGCGGAAACCGAGAGTGCTAACTCGACTTTAAGGACCCAGCCGGAGCGGCAGCGGGGGAGGCAGGCCCTACTGCTGGCACCAGGCGGGGCGGAGCCTGTGGCGCTGGCCGTGGTGCTGAAGAGTCGCTCTCCCGGCCCTGGCGTGCCCCACGCCCGCCTGCCCGCGATCAAATCTTATAGCCCGCGGCCTATTCTCCCGAGAACTGCCGCTATCCAGCCCGCTGTCCCAAAAGCACCGAAGCTTGGTGGCGTCGACGAAAATTACCCAGAAACAGCGCTTTTGCATGGGGACTTGGGCTCCGGACGCGAGAGGGCTGCATCTGTGTTTCCATAAACCTGTCGAGATCGCTCGAGGTCACCTGCGACTGAAAGCAGACAATAAAGCGCGCAGCTGTGGCGGCGGCCACTACGGCTGGGAAACCCCGGGGCCTGAACACTGCGGCTTTGGTCAGCGGACTGAGTTTCCGAAGGGAGGGTATGAAGCCTACGTCGAAAAAAGTTTCTTGCTTCTTGTAGAAGACGAAGGAAAATGGCCTTTTAAAGTCAATGTGTGAGGACGGGGTCTAAGACATAGGGTGGGATGTGTGAGCCGGATGCCCTCTCCTTCCGGTGTGGCGAGGACGCGCGGCCTCCCCCTGCGCCCTTAGCCGCGGCAGCTAGGATCCTTCGCTTCAGAATCCATTAGGGCGGCGGGGGTGATGGCGAGGCGCGGCCAGAGGCAGGTTCAGCGGGGACGCGCAGAGCTCCCGCAAGCCAGTTTCTAAGGAAACACTCAGTTTTTCTAAGCAGCAATTTGTCTTATTGTGGGAGAAAGAAACAGTACAAGAAAAGCCTCCCGGTTCTCCATTCTCATGCAGATGAGGCGATGCGCTCTGGATGCGGCCTGTGTCTCCCCCTCCCCATCGTATTTCCGGCTTGAACGAGTAAAATACCCTCATTAATTTATAGGAAGAAGGAGCTAGGAAAGCTTTTCGTAAGCCGTGGCCCGAGAGGAGCTACTGTCTTGCTGCTCCTGGGACCCCACTGCTTGTGCCGTCCCAACGCCCTGGCTCCCAACGCCATCTCGCTTTCCACCACCCCGAACCCCTGACTAGACGCCTAAGGAACTTTCGGCAACAGAGGGCACCGGAGCAAGAGAATCCCCTCCCCGCCCACCCCCACAGACCCCCTGCCGGCTCCCACCTCCGCAATCAATAAAATATACTAGGGAAAGCTCTTTGCAGAGGAGGTAATTAGGTTTTCATCCCGTAGCAGAAACGCAGCGCGCTCATCAGAAGTTTAAACAACAGCCACCAACCCGCGAGGGCAGGGCAAACTTGGAAAATGCGCAAACGCGCTCTTGGGCGCGCGGAGGGGTTTGAAGAAGCCGCCAAAATATATTATCTCAATAAAAAGCCGCTCTTGGAAAGCTTGCATAGTAATTGAGACGGGCGCTCTTTTCTGATCTGGGTTGGCATTTCCTCATCTCGAGCTGACAGAGCCAACTCAGGAAATTGCTGGTAATATTCATCTGGGGAGCACTTTCATTAAACGTAATTCATTCGACTTTCACAATAAATTGAGTGACATCCTTACAACGGAACCTTTTTATCCTTGATTAAGTGCTTGCCAAGCTTTGGTTTCCCACTTTATTGTCACATTCCTTCAAGCAGAGTCGTCAACATGCCAATCTGAGGCAGAAAAATGCGCGCGCTGTGTTTACCAAGCTCCGGGAGGGGGTTAGTGCTGACATCCAGAAAAAGAGCTGGTCGGGAACTTGACTAGTGGATAAATCAAGACTGAAACTTCCTGCACACACGCGACGGGACCAGGCAAATAGTGGCTAAGAGAATGCAGAGGGAGGCGAGAGTGCAGACCCGCTTTGAGACTCGGCTGCACCATGAAGCCGCTGACCCAACCGCTCTCGGCTGGCAGGCTCGCCTGCCTTTCCTTAATTAGAACGGCGAGGACTGTTAAGGTCTTAAAATGAGATCTGAAGCCCCTAACGGACAATGGTTGCCCAAGAGGAGCTTTCCTGAATCGAATCAAAGCTAGACACTTTTTATTTTTAAAAAAATCAGAAAGAACGCACACTTCCTAACTTCCCACTTGAGAGCAGGCAAACTTTCAGAGCTTCCATCACTTGCTTTACAGGAGCGCAAGAAGAGTGTTATTCCTCATTCCTGAAATTCCCTTTTGACTCGCAGCCGAATTATTTGAGGGCTCTTCAGATCCAGGAATTCCAGGTGAAGCTGACAAGCACCTTGGTATTCCAGGACTGGGAGGATGGGGAAGGCATCTCTTTGCCAATGCGAGGCTCCTTCTTCCCCATCGCCCCCCTAGTCAACTCCCCACCCCCTATAAAATCAAAGAAGCTCAGGGCAGAAAATTTCTTATTGGAAAAAGCAATATCCAAATGCTTTCGGCACTCAAATGCCCTTTCGAAAATATTGTCGACGACGGTTATTACCCGGACAATGCTGTCAATTTCTGTAGTCTGCAGAAAATCTTTCCTCAGATAGAAAAATAGGACACTGGGCACCTATCTCAAAAAAAAATCAACCAATTTCCCAGCCACCTGATATATTTTTCACCCAGACAACACTTTCATTAAGGAAGAAATAGCCGTCAACAATTCAAAGCCAAATAGAAATCAACTTCGCACAGAGGAGCCACGAATTTAATGGCTTTCCGAAAAAATACCGCTGAGAAAGTTGGAGCAATCCTGGTTCTCTCCGAATACTAAAGTCAGCTTCTCTAAAGCTGTCACTAGAAGGCCTCAGACCAAGATAATCCTTCTGGAAATGGGGCAGAAAAGTGTCCCACCCAAGTGCTTCCCACACACTTGGGCGAGCTGCTTTCTTGGTCAATGGAAAGTTGAACATTTCAGGGAAATGCCTAGAATAGTAGCAACTTCTGTGTCCCCCAGAGCTCAGGAATACATCTTAAAACTGATGAGTTCTAAGGCTGTGCTTCTGGGGTAGAGGGCCTTCCAAAAATCTAGTCTGAATCCCGTATGTATCTAAAAGGCTGGTCTGTAGTAGAAGAGTCAGGAAATGCAGTGGAATGAGAAACTTTTAGTACTGCCTCCAAGAACTAGCCTTAATAGGGAACACTTAATAGCCACTGTCAGGAAATTTATTTTATTTTGTTTATTTTCAGTAATAAGCTCAAATTGATTAGAATTTTCAGTGTGCAGCTGGCTTAATTTTTAAAGAATGAGAAGCACACATACCTAGTCCAAAGAAAAGACATTGCTGGTCTCTCTCCCTCTGCTTTTCCCCCAGCTCCAATATACCTTAACAGCCATCTTCATAATGAGTGGATTTCACCCAAATGATCTAGCTTTTAACAGTGCAGAGGTAGTGGTCCCATAGATACATTAATTACTCTCCAAACTCTATTAAACAATTGGTGTAGAATTCACATTTTAAGGATATCCCAAATTTGAGAGAATAGATGGCTCATAATGTGGCACAAGTTTAGAAAGGATTTTTAATTCATGCCTATTTTGATTTAAAAAGCAACTTGATTATTAGCAATTTAATTCCTAGCAGAAATGGTGGGACCCCTTCTCATTAGAATAGAGCTGTGGATGGGTGACTAGTCACAGTAACTTTATACAATGCCTTGTCGGATGCATTGGATTCAATTTCTGAGTAGCTTTTTCATTAGCATGCTCAGAAAGTGCTCATTAGACTCACCTCTCTAACTGAGAGTTACCACAGGTGAGCCCCCAAACAGAATGCCACACCCTGTGGGAGATGCTTTCCTGGTGTCCTGGCCTATCCTTCTACTTGATCCAATGAGGCTGATTCAAGTTAGAACCCCCACTCTTCAGAGCAAGGAACCATATTTTTCTAGCTGATTCAATATATGCTTCAATAAAGTTAAAATGCTATCATCCTGCCATCCCATTGTATCATACTGAAAATATCCTGGAATTGGTCCAGGAATAATAAGAGAATAAAGATTGCAAAACTTTTTTATTATTTTTAATAAGCGTTGTTAACCATAGACTTCTCTCCTATTGAATTCAGGCTTTTAAATCTGCAATACATAACATTCAATAGTCTGAAATTTTATTTACCTTTATTTTTAAAAGTTAGTTTCCCACCCCCATGCATTTATGGCTGGAGCTTGTCCTGTGGTGGATTTTGAGTATTCCAGCTAACATGCTTCAGAAGGTAACTCTGTGGGCACATATCTAATTAGTTTCCCATTAAAGTACTAAAATAAGCTTCTATTTTGAACTAGGACAGACTTGTCTCTCAAAAAACACAAAAATCCTCAACCTAAAGCATTCAAAGAATCCCGGGCCCAGAAACATACTTTGCAAACATTCACCCAAATACAGGTAGGAAACTGTGGCTTGGTGTGGGGCATTGACCTACTGCAGAGTTTTCATAAGAAGTTATTCTCAAATTTGGGGGTATTTAAGGTATTCACTTTAAACAGAAGCCTAAATATTTCTTTAGGAGATAACTAGACAAGTCTTGTTTCATGGACTTAATGTGGTGATTACTCCCTGGGAAACATAACTAGGATACCATGGGCTTAAAGGTCAAGGTGCACTGAGATATCAGCTAAGAGGTAAGGCATAAACAGAGTGATGCAGGCACTTAACTAGTGGTGTGAGCTCACAAAGACAAAAATTATCCATCAAATTCTTCCCTGGCTTATGTCAGTTCAAGAGAAAATTAAAATAATGGTTTTGCCACTCTTGCCTTCTTTGAATGTAACTTAAAGCAGCTCCTGACAATCTGTATGCATCCAGTGCAGGTTCTTACAAAGGGATAAGATCTTCCAATGTGCAGCTACAAACAAATGATCAATCCAGTTAACTGTATCTGGTATTTAATGAAATAGATGAAGAAAGAAGCCTTGATCACTTCTTGATCGGTTCATTGCCCTAGAGTTTTAATCAAGGCTCTCTACTTCTTTATTTGCCTAAAACCATCCCGAAATGACTGCCCAATTCACCCTTTTAAATTCATTTCCATGGTAGAAGTCAGCTTTTTGCTCCTTCAGGAAAACAGCTCGGAATTCTGCTGGCAAATATCCATGGGATTACAATCCCTGGAAATACTGCCTTGGGTCACAGCCATCAGCTGTAGTTTTTGTGGTGCATGTGGTTTCTAGTCCCCGACACACAAAAGTACTTTAGATTGGAGAAAAAAGAACGGACTTCTAAATAGCCTTCTCTATTTTATTGTTCACATTTCGTATTGTTTTGAGTGAAATTGGAAAAATTGTCTCCTTTCTCTGTATTGCCAAAAGGCATTCAGGTAATGAAGTCTGTAACTAAACGGTAATTGAATCAGCATAATTTGCACACTGAATGGTTTTCAAATGCTCCCAGTTTACAATTAAAGGAGAATTAATGCGCTTGTTGTTGAGAACGCAGCGCATTAGAATAAATCCAGCACTGTTGTTGTAATGAGTGGAAAACGGTTTAACTGCCAACAAACACATTTAAAATTTAACACAAAGTATTGATTTCACTTCTGCTTTTGATAGATTATTTTCCAGACTATCGAAATACTTGCTCCAAGCAATAAACTGCACCATAGCCACAAGCCCTTGCCGTGTGTGTGAGCACAGCCCAAGGACGTAAGAACAGTCCTCAAGTTCAGGTCAGGCGTAAAGGTATGCAGAGGAAAAGGGCAAGCGGGTTACGATGGTCAAGGGAATCCTTAAAATTACCTCCCCCCCGCCCCCGTCGCTTTCACTTTGCATTCCCTCCCCCCATCTCTCAATAAAAAAATTCTATATTTCTTCTGGCCAAACTTTCTGCCCTCCATCCATGGTCTCTCAATGTCAGTGGGCTTACTGAACACAGGTGGGGGTGAAAATGATTGAAGATGGGAAATGGGAAGGACACTTTTTGCATTCCGCCTGCGTTCCAGCGGGTAAAGGCACAGACTTCGGTGACAGAGTCAGAAAGGCTGTTCTTTTGGATTGGCTGCCCTGGCTTTCACCTGTTTACCCCAAGGTGTCCTGTGGGCGAGGACGCTGATGCGCAGCGCCCTCTGGCGTCCGCGGCTGCTACGGTCAGGCGATAAAGGGGCAAAGACAGGCAACATTGAGGGTTCTTGGATTGAAGCTGAAATCGGTTAAATACACATTCACACACACATATATATACGTGTCACTCACATACACAGAATTCACACAACTCGCAGCTTTGCAGCCACATGCACCAGGGCAACGGCCGAGAAACGCTGTCAATTGTAGGGATGGCAATTCTTTCAGGCTTATGGGTTCTATCTAAGGCTCTTGGGATTGAGGAGCGCCAGTATCACCTCCAATCAGAGGTGTAGCCCATCAGAGAGTTCGGGCTGCTTTAGCGCACCTCACCCCTAGACAGAACATAGCGAGCCCTCGGTGCACTCCCGCAGCCCAGGATGGGCTATGGGGGTCGGGACACTGAACACAACTTCACCAGCAGGGCACAAGTGTCCCTTACCCCCATTCCCCCATTCCCACCCCAGAAGCCAGACCTGAAATATCTCA
Organism: Homo sapiens; assembly: GCF_000001405.40. Classification (NCBI taxonomy): domain Eukaryota; kingdom Metazoa; phylum Chordata; class Mammalia; order Primates; family Hominidae; genus Homo; species Homo sapiens. The sequence goes on along the minus strand of NC_000007.14, from coordinate 8,436,598 downwards.
TTCTCCTTGTCTCAACATGGCACAAACAGCTACCAATTCACCACAACAAAGCTCTTCAACCAGGAGCCGAGTTCCAGCAGTGTACAAAGTCCAGCCCCCCGGAAAACTCTGCTACTGAAGGACAAGGACCGCGGCTTTGTTTAGAATTCTCTCCCTGGCGACAAGGCCTACCATTCCCTAATAATGGACTAGTCACTGGAGATGGGATTTAGTTATTTGATGAAAAGGGGAGGTCGAGACGAGAGGAAGGTGGACATGTTTGCTGGAGTATCTCTGTCCTAACTCCGATTGCTTGCAGTACCCCTGATAGTTAAACTTATCCTGTCGGAACCCTTACAAGTCAAAGAAAGTTAACTGCGCTTCTTTATGTGTCTCATCTCCAAATCGGGGAAGTGGGTGGGTAGATTCACTTTTAAACTCACAGACCTGGGCAGATTTGTTCTTTCCACCACCCAACTACACCCCCACTTCCCTTCGTTTAAACTCTGTGCATGAGCTACTGAGAGTTCCTGCCTTCCACTTCTTCTCGTTGGCCCTCTATCACATAAAGCACCCCATCTCACTACCTCCTTGGGTTTAGGGTGTCTGGGGCGCCCTAGCCCCTTTCAAGAATCACGCGCAGGAGACTGGGGGATTGGAGCAGAAAATGGGGTGGGAACCCCGGAAAATCCGCAGGAATCCAGAGACCAGCTTGCCAAAGTTGCTCCAACACAGCTGCTAGGAAGCTGCTCTCACTGAACTGGCGGCGTAACCCTTCTCCCGCGTGTCCCCAGTTTCCTTGCCTCCCGGCCGGGGTAAAAATGCGAAAGCCCCGAACCTTCCAAGACTTACCAAGTAGACGGTGGGCTGCAGGAGGAAAAGCACGTACCAGCACGCAGCCTGCATTCTCCCGCGTCTCAAACTTCCTTGGCGGTGCCTTCTTTGAGTCTTTGTTCCTTCAGAAACATAGATCCACCTGACATCCACTTTACAGAGCAAGGAGCGCTCTCAGCAGCCTAGATGCAAATAAAATTAGACATCCCATGACTACGCGGGCAAGGTTAGGCTTGACAATCAAGCGGGGAAAGGGGGTCGTAGCGGGGAGTGGGGGACCAAAAAAAAAAGGGAGGGAGGGTACGAAAAATTGAAAAGCGAGTAAATCCAGCGCCTGAGACCAGCAAGCGCGCGGTCCGCAGCTGGGGAGGCGGGCGGGCGGACGAGAGGGAGGGTGAGGGGCTCCTTGCCCCCTGCGCTCCTCGGGTGCGAGTTCCCAGGCGGCGGAGCACACTGAGCCGCGTGCAGGCTGGTTCGGAGCCCAGGCTTCTCCGGCAGCGAGACCTGCCCTTGTGTTGGGTGGCCCGGCGGCTCGGACTAAAGGCGGCGGCTGGTTCTTCGCCAGCCCTGGCAGTGCTCACACACGTACACACCAGCAGAGAGAGATAGAGGGGAAAGATAAAGGGAGAGAGAGAGATTGAGCGAGGGGGGCGCGGTGAGAGGAAGAGGTAGGTAGAACTGACCGCGATTAGGTGCTAGGTACCTCAACACGTTCGGTGAAGTGGGGGTGGGGAAAGAGAATGCAATTTGCATACAGGAAAGCAGGGATCAGTTTACCCATTCGAACCCCTGGCGCACACAGAGATACCCACGAATGCTCACAGTCACATCTCTAGCACTACTTTTTTCGAGCCAAAGGGTACAGCCGGTCGCTAACTTCTAGAGAAGAAGCCTCCTCCGAGCTGTGAGGGTCACCTGCCAGGCTTGTTCTCTTTCCTAACCAGCGCCCCTCCCTGCCGTCCCTTCCTCGTGCCCACCACCCCGCTCCCAGGTGTACCCTCCGGGAACAGCGGAGGCAAAGGGTACGTACCGCACAGGACTTGGGGCGAATCCTGCGAGAAGGGACCGCTCTGGGCAGGCTCCATGGAGAAGCTACTCGGGCCTGGCGTCTCCAGCGCCCCGGACGTGCCCTCCCAGGCGCTCCGTCTCCATGCTCGAGCGCAGACGGGTCCGGCTGCCTCGTCCAGCTTTGGCGGAGTCGCCGTCCCAGTGCCCGGGTCGCGCTCAGGATTGGTTCGCGGGAGCCAAGGCTTGGCACAGTTGGATTCACGGTGCAGGAAACTTAAGAGGCAAGAGAGGGAGGGAGCAGTAGAGGAGGAAAGAGAGGAAGACAGAAAGGGAGGGAGAGCAAGAGGGAGGGAGAGAGGGGAATGCGCCGGGCTGCTGCACCGGACGGACTGGGACTGCCAGCGCTGGCACCCGGACGAACAGTCCAGGACTCTCGGCTTCCCACAGCTGCCTGAGGATGGTGGAAATGACTTAAGGGGAGGAGACTGAGCAAGTCCTCTGGACTTGAAGTGGAGAGATAAGACACTGGCCTTTCGGAAGAAAAGAGAACCACACGGCAGACGAGAGCAGTCCGAGTTTCTGAGGGAGGGGTGGGGTGGCGAGAATCTGGAGCCTGCGGCACACGGAGCAGCTGTACCTCTACCCGCGACGCTGGGAAGCCCAGGAGCCGGTCCCCAGTGGAGTCCCGGGCGCTGTCCCTGGTGCTGCCCGGCCACCCGGGGACGCTCTGGAGCGCTTTGGGTTTCCGGCGGCCGCGGTGGTCGTGGTTTCTCCGCAGAGCCGCGGCTTGGCACGCCTACCTTCCTGACACGGACAATTACTTTGGCACGTGGGTGAATGATTCCTCAAAGACTAATTAGTACCCTGTGTAAACAGATCCGGCTCTCAGGCTCTCGCGGGCTGGGCCCACAGGGACAAGTGGCTCCCGCGGTGTCTTCGGTGGCCGCAGCGCCCCCTTCCCGGGGGGCGTAGGGAAGATCGCAAAGCCCAGGGGAGTGGCGGGAAGAGCAGCCGGGAGTCGCGTAGGGCGGGGAAGGGCGCGGGAGGGTGCAGGGCGCCCCTGCCGGCCTCGAGCGCCGACGCCGGGCGCCTCCGACCTGTGGCTGCCGGGCCGGAGGCGGGGGAGCCGCAGACTGCCAGCCATTCAGCTCGAGACAGCCGAGAGGACTGGGCGACCTTGGCCTCTGGACTCCTCGCCGCCGGCTGGGCTGAGCGTGAAGGGGGAGGAGGAGGACGGGGGATGCTTCGAGCCGTCACCACCTCCCTCGCTACTGACACCTCCCACTCAACCAGCGTCTCCCAGACTCGGCCTCTGTGCTCCGACTCTGGCTGTCTCTGTCTTTCTCAGTCTCTCCCTTACTGTCCCTATTTCTCAGTATCTTTCTCACTCCCTCTCTCTCTCTGTCTCCTTCTTCTGTCATTCTTGTGGTCTGCGTCTCTGTCCCTCAGCATCTTTCTGCCTTTTTCTGCCTTTCTGTGTGTCTCACTCAGGATTTCTGACTCTAGGTCTCTGTATCTCTGTGCCTCTACCGTGTCCCTGCCATTCCCCCTCAAACCCTGTTTTGTTTTTTGTTTTTTTTCCTCCACCCTTCCAGTGCACCACCACCAGAGCAGTTTCACCAGTCTCGGGAGACAGCCAGGACCAGCTTCTTCTGGTGCTGGTGGGGTTGCCAGTGCTCCTTGAGCTTGCCCAAATTCAGGGCACAAATCGGAACCCGGAAGAGGGTATCTCTTCCCCAACCTTGCCCATTGCATCTCCAAGCCTGCCCTTCACCAGAGCCTCTCCTGGGGTGATGCACATATCCATATCAATCTGTAGGAATTGTATGGAAATTTATCTCAGGAACCTGAGTTAGTGACATCAAAATCGAATTGTGATATTTAATGAGTCTGGAATGTCCTTTCCTCAAGTGTGGCTGTGGACACTCTGGCAGGTCTGGGCCTAGATACAATGTACACTCTAGACAATAGGTCCCAGGCTGAATTCCCCTGGATGATGGAGACCACCCCTCAAACAAGGCAGTGACAATCAGCAGAGCCACCCAGTCCTGCAGCAGAGGCAAGAGGAGCCCCACTGAGACCTTCCCCTGGAATCAGATCTCCAAAGACCTCCAAATTAGATCCCCACTGTAGAACATACCTACCAGCACTTTGAGGTCTACACTCTCCCTTCCAGCTAAAAATAACTCTTTAAAGAGCAAGCTCTTCTAATCTTAAAAGTTGTACTCTGCTGCTGTGACCTCCTGGAATTCATTGGGGCATATGCAGAATAAAGCAGTGAAGCACACCTTCTAACTGTGTCTCTGAAAATCCACTTCAGAAAAAACGCACATGTACATATAGCATAATTACAATGTTTTCTTGACTATTTTCACTTACCAGCTATTTCATTTTCTTAAAAACTTTAAACTTTAAAGAAGAAAAATTAAAGTATTGGGGCACCCGTATCTGAGGCCAAATGGTCAAAGCAGGGGCAAAAAAAGCTTTGTCTAATTCCATCCTCTAGGATTCATAAGGCTATCCTAAAATTGATTCCTATTTGTACAGGAGCTCCCAGGCCTCCCAGACTGGAGTGTAGAGCTGGAGCAAATGTTGCCTGCCTCTATCTGGATTCCCAGCTACAATGCTGTCAGAGCTGAACTTCTGTCTGACCTTTGGGAAAATGAGAAAGAATCCGGCTAGCTTTGGAATATACCAAGTTCTTTTCTAAACCTTACTTTAAAAACATTCTGCTTCTAGTGCCATTTAGCCTTAAAAAAATACTGCTTGTGAAATAGAAAGATGATCAGAGACCTTAAAATGTCTGTCTGAATGGGACTGATTATTTAAGAAAAGCACCACAGGCACCTAGTAATGGGAACAGGTTTGACACTTTGTTCTATGACACAGGATGCCAAAGAGCTTTTTCTGTTAATGACCTGAGATCTTCTGCCCAGACATTCAACCTTCGCTGGATCCTATGAGATACTTGGCCTGTGATATAAAACAGTGGCGGATTGTCATTTTTCATATTTCACAGGGGTCTTCATCTCCTATAATACTCAACCAGAAAAGGATACCGAGCCACCAAGTAACACAGAAAAATGTATCGTTTCTGCTAAACCACTCCAGTTTTAATAATATAATATTGGGGGAGAAGTGGACAAGAATGGTTCATTCACCCTCCTTTTTTCCTATCATTTGCTTTATAAAGAACAATGGAGCAATAAAAGCATGATTTTCTTACATTCTTCTGTTTCAAGTAGTATCCTACTCTAAAATGCACTCTTAGAATACATGAACAGTCAGCTTCATTGAGTGAGAACAAAAGTGTGATTACCTTAAGAAGTATAGTGTTTGTACCAATTTTTACTGACTTTACTCATGCTGAAAATTCTTTCAGAAATACTGTTTCCAAACTTTGTGTGCAATGCAACTTAATACAGATATAAACTTAGTATGAATGATAACCACTGTAAAACACAACCCTCTGCATCTGCTTTTCCCCATGTCTACCTGGTCCAACCTGAAATGAACAGTACGAGAAATAATATAGATCTTTGTCTCTAAGAAATATATTTTTAAAGGGTTAAAATGGGCTGCATCAAAAGAAAATAGTGAAATTAACTTTCCTGAAAGTTAAAACCAGAAGAAATTAAACTAGAATCTTCTGACATATACTGATAGTTCTGTTAAATGTAATTATCTATTTTGGTTTGGTTCATTTGTATGATTCTCTTTTTTGGCAGGGGAGAGGGAAGGGAGAGGTTTGAATTATCTTGGGGCTGGAGAGAAGAGAGACATAAAGAGAGAGGCTGAGTTCTACAAAATTTTGTCCTAAAATGAACCTGTCTTAAACACCTTAATATCATCATATTCTACCCAAAATCCAAGTAAAAACAGAGAACTATTGTTACAAAGCATCCAGCTGTGGTCTTGCTTAAGCTTCAGGCCAAATTACATCACTTTGTACATAGTACTGCATTGTACCTATTTTTTTTCCTAATAGTGATAGAAAACTTACAAAGACTGTATCACCCTCCTGCCCTTAATTCAGTATAACCTGGCATTTGCATGTTGTGTAGTCCTGGACAAGTGCCTAAATATTCACCTGGCCTCGGTACCCTCCTCTGTATAATGCAGAAGTAAGGTTACATGATGTTTTAAATGATTTCTAATTCTAAAGTTCCTTTATTTTACCTTTTATGATTAAATGCAGGTTTAAAAAATTTACCTGCTTCCCAAAAAACAATTGTGTACTGCATTATGATTTTCAAAGATATTAACAGTTTGAAAAAACATTCTTTTTTGGTGCATTTCAAAGATTTTTTAGTCAAGTGTGTTTATAGGTTTGAGCCAAAGATTTTTTCTGCATTTCTTCCCTGCTCCACCCTCATAACCTTTCTTCTAGGTCAGAGGTTGACTGTATTGAATTCATCATATTACTTTTTCATGTAAATTGTTCTGTACATGTTTTTAATGTCACTGATTTATGAGAATCTACACTCAAAGTGGCATCCTTATTATACTTATGAATATCGGTTAGAAAAGATCCAAAGCTATTTCCACTACTTTTGCAGAATTCTTTTTTTTTTTTTTTTTTTTTTTTTTGAGACGGAGTCTCGCTCTGTCGCCCAGGCTGGAGTGCAGTGGCGCGATCTGGGCTCACTGCAAGCTCCGCCTTCCAGGTTCATGCCGTTCTCCTGCCTCAGCCTCCCGAGTAACTGGGACTACAGGAGCCCGCCGCCACGCCTGGCTAATTTTTTGTATTTTTAATAGAGACGGGGTTTCACCATATTAGCCAGGATGGTCTCAGTCTCCTGATCTCGTGATCTGCCCCTCTTGGCCTCCCAGTGTGCTGGGATTACAGGCATGAGCCAACGCGCCTGGCCTTTAGCAGAATTCTTAAATGTCACTCAGGACTACTAAAAAAGCCCCTGGCCTCTCCACTCCCCCAACATATTTTGCTAGTGGAAGGAAGGATTATTTGCATAGTGATTTTTACCAGCCTGGAATATTTGGTATTTGAATGTGGTAGAACTCGGTTAATAACTATGAGGCATGTGTGCTAAATTACCTTTACAATAATGCTTTAATAACAAGGTCACTGGACTAGAGAGGAAAAATAGCCGTCAAGCTCTAGAATAAAAAAAAACTAAAGGGAATCAAAAAGCTTTATGTAGAAGGCATTTTCTTTTTTAAAGGTAATTTATATGCTCAGCCTTTGTATCCACATTTCATTTATTCTACTAGGTGAAGACAGAGGGTTCTCAAAGGTAGGGTAGTTTTAGTTATGCTCAAAAACTTTAAAAAGAGGATGAACATAATAAGAGAAATTGAAGGAAGCCAGCATTTAAAAGGCAGTTGAATGTAAAAGATGGAAAGATTGGGGTCATCGCCCGAAAATCATAATTAAAATTTTAAAAAATATTGTGACTAAACAAACCTTTGCATTATAATCTCATTACAGAAATTCTTTATGATGATTCCTCCAGAGATTATTAATTGACAGTTCCCTAAAACAGAATCATTAGAGACAGAGAACTTGATAACCAATGTTCTGTTAACAAAGCAAAATACAGTATCTGCTTTCAGCCAGAAAGAACACTGGGACTCTCAACCACGCAGGGATGGAAGAAATTGTTAAGGACAAAGGCTACAAGCTCTTTGGTTATCAGAAGCTGAAAATGAGTCTGTAAATGCATAGTTCATCTCCATAATCTAAAGTACCTAGATATTTTGAAACATACATGTTTGTCCAGCTTTTATCCTGATTTGACAATATGAATACATCACTCTAAAACAAGATGACTTATACAGGCAGGGAACAAAGAACTGCTTCAACCCAAATATCATAGTGTCATAGTGATAACAGTGTTTTGGATTAGACACCTTTTAAATAGGAGATATCACAGGGATGCAACAAATCTTTCAATCTCCCTTTTTAATATCAAATTAATGAAAACAACTATATTACAATTTCACCATAATTAACTTCAGGGGTCATGCTATAAAAATCACATAATATTACATTTTTCTGCTTCTTTTAGTTTCAATAATAAAATGCTTTTGATAAAGTTCAAAGCAAAATAGTCTAACATGAAATTTTGTATTAAGTAGATGGTAATTTCTCAAAGCTCCATAGCTTTCAACAGGGTAATGGCTACCAATTACCAAGTGCCAGGCAAATGCCAGGAACCATACCCTGTGTTTTATTTATATCATTCCACTGTATCCCTAGTGAGTCCATGAGCATCAATCAGCAATTTAGTTTTAAAAATAAACTTCCCGGGTTAGATGAGAAGATCTCATTCACACTCATCTCCACGAAGGCTGACTTGAAAATCTGAGAATCACTGGATCGTTAATGTATACCCCTCTCTCTAGTAACTGTCTCCACTATTTTAGTTTCAGTGCCACTATTCTCTCCATGTATTTTAAATAACCCACTAACCATTCCTTTTCAGATTATCTGTGTGCTAATCTTCCTACATTAAACATTGGTGCTCCTCAGGGTTCCATCAATAACTTTCTTTTCACTCCTACTAGACAATCCTGTCTAGTTCCATGTTTTTATTATATATTAACATCTAGTGACCACCAAGTTCATAAAGTCCATTTCTGATGTTTTTCTTTGTCTGAATATTCAATTGCCATCATGTCCACTTAGATGTGCTAGAGGAACCTAAAATTAATATGCCTAAAACAGAAGAAATTATGTCATTACATTACACATATATCCTGTTAGTTGGTGTCACACACTGTGGAGTTCTCCACTTGTAATGGGACTAAGCTCATGCCCTTTGCCAAAAGATCTCATGGTGAAATGGAGAAGTATACCTCCCCATATATGCAAAGCCTTTCTTTTTTTTCTTTTTTTATTTTCTTTTCTTTTTCTTTCTTTCTTTCTTTCTTCCTTCCTTCCTTCTTTCCTTCCTTCCTTCCTTTCTCTCTCTTTCTTTCTTTCCTGTCTTACTTACTTGTTCTTTTCCATCATAATCAGAGTCTTTAAGAGGCATAGCATGTTTCCACTTGCTCCTTCAGCCACCAGGAGAACAGCATGCACCATGTAGAAGCTGTGTCCTTCAGCCTGAGACCTAAAATGAGAAAGCACATGAAGACCAGAGCCTGATCTGGATCTGGAGCATAGCCACCAAGCTGACCTGTAGTTCTGCAGATCCAAAAGTGAGAAACAAATGTTTACTCTTTAACTGTTGAGATTTGGGTGTTGTTTTGCAGCATTATCACAGGCAAAGCTGACTAACTGATCCCACTAACATACTGGAAAACTTAAGTACCAGATTTTCTTATGCCTTCTTTTTGGTCCTCCACATCAAACATAAAATTACCAACACATCTCAATTTTATTTCTAATTATCTCTTATCTCCTCTCTTCTCTGCTCCTGCTCCTGCTCCTGCTCATAACCCAGGCTCATATCATTAGTCATCTGGGCTGTGGAAATAGTCTTTTCACTGATCTCCCCTCATTTCAGCTTCTGTCTCCATAAATATATCCTCCTCACTGTTACCTGAATGATGGAGCTAAAACCAAAATGTTCCCACATCAGACACTTGTTTAAATCTCCTCATAAACTCTCCACTGCTTACAGAATCAAGTCCAGCTCCCTAGCTCAGCACAGGAGACCCCCTGTGAGCTGGCCTCTGTCCACTCCATTTTTTTTCCTTCCATCTGGCCCCTCTTCAACTACATGCTTCACATTCATCAGTTACCTATCCTTACAGCTTCTAACACACAACCATATGTCTCAACTTGGAGCCTCTGCACCTTCTTTCCTTTGCTTTGACGCCTCTCAATTCAATCTCTAGGTAAACTCCTCATCTTCCTACAACCTCTGCTCAAAGATCACCTCTCATCCTCTCCACTTTTCTCAGGGACTTGTGTACTAAAAAGTATTCTTACTATTTGCACCATGCTGTTTATACATGTCCCTTCTCTACTGGACAGCAACATTCAGTTTTGCACCCCCAGCCTTACCTTGAACTAGATTGAGCTGAATGTTCAATCATGCTCAGAAAGCTCAGTGTCCGAAAAACAGCCTCGTGTACCCCACAGCAGGAGAGCATATCAGAGCCTCTGCAGCAGCAAGTCCTCATCTAGGAAGTTCTCAGAGAGTGCGTAGTTGGAGGAAGTTTTCAGGCAAACATCAGCCAAGTGAAATGAGCAAAAGGAACAGTACTAGAGTGGGAAATTTTGGCCAGAAGGCACAAGCTCCTTCACCGCAAACATCCTCAGAGACTGCTCAGAATCAGAAACTGAATGGAAAATTTGCGCTGAATGAGTTACTCAGGACAGATTCATTAACCCCCTCATGTCCAGAGCCAAGTATGTGGTGATACCAAAAAGACCCCAATGTCCCCAAATTCTAGCTCACTCTGCACAGGTACACCCCAAATCCTATCTCACAGTTCAGTTGCTTCACCACTTATTAGTATCTTACCCAACAGTTTGTTACAACCAGACCTCACCTTATCACTCTACCTTCAGGACCAGATGAAACAGGGAAAGGAGATAGAGGGAGAAGAGTTACAGAAAGCACTGTGCATACCATTATCATAACGACCACCAACTCTGGACCTGGGAAATGGAGTTAGCCATCCCCGGAGAAAAACAACACTAGGCCTTGGAGCCCTGGGCTATTGAATTAACCTTACCAGTAACTATTTAATAAAACCACTCTTTCCAGGTCTCTTTTCTACACCTATGACAGTTTCCTTTTGTCTCCTGTGCTGGTTGTTCCTACTAACCACTCCCAGGCTAACAATTTGCCCTCCAGCCCACCCCTTTGGTTTGAAACTACAGGCTAATATCTCTATCTGCCAGACGGAATCTTCACTCAAATGCCCGCCATTCTTTGATACAAAATGTTCAATGGTAAACTAGACAATACCCCCAATACTATACTCCACCCCCCACCCCCAACACACATCTTCCTATTCACAGCTCCCATGACTTCATTTGTGGCACCCAAACTTTCTATGTAGCTTTACACCTCAGAATTAATCTGGTTATTTTTGTGTTCATCTCATAGACCAGTCAGGCACATTGTCTCATCAAGCCTTCCTTCGGAATATCTCTTGCATCCACCTCCTTGCACCGTGGACGAGGCTTCATCATCTCACATGTGGACAGACACCTTATAACTGGTTTTCCAGTTCCCAACTAGTTTTCCAGTTCTCACTAATCTCACTTCTATGAGCACTATAGTGGTAAGGACTGTAGTGGTACAAAGGTCTTATCCATCTTTGTACCTCCAACACTTAGTGTGATGCCTACTGCACAGTAGATGCCCAATAGATGTTTACTTGATGGGTGGATCAGTTCCTTATACTACCCATAGATTTTTGCTTACACAACATATTTGCCCTGTTACTCCTCGGCACACACACAGAAAATCTCCTCTTATCTTCCCATGTCTAGAACAGGGTTACTTTTCATGTATTCATTAATTTTTTCCAAGAAATTATTTATTCAAGAGAATTCTCACTCAAAAACATGGTAGGTAAAATAGAGAAATTCAAAGCTTCTCTGGTTGAATCTAGGGTAAAATGTTTACATCCCTACCTACAGCCTTTCCCACCTTACCTCCTTTCCTCTCTCCCATCCCCAAGCAAACCTAGAGCTAGAAACTATCTAAGATACCCTAAGACAGAAATTCCCAAACCTTAGTTTGCTTAATTTCCACCTGGAGGGTGAAGTAAAATGCACATTATCAGGCCCTACTTTAGATTAGGATTTACTAGTCTGGGCTTTGATCTTTAAAATAGGCATTTTAGCAAGCATCCAGGTGATCCGATGAAGGTCGTCAGAAGAATACACTTTGAGAAACCTTATCCTAGACGGTGATAAATTGGAATTTTAAAACTCCATCTCACAGAATGACATTTGAACCCCTTGTGGCAGACATTAAAGTTTGTCAAAGTCTCCTGTTTATCCCACCCATCAAGATTTGATAACATGGATACATTAATTAGTTTGATTCAATCATTGCATGATGTATACATACACAATTGTCCTTTGGTATCCACAGGGAATTAGTTCTAGGACCACCTCTCCACAGAGTCCATGGGAGCTCAGGTCGCTTATCTAAAAAGGTATAGTGTTTGCGTATAACCCATGCACATTTTCCTGCATACTTCAAATCATCTCTACTTACAATACCTAATACAATGTATTATTTCTTATTGTTGTATTGTTACAATAAAACTATGTATTATTTTATATTGTTGTATTGTTAATTTTTTTCCAAATATTTTCAATTCTGTTTTGGTTGAATCCACAGATGCAAAACCCATGGCTATGGAGGGCCAACTATATCATAAAGTCATGTTGTACTCTAAACATATATATAATTATTATTTGTTAATTAAAAATAAAATATATTTTTTAAAAAGATTTAATAGCAAGTGCACTCAAGAACATTTGCTTCACTTTATTGCCCTATTGCCCCCAATCATATTAATATCAGGCTTGATTCAAGTCTTAAGTTCTTTCTTTTTTTTTTTTTTTTTCAGAGTTTCTGTCGCCCAGGCTGGAGAGTGCAGTGGTGCGATCTCGGCTCCCTGCAACCTCTGCCTCCCGGGTTCAAGCAATTCTCCTGTCTCAGCCTCCTGAGTAGCTGAGACTACAGGCCCATGCCACGAGGCCCGGCTAATTTTTTTCTATTTTTAGTAATTTTTTTCTATTTCACCATATTGGTCAGGCGGGTCTCAAACTCCTGATCTCAGGTGATCTACCCACCTCAGCCTCCCAAAGTGCTAGGATTACAGGTGTGAGCCACCATGCCCGGCCCTTACGTTCTTTCTTATGCAGCTTCCCCCTAACTAGAATGCTCTTCTCCATCCACTTCCTCTTCCTTTGTACATCTCCAAATCCAACCATTGTTCATCATCTCGAACAAGGCCTTCCTCACTGAAGCTTCCCGCATCCATCCATCCATCCATCCATTCAACACAAATTTATTGAATGAGCAGTGGTTCTAGGTACTGTGGATATATCACTGAACAAATAAACACAAATCCTAGTCCTCAGAGAGTGTATATTCTAGTGCATAAAGACTGACAAACAAATTGTAATGTAAGATAAAATATGTGGTTAAGTTAGATGGCAATAAGTTCTATGGAGAAAATAAAGAAGGGAAGAGAGAGAGAATGGCAGGAGTAAAATGCAGAAGCAATTTTAAGTGGAGTGGTTGAGGATAGTGAAAACTGAATAAAGATGGAAGGAGGTGAGGAAGTAGACCATGTGGATATTTGGAGCAAAAGCTTTTTAAGTAGAGGGAAGATCAAGTGAAAAATGCTGAGGCAAGAGTACACACTGGGCATTAGAGGGACAGCAAGAATGCCAATTTGTCTGGGGAAGAACAGACACATTCCTGGTGAGCTAGGAAGAAGTGGCAAAGAGCTGATATCAGAGGTGACAGACTGAGCAGCATCTGAAGGGCACTGGAAGGACTCCGCTTCACAAGTCCTTGCAGGATAGCTTTACACCAAGCAGAGAAGCATGTCCTGACTCACATTTTAACCACAGTATTGTACATCCTGTGTCAACAACAGTCTGAAGCAGGGCAAGAGCAGCAGTTAGGAGGTTACCGTAATAGTCCAAACAAGAAGCAATGGTGACTTCATGACATGGATTGCAGCAGAGGTTGTGAGAAATGAACCAATTCTGGATATATTTTGAAGGGAGAGATGACATAATTTGCTGATGGATTGAATATGGAATGTGAAAGACACTGTTGTCTCCAAGGTTTTTCCCCTGAACACTTGAGAGAATGGAAGTCACCATTAATTTGAGGAAGACTGTGGAAGAAAAAGGTAGACAGAGGAAGAGGAGAGATCGATAGCTCAGTTTGAGGCATGTTAAGTTTGAGATGTACATTGGACGTCCATGCGGAGCTATTGAGTATTATGAGTTAGGATTCAGGGTAAATGTCGGTGCTGGAAACATAAATTTGGGTATTATCAGCATATAGATGGTATTTAAAGACATGAGATCATCAAGGAAATCAATATAGAAAAAGGAGAAAAGAGTCCTGGAGCACTTAAATGTTAAACAGTCGGTGTGGAGGAGTGAGGAGGACCCAGAAAAAGAGACTGAGAATGAGCACACACTGATGCAGGCAGAGACCAAAAAAGAGGAGTTAGCAATGGAATCAAATGCTTTGATAAGTCAAGTAAGATTTTTAAAAATGACCATTTAATTAAAACATATGGAAGTCTTTGCTGACCATGACAAGAGCAGTTTCAGTGAGTAAATAAAGGGAGAGCTAGAATGGAGGGGATTCAAGAGAAAAATGTAAGGAAAGAGTTGTACAGACAGTGAATATGGATCATCTTTCAGGACGTTACTTTTATCCTACTTAATTTTCTTCTCCCTCAGTCTCTATACCATCTAGGACTAATCTGCTTACTTGCACATTTTTATGATCACCCTCAGTGACACTTAGTTTTCAGTTGTGTTTATATCTTCTTTCCAGCTAATTTGGAAGCTCTTATTGGAAAGAATCAGTATCTCCTTTCACATCTGCAACACTCCCCTCAGTGCTTTGCACAATTCTGTGCCCATAATGAGTGTATTAGTCTGTTCTCACATTGCTATAAAGAACTATCTGAGACTGGGTAATTTATAAAGAAAAGAATTTTAACTGACTCACGGTTCCACAGGCTTTGCAAGAAGCACAGCTGGGGAGGCCTCAGGAAACTTACAATCATGGTGGAAAGGGAAGGGGAAGCAGGCATGTCTTACATGGCCGGAGAAGGAGGAAGAGAGACAACAGGGAGGTGCTACACACTTTTGAACAACCAGGTCTTGTGATAACTGACTCACTATCACTAAAACAGCAAGGAGAAAGTCTGCCCCCATGATCCAATCGCCTCCCACCAGGCCCCTCCTCCAATATTGGAGATTACAATTTGGACATGAGATGTTGGCGGGGACACAAATCCAAACCATATCAATGAGTATCCAAAAATACATGACAAACCAAATAAATATTTTTCCGATGTTTTTCTCTGTCCCTTTTCCTAGATTTTAACTACTTCAAGCAACTTGTAGATTAAATTTCTGTTCTTCAATTTGACATTTAAGGACCTTCATAAAATGGCCCTACCCAAAATTTGTCTTTTAGTATTTTCTTACACAGCCCTCTGCTTTAGTCAGGATATTTTGTTGACTTTACTGAAAAAAAGCTGCTCATTTTCACATATTATTTTAATTATGATTTTATCTTTTGGAAATTCCTCATTCAATCCAAGGGCTTTTGTCCTCTTAGAAACTAACCAAGGAATAGCTCTGGTCCCATATTTGGATGCTTTTTGCTTTAATATATAGCTACCCCAGATTTTAGGTATCATATCTATGTCAACCTCATGAGGTATTTCCTGTGCTGTCTATTGCACTCCATAATTCTACTTTTATATTTGTTCCACTTTAAAAAACATCCTAGACCAAGCTTAGCATTTTTGGCTTTCTGTTTCTCCTATTCATTAACTAGCACTTTCAGTATCAATGAAAAATAAAATGAGAAATAAAGTATTACTACAGGTAAAGGCTTTTAATTAAGGATTAATACATGATAGAATGAATAAATAAATGATGGTTGGATGGATGGGTGGGTGGATGGATGGATGGATGGATGGATGGATGGATGGATGGATGGAAATGGCTTTTACGTTTTACAGTTATCTGATAGAGCATACATTACCCCGTTTAATCTACACGACAGCTGTCAGGTGTAGGTAGCATACATTTAACAGATGATAAAATAGTTTTAAAAAGGTTAACCTTCCCAAAGTTTTTCCAGGACACTGGAACCCAAACTTCCTAATTCAGTTCTAGATTCAGAATCCAATTCCAAAACTACTGAAATCCAGTTATTTTCTCTTTCCACCATGGTTGCTTGCTGGAAATAAATACATAAGTAAAACCACTGGAATCCTAACTCAAAATTGTTTTCAAATCATGTTCATTTAGAATTGATGAGATTTTGCTGAATCTGTTTTCCAGTGAAATTGTAATTCTACTATTATATTCTTTTCCTCCTTAATAACAAACTTATAGTCTCACAACTGTTTTGATTACTTTACTTAAAAAAATAACAGCACAGCAAAGTACATAGTTCTTTAACAACTTTCTTTCCTTTTGGTTCTGTACCTCTACAAAGCTTTGTCAGACTACCACTGACTCAAACGGTAATGGTATGCAAGCTAGAAATGTACTCTGGGAATACATTTTCTCTTTGGAGTGAACATCTTTCTGCCACATGTTCATTCTCTTAGATTTCTGATCTTAAGAACACAAAACAAAGAATGGTTTATTAATCAAATGTTTTCTTGAGCCTATTTGAACTCCATACCTTAGATATATTTTAAAAGATGTTCTACTTACTTCCTTAGTGTGGAAACTCTTGTGAATTTTGAAAGCTTTCTTAACCATCTTAGATCATTGAGATACCATTCCATTCGAGATCTGAGCGAATAATTAACTAGCAGGTACCCCAACATGATTGAATCCTTCAAGATTAACAAAACAAATCTGACAATCTCATTTGCTTTATTTTTGTTCATGGGCTCTAAGGAAAAAAACCTAAGAAATAAGAGTTATATGGCAACATATGATGCTATAAAGGAAATATATTCTCTAGTTAAGACAGCCACTCAGCATCCCAAGTGCCCTCAGTGTATAGCTTATACCCTAAAGTCATCTGTCCTAAAACTTGAAGTTGTGTTGAGATTTTCAGAGAAATTATGTACAAAACCAAAGTGCTATTTTTTATAATTATCTTTGATAAAGGAATATAAAGTTGGGATAATTTAACTTAAATTTAACCATATATTAGTGAATAAATTTTTTATTTTATTATATAACACTAAATGCTTTTTGGTTATTTTGATGGTGAATTGTGAATCTATAATGTAGAGGTTTTGGATTTTAAAAGCTTCTATAATTCAAAATAAAATGAATTATATTAGACTCATGTTAATTTTGTAGGAATGATCTTCCTATTGAGTAAGATATTAAGATACTTTAGACTTTGTATCTTAAGACTATATATTTCTATATGTTAAGTCCCAGGTTCACTACTTCTATCTTGTGTCTTAGGTTTCAGAATTAATGAATGAGACAGAAACTCTCCATATATTGCAGAGGAATATAACAAATAAGCTGATTGAAAAACTAGGTATATGCTTTCTTTTATCATTTCTAAAAAAAGAATAAAAATGTAATTAATTAACCTTGCATACTATCCTCTCTTTTGCCAAACCTTAATTAGGTTCTGGGAAGTAGATACCCTTCAATGAAAATGAACAAAAATAGCCCTCGATGAAACGATTACAAAATGAGTTTTCTCATTGAGGAGTAAAGATGAGACATGAAAAATATGAGCTTCTGCAGCAGGCATTTTTCATTCTTTTTTACAATGTGAGCAAATGGAGGGTGAAGAAACAGCCTTCACCTTTCATATGCTCTACTATGCTCCAAGATTTACAGTAACTCTTTAAGATAAAAAATTTAAAAAAATAAAAAACCTGCACAAAATGGGAAATTGTCAGTCACTAGGGAGGTGACTATCAAGTATATTTTCCTGTGGATGCTTTACAATGAGTTGATGACTGTTAACCAGACTAAGACCATGACTTGGAGGAGCAACAAAATTTGAAAATAGGAGCTCCCAAACAAAAGGATGTTGTTTCCCCAGTGTAATTTGTTTTGAAAAGTTATTGCCTAGTAAGCACTGCATAAATTCTATTTCACTCATGACAAAACTGCACTTGGATTTTTACTAAGCAAAGCCATAGTCAGAAGAGAAAGAAATCTGATCATATGCATCATTTTTAATGTAAAAATTCACACTCTTCTTGATTCCAACAATGATGTGATTTGTAAAGGGCTCTAATTGTGGTCAATTATTACAGTCCTTCAGCGCCACCTAGTGTTTGCCATATGATGGTATAGCCCAGTTCACCTATGAAACCAAACTAATAATAGTCATACATCCCAAATAAAAGGAAACAAGAAGACCTCAAAGTTTAATTTTGATATCTCATAGTCAAAGTATTTTCTATTGTTTTAATACTCTTAAATTGCTGAAAAGCCTTTGTCTCTTTTGTTGAACTAAGTCTTTTGCATGTTTGGGTTCATCCCATTGATAAATGCCTAATTGCCATTGTTCCCTGGAAAACCAGAGTAACTATAAGGTTAACCCTGTTTTTATAAGGTAAGTCATTTCATAATCGATTCATTTTAGAGTGGAATACCTACACATATAAGAAGGAGCAAAGCAACATGAAAATAAAGGTGACCATTGAATACCTAGTTTTTGTGAGCTGACAAAATTGGTTGAGCACACTCTCAAGTTATTCTTGTCGGTCTCAAAAGAATGTTAAGGCGGGTGTCAGCCACTTCCCCGTAACCTCATTACCAAATTGTAATAAAAGCATATCTCAGACCAGATTATGACACATTTATATAGACATTTATTAAATAAATATGAAATTGCAAGCAAGTAAAAAAGAACTGTTCATACAATATATCTTGATCTAAATAAAGTCTCAGCTGTATTCTTTTTAGTCCTGTTATAAATAAAGCTTCGGTGCCACAAAAGAAATAGCACTCAAATATAAAATATTCTTTTTTTCTTCTCAGAAGGGCAATTTACTTCTATAGAAAGGTGCACTCTCACCGACGGAGCAATGGTGAGCGCACACCTGGACAAGGAAGGGGAAGGGGTTCTTATTCCTGACGCAGGTGGCCCCTGCTGCTGTGTAGTTCCCCTATTGGCTAGGGTTAGGCAGCACAGGCTAAACTAATTCCGACTGGCTAATTTACAGAGAGAGATGGGGTAATGGTTTGGAGGGAAAAATGATTATGGCAGAGTAGGAAATCGCAATGAGTCAGGGTGGAGCAGGTAATCGGAATGAGTCAGGGTGGAGCAGGTGATCAAAAAGGTTGTTTTATGAGGAAGTTAAGTTTAAAAGTAGAAGGCAAAGAATTGAACATACGGACATATTGAATCTTTGAAGAGAAATTTAGAACTCATATCTAACAGTGCTCAAATAACTACCTTGCATGAGAGATTCACTAGAGGCAGGTGTAACAAATCCTTGAAACAAAATTTTGTTATATTATGATCAGCGTCAGGAAACCAGAAATTATCCTAAACCAATGGCTGGACACAGAAACACTTACAAGTAAAGATTTAGGCACTATCCCTATGGATGAAAGCTACAGGCCTCTAATTTTATTTTATGATAATTACTGAAGATGGTTTTGTCATAGAGAGGAAATGTGTTGTTAAAAAATGATCCACTTTGGTCAGGCACGGTGGCTCACGCCTGTAATCCCAGCACTTTGGGAGGCCAAGGCGGGCAGATCACAAGTTCAGGAGTTCGAGACCAGCCTGGCCAACGTTGTGAAACCCCGACTCTACTAAAAACACAAAAATTAGCCGGGCGTGGTGGCACAGGCCTGTAATCCCAGCTACTCGGAAGGCTGAGGCAGGAGAATCGCTTGAACCCGGGAGGCGGAGGTTGCAGTGAGCCAAGATCATGCTACTGCACTCCAGCCTGGGCAACACAGCGAGAATCCATCCCAAAAAAAAAAAAAAGAAAGAAAGAAAGAAAAGAAAAAAAAGAAAAGAAAATGATCAGCTTCAAGTGTCAAATATGTTCAGTATGCCACTGCATGACACTGACTAAGGAAATATGTACCCCTTTGTTCTTGAACACACATGAGAATGAGACCTTCTACATGCATGCCTTGAGAAAATATTATATTATTCTTGTTCTGATTTACTCTCTCTCAAATCTCTTTATCAAAGTAATACAACAACTAGAAAAATGTCTTTGCTTCTAGATAAGAAGTGCTAGGATTGGGTCAGATAAAGAGCATTGTCTGAGGAAATAGAATTGCAGTCTGAATCTTTCAAATCCAGATACATACCAGGTTAATAGCTAGTTTAGACCGCTCATGGAAAACCCAACATTACTGTGCAACTCTCATCATGTTGCACTTGTCAGGAGGAAGGAGAAAACTCACCATTTAGGCCTGAATGGCTTTTTTTTTCTATTTCAAGCCAAGTTAATAAATGAAAAAGAATCTACATTCCCTATAAAGCTTTTTCAATCTCTTCATTTACAAAGTGTGAATGGTAGCGTAAATGTAACAAGAGGAATTGTGATATTGCCTTGTACTGAACTGTCAAATAAATATATCAAAAGAGACCAAAGAAAATTGACAATACAGGCATACCTAAGAGAGATTGAGAGTTCAGTTCCAGCCTATTGCAATGAAGCAAATCATACAGACTTTCTGATTTCCCAATGCATACAAAAGTTATGTTTGTGCTACACTGTAGTCTATTAAGGGTGTAATGATATTATGTCTAAAAAAGCAATATGCATACCTTAATTTTAAAATACTCATTTGCTTAAAATATGCTAATGATCTTCTGACTTTTCAGCCAGTCATAATCTTTTTGCTGGTGGAGGGTCTTGCCTTGATTTTGATGGTGGCTGACTGATCAGGGTGGTGGTTCCTGCAGGTCTGACTGTGGCAGATCATACCTGTGGCTGTGGCAATTTCTTAAAAAAGACAACGGCAAAGTTTGCACACTGATTAACTCTTTCATGAAAGATAGAACACAATGCTAGCTGATAGCCTTTTACTCATGGTAGACTTCCTTCAAAACTGGAGTCAGTCCTCTCAAACTCTGGGGCTGCCTTATCAGCTAAGTTTAATGAAATATTCTAAATCTTGTGTTGTCATCTCAAAAATGTTCATCGTCACTTCACTGGAAGTAGATTCTATCTCTAGAAACCACTTTCTCTGTTCATCCATAAGAAGCAAGTCATCATCTGCTCTAATTTTATTATGAGATTGCAGCAATTCAGTCACATCTTCAGGCTCTACTTCTACTTCTAGTTTTCTTGCTATTTCTACCACATCTGAAGTGGCTTCCTCCACTGAAGTCTTGAACATTTCAAAGTCATCCATGAGGGTTGGAATCAACTTTTTCCAAACTCCTATTGATGTTGATATTTTAACCTCCTCCCATGAAACACATCTGTTCTTGGGTGGCATCTAGAATGGTGAATCCTTTTCAGAAGGTTTTCTATTTACTTTGCCCAGATTCAACAGAGGAACTATGAATGGCAGCTATAGCATTATAAAATGTATTTTTTAAACAACGAGACTTGAAAGTCAAAATTACTTCTTGATACATGGGCTACAGAATGGATATTGTATTAGCAGGCATGAAAAAAACATTAACCTTGTACATCTCTATCAAAGCTCTTAGGTTACTAGGTATATTGTCAATAAGCAGTGATATCTGGAAAGGGATCCTTTTTTGCTGAGCAGTAGGTCTCAGTAGTTGGCTTCAAATATTCTGTAAACCATGTTGTAAACAGATTTGCTGTCATCTGGGCTGTGTTGTTTTATTTATAGAGGCAGGAAGAGATTTAGCATAATTCTTATGGGCCCCACGATTTTCAGAATGGTAAACAAGAATTGGCTTCAACTTAAGTTCATCACTTCATTAGCCTCAAAGAAGAGAGTTAGCCTGCCCTTTGAAGCCTTGAAGCCAGGCATTGACTTCCCCTCTCTAGCTATGAAAGTCCTAGATGACATCTTCCACTAAAAAGCTGTTTTGTCCATATTGAAAATCTGTTGTTTATTGTAGCCACCTTCATCAATTGCCTTAGATAGGTCTTCTGGAAAACTTGCTGCAGCTTCTGTATCAGCACTTGTTGCTTCACCTTGCACTTTTATATTATGGAGATGGCTTCTTTTCTTGAACCTCATGAATCAACCTCTACTAGCTTCAGATTTTTTCTTTTGCAGTTTTCTCACCTCTCTCAATCTTCATACAATTTAAATGAATTAAGGCCTTGCTCTGGATTAGGCATTGGTTTAAGAGAATATTGTGTCTGGTTTGATCTATTCAAGGTTGTTTTGCTTTCTTATTATTCATGTGTTCCCTGTAGTAGCATTTTTAATTTTCTTGAAGAACTTTTTCTTTCATTCACAGCTTGCCTAATTGTGTAGCTCAAGAGACCTAGCTTTTGGCCTGTCTTGGCTTTGGGCATGCCTTCCTCACTACACGCAACCATTTCTAGTTTTTGATTTAAAATGAGAGATGTGAAATTCTCACTTGAATACTTAAAGGCCATTTTTAAGTTATTAATTGGCCTGGTTTTAATATTGTGTGTCTCAGGGATTAGGCCTGAAGAAAGGAAGCGAAGAGGACTGGCCAGTGAGTGGAAAAGTCAGAACACCCACAAATTCATTAAGTTTGCCATCTTATACAGGCATGGGTCATGGTACCCCAAAACAATTGTAATAATATCAAAGACCACTGAACACAGATCACCATAACAGATATAATGATAATGAAAAAGTTTGAAATATTGCAAGAATTGCCAAAATGTGAAACAGAGACACGAAGTAAGCACATGCTGTTTGAAAATGGTGCCAATAGACTTCCTGGATGCAGGTTTGCCAAAAGCCTTCGGTCTGTAAAAACAATATCTACAAAGTGCAATAAAGCAAAATGCAATAAAACCAAGTATGTCTGTATTTTCTAGCATTAATAAATTTACTTTTTGAAAAATACACCACCAAAGACATCATTTTGTTTCAATACAATAGAAGTACATCGAGGTTAAAATAGTTCTTTCCTGTAGTGTTTAAAAAATAATCAGTAAATTCATCAGAGGGAACTGAGTAGTATAACAGGGCCTAACATATTAATATTATTATGCTAACTTGAAAACGTACAAGTCTTAAGTTCTACAATGAACGTTATTTCTCACTAACACATATGCAAAACGTTGGTCTGCATGTTGTCACAATAGGTGACTTGCTCAGTATGGCTTAAAGCTTGCTATAATATTCACATGTGCCTAACTACTTTACTACATTAATTTAAATAACAAAAACCACAATTACTTTTGCACAACCTAGTATCTCTCCACTGACTCCGTGAAGGCCCACTTCCTCTTACTGATGAACCTCCAATTCTCAATTTTGAAGTTTGCTCAGATGTAGATAACCTCAACAGAATCTTAAATCCTAGAGGCAAAGACTATCAACACTCTAAAAATGTATGCAAAATATTGCGAATCTGTGTGTGTGTGTCCTTTTTCTTTTCCAGAGAGTGTGTTCCATAGCTTTAATCAGATGCTAAAGATGTCCCTACTCTGACTCAAAAGACCCAAGGAGTGCTGCCCGAGGGATTTAACTAGCATCCCCCAATTATCTTGTTATTATGGATTTGTCTATCAGAACTACCCAAATTCCCCCGATAGGACTCAGAGAATCCTTGAGGAGGCCAGACCCTTTGCAGGTAAGTGTTTCCTTGCATTTCCCAAACCTAAAGTATCAGTTTCTGTGATTAGAACTTGCATTTGACAGAGCACAGACTCTGGAGTGAGGCTGATCTGGAGCTGCAGTCCTGCTTTGCCCCTCATTCCATGTGTGGCTATGGTCTGAGCCACCATTTGTGCTGCCTGGATCCCAACGGTAGCTCACTAAATGCTTTCCCTGCTTCTGTCCTTGCCCTTCTTCCGTCCATTCTCAATATAGCAGCCAGACCAATCCTTTACAAGGAGTCCCATTACCTGACTCCTCTGCCCCAAATCTTTTATTTTTTCCTTTTTGAGATAGGATCTCATTCTGTCACCCAGGCTGGAGTGTAGTGGTGCTATCAAAGCTCCCTGTAACCTAGATTTTCCAGGCTCAAGCGATCCTCCCAGCCCAGCCTCACAAATAGCTGAGACTACAGGTGCAACACCACCACACCCAGCAAATTTTTAAATTTTTTTCTAAATTTTTAAATTGTTTGTAAAGGCAGGGTCTCCCTATATTGTCCAGGCTGGTCTTGAACTCCTAGGCTCAAGTGATCCTCCTGCCTCAGCCTCCCAAAGTGCTGGGATTTAAGGCATGAGCCACCACTCCTGGCCCCAAATCTTCTAGAGATTCCCCATGTCAGAGAAAAAAATGGCCTCAAACATGCCTACTCAGCCCCTCCTCCCCTTCTCCTCTCCTCTCTGACCTCAGCTCCTTCCACTCTCCCTGTCCCCCACGTTCTCTTCTGTCACAGTGGCCGCTTACTGTTTCTCAAATCTAAGGACCCTTTTCTCTTAGAGCCTGGGGTCTTTGCAGTTCCCAATGTGCTTCTCTAAAATACCCTCATGAATCACTCCCTTCAATCTCAAGCCACCATTTTGGAGAGGTCCTCTTGAACCCTAAACTACCTAATGACCCCCCACATCCTTTGCAGCTGCTCTTGGTATCCCTTTTCCCTTGCTTCATCCTTCTCCATTGCATCTATCACCATCCGACATATATCACTCGCTAGTGTATTTTTTCTATCTCCTTTTGTGTCTAACCAACCCTGTCCCTGCTCAATCCCTAGAACATGGATCAGCCAACTTTTTAGTAAAAGGCCATGTAGGAAATATTGTTGGCTTTGTGTGTCACACGGGTCTCTGTTGCAGCTTCTCAACTCTGCTATTATAGGGGGAAAGCAGCCATTGACAATACATAAACAAATGAGTGTGGCTGTGTTTCAATAAAACTTTACTTATTTTGAGCAGATCATAGACCAAAAATAAAGTTAAAACTATAAAGCTTTTAGAAGGAAACATACAGAAATATCTCATTGTGATTTTCATTTGCATTTCTCTAATGACCAGTGATGATGAGTTTTTTTCATAGTTTGTTGGCCACATAAATGTCTTCTTTTGAGAAGTGTCTGTTCATATCCTTCGCCCACTTTTTGATGGGGTTGTTTGTTTTTTTCCATGGGCAAAGACTTCATGACTAAAACACCAAAAGCAATGGCAACAAAAGCCAAAATTGACAAATGGGATCTAATTAAACTAAAGAGCTTCTGCACAGCAAAAGACGCTATCATCAGAGTGAACAGGCAACCTACAGAATGGGAGAAAATTTTTGCAATCTATCCATCTGACAAAGGGCTAATATCCAGAATCTATAAGGAACTTCAACAAATTTACAGAAAGCACTTTTTAGTCACTCCTGGAGGGCAGAGGCTACATTCATTTTCTTCACCAATGTACCTTAATGCCCTAGCATGGGCCTTAAGGTGCATAATCAGTATTAATTAAATGGATGGATGGGAATGAAGAGTGAGTAATCTTCATAGCTAACCAAAGTTGGAACAGCCTCCCTCAATTTGTGGATTAGAAAGTTCAAAGGAAACTTTTCAACCACTTGCCAGGATGTAGCAAACATGATCTTACATTACTATGGTACCTTTGCCACAACTAAAGAACTAACATCACTATTTACTAATCATCACACTTTGTTCAGATTTCACTAGCTTTTCCACTAGTAATCTTTTTCTGTTCCAGGATTCCATTCAGGATAGAAGACGACATTTAGTTGTCATGCCTCCTTAGGTGCCTTTGACTGTGAAAGTCTCTCAGAATTCCTTTGTTTTTGATGACCTTGACAGTTTTGAGAAGGAATCACCTAGTATATTGTAGAATGTCCTTCAATTTGAATTTGCCTAATGTTTTCCTCATTATTAAACTGAGGTTATAAATTTGGAGGGGAAAGACAACAGAGGTAAAGTGTCATTTTTAATTGCATTATATCAAGAGTACATACTATCAATGTGGTATCACTGTTGATGTTAACACTGATCATCAAGCTGAGGTAGTGTTTGTCAGATCTCTCCATTATAAAGTTACTGTTTTTCCCCTTTTTTCATCCTTATGTTCTTTGGAAGAAAATCACTATACCCAGCCCACATTCAGGGGTAGGAGAAATTGAGCTCCATCTCTTGCAGGAGATAGTGTCTATGTAAATTATTTGGAATCTTTCCATAAGTAAGATGTGTCTCTCTCCCCATTTATTTATTTGTTTACTTGATCAATCATTTATACAAGTATGGATTCATAAGCATGTATTTTATCTTTAGGTTACAATCCAGTACTACCACTACATTTTTTTCTCTCTTCTGCAAATTTGTTTTGTTTTTTGTTTTTTGTTTTTCTTTTTGTTCTTCTCCCAGCTTTGGCCATTGGTAATTCTTTTACCTCCTGTGCTTCTTAGACATGTTCCCATCGTTTTGTTTTTTGACTGCTTCCTTACTTTCTAGCAATACAAGATGCTCCAGGCTCATCTTGTATTTTCCCTGCCCCACCCCTAGAGTCAGCCATTTCCCCAAGGAGCCCTCATTCCTTAAATGAAAGAATTGTATTAGAAACCAAGATCTGTACTCTGGGTATGCTCCTCGCTAATAGGGTGTCACTGTTTCTAGATCCTCTCAGCAGACAGAGCTAGAAAAAAAAAAAAAAAAAAAATATATATATATATATATATATATATATATATATATATATATATATATCCTAATCCATGTAAATGGCTTATACATATCTACAATTATGTCTGTATTTATGCATCTTTATATTAAGGGAAACATGACATCATATGGAGATTTCTATCTCTAATCCATAGTTGATTCACCTGGCTCACTCTTGCCTCCTCCTGGCTTATCTAACATCACTCTCCAGCAGTGAGAAAACTGATTCCCATCATCCACCATTCATTTCTTCATTTGTTCAAATCCAGTATACATACATAGAAATTGTTAACTGTTTCTTAACATTAAGAATTTTACATGTGTGTTATTATATTACGTCTTGATAACAACTCATACAGATGAGGAAACTGATACTAGAGCTTTTAAACTACTTTCCCAAGGTCACACACCTACCAAGTCCCAGAACTGAAATTTGAATCAAAATCTGCCTGTATAAAAAGTCAATGACCTTGCTAGTTTACATATTGCTTTCCAATAATATAAAAAATGGAAAACTACTTTGTAATATACAGTTTGAAAATAAACAAATGTATTGTTTTCACTATAAAAGATGTTTGTGTTTATTATAAAAATCTGGAAATCTTTATTTGTCCAATAATATTATACAACATAAACAATTTAAAATGCATTTTTTACTTAATAAGTGCTTTGTAAGTATAATTTTTAATAACTGCTTAATGTTCCATTCAGTCAGTGAACCATAATCTGCTTAACCACACTTCCATTGCTGGAAATGTAGATGGTTTCATATTCTTCACCAATGTAAAAAATGTTTAAATGCATTTGTATATCCACTAAATAGGATTACTGGGCCAAACTATTTAAGGCTTTTAATGCATCTTGCCAAATTGCTATCATAGGAAGTTGTGCTAATTTAACTCTCCCCAATATTATCTGAATGGTTGTTTCACTGACACATTTTAATATTATTGTTTAAGAGAAATCTCTGCTCTACAAATGGTCATCAGAGTTGAGCCTTGTTCTTATTATGACAAACTTCAATTTAATTTACCCAAGACCCTACTTCCAGATATTAAGTGATTGTAAAAAAAAAAAAGTTCAGCTTTTTCTACAGAATCCTGATTAAACAATGAAAAAGTGTATTGTCTTTTGACATTATAAAGTATGTATTTATTTCTTCTGCCCTCCCCCATATTATAAAGCATAGTTCTTATTAATAAGTCTTTTGACAGAATATGCTTCTGCCTTTAAGGCTTAGTCTTGGTTTGCTTACCACTCTTTAATTAAGAATTTCTGATAAGATCAGTAAAATAAATCAACCGCTATTTGTATCTGTAGTTCCTTGGCTATCATGCTCTGATCTTGGCCCCAAGCTTATTGTAAGGAGTTCCAAAATCAACATGTTAACCAAGAGTTATTTGTATATTGAATACATATTATATATCTCATAAAGGCAGACCACTATTTTCCAATGTATGTGTCTGTTATTGTGAAAAATACAGATTTACTTCAAAGCACTGCTGAATTCATAAGAGCTTTTCTCACCAAGTATTTTCTCAGAAGATCCTGAAAAATACAAAGCTATTATGGAAGTTTTAGAGGTGAGGGAACATTAAAAAGTTTTCATCATATTCAAAAATGTTGAACACTGCTTAAATATGTTTGTGTACATTTGGTGGCATTAGGCAAGGCATGCACTTACTAAACACATTAAACCAAATGTCATTCAAATAGTTCTTCAGCTTGTGTTCAACATTAGGTAAAAATTGAGGGGCTTTTTGGGGTTTTTTTTTCTGTTTTTTTGTTTGTTTGTTTGTTTGTTTGTTTTTGAGACAGAGTCTCACTCTGTTGCCCAGGCTGGAGTGCAGTGGCAAGGTCTCTGCTCACTGCAACCTCCACCTCCCATGTTCAAGTGATTCTCCTGGCTCAGCTTCCCAAGTAGCTGGGGTTACAGGTGCCCAGCACCGCACCCGGCTAATTATTGTATTTTTAGTAAAGATGGGGTTTCACCATGTTGGCCAGGCTGGTCTCAAACTCCTGACCTCAGGTAAGCCACCCGCCTGGGCCTCCCAAAGTGCTGGGATTACAGGCGTGAGCCACCACGCCAGGCCAGTTATCGTATCCTTTTCTGAGATGTTCAAGCACTGTCTTCTTTCAGTGAGGGATGCTGCAACAATCTTAAAAAAGTTTCAAAATTAACAATGGCACCCACACTGAAGGCCAAAATTTTCCTTAAGCCCACAGTATGAATTTGGGTGAATGTAAGCACAACACAAATCTTCAGTTATTATATGTGTGTGCCCAGTCTCTAACACTGATCTCAGGCATTTCCCACAGTGTAGATCAGACATGTAGTCAGTGTAGGATCAAGAGGAACTATAGGGAAGCTGAGCCCTCATCGGCTGATGGGGGCAGTGGATTCCCTTGCTACCATTTAAATATCCTCAAAGCTTGAGTGACTGTGCTAAGACTAACACTAGGCAAAAATAAAGGAGACCAATTTTTATAAAGCAAAATGGAAGCACTGTTACTCAACTCTGCTGTAAGACTGCAAAACCTTACAACTGTTTTATAGGAAGGAGCAGTGAAGCAGGAAATTGTTAATGCAGCATATATGGAAAAAGAGAGGACACGTAAGGATATCAAGCAAAGATGCCAAGATTTTAATATCTACCAAAAGCCGCTACAACAGAGACTAAAAGGTACAGAGTAAGCACTCAAGAAGTTAAATGTCACCTAATTAATTATAGATTTGGGCTTGATTAGCTTTAAGGAAGCTTACGAAGAAAGGAAACAGGGTTAATCTGTTGTATTTAGTTAGCAGGGAGTTAGCAGGCATCCTTCTTTCTCACCAGCTTTGGTCTGCCACTGCACTTATTTCTGATAAAACATGGTAGCTATTCCATATGGCATGGATGTAAACATGTAGTCACTGTTTCAGCATCTTATAGAACTTATTTCTCACATACAGATTTTAAGACATACATTATAAACCTCGTAATACCTACTGTTCAACATACAAGAGCCTCCAGAGGACATGTAGACATAACTTTTAAGGAAATTCATTTCTAGATCCTCAACATTCACATATACTCTTTCTTAAAACTAATTTTCTTATCTAGCATCCAGATCTTGGTTTCTGAATACTATTCTCCAATAAAAGGAACCAGTGCGCCTTGAAGAAATGGCTGAGTGTAGGTCTGGGGCAGGGATAATACAAGATGAACCTGGAAAATCTTGTAATTACAGAAAATAAGAATGTGGAAAGGAAGAAAGAGACAGACAGAGAAAGGAGGAGGAAAGGAAGGAGGGAGGGAGAATAAAAACCTGTCAAAAGGACACAGAAGTCAACTTGAAAGGGTTCTCAATGACCAAAGCTGAAAGAAATTGAGCAATAAAATAAATAGCAATAGCACTGATTTATAACCCAAAATATAAAACAAAGATTCATGGATCTATACTGACATAAACAAATGATTGAATAAATAAGTAAATAGAGAAGAAACAAATCTTTCTTATATAGTTGCCTCGCTATGAGTAAAGCCAGGCAGGAAGGAGTGAAACAGAAAATCTCCATCAAAATACTGCAGTAATAATTGCTGCTGATAAGATTCAGTCAGGCATGTTAAAATTAGTGGGTAAAATTTCAATGAGAAACAGAATAGTTGAATAGCTTCAAAGAACCTCCCCCAAAATAAGTATTAATTACTGTGGTGGTTTTAACATATATTCACATTCTCTAATACTCTTCCCTCTAGGAGGTAGAACTGAATTCCTCTTTCCTTGAACATGAACTGGATTTAGTGACTCTCTTCTATCAAATAGAAGATGGAAAGGAAAATAGTAACTTTGCAGTGAAGAAACCTGGCATATACCATTTACAAAATAGATTAAGGTTAACATCACCAGTAGTGAGTCATGTTGATATCCTGTAACTCCTGATACGATACAATGGAGAGCACTTCACATCTGTGGTATTCTTAAAAATGCATAACCCGGCCGGGCGCGGTGGCTCACGCCTGTAATCCCAGCACTTTCGGAGGCCGAGGCGGGCGGATCACGAGGTCAGGAGATCGAGACCATCCTGGCTAACACGGTGAAACCCCGTCTCTACTAAAAATACAAAAAATTAGCCGGGCGTGGTAGCGGGCGCCTGTAGTCCCAGCTACTCGGGAGGCTGAGGCAGGAGAATGGCGTGAACCCGGGAGGCGGAGCTTGCAGTGAGCCGAGATCGCGCCACTGCACTCCAGCCTGGGCGACAGAGCGAGACTCCGTCTCAAAAAAAAAAAAAAAAAAAAAAAAATGCATAACCCATAGTCTTTGCTATTGTAAATAGTGCTGCAGTAAAAGTACATGTGCATGTGTCTTTATAGTAGAATGATTTATAATCCTTTGGGTATATACCCAGTAATGGGATTTCTGGGTCAAATGGTATTTCCAGTTCTAGGTCTTTGAGGAATCACCACACTGTCTTCCACAATGGTTGAATTAATTTGTACTGCCACCAACACTGTAAAAGCATTCCTATTTCTCCACAAACTCACCAGCATCTATTGTTTCCTGACTTTTTAATAATCGCCATTCTGACTGGCATGAGATGGTATCTCATTGTAGTTTTGATTTGCATTTATTGAAGCACTATTTACAACAACAAAGACTTGGAACCAACCCAAATGACCATAAGTGATAGACTAGATAAAGAAAATGTGGCACATATACACCACGGAATACTAGGCAGCCATAAAAAAGAATGAGATCATGTCTTTTGCAGGGACATGGATGAATTTGGAAGCCATCATTCTCAGCAAACTAACACAGGAACAGAAAACCAAACACCACATGTTCTCACTCATAAGTGGGAGTTGAACAATGAGAATACATGGACACAGGGAGGGGAATGACACATACCAGGGCCTGTCGGGGAGTGGGGAGCAAGGGGAGAGAGGGCATTAAGACAAATACCTAATGCATGTTCTGCTTAAAACCTAGATGATGGGTTGATAGGTGCAGCAAACCACCATGGCACGTGTATACCTATGTAACAAACCTGCACATTCTGCACATGTATCGCGGAACTTAGAGTAAAATTTAAAAAAATTAAAATAAATGCATAACCCCAGTCTATCCATGACAACACATAAGAAAGACCCAAATTGATAAACATTCTACAAAATACCTGGCAAGTACTCTTCAAAAACTGTCAAGGTCATGAAAGGCAAGGAAAGACTGAGAAACTGTCACAGATTGAAGAGCCTAAGAAGAC
Organism: Homo sapiens; assembly: GCF_000001405.40. Classification (NCBI taxonomy): domain Eukaryota; kingdom Metazoa; phylum Chordata; class Mammalia; order Primates; family Hominidae; genus Homo; species Homo sapiens. The sequence continues at coordinate 8,405,194 of NC_000007.14, read as the reverse complement.
CCAACCACTAAATGCAACATGTTATCCCAAAATGAAAAAGAAAAAGAAAAAAGAAAAAGCATCACCAGAGAAAGTTGAAGAAATCTGCACCAATCTGTAAAATCTGTACAAATGTTAATTATTTTAGTTTTGATAGATGTACCATGGTTGTTTGAGATACTAATATTAGCAAAAGCTGGGCGAAGTACAAGGGCACAGCTTAGCCTGTGAATTCCGGGCTAAGAGATCTAAGCTTCTGGCTCGTAAGGAATGCGAGCCCCAAGCTGGTCATCTGAGCCTTGGCTTTTCTTCTTCCCCTGTTTTATGCTCATGAGCACAGCTCCAGGCTGGCCAGACAGACACTCAAAACAGTCTAGGTTCTATATGAGCAAAGTGATGACAGGGTCATGGGTGTCAGTAATTCCTGTAGCCTGTTGATTCTCCAAGTACCATCCTAAACTGGTTATCAAAGTCTTTTGAAAACTTCTTCTGTTACTAGTTTTTATTTTTCTGACTATAGTAAAATATATGCAGCATAAAATTTACCATTTTAACCATTTTTAAGTGTACAGTTCAATAGTTAAGTACATTCATATTGTTATATGGCCAATCTTCAGAAATCTTTTCTTCTTGCAAAACTAAAACTTTAAACCCATTAAACAACTCCCCATTCCCCCTCCCTTCAGTACCTGAAAACCACCCTTCTACTTTCTGTCTATGAATGGGACTATTCCAGGTACCTCATATCAGTGGAATCATACAGTAATTGTCTTTCTGTGACTGGCTTATTTCACTTAACAGTGATCTCAAGGTTCATTCATGCTGATGCATGTGTCAGAATCCTTCCTACTTCAGACTAAATAATACCTCAATGTATGTGTACGCCACTTTTGTTTATCCAATCATCTATCAATGGTCACGTGTGCTGCTTTTGCCTTTTGGCTATTGTAAATAATACTGCTAGGAACATGGGTGTATAAATATCTCTTTGAGATCTTGCTTTCAATTCTTTTGGATATGTGCCCAGAAGTGGAATTGCTGGATCATATGGTAATTTTATTTGTAATTTTTTGAGGAACTGCCGTATTGTTTTCCACAGCAACTGCACCATTTTACATTCCCATCAACAGTACACAAGGGTTCCATTTTTTTCCATATCCTTACCAATGCTTATTGTTTTCAGATTTTTGGTTTTTTGTTTTTGTTTTGATAGTAACCATCCTAAAGCGTGTGAAGTACTAGATTTTATTTTACACAATCAAACTAGGAAATCCATAGCACATGAGACTGGAAGTTCCTCCTCTTTTGAGTCAATCAGAAATTTCCTGTGTTTTAGTCTCTTCTTGTATAAAACTGGGATAGTCCCTCTTCTTGTCTTACAAAATGAAAACAAAAATGTTTGCTCCATCAACATGAGAGGAAGGATATACCTAAGATTACCTTTGAATAAATGGCAAAATATTGTTAGGAGTGTGTGAAGGAAAAAGAGGAAAATGGGGAGGACAATGTGAAGAAATTAGAAGTTCATGGGAGACTGAGCAGGAGCCATGAATAACCATACAGGAAAGTGCATCATGGTGTGCGAAGCTCACCTGCCATAAGTGAATAGCCAATAGCAGAAAGTAAGATGACTGAAGACAAAAAGAAAAGGAATTCACTCTTGCTGTTCTTTGAATGTGTCATGCCTGCTCCAGCTTTTGCCTCTGATGGAAAGTTTTTCCTCCTGTTATCTGCAAGGGTAATTCCCTCCTCTCCCTCAAGTCTTTAATCATATGTCATCTTTTCAATAAGCCTACTCTTACTGCCCTATTTAAATTTACAACACCCATCCAACCCCTGGAACTCTTGATTTCCCCTTACCCTCCTTAATTTTTGTTTTTCTCATAGTTTTTATCACCTTCTAACAGACTATGTGGTTTACTGTTTATTGCCTGTCTCCCTCCACCAGAATGTCAGCTCTCTAAGGGCAGGAATCTTTGTCTGTTTTATTCATGTATGTATCCCAAACTGATAAAATAATCCTTAGTACATAGCAAGTGCTTAAGAAATAAAAAAGAATGAAAGAAGGAAGAAATATGTGAAAAGGAGAGAGAAGTGCAAAAATAGAATAAAATATTCCTAGCGCTTCAGTGATGGCCCCAAAATTCCTAGAGTGAAAAAAGAGAGAAATATGGTATTATTAAATATATGTGCTAAAATGTTCATGATGTCACAGTCTGAGATTCTTCTGAAGGCAAAGACTGATGTAAAGTCTTAGGCACAGGTAGTTTATTTGGGAATGTGATGCAAGGAGCAGGAGTGAGGGACTAGTTAGAATGAAACAGAGAAGAAGAAAGAAACAGCAATACAAGGATGCAATGCTGAGACTGCCACTGCATTACAGATGGCTCGCATCTGACCTGGCTGAAGCATTCGAAGTAGTCTCAGGAAATATCAGAGCTGTCCACTCAGGAGACAAAAGAGAGACAGACACATTTTATCCATTGGCTTCTGTCTCCCATTGGCCAAGGATGAGTCCACAGGCACTTCCAGGTTGCACATGCACAGAACTCAAGCTCCTGTCACTAAAAACGCCATGATAACATGAAGCAGCCTGAGGTGAGGTGCTAAAAGAGGACACCCATGGAAAGCTGCATGTAACTCGTCACTGAAGCACAGCTAAGAGGAAGCAAGGTGATGCACAAGAAGTGTCTCATACAGCACACTACTGAGAACTCCTTCCCTGTCAAATTTTTAACCTTTCCTTAGAGCAAGTCTTTCCAAATACCTTTAAATACTGTGCATTAAATACTGTGCAAGCAGTTGCCCTATCTTGAAGCCTGTTTCACAGGAAGAGAATGAGAAATTTAAATGTAAATGGTTTCTAAAGGAGAAACGAGGGATCGCAAGGCCCCCAAAGATAATTTGCTGTAATATAAAAATACCCTAGAGAAGGCCCCCAAAGATAATTTGGGGTAATATAAGAATACCCTAGAGAAGGCAGCAACTAATTCGTAAGTGAATCAAAACTACTGGTACCTTAAATGCCCCAAGGTATTTGATCCAGAGATCATACAGTATGGCTGACACTTAATAAACAAAGTCTCTAACATCTTTCTGAAGAGCTGGTAATGTGGCAACCTTTACTCATCCATATGGGGCAGCAAGCAGACTGGAGGAACTTAGGCAGAGCTAGGGTATTAGGCAGAGCTAGGGCAGGGGAAGGCTGTAACAAACTACTCGCTCTTGACTCTCACTAGGGGGTGGAGAGAAATCATTGCGCCTCTTTTGGGCCAATCATCCCTCCTCATTCAATGTCATTCAGTGTCAGAGATTGGCCAGTTCAGTCTTTGATGGGGACCACTGCACAAGGTGCAGGTATGCAGGGATCCTGAAGGAATACCTGCACTTACTCGTTCAAGGTCCAACAAGAACAAGGGAGAAGAGAGGGAAATGGAAGCAGAAGGAACACTTGGAGAAGTATGGCTGGCCAATGCTAGTGGGGATGAGAGGATTGGTTCCCTCGAAATGGCTCAGTAAAAATGGGAGGAGGGGATGAAAGGAGGTAGAGAGGGATGTGAAAACAATAAGGATTTAACTACTAGAATAAAAATAGTAGAAAGAAGATGACCAAAGTAAATCAAACTAATAGAGGCACTCATGGACATGCACACACACACACACCAGAAAGCTCTGACACTTTGCTGCCCTCAGTCTTTGCCTGCTCAGTGTTAGTACTTGTAGAAAGCTCTGCCGGACCTTCCCAGACTGAGTTGACTCTGCTGTGCTATGGCCTGCCCTCCTCAACCACAGCTCTCATCGTTGATAGGTAGTAATTGTCCTCTTGTCTGTTACCCTCTTCAAAGGTGAATTCCTTGAAAGCTGAGACGTTGGCTCTTCTTTGTATCGGAGTCTCATTCAAATTAGAGTCTCAGTAAAGAGATGTGTGTTAAAAGAATGAATCAACTAGTCTTTCCATGAAATGGAGGTATAGATATGAATGTAAAAATAAGTCCAGAAAAGTCAAATATGGAGTGAAGTAGTTATGGCCAAAGACCAAACAGAACCTAATAAAACTAAGCAAATCTTATTAACAATACAGATTATTTTTTTGTTTTCATACTAAGAGATTTTGATTCTTTCTGGCCAGCTCTCTAATTCTGGCTCTAGGTTTAGGAAGAAACAGCTCTCCCAGGAAATTCTCACAATCAAACATTTTCTTCAAATTCTGAGGAACTGATATTTTCTGTTTTCAATTGTATATTGAAAAAGGAACTTTCAATCAAGAATAAGAAAAGAATGAAGATGGTTCAGACACGCAAATATTTCTTCATGAGTCCAGTGATTCTGACATAGTGGCAGGTGTGACAGGAGTAAAATGATCATACACGTTTAAAAGCACTCCTAGGACTTCTGGTACAGGTGACCCATGGACCACGCTTTGTGGAAAAGCTACTGTACATCTACTGAACTGCAGACAGAAAGCCCCATCCTGACCAATTGAGTGACAATAGGAATTATGTCCAAGGGCATGTAAGTATCATCAAGAATTTGCATTAGTAAATGTGTACTCCTGAACAGGAGGGACCAGTAAGCACTAAGATTACATTCAGTGCTATCCGTGTCCATGCCAGGAGACTGAGAGGGAAAACAGGAGCAACCCTCAGGCTTCTAAGACCAATGGACATAGTAGGTCAGAAACAGTGCATGAGAGTCCTATGCAATGGATAGTGTGTAATAGTCAACAACAACAATTAAAAAAAAGTATGCTTCGTATGGAACTTTCATTGATTTTCCCGGAAATACTGAGGAGCTGTCTCGAGGAGTGTGGGTGGAGATGTGTTAAAGATGAGAAGATAATAAACAAGCAGAAGCATAATAGAGTGAGGCTCCAGAGGGCACAGAGTATTCTTTGGTTGGGGAATTTCACTGGTGGATTTTATCAAGGCCCTTGACAGTTTAAATAAGCCTTGGACAAAACATTAAGGGAAATGACCGCAGTACAAGGATTAATGATATTTCTGAGTAAAACAGAGTATAAAAAACATTTAGAAATGAAAAGCCTTACTGTCACCAAATCCAGACAGTATCTTCATCCATTACTGTGTTGTCCATGACATTACATATAGGGCAGACCCTTAGAAGATTCTCCCAATATTGGTTAACAGAGATGTCTACCCAAAGACGTAAATCAAGCAATCTAAATGAAAGTACATTTCAGAACTTTAATCACCACATGAAAAATAATGATAACAAGTAAGAAATACAGTGAGATCTCAACAGTGCATCTTGAGCTTGATCTGGAAAATCTAATATCTGAACTAGTCTGATGCCATGACTAGCTCTTCCAGGGGTAAATTTGCATGAGGGTTATTGGGCTTGAGGAGAATTTTTTTTTTTTTTTGCATGAGTACTAGGAGGAAAAATCCATGGTATCTATCTTGAATGTTGCTCTCTCATCCAGTTCCAGGTGAGGAGCTATATTTCCAAAGAATTCTGAGAAATTCATGGGCACAAGGAATGCTATTTGGTGTAGAGAGATGAGGTAGGATACAGACTGGGTAACAGGAATTCTCCCTTTAGTTTTCTGCAGACTTTAGTGTGACTCAAACCTATTGAGACTCCAGCAAGCAGCAGAAAAAGAGTGGCCTCAGCTCGGACATCAGCTCTCTTATCGAGTGCAAGAGCAGCAAGGCCAGGAGGGAGCAGCCAAGTCAAGTGCCTTCCCAGGTAGCAGAAATCAACTAGAAGCCAGAATCAAAGGCCAGGAGGTGATCATTTGTACGTTCACGTGCACCATCTTTGAAGGATTTCCACAACACTTGGAGAACAGCTGCAAGTTCATAAAGAGTAGGTGGGGTGAAATTTGTGTTGTCACTATTAATATGATCTGCATTTATACTCATATTTGGTGAGGCCTAGGCAATTCCACATTACACAAATACAGGAAACACAACTTCTCCAGAAGATATTCCCTCGTAAACTGGCCCTTCAAATCATTAGTGTATTTGTAATGTCTAAGAATTTAGTCTTTCAGTTTTTATATCATATTTATTATGTGTTTTTTACACATTATCTAGTTTTTCTTGTGATTATATTTCATCTCTTTACTTGGACTCTGAGTTCTTTGAAGAGTGGAATCATGTATTCCAATTTTTTTTTTTTTTTTTTGAGGCAGTGGAGTCTTGCTGTGTCACCTAGGCTGGAGTGCAGTGGCATAATCTAGGCTCACTGCAAACTCTGCCTCCTGGGTTCAAGCGATTCGCCTGCCTCAGCCTCCCAAACAGATGGGATTACAGGTGCAGCCACCATACCCAGCTAATTTTTGTATTTTTAGTAGAGATGGGGTTTCGCCATATTCACCAGGCTGGTTTCAAACTCTTGACCTCAGGTGATCCACCTGACTTGGCCTCCCAAAGTGCTGAGATTACAGGTGTGAGCCACTGTACCCGGCCTGTATTCCAATTCTTTTTTGCTCCTGAAATAACAAAATGTCAAGCACAGCTTAAAGAGCTCAGAGTACATGGTTATGAAACAAATGGAAGAAGCATACTTAAATTATTTAAAGAAAACTTTAGAAAAAATGAAGCATGTATTAAAATGTAAAGTGGTGCAAATACATGGTTTCAAATCAAATTTCAGAAATCAATTAAGAATTACAGAACAGTAAGGCATCCCATCATGCAGAGACAATAAGTACATCTTAACTAGCATGACAATTCCAACCAAGCCATGATGGCAGAAAATGAGCTCAACTGGAAAAAGACTCTGGATCCGTTAGCTATGTCTGCCTTGGATGAGGTATGGGGGATTTGCCACATTTATGACACCTCTTTACCATTATTCATAAGATAAGGAGACACTGGAAAGTAAAAATAGGGGAGAGAAGAAATAAGACCAGGATCCCTACACTAACTTTTGCTGCTTATTTTTTACTATTTACAGACAAAACACAAGATATAAGCATCACAAACCAGGAGTGTTTTTTAACTTTATTTTGAAATAAGTTTGGACTTACAGAAAAGTCATGATACAGGTACAGAAAGGTACTATCATACACCCTTCACCCAGCTTCTCTTAATGTTAACATCTTATATAACCATAGTGAAATTATCAAAACCAGGAAATAAACATAGAGATTATATCATTAACTAATATACAAAGATTATTCAAATTTCACTAGTTTTTCCATGAATAGCCCTTTTCTGGTCCAGGACCCAGTTCAGGATCTCACTTTGCATTTAGTAATCTTATCTCCTTAGTCTCTCCTAGTCAGGGACAACTTCTGAGTCTTTCTTTGTCTTTATGACCTTGACACTTTTGAAGGCCAGGTTTTTTGTGGAATATCCAAGTGAGTTTGACATTCTCTCATAATCAGCTTAAGGGTTGTATATTTGGGGCAAGAATCCCAAAGAAATGACATTGTGTCCTTCTCACTCCATGTATTCTTAAGGGGCTACAGAAGAAATCAAGAAAGCAGTGGGGAAATGCTAAGTTGCATTAAAAGATAAGACAGTAATGTTTTCAAGAAAGAATGATGGACTGTTGACAGAAAAGAAAATGTCTTGGTCAGTGGGAGTGTGGGCGCAATGAAATGGGATCAGTCCAATATGGCTGGAGTGAGAACAAAATTGGTACAAAAATTTTTAAAAGTCACTTGACAGTATATATCATAAGTCTTAAAATTTTTATAAGACCTTTGACTCAAAAACTTTGCTTCTGAGAATCTATCCTGAAAATAACCAAAAACCTTGCTATTTACCAGACTGTCATTTAAAATAGCATGAAAATGAAGAAAAATATCTAAACATCTTTATAATAAATAGTTGGGTTTGTGGGTTGTTGTGTTTTATTTATTTTATTTTATTTCATTTTGTCTACCCAAACCTGAGCTGATTTAGGGAAAGCCCCAAGAGGTGAAGAATTCAGGGCTTTACCTCCCATGGTGGAAGACAACCAGGATGTGTGTCAGCAACCTAGGCTTATCCAATCAGATACTCAATGGATTTTGAATATTGAGGGAGTGACACAAAGAGCCAGGGGGTGGTTGGAAATTAACAATAATTGAGGATATTTATCCTGTAAGTTACTGAATCATATTATCCGAATTCATATGTTTACCATGCATCATATGTGAAAATTAGCATGTGAATTGGAAAGTAATCAAACTCTGAGAATTGTACTGAGGATATATAGTACTATGGACTGACCTGTATCCCCCTAAAATTCAAATATATGGAAGCCCAAACCCTCAATATAATGGTATTTAGAGATAGGGCCTTTGGAAAGTAATTAGTTTTAGATGAGGGTAGGAACATTATGATGGGATTAGTGCCCCTATAAGAAGAGACACCAGAGAGTTTGCTTCCCCACCTCATTCCCTCTATCTCCTTCTCTCTCTCTCTCTCTCTCACTCTCTCTCTCACTCTCTCTTTCTCTCTCTCTATCTGCCATGTGAGGCCACAGGAGGAAGGCAGCTGTGTTGCTGTGTTAGTCTGTTTGCATTGCTATAAAGGAATATATGAAACTGGGTAACCTATAAAGAAAAGAGGTTTAGTTGGTTCGTGGTTCTACAGGCTGTACACAAAGCATATTACTGGCATCTGCTTCTGGTGAGAGTCTCAGGAAGCTTACAATCATGGAAGAAGGGGAAGGGGAGCCAGCATGCTACATGTGACAGAGAGGGAGGAGATGCCAAGCTTCTTTAACAACCAGATCTCGAATGAACTTGTAGAGCGGGAACTTACTCATTACCACAAGGTTGGAACAAAGTCATTCATGAGAGATCTACTCCCCGTGACTCTAACATGACTCCACCCACCAAGTCCCATCTCCAACAGTGGGGATCACATTTCAACATGAGATATGGAGAGGACAAAACAACCAAGTCGTATCAGCAGCCATCCACAAATCAGAAAGAAAGCCCTCACCAGGGAACCAGATCAGCTAAAACTTTGATCTTGGACTTCCCAGCCTTCAGAACTATAATAAATACATTCTTATGGTTCAAGCCACCCAGTCTATGGTATTTTGTTATGGTAGACCAAGCTGATGAATACACTATATGTGGGAAGATTTGGAGAACTTTAAATGCCTTGAACCTTCAACTGCCACAGAAGGTTCAGCTCTTCCATCCCTGTCTGATGAAGTTATCTCTACTGTACTTGAAGACCCCCTAGTAATATCATATGAAGAACTTGCTTTGCAAGGAAAAGCCAATTCTCTCTTTATCCTTCATTTCTCTCTACTACTAGTCTTAAAACTATGTAGTCAGATCCCAGAATGTCTTGGGAATACAATTTGAAAGTCAAACACTTGAGAAGTCTTATATACCAAAAGAATTTCTGGGCTCTACAATTTCATGTCAGAAAAATCTGGGAATATGTGTGGAAATGAATTCTCAAGGTGCTCAAACAAATGTATTCAGCACAAGTACATTCACCAAAGATTATGTATTTGATCAACTAATTCAAGCAGCTACAAGTGGTTTTGATTGACATTAGGATGATTTTCCTGAAACCTAGACATGACAGTAGATAATACTAAATGAAGTTGGCATGCCAGAAAAAGAAAAACAGCCTTGATTGGGTGCAGTGGTTCACACCTGTAATCCCAGCACTTTTGGATGTTGAGGCAGGAGAATTGCTTGAGCCCATGAGTTCGAGATCAGTGTGGGCATCATAGCAAGACCCCGTCTCTACAACAAAATTAAAAATTCACCAGAGACTGAGGTAGGAAGATAGCTAGAGCCCACGGAATTGAGGCTGCCATGAGCTGTCATAAAATCACTGTACTCCAACCTGGGTGACAAAGCAAAACTCTGTCTCTATAAAATAATTTTTAATAAAATTTTAATCTTGGTATAATAAACAAGAAGATATATAGAGAACTAATAATATAAGAATACCAAAATGGATGAGTCATATTCATCTTCACCCATCCTCTAACTTGTCCTTCAAGGGCACGTGACACTTTGTTCACCATAGCCTTGGGAAATACACTGGCAAGAAGACTGCTAGCATCTCTGAAAAGCACTTAAGTGGTTCTTTCCTAATGCCAGGACACTGGTAGGAGACACTGCAGTGAAATGAGCTCTTATATTTCCTTGGTGATAGCAGGATCCTGAGATGGCGGAGACTCAGGAGCCCTGATGAAATGCCAACAGAAAACGGTAATACCTACCACAACAAAAAGAAGGGCCAGGGTGAAAATTGCAGTGGCTGACTTAAGTGGGCTTTTCCACAGAGGATAATTGACCATGAGGTCCATAGCACCAAAATAAATGAGTAGACTACCAAAGTGCATCTTGATGCTGTAACTAAGTCTCCAGGCTGGTGAATAGAGGCCTAACAATCACATATCTCACAGATACAGAGCTCCTTAGCTGAGGAAGAATCTGCAGGTCCTTGAGGAGGGCTTTGCAACACACAAGCATTTACTGTGAATCTTTTCCCTAAACTTCAAAGAGAATCTGTGGCACTGGGGACTCTTAGTCACTTGCTGAAGCTAACTTTAAAACTTGGTCACCCTAAGCACCACAGGTGTTTCACCTGTGAGAGAGGGTCATATGCAAGTCTGCTGATGAATATTGATCAATTCTGAACCAAGAACATTTTATTGTAGTCTGGGTGGAATCTCACAATTAGAGATTATTTCCCCTTTTCTTGGATATGGCATTGCTGGCTCATCAGCTGACAGAATTCCCTCCCTGGCTTCTTAATTTAGGGGCCAATAAAGTGGTGAATCTTAAGCCAGTCAGACCCAGGATTCAGATTTTTTTTTTTTTTTTTTAGATGGAGTCTCCCCCTGTGGCCCAGGCATGATCTCGGCTCACTGCAACTTCTGCCTCCCGGGTTCAATTGATTCTCCTGCCTCAGCCTCCCAAGTAGCTGGGATTACAGGTGTACACCACCATGCCCGGGGTTTCACTACATTGGCCAGGCTGGTTCTCAAATTCCTGACCTTGTGATCTGCCCACCTCAACCTCCCAAAGTGCTGGGATTACAGGCGTGAGCCACTGTGCCCAGCCTCCTTCAGACATTTTATACAGCCTGCTTTACTTTCCTGAAATAAAATTCATAGATAATAACATACAAACCTAAGTTTTTAAAGGACAATAGAATGGCCTAACAGTAATATGAAGAAAAAAACAAAAGAAATAGAAGGAAATACTTAGGCATGATTGCATTAGAAGTCATAATGAATTACTCAGATGCTTGTTCCATTCACTGTACTCCAGCCTGGGTACAGGGTACATAGTATCCTATGAATGCTACAGCTGCCAGTGTAGACCAATGCATGTGTGTTGTGTTGGCAACCCAAGTGCCACAAGTGCCATTACCTTCAAAGATGTGATTTTGCTAAGTGGTGTGAAACTCTTGAAAAATTCCAAACAAAGTAAGACCAAACCCCAATTTGCATGGGAGTTCCACTACAGGAAAATTTGAAGAATATTGAAACAATGGAAGCACAATAGCATTCCATGAAAGATGGAGTTAGGTCTTAGTCGATGGAATATCTGGAATGCTACTGCAATTTGTACAGCAGTAGGATGATTCTCTCTTGCTTAGGTCTGTCTTGTATATGACATCCCTGGCCCTTATCCACAAAATCTAGCAGCACAGATAATCATTGCAGTAATGAGAAATGTACCCACAAATTTCCAAAATGTCCTTTCAGATGATACCACCCACATTGAGGACAAGTGCATGGAGTGAGTGCCATTACAGCAAGACAGGGCAGCTGGAAGCTCCTGGTGGTCTCTGTCACTACCAAAATGGTAAATCTCAAGGGCTGGTGTCTTCCTCCAAACCTGAAAATTGCAAAGGGCAAGATTCTTTAGAATATGAACTATATGATGTCAAGAACCTTTGTTTGTTCATTTATGTGTTTCAGGTCTAAAATAGAACCTGGCACTTCGGCATTCAATATCTATTTGTGAAACAAATGAATAGACAATTCCATTTAAGCATTCAGTTTAGTCTGTGCATAAGACATGTGGTTCTTAGAGAATTAGTGGTTACACGTTAGCTTCCTCAGTTGGTTGCTCTACTTGAAAATACGGTTTTAGCTGTGCTATTCTTCTTGAAGCAAATACATGTAGACCTTAGCAGCTCATATATAACTTTTAATCTAAGAAAACATGTTTTTCTCTATGTAAATTTTCAAAAGCAGAAAGGACCAGAAGCAGTTTGCTACAATCTGGAAGACAGCAGAGTGCACCTTTACTATCTTGCCTCAGAATCATACAAAATCTCTAGCTCTGTGCCAAAATTAATCCAAAAAAAGTCATTATATCCTCCCACAGTTCATTGTGGTGGCTGTCTGTATGGATGACATCATGATGATATGATCTGGAAATCAAGATCCAGATAAATTATCCTGGAAACCATGGAAATATATCTATATATGACAGAGTGGAAGATAAATCCCATAAAAATATAGGAAAGTGTCAACTCAAGGAATCTTACAGGACCTCATATCAGCATATTCTTTCCAAGAGGAAGGGCAAGTGGCTGTGCAACAAGCCTCCTATCACAAAAAAAAAAGGCATAATGCTCATGGGGCTTCTCAGTGTATTGGAGGCAATAATAAAAGATGGCACAGTCCAAAATGAGAGGTCCACGACCAGGATTCCAAGCATACTATGCAAAGTGATCATGGCTACCCTTGTCTCCCTAATTCCTGTGTCTTTTCACCGTTCCATAAGCCACCTGAATATCCTTTTATCACAACATGTTCTACTTACATTAGCCAGAGTTGATTTCTTACATTTGCATGCAAGAACCCTCATAAGTACAGTTTCCAAATTGAAGAACAGCAAAAATTACAGTTACAATAAATTCACTATCATAAAGAAGTATTTATATAATAGTAAGTAAAAATAGCAAGATACAAAATGTTATGCACATAAATGAGTACAATAAATATAGAAACTGCATAGAAAACATTGGAAGGAAATATATCAAACTGTTGAGTGGTTTCCTCTGATAATGGGAAAATAGATGATTTTTCTTTTTCTTTCTATGTCCATTTATTTCCAATTTTCTATAATGAATACCTAATTCATTTATAATAGAAAATGCTTATCTTGTAAAAATCAGGTTAGCAGGAAGATAATAAAACCTGCAAAGACTCCATATATTAGACACTGTTAATGTTTTTGCATGCTAAGCTAGACTAAAATCCCTTTTCATAAAAAAAAAAAAAAAAAAAAAAAAAAAAAAAAAAACTTGTTAGGATAAACGAACCAGTACAGAAGAGTTCTTTGAGCTCATTAAAAGTCACACGTAGCATTCCTCTCAGGAGCTGCATTTATTACTCTCCCTGCCCAGCTGACGGAAATCACCAAACAGGTCTATGAAAAAGGAAGTAAAAAAGGTACCTTCAAATGAGAGACCAGAGCCTAGAAACTTGCTGTATTCGTTTCCTACCACAAACTCAATTCTTAAAACCATACACATTTATTATGTTACAGTTCTGAAGGTCAGAAGTCTAAATGGGATCTCAGCAGGGCTATGCTTCTTCTGGAGGCTTTAGGGAAGAATTAGTTTCTTTGCTTTTTCCAGCTTCTAGAGGCTGCCTGCATTACTGAGTTCACGGCTCTTCCTCACATGACTCAGACCTCTCTTTCCATCACTACATTTTCTTATCTGACTCTAACTCTACAGCCTCCCTCTTCAAAGGACCCTTGTGATTACAGTGGGCCAATCTAGGCAATCTAGGATAACTCCCCATCTCAAGAGCTTTTACTTAATCATATCTGCAAAGTCCCTTTTGCCATGCAGGATAACATATCCATAGGTTTCAGGAATTAGAATGTGAATATCTTGGGGGAAATAGTGCATTATTCTGTCTACTACACTTTGCTTTTCAAAACCGTAGTGATCAAATGAAAGACGCATTGCCTTCCTGGAATAGTGGAGGAATATGACTCAATCCTTTCAGGGCAGTTCCCCCACTGCAGGTCCCCAGCCTGGCTGGTCCCAGCAGGTGAGGGGCTGATAAAGGAGTTGAGCTGACCGCCCCTCCCCAACCCTCAAACAGGGCTTTATGATATTGCATTTTAAAAAGAGATTTATTGATGATTTTTTTTAAGTTTGAAGACCACTGTGCTCCTTGAAAATGCTCGGGCAGACTGAGAAAATCTTGATTTTTTGTTGTTGTGACTTCATTAGACTAGCCTATTTCCTTCATAATATCTGCCAGACTGGAGAATATTCCACATTTACGTGGTAACTCCTCCCAACAAATTATTTTATATCTGCCCAACAGAGAAGCAAAGTATAAGACATGAGTCGTAATGCAATTATAAGGCATCTTGGGAAAGGAAATAAAAGAAGAAAATGAAAGCCGAACTTTATTCTGGGATGGCTTTTGCTTAATATCAGCAACAGTATATCAAAACAACTAAAAAATCCCCTTTTCACACAATTTTTTTTACCATATATCGCCAGTTTGGTGGAGTTGGGGAGAAATTTTGTATGTTGTGTGTGTTTTACGTTGTAACAGGCTGTTGTTTCAAGAACTACATTGGTGTATGATGTCATGATTTACAAAATGTTTCACACACATTATTTGTGGGTATACATTGTTTAATGCATTTAATAGAATAAACATTCACTTTTAACAATATCTTTGTCTCTATTAACATTTCAGCTTAGCATCAAAGTGGTATGATGGTAATTGTTTAACAACTGGCTCCTTCTTCCACATACCCCTCCCCCTCAGAAAAAGCCCTGACTGAAGATTTCCATATGTAAACATCCCTGCCATAGTTGATTGCAAGCTACCAATGCATCGCTCAAATAGGAGTCAGGATGTGCACAATCAGCTCTTGCAAGTAAATTGGAGTGAGCTCCAGAATATCACTCAGTTTAACATTCAAGCTTCCTGTTTGTGGAGACGGATCCCTAGAAGGCTTAACTAGCAGAAAAACATCACCCTTGGAAGAAACATCGCAGTGATACTATGAAGCCCAAACCAGTTTTCACAGGAGTTATGTGATGTAGTGGATACAGTGTTCCGCCAAGTTGCTCTCAGGTCCTCTTTGCTGTTTCTGGCTTCAGTGTGCCTTAACCTCCAACAAATGACACTTGTTACTCTGCTTTGGAAGCAGCCCTCAAGGCTCTGAACATGCTGGCTCCGCCCTTACGTGGTGCTCAGCCAATGACTGATTGGGGGCGGGACCAAGCAAGCCCAGCTGCCTCTCTTACGTGCTTCCCTGCGGGGTTAGAATCCTGAGACTTAGCTTGGAATCACACCCTCGGTTCCCTCACTCTTTTCTGTTTGTCCAAAGAGTGTTTCTCCAGCAAATCACTCACACATGAATCCTCATCTCAAGGTCTGCTTCTGATGCTAAACTATTAAATCGACAGAAATGTGAGGAGTTCTTACTCATGTTTTCTAAAGCTCTGGCTCCGGGGTGTTCCCAAGATAATAGAGGGCTGTTTGATCATCCTACCACTTTCTGATGACTCCCAAGCATGGGAGTGGCATTTCAAAAGATGCACAGTGAGAAAGGTATGCCATAATATGGGGGAATTCTACTTATATCATAAACTAACTAGATCTTTTCTGGCTAAGAAAAAAGGATCTCTGCTCTCTGTGGAAAAGATTCCATTTGTTTTTGGAAACGCATCCTGTAACTAAGTGGAAAGATCCACTGTGCTTGTAAAGATGATGCCAACTGAACAATCTGTAACAAGAAATGTCTACGTAACAAAGCAAAGGAAAGACACAGGTATTGACGCCTGGAGACTCTCTTTGGTTTCACACACACACACAAAACGAAGAACCCAGAGGAATGTTTGTGTTCCCAGACTAAAACATAAAAATCCTACTACCAGAAAATTTTTAAAAGTTCTTCACAACCGGGGATGAGCATTCTTTCACTGTGTAAAGCACACACCTGTTGGTATCCTTACTTGACTGACTGAAGAAATGTGGGTGAAATAATGCCTTTACTTTCTGTGCAAATCATAAAACTGAAATAGGGTGAAATACACTGTGTGATTAGAAAATGGGAAATACAGAAGACCCTTTTACATTCTCATCTGTCAGGCTTTCATTGTCCTCTGGAAGAGGAAATGTTAAATTCTCATATAGCTTCTAAAGAACAGATAAATGCAGTCCAAAAATAAAGCAGTTGCTTCTAGGCAAGGATAAAAATATGAATAAATTGGAAATATTGCAGAAGTTTGTAATTTGTGTTTGCACATGAATTACCATAATTATTGAAAAAAAGCAGTCCAAACATAAATTCTGAAGCCATGCATTCTCAGACACCTTGCAAATTACCATCTAAAGATAGAGCATAAGGGGTTAAATCTTGAGACATTCTTTTTTATTTTACTGATGTAAAATCACTCCACCTAATTATAAAGTTTTCCCATTTGAGGAAAGCAATGATTTCAAAGGAAAGATCTTTAAAGTGCCACAGATTGGAAATAGATTAGCAAGGAACATAAATTGATAGAAAAATTTTAATATCATGC
Organism: Homo sapiens; assembly: GCF_000001405.40. Lineage (NCBI taxonomy): Eukaryota > Metazoa > Chordata > Mammalia > Primates > Hominidae > Homo > Homo sapiens. The sequence continues at coordinate 8,388,740 of NC_000007.14, read as the reverse complement.
TAACTTTGTACATAATGGTGATGAGGAAAAGAACTGCAAAAGGGTGCCAAGGTTGTAAAATTAATTACAGACTTTATTTACATAAAATATTACATATGGAGGCAAAGATATGACAGATTGTTATGAACTAGTGTGTATTTGTGTTCAAACTTGTTGCTCACAGAAAAACAAGTCCAGGAATGAATAAAACACATCACACACATATTAGGGTTGCACACAGCTTCTTTACTGTCAGGGAAATGCAGCTTTACTGGATTCGGTGCCTTTAAGTAAGAAGTAGATTTCTAGAGCTGGTAGAGAAATACAAGTGAGCGATGGAAAAAAGAGAAAGAGTAATCATACAAGACCATTCAGCTTCAGAGGCAATAAGCCAATATCTGAAACAAAATAGATTTGTTTCTCTCATGTAAAACCTTGAAGGATCCTTATGAATGTTTCTTCCATCCCCACTGTTCCTTTGTCACCTTCCCCACAGAAGTGTACTGATGGCAATTTAGTTACAATTATTATTTTCTTCCCATTCATTCCACTGGTATTGCCTAGGCCTTCAACTTTCAAGTCCTAAAGTTGTTCAAGGTAAAATCTTGTCTCATATTTTTCACAGGTCTCACTTGTGGCCATGTGGATAAGCGATAAGTAGTGGGAGGAAAGGGCATGAGGGAGGGGGCTAGGGAAGAACTAGAAGCCAAATAACAAAGCCTAGTTGGAAATTGCCCCATAGAGACATAATCTTTGACAGGCGACTAAGTGCATAGCATCTCCTAACCCTATCTCCCTTTGTGCTGCACAACGGCGCCAGATCGTGGCACTGAGTGAGGTTCCATCCAATGCCAGACAGAGGGGAGATGTGTGCAGAAAACAATAAGCCATAGTGTTGGTTTAGAACTGTGGGTGACAAGTTGCTGACAGGCTGTAGCCTGACACAAGGCTGGCAAGGGACACAGCAAGGAAACCAATAATGAGACACTGTTTGCATCCACAAATGGGCACCTAGTAAAGAGACATGAAGAAAAGGTCACTGGGCAGAAATGCATGATTGACAGAGCACAAGAAGGTAAAAGTTATCCACCCTGAGAAACATCTGTTCATGGCCAGCAGGAGCCGTGAGCCTGTGAAAGTGAAGACTGGCCCCTGAGGAGCTGCTGCAGAGAAGCAGGGTGCGATATTCTCCAAGTTAGCAATGACAAGCCAGCGGCTGCCCAATGCACACACCCTGACACATGCAGGTCTTAGGAGTCCTGTTTAAGGACTTATCACTGCCCCTGGGTGTTATTTAATCTTACTGAGTGCCACGATTGTGATAATCCTTGGGATTAAAAAAAAACTATAGCCAATTCTTCGGAGCAGGGCTGTGAAGAATTGAGGAACATGGGTGCACTCAGTATGTCCAAGAAAGCTCAGTAGACTGCACATTTTCAAAACACTGAATAAAAGCTACAGGAAACTCACTGATAAGAAAAACTGAAATGACTCATGGGTCTGTTTGAGGTTATTCCAACTTAGATTATGAAAGAAAGAGCACCTGAGATCTGAGACCCTTCTCAAGGGCAAATATCTGAGAAATAGTTCTGAATAGAAGTGTACACCATCCTTTAACACCCAAAAATCAGTCGGGGTTCAGACCAGATGAGCGTGTGTCTTCTACTCCATGTCACATTGTCTATCATGCTCTTCTGCTTGGTTAAGTCAGTCACTTTGTATCTACCAGGAAGTACCATGTCAAACAGGTCACCCAACCTTCTCTCTGTGTGTGGATTCTTGACAGACATCAAAGCCAAGATGATTGTAAACAGCCTGACAGCTCTATTAAGACAATGGAGATGAGTCTTCAGTGGTTCAAAGAATTCAAAACAACTCAGTTTGTTAAATATATATTTCAGACAACATTCCAGAAAAAAAAATTTTTAAACACATAACGAGCCTATTAGATATTAGTGCATATGGAATGTAAGCTGTGTTTTTAAAGGCCTTTACAAATTATTTTTCTTCTAATGTGCTCTGAGCCAATTCTACGAAGTTGGCCTGTTATATTTAATTCTTTCAAATGCCACTACCTTAATAAAGGCTTCTGTTGAAGACCTGCATGGCTTGTTAAAAACTGTCACTATAAAAATATCATCCAGTAGTCTTTGAAATTTTCTAAAGTAAAAGAGCAATTAGAATGTAACTCAGGTTTAAGTTTAGCTGGATTCCAATCCAATTAGCTTTATAAATTAATAGCTCTTTGTTTTGCAGCACTAGGGGAGGCTGTTTAATTAGTCAGTTTTTTGTTTCCAGTCTTACTTCAGAACTTCACATTCTGAGTTACAGAGTTTTAACTGAGTGGATGAACATTCATCTAGAAAAGTGTTTGTGCTCAAACTTCTGTCAGAACACCGTGGTAACATAAAGGTTCTCAGGTGTAACACTCTATCTCCAGAATTATAGTGTTTACGGCAGAAGTCACAAACAAGCTGCCTACGGTACGCCAGGCCTCCAGATAACTTTAACTTTCTTTTCTTTCCTGCTCTATTTGTTTTATTTTTTCTTCCTTCCTTTCTTTACCAGGACGATTTTTTTAAATTAGTGTCAAACCAAGCAAATTCATAGATCTCATATATGTTCTTGAAGGGCAGAAGCAGTGGAGCTGAGTAGCAGCTGCCCCTTTTGAATGGGCTAGATGCTGTCCTGTTCTTCCCTGTCCTTCCTAGGCCTGTAGGCTCTTGTAGGCAGGGGTTCACATTTGCCACCACTTTTGCAGTGCTTGTCTGACCTTAAGGCCATATCTTTCTTAAAGCTTTCCACTTCTTTGCAATAGAGACTCTACGGCCAGGTTCTGCAATAACTTTCTCCCCTTTTCCCATCAAGCACTTAGGGAATAAAATCAGTTCACCAAATATTAGGATATAGAGGCAATTAAGATCACCATCAACAAATGCTTCAGTGCCAATAGACATCAAAATGGCCAAACATTGCCTGTGATTTGGCCTAAAAATGTAAGAGTAGAAGTTATTATCAAAAGGAAGAAGGGCAAGGGGAAACATTCAGGAAAGAAGGGAAAACTGAGCAAATGAGAAGGAGATAGGAGAGGCATAAATGAGGAGGGAAAGATTGTCGCTCTGATAGAGGGACCCCTACAGTGCCAGCTACAACTCTATCAGAACCCCAGGGGTACCAGTTGTTTACCCAGGATTAAAGCAGGTATCCTGGGTAAAGCAGAAAAACAGATATTGAATAGGAGGAAGAAAGAGTTGGGATATTACCTACTAGGTAATAACTTTATGCAATCACTTGGAACATGCGGAGGGATGTCCCATGTGTTCCACACAAATCTATTAAGGAAAACAAGTTCTCCTGAAATGTGTTCATTTCTCTCGAGGTTTTGCTGCTTTGGGTGCTCGAGCCCACCTAAAAGTCAGTAATAGACATTAATCTCATCATCTTCTAAGCCAACCATTCTAGTGACGGAAAAAAGCTAGTTTCATTATTTTAGCTTATTCCCAATATTTAACAATAGGAGACATTTTGAGGCCACTAACAGGGTTACTTGTCAGGAACTCCTTTTACATAAGGCTAGAAACAAGCCAGGAGTGACACTTGAAATTGATCATCCTTTTAGCCATTCTGTCAGGCTTCCGAAAATTAATGAGTGGGTTGCAGAAGGGAAGTGGCTTACCAGAACATCGCACAAATTTGCTGATCTTGACTTGCTGAAATTCTGCTTACCTAATGCAAAGCTAAACACTTCACTTCTCCACAGTGCTTACATTCCCCCCAAATCTTCTCCTGGGGTTCCTCTACTCAACGTTGCTCTCTCCTCAGGCAAGTAAGAGCAAAATACAAAAGAAAGTGGCTGAAGCTACTGTCCTTGGCTGACGAAATGACACAACAGATAATTTTCAGGCTTAAACTACAAAATCCCTGCGCTTACATATAACTCAAGATTCAGGATGCAAGATAACATTTATTCAACATTATTAATGTAAAGGATACAGTGTTCAGGGACACTTGAGATACAGTACGAAACTTTCATGGACAGGGAACTACCTTGGTCACGAAAGTGGTTCCATGTCAGTTTAGCTTTTGTGTCTTGTAGGAATGATCTCTGTCATTTTTCCAAATATGAGAAACTTAATGGCAGGATCTGTGAAAAAGATATAATATTCCCTGTCCCTAAATACTATAATTTTCTGAATTAAAGGAAGAACATAAAGAAAGTAAAAAAGTGGCCAGGTGCGGTGGCTCACGCCTGTAATCCCAGCACTTTGGGAAGCCAAGAGGGGGCAGATCACGAGGTCAGGAGATCGAGACCATCCTGGCTAACACGGTGAAACCCTGTCTCTACTAAAAATACAAAAAAAAAAAAAAAAAAAAAATTAGCCGGGCGTGGTGGCAGGCGCCTGTAGTTCCAGCTACTCGGGAGGCTGAGGCAGGAGAATGGTGTGAACCCGGGAGGCGGAGCTTGCAGTGAGCTGAGATCGCGCCACTGCACTCCAGCCTGGGCAACAGAGTGAGACTCTGTCTCAAAAAAAAAAAAAAAGAAAGTCAAAAAGTTTTAGAATAACAAGTGATAGCCACTAGTAAGGTATTCTCCAAGTTATGACAATTAAATAATAAACATCCTGTACATGTTTCAGACTTCCCTTCCCCTAAAAACCCTATGCTCTGGCTAAGCAGCTTTATCCACAAGACTGTCTCAGACAACACTGCTGCCTAGTAGGCCTTTGAGGAAGCTATCAGACCCCACATTTATAGTCTTTTTCTTCCTTCTTGAGTCAGTTATAAGGAAGCTTTAGGCATATGTAGCAATTCCATATATTTTCTCTTTCAATACTCGTTTAATTTTCAAAATATTTTTTCTTATAAATTCCTTCTTTCCCCCTTTCCCTCAGTTTTAAATTCTTCCCAAACTCATAAAAAAAACTTCACTTACTTTCTCTTTTTCTTTATACCCTTTCTCTCTACTTCTTTTAAGAAGAAAAAAAAAAAACTTCCTAAGAAGGCAGCAACTGTCTAAACCCCAATAGAAGCATTTTTGTCAACTTCTAAAACACTTAACAGTGTCCCAAAGTTATCTTCTGAATATATTTACTAAAGCCATCTTCTACACTTTATTTCCTTTATCCCTTAATTGCCAAAATTTTAGAAAATTAAATACCATTAATATTTTAGTTAAAATCATGATATTTGGAATTAAACTCCTTGGGCTCAAACTACAGGTCTATCACTTACTAGCTATGTAAAGTTACTTAAACACTTACTAGCTTGAGAAGTCACTTAAACATTCTTGGCCCTCAGTTTTCTCCTCCATAAAATAGTGGTACTTACCTTACAGGAATATTGCAAAAAGTAAATGAATTAGTACTTGTAAAGAACTTAAGACAGTGCTTAGCATATATAAAGCTCTAATATTAATATTTTATTGTATTTCCCATATTGCAAGATTGTTGTCTAATGCTATTTTTAAATGTTAAATATTTGTACTTAACCCATACTTTGGGTTAAATAAATTTTGTAACTTGGCCTAAAGCTATAACTACTACATAAAACATTGTTTCAAATAAAATATATGTCTAGACTTTTTTAAATGCTCTTGAACTTTTAGAAGGCATCTTAGTTAAAAATTAATAAACTGTATGCTCACATTAACTTCACAGAGGCTAAGGAACCATTGTGTAGGAGAGTGAACAGGATCTGGCCGTAGATGAGATGAGAAAATAATAATTTCCTGAAATATTTTATTTGGGTTGTCATTAGCATTAGAAATATTGAGAAATGGGAAATAAAAAAGACGATACATTCCAAGTGATGAAAATAGTATGTGCAAAATCTTGGAGGAATGAGCAAGTTAGAAGCCTACAATTGAGATAAAGCTCTGCTGAAAGAATTTTTTTATTTTTTAAAAGACACCTTGACAATTCACTTTAAAATTCACATTAAAATATGGCTTTTGGCATAAACACTTTTTTCTTACATTCTGGAACACAATACTGCTCTCTTCAACCCCAAATTGTGATCTAGATCCAAAAAGGAAAGTGAAATGTACTGTCAACATTCCTCTCCATTATAGTATTTAAAATGGATGGAAATTGAACATATTAAAAGAGTCTTGCCCTCTGCTTTTCATAAGGCTCTCTGCTGAGCATGAGCTGCCGCGGGAGATCTGAGCAAGAGGGGCGGGTAGCAATAGGCCAATGCATTCATGGCTGCAATCAGAATCAGATGCTTAGTTTGTGGACTCATAGCACATAAAAGAAAAATTTCAAGCACTTACTGTAGCTGCTGCTGATTACTGACTATTCATTAAAAACATATTTGGCTTGTTCCAATGTAACCCCAATGTTCTTTGTGAAGGAAAAGTCCATGGTGCCATTTTCCTATAAATTATGCAGCCCCCTGTTTATTCTTCAAAAGCCCATGCATTTCTTTTATAAAAAGAAGTGTTTAAAGGTTCCTACAGCCTAGGGATTGTAGCTAAAATACTGGAATCACACAATTAAAGGGAAGAAAAAACTAAATTAAGCCTCTGAAAGGGATACTGCCTAAGTGAATGCTTCCCTTGTGCCCCAGTGAAAGTCACTCTGACAAGCGGGGCTAAAATGTGTTCCAGTAATTGCTTCTTTCTTCAGCATTGCTGAGTAATTGCTTTGCAACTTTGCCCTCCCAGCACACACACATAGAGTTATCATGATGTGATCCCAAAATGATACCTAGACCCAAAGAGCAATGTTTTATAAATGCTGCAGTCAAGAAGAATGGGAAAGATTAACAAGGGAAGTAATTCAGTTTTTAGTGTAGCAGCATCTTAGGCTTTCATCCAGGAAGGAGAGGAATGAACCCAGAATACAATCAGGGCTTGCACCTTGGCTTTATCTGCTCTCTCTAGACAGAGGCCCACACAGCCAAACACAGCCCATCTAGATGTTTTGGCTTTTCAGCCTCTACTCCCATCACAAGAACTAGAGAACATAAGAAACGTCTTGTTGGATCAGACAAATGTCTTATACCATCAGGTCATGCCTGAGAGGATATGTTCATTTTCCTCATCAATCTCAAAACAGGGAATGTTGATTTTCAGACATCTATAGATTTCCTTTCCTTAAGAAAGCTAGGATGCATACAATATTGCTCCTTTATTTTCTAAATCCTTACTGATTCAATAAGCATTTTTCAGCTTGTGCATGCCCCTTGAAGTTCAAAAGTTTGTAAGTTTGGCTGTGATAAATGGTGTCTTTTTTGTTTGCCTGAAAACAACACTCTACTGATGGCTGGCTCTACGGTAAGCATACAAAAGATGTTTTGAAAAAATACATATCAACTTGAATTGGCAGGATTAGAAATATGCAGGGTCTGACCCCTCAATATGAATGCACCACCTGATTGGCTCAACTTGACTGGGTGCCTCAGGATGCCAACTTGAATGCATTGACTTGGAAGGGGAGGCAAGAATATAATATCTGGGTCTCTTGTTTGGGCAGGGGTTAAAAATATTGATTTCAAAAAAATAAGACAGGATTTTCAGAGATTTCACTGGCTCAGGGGCATGGTTAAGGCTACTCTTTTCTTTGATGAAGCTGACCAAATTCCTTACCATGTGGCATGATTCCTTACCGTCTGGAGAAAAAATGAGTTGATCTTGCTTTAATCCACTCCAACCCCACTTTCCTATGAAAAGCAAGTTGATCATCATCTTTCCTCTGTTTCCTTTATCCTCTTTAGCCATTGAGCCCTCCACATGTCCACCTGCACATTATTGAGATATCTTATTGAGAATCTCTCTTTGCTTTCTATGACCAATCAAGTAACATTTGAATTCCAGAAAAGGGACTTGGGATAGGTCATTTGTAACTGTGAAGCTTTGGGAGACTGCTTGAAAGAAAAGTCCACCAGGATTCCCCAACTAAATTATTTCTATTCCCAAGCCAAGCCATCTGTTACCAACAGAATGTTGAACTTTATGTATATGAGATCATGTGTTGTACATGGAATTGAAACTTTAGTTCATATGAGATTTGCTCTCTGATTAGACTAATTTTTCTCAGGTTTAAAGTAAAGAACCCTATGTTATAATAGTTCCCACCCTATGAGAGTGTCTACAGATCTCTAATATTTGTACTAAGATCTACTACCCTCTAAGTTATACCTTAGTTAAGAAAGAAAAGCTCATATTGCTACAAGGATGCATTGATGATATTGATTTTCCCCCTTCTTGAAATATGCCATCCCATTTAATGGTTAAACAATAAGAGAGCTGCTCTTCCTGGCTCAGAAATATGGCCAACACTTGCCACTAATGTTCCTTTTCCCTCTGCCACTGTCACAGCTTATCTCTCCTATTTGACGGTGGGTAGACCCACTGCTTTGACTTATTCTGTTACTTATGTGACAAAGGCTAACCCACCAAGGTCAGTGGCTGGGTATCATCCATCATGTTGCCAATATGTCTGCCATGATTGATGGGGTGATGTACTGCAGGATCTCTAACTTCTGTTACTGTCACATTTGTGCCTCTCAGCCACACCAGGGCTGGAGCTCTCAGGTATTGTACCATCTCATCTCCTAATGGCTCTCTGATTAAAATGGCTCAGGAACTGCCCTGCTTTCATAGAGCAGTGAGAGACCAGCACTAATGATCTTGCTGACTCAAAAAGTGTGCTGAAATGTGCATCACCTAGGGCGAGGATCCAAAGTGAGTTGTAATACTTTGCTTGAGTGTAAACACGGACGATTTTAACCCGAATCCATAGCCCTGATAAATAAACACATCCCAAACATTAAATCCTGGATGATATGAACAAGTCCATTAAAGTACCCTTGAATTTTTAGCAAAGTTAGCAATAGATCAGGGAATTTTATAGCTAAAAAAAAAACAATGAAAAAAGAGTAATCTTCTTGCTTTTGTAGGTAACATGCAATCTCACAGACATGATTAAAATTCTAGTCCTAAGTCAATAAACACTATACTCTTGATTTCAAGCTTTTCCTCCCGGCAAACCTGACAACTCCAACACAGATAGAAGCACAGAAGTCGATTATGGAGAAAATGCAACTAGACCATGCGTACACTTCCTCTTCATTGTCTTCTCCTTTTAATCAATAGCACACTGAGTCTCCTGCTTCTATTGAATTAGGTTTACAAAGCTTTTTTGTTCTCACCTGTCGCTAAGAAAAATCATTCATGGCATCCTGGATCTGAACTAGCGGAGAGTGCATGAATCAAAGAGGTAAAAACGTTCCCTCCCCAGGGAGGCTGCCAGCTGTCTCATTGATTCAGTGCTGCTCTTGGCTGATTCGGAGGCTACCCTGGCACTAGTTCCAGAGAGTACAATAAGGCACCACAATGCAAACTGTTACCAGGGAGAAATAGAACATCTGGTCTGGAACAAAAGCAAAGTCCATTGCTAAGAAGCAGCCTGACCATCAGCATTCAAGCATGAATATGCCAGGTCCTGTCACCTGAAAGAGGCGGTCCCTCGAGCTAAAGAAGAAGATAAAATAGAAACCGTAAGGGGAAAGAAAGCTGGAGAGAGAAATAATATATTTTCTCATTATTGTTGTCTAAATGTAGAAGGATATTATTCATTAGTCTTTCTAGGAGCTCTATTTTTTATTTAACACTATCGACAACAATTATAAACATTGCAAATTTAAACAGCAGACATCGGTTGACTTTTGTCTTTTCATTCTCTAAGTTTGGAGGGGTTTGTCTGTTTTGCAGGCATTTTTTGTTTTATGGAGCTTGGGGGCAGTTTTTCCTCATTTTTGTTTTGATTTTTGTTTTGGTGTGACAACTAAAAGCTTCCTTTGTTATCCTGCTGTTACAAGCAGAGCTAATGATTGGCCTCTCTTCTGTAGAAATATTTTAATTGCCAAGGACCTATTAATATGGGCAGCCAATCTGAGAACAACAAGAAATGGCATGCATGATGCCTGCCATGTGCCTTCTACCAACCTGTGTCCCTATACTGGGCATAGTAGAGTCTGTTTCTGTCAAGTCTGCTTTATATATAAGCTCATTGTTGTTTTTGTTGCTGTAAGTACTAAACAACACCTTTGGAAAAGGAGAAGAATTTTACTCCAACTGCTTTAAGATGCAGATTAAAAAATAAAAAGGGCTTACCCTGTTGACAAAGCCCCTGTCAAAGTGAGAGTCATTATACTCTGCATAAGGTTTGTATACTTCATTCCTTTCCAAAGCCATCTGCCTGAATTTAATTCACTGATAATTTTATCAGTCTCCCCATGCTTTGCCTGAAACCTCTCCATTGCATTTTTTATTCTTCACAGATGTTAACTCTTTGAATGACAGTTCCAATGCCTTTAGAATTTTGATGAAGATACACACTCTCTCTCTGAAAGATCTCTCTCATATGAAACCCTTTCTGCTGTACCAGCAGTTGTGATCTCTGACAAAAGTTGTGCTTCTCCTGGACAAAGCCAATCTAGATGCAAAATTGTATCCATGACATGGCTAAGGAAGACACTTGCAATGGCACTATCCCAGCCACACAAAATACCTACCATTTAAGGTACCTTTTGGAAACCAGAAATCAGAACTCATTTTATAGGGATAATTCTCATCTTTCTTTCTGTCTTATTAGTGCATATAATATTATCTTTAAGAAACTACAGACTATCAAAGAGCACTATGAATCTACTAAAAATTAACTATTTGAAGAAATTAGTTTTTTACTGCTTGTTCTAAATCATGCATTCTGTGTTTTTTATTTTTTAAAGAAACTATTTAAATGCACTTTTAGGTTGTGCGTAAGGTAGTTTATCTCAAATTTACTGTCAAGTCATTTTGAGGATAGTCTCTTGTTAGTTTCCATTTTAATTCAAAAAACGTCTTGATACAGCTGATGTCAGATCCTGCTGTTAATTTTTCCCAATAAGCATTTCTAAGCTTCTGCACTGAACAAGGTATAGTGTTGGGCAGTGTGGGATGGATAGGAGGGTTCTCAAGACACTTGTTCCCCAAGAGCTTATGACCTAGTAGGGAATACAGGACACGAAGCAGACAGTGATTGGCATAAAGCATTACACAAACATAAACAAGAGAAAGATTTGTTTTACCAGAAAAATGGTGCAAACTTCACAGAACAGATCAATTGTTACTTGGGCCCTGAAATCTGGGTAGGATTTGAGGAGTAGATATGACAGTAAGAAAATATCCAGCTATTGGGAACTCTATTAATAAAAGCATGGATATAGGAAAGCATGCAGCAAGTTCTGAAAACACAAAGGACACCAGTTTGGCTGGATCAGAGGGCATATGAGGGAAGAAAACAGAGACAAAGTTAAAGATATGGGGTAGAGCCATGATTTGGAAATGGGGAAGTTCCATTGGAAACTTCTGAGCAAGAATAAGACATGACATGTACTGCACTTTTAGAAGATAATTATCACCCTGTGTAGGATGAATTAGGAAGGAAGATACTAAAAACAGAGAAAATTTGAAAGTGTCATCACAGGGAAAGAAAAAGAGGTCCTGGTTTAGGGCAGGTGCATTTGTAATGAAATTCAGGGTATTTGTTCAAACATTCCAACCAAACAGATGGGAAAGATGTACTGAAATCAAAAGACTCAGGTGGGCTGAGCAAAGCAATCTGGCTAAAGTGCTTCACAGCTTTGCCTCTTTCTAACTTAACTCTTAATCCCCCAGGTGTCACCACCATTTCCCAAAGGAACCTAAGCCAGCCTTCATTGGATGTGTCTTCCCCATATTGATATTTTGTTTTGTTTTTGACTATTCATTTATCACTAGCATTGTTTCCAGAGCAATTCCAGAGCATAAAATGACACTTATTTTGTGTTTATAGACTCAGAGTTTTCACTGGAAGTCATCATTCTGAGAACCTGACACAGGCACAAGTCAAAAACCAGAAAACAAGGTGTTGACTCCATGGTGGTTCAGATATGAGGGGCAGCATAGGAGGGAATGGTGGGAAAGTAAGTGTAATGCTTTAGTTAAAGTAATGTAGATACTACCTGTAGATTAGGATGTCAAAAATTTAAGAATAAAAATATATTGCTTAAAATTGGAGATTATAATAATTATTATTGGCCCTACGAGGGGCAATGTGATACATACATGAACTAAATATCCAAATCTTCTAAGAGAATGATTTCTGTTAACTTTCACTAGCTTAGAGGGACTATTTGTGGTACCAATCCAGAGCCCGAGACTAGAAAAATTCCATTTAGAGCAAAACATATAAACACTTCCTAAAGAGCAACTTAGGGGAGAATTTAGTTTAATGTGTTATTGTAGAGACTAACTAGTTTTTTCACCAAAACCTGTCCCTTTTCTTCCTAGTACACAGATAGACCACATTTCTCAGCATCCCTGTGGTTAGGTGGGGCTTGAGAACTGACTTCTGTCCAGCTGAATGTGATCAAAGGTGATGTTCTCCACTTACCAGCCTTAAGAACTTCCAGCTTGATCCTCCACACTCTCTTCTTTTGTCTTCTAATAAAGTGAAACAACAGAGAACTCCAAGTCCCCCAGGAGAAGTGGAGCCACTAGAAGGAAGGACTGTTGGAGGCTGATGCACAATCCACTCACACCAGAATTGATGAGAACGAGAACACTTTCATAAACTCTTATCATATTCAGTCACAGAGAGTTGAGAGTAGTTTGTTACAGCAATTAGCCTACTCTAAATGATACACATTTGACGTTTTAGAGTCACACAGACTTCAATCTATGTCTCAGCTCTGCCGTATAATCAGCCCTGAGGCTCCAAGAGGGTATCCAGCACTCAACAAGATATAATTCACATTTGGCATCTAATCAAAATTTGCCAGGTATGCAAAGGAGCCAGAATATATAATCCCTAATGAAGGGGTAATTCAATCAGCTGAAATCAACCCAGAACTGAGACTAATGTTAGAACTAACAGACATGAACAAAAAGATAATTATTATTACTGTATTTCACATGTTCAAAAATGTTAAATAGAGAAAAGAAATATGAAAAAGAGAGGAAGACTGAAGCCAGTAATCTGGGGTAATCAAACTTTAAGATATGAAAACTACAATGGCTGAAATGAAAAGTACCTTGGATGAGAATAATGGCACATTAGATAATGAAGAAGCAAAGATTAGTAAACTTGAAGAAGTAGCAATTGAAGCAATAAAAAATCACAAAAAGAAAAGAATTTACAAAAATTAACAGAGCATCAGTAGGCCAACTTCAAGTGGCTTAATATTTATATATTTGGAGTTGCTAAACAAGAGAAAAGAAAGGGAGGAAATTTTTAAATGTCTGAAGGTATAGTGACCAAAATTTTTCTAAATTGATGAAAATTAGAAACCCACAGATCACAGAAACTCAAAAAACTCCAAAAATAAGAAATAGGAATTAAACTATTGTATTAGTCCATTTTCATGCTGTTGATAAAGACATACCTGAGACTGGGCAATTACAAAAGAAAGAGGTTAAACTGGACTTACAGTTCCACATGGCTGGGGAGGCCTCATAATCATGACAGAAGGCAGGAAAGGGCAAGTCACATCTTACGTGGAATGGCAGCAGGCAAAGAGAGAATGAAAAGATGCAAAACTAGAAACACCTGATAAAACCATCCGATCTCATGAGACTTATTCACTACCATGAGAACAGTATGGGGGAAATCACCCCCATGATTCAATTGTCTCCCACCGGGTCCCTCCCACAACACGTGGGAATTACGGGAGTACAATTCAAGATGAGATTTGGATGGGGACACAGACCCAAACCATATCATTCCACCTTGTCCCCTGCCAAATCTCATGTCCTCACATTTCAAATCCAATCATGCCTTCCCAACAGTCCCCCAAAGTCTTAAATCATTTCAGTATTAACTCAAAAGTCCACAGTCCAATGTCTCACCTGAGACAAGGCAAGTCCCTTCTGCCTATGAGCCCATAAAATCAAAAGCAAGTTAGTTATTTCCTAGATACAATGGGGGTACAGACATTGGGTAAATACAGCCATTCCAAATGGGAGAAATTGGTCAAAACAAAGGGGCCACAGGCCCCATGCAAGTCCAAAATCCAGCAGGGCAGGCAAATCTTAAAGCTCCAAAATGATCTCTTTTGACTCCATGTCTCACATCCAGATCACACTGATGCAAGAGGTGGGTTCCCATGGTCTTGGGCATCTCTGCCCCTGTGGCTTTGCAGGGTACAACCTCCCGCCCAGCTGCTTTCATGGGCTGACATTGAGTGTCTGCAACTTTTCCAGGTGCATGGTGCAAGCTGTCAGTGGACCTACCATTCTGGGGTCTGGAGGATGGTGGCCCTCTTCTCATAGCTCCACTGGGTGGTGCCCCAGTAGGGACTCGGTGTGGGGGCTCCAACCCCACATTTCCCTTCTGCACTGCCCTAGCAGAGGTTCTCCATGAGAGCCCCGCCCCTGCAACAAACTTCTGCCTGGGCATCCAGGCATTTTTATACATCTGAAATCTAGGTGGAGGTTCCCAAAGCTCAATTCTTGACTCTGTGCACCTCCAGGCTCAAAACTGCATTGAAGCTGCCAAGGCTTGGGGCTTGCACCATATAAAGCCATGGCTGGCCCAAGCTCTACATGGGCCCCTTTCAGCCATGGCTGGAGCAGCTGGAATGCAGGCCACCAAGTCCCTAGACTGCACACAGCTCAGGTACCCTGGGCCAGGCCCATGAAACCACTTTTTCCTCCTAGGCTTCCAGTCCTGTGATGGGAGGGGCTGCCGTGAAAACCTCTAACATGCCCTGGAGACATTTTCCCCATTGTCTTGGAGATTAACTTTTGGCTCCTCGTGACTTATGCAAATTTCTGCAGCTGGCTTGAATTTCTCCTCAGAAAATGGGATTTTCTTTTCTTTCACATTGTCAAGCTTAAAATTTTCTGAACTTTTATTCTCTGTTTCCCTTTTAAAACTGAATGTTTTTAACAGCGCCCAGGTCACCTCTTGAATGCTTTGCTGCTTAGAAATTTCTTCTTCCCGATACCCTAAATCATTTCTTTCAAGTTCAAATTTCTATAAATCTCTAGGGCAGGGGTAAAATGCTGCCCGTGTCTTTGCTAAAACATAACAAGAGTCACCTTTGCTCCAATTCCCAACAAGTTCTTCATCTCCATCTGAGACCACCTCAGCCTGGACCTTATTGTCCATATCAGGCTTTTGGTCAAAGCCATTCAAAAAGTCTCTAGGAAGTTCCAAACTTTCCCACATTTTTCTGTGTTCTTCTGAGACATCCAAACTGTTCCAACCTCTGCATGTTACCCAGTTCCAAAGCTGCTTCCACATTTTCAGATACCTTTTCAGCAACACCTCACTCTACTAGTACCAATTTAATGTATTAGTCCATTTTTATGCTGCTGATGAAGACATACCCAAGACCGGGCAATTACAAAAGAAAGAGGTTTAATTGGATTTACAGTTCCACATAGCTGGGGAGGCCTCATAATCATGGCAGAAGGCAAGGAGGAAAAAGTCACATCTTATATGGAATGCAAGCAGGCAAAGAGAGAATGAGAAGATGCAAAAGCGAAAACCCCTGATAAGACCATCGGATCTCGTGAGATTTATTCACTACCACGGGAACAGTATGGGGGAAATCACCCCCATGATTCAATTATCTCCCACCGGGTCCCTCCCACAACACGTGGGAATTATAGGAGTACAATTCAAGATGAGATTTGGGTGGGGACACAGAGACAAACCATATCAAATATCAAGATACATCATAATTAAATCGGTCAAAACCAGTGACAAAGAGAAAACTTTGAGAGCACCAGCAGAGACAGGAGAACATGCAACATTAAAGAAGATCAGAATTAAAGATGAGAGCAGATTTCTTATCTGAAAGTAAGGAAGCAAGAAGATAATGGAGGAATGTCTTTAAAATACCAATAGAGAAAAAGAAAAATAAACCCTGATGATCTAGAAATCTATATGCAGCAAATATATGCTACAAAATTGAAGACAAAATAAAGACTTTTTCAGATATAAAAATGCTGAAAGTATTTATTACCAGCAGATCTGCACTCACTACTTGTACAACAAATAATTTTTAATAGAAAGGTTGTTCAGGCAGAATAAAAAAGATATCATATAGGAATAGGGATCTAGAGTCAAAAAATAAAAGGCAGAAAAGAGGCAGGACTATGTTGCAGCTTCACTCAGACAGACAGAGCAGCATGTGGAGACTCACACTATAAGCCTTTGCTCCAAGAACTCCTGCAGGAACATACCAAGAAAAATGAAAGAATTCACAGGCTCTTTGAAAGAAGCAGCTTGCCACTGCAAACTCCATGAGACAGCTGAAAACTGTGAATGCCCAAAGTGTGAGAGGGGCAACATCCACCTCCAAGTGCACATACTCACTGGAGAACCTGAAAATCCAGATCACAGGAGAAGGATTTAACCTTACCTAGAGCTGAAATGAATTTAGAGAGCCAAGTGAAATACAAAAGTACAAGAAGCAGCAGGAAGAGCCCTGTAGGCCCTCCTAGTCCCCAGGGAAGACATTTCTGACTTCATCTCTCAGGGGTCCTGGGGGAGGGCTTTCAGTGGAATTGGGGAAGGACCACAAGGAGAAGAAAACTTCTGATTTTAGTTTTCTTAAAATTATTTTTGTAATATTACTACAAAGCTGAGCTTTGTAATAATTTTGACCAAGCACAGATTTTCCTGGGCAGAATCCAGGGGCAGGGATGAATGGGAAGTGCAGATATGAGCATAGAAGCCATGGCAGGCAGGGAGGGATGGGACCTGAAAGCCCCACTTGCTTTCACAGTAGGTAGCCTTGTAGCCTGGGGCAAGATCTCAGCCCTGCTCACTGGCTGCCTGGAAATAAACTTGATGCTGTTGGTGGGGCATAGTGAAAGTGAGACTGGCTTTACTGGCTGCGTGAAAGCTAGGTGAGGCCTGTCATTACCAGCTTTCCCCGACTTCCCTGGCAATCTATATGATGCAGCAAAGGCAGCCATAATCCACCTAGAAACATAACTCCATTGGGGTGAGAACCACACCCCCATCCCCCATTACAGCCGCAGCAAGCCCTGCCCAAGGAGAGTCTGAGCTCATTCATGCCTAACCCTGCCCCCACCAAATGGTCTTTCTCTGTCCGTCTTGGTAGCTAAAGACAAAAAACATAATCTTCTGAGGGCTCTATGCCCCCCCACCCCATAGACTTTAAAGCAACAACAGCTAAAAAGGCAGAGGGACATTAATTAATGATAAAACGACTAGTGCAACAGGAAAATATCACAATCCTAAATATATATGCACCTAACACTGGAGCTCCCAAATTTATAAAACAATTACTACTAGAACTAAGAAATGAGATAGACAGCAACACAATAATCGAGAGAGACTTCCTTACTCCACTGATGGCACTAGACAGGTCATCAAGAAAAAGTCAACAAAGGAACAATGGGCTTAAAACTATATCCTAAAACAAATAGGCTTAACAGACATTTACAGAACATTCTACCCAACAACTGCAGAACATACATTCTATTCATCAGCACATGGAACATTCTCCAAGGCCACAAAACAAGTCTCAATATATTGAAGAAATTGAAATCATATCAAGTACTCTCTCAGACCACAGTGGAATAAAATTGGAAATCAACACCAAAAGGAACCCTCAAAACCACGTAAATACATGGAAATTAAATAACTCCTGAATGATTGTAGCATCAACAATGAAATCAAGACGAAAATTTAAAAAACATTTAAACTGAATGATAATAGTGACACAACTTATCAAAACCTCTGGAATCCAGCAAAGGCAGTGATAAGAGGAAAGTTCATAGCATTAAATGCCTACATCAAAAAGTCTGAATGAGCACAAATAAACAGTTTACCTCAAGGAACTAGAGAAACAAGAACAAACCAAACCCAAACCCAGCAGAAGAAGAGAAATAACAAAGATCAGAGCAAAACTAAATGAAACTGAAACAAAAAAATATATAAAAGATAAATGAAACAAAAAGCAGGTTCTTTGAAAAGATAAACAAAATTGATAGACCATTAGCGAGATTAACCAAGAAAATAAATAAGAAGATCCAAATAAACTCAATTGGAAACAAAACGGGAGATATTACAACCAATACCACAGAAATACAAAAGATCATTCATGGATACTATGAACACTTTTATGTGCACAAACTAGAAAACCTAGAGGAGATGGATACATTCCTGGAAATATACAACCCTCCTAGATTAAACCAGGAAGAAACAGAAGCTCTGAACAGACTAATAACAAGCAGTGAGATTGAAATGGTAATTTTTAAAAATTGCCAACAAAAAAAAGTTCAGGACCAGATGGAGTCACAGCTGAATTCTATCAGACATTCAAAATAGAATTGTTACCAATCCTATTGAAACTATTCCATGAGATAGAGAAAGAGGGAATCCTCCCTAAATCATTCTATGAAGCCAGTGTCACCCTAATACCAAAATCAGGAAAGGACATAACAAAAAAAGAAAACTACAGACCAATATCCCTGATGAATATGGATGCCAAAATCCTCAACAAAATACTAGCTAACAGAATCCAACAGCATATCAAAAAGATAACACACCATGATTAAGGGGCTTTCATACCAGGGATGCAGGGATAGTTTAACATACACATGTCAATAAATGTAATACACCACACAAATAGAAGTAAGAACAAAGATCACATGATCATCTCAATAGATGCAGAAAAAGCATTTGACAAAATCCAGCATCCCTTTATGACTAAAACCCTCAGCAAAATCAGCATAGAAGGGACATACCTTAATGTAATAAAAGTCATCTATGACAAACCCACAGCCAACATTATACTGAATGGGGAAAAGCCGAAAGCATTCCCCCTGAGAACTGGAACAAGACAAGGAGGCCCACTTTCACCACTTCTATTCAACGTTGTACTGGACATCCTAGCCAGAGCAATCAGAAAAGAGAAAGATTTAGGGCATCCAAATCAACAAAGAGGAAGTCAAACTGTTGCTGTTTGTTGATGACATGATTGTAGACCTAGAGAAGTTTAAAGACTCATCCAAAAAGTTCCTACATCTGATAAATGACTTCAGTAAAGTTTCACGATACAAAATCAATATACATAAATCAGTAGCACTGCTATACACCAACAGCAACCAAGCTGAGAAAAAAATCAAGAACTCAACCTCTTTTATAATAGCTGCAAAAAAATAAAAATAAAATGCTTAGGAATATACCCAACCAAGGAGGTGAAAGACCTCTACAAGGAAAACTACAAAACACTGCTGAAAGAAATCATAGGCAACACAAACAAATGGAAACATATCCTATGCTCATGGATGGGTAGAATCAATACTGTAAAAATGACCATACTGCCAAAAGCAATCAACAAATTCAATGCAATTCCCATCAAAAGGCCATCATCATTCTTCACAGAACTGGAAAAAACAACCCTAAAATTGATATGGAACCAAAAAAGACCACATAGCCAAAGCAAGACTAAGCAAAAAGAACAAACTTGGAGGCATCACATTATCTAACTTCAAACTATACTATAAGGTCATAGTCACCAAAACAGCATGGTACTGTTATAAAAATGGGCACATAGACCAATGGAACAGAATAGAGAATCCGGAAATAAAGCCAAATAATTATAGCCAACTTATCTGTGACAAAGTAAACAAAAACATAAAGTGGGAAAAGGACACTCTATTCAACAAATAGTGCTGAGATAATTGGCAAGCCACATGTAGAAGAATGAAACTGGATCCTCATCTCTCACCCCGTATAAAAATCAACTTAAGATAGATAAAATACTTAAATCTAAGACCTGAAACCATAAAAATTCTAGACGATAACTCAGAGAAACACTTCTAGACACTGGCTTAGGCAAAGACTTCATGACCAAGAACCCAAAAGCAAATGCAACAAAAACAAAGATAAATATATGAGACTTAATAAACTAAAAAGCTTCTGCACAGCAAAGATATAATCAGCAGAGTAAACAGACAGCCCACAGGTTTGGAGAAAATCTTCACAAACTATGCATCTGACAAAGGACTATATCCAGAATCTATAAGGAACTCAAATAAATCAGCAAGAAAAAAATAATAATCCCATCAAAAAGTGGGATAAGTACATGAATAGACAATTCTCAAAAAAAGATATACAAATGGCCAACAAACATATGAAAAATACTCAGCATTACTAATTATCAGGGAAATGCAAATCAAAACCACAATGATATTCCACCTTACTCCTGCAACAATAGCTATAATTTGAAAATTAAAAAATAATAGATGTTGGCATGGATGTGGTGAAAGGACAACACTTTTACACTGCTGGTGGGAATGTAAACTAGTACAATTACTATGTTAAATAATATGGAGATTCCTTAAAGAACTAAAAGATCTGCCACTGGATCCAGCAATCCCACTACTGGGTATCTACCCAGAAGAAAAGAAGTCATTATATGAAAACACATGCATGTTTATAGCAGCACAATTTGCAACTGCAAAAATATGGAACCAGCCCAAACGCCCGTCAATTGAGTGGATAAAGAAAATGTGAGATTGGATAGATAGATAGATGATAGATAGACAGATAGATAGATAGATAGATAGATAGATAGATAGATAGATAGATATGAATACTATTCAGCCATAAAAAAGGAATGAAATAATGGCATTCACAGCAACCTGGATGGAGTTGGAGACCATTACTCTAAGTGAAGTAACTCAGGAATGGAAAACCAAGTATCGTATCATAAGTGGGAGCTAAGCTATGAGGATGTAAAGGCATAAGAACAATACAATGGACTTTGGAGACTTAGGGAGGAAAGATGAGAGGTGGGTGAGGAATAAAAAGCTACACTTTCGGTGCAATGTATACTTCTTGGGTGATGGGTGCACCAAAATCTCAGAAATCACCACTAAAGAATTATCCATGTAACCAAACACCACCGGTTCCCCAAAAACCTTTTGAAATAAAAAGAAAAAAAAAATATGGATCTATATGAAGGAATGCACAACACTAGAATTGGTAGCTACCTGGAAAAATAAAAATAAAATAAAATGTATGAGAAAAATAGTCCAAAGGCTGAAAGAGGGAAAATAAAAGTATATTATTATATGATTATTATACTTTATAGAAAGCTGTGTAATATTGATTCTAAATAGACTGTAATAAGTTAAAAATGCATATTTGAACCTCAGATCAATGTCTTAAGAAAACAAAGAGATACAGTTCAAAAACCAATTTAGGAAATAAAATATAATATTATAAAATATTTAATTAACACAAATTATTATTCTGCCACTTACTTCTTATGTAACCTTATGTAAGTTATTTCAACTTCTTTTAACTTCAGTTTCCTCATCTCCCATTAAATGTATTTAATAATATTAATTTCATTAAGTTGTGATGATAAACCAATCTTAAAGTTCCTTGAGGGAAAACACCGTATCTTTTTAATTGTATATTGTGTATACCAGGCACAGTGCTTGGCACATGGATTTTTACATTAAGTAATTTTTCTCTTAAATCCTACCCTATATGACTTAGTGCCTGGCATACGATAGACGTGCAATAAATATTTTTAAGTAAATCTATGGCAAAGTTTTCTATTAAATGATGAAATACAGTAAGATATATCAAAAGTAGAGCAAATAAAATATCACGCATTTTTATTTGATAAACTATAAGTAAAGGGAGAGTTGCATATGTACGTGCAAAAACAAATCAAAGAATATTTGAAGATAATGAAAGACAATGCTTCATTTTTTTGTCTCCTTAACATTGAGATAAACATCAAAATCTACAATGCACCTTAGAAATATAGCCTAAAATAAGCTTATCCTCAAATGATTTAAAATTCATCACATATTGAGTCCTGATGATCTGGAACGATTGTTCTTTCCAAATGAGGTGGTTTCTGGGGACTCTAGTTAGCAACAAGCAGTGAAAGAAAAAAGTTAAGAGTCTCCATATACCAATCACAGATAATGTCTGATTAGCAAGTACTGAGGCCCTGGAACTGTTTGGCCAAAAACCACTTTTATTTAAATACGAAGTAGGGTCAAGGAGAAAAAACAAGACTAACTTATTGAAGCATCTCTAAGAAGACATGTCAAGAAAGTCTTCAGACCTCAGAAATATTTACTGGCTTAAAAGTATTCCCACTAACTCTTCTCATAATTAATAATGGCAATTGTCATCATTTGCTAAGCAGAATTTCTCCAGGCCCTGAGTTAACTTTATATATATTACCTAATTTAGTATTCACAGTAACACAATGATTCCTAAGTCCAGCCTTTTTAAAATTTGAGATAGGCAGGACTTGACTGTCCTGCCTATCTCAAATGTATTATGGAAATGAGGATATCTAATATTAGTGATTATCTGATTAGGCATGCACCTGAAAAGTAAGCCCACCATGATGCCAAGCACATGTAGTCCTAGATGCTTGGAGCCTGAGGCAAGAGGATCCCTTGAGCCTAGGAGCTTGAAGCCAGCCTAGATAACATAGCAAGACTTTGTCTTAAAAAAAAAAGTGTTTAAAGGAATATATTATTATATTCTAACATATTTTTAATTGTTTATATTCATCTGAGATTTTGGAAGGCCTTCATTAATTTACACAGCAGATAGTATCCTCTATGTTTACTCACGCACACACATACAAACACAAAAACAAATACACTTTAGAGTCAGTGCAGTGAAAGGAAAGAATCCAGGCTTCAAAGTCAGGTAAATTTGTTTCAAATATTGTCTCTACCACTTAGAAGATGCATGGCCATGACAAAATATTTAATTCTCCCTTTTCTGATCTATACAATGAGGATAATAGCATCTACCTCCTAGAACTTCTTGGGGTTTAACTTGGGTAGCGTTTGTGACAGACCTCAGCACAGAGACCCATAAATGCTTCTCATCTTCTTTCTTCTTCCAAAAAGTCACATGCATTTAAGAGTCCTACTTTTAAAAAATGACCTGCCATTTGGACACCATCATTTTATGTTTTCTGGACAGCACAGGTCCTACTGTGTTCTCCAAATATTGTAAAGACTTTGCCTGGTCTCTTCTTGTTTGCTTAGCAACCTACCACCAGATGGCAGAAGATGTGTGATGAATCAGAAGCATAAGGGCATCTCTGTTGGGAAGAAGATAGGCATTCCAGAGACGAGAGCAAATAGAATAGTATAGACTCTTCCCACCAATGGATATAAGACATTGTGCAGATAATTCCTACTGTCCATGAGAAGGTAATGGTTAAGATCTCTTCACCTCTTAAGAGCCATAGTTAGTATGTCCCAGGAAAGCTCTGTTCCAGGCTAGACTCAGTCACACAGATCCCACATTCCCATCAGCAGGAATAAGTTAGTGTGGATCTAAATTTAAAAGATTATGACTCAAGTATCATAATGAAGAATGGCAGAAACAAATAATAACAAAATGAATTTTTTTAATTCATGATTCCATACAAATATAAAATGTGTATATATATTATATATGTGTGTGTGGTCATGTTTATATGTTTAACAATGATAAATAAATAATATTTTAAGTGGAGTGGACAAGCAAAAGCTCTGTTTTGCAAAATAATTCTAACTAATAAATTAAGAAGGAATAATAGAATTCAAAAATCACCATTTGCAACCACCATAGTAATAATTGATTGAGATAATAATTAGTAATAGATGCCAAAAGCACAGATGAAAGACTGTTGAAGAACAGGATAGTAACACAATCTGAAATTATTTCTCCTTCAATTACTTATTAATTTTAATGAAGAAAGGTATATTTGATAGTGGGGAAATCTGATGGACCTCACTTTAATCAAAAGATCAAATTTAGCATAACCAATAAAAGAACAAACTGACCTAATGCGTCTCCTAATTAGATACCCTAGGGTGACAATATACAACATCACTTCTGTAGTTTTCTGCCAAAAAAAGTTTAATCTGAATAATAAGAAAATCATTAGACATCTGTCAAATGACCAACCTTGACTCTTCAAAAGGCCAAAAGGACAAAAAAAAAGTTCTAAATTAAAGACCCATAGAGGCATGACATGCCAATGCAATTTTAATTTTTTAATTTTTCAAACTTTTTTAAACACCTATAAAGGACATTTTTGGAACAATTGTGAAATTTTGAATATGGACAAGAAATTAGATACTAGTGTTGTGTTAATGTTGATTTCTTGAGTGTGATATTGATGTTTGGTTATGTCAAAGAATGTCCATTTCCTAGCAAACACAGGCAGAAGAGGCAAGCACCAGGAAACCTGCAACGAATTCTCAGCTTGTTCAGGAAAACAAAAATATACATATATGTTATATATTTTTTTCCTACTGTACATGAGAAGGTAATACTTAAGATTTCTTCTGACTGCTAAGAGCCATTAGTATCCACATATCCCAAGAGAGCTGTTCTTACATTGAATAGCAACAGAGAGAGAGCATACAAGCACAAAAGTGACAAAATGTTAATAATTATATATAGGGTTTAGGTTTATGTGTGTTTATTGTACTACTCTTGGATATGCTTTTTCTTTGAGATTGAACTTTACTGGGGGCTATTTTTCTAATTTTTCAACTGACAAATAATCATTGTACACATTTACAGTGTACATAGTGATGATTTGATACATATAATGTTTAGTGATCAGATCAGGATAATTAGTATATCCATCATCTCAAACATTTATCATGTCTGTGTTGAAAACATACAATAACCTCACCTCTAGCCATTTAAATCTATATAATATTCTTAACTATAGTGGATGACTATAGTTAACAGTAATATTTTTTTTTATATGATTCTGGGAAATCTCATTTGAGAAAGTCATTTCAGTTCTAATTGGGATCTGCCATCCTAGGGGACAAAAGTGTATATTGAAGTTTAAATGAATCAATGAGCAAAATAAGCAAGTCCATGCGTGTTATGAGGAAAGTGGTCTGAATCAGCTGGTTCCCAGAGGTGTGGGGCAAGAGTTTATGCTCCTCCTTCTCTGCTCTTCTGACTATATTGTTCATTTTCTCTTAAATTTCCTAGTTACAAAAATAGCTCAGGCCAGAGGGAGGAGTCATTTTCTTCTCACAATGACAGTCTACAGTGTAAACCTTTATTCTTCTGAATTGCCTTTCCAGTTGGGACCACAGAGATGACTATCAGTGCATCTATAATATAAACATGGTTGCTCTGAGCTCCAGCAGCATGCCCATTTACTGTAAGGCCATATGTGAGCTCCACAGGACGGCAGCATATACGGTTATCTGAATTTATTCTCTACCTGGAATGAAAGTAGGTCATCACATCCATATCTGAGATAGGTCAGACTTCAGAGCTTCTCTCAGCCCCCCAGCTGTTTCCCTTATGTTGTTACACTTTCCAGGGCTGCACAGAGTCTATTTTGAGATTTTTTTTAAAGTGGAAAGTTGGTATGGTGTCTGCGATCCATTGAAATATATTTTCTAAAGGACACACTTCTTTAGAAAACAGGCAGTCTACTGCCCTCCCATTCCCTGCCTCCTGTGCTTAGCCCTTAACCACGTTAAACCTGGAATATACATAGGAATCTATCAGATGTTGAAACAAACAACATGCCCAGGAATCCATTCTGACAGGGACTGGCCAGGTGTGGACTGTCCTTAGGTTCTTCCTTCTTTCTATACCATTTGTAAAAGTGTAGCTCTATATTTTACTACTATGTTAACTTGAATCCAGAAAAATAAACACAAGAATTTCAAATATTTTCAGGGTGTCTTAAACAAATTTCTGCATTTCTGTTAAGCAAATATCTGCATTTCTGTTGCCTCACTTCTAAAATAGTGATGTGTCTCATTAAGTTGCATGGGAATTAAATAAGAATGTGAACTTCTGCTTGATCACGAACTCCTAGAGAGTAAGGACTTCCTCATTCTTCTTTGTGTCACAGCACCGCATCTGAATATAAATAGATGCCTTAACAAAGACAGTCTCCTATTTCCACGTAGTCTAGGAAAGACCATTTTAACTAATAGGTTCTATAGTTATATGCTGTAATATTTGATGTATAACAAGTATATGTAGCTCTGTTTGTTTTGCTGTTCTTACTCTGAATGGCACCAGTTCTTAGATACAAGAAAATACTGGTTTGAATTTTAAAATACCACATTGTTGTCTTTTAATTAGATGATTAAGATAAACAGAGCAATAAGAATATTATTCAAAGGTTTTTCTATCTTAGGACAAGGGTCAGCTAATTTTTTACGAATAGCCCAATAACAAATATCTAAGCTTTGTGGGCTATATGGTCTCTGTCACCACTACTTAACCCTGTGATTGTAATGAGAAAGCAGCCATAGACAATATATAAGTAAATAAACATGACTGTTTCAATAACACTTTACTTATAAACACTGAAATTTAATTTAATCTTAATTTCATTTCATTTTAATTAACTTTAATTTTAATTTCATTTAATTTTCACGTGTCTCAAAATATTCTTTCTTTGAATTTTGTTTCAAACATTTAAGAATGTAGAAAACACTCTTAGCTCGCAGACTATACAAAACAGGCAGTTTGGTGTTAGAATATTACCTGTATTCGAATATTGTATGAATTTATCAAGCATTTTCATATCAATCTAAAATTTGACTTCTAAAAGTATGAGTTAAACAGATATTGAATTGAAATTCATATTTTAAAGAGAGAGGGTTAAGACAATCGTTAAGTGCTTCTTTAGAAAGTAGTCCTTTATCAGAAATGTATTGATTTGTTTTTATTATTTTCTAATAACAATCAAAGTTTCTAAAATTTCTGAATTTAAGTGAACTGTAAAAATTATTTTCACTGTGTAGGTGATTTAGAATGATTAAATTAGTCATGCTTCAATCAGTTTTAATTGCTTGGGGGTGCTAATTAAGAGCACATTTATTCATTTACTTTTTATAAGTAACCTCCCCACACACACAAGTACTAACAATGTTAGAGGTGCCATACACGTTTTTGAGAAAGAAGTATGTATTTTTTTCTTGATATGTAATCATCCCAGTTGGGGGGGTTCAGTATATGTCAATAGAAGGGAGAACTTGACAAACCCAAAAGAAAAGCCAAAATGTATAAAAGACTCTTATCAAAAAAAGGGAGCCTGTTAGGTTATTGTTCACTCTTCTCTAGCTGATTCACCCAAAACTTCAGAACCTATGCTTGAAAACCTGTGTCATCATTTCTTCACATATAGTTGTGAGGGATGGGGAGGATGGGAGTTATTCATTTAACAAATATTTATGAGTTCCTCTTATATGCCAATGACTGCTCAGGCATTGGCAAAGTGGTGGTGAACCAGGTAAGTACGTTCTCTATTCTCACAGAGCTTGCATTCTAGTGAGCATAGGTGAACAAATGAAGAAAAATGTTAGGTAACGACGAGTACAGTGCAAAGAATGTTAATAGGCTATTGTAGCAGAGAGTAACTACTAGGAAGGCTGGTTAAACCAGCTGATCAGAAAAGGGTGTCCAAAGGAAGGTAACACTGAAGTTCAGATATAATTAACAAGAAACTGGTTGCATCTTGAAAGGGAAGTGCATTCCAGGCAGAGGGAACAACTAGAGCAAAGGCCCAAGGTGAGAATGAGAATGAGCTGTTCTATTTGAGAAACAAAAAGAACCCCTGTATGCAGTGTTTTGCAAGCCAGGGTAAGAAGTTTGGATTTTATTTTAGGCATAATGGGGCAAGAGCTTAAGGAGACAGATCAGTAAGAAAGGTATTACTGTAGTCCAGGCCAGAGATGATGGTGGCTGTGAGCAAGGTAGCAATCATGGAGTTGCAAATAAATGGAGGTGGAAAAGGCAGATCTGTTTTGAAGATAAAAGCAACAGGTCTGTAAAACATTAGATGTGGGAGATAAGGAAAAGAGGATCAAGAATGACTCCTCAAATTTTCGTTTTAGCAACTGGAAGGATAAAATTACCACCTACTGAGAAACTAAGACTGTGGGGATGTGGGTTTTGGGTGGGGGCAGAGCAAGAGTTCTGTTTTAGTCATATTAAACTTAAGATACTGTATTAGTTTCCCAGGGCTGTTGTAACAAATTACCACAACCTGTGTGGCTTAAAACAATAGAAATGTGTTCTCTCACAGTTCTGAAGGGCAGAAGTTCAAAATCAAGGTGTGAGTAGCTTAATGAATTCTAACTGATTCATTATAATTCTACATCTGTTGAAAACTGAAATGAGCTCTTCAATTGAGACAGAGAACTGCCTAATGATTAAGAGCAGAAAACTTTTGCAGGCAGACTACAGGCAACAGATATGCCACCCTAAAAATACGACACTTTTGCTTAAGGATTATTTCGAGCTGATGATTTTGAGAAACAGCAGACACAGGAAAAGGTCTGAAAACACTAGAAATTACCCTTTTGTAATGTAAATTTACATTTGTAAAATAAATCTCCATTTTCAAGGATGACCTTCCACTCTGATCTCCTCTCTTCTTTCCAGGAAGAAAAAAAATGACTAAATCACAGGACCAAACCTCATTCTTGCTGATACACATTTTCTGGCTACCTTCCCATAACTGGCCTTCCCTACATCCTTTTTATTTTTTCTTTAGCTGATGATGATATTTAAGCCTGAATTCCAAGCCACCTCAGAGTTACTCTTTCCTTGAATTTTATCCCAGGTATATAGGAAGCACACATGTTAATAAATGGCTGTTTGTTTTTCTCTTGTTAATAGGTCTTTTGTTATAGGGGCCCCAGCTTACAAGGGTCCAAGAACTTTGAAGAGTAGAGAGAAAAATATTTTTTTCTCCCCTACAATATCCTGGATTTGATTACTGATGCTGCCACTTTACTAGCTGTGAGACTTTGGGCAAATTATTTGACCTCTGCATGCCTCTGTTTCTTCATCTGGAAAGTGGGGCTACAATGCAATTCTGACACTAATTACGTGGAGTTAGGTAAAATTTCACAGAACAAGGGCTCAGACCTCCACAAGACTGGCCTCACTTCAAACACTAGCCACAAACTCAGGGATTCCCAGGCCACCTGCACTTCTGACCAAATGGCCTCAAGTTTGGAGGCTTTCACTACCTCTCCAGGTTTGATAATTTGCTGGAACAACTCCCAGAACTCAGGTATGTGCTATACTCTCACAGTTTTATTATAATAGAATCAGCAAAAAGAAAAGACACACAGAGCAAGGTCTGGGAGGATCTCTGTGCAAAGCTTCCATGACTTCTCCTTGTGGGGTCACGACATGCCAGACCCACTCAAGCTTCAGTGTCCACAGATTTTATTGGGGTTTCATTATATAATGAGGCATATATAATTATATAGGCATGATTGACAGAATCATTGACCATGTGATTGAACTCAGCCTTTAGCCTGCCTTCCCTCCCAAGAGGTTGGACTGATATCGTATGGGTCAGTCCTTTAATCACATGGCCGGTCTTTCCAGCATAGTCAGCCCTCATCCTGAAACTATCTAGGGACCCACCATGAGCCATCTCATTAGCATAATCTATCAGGACCCACCATGAAGAGCAAAGACACTATCACTCAGGAAGTATCTAAGGATTTAGAGGCTTCTTTGTTTCCATGGACCAGGGAGAAAGTCCAGCCAAATCCATTACTATGTAGCAGGGGCTAATGATAAGATCTACCTCAAGTGGCTGTTGTGAGGATTAAGAGAGCTAATAAATGTAAATTAGTTAAAACACTGTCACTCTAGAAATGTTAGCCATTATCGGTCATTAAATATTAGATATTTCTGCATATGTTCAATAGGTGCTATTAAACCTCACACTTGTGCTACATTTTCCTCCCTAAGAGGAAATATAGGAAATATTTCCCTAAGATAATCCACCTTAATTTGTCTAAATGTAATAGACCCCATAGGAAATTCATGCAAATGCTGAAGAATACCTAGTTTTCGACCATGTTTACAAGATCTGTGCCAAGTTTCTAACATTACACCATTGTGTGCCAGAGTAAAGTTCTTATATAAAACCTAAAAAATGTTGAGTGACTGGAGGAATTACTAGCAATCCATACTTCAGGCTAAGCCATCCAGCTGCAAGGAAACATAATCAATTTATAATATTCGTTTTTTGTTAATCGCTTCAACAAATGCTTATGTAATGCCAGGTGCTACTCAAAGTGTGGAGGCTACAGCAGTGAACTAAACAAAGCTATTGCCTTCATTGAGCTTGTATTCTAATGGAAAAATTCAGATAATAACCACATTTTAAAAATACACGTATTTTAATATATTTGATTATATATATATATATGGTGAAAAATAAAGCTGAGTTAAGGGATGGAGAGTGACTTAGGGTTCTATATTTAATAGGGTAGTCAAAGAGAAGCTTTCTCTAAGGAGGTAACATTTAAGGCAAATCTGGAATGAAGTGACTCCTATGTCTCCTGACCTGTTTTCTACTGTGTATGTACCAGCTGTTCTGCCCTGCTGGTATATGCATGCATAGTCTTTCTCTCTCACCTTCTCTCTACATTAAGCCAGTTCACCCTGTTTATAGCTGCCCATTTCTTCTACATGTCAAGGTCAGTTTAAAATTCAATGATGTTCTACACCTCGTCATTTTGAGTCAACATCAAATTTAATAAATGGATAATGCTGATATTGATTTTTTAAGAATTTTAGTCAGAGAGAGTGGTTAAACGGATGATTTTGTAGAGAGAACGCTGGGGCTAACTCGAGCAAGGCAGTTTAACAATCTATCCTTTGAGAAAGCATCAGAATTCAGGTTTGTTTTTGTTTTACTTTTATTCTGCAACTGCAGACTTCAGTTAATATTACGTTATCAGAGACAGTTTGGAATATGGTTTTTTAAATATTCCATTTGACTTAATATCATTTCTCTATGGTGAAATCTCTTTGCTGTAGAAGTTCTTTTTATAGATAATTGAGCCTGAAAGTGAAACCTAGGCATTTGAGGGAAATGTAGCTGATTGTGTTTCCAGAGGGACAGGATATAATCCCAGACTCATTCCTGGAACCAGTGAAGCATGAAGCACAGGACAGTCCTTGATTTCAATAAAAGATCCAAGGCTATTCCCTGACAGTTGGGGGGCAGATTGCCAAGTAAAAGGCTGCCTCATCTTCTCCACCATCTATTCAGGGCACACAGCACTCAGATAATAAATGATGGGCCACTGAAGCCATTAACAAGTAGAAAATGCATTGATAACTTATCTTCTTTTCACGAAAATTCAGCAGAAATATTCATCAAGCCCATTGTCGAAGAAAGAGACATAGATCAAAGAAAAAAATGGAAGGGAGGGAGGGAAGGAGGAAGGGAAAAAAGAAAGAGAGGGAGAGAGAGAAAGAAAGAAAGAGAGAGAGAGAAAAAGTCCTCAGCAAAAAGGATATCCACTTTTACTCTTGGAAAATAGCACTAGAAACAGATAAGTTCCTTAGTTAAAAGCACAGAAGGGGTTATGTTCAGCTTTATAACTGGATAGCAGGGTCGTACATTACAGACCATTATGAACAGAATCATAGGAAGAAAGCAGCAGATATATACAATCAAACCATCTATTGAGGCATGGAACCACGGAGCTGCAGAAATCGCCATAGAAAGCAGTGTAGTGACAATACAATTTTAAATCCATTTAATAGGCAAACTATATCAATTGAAATTTCTCAGGGTGAATGAGTTTAAAACTCGTTATCTGTAGAGCAGCCTATCCCTCGATGCCACTTTATTTACTCAGATGGAGATTGTAGAATATGGGTAAACATTACGGCTCCAGCCTCAACATGCTTTGTAGATAAATCCAATACAGTATTTGTTCTCTATGCCTTTGCATAAGGTTCTTTTCCACTGTAGAAGGAGAGGGTGGAAAGTGAGGAGAATGAAGACAGGGGATATCTTTAAAAGACACTGTGCAAGGAACTGTGAAATAGCAAGATGTGTTTGCCATGCAGGCCATATCCATACTAGAAGGCACTCTGTCATTTAATGTTCCCACTTCAGAGTTTTAAAGAGCTGGGACATGCTCTAACCTCTTCAAAAGGTATACCAGATAGTAAGATTGACTGTATCTAAAGGCACCAGTTAGCCAAAACACTCAGCAAGGTAACTTCACCAGGTAAAAATTATGTAATATGTATTTGTTTTTATGGTTGAATTTTCACATTTTCTCTTTTCTCCAATTGGAAACTAGTTTAGCCTAATGAAGTGAAGTGTCTAAAATGGAACCAAGGGACAAAATGTTCCCAGGAAAGTACAACGAAAATAATTCATCAAAGAATTATGGATAGAGAAGATTGGAAACATTTTCTGTGGAGGGGATGAAAATTGGAATACAAAATGTAAGCATTCAACATAAAAATTTCACCACACCTCTGATGAGTGGTCTGCGGATACTTTTTTTTCACTTACTGAAAGGCAGAGGTGGATTCAGACTAGACAAAGCACTCTGTCTTGCTAAATGTCTTAACTCTTCTTTTTGTCTATTTCATTGGTTACTCATGGAAAGTTTGCTATTTTAGGTAGGAAGGAGAATATTGTGATCACAAGGACCTCTTTGTTCCCATACAAGAAGAATGTTTTGGTGAGTTCACTGATTTGGAGGTGAAATACTCTATATGGAATTTCTTGGAATGAACAGCATATTTGTTGAATGTGCCACGTATACTTACTGTTATAGTAAAGACTCAAGTGTGAGATATTGGCGTGGGATTTGGAGCATTTCACTTAGTCTCTCCATGGAGTGTTTTTTATGTATAAAATCAGAAATTTAGATTAGGTAATCTGAAACCCATTCAATGTTCTATGATTTGAATCTTTATCAAGGACCTTAGAATGGTACATAATATTTTTAGGGTAAGAGATCTCAGCCAATATGAACTGGTCTTTATCAGGCACTTGCATATGACTTTTAATCCTCCAAGGATTAAAAGCAACCCTCTAAGCAACCTTACGAGTTTACCAGCACAGCAATCCTATAAGGTAGTTACTTTCACTTTAAAATTTAATTTGTTTGAGATAATAAGCAAGCCTATAAAGATTAAATAAAATTCTCAAGATTTCACAGTTATGAAATGGAAGAGGTTGATCAAATCCAGGTCTACCTGATCACAAAGATAAGTTTTTAACCACTGGGCCGTATTACCACCCTTAGAGAATGTGGTCAATCCCGTGTCCTCATTTTTACATCTGTAACTGCCAGCTAAATGAGGTCAAGTAACTTGCTGAAGGTCACAGAGTCAAAAGTGGCAGAGTCAGAATCTGAATCCAGGTTTGTTTTCCTCCAAGTTGATATATATTACCTTACACCACATGGCCTGTTTTCTGAAGCTACAAAATAGTACGTAAGCCAAGCAGGAGGGTAGTATTTCCTAGGATTCTAATGATCAGATTTAATAAACATAAGTTCATATAACTAGAGAGATCCTAACTGAAGTCCAGGGTAGGTTAATTTTCAAAACAAAAACACAAAAAAAAGAGAAAATAAAACAGACTTAATGAGAACTGAAGATTAAATTTAAAAGGCTTACATGCCAACTTTCCATCAACTTGCAATCAAAATGGTATCTAAATTCCCATTATTTCCTGTCCCTAAGAATAGTCTAGATCCAAAAATGTCCTGAGTTCAAGATCTTTGGAGAGCCTCTCCAGTTTACATGAACATTACTGCCAACAGGAGCCATAGAGTAGCAATTTAAATGGACCACCTTGGTTTCCTGTGGAAGTCTCATCATTCATAGACACATGAGCATCTTTTGTAATGGTGAATGTCTTGATGCTTAAAACTTTATCAATTTTAAGCTGTCATAAGAAAAGCAGCAATTCCTTTGCACAGAGAGAATATGTACATATATTTTGTCCCATCAAAGATGACTTCAAAAGTCCTCCTCCAATTTGCTTTGAGAAAAAATAGCCTTTAAGCTGAGATTAAGAAGGGAAAAACTTCCGATAAAAGGGAGTATTTTTCAAAAACTTGCAAGTGACTGCAAAGCCAGTTAACACAGAAAACCTTGTCACCTTAAGTATGCCATTTGTTATCACACATGCCGGAATACATCTATTCATCTTCTTTTAATTGCTTAGCTGCGCTAGAAATACAAAGCAGCTCACTGAAGCAGAGACTGTGAAAGAATATTTTGTCATGGAAACTTTGAAAACATTTCAAAGCAGGAGCTCTTCTCTGGTTAAATGAAACCTTCTAGCTGTTTCTTGGGCATTGTGTTTGGCTGATAAGAGTCTAGAACAGGTCTTCTCTCTGTGTGGCTTTTGCTTATATCTTCTTGTGCTCACGGATGGCTGATAAAATTCCTGCAATTTTCCAAGTAGAGTTTAGAAGAGTAGCAGGTTATTCTTTCTTCCTCTTCTCTTGCAAAATGACAAGTGAGATGATCCCTGAGTAAGGAGGTAAATACTGGTTACCACTCTGTGTGTAGCCAAGATGAATCTTGGGGCATTTTTGAACCCATCCTCCCTCTGAAGAATTTTGCTGAAAGTTGTTTTACAAAAATTAATTGGGAGGCCATTAGCCTGAGACAGCTCCAGAACCTTGAGTACCTACATCAGCAAAGTGAAACCCAACTCAAAGTGAAGGGTCACAGCCTAGGACAGCAAAACAGGGTTAACCAATCAGAAACTGCCAGAAACCTCTAACTAGGGACTTTCCACTTTAATCAAATATTTTCTCTGTCTTGCTTGCCAGAACATCTTATACAATTTTCCCTTCACAGCACCTCTGTGGAGCCCTGAATTGCTAGTGATCTGGCACTGGCGGATTTATGAATCGCTGTTTGCTCAAATAAACTCTTTAAAAAATTTAATGTGCCTAAGTTTGTCTCTTGGTTTAAAGTCTGTTTTATCAGAGACTAGGATTGCAACCCCTGCCTTTTTTTGTTTTCCATTTGCTTGGTAGGTCTTCCTCCATCCTTTTATTTTGAGCCTATGTGTGTCTCTGCACATGAGATGGGTTTCCTGAATACAGCACACTGATGGTTCTTGACTCTTTATCCAATTTGCCAGTCTGTGTCTTTTAATTGGAGCATTTAGTCCATTTACATTTAAAGTTAATAGTGTTATGTGTGAATTTGATCCTGTCATTATGATGTTAGCTGGTTATTTTGCTCGTTAGTTGATGCAGTTTCTTCCTAGTCTCGATGGTCTTTACATTTTGGCATGATTTTGCAGCGGCTGGTACCGGTTGTTCCTTTCCATGTTTAGCGCTTCCTTCAGGAGCTCTTTTAGGGCAGGCCTGGTGGTGACAAAATCTCTCAGCATTTGCTTGTCTGTAAAGTATTTTATTTCTCCTTCACTTATGAAGCTTAGTTTGGCTGGATATGAAATTCTGGGTTGAAAATTCTTTTCTTTAAGAATGTTGAATATTGGCCCCCACTCTCTTCTGGCTTGTAGGGTTTCTGCCGAGAGATCCACTGTTAGTCTGATGGGCTTCCCTTTGAGGGTAACCCGACCTTTCTCTCTGGCTGCCCTTAACATTTTTTCCTTCATTTCAACTTTGGTGAATCTGACAATTATGTGTCTTGGAGTTGCTCTTCTCGAGGAGTATCTTTGTGGCGTTCTCTGTATTTCCTGAATCTGAACGTTGGCCTGCCTTGCTAGATTGGGGAAATTCTCCTGGATGATATCCTGCAGAGTGTTTTCCAACTTGGTTCCATTCTCCCCATCACTTTCTGGTACACCAATCAGACGTAGATTTGGTCTTTTCACATAGTCCCATATTTCTTGGAGGCTTTGCTCGTTTCTTTTTATTCTTTTTTCTCTAAACTTTCCTTCTCCCTTCATTTCATTCATTTCATCTTCCATTGCTGATACCCTTTCTTCCACTTGATCACATCGGCTCCTGAGGCTTCTGCATTCTTCACGTAGTTCTCGAGCCTTGGTTTTCAGCTCCATCAGCTCCTTTAAGCACTTCTCTGTATTGGTTATTATAGTTGTACATTCTTCTATATTTTTTTCAAAGTTTTCGACTTCTTTGCCTTTGGTTTGAATGTCCTCCCGTAGCTCAGAGTAATTTGATCATCTGAAGCCTTCTTCTCTCAGCTCTTCAAAGTCATTCTCTGTCCAGCTTTGTTCCATTGCTGGTGAGGAGCTGCATTCCTTTGGAGGAGGAGAGGCGCTCTGATTTTTAGAGTTTCCCGTTTTTCTGTTCTGTTTTTTCCCCATCTTTGTGGTTTTATCTACTTTTGGTCTTTGATGATGGTGACGTACAGATGGGTTTTTGGTGTGGATGTCCTTTCTGTTTGTTAGTTTTCCTTCTAACAGACAGGACCCTCAGCTGCAGGTCTGTTGGAGTACCCTGCAGTGTGAGGTGTCAGTGTGCCCCTGCTGGAGGGTGCCTCCCAGTTAGGCTGCTCGCGGGTCAGGGGTCAGGGACCCACTTGAGGAGGCAGTCTGCCCGTTCTCAGATCTCCAGCTGCATGCTGGGAGAACCACTGCTCTCTTCAAAGCTGTCAGACAGGGACATT
This sequence comes from Homo sapiens, assembly GCF_000001405.40. NCBI lineage: Eukaryota > Metazoa > Chordata > Mammalia > Primates > Hominidae > Homo > Homo sapiens. Next base: position 8,352,336 of record NC_000007.14, on the reverse strand, counting down.
TAAGTCTGCAGAGGTTACTGCTGTCTTTTTGTTTGTCTGTGCCCTGCCCCCAGAGGTGGAGCCTACAGAGGCAGGCAGGCCTCCTTGAGCTGTGGTGGGCTCCACCCAGTTCGAGCTTCCCGGCTGCTTTGTTTACCTAAGCAAGCCTGGGCAATGGCGGGCGCCCCTCCCCCAGCCTCGCTGCCGCCTTGCAGTTTGATCTCAGACTGCTGTGCTAGCAATCAGCGAGACTCCGTGGGGTAGGACCCTCTGAGCCAGGTGGGGGATATAATCTTGTGGTGCGCCATTTTTTAAGCCCGTCGGAAAAGCGCAGTATTCAGGTGGGAGTGACCCGATTTTCCCGATTTTCCAGGTGCCGTCCATCATCCCTTTCTTTGATTAGGAAAGGGAACTCCCTGACCCCTTGCGCTTCCCGAGTGAGGCAATGCCTCGCGCTGCTTTGGCTCGTGCATGGTGCGTGCACCCACTGACCTGCGCCCACTGTCTGGCACTCCCTAGTGAGATGAACCCGGTACCTCAGATGGAAATGCAGAAATCACCCGTCTTCTGCGTCGCTCAGGCTGGGAGCTGTAGACCAGAGCTGTTCCTATTCCGCCATCTTGGCTCCTCCCCCACCCCCCGCCCAATCCTAAGTTTATCTCTTAACAAAGTAAATACTGCACACGTATTTACATGTTTTAAAATATTGTTTATGGAGCACTTACTATGTGTTTTACGGTCCAAGTACTTTATATTATTCACTGACTCTTTATAGCAACTCTATAACATATTAATAGATTGTCTCAATTTCACTGATGACAAAACTGGCAGCTTAGTAACTAATGAGTAACAATACCAGCCCCTAAAACCTAGGGTCTTTCCACTACAGCACACTCTGACTGACATTGCTCTTGTTCAGACACAGCACTCTTCACCTAGAAAAGGATGGAGAGCTAGAAAGTGGTTTTCTTTTTCAAGTTGTTCCCATTCATCAATATTCTATCAAGATATATGGAAGAGTTATTTTCTAGGTCTTCCAGGAGGGGCTGCTGACACTTGGGAATTCAAAATAATTACTCCAGAGGGAAATGTGGGCATAGAAACTTTTTAAAAACTGAATTTTCCCGATCTAATATCGGCTTCCACATACAGTATATTATTTCTTAAAAATCAGCCAGAAATGCACCTGCAGTTTTATCTACTGGATTTTCCTTTCCCAGCCCCATTCTTCTTTAAGTAGTTTTTTTTCCCCATTTTATAAAAGAAAAGCATACCTCCCACCTATAGCTTCCCTCCTTATGGTATATTATCTCAGGGGATAATTTGAAATATTGCTTGAGACACAATTCTCATTAAGAAATAAACTTTCCGGCTGGGTGCAGTGGCTCACACTTGTAATCCCAGCACTTTGGGAGGCCAAGGCGGGGGAGGATCCCTGAAGGCCAAGAGTTCAAGACCAGCCTGGAATATATACCAAGATCCCCTCTCCACAAAAAAAAAAAAAAAAAAAATAGCCACACATGTAGTCCCAGCTACTTGGGAGGCTGAGATGGGAGGATCACTAGAGCCCAGGAGCTCAAGGCTGCAATGATTGCATCACTGCACTGAAGCCTTAGCAATAGAACAAGGCCCCGTCTCAAAAAAATTTTCAATGATTTTTCAATATTTTGCAATAATTTAATATGTTTACTTTGGTTTTATAAATTCTTAATTAACAAAAGTGTCATTGCTACTTAGAGCCTTACCAAATTTTTAAAAATTTTTAATTTATAAACATATTGTGATAACAGATAAATATGATAGGATGATCAATAAAACACTGTCAAACAAAAATATGTACTTCATTAGGATAAAATGAAGTGAGAGAAGTGAGAAAAAAGAACGTAAGAATAATGTTAAATGACTGACTCTTAAAGAAGAGTTTGTTCTTGTAATTTTAATGGATAGTGGTGGATATCAAATCACTGTCATATTAGATTCCCACTGCATATATTTAAATATGACTAACATAATAGTTTTATTTTAAAAGAAATATGGTTTTCAGGCAAGTTTAGGGCCTCAAAAAATGCCATATTGATTTGCTATTCTTAACAGAGATGAGCTCAGGAAATAGGATGAGTACCAAAGGCCAATATTCAGACTCTAATGAATGCATGCAGGTTGGTATAATTTCCTCTCCTCTAATCCCATTATATTCATTTCATGAAAAATGCTTTCATATTATACCATTTCCTCTTCTGGTTAATATCTTTGTCACGTGGGAAGATATCAGCCTTTAATGATTTAGTTATTTAAACTTTTTTGATAATCTCTGTCCTTTGATCGACCCTTCCACTTCACCTCTTCTCCAGTCACAAGAACTGAGTAAAAGAATTGTCAGCAAATCAAGTTACAGAGTGTTGGAAAGGTTATTGTGCCAGGAACTGCTATTATCTTTCTGACAAAAATTATAACAAGCACAGGAAAAGGTGCAACTAGAATTCATTAATAACCTACCACTCAGAAATAGAGGATACCATGGTGCAGATTTTAGAAACAATATAAATGGTTGATATTCAAAGAAATGCCATAATTCATGTTCAGAATTGATTTTCCTTACCTTTTTGCTGAGACTGTCAATAAATGAAATGGCTATTAAATTCAGCAACAGTGGAGTAATATGATGCATGTCAACTAAGAAATTGGAAGTTGCTTCATCATTCACCACCATTACAAATACTTGCCTGAATGCTCAACATAATGCAGCCCATCAGACCTTGGGGTTCAGTTCAATAAAGGCACATGTCAGTCCTGGAAGATTTTTGTGATAGCATGTTCTCACCAGCATACTTCTCCTAAAGCAGGAGTGGAAATACACACACACTACAATGAGAAGATACAACCTTTGATGGTAACACATTTCACTTTTTGGCATGTCTATAAATTTAGACTTTATGGAAAAATATTATTAAGTTGGAAATGATTTCAAATTCAAATTAGCACTTATTGTAAAATAAATATTCATTTTATAACCACAAAAATAATTTTAGCCAACATTTATTGAGTGCTCTCCACCATGAAGTATACATACTTTACATATTGGATTATTCAGGCATCATGACAACACTTTGAAGTAGATGCTTCTATTACCTTCATTTTAAATACAAGAAGCCCAGGATTTAAAAAGGTAAATACGCCGGGCACAGTGGCTCATGCCTGTAATCCCAGCACTTTGGGAGGCCAAGGCAGGCAGATCACGAGATCAGGAGTTTGCAACCAGCCTGACCAACATGGTGAAACCCTGTCTCTACTAAAAATACAAAAATTAGCTGGGTGTAGTTGTGGGCACCTGTAATCCCAGCTACTCAGAAGGCTGAGGCAGGAGAATCACTTGAACCCAGGATGCAGAAGTTGCAGTGAGCTGAGATCACACCATTGCACTCTAGCCTGGGTGACAGAGTGAGACTCCATCTCAAAAAAAAAAAAAAAGTTAAATAAATTGTCTAACGCCATTTGTCAAATAAGGTAGAGAAGCCCAACTCCAGCCCAGGACTGAAAGCCCTCGATCTAAAACTGCTCTTTCCAATATGGTGGTAATAGCACTTGAAATGTGGTCAGTCAAAATTGAAATGTACTGTATGTGTAAAATATACACGATATTTTAAAGACTTAGAATTTTGAAAAGAAGTTACTTATCTCAAGAATAACTTTTTGTTTCAGAGACGGAATCTTGCTCTGCTGCTCAGCCTGGAGTACAGTGGCACAACCAGGATTGCAGCCTCAAATTCCTGGGCTCAAGTTATCCTCCCACTTCAGCCTCCTGAGTAGCTGAGACTACAGGCATGCACCATCATGCCCAGCTAATTTTTTTTTATTTTTAGTAGACACAAGGTCTTGCTATGTTGCCCAGGCTGATCTTGAACTCCTGGCCTCAAGCAGTTCTCCCACCTTGGCCTCCCAAAGTGTGATTACAGGAGTGAGCCGCCATGCCTGGCCTGAAGAATAATTTTTAAATAATTACATGTTGAAATGACAATTTTCTGGCTATGTTGGGTTAAATTTAAAATATTACTAAAATTAATTTCATATTTTCATTTTTTCTGTTTCCAAAGAGGCCACTAAAAAAATTTTAAATGTATGTGATTAATGTATGTGATTCACAATATATGTCTATCATACAGTGCTGATGTAAACCATTGCGTATAGCACCATCTTTATAGGTACGTAAGGATGGATGGGTTGATGGATAGATATATATTTTAGTATAGAATAATATTAAAATATAAAAGGATGTAAAAATATTAACAGTGGTGTGTTAGTCAGCTTGGACTACCATAACAAAATACCATAGACTGGGTGGCGTAAAAAACAAATTTATTTTCACAGTTCCAAAGGCTAGAAGTTCAGGGTCAAGGTGCCAGCATGATCACATTTCTGTCTTGGAGATGGCCATCTTCTTTGTGTGTCCCAACATGGAAGAGATAGCCAATGAGCTCTGGTTTGTCTCTCCCTGTTTTCATAAGGGCACAAATCCTATTGGATTAGGGTCCTCATGACCTTGTTTAACCTTGTTTACCTCCCAAAGGCCCCTTTTCAAATACTATCACTGTATTAGTCCGTTTTCATGCTGCTGATAAAGACATACCCAAGACTGGGCAATTTACAAAAGAAAGAGGTTTAATTGGACTTACACTTCCACATGGCTGGGGAGCCTCACAATCATGGTGGAAGACAAGGAGGAACAAATCATGTCTTACATGGATGGCAGCAGGCAAAGAGAGGGAGAGAGAGGGCTTGTGAAGGGAAACTCTCATTTGTAAAGCCTTCAGAGCTCATGAGACTTATTCACTATCACAAGAACAATATGGGAAAGACCCGTCCCTGTGATTCAATTACCTCCCACTGTTTCCTCTCATCATACATGGGAATTGTGGAAGTTACAATTAGAGATGAGATTTGGGTGGGGACACAGCCAAACCATATCATTCCACCCCTGGCCCCTTCCAAATCTCATGTCCTCACATTTCAAATCCAATCACGCCTTTCTAATATTCCTCCAAAGTCATAACTCATTTCAGCATTAACTCAAAAGTCCACAGTCTCAGACAAAGCAAGTCCCTTCAGCCTATGAGCCTATAAAATCAAAAGCAAATTAGTTACTTCCTAGATACAGTGGGGGTTCAGGCATTGGGTAAATACAGCCATTCCAAATGAGAGAAATTGGCTAAAACAAAGGGGCTACAAGCCCCATGCAAGTCTGAAATCCTGTGGGGTAGTCAAATCTTAAAGCTCCAAATGATCTCCTTTAACTCGATGTCTCACATCCAGGCTTTGAAGGGTACAGACTCCCTCCCAGCTGCTTTAACAGGCTGGCATTGAGTGTCTGTGGCTTTTTCAGGCAAACAGTGTAAGCTGTTGGTGGATCTAGCATTCTGGGTTCTGGAGGATAGTGATGACCCTCTTCTCACAGCTCCACTAGGTGGTGTCTCAGTAGAGATCTGTGTGGGGACTCCAACCCCACATTTCCCTTTTGCATTGCCCTCATAGGGGTTCTCCATGAGAGCCCTGCCCCTGCAGCAAACTTCTGCCTGGGCATCCAGGCATTTCCATACATCCTCTGAAATCTAGGCAGAGGTTCCCAAACTTCAATTCTTGACTTCTGTGCACACACAGGCTCAACACCACATGGAAGATGCCAAGGCTGGGGGCTTGTACCCTCTGAAGCAACAATCTGAGCTGTACCTTGGCCCCTTTAGTCATGGCTGGAGCAGCTGGGATGCAGGACACCAAGTCCCTAGACTGCACACAGCGAGGCACCCTGGGCCCAGCCCACAAAACCACTTTTTCCTCCTTGGCCTCTGGGCCTGTGATGAGAGGGGCTGCTGTGAAGACCTCTGACATGCCCTTGAGACATTTTCCCCATTGTCTTGGGGATTAACATTTGGCTCCTCATTACTTATGCAAATTTCTGCAGCCAGCTTGAATTTCTCCTCAGAAAATGGGATTTTCTTTTCTATCACATTGTCAGGCTGCAAGTTTTCTGAACTTTTATTCTCCATTTCCCTTTTGAAACTGAATGCCTTTAACAGCACCCAAGTGGTGAACCAGGTCACCTCTGGAATGCTTTGCTGCTTAGAAATTTCTTCTGCCAGATACCCAAAATTATCTCTCTCGAGTTCAAAGTTCCACAAAGCTCTAGGATGGGGGCAAAATGCCCAGGGGCAAAATGCTGCTAAACATAACAAGAGTCACCTTTGCTCCAGTTCCCAAGAAGTTCCTCATCTCCATCTGAAGCCACCTCAGGCTGGACTTCATTGTCTATATCACTATCAGCATTTTGGGCAAAGTCATTCAACAAGTCTCTAGGAAGTTCCAAACTGTCCCACGTTTTCCTGTCTTCTTCTGAGCCCTCCAAACTGTTCCAACCCCTGCCTGTTACCCAGTTCCAAAGTCGTTTTCACATTTTCGGGTATTTACAGCAGCAACCCACTCTACTGGTACCAATTTACTGTATTAGTTCATTTTCACACTGCTGATAAAGACATACCTGAGACTGGGCAACTTACAAAAGAAAGACATTTAATGGACTTACAGTTCCACATGGCTGGCGAGGCCTCACAATCATGGTGGAAGGCAAGGAGGAAAAAGTCATGTCTTACATGGATGGCAGCAGGCAAAGAGAGGGAGAGCTTATACAGGAAAACTCCCATTTTTTAAAGCCATCAGATCTCGTGAGACTTATTCACTATCATAAGAACAGCATGGGAAAGACCCGTCCCCATGATTCAATTACCTCCCATTAGTTTCTTCCCACAACACATGGGAATTGTGGGAGTTACAATTCAAGATGAGATTTGGGTGGGGACACAGCCAAACCATATTAATCACATTAGGGGCTAGGGCTTCAACATATGAATTTTGGAGAACATCATTCAGTCCGTAAAAAATAATTATCTCTGGATAGTTGAATTACAGGTAATTTGTATTTTTCTCTTTATTTTGTTCTGTCCCAATAATTGTATGTATTTCTTTTTTAATCATAAAACACACATAGGCCAGGTGTGGTGGCTCATGCTTGTAATCCCAGCACTTTGGGAGGCTAAGGTGGGAGAATCACTTGAGCCAAGGAGTTCGAGACCAGCCTGGGCAATACATGGAGAAACCCCATCTCTACAAAAAATTAGCTGGATGTGGTTATGCATGCCTGTAGTCCCAGCTGCCCAATAGGCTGAGGTGGGAGGATTGCTTGAGCCCAGGAGGTCGAGGCTACAGTGAGCCATGATAGCTCCACTGCACACCACCCTGGGTGACAAAGCAAGACCCTGTCTCAAAAAAGGAAAAAAGAAAGAAAAGAAAACACACCTGTATTTCCATTACAATGCTATTGTGACAAAAGCTTTAGGGTCATTCTTCAGGATTCTTCTTTGTGTTATAATTTTATAATAAAGATTAAAATGTTCATCAACATTAGGCATTTATTTCTTATGTGGTATTATTTTGCTTCAGTGAGCACTTTCATGATTTGTAACTTCCAAATGGTGAGTTGTCTCTAATGTTTAAGAGACTCTGGCAGGACCAAACCACCCAGGGTAATGCTCAGAGGTTCTCCCTCTGCCCCAAGGAGAAGCTCCTGCCCTTTTGCCTGTGATTCTAGTGGCTCTGGAAGTATGAAGAAACAAGAAGGATGGCTCAAGTGCGGAATATGCTAAGGACTCCAAGCAGAAAGCTCAATGCCAATGCATGAGCAGACACAAGAATTGACCTTGCTTATCCGTCACATATTTCAAACATTCATCTCTTTGTAGATAAATAAGGGATATTAAAAATACACAAAGATATACATTTATATGTATGTAACTATAATATATTATTCTTTATATGAAACCTGATGAAATTTTCAGGCTCATTTAACCAGTAGTCAAATGACCAGGAAACCAGGTGGGAGCTACAGACCAAGATATTTTTGGATAATAGGATGCTAAATGGGAAAGACAGATTAGTTACAAGCATTTGATTCTCAACAGATTTCGTGTCTCCCTCTCTACCCCCATTCCAATAACTATGTCTGCTAGCTATTGAATAACGGGGTTTAAAATCTCCTGGACTATTATCATAGCTGCAGTAGCAATCTTTTAACACGGTGCTTGCTCATTCAACCCCTATTATAATTTTCAGTGAAGTAAAATATCACAAAGTCATTCAAATTCATAGACTAAAGATATATCTATAGTGACAAAGTAAAGTATAGGATAAAATTCATTATCCTGATAAATTGATGAACATGGACAGTCACTCTGAATAATTTGAGCCAAAGGAACTTTTTCCTCTCAATGGTTGGATATTTTTGGCCTGATTTATCCACATAATTGCCTCAGCTCTTCATTTCATTTTGCCCATGTCAACACAACAAAGTCTCTGTACTTGATTTTTGAAAGCTTCAGTATTTCATGTCACGTTAGCAAGTGAGACGCACATAGCAAATTCTGGATGGGGTTCTTGTGACAAATGACTTCTATGGTTTGCACGTGTCTCCTCAATGACAGCTGCTGGGAAGAAACATCACCTCCCAGCTGCACAACTTGATCCCTCTCTCCCTTGTGAATTAGGAGGAATTGAATGTTTGGCTGTAAAGTGGCACTTCGCACTACTCTCGTTGAATATCACAATTGTGCCTGCACAAAAGGAAACAAAAAACCTCATCATTGGCAACTGATGGGAGAAAAAATAGTCCTCTCATTACAGAGATAATAAGCAGGATGTTCCCCTGCAGCCTTCTTTCTTAATTCTCCTTATTGTATTTTATTAAATGATGCAGTTTGAAATTAAGGCTCTGGCAACCTTTGTGCACACTCTGCATAAACAAGCAAAACAGAAACACAGTTAAAAGAGCAAGTATAAACCCCTCCCAAAAGCCATCTGCTTTCTTCTTGTTATGAAACTTCAATTCATCAGCAAAAGTCTAAAGAAAATATTTATAGCAGAAATGTAAGCTGCATTCTGAAGCTGCTTGGAAGCAGGGTTAGTGGAACATTAGAAAACTCAGTTAGGCTGTGTCACTTAGTAACAAATCTAGAACTGGTCATTTAACCTGCCTCATTCACTCTTTCAACCTTTTGTGCGCTTGTCCGTTCATCTGACAGAATTTATTCAAGACCCTCAATGTGCCAGGACTTGTGGTAGGTGTTTCCACATCATTAAATGAAGATAATTGTTATACCAGCCATGTGTACCTCTCCAGGTTACTGAAAGCATTGCTGTAAAATATAAAACAAAAACATCTGTGTTTATTTTCTACCAGTAAGCCACTAGAAGAAAGTATACATTCATTTAGTTACATATGCAAAAAGTGTAAACATGATTATATAACTTAAGGGGAAATTTTATTTTATATATCCACTGTCACAAATTTTTTGCTAATTTTCACCCTGGTTCATCAGATAAAATATATTCCTATTTCTATTCTTACTCATTGCTCTTCTCAGCGAAGGGAAAACAGTGAACCATGCACTATAGATTTTTTTAATGCCATTAGGCAGTCACACTATGTAAACATACAAATAAATATACCATACCTAAGCAATAATACCAACATACACTTCGAGTTTGCTAAGCAAAATGTCACCTTGAACTTCCTTTCCATTTGCCCCACAATTTATACTTCTCCAATACTCACAACCACAGCCCAAAGTGAAATCAGACGGGAACCTGGAGATTTTGTGTGAACAAAAAAGATAACTTCATTTTGTTCAGCAAGTGAATTGAAATGGGGATATTTGTTTTCACAGCATAGTCTAGCCTATCCTAACAAATTCAGAATTTTTATCAGTGATAAGAGGCCAACACAAAGAAACCTGAAACGTGTAGCAATGACTTAGTAATTAGGCAGAGGGCAGTGAAGAATCCAATGTTAGAGGCTGGAAAAAATGGCAATCCATTTTAAGCAGTAGGAAACCATTTGGCAAAAATTAAAATCCTGTGGTAATTTGGGAGGCAGACTGTGGGGCTTCTGAGTCCAACGACTTAGGGAAACAATGTTGAAAGTGAATGTTGGCTGTATTTGGCAGAGGATTACAATAATGAAATAAGCTCAGGAAAACCCTGGCTGGCTTGCAAACAGAAATGAAAGGAATAAAAATCGTTCAGAAATTTGGAAGTTTCTAAGTTGGAACAGTGACTACTTCTAGGCTCTAAACAGGAAGACTTGGCATCTCAAAAGACTGCCACAAAATCACAGTGAAATGTCCCCATTGGATGAAATGACTTAGGATGAGAATCAATTAAGAGTGTAAACAGATTAAGTGTGTGAACTTTCTACCTCTTAGTCAGACATCTTCAACACAGCCCCCATATAGAAGAGAGAGAAATGCACAGAAGTGAGAAAGCAACGAAACAAAGCAGATTTTAGAATTATGCCTAGAAAAGAACTTTAGGTGTGGTTACTACCACATGAAAGTTATTTAAAGCAAATAGATCAGAAGCCTACTGTGTGTTTGAGGGAAATGCATTGTTAAATAAATCATGAGCCTGGACTAAAAAAAGCCACTGACATTTTGAGACTTATAACCCTTAAGCTGCCAATGTTCTGTGGGAAAGAAGTTTGCTGAGAAAACCGTGCAGCCCCAAAGGAAGACGTATTCCCCCTCAACCACTTCAGAGAGTAATGGAAAAGAAAGAATATCTTGGAGGGCACAGATTACAGCCATAGAGGACAATGGATAAAAGAATGCCTCTCGAGGACCAGAACCAAGGCCTAATTAAGGAACATTTACCATCCCCTGCACAGGGGAACTTTCACCATGTCTGACCAGTGAGATGTTATCATTGTTTTGTGTCTCTAATCATCCCCTTTCAAATAGGAATGTATACCATCGTTATTCTGTTCCTTTCCACCACTCTGTATGCAGTGATATAGACAGTGGAGGACAACGATATATGCTTTCTTTCAGTTCATAGGTCAACTGATCAAGAAGAGCCTCATGCAGACATGACAGAGAGGCCCATGTATCCCATTAAGCTTGAAGTAGTGACTAGATTGGACATCAGGATGTGTCCCCTGAGGTTGGATTAAGATGTCTTATGTGGGTGAAGAAAAAAGTAATTGAAAATTTGCTGATTAGAAGGGCAGATGCTGGCAGAGATTGTAAGTGCCTACCAAATATTCACATGTTTTTCTAATTTTCCAAGCCCCCATGCACCTATCAGAGTGGGATCTTGCGACCCGATGAGGCCAGTAGAAAGTAAGCACAAAGGACGTGTAACTTCCACCTCTATCTTGCTCTGCTCTTTGTCTTCCTCTGCTCTGCTGGCCTTGGAGGCTATGTGATCCAGATGGCATAGCTACAAAATAGAGCTTCATCAGATTCTGCATGGGAGAGAAATACTTATTGTTTATACAAAGTCATTAAGATCTGAAGGTTTATTTATTATCACAACATAGCTGAAGTTAGATTAATATATTATGCAATATAAGCCCCATCCTCATTCTCCCTACAAAAGTTTTATCAGGGTCTATGCCGATCACTAGATTTTGTGGTGTGAATAAATGGAGAAGGATAGGTTTGAAAAGATCCCATAAATGTCTATGTTGAAGTGAGCTGAAGCTGAAAACATTAAGGTATTATGTGCAAACACAGACATTTTGCAATGAAGAGCAGCTGATATGCAGGTTATGTTTAACTACGTATCTCTGGGATCTTAATGCCCCTCTCTCTGGATACAGGAAGCAGATTTCAAAACAATTGCAATGGGACATCATAGCTTCATCCTGAGACAGAGTTCAAACACATCCAGGTATGTGTTACATAATGATATGGCAAACTTACAGCAGTGCGTTAATTGGGAGTACAAAAGCCTCCTGAGAAAGAGCCCGTCCTTACGAAGGAAAGAGTTGAGCATCACAAAAGTTGACCCAACCACAAATCCTTTATCATTGAATGAGAGATGTGTTCTGGGCATAAGGTGGCATCTTCATTCATTTCTTTCCCTGGCCCAGGGTCCTGGAGAAACAAAGAACCATAAGTAAAACCTAAAATTTATTTTATTTAAACTTCCTTAAGACATTAGGCATATTGACATAGCTTTAGTAACCATGTAACAGAAAATAGCAAAAAATGAGGAGCAAGGCATTTCCGCAATTTCACTGCCCTCTTTTCAAGAAAAGCCTTGGCATCTTGAAGCACTTGTTGATTCCCTAGTGCAAGGCAGAAAAAGGTAGAAGCAATGACCACCACGAATAGGGTATCAACATGCCCAATTGAATCAACAGCACCCAGTAGAAGTGGTAGTAGGACCCTGTGGGTGTTATTTGGCAAGTAAGATTTTTCATGAATACTCTGGAAATATTTCCTGAAGACCATGATAAATAGTCACAGTCAGAGAGAGAGAGAGAGAGAGAGAGAGAGAGAGAGAGAGAGAGAGAGGATTTTACTGGGTACCGAATTCTTAGGTGAACAAGTGGACCTTACATATCAGTTAACTTTTATCATATGAAAACCCCCGAAACTTACGGGTTTATTACAAGGAGCATTTCTTATTTCTCACAAGTCTGGGTAGAGTGGGCAGCCCCGGTAATCTGGGCTGGGTTTGGATTATCTCATCTGGACTCACTCATGTGTCTGTGATCAGCTAACAGACCAGCTTGAGGTTTGCTGAATGAGGAAGCCTTGACTGAAATGACACAGCTTTCTTCTACCTGTCTCATTCCTCCAGCAATTTAATTCAGTCTTGTCCTGTCAGTGGATACAGGGGTCTGAGAAACAGCAAAAGAGCAAAAGACTTCTGGAGGCCTAAACTTGGACCTGGATCACCATTACTCGCATCCCATTCTGTAGGCCAAAGCAAGTAACAAGGCCACACCAGATTCAAATGTAGACTCCACCTCCATGGGAAAAGCTGCGTAGTCAATTGCATGGGAGGCAGATTCTAAAAGAGCAATGACTGGGGCCTTTTTACACTCAATCTACCATACCTGATATTTTTACTTTTATTGCAATACTCTTCGTGTGAGATAAACTTATAACTCTAGAGTTGGGAGGACCTTAGTGATCATGCTCTACTTCAACCTTCTAATTTCAGAGATAAAGAATTTGAGGACCAAAGTGGTTAAGCAATTTGATTAATGGCTTATAGATGAAGAAGGACTACAAATTTCTTTGATTCAGCTTAGAGCTCTTTCCACCACACTTTACCTTTCTTCCAAGGATACCTTTAGGACAGAACAAAATTTGATTTTGTACTCCATATTTTTGTCCACATTTGCTACAAAACGATTATCTAGAAACTCATCAACTGTAGCCAGCCAAGCCTGTTGGTCTTTCAGCTATGGTTTCCTCACTAGGCCCTGACCTTTTCTACCTTGACCTCCCTTCAGCCATGAGTAAGCTGCCCATGAGCATGTTTCCTGACAGTGAACTTCCATAATCCTAATTGTCTGCCCTGCCCTGGGACTGTTTCTCCCTCTAGGACCAACCTGCCCCAGAAGGTGCCAGCATTTGCCCAGTGATGTCTCATCTAGAGATAACTGCTCCACACACAGTTGCTAATAACTTTAATCTTGCAATGTTCCCTTCCTATTTTGTATCAATAGCCAAATTCTGCCTTCTTCATCTGTAATTTTTCTCCTATATTACAATCTGTATTACAAACCAGAAAACTGAAAGTGTGGTATTTATTTCCTACCTCAAACGATATAAACCCATGTTAACTGACAAGGTATTAAAACAGCTATTCCTCATGTTTTTAACCCGAGTGAGAGGGATAGAAGAAGAGAGAAGGTACAACTTCCTGACAACACAATCTTGATCCTAAGAAGCTGCAACTTGAACATCAGGTACCATCACTCCCTTGGGGGCAAGCATATGTTCAAGTGACTTGTGAGCAGATAGCCCTGGTTTCCATACAAACAGCATGACAATAGGACAAAAAGCTTCAGACTTTAGGCCATTTTTATGATTCATTTCTGTTTTTATGGGCATCCCAGCATAGTTCACCTCATTAGCCATTATAGAGGTTTTAATTCTTGAGTTAATCCTGTGCTCATTCAGTAGAATGAATATTAATATCTTTCTAATGTAATTTTTAATTAAATATAGCATCACCATTATTATACCCAAAAGATCTAAATAGAGTTTGAAAGAGAAGACAGACACTATCACAATAAAAATCAGCAAATTCTGCTCACATCCTTTTCAAAAGGCTGATCACCTATGAAGTAATGAGAATAAATCATGAGATAATGTAGGACAGATCTAATTAAGATAATGAGCTACGATTATGGACATGATTTTCCAGGGTTAAAGATCCTAACAAAAGGCAATCTATGGATATATTTTAAATATCCTCTTTGGTCTACTTACTTATATTAGCTATGCCTCTTAAAAAAAGGAAAATATTCATCAAAAGTAATGACCCCGAGTCTGCTGCAACAGCAGGGTTTTAACTATTTTGCTATCACTGATGCATTTAATACTTTGACATGCTCTTTTTGGGGGGATATTTGACTGGAACATATTTTTTTTCCATCTTGGCATTCAAGGGGAAACAGAGATATTACGATCAATGCTCTCCCTGCACCTTGAAAGCTATATTAAAAAGATATTTTGATTTGACTAGCACAGATTTGGATGGATATTTCTGGAAGAAACTAATTAGCCTGGCTTCAATAGCAGTGGCAGGCAAGACAACCAGGGGAAAGGAGCAATTAAGTTTTGTAGGTATGCCTGGGTGCCATCTCTGCTCCCTGTCCAAAGAGACAACTCAAGGGAGAGAAAAAGTCCAGAAATAAGAACGCTTAATCCTTGGTCAACATTGTTAATAAGCAGAAATAAATATTTCCTGAGAATTGTTGAACTGCTGCAGGAGAGACTGGAAGGATCTCTTGGCTGTATTACTTGATAGAGATTCAACATTGCTCTTTGAAAAGTAAGGCACATTGACCGACACCCACTAAAGCCAATAAGTGGAAGGAACTGCCATCCAAGGGGTGGAAACAGTTCTCCCCATGTCCTGTGCCCTATCTACAGTGGCTCTCAAGGTGAGCAATTAAATCTCACTGGCGATACTTGTGCCACAGTGGATCCCAGGCCCAGAGTCAGCCCCACTAGCATGCTGTTCACAGTTGCTATTATTTGCAACAAGTAGCATCCTACCATGGATCTGTTTCAGACCATGGGGCATGCTCAGCTCATTACCAGCATGGAAATTGTAACTCTGATGCTGTGCGTGACTGCAGTGGCAGTAGACTTCTGGGGTCCATTAACTCCTCAGCTCCAGGACCTTTTAGTGACAAGCCTGTGTGGCTACCTCAAGTGGCTCTTCACCGAAATCTTGAGAGCCTAAAAATCTTTGAAAACAGTGGGCAAAACAAAAGGATGAAAACAACGTAATGATGCATTTGAAAGCAAAGTTGTTGATTCCGTGTTCCCTGGATTTTTATTAGATTTTGCTTTGCATTCCTTTTCTCTATTATATAACCTCTCCCTCCCATCCCCTCATCTCTCTCTCAATCTCTCCACACCCTGTCTGTGTGATATCTCAGAAAGCATATTGCCAATAAGTCAGAAGACTTGTATTTCTAGTACTGGCACCAACTCTTACTAGACGTGTAGGTCTGAGCAAGTCACTTAACCTCTCTGGTCCTCCATTTCCTTAACTCTGTAATCTGTCATCTTGTAGGATTGATGTGAGATAATGACATGTAAGGACATTGAAAATGATAAGCCTTTACTCTGTATATTCTCTATAACATAGCACTGTTGACAAGATGTTCCCACTGCCAATATGTTCCATGGTAGATAAATTTGAGTAGCAAAGCCACTAGATGGAATGCTAATAACCAGTGACTGATACCTTGAAGAAGTAAAATTATTATTTTCAGATTTGCCGTATCTCAAATGCAATCCTTAGGACCCTGGTGAGAGATCTGAGGATCTGGGAAGAGGCTTGAACATCGGCACTGCAACGAGAAGTAATGGAGATGTCTTTTCTAAGGACCTATATCTATCAAACACATTTTAATAATGTTACTCATTCTTCTTACTTTAACACTTCCGCACATCCTATTCATTTTCCTTCCTCTTTCCTCTCAGGATCAAATATGATACAGTACAAAGAGTATTATGGACTTTGTAGGCAGAAAGATCTGGCTGTGCCACTTAGCAAGTTATTCAACTCTCTAAGCTTCAGATTTTTCATCTGTAAAATGGACTCACAGATATGGTCATATCTACTTTAAATTAAAAGTACTTGGTACATGAGTGTTACGCTCCACCTGTGGGGGATTGTTAGCAATGCAGTAAACAGGACCCTCTAGGGACAAAATTCCAAAGTGCTATAATTGGGACCCTCTCACCTCCCTGTCTGGACTTGTTCCTCCTGACAGTTGGCATTCCCTTATTCTAATCCCCTAATTTGGGTGGTGTCATGCACCCTTGGCTGTCTAGTTGCCACTATCCAGTAATTGCATATTCTCCCATATCCCAAAACTAGTTCCTCCCACTTCCTCCAAACTTAAGATGAGCTCAGCTATTTATTACTCTATTTAACATGAGGTTGAGAGTGACTGGCAGCCCACTAACTCCCACAGGTTATTTTTCTTTTAAATTACACATCCGTTGCAGTGCTCGGGTAGAGTGGTGACACTAGACACGCAGTAGAAGGGAGGAAAGCTGCCCATTCTCCTGGGCTTTGTATACAGGAGATAAACACTTTCCAGAGAGGTACTTGCCAGTCAATCCGGATGACTATCCCTCTGCCTGTAAGGTCAATGCCAAGCTGAGCCTCCCTCTATCCATACTCTCTACACTATCATCTATCAATCAAGCTATCATCCAGGACCACATATGCAGCATGTCCAAAACTCAAATGATTATATTTCCAAATTTGTATTCCCTATCCTAGTGATAAACTGCTGGTAACTCAAGCCTGAAATCTGGTAGTTACCTTGACACCTTTCTCTACCACACTTCTGTCCTAGTTCAAATCCTGGTTTCTGGCAATGACTTCCCAATTAGTCATTGTTCCCCTAGTTTTTCTTCAATCAGCTCTCAATGAGGCAGAGAGAATGGTCTTTCCAAAGAGCAAATCAAATAATTTTACACTTCTGTTCAAGCCCTTATATTTGTCCCTCTGGCCTATAAGACAACATCTAAATTCAGAGCCTGTGACCCTCAGACTTTTGAGTCCTGTGCATTTTCTCCAGTCCCCTCACCGGTTTTCCCAGCATCACACCTGTACTCTGATTTGTTAAACATCTCCAGGTCTTGGCATATGCTTGCTACTCAGAAGGCCTTTTCTCCCTTCCCTGCTTCGAGAACTCCTGCTCAGCCTTAGGGATTCAGCTTGAGAGATACCTCTCTCTGGGCTCTCCCTGTGCCTTCCCCACCACTCACCTCCACCCTACTCCTTCCCCATCCCACATACCCCTATTTTATACAAATCTATTTTATCATGACCAACATAGTGTGGTTACAATTATTTGCTAACATATTTGCCTTCTCAACTCATTATGGAAACTTTAAAGACAAGAACTCTTCCTTGACCATCTCTGTGTCCCCAGTGACTGTCATATCATCATTGACCATAGTTGTCCCTCCAAGCCTCTTGCTCCCTCTTCTAGTCATATACATTAGGGCATCCTTCAAGCAACTTTGTGGGGACTTAGTGGCAATGGAAGAAAGCCTGCTTGGGTATTCAACTTTTACTTTGCCCAACACTAGTTGGAGAAATAAAAAGAAACAGTTGGAAGACAGTGGGAAGTAATGGAGATACTAGTTAGTTGTCTGAGTGTCTGAAGTAGTAGTTTATAACCCTAGAAAGCATTGGTACTTACACGGGTCTCGGGATTGTTGATTTCCTATTTTCTTTACAGGGCCACTCTTAGTGCCTAAGTGTCCAACCCTTGTCTTTCTCTCCCTCCAAATGGAGTTTATTTAATCATGTGTTACAAGAAGTATTCTGTCTCTATACATTACAGGAGCTGTAAATTTTGAAAATCTGGTTTCAGTTGAAATGAATTTATCCCAGTGTATTGCCTCAAGATATCTCAATATCACATGACAGTAATACCTGTCATATTTTGGCATTACATACAATGTTATTCCAAAGAAACTATAATTTGGTGTTTTTACCATGATTTTGTGCATTATTCACATTTCTCTGACGTTTGAATCTCAGGGTTCTATATCAGTGCTTTGTTGTTGATTTAATTGCCATCTAAGGCACTTTAATGTGAAAATCATGTCTCTCTTTCTGCTGATGACACCTGTTGTCTTCCCTGTTGAAAACCTTTATTTGGTACTATTCTACAAAGGGTAATAGCAAACAAAAGGTACATCGAGGATTTATTCAATTTATATTGAAATATCAAACTGATAGCAAAAAATGTGGTTGTAAAATATTTATTCTTCAAACCCACACGATTTGTAAACCCTTTCAAACCAACTAGAAATATAAATTCATCCTGTTTCTCTGACCTCCATTATTTATGTGTGTTTACCACCACATAAAACAGAGGTGGTTTTCTTGGCCATAGAGTACAGTATATAAGATCAATTTAATTCAAGGTTTTGCCCATTTAATTAAATAATAATTTCTGTTGGGAGGTATGGGAAGGAGATACTTTCACATATATGTGCATGAATGATTTGTTTGTCTGAGGCTTTGGTGGATGTCGCTGCTGTTGTTACTTACTCCATCTCATATCTCATAGCTGAATTTTATTAAACATGCTCTTATAGCCTGAAAGGATCTTTCTGCATTCTGAATATACTATTCTATATTGTATTGATAACTATTTATTAAAGGTTTATTTACAACATTTAGATGCAAAGGATAGGTTCTAGTCAAATGAGTCCTAGTAGGATGAACTAACTGTATTTAGCTTGAATCTCCATGAATAATATTAGCGATGACCGTTCAACCAGATATTTTTATGGTGTGGGATTAGTGATACCCTAAACCGGACTCTTTCTAACTTTATAACAGATGTTCATTGCAAATGTCTATTTTCCTTAACATTCTGCCTCTAATAACACTGCAAAATACCCCTACATAGGAAGTGCACACATAGTCAAAAGCCATGTTTCCTTAATAGCTAAAGAAGAACATACAAAGTCTTGGACTCTTAGAAAAGAAAGAGAAATGCTGACTCTCCAGTGCTCAGGTGGCCCTGAATCAACTAAAGCTGGATGATTGCTGGATCAACAGACTCCCAGAGGCCTTCAGCCATTTTCATGTGAAAATTTAAATTGATTGCTGATCCTTCAGCTCTTGAAAGATGGGTTTTATCTTTTTTTTTTTTTTTTTGTAGAAAAAAAATTTTTTAAGAGGCAATGCTTCCTTATGGAATAGAGTATTAGAGTATTTTTCAAAAGTGGAAGGCAAGGGGAGGAGCAACGTTTTTGTTGTCGTTATTATTGTTGTTTTTTGTTTTTTGTGAGATGGAGTCTCGCTCTGTCCCCCAGGCTGGAGTGCAGTGGTGTGATCTCGGCTCACTGCAAGCTCTGCCGCCTGAGTTCACACCATTCTCCTGCCTCAGCCTCCTGAGTAGCGGGGACCACAGGCACCCACCACCACGCCTGGCTAATTTTTTGTATTTTTAGTAGAGACGGGGTTTCACCGTGTTAGCCAGGATGGTCTCGATCTCCTGACCTCGTGATCCGCCTGCCTCGGCCTCCCAAAGTGCTGGGATTACAGGCATGATATAAATAAATGAAACTATACACCATATCAATTCTCTGAAAATTAAATTAAATTATATTTCCAGTGCAATCCCAATCAAAATTCCAGCAGTCCTGTGTGTGTGTGTGTGTGTATGTGTATGTGTGTGTGTGTAAGTTGACCACCTGAAACTCAAGTTTCAATAAAATGTGACAGACCAAGAATAGCCAGTATAAGCATAAAGAGGACATAGTTGGAGGATTTCCTCTACCAATTATTAGGACTTATTATAAAGCTATAAGAACTAAGCGAATGTGCCACTGATACATAATAGACAGATCAACACAGGGCAGAGTGGCCAGAACAAACCCATACATATATGGTCACTTGATTTATGACAAATATGACACTGTAGAGAAGTGAGGGAGGGTCATATTTTCAAAAAATGGTGCTGAGTCAATTGGGTATCCATACGGAAAACAATGAAACTTGACCCTTACTTCGCATCATATCAAAAACTCAATTCCAGGTGGATTGTAGATCTAAATGTGAAAGGTGAAACAATCAAGTATCTCAAAGATAACATAAAAAAGCAATTTTGTGACCTTCAGGTAGTCAAAGATTTATTTAACAACACAAAAGAACTCAAACCATAAAGGAAAAATAGATACACTGGGCTTCAATAAAGTTAAGAAGGCCGGGTGCAGTGACTCACACCTGTAATCCCAGCATTTTGGGAGGCCAAGGCGGGCGGATCACGAGGTCAGGAGATCGAGACCATCCTGGTTAACACGGTGAAACCCCGTCTCTACTAAAAATATAAAAAATTAGCCGGGCGTGGTGGCGGGCACCTGTAGTCCCAGCTACTTGGGAGGCTGAGGCAGGAGAATGGCGTGAACCCGGGAGGCAGAGCTTGCAGTGAGCCGAGATCACACCACTGCACTCCAGCCTGGGCGACAGAGCGAGACTCCATCTCAAAAAAAAAAAAAAAAAGTTAAGAATATCCACTTATCAAAAGGCTCTACTAGTAGAGTGAAAAGGCAAGTCACATGGTAAGAACATATATTTTTAACGCTAATAACAAAGGGCCAGTATCCAGAATGTATAAGAACACCTACAAATCAATAGAAATATGCCAGACAAACAGGCAAAAGACGAGAACAGACACTTCACAAAAGAAAATATCCAAATGGCCAATAAACGTATGAAAAGGTGCTCAACTTTTCAATAATCAGGAAAATGCAAGTTAAAACCACAATGATTTTGACATACACACCAGAATGGATAAAATTTTAAATACTAAGATAACTAATGTTTGCAAAGATTTAAACAACTAAAACTCTCATATACTACTTGTGGGAATGTAATTTGTTACAAGCATTTTAAAAAATTCATTGGCATTGTCTATTAGTCACATGTATTTATGTGATCCAGAAAAACCACTCCTAAGTTTATACCCAACAGAAGTGTGAATCTGTGCACACAAAACAGCTTGTACAGGATATTTTTAGAAACATTATTCTTAACTGCAGAAAGAGGAAAACTACCAAAATATTCATCAACAATAGAATGGATAAGTTGTGATATAGTCGTGCTGTGGAATATACCTATCCTTTGCCCGATGAACTTTAATTCATTCCTTAAAACCCTGTCACTAAATCAAAAACATTAAAAGAAAAATATTTATATTAGTTTTAATGGAAAAAACTAATATATTTCATTCTAATCCTAATAACCCAAGATATAAGATCCAGATAGAAAATAATAAATTGAATAATAAATTTATATATGTAAAAAACAATAGATTAGAATAGTTTGCACATAAAATGTAATGAAGGTTTTTTGCATTCAGTCTTTTTTCTTCTTTCTACACCATTTTCTATAACAATTTTTCAACATTTGGGGGGTTAAGCGTTTCTTGCACTCAAATGGCACTGATAAAGTACGGAAAAGCAAAATAGAGGGCAAAATAAAGCTAAATGTGAGATCCCTTTGAAACAAGTGGAAATGCCACATCCACTCAACACAATGAAGAACTACTGAAATAAACCACCTCTTTATCCCTCTCTCATGGCATGTACATGCAAAACAACACATTTGGGTTCATGCAAATGTGTCACACAATTAGAATTTGTTTCATGTGACAATCTTTGGTCAGGAACAACTGTGTCAAGATTATTGGTGAATGTGTCTCCTTGAAATCATTGTCAAATATCACTTCCTACAGCATATTTATTTAGTATATTTTACAGTGAAAAAGTCATTATACTTAATAAAAAGGAGTCATTCCTTAAAAATAGTATAAATTTCTAAGAGTCATCATAATGAATATTATTAACTGAACAGTCATTAGATAGGGGAAGTCTGAACTACAAGCAACTAAAATGAATAATCAATTGCCACATGAAATAACATGGATGAATCTCAAAAATGTATTTTTGAGGCAAAGCCACATGCAGAAAAAAAATGTGTACTGCATGCTTCTGTGCCTATGAAATTCAAAACATGGAAAACTAATCTATGGTGTTAGAAGTCAGAATAACAGATACCTCTGGGGAAGAGGTCATTCAACAAAACTAGGGCATCAGCCCTGATTCCTTTCTGAGTCTGAGACAGTAAAAAATATTGTCGTTCTGTATTTTTGCTTGACTTTGTTATTCTCCAAGGTACAAGACGTAATTTTGTATAAAATATTTGTGAGATTCAAATAAAAGTATTATTAATGTCTAAGAATTAATTCAGCAAATAGATTATTTTAACATAAAGAAAATGAGGTTTGGAATAAAGAGCTAATTGTTCCTGGTTCAAACTCCAGTTCCATCTGTTTATAGCTGTCTGACCTTAGGCAATTTACCCTCTCTGAGCCTCAGTTTCCTCAAATATAAGTTGGAAATGATATTAGTCCTCTACTAGCTTGCTATGGATACTACTACCATCAAAAATATAAAAGGACTAGGTAGATAGAAAATTTTAAGTAAATGTTATTTTCTTTTCATCTTCTGCATTTATTGGGGGTTGTGGTGGGGTCAACCCCCAATTTGTAGCCTTCATTCCTTCTTCAAAGCAAGGCTGGTAGACTTGTTAAATCAACTAATGGTACAGATGAAAGAAAGAAGCATCTTGAGTTCAGCCAAAAAAAAATTTTTTAAGTGCCAAGTGAGGACACCGAAAATTCACCATAGAACTCCTAAGAGCATAAAACCACACGAGAAAGAAGATAACTTATTTTACATAGATAAAATATGATATTGGTGCTTGCAATTATTTGTAAAGGCTCATTTGAAAGTCAGATCCTTGAAATATATCATAATTGTGTTCATATTCACAGTGATAATGTAAATTTCTATTTTTATTTCCACTGTCAATTAAGTTTTCTGTCTTAGGGAGAGGTTTGAGTCAGTTAAATTCCTGCAACCATAATAATTAATGTAAATCCATCAACCTCACTATTTTGAGATTCTCAGTGAGCACCTCGCAAATTCAGCACTTAGAAAAACTGGAGAAAATTACTGAATTCGCCTGGTCACATTTGAAGATCCCACATTAATAAAAAAAGTCAACATTAGAAATTTTTCTGATCTCTTCACATTATATCCCAGATTTAACAGGACAGCAAATGAAAAAGTAACCCTACCTTATTCCCCAGGGACTTATTATATTACATTTTTCCCAAAACCAGATTTGAGATTCTCTAACTCTCAGCCTATTCCACCTTGCTCACTGGGTAATGGTTGTTCTACTGGTTGGTGCCGCTGGAAGCCAAAAATTTACTTCTTTGCTTATGTAGTCTGGTCACCTGGGATGCTCTCCTCTCTACCTCAACTACTGTCAAATTACAGCTCAGCTGTGCTGTCCCCTCCAACAAATCTTTCTTCCCTCTGCACCAAGTCCTCATTGATGGCCTTCTTCAGAACTCCTACCATATTTTAATTATACATCATCTTGAATTGCTCCATATTATGGGTTTGTCCTATATCCCTAATCACATCGTAAGTTCTTGCATGACAGGGATTGGGTTTCCCTCCTTGTCTGTTTCTCCCGCAGCCTCTAACACAATTCTGAGCACCTAATAGGGCTGTTGAGTGAGGATGCCAGTCTAGGAACAAGAAGAATGTCTACATTCGCCTGCTGCAAAAGTTGCATATGGCTAAACTCATCTAAAATCACCCCATGACTTGTCCACAGAAAATCAAAAGCAGAGTGGAGAAGAGAGGGGGAAGTAAACGCTCACAAACCCAGACAGAGAAGCCCTTTAATCTTGCTTGCAGATGTTCTAAGGTTTACATACTGCATATTGTTGCTCTTTTCATCTTTCCTTGTCTGGGAGATGAAAACGATATTGTTGTTCACCCTGTTCCAAGTCCCTGAGCGCTAACTTGAGTGAACCTCAACAGCAGGCTACGTTGCACACTGGCTTCCAGTAGGTTCCAACGCATAGCATCAGCAGATTAGAAAAAGGAAACCGAGATCGTTTTTTCTCCACCTTTCTCCCTAAGGAGTCAGAGAGAGAGTCTCTCCACAAAAGGTCTCAGCAGCCCTCTCCACATAGCCTCACTGGGTCTAGGTCCTGCTAACTTCCCTTACTTACTCTTAGACCTAGGAGCAGTAATGTGAAACCTTCCCACCTTAGCCAGTGATTTCTGTATACTACCCTGCCCATGCATCTGTAAAATTATCCACAAATCATTCCATTTGAATTGGCTGTTTCTTGTCAAAACCTTGTGTGATACAGATGTTTTACTTGGGACCCTTATAATTTTAATATTTTAATATTGATAATATTTACAGTACACTTCCTTGTTTCTCTAAGTAAGTGAGTGCACATATTACATTGTGCCCTTCTTTTAATGATTCATGGTCATCACCTGGACTCTCAGAGATGGGACCATTGTTTATCAGCTTGTAGCATCCACATCTATGCTGTGCTTTTCAAATATTACCTCATTTAATCTCCCCTCCTCCCCTCACCGAAAAAATCCTACAAGATGAGTCTGATAAGTCCCTTTTACAGAACCAATTTCTATTACAGCTGCTAAGTAATAGAAATAGGACAATGAACTCAAGAGTGTCTCACTACAAAACCTGTGTCCTTACCCAGTAAATGAAATCCCTTCCCTACCACACTGTACTACCTGAAAGAGCTAGTGAGTTGTGAAGATCTATTGATTCTTACACTAAATGACTCATACTGTTGTTCTTTCTGAATTGCAGTGATAATTTCATTCCTCCTTTAATTGATTAAAAAAACAATCTGCAGCCCCAATACTAATCTGACAGTCACTGCACTATCTGTACATCTGCCTGTAGCAGCCAGCCTTGCGTGTCTACTTTGCCACTCATAATCTGCTGTAGGCCAAGTAACATAAAACACACCCCAATTAGTGTTGTGTGTGTGAAAATAAGAGCGAACATTTTTTTAACGCAGCCTGAGAGATTTTGAAATATGGGGTTTGTGAAAGCTGTTTTTCATCACTCAGGAACTATATAGTACTATATTACATTTTAATGTACAATAAAAATCATTGTTGGAAGTCCAAGCTGTATCAAGAGGATGCACATAGACTCATCAGTTGACAGTGTCCCAGCTGAGCCCAGACTTCAAGTCACCATCCCAAACAACAAACATGTGAGAAACGAAGCCTCCAGATGATTTCAGCCTCCAGCTAATCAGTCACCCCAGGCATTCAATTCTTTCCAGCTGGGGTCTCAGACATCATGGGGAAGATAAGTATATTAATAGATATAGGTAACAAATAAGACTGTTATATGGAACTCTGGAAAGCTAAGTTGAACCACTTCCTCTTCCTTCTTCCAAGCCCATACCTGAATATTTCTTCTTACTACCCAAAGATCAGCAACATGACAGGGCCAAAGAGAATGAGAGAAAACAGAATTTAACATTGCTCCAGTGTGGAGCAAGAGGTAGACAAGAAAAGTGCATATCTCTGCAGAGAGCCACATCTGTTAATAACCCCACCATGAGTGGCCTAATTAACCATCTAAATATGCAATCAAAATAACATTTTCTCCTTTTCAGAAATGAGGAAGGGATGGGAGAAGGGAAGATTTTCCTAGAATAAGGAGCTGAGTGAAGAACTTCCACTTCACCCTATGGATCATTACCAGCTGTAAGGTAAAATTGTATATGTTTGTTCCCATTTTGCTATTTATTACTATCACTCAAAGGAAATGTGGCTTCTTGAACTAGTCAAATTGATAATGTGGATTTTTCAATGTCTATATGTATCAATATACTCTCATGTCCAAATCCTGCCTCCTATGTTTGAAACATGGGCGAGGTTGGTGACAGCCTTCAGTTAGAAATGTTCCGTGGGTCTGAGTCAGAAAGAAGGTGCATTGCCATGGCAGGTCCAGTGTTCTTTACCAGAATGGAGCAGGGTCCACACGCAAAGGAGTGAAGGGCACAATCAGGAAGATAATAGCACAGGACTAAGGCAGAAGGTGAGGGTGAAATGAGAAAAGTAGCATTCGGTAGTTGGATGGGGGAGTGATGAACAGAGCAAGACAAGATGTCACATGTGTTATCACCCTTTTAATGTGGCACACGGTACTTGATGAGACGGCAGGCAAAACTGGTCAAAGGTGATCATGGGGTCAAGCCCCGACATGTTCCACTTTGAAGTGCAGACACCAGAGGTGATTTGGGAGCTGGTGGCATCCAAGGCAAAAATAAAAATTAAAAATAAACAAGGTGATTTCTAGGCACAGCGACTGCAAGAGCAAAGGCCATGAGGAAGGAGGTGCCCAGCATTCAAGGACAAGCAATCAGACCAGTGAGACTGGAGCAGAGAGAAGAGTAATAAGAGATGCACACAAAGAGCACACAGAGGTTAGACAATGCAAGACCTCAGAGGCTTTTTTGAAGACTCAGGGTTGTACTCTGGATGACATTGTAAACAGCTGGAATGTTTACAGGAGATGAATGAAATTATCTAACTTCTTTTTAGCAGAATGACTCTGGCTACTGTATTGAGAATAAACTAAAAGGGGCCAAGTTAAAGCAAGAAGAACAATCAAGAGGTTAGGGCATTATTCTTTTGGTAATGTGGCCCAAGCAGTGGAAGTGAAGAAAGTATGGGTTCTGAATATATTTTGAATGCAAACCATCAGGATTAGCTGACAGATTAGATGTGAAATGTTCCCCTTTCTTGGATTATTTTTCTTCATAGCACTTACCACCTTCTGACATAATACATATTTAATTTTCAATGTTTTTATTCTCCATCCACGTAAATGAAAGCTTCATGAAGGTAGGGATTTTCATGCCTGGAACATAGTAGGTGCTCAATAAGTAGCTGTTAACTAGATTAATTTATCTGAAGTATTTAAGTAACTCTATTAACAATTTTTTACCCTTGTCACATTCTCTTCCATTTGTAAACATTAGTTATCATAGGTTTGATCTCATTGGTCCACCATGAGTCATTTACCACAAGTGAATGTACTTTAAGTTGATCTACATTGTTTAGAAAGTGCCACCTAAATTATTTCTGTGGCTTGGTTGCCCTGTTCCGCTAACTGGCATACACAAACAGCTGTTGATGTGTAAGACATGGAATTAGGTCATTGCTGAGTTCTAATCAACTTGATTTAATTAGCATGGATGTCAGTGGTGGACATTTACAAGGGCAGATGGTATAATAACCACTCTTGTGTGGAGGTAATGTTGTGCCCAATTTCTGTCTTGAGTGCATAATCTATTGATGAAGCTGTGTTGATGTGGCCATATAGATACCAAGGACAATATGATGAGGTCAATTTGAGGGGATTACTTTGAAGCAGGAACATTGTGACACTGTCCAAAAACCAACCACCAGATTTTCACCTTTGTTTTCTACCAAACAATGAGCATCATTTTATCTCTAAGATTCAAGGGCTGACGTTGAAGATGAGACAGATCAGAAATGGGCTGAGGGATTGGCTAAGGTTAGATTCTATGTTTAAGAACTCATGTTTCCCACACTTGCATATCTTAGAAAGGGACACCAATGATTCTAAGTGGAATTGTTGTCATTCTCTAAATATTTACCTATATCTTGAATGATCTGCATGTTGAATAATCATTGCTTTTATATAAATTTCTTTGGTTCATAGTGGAAGTTGTTCTATTTTTCATGTGAGAGGATGGACTCCTTTGCTTCAGGACAATGCTTTCTTCTTGTTAATGCCAGCCTCATTTGATTAGGTTGCTATTAGACCCCAGAGATGAGGGAGGGAAGAGAGCATGTCAGGGCAGAGAATATTCCCCAGTCTCAGTTTCAGACTCACAGGAAATCCTCAGTTGAGTTTCTAATGGTTTTCTTTTCTTTCTTTCCTTCCTTTCCTTTCTTCCTTCCTTCCTTCCTTCCTTCCATCCTTTCTTTCTTTCTTTCTCTTTCTTTCTTTCTTTCCTTTCTTTCTCTCTTTCTCTCTTTCTGCTTGTTTGCTCTGTCACTCAAGCTGGAGTAGAGCGGCATGAACATGGCTCACTGCAGCCTCAAACTCCTGGGCTCGAGAGATCCACCTGCCTCAGCCTCCCAGGTAGCTGGGACCACAGGTGTGTGCCACCACATCTAGCTAATTTTTTTTATTTTTTGTGTATACAGGGTCTCACTGTGTTGCCCAGGCTGGTCTCCAACTCCTGGCCTCAATTGATCCTCCTACCTCGGCCTCCCAAAGTGCTGGGATTACAGGCCACCACAGTTGGCCTCTAATGGTTTTCTTTGTGGTCTCAATTATATCTGGAAATTGTGTGATGACTCCTTTTTTAAAGAGCTGAAGTGCTGGCATCTACCTTCCAGAGGCAAAGAGATGTACACCTGACCATTCCTCCAGCCAGGCCTTGTCCGTGGGTAGACATCACAAGGACACAAATGGCCACCATGAGTCACAGCCACAGGCAACGTTCAAGCAATTCTTCACTGGAGAAGTAATAATTACCAAGGGGGCCATCCTGGGGTGCCTGTGCATTGGCAGGAGAAGTGTTGGGAGACTGAAAGGAAAGGAAGGGAATCAGGGATTCAGGTGTTGTGGTCACTGGTCCAGATCTCTTATAGCCTCAGGTCACACAAGACTCATTCTTCTCCTTTGATGACGAGTGTGGGATGGGGAGGATCATGTGGAACAGTAGAAGGAAGACCTGACCCTTCCCCAGGCCTTGCCGGGACATGGCCTTCTATCCCCAACTCTTCCTCCTTTGCTTCACTTCTTGTGTCCATCTCCCTTCAGCTCTCCCCCTCCTGCAGTTTTGCCCCACCTCCAACCAGGTTTCCCACCTCTCCCTACTGACACACTTAGGAACCCACTGATCCCTTCAGGTAATTCCCAGCTTGGAAAACAGACTGTAAATTGCTTTTCACCTCTGCACTGAGTGTTGCTCAAAAGAAGGAAGGAGTGGGTTGTCCTCATTGTCCTCTAAGCAAGGGCCTTACCTCCTTCCCCTTTCCTCCACTGAGGTGGGGGTGTGACATGGTTGGGACAGATTCTCACTTCAACATGTAAAAGCAACACAAAGAACTCTTATCAAAAGACAAAATTACAATAAACTTAGCAAAATGATCTAACTAACTCTTATTTGCAACTCACGAATTAGGGTGACGTCTCCTCTAAAACTTTAGAAAAGGTGCTCCATTCAGCTGACCAGGGGAGTTTGGCTTTATAGGCAGAAAAGGGCTGAAGAAAGCAGAAACTAGGATCAAAAAGGGGGTTGCTTAGCATCAAGTTACCTTCCTTGTAAGGTTAAAGCAGAGAAGACTTCCTTATCGTGCTGGCTAAACTGGTCTGTTTGGAGATTTGACTATTATCTCTCTCCTGATTACCTGGAAGATCAGATAAACAACTGTTTCAGTTTGGTAACATGAAACTTTAGCATGAGAAACTCCATTTTGGTTGGTCTACTGGGGCCTACTGCAGGAGCTCAGTCCAAACCCATGGCCTCCTGTAAATTTTATTTGACATTCACTCTAGGGTTACTTTTCTTCCAAAGCTCTTTGTTTCATAACAGAAATCCATATCTTCCCAAATAACTTGTCTTTAACCTTATTTTTTACAGACACCTTTCCCACACCTGTCCTACATCACATTACAGTGTTTCCCACATTAACTTTAGAAGACAGAGAATCCCTCTCAAACCTATTCTCACATGTAACGTGGTTACAATATACTTGACATCACAAAACTCATATGTAATGCTGTTTTGCATGTGCATGTGAACAGAATTGATATCTGTATTTGTTTTCTATTGCTGAATAATAAAATACAAAAAATTCAGCAGCTTAAAAGAACACACATTTATTAGCTCACAGATTCTGTGGGCCAGGAGTCTGAGGACAGCTTAGCTGGATCCTTGCTGGAAGGTTGCAATCAAAGTGTTAGCTGGGCTATGTTCCTTTCTGGAACCCAGAATCCTCTGCCAAGCTCACTGGGTGGTTGGCAGAATTTAGTTCCTTGCAAGTTGTAGGACTTGTATGTTCCCTGCCATATGGCCCTCTGCAAAGGCAGGTCACATCTTAGCAGCTTGCCTCCTCAGGTCCAACAGGAGAGTATCTCACCTCAGATAGGGCCCAGTCCTTCTTTTTAAGGACTTTAATCTGATTAGTCTAGCCCGTGCAGAATAATCTCTTGTCGTCACATAATATAACAGTCACCTTGATGACATTCCATCATCTCTGGCTTACTCTATTAGTTAGAAGTAAGCTGCAGATTTCACCTACACTCAAAGGGAGGGTATTACACAAAGGTGTAGATACCAGGAAGTAGAAAACCAGTGAGGGTCACTTTAGGCTCTGTCCAATTCAATGGATTCAGCAAGGAAAATGTTCCAAAGCTAATATGTTGCCCTCTTTTAATAATTGTTGGAAAAACATGGATAAACCAGGCTTGGAAGAATCGAGGACTCAGTTAAATGCAACCATGAGGCACGCTTAGCATGGGCTGGAGGTAGGGAGAGGAGTGTATTTATGTGATCTCCTTAATGTCCTGGTCTAGTCAAGCTTCTGGGAATGCTGTTGGCAACTTTTGGCTCACCTTGCTGTAAGGCTGCTTCTGAAGATGCCTGACCACAGAAGCCAACAAGTGCATCCATAGAACCAACCCAGAGCAAAACCCTAGATGATTATAAATATCTATGAACACTGAATTTTTCCCTCAAGAATACAGGGTTCACTACAGACACCCCTTCAAGTGCCTACATGATGCTAATATTGCTGTCTCAGCACTACCCTATAGATTTTAATGTGGAGAATTTATAGCCATTTTATTTATCCTATTAGTCTCACCACTATTACATCCAAAGCCCTGTCCAGTCAAGGTGAATGCCTCCCTCACCATATGCCTTTGCAACTGTGACACCATAGTAGTTCTATCATTATACTATATTCTTACCAAACTGATAAAATGTGCTATGAATCAGAAAATACATTCATCAAAAATTGTTAGACTATAAATATTGAGAGAAAACCCTTTCCTTGGTTCTTTATCTTCTTCAACTATTCCAAATAATTTAAATTGCATCTGTTAGGGAAGACCAGAGATTTCATTTTTACACAATGATTTAATAAAAATGGTAGTAACTGAAAAAGTCACACTTCTGAAAAGGTCAAAATAATTCCTCGTACTACAATCAAGTAAATTTGGAATTTGCTTAATCCCAATCAAGTGCTCACAGTTAATTTAAGAAGATTAAATTACCCCACAGTCACTATTCATTAGCCAAGAAGAATGAAATGGCAATAATTCTGCCAAATAGTAAAATGCACTTATAAGACTATTTTGCAATTTATTCAACAAATATTTATGGAGTGCCAACTAGTGCCAGGAACTGTTCTATATCCTGGGGCTACAAAGGTAAATCAGGCAAACAAAATGCTTTACATCATGGAGATACCATGGGAGTGTGAGAAACAGAAAATAATAAATAAATAAACATATATATATAATTATAGATTACAAAAACTGTTATAGAAAAATAATACATATATGGGAATAGAGTATAATTGGGGATTAGGTGGGGTTATTTTAGGAAAGGCTATCAGAATAGGCTTCTCTGAAGAGGCAACGTTTCAACAGACCCGAGAAACAAAAAGCAAATCCTAAGCCCCCCAACTGACTGAACAGATCCCCTCTTGGCAAAGGGGACCCCACAGAAACCTTAAAAACTAAGTTCCCAGCCATGATGGGATGGGAGGTCAGACAGGCCTCAGTATGCCCCTTTTTTATTAACCTTGAATCAGAATTCTTTCCTAAGGAGTAAGAAGAAACCAGCTCTGGAAAACAAGAAATGGGAGACTCATTCCTTTATCACCTTTAGCCAATCATCTGAGGCTGCAACCAGACTTGCAACTGGACTCCCCTCCCTTTCGCAGTTACAACACAGTAACTAAACAGCATTCCTTCCTGATAAGAGACCACTGACCATAGAGTGGTTCTGGCCAGTCTACAGAGATGGCACATTGAGGATTTTCCTATCTTCTGCTTCACCTTTTGATATAAGAGTGAAACCACCTTTGCAAAGATCATGACAGTGAAAGAAATCTAACATGGCAGATTCCATCTTGCTTCTAGCCTCACAGGTGGGCTGTCCTCACTCACTCCTAGGTGTGGTCAAGCTAACTATGGGATGAATTTAGTTTATAGTTTAACTTTGAAGCAAGCATGATAATCATCCCTCCCTAAAATTAATCCCCTCTTTGTTCGGGGGCTGAACCACCTTTGCAAGACTAATGAAAGGACACAAGATCAGGAATTACAGGAAGGACTTGAATTCTGCTAAAATGTAAACATAGTTTCTATAACCCCTTACTGCTCAGGAGTCATTTGGTCAGAGGTCATAAGATCTGTGACTTCCCCAATTGCTCCTATAGATAATATTGCTATTGTAGAACCTAAGTTTGGTCTTTCAAGATGTTTTTCAGATTTTTGCATTCTGGCAACTAACTGACCCCACCTGTACTCATGACTTATGACTCAACCAGTCCTGTGGTCCCCCACCCAGAGGCAGACTCAGCATGAGGACCAATCCCCACACACCTATGATTGCATCCCTAACCAATTGGCGGTACCCATTCCCTAGTCCCCTGCCTACTAAACTATCCTTGAAAAGCCCTAGCCTCTGAATTCTCAGGGAGGCTGATTTAAGTGTAACTCTGGTCCTTCTGCTTGGCTACCTTGTGTTAAGTCTTTCTTCACTGCAATACCACAGTCTCAGTGAATTGGTTTTGTCTGTGCAGAGGGCAGGAAGAATTCATCAGTTGATTACAAGACAGCCAAAATCTCCACCCTCAGATCATACTAATGCTACCATTTTCTGAACATGCAGCCCAACAAGGAAATGTGAAGCTCAATTGTGCATGCACATGTTTCTTCTTTCATAAATATTTATGACTCCTCCTATCACTTATTAAATATGTACATTTAGCCAACCCATTCTGCATAAAGTCCTGTCTTATGCTTCCCTCCCTTGAAGTGCCGGTTTCTGGCTACTGTCAAAGGTTATACATCTCAGCCTGTCAGAATGGCCACCTTACAGTCTGCAACTCTTAATGAGAAATAAAGCTCTCCTTTCCAAGTTTATGAACTTTATCATTTTTCAGTTGGAAGAACCCTGAGTTGCTGAAGAGTGAATTAAACAAAGATTGTTCTAACCCGTGGCAAGATCGGGTTTTTTGTTGTTTTTTGTTTGTTTTGTTTTTGTTTTTGAGATGAAGTCTTGTTGCTCTGTTGCCCAGACTGGAATACAGTGGTGCAATCTTGGCTCACTGCAACTTCCGTCTGCTGGGTGGGTTCAAGAGATTCTCCTGCCTCAGCCTCCCAAGTAGCTGGGATTACAGGCACATACCACCATGCCCAGCTAATTCTTATCTTTTTAGTAGAGATGGGGTTTTGCCACATTGGCCAGGCTGGTCTCGAACTCGTGACCTCAAGTGATCCGCCCACCTCAGCCTCCCAAAGTGCTGGGATTACAGGCATGAGCCACCGTGCCCAGCCAAGATCAGGCTTTAAGACCTGAAGTTTACAGGGCAGCCTAGTGTAGTTGAATAGAGAACAAAAAGAGTTGTAAGTAGTAGATTTGAAGAGGCAGACAGGGAACAAGAAAACACAAAGCCTTAGAGACTCATGCTCAATCTGGATTTTACTTTAAGTGTAATGAGAAGCAATTGGAGTTTTAGCTGTTGTAGTTTAAAATCTCTAATATAGTGAGAAAACAAAAGTAGCTTAGAACAGTCTGAGCTATGTGAGGTAAGCAAAATTTATCAGGCCCACAGAGATATGAGTATGGGACTTCAGTCATCCCCACCACCACCACCCACCCATGCCTGGAGACAATTGTTTAAAGGCATTTTGTTCCTGACTAGCTGCCTCATCCATTATCTTCACATTCCTGGAATTTGTGATACAAAGAAAAATGTATAACCAATCAATAGCTTATGTTACCTTAATGTAAATTCTTAAGAACTCCCTCTCCTTTTTCTTTAAAAATCTATTTGTAACTGCTGTTAATTGGAGTGTATATTCAGGGCAATTTGAATCTATGTCCACAAGCTGCAACCCTCAAGATTGGCCCAACAAATAAACTCTCTACATATATTAATTTTGCCTCAGCTTCTTCCTTTTAGGTCAATAATAATGTTGATCATGTATTTGAATTGCTTTAAGTGCTTTACAAATATAAACTCATTTAATATCTCCACAGCAAGTCTATGAGGTAGATGATATTATATTATTCTCCCCATTTTACAGATAACAAAATTGAGGTTTGGAAAGATTTTATAACATATGATCACACATGCTTATACGTAGCAGAGCCAGGATGGTAACCAGGAAAACCTGTCTAATTTATTTATTTTTAAAATTCACTCTAGCTTCAATGTGGTGGACAAAATATAGGAAGACAAACATAGCCCAAGCCAGAGATGTGGTGGCTTAGACCTGGGGATGACAGTGGAAGAGGCAGATGGTTGAGTTCAGAACATACTGACAAGGCGAAGCCAACATGATTGCTGATAGATTGAATGGGCAGGGCAAAGAAAATGGAAAAATCAAGGATGCCACCTAAATATTTGTCTCCAACAAGTGGGTGAATGTTTTCATAAATTGAGAGAGGGAAGACACAAGGAAAATAAGTGTGGGAGAGTGGAAACTGAGAGTTAGGTCATATTAAGGTTGACGTATCTGTTAGACAACCAAATAGAGACATTGAGTAGGTAATTGGATGTAAGAGTCTAGAGTTCAGTCAAAAGTCACAGCTAGAGGTATAGATTTGGGGATCATCAGCTTGTAGATGATGTTTAAAGTCAGAAACCTGAATGGGATGACTAAGGAAGAGAAGAATTGGGGGCTCTAGGACTAAGGCACAGGCCCCCCTACCCATTAACGGGTCAGGGATGGCAAAAGGACAAGCTAAGGAAGTTGAGAAGGCACTGGAAAAGAGAAAAAAAGAAAGGAGAGGGGCCCAAAAACCAAGTGAAAATGTATTTCAAGAGGGAGGCAGAAGACTATTATGTTAAATGCATCTGTGCAGTCAGGTAGACTGCAGACAGACCTGTCTAATTGGATTTGGCAAGATAAAGGTAACTTGTAGCTTTGATAAGACCAGTGTAGGTAGAGTGTTGAGACAAAACCCGGACAGGAGTGGAATTCAGAATAATTGGATGGTAAGGCAGTGGAGACAGCAAGTATATAAAAATCTTTAAAAGAATTTAACTATGAAGGAAAGAAGAGACGTAGGCAAGGCTGCAGGGGGATGCGGATCCAAGAGAAATCTCTTTTTAATAGCGGATAATACAACATGTCTGTATATTGATAGGAATAATCCAACAGAAAAGGAAAATTAATGAGGAAGGAGAGAAAAAAGAGCAGAGTTCTCAACAAAGTAGAAGTATAGGGATGTTGCACACAAGTGGAAAAGTGGCCCCGAAGAGAAACATAAAGTTTATTAGGTACTCAGAGACAAGACAGCACATTTGTTTTTGCAAGATGGTGGATTGGAGACATTGTTAGCATGCTTCTCCCACTTTGAAAGACCAATTAGTGAGTAGAGATTTTGAACCATTTTCAAGGAGCAACACAGGAACTTAACAGAAAAACTGAAAGAAACCACAGACCCTTTGAAAGAAGCAGTGGGCAGCAGCCTACACTGTGAACCAGATGGAAAACTGTTGAGTCTGTAGAGCATGAGAGGGAGAGAGACTGCTACTGTGACACGCTCCCACAGGGCAGCTGGGCAATCCAGGCCAAGGGGGAGCACCTTACCCCTACCCAGCCAAGGGTGAAGGCCTTGACCCTGCCCAGCGCTGGAGCTGATTTAGTGAGTGATGGGGAATATATGAGAAGGAGCAGTATCAGGACATGCTTAGCATGCAGTCCCAGACTGCAGTGGGGATGATGGGAAGCCACTCTTGATCCTAACCTCACAAGGGACCTCACAGAAGCCTACCAGCTAACTCAGACAGTGGTCACAGTTGGGAGACGCTTTCAACTGAGATTTGCAATAGAATCTTGAGTAGGCACAAATCCCATTGGCCAGACTGAGGGGTGAGTGGGAAGAGTACTATAGTCACAGATGCAGGAGCTGGATACCTCTTCTTCACAGGTGGACCAGGAGAGGTGTGGCCTGAAAGCCACACAGTATCTGTCTCTGTCAGGAAGGCTTGTGGCCTGGGGAAGTTTTGAGTTCTGAGTGCAGGCTGCCTAAAACCCAGCTAGCTGCTCCTAAAAGAACACTGTGGGTGCGAGACCTGCCTTGCCAACGGTGTGGGAGTGGAGTGAAGCTTACTGCCACCTGCTACCTGCCCATTCCCCATGCAGATTTTTTTGTGCAGCAGAGGCAGCTGCACTCCTCCCTGGAACATTACCCCAATGGCCAGGGAACTGCTCTTCAATCTCCACATAGGGACCCAGAGCACAAACTTACCTGACCCAGCCCACACCCAGATTTGTCCTTCCACCTGCCCTGGTAGCCTAACACAACAGAATAAGACATTTGGGAGCTCCATGGCACCACCCATTACCTGAGACATCAGAATACCTCTCCTGGATAACATAAACCAAGCACAAATTCTACTGCTACCATCAAGCTGGTGCTCTTTTGCAAGCACCGCCTTCTGGCTGGTGGTCAACCAGCACAGCCCATGACAGCAGCTACAGGCACAATAACACAGCAATCAGAAAGGAGAAAACTTTTGCATGGCCTCATCTATCCTCACTGCCTGCATCACTCTCGCTAACCAGGAAGGCTTGAGTTTGTCCGTGTGCCTAGTAAGTTAGGACTACAGCTGGCATTTGAAAAACTCAACACACTAAAGCCATTTATAACCAAGGAAATCTCACAGTTTACATCACTCCCCTCCCACCACTACCAGAGCTGGTGCTGGTATTTGCTGCTTAGAGACTAGAGGATAAGTCACATCACTGGAGCCTAGAGTGTGGCAGCCCCACTGGGCAGCTAGACCCAGAGGAGCAAAAGGATTCACAGTACTCTGGTCCTCAGGGACTGCTACACTTAGGGGAAGAGGGAGTGTATCACATTAAGGGAGCATGGGACAAAAGATACTGGACTGCAAGCCTTCAGTCCCTGAACTTTCCACCTGTGGGATGTTTTCTTCAGCAGAGGCACAGGTGCAATGCTGGGCTCAGTGGGGAAACTCTGCAGCTCTACTCCAGTAGTCAGGTAGCCCTGGTGCTTGTGAAGGGTCTTGGAGAGGGGACTCCTCCCTTTTACTCACCACTGTAGACACAACTAGGGCTTCTCCCATGGAATCCCAGCATGAGTGCATCTGTAGGCAGCCTTTCTGGAACTTCAGGGTGACTGTATCCCCAGAGAAGGAATGCCCTCCAGGTTCAGGCTTGCATGAGAGGTAGAGTCACAATCTCTCTCTAAATGAAGCATCAGCATTCTTGCAGATAAAAAGAGATGCCTGTCTGATCTGTATAGCCAGAACACCAGGTCAGGAGTATGACTGGAAGGCAGATTGCTTTCCTGCTGGTCTGGAAGGAAAGCTGTGGTGGCTCCCTCCCCTCCCTCTGAAAAGACTTCAGTGCATTTTTACTGAGAGTTCACCCAACCACCTCTGTCAAAGCTGGGACGTCTGCCCAATATTAGGGTATTGCATTTACCCACCTGCTTTAGCCAAAGCCAGTTTTTCCCCATGAGCATCTCCTACTGGCCCGAAGCCTGAACCATTTAACCCAGTGAATAAAATCCTGGGAGGAAAGCTTTTTTAAAGTGCACGCCACTGGAAAATGAGATAAGCTTCATGAGACCTCTGCATTCCAGCCCCACAGAAAACAGAAAACCTGCTCCCATACCCAGCACATCATTACTAATCTAGTGAACTTGTTTTCTTCATTGTGCTCTCGCTTTATAGGCTGTGTGATTTTTATGCTTTGAGGAGTGTCTATTCTGATGCATACTGACCTTTGTCTCAAGATTTAGAACTCCTTTTAACATCTCTTATAGGGCTGGTAAGACCATCAGCATCTGAGAAAGCCATCGCACAAAGATTCCCTATAATAAAATAATTCATACAGAGGCTTTAACACTCAAAGCACCCACAGCCAAAGCTAGGTAACAATAAACTATAAACATTAAAGTCACATCTTCAAGAAGAAATAAATGAAATTTTAAAAAACCATTGAATCAAAAATAAATTCAAAAATAATTAGAAGAAATAGTCTACCTAAATGAGAAGGAACCAGAAAAGCAATTCTAGCAATATGAAAAAACAGGGTTCTTTAACAGCCCCAAAATATCACACCAACTTTCCAGCATTGGATCCAAACCAAGATAAAATCTTTGAAATACCAGATAAGGAATTCAAAAGGTTGATTACTAAGTTACTCAAGGAGATACAAGAGAAAGGTGAAACCCAACGTACAGAAATGTAATAAACAATTCAGGATATGAATAAAAAATTTTCTAAAGAGATAGATATTTTAAAGAAAAGCCAATCAGAACTTCCAGAAATGAAAGACACATTTAAGGAACTACAAAATACTGTCGAAAGTTTTAACAATAGAGTCAACCAATTAGGAGAAAGAATTTCAAAGCTTAAACACAAGGTATTTGAAGTAATCCAACAAGACAAAAATAGCAAAAAAAGAATGCAACAAAATAAAAGAAGTCTCCAAGAAATATGGGATTATGTAAAACTGCCAAACATAAGAATTCTGTGTTCCTGATGGAGAAGAAAAAGCAAAAAGTTTGGAAAACCTATTTGAGGGAATAACTAAGGAAAACTTCCCTGGTCTTGCTAGAGACTTAGACATCCAAATTCAAGAAGCTCAAATAATTCCTGGGAGACTGATTGCAAAAAGTACATCAAGAAGGTATCTGGTCATCAGGGTATCTAAAGTCAACGTAAAGGAAAGAATTCCAGGAGCAGTGAAACAAATGCATCAGGTAACCTGTAAAGGAAAACCTATCAGACTAACAGCAGACTTTGCAGCAGAAACTTTACAAGCCAGAAGGGATTGGGGTCTTATCTTTAGTCCCTTTAAACAGAATAACTCTCAGCCAAAAATTTTGTATCTAGCAAAACTAAGTTTCATAAATGAAAGAGAAATAAAATCTTTCTCAGACAAGCAAATGCTAAGGGAGTTTGTCAATACTAAACCAGCCCTACAAGAAATGCTAAAAGGAGTTCTAAATCTTGAGACAAAAGGTCAATACACATCAGAATAGAAACTCTTCAAAGCATAAAATTCACAGGGCTTATAAAACAAGAACACAATGAAGAAAACAACTTCACTAAGTAACAATCAACACGATGATTGGAACAGTACTTCACATCTCAATATTAATGTTGAATGTAAATGTTCTAAATTCTCCACTTAAAAGATACAGATCGTGGAAGACAGTGTGGCGATTCCTCAAAGACCTGAAGACAGAAATACCATTTAACCCAGCAATCTCATTACTGGACATATACCCACAGGAATATAAATTGTTCTATTGTAAAGACATATGCAAGCATATGTTTATTCCAGCACTATTCACAATGGCAAACACATGGAATCAACGTAAATGCCCATCAGTGATAGACTGGATAAACAAAATGTGGTACATATACACCATGGAATACAATGCAGTCATAAAAAAGAACAAGATGATGTCCTTTGCAGGGACATGGAGGGAGCTGGAGGCCAATATCCTTAGCAAACTAACACAGGAACAGAAAACTAAATAGAGCATGTTCTCACTTATAAGTGAGATCTAAATGATGAGAACACATGGACACATAGAGGGGAACAACACACACAGGGATCTATAGGAGGTTGGAAGGTGGGAGGAGGGAAAGGATCAGGAAAAATAACCAATGGATACTAGGCTTAATACCTAGGTGATAAAATAATCTATATAACAAATCCCCATGACACATGATTATATAAGTAACAAACCTGCACATCATGCACATGTACCCCTGAACTTAAAACTTTAAAAAAGGATACAGATTGGCAGAATGAATTAAAAGTTACAAACCAAATATCCGCTGTCTTCAGGAGACAAACCTAACACAGAAAGATTCTTACAGACTCAAGGTAAAGGGGTGGAAAAAGACATTTCATGCAAATGGAAACCAAAAGCACACAGGAATAGCTATTCTTGTATCAGATAAAACAGACTTTAAAGCAACAATAGTGAAAAAAGACAAAGAAGGTCATTATATAATGATAAAAGGATCAATTCAACAAAAAGACATAACAATCCTAAATATATATGCACCTAACTCTGGAGTTCCCAGATTCATAAAGCAATTACTACTAGACCTAACAAAAGAGATAGACAGCAACACAATAATAGTCAGGGACTTTAATACTCCACTGACAGCACTAGACAGATCATTGAGGCAGAAATTCAACAAAGAAACCATTGGACTTAACTGCATTCTAGAACAAATGGACCTAACAGATATTTACAGAACATTCTACCCAAGAACTGCAGAATATACATTCTTCTCATCAGCATATGAAACATTCTCCAAGACAGACCATATGATAGGCCAAACAAGTTTCAATAAATTTTTAAAAATCAAAACCATATTAGGCATCTTCTCAGACCACAGCAGAATAAAGCTAGAAATAAATTCTGAAAAGAACCCTCAAAACTATGCAAATACCTAGGAATTAAACAATCTGCTCCTGAATAATTTTTTGGTTAACAATGAAACAAAGATAGCAATCTGAAAATTTTTCAAAATGAATGATAACAGTGATATAAGTTATCAAAACCTCTGGAATACAGCAAAAGCAGTGCTAAGAGGAAAGTTTATAATGCTAAATGCCTACATCAAGAAGTCTGAAAGATCACAAATTTACAACCTAACATCACACCTCAAGGAGCTAGAGAAATAAGAACAAACTAAACCCAAAGCTAGTAGAAAGAAATATATATAACAAAGATCAGAGCAGAACTAAATGAAGCTGAAACAAAAATAACAATGAAACAAAAAGCTGTTTCTTTGAAAAGAAAAGCAAAATTGATAGACCACTAAACAGATTAAGCAAGAGGAGAGAAGATTCAAATAAGCTCAGTTAGAAATGAAAATGGACACATTACAACTGACACCACAGAAATACAAAAGATCATTCAAGACAACTATAAAAACCTCTACACACAAAAACTAGAAAATATAGTGGTAATGGATAAATTCCTGGACGCATACTACCCCCTAGCTTGAATAAGGAAGAAATAGAAATCCTGAACAGACCAAAAACAAGTAGTGAGGCTGAATTAGTAATTTAAAAAAAACTCCAAACAAAAAAAAATTTAGAACCAGATAGATTCACAGCCAAATTCAGCCAGACATTAAAAGAAAATTAGTACCAATTCTACTGAAATTATTCCAAAAGATTAAGAAGGAGGGAATCCTTTCTAAATCATTCCATGAAGCCAGTATCGCCCTGACAGCAAAAAACAGAAAAGGACATGGCAAAAAAAAAAAAAAAAAAAAAGGAGAGAGAGAGAGAGAAAGAAAACTACAGACCAATATCCCTGATGAATATAGTTGCAAAAATCCTCAACGAAATAATAGCAAACCAAATCCAACAACACATCAAAATAATTCACCATGATCAAGTGAGTTTTACTCCAGGGATGCAGGAATAGTTCAACATACACAAGTCAATAAATATGATTTATCACATAAAAAGAATTAAAAACAAAATCCATATTATTATTTCAATTGATGCAGAAAAAGTATTTCATAAAATTCAACATCGCTTCATGATGAAAACCTTCAAAAAACTGGGTATAGAAGGAATATACCTCAACATAATAAAAGCCATGTAAGACAGACCCACAGCCAGTATCATACAGAATGAGGAAAAACTGAAAGTCTTTCCCCTAAGACCTGGAAAAAGACAAGGATGCCTACTTTCACCACTGTTATTCAACATAATACTGGAAGTCCAAGCCAAATCAACCAGGTAAGAGAAAGAAATAAAGCGCATCCAAATTGGAAAAAAGGAAGTCAAACCATCTCTGTTTGCCAGTAACATAATCTTATACCTAGAAAACCCTAAAGACACCTCCAAAGACTCCTAGATCTGACAAATAAACTTGGTAAAGTCTCAGGCTACAAAGCTAATGTACACAAATCAGTAGTACTGATATGCACCAACAACAACCAAGCTGAGCATCAAATCAAGAACTCAATCCCTTTTACAATAGCTACAAAAAAATAATAAAATACCTAGGAATATACCTGACCAAGAAAGTGAAAGATTTCTACAAGAAGAACTACAAAACACTGTTGAAATAAATTATGGGTGAACAAACAATGGAAATACATCTCATGCTCATGGATTAGAAGAATCAATATCATGACAATGACCATACTACACAAAGCAATCTACAGATTTAATGCAATTCCTATCAAAATAACAACATTATTTTTCATAGAATTAAAAAAAGCAATTCTAAAATTTATATGGAACCAAAAGGGGCCCGAATAGCCAAAGCAATCCTCACCAAAAAGAACAAATCTGGAGGCATCACATTACCCGACTTCAAATTATATTACAAGGCTATAGTAACCAAAACAGAATGGTACTAGTATAAAAGTGATACATAGACCAATGGAACAGAATAGGGAATCTGAAAATAAAGCCAAATACTTATTAATATAACCAACTGATCTTCAACAAATCATACAAAAACATAAACTGGGGAAAGGACACCCTATTCAATAAATAGTTATGGGAAAATTGGATAGCCATATGTAGAAGAATGAAACTTCATCCCTATCTCTCACCATATACAAAAATTAACTCAAGATGGATTACAGACTTAAGTCTAAGACCTGAAACCATAAAAATTCTAGAAGAAAAACTAGGAAAAACTCATTTGGACATTGGCCTGGGCAAAGCATGTATGATTAAGACCCCAAAACTAATGCAACAAAAACAAAAATAAATATATGGGACCTAGCCAGGCACATGGTTCATGCCTGTATTCCCAGCACTTTGGGAGGCCGAGGCAGATGGACTGCTTGAGGTCACGAGTTCGAGACCAGCCTGGTCAAGATGGCAAAACCCTGCCTCTACTAAAAAAAAATACAAAAATTAGCCAGGTGTGGTGGCACGTGCCTGTAGTTCCAGCTACTGGGGAGGCTGAGGCTGGAGAATCACTTGAACCCAGGAGGTGGAGGTTGCAGTGAGCCAAGATCATGCCAATGCACTTCAGCCTGGGTGACAGAGCAAGACTCTGTCTCAAAAAAATAAATAAATAAAAATAAATGGGACCTAATTAAATTAAAAAGTTTTACACAGCAAAAGAAACTGTCATCAGAGTAAACAGACAACCTACAGAATAGGAGAAAATATCTGCAAATTATGCATCTGACAAAGGACTAATATCCAGAATCTACAAGGAACTCAAACAAATCAGCAAGAAAAAAAATCAATCTTATTAAAACATGGGCAAAGGACATGAATAGACATTTCTCAAAAGAAGATATACAAATGGCCAATAAACATTTACAAATGCTCAACATCACTAATCATCAGGGGAATGTAAATTAAAACCACAATGAGATACCACCGTACCCCCGTCAGAATGGCCATTATTAAAAAGTCAAAAAACAATAGATGTTGACGTGGATATGGTGAAAAAGGAACACTCATTCACGGCTAGTGGGAATGTAAATCAGTACAAACTCTATGGAAAACAATATGGAGATTTCTCAATGAACTAAAAGTAGATCTACCATTCAGCCCAGCAATCCCATTCCTGGGTATCTACCCAAAGGAAAAGAAGTCACTATATCAGAAAGACACCTGTACATGTATGCTTATTGCAGCGCAACTCACAACTGCAAAGATATGGAATCAACTACTCAGCCATTAAAAAAAAAGAACAAAATAACGTCTTTCAGCAACTTGGCTGGAATTGGAGTTCAATTCTAAGTGAAGCAACTCAGGAACAGAAAAACAAATACCTCATGTTCTCACTTATAAGTGGGAGCTAAGCTATAGGTATGCAAAGGCATACGGAATGGTATAATGGACATTGGAGACTCAGAAGAGAAGGAGGTACAAGAGGGATGAGGGATGAAAAACTATCTATTGGATACAATGTGTATTACCCAAGTGACAGATACAGTCAAATCTAGACTTCACCAC
The DNA here is from genome assembly GCF_000001405.40 of Homo sapiens. Lineage (NCBI taxonomy): Eukaryota > Metazoa > Chordata > Mammalia > Primates > Hominidae > Homo > Homo sapiens. The sequence continues at coordinate 8,308,104 of NC_000007.14, read as the reverse complement.
TGTACAATTCATCCATGTAACCAAAAACCACTTGTACCCCTAATGCTATTGAAATAAAAGAATTTTTTAAGAAAACACACACACACCCCTAAAATATATTTTTAAAGTCTGAAAAAAAAAAGTGTTTCGTTTTTTTTTTTGAGAGACGGAGTCTTGCTCTGTCGCCCAGACTAGAGTACAGTGGCATGATCTCAGCTCACTGCAGCCTCCACCTCCCAGGTTCAAGTGATTCTCCTGCCTCAGCTTCCCAACCAGCTGGGACTACAGGCATGCACCATCAGCCCAGCTAATTTTTGTATTTTTTAGTAGAGACAGGGTTTCACTACATGTTGTCCAGGCTGGTCTTGAACTCCTGACCTCAGGTGATCTGCCCGCCTGGGCCTCCCAAAGTGCTGGGATTACAGGCACGAACCACCGTGCCTGGCAAAGAACATATTTAAGTACAGGATAGGAAGGTTGGTCAATACGAAGGTGGCCAAATGATTACTAATATTTTCTACATTAATCAGGAAGTTATCTTACCAGCTAAGAGCACAGAGAAAGGAAATCTCTAGAGTTTAAAGTTGAAAAGGAGAGTGTGATGTATATGAAACTGTTAACTGGAAGAAAGAGAAACTGAATATACCAAGAAGGTGAAGTTAAACTTCATCTTAGCAGTGCTAAAAGCCCACTTGGATCAGCGAATCTAAGTCTAAAGTGAAAACAATCAGCACATTTGGGTATTTTTCTGGAACACTTTTAACTGCTTTGGTGCAAGTGCAAAGTAGTCAGAGAATTAGTTTTAACCAGGAAAATATAATAGAGGGAGGCTGGGGCAAGAAAGTGAAGGGTGTGTGGAATGAAATCTAAGCACGTTAATGAGGGCGGGGAGAAGATGAGGGAGGGACGTGAGGTAACACGGAAGAGTGGCAAGGCCGGTGAACTGAAGGTCCCAATAAAGTTTTAATATAATGGAAGTTGGGTACTAGAGTTAGTGAACTGGAAGTTAGGCGGTGATGTTCAGCTTATAGTCTCCATTTCAGAGGCAGTATGGTTTTTGGTAATGACAAGGTCTAGGATATGACCGAGAGAAACAGAGAAGAGAGAGTTGAAAGCAAGGAGATCAAGGAACCAAAGTCAGACTATTAGATGCATGCCCTGTGTTTTGTTATTGCAGTCACTGAGAATGGTGACAGTAATAGTGATAGCCAGAAGGAAAAGGAGCCTGGTGCTAAAAGCTAAATTAAAAGGGACGAGAAGGTCAGCGAGTACACTAAAAGCAGGTACTTCAAAGGACTAGACTTCTGAGGGACAAGGGCTAGCAAATGCGCTGAGATCCATTGGCTCAGGGAGGACATCTAACCCACTCTCAGAAGTAGATGTGGAGGTAAAAGCAGGCGGCATTTCAGAAGCCTCCAGGGACAACGGGTTTCTGATAGAGTAACAAGATGAAGAAAACATTCAAAAAAAAAAAAAAAGTTTGAAGAAAGAGGAGATTTTGCTGGTGATGACCCTTCCAGAGGGCACCATGGAAGCGTTTGTAAAGTCAAGAATCACGGCAGCGCGCAGTGGCTCACGCCTATAATCCCGGCACTTTGGGAGGCCGAAGTGGGCAGATCACGAGGTCAGGAGTTCAAGACCAGCCTGGCCAACATGGTGAAACTCCATCTCTACTAAAAACACAAAAATTAGCTGGGCATGGTGGCGGGCGCCTGTAATCCCAGCTACTCAGGAGGCTGAGGCAGGAGAATCGCTTGAACCCGGGAGGCGGAAGTTGCAGTGAGCTGAGATCACACCATTGCTCTCCAGCCTGGGTGACAGAGCAAGACTCCGTCCCCAAAAAAAAAAAAAAAAAAAAGAATCACGGGAGATTGAGTCACACTGAGGAATGTACCAAGCTGTATGTGAACAAGAGTGAGGATGCTGGAAGCTTGGAGTTCTGGTGGTGACCATGGTGAACAGGATGTGAAGCTTGACGGTGTAATCCTGAGAGCCTCTGGGGCAAAGTGGGTCCTCACTTCTTATTACAGCTTTCTTTCCAGGACTATCCTCTCAGTGGTAAAGAGGTATTGGGCTGCTCAGAGCATGAACAATTTTCCTGCCACAATGAAAGCTAATGTCCCTGACCCTGTAGAATACCTGGAATTCTTCTGGATCTTTTGTTTGTCTTACATGACTAAAACTTAAATATGTATCTATTACATGGGGAGTCCTGCTTGCAATGAGTAATCTAGACTTTGAAAGTCAAGTATAGCCAGCACTATTTCTTAGACACCAGCCTGTTGGAAAACTCACAAGTACCCTGTACTAATAGTTTCACATCTCCTTTCACGAAGCACGGGAAAGAGCAGTCAGAAAAATGGCGTCTTTCTGGCTTTTTCTCAACCAGCCTGGTTCATCTTGGCGAGCACACATGTGCTTTTAGCAACTTAAAAAACATTTCTCCAGGAAAACTCTCATGGACACCCAAGCCAGTAGGGTCCTTCTTAGGGAATCCACAGCATCCTGGGCCCTCACCCATATCCCGACTGCATGGTCACTCCCTCTTATTTGCTTGCCTTGCCTAGAAAGGGATATGCTATAGACTGAAGCTTTGTGTCCTCCCCAAAATTCACATGTTGAAGCTGTAACCCACGATGTGATGGTATTTAGAGATTCAGCTTTTGGGAGGTAATTAAGGTTAGATGAGGCCATGAGGGCAGAGTCCTCATGATGGGATTAGTGCCCTTATTAATGCCTTAAGAGACACCAGAGAGCCATGTGAGGACACAGCAAGAAGGCCACCATCTGCCAGCCAGGAAGAAGGCCCTCACCAGAACTTAACCATGCTGGCACCCTGCTCTGGGACTTCAGCCTCCAGGACTGAAATAAATAAATTTCTGTTGTTCAGCCTCCAGTCTATGGTATTTTGTTATGCAACCTAGCAGACTAAGATAGGGTATAAGCTCTTTGAAAGCAAGGACTCTATTTTACTGATTGTTCAATCTCCAGGATGGATTACAGTGTTTAGCACCTAGTACGTGCTTGATAAACAATTAAAGAAGAAACAATTAATGTAATATAATGCCCATGCTTTTGCATTCATAAAATGAAGCTCATGGTAGCAGAGATATTGTCTACAAAATATGAAACCAAAATTATGTGACCCACAGACCAAAAAGAAATGTTCTTAGCCCTATCAGAAAAAAACCTTCTGAGGTTTATGGTGAAGAGGAGAAAAAGATTGTTTTACCCCATATTATCTCCAATCATTTGAAAGAGGCAACCTCGCTTCATGACTGCTTACTTCACTGCCCTTATATTGCCTAGCAGGATCTGCTATGGGCAGACTTTGGGCTAGCTGTCTGGGGAACACAGGCAAAGAGACATTTTTTAAAATATGCTACATTTAAATAATTGAAAATTGGGGAAAATACTGCCAAAGCAACAAAAAAGGTGCCAGGGAGGAGAATAGAGGGAAACCTACTTAAGTGGGGTGACCGGAAAAGGCCTCTTTAAGAATCTGACATTTTAACTGAGAACTGAGGATGGACAGAAAAAAAAAGTATTCCAGGCGGAGGAAAAAAACCTGTGCAAAAGTCCTTAGACAGGCTAGAGTTTAAGAAGCCCAGTATAGATGAGGCTGCATAAGTGAGATTAGCAAGGTAAGCAAGTCTTGAAGGTCAGGGTCAAAATTGGGACTTTATTGTATATATACAGGACACTCTTGGAGGATCTTAAACAGAAGGATGGCATCATCCCATTCATTCAGTCAGTCAGTTATATACTGAACACCTGTCATGTGACAGGCACTATTAGGTGCTGGCACATGCATACCCTAGCATTTGGTAAGCAACAACAGGCCATCCTCTGTGTCACTGTCACATGTCCAAATTCATCTCCCCCCTAGACTAGATACATGAACATGGGAGTAATATTTTTAAAATACAACTGTAAGTCTATCAAATTTACTTTGACTCCAAATACTTACAATTAAGAAAATTCCGGGGGAGGAGGCAAGATGGCCGAATAGGAACAGCTCCGGTCTGCAGCAATCAGCCTGAGCGACGCAGAAGACGGGTGATTTCTGCATTTCCATCTGAGGTACCGGGTTCATCTCACTAGGGAGCGCCAGACAGTGGGCGCAGGTCAGTGGGTGCGCACCGTGCGCGAGCCGAAGCAGGGCGAGGCATTGCCTCACTCGGGAAGTGCTAGGGGTCAGGGAGTTCCCTTTCCTAATCAAAGAAAGGGGTGACGGACGGCACCTGGAAAATCGGGTCACTCCCACCCGAATACTGCGCATTTCCGACGGGCTTAAAAAATGGCGCACGACGAGATTATATCCCGCACCTGGCTCGGAGGGTCCTACGCCCACGGAGTCTCGCTGATTGCTAGCACAGCAGTCTGAGATCAAACTGCAAGGCGGCAGCGAGGCTGGGGGAGGGGCGCCCGCCATTGCCCAGGCTTGCTTAGGTAAACAAAGCAGCCGGGAAGCTCGAACTGGGTGGAGCCCACCACAGCTCAAGGAGGCCTGCCTGCCTCTGTAGGCTCCACCTCTGGGGGCAGGGCACAGACAAACAAAAAGACAGCAGTAACCTCTGCAGACTTAAATGTCCCTGTCTGACAGCTTTGAAGAGAGCAGTGGTTCTCCCAGCATGCAGCTGGAGATCTGAGAACGGGCAGACTGCCTCCTCAAGTGGGTCCCTGACCCCTGACCCGCGAGCAGCCTAACTGGGAGGCACCCTCCAGCAGGGGCACACTGACACCTCACACTGCAGGGTACTCCAACAGACCTGCAGCTGAGGGTCCTGTCTGTTAGAAGGAAAACTAACAAACAGAAAGGACATCCACACCAAAAACCCATCTGTACGTCACCATCATCAAAGACCAAAAGTAGATAAAACCACAAAGATGGGGAAAAAACAGAACAGAAAAACTGGAAACTCTAAAAATCAGAGCGCCTCTCCTCCTCCAAAGGAATGCAGCTCCTCACCAGCAACGGAACAAAGCTGGACAGAGAATGACTTTGAAGAGCTGAGAGAAGAAGGCTTCAGACGATCAAATTACTCTGAGCTACGGGAGGACATTCAAACCAAAGGCAAAGAAGTCGAAAACTTTGAAAAAAATATAGAAGAATGTACAACTAGAATAACCAATACAGAGAAGTGCTTAAAGGAGCTGATGGAGCTGAAAACCAAGGCTCGAGAACTACGTGAAGAATGCAGAAGCCTCAGGAGCTGATGTGATCAAGTGGAAGAAAGGGTATCAGCAATGGAAGATGAAATGAATGAAACGAAGCGAGAAGGAAAGTTTAGAGAAAAAAGAATAAAAAGAAACGAGCAAAGCCTCCAAGAAATATGGGACTATGTGAAAAGACCAAATCTACGTCTGATTGGTGTAACTGAAAGTGATGGGGAGAATGGAACCAAGTTGGAAAACACTCTGCAGGATATCATCCAGGAGAATTTCCCCAATCTAGCAAGGCAGGCCAACGTTCAGATTCAGGAAATACAGAGAATGCCACAAAGATACTCCTCGAGAAGAGCAATCCCAAGACACATAATTGTCAGACTCACCAAAGTTGAAATGAAGGAAAAAATGTTAAGGGCAGCCAGAGAGAAAGGTCGGGTTACCCTCAAAGGGAAGCCCATCAGACTAACAGTGGATCTCTCGGCAGAAACCCTACAAGCCAGAAGAGAGTGGGGGCCAATATTCAACATTCTTAAAGAAAAGGATTTTCAACCCAGAATTTCATATCCAGCCAAACTAAGCTTCTTAAGTGAAGGAGAAATAAAATACTTTACAGACAAGCAAATGCTGAGAGATTTTGTCACCACCAGGCCTGCCTTAAAAGAGCTCCTAAAGGAAGCGCTAAACATGGAAAGGAACAACCGGTACCAGCCGCTGCAAAATCATGCCAAAATGTAAAGACTATCGAGACTAGGAAGAAACTGCGTCAACTAACGAGCAAAATAACCAGCTAACATCATAATGACAGGATCAAATTCACACATAACACTATTAACTTTAAATGTAAATGGACTAAATGCTCCAATTAAAAGACACAGTCTGGCAAATTGGATAAAGAGTCAAGACCCATCAGTGTGCTGTATTCAGGAAACCCATCTCACGTGCAGAGACACACATAGGCTCAAAATAAAAGGATGGAGGAAAATCTACCAAGCAAATGGAAAACAAAAAAAGGCAGGGGTTGCAATCCTAGTCTCTGATAAAACAGACTTTAAACCAACAAAGATCAAAAGAGACAAAGAAGGCCATTACATAATGGTAAAGGGATCAATTCAACAAGAAGAGCTAACTATCCTAAATATATATGCACCCAATACAGGAGCACCCAGATTCATAAAGCAAGTCCTGAGTGACATACAAAGAGACTTAGACTCCCACAGATTAATAATGGGAGACTTTAACATCCCACTGTCAACATTAGACAGATCAACGAGACAGAAAGTCAACAAGGATACCCAGGAATTGAACTCAGCTCTGCACCAAGCGGACCTAATAGACATCTACAGAACTCTCCACCCCAAATCAACAGAATATACATTTTTTTCAGCACCACACCACACCTATTCCAAAATTGACCACATACTTGGAAGTAAAGCTCTCCTCAGCAAATGTAAAAGAACAGAAATTATAACAAACTATCTCTCAGACCACATTGCAATCAAACTAGAACTCAGGATTAAGAATCTCACTCAAAACCGCTCAACTACATGGAAACTGAACAACCTGCTCCTGAATGACTACTGGGTACATAACGAAATGAAGGCTGAAATAAAGATGTTCTTTGAAACCAACGAGAACAAAGACACAACATACCAGAATCTCTGGGATGCATTCAAAGCAGTGTGTAGAGGGAAATTTATAGCACTAAATGCCCACAAGAGAAAGCAGGAAAGATCCAAAATTGACACCCTAACATCACAATTAAAAGAACTAGAAAAGCAAGAGCAAACACATTCAAAAGCTAGCAGAAGGCAAGAAATAACTAAAATCAGAGCAGAACTGAAGGAAATAGAGACACAAAAAACCCTTCAAAAAATTAATGAATCCAGGAGCTGGTTTTTTGAAAGGATCAACAAAATTGATAGACCGCTAGCAAGACTAATAAAGAAAAAAAGAGAGAAGAATCATATAGACACAATAAAAAACGATGAAGGGGATATCACCACTGATCCCACAGAAATACAAACTACCGTCAGAGAATACTACAAACACCTCTACGCAAATAAACCAGAAAATCTAGAAGAAATGGATAAATTCCTTGACACATACACTCTCCCAAGACTAGACCAGGAAGAAGTTGAATCTCTGAATAGACCAATAACAGGATCTGAAATTGTGGCAATAATCAATAGCTTACCAACCAAAAAGAGTCCAGGACCAGATGGATTCACAGCCAAATTCTACCAGAGGTACAAGGAGGAACTGGTACCATTCCTTCTGAAACTATTCCAATCAATAGAAAAAGAGGGAATCCTCCCTAACTCATTTTATGAGGCCAGCATCATTCTGATACCAAAGCCGGGCAGAGACACAACCAAAAAAGAGAATTTTAGACCAATATCCTTGATGAACATTGATGCAAAAATCCTCAATAAATTACTGGCAAACCGAATCCAGCAGCACATCAAAAAGCTTATCCACCATGATCAAGTGGGCTTCATCCCTGGGATGCAAGGCTGGTTCAATATACGCAAATCAATAAATGTAATCCAGCATATAAACAGAGCCAAAGACAAAAACTACATGATTATCTCAATAGAGGCAGAGAAGGCCTTTGACAAAATTCAACAACCTTTCATGCTAAAAACTCTCAATAAATTAGGTATTGATGGGACATATTTCAAAATAATAAGAGCTATCTATGACAAACCCACAGCCAATATCATACTGAATGGGCAAAAACTGGAAGCATTCCCTTTGAAAACTGGCACAAGACAGGGATGCCCTCTCGCACCACTCCTATTCAACATAGTGTTGGAAGTTCTGGCCAGGGCAATTAGGCAGGAGAAGGAAATAAAGGGTATTCAATTAGGAAAAGAGGAAGTCAAATTGTCCCTGTTTGCAGATGACATGATTGTATATCTAGAAAACCCCACTGTCTCAGCCCAAAATCTCCTTAAGCTGATAAGCAACTTCAGCAAAGTCTCAGGATACAAAATCAATGTGCAAAAATCACAAGCATTCCTACACACCAACAACAGACAAACAGAGAGCCAAATCATGAGTGAACTCCCATTCACAATTGCTTCAAAGAGAAAAAAATACCTACGAATCCAACTTACAAGGGATGTGAAGGACCTCTTCAAGGAGAACTACAAACCGCTGCTCAAGGAAATAAAAGAGGATACAAACAAATGGAAGAACATTCCATGCTCATGGGTAGGAAGAATCAATATCGTGAAAATGGCCATACTGCCCAAGGTAATTTACAGATTCAATGCCATCCCCATCAAGCTACCTATGCCTTTCTTCACAGAATTGGAAAAAACTACTTTAAAGTTTATATGGAACCAAAAAAGAGCCCGCATCACCAAGTCAATCCTAAGCCAAAAGAACAAAGCTGGAGGCATCACACTACCCGACTTCAAACTATACTACAAGGCTACAGTAACCAAAACAGCATGGTACTGGTACCAAAACAGAGATATAGATCAATGGAACAGAACAGAGCCCTCAGAAGTAACGCCGCATATCTACAACTATCTGATCTTTGACAAACCTGAGAAAAACAAGCAATGGGGAAAGGATTCCCTATTTAATAAATGGTGCTGGGAAAACTGGCTAGCCATATGTAGAAAGCTGAAACTGGATCCCTTCCTTACACCTTATACAAAAATCAATTCAAGATGGATTAAAGACTTAAATGTTAGACCTAAAACCATAAAAACCCTAGAAGAAAACCTAGGCATTACCATTCAGGACATAGGCATGGGCAAGGACTTCATGTCTAAAACACCAAAAGCAATGGCAACCAAAGCCAAAATTGACAAATGGGATCTAATTAAACTAAAGAGCTTCTGCACAGCAAAAGAAACTACCATCAGAGTGAACAGGCAACCTACAAAATGGGAGAAAATTTTCGCAACCTACTCATCTGACAAAGGGCTAATATCCAGAATCTACAGTGAACCCAAATTTACAAGAAAAAAACAAACAACCCCATCAAAAAGTGGGCAAAGGACATGAACAGACACTTCTCAAAAGAAGACATTTATGCAGCCAAAAAACACATGAAAAAATGCTCACCATCACTGGCCATCAGAAAAATGCAAATCAAAACCACAATGAGATACCATCTCATACCAGTTAGAATGGCAATCATTAAAAAGTCAGGAAACAACAGGTGCTGGAGAGGATGTGGAGAAATATGAACAACTTTTACACTGTTGGTGGGACTGTAAACTAGTTCAACCATTGTGGAAGTCAGTGTGGCGATTCCTCATGGATCTAGAACTAGAAATACCTTTTGACCCAGCCATCCCATTACTGGGTATATACCCAAAGGACTATAAATCATGCTGCTATAAAGACACATGCACATGTATGTTTACTGCGGCATTATTCACAATAGCAAAGACTTGGAACCAACCCAAATGTCCAACAATGATAGACTGGATTAAGAAAATGTGGCACATATATACCATGGAATACTATGCAGCCATAAAAAATGATGAGTTCATGTCCTTTGTAGGGACATGGATGAAATTGGAAACCATCATTCTCAGTAAACTATCGCAAGAACAAAAAACCAAACACCGCATATTCTCACTCATAGGTGGGAATTGAACAATGAGATCACATGGACACAGGAAGGGGAACATCACACTCTGGGGACTGTTGTGGGGTTGGGGGAGGGGGGAGGGATAGCATTGGGAGATATACCTAATGCTAGATGACGAGTTAGTGGGTGCAGCGCACCAGCATGGCACATGTATACATATGTAACTAACCTGCACAATGTGCACATGTACCCTAAAACTTAAAGTATAATAATAAAAATAAATAAATAAATAAAATAAAAAAAAAGGAAAAAAAAATTAAGAAAATTTATCTTCACTGACTCAATGTACAAATAAATAAATGATAGCAAGGCCAACTGCAGCTCTAAATAGTAGAGAATATAAATGATTCAAGCATAAAATGGTCAGAGTTCCCTGAATAAATATTTTCCTACAGTCATGTATAAATAATTCTGATTTCTGTCTGAACCACCTGTCTGCGTTCCTAGGGAAACTAAAGTGAATACATGCCTGTCTGTGACTCTACTCCCTGTATCAAAAGCCAAAGTGGACACAGCTACAGAGGGGAGAGAGGTTGTCTCCACATTCTGTTGTTGGATCACTCTCTTATTCACAATCGTCCCAGAAGCCATAGACAATAAAGGAAGGAGGAGCTGATGCAAAGGAATTGGATAGGGAGGTTCTCACCCTTCCATGTGTGCGGATAGTTTGGGTGTGTTGTAAAGACTCCAGACCACGCTCCAGACCATCTAAAGTTCCGGCTTCCATTTCTAACTGCCCTTACTAGAGCCTTAGGAAAAGCATTTAAATGCACTGCGACTTGGGTTGCTTCTCTTACATAGTAAGGAAAGAACCAGGAACAGACAAGATAATAATGATGATAATTTTTTTTTTTTTTTGAGACGGAGTCTCACTCTTTCGCCCAGTCTGGAGTGAGTGGCACAATCTCTACTCATTGCAACCTCTGCCTCCCAGGTTCAAGCAATTCTCTTGGCTCAGCCTGCTAAGTAGCTGAGATTACAGGTGTGTGCCACCACGCCCGGCTAATTTTTGTATTTTTATTTATTTATTTATTTACTTTTAACAGAGATGGGGTTTCACCATGTTGGCCAGGCTGGTCTCAAACTCCTGACCTCAGGTGGCTGCCTGCCTCGGCCTCCCAAAGTGCTGGGATTGCAGGCGTGAGCCACCACACCCGGCCAATGATGATACTTTTAAATAGTATTGAAAAAAAGAGAATTAAAGCACCATGGTGGAGACCGAGACTGGGAATGGTGAGAATTCTGAGTTAACCATTTTGGAGAAGGATTAAACTGGAGGTGCCGGTCACTCTGCACTAAAGGAAATATTAAGATTCTACACATCACAAATTGAGAATTTAAATGTGAGAGGGAAATAGTATGCATTTCATAAAAGTACACTTGCTTATGTATTCATTTATGTATAAAAAATTAGAGTTGTGGGAGACAAGAGAACTAGGATTCAGAAAGCAGGGGTAAGGACCTCACCACCATCAAAGGGAAACCAAGAAATTATGACAAACAAAATGAAGATTGAGATTTACCCTGCCTCTGTCTATATTTACAAAAAGGGAGCTCAAATCCCAGCTGATGTGTTGTCAGTTCCCTGGGTTCGAAGCCAGAGAACTCAGTAGTTCAGGGGTGTGCTTTTATTTCTGGATCTGTCCTGTCTAGCACAGAGGTTGACGCAAGAGTAGGAGTTAAATGAGAGGATAAACAAATTAATTTATTTATTTTTAAATTTACACCTCCACTAATCCAATCAATTGCATGGAAGTACATCTGCTTCAGAGAAGTAGCGACAGAGCCAAAGGAATTTGGAGCTCTGTTTATAATACTGCATTTACAAGAAAAGAGTTATCAAAGTGTCATTCTCTGAAAAACATGTTGCTCATTCACCTACTTAATAAAAAATAAAAATCTAAAAACTCATGATATAAATAATAAAGTAGAGAAACCAAATCTGAACAGTTAGGTTTCCAACTGGCCACTGGTATATTTTCAAATGGAAAAGGCAGCCATTTTAAAAACAAGACTTACCAAGCCTTTGGGAAAGCTTGAAGGTAGCTAAATCTGTCATTGGTATATGCAGCCACCAGATGTCACTATTGGCTTAAGCAAATATGCTCTAGCTCGCTGTCGGCTAATTCACACTATTTGTAATCTTAGAGACCTTGGAGGGCATCCTACCTAGACAGTTGATGAAATTGAAGCTCTAGTTACTTCATAGCTATTTGCAGAGACATCAGGACTCAATCTAGAATCTTCAGACTCCCTTTCTATTGCTTTCCCTTTTCCATCCATGTTTTTGTTTTTTGTTTTTTGGTGGTGGTGGTGGTGTTTTTTAACTAAATCAGCCCAATAATGCTCTTTAGGTTAGTAAATGACAACTAGGAAGACGAATTATATTAAAACAGTTGCCTGTATCACAGGACTTAGATGCGGGTAATTGTGTTTGCTCACCTTTTCCCTGTTTAAAATGCTGCACTCTTGGGTGTTGCCAGTTGGAACAGATCTTTTCATAAAGGCAAAGGAAGTAGTGACGAGCTTGCCAATCAAAGTCCAATTAAAATGTATTCCTTTTAGGTAGGTGACATTTAAACAGTAGTCCCTAGAAGGCAGTTCACGTTTCTGAAATTTACAAGTGACTTTTTCATTGAATGGGTATACCCAAGATTATTCCTTAGTTTCTCTTTTTTTAATAAGCATGAATAATAAATGTTAATATCCTTTGTTGCTAATCTTTTGGTTTCTCTCCGTAGACTATTAAGTAGTCTTCCATTTACACAAATCTATTTTCTCTCCAGAAAGACTCCCTCTGCATCCTCACCCTCACTAGAATATTCCAACAAGTGTTTCTTTTGCATTACCATCTCTTCCTTCTCATTCTCACAACTTTTACTACCTTCTCAGGGAGAAAGCATCTAATAGATTTCCATTTCCTAAAAATACTACATACTGTATCTTGGAAGTTCCTCCACTCCATAAAAACTCTCCGTATTGTTTTCCCCCACTACAAATACAAATCTCAAAACAAGAAACAGTACGTGGCAAGAGCAAGACCTGAAGAAAGACAAAGACCAAGAGAGAACACAAAGAAGTATGAGGAACAGAAATGCAAAAGAAGAAAACTTCAGCCCAGTGTGGTAGCTAACACCTGTAATCCCAGAACTTTAGGAGGCCAAGGTGGGAGGATCACTTGAGTGCAGGAGTTTGAGACTGCCCTGGGCAACAAAGTGAGACCCCACCCTTACTAAAAAATAGTTTTAAATTAGCCAGGCATGGTGGCACATGCCTGTAGTCCCACCTACTGAGGAGGCGGAGGCAGGAGGATCACTTGAGCCTGGCAGATAAAGGCTGCAGTTAGCTGTGATTGCACCACTGCATTCCAGCCTGGGCAACAGAGCAAGACCCTGTCCAAAAAAAGAAAAGAAGAAGAAGAAGACTTCACGTAGGAATATACTTCTGGCTCGTTCTTATTTAATCACATCATTCTAGTACTGCGTTTTTTACAGCCCCATAATTTTGTTTTTCTTTTATTTGGCAACAGAATTATGCTTATTGTTCAAACAAATGACAGAATTGTGTAAGCCAAGATGAACAAAAATACATGGTTGATTTATTTAAGTCTTAAGAATAACAGTTGAGATGAGTTTGAATAAAATTTGCAGCTAACAACAGGACATTAAGGATAACTTAAATATATTCAATGCAGTCATTTATTCCAGTTTCATGAACATTCAGTAGCTTTTTATGTCTAAGTTGCCATCAATGGACCTCTTAGACATTCAAAATACTAGCATTGTATCATTAACACTTTTCTGATCAATGGGTTGAGTAATATAGGACGTATGAAAATATGTATTGCATTCTCTTTCAAATGAGCTGCATGGTACCTCCATTAACATAACTATATTGATCTAATTTCATTATTTTCAGCAGAGTGCAATTTGGAAATATAAAATTGATAAACAGGAGCCACATGAGGAGCGGAGTTTAAACAAAAGGTCATAAATTATAAAGCCTCAATAAGGAAGATCCTAGATAATTGCCGTGATGTGAAAGTGTTAAGTATATGCATTTCTTTTTTCTTTTTTTTTAAGAAAACCTTACATTTTTGGGTTTGTTGGGTTTTTTTAAATTTACTTTTTTATTATTTTATTTTATTTTATTTTATTTATTTATTTATTTATTTATTTATTTTTGAGACAGAGTCTGTCTCTGTCACCCAGGCTAAAGTGTAGTGGTATGATGTTGGCTCACTGCAACCTCTGCCTTCCAGGTTCAAGCGATTATCTTCCCTCAGCCTTCTGAGTAGCTGGGATTACGTGGACCTGCTACCACGCCTGGCTAATTTTTGTATTTTTAGTAGAGACAGGGTTTCGCCATGTTGGCCAGGCTGGTCTTGAACTCCTGACCTCAAGTGATCTGTCCACCTCTCCCTTCCAAAGTGCTGGGATTACAGGCATGAGCCACCACACCTGGCCAAAAATCTTACAGCCACTGCGCCCGACCAAATTTCTTATATATTTTATCCATTTTATTTCAACCAGACTAAATCTATTGGTGGTAGATAATTTCATCTCCTTTTCAGAGAGGTAGTTTCAATTCACCTAATTATATAAGTTATTTATCACATGGACTGAAGGAGACTCAAATCACAGCCCTGGATCAAAATATTAGATCCTACCCTCAGAGATTCTGATTAAATTGGCCTGAATGTGGTGTGGACATCAGTTAATTAAAACCTTCCCAGGTGATTCTAATAGGCAAGATTGAGAATCACTGCACCAAACCTCACATCTTACACATACAGATGTTAACACATTATTACTTTATTATTTTCAGTGTTTTTTATAAATGGGTTTACTTCCAAGTTAGGTTTAACATGTGTTTAGAAATATCTGTCAAGTTACTGCAAAAGGTGATCACAAATTAAACATTCTTCAAGGTCAAATGAATAAAGAATAATTAGTACATGCACTTTCATTCATTGTCTCTGAATTAATCAGTAAATTCATTAGTTAACTTCCAAAAGCTGATTCTAAGGAACTTCCAAAGAATGTTATTGGTGTTGCCCCAAAATTGAACAGAAAATCCAATATCAAATAATTTGGGGATAAATACACATTTATACAGGATCTTTTAGAATCTATAACATGTTAATAGATTGCAGATCTCCAAGAGGGACAGAATTCCCTATGTGGCATGCAGTGAATATGTGTTGAATGATTGAAGGAACCTTGGGTCTAATATTTCATGCAAACACACTTTAGGAAATGCAATCCAACGATATTTCTTTTAAAGCAATAATAATTAAGACTTAGAACGGAAATGTTACCCAAAGATTTTACTCTGCAAGCCTGACATACCACTTGGTTTTTAGTATTCTTTTGAATATATCATGATATTGCCTTCAAATATTTGGACGTTTTCTACCAGAAGCACAGCAGAATGGTTAAGAGTAGAAACTTAAGATTTGTTAGGTTCACATCAGGCATTTTTTACTTAATCTTTCTGTGCTTCAATTTCTTCACCTGTAAAATGGGGAAATGGATCACACCTGTCTCATGGTATTGCTGTGCTTGCTAAACGTAGGTCATTGTTATTATTATTGTAACAGAATATTGAATGACATTGAAAAGTGAGATACAAAACTGTCATATAAAAACCATGAAAGGAAATTTCTGAGAACCCACCGCATAAATTCTGAACCATCTGACTCACTACAAGGATATGAAAGAGCTGAGAGACGAAAGGAGAAGGGATATTTGTGAAGATAGCACTTTGGGGAGAATAATTGCCTCGTTATTAGTTTCTACCATCTCACTCTATTGAGAGGGACTCCCATGGGTCCACTTTGAATTCCTAAGTGGGGCATCCCTGCATTTTGGGGACACTGGCCCTGCATTCTGCCTTCTGCCCAGGAAATCTAGAGGGCCAAGGATGGTAGAATAACTGCTTTGAGGACAGTTACTCCCACATGCATTTCCAGGGTTTTTCAGGTCAAAGAACCCTAGAGTGTTTCCTGTGGAGCAGAGGTGGGCAGCAAATGAGAGAGAGCTAACTTGAGTCTGGCCCAATGCAGGTCCTAGAGGGCAGCAGCAAGAAGCTGGGTGCAAGGCCAAATTCCTAGGATCCAAAGCAGGAGGAACAAGTGGCCACCTGGACTTGACGGGGTTCTGCAGCCAGCAACAAGGGGACTGCAGGAGAAGTCACCAATGAAGGGAATCACAAAGCCTCACAAAAGTGCCCTACAGGGGAAGGCATCAGATTTAAACCAAAAAGCTCAACATGGGCAAACAGAGAATAGCTAATGAGAGCCCTTTTAGGGACAAACAGCAGGGTAAGCAGGCCCAGGCTGGGCCAAGGGAGCTCTGCCCGTTAAATCGAGGTCAGAGCCTGGTTATTATCTTAGGCCCACAATCTAATTACTGAATTGTGCCTGTGTTTATGATCTTAATTGACAGTAGGATGGTATACTACTTAAGCATGAGCAGAAAAGGCATAGGGTCTCCAGAAATTTGCTTCCCAGGGCTTCCGATGATTACTGAATAAATTTTAAGGGAGTAGGAAAGACAAAAATAAAGTTGATTTGATGATATGCTGTGAATCCTGAGGTTTACACACCAGATAAATATGTATGTTTTTAGCCAGAATATGTCATGAATTCCCTTGAATTGAGGGATGGTAATACATACTCTCAATTTTACATCCATGCTACTCATACTGTGATCCATGAGCCAGAAGCATCAATATCATCTGGGAGATTTTTAAATAATGCAGACTCTCAGGCCACACCCCAGACCTGGTGACTCAGAACCTGTATTTTAACAAGATCTCCTGGGGATTCATATGCATATTAAAATTAGAGAAATATTGCCTTATACCACCCAGCCATCCACCAGCAAGTCTTTGTGACATTTTAAAACAATCTAATTGCAACATAACAAGTCCATTGAAGCTATATCATACAAGTCTCATAATAGCAACAAATATTTTATAGCATTTTGGCATTATAAAGCTCTTCTACAATTTCATTTTATCTTTGTCATTCTCACAGTTAACTGCTTAACTTTAAATCTGGTGAGTTATTTCATGTGTTATCTCTTGCATTTAGTGCATAGGAAACTGGTTAGACGAGTGACAGGAAAACCTGTCTCTAACACCTGGTGTTCCAGGCCACCTTCCAATAACAAAGGAAAACTAGAGAGTTTACCGTCTGTTATTGCATAATGTGTGCTCATTACCTTATCTTTGCAATGCGCCACAGGGCTTCTAGATTCTGTGGGTAATAAATGAGAGACAGCCCTGCAGATTACCATAGCCTCAGGGAAAACTTGCTTGGGTGTCCTCATCAGCAGAAATGAAGACAAATTACCTCTTTTGGTTCTTCACTCTCCCTTATATCAACCCCTCTCACTAACTGGAAAGCCCCTGGCTGCAAATCAAGAGGCAAATTATTATCTGAACTTTGGTGGTTGGATACAAGGATGAACCTATAAATAGGTTTCACTTTGGAGAACCCAATAAAATGCAACATGGTGCCAGAGTGGCTCTCAAGACCCATGCCAGGTGTGAGAAGCAGGGCTCATGGTATGTGGAGGATGTCAAATCAGTGTTTGTTGAATGAATAAATAAATCATAAATGAACTGGTCTGCAATGCATATCCTCAAGACCACTTGGTATTCCTCAATCCCTATGTTTCTCTGATGAAGGAAATCTTCAGGCAGTATTTCTTTTTCATTCCTTCTCATACTTGAACTTGTAATAGCTATGGGAATTCTATTGTTTCAGCAGAAAAATTCTAAAATGCAGACCTTCCTAAGATCACTAGCTACAGAGTTAGAGGTTTAAGTCCAGGCACCACCACTTGAAGGCTGCGTAACCTTGAGGAGTTACCTAACTTTTGGAGCATTATTTAAACATTTGATAGTATGCTTCCTAAAACCCAGAGATGGGGCACTATACAAAAGAAACACCAAGCTCTGCTCCTGCCTCCCACCTAAAGGTCTCATCACCTTTCTGCCTGGCCAACTCTCTTGCCAATCACTCTTCTAATCAGAAGTTCTGTCTTCTCTTAATTGTCTACAATTACTGTCTAACCTGCAGTCACTGATATTCTTAATAGTTTGTCTTTGAAAGTGAACCTTCTTTCCCAGGTTCTTTTTCACTTGCATTTTCTACAAGGTATTTCATGCTATTTAGCTAACAACATAGTTTCATAGTATTTCCATAGGGCATCCCAAACTTAAATCTAGCATAAAGTAAGGCAATATCATCACTCATGATTCAAGTGAGTCCTCCTGCATCCCCAGCATTCTGCTTGGCTCAGAGCAGGTGTTTTGTAAATATTTGTTCAGTGAAGGAGACTAAACCGAACCAGAAATTGGTTTAGACTTCCATTTTTTATTTCTTTCCTCTTTCTCCTGATTCTTTTCTCATAATCTATAAAGATCTAAAAACTAAACTTTATTTGAAAAGAGTTAATTTTCAGTAAATGAAATAATTTTAACATATCTATCAAGAATTTTTCATGCATCCAGCTTTTCTTTTTGATGTTAGATAAAATTAATGATTTGACCAAGTTGGTGCATAACTAAATGATATTAAGTTACAGCTTACATTCACTTGTTCTCAGTCTGCCATTTAAAACTAAATTATTGCCAGTAAAGATAATCAAGTTTTCTGTAGTTTTTTTTCACAAATCTTGATGATTTGTACACATAAACAAACACATAGACAATTTCACTGGATAGTTTTAGAATTATCAGAACTACTAGTGTTTATTTGGTTGTCCTGTCTATTATTTCATAAATACACTACAGTTCAATTACCTATGTAAGAGATATCGTTGAGATCAGAGTAAGAGAGTTAGTTTCAATATATTTTTTGTGAGCGGCATTAGAAAGATAATTTTTTAAGTTGCTCTTGTAAAGAAACAATAACAAATAAACATAACCTAACACAGTGTCCAACCTGTGATAGGCACTCAATAGATGTCTGGCTGAATAAATGGACACAGAGAAGACAAATAAATGTGGGATATGTAAGTGTATACTTTCTTAAAACTATAGACTACCCTTATATTAGGAGAGGTAGAAGGACATGTTTTTATAGTCAAGAATCTCAAATATGATAAAAATAAATAATGTTCAATTTGCTGCTCAAAAAATAGAAAAGAAGAGGAAAATAATTTAGATCAATGTAAGAATGTTTTCATTCTCCCTTATTAATTTGAGCTAACAGAAAATACAAAAATCTAAGAAGACTTATAGGTTTAATGTATTAAGGAAGGAAGGCACTGTAATTAAATTTTGCAAACAGTATGAATGCCTCTTTAGAAAGGAATTGATAATTAAAATGTTAGTATAAATTGAAAAAAAATCAAGAGCATTGAAAAAATTCAGAAGAAAAAGACAAAATTAATTTGTAAAGACAGATCATTGTGACACAGTAAGTACCAATAATGCAATAGCAGAGAAACACAGCAGGAAGCCAGGAAGGAACTACTTTCACAGTAATAGATTTACAGAACAAAAAAATGTTTTTTAAAAAGAATCATTAGGAAATGTTCTGGAATGATGTGGGTTAACAGAAGCTAAAAGTGACATTTATTTTATAGAAAATAAACACACCGCAGTATGGCCTATGTATAAGAAAGGTCTATTTAGAGTTTATATTTCCTTCTTGTTGAATTTCTTAAGGAGAACTAAATCTAAATTAAAAAATTTCAACTTATGATTTTTAAATTGTATTTACACTAAGTAGTACAACAGATAAAAGGCCAAAGAAAAAATAATAACTTGTTTAAAAAATATTTATCTCTCCATTAAAGTGCTTCATGTTGTTCCAAGTCTTTTAAAACATCAATAAGATGACATGGCATCAAAAAAATCAAAAAGTGATGATATTATCTTCCCAAGTAAGTCCCTTTTCTCTTTGGTAAAGGAGAGAAAAAGTAAACATCATAAGGCTCTTTCAAGCTCACTAGCACTCTTAAATTTACAAACCTGGGGAGGGGGGTCATTTTCTCTGAGGCAAATAATCAAATGGCCAGATATTTTTAAAGGAACATTAATTCTTTATAAATGTAATTTGCTATTTTATTTCTTCAGTGAATACCATTTCATATTAGTGGCCTGAAATAGTTAATGATTTCCTCCTCCCTAGCCAGTGCCTACTTTTCTGACACACTTGATCTGTTCTCTACAATGCAAACCCAAAATTAACTGGAAAAGAACAAAGCTAAACCTTATCATCATCTACAAGAGCGATTCTAAACACATTGACAATCGATCTAGACAAATGATATATAATTTCATATTTACATTTAACTATTGCTTAAAAATACTTTGAAGTATAGTCCTTTACATGTTCAAAGTTAGGACGTTTCTGGTTGACTCACTAAACCAGCATTAAAGTAAAATACATGGTTTCTTTTTAGTTCTGTTTTATTTTTAGTAATGTTGAGCCAAACATCTACTCAGATCAGTAGCAAATCACAAAGGTTACAGGAGCTGAGCTGTCTCCAAATTTTTATGGATAGTAAGAAGAATGAGGGTCCATGATTATGTTCTCTCAGTCTTTTACTTCCTCAGTCTTCTGGATTACTCAATGAATATTTAATAAATGAATGGGTGAGAGAAGGAAAGAAGGAAGAAAGGAAGGGATGGAAAGAGGGAAGGAAGAAGGGAGGTAAGGGGGAAGGAAAGAATTTTGTGATTTAAAAGTACTTAAACCATCTCAAAAATCACTCACACCCAGGTGATGTGAGTTTTCTGGGACACAGCAGGCAGTCCCCCATTTGAAGAAAAAAAAATCTACTTGCAACAATTTTTTCTTGTGGCCTAAATTTTCTCATTCATCAAAAAGCCTTTTATACCACCATCAGTGCAAATGGGAATAGCCCGAGTCACAGTAATTGAAAGTCAATTTCACTCAGCAGCATTTCTCAAATGTTGACCCACAACTGGCAGAGACTTTATGTCAGAGTTTGCCTGAGACAGAGCTGTTTTGCACTTGTTATCTCAGAGTAATTGTCAGCAGCAGCTCACTTCACTCTCCGAAGTCTCCTAGTTTGAAAATAATTTATATGGTCATTCAACCAATGACTAAATGCATTTGACACTCCTGGTTCTTACTAAAAGCAGAGCTTCCTGAGTCCCACCTTGAAATGAATAAATGAGGTTTTTGTTTGTTTGTTTGTTTGTTTGTTGTTTGTTGTTGGTGCAGACCCAGGATAATACATTTTGACAAGCCCTCCTGCCTCCTGCACTGACCTCCTGCTCAGGTTAGGTGGCCACTGGTCTCCCCACAGGGTGCTGGGACCCAGCCAACTCCTTATAGCCTGGAACTGCTGAATTGTTCTTTGGTTTCCAGGTCATGGCTTGATAGCCTGTTGTCACCCCAGTTCCATTTTGAGTAAATGACCTTTTAGACAAACTGGCAATAAAAGTTCTTCAAAACTTAAAAAAAATAAAATAAACAAAACAGAAGAATCACCGCATACCCAACCCCCTGATAATTGTTAGGAATACTAAAGTGTGAGAACCACCGCATTATTATACAATAAAGACTATTATATTTCAATGGGCAAAAACCTGGAAAGGCCAGTAAATAAAGAAAAGAGGCCGGGTGCGGGGGCTCACACCTGTAATCCCAGAACTTCAGGAGGCCGAGGCGGGCAGATCACTTAAGGCCGGGAGTTCAGGACAAGCCTAGTCAACATGGCAAAACCCCATCTCTGCTAAAAATACAAAAATTAGCCAGGCGTGGTGGTACTCACCTGTAGTCCCAGCTACTCTGGAAGCTGAGGTATGAGAATCACTTGAACCCAGGAGGCAGAGGTTGCAATGAGCTGAGATCATACCACTGCACTCCACCGGGGTGCAGAGCAAGACCCTGACAAAAAAAGGAAGGGGAGGGGAGGGGAGGGGAGGGGAGGGGAGGGGAGAGGAGGGGAGGAGAGGGGAGGGGAGGGAAGGAAAAAAGAAAAGAGGAAAAGAGGACAGGGATCTACCATCTTACCATCTTGTCTGGCCACTGCCTGAGACACAGACATGGCTTCCGTTCTTAAGTCCCTATTAAATGTTTCTTTCTAAGAAAATTTTAAGAAAATTAAGAAAAGCAGATGAGGTGACATTGTTGAATAATATGCCTGAAGCCACCAATATATAATTTTGCTTATTTGGCAGGTTTCTCCATGGTCTCTATCCACTGCTGCCAGAACATGTGTCTTTGTCCCAGTGACAGCAAGACTGATGAAATGGCAACATATGAGGAAGCTAGTGCAGGAGAACTTCAACCAGGTTCTGCATGTTTTCATCCTATGCTTGCCATTACTCCAGGTCCATGTGTCTTCACCTCCTGACCTAGTTTTCTCACCAGCCTGGCTAACCTAGGCTACCTGTAAAAAATCGTTCATTCCAGATGGCTGGGTTTTTTCCCTCCACATGCCACCCTCCCTAGTTCCTAATTTTAATTCTAGAAAAATGTATGTTAATTACTCCAGTAATGCTGTTTTTTCCACCAAAGAATTAAGGGAAAGGGGAGAACCCATGAAGGAAGAGATGAACTCAGGTGTCTTCTTCTTGTAGCTTTCTTCTTCACAAATACTTGATAATTTTTAGTTAAAATTGAGGAACCACATCTAAGATCACTATATATATTAAGTAGTCTTTAATTTCCACATTTGTTAATGTTCTTTGGTTGCAAAGAGTGTAAAACAACTCTGGTTAATTTAGGCAAAGAGAGAAGGTTATCAGAAGGATTATAGAGCACTTCATAAAATGCAAGAGAGGAACAAAGGCTCAAAAGGACAAGAAATGGGGACACTCCAGGGCCTCAGTAGGAGTTTACACATCTTCCCATCTCTCTATCTCATCATGCCAAATGTTAATCATCAAAATGAAGAACATAGGTGGTAACTCCCAGACTAGCAGCTATGGCCAGGAAGACAAAATCACAGAGCACAGATGTGATCTCCTGGGGCTATGTCTGTATATAAACAAATAATCCTTCTGAGAAAGGAGCCATGCTTAGCCATAGCCATACAGCTACCCCCAAAGCTATCTGCTACAATCTACCCTCTGGCTGCCCAGAATACACACATGCTTGCTTACTCACATACATATCTTTCTTTACCTGTACCAAAAAAAAAACACCCATAACACATGATTCAACCAATCATCACACAATGGCAATAGAAGACAAGCAAAGTCATTTCCAGCAACTGCACTCAGAGGTGAGACATTGTCCTTCAAGTCTATGACCTCTGACTTATGTCCATTCCTTCTCAGTTATCACAACCCCATCTCAGTATTCTTCAGCCTATGAACTACATGGTGGATTTAATTGATATTTAGATTACATTATATAGCCCTGGGAGAAAGAAAAAGAAAATTTGTTTAATTCTCATGTTTAAAGGAAATGTGAGATAAATAGTATACTTAGCAGCAAATAAGGAAATACTGGGGAAGGCTACTGTCCTCCATTCTGCAAGAACGCATGAGACTGCTGCTGACATATAAAATATGTACTTTCCCTGTTTGCTCCAAGTTCTCCTGGCTTTCAGCCAACACCTCAGCTTGCCAAGCATCTTTGCCCTGATTGTATAAAGAATACAAAATCTCCAGGTGGCAATCTCAGCTGCCAATTCAATAAAACCTACTTTTTTAAAACAAACAAACAAACAAACAAAAACTCTTGCTTGAAGCAGTCCTCCATTGGGTACTAAATTCCTTAGGCTAAAAGAGTTAAGAGAACAATTTTTAAAAATTAAAGCAAAAATTCTAAGAGTGAGAGAATAAGTATAATTGTAAGAGGTGCCTTCATCCCTAGATTCTTAGGTTGTGTTTTGGCTCTGAAAGTAATAACCAATGTATTAGTCATTGTTTCTGCTCATGTTCTATATCTTACAACGTAACACTCCATATCACATCTGCTATTTTCCAAATGGCACTAG
Source organism: Homo sapiens (assembly GCF_000001405.40). NCBI lineage: Eukaryota > Metazoa > Chordata > Mammalia > Primates > Hominidae > Homo > Homo sapiens. The sequence goes on along the minus strand of NC_000007.14, from coordinate 8,284,389 downwards.
GGCAAAGTTTTCAATAGGTCATTTCAATAGCTTCATGAGGATGATTGGATATTTATACAGTAAGGCCAGTGAGTTATTAGCCTATTGCCTTACTTATCAAGTGGTGAGTTCATTGGTCAGAGGCCATATATAGAATCCTGCCGATGTGTTAGTGGTATGTAAGCAGGGAAAGCAAATCCAAGTTCAGAAAGACTATTCCAGTACTGCCACTGGATGAGTGCCACTGGATGAGTTGCTGCCACTCCATGATAAAGAAGCATTCCCAACTTAAAATAACTTTCCCACTACCAGCAGACCAAGTTCCCTAGAGGTGCAGTGACAGTCACTGCTGCTAGCAATATACAGATGCGTCTGGTAAAAGGAAATTTATGCTGTTAGGCCCAAGAATTACCTCCATTCTGGCAATAGCAGCTATTATATCCATAAGCCAAGAAACTGACTGGGAACAGAGGATGTCTGACCCCCATAGAAGAAATCACTTTGTTCTCTTGGATATTAACAAACTGATATGGTTTTGCTATGTCCCCATTGAAATCTTATCTTGAATTGTAGTTCCCATAATCCCCACCTGTCATGGGAGGCACCTTGTGGGAGGTAATTGAATCATGGGGATGGTGTTCCCCATGCTATTCTCACGATAGTAAGTTCTCACAAGATCTGATGGTTTTATAAGGGGCTTCCCCCTTTGTTCAGCTCTCATCCTTCTCCTTCCTGCCATCACGTGAAGAAGGATGTGTTTGCTTCCCCTTTAGCCATGATTGTAAGTTTCCTGAGGCCTCCCCAGCCATGTGGAATTGTGAGTAAATTAAACCTCTTTCCTTTATAAATTACCCAGTCCTGGGCACTTCTTTATAGCAGTATGAGAATGGACTAATACACAAACTCTTCTACAATAATGGCTTCTCAGTGAGGACTCACATTAACCCAGATATTTTCACACTTTGGGCCCATTTTCAATGGTGCATCAACTTTCCTTAAAACCTACTTGTCATCAGTTCTCCAATCTTGATCCTTCTAAGTCTCTGACCGTCTAATCAGACCAGGACTAAAAATGACTCATTGTGTACTCATCAGCTTTAAGCATCTCTAAAATATTGCCCTGTTCCAAGCCCCTGCCCAGTATCCCCACCATTGCCCAAGTCAATCGATCCCTCCCTCAGGGACATCTCTGACTCCCCACAATTCAGAAACCAAAGGGTTAACATCTGGCAAAACTGGACTTCAAGACTAGTTTCAGTGATAGATTCCAATTGTCTTATGTGTTAAATATTTTGAATATCACCTCTGAGCAAATCATTACCTCAGGAATTGGTGTAGATCCTGACCTCAGATAAAGTTGACAATATTTCCTTCCAGGTCAAGTAGACAATGAAATTCATGCTCAGAATCAACTATTGTGAGCATTTTCCTTCTCCACTATACTTCACAGCCACACTGAAGGACAGCAACGCTTCCTCTCATCCTGTCTGGGGCTAGCATATTGTGCAAGGCCATTTGTACACCAGGTTCAAGTTAGGTCTCTCAGTGAAGAACTCTCTCATTGGACCACTAGTCACTGGAAACTCCCATGAAGCATAGGAAGAAAAAGTAATGTAGTAGGAATACGACTGCCTGCTTGTACCGTTTATCTGTGTTTTTAGGCTTCTCCACAGGCTCAGCCTCATAGTTTTTTCTTCCTTTTCAGTTCACTCAATGTGGACTACCGTTGGGAATGCTTGACTTTGTGGCTAAGTACCTGAGACAACACTCATTCCATGTCAGGTATCAAAGTACTGAGATCATCTTACACCAGAGAGTTGGGTCTTTCAGTCTCTATCAGAGCCCAGGAACAAGTCAGGAGTCATGTTTCAAAATAAAGGGTCATCTGCTAAAGGGGTCTTCACATTTTCCCAAACACAGAAGTTCTCCTCTACGATGGCTCTTGTAGGCACTTGTCATGGATGCCATATAGCTCTCCAATGGGCTGCACACCATTTCAGCAGCACCAAATCCATTTGCTCACAAGGGCCAAAGGGCAGAGCTGCTTGCCTTGCAGCCTGAGCCAGCTGGACAGCTACTTCCCACTTTCGGCCTCACTCAAAACAGGCAGCTTTTGGCAGGTCAAGGCCACCCAGAAAAAGTCAGAGTATGACACCCAAAGGTGGCACTACTACTTCTAAAACCTAAAGAAGCCCCCCACACTATGCCTGGTAAATTTTTTAATATTTGCGAACAAATAATTCATTACCTCATATTAATTACAAACTGAATGTCCAACTTCAAAGTGCTAAAATTTCCAAATGCTGCTACTTTATATTAATCACATTTGGTGATTATTTTTCTCTTGCTTCGTTTTATTCCTGATTTAAAATTACCTTGTTTGGAAAAGAACTGGAAGTGCCTTGTCATGTCACCTTATTGCTTCTTTGAATAACATGTTAGCAAGAAGTTACAGAGTAAGACAACATCTTAAGAAGTTCAAGAAGTAAGTTAATCACTTAGCTACGTTCAGTTTTTATGTTGAGTCCATGTGCAGAACTCTGACTATTTGTAAAACTATTTAAGGACCATTCAAAAAAAATCTTAGAATCTTTAGTCCTGCTGTAAGACAAGTAAAATAAATGTTGCCCTGCCTAAGTGGGGAATCATCCTTTGCTATGTTCTTTCTTTGGAAGCCATCGTGGCAAAGATTTTAAAATGTAAATATTTATCAGGTATTTTAAAATAAATCACTTCTTTGTCCATTCTCTTTAACAAAAATCAGAAGTAAGTTAATACCTAAATTTTTATGAGCCATGTTTTAAATGGTTCTCACACAAGTTGATTCTGAGTGCACCCAAGAAGTGCTTCATCTACTTCTGCAAGTATTTATTGATCATTACAACGTGCAGGTTCTATGTGAGGCAATAGAGAAATAAGACTCAGACGACACACCATCAAGAAGTTTATAGCCCAGTGGGGGATATGAATAAGTAAGTATAAAATTACAATATATTAGGGAAGGCTTTCTAAAGGAAATGATGTCTAAGTTGAGGCCTAAAGAGAAAGGTAGGAGCCACCCAGACCAAGATGCTAGTAAATGAAGGGAAGAGAGTATATATAGGGCAGAGCAAGTTATGTGCAAAGACCCAGAAACCACAGAGAGCCTCGCATGTTTGGGTATCAAAGGCAGTTCAGTCAGGCTAGCTCTTAGAACTGGGGTGGTGGTGGTAGTGGTGGAAGAATAGAGAGGGTAATTGAAATATATGAGTGTGGCAGACACAGTTCCTTGCCTACACTACAGCCTTTCTTTCCTTTTACTGCAGACGGAACCTCAGAAAACTGGCAGGGATCCCTTGATTTAGGGACAGCTAGGAAATTAATCAAGGTAATTTTCACTTCACAGTCATGAGTCTAGAGTTGGACATGTGAGCCATTTCTGGCCAATGAGATCTAAGGATAAGTCCACCAGGGCTTCCTTCGAGGCTAAAACCAGACCCTTGATAGGAGAAAGCTTTTGCCCTCTTCTTCCCTGTCTGCAATGCTCACCTAGGTCTTAAAGACAATTTGGAGCTCCTACAACCATCTTGTGATCAAGGAAAAGATCCAAAGAATTGCAAAGAGCTGACTAAGTCACTGTCATTTAGTTGAGCTGATAAACCAACCCTGGAACTGTCTTTGTCAACACTTCTTGATATGTCAGAAAACAGGATGCTTTTATTATTTAAGTCTACTTGTCATGTGTTCTATTACTTTCAGCTAAGCACATTCCTGAGGGTTTTATAAAGACTCAATTGATAAGGCAGTTCCATCTCATGAAGGCCCTTACAAGCTATATTCTAAGGAACACCTTTTTATTTGCAGTGGCAGAAATCTATTTCTATCTGGCTTAGATAAAAGGGGTTCTTCATAAGACTGTATTGGGGTATCTCACGTGATCCGAGGAAGGGTTGGAAAACCAACTTCTGGAAGGACAGAACCACATGAATGAGAGCTTCTAATACCACCTGCAGAATATTCCCTATCTCTGGGCCTGGTGCAGTGGCTCATGCCTGTAATCCCAGAACTTAGGGAGGCCAAGGTGGATGGATCCCTGAGGTCAGGGGTTCAAGACCAGCCTGGCCAACATGGCGAAACCGCATCTCTACTAAAAATACAAAAAATTAGCCAGGCATGGTGACAGAGGCCTGTAATCCCAGCTATTCGGGAGGCTGAGGCAGGAGAATTGCTTGAACCTGGGAGGCAGTGGTTGCAGTGAGCCAAGATTGCACCACTGCACTCCAGCCTGGGCAACAAGAGAGAAATTCCATCATATATATATATGTGTGTGTGTATATATATACACACACACACATATATATACACACATATATATGATGTATATATATCATATATGTATATATGATACATATATATGATGTGTATATATATATACATATATGTATATAGATGTGTATATATATACATATATGCATATAGATGTGTATATATACATATATGTATATAGATGTGTATATATGTGTGTGTGCATATATACATATATATGTGTGTATATATACATATACGTGTGCATATATATACATATATATGTGTGTGTATATTTATACACATATATATACATATATATGTGTGTGTGTGTATATATATATATATGTATTCCCTACCTCTAATCTCTGATCTTCCCCATGGGTTGGTTTAATCCTTTCTCACTACTGACCAGGTTCCTGCACATGGTGAAAAACATGGCCACTGACAGCTCCCAAGCTTCTCCTTTTATAGCTTCTCCTCCCCAGGAAGGACCGGCACATGTGTCCTCTAATATTAAATTTTAAACTCTCATTTTATTTCCATCAGTAAAGAAAGAAGATCCAGGTGGCCAGAGCAATAGATAACCACCTCATAGGGAACCACCAGAAGGTTTGAAGCCAAAGAAAGTCTTTATTCAGTACAATTAAGTTTGTACGTTAGAAAGATGTACCCTTGGTTTAGGTTAGATAATAGATTAGGAGGGTCCTTCCAGGAGGAAGGACAATTGCCATAACTTAAGTGAGAAGTCATAGTGCCTACAAAAAGGTGGCGATGGCTCAGACAAGATTAAAGCTCTTATATAAATAGTGTTAATCTAGCCATTTGTAGTTAGTCCTCCTTTCAAAATCACAATAAGGAATATAACTTGTTTATGGTGGGGTGCAGGGGAGTGGACAGAGAACTGCATATATAATTATAGTTTTAAGTAAAGGCTTTAGAAAGAGATTAATCAAGTTGCCAGCTTCTATCATGATCTACATTTTTGTTTTAAAGTCTACTGTTAAGATTTTGTAGGTTTCAAGTAATGCTGAGGCAATACTTATTAGATGTTGATTTAACATAAACATTGATAAATAACTTGCAAGTGTGTTTAGGACATAAAATATCAAAAATGAAAATCCAGTGATCCAAGCTTATCATGTGTTCCTACCAACCTAACAAATTTTAGTAGAAAATCATTTGCTGCATATTTTGCAGAAGGAACACAGTTTATCTGAAATCAAAGGCAGATGACAACTCAGGCTGTATATATTAAGATGCTAGTAAATGAAAGTAAACTGCTCAAAATAAAAGCATAGTCATGAAACTAAAGAAGACCAAATACAATTGTACATAATAGTAAAAAACTTAACCCAAGATAATTAACAAACATGCTATTCTTGCAACTTAAATATGAATGGGTGATTTCACTGTTATTGATAGGATTTCAGAAAAATATTTTCTTCTTTTTAGTGTCTAAATCTGATCTACATGGGTGTTTCTTCAAGAGTGGATCACAAACCAACACAACAGGGAGAAAAGACAATAGATGGAAGAGGTTACGTTGAGGAAAGAAAAGGTAACAGAGGAGGAAGAGGAGGATAGCCTCAGTGTAAACCAATAAATAGTTACTGCGTGTCCCAGGTTCCATGCTAAGATTGGCAACATAAGTTGGCAGGTTTCTGCTGCAAACTTACCAACCAATACTTGGTAACTCCTCAGGGTTACTGAGCCAGATATGGCCTGAATAAGAGCACACTTATCACCATTTACACAAAGATGAAGCACAGGAAGAAGGGAACACAGTTTCTTACAGATCTGCACCTGGACTCTGTGAGCCCTCTCTCTGTATTCTCTACCTTACCCAGGCTGCTCCAGCCTCTCAGTGCCAGAGTTAGTGGTTCTCAAAATATGGTGTGTATCAGAATAACCTGGGGAGATGGCTTACAATGTGCAATTATTGGCCTCACTCCAAGAATTGATCCATTAGTTCAAGATAGAATGCACATTGTTAATGAACCTCTCAGGTCTACTTGCCCACACTGAAGTTTAAGAACCTCTGCCCTAAGGAGAGAGCTTCACGCCCATGAGGGAATCATATATTCTCTGACTTTTTAAAAAGGCAAGTCGTGGTCATAGTCATTGGGGAGGTTTGAGTATATATTAAGATACATTTTAAATAAAAATTGTAGGATTAAATATTAAACAGTAGTAGAAATAAGAAATGGGACCTATGTGAATTTAAAGACTTTTAAAAACTATTCTAAAATTGTTTCTGCTTTACATGATGAAGAGATTATTTTTGACATTAAAAAGTAGAACGTCTATGACTAAATCTGGTAGATATAGCAGAAGGCCTAACCAGAAATATCAAACTCACCGTGGTTAACAACAGGGCATCAGAATCACATGCTGATCTTTATAAACTTATAGATGCTACATACAGTCCCACTCCACACCTATTGAATCAAAATATCTGGGGATAAAGCCCAGCCAAGAAAAACTTTGATAGCTGGCAGGGCTGAGATCTCCTGCTTTCAACCAGGACAAAGACACTACTGCCACCTGATGGAAATGTACCTAAATTGTAAGGACAGCTTTTGGAATGGTAGTTTCCTTTGCGAGCTGAATCTAAGCTAATCTGTTGAACTGGCAAACACAATGATAACCATAAAAAATGTAAATATACAGAAAAATACAAAAATTTCTAACTGCACATTTGTTAATTTTTATGGAAAATATTAGGACTGGGAGAGGTGGCTCACGCCTGTAATCCCAGCACTTTGGGAGGCTGAGACGGGTGGATCATGAGGTCAGGAGATGGAGACCATCTGGCTAACACGGTGAAACCCCGTTCTCTACTAAAAATACGAAAAATTAGCCAGGCGTGGTGGCGGGCACCTGTAGTCCCAGCTACTCGGGAGGCTGAGGCAGGAGAATGGTGTGAACCCGGGAGGCGGAGCTTGCAGTGAGCCGAGACTGTGCCACTGCATTCCAGCCTGGGCGACAGAGCGAGACTCCATCTCAAAAAAAAAAAAAAAAATTTGGGCTGGGTGCAGTGGCTTATGCCTAGGCAGAAGAATGACTTGAGCCGGGAGTTTGAGACCAGTCTGGGTAATATAGCAAGGCCCCATCTCTATAAAAAATTTAAAAATTAGCCAGGCATATGGGTGCGGATCTGTAGTCCTACCTACTCAGGAGGCTGAGGTGGAGCACTTGAGCCCGGGGAGTTCGATCCTGCAGTGAGCTATGATCATGCCACTGCACTCTAGCCTGGGTGAGAGCAAGACCCTGTCTTTATAATACATTTAAAAATATAAATAAAATATTTGAAGCCTAAAATAGAATGTGTTAGGTTTATACGGAGTTTTGTCATGTATAAAGTATATTCACATGCATTAATTAGATTAACTCTTCATTATATTTTAGGAGGGGAGTTATTAGCACATTTTATATATGAAAAAACTGGCTTAGAGAGGGTAGATGATTATCCCAGCTGTTCCAAACTTGTCTGCATGTTGGAACCACCTGGGGAGCTTCAAAGAGTACTCATGTCTGTGTGGCAGCCCTAAAGATTGAGATTTAGTTGGTCTGGGTGTGGCCTAAGTTTTGGGATTTTTAAAAGATACCCTTTGATTCTAATGTGCGGAGAGTTGGGGAAAAACTAGACTAGCCTCCAATCACCTAGATGGTAGTGAATGAAACTGGAGTTCAGGTGTTTTGACATCAAATTAATACTCATAGAATTATATTTGACATAAAGCTCAAATATAATAATTATCCTCAACTAATACCCATTGAATTTTACGATAGAGAAGGGTTTTCAGATTCTTCTGGCCATAAGAATCAGCTGAGTTAGTTGTCAAAAATGTAGAATCTCAGGTCCCTCTACCAAAGTTTTCTATTTGGAATTGCATGTTCCCAGCCATAAATGGGTGCTAAAATTGTGTACACATAGACATAGTGGAATGATAGGCAATGAACACTGGGAAGGGTGAGAGGGTGGAAAGGGGGCAGATGATGAGAAATTAATTAATGGGCACGTTATTCTGGTCATGGGTACCCTAAAAACCCTGACTTGACTACTACACAATCCATGAATGTAACAAAATGGCACATGTACCCCATAAATTGTACAAAAAAAAAATCTGATTTCGAAGGAGCCTGGTGAGTGTACATATTTCACAAGTGTTTACCTGATTTGGGGGATAAAGTAAATTTGGAAAATCTATAATAGAGAATATCAGACCATGTAGTATTATAAAATAGTAGTATTGAGTATCAAAGTTTGGTTTGAAAAATGGCTAAGAATTAATGGAGAGACTTTATCAAAACACAGCCAAGAGAATTAACACCCCACCCTCAGAGGGTCTAGTTGTATACAAACTATTCACTCATCCATTAATTCAACACACTTTGATTAAACACCTAACATTGTACATTCAAGGCACTATGGTGGATGTGTAAGGGAACACACAAGCTGGGCAGAGTCTTTGCCTTCAAAGACCTAATTGCCTAAGTATATCTCTTGTGGGAGAATGCATAATGTTTGAGCTGGGTCATGGTTATAGGTCCAATGGCTCTTGTTTTTCTAAGTGAGAAAGATTTCATTTAAGCTTGCTTCAGCAAGCATTTATTCAGAGCTCTAGTAACTGTTTGGGACATACAGATAAAGTTGCAGTAGTAATGGTGGAAGTGGAAAAGGGAGGGCCAGGGGTTTCTTGGGGACTCCAACCTGGAGTTGAAGGACACACTACAAGTTTGGCGTTGGCAATAGGAGACAGTGATTGTTCTTGGTAAATATATGTCCAGGAAAAGGAGGAGGCTGAATGTGGGGGGTGGTGACCAGGAGAGGACATGCATAAATTAGTATTAGAAGGTGAGAGGTGAATAAAGAAAATTAGGACTGATAAAGGCTTCGAATGTTTAGATTAGGTATTGGATTTTGAGGTAACCCGTTGAAAATTTTATAGTTGGGACTGAAGCCAATCAAAATATTATGTAATTAGCTTCATACTTAAAGAGTAACTCAAAGACCTGAGTTGTCTTCTATTACTTGACATATCATCTCCCATCCCACCACAACCCACACACACATTCGATTCTTAGCATAAAGTAGTCACAAAAAGTATGCAAATTATGTATTTTGTGATTACCTAAGCTGATTTTGTATTGGTTAAAATACACAATCCTAGGTGGAAGATGTTTTTAAATTCCAGGTAAGAAGCAGGGTTAGAAAGGCAATGGAAATAAGAATGAGAAAAATGGATATGACAGCTGAGAGACACTATAAAGGAAACTGCAATTTCCTGTAGTGAATCATAGACTTGTAATGAACCAGAATTTAGCAACCAATTGAGCACATAAGGTAAACTACTAGGAAGGAATTCAAAATAACATTGAGGTTTTTAAGCTTGCCGAGATAAGAAGAAAGAGCTCTGAGAGAAAAAATACTTTTCGGTCACATCAAGTTTGAGATAATAAATGCTTACTGAATGAATGATAAGCCATCCTACTACTCTGGGAATAAAATAGAAAACCCTAGTTATACAGATATAAAAAAATCAGTTCATGCTCCTCCCTTCCCATCCACATCTGTACAACCTTAGGCCGCCAAAGAGGTGATGAGACTCCTAGAGCCACTTCTAGCCTTTTCAAATTCCAGTGTCTTGCTGCAGGTCTCCTATATCAGCTCAAGGATGTCACCAAGGAATAAAGTCACTTGAAATATGAGAAATATAAGAATAAGCCAGTGTAAGGGTCTCTCCATCAGGGAGTGTCCAAGATTTACCTAAGCAAGTCATATTTGTCATGGCAGCGGCAGCAAGAGGGGAGGAAGTCATGGACTTTCAGCACTAGAAGACTTTTAGCACTAGACTAATCTCAAAGGTTATTAGAAGGTCATTAGAAGAATTGAATATTACACAGTAAGGAATTTCAGACGTCATCTAAACTAGTATTTCCCAACATTTTCAAATGTGAGGATCTCTTTTATTTTGTTCTGGTGTCAAAATTTAAATCTTTATTTTTGTCAATTACAAAATACTATATGTGCACTTTAAAAATTCAAACACTACCAAAGAGTATAAGTGAAAATACAACTTTCCCCCACCTCCAATGTCAGCCAAAAAAAGATCACTCTGCAGAGATAGCTTCAGTTAACATTTTAGTGAATATCATTACAAGATTTTAATGTTACATAGAAAATATTTGCATAAACAAAATCATATTTCACACTGTGTTATACAAGCTGCTATTTTCACTTGAAAAAAAAATCTTGACCTCATCCTTTCAACAGCTGTCAATGTTCCAACATGTAAATGTACCATAATTTTGTTAACTAATCCTTCCTTTAGATGGACGATTACTATTATTATTATTATTATTTTTTTGAGATGGAGTTTCCCTCATTTTCCAGGCTGGAGTGCAATGGTGCGATCTCAGCTCACTGCAACCTGCGTCCCCCAGGTTCAAGCGATTCTCCTGCCTCAGCCTCCCAAGTAGCTAGGATTATAGGCACTTGCCACCACACCTGGCTAAGTTTTTGTATTTTTAGTAGAGATGGGGTTTCACCATGTTGGCCAGGCTGGTCTTAAACTCCAGACCTCAGGTGATCCACCCACCTTGGCCTCCCAAACTGCTGGGATTACAGGCCACCGCACCCAGCCAAGATGGACAAATTTTTTAACGGTATAAACTGTGTTGTTGTGATTGCCATATTCACACATTCACTACTATAAACTTCCATATTATTTCGGCAAGAAAAAATTCTAAGTGGACCTACTGGGTCAAAAGATATGTACTACTAACATTTTGTAATATTACCAAGTTGCCTTCCATAACGGGTGTAAAATAAAATTGTTTCTTTTCTCAGTTTATGAGAGTATGACAATGCTCATCTCCCATATTCTCATCAACCCTGAGCATTACATTTTTCATATTTGTCAATAAGATAGGTGAAACTGGTTTTGTTTAAACATTTTTTAGTTAAAAAATGTGGGTTTTAAAAACGTTTATCATTGCAATTTCTCCTTGAATTGCCTGTTTCTGGTTTTTACTCACTCTTCAGCTGAAGTGTTCTTGAGGATCTTTTTTTTTTTTTCTTTTTGAGGCAAAGTCTTGCTCTGTCACCCAGGCTAGAGTGCCGTGGCACAATCATAGCTCACTGCAACCTTGAATTCTTGGGCTCAAGGGAGCCTCCTGCCTCAGCCTCCTGAGCAGCTAGGACTACAGGCATGTACCACCACACCCGGCTTTTTTTTTAATTATTATTTTTATTAGAGATGAGGTCTCACCATATTGCCCAAGCTGGCCTTGAACTTCTGGCCTCAAGTCATCCTCCCAACTCGGACTCCCAAAATGCTGGGATTACAGGCATGAATCACTGCACCCAGCCTGAGGACCTTTTTTAATATCAGAGAATTCCTAGACCCTCCTCAAAAAAATAGTAGAAATGCATATACTATATATCAAATTTATATCAAATGCATATAAATATATATCAATGCATATAATATAGATCAAGAAATACATAATGCAAATTCTTTAATGGAGGGACTTTGACTTCTGATCAAAATGGAATAACAGTGACCAGATTTATGTTCCCTCCTGAAATAGCCAAAACAGAACAAATGCTACTCAAAATACTGGATATTAGGCAAAGAAGAATGGTCATCCCTTGGAGACAGATGAGATGAACTCTATGCTTTCCCTAACTTAGCACCTGGAAAAAGTTTCCGGGCCATGCTAGAAAAAGTGGGAACCCAGGAAGAGCTTGGCAGTCTCAGTGAATTAAGAGATGGAGCTCAGAATATAGCCAAGATGGACTGGGTTTGCAAGGCAAGGTACCAGAAAGGAGACAGTTGTACAGAGAGAAAATTCCAGAGATCTACAGTTTTCCCCTCCAGTATTCAGCTGAGTATGAATCAGCCCATGCAGATGAGGAAAGTCCTAGAGACCAGGGAAAGAACCATCAGAAAGGATGATAAAGAACAGTGCCCCCAAGTCTCACACCAATCTGACAGCAGTGCCTGTTTTCAACAGCCAAAGGGGAATTCCTCATATATCAGGGGGCATCAGTCTGTTAGAATATAAATAATGCTATTGCCTCAATAGTAGAGAAATATAACCCCTGACTAAACACAGCTCTGGTCTCACCTAAAAAAAGCTTGAAAGCAAAACCAAAAAGGTTCAATTTGTTTTCAAGTAACCTAACCACATGCAGAACAAGGCTCAAAAATATTTTAGAAATACAGAAGTATGTACTATGCAATAACATAAAATTTACCGTGTCTGCGATCCCATTAAAAATTATAGGAAATGGAAAGAAGCAGAAAGATACAAACATAATGAGAGTAAAATCAATCAATTGAAACTGACTCATAAATGATAAATTATAAAATAAGTAGACACAGATTTTAAAAGTTATTATGATTGCATTCATATGTTCAAGAAACTAGAGGAAAGACTGAACACAGTAAGTACAGACATGGAAAATATTTAAAAGACCCAAATTGAACATCTACAGATAAAAACTACAATTGATGAGGTAAAAAAATTCACTGGATAAAATTAATAGCAGAACGGACTTTGCTAAAGAAAGGGTCAGTAACACTGAAGACATAGCGATAAAAACTATGAAAAATAAAAAAGACCAAAAAAAAACAGAACATAAGTGAATTATAGGACAACTTCAGACAGTTAAATATATGTGTAGCTGGTCTCCAAAAGAGAGGAGAGAAAAGGAGGAGCCAAAAACATTTTCGAAGACATAAAAACTGAAGAATTTTAGATAATAAAGTCTTTTTAGAACAGTTTTAGTTTTACAGACAAATTAAGCAAAAAATACAGAGAATTCCCATACATCCTTAAACACACACTCATATTTTTGGCAATTATAAATAAAACTGCTACAAACATTCCTGTACAGGTTTTTGTGTGGACATGTTTTCAACTCATTTGAGTACATACCAAAGAGTGCAATTGCTAGCTCATATGGCAAGAGCATGTTTAATTTTATAAGAAACTGCAAGACCGTTTTCCAAAAGTGGCTATACCACTTTGCATTCCCACCAACAATGGAGATTTCCTTCATCAGCATTTGGTATTGTCGGTGTTTTGGATGTGGGCCATTTTAATAGGTGTGTAGTGGTATTTCATTCTTTTAATTTGCCATTCCCTAGTTATATATGATGCTGTGCATTTTATATATTTGTCATCTGTATATCATCTTTGGTGAGGCATCTGTTCAGATCTGTTGCCACTTATTTTTGAGAAAGGATCTCACTCTGTCATCCAGGCTTGAGTGCAGTGGCATGATCCCAGCTCACTATAGCCTTGACCTCTCCAGGCCCAAGAGATCTCCCATCTCAGCCTCCCAAGTAGCTGGAACTACAGGCATGCCACCGCCACGCCTGGCTTTTTTTTTTTTTTTTCTTTTTGAGGGACAGGGTTTCACCATGTTGCCCATGCTGGTGTTGAACTCCTGGGCTCCTGTGATCCACCCTCCTCAGCCTCCCAAAGTGCTAGGTTTACAAGCATGAGCCATGAGCCACCACGCCCAGCCCTTTTGTCTATTTTTAAAATTGGATTATGAATTTTCTAATTGTTGATTTTAAGAGTTGTCTATTTTGAATAATAGTCCTTTATCAGATATATTTTTGAAAATATTATCTCCTAGTATATTGCCTTGTCATTCTCTTGATGGTACCTTTTGCACAACAGAAGTTTTTAATTTTAATAAAGTCCAATTTATCCATTTTTTTTTTGTGAATTTTGCCTTTGGTATTGTACCTAAGATGTTACCATCAAACCCAAGGTCATCTAGATTTTCTTCTATATTTATCTTCTAGGGGTTTTATACTTTTGTGGTTTATACTTTGATCTATGATTTATTTTGAGTTAATTTTTCTGCAAAGTGTAAGAGATGTGTCTAGATTCATGTTTTTGCATGCGGATGCCATTTGTTGAAAAGACTTTTTTTCCGTTGACTTGCCTTTGTTCCTTTGTCCAAGATCAGGTGACTATATTTGTATCTATTTTTGAACTCTCTATTCTGTTCCATTGGTCTATTTGTCTATTATTTTGCTGGTGCCACACTCTTGATTACTGCATATTTATAGTAAGTCTTGAAGTCAGGTAGTATCAGTCCCTCATCTTTGTTTTTCTCCTTTGATATTGTGTTGGCTATTCTGGGTATGGATAGAGTTTTTCAAAGTTTAATTTTAACCATAAGCCCACAGCTCCAAGAAGCTCAGCAAAGCCAAAAATGTAAGAATAAACAACACTAAGGACATCATAATCAAACTGCTTAAAACCAATGATAGGGAAAAAAAAGTCTTTAAAGCAACCATTGAAAAAAAAAAAAGAGGGCCAAAAATAATGATAATAGAAGATTTCTCATTGAAAACAATGCAAGCCAGGAAACAATGAAGCAAAATCTTTAAAAGTACTGAAAGAAAAAAAGTCAATATAAATTTCCTTAGCAGTAAAAAAATTTTCAAAAACAAAAGCGAAATAGAATTTTTCAGATGTACAAAGCTAAGAGACTCATCAATAACATACCTTCATTTCAAGAAATACATTAATGGTTTTAAATAAATTTTATTTTGTAATCACATCATATACATTCCAAAAAGTGTTGTTTCTGTTTGTCAAGCAAGTGGTTCTGTTTGTGGGCATTACTTGTTAGGGATTTGAATCCTAGGATCCTTTGTGTCACCACCACAGACCCTCATGGTCCTGGGACCCACAGATCGAGAATCATTGTTTCAGAATACAAACTTCATGAGAAATGAAGGTCCAATCCAATGTCATGGGGCAGACAACTGGATTGATGAGGATAAAGGCTGAGCTGCAATAATATTTTTAAAATATAGTGACTTTATTTCCTTCTCATAAAACAATCCAGGCAGAAGGGCCAAGGCAATATGGCAGCTCAGGGGGGTCAGAGGCCCAGGTTCCTTGCCATTCCCAAGGTGTTGCCCTCACCTGCATGGCCAAAGGCGATCTAACCAGTGGGAAAGGGAGAAAGTAAAGATTAGGATGTGTTTCTTTCAAGGGCAGGACACAAAAGTTATATGCATGTCTTTCCATCATATCCTATTCACTACAACCTAGTCACATGACCACACCTTGCAACAAGGGAAGCTAAAACCAATGTAACTTAGCAATAATGTGCTCAACTGAAACTTATATTACTGTAGAAAAGGGGAAGAATAAATATTGGGGAAATGATTAACAGTATCTGCCAAACAAGTTTGTGACTGAGTTAAAACTGGAAGAGGAAAAGCTCATCAGATTGACGGTTAAGAAACAGGAATTGCAGTTGCAATTCAGCCTCTTATTCCATGATTAAACCAAATGTTTGTCCATGTTTCACCTGAACTACCTTAATTATCTGCACCCGAATTTTCAGTGATTCTTCCCAATTGTCCCTGTGTAGGGGGAGCGAGCTATACGAAGAACCAAGAGAGTTTCATCCTAATTTTTTAGTTAAATCCTGTTCTTTATTGGACAGTGTGACCCTCTGAGGAGTCATTAGCTCTACATCTATGAAGACTAGGGCTCAGCTGTGAACTCTGGGCTTATGCTAGGCCAAACTCCAGCATAGTTCCTAGTCAGAAGCAGGATTCTACTCTATGGCACATGACAAAATTCTCCAACTGCAGTGAATTAAAAAAAAAAAAAAAAAAGTCCCATTTTGATGCCATCACCAGCATTTTCTTGCAGAAGTTCCAATGGATGATACTAGGGGTGGTGAGATGGAGAGCAGCATTATTTATGCAGAAATCTAAGCTGATGTGATAATGAAAATAATTACCTTTCTTTTAGTGTAAAACAAGGCTCCTCTCTTCATTATAGCCTTAATTTTGAAAGGAAAGGAAGTTAATTTTAATTAATAAAAGTTAATGCTACTAATTAAACATTTGTTCTATTTTCACATGCACACACAAATCTGCCTAAAGATATAACTAGCTCTGCTGAGGGTATAACAAAAGCTTTGTTTTGCTACATAGAAAGTACAAATGTCACAGGAATTAAACTGGCCAAATTAGTCCATATTCTTGAGTAAATCCAAATTTGTTTTTAAGGATTACACAATCCAGGAATAAATGACTTTATTTTTATTAATAAAATTTGATGTAATCTTTCTTTACATTTATAACACCCTTTAAATTTATAACACCTGTAGAAATTGCGGAGTCTCGCTCTTTCGCCCAGGCCGGACTGCAGTGGCTCTATCTCCGCTCACTGCGAGCTCAGCCTCCCGGGTTCACGCCATTCTCCTGCCTTAGCCTCCCGAGTAGCTGGGACTACAGGCGCCCGCCGCCGTGCCTGACTAATTTTTTGTATTTTTAGTAGAGACGGGTTTTCACCGTGTTAGCCAGGATGGTCTCCATCTCCTGACCTCGTGATCCACCCGCCTCAGCCTCCCAAAGTGCTGGGATTACAGGCGCAAGCCACCGCGCCTGGCCGATTTTAATAATTTTTAAACATCATTTTTTCTAAGTTTGTTCTTCTAGATTATCTAATTTTAATCTCTCAGCAACTCTAAAGAGAAAGTGATTGTTTTTCTTATTAATGAGCTGAGCTCTGGAGAGATTTATATGTACGGCTCTTATTAAACACATTGATAATGATAATAGCTTAAGCTCTGTCTCAACATCCCCTACTATAGAACAGGTACAATGAGTACTTATGATGCTGCCAAACGTGAATCAGGAAATAAAAAGATTGCAGAACTGTAGGGGCTTATAAACATCTGTCTAGAAGGAATGGTAGAGGGTTCATTTGCCTTACAGTATCCACACACCAAGAGAAAGGGGCATTCTGCCTCACTTGCTCACGCTGGCTGAGATCTAAGACCATAAGGAACATTGAGAACATCAAAAATATGTATCAACAATGCAATAAAATAGACCAGATCATATGTAAATGAGTAGTTTGTATTTGTATGTCCATATATAATTTATATAAATACATATACATGCAAGAGAGATATTAGTGAATTCAGTCTACATGATAATCAACGTCAAATCAGAGATGGCCTATGGATTAAGTTCCACTTGAAACAAATAAATATATATTCCTATGTATTAGGAATATGACACTGTTTCAGTCACATGAGATGAAATACATTGCTAATTTAATTCATTTTAGATTACCTCAGAGGGAGAAGAGGGACAGTAACTTGGCAAACACTAAGAAGCCTTGGAATTACTCAGCTAAAAGGATCCCTTAAGACATAAGACCATTAAATAGCTCCTGAAAAACTTATTTCCTATATGAATATTCCTATAATTTGCTCATTCAAAATAACTGGCATTAATTTGAAAATATCTCTGAAATGAGTGTTCTTTTTGAAGAATTAAGATAGAATTTTGGGGCTTTAGTGTCATAATTCTTATTTTGTTTTTTTGCGGGGGGGTTTTACTGCAAGTGCAGATTTGGGGCGGGTAGAGTGGGGAGCTGGTTTTGTTTTACCTTCAGTGGTATCCTCCATTAATATTAACTTATCAGGACAAACTTATCACTTTACCTCCTTGTTATTATTAAGTTCAATTCCATAAAATTCATTATTATCTGTGTTTGCGCTTATCCAAAAGGATTGTTTTGGTAGGCAGTCTGCTTCTTCCTTCATTTAAACAGGGATAGCTAAGAAGGCTGAGATGTTATAAGACTAGAGCACACTTGCAAAATATTTGCGCAGCAGGAACTTTTCTTTATATTATCATGAGGTATCCAATGGATGGACCTGAAATATTTCTCTTTCATTAACAGATTTTTCTGTCCTGTTTCCTCATAATTAGCTTCTTAGCGCCAGTAGAATTTGAATAGTATCCAGAAATCTGAAAATAAGTCACATATTTGGGGGTTTGTTGTATGGTTCTTACCTTGTAACTATTCCTGAGGAAGATACTGGATTTACTGTGTACATGTGTGCACACATGTGTGTGTGTGTGCCAATAAAACTATGAACCCCTTTTTTTTTTACTTTTTAAACAGCTTTACTGAGACATAATTCACATACCACTAATTCACAATGAATTGTAAAATGCACAACTCAATGGTTTTTAGCATATGGCAGATATTTGTAAACAACACCAGTCAATTTTAAAACATTTTCATCACATGAAAAAGAAACTCTTAATCCTACTACTTTGGGAGGCCAAGGCAAGTGGATCACTTGAGGTCAGGAGTTCAAGACCAGCCTGGCCAACATGGCAAAACCCTGTCTCTACTAAAAATACAAAAATTAGCTGCGCATGGTGGCACATGCCTGTAGTCCCAGCTACTCAGGAGATTGAGGCAGGAGAATCCCTTGAACCCAGGAGATGGGGGCTGCAGTGAGCTGAGATCGTGCCACTGCACTCCAGTCTATGCAACAGAGTGTGACTCTGTCTCAAAAAAAAAAAAAAAAAAACCAACCAAACAAAAAATACCAAACTTAGCTGGGCATGGTGGTGCATGCCTGTAATCCCAGTTACTCAGGAGGCTGAGGCGGGAGAATCACTTGAACCCGGGAGGCGAAGGTTGCAGTGAGCCGAGATTGTGCCACTGCACTCCATGCTGCAGGACAGAGCAAGACTCTGTCTCAAAAAAAAAGAAAAAAGAAAAAAGAAAAAAAGAAGATAAAGAAACTCTATACTCTTTAGATCTCACTCCCTATTCACCCATACTCTCTCCAGCCCTAAATGATCACTATTGTACTTTCTGCCTGTACAGATTTCTCTATTTTGGACTTTCATATGAATGGAATAATATATTTGTGACTGGCTTCCTTCACTCAGCATAATGTTTCAAGTTTTGTCTAAGTTGTAGCATATGTCAGTATTTCATTCATTTGCATGGCTGAATATTCCATTACATGAATATACTACATTTTGTTTATTCATTTGTCTACAGCAGGACAGCTTTGACCTTTTGACTGTTTTGAATAATGCTGCTATAGACATTTGTGTACAAGTTTTTGTGTAGACATAGGTTTTTATTTCTCTTGGATATAGACCTAGGAGTGGAATTGTTGGGTCACATGGTAGCTCTATGTTTAATCGTTTAAGGAACTTTCAGACTGTTTTCCAAAGTGGTTGCACCATTTTACTTTCCCACCAGCAGTTTCCACCACCAATTTACATCCTCGCCTGGGTTTACCTTTGGGCAATCTTGCTTTGCCTAGGATGGCAGAATAGAATGACAGAAGGGCAACAGCCCAGTGACACAGTGGAGATCGCACCAGCCCTAGACTGCCTACCTTCCAATTTAAGTGAGAAAAAATAAAGCCCTATTTCATTTAATCCACCGCTATTCCAAGTCTCTGTTAGTAGCTTAACACAAATCCAACTCTTGTGGTCCTATTAGCATATCTTGAATCTGGGAAGCTCTTGAAAAAATTATTGAATTGAATATGTAAAGATTTTTTTCATAGAAAATTTTGTCATCCTGTTGTACACTGGAAAACGCACCTTATTTCTCTCCTAATTTCTGATCCCATCATTCAATAGCCATTCTCCTTAGAAACTGTTTCGGGTTCTCACTAGCACCTTACTGGTGTTCTGCAAGATGGAAACAACAGCTGGTTATTCAGAAACAAATGCAAGTGTTATTGATGGAGCCATTTTATTTAAGGGGAAGGAAAAGTACTCATTGTGGTGATGGAGAATGAGCAGGAGTTGTCTATTATTTCCTTTCTCAAATATTATGCTAAGTGTTAGGACAATAATTAGAATGAAGAAAAATCAGTTAAGGTTTTCTCCTAAACTCTCCGGGAGCCCAAAGAATTTCAGTGCCATGTTGACTACATAATGCTTGTATCATGTATTTGTTCTCTTTTAGACATTGCTTTTGAAGCCACTTTTAGCCTCTGTAACAGGTTAGACTCACAGTCATCGTTTTCACCTTGGAATTCAGAAAGCATAAAAGAAAACTGCGTAATCAGTTGCAGCTCAGCTGTCCCCGTTTTTTCCCTTCATGCTTTTGTTCCAATCATCTGCATTTTGAGGGGATACTTTGAACACACACACAACCTCCCATTCTACTGGCTGTTTTGTAACAGATTTAAATATTTGCCCCAAAGCCAGCCTTTGACCAATGGGGCTTCTGATTAAGTTTTCATGTAACTGGTAGAAAGGAGAACATTACAGAGTCAGGAAAAACTTTTCAGGTGATTTAGTCCTTTCTCAATGCTTCAATTAACTGATGATAACGCTCAGTCAACATTTATCGGGCACCTATGATGTTCATTACGGCACTTCATTCTGTTAAAGAATAATAATCTCTTTATCCTTTTAACTCCCGATAATAGCTTTTTACACATAAATTTACAGTTCTTGGAATCAATGTATCTTAACATATCTTAATCATCTTTCTTTTGTAAGGAAGACTTTCTCATTTTAAAGGCTTTGGGTTTTTTTTCTTACAGCAAAATCATTTGGCTTGCGTTGTTAACACGTTAGTTTGAATTTTTTTTTATAAAAGCCAAATATATATAAGCAATGCTTTTCTCTCTGAAAATTTCTCCTGAATCTTAGCTTTTCAACAATTTGCTATTTTGTAGACCATATTCATGATTTGTTTACTCATACACACTTACTAAGGAGATGTTTACTCAGCTCCAAAATTCGTGTTAAGACTAGGACAGGCTCAAATCTATGACAAACAGAATCCCCAAAGAATAACTTTAAAGGTTATGTAAATTTCTGGAGGTATCTTATTATCTTTCTATTAAAATGTCAACATATTCTATACTTTTTCTCCATCCATTCTGGCAAGACACCATGCTATCTTGAGATTAAGCTAAGTCTCCTGGTTCAGATTCAAATCCCTGCTCAATAATCTCTTTATGGCACTCTGGGCAGTGTCTTCATCTGTGAAATCGGGATAATGATTTTATCTACAGTATTGGGTTGCTGTAAGGATTAAATATAAAGCATACAGCATGTGCCGGACATAGAGCTAGCACTCCATCCATGTTAGCGCAGGATTTCTGATTCGTCAGCATCATTACTCAATAACTATCATTCGGCCCTTTTAAATTGTTTCAGCGACGACTGAATGAACTTATTTATAAATGTATAACATAACTAGGGATGAAGTCATACTACATTGAGGTTTCATTTCCACATAGATAATATTAGGAAGCAGCTATGCCAACACTTTTTCTTCCTGTGATCTGTATACTGCAGGGTCTCTAGAAACAATGGTTTGGTTCTTTCCTGGTGACAAAGGATAAGAGAAGATGAAACTGCTACAAATGGCAATAACTTAAAAATAAAAGATACAGAAATATATGGAAATGAAAAACATATACCTATACATACACAGCTGTTTTTAAAACATGACCTTTATTCTCGAAGCTCAAACTTGATTTCCAGGTACAGCAGGCCTCTGTAACTTTTCTTGGCAGTGAAGTCATGAAGTCTCCTGTCCTCTAAAGCTACAGAAATTTAACCTGGAAGCAAGCAGTAGGCACTACGCACAGCACAGAGGGAACCCTGGGGTGTACGCTGTGGCTCCCACCTGTCCGCCAGGTCATTGTGACGCAAACGCTATGGCCACGTGGAACACCTGCCGGAGAGCAGGGGCGGGGTCACTCTGGGCGGCGGATCCGAGCGGGGGATACCCCAGGAGATGGGGGTCGAGGAGAGACCCCGGGGAGTAGAGAGAGAGAAACTCACTCCCCGAGTCCCCGACCCTCCCCAAGCAAGGTGAGGTCAACGCCACCCACCTTCCCCCGGTCACCCTGGGAGGGGTCGCTCCGGCGGGCGTCTGCTGGAGGGTAGAAGCGGGGAAGGGAGGCAGCGGCGGCGCCCAGGCGGCGGTAGGTAGCCGGGCGGCGAGGGCGCCCGCACCCCCCGGCCGCTGCGCTGCGCTGCGGTGCGCACGGGCTCCGCCGGTTGCTATTCCGGCTGGTGGCGGCCGCCGCAGGAAGGGCCGGTTCCTGCGCTCCCCCCGCCCCTTTCCCTCGCCTTCGGCTGACGCTGACGTCGGATGAGTGATCCGGAGGGACGCTCCGACCGCGGCCGGGAGGCTCCTGGGGGCCGGGGCTCCGAGGTACCTGCCCTCCGGGGTCGGGGCGGGGGCGCGCCGGGCGGGCTGCAGGAAGCAGCAGGAGACGCCCGGCAGCCGGGACGGTCGGGGACGCCTGGTAGGAGCTGCCTTCTCTGCCCTCCGCGGGCGGCGCGTGATAGGCGAGTCGCCTCCTCGGGTCCCGGATCCCGGTGCGGGAACCGCATCAGCCCCTTCCCCTCCCCTCCTCCCTCCGGCCTGGGAAGGTCTGGAGGATGCGCGCGCCGTGAGAGCGTGCGTCAGCCCCGGGGGAGCGGTAGGGAAGCGTTCCGCGCTCCGGCCCCAGCGCTGGGAGCACCGGCACCCATGCCAGCCCACCCCACCCACCCACCGCGCGCCTCGCCTTCCCGGCGGCTCCGGCCCCAGGACCCCGAGCTCCCTGGTGGGCAGGGACTTGCGTCCAGGGTTGACTTGTTGACAAGTTCACCTGCCGCGGCGCCTGGTGTGTGCTTTTTCTCTTCCCCTCCGTGGCCCTTTTTTTGGCAGGGGCGGCAGAGAGCATATGGGTACCTCTTTATAACCACTAGTGCCAGGAGGCCTGAGCTTGGTCCCCCGGGGGCGAGGTGCTCAGCAGTCTCGGACTAGACGGGGCGAGAACCCCTAAGCAACCCCGGTTCCAGCAAACCCTGGCGCGCCCGTTTCCTTTGGGCGCTGCTGACTCCGCCTTTCCTGCTCCGGGGCTATTGCAGCTCCTGCTTCCTCTAGAAACGAACATATCCTGTTGTTATGTCTGCCTTTCCCCCAAAGCGGCTCTCCAGGAACCTTTCCCACTGTCTTTTTACTTGTAGTACCCCCAAAGCACCTGAGCTTCTCTTTGGGGTCTTAAAAGTATCGCGCCCTTATTCTGGCGAAGGGCATTAACTGCCTGGTTGGGGAGAGTTAGTTTGGAAAGAATCGCGTTCTCTTCATTTAGATGGCATTAAAAAATTAGCGCAAGAAAGGGTTTTGTTCATGAATCTTAGTAACCGAGATCTGGTAACGGTATAAAAATTATCAAGGCCTGGAAAATATGTCACCAGCTTGCTTGGGAGTGATACTGAATGTAGGAAGAAAGACACATAAGGCATTTATTGGCCATTAAGGTCCTATAAAATATGACTCATCGCAAACATGTTTTTGTCCATACGTTTCAGTGAAGTCTCTTCGGAAAATCTCAAATTGGTTTCTGTGGCCCTCTGGTTTGAATCTGAGATCTGAACTGTTCTGTGGTTAGGGAGTGAAATAAGAAATGCTTAGTTTGAAATCTAGGCTCCCGATGCAATTTCATACCCCCTGTTTAAAACACACACTCTCTAAAAATGCTTTTAAGTAAGTTTTCAAACCAAAGATATATTTTTAGATTTCAGTCTTTATTTTTGAAACACCCTTTGTAGAGAATACCACAGGGACAAAATCAATTTATAATCCTGAATAGCTCAAATATCACTCTTTGGTTTTATACTAATACTGTACATACATCTTAATTGCAGGAGATGTTGCTTTCTAATTGTTTCTGTTTGTATTACAAAGGGAAATAATTGTACTGTTTATAAAGATGAATCTTTAGAAAACGTAACAGTTAAGCTACAGCGGGCTATTTGTGGAGAGACCTGATGTTAAAAAACGTTAACCCTGTATCCTCCACCCGTGGATCATTGAGTGCTAAAGATACTGGATGGTAATTGCCTGGGTGGTTTATTTTGTAACTATTTTCCCCCATTTGGAACACCTGAGTAACTATCTGACTGCTTTCTCTACGCATCTTTACCGCAGTGCATAAAGATCAATCTCACGAAAAGTATAGAAAATTTTGTTACTCAGAGCCTTCAAAATCAGTACGTTTTCAAGGTATTTGACTAAATAGTACATTTTTTTCAGGTGCAAGCAGCATTAGCGGTATGGAGGTCTGGTAGTTATGCCATAACGTAGAAGGATAAACCTATGTTTGGTATGAACTTTTAAGATTATAGAAACCTCATGCGAGAGAGGGAGGAAGTTAACAGGCCCCAAGTGTCAGGATGAATTTTTCCTCTTCGTTGGTTGAGCCTGAGGGTAGGTGGCAGTGTTTATAATCAGCACGCTGGTCACTAGTGTCCTTTTTTTCCATCTGCATTACTAGATTTATGGGAACCATTAATAAGGATGCTATCTGCATGTTTTGTCCATGAGGCAACATAGATCACTAATGAATCTTATCCCCCAACCCCACCACCATTCGCAATCTGCCTCAGCAGAACTTTAAACTCAAAAAACACTTTTCCCCCGCTTTTTTCTTGATTCCCAAGCTGATACATTTCGTATCACAATCATATCTAACACTCTGAGGGAGTATGGAGGACTCATGGGCTTTGGATCCTGATGGAGCAAAATCAGAATCCCTGCGGTAACACCTAACTAGCCGTGTGACCTTGACCAAGTTACTTAAGTCACCATTTCCTTATCTACAGAACAGGAATATCCACCTTTTTAGGGGCAGGGTGGAGATTAGAGATAATGTATATAAAATGCTTTGCACGCTTTTAAATAGGACTCACTCAGTAGTAATAAATTATTTTTTCACATGCTAAACATATGCTATCCGTATCTAAAAAGAATGCTGCTGCTTTGCCTGTGATAGGAAGTGTATTTCAATTTGGTTTTGAGTAGTTCAAATAATTTTGTACCAATACTAAGACCCTGGGCTTTATGGAAAACACTCTCTGAAGTTGGGGGGTGCAACCAGAAACAAAACAAATCTAATTTGTTCCAGTGGGGATAGATCTTCCAAGCCCCTGTCACTCAAACGTGGTCCATGGACCAGTAGCATGTGGCCTCCCCTGGGAGCTTATTAGAAATGCAAAATCTTAGCGTGCCTGCTACTCTCTTCCAGACCCAGTGAATTCAAATCTCCATTTTAACAAGATCTCCATGAGTATGTTAACATTTGAGAAGCAATGCTGTAACCTGTTATTTCTCAAACTTTAGTGTCCCAGAGAATCATTTGGGGGCTTGTTAAAATAAGTGTGGATTCCCGGTCAAGCTTCCTTCATCTGCTGTTAAGCAACATCTCAGGTAGCTCTGATCCCTAGGGTCTCCCACAGACTGTCCAGCACACTACTCTAAAATGAGCCTCTGTCCTCTTCCTTCACAAAGCACTTTGGCAACTATGATCTTATGTGATACTCAACCCCCTTTGAGATAAGTAGATATTATAATCTCCATCTGTCTGATAAGGACTGCAGGCATGATTTGCCCTGGATAGATGCATATGGTAGAACTGCCTTGGAGCCTCTAAAAATCCTGGCTGACCACACTTTCACTATTCTAGCAATTTACTATTTAGTATTATAGCATCAAATTAACATAGTTTTTGTTTTTTGACCTGTAAGTAATTTTCACAAATAACTAATGAATCTCTCCAGGACAGGGAAGACTACATGTGATAGGGCATTTTATACCTGTTTTTATAACAAAGCCTGCCTACTATGTGACTGTAGGCCAGTTGCTTAAGATAACTGAACTTAAACTTCTTCGTGAAATGAATATAAATCATTATGTCAACTTGGCCGTATTGCGAGGATACTCCGTGATGTGGGTGAAGCATACACCCCAGTGTCTGAGAAGTGGCAGTTCCTCAATTAGTGGTAACTCCTTGTCCCAGTGTAAACCTAGTGAGCTAGAATGAGTTCATGAAAAGGTGGGGAAATGATGGCCTGCATCACTCATGATGGGAATCATCTGTCTCTCTTGCTAAGTCAGATGACATCATCCATCAGGCCTTTGACCAAATCAGAGAAGTGGGATGACTTAGTATTGAACAAGCATTGGTTGTATATGTGCCATGAGCTACACACTGTGCTAAACACTCAGAATCCCAAGACTCAGACCCCACCATGCTCTGGAGGAGCGTACAGCTGAGTAAAAGAGGGAAAGAGAGGAGTCAACTAACCAATTGCCTTTCAGGGAAAGCAAGAAGGAGATAGAGACACAGGTGGTAATGCAGCCCAGGGCGGGGGCATCCCACCCCAACAGGAGAAAGGGCAGAGAAACCCTGAGATGCTTCATGGAGGAGATTGCCCTTGAGTTGAGCCTGAAACAACCAGTAGGAATTCAGCAGGTAAATAAGGGTTGGGAGTGGGGAGAAAGAGCGTTCCCCACTCCCAACCATGTGTATGTGTGTACAAAAGTCAACAAGTAAGGGAGAGAATGCTAATACAAATAGTCCTCGTGTCTGGAGCCCAGTGTCTATGTGTGTCCCTTACTAGCTGAGTGGCCTTGGACAAGTCTGATCATCTGTGATTCAGGAGGATTAGATGCACTAATTAGTGTAAGCACAGGACTGATTCTAAATATTCGTTGCATGGTTGTGGAGGTGGTGGAGGTATTAGTAGAAAATAGGGGACTAATATTAAAAAGTCATTAGAATCAGAGAACATTGCAGAGTTCAATTTTAGAATACATTTAGCAGAAAATACATGAATTAAGAGAGGGTGACTGAATGCAATATAGTTCTGTGGAGTGGAAAATATGAGGTATATGTGTTCAGTGATGGACCACTGAATATATAGATAGTAGTCATTGTTAATTTTAAGAGTCTAGATTGGAGACTAGAAAGGTCCTCTGGTTCTAGTTAGTGAAAGTATTTGTACAAGAAGTGACTCTTAAGTATTGCAACAATGTTCCAAGAGTATACATATTGAAATCCATCTCTTACCATCATCATGATCACACTCACTGCCACATCTCTGTTCCCAGAACAGGGCATAGACATCAGTTTCTGAAACCTAATAGTACCTAGGGGAAAATCCGGTCTTCTCTGTGATATTTCCAGGGTAGAGCATTCTAAGCCAGAAACCAAGAAGCTGATATTTATAAATAGTGCCCCTCTCCTTAGTCATAGGAACCCTGACAACTATCAAGGAAGAAATCAATCAGCAATTGCAGGTTTTGTTGTGCACAGTAGCACTATATTGGCAGTGGATTTGGGCCTAACCCAGCACCTAAGCCTGTGATTGGGGGAGATTGTTTTTATTGAAACAGCCCCATTAATCAAGCTCCTTTCATCCAAGAGTAGAGCAGAGTAGTTAAAAACAGGAGCTCAGAAGTCAAAAGTAAACTTGTGTTTACCAGTTGTTGACTTTGGGTAAATTACTTCGTCCTTCTAAACTTTGTTTCTCACTTGCAAAATGGGTTGATATCCCCTTCATAATGTGTGGCGATGACATAATGATGTTAAGTGCTTCACACATGTAAAGTGCTTGGTAAGTGGTAGAACATAATTATTGCCCCTTGCCCAGCACATATGTACTGAATGGCTACTGTGCTCCAGGGGCCATGCTTGGTGCTAAGGAGGCAAAGATGAACTTGAGGGTCCCTGTACTCATGGGACCTACAGTCTAGTGCAGGAGATACAGATGTAATTAGCTCCTTGAAGGAGAGTACAGGAGTGCAGTGGCACCACCAGTATGGAGCAGTTAACTCTTCAGTGGGGAGGTCTGGAGTGCAAGACCCATGGGGAGAGGGATAGAGACGAGATGTTGAGTTGGGAATACTTCACTGAAGAGGCAACATTTGAGGAGAGTCTTGATGTAAATTCTAAGTTAGGCAATCAGACAAAGGAGGGGGAGGGCATTCCAAGTGGAAAGAATCATCTCAAGTCCTTGAAGTGCATAGTATATTCAGGGAAGCTCAAGCGTTCTGACATGCGCAGAGGGAATAGTTCTATCGGAGGGTGGGGAGGAGAGTAAGATTTGGGGGGAAGGGAGCCAGGATGTAAAGGGGCCTGTGTTTTTTCAAAAAATGTTTGGAATTTCTCTAGTGGCAAGAGAAAGCAATTAAAACATTTTAAGTAGGAGAGTGGAAAAATTTGATTTGCATCATATAGTGATAGGTCGGGCAGTGTTGTAAAGATTGGAATGGACAGGTACACAGATAGCATTGCCTCTTAAGGCCTAAGCTGTGAAGATAGAAAAGATAAGATGCATTCAATCGCTTTTTAAGAGGTAGAATGGAGAGAACCTGGAGACTGGTTGCAAAAGATGAAAGAGGCTGGGTGTGGTGGCTCATGTCTGTGATCCTAGCACTTTGGGAGACCAGGGCAAGAGGATTGCTTGAACTCAAGTGTTTGAGACCAGCCTGGGCAACATAGTGAGAACTCATCTCTACCAACAATTTAAAAAATTAGCTGGGTGTGGTGGTATGTGCCTGTAGTCCCAGCTACTTGGTAGGCTAAGTAAGAGGATTGCTTGAGCCCAGCAGGTCAGGGCTGCAGTGAGTCATGATTGTGCCACTGCACTCCAGCCTGGGCAACAGAGCAAGACCCTGCCAAAAAAAAAAAAAAAGAGAAAGAAGTGAGGTTTTCAACTTAGGCCATTCAGTACATTTAGTGCTGGTAATTAACATAGGGACCACAGAAAGAAGAATTTGAGAGTGCAGATGGAAAGAGGAGTTTAGTTTTAGATGTGCTGAATTTGAAGTGCCTGTGGAACAATCCAGGTGAAGATTACCATCTGGAGGTGGAAATGTGGATCTGGTGCCCTGGAGAGGTGTGTGATTTTGGAAGTTGTTGGCATACAGCTGGCAGTTGAAGCCATGGAAGTGGCCTCACCTAATGAGAAATCACCTAATGAGAGCAAGTAAAGTTCCAAGCTTGGAACCTTACAGATACTGATATTTGAGATGCAGACACAGAGGAAAAGAAGCTAGCAAAGAAAATTGAAAAGATAGAAAAGTGTGGAGAATATTTCCTGAAAAGTAGAGGAAGAGGAGCATTTCAAGAAAGGAAGAGAACGTGGTCAAAAGTCATGAGAAATGAGGACTTGAGTGGGGCCCATAGTGAAAGATGTTCTCTGGGCTGGTGGAGAAAGGAACCAGAGAGCATGGGCTTAGAACTCTTGACTGTGAAGAGAAGGAAGAGGATGGGAACTGAGAAAGAGTTTGAAGAATGAGGCCTGATGGTAGAAGCCAAGGGAGGTTGATTAACATGAAAGAGAAGAGACAGAAAGATGGACTAAGGTGGGCAGGGGTAAGAGTGTAGGAGCTGTCCTTCCTAGGGAGAAGGAAGCGAACAGCAGGTTGTGGTCATGATTCTGGATAGCTCCAAAGAAGTGAGCAGGGGTGCACAGAGAGTGGAAACTGTGACAGAAGGTGCCCAGCGCAGTGCCAAGGCCATGGTTCCCCAGAGTGCGTGAAGAGGGAGACTGCCTGTCACCACCCTGCAGGGTTTTCTTCCCACTGCTCCCTGAAGGCCAGGAGCTAAGTGTCCTGGTGCCTAATGCTGTTGACTCAGTGTTGCCATTTGCAGCATTGGCATCATTGTGAAGTATGTAAACATTGTGTTGTGTTTGTGCTAAGCCACTCCCCACTTTCTGCTTCCTGTTTCTCTCTTCTCTGCACTCCTAACCTGGAACTCAGTACCTTCAAGCAACTTTCTGGGTTTTCTACCTGGTCTGCCCTAGAGGGTACATGCCCAATATCCCTGTCTTTCCTGACCCCCATCAAAATAACCAGTCTTGTGCTTTATAAGCTCTGGGCTTTGCTGCTGTTTATTTCCTGAGAAAGTAGAGAGAACCTGAAAAAGGGATCTT
Organism: Homo sapiens; assembly: GCF_000001405.40. Lineage (NCBI taxonomy): Eukaryota > Metazoa > Chordata > Mammalia > Primates > Hominidae > Homo > Homo sapiens. The sequence goes on along the minus strand of NC_000007.14, from coordinate 8,254,534 downwards.
TATTAGTTCTCAAATAACGCCAACTAGATGACCCAGCAGACGCAAGTGTGGTGCTGTTAGCTGAGCATACATGATCATATAGTGCTTTCTTCTGCTGCCTGCTTCCCTTTGCTGCTGACCTCTGAGATCCTTTCTTGCTCCTCCCTTCCCCTGCCTGGACTGCCTGCATTCCCTGCTCCTAAGCCAGCCCAAACTCAAACATGATTTACCTGCCACAGCTTAACCAAGGAAAGTTCTGGAATATGTGCCATTTCCAGATAAAGGAGCTGTGGTGGTTTGTTTACAGGACCCGTGCACAGCATACACATTTTATAAACCACATATTGGTGTCTGCATAGTTCAGTAATTTAAGACTAATGAGACAAATTTTACTCTGTGACTTGGGAAATTTCCCCAAATTTCCCTCAGTTCCTTCAGTGAAAAGAGGAGGTTGGACTAAATGATGTGTAAATTCTCTCCTCACTCTCAGCCAGGAGGTTCTGTGGAGTCATAACAAATTGCTTGATCACATCTTTTGGAGGCTTCAAATTATGAATTTAATCTTAAAGGAAGAGAACCTTATAAACATTAGCATCTCCCTGATTATTCTGATGGCTGATATTATGCTTACGTGCAATTTCATATAATTATAGTCCCCACATTCATACTCTTGGTTCTTCCTTCACACTGTTATTATTAACCATTCATACGTTTCTATGTACATATGAATTAAAGTCATCCCTCTGTATACACAGGGGATTGGTTCTAGGACCACCCTCAGCTATGAAAATCCACACATGCTCAAGTCCTGCAGAGCCCTGCAGAACCCATGTATGTATATGAAAAGTTGACTTTCCATATACACAGGTTTCTCATGCCAGGTTTCTCTCTTTATATTTAATTATAAGCAAAAAATGTACTTAAATATAAAAATATGATTATAAAAAAATAGAAGATATATTTTCTATTTGCCTTTGGTTGAAAAAAACTGGTGTATAGGTGGACCTATGCAGTCCAAACCCATTTTCTTTAAGGGTCAGCTATATATATTTGTGATTTCTAAATATATGTATACATTTTACATTTGTGGATACATATTGTATATATTACATCACATTGTCCTTACATTTTTACTTCTGATGGTCTTATAGTAGCCCACCACTTCACTTACTATTCACATAAATCTAATTTGACACAAATAGTACATTGTGCACACAGATTTGGACCTTTTTAAACTTGTAAAAATATGGAGTACAATCATTTTGTAGGTTATTTCAAAAGAAGATACATATGATTTTATTTTTGTAATGACATCTCTGACAGAATGTCAGAGATTCTGAGCAGAAATAACTGTTTAAGGGTATTTGTAACTAGTACAGAATATTGGTGACCGAAGTTATAGAATTAATTTCTAGCTCTTTTTTGATTTGTTTGATGCCTTAGACTGAGGCTCTCCAACAAAAATATAACAGCAGCCACATATATAATTTAAAACATTCTAGTAGTAAAATATTTTTGGCTTAAAAACTAAAAAGAAATAAGGTGGGGGCTGTGGCGTGTGCCATGCTTATAATTCCAGCTACTCAGGAGGCTGAGGTGGGAGGATTGTTTGAGCCTAGGAGTTCAAGACCAGCCTGGGCAACACAGTAAGACCCTGTCTCAAAACAAACAAAAACTAAAAAGAAACAGCTTAAATTAAATTGATAATTTATTTGATCTAACCCAAAATATTCAAAATATTGTTTCAACGTAAAATATAAAAAAGTAATAAATAAGCAAAAAATATAATTAAATATAAAGCAGAATATATAATATACATATGTAAATATGTAATATATAAATGTAGTTATATAAAATTTAGATATATACAATATATCAACATGAAATAATTTTTATAACTATAAATACATGGATTTATTAATGAGACATTTTAATTTTTTGTTACTAAGTCTTCAAAATCCAGTGTGAATTTTACATTTAGAGCTCATCTGAATTCATACCAGCCGTATCTCAAGTGCTCATATTACATGTGGCTAGTGTCTGCTATATTGGACTGCATAGTCTTAGATGATAAAGTCAATTTATCTGAGGTTATTCTTCCATAAAAAGAAAATTTAAGTTGGTGCAATTCTTTAAAGTAAGATTTGTAAGAGCCTTCCAAGTTTTATAATTTGATCCCAATAAAATATAAGGATAACATTTAGACCTATGATTTAATAATGTTCTGTGCTGACATCGAAGGGCGTAGTATTCCTTCACAGAACTTGATCGAGACTTTTATCTGATTAGGGTGTTCCTTCATTCTTCAGCTTTTGAAATTAAGCTTTTAGAGAAAACACCACCATAAATACAGAGTAAAATCTGTATGTGAAATTTGATTTGATATTTGAAATTTATGTAAACCAAACTAAATAAAATCAAAGGTGAATATAATTTATACTGCAAACTTTTAAAATTACTTTTTTCTTTAGCAGAGGTAACCCATTTGTTCTGTTTCTAGTGTTGTTTTACACTTTATATTTTTATCTTTCTAGATTTCTTTTAGGTTTGTGGTTTGCAAATACCTACCTCTTTGTTATTACTGCCATGATTTTTGGTGTAGCACAAAATTCACCATCGATCATCCTTTGAAAGGAGGGCTTTAAGCAAAAGAAAGAGGAGCAAGACCTAGACCACACTTTTTGTGAGCAGTTTGAGTTTTCTGGTTTGTTTTTAATTTGTTTTACATGGATATAATATTTAAAAATTTTACAATAATATTAATGCTGAAGATGACATTTTAGAAAGTAGCTTGGCAATTTTATTTTGGTTTCTGTTATATTTGATATTTTCCTTTCAGAAACATCTCTTGGAATAGATGAAGAGACAGAGGAGAGCACCAAATTGTTAACTGGCTGATGAATGTTTCATTCCCAGCATTCCTCTATGTGAACTTGACCTTTAACCTGATCTTGGACAAGTCATCTCTATTTTTAGAACCCCAATTTTTTAATCATTGAAAAGGATGTTGTGTTCATTATCTCTAAGCTTTATCTTAGATGTAAATGTCTCTGAAAATAATTTGAGTTTTTTATTTTTGTGACTGGGGGCATCCTAGATGGCCACTTGCCTAGTCTACTGTTTTACAGATGAGCAAAGTGAAGCCAGATCGCTGAAGTGATGACTAAGTGTGTGACATAGTCATGGATTTACCAGCTTTTATTTATATCAAGGAGCATATTGGGAAACCTTCAAAATACATACTTTAGGAATGTGATTTTAATAGTTTTAGGGAGTCATTAAACTTAATCATTGTATATAACTTAATCATTGTATATAACACCTGAGTTCTTTTGAAATGTAAATAAAACAATCATTTAAAAATATCTGGCTGGGCACAGTGGCTCATGCCTGTAATCCTGGCACTTGGGGAGTCCAAAGCTGGTGGATCACTTGAGCTCAGGAGTTTGAGACTAGCATTGGGAGGCATTTTACTAAAAATAAAAAAATTAGCTGGGCCTATTGGCAAGTGCCTGTAGTCCCAGCTACTGAAGAGGCTGAGGTGGGGGGGATCACTTGAGCCCAGGAGGTCAAGGCTGCATGAGCTGTAATGTCACAATTGCACTCCAGCCTGGGCAACTGAGCAAGATCCTGTCTCAAAAAAAAAATTTCTTTAATAAAAGAAAATATCCTAAGACTTTAGTTCATTAACAGAAAACACAGATTTTAACAGTGGCTTGCATCTGTAGTGTTAAAATAAAAACTCACCTTTTAGCTACCATGAATAAGATCACAATTCTGTTTTCCTCTTGGTGATATTTGCTGACTCACAAAATTAAAACATGATCCCATTTCACATTTACTTGTGAATTTATGAAATATCAAAAATCATTGCAGAAGGCACAAAACTGGAAACAGGATCCATTTAAAGTTGTGTAGTCACTCAATCACCCAGGCTGGAGTGCAGTGAGGGGATCAGAGCTCACTGTAGCCTTGTGTGCAGTTGTGTGGAATGCTCAGGTAATCGTGTCCACGTCAAAAATCCAAAAGGACAAGCTGTATGATATCTCAGAGGTAGGAAAAACACCCATTAAAAACTCATCAAAATCGTGTTACTTTAATTAATACCTAGCTTTTGAAAAGATGGAAGGCTAATTGAACTTCCCATCCTCCATGGGAATGCCCATTTCTCAACCACTTGAGAACAGGATTTGATGAATCAGGATTTTAAAAATAATAATTAATATGGTTAATTATGCCTGGAGGAATTGTTCCAGTTTTTTTCACTGCTTCTACTGAAACTATTTTAATATTTATACTCAAATACACTTCTCTCCATAAGAAATTGTAAAAATCATTATTGACATAAGAGGAAGTGACAGAGACAAACATCTAGGAAAAATGATGAAAACATACTTTGCCCAAAAGAAATGCACAGACATCCAATTATTTTTTTACCTTAGTGGCTAAAACCTCTGACAAATCAGTATTTCCCCTGTTCATCAGGCAAGTGGAGGACCCCATGTGGGAGCCCTGGCTCTGAAGACTATTGGCTTTGTGCTCTCAGGCCGTGTTCCTCCCTGGATCACAAGTCCCATTTCAGAAGGAAGGGGCTTTATTCAGTTCTTCCTCATCTCTTTCTAGGCTCTAAATTATATGACTTCTGTTTTTTCTGAAGTTACACACCAGAGAAATAAACCCAAATACCTGCATCACTTCAGATCATTTGAAAAGAAATAGTCAGTCTAATAAACTGAGTAGGAGACACACATTTCCACTTCTCTGAAGAAAAGTTCACTACAATTGAGTTCTGTAAAATTATTGCATGATGTGTAAGTTTTAGTGTATGGAAGAACAAAATATTGAAGACTGGTCATATTTCCAGATGAAACTGATCTCTGAAATAACAGGAAAATGGAATGAGGAAGAAGTTACGTAAATTAGTACCATGCAATTGGAAGCTAAATCTGAGAGACATGTCACCAGCTTCCAATATTTGTGATGGATAGTCCAAAAACTAACTCCCTAACAAAGGCAGGACAAAACATGGTGCCCACCGAGTGTGAAATAAACAGCATTGAATGTCCATCCTCCAATGGCTAGAGTATATCTAAATGCTGAAGGTGGCACATGGTGCTTCAGAGGCTGGCCCCTCTGTTTCCCCTGTTGCGTGTCTTTAAATTATAATGCACAACTGCTTACGGTTAGTTACACACACCACTGGCAGTTCTGCTGTGGAAGAATTTGTTCACTGCATTTCCTCTGCCTAGAATAATACCACTTCCCTCCCCACCGCACTTCCAGCCTTTGCCTCTCCAGCAATGACTAATTAAGTCTTAGAGACTCAGCCCAGAGGCTGTGTGGGAAGCCAGCATTGTGCCTCTGTTCTGTGCCCCTCAAACCCTGGCAGTTTCCTCTGCCATGGCATTTGTGCCCCATCACAGGGAGCCTGTAGCATCTTCTGATGGCAGATGCTTTTTTTCAGTTATATACAAATAGCCGCAAAAGTCTGGGGCACATAGTGATTTATAATTTTACTGAAGTTTGATTTTAAAGAATTACTCTGCATTTTATCATATATAAAAAACTATTGGTCAGGAGGTCTTACCATTTATATTCCATGAAGAAAGAAAAATGACTGACAGTTGACAAGGTAGTGACTCTAACACAGTGATGATAGAATATGAACAGATTTGTACCGTAGATTGTATGGCATGTGGTGCTATGAAGCTGGTGTTTAGGAATGAGTGATTTCACTATGGGATGTTTCTAATGTACCACTTTGCACCCACATCATTGCCAGACTCTGTTCTGTTCTGAAAAGTGTGTGTATTTTCTTTTCTTTCGAGAGGTTGAGGGAGTGGTGGGCATCTTACTCTGCTGCCCAGGCTGGAGTGCAGTGGCATGATCTCAGCTCAATGCAACTTCCACCTTCCTGGCTCAAGCGATCCTCCCACCTCAGCCTCCTGAATAGCTGGGACCACAAGTGTGCACCACCATGCCCAGCTAATTTTTTGTATTTTTGGTAGAGATAGGGTTTCATCGTCTGGTCTCGAACTTCTGAGCTCAAACAATCCACCCTCCTTGCCTCTCAAAGTGCTGGAATTCTAAGCATGAGCCACTGTTCCTGGTCTGAAAAAAGCGTTATTTCTTATGGGGGAAAAAATGGCCCCCTACTTCCCAAAGAACTGAAGAGCTCTAAGGTAATGACAATTTTTATCTAGAAAATAGAAATGTTGAATAAACTAAAGAGGAAAATGACAAATTTGGCATTGACTCAGATATGCAACTCAAGAGATTCCACCATATGCTCAGTACAGACAACAAGAAAAAGCGACTCTGGACTCAGTTTCAGCTGGTACTCCAACCAACAGAAAAGCTACCCACTGAATGGAAGAGAAAAATTCTACCACTAAAGTTGTAAAGTTAATTAATTGGAGACATGAATCTTTGCATAAGTAAAATGACGTGCTTAGGAAACATGATTCAAGAGGAAGCCAGTTCCATATTAAAAAGAAATAGTTGATCTAATAAACTGACGAGGAGGCACACATTTCTGCTTCTCTGAAGAAAAATTAACTACATTTGAGTTTTACCAAGTTGCTGCCTGATAAGTTTTAGTGTATGAAAGAACAAGGTATTGAAAACTGGTCAAATTTTGTGGGTATAGAATACCAATATAGTGGAATGACTACTGATCTTAGCTTTACTCTGAACAAGGATTGGCTCAAGAATTTTAGATTCTTTGCATAATTCAAAAGTAATCAGAAGTGCCATCAGCTAACTTCACTGCCTTGAAGAAATGCATAGAAAAAGTTCTAGGTCAGAACAAGCGTTCATTGCAGTGGAAGCCAGCTTATGTGGAATGAAAATGCCTTCCTAGATTATATTTCCAAGGAGAAGAATCTGGTATCTGGGTTCAAGGCAGCTAGGGAAAAACTGACTCCTGTCCACTTTGTGGCAATGAATCAAACTCTGTACTTAAAACCTGGCTTGTTTTAGCATTCTGTGTACCTTTGGGTGTTAGGAAAAAACTACTATGCATGTCTTATGGCCAAGCTGTCCAGCTTGTTCAAAATGGCTTGTTTTGTTTTTTTTCTTTTTTCTTTTCTTTTTTGATACAGGATCTCACTCTGTCACCCAGGCTGGAGTGCAGTGGCTCCATCATGGCTCTCTGCAGCCTTGACCTCCTGGGCTCGATTGATCCTCCCATGTCAGCCTCCTGAGTAGCTGGGACTACAGGCGTGTGCCACCGTGTCTAGCTAATTTCTTCTTCTAATTATTTTTTTGTAGAGACAGAGTTCACTGTGTTCACAAGGCTGGTCTCAAACTCCTGGGCTCAAGCGTTCCACTTGCCTTGGCCTCCCAAAGTTCTGGGATTACAGGCATGAGGCATCACATCCAGCCTAAAATGGTTTTTAAATGGCTCTAGCAAGTAATGACAAGTGGGACGATTGCTGTAGTCTTTTGCCCATCTACACGGGGGAATAAAATTGAGGACTCAGCACAGCAAGCATATATGAAAAGGAAAGGCCAGGCATGGTGGTTCACGCCTGTAATCCCAGCACTTTGGGAGGCCAAGGCGGGTGGATCATGAGGTCAGGAGATTGAGACCATCCTGGCTAACACGGTGAAACCCCATCTCTACTAAAAATACAAAAACTTAGCCAGGCGTTGTGGCACATGCCTGTAGTTCCAGCTACTCGGGAGGCTGAGGCAAGAGAATCGCTTGAACCCAGGAGGCAGAGGTTGTGGTGAGCCGAGATCGCACCACTATACTCCAGCCTGGGTGACAGAGCGAGACTCCGTCTCAAAAAATAAAAGGAAAAATGAGCATAGTTATTGCACAGGAGCACAGGATCCCAACAGAAAACCTGAACAAAGTGTCCTTCCCCACTGTTCTCTCAATTCTTCCCACAGAGCAAGGTGGTTTCTCAGTCAAATGGATGTGGCTGAGAACAACTATGGTTTTAATGCCTGGCTTTGGACCATGAGGTGAATATATTGTAACCCCATCAAGGTGCAGTCTAGGAAAATCTAAAGGGATTAGGTTGGTAGTCTCAGTGTCACCTAAGAAGAAGGTGCTGACCTCAGCAGCAGTTCCACCTCTGAGCAGGAAGTTGCCTTTCCTTCACCTATATTTCTGCCTTAGACACAGAGCCTCCTCCTCACCAACTCATTCCCACACTCCCCAGGTTGTTATATCAAAATTAGAAACTTGCTTTCCATTGATCTATTCATCCTTGGGCCTCTGCTTCTTTGAGCAGATCTTAATTATTGGTGCAACTGCTTTGTCTTCTTTGAGGAAACAGTTTAACTGTGAAACACAAACATTCATGCGATCAAGTTGTGCTGACTGTGACAATATCTTGGCGCTCACAGTCCATCAGCATCTTGTTACTTGCCCTTCTTTGCTTATCTCCCAAGGTAAGATGACCACAAGCAGATCTTTAGGACATCTTTTCTGTGTCATTAAAAAGCTGGAGATGTGACACCATTCTTTCTGGGCTTGTTTCATAAGGGCCTTGTGGCAGAAGTGGAGAAATAGCTTCCATTGCAGAATCATGAAGTATTAGCTAATCATAGACTTTATTCAATTTTACAGGGAAAATATTTTTACAGCAGAATTTGCAAATTTGGGGATTCATTAAGGGGACATTGTTATATGTCCCTTGCAAATGTCAAGGCTCTACTGATTCTGGAAATTATATATCTGTCTTTACTGCGAAACTTGTACTGTTCAATATGGTATCCACTAACCCCGTGTGGCTCTTGAGTACTTAATATGGCTAGTGTGAATTGAGATTTGCTGAAAGTATAACATACTATATTTTAAACTTGGTACAAAAATATTAGTGTAAAATGTATCACTCATTTTTATATTGGTTATATGTTGAAATAATAATTTAGATATATTGGGTTAAAATATATAAACATTAATTTCACTGTTTTTAAATTTTTTTAACATGGCTATTAGAACATTTAAACTCATAGTATAATTCTTTTTTAATTATTATTATTATACTTTAAGTTCTAGGGTACATGAGCACAACGTGCAGGCTCATTACATAAGTATACATGTGCCATGCTGGCCCACTGTACCCATCAACCTGTCATTTAAATTAGGTATTTCTCCAAATGCCATCCCTGCCCCCACCCCCCACCCCACAACAGGCCCCAGTGTGTGATGTTTCTACCCAGTGACCAAGTGTTCTCATTGTTCTATTCCCACCTATGAGTGAGAACATGTGGTGCTTGGATTTCTGTCCTTGTGATAGTTTGCTCAGAGTGATGGTTTCCAGCTTCATCCATGTCCTTGCAAAGGACATGAACTCATCCTTTTTTATGGCTGCATAGTATTCCATGGTGTATATGTGCCGCATTTTCTTAATCCGCTCTACCATTGATGGACATTTGTATTGGTTCCAAGTCGTTGGTATTGTGAATAGTGCCGCAGTAAACATACGTGTGCATGTGTCTTTATAGCAGCATGATTTATAATCCTTTGGGTATATACCCAGTAATGGGATCACTGGGTCAAATGGTATTTCTAGTTCTAGATCCTTGAGGAATCACCACACTGTCTTCCACAATAGTTGAACTAGTTTACACTCCCCACCAACAGTGTAAAAGTGTTCCTGTTTCTCCACATCCTCTCCAGCACCTGTTGTTTCCTGACTTTTTAATGATCACCATTCTAACAGGTGTGAGATGGTATCTCACTGTGGTTTTGATTTGCATTTCTCTGATGACCAATGATGATGAGCATTTTTTCATGTGTCTGTTAGCTGCATAAATGTATTCTTTTGTGAAGTGTCTGTTCATATCCTTTGCCCACTTTTTGATGGGGTTGTTTGCTTTTTTCTTGTAAATTTGTTTACATTCTTTGTCGATTCTGGATATTATCCCTTTATCAGATGGGTAGATTGCAAAAATTTTCTCCCATTGTGTAGGTTGCCTGTTTACTCTGATGGCAGTTTCTTTTGCTGTGCAGAAGCTCTTTAGTTTAATTAGATCCCATGTGTGTATTTTGGCTTTTGTTGCCATTGCTTTTGGTGTTTTAGTCATGAAGTCCTTGCCCATGCCTATGTCCTGAATGGTATTGCCTAGGTTTTCCTCTAGGGTTTTTATGGTTGTAGGTCTAACATTTAAGTCTTTAATCCATCTTGAATTAATTTTTGTATAAAGTGTAAGGAAGGGATCCAGTTTCAGCTTTCTACATATAGCTAGCCAGTTTTCCCAGCACCATTTATTAAATAGGGAATCCTTTCCCCATTTCTTGTTTTTGTCAGATTTGTCAAAGATCAGATAGCTGTAGATGTGTGGTGTATTTCTGAGTTCTGTGTTCTGTTCCATTGGTCTATATCTCTGTTTTCATACCAGTACCATGCTGTTTTGGTTACTGTAGCTTTGTAGTATAGTTTGAAGTCAGGTAGCGTGATGCCTCCAGGTTTGTTCTTCTTGCCCAGGATTGTCTTGGCAATGCAGGCTCTTTTTTGATTCCATATGAACTTTAAAGTAGTTTTTTTCCAATTCTGTGAAGAAAGTCATATGGGGATAGCATTGAATCTATAAATTACCTTGGGCAGTATGGCCATTTTCACAATATTGATTCTTCCTATCCATGAGCATGGAATGTTCTTCCATTTGTTTGTGTCCTCTTTTATTTCGTTGAGCAGTGGTTTGTAGTTCTCCTTGAAGAGGTCCTTCACATCCCTTGTAAGTTGGATTCCTGGGTATTTTATTCTCTTCGTAGCAATTGTGAATGGGAGTTCACTCATGATTTGGCTCTCTGTTTGTCTGTTATTGGTGTATAGGAACGCTTATGATTTTTGCACATTGATTTTGTATCCTGAGACTTTGCTGAAGTTGCTTGTCTGCTTAAGGAGATTTGGGGCTGAGACAATGGGGTTTTCTAAATATACAATCATGTCATCTGCAAACAGGGACAATTAGACTTCTTCTTTTCCTAATTGAATATGCTTTATTGCTTTCTCTTGCCTGATTGCCCTGGCCAGAACTTCCAACACTATGTTGAATGGGAGTGGTGAGAGAGGACATCCCTGTCTTGTGCCAGTTTTCAGAGGGAATGCTTCCAGTTTTTGCCCTTTCAGTATGATATTGGCTGTGGGTTTGTCATAAATAGCTCTTATTATTTTGAGATACGTTCCATCAATACCTAGTTTATTGAGAGTTTTTAGCATGAAGCATTGTTGAATTTTGTCAAAGGCCTTTTCTGCATCCATTGAGATAATCATGTGGTTTTTGTCGATGATTCTGTTTATGTGATGGATTACGTGTATTGATTTGTGTATGTTGAACCAGCCTTGCATTCCAGGGATGAAGCCGACTTGATTGTGGTGGATAAGCTTTTTGATGTGCTGCTGGATTCCGTTTGCCAGTATTTTATTGAGGATTTTCACACTGATGTTTATCAGGGATATAGGTCTAAAATTCCCTTTTTTTGTTGTGTCTCTGCCAGGCTTTGGTATCAGGATGATGCTGGCCTCATAAAATGAGTTAAGGAGGATTCCCTCTTTTTCTATTGATTGGAATAGTTTCAGAAGAAATGGTACCAGCTCCTCTTTGTACCTCTGGTAGAATTCGGCTGTGAATCCGTCTGGTCCTGGACTTTTTTTGGTTGGTAGGCTATTAATTATTGCCTCAATTTCAGAGCCTGTTATTGGTCTATTCAGAGATTCAATTTCTTCCTGGTTTTAGTCTTGGGAGGGTGTATGTGTCCAGGAATTCATCCATTTCTTCTAGATTTTCTAGTTTATTTGCATCGAGGTGTTTATAGTATTCTCTGATGGTAGTTTGTATTTCTGTGGGATCGGTGGTGATATCCCCTTTATCATTTTTTATTGCATCTGTTTGATTCTTCTCTCTTTTCTTCTTTATTAGTCTTGCTAGTGATCTATCAATTTTGTTGATCTTTTCAAAAAACCAGCTCCTGGATTCATTGATTTTTTGAAGGGTTTTTTGTGTCTTATCTCCTTCAGTTCTGCTCTGATCTTAGTTATTTCTTGCCTTCTGCTAGCATTTGAATTTGTTTGCTCTTGCTTCTCTAGTTCTTTTAATTGTGATGTTAGGGTGTCAATTTTAGATCTTTCCTGCTTTCTCTTGTGGGCACTTAGTGCTATAAATTTCCCTCTATACACTGCTTTAAATGTGTCCCAGAGATTCTGGTACATTGTGTCTTTGTTCTCTTTGGTTTCAAAGAACATCTTTATGTCTGCCTTCATTTCATTATTTACCCAGTAGTCATTCAGGAGCAGATAGTTCAGTTTGCATGTAGTTGTGTCATTTTGAGTGAGTTTCTTAATCCTGAATTCTAATTTGATTGCACTGTGGTCTGAGAGACAGTTTGTTGTGACTTGTGTTCTTTTTCATTTGCTGAGGAGTGCTTTTTTCCAGTTATGTGTTCAATTTTGGAATAAGTGTGATGTGGTGCTGAGAAGAATGTATATTCTGTTGATTTGGGGTGGAGAGTTCTGTAGATGTCTATTAGGTCTGCTTGGTGCAGAGCTGAGTTCAAGTCCTGGATATCCTTGTTAACCTTCTGTCTCGTTGATCTGTGTAATGTTGACAGTGGGGTGTTAAAGTCTCCCATTATTATTGTGTGGGAGTCTAAGTCTCTTTGTAGGTCTTGAAGGATTTGCTTTATGAATCTGGGTGCTCTTGTATTGGGTGCATATATATTTAGGATAGTTAACTCTTCTTGTCGAATTGACCCCTTTACCATTATGTAATGGCCTTCTTTGTCTCTTTTGATCTTTGTTGGTTTAAAGTATGTTTTATCAGAGACTAGGATTGCAACCCCTGCTGTTTTTTTGCTTTCCATTTGTTTGGTAGATGTTCCTCCATCCCTTTATTTTGAGCCTATGTGTGTCTCTGTCTGTGAGATGGGTCTCCTGAATACAGCACACTGATGGGTCTTGACTCTTTATCCAATTTGCCAGTCTGTGTCTTTTAATTGGGGCATTTAGCCCATTTACAATAAGGTTAATATTGTTATGTGTGAATTTAATCTGTCATTATGATGTTAGCTGGTTATTTTGCCTATTAGTTGATGCAGTTTCTTCCTAGCATCGATGGTCTTTACAATTTGGCATGTTTTTGCAGTGGCTGGTACCAGTCATTCCTTTCCATGTTTAGTGCTTCCTTCAGGAGCTCTTGTAAGGTAGACCTGGTGGTGACAAAAATCTCTCAGCATTTGCTTTTCTGTAAAGGATTTTATTTCTCCTTCACTTATGAAGCTTAGTTTGCCTGGATATGAAATTCTGGATTGAAAATTCTTTTCTTTAAGAATGTTGAATATTGGCCCCCACTCGCTTCTGGCTTGTAGAGTTTCTGCTGAGAGATCTGCTATTAGTCTGATGGGCTTCCCTTTGTGGGTAACCCAACCTTTCTCTCTGGCTGCCCTTAACATTTTTTCCTTCATTTCAACCTTGGTGAATCTGACAGTTATGTGTCTTGGGGTTGCTCTTCTCAAGGAGTATCTCTGTGGTGTTCTCTGTAATTCCTGAATTTGAATATTGGCCTGCCTTGCTAGGTTGGGGAAATTCTCCTGGATAATATCCTGAAGACTGTTTTCCAGCTTGGTTCCATTCTCCCCGTCACTTTCAGGTACACCAGTCAAGCATAGATTTGGTCTTTTCACATAGTCCCTTATTTCTTGGAGGCTTTGCTAGTTACTTTTTACTCTTTTTTCTCTAAACTTTTCTTCTCGCTTTATTTCGTTAATTTGATTCAATCACTGATACCTACCCTTTCTTCCACTTGATTGAATCAGCTGTTGAAGCTTGTAAATGCGTCACGTAGTTCTCCTGCCATGGTTTTCAGCTCCATCAGGTCATTTAAGTCTTCTCTACACTGTTTATTTGAGTTACTCATTCGTCTGATCTTTTTTTCAAGGTTTTTAGCTTCCTTGCAATGGGTTTGAACAGTCTCCTTTAGCTCGGAGAAGTTTGTTATTACCAACCTTCTGAAGCCTACTTCTGTCAGCTCGTCAAAGTCATTCTCCATCCAACTTTGTTCCTTTGCTGGCAAGGGGCTGCGATCCTTTGGAGGAGAAGATGCGCTCTGGTTTTTAGAATTTTCAGCTTTTCTGCTCTGGTTTCTGCTCTGGTTTTATCTACCCTTGGTCTTTGATGTTGATGACCTACAGATGGGGTTTTGGTGTGAATGTCCTTTTTGTTGATGTTGGTGCTGTTCCTTTCTGTTTGTTAGTTTTCCTTCTAACAGTCAGGTCCCTCAGCTGCAGGTTTGTTGGAGTTTGCTGGAGGTCCACTCCAGACTCTGTTTGCCTGGGTATCGCCAGCAGAGGCTGCAGAATAGCAAATATTGCAGAACAGCAAATATTGCTGCCTGATCCTTCCTCTGGAAGCTTCGTCCCAGAGGGGCACCCACCTGTATAAGGTGTCTGTCAGCCCCTACTGGGAGGTGTCTCCCAGTTAGGCTACATGGGGGTCAGGGACCTACTTGAGGAGGCAGTCTGTCCATTCTCAGAGCTCAGTGCTGGGAGAACCACTGCTCTCTTCAGAGCTGTCAGACAGGGACGTTTAAGTCTGCAGAAGTTTCTGCTGCCTTTTGTTCAGCGATGCCCTTCCCCCAGAGGTGGAATGTACAGAGGCAACAGGCCTTGCTGAGCTGCAGTGGGTTCCGCCCAGTTCAAGCTTCCCTGGCCGCTTTGTTTACCTACTCATGCCTCAGCAATGGCAGACGCCCCTGCCCCAGCTAGGCTGACACCTCGCAGTTCTATCTCAGACTGCTGTGCTAGCAGTGAGCAAGGCTTCATGGGCATGGGACCTGCCGAGCCAGGCGTGGGATATAAACTCCTGGTGTGCCATTTGCTGAGACTGTTGGAAAAGTGCAGTATTTGGGCGGCAGTGTCCCGATTTTCCAGGTACAGTCTGTCATGCCTTCCCTCAGCTTGGAAAGGGAAATCCCCCGACCCCTTGCACTTCCTGGGTGAGAAGATGCCCTGCCCTGTTTCGGCTCACCCTCTGTGGGTTGCACCCACTGTCAACCAGTCCCAATGAGATGAACCAGGTACCTCAGCTGGAAATGCAGAAATCACCCATCTTCTGCGTCAGCCACGCTGGGAGCTGCAGACTGGAGCTATTCCTATTCGGCCGTCTTGGAATGTGCTCATAGTCTATTTCTATTGGACAGAGCTGATCTATATTTGAGGCCAGGAAGAGTGACTGGCATGTACTCATTTGATGCTCAGTTTATGTCTGATAAACCAAACTGTTGAACTGAAATGAATGGATAACAATTATAATGATTTTTTAAAGTAGCAATTTAAATGCTGTGGATTTGGAAAGTGATAGAGCAAAACAAGATAGATTATGTCAGGAAATCTTAAGATGTTTATTAATTGTCTCTGGTATGTAGAGTTAGAACATATATAAAAAGAGATGTTAGCACTGGCTCCAGCTGCCTTCTCATGAGGCGTTCAGATGTACCCTGCAGAGCTGACCTTATTTTGACCACTTATGATTCCTTTGCTCCTGTGCCTATGATCCAGTAGTTTGTTCAAGAAAGACCAATTTCCAAAAATATTTTCCCTGTGTGCCATTTAGCTGTGGTTCTCATACTTTAATGTGCTTAAGAATGACTTGCAAAGCCTATTATAAAACTAGATTCCCAGAATCATTCTCAGAGATGCTATTTCACTAGGAAAGGAGTGGGGTCTAGGATTCTGTATATTAGTATCCCCGGAAGATTTCAATGCAAGTGGCTGTTAAACAATACCTTGAGGAACACTGCCGTATGGTATCATGATCTGGGAATAGCCTGGAAATCTAGGTAGAAGGGGCAATTTGCTCAGCAATTTTTGTTAACTATAACTATAAATAACACATACTATAAGAACTTACACTATGAAGGATTTAAATTAAAAGGCATTTTAATAAGCAAAAATTAATTAAAAAGTCATAGTAAAGGAAATAGTCAACAGAGTGAAAAGCTAACCTACAGAATATGAGAAAATATTTGCAAACCATATATTGGATAAGGGATCAATATCTGGAATATATAGAGAACTCCTGCAATAACTCCTGCAAATTAAGTTGGGTCAATAACAAAATGACCCAATTTAAAAATGGGCAAAAGACCTGCATAGACATTTCTCCAAAGAAAATATACAAATGGCAAAAAAATATGAAAAGATGCACAACATCACTAATCAGAGAACTGTAAACCAAAACCATGAGATATCACCTCACAATGCTTCGGATGGCTATTATTTTTAAAAATGGAAACAAACATTAACAAGGATGTGGAGAAAGTGGGACCCTTGCATACCATCAGTGGGCTTGAAATGGTGCAGCTGCTGTGGAAAACAATAGGCAGTTTCCTCAAAAAATTAAGTAGAGAACTGTATAATCCAGCAGTCCAAATTCTGTGTATTTGTGCAAAAGAATTGAATACAGGATCTCAGAGAGATACATTAAGACCTCATTTAATGTCATTGATAGTTCTTGGAAACTGCAACTTTAGGCAAAACGACATAAGCCATTTTTTTCTTATCAATATTATTATGAAACAGTGTTATTCTGGACCTGTGTATATCACTTTGCCTATAGTTGCAGCTTCCAAGAACCTGTCAATGAATTTGACACTGTATACTGTGTTTATTGCAGCATTATTCCCAATAGCCAAGATGTGAAAGCAACCTAAATATCCATTGACACATGAATGGTTAAAGAAAATGGTGTGTGTGTGTGTGTGTGTGTGTGTGTGTGTGTCTGTCTTCAACATTGCATATACAATGCAATATCATTCAGCCTTAAAAAGGAAGTCCTGTCATATACTACAACACAGATGAACCTTAAATGCATTATGCTAAGTGAAATAAGCCAATCACAAGAACACAAATACTGAGTGTTTGCATTTTTATGAGGTATCTAAAGTAGTCAAATTCATAGAATCAGAAACTAGAATAGTGGTTGCTGGGGGCTGTGGGAGGGGAAAATGGGGAGTTGTTCAATGGGTGTAGAATTTCCATCATGCAAGATGAAAAAGTTCTAGAGATCTGTTGTACAACAAAGTGTATATTGTTAGCACTACTATACTGTACACTTTTAAATTAAAAGAATAAACTTTTTTACCATAATAAAAATATTAATCAAAAAGTACCAACTATCCTAATAGTTCATGGTGACATTGAACTCAAGAGAAGAATATGATAATTCCATTTCCTTTGAACACCCTCTTTTTATGAAAAAATTTGTTGGAAATTTCAAGCTAACTAAAGTAAATGTGTACTTACAGTGAAGCTGTCTGGGTGGTGAGAGGACTGGGTGTTGGTAGCCTCTCCATGATGCACTGAGTGGAGGGCAGAGCTTACTTACTTACCCTGAATGTCATTCCCAAAAGCAGCTCGTCCAGATATTTGGATGCTCTCCACAAGGAAGAGAGATGTTCACTGCAGGATGCTGTCATATCAGAGGCATCTGACACTCTGGAAATTCTCTTCTTCCTCTCTCTTGTCTGCATACCTGAAGCGTGGGATTTGCACATCGTAATTTTGTCCCCTTGAAATGTTTTTAAATAGCCTAGGAAAGCTTTAATCACTTTAGGAGTACTGGTTGCCAGGATCCTTTCTGAGACCAAAGGAGAATGATTGGATTGATTTTGTGAAGCAGTCTGGGCATTCATATGCTGTGAGCACTCACTCTGGCAGCTAGAGGTTTTGCCTCTGGCCAGTGACCATTCCTTTGAGTAGTGAGCTTTCTGTTCTTTCCAGTAACTGCTGGCAAGTGGGCTAATGTGGCTGGGCTGGTGGGCCCTGGGGTGGGCTAGCTTCCATGAGTGGAGCAAATGGAGTAAGGGCAGAGACATTGACTCCAGTATTTACTAACGAGATAAATATACAAGGCTAGGCTGGTAGATACCTATTTTCCACCTTTGTGCCCTTCTTGCTATCTTATTCAAGCATATCAACCCTTTTTTGGTTTTTATTTGGGGTTTTAAAATTTTGTTCTATTTTTGTTTCTATTTTTGCAATGTGCTGGTTTGTTTCTTTAAAAATGTTGATTATAAAATATTTCAAATCTGTAAGGAGGCATACAGATGCAATATATTCACCACCTAGCTTCACAAAGAGAACACTATGTGTGCACTTGAAGCTGCTGTATATCTCTCTCACATCACATCCCACACCATCTCCTGCCGTGGTCTGCTGTCTGGAACTTAGTGTTCATCATTCCTAAGCAATTCTTTATACCTTCACCTTATAATATTGTATACCTCAACAACATATAGTATTGTTTTACATATTTTTAAGCTTTATATAAATGATATTATATTTTATGTAGTCTTCTGCAACCTGCTTTTTCATTCAATCTGCCTGTTCACTTTTTAAACTTTATTTGGAATATTTCTTCCAGTGTTACTTAGCTATATTGTTGTCATCACCAGTGTGCAGCATTACTGTGTAACAGTGTTAGACCCTAAAATACAGCTAGAAATGGCTTAGGTTGAAGGCTTTTATGTGTGTCACATTAATATGTAACTATAATATGGTGTGTAACTATTAAACATATTTGTTTTATTTCAGGTTATAATATAACTTATCCTCTCATGCTTTTTTCCTGCCCCTTCTCCCCAAATCATCAACAATAGAAGAAGAAGAAAACATGTCAGGACACAAATGGTAAGTAATTTGTCATCTTTTCTGAATTGGGAAAGTAGAAAGCATATAGCATATGATCAATAAACATCTATTGAATGGAAAAACAAGAGATACATTGGCAGTAAGTATCATGTTAGCCCTCACCAATGCTGAGCCAAATTCAGTATCTCTGTTAAATATGGTGTGAAAACCAAGTAACAAAAATATTGTAAATTCTTACCTAATGTGCATTCTCTAAGAAATTCATTTATGTGTAACTTTTCTCTTGGGAACCTACTGATAGTTTTTCTTACCACCATTTTGTCTAATGTAATGAGTTGATGCGTTTTTATTACTATCTTATTTATAACTTCTAACATTAGAGTTACAAGGGAATTTTATGTTAGGGTAGCTATAAAATAAAGAATGATTCTACAACCACACACGACTCGTGCTTATTAATTTAGAGTCATGACTTCAACCTTCCTGAACATTCAGGAGCCAATTATTGTCAAAAGTAAATGATGCTGAATAAAGTAGATGTGGTAACCATTTGGCAATGTTAGCGCTGACATTTATGTGCCTATAACATATCTGAGCAGCATGTTAAACCTCTTGTAAGGTCCAGAGCTCTTCAAGCAGTGTTTCCAAATTCTTTTGAACCCATGACCCACCAAGCAAGCAGATCTTTGTGAACTTTTATTTTCTTTAATTTGTATCATGAAAAACAAATGTGTTACATATTTTTCAAATGCACAATTAATTATAATAATACATTTTTTTTTTTTGAGATGGAGTCTCACTCTGTCACCCAGGCTGGAGTTCAGTGGTGCAATCTCAGCTCACTGCAACCTCCGCCTCCCTGGTTCAAGTGATTCTCCTGCCTCAGCCTCCCGAGTAGCTGGGATTACAGGCATGTGCCACCACGCCTGGCTAATTTTTGTATTTTTAGTACAGACGGGGTTTCACCATGTTGGCCAGGATGGTCTCGATCTCTTGACCTCATGATCTGCCCACCTCAGCCTCCCAAAGTGCTGGGATTACAGGCATGAGCCACCGCGCCCGGCCAAAGAAATCCATTCTATGGCCCACTCTTGAGAATGCCATTCCCCTAAAATAATCAGTCTTTGGAGTGTATCCTTCCAACCTTTTAATGTGCATATTCTATAGAGAGATTATCTTTTACATAAGTTTTATACATTATCTTATTTTCTCTGATATGAGCTCATAATACGACTTTTAAATAATGCAGAAAGATATAAAGTAGACCATGAAAGTCTCCCATAATCCTACTTCTCTCTCCAAAGATAACCATTGTTAAGGAAGTCATCAGAAATGCCTTCTGGCTTTTTAAGAATAAATGTGTAAATTGAAAATTGTAAACTTAATGAAATTGTAAATGAAGGAAAGTAGGTTTTGAGATACTGGTATTTTGATATAGTCATATAAACAAACTCACGTTTCAGCACAAGCCTGGCACATTTTGGGTGGTGATGGGATGGGGTAGAGGAAAGTACATCTCCACAGAGGAGAGTTGCCTGGGGGGGTCAGGGGAGCCTTTGGGGCAGGGACTCTAGGTCCAAAGAGGATGTGGACGAAGCAAGGGGAGGGATGGAACTCCATCAGCAAACTTTCCAGCCATATTTGGGGTACTCCAATCACTTTTACACAATTCCATTTCATTTTCAATTACTTTTGTTTCTTTTCTCTTTTTTCTTCTCTTTTTTCTTTTTTGAGGGACAGGGTCTCGCCCCGTATCCCAGGATGAAGTGCAGTGGTGTGATCACGGCTCCCTGCAGCCTCAAACTCCTGGACTTGAACAATCCACCCACTTCAGTCTGCTGAGTAGCTTTGTGTCATAGGCCTGTGCCACCACACCTGACTAATTATTTGTAGAGATGGGGTTTTACTATGTTGCCCAGGCTGATCTGAAACTCCTGGCCTCAAGCAGTCCTCCTGCCTGGGCCTTCCAAAGTGCTAGAATTAAAGGCATGAGCCACCATGCCCGGCCAGTTTCTAATTTTTTCTCCACATACTTTTTGATTTGCTCTTCACTGTGATCCTCCTGAAAAATGGCTTTTCATCTATATTTTAAGCATTTATATGGAAGAGTTTAAAGTTTTTAACATCAGAAGCCTGCAACCAATTTTAAATTTATTTTATTGTTATTTTATTGTGGTAAGAACAGTTAACATGAAGTCAACCGTCTTAAATTTTAGGTGCACAATACAGTATTGTTAACAATAGGCACCATGGGGCTGGGCGCGGTGGCTCATATCTGTAATCCCAGCAGTTTGGGAGGCTGAGGAGGGCGGATCATCTGAGGTCAGGAGTTGGAGACCAGCCTGGCCAACATAGTGAAACCCCATCTGTACTAAAAACATACAAAAAGTAGCTGGGCGTGGTAGCATGTGCCTATAATCCCAGCTACTCAGGAGGCCTAGGCAGGAGAATCGCTTGAACCTGGAAGGCAGAGGCTGCAGTGAGCTGAGATCACGCCACTGCACTCCAGTCTGGGCAACAGGAGTGAAAGTCCATCTCAAAAAAAAAAAAAAAATACCAAGAATAAGCACCATGTCACACAGCAGATCTCTAGAGCTTATTCATCTTGCATAACTGAAACCTTATGCACCTTGAATAGTAATTTCTCATTTCTTCCTACCTTCTAGCCACTCGTAACTGCCATTCTACTCTCTGCTTCTGTGAGTTTGACTATTTTAGATTTCTCTGTAACAGATCTTAGGCATGCTGTTCTTCAGCCTCTTATCTCTGCTTTCCTGCCATCACCTCAGTGTTGGCTGTAGTGTTAGAGTGGAGAGAGTGTGTTGGTGTCTGGCTTTATCTCTGACTCACTGAGGTAACTTGGGCCAGTCACCCTGCCTGGCTTGATCTCACTGTCTCCACCTCTAAAAGGGGTGTGCTTAGTCTGTTATATCTACATTCTTTTCAAGGGTTAGTTTCTTTATTTCCTGCAAAAGATTCTAAATTTCTCCACTCTGACTTTTAAGGTTTTTGAGTCAGAAAGAGTTGATGAACTTCCTTGGTGTAACACCCAGATAAGAAAGTGCTCATACGTTTATCAATGTTGTAAATGTAAATGCATAATGGAAAGTCATGTTTAAAGAAATCATTTCACACTAAAATATCTTAATCTTTATGAAAGGTGTGAATAAAATAGTTCTTTAAATGTTTTTAGCAGTTATCCCTGGGACTTACAGGATCGATATGCTCAAGATAAGTCAGTTGTAAATAAGATGCAACAGAAATATTGGGAGACGAAGCAGGCCTTTATTAAAGCCACAGGGAAGAAGGAAGATGAACATGTTGTTGCCTCTGACGCGGACCTGGATGCCAAGCTAGAGGTGAGCTCTTTATTGCTGTCAGCCCCAACACAGCCACCTTGCTAGGATCAAGGTCCTAGAGTATACTCACTGAGGCAGAGCTGGGTGTGCTTTGTATTTGAAAATGAGGAAAATCTAGGATTAGGTAAACTCAATCCCAGCATATTTATTAAAACCTGCAAATTCTCACATAACCACCATGCCTCAGTTACTCTGTATTTTAAGAACATAGTCGCCATGTATTGCCTGTGGTAAATTCTCAGTAAGCGTTTCTTGGGAAAAGGAATGCAGTCAAAGAGCTGCTGCTTGCTGGTCAGAGCTGAGGAGTCAGATTTAGAACACTAGAATCTGGCAAATGTTAAATTTTTTTAAAAGAAGAACTCAGGTAAAACGTCGTGGAAAGTAGAGTCTAATAAGTTTTGTATTGGACCCTGGAAAATTCTAAAATGAATAAGGAGATATTTAGTTAGACTAGTTAACAATATAGTAAGCTGGATTTAGATATGGTTGATCTAGCATATTAATATAAGAAGGCCCACTAACTAACTCCCTGTCTTGCTGGACATTTCTGCCAATAGTTTAGATTAAAATTTTGAAAGCATACCTATCATTTCTATAAATAACAGGGCACTGAGAGGAATAATATCTTAGATGGTCTGATAAGGATTCAAAATGAACTCAGATTTTAATATATACACTAAGGTTAATGAACTGAACATTTAATGGGACTAAAAAAGCCCAAGATTTCAAAAAGTTTTCGGAGTGTCCAGAATGGTGGAAACCATAGTTATTCTACATCAGAGAGGGTTAAGGGGAAATGTTAGTTGTCAATTACTGTCATGTGAAAAGGGATGAGATTGATTCTAAGCACATGAGGGTAGACCAGACCCAGGAAGAACTTTGTAATGTTAAGGCTGCCCCGTGAGAACTGGGCTGCCTTTGAGGTTAGGACTAACCCTGTGAGATGGATCTGGGCTACTATTGTACCTACTATCTGCTGTAACTTTAGGAGAACTATACCCAGTTTCTCATATCCTCGTTTTCTTAATGCATGAAATAGAGATATTAATACCTACTTATTACAGCTATTATCAAGATTAAAGTAGGTAACAGAGTGATGGCTAAGGTTTATTAGTGTTTATAAATATTATACTAACATATTTATAAACATGACTAATGTTTATTAATAATTAATGTTTATGAGTGTGTTTTATGTCTCAGGAACCATTTAGACTGCATTCCATATGGTATCTCTAGTACATAGCAAAGCTCCTGACCCACTGGCCCTGCCTCCCCATCCTGCATTTCCTCTCTCCCACACGCTTACATTGCCCTCACCACCAGCCAGCTATGATGGCCTTGTCTCAGTTCTCAGTCCACAACCAGCCAAGTTCACACCCATCAGAGCATTTGCTGGCTTCCACCTGGACACTGTTTCCCCACATCTTCCCTTCTCATAGTTCAGGTTTCAGCCTAAAGGTCACGCTGTTTCGAGTCACTGCCTGTCCACCCCTGCTCCCCACCTACCCCACCCCTGCTCACTGTCTAACACCTGGCCATGTTTTATTTTATTCGTAGTACTCATCTCTCATTGAATTATCTCAGGTGTTCATCTGTTTGCCCACCTTCCCTCCACTATGAGATCAAATTCCATGTTAGCCTATTCACGACGTATCCCCAGCCACACATAGAATACACATTCAATAAGTACCAACTGAATAAGGGTATGTGTTAGTGCAATTAATATCAGTTCTCAGCCCTTTCCTTCTGCAATTGGAAATTTTGAAATAGAAACTGGGTTTGACAAGGATGTTCTAATGGAGATTTCTGCAATGGAGGAAAGTAGAACCAGGAAGCATCT
This sequence comes from Homo sapiens, assembly GCF_000001405.40. Lineage (NCBI taxonomy): Eukaryota > Metazoa > Chordata > Mammalia > Primates > Hominidae > Homo > Homo sapiens. Next base: position 8,230,749 of record NC_000007.14, on the reverse strand, counting down.
GTTTCGATTGTTATATTCTAAGTACAGTGTAAATTATTATAAGCATATATGCTTTTTATATCTCATAGTATTTTCTTCTTAAGAACCTAGTAAATACATGCATTATTCAAAAGGTAATTTAATATGTTAATTACAAATATATTAAACATTATATTTTGGCTGAACCAAATGTACCTTAATCAAAATAGCTGCTGTCCTAGGTATGTAGCATCCATTGTACTTAGCTGTGACAAATAATTTAGCACATGATAGAGGTTTCTGTTGCAGAAATGTTAATACTGATGTTGATGTTTATAGAGAGGATGGATTCCATCCATGAAATATACAAAAATGATGTGAAAACCTCTTTGATGTTCGTACCTTGAGTTATCCATAGAAGGCTAACTTATAAACCAAGAAGTTTTATTCTTCTGGCACAGAAAACTTGTGTTCCAAGCTATAATATTGGTCAGATTCTATTGCAATCTGTTGGAAAGTTAATATAGAAATATTGCGCTGAGTTTTAATATTTGTCCACGTTGCTTGCTAATGAAATCCTTTTCTGAAAAACAGCTCTTCAGTACAATAACAGACAAAAGTAATCTCTGCTGACAGAAGTCTTCTTGCCAGAGTCACTGTGCCACAGCAGAGTGGACTGATTAGATGATGGAAATGTTTCTTATCTTGCCTTGGGCATGATTATGTTAGTATATATAATTGTCATAACTCACAGAACTGAACACTCCAGAGCTGTGCACTGTAGTGCATTTAATTTATACCTCAATTTTTAAAAAGTGAACAGTAACAACAGAACAACTCCTAAACATACTTTTTGAACGTCCTTGCTCCTATATTCAGGAAATACTATGTGTTAGTGGGTTTTGATCCAGAATACTGATATAAAACACTTGCTAAGGGACAGATTCAGACTGCTGATTTTCTCTTTTGTTTTATGGCTCTTTACTAAACAGGTGGAAGATGCAATTTAACAAAATGAGAATTAGCAAATTTATATTCTTTATAACCAAGTTTTATATGAAGCATTCCTAGAAATGGTTTAATGTTTTAAGTATATATGCATGCATCTGTTTTTATTAATTTAGTCATATTTATAATGAAACAGATCATCTGTGTTCACGCAAATGTAGAAGTGCTTTATGATACCAATATATAATTTCTGCACCACCATAGCCAGTGAACTAGGAGAGAGAAAGAGGGAAAACCTTGCCCTGCCTTACTGAGTGGCTCTACAGAGGCAAGATGTTTATCTTCCAGGTTTTCTCATTGATACCATATCTGGTCCCTAAGTTAGTGGGCAAAGGGTGGAGAAAGTGTGAAGTCTGTTCTGTCTTTTCTTGAGCTATCTCAGTTTCTGAAACAAAGGCTGGAACCGCCACGCATTGAAATCAAGTTAGATTCTTCTCAGCACAGCCCCATCTGCCTATCCCCCAGTTTCCGCTAGTATGGCCACAGCATGGCATTATATTTTCTCTCTGTATGGTTTATGAAATTGTTGGGAAAATAAGGAGTGATGGGGACTGCTTGCCCAACATCATTTTATCAGATGTTTTCTAAATAGACAGGACATCCAGCTGATTGATTTTGTTTGCTTTATCCAGTTGTTTAAGCATGCCATAAAATACATTAGGATCACAAAATAAGTTAACGTCATCTTTTAAATATGCTTAATTGACAGATCCCCCATTAAAAAAAAACCACAGCAAGTGGTGAAAGGAATAAATTTGATTATGAATGAATATTGGGTCTCTGGTTTACCAAGTCCTCTAACTAGGCCCTTCACTTAGGATGTCTGTTTTTTGTTTTTCAGCTATTATTTCAGTAGACTGGGAGAAATAACTGTTCTGCAGATCTTAATTTAGATCACAGAGATGATGAATTCCAATAAATACAGAATAATAGGAGATATTTAAAGGCTTTGGTCACAGTTTCTGTATAGTACACCGCATAACACTAAGCATACTTAGACATGTGGTCTTGTTTTTGGCAAATTGAACACTCTGGTTGTGTTCAATGTAATTATTTTTTATCTCACCACTGTCTGTTTTATTTTGCATTTTGTTTGTATTTTTATTACAGCTGTTTCATTCAATTCAGAGAACCTGTCTGGACTTATCGAAAGCAATTGTACTCTATCAAAAGAGGATATGTTGTAAGTATGACATCAGTATGAATATTGATCAAATAGTAAGAAATAGCAGGGTATTTTGTCTTGATACATCATTTCATATGCTTAGGAAACTAAGAGTGTTTGTCTGTGTCTTCAGGCGTTGGGAGGAGAGTCTCTAATAATTTTACCAATAATATACATAGCTTATTTATCTTTCAAAGCAAGTATCATATTAGGAGAATTCTGTTTGGATCTCCCATGGATATGGACATGCCATTTATTTTCCCAATTATAAAAGAGTTTTCTCAGTTTGTATCTTGGGCTTTTTACCTTCAGGTTTTTTTTTAATGTGATTATCTTCACTCTCTGATATCCAATTTTGTTCCTTTTAAGATAAGAGACAGAAGGCACATACAGTTGATTTGTTGATGACATTTTGTTGACAACATTTCTTCATGAATGTTTTTTGCATTGGATATTAGGTTCCTACAGAACAATATTTTCATATAGTCACACTGTTTTAAAAGCATTAACAACAAAGTTATCTCTGAAATACTAAATATCAATTATGTGTTTGTACATTTTTAAGTTTCCATTTGTAGGTCATTTTAATAATATAATGTATATATTTTTGAGACTAGACTATGGGAAGTCTTTCTGTTGCTGACTGCTGCCAAACCCCTTTTCAGTAATCACAAATTAATAATTGGTCATTTTTCTACATCAGTAATATTTTATTAAGACAATCATTTTGGTAGGCTGGGTGCATTGTCTGACATCTGTAATCCCAGCATTTTAGGAGGCCAAGGCAGGAGGATCACTTGGAGCCAGGAGTTTGAGACCAGCCTGGGCAACAAAGTGAGACCCCCATCTCTACAAAAAATAAAAACACTTAAAAATTATCCGGGTACCGTGCATGTGCAGTCCCAGCTACTCAGGAGGCTGAGGCAGGAGGATCACAGTGACCTATAATGAGCCGTTGTGCTCCAGCCTGGGCGACAGAAGGTGAGATCTCTTAGAAAAAAAAAAAAAAAAAAGACAACTACTTCAGGAAAGTCCAAAATCATTGTATGTAGAGGCAGTATTTTATAAATTATCTATGTTAGTATTTCCTAAGTGTTTGAGGTAAGACTTCTCCAGGGCTCCACCTCCAGGTCTTGATCTGTGAGCAAATTAAGACACATGACCGCCACTCCCCCATTTATCTTCCCCACATTCAGTCAGTCTCAAATGCTGGTATTTTGCCTCCTAAATAGCTCGCAGATTCTCCTTCCTCTCTCCATCTTCTCTGCCACTACCTTGGTTCAGGCCACCACCATTAGTCTCTCACTTGGTTTACTAACCATTTTCCTCACTGATCTTGCCTCCACCTCTGCTTTCTCTAGCCTATTGTCTGCACTGCTTTCAATCAAAGTACACTTTTAAACCCGATCAGATTCTTCCTTGGCTTAAACCTTGTGTTCTGGAAACTATTGGTCAAACTCCTTCTTACTATACCCACCATCCCCCTAGCACTCACCATGAAATGAATCATTTTCATTGTTATGGTAGAAAACAAAATAATTTAGAAAATTGTAACTTTATTTTTTTAAGTAAGTCACATGAAGTTGGTGTGTCCACTTTTCATTAAACAATATATATTGTAACAAGGGAAGAAAAGAAGGATGCTTGCATATTTCCTGTAAATAGTGATTCTCTAAACAGAAATTATGCTTCCTACGTATATTAGTGTTTCTAAAAGAATATAGAGGAAAAACTTCCCCCTAAACCACCTCAGATTAGTTAATAGAATTATAGTTGAACACCATGAAGGCTCATAATTATCTTGTAATATAAAGGGTTAGAATAATGTCCCCACCGTTGAAGCAGTCACCTGGTTGTGCCAGCAGAGCTGGCTGTGGATGGTAGATAAGCCCTTTTATGTCTACCCGCTAAGCTCACATGAGCCATGCCATCTCAGCAGAGACAGGAAGGAGGAGTTCTGCCCTGTGTGGACTTGAAAGAGATCCCAACTTTGATGGAAGACTAAAAATAGTGTGGTTAATTTGAGGATGTTGCTATGTAGCTGTCAAAGACACAAAAATGAGGAAAATCTGTGAACTAATATGGAGTGATTTGGAGGATATGCTTTTAAGTGAAAGAAGCAAAACATAAAAGCGTATCTATAGTATGCTATCCTTCATGCAAGCAAGAAGGTGATATAAAATATAAATGTAAAAAAAGGTAATATATGGAGAGTGTGTGTATTACCATTTTTTTACATTGCATCACATTTTACCATCTATATCTATATCTATATCTAGAGAGCAAGCCTGCTCATTGTGCAAAGGAAATTTAGGAAGGATAAACCAGAAACGAAAGAGACTGGATACCAGTGGTGGATGAGGAGTGGGGAAGGGTTGGAGAGGAGGGAATGAGAATGGAGGAGCAAAGGTGAAGAGGGAGCTATGAGATACCTTCCCATAGCTCTGATTCATAAAACCATAGTAACATTTCATAGACTCAAAAAATACTTAAACCCAGCCAGATGTGGGAAAATCTAAAATGGAATACAAACAGTAGCAAATGAACCTGATTGCATTATAAATGAATAACATTGTCACAGTGATCAGAATCAGAAAAAAAAAGAACTAACCTCAGTAGTTTTGGAACATAATTATTTTTAACTAGATACTGAGGCTAAACACAAAAATAATTATACATGGAAGCCGTACTCTCATTGGTAAATTTGTTTCTTATAGGAATATGGGTTAGCAATGCTGAAACTACATTATGCAAATATTGAAGTTGAATAGATAAGATATTGCAGATGATGAGAGCCAGGTTTCTCACTCTGTACTTTAGAAAGAAGTTACAGATAAAAGGAGAAGCTAGAAGGAACACTGTGGTGTTGCACTGTCATCAAAGGTGCCACTATGAAGCCATTGTTTTTAATATCTATACAGATAGATACATACAGAAATAGATGCAGATGAGGGTGTATGCATGGGTTAGTGTACATTCATATATTTCCTGCTTCTGTGAGCTGACATGACCTAGAAGCACTAACGCTCCATAGCAGTGAGTACATCTGGCACCCAGATCTTGCTTTCTAAATACCTTTTCCCAGTAAAAGAAATGCTCCTTGGAGAAGTGGTTGATTCTAGGATTGGGGCAGGGAAAATTCAAGATGCACCTATATTGTTTGTAGCACTAGAACATAAGGAAGTGCTTGAAAAAGGATATGTTGAAAGGACACAGGTGCAAACCTGTGATCAAAGCTGGCACAATTTGAGCAACAAACTAAATAATGACAGTTTTGAATTATAACCCATAGAATAAAATTAATTTCCCTTAAATCTATATGAAGAGAGAGAGATAAATGGTGGAGAAGGGACAGCTTTTTCTCATAAAATAATTTCAGTTAATTAATAGAAAGAATGAGGGAACTACAAAATCACCATTAGGCAAACACCACAGTGAGAATTGTGACAGGTGAGATTCACTGAAGAGTGTTAGAATTAGTGAGTGAAAGTTTGAGGAGAAAATGGACATTTGCATTGTCTCATGTATTCCCCCGAAGATCTGTAATGATTACAAAAGGAAAAAAACATTCTTAACTTTGCAGTGGAGAAACCCAGCAGATACCTCCTTAACCAAGTGGTTGAGCTTGACATCATGAGTGATGAGGAACACTGATGTCATGTAACCTCTGATGCTGTGCACTAAGAAAGACACTTCACCATTGTGTATCCTTCCCAAATATCTGTAACCACAGTCTAATTCTGAGAAATCAGACAAACCAAATTGAGGCACATTCTACAAAATATCTGACCAGTACTCTTAAAATATGTCAAAGTCATGAAAGATAAAGACTAAGGAACGGTCACAGATTTAAGGAAACTAAGGACACTCAATGTTTTGGTGCCAGGTGAGACCCTAGATTGGATCCTGTAACAGAAAAAGAATGTCAATGAAAAAACTGGTAAAATTCAAATAAGGGCTGTAGGTTAGTTGATAGTATTATACCAGTGTTAATTTCCTAATGTTGATTATTGTGCCATGATTATGTAAAATGTAAATATAAGGGGATGCTAGGGAAGAGTAAGTACTAGGGGATGTTAGGGAAATGTATACAGGAACTCTATATACTGTTTGTAATTTTTCTGTAAGTCTATCATTATTTCAAACTAAAAGGTTTAATACATGTAAATTGGATCACATTGCTCCCCTACTTTTAAAAGCCTCCAATAACACATAAAATGGAATCCGACTCCCATTCTTATACATAGGACGTGATCTGGCCCCAGTTCACCTCTTCAGTCACCTTTTCCCTTGTCCACCAAACTCCCAAGGCCTTTTGCACTGGGTGTTCCTGCTGCCTGGAAGGTCCCTGCTCTCATAGTCCCAAGGCTATCGTCATTCAGAACTCAGCCTAATGGTCAGCTGCTCAGAGATGCCTTCCCTGATTACCTTGTCTAAGGCACCTACTGACCGCTCACTCTTAACTCCCCATCTCTCATTGCTCTGCCTGGTATTTTTCTTTTTTGTGTTTCGTGTTTGTGATTATGTTTTATTTTCTATCTCCTGCTGCTTGAATATAAGCTCTGTAAGTGTGGGGAACTCCTTTATCCTCTTCATCACTGTATTCCAGTGGCAAGAACTGTGCCTCGTATGTGTTGGATCATCCATAAATCTGTGCTGAGTGAGTTAATGCTGTCCAGCTAATTAATTTCATAGTTCCATAGTTGCCTTGTTTTTAACGGCACATCTGAAAACCTAATTAGCAAGTAAATATAAAAATGTTTTTGTCTCTGAATTCTCAAGTCCCAGATAATTGAAACCTTATTAATAGAACATTTTGAGTTATCTTTTTTTGTTTTTGCTTTCTTCTTGTAATAGAGACAGGGGTCTTGCTATGTTGCACAGGCTGGTCTTGAACTCCTAGTATCAAGCAATCCTCCTGCCTCTACCTCCCAAAAGTGCTGGGACTGCAGGTGTGAACCACCACACTCAGCCCTTTTGCGTTACCTGATACCTATGTTATACCTGAATTTTAAACTTCTGTAAGTTAATTTCAGTATTTGAATTTTTAAAATTAAAGAATGACCATCCCTTCTCAGAAAATCTAACCTTGACCCTGATGGAGCTCACACTTCTTTCCACTGCCCTCTGAGTAAGTATTGCCAAGTAATCAGAGTCAGCACCTAAAATGAAACCTGTTTGCTGCCCCAAGTTGATCCACAAGTGCCTAAAATGACCGAAAATTATTTTTAAATGTTTCAGCCTACTTAGGTTTATTTAGGAAAGAGTACATTTTGTCAACCATGTAATTATTCAGGTACCACAAATTGGTTTCTTCCTAGCCTTAAGCTAAATGCATTCATTTGTATGTGACTTGAGACTTCAAGGTAAAAAGGGTGACAGTAGCCTCACACGATTAAGATCAAAAATGAGACATTGCTTTCCATAGGGAAAGATTCATTGTGGAATTGAGTGAGGCACATATTAATCAGTGGGGAGGAGAAGGAATGGAATGTATTAAAAAACAAAAAACCTTCTTATAATTATAGGAATTTTAAAAAGCTACATAGAACCATGGCGTGAGTATTAAAAGGCAATAAGTATTTCAACTGAAATAAAGTGTATGAGGATAACAAGGCAAAATTGTAGTCAATTCAATTCACAAGCATTTAATTAGCACCGTGAATTTAAGACTTTATGCTCAGCCTGGGGAATACAAAGTTTGGGTGAGATCCCTGTCTTGGAAAGCTTAGAGCCCCCTGGGGAAGAGAGACACATGCCCAGTCACACAAGGTGAGTGCTAAGTCAGGTGCCCAGAGAGCACTGCTGTCCGGAGAAATAGGGATCAATTGCTTCACAGAGAAAGGAACCTGCGAGCAGGCCTTTGATGGTGAACTTGATTTTTGAGAGACAGAAGAGAAGCAGGGTCATCATTTATCTCTCAGGAAAAATGGATTCTAAAAGCCTCTTCTTGACTGGGCCTTCCCAAGGGAATGTTTAGGGTGAAACTATAGTCACAAATTAATAAGGTAGCAGTATCGAGTTTAGCCTTCACCTTTGGATTTGTGGTTCCTGCCTAATGTCCTACAATTATTGTTAGTGAGATTATGTCAGGAATGGGGGTGCATTCTTAAAGAAAAGTGACTGGTTTGTGAAAGCTGACAAGAATCCTAGTAGCATTTAGAAAGCAGTTTTAGAGACACAGGGTATGTAAATACATCAATACAGAAATAGGAAATAAAAGTAGTGTTCAAAGTATGTTGATAGTAAATGCTGTGTTTAGGGGGAAAGCACATCCGAGGAAGCTAAGTGTCACTCTGGTGCCTGTGGCTTGGCTGCTGGTGTGTGTTCAGGACCCCCACTGTACCATTATGTGGGTATGCTGTATTTTATTAAACTAGTTCCTAGTATAAGGAGAGTGTTTCACTATTATAAATAATGATGCTATGATTGTTTTTGCATTTACATCTTTGTGCCCATTTTGCTACTTCCTTAGGAAGTTCTCCTAACAGTAGACATGGAGAGTCCAAAGATACATGTAATTCTATGATTTTTTAAATGTTTACCGTCAAATCAGTCTGCAGAAAGCTTGCACCAAATCACTTACCCACCAATAATACCATCTGAGGTTGTCTTTAAAAATAAGGCCAAGATTAGGCATCACCAATTCAGATTTGGTTCCAGCTCTGTATTTTTAAAACCCACTGTCATCAACCTGATGACCTCCCCACCCTCCGTCCCTACCCCCACTTCCAACCAAAAACCTGTGTCACAGCTGAGGTATTTGAATTGCTTTACAATGGAATAGAATGTAACTCAAAAAGCAGAGATCAAAAGTCAGCAGGAGAGAATAATGAGAGGCAGCTAGCACTGCATCCTAGGCAGCCACAAAAGATTCCCACAGTCATACTTGACAAACCCAACTCCTTTATTTCAGCTCGAAGCCGCACACTATGGGCTTACGTTTCAGTACAGAGGTCATTTTCTAGTTCTGATTACAGGGCACCAAACTCACTGACAGATGTATTCAAGTGAATTTGATCTCTCGTATTGTAAATGGAAGAACAGCCTGAAAGTTAAATGGGGGGTAGGGGGAGCTTACCCTGTAGCCTGCCGCTTAGATTTAATTTCATCTCGTCTTCGCCTCTGGAAGAGAGAGGACCTTGTGATTTGTCTTTCTTGTTCCCTTTGCAATCAAAATGCTCATTGTTCATGGCTCCTTTTGGTCTTTTCTTCATCAGTCTTGTCTCAAGAAGAAAACGAACTGGGAAAATTTCTTCGATCCCAAGGTTTCCAAGATAAAACCAGAGCAGGAAAGATGATGCAAGCGACAGGAAAGGCCCTCTGCTTTTCTTCCCAGCAAAGGTGTGTGGCCTTTAGTGGGGTTCTATCTGGGGGGATCTGAGGAGACTCCGGGACCCACCTACTCACGAAAGGGAATCTCACAGTGTTCTTTAGAAGGATTTTGCCTGAGGCTGAGGAGCTGCTCTGTACTCACTAGTTAGGCAGTTTGTACTTAACTCTCTAATTAAGATTAACACATAGGATTTTTTTTTCCTCCCTATTAATTAAAAAAAATTTTTTTTCATTTTTCTGTTGGTCTGTAGGGGCATTATATATGTCAATCACTATGAGTGCTGTCCTAGGCTTATGTTTGACCTTCAGTGTTGCTTGTAGCAATCAGTCTGGTCCCCTTCCAGCAGCTGATTAAAGCAGGAGCCTAATGAGACCAGGTTGAAGGGTTCCCTCTCTGCTCTCTGTGGACCAATTAACTTCAGAGAGGTGCTGTTCTCATGCCCAGGTCCACACTGCTCAGACCCTGGACCATAACCCGGGAGTGTGTTAGAAATGCAGAATGTAGGCCCTACCCCAGACATGCAGGATCCACATCCACATTTTAACTAGACCGCTGTTGTTTTGATGTAAATTCAAGTTTGCGAAGCTCTGGTACAGGGAAAATTGTGGTAGATGAGTGGCATTTTTTTTTAACACAACCGTGACTCATTTTTATGGTGGATGTTAAATAAGCAGGAGCCCCTGCACACAGTCACTCTCTGCGCCTGAGAAAAGTGACACTCCTCCTCGTTCCCTTCTCTCCCAGTAACTAACAAACCCCCAAAATGTCACTCACTAGTAGTAGGCAGAATGTAGGTAGTTCCCACAAATATTCAAGCTATAGAAATTTCACTTACTCAAATTGTCCAACATTTTCTTCTGTTAATGTCTCCTTGCTGCTTTCCCTCCGTGTGGGCCAAGAGCAGGCCAGCAGCATGGTACATGGTTGTTCCTTTGAAAACCCAAGAAAGAGGAGGAAAAAAGAGACCTGCTGTGTCTGTTTTTCAGTGATGCCTTCTCCTGGGCATTTTGGTTCTTCCTGATGACATTTGGACCCTGACTTTGGGGGCAATGCCAACTTTTATGCTTGAATGAAACCATTTCTAGTAGTTCTCCACACATTTCCCAAGAAAGGTATTTGTTTATCATCTTAAATCTTACCATTTAGTATTATTTATAATTTTTCTATGTAAAAATACATATTCATTCTAGAAAAATTTTAAAATAGAGACAAACCAAAAAGTGAAAATTAAAAAGCAACTAAAATTTTTACTAATAAAATGATCTACTTTTAACCTCTTAATAGATACTTTCTGTGCATATAGGACCTTTTCCAACCTTGCAAGAATAATTGATTCCTAAAAAAATATTTCATAGAGTAAGTTGTCATGTGTTAAACATATAATTATCACTAACTTCAGTGAGAAAAATTCTTAGGCAAAGGAAGAGAAACAAAGAATCTAGAAATGAATAGAATAGTTAGGGAGATAGCTGAGGACTCTTGATGTCTTTAAGTAGAAGTCATCAGTTACACAAACCTTCACACCAGTGTTTGTTTTACAGACTTATTTGGTAGTCATTGCAACAGCCATATATTCTATTTGATGAAAGGTGAGTATTAAATTAAACCAACAGGGATAACAAGCTTACTTTATGGCACAACAATGTCTTTGAAAATAATCTGCAACATCTAGGTAGGACAGTGTGAGCAGGTTATTCTTATACAAGTACTCAATATTTAAAAACAATACTTTACAGAGAAGAAGAAAACTAGGGGAAATAGTAAAAGGAAATTTTTTCTTAAATAGTTCATTGCACCATTTGTAATCTTACCGTGCTACACGCACGTAAGGCATTGCAGACGTTGATGGAATTTCCAAAAGCTGACTTCAGTTCACTGACACCATTGTTCCCTTTAGCTAAATAAGTTTGCATTTAAATTGAAATTTAAATATTCATTTTTTGGCACCTGTGCCCTGAAACTTCATGAAGAAGAGTATATTTTAAGAGTATAATTCATCTGACATTGCTCATTTTTGGGTAGGGAGATGGAAGAAGCAGTGTTTTTCCCCAAGATAAGTATTTTATCCAAAGTTTAATATGCCTTAAATGTTTTTTGGCTGGGTAAAGGGCATATGTTATAGCCAACATTATAATAATTTTACACCTACTTCATCACTTTCATTTCTGGTATAGTATCCTCAAGGTTTTTTTAACAAGGATTAAATCATGTAACCTATCTGAAAGTGCTAACACACGACAGCCTCTCAGTAAATGTGCTGGTCCCCCTTCCTATACCATTTCAAAATGCTTCTGCTCATATTTCATTCCTCTGTGACTATTGGAGTGAGCAGCAGATGCCTTGGCCTTTGGAGAGTGATCTAAAATGGCCTAGTCGGAGAGATGCTAATCACATACGCTCCATTCCTCCTCAAAGGGCCAAATGTAGAAATGGGCAGTGGTCATGCCTTGGCCATCCTCCATGAACACGGGATTGGCCCCAGCTTCAAATGAGCACTCAGCCCAGGCTCAAGACCACCCCCAACAACGCGGATGGAGGTGCTTGCCAGTGGTCCAGTTAGTAGCAGTAAACTAAGGGATGGGTACATGGATAATCTTCTCTGGCTGACTAATCAGTTGGAACTACATGCATTTCGATTATTATTCAGCAAATATTGATGGAGCATCTTCTACATTCCAGGTACTGTTCTAGACTCACGAGTCTAAGATTGGCAGAATGTCAAGGATTTAAATTGCTCACTGGCTTAGTTTTGAGAGTGTGGCTTTGTCCTCTTGTCTAGGTTGGCCTTACGAAATCCTTTGTGTCGATTTCACCAAGAAGTGGAGACTTTTCGGCATCGGGCCATCTCAGATACTTGGCTGACGGTGAACCGCATGGAACAGTGCAGGACGGAATATAGAGGAGCACTATTATGGATGAAGGACGTGTCTCAGGAGCTTGATCCAGACCTCTACAAGCAAATGGAGAAGTTCAGGAAGGTAGGAGGTTTTATGAGGGTTAGCAGAAGGGGTACCTGCTGGAAGGTAATGAGGTGTGATTTGAATCCCTCTGGTGAAGAAGACATAACTCAAAAGCACCAAGGATGCAATTAATCATCGCTGGTGTCTTTTTATGTGACAGAATACCAATTAATGTGATACATAATTCTCTAAAGGATAAGATAGAAGAGACAGCTGGAAATTGCTGGGATTTCATAACTGCTTTTAATTGAAGTCAGATTTTCTTATAATGTGCACTTTTTGTAAGATTGTCACATTTAAATGCCTTTTCATGCATAACTAAAAATCAAGATTAGATCAAATGAATCTGGGAGGTTAGAACAGACTACTGGGGAAATCTTTTAAAATCGCTAATGCATATTAAAATTAATAGAATAATAATGCTCCTTTGTTTTGCGATATGTTCAGAAGCAGTGGGGTTTAGTTGCAGGGTTAACTCATGCAGCATTCCTCAGAAATTTTTCTGAGGAAAATATGTGGCTGAAGAGATGGCTATGCTCTTAAAGATTTGGATATGCACTGAAAGATTTGGTGAGCAGTAAAGAACAATCTTGTTGGTTTTTTAATTGTGTCAATTTAGCAGTTTGATTTTGTCATACAAGAATACATCACACCACTAGGTGGCAGTCTTACACTGAATATTTATGAAAATGCAGCGAGATTTTTGTTGTGTACAATCTTGGTAGTTCTTTGTTTGGTCGCCTGGATATATTTCAGAGTGTGAAAGAAAAAAGAATCAGCCAAATGTTAGGCTTGACATAATATTGTGTCAACTGTCTTACTCACTTCAAATGATCCATTTGTAATTGTGATATTGCTTAAAATCCCTAGATTTCTTATTATGTACATTATTGCAGAGCTACAAATAGAACCATCACTTGCGTTGGAGGTTAGCTGTGTAGAGGTGGAGGGAAGGAGGGACCTTCTGGTCCTTAAGAATACGGTCACCAATTCTTGACCTAGATATAGATTGATTTCTTTAAAGTCAAGTTTTATCTTGGTTTGTGATTTAGAACCCTTCCCTCTGAAGAGAAAGCAGGGTCCATTTTATTTCTGATCGCAGATGTTCTTCATGTGTCAGCAACATCTGACTTCTTCAAAAGGTAGGCTTCTGAATCATAGAAAATCAGGACTAAAAAGGCTGCTCATGATCCTCTGGTGAAACTCGCTCATCTTATAGAAGAGAAAAATCAAAGCCCCAAAATTGTAAATAACATTTTTAAAGGATTGCTAGCTAGATGCTGGTGAGCCCAGGCTACTTTTGAAGTTTTCTAACTTTCTAATCAGGCCAATAATTTGGTTTGTCTTTAGCACTTTATTTGAGGGTTGAGGAGAATGAAGAGGGTGAAAAAAATTGCCTGCAGGGCAGAGTGCTTATCATTTGTATCTGTTGCCTCCTTTACTCCTCACAATAACCAAGACACCGATTTTATTTTATAAGCGAGGAAAATGATACCCATGTTAGGAAATTAGCCCAAGATCAGAGAGGTAAATGAGAGTCAGAATCATTCAAAATACACATAATTTTCTTCTCTAAGAGAGAATACCTAAAATTGAAAAAGGCCTTTCATACTAATTCCTCTCTTGTGATTTATTCACTCAATTAATATTTATTGAACACCTCCTATGTGCCAGGTAATAAAGATAAATATATGATTATTCTGGAAGGCAGAAGAATTTTATGTGGAATTTTTTTTTTGGTTTTGTTTTGTGGGGGTGGTTACTAACTGTAAGGACGAAATAAAAACCAAGCCCGTTCGTCATTTGGTTTGAGTGTTGAAACATTACCCATTCCTTGGTGTCATCAGTCTGTTGATTTTGGAAAACATGTTTTTTTAAAAAAAAATCCTTTGCCATGCAGAAGTTGCTGAAGCCTTACTCCCCAATCCCATGTGTGCTGGATTCAATTTAACAGCTAAACATGGTGTACTTAGAATCTTTTTTTAAATAAGCCTGTCTTCAAGTGTATATTTGATTAGACCAGACTCTCCACAAGGACAGAAACCATGTTGGGGATCTTCACAGCCATCACCCCAGGGCCAGTCCAGCACTTGACCCCAAATGAGCACATACATAACAGATGACAAGATTCCAGGCACTGATTTGGAAGTGCCACACCCATGTTTTCTCAAACCTGTAGGGCATTCCCGCCATTTGCAGCTGACCTCATGATGTTTTGGAAATTGACTTATGTGGTTTTGCAGGTAAGAAGTTGCGTTATTAATGTGAGGCTTGCTGCCCTCTTTAGAATGAATTTAAATTGTGGAGTTTTCCCTTCACTTGGAGTTTACAACATGACATTTAACTTTGAGCAAGCTTTAGTGTTTTGTCCCAGTAGGATTCCATTTTAAACAGAGTCTCCATTTCTCTCCCAGGGATGTGTTACCTAAACGTGTTTCTGAGTCATCTAGGAGAGCTATCCAGCTGCAAGTGGCTCCTCAGGAGTGACTGTGGGAGGGGGAGTTTCAGTCTCCTCGGGGCCGGCTGCCACCTTCACGTCTTAAAGGATGAATCCTGAGCTAAAGTAGTATTTTGCTATAAATTCTCTTTTTTGAGTTCACACTTTCTGGTGGAGACAAAATTCTAATTCATACCTCATGGATGTGATCTCCCTATTTGGATTCCTTAGTATCCACTCATTCATTTATTTGTCCATTCAACAAATGATATTGAAGCTGGGCCCTGTTCAGGCAGCATCCAGGGGAATACAGCAGTAAGGAGGCAGATTGATCATTGCCATCTTGTCTTGTGCAGTCATCTGTGGATAGAGCAAGTAAACATAGTACAGCATGGTGAACAGTAGTGTCTGTGGTGGCGCATGGTGAACAGTAGTGTCTATGGTGGCACGTGGTGCTGCAGGAGCTCCTGGAAGGGGCTTCCTGGAGGAGGTGGCACTAAACAAAATGTGAAGGATGGGTAGGAAAGAGCTGGGTAGAAGGAGTAGAAGCAACAGAGCAGCATTCCTGGCTGAGAAAGCAATTTACGAAAGGCCTTTTAGGGGAAAGGAGCAGCGTGCTTAGAACCAGAGCACAGAAGGTGAGGTGAGTGTGGAGATGGGGGTGCCCTGACCATGGGGTTAGAAAGGGAGACAGGACTGGAATAGAAAAGACACCGCTCTAAGGGGACGGAGTAGTGGGAGGGTGTAGGGAAGGCAGGAGGCATGATCAGGTTTGTGTTCTTTGTAAGGTGGAGAAGGGATTGCGAGGGCCTAAGCTTGGAGGCTGGGAGAACTACTGGGAGGCTTTTACACAAACCCGGATGAGACATAAGGTAACCATGAAATGAAGGGGGAGGTAGACCAGAGAGAAATGGGCTGTTCTGACCTCTACCAGATTCCGTGGTAGCACCACTTTAATTGCTGAGCTCTTCATTGTCTTTAGAAATAAGTAGAATAAGCATAAATAAATCGCAAGTTCAAGTGTATTTTCACTTCCAACCAAGGCTTTTTTCATAGTGTCTTCAGATTGCCAAGAAACCTTTTAAATAGCACACAGTGAGCATGACTGAAATGATGAATGAAAAACCTGAAGTTAAACAAAGCAATCTGTTTTCCTTCTGGCACCCTGTGAAGCACAGAGGCCTGACGACAGAGCTCTCAACATCAACATTAAGAGCATTTATTAAGTGTCTGTGTCGGGGGTGGAAATACAAAGAGGTGGGAAAGCGTGAGTCCAGCCTTCAAGAAGGACCCTGCCAGGCATCTGCTCCTTGTCAATATGACCATGAGGGACGGGATACCTGGAGAGTGTGGCTGCACATAGCTGTTCTCAAGACCAAATACATAATAGGAAAAGGTGGATGGATTTAAAGGGGCAGGGCTGAGCTGTGTGCAGTTGGAAGTTCCTCCTGACAGCGTGATTCACCCCAAGACCACGAGGTATTTTATGAGCAAAGTTACAACGTGTGATATATGTGCTCTTTGAAGGCAGAGTAAAAGGGTATGATTTAAAAGTAGAAGTCAGCTTCTTGTAGCAGATTACATCAGCTGAAGTTGTGAGCTTGCTGCAGAGCTTTCGCAGCCTGAATGCCCTTGAGAGAGTCCTCCTGTGGTCAATTAAGTGTCTTGTTTTTCTTGAAAGTCAGAAATGGGATGGAGGGTAATTATTCTAAATGGGATAAAAGCTGTGTTAGGTGTAAGAAAATAGTCCTGAATCCTCTAAAGAGATAGTATAGAAATGTATACGTGGGCATTTATAGGAGTCTGAGTCCTCATAGACAAGGACAAGCGGACCAGTGTTTTAATGAGGGCCATTTATTAAACGGCTAATGAAATCCTACAGCATTTGTCTAGTGTTTCATCACCATAATTCAAAAGGATAGCTAAAAGGTATTATAGGAAATGAGTGATACTCACTGGTATTTGCAGGTGCGTATCTATTTAAAATAGTGTTAGGTTTTGGAGACTGTTCATGCACTAATCATATTATCAAAGGATATGTGGTGAGAAGGTTTATTAACAAATGTTGGTGGCTTACTCGGTGGGACCTTATTAGGGCCATCAGTCAGTGGTGCTCCGGTGTCCTGATTGTGAAGGTTTGGGTCTATGGCACTTGGTCAAGGACTGGTAAACAGCAGTATTGATATGGGGGATGGGTTTCCTGTGAACAAAGACTTGGGTTAATTAATTTGACAGTATCATTAATTACTGCTGAAATCATTGGTTTTTGTCAGAGGTCAGGCTCTTTTAGCAATTGAGGGCAGGTCCCATGAGAGTTGGAGACACTAAGTAATGCAAGAGTGTCACTGCTCAACCATCTCAGGCTGTAGGACGAAGGCCTTTCCTTTCTGCCTGGGCCATTCAGCTCTCTGGATTAAACCAGTTTCTGCTTTACTTCAGTGTCTAAGGTAGGGCTGGGACACCTCCCCCTATGCCAGTGAGTTGTGTTGAGTGAATGGGGAACATTTCCAGTTTGGATCCATACAGTGAACCAGTGTTAAATGTTTAAGCGCTAATATCTCTCAGGACTTTGCTTAATTCATATATAAAGGAGGTAGGGTAGGGGGCTTATTCCATTATCTGCTCTTCCTCTGCTAATTCTAGAATTCTATACAGTGGATTGAGTTCTTTTATGAGGAGAATTTCTTTTGTAAAACTAATGCTCTCTTAAATGTATTTGTTTCATAACTCGCCATTTTCATTTGTAGGTTTTGTTGTGTGCCTGTTGTTTGGGTTTGGTTGTTTAACTGGGGTGCCTGTTTTTTGTGGATTCAAGTAGATTGACTCTAGCTGCCAAACCCCACCCGTGGGTTGCTGCTTTTTTAGAGTATGTGAATGCCGAAGGAAAAGCCTGCTGTTTTCACATGGCACAACTTGGAAGGGAACAAACAATTACACCCATGCTTCCAGTTCTGAATTGGATGAGATGAGGCTTTGGATGAAAGCCTCATCTTTATTGATTTTCCCCATGGAACTTGGTAAATAGCAAAAATTAGCTTTAGGGTGAAGCCAAGACCATTTAAAATAACATGCATGAAACAGATAACTTGCAGAGCTGGTGGCTGGCTGGCTGCTGCTCCTGACTGGAAATGGAGAGGAGGAAGGAGCGTGACCTCAGAGTCAGGATGGTGCTACACTCCGTCCCCGCCCTTGCTGACACCAGCTGTGACCACTTGGATAGGTCCGATAGGCCTATTGCAGTTTTCTCATCCACTGAAGGTGATTGCTGAGCCCTCTTCCAGCTGCAACATTTTTAGTTTTTCGTTTTGTTTTGTTTGTTTTGAGACAGGGTCTTGCTCTGTCTCCCAGGCTGGAGTGCAGTGGTGCAATCTCAGCTCACTGCAACCTCCGCTTCCCAGGTTCAAGCATTTCTTGTGCCCCAGCTTCCTGAGTAGCCGGAATTACAAGCACGGGCCACCACACCCAGCTAATTTTTGTATTTTTAGTAGAGATGGGGTTTCACCATGTTGGCCAGGCTGGTCTCAAGCTCCTGGCCTCAAGTGATCTGCCCACCTTGGCCTCCCAAAGTGCTGGGAGTACAGGTGTGAGCCACAGTGCCTGGCCTTAGTATTTTTTTTTCTAAATCACTGAGCTCTTCTGTAGAGAAGTGTCGATACTGGAGAAGGACTGACATGTACTTTTTTCAATGTGGTGTTTTCCTGGGACTTCAAGTAAGTTCTGGTCTTTCTGAGTCTGCTTGCTCTTGTTGCTGTTGCTCTAATCTTAGCCTCTGGAAAAAAATAAGAATGTTTCATGCATAATTATTGGGTGAATTTATTGGACACTTTCAAAGAGGAGCCTTTGGTATTTACAAATGGGTAATATTTTTCTCTTATTTATATATGAATACTTTTGCAAGGGTCAGTAACCTATGGCCCACAGGTCAGCCACCTGTTTTTGTAAATAAAGGTTTTATTGGAACATGACCATGCCTATTCATTCACTTAGGACTATAAGTGGTCTGGCTCCTTTCACAATACCATGGCAGAGTTGAGCAGTTACAACAGAGGCTAATGGCTCACAAAGCTAAAAATACTTACTCGCCACCCCTTTATAGAAAACAGTTTGCTGGCTGCTGTTTTATAGGTACCTCTGGTGCATGTTGAGATTAAGAAAGTGTGAGGTTTTAAAATTTTTTAATTGTGGTAAAAAGAAACACATACCATAAAATTTGCCATCTTAGCCATTTTTAAGTGTCCAGTTGAGTAGTGATCAATGTATTTACATTGTTGTGCAATGGAACTGTAGAACATTTTCATCTTGGCCCCAGACAGTCCAATTCCAGAGCTCACTATGTAAACCACTCATTCCTCCCACTCCTACAGAGCACTATGAACAAATGAAATCCAGGGCCCATGGTACTCAGAGTAGAATGAGACCTGATCTACAAACCAGAAGATCCATTTCTTCAGGGCATAATGCTGGACAAACTACCAAACGCATTAACCACGCTAAGCCTCCCTTGCAGGTTGGAGCTGAGGAAGGTGCCCGTCACCGGGGGGCAGTGAGTTTTAGAGGGCATGAGTCACAGGAGGTACTTAGCAGGGCACATGGCACAAGGCAAGCTCTCAGATAATGGAAACTCTTTTTTATAGTTACCATATTTACTGCTGAATCTCCAAGGGAAAAAAAAAATTAACATCCAGCAAAACACATATGCTAAGTAAATCAGCTGTGGGTTCTCTGGGAGGTTGGCCTCAGCCTTGGATTGCCCCCACAATGTGGGCTGGAGTAAATGGTGTTTATCGTTCTGGATTGTCTGACAGTTTGTCACACAGGAGTCTCCAGGTATGACAGGCCACTCCTGACTTCCTCTTCTACGATTCAGCGGCCTTCCTCCAACCCAAAGTGCAGGTGACTTCCAAAGTGCCTGACTGTCTCAGGAGTCCCGCCAACCCAGGATTAGCTGCCTGTCCTGTCTCTCGCTGGAGCTCCTGGGATCCCTTGAACATTTTGCTTTAAAATTTCCCTTGGCCCATGGTGGTGCACGTCTGTAATCCCAGCTACCCAGGAAGCTGAGGTGAGGATCCCTTGAGCCTGGGTGGCAGAGATTGCAGTAAGCCATGATCACGCCACTGTACTCCAGCCTGGGAGACAGAGTGAGACCCCGTTTCAAAAAATAAAACATTAAAAAAAATTTTTTTCCTTTGGCTATAATGGTTAGACAACCCACCTTTGTGTTCAGGGATTTTTTTTTCCCCTCTGTGGTCTACTTTTAGTTGGATGGAGTCTTTGAAAAAAAAATTGTCTTTTGAGCATAATTTTGCGTTTATAAATGGATAGGCTAGGAAATTATATAGTGGTCTGTTAATTTGTACCTTTCCTACTGGATGTACTTTCACAGCTTTTATATTATTTCTGCTTTTAGTTCGACTTCGTGGTGAGAAATATTTAAGTTTAAATAAATACATATTCATGATGTGTTTATGTCCTGAAAAGTTTTCAGTTACGTTTGTGCAAAATAAGTAAATATATTTACACACATCCCCAAAATGACAGACATTTAAGCACATTTCTCTCACATCCTTTTCTGTTTCCCAAGCTAGAGGCTGATCCTCAGCTGCTACCATTATTCAGTCTCCACATGCAGGAGGCCTCTTGTTTCTAATAATTCTACTTCCAAAGTGTCTCTTGAATTGGTTCCCTCCTCTCATCCCCAGTGCTCTTATCTGAGCTAGGATCTTCCTCAATTTAAAGGACTATAATTGGCACCCCTTTCCACACTAATGCTAGTCCAATTCTGTAACATAAAGTGATCATGTCTTTCTCCTGGCTAATAACTTTCTGTGGCCCTTCCTTGGACAATTGACAAGTCCAAAGTTAGTGTGGCCTTCTAGGCCCTCCACAGGCTGGCTCTGACCTACCTCCCCCAACCCCAGCTTCCCTCTAGAATAATTTCCCTCCCGCCTCTCTTCCCTGCTGCTGCCACACACATACATGCACACCCTGTGTTTCCAGCCTCATTAAAATCTGTGCCATTCACCCCATTCTTAACACACTCTGACCTTTGCAGGCTCTGTTTCTCCCACCAGAAATTCCCTTCTCCCTCTTTTGTGCCTGTAAAACTTTGAGGCATCATTTAAAGCCACGTGACCCTCAGGGAGCCTTTGCCGACTTCCCAAAGCAAGGCTGTTACCCTTTTGCACTGTTCCTGTTGCACTTTATACATGCTTCTTAGCCTGCCACTTGGTAGATATTCAATAAATGTTTATCAAATGAGCAAATAGGTAAATAAATAGGCTTAATTATTATGCAATTGGGGTTCAAGAATGTGTAAAATCCGGGTCTTACACATCCTCGAACCCAAATTGCATAATAAATAAACATAATATGCATCTTATAAATGTATTACTGAAATTTAATCCTTCCATTGAACAAAAATGAGACTCAGGTATGCAAGCGAGGAGTCATTTGATATTAACATCCTAGAAGATACCATCTATACTTACTAATTCATAATTTCTGTTCCTTGAATTCTATAAGTAGAGGAACTATCCATACAGTTTTTTTAAAATTAAGCATGTTTTGTAATACTATAAATGCTAATATGTTGGCTTCAAACAGATTTTTTTCAAGTGTGGAGGGGGAAGGACCACATCTCTCTTGAGAGGCATTAAATCTTTCCATGTGACATTTCTCTAATTGTTTAAGGGAAAAGCTTGCTTAACTCTCGAGTTTCAGAGTGGACTCTGGACAAAAGTGAATTATCTGTGAACTCATCTGTGTGAACTGATCTGGTCCAAGATAGTTTTCCTTTTGCCAGATTGTCTGGCTTTTCTTCCTAAGGTTTAGGTGTATTGGGTGGCACATGCAAGCTTGGCTTCTAGAATTTCATGGATGACAACAGTCAAAACATAACAGGTTTTACTGAGTGGAACCATCAAGTTCCAGGTCAAAATACTGCCGTAAATTGAGCCCATCTCTTAACAAGGGCTCCTCAGTGCCTCAGCAGCTTGAATCTCTTGGATGACTGTTTCCATGTTTCATCACTTAATGCTTTTGGCTGCAGGGTCAGAGGGATGTATAGTGCCTGTGACAACTCCCCCTACCCCCACCCAACACTGACTGTTCCGCTGGCCTCTGTCTCTTTTTGGTAGCTCCTGAAGAAGGTATCATCTTAAATTACGGGTCAATGGAAAATTACCATGTTCAGGTAGTATGATTTACTGGTTACTATCTCTCGCCTCTGTAGTTTATCCCTAAGTCTGTCATAGCAACACATCCTTCTAGATTACTTTCTTCTTTTTGGTTAACAGCTCACATATCATCTTTCCCAGCTAGTCGTCTTATTCACCAAGATGAAATGTTGTAATTTTTACCATCTTCTAGATTTCAGTATAAAAGAAGACAGTTGTACCCTGGTGGGTTAGCCCAGCACACTCGTTTAAAGTATTTATGCTTCAGGGATCCATTACTTTTTATTTTTATTTTTATTTTAAAATATGGTGATTTACTTACATATACAAAATAGAGCATGGGTTTTATTTAAATTTCAAACAGGAGCAGTGTAGCTACTGTTTCCCGAATGCCAATAGCGTTATAGTACTGTAAGTTGCTTTTGTTAGAATCAAAAAGAATTTTCTTCAAATCCTTCTTTACAAACAGACTTCGGTGACTGCAAAAATAATGGTTTCGTGGTTGCCTAGATTGCCACTTTTACGTAAAACTAGATTTATAAGTTGGCTAGGGAAAATTAATATTTTAGAAAGAAAGATCTAAATCACAATTGCTTTAGGAAAAACTTGTGTTCTGTGTTAGTTTGTCATCAAGGAATATTAAAGAATTTTGAATAGCATTTTTTAATGATTGAATTATTTTTGTTAACCCTCAACAAAGCATTCCTAACAAGGTTTATGCAAGCAGTATTGGCCCTATAATGGAGTCATAGGTTGTCATGATTTCATAGGTTCCCTGTCTCTCAGTGAAACTCAGAATCCCCTTTGTCCCAGGTCCTAAGTCTATCTATATTTTAGTGTTTGAGCTATCGGAAGAATGATCCAATAGAAAACTGGTAGTTTCCATTCATAGTTCTGAGATTTAAAATAGCAAAAAAAGATGTTGGATGATTCCTTGTTCTCCAGAGAACTGCTGTAATTCTAATCTAACAGGGAAATGAGGAAATGGAGGCTGGCATGTTACCGGTTTATGTCCTGGTCAGCAGGAGCTCTGTTCACTAAAATGTGCACAATTCTCAGCCACTTTCATCCCACTTACCTCAAAAAGTGTCTTCGCTTTGTCTCCTTTAGTGAGTTATTGATAAAAAGAAAACCTTAAACAGAAAACAGCTTTAAAAATATGTGTACTACCTTTCAAACATAAAATTTTCAGGACAGTTACAGGTATAATAAAATTATCCCAAGTGAAGAAATCCTGCTTCATCTTCAGCAGCTATCCCACTCCTAATAATTAAGCAAGATCAATGGAACTCAGAGAGAGGAGCCTTAAAATCTTAAATGGGCCAATTTTACATGGGTTCAGGGAGCCCTAAAAAGAAGCAGACCCTAAGAGCCTGTTGGTATAACTCTGAAATGAAATTCCCACATGCATTAATCAGGCTTCTGTTGTTACCATCAAATGAAATATGATTTTCGGGCTTGGTAACACTTCACAGTTGATTGGCTCCTTCTATCCAACCACCCATCTATCTGTGCATCCATCTTTTAAAATTCTCTCTCCAGCTGTGACTCTGAGACAACCATTGTCATTTAGATGCTGATTCCTCACTGTGGTTCTGTTGGTGACTGCTGACATTGAAATGAGGGATGTTTCTCAAGATAGATTAATTATATAAACAAATTGAGGGATGAGGTCTTCTTCTGCTTTGTTCTTTTGAATAAATTTCTGTCCTGGACCACTAGAAGTGGGACTCAGCCATGCTTACAAGCAAAAATAGTTCATGGGTATTAGTTCATGTTCTGAGAGAGGTTCAGGCGAACGGACTTGGAAAATATCCACATCGGAAGAGGAGGGACCATAGGGGAAAATAGTCTACAGATTAATGCATGTGAAATAAATGAAGAAATCTCTCAAATAAGGAAGCTGAGAAAATAGTGGGGCAAAATATGTTACATTTAGGATCTTGTTCTCTTTCTTTTTTTTTTTTTTTTTTTTTTCATTTTAAACCTGTGGGAGAAAGATCCAGGAGAAGCTGGCAACCGCAAGTGCTTCCAGGGCCTGGAAGCAAGTTGGGGGATGAGATGAGCTGAGGAAGCTAAGAATGAGGTTGAGGTTTCACCATACGCCTTTTCCTGCCTCTCAAATGTTGTGCCATGTGCACGGGTTACCCATTAAAATAATTTGTATTAAAAATATTGAGAATCAATGAGATTGAAGAACAGAAGAAAAGGGAGAATGACAGAAAAGTTTCTTAAATTGGCAAAAATGGGGAGGGTTTTTAAATGGTTTGTTTTTAATAATAATAAAGGGAAGAGAGAAATCAGGCTTTAGGGGCAAAGATGGGAAGCTAAGTTCCAAGGTAATGTCAAGTGGGCAGCTGGATGGAGGAGGTTGGAGGATGAAGTCATTTTCGAAAGCCATCAGCAGGGAGAGCCATGTGAGGAGGTGAAGTCACTTAGGGATGGAAGGATCAAAACTAGTGCCTGAGGGAAATCCACCAAATAGCAGGAAGGAAGATGAGAGTGTTTCTTTTAAAAGCCTCCACTGTTCTAGGAGAACTTCAAGAAGCAGTTATGCTTATCCGGAAAGGGAAAAAAGGTGAGAAAGTAAAAAGCCAACTTTTCCCACATATCTCAATTCTGTCCTAGAAGGAACATGTTCTATGTTTAGCATCAGTGAGAACGTGGAGAAAATCCTTTCCCAAAAAAGAACGAAGGGGGAGGGGGAGAGAGGCTGTGGAGGGGGCAGCTATTTGAGAGGGAACCATCTCCACACTTTCAACCCAACTCCAGGCCTTCGAGTTGGATTGCAGCACCCTACAGGCCGAGGTTTCGTCTCCTGACATGGAGGTTTTCTGTCAGCCTTAATGACTTGCTCTGTGTTCAGCGTCCACTTCTATTTCTTATTCATGCTGTTTAATGTGCTGAGACACAGTCTTTCCCTACAGTCTCTCTCTCAACTCTGTTCTCTCAATCTAGCGATTTCATCAGTTCCTTTTCTTTGGGAGTCTTCCAGGTCTTACAAACTAAACCCAAGAGGATTTATGTTCCTGCTAGCCCCAATTTTGTCATTAAAAGTTTTTGAGTAGTATCAATTGCCATAAATCAAACTAATATCCCTCTGGCTTCATAATATTTGTTTATTACTAGCTTATTTTTTAATACTCTCATAAGGGTCTCCTAATGTTCAAGTTTAAAAAGAAATGGAAACACATGCAGATTCTAAACCACACATCTTTTTGTGTGCATGTTATGGATTGGGCTCCTTTTAACAAAGTGTATGTGTTAAAGTCAGGTATGACTGGGAACACAGAGGATGTGGCTCCTCTGAGGGTTACTAGAGACTATGTGGCATACTCAGGTTTCACTGGAATTTTATCAGAGGCACCACAAATCAAGTATTTTAGAATAAGACATTGAAAACATCTTTAATTTTAAAGATCTGCATATCTTCCTCATCCAGGCTGTGTATGCCATGCTTCCTCACCTTCCCTCCCCAAGCCCTGCCAGGAAAAGGCAGGGATTTGTAAACTGAAGCTATGTCAGCTAAAGCTTTTATTGGTACTTATGATCCAGGCCTCCGTCTGCTTTTCATTAATTCTCTGCTGAAAGAATTAGCTTAGCCCACCCCCCCGCCTTTTTTTTTTTTTTTTGCATGTCTTCCATTTTAAAATAAAAAGCAACAGCTAAAAGTCATGATGTGAAACCAGACAATGGTTAGATTTCGTAAGTTAGACTCCCTCTTCCTTATCCTTAGTGTATTTTAGGTTTTAGGCAAAACCTATTAGATTCATTGTGGACTTAATTGTCCCTCCTTTCTCCCTGGCATGTCCCCATTTTCCCCACTGTTCTGCAATGTCAGCTAATAAATGGTGCAAGTAAAGTTGACATTAAGGAGATGACAATAGGAAAGAGTATTTTGAAAATATAATGAAGATTTGATGAACTTTCTTACGATTTAATCCAGAAAATAAGAAAAACGTACTTTAAAAGAACGTTAAACATGAGTTGTGCAAAAGTCAAAAGACTGCTCATTTTTTGTTTAAAAATATCTTTTTCTTAGTACAAAAGCACAGCAGATATTTAAACTCCACAATGAACAATGTGATAGGTTTATTTATGTAAGAAAATTAACATATTTGAATTTTTTCCCAGCCTAGAGTTTTCCCTAACATTCTGCCTTGTAGATAGATGTAGCAGCTCTTTAAATATGTACATAATGCAGAATATTTTTGATTAAATATTGGTAAAGTTCTCTACAGTTTACAAAGCTGTTTCATATTCATTACTTCGTTAAAACTGCACAAGAGTTTAGCGAGGGTATGAATTCTTTTTCCCATTTCACAGATAAGACCACAGGGCAGCCATGACTGACTTGCCCATAGCCATACGTGTGAACTAGAATTTGAACCCAAGCCTCTGACTCTAGAGTCAGTGCTCTTCTCGGCTTTCCAGCCCCATATTACTACAATCCGATAAACAGATCCTTGTGTGATATTAGGTTACTATTGGAAAAAAAGGTTTCTGGGGTAGAGGAGACCTGGCTTCCTGTTCAAGTAGCAGTCACATCTTCCAGCACATGCCACGTCCTCTGAACTCGTTTTTCTGACCCCAGTGTTTCATGTTCCAAGCACCCTTAAGGAGTATTTGGGCTTTTTTTTTTCCTTCTCACCAATCTCTCTGTCTCTTGAACATCCAGTCACATTTCTGGGTTTGGCGTTTCACATTTCTGTTCTACCTTATTCTGGGAGTCGTTTTTTGAGGTGAAATGGCAGGTCTAGAGCCTGAATTCCTTGGGGTCTGTCTGGCGCCTGAATCCTGCAAGAGTAGGCTCAACTCAGGGACCCAAAGCTGAGGCTCATGGTTGGAAAGTAGACATCACAAAGGCCAGCATCCAGCAAAGGATCCTCTGCAAATTGCCCCACAGGTTTAAAGCCTGTCACTGTTGAAAGGTTTGCGGTCATAAGAGGAAAGTAGCAGAAGCCCTACAGCAAATAGGCACAGAAAATTAACAGGCCCCCTGCAGACATTTCCAGTGAAGAACATCTCAACTCACTCTGAATTAGGGCCTCTCTGGCCTGAGTTGAGTGTAAGAATCCTCTGAGAAGCAAGTTGGATGTGGAGAATCCTGGCTTCTACCTAAGGATTTTGATTCTGGAGGCCTGGGGTGGGGCTCAGAGATCTGACTTTTAATGGGCTCCCAGATAATTCCTTTTCTGGGATCCATAGATCACACCTTGAGAAATACTTTCTCAGAGCACCATCGTGAAATAGCTGATGTTCATGATGATGACTGATCCATCAAAAAAGGCAATTTTGCTCTATTTTAGAAGATAGACATTTAATAAGAGGTATCTGACTTATATGAAGATTTCTTATGTCTTAACTTTTTTTTTAATAGAATATGCTTTACCTACATGGAAAAGTCACTTAAACCACTGGATTTCCCAGGAACTCTACTATATTAAGGCTTAATGTGCTTTTTAGTACTTACATGCATGTTTACCTAAGGCTTAGAGCCTAGAAATTTGTATATCACAGACACTCAAAAATTACTTATTTTGTTTATCTAGAATCAGTACTAACCTTTCTAACGAAATCTCTTCTCCTGCTTCAGCTAAAGCCCCCTTGGTGTTCTCTAGGTTGATACAGAAAACTGAAAGAGCTAGAATGGAGCCCCAGGTTAGTTAATATCTATTATTGAATACTCAGCAGCAAACAATTCTGACAGTTAATGTACCCATGTTAATCACAAGGAATTTGCCAGGAGCACTCTGACACTGTCCTGTCCTGATATGCATGTTAAAATTGCCCACAGGTTCACAAAGGAATCCTCCCCTCTGCATTTTCCCCCATTCGTGCGGTGTGTCTATTGCCTATAGCTGGTTCTTCCTCTTAGGAGTAATCAGCCTAAGACAGAGCAGGCTCACCACCAGGTCCTACAGATGCCTCCATCATTTTACTCTGCAGTTTGTTACAGCTAACATTATTCTTAAGAAATATCTTCCTGGCTTGGAGGTAATTTCTGTGGTGAGTACCAAGATGTTTACTAAGCTGAGAAAAAGTCAAGGGTGATATAAAAACAGTAATTCTCATTCATCCCCAGAATGGCATTTCTGTGCTTGTGGGAATGCACTAGAGGTTCTGAAATCATAAATGAAGAATGTCAGAAATACAGTACTTTGACATTTTTTGACAAAGATGTAGTTAGCCATTCTTGAACAGAATAAAAGAAACTTTGACATTGAATGTAAAGTAGAAGTGATAACAAAATTAGCACATTTAAAAAGTTTATCATGTATCAGCTACAGTTCTAAGCAATTTACATGAATGGGCTCGTTAAAACTCCCCAAGAGGAAGACACTATGATCTCCTTTTCACAGATGAGGATTTTGACGCTTAGAGAGGTTACATAACTGTCTCAATGTGACACAGTCAGAACATGTCAGGGCCAGGTGGAAGGGATTATAATTTGACTCAGACCACATTGACACATGCATCCCCTTATTTTCTGGAACTAAAGCAGTTTCTTCATGAGCAGCATGATGGGGTCTTCTACACTTGTCAGTTGAATAAGGTTAAGAAGCCTCTGTTGTTTCAGTTTAAATGTTGAGTCAATCAAAATTTGGCTTCCTCTGTACTGTTTTAAATCATCTCTTTTTGGATGCCCTTTCAGAAGCATTCTCTGCCCCAGGAGGGAGGGCATTGGGCTGACTGTGTCCTGGGGGTAGGCAGGGGACATGGTGTCCTTGAGGCCACTCCCTGTCCCCCGGTTTCTTGCTTATCTTGCTGCAGCATCTGGGCTTGCATGGTGAGTTCCTGAAACCTGTGGCCAGGGGAATGCCTGGTCTCCTTCCTCAGCCCTAGGAATGTTCTAAAATCCTCAGCCTCCTTCCTCTGATGAATCTCCCTAATGGCAACTCTGATTACCTTGGACTTCCATTTGGCTGCTAACCCAGTGCCATTCCCTGGCAAGTTTACTGGCCAGCACCCTCAGCCACCTCCCTCTTCTTTCCATAAAACATAGAAGATCTTCTGAATTTCTTCTCCATACCACAAAAGCTTATGGAGAAACCTGGGAGCTAAACTCGGCCCTTTTTCATCAACTGCACTGCTTTATTTTAACGCAGCTGACCCTACTTGGAGCCAAGTCAGGCCTGAGAGGCAACCCTCTTGCAGACTCCCAAACAGGCGGTGGGGCAGCTCATCTTCTGCCTTTGGTTTTTCCCTCAGGGCTTTTCCTCCCTGAGACAAAGTTGGGCTCCATGTGTCTTTAAAAGGCCCAGTTCCCTGATTGAAGGCCCCAGCCCAGAAACGGGTGGGCAGGATTTGTCCCTTCCTTTCTCTTGTCATTAACCCCATCATACCACCACCATAATACGAAGTGTAGGATCAAGTCCACCTGCTAAAGTGGAAGATAAACACTTTCTAATCCTTTAAAAAGCCCGAGTTTCAAGTTTATTGTCTTGCTGCAGACTTGAGAACCCAATTTTGGGCTGTCAGAAGCTGGAGAGTACAACTTTCTTTTTGTATTTCTCCTGCAACAATCCAGAGGCACAGCCAGGGAGAGGTATGTCTCAGGCTGGCAATGGAGGAGGTCAGGCACATAGACATGCAAATAGAAAACCACGTTGATATATTACAAAAATATTGCCCCAATTTTCTATGACTAAAACACAAGCATTGTCACTCTAGAAAGTATGTTTTTATCTGCCATACTCATTGACCACTAAAGTAAATGAAATTTGTGGGGTTTTTTGGCATCAAGAGAATAGAGCAGTGGTAAAAGTAGATCAGACATGAAACACTTCAGTCCAGAATATGTCTACAGTTACAAAAGGAGCCAAAGCTAGACATGGCTTTTCTGAGAAATAGACAGTGAGAAATTAGAAAAGAATGATAAATTATGAAACTATCCTGTTTGGCTGGACATTTAGTAGATGGATCCAGGATTACCAGCTCAAAACTCAACTAATATTCATAACTGTGGCTTAAATCTTCATGAAACTCTTTCATTATACTGAAGAATCTAAAATGATTTTCAGTAGTCAACTACAGTCTAGTAAATCCAGTTTCCTATATTCAAGTGTTCTTTTTGCTCCCTTTCCATGAGACCTCATCGGTCTCATCTCTGATTCCCAGCAAGGCCCCTTCCATACTTGTCAACCTTCACATGGCATGTGCTTGCTCTTATGTCCGTGCCCTTCATGATTGCGTCCCCCAAACAGGAAGTCAATCTGTTCCTTTATTTCCTCCATGTCAACTTATGGCCACTTCTTTAATCTGGCATAAAATCCAAACTTCCACGAGTTCACTTTTTCATTAATATAGTACTTTGTAATTGTTCTAATATATTGTTTTGTAATTGTTCTTTTTTTTTTTTTTTTTTTTTTGCTCAACTGTGCTAAAGGTTCTCAAAGACTTTAAGAAGCCCTAATTACTTCTGTCATCCCGGAAACACATGGCACTATGCTTTAACTGAATAAATGTTCAGTTGATGTACTTTTTAATTTTTTAAATTTTATTTTTTGTGGGTACATAGTAGGTATATGTATTTATGAGGTACCCGAGATGTTTTGATACAGGCGTGCAATGCATAATAATCACATCGTGTAAAATGGGGTATCCATTTCCTCAAGCATTTATCTTTTGTGTTATAAACAATTCAATTATACTCTTTTAGTTACTTTAAAATGTACAATTAAATTATTATTCACTGTAGTCCCCCTGTTGTGCTATCACATACTAGGTCTTACTCATTTTTTCTATTTTTTTGTACCCATTAGCCATCCCGACTTCCCTTCCCACTTCCCATTACCCTTCCCAGCCTCTGGTAACCATCCTACTCTCTGTCTCCATGAGTTCAATTGTTTTGATGTTTAGGTTCCACAAATAAGTGAGAACATGCAATGTTTGTCTTTCTGTGCCTGGCTTATTTCACTTAACATAATGACCTCCAGTTCCATCCATGTTGTTGCAAACGACAGGAATTCATTCTTTTGTTTTTTGTTTTTGTTTTGAGACAGAGTCTCGCTCTGTCATCAGTGTGGAGCACAGTGGCATGATCTTGGCTCACTGCAACCTCTGCCTCCTGGGTTCAGGCAATTCTCCTGCCTCAGCCTCCTGAGTAGCTGGGATTACAGGCACCTGTCACCACACCCGGCTAATTTTTTTTATTTTTTTAGTAGAGACAGGGTTTCACCATGTTGGCCAAGCTGGTCTCAAACTCCTGACCTCAAGTGATCCGCCCGCCTTGGCCTCCCAAAGTGCTGGGGTTACAGGCGTGAGCCACCATGCCTGGCCAGGAACTCATTCTTTTTATGGCTGAATAGTACTCTATTGTGTATAAGTACCACATTTTCTTTATCCATTCATCTATTGATGGACACTTAGGTTGCTTCCAAATCATAGCTGTAGTGAACAGCCAAGAGCCTGTATTTGCTGCAACAAATACAGGAGTGCAGATATGTCTTTGATATACTGATTTCCTTTCTTTTGGGTATATACCCTGCAGTGGGATTGTTGGATCATATGGTAGCTCTACTTTTAGTTTTCTGAGGAACCTCCAGACAGTTCTCCACAATGGTTGTACTGATTTATCAGGGTTCCCCTTTTCTCCACATCCTTGCCAGAATTTGTTATTGCCTGTCTTTTGGATAAAGGCCATTTTAACTGGGGTGAGATGATCTTTCATTGTCATTTTGATTTGCATTTCTCTGATGATGAACGATGTTGAGCACTTTTTTGTATGCCTGTTTGCCATTTCTGTGTCTTGAGAAATGTCTATTCAAATCTTTTGCCCACTTTTATATCAGATTATTAGATTTTTTCCTATTGAGTTATTTGAGCTTCTTATATACTCTAGTTATTAATCCATTGTCAGGTAGTTTGCACATTATTTTCTCCCATTCTGTGGGTCATCTCTTCACGTTGTTGTTTCCTTTGCTGTGCAGAACTGCTCCCTTTATTGTCACTGAGGCTGGAAACCTAAAGAACATCTTGATGCCTTACTCTCTCACACCTCCTACATCCAACAAATCATCAGATTAGCATATTTTGACCTTCCAAATATTTTCCAGATCTATGTCTTCTTAAGTCTGTCATCTCGGCTCTTGTTCAGGCCTTATGACGCTCGCCTGGACCACCAGTCTCTGGCTTGGCTTCCTGCTTCAAGTCTGCCTTCCACATACCCCAGTGTGACTGAAATGAAACCCAAATCCAACCACATCAACGTCTCTGCAAAGTAACTGCCAAGGCCACAGGATTGAGTTCAAGCTCCTCAACATCCCACAAAGCCCTCTGTGGTTTCACTCTGGTCCAAATCTAGGGTTTTAATTCACACTATTTTCAGCCTCATATTTTCTGTTGCAATAACATCAAGCTACTTGATTTTCTCCAAACAATGCTTTGCTCATATTGTCTCCTCTGCTAGGAGACAGGTTGAGGTTGATACCATCTCAGCAGGTATGTGGATGATTTCCCTTCAACCTGGAGAAAGAGAATAGAAGTCCACAAGAGAAGGAGCATGAAGTAGCACAGTGTGCAGCGCAGGATGGGTGGATGTTTGTGACAATGGGTAACATTTATGCAAACCACATTTTCTGCCATAGGCCATTAGCTTGTATTCTGCTTCCATATTTTGGCTTGTGGTATACCACAATCTGTATTGTTTGTTACATACACAACTTTTAGAAATTTTAATTTTCAAAAGAAAGTTGATAGAAATACATCATTCCAAAATATAGGGAATACTCTTCTGATAAAATCATTATGTATAACATATATTTTCGGTTGATTCCCTAACATCCATTCCATCCTATCACTTCCACTTCCAAAGGTATCCAAACCATCAGTTCATAAAACTTTGAGAGTTCTGAATTAACCAGGTAGTTTTTAGGTTTTTTCCATTGCCAGATTTGGATTTAGCTTTCTTGGGTCTGTTCATTTAGTTATAAGTCATCTATCTACTTTCCAGCTTCCAACGTTTAGTAGTGGTAGCTCTTTTCCCATCTTCTTTGTTCTCGTTTGTGCCCCCTTAGAGTTTTTGGTGGGCTTTCAGGGTTGAATAGAGCTAAATGGATGGCTTCCACCCTTCATCTTTAATAGAAAGACTCCATTATTATTATTATTATTATTATTATTATTATTATTATTATTTCTTCTTTCTTCTTTTTTTTTTTTTTTCTGAGACGAAGTCCCACTCTATTGCCTAAGCTGGAGTGCAGTGGTGTGATCACTGCAACCTCCACCTCCCGGGTTCAAGTGAGTCTTCTGCCCCAGTCTCCCGAGTAGCTGGGACTACAGGCACGCACCGCCATGCCCGGCTAATTTTTGTATTTTTAGTAGAGATGGGGTTTCACTATGTTGGCCAGGCTTGTCTTGAAGTCCTGACCTTGTGATCCGCCCGCTTCGGCCTCCCAAAGTGCTGGGATTACAGGCGTGAGCCACCACACCCAGCCTCTTCTTTTTTTTAATGTGGTTGGCAAATGGTAGACATTTTTTAAGGGTCTGAAGCATAATTTTTATTATCTTTTCTCATCTTTACCATCTGTCTTTTTTTTTTCAGCATCTACATTAAGGATATACATCTGTCTTTTTTACCCCTTCCCAAAGACATTTTTTAAATGCTCATGTGTAGAAAAATTATATATATTAATATATCTATTAGTCTGCTAATAAAGATATACCCAAGGCTGGGTAATTTGTAAAGGGAAGAAGTTTAATTGACTCACAGTTGCACATGGCTGGGGAGGCCTCACAATCGTGGCGGAAGGTGAATGAGGAGCAAAGTCACGTGTCACATGGCGGGAGGAAAGAAAGCTTGTCCAGGGGATCTCCCATTTATAAAACCATCAGATCTCGTGAGATATATTCACTACCACAAGAAAAGTATGGGGGAACTGCCGTGATTCATTTATCTCCACCTGGCCCCTGTGATAATTGAATTACTACAATTCAAGGTAAGATTTGTGTGGGAATGCAGCCAAACCACATCAATATATTATATATTATATGTAAAGTTAATAGACTATTTTAAGAGCAATTTTTAGCTTCCCAGCAAAATTGAAAGATACAGAGTTTCTGCATACTCACTCCCCGCTTCCCAACCACCCCACAACACACATACCCAGTGCATACACACAGCCTCCCTCACCATCAGCATCCCCCATCAGTGCAGTACATTTTTTGCAATTAATGAGCCAAGGTTGACACATTATTATCAACCAAAGTCTAGAGTTTACATTAGGGTTCACTCTTTGTGTTGTAGATTCTATGTTTTGACAAATGTATAGTGACATGTACCCACCATTCTAGTAGCATATGGGTAGTTTCATTGCCCGAGCAGTCATCTGTGCTTCACCTATTCATCCTTCTATCTCCCTGAGCGCCTGGCAAGCACTGATCTTTTTACTGCCTTCATAGTTTTGCCTTTTTCAGAATGTCATATAATTGGAATCATATAGCAGGTAGGCTTTTCAGATTGGTGTCTTTCACTTAGTAATATGTACTTAAATTTCTCCATATCTTTTCATGGCTTGATAGCTTATTTCCTTTTAGTACTAAATAATATTTCATTGTCTGGATGTATCACAGTTTTTTCATCCATCTACTGAAGGACAGCTTGGTTGCTTCCACTTTTTGGCAACTATGAATAAAGATGCTGTAAACATTCATGTATAGGTTCTTATGTGGAATTTTTTGTTGTTATTGTTTTTGGTGTTGGTGTTGGTGTTGTTGTTGTTGTTGTTGTTGTGAGACGGAGCCTCACTCTGTTGCCCAGGCTGGAGTGCAGTGGCACGATCTCAGCTCACCACAACCTCTTCCTCCTGGGTTCAAGCAATTCTCCTGCCTCAGCCTCCCGAGTAGCTGGGACTACAGGCACATACCACCATGCCTGGCTAATTTGTGTATTTTTAGTAGAGATGGGGTTTCACTATGTTGGCTAGGCTGGTCTCGAACTCCTGACCTCGTGATCCTCCCGCCTTGGCCTCCCAAAGTGCTGGGATTGCAAGCATGAGCCACTGTGCCCGGCCGGATGTTTTTAACTCCAGGTGGACACCAAGGAGCACTGTTGCTAGATCATATGGTAAGAACTTTAGTTTTATAAGAAACTGTCAAACTGTCTTTCAAAGTGGCGATACCATTTTGTTTTTGTTTTTGTTTTTGTTTTTGTTTTTGTTTTTGTTTTGAGATAGAGTTTCACTCTTGTTGCCCAGACTGGAATGCAGTGGTATGATCTTGGCTCACTACAACCTCTGCCTCCCGGGTTCAAG
Organism: Homo sapiens; assembly: GCF_000001405.40. Classification (NCBI taxonomy): domain Eukaryota; kingdom Metazoa; phylum Chordata; class Mammalia; order Primates; family Hominidae; genus Homo; species Homo sapiens. The sequence goes on along the minus strand of NC_000007.14, from coordinate 8,195,457 downwards.
GATTCTCCTGCCTCAGCCTCCCAAAGTAGCTGGGATTATCAGCATGCGCCACCACACCCGGCTAATTTTTTCTATTTTTAGTAGAGACAGGGTTTCACCATGATGGCCAGGCCGGTCTCGAACTCCTGACCTCAAGAGATCCAGGGATCTGCCCACCTCATCCTCTCAAAGTGCTGGGATTGCAGGCGTGGGCCACCGCACCCAGCCCCATTTTGTATTCTCACATCCTCACCAGCATTTGATGTCAGTATTTTGGATTTTTGCCATTCTAGTATCTATGTATTATCTCATTGTTGTTTTAATTTGCAGTTCCCTAATGACATACAATATTGGGCATTTTTTCATATGCTTATTAGCCATCTGTATGTCATCTTTGGTGAAGTATCTATTCATATATTTTGCCACTTTTTAAACCAGGTTATTTTCTTATTGTTGAATTTTAAAGTTTCTTTGTATATTTTGAATAGCATGTCCTTTATCATACATGTCTTTTGTAAATATTTTCTTCCACACATATAATTTTTAATGCTTTATTATTTCAACTCAACATAAAAAAATTTTTTGAAGCACCTATTAAGTGCTTAGCATTGCATGGAGATTGGAGATTTAATACAGAAAAAGACCCAATACCTACATTTAAAGGGCTTCCATTTATCATAAGCATTTCCCTGTGTGTCAAAAAATTCTTTATAAAAAAAAAGTGACGACAATAGCCCAATATTTTATTATATAAAACGCCCTAACATTAGACTTTTAGGTTGCTTACATTTGTGAGCAAATAAATGCTGTCTGAAACTTTTTGTACATAAACCTTTGCCCGTATTTTAGAAAATTCCCCTGAATTTGTAGGAATCTGCTTCAAGAAAATAATTTGGTCAAGAAGAAGTAACATTTTTATAGCTTTTGATGGCTCAAGGGACTTTTAAGTCAGACTCTTGCCAGTTTGGTAAAATTAATTAAGCTAAAATGGTAAGAATTTTAAAAGGAGAGATAGCCTTTTCTCACAAATAAGTAAGTTGTATTTAATAAACTGTTGGCTTCATAAAAAGAAAATTGAAAACAAGATGTTAACGTCTTTTATTTTATAAATAAACATGAACTTTTGTAAAAAGTAATTTATTTTTGGCTGCTTCTGTAAGTCATTTTCACTGATATTAACATTTATTACATTTGGTCTCTCCAACCCCACCGCCCCAAAGATTCTGATTCAGGGATCTAGGGTATAATATAGTGGGGAGGAGAGTTCACACACATGTGTATATGTGTGTTTGTGTATAACAGACAGGATTCCAGAGCAAGCCAGCTTTGGAGGAACAGTTCTGGAATAGTTCTGTTCCAGGCATGAAATATCATCAAACCTGTTACCAGTTTAAGGGGCAGAGATTTTAAAAAATCATTTTATCTATGAAGATAACCATATAATTTTAATTGGCCACATATGGACAGAGACTGAAAGTGAACTTGGAAAATGAAAAGAATGCTGTTAGGACAGAGGCAGTTGAGGTAATTTGTTTGCAGCCACCACAGGCAAACACAGAAACTCCATCTATCACAGGCTCCTTTCCTGTGACCTTCTTAGAATATCTCTGTTCCACATAAAATCATCTCCTCTTTTCTTTATATTGGTTTTGGTCTCTCTGTGTTAGCTCTTCTGCTTAGATATGTTATTACTCAAAGGTTTGTTATGGGAGCAGGCAAAGTATAATGTAATAAATGAATAAATAAGCAAATGGAACAAAAGACAGTTTTTTTCATGTCATATCTGGCCAAACTCTAACTTCGGTATGATATCACGCAATGGCAGAATCTACAGAGGGAAGGATTTGAAGGATAGAATGCTTTTGCCACCACCATTTTCTTACTGATTTTGACAACAGGACTGACTTTGAAAATGAATATATTGACCTCTTTGATTTAATGTCATTCCTGGTCCCTTGGAATTTTCAACTCTAGTTAGCAGACGTCGTCTCTTTTTGCAGAAGCATAGGTTAGCAGTTCTGAAACTATTCTTCGTGCATTCCAGGATTGAGCAGATAAGTTGTGGACAGTGGGAGCCAGGTTTTGCACTTTAGGAGAACGGAGCTACAGTTGTGGTAAAAGGATGAGATAGAACTCTGCGGTATTGGATTCAAATTGGAGATATGGATGTAAACTCCTGATTTCTGATACATACACACATACATGCATGCATACATACATGTGTGTATGTGTTTAGATATATGTAAACTAATGTAGCTGTGCATGGATTATAATACATATATGTGTATGTGTGTTGTGTCTGAGAGTACTTGTGGATATGCACACATTTGTTTACATATACATATAAACATTTCCCAGCTCAGTCCTCTGAGATGACCTTGAAGCAGTTTCACTCTAGTAGCAGTGAGCATATCTAGAAACCAGATCTTTGTTTCTACATACCCTCCACTAAAAGGAACTAGGGCTTTTTGGAGAAATGGTTAAATTCAAATTTGAGGCAGGTAAAGTAGAATAGAGCCTGGAACATCATGTCATGCCAAAAATGAAGAAAGTACCTGCAGAATAAGGGGGACTTGTCAAAATGACGCTGGAGCCAGCCCAAAGAGGCTCCCATTCGCCAAATATGGGATCATTTAAGCGTTAAAATAAATTACTAATTTAAATAAATAATTTTAGTAAGTGTAATACTATTGAATAAAGTAAGAATCCATGAGCTACTTTGATATAAACAAACAAAGGAGAACAAATAAAGTAGAAAGCCAACCAATAAATGTAGAATGTTGAAAATCAAAAATCATATTTTGCAAGCCATCATAAACATAATTGATTCAGTCAAGAATCATCTATGAATATGAAAACTAATGGATGGAAGTTTAATGAGATATAGGATCTTTACGTTGTCTTTACATTGTTTCAAATTATATTGTATTATTTACAATGGGTGAAATAGTAACTCAAATGGAGAAACCTGGCAAACACCATCTTAACCAAAAGATTAAAGTTAACATCGCTAGTGGTGGGACTAACCAACAGCATGTGCCACATGATACCATGCACTGAGGAAAAGCCGGAATGACTTTTGTTATACTGTTAGAGGTGTATAACCTTAATTTAAGTGTGAGGACACATCAGACAACCCAAAATGTGGAACACTCTCTAAAATACCTGCCCTGAAAAAAGACAGACCCAGGAACTTCCCAGATTAAAGGAGACTGAAAAAACATGACAACTGAATGCAGTGTATGATTTTAGATTTTCTTTTGTTATAGAAGATATTATTGGGACAATTGATAAAATCACAATAAGGTCTGTAATATTAGATAACATTATTTCAATATTAATTTCCTGATTTCAATAATTGTACTGTGGTTATGTAAGAGAGTTCCCTATTTTTAGGAAATATATATTGAATTATTTAAGAATAAAGGAACTTTCTGTCTGCAATTTACTCTTAAACAGTTTAGGAAAAAATCTATGTGTGTTTGTATTTAGAAAATGAAACAAATGTAGTAATGTTTGGGTGAATTAACATTTTGGGAATCTGGGTGAAGGGTATCCAGGCATACAAAGAATTCTTGCAACTTTTCTAGAAGTCTGGAATTATGTTTAGTGTCTTTGTGATTTGAATTTTAATACGTTTCTTTATAATGTTCAAATTAAGAAATTAAACATCCAGTATATGAAAGAAGGAATGGCACTGAAAAAAGTGACATTAGTAGAGGTTTATATTGTGTTATAATATTATACAATATTATAATAATATGTAATATTACTATAGGCAATATGTATTATATAACACATATATACAGATGCTTCTTGACTTACAATGGAGTTATGCCCCAGTAAACCCATCAAGTTGAAAATATCCTAATCGGAAATGCATTTAATACACCAAACCTACCAAACAGCATAGCTTACCACAGGCTACCTTAAATGTTTTCAGAATGCCTACATTAGCCTACAGTGGGGCAAAATCATCTAACACAAAACCTATACTATACTACAGTGCTTAATATTTCACAGTAATTTATTGAACACTGTACTGACAATGAAAAACAGAGTGGTTGTTTGCGTACTTGAAGTACAGTTTCTGCTGAATACATGTTGCTTTTGCATCTTGGCAAAGTCAAAAACTCTAAGTCAAACAATCATAAATCAAACCATGGCAAATCCAGGACTGTCTGTACAATATTACAATACTGTATTTATGTTGTAGCTATTGTGATATAATTAGAATTATGTGCCAGCATGATTCTTTGCAAATTCAGTGAGACCTGGTCAATGTCTTTCAGATAAATTACCTAAGACTAGATGATAGCAGGGACATTATACATCAAAATAGTGATTTCAGTTACTCTCGTATAAAGTGGAGGGCAGGAACGATGGACAGCTATCATCTTAAAAGCTTATTGGAGTCAGACGATGGTTCCTCACATCTGCTGACCTGTAACTATGGAATAAACAACTCTGATGACCATTTGTTCATTATCATACTGGAGTCATGTTCCTGAGGAATTCCAGGGCAGTAAAAATTTAGAAGCTAAATGTTTAACTTTCCAGAATGTTTAATTTTTCTGCACTAAGTCAAAGCAAGGCTCATGGAAGCAAACTTCCTTGTTCCCTAAACACTCAGCCCAGAAAAATTGAGAGATCACACATGTAACCGTGAACTTTGCACTGTTAGATTTATAAACTTCACAAACCAAAAATAGTTTCTGTTGTTGATCCAAAAACCTCCATTCTAATGACAAACTTATGGTGGCTAAAAACCTTTTAAATGTTAGATTGAGTTCCTGCTTTGTCCCTCTGCATGTGATTGAGCCAGGTTAAGTTGATTTGAACCTGAGAAAAGAAACACATTGCCTCTGTAGGGTTTTCTAAGCCATCTGAATTGGTACTAAACCATTTCTGTGAGGTGTTAGAATCCTGCAGGGGGCACCAGAACATTCCAATGCAGTTGAACACATTTCATTAAGTCCAGAAGAGCTAACTGTATTACCTTATTATAATTGATTTCTCTACTGTAACGTTTTCAGTTCCATTAATATTATTTTTTTGTACATTTACTTTTACAACATTTGTGAGTTTATGGAATGTTTCTGCCTCTCTGAGGAGGCAGAGGAAGGAAAGAGATCATCTCTTGGATGAGTCCTTAGAAACTACAGCCATGTCTCCTCTGGGTAAATATGAAAGGTTTCAGCCCACTCGGAGAGTAAGGACTTTCCAAATGTTCCTAATCTGACTGCGGAAAAAAAAAAAACTGGAAGAAACTGAGAATTCAATTTACTTTCTTAGCCTTAAGGCTGTGTATAAGCTACCCTGTTATTATCATTATTAATAATAAACACAGTGAATGTCAGACAGGCACTTCATGGTAGATTTTTATATGAATTTTGTGCAAAAGTAAAGGGTTGCCAGGCTACTGCATAATATTACTCAGTTCTGGTCCAGGAGTACAAAATTCCACCAGGCCTCCTGAGCCCGTCCCTCCAATTAGTGGCTTACTTCATTACGAATAAAGAACCCTCATTACTGTGGGCCTTCAAGTGAAATAGGATCCCCTACCTCTTGAAATCCGCCTTTCTAAGTACAGACAGTTCCCAACTTACAAACAATCCACTTAAGAACCACCAAGGCATTCAGAGGCTGCTGTAGGCTCCTGCAGCTGCTGCCTGGGCCCCCTGCCCAGCCCCCCTGCCCAGCCCCCTCCCCACACTCCTGGTCTGCTCAAGGGAGCGCTGCCTACCCCCCTTGCAGAGCCAGCTGCCCACCTGCCCCTCGGACTGCAGGCTCGGAGCTGGGGGTTCAGTGAGGCCTCAGAGCTACCGCTGGTTTTATAGTTGAGCTCAGCTATGGGGTAAATAGGCTTTTGTGGCCTGGCCTGGGAACCGAACCACCATTTAAAAAAAAGAAGAAGAAAAAACCTGCCTCCATGGGAAAATGTATTCTGCATTCCCAATAGCCAGCCAACAAATGTTAGAATGACTGTGGGGGCTGTCTTCTGTCTTCATGCCCCTAGCAGAGCGAGGAGGCGAAAGAATCCGCCTGTGTGTTCTGGGTTCTGGGTCCAGCTCTAGCACTAAACCCAACATAGGACCTTAGTAAGCCCTTTAACCTCTGTGTATCACATCATCTGTAAGACAATAGGATTGTACTAAATGAGTTATAAGCCTCCTTCTAGTATAATGACCCCAATTGATCAAAGCTCTACCCTCATTTTATTCATTCAGAGGCATTTTACTCAGGGCACATGCTTTGTGCAGGCTCTGGGCTTGGTGGGAATACAGTCAAATAATACAGATCCCAGCACTCACAGGGTGCAGTGTTTACTTGGGGAGACAGATCTTTAAGTGAATGTTCATAAGTGCTATGATTGCAATGGGCACTGGGTTCTGTAAAAGCTCAGGAGGGTCTGAATCAGATGAAGTCTTTGCAGAGGGGTTGGCTCGCGGGCTCACTCCCCTGATTTCTATTTTAATTGACTCCTCTCCCAGGGTATCAAATCTGGTTCACTGGGAAGCATAGCTTCTGCATCTACCATCCTAACAGTTTGGCATGGTCCCCTGGCCTCATCAAGGAAAGTCTTGCCCTCCTCTTTGCGTCACTGAAAGATAGAATACAGGGATGCTCCCACCAAACCATAGTCTTGATTCCTGTAAGTACTGCCCTGAATGCTTGCTTCTTCTCTGCCCTAGGGAGCCATGGCCAAAAAAGGTTCTCTCTTGCTCTCCTTGGGGCCTTCCCTGCCCTGAAGAGAGGCAGGATTGGCAGCAACTCTGGTACTCCCAAGTTTAAAATATTCCTTACCTCCCAAAATATTTCTGAAGTCCCAGCTACCTCTTGCTGTCCTATATTTATAATGCCCTAATTATAATTCTACCAAAAATCCCTTCTAGGCTTCCACCCTTACTCCACACTCACTTTTAAAATAGTAACAATCGAAGTGATTCAAAGAAGTCACCTGTCATTTGGAAGGTGGCATAACAGAGTGGTTCAGGTTGGAATCTTGACTCTGTGCCTTGATATCGGACATTATGAAATTATGTCGGTATGAAGGTTCCTGGGCAAGGAAGCGACCATGGAAGAGCAGTTTTGAGGAGAGTTAATTTTGGTAGCTCTGTGTAGGATGCTACAAGAATGGAGAGGAGGGAAAAGATGAGAGATTTTCAGCGTAGAAATGATGAAACTTAGAAACCAAATAAGTGTGTCATTATGCAATGTGAACTTATATAACTTTCCTGTACTCTCAAAGTATCTTATTTATTTTGGTTCTATGAAAGCAGTTTGATAATTATAACTGGAAAATCTTTTCTTTTCATATAAATAACAAAACACCCCAAGAAAACATTATCTAAGAGTTTTTCCAATCCCCATTCCATTATGTTCCCTTAGGATGCCTTTAGCGTAAGAAACAGCCTGGTGCCTTGGTGAGGAACTCAGTCTCTGCAGTGAGCATCTCCTGGGTTCAAACTGTGGCTTCCCCACTTCGTAGCAGTATAATCTCAGGCAGGTTTCTTAACTTCTGAATATTTCAGTGTCTTCATCTGAAAAATGGAGACACAGTCAAGTACCATATAATGACATTTTATGATGGTGGTCCCATAAGATAACAATGGGGCTGACAATTCCTATTGCCTAGTGACATCTTGATGATACTAAATCTGTGCAAATCTGGGCTAATGTGTGTCTTAGTTTTTAACAAAGAAGTTTAAAAAGTGAAAAAAGTTAAAGATAGAAAAAAGCTTATAGAATAAGGATATAAAGAAATCTTTTGTACAGTTGTACAATGTGTTTGTGCTTTATGACAAGAATTATTACAGAAGAGTCAAAAAATTTAAAAATGTTTAAAGATGTTTATAAAGTAAAAAAGTTACAGTAAGCTAAGGTTAATTTATTATCAAAGAAAGAAAAACATTTGTTATAAATTTAGTGTAGTCTAAGTGTAGTGCTTATGCAGTCTAAAGTAGTGTACAGTAATGTCCTGGGCCTTCACATTCACTCACCACTCTCACTCACCCAGAACAACTTCCAGGCCTGCAAGCTCCATTTGTGGGAAGTGCCCTACACAGGTTTATCATTTTTATCTTTTATGCCATATTTTTACTGTGCCTTTTCTATGTTTAGATATGTTCAGATACACAAACACTTATCATTGTGTTACAATTGCCTACAGTATTCAGTACAATAACATGTTGTACAGGTTTGCAGCCTAAGAGAAATAGGCCATCTCATGTGTAATATAATGCTTTGTAATATAATATATACTTTGTAAAAAAGTATAGGTGTGTAATAGGTGCTATATCGTCTAGGTTTATTTAAGTACACTGTATGATGTGTGAACAAGGACAAAATCACCTAACAACATGTTTCTGAGAACATGTCCCCATCGTTAAGTGACACATAAGTGTAATCACGTCAAGCTCATAAGATTCTAATGAGGATTAAATCTGTAATATTTGTCAAGTTCTTAGAACTGAGTGTGGTCCATATTAAGCACAACATAAACATTCTTGTTGCCCAATTTTAAGTGTTTGATATATAAAATAAATGCAAAACAAGATAATAGCCTGTGTGCTATACTGAGATATTGAATAGCTTATCTTTTGAGAAATGGAGACAACATTACTGGAATAAGAATACAACTCTAACTAGTTTTCATATTTCCCCTTCTCAGTGGCACGTTGAGGCCCTGTCACTTATATGTAATGGAACCCATCAAATTGAGTACATTATGCATGAAAGTACACTTGTGATATCTTACCCTGATCTGCCCCTTTTCCTGCCCTCCTTGTTTTTGTTGACCTCAGCTTGAAATCTTAACTTTAGATTCAGCTTCACTTTCTTCTTTTCTGACCCATTTATTTGGTTTCAAAATCTCATCATTTCTTCCCTGGAAATCTCTCTGTCATCCATCCCCTGTCTCCATTTGTATAGCAGCCTACACAGAGCTGCCAACCTCATCTTCCTGAAAAACCACTCTACTGTGGCCACTTCCCTGCTCAGGACCTTCAGCAGCTCCCCATTGCTTAACAAGCAAAGCCCTCAGCCTGTCGTTCAGAACCACACAAACCCAGCCCACTCTCCTTCCCTAGGTCCAATACTGTATTCCCAACAGCCTATTCTCCACAGTGACCAGATGATTGCTGTGTCTGGCATGGTCCACATTTATGTTTGTTGTCCAGGCTTCACTATTAATGATGCCCTCTTCACTCAGAGAGCGTCCCTGTTTGGACAATAAATTGTATGGCCACCCTGCTGTTATCCCATTAGCCAAACCATGTATCCCAGGATTCCCTGTCTCCTCCCCCTGTTCCTTTCATCTGAATTGCTGTCGCTTGATCTGTGCCTATCCACAAGCTTCCCCTTTTTCAAAGGCCCATTCAAATGTTACTTCCTCCACTCTTTCAAAACTCTCCCAGGGTTCTTTATACAACCACTCTTTTGCCACCTAACACTTCCTAATGTGTATCATGATTATTTATATGCTGTATAGCTCCTCTTTCAGAATACGACCCTTGAAGAAAGAAACTGTGTCTGATTAACAAAGTGTTTCCTGTAGCATCTAACCCAGGCTCCTACATGCCTGGAAAAATAACAGACATCAGTTCTTGAGTGCTTACTATGCACCAAGCACTGTATGTATAATCAATATACACTTTAGATACCATCTGTATATATTATCTCATTTAATCCTAACAATAGCTTTGAAATACTGTGTCTCTGTTTACTAATTTGGAAATTAAGGCTTGGATCAAATGACCTTGTTCTAGATCACAGAAGCAGTAAGCCTAAATAGAAACATTCGAGCCCAAATTTCTCTGACTTCAAAGAGCATGCTCTTAACCTTTTCACTCCAGGCAGATGGTTCTTAAGATTAAGTATGCAGCAGGGTCTTCTGGAGGGCTTGGTAAAATGTATTGATGTGCCCCATCCCAGTTTCTGATTCCGTAGGCCCAAGTTAGGGCCCAAGAATTACATTTCTATCAAGCTCCCAGGTGATGCTGATGTTGCTGGTCCAGACAGTACACTGAGCGTAAGTAAGCATAATCATTCGTTGATGAATAAATGGATTGGTGGGTGGGTGGATGGATGGATGGATGGATGTGGATGGCCAGATGCATGGATGGGTGAATGGATGGTTGGATGAATATATTTAAATTTATCACTTGGTTTAAAGTTTCATAAGTCTGCTCTAATTTTGTACATTAGGTACATTGATGTGTTCACTTATAATTCTTACAAGGTCAGGATTAAAATTTACTTTTATTTTTCACAGCCATCTTTACTGTTTCATAATATTGTTTAAGTTTGAATTTGAGCTGACTTTTTCAGTTTTTTTAAACCAAAGACAGAATTTTAAAAATTTATCTCTCATTTCCTTTTTTCCTTTTTTTTTTTCTTTTTTGAGACATAGTCTCACTCTGTTGCCCAGGCTGGAGTGCAGTGGCACAATCTCAGGTCACTGCAGCCTCCGCCTCCCAGGTTCAAACAATTCTCCCACCTCAGCCTCCCAAGTAGCTAGGACTATAGGCGCACGCCACCAAGCCTAACTAATTTTTGTATTTTAATAAAGATGGGGTTTCACCATGTTGGCCAGGCTGGTCTCAAACTCCTGACCTCAAGTGATCTGCCCGCCCTGGCCTCCCAAAGTGCTGGTATTACAGGTGCAAGCCACGGCACCCCGCCTTTTCTTTTCTATCTTAAAAATATTTTGTCCAAAATAATGTTAAAGATGGTTTACACATCTCTCCCATCTCCTTCCAATATCTTTTCTATACTCTTGCATGTATATTTAACATACAATAGGCTTTTAATCCACAATAGTTCATTAGGTTTTATTTCAAGTATGAATTATTCTCTCAAACCTAAGTGTATTCTAAAGGGATTATTTTTAAGTGGCCTAGGAAGAGAGAAAGCTATCTTGTGATTTATATATTGTGATATATTCCCTGAGGAGCATGGTTAGAGCAAATTTCCTCCCCTCTCCAACCCCCGCACTGTTTCACCTCTTAACAAAATGACCCATGATATGAATTCAGCTGTTATTTCAAAGTAAAGACAGTAGCCCTTTCACTGTTGAGCACATTGCGTCTTATTGATAAAAGATACAGCTGGAGCAAAAGGCAGTGTGCATGCCCTTCCTGTAATCCTCTTGGAGCATGGAAATGGCACCAGACCATTATGTACATCTATAATGTAAGGCTCCATATTACTCTACAGAGACAAAATGAGAGGGGCATTTTCCATAGGAAATGCAAAGCACTTCAAAATGCACCTGAGCACTTTTCTGTTTGACTAGGCACCACATTTGCCAATTTAGAAGGCACAGTGATTATGACCTTGCTTTTGGAAGTTAAAAGCCCATTGATTTCTGTATGCAGAAGATGCTAGCAAATTAACTAGCTCTTTTTATTTTATCAGTGAGATAAGCATCTTAATAGACTAATAGGTAACTTTCTATGTTAGTGATAATATACCATGCAATGAACAATAAATTTATGTAGTAAATGCTAGTCTATATTTTTTATTCTTGCGGTGTTTTTCAAATACTATGTTTTTTATATATTGTTTGTGCCCAAGTCTCAACTTTCCGACAACTTGAAATTTCCTTAAGAGTAGAGATCATGCCTTATCTGTAGCTTTTGAATGTTTTTATCTCATTTACCCTCTCAACTGCCCTTACAGAGAGGCATAATTGACCTCCATAGTGCTAAACACAGGGCCTTGCATGCAACTCCTAATAATAATAGCATTAAGCATTACAGTTTTAAAGAAAGCTTCTCATATACATTTTCTCTCTTATTTATCTCATGCTTATTTTCCAGATCTAATGGCAGAAATTCAGAAAGGTTAAATAACTTGCTCAGGGTTACAAAGGCAGGAAGCTTCTGATCCAGGCATAGCCCAAGTCTTCTAGCCCCAGATTGGATACCCTTTCTACTCCACCACATTACCAGGGGTTTTAATAATTTTTTGTTGACTGAATGCATATAATTGTCCCCAAAGTATTCCCCTCTGCAAAAACCTTCTATATCTCCCTCTAACATATACACATCAGTATGTGTGTATCTCTTATTGGATTATATTCCAATGTGGCTGCATTGCTCAGGCTTTGCGATAGGACCACATCTGTAGACGGGGGTTAGAATAGCCTTTAACGGGACAAATATCTGGGGAAAAAGTCCTCAGAATGATCTTTAACTGTTAAGATAGAACCTTCACTTTCTTAAGTAAAGACTTTTAGGCATGTAGGTAAGTTTCAGTGTCAGGTAGGTTTAGGTGTCAGATGGTTGCTAAGCTAATCTTCCCCCGCATTCCCATAGGAGACCAAGAGCTGGAAAAGCAAACTAAATCTTGTAAATCGGTCTATTTAGTTGTAACTTTCTTCTCTTATGTTTATTTCTTGTCTGTTATTCTGGAGTCTTTAGGAAAGTTGTGGTTAGAGATTCTAGCCTGATCACCATTGTGTTGTGGAAAACTATGGAAATAGTCATTGCATGTCCCCTGTACATGCTAATGTTTTTACTGGGAAGCTGTGCCCTGCAGACACTAGTGATGGAGGCAGCAACTTCAGGGATATATCATCCAAGGATATAATCTCCCCATGTGGAGATTCTCATTTACACTGCCAACCTTACAGTGACAGTGGGTTTTCTTTAAAAAAGCAAAAACAAATATATTGAACACCAAAGTCAATAGATAGAAAGCTGTAACATACAATACAAAAATAAAGTTTTTAAAAGACAAAATGTTTTTAAAAATAGAATAAATCCTGAGTGTTAGATCTGCTGGTCATTCTGAAAGGATGACCTTCTTTAATAACCCTTTAATTTTTTTATTTTATGTTTTATCAACAATAAAAATTTAGAGGAAATATATCACCCATAAGATAACTACTAGGATCCCAGGGATAATGGGTGTCCCTTTAATTCATTCCACTTTGGAACATCCCAATGGTTGGTTTAATGACTTTAATGACTTCTGTTTCCAGGGAAGAAGAGTCCTGTTCTTCTCCTCTGCCCAACTTTCATAGTCATTCCTTCAAGTATTTATTGAGCAATTAAAATGTGTTAGGCACTATGCAGAGCTCTGAGAATAAAATTGTGAACCAGGCACTCACTGCTTCTGCCTTCCTAGAATTCAAAGTGTAGAAGGAAAGACAGACATTAATCAAGCAATTGAAATGCAGGGAGTCTAGTTCTAGAAAAGAGAACATAAAGGATCTTGTTAGGGAATGTAGCAGGGATGACTAACTTTGTCCAGTGGGTCCAGATAGGCTTCTCAGAGATTCTACGATTTAAGTTGAGCCTGAAGAGTGTATAGTTAGTAGCCAAGTGAAAAAAGGGAAAAAAAAGGGTAAGAGTGTTTCTGGCAGAGTTGTAGGATATGTGAAAGCCCAGAAGTGGGAGAGGGAAGAAATGGCATAGTCAAGGAAATGAAAGGAATTGACTGGAGCATTGAGTTTTTCTTCCATAAGCTTTGCAAGTAACTACCATTAGCTTTAATTAGATCATAAAGGAGCAGGTTCAAAGAACATTGCTCCAGTAATAACGTATGCTCAGATACATTCAGCTCATAGGAAGTAAGAAGACTGGAACACTCAGATAATCTCCTGGATAGTTTTAACTATATTTATGTATTCATTTTGCATTTGGATTATGTTCCTTTGACCTCTTAAGAAAGGTGATGTGAATACTATTCATGCCTCACATTTCTTAATTAAGCACTGGCTTATTTTCTGAGCCACGTTTAAAAACTGAAAATGGCAAATACCTAAAAATACATCTTATCACAGACATGTGAGACTTCTATACTAAAACTGCAAAACATTGCTTAGGAAAATTAAAGCAGGTTTAAGAAAAGAGAGGAATGTACCATATTTATGAATTAGAAGACTTCCTTTTGTTAAGAGGTCAGTACCCTTCAAATTGACCTACAGATTAAATGCAACACCATTCAAAATCCTGCTAGTAAGTAGTAAAGATGACTATAAACTTATATAGAAATACAAAGGGCATAGAATAGCCAGGATAATCTTTAAAAGTAAGAACAAAGATAGAGGACTTACATTTACAGATATTAAGGCTGATTATAAAGCTAAACTAATTAAGGCAGTGTGGCATTGGCTAAAGAATGATCCAGTAGATCGATGGAACAGACTACATAGTTCATAAATAATCCCACACATATAAGGTCACTTGATTTATGTTAACAGCATTACTGTAATTCATTGGAGAAAATAATGGTCTTTTTAGAAAATTACGCTGGATCAGTTGGATATCTATACAGAATACCAGGAACCCGACCCCTATTTCATATCATACACAAAAATTAACTAGGGCTGGATCATAGACTTAAAAGTCCAAAGACAGAACAATAACTCTTTTAAAACAAAACATAGGTAAATATCTCAATGACCTTAGAACAGATAAAGAGTTCTTAACAGGATGCAAACTGCACCACCATAAAAGAAAATAATAAATTATGTTTTATGAAAATTCAATCTTTTCATTAAAAAACACCATTTAGAAAAGATAAGGACAAACTGCAGAGAGGGAGAAGATATTTGTTACATGTGTATCCAACAAGGGACTTGTATCCAGAACATCTAAAGAAGTTCTACAACTCAAAAAAAAAAAAAGAGAGAGAGACTGGCCGCCACCTCGTGAAAAAATGGACAAAGCATTTGAGCAGATACTTGACAAAAGGAAATATCAAAATTGCCAACATGGTTTCATGTACACCTGTAGAGGTACTTACACTATCAATCATCAGGGAAATAGTAAATAAAACCCACCCAATGGCTAAAATTTAAAGGACTGACAGTATCAAAGGAATGAGAATGTGAAGGAACAGGAACTATCATGCACTGATAGTCGGAGTGTAAACTGGTAGAACCACTTTGGGAAACTGACATTGTCTACTAAAACTCGTATACTTTAAGGCATATACTCAAGGAGAATGAATGTTCATGTAAAACATTCACAAGAATGTTCACGGCAGTATTTTCATAATAGCTGCAACGTGAAAGTAAACCAAATGTCCATGAATAGTAGAAAGGATAAATTAATTGTGGTACCATTCATTCAATAGGATACCATACAGTAATGAAAAAGAACGAACTGTTACTATATTGCAGTACTATGGATGACTGTCATGGGTGTGATGTTGAATGAAAGAAACTAGATATCACAATATATATATGACTTCATTTATATAATGTTTAACATTAGACAAAACTAATTCATGGTGATAGAGATCAGAATATTGGTTATCTTTTTGAGGAGGTATTGACTGGGGATAGAATACAAGGGAGTCTTCTGGAGTGCTGAAAATGTTTGGTATGTTTTTCTGGGTGGTGGTTAATGTGGGTATATACATATTTAAAAGTGTATGGAGCAAAAAAAACTGTATATTTTGCACTTCAGTGTAAGCTAGACCTTAACAACAACAACAACAAAATCTAAGCAGCTGATAATAAGGAGTTTGAGAAGAGGAACGGGGGAATAGAGTCGTAGAGCTTACATGAAAAAAAGCATAGAATAAAGTGAGTTTTAGCAACATGGTTACTTAGAAGCCCTTTAGAAAGAAAAGGACCATATAATCAGGAGTATCTCTGTTGTTTACATATCCAACTTTTTAAGTTCTTTACCATTTCATACATATATCTCCCAGCCCTAAATATTCGGAGAACTCTTTCTGTAAAAATGTGGGAAAAAAAAAAGTTCTCCCTTCCTCAGGAAAGTATATTTAGTATTTGGAAACTCGTTTGGGGAACTAGAACAAAAGGCTAAGAGCACCAGAAGTTCACCAGAGAGTCATCTGGGACTTCTTAGTTCTAATAATTATGCTAAAAGAAAACACTGAAGAATTTTCTAGCAGTTTTCAGATTCATCCCACCACATTTAGCAACACCGCAAAACCGTTCGATAGTTGTTATACAACATTTCTTTACAAATGCGTGAAATGGTATGAAAACGAATTTTGAGAATTTCTGAACACTTTAGTAATCATCCGATGCTGTTGATGACATTCTTGTTGATGGTCAAACTAGTAATGGAAATAATAAATCTTTGGATCACTGTCAGTTGTCTATGGGATTGTTAGACTTCAACCCACTTCCAACATTATAGCTAGAATCCTAAGTCATTTAGCCTCTTCTTAAAGCCTTCCCCACACTGGGTAGGATAGGCTAGGCTAGGTTATGGGACAGAGACACCCACAAGTCTATGACTTAAATCAATAGAAGTTTTTCTTTTGTGTTCCCAGCCAGGCGTCCAGGTTGGTGGGGTGGCTGTCCTCTAAGAAGTCATTTAGAGACTCGGGTGACAACAGCTTTGCAGTCCTTAAAACTTGCCTTTCAGTGTTGCCTGGATGTGGACATCTCAGTCATCCCAAAAAGAGAAAGCACATACAGGAGCCTGTATGGAAGAGTTTTATGGACAAGCCTGGAAGTGATGCAGTTTACTTCTGCTCAGATTCCATTGTAGAGAACTTTGTCCATAGCGACAACCATTTTCAGAGGAGTCTGAAAAATATAGAAGGGCAGATGGATTTGGGTGGAAAGCTAGCAGATTCCACCATAAGAGCACCTGGTCATCATGCTAAAACGCTGAAATGCTGTCAGGCCTATGATGACAAAAGGAGCCATCACTGACACCAAGCGTTACTGGATCAGGTGTGTACAAAGAACCCAGGATCCACATTTTCCAGAGCAGAGCAAATTAGAATAAGGTAATTTCCAGCAGGAAGGAGCAAATAAATGGTACAGCAATATATAAAATCTTAACACAGAAAATGTTTTAAAGATTTAGACTAATGGGAAATTGAAGCAGCTGGACAAGCTTCCTTCTTGGCACACAATTACTGCAGCAATGTCTTCTTTTTTAAAAAAAAAAAAAAAAGACCACACCAAGTGACAGAATGTTAGTCATCAGACTATAAAAATAGAAGCTACAGACCCAAAGCACAAGATGATGTATATTTCTGTGCAGCAGGTTAAAAATTATTTGACTAGCATTTTTAGCACCTACTATCAGTACTGGGGCAACAAAATCAAGATATGGTTTCTGCCATACCCTCCCTGAGGAATGTAGAAAACAGTCAATTAAAATACAGTGACCATTCAATGTGATAAGTGTCTTGTGAGGTAATAGAGGTATATAACGAACTGCTTTCAGAGCCTGAAAGTGGAGCATCTAAGATCAGACTTTGGGAATCAAGATATGTGCTTCCTAGAAGGTATGGCACAAGCTGAATTTTGAAGGGCCAGTGAAGGAGAAACAACGTGACACCAATGGGAACAACATGGAAGGGGATGAACACTGGGAACTTACAAAAGGAAGGAACTTACAAAGATGAAACTGCTTGATGAGCTGGAAGATTGTAGATAGTTTAGTTTTGCTAGAGAAAAGAATGTGAAAGAAGCCAAAGATGGAGGTAGAGAAGTGGGCCAGGGCCAGATCATGAAGGTCCTGTGCTCACATTCCAGAGTTTGCATTTACCCTGGATGTCTGGGAACTGCTGAAAGTGCTGTTAATGCATCAGTCTTTTGAGATGCTTCTGAACACCGATATCAACCACACTTTGGTATTCAGTGACAGCATAATGGATCCATAAAGGGAAGGACCTGATCTTTTTCCCCATTCACTCTATTCAGGACCCACTATAGAGTGAATAAATACTATCTCCCTAACAGAATTACTTTCTGCAATTCAGTTCACCTGTTAATTTATTGGTTGATTTGTGGATGTGAGTTGTGTTTACTTACAGTGACTGGCCATCAATAAGCATAATAAAACTATACTGTACTATAAAATACAAGTAGGTTTAGCTTAGGCAGCCAAGAGACAGAAGCAAATTCTTCAGCTTTTCACATAGCACATAGATCAAAAGAAAGATTAATAAAAATAAAAGTAATAAAAAATAAAGGAAATACCAATGGGATAAAAATATTGTAGACCTTTACTGAAGAATTTCTGCTGAAATATGTGCTTCTCAGATTAGAGAGAAATTGATAAAAGGGTGCCCTGGGCTCAGTCTTGTGACCTAATGCTTCCACTAATGACCTGAAAGAGGAAGTGAACCCAGTTAGCTGTTTTCTGATGACAGAATTGCTTCCTTAAGTTAAAAACAGAAAACAGAAAAAAAAAATTCACCAGCTGAGCAAACATTAAGAATGTTGGAACAATGTAAAAACTGACCAAATTAACCTGAAATGTATCTACATATTATAAACTACACGATTGTGAATAATTTTGACTGTATTTGACTTGCCATGGGCTCGAAAATAGAAGACCTTTTTCTCTGTGATCATACATCAACGGATGTAATTACATAGTGGGTAATAGTTTGTATTTTAAAATAAGAAGCCAAAAATCAAATTTTGTATGCATTAGAATATTTTCATGTAATAAATTAACAAAGTGATAAGGAAAGAGAGTAGTAGACGAAGTGCTGACACTCCATTTTGGGTAATATAAAGTTAATCTCGCTGTTCGGAGATTTGGTGTAATTGAGGAGGTAAAGTGGTTTAGTGAAATGAGCAGGGGCTTTCACATCCTGGCTCCACCCCTGCCAGTTGAGTGCTTAATGTTTCCGAAACCTGCTTTCCTTCTTTGTGAAATAGAAATACAGTACCACAATTATGTTGTAGGTACATTGTGAAAGTCAAATGAGAATATGTGCATGTATGTATGACATCTAATCAGTAAGTGGTGGTGGTGGTGGTAAGGACGAGGGATGGTATCTGAGAAAGCCTGAGCAGTAATTCAGCAAACAGAGCATGTTGTGCCCTGTTGAAGAGCAGTACTATGTAGTGGGAAAAGCAAGGCCTGAGGAGTGATTTGTTCACTCATTCTGCTATCGTCTCTTCATTTACTCATTGTTGTGCATGCCTGCTGCCCACGAGGCACAAAGCCTTAGCCTTAGAAAATTGAGTGCTGTGGTTTCCCCCTTCGTGCAGCTTAGAGTCTGGAGGGTAGCTGAGCACACACAGGATCAGGTGGCACTTACCACGGTTTTGTCTCATAAGGGCGTCTGCAAAGTGCACTGACTGCAGAGAGGAGGAAGCTGCTAACTCTGCTGAGGGGCATTACAGGAAAAGGTTCTCAGAGGAGCAAACCCTTAAGCGGAAACTTAAAAGATGAGTGAGAATTAACCATGTGGACCAAAAGGAAGAGGGCTTTCCAGGCAGAGGCAGTACAGAAGCACGTGGATGGGATTGGCCTGCTGTAGCTCAGCATGCATGAAGGATAAGGTGCCTGGAAGGTAACATGGGAAAGGAGACCTCTGGACTAAGGCAGGCAGGCAGGGCCTGGGTGCAAAGTTTGTGTTTCGTACAAGAGGAGACAACATCCAACCCCAGTCCTGGCATTTCTACACACTGGCTGTTTGCTTTTAGGAACGGTACTTTGTACCTAAGCTTTCTCCTCTGTAAAATGAGGGGAGTTGCAGAATGAAACAGTTGTAAAACAGGAGGCCCTCCATAAGTGTTCACTTCCTTTTTCTCCCCTTTGCCGTCCATGGAACCAAAGACTGACGAGGCAGGAGCGGGGGATAAACAAGGGAGAATCACAGCTCTCTTCCTTGGAAACTCCGAAAAGTGGATTATGCTAGGAGTGCCCAATTCTCCTGAATCATCGTTGAGATAATTATTTTGAGATTTTGATCCAGTACAACATTTGATATATTCCTAGAAAATGACCATGAGGCATTGGTGTGCTCTGTTTTTCTAGGTGGCTTTTGAACCCATAATCCCCGTTTGATTTTTGTTTTGTTATCAGAACATGTATAAACCTGAACTTCTGAAGAGCAAGTAGGGAAAAAGTTTGGTGGCTTTTCCACTATTATCTGAAAATGAGTATCTGAATGAAGGTTGCATGCCATGTTTTTATAAATCAGTTGAAATTGTGTCAGCTGCATGTGTGGTTTATTCAGGTGGATATAAAGAAAAAAACCCTTATCTTAAACAGTTTTCATGCATGCGAAGGGAGTATTATCTGGATGATTCAATTTAAACTCCTATAAATTCAGCAGAGATGTAGCTGGAAAACCTAATGTTGTCACTGCTTATTTATTATCACTGAATTGTTGGAGTTTAAAATGAATGTTTAGGAGGAAATGAAGTAAAATGACAACCACATCTTCCTTGTTTTTGGCAAAATACTGATGATTAACCGTCTTAGCCACAGCATTAAACATACAGATTCTTCCCTCTTTTTCCTCTCCTTTTGCTTCTTTATTGACTTCAACTTCCCTGTCCCTGAAATCTCTCTACCCTGCTCCCTCCTTGAGCAAGGTTAAGCATCAGCTTGGCCAGCCCACTCTGTGCCCCTCCCCGCTTTATCCCCCACATTCTTTTCAACCTCTCACTCAGCCCCACCTCGTTTTCCTTACCTCAAGTGCTGAACCTGACAAGCACATGAGATGATCCTTTCTCTCTTTTGCCCTCCAGATGGTGGAATTTTTGTCTCCAAGGCCCTGTTTAACCACCCATTCCTCTCTTTCTCTTAGCAGTGGAACGTGTATTTCTCCCTGGCCTTGGTTTAAAGTCTTTCTCACTCATTCTTCGGTTTCTTTCCCCTACTATTCAGGTGTAATTCTCTTCAGCGCAATGGTAGAATGATGCTGCCAAGAGTGGACGTGTTTGTGTTTCCCGCATTAAAGAGTATGAATTGTCTCATTTGTCTCTCTCTCTGTTTTTTTTTTTTTTTTTTTTTTTTGAGATACAGTCTGGCTGTGTCACCCAGGCTGGAGCACAGTGCAAGTGATCCTCCCGCCTCAGCCTCCTGAGTAGCTGGGACTATAAGTGCTCACCACCACACCCAGCTGATTTTTTTATTTTTTTGTAGAAACCCGGTTTTGCCACGTTGCCCAAGCTGGTCTGAAACTCCTGAGCTCAAGCGACCCACCTGCCTCAGACTCCCAAAGTGCTGGGATTACAGGCGTGAACCACCACGCCCAGCTTTCATTTTTTTTCTTGCCATCTTGGGGGAAATTCTCACACTATAATGTGGGGGGCAACTTTATATGCACATTTAAAGCTCATTCATTTCTAGTGCACTAGGTTCGTTATAAAAGCATACAGAAAAAATGTATATATAAATGAGTTTTCTGTGGCTGCTTATTACTACAACTATTTATATTGTCATAGGTACCTTTTCAAAAGTCAGTTTTTCAATCACCCATTAAGTCAGATTAAGAGGAAAGATCATGTTCTCTATTTGTTGATGAACTTACAAAACATGTAAAACAGACGGGAAAAGAAATACATAATTAAAGAGACTGACCACATTTCCTAGAACAAGCCACGCATACTCCATTCCCAGGGCCTTTGTGCTCACTCTTCTTTCTGCTGAGTCTTCTTCCCCCTGAGATCGGTATGGTTTGCTTCCTCATTTCCTCCAGGTCTCTGCTCCAATATCACCTTCTCAGAAAGTCTTTCCAAGACTATTCCATATGAAACAGAATCCTCTACTACCCCTCCAAACCCTGCACTCATATCTTTCTTACAATGCTTTATTTTCACCAACAGACAATATGTTTACTTTTGTTATTTATTGTCCAGTTTCACCCACTACAACATAACCATCATGAAAGCAAAGACTTTGCTTTATTCTCTGCTTATCTCCAGCACCGAGAGCTATAGGTGTTCAATTATATTGCTTGGGAGGAGGAAGAGAGGGAAGAAAGGAATTAAGAAGTAAGTAATGGTGTCAGGAAAATTAAAACCTGGAATGGCCTGAGGTTTATGAAACATCTTAATAACAACAAGGCTGTTGTGAGCATGAAATAGTACCTTGGAAAGACAGGCCTGCTACTGGAAACAGATTATATTCCTTCTTCATTTATTAGTTGGAATGCTTCAGCAATGAATAACTCCCTTGTCAATTATCCGGTCGTCCTGAAGCACAGACAGTTTGATAGGATATGCAGGATAAATGTTTGTTTCTTTTTCTTTGTCAAAATATTGAATTGGTTCATTAGCATTCTCTACAGGTGCCCAGTGAGGGTTTTGTTTGTTTGTTTTTCTGTTGATTTGTTCATTTGCTTGTTTTTAAGTATTATTATGAACTCATAGATTTGGATATATTTGATGTGTTTTAATCGTTGCCAATATTAACTTCATTGATGCTCACAATGTCTCATTTTTGGCTAGTGGGAGTCTCTTAGGTTGACTCCTGAGTCCTTTTGACCCCAGTAATAGCCTTCTTTGCTTTCTGGTACAACCGAATATTTCAGAATCATCTTATGTATTTCCTTCCCTAGTCCTGGAATCAGCAGTTTTGTCAAGGAGCCCTGGTTACTTAGAGAGGGGACATGATAGTCAGAGGCCGTGACCTCATTGCTTCTAAGTTAGCCGTTACTTGTAGACCTTTACAGTGAACAGAGCCAGAAAATGCATTTTAAATGATTAAATCTTAATAGGGAAAGCAAAGAAAGCAAAGCAACTAAGCCCCTATTTTACTTTCACCTCCGTTGTCAGTGATATTTAAACTGGAAATGATAGAAAGATTTTAGGGAAAAATTGAAGCTCAATCTATGAAAGGAGCAAATGTGTGCTAGTTATATTTAAATACATTTAGTCACCAGACTAAGATGAATTATGTCTCAGAAAGAACTCATGTATGCAAGCACAGTAATACTGCCAGTGACATTTGAGAAATCAGAGGTGCCAGAAATTGCGTAACAAGAAAATATTGTCCTATTTTTAAAAGAGAATTTTAAAACTTGAAAATTGAATGTACTAAATTAAACTGTGTTCTTAACCAAATCTAGAACTGATCACTTCTAGATGGTTTATAAGCAACTTAGAAAAAACATGTGATTATTTCAAAGCAGAATGAGTTTATTTTAAATCTAACACCAGACCAACCCTATTTATTCTTGTTATATTTTGTAAGTCTCATAGTCATCTCTATAGATATAAATGGAGTAAAGTGAGTTATAGATTGGATTTTTTCAAAAGCAAGATCTAGCTCTATGCTGTCCATAGCAC
This sequence comes from Homo sapiens, assembly GCF_000001405.40. Classification (NCBI taxonomy): domain Eukaryota; kingdom Metazoa; phylum Chordata; class Mammalia; order Primates; family Hominidae; genus Homo; species Homo sapiens. The sequence goes on along the minus strand of NC_000007.14, from coordinate 8,172,479 downwards.
ACACCTTAAATGTAAAGAAACAGATTTATTCAAAACAAAAGGATAGATTAATATATAGCCTGCAAATTCTAATCAAAAGAAATCTGAAGTGGCTTTATTCATATCAGACAAAAACATACTTCAGCACAAGGACTATTACCAGAAATAAGGATATTTATTGAAGATAATAGGGTCAATTTATAAAAAGGATATAACAATCCCAATGTTGTCTACAACTGATAATAGAATATAAAAATAGAATAAGAACTTAAAGGAAAAATAGACAAGTCTACAATAATAGTTGAAGATTTCAACACTCATCTTTCAGTAATTAATGGAAGAAATAGACAGAAATCAATAAGGATATAGAAGACTGTCAGCTACCTTGACTTCATTGACATTTACAGAATGTTCCATTCAACATCACAGTATATGTTCTTTTCAAGTGCACATGAAACATTCACCAAGATAGACTGTGTTTAGGTTTATAAAACAGGTCTGAATAAATTTTTAAAAATCAAAATTATGCAAAGTAATCTAGTTATGACAGAATTAAACTAGAAATCAGTAACAAATATATATCTGTAATATCCCCTGAATAATTGGAAATTCAACAATATTTATCCAAATAACTTGTGGATTAAAGAAGATGTCACGAGGGAAATCAGGATATATTTTGAAATAATTGAAATCAGAACACAACATATCAAAATGTGTGGGATACAGCTAAAGCAATGTTTAGAGGGAAATTAAAACCATTAATTATTAGAAAATAAGGAAGTTCTCAAATCAATAATATAAATTTTTATCTTAAGAAACTAGGAAAAAAGAACAAATTAAACCTAAGTACACAGAAGACAGTAATTAAGAGCAGGGGCAAATGAAACCATAAACAGAAAACAATAGAGAAATCAAAAGCTGGCCTTTTGAAAAGATCAATAACATTGATAACCTATAGTCAGATTGGTCAGAAACAAAAGAAAGAAGACATAAATCATTAATACTTAGAATTAAGGAGGACATTACTATAGACAGTACAGGCACTAAAAGAATAATAAATATTATGAACAACTTTAAGCCAACAAATTTGATAACTCAGTGAAATGGACAAATCCCTTTAAAGACAAGCTACCAAAATTCACTCAAATAGAAATAAATAACATGGTAGCCCTATATCTATGAATAAATCATATTTGTAGTTAAAAATCTTTCTACAAAGGAAACCTCAGTTCTATATGGCTTCACTCATAAAATGTGCCAAACATATACGGAAGAAATAATATCAACTTTACATAAACTCTTCCAAAAAAATGAAAGAGGAGTGAACACTTCCCAGTTCATTTTATGAGGGCAGAGTTACCCTAATAGCAAAACCAGAAAAAGATATTATAAGAAAAGCAAACTACAAGCTAATGTCCTTCATGAACATAGACAAGAAAAATTATTATCAAAATATTAGCAAAAGGAAATGATGATGGGGTTTCTTTTTGGATTGATAAAAATGTGCCAAAATTGATTTGGTGATGATTACACAGCTCTGGGAATATACTGAAAATGATTTAATTGTACACTTTAAATATGTGAATTGATGTTTCCTCCTAAGATCAGGAACAAAATAAATATGCTTTCTCACATAAACTTCTGTTCAACATTAACATAGCCAATATAATAAGGCAAGAAAAATAAAAGACATATAAATTAAAACAGAAGTAAAGCTGTCTTCATTCTTGGACAGCATGTGTACATAGATGTATCCACATGAATTTTTATGGAAAATTCTAAGGAATCTCCAAAAGAACTTTTAAAGCTAATCGTTGAATTTTGCAAGGTCACAGTATACAAGCTGAAGTTATAAAAATTAATTATATTTCTAGTAATGAACAATTAGCAATTGAATTTTTTAGAAATTATAATAGCATCAAAATATGAAATGTTTAACAATAAATTTAACAAAATATATGCAAGACCTGTGCACCAAAATCTACCCAAAAAGTGCCAAGACAATTTAAAAATCCAATAAATGGAGAGAGAGAATGCATTCCTGGGTCAGAAGATATTAAGATGTCAATTGTTTCCAATAAATCTGTAGATTCAATGCAGTCCTAATAACCCCCCAAAGGCTTTTTTGTAGAAATTGACAAGCTGACCCTAAGATTTGTATAGAAATGTGATGTACCTGGAATGGGCAAAACAATTTCAAACAAGAACAAAAGAGTAAGATTTATACTACATGATTTCAAGACTTACTGTAAAGTGACAGTAATCGAGACAGTGTGGTATTGGCATAAGGACAGACATATAGATCAGAATAATAGAAAGTCCAGAAATAGACCTACACAAAAGAGCCAAGTTAAGGCGGTTTTTCAAGAAGTGGTGCTTGGACTATTGGGTATCCGTATTGAGGAAAAACAAAATGAGCCTACATCTTTGTCCCACACCATGTGTAAATGTGAACTTGAATCAGATCTCAAGTCTAAATGTAATAGCTAAAAATACTACATTTCTAGAAGAAAAAGTGCAGGAAAACAGTCTTTTAGACCTTAGATTAGGGGAAGGTTTGTTCAGGCATTAAAACACACACACACACACACACACACACTCAGGCATTAAAACACACACACACAACCATAAAAGAAAACTTGGTAAATCAGACTTCATCAAAATTTAAAACGTTTTTATTTCAAAAGGCACTATTAAGAAAATGAAAGGCAAGTTCAGACTTAAAGAAAATGTTTTCAAATTTAGTCTGATAATGAATTTGTATTTAGAACATATAAAGAACTCTTAAAATTCAGTAATAAAAAGATAAACCCATTTTTAAAATAGGTGAAAGATTTGAATAGACACATTACTAAAAATATATGTGGCAAATAAGATATGAAAAGAAGTTCAATATCATTAGTCATTAGAGAAATGCAAATTAAAATCACAATAATTATGACTATAATGGCTTGAATTTAAAAGACCGAAAATGCCAAATGTTAATGAGGATGTGGAGCAAATAGAACTTGTATTCATTGCTGGTAGGAATACAAAATGATGCAGTTACTTTGGAAAATGGTTTGGCAATGTCTTATAAAGTTAAGCACACACTTACTGTATGATTTAGCAATCCTGCCCTTAGACATTTACCAAAGAGAAATGAAAAATGTGTTTACACAAAGACTTTTGCTCAAATATTTATAACAGCTTTACTCAAAATCACCAAAAATTGGAAACAATAAACAAAAGAGCCAAAAAATTGATGTACAAGTAACAGTATATTCATACAATTAAATACTACTTGAGAAATAAAAAAGAACACACTACTAATACATGCAACAACACTTATCTCAGAAAGGATTGTGCTGAGTGAAAGAATCCAGCCACAAAAAAAGACTATAGACTACTTGGCATAATTCTATTTATATGAAACTGTAGAAAGACAAATATAATCTATAGTGACAGAAGTCAGATTAGTAGTTGGCAGGAGCTGGGACTTGAGGGAAGGAATTGACTACAACGGGAACTTTTAGGAATATAGAATGTCTTATATCATGATTGTGGTCATAGTTGCATAACTATATACGTTTGTTCAAAAATTCATAGAATTGCACATCTGAAATTAAATTGTAGCTCAACAAAGCTGCTTAAAAGTAATGATGATGAAGATGATGATATGATAATGAAGGAAATAGAGGCATCATCTCCAAGGTGCACAATAAACAGATACCCTCTCTGCATACTTTTCCCCTAAAAACAGGGAATCCACTGACCACAGTGCACTTGAGGGAATTTGATGGGCTAATTTCTTTCTACTGCGTTGAGAAGCCTGAGCTAAAGAAACTTAGCAAGATTTCTGATAATAGAAGCTCTGTTCAGGCTATGTGGCTTGAAGTTTCCCTATGCCTACTTTGAAACTGATAAGATCAACATTGTTGACCAGGGGTTCTTGAGATGGTATCTAAACATTTTGTGCACATCTCAGAATACTGTCAGTCACGTGGTCAATGGTGGTAGATTTGTGACCCTGTGTCCCATGGTTTAAAGAGCATGGATTATACAACCAAATACACCTGAGTCTGGATCTGATATTTATTTGTCAGATGAGTATCTGGGTCTCGATTTCCTCTTCTGTAAAATAGGGATTTCCCAAACAAATGTTATGGCATGTAATAGGTGGTATCTGATAAATGGAAAGGGTTCTGTGTTTCTAAAATAAATTTTGGAAACACTGGAGTAATCAAAGTTAAAAAGAAACCTTTATCATGAAACTTCTTAGATCCTTTCATATGAATTGCTAAGCAGGCAAAAGTAAGCAGCCTGTGTCTGTGCTATCCGGATTCCACAAAACAGAAATTCCTCTTGATTCATTGAGGCAAGCAGAGGAGTTAATTAGAAATCCCATGTGACCATAGGAAAAGCAACTGGATCCAGAAACTTTAGTGCTACTAGGTCTCTCAGTCTCTCCGTCTCTCTCTCTCTCTCTCCCTCTTTTTCTCTCTCTGCTCTCTCCCCCCTGTTTTTCTTTGTAGGCCACCTTTGTTCTCTCAGACCAATGTTCCTTACACCACAAGAAATTTAAATGGCAAGATTGTCTGCCCCTAATGCTTTAGCCAACAGAGAAGGAAGGAGACTTTTTCACTCTAGCTCCAGGTTCAGAAATCCTAAGGAAGGGCTCTGATTCACCCAGCTTTGATCAGGTGCCGTTCACTGAATTAGCCAACCACAGTGCATTATGATTAATTCAACTTGGGTAAAGATGTCCATCCCTGGTCTAGTCAGTGGAATTTGGCCTATAAAAAGGCTTGCCACCCCCCATTTAAACCACGTTATTAAAGTAAAGAGAAGAAAATTGTTTTGTTTGTTTAATAATGCTTTTTTTTAACATTTATTTTAGGTTCAGGGGTACAGGTGCAGGTTTGTTATTTAGGTAAATTACATGCCGGGGGGTTTGGTGTACAGATTATTTTGTCACTTAGGAAATAAGCATAGTAGCTGATAGGCAGTTTTTTTATCCTCACCCTCTTCCCACCCTCCACCTACCCGCAAGTAGGCGTTGGTGTCTGTTGTTCCCTTCTTTGTGTCTATATGTACTCAATATTTAGCTTCTACTCTAGGTGAGAACATGCAGTATTTGTTTTTCTGTTCCTGTGTTAGTTCACTTAGGATAATGACCTCCATCTGCATCCATGTTGCTGCAGAGGACATGATCTCATTTCTTTTTATGGCTGTGTAGTATGCTATGGTGCATATGTACCGCATTTTCCTTATCCACTCTACCACTGGTGGGTGTTTAGGTTGATTCCATATCTTTGCTATTATGAATAGTGCTATGATGAGCACATGTGTGCATGTGTCTTTATGGTAGAATGATTTACATTCCTTTGGATATATTCCCAATAATGGGATTGTTGGGTCAAATGGTAATTCCTTTTTAAGTTCTTTGAGAACTCACCAAACTGCTGTTCCCAAAGGCTGACTAATTTACATTCCCACCAGCAGTATATACACATTCCTTTTTTCTGCAGCCTCACCAGCATGTCATTTTTTGACTTTTTAATAGCCATTCTGACTAGTGTGAGATATATCTTACTGTAGTTTTGATTTCATTTCTCTATGATTAGTGATGTTGAGCATTCTTTTCATATGCTTCTTGGCCATGTCTTCTTTTGAATAGTGTCTGTTTATGGTTTTGGCCTGTTTTTTAATCAAGTGGTTTGTTTTTTGCTTGTAAATTTAAGTTACTTATAGATTCTGGATATTAGACCCTTGCCAGATACATAGTTTGCAAATATTTTCTCCCATTCTGTAAGTTGTCTTTTTTCTCTGTTGATAGTTTCTTTTGCTGTACAGAAGCTCTTTAGTTTACTTTGGTCCCATTTGCCAATTTTTGCTTTTGTTAAATTGCTTTTGGCATTTTCGTCATGAAATCTTTGTTAGGTCCTAGTCCAGAATGGTTTGTCCCAGGTTATCTTTCAATGTTTTCATAGTTTTAGTTTTTTCATTTAAGTCTTTAATTCATCTTGAGTTGATATTTTTGTATGGTGTAAGGAAAGAGTCCAGTTTCAGTCTTCTGCATATGCCTAGCAGTTATCCCAGCACCATTTATTGAATATGGAGTCCTTTCTCCATTACTTGTTTTTGTCGACTTTGTTGAAGATCACATGGTTGTAGGTGTGTGGCATTATTTCTGGGCTCTCTATTCTGCTCCACTGGTCTACGTGTCTGTTTTTGTACCCGTTCCATGCTTTTGCCTTATGTGCATATAGGCCCACAGAGAAATCTAGCCCTAAGAAGTAAATTGAAGGTTCTTTTCATGATAGGCCATTATTAATAATTACGTTTTACTGGTAATTAATAACACCAATATGCTGTTTTGGTTACTGTAGCCTTGTAGTATAGTTTGAAGTCAGGTCATGTGATACCTACTGCTTTGTTCGTTTTGCTTAGGACTACGTTGGCTATTTAGGCTCTTTTTTTGGTTCTATATGAAATTTTAAAATAGATCTTTCTACTTCTGTAACGAATGGCATTGGTAGTTTTATAGGAATAGCATTGAACCTGTGATTGCTTTGGGCAGTATGGACATTTCAACAATATTGATTCTTCCTATCCATGAGCATGGAATATTTTTCCATCTGTGTCATCTCTGATTTCACTGAGCAGTGTTTTGTAATTCTCACTGTAGAAATTTTGCACCTTCCTGGATAGCTGTATTCCTAAGTGTTTTATTCCTTTTGTGGCTATTGTGAATGGGATTGCATTCTTGATTTGGCTTTCAGCTTGGTTGTTGTTGGTGTATATAAATGCTGATTTTTTTTATAATTGATTTTATATTTTAAGACTTTGCTGAAGTTGTTTATCAGATCAAGAAGCTTTGGGAAGAGATGATGGGGCTTTCTGGGTATAGAGTATTATTATCTGCAAACAGGGATAGCTTGACTTCCTCTCTTCCTATTTGGGTGCCTTTTCTTTCTTTTCTTGCCTCATGGCTCAAAGCTAGGACTTCCAATATTATGTTGAATAGGAGTACTGAGAGAGGGCATCGTTGTCTTGTTCTGGTTTTCAAGGGGAATGCTGAGAAGAAACATTTTTTCAATGAGGTAAGGATATCGTTGAGGGGAGACCAAAAATAGATCCTGAAGTCTACTGTTGGCTGCCCACACACATGTGTGGTGCACACACATTCACTTACACATACTTCTTTGCATAATAAAATATGAAAATTGCTTCTGCCATGAGTGGATGCATATATGATAAATGAAGTAACATAAATTGTTAATTAAAGGAAGTGTTAATTAAAGGAATTCAGCAAAATTCTTGGTTATTTGGCCCTCGAGAGGTCTTGGTTCATCAGCCTCGGATGAAAAGATCCTCTTTTAATGAAGCCAAATAAATATCTGACCTTCTGTTTTGGGGTGTTTGTTTGTTTGTTTTTGAGACAGGGTCTTACTGTCACCCAGGCTGCTTCTGGAGTGCAGTGGCATGATCACAGCTCACTGCAGCCTCCACCTCCTGGGCTCAGGCAATCCTCCCACCTTAACTCTCTGAGTAGCTAGGACTACAGGCAGGTGCCACCAGCCTGGCAAATTTTTGTATCTTTTGTAGAGATAGGGTTTTGCCATGTTGCCCAGGCTGGTCTTGAACACCTGGGCTCAAGCAGTCCACCCATCTCAGCCTCCCAAAGTACTGGGATTACCAGTATGCAGCACTGTACCCAGCCTGACCTTCTGTTTTTGAAGTGACTTCAGATGGGCTGGCTTAGACTTTCTCCTGTGGCACCTTATTAAAGGCCAAAAGAAGTAATTGATATATTCAGTGATCTTAAAATTTTCCCTGAATGCAGGATGTTGCCTCAGGGGAAAATAGGGGTGAACAGATCCAGTTAATGACGGAGGAGTATTAGAGCTGATTGGGGAAGAAGGCCAAGATTTCTGATGTGGTCTGAGGTGTCCATGAGAAGTTGATGTGAGTAGAACTGGCTGGTGGAAAGGCAAGCTAGACAATAACATTAAGTCTGGGGTAGTCAGGTACAGAGGAGTCATCCTCCACACCCCAGCACTCAACCCCTCACCAGGGCCTGCTTTGCCTCTTAAGTGTCTTTTGGATCAGAGCAGTATTTTCCATAACCAGCATCACTATCCAAATCTAAACTACTAACATCTTTCCTCTTGACTCCAGATCTATTCTTTTTTTTTTTTTTTTTTTTTTTTTTGAGACGGAGTCTCGCTCGGTCGCCCAGGCTGGAGTGCAGTGCGACGATCTCAGTTCACTGCTACCTCTGCCTCCCAAGTTCTAGCGATTCTCCTGCCTCAGCCTCCTGAGTAGCTAGGATTACAGGCGTGTACCACCACACTATCAAATTTTTGTATTTTTAGTAGAGACGGGGTTTCACCATGTTGGCCAGGCTGGTCTCAAACTCCTGACCTCGGGTGATCCGCCCACCTCAGCTCCCAAAGTGCGGATTACAGGCATGAGCCACTGAGCCCAGCCCAAATCTATTCTTATCTACCTTCAACTCTCTCCTTCAGTCCATCTCCCACTGCAGTGAGTAATCTTTCAAACTGAAAATAGGATCCTCTCTCTTCCTTGCTTAAAAGCCTCCAGTGTTTTTCTGCTATTCCAGGATAAAAATTAAAATCCTGAGCACGCCAACAAGGTGCTGCTCCAGGATGTGCCCCAACTCACCTCTCTGCCTCATCTCATCCCACCCTCCTGCTCGTTCTGAGCAACGCAGCTACACTGACCTACTCTCAGCTCTAGGACCTGCTTTATTGTCCTCCACCCCACAACCCTTGCACACACTTTTCCTTCCACTGGACTTCTCTCCCTCCTTGCATAGTTAATCATGCTAGTCCTTCAGAGTAGAGGTTGAGCACCATGTCCTCGGAGGACATCCTCTGGGTCAGATTCCTTGGTCAATCATTCTTGAGGGACTATGTGACTTTCCTTCTGAGTACCTCACTCAGTTCATAGTTACACCTTCGCTGATCTGAAATATACCCAATGTACTATCGATTCCATTTGTGCCGACTGCTACCAGCATATAGAAGATACTCAATAAGTATTTGCTGAATGAATGGATTTAAGGCCAGAGCTATCTCCTATAAGAAGATATAAAAATGAGAGTAGAATCATTGTTTTATTTTATAAGGTTAATAAAACTCTTAGAAAAATGCAAAACTACTGTCATATTATTGGTTGTAGAATAATAAAGACCTTTCCACTGGATAGAAAAGCCAGATTGAACTGAAAGTACGAATAGCTTTGGCTTCACCATGCGTTGTTCAATTTGGGGCTAAGAGTTAGAATTTCAGGTTAGAAGGAATAAGTACAGAGAAGGGCTCTGATGTTTTGCCAGTCAAATCATTGCTCCTTTCTCTGGTAAACTGAATTGCTGTGGCCTGAGGAAGACAGAACCCAGACTAAGGAGGCTCTAAAATACATGGCCATTAGACTAGGCGCAGTGGCTCATAGCTGTAATCCTAGCACTTTGGGAGGCCAAGGCGGGCGGATTTTCTGAGGTCACAAGTTCAAGACCAGCCTGGCCAACATGGTGAAACCGTATCTCTACTAAAAATACAAAAATTAGCCAGGCGTGGTGGCGCAAGCCTGTAATCCCAGCTACTAGGGAGGCCGAGGCAGGAGAATTGCTTGAACCCAGGAGGCAGCGGTTGCAGTGAGCCAAGATCGCACCACTGCATTCCAGCCTGGGTGACAGAGCGAGACTCCATCTCTAAATAAATAAATGACCATTTCCTACAACTTGGAGAATAAGAGAAGATAGATGGGGTAACAGAAATAAAACTAAGAAATAAAGGGTACATTTATTTGAGTGAAGAAAATTTTAAAAGGGCCTTCAAAACCACAGGAGCTCCTCAAGATATTTATGTAATAGAATATAACTTATCTAGGGTTGAGAGGAATAATAATCAAGACGTTTGTCACTTAAGTGCATCTGGAGGCATATGAAATTAGACTCTTGATAGTGGCCTATGCTTGGCTATGTCCTTGGTGTTTTAACCTCAGGCTTCAGGCTGGAAATGTGTTTTCTAGAGCAGACATGGAGCACAAAATATTAAATGAACTTTGCTGTATTCAAAACGCCCAACAGTGTAGCATCCTCCCTGTTTGGCAGGGAAAGGGCTCAGCATTTGGAAACTCAGCAGTGCATTAAGTATTTTAATAATCATTGTTGACATACAAAGCATATGGCCTTTCAGAATCATTGGGTCAAGTGTTGAAGTTGTCTTCTAGGTTTCTAAAATTACCTTACAAAATTCAAACAAAATGAAATTAGGGTACATTTCAAACTACGCTAATTCATGAGCTTTGTGTTATAGCAAGTGAAATAAGTTTTCTCCTAAGATATAAGAGAATCTATGAGTAACTGATTATGTTAACGTAAAGGAAAAAGCAAAATTGACACCCCTGCAGAAAAAGTTAATTCGCATTTCGTTAGAAAATCTAGAGGTTCCATATAAGTAGGCCAGCCTTACGAATACCTTATATTTACTTTGTACCTCCTAGTCATGCCTAAGACCCACCTCAAATATCCCATCATTTCAGAAGCCTTCATTGTCTGTTTCCTTACAGTTTATATCAGTTGTCTATAACCACAATAATGCTGTGAAATAAGCAACCATAACACTCAATGGCTTAAAACAATAAGCATTTCTCATTGCACACAAGGCTATGGTAAGCAGGACCATTCTCGTCTTTGTGGGCTCACTTGTGTCTGTGGTCAGCTGTGGGCAGGGAGGGTCTCTGCTGATAATGGCTGGGCTCCCTCACATATCTCAGAGTCAGCTGGTCAAAGACTGATCTGCTGGGACAACTGGTCTCTCCTCCTCACGTCTCTTGCATGCATATGTTTCTCACCCCCCTCCAGCTGGTCAGCCCAGGCATATTCTGATGGCCCTCTCAAAGAAGCAAGAGAGAAAGTGGAAACAGGCTGGCATTGTTTTGTCAAGCTTACAGTTTCATTACATTTGTTAACATCCCATTGACCAACGCAAGTCACATGGCCGAGCTCAGAGTCAGAGTAGGAGAACACTACAGAGTTACAGGGCAAAGAATGAGAATACAGGGAGGCCATTAGTTAAGGCTTTAATGCCATCATCCTACAACCCCACCCCTCTCTGTTCCACCACCAGCATTAATCATTTCCTTGTCTGTGCTGTCTCTCTGTTCCTCTTAGTTCTATGTTTTTAATTTTCCCATTCTATTATAATATAGTGACTAACTTGTCTGTCCTCCTTAAGAGATGAGGGGGTCTTTATGCTATGTGCATTCATTTATAAATATTTATTGACTCCCTGTTATGTACCTCATTCCTTTACAGCTTTATAGACACCCTAGTTCCTAGCGTTGGTCCTGACACACACCAGGCACTCAGTAAATACGTGTTGAATGAATACATACTTGAAAGCTCCGACTCCCACGTGTATTTTCTTCCCCTTTGTAGGAAAAGGCTGAAGACAGATGCCTTTCAGGACCCCAGCTGAGGCGGCCTTCCTGGCCAGAGCAACCGATGACCAACACAGGGATCTACAGTGAACATCTTCCCCTCCAGACTCCCCCGATTCTCCCCTCCAGAAATTAGGTTTTCTTTTTTCTGCCTTCCTATTCCTCTCAAAGGGAGGCAGGAAATCTCTAACACTTACTCATCCTAGACTCTTTTTATAGTCAGAGCTCCCAGGGAATTTAAACTACTGGCTCTTTGCTCTGCAGTGGAGAACCGTCCAGCTCATGGTATGGTCAGTTTGAAAGGAACTGGGTGGCTACTGATCTTTGATCTTCCCAGATCTGTAGACCAAGAATACAGAAGAAGTCTTAGGACAGTTTTGACATAGCTATAGACACAAGATTCTATTCATACAGAGTATTAATTCTTTCTATCAGTGTAGTGTTCAATGTACTGCCTCATTATTTTCCAATTCCATAGAATCCTTCAGGGAAAACTTGTATTTCTGGGTAGAATCATAATTCTGAGCTTCTTGATTTTCCAGTGAGTAGCCTAAGTTGCTCGGGAGGCAGAATAGCATGGCTTTGGAGTCAGGCCGGCTAATTTAGAATGCCAGCCCTGCCCATGAGTAACTTGCCTTGATGAAGCCTCGCAATCCTCATCAGTAAGAGACAGTAATAACAGCAGCCAAAATAGAATGATGCTGACATGTGATAAGTAAATTGTATTCACTGTTAGATTTAGTTATTATTATATAACATCCTATAATTTTATACATTGTGAATATGTTCATATTAGTGGTGAAAATGAATGTATTTTATATAAAATGATCTATGTATTTATTTTTATTAGAAAATAAAATCATCACTTCTTAAACTACATTAAAGGTTATACTTTAAAATGCATGCAAATACCTCACCTTTTGCAATGGCTTGAAAAATTTCTTTATTCAGCCAACAAATACGTATTCAGTACCTGCTTTGCGCCAGGTTGCTAGGCAATATAATGATGAACAACGTAGACATGGTCCATGCCCTCCTGGTATCCTATGATGAAAGAATTATTAATACATCAGTGTTACTTCCAACTCTCAGTAACCTATCTAGTATCTATAACTTTACGATGATCTGAGATAAATTAATATTTGAACTCATCACACTGAATACACTGAATATGTACAGCTTTTTATATGTCAATCATACCTCAGTAAGGTGGTTTTTGAAAAATTGGCTGGTTTTCTCTAGCCAAAATATGCTGTGTTGACACTATAGATTGAAGGAGGGTGTAATTTTAACTTCATATTTTGTTTTGTTTTTTGGTTTTGTTGTTGGATGTTTATTTGTTTGTTTTTTTTGAGACAGGCTCTCACTGTCACCCAGGCTGGGGTGCAGTGGCACAATCTTGGCTCACTGCAACCTCCACCTCCCACGCTCAAGTGATCCTCCCACCTTAGCCTCCCCAGTAGCTGGGACTATAGGCGTGCAACCCCACACCTTTGTTGTTGTAGAGATGGGGTTTCACCGTTTTGCCCAGGCTGGTCTCAAACTCCTGAGATCAAGTGATCCACCCACCTCAGCCTCCTAAATTGTTGAAATTACAGGTTTAAGCCACTGTGCCTGGCCTTGACCTCACAATTTTCAATGCAGCCGTATCAAGTTGTAAAACTTTCTATTTTGTTATGAAATAATGTGTAAAATAGATGTTTCTGAATCTTTCCCTGACGTTCACTCCATCCCCAAATTCCTGTATGGTTTAAGGATCGATGGAGGATTACTAGTACACGTTACTCAGTAGTAAAAAGTTTCATCCATGGGAATAGTTTTTTTAGGCTGTGTCAAAATTCCCTCCGACGGGATCTTAGATTGGATCCTGGAACAGAAAAAGGACATTAGTGGGAAAACTGGTGAAATCCAAATAAAGTCTGTAGGTTAGTAAATAGGATTGTATCACTGTAAATTTCTTTGTTTTAACAAATGTAGCATGTTCTATAAGATGTTAACACTAGGGGAAGCTGAGTGAAGGGTATGAGGGAACTCAGCTTCTAAAGACTGTAGGAAAACAATGGAGCAAAGCTGATTTCCTCACCACCCTGCTTGTCTCCAGTCTTCTCCCAACCATGATCAGTTTGTGAATGCCTTGAGAAGAAAGGATTTTAACATTAGACTAAGAAAAATAGAATTAGGATGACAAGTGTGCTATAAAATCATAATATGCAGTACTCTCATTTGGCTCCTTTGGAGGTAAAGAATGGATGTTGTAACATCTTCCCATTTGTCTGGAATTTTCAAAAGTCTTTTCATATGTGAAAGAGAAAAGGCCTGCTGTTGGTCTCATTTCACCTGCAAATTTTACCTACTTAAGGGTTAGGGTGATTCAGAAATTCCTCTTTATTTTCATAGGTACAAACACAAGTGCGCCTTGCAAAAAAAAACTTTGACAAATTGAAGATGGATGTTTGTCAAAAAGTGGATCTTCTTGGAGCGAGCAGATGCAATCTCTTGTCTCACATGCTAGCAACATACCAGGTAACAAAATAATGTTTGTTGCAATGAACCAAGGATGGCACAAGGTTTAAATAACATCAAAATGGTGTTTGAGCTAAAAGTAAGCTTTGGCCATTGTGAAGTTCTGAATGCCTTTCCGTAATTTCACTTCCCACATCTCTGCCTTCTAGGGCCCTACGTTTAACCAAACCAAATAGTAGTTATTTCCTGTATATACCATAATTTCCCACTTCTGTACATTTACTTATGGGGTCCCTTCTACCTGGAGTGCCTTTCTCCTCCATCCGTGCCTTTCCAAATTCCATTCTTTTTAATGTACGAGACAGAATGTCACGCCTTTTTCAGTAAGCCTCCTCTGAACTCACTTAGCGTTGTGTCTGTCCATCTCGTGGCATATCTTTCTCATCAGGTTGTCAGTATTCAATGCATTGTTTTTGTTTCCCCTGATAGCCTCTGAGTTCCTTCCGGATAACACTGCATCAACAATGCTACTGAGCACCAACTGAGGGCAGGATGCAGAATGCTGGATGTTGTAGGAAATATAACAGTTAAGACCAGGGCTGGGCACAGTGGCTCTCACCTGTAATCCTAGCACTTTGGGAGGCCGAGGCAGGCGGATCACTTGAGGTCAGGAGTTCGAGACCAGCCTGGCCAACATGGTGAAACCTCGTCTCTACTAAAAAAATACAAAAATTAGTCGGGCATGGTGGTGGGCGCCTGTAGTTTCAGCTACTTGGGAGGCTGAGGCAGGAGAATTGCTTGAACCTGGGAGGCGAAGTGAGCCGAGATCGCACCACTGCACTCCAGCCTGAGCGACAGAGCAAGACTCCATCTCAAAAAAAAAAAAAAAAATTAAGACTAGGTTCCTTGTCTTCAAAGAGCTCAAAGTTTAGGAAGAATCTGGAGATAGTGAAGTCTATTTTTCTATACCTCTAGGACAGAGCAGAGTGTGCTAAGTGAAATAAGTTCTAAGAAAGCCAGTGACAGCTTAAAGAGGGAGAAATAGAATCAGCTGAGGGATTGCAACAGTAGAGCGTTAATTATTTACCCTGGGTTTTGGAGGATGGATCAGATGAGAAAAAGAGAATGGAGAGGAGAATGTCCCAGGTGGTGGGAGCAGCATGAGTTCTGGGAGGCAGCATTTGGGGAAACAGGGAGGCATTTAGTTTGGCTGAAATACAGAGTGTAATTGGGGGCATAATGGGAAGCATGGAAATGAGTTAGAATCATGCTTTAAAGAATCTTCAAAGCTACAGAGAGTCATACTTCCCTGGGGACCAGGACTAGAACTGGGCATTCAAAACATTAATAGCTTTACTGTCTTTCTTTGCAGACCACTCTGCTTCATTTTTGGGAGAAAACTTCTCACACTATGGCAGCCATCCATGAGAGTTTCAAAGGTTATCAACCATATGAATTTACTACTTTAAAGGTATGGAAGCTAGAGGGGCCACTAGAAAATCTTGAGAAAAGTAAAGTTTTGTTTATATCACAAGCAAAGTCCATTGCAGAAAGCATCATTATTCCAGGACTCAGAATGCTGAAGAGAGAACTGTGCCCCCAGCAGAGTCTTTTTCTTTCTTTCTTTCTTTCTTTTTTTTTTTTTTTTTTTTTTTTTACTGCATCAGGATTCAATACAATGAGAATCTACTGCAATCCAAAAGCGCGAATTGAACCTTGAACCTTGAGATACATGTTCCTGGGAGATGAATTGTGGTGAACTTGAGTCTAATGATTGGTCCTGCTCCTTTAAAATACTTGTTTGACATTGCTAAAGGGGAGATTGTACAAGTCCCATAAACTCAGTTACTTTTAATTATTATATTCAAATATCCTCACTTGAGAAGGTGTCCTCCTTTCCTCTCTTACTTCTGAAATGTATCATTTTATTCTGAGAGTATTATCCAACATAAAATTGAATTTTTCTGTAAGACTACAGCAATATTTTCTAATTGAAAAAGCAGTATTAAACTCAATGATTTTTCATCTCAGTAGGGATACGTGCACAGTGTCTGATTCTCAGTATTGGATCTGCACATGGAGTGTTTTTCTCTCTAGTGGTTACAGAGGATGAATGCATATTGAGATAAAGAAGTGATTTTGGTTCCAAAAGGATTTTAAGGATGATGAGAGAACAGTGGGTACTTCATTGCCAGGTCATGTCTTTGCAAGAAGAAAACGAGGCATGAACTAGCTAAAGTTCACCTTGAACTTGCCTTGCTCTTTATCGTTCAAGCAATTTGTATGTGTTTCATCACCTTGCTTGACAAGACGTTAAAACATTCAAATGCATTTCTTTTGCTTTAAACCATTTTTTTGATTCTGAGATGTGTATAATGTCAGTGCATACATACAAGTACCAAAAAATGCTTTAAGACCCTGGCCCTTAAAATGAAGGTTCCAAGAGGAACCCAAGAAAGTCCACTCACCTTGTGCTGCACCTGACCTGGCTCCAGACAGGACACCTGGCCAAAGAATTTGTTCTTCATTATCCTCTCCCAGCTGGCCGCCCGCCCATTGATTGGCACTAGCTGGCATGTTGCATGGTGAATGCGTTCACAGTGAGCACTGTTTTGCTCTGTCAACTATAAGCACTTCAGGGGAAGGAGCTTTTATTTCTTATGTATCCTCTTTTGTCTAGCCAAATGTTTTGTACACAGTGTGCCCTCAGCCTTCCCCTTCACACTGGCAATGTTACCGTTGTTGGTAGGGGCTTCATCATCTCTGATTTACTGCACCTTCAGAAGCAGGCATTCTGACCAAGGCAGATTGGTTAAAAGTATAATGCACACTATTCACAATTCTTATACAGGCCTGAGCAAAATCCCATGGATTTTACTCTTTGATAAAGCAGAGGCTTTTAGGGTTTAGGGCATGCATGTGCATCGGGTTTTCTTTTATACATCATTTCAAAGCTTATCTGTCTTTTACAAGACAACTGTACATTACATACACCAACCAGTTAGAAGATGAAATGATGCCTACCCCAAGTATAATTCAGAAGAACTTCAGGCATGAGTTAGTTGCATATAAAGTACAATGTGAATTCATGAAATTGAAGTTGTGCCACAAGCATGGAAGAACCCACATGTGTATCCCTGGCCTCCTGTGCTGAGGAAAATATGGCTCCTTAATTTTTGCTACGACGTTTATCCTGCAGAGAGGATCAAGCTGATTATGTTAGAGCATTTCTGGGCAGAGAATTTAGTGAAAGTTTGACAGCAGTGGTTCAGGACATACTTACAAATATTTTGGGCAGATGACTATCTGTTAGCTTTTACATCCCCAGAGCCTTCCTTAAATTATGGTTTAAGTAATAGTTCATGGTTTAATTGTGATATAATCTTAGTAGGAGTAATAATATATCTGTTAGGGTATAATGATGTTATGGTAATATTAAGAATAAATGTTCAGAAACCAACCAAATAAACTGTACTTTTGTTCTTTTGTTACCTCTCTAGAATGGTTTTCATCTAGGCTTTCAATGATGACATATCACATTAGAATCTCAAGCTGATAGATAATTATCAGGTTGGTTCAAAAGTAATTACGGGTTTTTCCATTACTTTTAGTGTCAAAAACCACAATTACTTTTGCACCAACCTAATATTTTTCTTTATGTGGACTCAAATATGATATAATGGAATCCTGTTACGATACAACTCACTATTAGATCGATATAAGTATGTTGCATATTGTTTTGTATGCCACAAAACATGATGGTGAAAGCCATTAATACTTAATGTATCACAGTAAAATACAAGGATATTGTGTGACTTCCCAACCCTCTTGCACCAGTATTTTTAATACATGTCCTGTGTTTATAAGATTTGTATTTTATCAAGTCATCTTTTAATATATAAAATTTTATTCTGAATGGCACTCTGTGTTGATAATGGCCATTTTGAAATTTAAGTAAATATTTCCACGATTAATTTATTCTGTTGATTTACCTAAGCAAATAGCCCCTGAAATGCCTTTTGGGACTCTGACTGGAAAGAAAACATTGTCTTTAGAGAGGGTTGCCAAGCTCTGTTAATGAAAAGCAAGCCATTTGTTTTCTTTGCTTCAGGGTGTATTCTGAGTGTGTTGGTAATTGTGCCATTGCAGCTGTATTTCCTGACTGTTAGTTTTATGCTTGATGAAGGATGATAATTAATGTGTTAAACACTCGGTGCATCCTGTTTGGAGGGACAAGTTTTTTGCTACAGAATTACAGAGATATAACTCATGCCCCAAGAAGCACAAAGTTTTACTTCTACTGAACCTTTCTGTAAGAAATAGAGTTATAATTCTTTTACAAAGTTATTTTATTATAAAGATGAATTGAGTCTTCACTTCATACTTGAAAAATATCCAAGTGACTGTTGTGATATTTTGTTGTAATGTTTTATGTGACAACAAATATTGCTTTTTTACCCAAGCCTAATATAATTATATTGATTCTACTTTTACTGACACATTCCTTCATCATTTTAATTTTTTTATAATAAATAGATTTTTGTAGCATTTTAACTTTATAGTTTAGCTTTGAAATTTAATATTTAAAAAATTTTAATCTGATAATTATAACAGCTCAAGTTTAAGGCAGAGAAACTATCTTCTAAGTGGTTTCCAATGACAAAAGCAATTCCCTGATCTTGTATTTTCACACAACAAACATTTATCAATTCATTGAAATGTTACTACATATATATATATATATATATATTCTGCATGAGTTGTAATTAATATATTTATTTTATATTGATGCTAAATCATCTGGGACTATCTTTCACGTGGTAGAAATTATTGAGTCATGGGGCTAGGAATGGAATATTACTAGCCAGAACTTGAAAACATGGTCACTTTTCTAGAGAAAGTAACTTAGACTAAGAGTTTATGGCATTTTAAAATACTAAATGAAATTCTGTCTTGTTAGGAGAGCAGTACCCTATCTTAAATTACCAACACTGAGATGTGGTAGTCTTTGCTTCATCTTTCGAGGATGTCATTTACTTTCACATTTCTCCACAGATGCCGAGCAGACATTATCAAGGGGGAAAAAAAAAGACCTCATAAGTAGAGTGGCTTTTCCCTGGAAAATCTCACATATATTATATCAGTGACCATTTTCCCTCTATCTGGCGTGCTGGCAGCAGGTTGAGTTGGGTGTCGCAGTGAGCATTGGGCCCCTCGCAGCAGTGGACATACTCATCCAGGGGCCTGTCCTCCTGCATTTGTATTTTTAAGGAGATCAGAGTGCCTGTATTTAATGAAAATGGCCAGTAGTAAAGTGGATTCCTGTGAGATGTCTCTTCCCAGTGTTTTTGGAAGGAAAGCCAGTTTTTTGACTTTGTTCTTCATTTCCTCTGGTTTTGTGATAAAACAAAGTATATAAAAGCACAATCTCTGGAGCCAGCCAGACCTAGCTTTAAGTCTGGCTCTGCATGGTGGTGGTAGTGAGAGAGGCGTGAGTGGTTGTGAAAGTGGTAGCAGTGTTTGTGTTGGTGATGCTGGTGATGGCAGCGGTGGTGACAAAGGAGGTGAAAGCAATGACAGCAGCAGTGCTAGAGGAGGTGCTGGTGGTAGTGGTGATGGAGGAGATGATGGTAGTGGTGGAAGAGGTGATGGTGGTAGTGGTGGGGGTAGTGGTGATGAAGGAGATAATGGTGGTAGTGGTGGTGGAGGTGATGGTGATGGTGGCGGAGGAGGTGATGGTGGTAGTGGTGGGGGTAGTGGTGTTGAAGGAGATGGTGGTGGTGGTGGTGGAGGTGATGGTGATGGTGATAGTGGTGGGGGTAGTGGTGATGAAGGAGATGGTGGTTGTGGTGGTGGTGGTGATGGTGGAGGAGGTGATGGTGGTAGTGGTGGGGGTAGTGGTGATGAAGGAGATAATGGTGGTGGTGGTGGTGGTGGTGGTGGAGGAGATGGTGGTAGTGGTGGAAGAGGTGATGGTGGTAGTGCTGGGGGTAGTGGTGGTGAAGGAGATGGTGGTGGTGGTGGTGGTGGTGGAGGTGGTGATGGTAATAGCAGTAGTGAAAGAGGTGAGTGGTAGTGGTGGTGGTAAGGGTGACGGTAATGGTTGTGGTGGTTGTTGCGATGGTGGTGGCAGTGGTGAGGATAACAGCCACGGTAAAGGCTCCAGTAATGACATAGTGCTGGTAATGGGGATGTACTTACTATGAATTCTATAGTAGATCCAGAAGACAACCATGCGAAGCATCAATACAGGAGAGTTTGTTGGGGTTTCTAGGTTATGTTACTTTCTCACTCTCCATTTCACCCTAGATTGTCAGTTTTATGTGAGTTTCACAGGTGAGGCTATGAATTGCAGTGGGACAGGAGGTCTGGCCAGATCTCACCCCAGGGTAACCCAACCCACCCCCTGCCTGGCTTTCACAGACACTCTGGCAGCTCGATTCCCAAACCTGTCCTTCAGCTTTGCAGACCTTGGTCTGGGCTTACAGAATTCCCACCAGGGATAGAAGAGGGCTGGGAAGGCCGGCAGGCAGGAAAGGCAGTAGGGCCTCCCATCTCTGCAACAGGGCTAATTCTAAAAAATGCAATTTGGCTTTACAACTCGCTCTTGATCTGTGCCAAGATTTTAACGCTAAGGAAACCTGAATTTGAAAACGTAACTCTGAACATGTTCAAAAATAACCATTGAAACAGATGTACCCATGTCTCCTCCTTTCTCTCTTGGGGTGTAGGTCTTAGCACTGTTAGATGGAACGTCATTCTAGAGACCAGAATGCTTTTAGCTTTGAAAATTCAAAAAACATCCTTTTCTAAATTTTGTTTTTCTCAAATTCATATGCCTCGCAGCCTTCTTCCACCCACCTCCACATTTCTCAGTTAATCACTGGAACATTTACCAACCGGCCACATGGCTCTGTAGTTACTTGCTTTGAAAATAAAGCCATAATAGTTTTTATGAAAATTGGGTAAATATCCCTGCAATGCTATTTTAGTTACCAGTCCCAACAAGACAATTACATATGGCGAGCATCCAGGATATCCTTTTAGGCTTTCAAGTTTTCTCTCATTGTCATTACTTTACACAGCATTTAGCAAGGCTGTTTTTTTCCCAAGCTGCTCCAGGCCAGATCATTGGAAACAGAAAATTGGGATGCATCCAGGTCACCAAGAAAGGAGGGAGTGGAGGGACTGACCAAGGCCACCACTGAAATCTGAGGGGGACGAGCCGGAGTGTGGCTTGTCATTTGTTCATCCACGCCTGATGGCGACTGGCATTGGTTCTCCCAGGCAGCTGGTAGCTCAAGCCTTCACAATGGCATGTTGCTTCTCCATCCCCCACCTCTCTCATTCCCTAACTCCTCCCTGAGGGGAAAGGGAAAAATATTACTATTGTGTGGGTAGGTTGTCTGGGCCAAACGCTCTGCAAAGGGTGAGGTGAAATAGTGTCTAGGAGAATTTGTCACACAGTGTGCCAAGGTTGGGATTGTAATTAATAGTACTGCTAGGTTCAGCACTGACATATAGAAAGTGAATCTATTTCCTTTAACCCTCAAAATAACCTTGGAACATTGGATATACTTGTTCTTCTTTCCGTGTTTCAAATGAGGACACAGAAACTCAGAAAGGTCTAGTCGTTTGCCTGGGCCTGCATGCCCATTGTGCAGAAGATTGGGAATTGGGATGCTCCTGCCTTCCCCAGCAGGGCCATGCACTGCTTCCCAGGGGCACTTCTGGACATGGGGCAGGAAGGGAGGAGGAGAAAGCAGAAGTGCCACCTTTAAAAAATACAGCTGCAAACTTTCAATTAAAAATAGCACTTTGAAGTGTTTGCTTATAGGCAAAAAAGCATGATTTGTATGTCAGTCCTTCAGATACCTGGGAATGTATGGCTCTTCTTTTAGAGTTTGGGATGAAGTCCTCTCGATCTCCCAAACGCCTCATATTGAAGGGGAAGGTCACTACATGCTGGCTGGGGTATTTAATACCATTTCTTAACTAGTTGTAGAATTTTTAAGACCCGGATTCAAATATTGCTTCTACCTGGTAATAGCCGAAAGGCCTGAAGCAAGTCAGTTCACCTCTCCAAGTCTCCATTTTCCTGTCAGGAAAGCAGGAATACAAGGTTTAACTGGGTTTTGTGAGGATTAAGTGAGATACAGAAAACATAGAGCACAGTACCTGCCACAGGAGGAGCACTTAAGACATCTAATTCCCTTTAGAACTTTAAAAGTCATTGATAAGAAAGCAAGTTTTGAGTGTTTGGTATGAGCTTGGTACTGTGTAGAAGCACCCTCTCAGTTCATCCTCACAGCATCACAAGACGAATACTCGTCATTACCTCCATTGTTCTCATGGGTAAACCAAGACCTCCAAGGAGTGGAGACCATGTCCATGCCACAGCACTATGTGATCCATCTCCAAAGTCCATTTGTTTCCAGGACAGTATGGTGCCTTGTCATTATCAATTTTCTATCTTATTTTTAAAGAAGAATATTACCTATCTTGTTTATGATTGTGATTATTTTTCTCTAATTTTACTTTTTTATACAGTACAATTCAAGGCTACCTCTAGTTACAGAGTAATAGTGTTTCTTATATAGTGTCTTTATAAATTTGTAAGTGTACGGTGAGAGCAAGAGAGTACGTATGTGCTAAATGTCCATGAATTATGTGGCCAGTACACATCACTGTGGCCTCTGTTTTTATTTTCATGTACTTCTAATTGTATAAACACACACATACACATACCCAACTGAATTCAGCACTTTTTAAACATGCCCCACTATTTTGAACACTTTTATTTTTTTTATAGACAATTACTTGGCACCTTCATATGTATACAATATAATTAATGGAAAGTAGCATAAGAAAATTAGATGTCGTAATTAAAGGCTAGAGAAGATACTACTCAGTTGTCAAAGTTAAACATTAAATTTAGGTTATTAGAACTGGCTGCTGGCCTTGTGTCTGTGAAATTTGTTTTGCTAAGTAGTTTTGCATTCATTCAGATGAATGTTGCTGTTGCTTTTATTTTCCTAATACAGGAAGTGGTAACTCCCATTATTATATTAAGCTGTTTCCTTTCTAAGACACTTTTGCAAGCTCGATCTGCGAGTTTCCTCTGTCACGCTGATCTTACATACTACTGTGTGTGTGCTTCCTGAAACCATTTAAGCATGGATGGAAATCATTAGCATGTTAGTGCAGCCTTAACAGAGAAAAGTTTCTTAGTCTAAAAACATTCTTTCCTCCACAAAGAAACTTTCAGTCTTGTATGACTCTGTGTGCTGCTAATACACAGCAATTTTCATGAGCAATTTTAATGAGAGACTGAGTGGGTTTGGGGTTTAGAAACAGAACGTTTTTGGAGTTTTCATTTCTGGACGTGGATTCGTATGTGGCTCCCATCAGCTGGTAATTGGAAATAATGGTTCATCTGATGGCTGCCTCGTCTATACATAGTCAGAGAGGCCTCTTAGATTCATTTTGCCTGAGCAGGTGTTCCTGTCACACAGAAAATATTGTCACCCCTGACTTCTATGCGTTCTATAGGGTTAAGCACTTCAATGGAGTCGTGGACTTCAAAATAATTTGAAGAATTCACCTGCACCTTCTACCCCGAGTTGAGCGTTTGTGATCCAACGTCGGGGAGAGCAGTCTAGAGAATATCCTGTATCTGACAGTCACACCCAGGAACTAATTTGGGGGGATAAAGGGGGTTATGATTTTTTCCTCCATGATCTTTTAATGTTCCCCTTAGCCCCTTTATATCTTCAATGTATACCATCTTTTGTAAGAAACAAGTTCCATATGTGTTATTGTTTTTTTCCTTGCTATATCAAAGAGTATTTAGCTTCGTTTGGTCTACAAATTCTGTCTTGGTGATGTCCCTTGAAAATGTCCTGAAATTGATTATGGTGATGGTCGTCCCACTCTGTGAATACAGTATGTCCTCACTGTCATCAGTTTGTTCTTGGGAAACTGTGACTTTAAGCAAAACAATGTATAATGAAATCCATTTTACCATAGGCTGATTATACAATCAAGAGTTAAGTTCTTACGATGTAACAATTTATGGTCACAAAAACATCACCAAGCTTCTAAATAAAGACCCAAAACACTTCTAATATTTAACACTGAAATAAATCTAAGTTATATGTACATTTAGAAAAGTTTAAAAAAAAAGGTAAGGTAATTCTTTACCCAATTCTTGGTGGATCAGTGAGTGACAGGGAGTCAGAACAGTAGTGGGTTAAATTAAGGAATAAGCGTTGGTGAAGCAAAAATTCTAAGACACCGCCTGCCACCAGGCAGTTCAATCACAATCACAAATACCGTGGGCTCACCGGGTGCTTTTCTGTCACAGCGTTTATTGTCATGCTTCTGTATGATTATATACTTGAAGGATTTTTTATGATAAATTTTATTTATTCATTTGTTCATTTTCCAAACTGCTTATTCCAGTTCAGGGTGGTGGATGGTGGGAGCCTATCCCAGCAGCTCAGGACACAGGATGGGAACCAGTCCTAGACAGGATGCCACCCCGTAGCAGGTCGCACCGACACACACCCCCACGGTCATTCACACTGGGACCATGTAGAATCGCACATTCACCTGACTTGTGTAGCTTTGGGATATGGGAGGAAACTGGAGTGGAGCCAGGAGAAAACCCATTCAGACATGGGCAGAATGTGCAAACTCCACCCTGACAGTGGCCCCGAGCCAGGAAATCCATTTTTTTTTCTCATCAACATTATAACAAAATGACATTATTCAAGGACCTACTTACTGTGTACTGCAAACCATTGAACAGTTAGGTGAATTCTATGGTATTTGAATTATAGCTCAGTTAAGCTTGTGTGTGTGTGTGTGTGTGTGTGTGTGTGTGTGTGTGTGTGTTCCCCTTGGCTCAAAATTCTAATATTTAATAAACAAGTCCATGTGCTCAGTATCAATTTTGCTTGTGGTTTTATAAACCTTTTCAAATTACTCCCCTGAGCCTTTGAATTTCCTAGCTAAGGAGCTCTAGTTTTTTTAGTGTAACCTTATGTACATCCATTTATCAATCAACAAGTACATATTTAGCACCTGTCTTGAGCTGCAACAGCCAAATTGTTTTAGGAATAATAGTAATAGTAGGAAGAGAGGAGCAATTACTACAGGAATTATTAATAATAATTTTAAATAGTTGGAACTGCAGCCATTCCGTTGGGAGAAGCACAATAGTGACTTAACTGTGATTGTGGTGACAGGGAGCCAACAATTGAGTCCCTGCTAATGGGCCAACAGGGGAAGGGGTTGAAAAGGAGGAGTGAGTGGTTTACATTACAAAAGGATTGTCTGAGAGCTGCTCAAGTGTGGTTATGAGGGGAGGTCAGGCTGGAGACAGAAAGGATGATAACCGTGGAGCTGTCAAGGGCATGTCAGGGGTTTAGGCAAGCGCTGTGGCAGCTAGACAGGGCCGGCTGAGAGCAGACATGCCCTGGCCCTGCCTAGCGTTGATTGATAAAAAGGAAACACAATGAGAAGATAATTGAGCAAACCAGGAGGCCTGGACCAGTGTTACAAAATTTAAAAGTGAGTCTTGGGAGCCATCAGAACCTTGGCTGAAAATATTCCTGGCTTCACTTTGACCAGAGTTGGACCATTTTGTGGAGGAATAAAACTACCGAAAGGCGAGTGTGTGTGTGTGTGTGTGTGTGTGCGTGTGTGTGTGTGTGTGTGTGTGTACATGAATAAAATGCTGTAATTGGCAGATGGATTGAAAAGAGTACATCCTTGACATCTATTGAACTCCTTCCTCCTGGCTGCACATATACTAAACACACACACACACACACACACGCACACGCACACACACGCACACACGTGCCTGACTTTCACTGGAAGCTTTGGGGTATATAAAAAAATCATGAACATCCAGGCTGCAGTCCATATTCCAGTTGTCTCATTTGTCCTGACACTGCCCTTTGTATCATTTTCCCCTCCAGTGCAGGCTGCAGCAGCCAAGGATCGTGTATTGCATTTAGTTGTCATGCATTAGGGAGACAGAGCAAAAGATGATGATGGAACAAAATGGGGCAAAATGTTAAATATTGATGAATATGGGTACGGGAATGTTCTCCCCATGTGACCCCTGCTGACCTCTTTATCCCAGTCTCAAGACTTGTACTCTTGCCAACTATACGGCAGCTCCAGTGGCATTCTTTTTGTTCCTCAGACAAACCAAGCTATTCCTACCTTTGAGCCATTGACTCGGAACTCTCTTCTCCCTGAGCTTCACATGGCTGGCTCCTTCTTGTCATTTAGCTCTTAGTTGAAATGTCACTTCCAAAAGAGGACATCCTGCTAACTGGGGTAATGACCCAATCACTTTCTATCCCTCGGTTTTAATTATCTGCCTAGACCCATCGCTAGCTAATAATTTTGTCTGTCGTGTTCACCGGTGTATCCAAAGCACCCAACAGCACCTGTCATTGGGTAGTGCTCAAAAACTATTTGTTAACTGAATGAACTAATCTAAATGTCCAGAAATAGGAGTCATTAAAAATGATGTCAGTGCCTTACGGATGTGCTTTATGCAAGAAAATGCTTCAGAACTCCAGTCAGGGGACATATACTCAGAGAAGACCTGGGTTCCACTTTAGAATATTGGTGAAGGAATGCACATTTTTATATTTCAGTTTTGATATTAACTGCTTAAGGTATATAACGTCTTTTTTATATTCTGTAGTCTAATAAGCCTTTTTTAAATTATGAAATATCTACACAAATTATATTGGTTAAAAGGACTACTGTCTCTCTATATATTTTATATACATATATATATATATATATACACAATGATTCCAATCATACAAGTAGTGTATGAAAAAAGCAGAAAATATATGAAAATCATCATCATTTTAAGGATATGGAATTATGAGTAATTTTTACTTTTTTATCAGACTTGCTGCATGTGGTTCTATTATGTTTCTGATTTAGAAAATATTTTACGGAGACAAAACATAATACAGGATAAATATGATCAAATATTAATAAAACTGAAGTGCAGTTTGGATATGGAAAGACTTTCCTGAATTTGGCATGCTTAGTGAAGCTTTGCAGAAAATGCTGGTAATTGATCTGGACTTTGAAAACACTCATAGGATTAATGAGGATAAACAAATAGAGCATTTTAGGTTAAAGAAGCAGAATGAACAAAGACAGGAAGGAAGAAACTAGCACATGGGAGACTATGAGGAGACCATCCTAACTGAAAGAAAGCTCATGTTTGGGGGATGGTAGGGAGCAAGATGGGAAAGTTAGGCTAGGATCCCATTTTAGAAGATCTTCAAAATTGGTCAGAGAGGTTGATATTAGAAGTGGAAAGAAATAAGGAAGTTCTTACAATAAAGAAATACGCTGGTCCTTCTCAAGAAATAAGATTCTTGAAAAGAAGGATAACATGATGACGTGGGTGTTTTAGGAAAATTACTCTGTGCAGAGAGAGAAACAGAGCTGGCAGTTTGGAAGTGTGACACCAGTATCCATCTGGTGTCCATGGCAGACACCAAAATCAATCACAGGTCTGCTCTGCCGAGACACAGCCTGAGAACCATCTTCACTGGCCCTCCAGTCAGCCAGTACTAATCAATCAGAATTGGCCATGAAACCTGATTGCCTCCTATGTGTGTCAGACAAGTGAACGATAGGCAGGAGAAGGACAGGAGAAACAAGGTGAAGGCCCCAGGCTCATGACTTGGATTTTAGTAGTTCTGAGAATATAAGAAGGATAAGTATCCTGAGATGTTTATTTTGTATTTATAGGTTTGTATTTTAATTAGGGCCAGAAATAGAGATCTTTTTGTATAAATCATTATTCAGTTCTAGAAATGTTTTGCTTTTTCTTTCAGGATCATTGTCACTGGTATACAGTTTCTAGGCACTTGCTGTTTAAAAAAAAAAACTTAAATATTTAGTTAACCTTGAAAATAGTAACTCCAACAAATGATGTGCCAAAAGAAGACTCTCACCCATTTTAATCTACAAAGATTTGGATGCACCTGCTCTGTCCACTCGTGGGAGTTAGGTTGTCAGAATATGTTAAGCCACTATTTTTGGTTTTTTAAGAAAAGGTTTTGTTTTCTGTTATTTTTTAAAACTGGGTTTTAGATTGCAAAATAGCAAACAAAATTTAAAACAAAATGAAATCGTCTCATCTCTGGTGGAGGTGGGAGGAACTTCTACTTTGTCAGTGTGTGGGCTGCGAACAGAACAGAATGTTTATCTTAACTACATGTTGAAGTTGAAAAATAAAGTTAGCAATAGCCAAAAGGCCACGTTTGAATAACTTATCACAAAATGGAAAACATAAATCTTGTGGCAAATCAGCTCTGCTATATATGCTAGTATTTCTCGGATGTGTCTGAGAACATTGTTGCTTCACCATATAAAATTTTATTTCTTCCAGCTGATTGGTTCAAGGTCACCTCCCAATACCTGTAATTCAAAGTTTGGTTGCTGGGACAAATGGCAGTTGAATTTTTTAATTGATAACCTTTCTTTTCTTTTTTTTGTCTCTATTTCTTCTTCTTTTTTTTTCTTTTTCATTTTTCTATGGCTCGTGATCAAGAGCTTACAAGACCCTATGAAAAAATTAGTTGAGAAAGAAGAGAAGAAGAAAATCAACCAGCAGGAAAGTACAGATGCAGCCGTGCAGGAGCCGAGCCAGTAAGTCACAGGTTCCTTCCCTCTGCATCTTTCTTCCCACAGGTGAGAGTTATGTGGTTCTCGCTGACCGAACCTGGCTGGGCCTCAGACGCAGACTTGTCTTACTTCCTCACTTCTCAGAGTAGATGTATTAGCATCCCAGCCAAACCCCTTTAACGCATGCTCCTGCTAGGTCATGACTCACGTATCCCAGTAAGAGATCGGTTTCCAGGGGACTTAGAAGGGCACACTTGTGAGGAGCTGACTGGAACAAGACAGGGCAAATGTCCCCAGCATTCCCTGGCTCTCTGCCTGTGACCTGAGCCCCAGCTTTGCACTTTCTCTGGTTTCTGGACCCTATCTGGTCCTTTGTCAACACTAGATGCTCTTCTAGATAGGAAATCCCCTGGCTTTTCTCTCACTGAGGGAGCTTACCTATGAAATTGCCCTGGGATACATGCATACTAAGGCATCATCATATGAAAGTGTTGGATTTTGGCACTGTGTTTTCTACCATGCAGAATGTCTGTTTTCTTCTCTGTGAAACAGAGAACAGCTTCAAGTACAGGAAATGACTGCTCCATCTCCATTTCATGCCCCTTTACAAAGAAGGTGCCTCTTGTCATTTTAAATACTGAGATGAACTTTTCAACATATGTGGTGCATGGTTCCCTTTCTCATACATTGAGAAGGAGGTTGAAATGTGGATCTGTATCATTTTCTATGGAGATATAATAGCTTGCAGGAATGCAGTTAATCTTTGAACTGGCCGACCTAGGAAAACAAAATGGATGGCCTCGTTTCTATTCTCTACTCCTTTTCCACACACAAAAAAAATTTAGATGACAGTCTTATCGTAAAACAGGCTTATACTTTTATTGTATTTCTAAATCGACTTTCAGATATATTTTTTGTCCCACAGGAAAAGTTGCTGCCAATATTAGCCTTTTTAAATTTTAAAGAGTATATGTACTAGATAAATTTTTTGATGCAGAATGAAGACAAGTTCTCACTGAAGGACAGACTGTAGAATGTGATCTGAATCTAGTAAAACTGGCTATTTTATGGTGAACCAGTTTAACCCATTCCTGGTGATGGTAATAGTGCTAGCTATCATTTTAGTGAGCACCTACTATGAACCAGATACAATGCTAGGTGTTTTATTTATGTTAATTCCATCTCATGACAACCTTCAGTGACGTCAAGGCTGGGATTTTCCTTGTCATGTAAAAGATGGAAGGAAGGTTCCGGAAGGTTAAGGGGCTGCCCACTTACTCTTGTGTAGTAAGAGGTGAGACCTGAAGTGGGTCCCTGCACCTTCTTTTCACCATATAAGTTCATACAATCAAAATAAAGCATTCACCTTTACTTGGAAGTGGATTACCTGGGATTTTTCTTGATTTGTTTTAATTAATTCAGATTTCTCAAATACTTCAGTGCTTCATTTTTGAAAGCTCACAAAGTATAACCCAGTAACTATTTAAAATGACAGTGAACACTGAACGTGAATTTTGTTTAGAAATAGCAGACAAAGGTGCATCACGGTGCTAGGAGGAAGGCTCGGAGGCACCAAGTGAATCTCAAGGGCAGTGATGTGTCTCTGTGTTTAAAGAAGTGGTGAGAGTTGAGTAGGAGATGGTCAGCCTGGATTTATGAGTGGTCCTGCCTGCAGCCTCTGTAGCCGAGCTAACCTCTGGAGGTGTCCTCTCCTATAACACTAGGAATCAGAAGAAATGGATTCTGATTGATATTTTTACAGTTTTTTTAACTATCAATTTTTACTATTTTTAAGGTGATAACTGTATGCGTCTATCTTATTTATATCTAACTGCCCATCTAGATATTTACAGAATATTTGCCTCGAGATGAAAGCAAATTCAGATATTAAGATGCTACAGAAAGGGAAAGAAGGCCAGCAAATTGGCATGTAAATGACTATATGTTGACCCTTCTTCGTGTGCGTGTGTGTGGTGTATGTGTTTGTGTTAAAAGTGAAGTAATATTGTACTGAAAGTCTGGCTGTATCATAAATATAACATTGGTAGAAGTTGATGACTAAACCTCTTTTTTATTTTAAGATTAATTTCATTAGAGGAAGAAAACCAGCGCAAGGAATCCTCTAGTTTTAAGAGTAAGTTTTGATTTTTATTTAGAATTGCTTCTGAAATATTACTTAATGCTTAACAGCCAAGTCATTTTACTTTTTGACAAACTCCTCCTAGGCCTTTCTTCTTTTTCAACTGAGAAAAGGCTAATTTGCTTCCTGTAGACTCAGTTCTAAATGTTCAGATATCCACCATGTCAACCCTACAGCATTACTGAGAGAGGCTGTGTATTGTGAACCAGAAAATCACATCACAGTCACATCAGCAGCAGCTCTTCAGAGGGGCAGCCACGATGGGAACTGGCAAATCGCTGTTTCTTTTCACAGCGGATTATAAGATTTCTGCTGTGACCCTGACTGGTTCTAGTTTTCATAAGATGAGGCTATGACCTCAGGAGAGGTGGATTTGCGGTATGTGTGGGGCGGGTGGATGTTTGTCAATGTTGGAAACAGATAGGAGCTGCTCACCCTGCCCTGCCAGCTGATGCCTCAGCCTGCCAGTGCCAAGCAACCCCTGATCCCTCAGGTGAACTGAACCTGATGTGTTAGGAGAAGGGGTCAGAGCGTTGGGAGATGGCACAGTGTGCTGTGCAGGCTCATCAGCTATTTCTGTCTCCTGCTGTTACTGCCAGTGTTTTCATTGGTCCTTCACCTCACAGAGGGACACAGGGTTTGATAGATTGTGGTAGAATTAATGTGACACAGTACCAAGCACTTCACTGGCACTCAAGCTCCTCGGAGATGCGGGGGAATGTTTTACAGGTGTTATGAAGAGAACTAAAATTACCCCAACACTGTGTTTACCTGGTCCCCCTGGGGACATATGCATCTCTTCCTGCTTCACCCTCTGGTGTGGTACCTTCCTGGAAGATAGGAGGAGGCAAAGGAGATTCTAGAACTTCTCCTCTGCTCCATTCTTCTCCTTCACCCTCTATCTTCCTTTTTACCTTTCCACCCACTTGCTTCTCCTCCTATTTGCTTTTCTCCTATCTGCCTTTCAACAACAACAACAAAAGACTCACTTTTTTGCCTCTAATGCTTGCTTCATGTCATCCATTCACACATGTACACCTTCACGTACAAGTACTCATGCACTTGTTCATTTGTTCAACAGATGTTTATTGAGCCGCCTCTGTGCCAGGCATGGCGCTGGGCTCTGGGCATACAGTGGTGCACCAGACATAGTCCCTTCCAGGATGAGGCTGACAGTCAAAAGGGCAAGCAGATGGTAATCTAATCATTACCAAAGTAATCCAGCAGCTCCAGCTTTGGTGGGAGCTCCAAGGGAGAGGTGTAGGGCTTTGGGCACATGTGATGGAGAGGACACAACTTTTTTAGGAGATCAGGGAACTGGCTAAGCCAAGTGCTATGGCAAGACTTGTCAAAGCAGAAGAAACAGCCTGGGCAAAGGTTATGGGCACAGGAGGACCTGGAGAAAGTCAGAGAAACCATGCTCCAGAGCATGAGGGGGAGCGAGTGGCAGGAGGAGAAAGGGAGCAGCTGGGCCTGCTCTTGTTGGCCACAGAAGAGCTCTCTGTCTATATGGATGCAAGCTCTCCAGCCTCAGTGTACCCACGGCACGAATCACTAATGTTGTCATAGTCAAGGTAATTGGATAGGAAAACATGGGTTCTGTGGGAAAATATAAACTGCAGTTTATTATATTTGTATGCAAGTTATAAATCTATATAAATTATATATTCATACAATATGTGACAATGCAGGGGAATCAAATTTTCTCTCGTTCCTTGTGCAGTATAATTGCTTGTGGTATTTGCATATTTTGAGATTGTAAATGTCGATCATCTTGTTTTATATATGCACAGAATAAAATCCATTATAATGAAGTATCATATTTCTTTTATTCTGTGACTTGCAGAAAGGCTAATGAACATATGAGCAAATCAAGTTTTAAGGCTGTTCTATTACAAACACACACACAGACACACTTTATTGTTTAGAATAGTTTTTGGTTCACAGCAAAGTTAGGCTCAATGTACAGAGATTTCTCATAGATTCCTTTCCCCAGCATATACATAGCCTTTCCCACTATTAACATCCTACACCAGGTGGTATATTTGTTATAGTCAATAAACCTACATTGACATCATTATCACCCAAAGTCCATAGTTTACATTAGCATTCACGCTTGGTGTTATACATTTTGTGGGCATTACAAATGTATAATGATATATATCTACCATTATAGGACCTTACAAAACAGTTTCACTGCCCTGAAACCCCTGTGTCCTCCACTATTCATCCCTCCCTCCCCTCAAGCCTTTGGCAAATGCTGATCTTCTTACTGTCCTCATAGTTTTGTCTTTTCCAAAATGTCATATAATTGGAATCATGCAATGTGTAGCCTTTTCAGATTGACTTCTTTCACTTAGTAATCTACCTTTTCATTTTAGCCAGGCCCATATGGCTAAAGTTCATCAGCATCATCAAGTAATAGTCAGTTACTTAAGTCACACACTTGTCCATGGAAGGAGAATTGTTAGATCGATGTCATATGGTTTTCAGGTTATCTGCCAAACAAAGCAAAGATTCAGGGCTGTTAATTTGGCATTCTCTGAGAGCTGATAGCAGGAGTCCAGTGTAATCTGAGGACCCTTGCTTCTGGCTGAGTTTGTGGATCCCATTTCTTCCTGAAGCCGTGCATTTACCTTACACTGCAATAGCGTATGAACATGCACACCATTTCGAGTTGTTGGTAACCAGTTGCACATGTTATATTACAGCTGAAGATGGAAAAAGTATTTTATCTGCCTTAGACAAAGGCTCTACACATACTGCATGCTCAGGTAACCTAGATTAAGGAAAACTACTCAATTTTAATTATTTGACTCAAACTCCTCACAAAATGAAACTGACTTATAATTTTGTTTTCTTTCCTCTTCTCTAAAGGACCCATAGATGAACTATTAGACATGAAATCTGAGGAAGGTGGTAAGATTTATGTGTTTCTTTGGGATTATGATTTGTTTGATTTTTTAAATTACTCTTTTACATGTAAGAAAGTGTAATCTTAATCTTTTTAATAGCTTTGCATTCCAAAGGAAAGTTTTTTGGGTGACAGTCTTTATAAATGACCTCAAATATGCCCAAGCACAAAATAGTATGTGTAGACCTATCATCATTAGTATAATGAATTTCATAATGTTCAAACTACTATAGCTAAAAGTTATGTCATGGGTCACATGCTGTAGTAGAAAAAACATGGCTTTCAGAATCAGACACGTGGATTTAAAGACTGGTTTTACCATAAATGGCCTGTATTTTAAGTGATTTGCTTCATACTTAAACTCTCTAAGCCTGGGTTATTCTCATTTGTAAAATGGAAACAATAGCAACGGCCTTGGTGGGTTATTGTCAGAACTGGAGATCGTGTGTAAGGGGTCCTTGATGGCCTCTAACACAGGGTTATGTCAAATGGTCATGAGTTGAGATAGTAGGACTAGTAATGTTTTGTGGGTGATTTACTGTAGTAAGTCTCTACTGACCCTTAGGTAGATGCAGAGGGAGAGTTTGCTTAGTTAAGTCGCACACCTGAATTTACCAAACCTAAAATCACTTATGAAATAACCTCCCAAAAGAGAATCCAGAACCATGGATTTGAGTGAGAATGTAGAGTGTTAAGTAATCCTAAGACATTGAGAGGGTTCAGCCTAATTATAGCCTTAGCTCTCCATCTGACCAAGGGTTTCCTTTTAATGATGTACCAAGAGTCCAAAATACACCTGAAATTTAGAGCCAAACTCCAGAGCATCCCATGCCCTGGTGGTTGGCATGCAGCCTGCCCTGGCTTTACAGATTTCTCACAGGACTACAGACTGGCCGAAGTTATCCTGCAGGCCCCAGTCAACCAGGGCAGACAACTCAGTTCAGTCTGGGCTTGATGTTGATTTAATTTACAGAGTGTGCAAGGAAGAGAGTCTCTGGAAGACAGAGGACATTGGTTAAAGTTTTGTCAAAAGTAGAAAGGCACCGCACCTCTAGCATTAAGTTTTCAGGGTTTAGGGATATAAACTTGAGGACAGATATCTGCTTTCCCTGTTACTGTCTTACGACAGGTAGCATACTATGCAGTACTGTGTGAATGCCCATGAATATTTTATCAAAATGACTAATCATTTATAAATATTGAAATCATACCAGGTAGTGGAAGTAATAAGCAGTTAATGTAGATTGCCATACATGGTGTCCATTTTTGTAAAACATTTTCCTCTTTGGCTTAAGAACAGATTATTTTGATAGAATAAAGGTGTCTTTCACAAATTATTTTTTGGAGGGGATAAATATTTTATTCTTACCAAAGTCAGGTAAAGACAATAATAGAACAAACCTAGGTACCCACCACCCAGTTTCAACAAGTCTTACCAGTAAACAAATGTATTTATAATCCTTCACGTGCTTTAACTTACTTTGATAGGAAGGCTGTTATTCCTTTCATTCCCAACATCTTGTTTATATAATTTGCTCTTTGCTTTTATTATCACCTTCTTTAATTTTATTATTTTAGTGTTTGAATTTGACTAGGTAGTACATTCACACTGGGACAAAAGCCGACTTATAATAAAAAAATACACAGTAAAAGAATCCTCACTCTCATTCCTCTTCCTTAACCCCCTCCCTATTCTAATACTTCCATCCCCCAGTGTATCTTAGTGTTTGTTTACCCAGACACAGCAAATACGAGTCTGTATTTTGTTTCCCTCTTTCTAAAAAAAAAAAAAAGGTTCTTGGCTTTAGAATTTAATTTTTTTTAACTTGGCGGTAAAGGTACAACCCTAACCCAGTAGTCATGCATTTTTTCACAGAATTAAATCAGAAATGGCACTGCCTGCGATAGATGCTTACTTTTATAAACTTCCTCGAAAGCATGTGCCAAGATATGTTGGAATGAGATTGACACTTGTCTGCTTATTTAAAACAACTTTCATATTTCATTGGTTTATAGTTAGGATCTTTGTTAGTTTTGTAGACTAGCAGTCCATACCCCCTTTTTTGAGCACTCTATGTAATTGTAAAGATAGGGATATTAATGTGCTGGTCCCTTAAAATGTGTAGTTGTTCTCAGGCAGAAGTATTGGTTTGCACATTGTCTCAGTTAAAGTCAATGTCACATAATTTGTCTTTTCTCTTTCTCACTGCCAACCCACACAGCCCTTCTTCAGGCATGAGCAGGGCTGCCCCACTGTCTGCCTCTGCTTCTATGTTGTCAACCCACAGGGTAGCGTCGGCTTAAATATTAACGTGGTCGGTAGAATAAAAATATTCTCTCAGTGCACAGAGAACTTGTGGTGACTGAAGAAAAGAACACTCATTAATTTGTTGACTTCAAAATGTGTGCCCTTTGGAAAACTGCTGGAAGGCCCAAATCCTGAATTAAAATGCTGATTACAATATGCACGACATTAAACAGTCAAGAAATAAAAAGAGCTTAATCCAGGGATGGCTGACTTTATAGGACTTGGGGACGATAAGCTCTAGCACCCTGCTGCTTGGGGGCCGGTTCACTCCCTGTGGTAATTCTGTTAGACAAGTAATGGCTAAGCCGTGGTACAATGTTATCAAAAAGCAGACCGCTCGTGACAACAGCAACGATTCTCAAAGAGCCATTGCCCAGAAAATCACCCCCATTCAGTGTCGTAATGACATTGGCTTTCTCCTACTAAATAGCTAATATAATGGAAAACCAATATTTGACCACAGTTTATAAAACTATTTTAAGTAAAAAAGTTAGTGACATTTTGAGACACGTGAAAGTGGCTCTCAAACTGCCTTATGACCACATGTGGCAATCTGACCTCAATTCGTTAATTATAACATGGAGAAATCTTTGTGTTTCCCAAAATTGGGCCAAGAAAAATGAATAGCAGATACCTGAACAAAAAAGTGGTGTTACAAAGCAGAAGACAGTTCAATGAATTCAACTCACCTAAGTCTCATAAGTTGGCCTTACCCAAAAGATCCCTCTCCAGGACAAGACTAAGCCAATTAAAACAATTTTAATTGTCTATATTCTAAATAAAATGTTTATCTCCTGCTACCTCCTTGGTTACTACTTCTAGACTTGTGATTCTAAATTGTGGTCACATGTCAGAATAATAGCTCATTCAGTAGGTACCATAGGTGTGGGTGAAAACTTTTAGCCCACAGCAGTCATACATGTTTACCTCTGAGTTCCTCCTGAGTCACTCAGAATTGTCTCCTGCAGTTGTCCATATATTACTGACTAGGGATCTGACTGCTTCCTCGCATACGAAGTGGCAAGTTCTAAAAAGCGCCTTCTCTTTTCTCATGAACTTTCCCTCCTCTCTGTCTTCCTCAGCATCCTGGGATGTACTGCTGGCTTTGGTACATTTTTTTTTTTAACCAAATACTGTTCTTAGCTGATCATCCTGTAGCCTGTAGTGCTCTCTATAGATTTACCCTTATAAAGATTTCTATAAAGATTCTGGCCGGGCGCGGTGGCTCACACTTGTAATCCCAGCACTTTGGGAGGACAAGATGGGCGGATCACTTGAGGTCAAGAGTTCGAGACCAGCCTTGCCAACATAATGAAACCCTGTCTCTACTAAAAATCCAAAAATTAGCCAGGCCTGGTGATGGGCATCTGTAATCCCAGCTACTCTGGAGGCTGAGGCAGAAGAATCGCTTGAACCCGGGAGGCGGAGGTTGCAGTGAACCGAGATTGCACCACTGCACTCCAGTCTAGGCAACAGAGTAACACTCTGTCTCAAAAAAAAATAAAAAAAATTCTATAAAGAGTCTATAAATATTTATCCCTGCCCTAGGTTTTATGTTTTTCAGTAAGATTACTTGTCTTCTAACATCTACTGGTGAAATGGAGTAGCAAGCTTAGGGATCATGAACAAGAATTTTTTTTTTTTAGTGCCTACTCAGGGTCCAGTGCTGTTGGTTTGTTGTTTGTTTTTTGTTTTGTTTTGTTTTTCAGGGAGTAGGAGTTGTTTTTCCTCTCTCTGTTCTTATTATAATCTATATCATTTTTCATCAGAGCGAAGTTCTTAGAAGCAGTGTTCTTGAGTTCCAAACAAGTACAGTTTGTTATAATATAGAATATGTTTTTCTTGTTAGCCATTTTCGTAAGGTGTTTTCCTCCCTATCTTCCCCCTACTCTCTTTGGGCGATGTGAGGATAGTGTTGGTGTTTGGGGTTTTTCATCTGTACTGCAAGCGTGTGGCCTTTACGATTAGTCATAATGTCCAGAGTGGGGACGAGGGAGAAAACCAGAGAGATGGAGTCTTCCTGTTTCACACGCAGATGAAGGTAAATTAAGTGACATTTATCTGCCAGCTTTTCTGTGCTCTCGTTTTCGGTCTATGTAGTTATGTTTCCTTCCATCTTCTGTGTTCTAATTTATGCTGAGGTCATGAAACTCAGTATGAGTTCAAAAATACCACCTGAGTGAGCTGTCACCAATTTCCCACACCGTGTCTAAACTTAAAAGAGCTTCCTCTCTATGTGAGTTTTCACACAGATATTGCTCATTGGTTCAGGATCAGTTCTCCTAGGGAATGTTCTCCCAGGGGCATAGGGTTTTTATTTTTGAAAACTTGGGCAGTACAGGGCAAACATGCTGAATGGATCTGTCATCTCAGCCTTTCTGCCACGGTGCCTGCATGGTGCCTGGCTGCCAGTGGAGCCATCTGACCTTAGAAACCCTCAACACTTTACAAAAGCTTAAATATTAATTTATACATGAGATCCTTAATAGGTTCTGAAGTAAAAGCAGAGTGCTACAGTGAGAAAACACCTTGACTGTGAGTTGGGGTCCCTAGCAAGATTGTCTGTAACTAATAAATTTTGTGTCATTGGGTAGGTTATTTAACCTGGGTCTTTTTCCTTATCTGTAAAGTGAGTTAGAGGAGATGATCTCTAAGATTCCTATTGGTTGCAAAAAAAAAAAAAAAAAAAAGTATGATTTTTCTCACTGGGACAAATCATCAGGTTCCCAGAATATGTTTGAGCAATGGCAAGTAGAGAAGTTTTGCCAAATTGAATGAAGGCTTTCCAGATGGCTATATTGATGGGTAGCTGAAAGGGCTGCATTCGTGCTTGACTGCAGACATCCTGAATACCACTAGACAGAGTGTTACTTTAGCCAGTAGTCAGGGAGCCACTGAAGGCCTTTGAGTAAATGAGTAATCTCACAGCCAGCCTGTCTAACTTTGCTTTCTGTTGCTTATAAAACAGAATACTGGCACCTGGATAATTTATAAGGAAAAGGGCTCATGCCTGTAATCCTAGCACTTTGGGAGATCAAGGCAGGAGGATCACTTGAGACCAAGAGGGCAACAAAGTAAAACCCTATCTCTACAAAAGTTTTAAAAGTTAGCCAGGCATGGTGGCATGTGCCTGTAGTCCCAGCTACTCAGAAGGCATTCAAGCCTGGAGTGCTATGGTTGCACCACTGCACTCCAGCCTGGATGACAGAGTGAGACTCTATAAAGAAAAAACAAGAAAAGAAAAGAAAGAAATGGAATTTATTTCTTAGAGTTATAGGGGCTAAAATGTCCAATTCTGAGGGGACACATCTGGTGAGGGCCTTTTTTGCTGAGTCCTAAGGCGGCTTAGGGCATCACATAGTGAGGGGGCCGAATGTGCTCCCTCAGGTCTCTGTTCCTCTTCTTATAGAAGCTACCAATCCCACTCCCATGATAATCCATTAATTCATTAATCCATGAATGGGTTAACCCATTTGTGAGGGCAGAGCCCTCATGACCCAATCACCTCTTAAAGGCCGCACCTCTCAAGCTGCCGCACTAGGGTTTAAATATCAGCATGAGTTTTGGAAGGGACAGATATGCAAACCATAACACAGACTAAGCAAAGATACACAGTAAGAGGGTTCCTCTATGGAGCACCAGCAGCTTCACCAATGGGCAAACCCAGAAGGGCTCCCAGACAGGAATTTGCAAATGGAGTTCCAGAAAGAACTTGGAATTGGAGGTAGAGATTGGAGAACCTTCTGAGGTGACATTGGAACCCTAAGAATAGAAAAGATCTTCTATAGAGAATGTAGGGAAGGTATGATGGTTTGGGATGAAACCTTAAGGGCAGCCAGAATAGGAGGAGGCAGTGGAGAAGGTACTGTCAGGGAGATGGGAGGTCATCCGAGAGAGCCGCCTCATGGGGACTCCCAGGAGATAGCAGCATTTCCAGGCTGGGCAGTGGTACAAATGATGCTGTACAGGTAAAGGCCTGGGAAAAGAGCCTCAGAACTGGCAATGAGGATCTCACTGCTGACCTTCAAGAGAGCTATTTCAGTATAGGGTGGGGGCAGGAACTTAATTACAGGCAGCTGAGAAAAGAGTAGAGCCAAAGTAGAGTATGTGGTTGTGGAAGGAAGAAGAAACCAGAACAGTAACTTGAAAGTGTGAGGGGAGGGTGGAGAGCAACATCAAGTGAAGGCTGATTATTGTTGAGATAGGCACACATCTCCTGCGGCTAGGGGAAGGAAGCATTGGAAAATGAAAGACTAAAGGTGCTGGATCTGAATAATGGTGGGAACAGAGCAGGCTTCAGGAAGGAGGGGAGGGCATAGAGAGGGCTTATCTTAGAAAGGAGAGGCAATGCCTGCAAGGTCACGGAGTTGGAGACAGGTGAGGATGTGAGTACGTCATGTCTGTTGGCTCTTATTTTTGCAGCAGTGTCTGTAGTTAGGTTATCTGGTAAGCAAGTAAACACAGAGACTTGGGAGCCTGCAAGAGAGTGAAGGGAACTTGGTGTAGCATCTGTGGGTTTGGCACCTGAGAGATCCTCAACCCTTGTTCATCCTTTAACACAAAAGCAGGATTGGGGCACCATAACCCAGAAGCAGTCCACATCTGCATGGGTGGAAGCCCTGACTCCAGTTGGGAGTTTCTTACTAGAGTTTCTCCCAAAGAGCTTATCACATCTCTGCATGTGTCTCCATTATCTCTCAGTTGAGTTGAATTTTTTTCAAAGAAAATGATAGCATGATTCTCAAGAGCCAACTGACTATAGAGCTATTTCTCAAGTCTCAACTTGTCTGGTTACAGACCTGAACCCGTCCTTTTCTACTTGTAGTTAGATTTTTCTTACGTGTTATGTGTAATAATTTTAAGCATCTTAATTATCAGTGCAATAATTGGGAGGTTTTTGTGTTTTATGGTTCAAGTCAGTGCCAGTTTCATTGCTTTTAGCTAAGTAGTAAGTTCTCTTAAAAGAGAAAATGTGCACTGTGTGGCCTGTTAGCTGTTGAATAATCAAGAAGCCAAATAAAAGGCTAAATTCATTGGTAGACCTCAGTGTAGGCAAAATCTGTATTTAGAACTGGCTGTAGGCAATATCCTCACCAAGGGTCCTTTTCTCTTTTCTGTCACTAAAAAGTTTGAGTTGAATAGGATATGTATTAGTAAAAAGTTTTCTGATTGCAAGTGATAGAAAAACCCTATTTGAAATAGTTTAGGTTTAAATTTTTAAAAGCAAAAAAGAATGTATTGATCCATGTAATGGGGACACTCAGTTGTGGATTGGCTTCAAGCAAGGCTGGATCCAGGCGCTTAGACAATGTTGTCAGGATTCTCTCTCCACTTCTTGAGGCTGTTTCCCTCTATGTGTTGACTTCATTATCACTGGGAGCCTGAAATTTGCATCTTTAGAGCTTGGAATCCCAAAGAAAGAGAGGCCCTCTTCCATTAAGTTTCTATATACCAAATTCCGGGAGGTGTCCGGCATGTGTCCACCCCTGAGCCAATCACCATGCCTGGGGGATGGAGGACTCTGGCCAGCCTCATCAGTCATTCACTGGGGTGGAGGGTAAGGAGTCATTTCCAGAGGCATCTCACCAGGATCACATGGAGAAGGCATTTTCCCAAAGGGAAAACTGAAGAAGCAGAGGGAAGGGATGCTGAGTTAGCAAAAACCACCAAAGTCCATTATAAACACCATAGCACAAAACCTAAACAATAAAAACAAAGATGGAGCTATTACAGTCTGTGGTTATTTTTAGAAGGCTTACAGTTTATTATTTGTTCTTGCTAATGTTAATGATGATCTTCCCTGGACAGACATCTGTACTAAAGTAGTGAAGCCTCCCTGAGGGTTTGACTTAGTGGAGGGCTGTATAAAGCGACTGTAGAAGGAACATACGTCATTTCCAAGGTGCATTTGAAATTATCTGCTCCTCCAGGGTCTACACATTGACTTGACTTGGTTTCAATAGAATAGGTTTGGTTCAGTAATTATCTGGTTTCAGTCA
Source organism: Homo sapiens (assembly GCF_000001405.40). Taxonomy (NCBI): domain Eukaryota; kingdom Metazoa; phylum Chordata; class Mammalia; order Primates; family Hominidae; genus Homo; species Homo sapiens. The sequence goes on along the minus strand of NC_000007.14, from coordinate 8,130,537 downwards.
GGGCAAAAAGTAAACTATAAGAAAGGGTTTGGGCATTCCAGTCCTACCTGAAAGTAGGAAGTATAGAGTTCTGTAATGTTAATAATCCTTAAAAAGGTGATGCTGGAGAGGGGAGCATGCGTAGATACAGGTGTTGATGGACACATCCTGAGCTGCGAAGGTTGCTTTCCTTTCCTTCAGCTCCTGCCTTCATCCACAGAGGTGGGCCACCTGCCTGACCTTACAGTCCTGCCTCGCCCACCATGTGCAGGCTCAAGTGGTTCCTGAACTACCCTGTTAATATCACACTGTCGAAATACCATTCGACCCAGCCATCCCATTACTGGGTATAGACCCAAAGGATTATAAATCATGCTGCTATAAAGACACATGCCCACGTATGTTTATTGCGGCACTAGCAGCAAAGACTTGGAACCAACCCAAATGTCCAACAATGATAGACTGGATTAAGAAAATGTGGCACATATACACCATGGAATACTATGCAGCCATAAAAAAGGATGAGTTCATGTCCTTTGTAGGGACATGGATGAAGCTGGAAACCATCATTCTCAGCAAACTATCGCCAAGGACAAAAAACCAAATACCGCATATTCTATCTCGTAGGTGGGAATTGAACAATGAGAACACATGGACACAGGAAGGGGAACATCACACACCGGGGACTGTTGTGGGGTGGGGGGAGGGGGGAGGGATACCATTAGGAGATATACCTAATGTTAAATGACGAGTTAATGGGTGCAACACACCAGCATGGCACATGTATACATATGTAACAAACCTGCACGTTGTGCACATTTACCCTAAAACTTAAAGTATAATAATAATAATTTTAAAAAAAATCACACTGTCTCAGAAGCCTGTTTAAAATGCCATTTGCCCCATCTTCTCACCCACAACACCTACAGGCTAGCTCTTAGTGAGAATTTCTGTGATAACACAAACAATAAGAATGCTTACATTAGACAGTTGTCCGACTAAAGTGATGTTTTGCCACTATTTTTAAACCACAGGGACATGAGAGTGACTAGATTCTTCCCCTCCCTGATTTATAGCCTGTCTGCTCAGCACATCAGAAATCCCCTTCATCTTTAGATCTTTATGTAAAGTGTGATTGAAAATAGATCCAGTAAAGCCAACACAGAGAACTTTTTTTTTTTTAAAAAAAAAGCCTTTACTTACTAATTATCTTATACATTTGAAGAAAACCTGGTCATCTCATTTAATATGACCATATCAGAATTGCAGCATGTCTCAGAAAAAAAACATAAATCATGATTTTTTTCTTCTCTTTGTGAATTAACAACAAAAATGTTTATAGTTTCCAAGTGGCAGTTAGATACCACCACAAAGCCACAGTTGATAACACCATCAGTCTTTGGTTCTCAAAATAAGTAATAAACCCAGTGAAAGGACTTGGTGTAAGATTTCTGATAGTAATGCTACTTGTATTCAATATTCAGTATTCTGCCAATGTTCGTAATGTAAGGATGGCTGCCTTCTTTAAAGCCTTCCTTCTGGAAAGGCAATTAGGTTTAAAGTGTATTTCTTTTGGTCTTCCTGACAACACCGAGGTGGCCGTTATTAACATGATAACCTTGTGGATGAGCAAACAGAGGCTCAAGGGGGTCTAAGGGTTTTTACCGAAGTCACATAGCAGCGAAGGGGTGGACCTGAGGCTTCCCCTCTGATCCGGTGCTCACTTCAACGCCCCTCGAACTGTGTCTCTAGCCTGTGAAGCTCCCTGACTCGCAGCCTCTTTCCCTTTTATTTTATTGCTGCAAAAGGCACTTAGGCAAACCAGACCCACTTTTCCTTTGCTTCATGCAATGGAGTTTCAGCAAAGTGGGAAGGAAGTAAGGATGCCTCTCTTGGGCATTGTTGAGCTCTGGACATCCTCCCCTTCACTGTCGTGCCCTGGGCCAGGGCATGGTGAAAGTTCTCTCCCCATCCTGGGTGGCAGGACAGGCTGCCACATGGCGTGTTGCTGTTCCAGCCCAGGCAATGTGTATTGAGGGCTTGCGTGGGAAGATTTGGGAAGCTATGCAAACAAGGAACTAAGATCTCCAACATGTTTTCAATCTTGGCCTTGTTTCATATCTGAGAAATGTTTTGGTAAATTTGTTTTTATATTAAAGAAAAACCAAAATCCTAGAGTCTGATGCCCAGAAACTGAACTTGCTTTGGAGGACAGGGGACAAGGGAACATGGGATTCGAAATTTAATTCTATAAACTCTTAAGAGAGGCTATAATAATAGGATGAACTTATATTTTGATGACATTTTTCTTAAATCTAGCCATCAACCAGTCTCCCCCTTCGCAGCCCCCACAGCATTGATTCCTGAGGGCTTGAGCCCTCCGTGGTGACGTTTTGTTCTCTGTTACTTCAATCAGCTTGCCTGGGACCAGTGGCAGGGACCCCGGAACCTGAAGGTGCTGACAAAGATGACCTGCTGCTGTTGAGTGAGATCTTCAATGCTTCCTCCTTGGAAGAGGGCGAGTTCAGCAAAGAGTGGGCCGCTGTGTTTGGAGACGGCCAAGTGAAGGAGCCAGTGCCCACTATGGCCCTGGGAGAGCCAGACCCCAAGGCCCAGACAGGCTCAGGTTTCCTTCCTTCGCAGCTTTTAGACCAAAATATGAAAGACTTACAGGCCTCGCTACAAGGTAGGTAAGGTGGGGATTGAAATGGGGTTTTTTGTTTGTTCATTCTTTTTGTTTTCAATCCAAAAGCATATTTCTTCCTTCTTTGTCTTTTTTAATGTTTTCTCTATTTTTATTGACTTTTTAACTGGAGACTCAGAATCACATTCCAACTTTATGTTTCAGGGTTTAAAATACATTCCTTTTCATAATTCTCCCCTGTGTTAGCATCAAAGGTTAGATGAGTGGTTCTAAATCATATTGTCATCCTTTGATTTTAGACTTCTTGTGGCATACTTGAGAGGATCAAACTGCTTTCATGGTCAAGGCCCCGTTGACTTGGCCACTCCGCCCTGAGTTCACCACGTTCCCATAAGCATGCCCTCTTCCTGGGTGCTGACTGACATTGCACGGGGCTTCTTCACTCTTTTTGCACACTAAGTTTTATCTTGCATTTCTGCTCCCTTTCTATCCTGATCCACCTCTCCCCTGAGGACCCCCCACTAGATCCACTCTTCTGGTTCTGCCCGAAACACAGGGCCAAACATTACCTCCTCAGCCACAGAAAAAATAGAGTTTCCACACTGATCAGAAGAAATTTCTCAGGCCAGGCATGGTGGCTCATGCCTGTAATCCCAGCACTTTGGGAGGCCGAGGTGAGAGGATCACTTGAGGTCAGGAGTTTGAGACCAGCCTGGCCAACAATGGTGGAAGCCTGTCTCTACTAAAAATACAAAAAAAAAAAAAACTTAGGTAGGCATGATGGCACATGCCTGTAATCCCAAATCCTAGTTACTCAGGAGGCTGAGGCAGGAGAATCGCTTGAACCCAGGAGGCAAAGTTACAGTGAGCCAAGATTGTGCCACTGCACTCTAGCCTGGGCAACAGAGTGAGACTCTGTCTGAAAAAAAAAAAAAAATGCTGGAGGGGTTGTCAACATCAGTAAGGGTTCAAGGTACACCAACCAAGTGCTGGCTGAGAATTGCTAGCATTGGAACACATTGGTTGACAGTGCAAAGCCTGAAACTCATGTTGAAATTTAAATTTTTGAGTTTCTAAACACACAGGCTTCTGAAAGGAAACCATTTTTTAGTATTTCAACACTTTTTCCTTCTTTCATGTGACTTTAATTGTAAAACAGGAATCACTTAAGAAATTATCAAACTGTTTTGGTTTTTCTATGAATTTAGGCTGTCTCCCTAATAAACAGCATGTTTATCTGGCACTTAAAGCTGAGAACAAAACGGTAAAGCTGGAACAATTAAGTAATTATGGGCTATTAAAACCTCAGGTCTTTGGAGATGAGATCATGGACACAAGAGTTGGTGGGCAAGACAAAAAAAAAAGTCTTTTTTTTTAAATGAAATACATGACTCCTTTTATCTTCCTTTGGGAGTCTTATTTCATAGCCATTTCATTTATTTGCAGTAATGGAGGTAGAGATAGCAGGGATAAATGAAATCCAAAAATGTTTCTCCACCCTGAGTTTCACCCCAGGTTTCACCACCTCATTCACGGGAGCTGCAAATGAGTAAGGCTGCCAACTGACTAGAGTTTCATCCCCACCCACCTGTGGTGGAGGTGCTAAGAAGCCCTGAGAGAGTCGAGGCAGAGCCCAGATCCTCAAGTGATATCTTAGGGCTGCTGAGGACTCCCCAGCAGTGTTGCAGAACGAACCCCACTCAGATCCTCAGCTTTGGAAACAAGAGCCCCTACTAACCACAGGGAATGGTTGCAACTGTGTTGCTGCTTAGCCAGGGTGGCTGAGTGTCAGTCATTGTAAGAGCCCATGCACACACATCAGCAGACAGCCAAGAAGTCAGAGCTCCTCGCCCACTTCCTGAGCAGGCAAAGTGAGAGAAGTTCATCTCAGTGCCCACAGTGGGGCTGCCAGACTATGCCTGAGAGCTGTGACAAGGGCAGCGGCCATGGGGAATTGCACTTCAGCCTTGCCCCATATACACGGGAAAGGCACCAAACCACACTGAGGTCTAAGGAGGGAGGTGTTCTGGGAGGGAGAGAGAAACACAAGCTCATGCTACGGAAAGAGAAACAGGAACTGCAAAGGGAGGCCATTTGTTACTCAGGCCAACAACATCTCATTTGAGGTTGCCATCCTACTAGCACTTTAGCAAGTCTCTCATTCAGTCAACAAATATTTACCGGGTCCCACTGTGTGCCAGGCACTGGGAATTCAGCTGAGGACAAAACAGACAAGGCTGTCTGCTGTCCTGGAGCCCACATTGTAACAGGATGCAGACAGGCAGTGAATAATAAGCATAATAATAAGCAAATCGCATAGTAGGCTAGAAAGTGATCGATGTTAGGGAGAAAAGGAAAAAGTAGAGCCTGGGGATAATGGAGTGTTGGGGCTCTCAGGGTAGTAGGTCAGGCTGCAGAGCTGAGTAGGTTCTTACTGGGAAGATGAGATCTGAGCAGAGACTTGCAGGAGGTGAGAATGAACCATGTGGAGCTCTGGGCAGAGGGAACAACCTGTGCCAATGCCCTAAGGTGAGGATATGCCTGGCACAGTGAAGGGTCTTCAGGAAGGACACTTGGCTGGAGCTGACTAAGCAAGGGGGAGGGATGCTCAGAGGATGCAGAGGCGGAGGCCAGGCCACACAGGGACTCATAGCTGTTGGAAGAACTTAGACCTTTTTTCAGCCCAAGTAAAATTGGGAGCCATCACAGGATCTTGAGCCAAAGAGAAACATGATCTGATTTCCTATTTAAAAGGGTCATTCTGTCTGCTAGAAGTTTTATTTCCTCTGCTGGGATTCTATCAAGGTCAGTGTTAAAGGAGTTACCACCCGGGCAAGGTGGCTCATACCTGTAATCCCAGCACTTTAGGAGGCGGAGGTGGGCAGATGGCTTGAGGTCAGGAGTTTGAGACCAGCCTGGCCAACATGGTGAAACTCTGTCTCTACTAAAAATACAAAAATTAGCTGGGTGTGGTGGTGTGCACCTGTAGGTCCAGCTACTCGGGAGGCTGAGGCAGGAGAATCATTTGAATCCAGGAGGTAGAGGTTGCAGTGAGCTGAGATCACGCCACTACACTCCAGTCTGGGTGACAGAGTGAGGGAGACTCTGTCTCTGAAAAAAAAAAAAATGTTGAGTTAACTTGTAACTACTGTACTATTTCCTTTGCATGCAAACAGCTGCCAATGGAATACCTACAGAACTGAAATGATAGGAGGAAAAAAAGCCAAACCTAAGTGGTTGAAACAAGCAGACCATTCAGCTTCTGCCACACTTACAGATTCCCAGCAGGTGCTCCCAGTTCAGGGATCCTTCAACACGTGTTTGTTACAAATGAAGGATGGACATTATGCTTCCATGACTGATCATGTCAAATTCTGCCTTCTATTCTTCTATTAGGACCCTCAATCCCCTCAAAAAAGAGGAAAGGATGAATGTTAGCTTGAGTTTTTTTTTTTTTTTTCACTGCATTCATGGCCTAGAAAATCTACCTATACACGGCTGGGCGCGGTGGCTCATGCCTGTAATCCCAGCACTTTGGGAGGCCGAGGTGGGCGGATCATGAGGTCAAGAGGTCGAGACCATCATGGCCAAAATGGTGAAACCCCGGCTCTACTAAAAATACAAAAATTAGCTGGGCATGCTGGTGCGTGCCTGTAGTCCCAGCTACTTGGGAGGCTGAGGCAGGAGAATGGCGTGAACCCGGGAGGCGGAGCTTGCAGTGAGCCGAGATCCCGCCACTGCACTCCAGCCTGGGCGACAGAGCGAGACTCCGTCTCAAAAAAAAAAAAAAAAAAAAAAAAAAATTGTATGATTCAGTGAATCTATGATTTGTAGATGGTAAAATAACAGCCAGCACTCAGTGTGGCACGTGCTACGTGCCAGGAACTGTCCTGTGTGCTTTTCACATGGATGAATTTTAATCCTCACCGTACCCTTCCCAGCCAGCTACTATTATCCGTTTTATTGCCTGGGAAACTGAGGAACAGTGGTTAAGTGATGTGCCCAAGATCACACTCCTGTTAACGGGCAGGCCGGATTTTGAGCCCAGGCAGCCGGACTCCAGAATCCATGCCTTTCACCATTCCCTTCTCTGGCCTCTCAGTACAGTCTCTGAGAGCAAAAGGGATTTCCCAGTGGGGCTCTTCAGACCTCTCTTAGGAAGCCGTCAGAGGGGCAGGACTTGTAATGACACCCTGGCCTGGGCATCCTGGTCGCACACAGGGATAGAGATATTTAGGGAGCCATAAAGGAGGAATGGGTGTGGGAGACAGAGGCTAAGTCCACACACAATTGAATGATGTTCCAGAATAGAATATTTGAAATTGAGATTGTCCTAGGAAATCTTGTTCCTGTGTGCCAGCAGCTACATTCGCTCTGGCACACTCCTGCTGCATCTCAGGTTTTCCTGGCTCTCCGTGAGAGACTGGGGCACCGAGTCCTCGGGGACAGGCACCAGGACTGAAGTGCAAGCTCTGGGCCGCGTCCCCAGCTCCCTCACCCCCTCTCACAATCCACATTTCCCCCTCCTCTTCCGCCTTCATCTCTTCAGTTTCCTCCTCTGTCGTCTCCCTGGATTCTCCCCTGCTTTTGTACCTCTCTTCTTCCACCTCTCTCCTCGTTCTGTCCCCAGTCCCCTGGGGAAATGGAGAGGAAGGGGGATTTGGAGAACAATGATATCCTCTTTTCCCCCTACTTTAAGCTCTAAGAGTCCAAAACAAAGGAATGCATGTAGAATCAAGTTGTGCTGAAAATGAGAAGATGAAGTTAATTTTAGCTGGGATTTCTAAGAGTGTCTGAAGTTATCAGCATGGTAAGGTGTGGGGGTTCCTCTGTCATGCAGTGATGAGAAAATTGTGCCTTCCCAAGGCCACTTTGTGTGAGTAGGAGGAGAGCCAGCCAGAGAGGCCACCTGAGCTGGAGACAGGCAATGCTGAGAGGCCTCAGAGTCGATGTTCTCAATTCTGTACCCATTTCCAAAATTTAGAAGTAGACACTGATACTAGAAAGATTACCAGCTGCTCAAATAAATGCATCAGGACATCTTTTAATTTAGGACTCTGCAAACCGAAGTTAGGAATCTTGTTCCAAATTCCCAAAAACATACAGCCTTGTGTTCCTTCACGGTATTCTTTTGTTTTACCGAATTCTGAGATGCCGTTGCCATTTAGATGGATTTCCACTTAAGGCTAATATAATGTCAGGCTTCGGGTTATCTCCGTTTCACCTTTCCTCAAGCAGTGCTCACCTCCTGCCATTCCTGGCTTAGCCTGGCTCCAGGTAATGGACATTCCCAGTCCTCAGAATCGTGTGAGGGAAAAGACCACGGGGTGTATTTATAGTTTGAATGCAGAGCAGGCACTCTCAGCACAAGGCAATGGAACGGAGTTCCGCCAAAGTGCAGCACTTCCTATGCCTGCTGAGGAGCATTTGCAGGTCTTGGAGCTCTGCAGAATTTAGTCCCCAGAAGGAACTTTGATCTACTCTACACCTGTTTTATAGAACAGGGAATCAAGGAGCCCCAGAAAGGCCTTGTGACCTGCTTAGTTGTTGCAGTTGTTCCACCATTTGAATAAGGTCTAAACTCCTCAGCATGGCTTCCAAGGTCCTTTAGGACACGACTGTCTCCTCACTGTCCACACCTCCCACATCTTAGCTTAGCTGTCTTCGTGGCATTGTTTCCCTGGAGAACCACGTGTGCTATCAGTACACCCGACTCCAGCCATATGAAGCTTCAGTGCACCCGTCTGTCCCCACCATGGGGTCTTGGCACATGCTCTCCCTTCTCCTTAGAGCATGCCACTCACCTGTGCAGCATGCTGCTTGTCTGACCTGGCTAACTTCTCATCCTTCAGTATCTCAGCTCCACTGTCATCTCACTGAGGAGCCTTCCTTGAGTCCCCCCTCCCCAGCAGTCAGGGTGTTTCTGCTCCCCAAGTCCATGACAACCTGTACTTAATCACTCCTCTCCCCTTAACTTATTGTAAAATGGATTCACTTTATTTTAACTTTTAATTTCTGTGGGACTAGTAGACGTATGTATTTATGGGGTATGTGAGATATTTTGATACAGGCGTGCAATGTGTAATAATCACATCAGGGTAAATGGGGTGTTCATCACCTCAAGCATTTCTCATTTCTTGGTGTTACACACATTCCAATTATACTCTTTGGGTTATTTTTAAATGTACTGTAAATTATTGTTGACTGCAGTCACCCTGTCGTGCTATCGAATGCTAGATCATACTTATTCTATCTAACTATATTTTTGTACCCACTAACCATCCCTTCTACCCCCATCCCCTACCACCCTTTCCAGCCTCTGGTAACCATCATTCTACTTTCTATTTCCATGAACTGAATTGTTTTCATTTTTAGCTCCCGCAAATGAGTAAGAACATGCAAAGTTTGTCTTTCTGCGCCTGGCTTAGTTCACTTAACATAATGTCTTCCAGTTCCATCCAGGTTGTTGCAAATGACAGGATCTCATTCTGATTCCATTTTCTGTCTCTTGCTCTAGGTTGTCATGGGAACAGGTCCCATATTTATGTTGCTCACCATCGTATTTCCAGAACACAGCTCAGTGCCTGGAATACAGTAAATGTTCAAAAGTACTTGCTGGCTGGCTGGCTGGCTGGATGGCAGGCAAGAAGTGGGGGAGAGGACAACTGACAAATGACACTAGATGAAACCAGTCCTAAAATGAGAACCCTTGAAGATGATGTCCTCAGGGGTTAGTCCTGCCATCTGCTTAGCTTACAAACTCCCAGATTCAGCTTAGGTTTACTGAGGGCCTGCTCTCTAGTCTGTCTCCTACCTGGTTTCATCTACAAGATCCCATTTTATCCAGACAACCCCCAAATGAAGCAGGACATTTTATCTACCCCTTGCAGGCATGGAAACTAGGCCTGAGGGGGAACTGTGGGTGTCAGGATGGTGCTTGGCCACGTGGTTGTGGTGTTCCCACTCTCCCCTTCACGGGCAGCCCCACCGCAGAGCTCTCCAGGCTGTGATCCCCTCCCAGCCCCGGGCTTCGGCTCTCCCCGCTGGTAAATGACACCCATGGCAAAGCGCAGCTCTGGGCGGTGTCCTTTGGCTTCACTTGCTGCTGTAGCTGGCCGGCCTTATGCCTGGCTGATTTAGACTTTCCTTTATGTAAGTAACGGGGGGCAGTTTGCTCTAATAAAATTTTATTTGTTTCCTGCAAATGGGTAGCACATCTGATATATCAAAGGATCCTGAAAGCTAGGGTAGTCATTTTGTTCTCACAACTCAGTGCCCTGGTTGCTCACTCGTCACCACCCCTCTCCTGACAGAACTACTCTGAGATGGGCCGACATCTTTCTAGCCACACCTTCATGTTAAAAATGCCTCAGCCAACTCACACCAGCTAGAGAACAGTTGATGGCAATTATGGGAATATTAGCAACACTAAGTTCTCTTTACATAGCATTTTTTCCTGACAGAAGCCAAGACAGTTGAAATCTGGCTTGGCATTCAATCCATAATTACCCTCATTGCACCCTTCCCCTAAATAATTTCCAAAGTGATATGAATGAGGTTGGAACTGTAGCTGAGCTTAGTATTTGCTTTTTTTCCCATAAATAGTCGGTGTCATAGACATACTATTTTATCTCTTCATGCGCATGTAGTCAAATTGTTAGACTGATGCTTAATAATTGTTCGGAGAAAAGAATGTGACTTGGCAAACTGGCTGTTGTTTCTGCCTCACACTACGGGGAAAGGGAATAATGATACCCTGTGTGTGTTTGTGAACATTCTGAGGTGTACTGTTCCCGTCATCTTAGCTCCCAAAGAGGGGATATCTTCAGGCTTTATCATCTTCATGTCTTCTGCTGCAGAGAAGCCTCCAAATCCATGGGTTCTAGGTGTTCATTGTATGGTTCATGAGTGTTTTAGGTGAACAATATTTAAAAATCCATACTTACAAAGGAATTCAAGTAGAAGATATCTGTTTTGTCTATAAAGGAATCTGCCATTATCATCTTTTAAATCACATGTTTGAAAATATAATTTGTATTCCTGGGTCCTCTTATTTATCTTTTATCTTTGAGATGCATTCTTACTCTGTCACTCAGGCTGGAGTACAGTGGCACGATCTCGGCTCACTGCAACCTCCGCCTCCCGGGTTCAAGCGAATCTCCTGCCTCAACCTCCTGAGTAGCTAGGATTACAGGTGCCCGCCACCACACCCGGCTAATTTTTGTCTTTTTAGTAGAGACAGGGTTTCACCATGTTGGCCGGGCTGGTCTTGAACTCCTGACCTCAAGTGATCCGCCTGCTTTGGCTTCCCAAAGTGCTGGGATTACAGACGTGAGCCACCACACCCGGCCTCTGGCTTCTTTTAAAGTATGACTTGATACACAGATGTTTCACTTATTTATAGCTTTCCAAGAACACGCACATTACATGATGGGAAGTGAGTTCCATTTTGACATATAAATTGATTTCTGCCTCCTCTTAGGAATGCGTTCATGTCATACTTTGAAAAATATAATGCTTCGAGTCTGCCTCTTTTTTCCAGTGTTCTCTGCAGCTGAGTGTCGTGCATGTTTTTGAAATGGGAAGAATGATCTTGTTTGAGTTCCCATTGTGTCACATAGCATACAGAGATCAGGGAGGGGTTTCTACTCCTCACCTGGCTTTACTGAGTCAGTTCAAGTTCTCTCTGGAAGCTCCTGGCCCTCCAGGAACTCTGTCAGAGGACCATAGGATCGAAGAGCATAAAGCTGCAAGATTTGGAGTCAGCTGCCTGGGAGTGTGGGGTCCTGAAGTGGGCCCCTCTGATTCTTAGGAGAACCTCTCTCGTCCTCACACTGGCCCAAAAGGCATCCTGTGATTCTAATAGAAATGGTGACCTAGGCAGCCTCAGAGACCAACTGAGGAAGTGCTTCCCAAACTTTTACTTACATAACAATCACTCAGAGTTTGCTAAAATCTTCCCGGGCTCTACCTGCAGGGATTCTGATTCAGTAGGTCAGCATTGGCTCGTGAGCTTGAATTTCTAACCAGCACATAGGTGATGCCCATGCCTCTGTTGAGGGCCCACATTGTGAGAACCATGGTTCTGAGAGACTGAGGGCAAGCTGCAGGGGTTAGGGGAAAGGTGGCATGGGCTCTGGGGACAGGTGGGTCTTGGGTACACTTAGTGTTGGAGAAGGATTGAAGGAAAGGGTGACAGTTACCAGTTAGATTCAATACTTCTCAGCTTTTCTATGATCAGCATTATTTGGCACACACAGAAACCACAACTTTAACTTTCCACATTTACCACTGTTTTATGTGATTTGGGTCTAGAAGGAAAATGGTCAGGGGCCAATTTTCTAGGAACCAGGGAGGTTATGTTATTCCTGGATTACACCAAATACTGGTCATTAAAAAAAATCGTTTTATTGCAGTATAATTTATATGCCAAAACTTCACCCACTGTAAGAGAACAGCTCAAGGATTTCGGGTAACTTTATATTGTGCAGCCTTCACCACAGTCCAGTGTTAGAACATTTCCACGGTCCCAGATAGCTCCCTCCAAGCCTAGTACTTTTGATTGTTTGTGAATTCTGTTATGTATATGTTCAAACACCTTTCCAATGAATAACAATGCCTTTTAGAACTCTTCGTATTTTTTCATTGTTCTAGATTGAGTAAATAGGTCGCAGGCCACCTGTTTCATTAAGTTAGTCTTGATAAATAAGTTCGTGAGGTTTGTGCCATTTGCCTAAAATGAAATACTTCAACCAGTGAGTATTATTGTAATAATGAATATGTGCCAGGTACTGCTTTGCCATCTCTTAAAATAATGCTTTAGAAGTATACTCACGGTTTAAAAGAGTACTCTGTTTATGTTAATGCAATAGTCATATATTTGAACACCCATTGTGTAGCATTCAGTGCACTAAAGGATATAAAGATGAATAATACATTGTCCCTGGCTTCCAGGGGCTCAGGACTCTAGGAAATGAGATGAAAGTGTAAACTAAGAAATAGAGTGTAATTCTGTAATGAAGTCCACTGGAAAGTGTAAAGCTTAGAATGGCAGAGTGAACAAGTGGCATTAAATCCTATACTTTTTGTGCCATATACTGAGTGGCATTCTTGCTCTGGACATTGGTTTCACTGCCCCATCTGAACTCGCCTTCCAAACATGATCTCTCTTGAGGGCCTTATCAGATACAAATCTTTTCCTTAAAAAACACTGTGACGAGAGTATGCCAATAAAAGGATACAGTTTTAAGCACAATGATCCCAACAGTGATGCATCCTCTGATGGTCTACATTTTATAGTGAGAATCAACAATCCATTTAATCAGCAAACATCTACCTGTGCTGTGTTAAGTATTTTGGAGCAAATTGAAAAACAAAAAATTCCTTGTCTCATTGAGAAGGTAAGACTTGCATATATACAATGAAAGCAGAGGTGCAAAGAAGCTTATGGTAAAGTTCTGCTTTAAATATGAGTCATGTGAAAACCTCCAGGACAGACAGTAAATGCTGTGTGGAACTAGGTTTGCTGTCCCTAAAACAGGAGTGCTGAATGCCTCTTAACCATTCTGGGGCAGGCAGGGCACAAGAGGCATTATAGAACATGTGCTTGGGTTATACAACGTGTATTAGGCCGTTTTCACACTGCTATTAATATAAAGAACTGCCCAAGACTGGATAATTTATAAAGGAAAGGGGTTTAAGTGACTCACAGTTCAGCATGACTGGGGAGGCCTCAGGAAACTTACAATCATGGCAAAGATGAAGGGGAAGCAAAGTATGTTCTTCACAAGGAGCCAGGAAGGAGAAGTGTGGAGCAAATGGGGAAGAGCTCCTTATAAAACCATCAGATCTCGCGAGAATTCACTATCAGGAGAACAGCATGGGGGAAACCATCCCCATGATTCAGTTACCTCCACCTAGTCTCTCCCTTGACATATGGGGATCATGGGGATTACAGTTCAAGGTGAGATTTGGGTGGGGACACAAAGCCTAACCATATCACAAGCCAAATACCATTGTAATGGGGGGCATAAAGTTAACGAGGGATTTCTTTCCCCCTCATATATTTGGACTGGACTGTTATTTACTTATCTGTATTAATTAAATCTCCCAATTTAAATTAGCTGTGTAGAAAATAAAAGGACTGGATCATATTGGAAGTCGAGAAGATGTGCAGTTACTAGTCCTATTGCTTCATTTAATGGTGTTCTCTTTTTTAAGCTTTTCCCCATTTGTGACAGAAAAACAAGGCACCTGCTTTCCTTAGAGCACCACTGATAATCTTTGGTATGATCATGAAACGATTGTGCTTGAGAAGAAAAATGGGCATAAATAAAGCTAAAAAGCAAAGATGCCTTATCCATAGCAATAGTTTATTTGCTTTTCAGAATCTAACCTTTTCCTTCATTTTTCATATTTTTGGATTGGGTTCGATGATGCATATCTCCTATCTCCTCAAATGTATTCCAGTATGAGGAACATGGGAGAAATGTCTTATTTTTATTCGGAGGCAACCACGGATGTGGCCATCAACTGGTGGGTCCATGTGACTTCTTCACTAGATCTGATATGCTCTGGTTTTGAATATTAGACTGGTCAGAGAGCAATGTCAATCCCCCTCCTACTCCATGGCCAGTACCAAAGACAAGCAGTCCAAATGACAACAGCCCTGCAGTGAAAGGTAATAACAGCATTTTGTCTCTCTGAAATGACAGCTGCCTTCCTTTCCAGTGGCCTAACCTGTTTTCTGTACTACTTTGCTAATTTCCATTTGAACATCTAGGGCTCAAGACAGGGCTATGAGATGGAGAATTTCGCATAATCCCAGAAATTACATTCTGACTTCTTTTTCTGGCTTAATGTCCTCATTCATAATTCCCTTTATCAAATTGTACCTAATGTGGATGAGTCAAATATCTACATGTGGTTGGGTGGTCCCCAAGTTTGGTTGGAAATACCAAGGTATGAAAGGCCTCTGAGGTTTGCTATTTTTAGCCAGAAATACCATTGCCACCACCAAATAGGGCATTTAATTTGTGCACCTCAGAAAGGGCCAGGTTTCATAGTTGTCAAAAGAGGTCATTTCAAGTTCATGAGATCTGTTCTCTTTTGGGACAGGTCCCCCAAGGGAGCCTCTGCTCGACTGAAGATATCATCTGTGTTTGCAGCTCTAGCTCTGTTTCTTTGGTATCACTGACTTTCTCTTGTTGGCCACAGGAAGTTGAAGGAAGTGTGTACTCCATTATCATCAAAAAATGTTCCCATGATGCTCTTTTAAGTGTTATGCAAATAAGTTGCACCTGCTTTGTCTCCAACAGTGGCTGCCTGGGGAATGTGAGGATTGTCCCAAAGCACAATCACTGGCTCCTCACGGCAAGGCCATGAGAACGCTCAGAAGACCTCCTAAGACCCTTGAGGAGGTTAGAAGGAAGGGGAAACAAGCATGTAGCATCTTTTCACTAGAGTCGTCTTTAAGATATTTTGATATCCTCTAGCAAGAATAGAGATAGGCTAATCCAGCGAAATCAGTATTGCCTTTTTTTAGGCAATACCCTGCCCACTCCCCCTCCAACTAAGCTACAGTGAGCTCTCTTGTCTCTGATACTCATATCAAGATAAACCAGATGATTCCAGGGCTAATTGCACATGGAATTCAATGTTACATAGTAATAACTTGCATATTACCCACTAGTCTTGATATAGTTTTCTCACCATCATAGATACACTGATTTTTACATGTAGATACATTAATATCTACAAAAGACTTTTTTTACAAAAAGAGGGAGGGGAATCCGAAGTATAAAGTGATCGGTACACTATCTTAGCATTTCAGTGCCATTTTGATGAAAGGATCAAAGGCCCTGTTTATACTGATATAATCCCATTGCCTCTATCCCCTCACTAACCACTTTTAGCAACTTGTCCTACCAACACTTCCTGAGACTCTTTTCAGCCAGATGGCAAGCACATTCCTAGCTGCTCTCAGCTAGAAGGATCACCCATCAGAGACGTTTTCTTCATGTTTCTGACACTCCCACCTGTTGGAGAAGAAAAAAACACAGGTCATCCAAGCCAATGAACTTAGATTCTCATGTGGAATGATTTATGTATTTTAAACAAAGCCTTCATCTTATTTAGAAATCACTTGCATGAGGCACTCTTTTGAAAATGTTCTCCTCATCTGGAAAATAATTTGGCTGTATAATCGTGGTATTCAGGAAGTTAGGGCAGGTGTTTAGGTGGAAGAGCAGAAGGGAGTATTCCAATGAGGCTGAAGAGTGAGGGGAATTGACCCCCTGGGAGAAGGGAAGGCATGTCAGGGCCCTCCTTTTAACAGGAAAGGATTGAAGAAGGCAGTGACCCTGAGAGAAGAGGAGAAGCCAGGCCTGGGCGCCAAACACTTTTGGGCCTGTTGCTTTGAAGGGTAGAAAGAGTGGCCATAATATTTCTCCTGACCCAGCAGATTTGAAAAGATTCCTCCAGCAGACAGTGGAAAGCCCCTTGCTTCCTCAGCCATTCAGTCTGATTTCTGAAATAACTATGCTATTTCCTGGTTGTGGTGAAGTGGCAGGGCCCGAGGGTTTGATCAGCTTTTCATGGGCTATGGCCATTAGTGGGGTTGGGGTGCAGGTGGGAGTTTGTTAACACAAGAGCTTGTTATTCTCGGAGCTTCAGGCCCTGGTTTGGAAATGTTAACTGGCCAACCAGCCACGGGAGTTGGAATTCCCTAACTATTGTCAGAGAGAGTGCAAAGGGATTTGTCTGATTGAACAATCTGCATTTGAAGATGACCTGGACCTGCCTGCATCCCGCATGGCAGAGGTGGACATTTGGAAGGTGCGTTTGCTCATGTTTCCTCTTCTCTCCCCAGAACCTGCTAAGGCTGCCTCAGACCTGACTGCCTGGTTCAGCCTCTTCGCTGACCTCGACCCACTCTCAAATCCTGATGCTGTTGGGAAAACCGATAAAGAACACGAATTGCTCAATGCATGAATCTGTACCCTTCGGGAGGGCACTCACATGCCGCCCCCAGCAGCTCCCCTGGGGGCTAGCAGAAGTATAAAGTGATCAGTATGCTGTTTTAATAATTATGTGCCATTTTAATAAAATGAAAGGGTCAACGGCCCTGTTTATATTGGTATAATTATTTACTCTTATTTGGTATAAAGGGTTTTCGTGTATCTCTATGTGGATCTAAATAATACAGGATTGTCTAGAAGCGGTTTCCAGGCCACCGCTCTCCTGCCTACATCCCATCATGGCTGCTGCGGTGTCACTGGGCTACCGTGAGATCCAAGTTGAAATCAGAAGCCTACTTTGATGGTAGGTTTGAATGACGTGTCCTACAGCCTCAGAGGCAGCAGGAGGCTAGCAAAGCTTAAATGCCTCCTTCTCTGCCCCCAGCCTCTGTCCCCCTTGGAGGAGGGCTGTAGGAAGATTCCCTCTTCCTGCCAAGCCACCTTCCAGTGAGCTCTGGATGAAGCTCTGGCCAACCAAAGACACTGTCCCCACAGCAGGTGCCTGGTGGGCCACGTGTTCTCACACTGGTGGAGGAGCTGGGCTTCTGTCCAAGGCACAAACCTTACTATGGAAAGCAGCCATATTTGCAGATACCACTGTCTCCTTTTGTCCTCTTCGTGGCTGGAATTCAAAAGCATGTATTTCTGAAGCCTCTTGTGACATTGTTTTTTTTTTTTTTTTAATTAAACAGAAAAGATATTTGACATGCAAAGTCAAGTTTATGGAGTCTGTTGTGGGGACTCAGTGATGTGCTGAGGAAAGTGCTCTGGGTGTGGGTGTGGGAGTGGGACAGAGGAGAAGGATGGGTCCCAACTGCAGCCTTGAAGCTGTTGATTTGACCCCATGTACCACCCAGATAAGGCAGCAGCAGGAAGGACAACATGGGGCTTGAAGGATCAGGCAGGGGTGGGAGCCACAGTTTTACATTTGGGCAGCTCGGATACTCTGCCACTATTAGAGACCCCAGAGCTGGCACCTCTCCCTGCCACACATGTCACAGGTGACCTGCCGAGGGCCCACACAGATCTGTGGAAGCCCATGTATACCCCTTTCAATGAGCTAGAGGCCCAGAGTAGGGGTGGAATCTAATACTGCCCCAGGAGATGGTTCCACATGCTTGGTTGGGCCAGGAGGTCTCTCCTGGACTCCTGCAGCTTCAGTGCCCAGCTCTGAAAGGGCTTCCTGAGGCCACTTCCTGTAACACACACACACACACACATACAGGAACGGCTCATGGAAGGACCTGGCCACAGCAATCACCTCCATCCCTACAAGACACCTTGGAGGACTGGAGATGGGGGACTGTTGAGGTGTTCTTTCTCTGCACAGGAAAGTGCACTGCAGGTGAAATGGGGCATGTTAGGGAGCTCACGGAACCCCACTAACATCCGGGCCTACCATCAGCTATCCAGGGGGTCTCCTTTGTTAGAATCTCATTTAGCAGATTCCTCAACCCGGCATTGGTGGGCTTTGAGGATATGAAGAGTTCAGTACCAGAGCCTCACCTTGTGAGCCTTCCCGCACTCACACAGGAGGCCTTGCTGTACCCTCAGCCTCTGCTCCCCACCCTGGGCCTGTGTGTTTGCTGTGCACGTCTGCTGGGATGCCATCACAACCCCACCTACCCTTCCAGAGCCTCTGTAGAGCCGACGTGCTCCACAAGGACCTCTCCAAGTGCATCCCCCAGGTCTCCTGTGAGGAACCAGCCCTCACCTCTCCGTGACACTTCATCAGCTCCTGCCCTCCCTTCCTGCCTCTCTCCCATCTCATACAGCGACACTAGGATGGTGCTTGCCCTGGCCTCACAAGGACTGTGCTTTATGTATCTGCCTCTACCACTAGGTGCTATGACCCCAAAGAACAGTCTCCCTGTTTCTCCAAATCTCTGTCTCTCCGGCAGTCAGCACCCTGCAGTCACCTCGTCAGCAATGGATTAATGATTGGGGGAGTCAAGCTGCCCTTCATGGAATGTGGACTCAGTCCTGGTTTCATCCTGGGTCACATTTGCAGCTGTGAAAACCCTGCAACCACAGTAAGAAGATGAGGGACGAGGCACTGACTCGCTCCGTCCAGGCTAGAGGCCCAGAGAGCTTGGTGGGGGAAAGGGTGGGACAGCAAAGGGGGTGGGGTTCATCTATTTTGAATGGATTACTTTAAATACTAACAGGTGGCATTTAAAAGTTGCTCTTTGGGTGGAGGGGAGAGGATTGTGGTAGCTGGACAAGCTTCACTACAAGGACAAG
Organism: Homo sapiens; assembly: GCF_000001405.40. Lineage (NCBI taxonomy): Eukaryota > Metazoa > Chordata > Mammalia > Primates > Hominidae > Homo > Homo sapiens. The sequence continues at coordinate 8,111,652 of NC_000007.14, read as the reverse complement.
GAAAGAATTGCACATGGAGGCATTTTCTCTCCATATTTTCTTGACCTTAAAAAAAACAAAAGATTCAATTCCCTTTTCTAACTGCAATCCACTTGGCCAGCATCTTGATCCCTTTTGATATGCGTGTTTTGATCCGGGCTCATGCAAAGCCGGTGGACCACCTTTTCAGTTTAAACAGCAGCAGCTGCTGCCTGATTCTCTTTTTAAGTGGCCTGCGTGCCTGCGGGGCCAAAGGGCTTCTTCCAGGACGCACCTCCCGGACCCTCCTCAGCCACCCAAGGACTGGCCCTGGTATGAAGAAGACAAAGGTACGCTACCCTCTTCCTGTACACTTCCTGTACCCTCTTCCTGTACACTCCCACATGTCCCTCATTTTCATTTCATGATGAGAGCCTGGTCTGAATCACAGTTGCACTGAACCCTTTGGGGCGATTTAGAGAGCACCTATTCCTGGAAAGCTTTCCTGCCAATCCAGGTGGGGTGGTCTGCCAGGCTCCCTTCCCTGTCCCCCAGCCAAGATTTAAAGAATATACAAATTTAAGGGAGGGAGCCAGAGAAAATTCTTTTTCCTTCTTTCTTCTTTCCCCAGCTGGCTTGGGCTTTTGGTGTACCTTATAGATTCATTTCCTTCAAAATGTAATTTTAGAAATATCAAGTTGATTTTTGAGCTCTGGGAAAGTGAGAAAAGCACCCGTCAGCTTCAGAATTAGAAATGCACCAACTTAGGACGAACCAGCACTTTTTGTCAGTGGTTTTTCCCAAAAAGACGTGATCTACTCAGAGGCGGCCCGAGGCGTCGGTGGGCCTGTAGGCAGGACTTATGCATGGTGCTATTATTACCAGGCAGGGGTCCTGATCCAGACCCCAAGAGAGGGTTCTTGGACCTCATGCACAAGAAAGAATTTGGGGCGAGTCCATAGAGTAAAGTGAGAACAAGTTTATTAATAAAGTAAAGGAGGCCAGGCGCAGTGGCTCACGCCTGTAATCCCAGCACTTTGGGAGGCTGAGGTGGGCAGATCACCTGAGATCAGGAGTTTGAGACCAGCCTGGCCAACGTGGTGAAATCCCGTCTCTACTAAAAGAAATTAGTTGGGCGTGGTGGCGGGCACCTGTAATCCCAGCTACTTAGGAGGCTAAGGCAGGAAAATTGCTTGAATCTGAGAGGCGCAGGTTGCAGTCAGCCATGATTGCTCCACTGCACTCCAGTCTGGGTGAAAGAGCAAAACTGCATCTCAAAAGAAAAAAAAAAAAAAAGAAAGTAAAGGAATAAGGAATGGCTACTCGAGTCATAGGCAGAGTAGTGGCATGGGCCGCTTGACTGAGTATACTTACAGTTATTTCCTGATTATATGCTAAACAAGGGGTGGATTATTCATGAGTTTTCTGGGAAAGGGGTGGAGATTCTCCTTTTTGGACTAATCACCTCTTTAAAGCCTCACCTCTTAATACTGTTGCAATGGCAATTAAATTTCCAACACATGAACTTTGGGGGATATATTCAAACCATAGTAGTCATGGTGGGAAATGGGCTGTGTGCCCAGCTTTTCAGGCACTGGAGTCTCACCCTCAAGGACCAAGAATAGAGAAAGTTCCTTAAGGCAGAATTGGGATGCTGTTACTAGAGAAAGAAAAAAAAATGGATGTTAGGCAGGAAAATACAAGACAGCCACTCTAGTTTCCAGTGGAGGACTTTCAGGAAATGCTTTTCCAGTCTTTCCAGAGGGCTATGAAACAGGGTTGTTAAAGAACTGCAGTGGTTTCCAAAAACCCCCCTATTAGGCGCCTCCCACCTGTGCCATGAGGCCACTCCCCAGCAGGCACTGGGGCTGGAAGCTTGGAGCTCTTAGTGGCCCATTGAGAATACTGACCTTCCTGCTGACTTCATGGAATCACAAAAGGAGTCCTAGAGCTTTTTGCTTCCAACCTGCTCATATCTATGTGAAGAAACTGAGGAGACCAAAGGGACGTGGAGAACTAGGTTTAAAGTTAAGGAAACCCAAGACGAGTAATCACATTCCTGTGGTTACTAGTCTTGGTTTTCCAGGACTGACTCCCAGGCCAATGCTTCTTAAGTGTTTGCTAGAAATTAAAAGTTGTAGAAAGCAATTCAAATGCAAAAACAGGGAAAACTCCTGTCCTTCATGACTGCTTTTATTTTCATTTTTCAGAAGTTAGTTATTAAGTACATCCTTTGGGGATAGCATCCAGGAGAAGCATTTAGGACAGTTGGTAAGTTTGCTCTGAAGCCAGACAAATCTGTGGCCAACTGGGCTCCGCCTGCTCTAAGTCATATACCCTCTCAAGCTTGTTTTCTCATCCATAAAATAGGAATAGTAACATTTCCTGCCACTTGGAGTCATTACAAGGATTGAGTTGATGTCCCCAAAGACTTTAGCATTGTACTTGCACACAGCAACACTCAAGTGTGGAGAAATGTGCCACCAAAGTTCACTCTCTTGGTAAAATGTTGGAAGGGGGAAGGGAGAGATTAGTTAAAGGGCACAAAATTATAGCTAGATAGAATAAGTTCTGGTATTCTATAGCACTGAAGGCTGACTGTAGTTAACAATAACATATACTTTAAAATAGTTAGAGGGAGGATATTGAATGTTCCCAATACAAAGAAATGATACATGTTTGAGATGATGGATATGCTGATTACCCTGATGTAGTCACTATACATTATACGGATAGAAACATCACTATGTAGCCCATGAATATATACAGCTATTTGTCAATTTTTGAAATTTTAACTAAATTTTAAAAATGTGGCTGGGCATGGTGGCTCACTCCTGTAATCCCAGCACTTTGGGAGGCTGAGGTGAGTGGATCACCTGAGGTCAGGAGTTCAAGACCAGCTGCCCAACATGGTGAAACCCCGTCTCTACTAAAAATACAAAAAAATTATTTAAGTGTGGTGGTGTGTACCTGTAATCCCAGCTACTTGGGAGGCTGAGGCAGGAGAATCGCTCGAGCCCAGGAGGCAGAGGTTGCAGTGAGCTGAGACTGCACCATTGCACTCCAGCCTAGGAAACAAGAGTGAGACTCCATCTAAAAAAAAAAAAAAAAAAAAAATTCCTACCCTCTCCTAATGAATTACCTTGCATAAGACATGCCAGGCTCTCTTTTCTGTTCCCATCATTTATTACCTCATTCATAAATATTATGGGAATGGAGGGAGGAGGACAGGACTAGAAAGTCTATTGAATAAGTTGCCCCTGATTTTTCCATAAAGCTGGACAAAATTCTGTGGTAAGACTAGGAGATATGAAGTGGATTCTTGTGTCCACAGACAAAAGGGACACATTACAAAACTCACCAATCTTAAAGGTATCTTGAGAACAAATCACTAATTGGAACACTGATGAACAGAAATCAGGATGCAGAGCAATTAAAATTCTCATGCATTGTTGATGGGAATGTTAACATGGAAGCCACTTGGGGAAACAGTTTGGCAGTGTCACAGAAAGTGAAACACATGCTTACCATACAACCCAGCAATCCCACACGTAGGAATTCACCCTGAAGGGAAAGAAAGAAAAAGGGATATCCACACAAAAACCTGTATGTGAATGTGTGTATCGGCTTTATTCATAATCTCCCAAACTGAGAGCACGCAAATGTCCTTCAATTGATGTGGTATGTGCATACAATGGAATATTATTTAGTGGCAAATATGAATATTGATACAACACCATGATAATCCACAGCAATATCATGTGCCCCCCTGCCATGATGCAGTGGGACGGGCACTTAGCCTCTGTGCTATTCTCTCCCCAAATTCATAACCCCAAGCTTGGTGTCAGAACATATCAAACAAACCCAAATTGAGAGGCATTCCACAAAATACCTGATACGTATCTTTCAAAAGTGTCCAGGTCATGAAAAACAAGAAAACACTGAGAAACCACAGATGGGAGGAAACTAAAGAGCCACAGCAACTTAATGCTAAGTTGGGGGACCCTGGATTAGATCCCAAAACAGAAAAAGGACGTCATTGGAAAAACTGGTGAATCCAAATAAAGTCTATGCTTTATATAGTATAGTATAGTATAATAGTAGATATAGTATAATAGTATTGTAGAAATGTTAATTTCTTAATTTTGACAAGCTATGTAACGTGAACAATATGGGAAGCAGGGTAAAGGGCATATGGGAACTTTGTGCTATCTTTGCAACTTCTCCGTAAGTCTCAAAGTATTCTAAAATAAAAAGCTGATTAAAAAAAAAATGGCGGCCAGGCGTGGTGGCTCACGCCTGTAATCCCGGCACTTTGGGAGGCCGAGGCAGGTGGATCACGAGGTCAGGAGATGGAGACCATCCTGGCTAACACGGTGAAACCCTGTCTCTACTAAAAATACAAAAAAATGGCCGGGCATGGTGGCCGGTGCCTGTAGTCCCAGCTACTTGGGAGGCTGAGGCAGGAGAATGGCGTGAACCCGGGAGGCGGAGCTTGCAGTGAGCCGAGATCGCGTCACTGCACTCCAGCCTGGGCAACAGAGCGAGACTCCGTCTCAAAAAAAAAAAAAAAAAAAAAAAAAAAAAAAACCTTCATATTGTGTGATTCCATATGTATGACATTTTGGAAAAAACCTTATAAGGACAGATATCAGATCAGTGGTTGCCCAAGTCTGAGGTTAGAGGAAGAGTTCATTCCAAAGGGACACAAGAGAATTTGGCGGGGGGATAATGGAACTCTTTGTAGACTGATTGTGTTGGTGGTTCCATGACTGTATGCATCTGTCAAAACCCATACAGGTGTACACTAAAAAGAGGAAATTGTACTGTGTGTAAATTATGCCTCAATAAGTATGATGCTAAAAAAAAGAAAAAAGAAATTGGATTCTGGGTCCTCCACAGAGGGATGCCAGCAGTACGGGGAAGACAAACCTCTGAGACGTTACCTGAAGCTGAGAGACTCAGCCTGAGTTGTAGATTAGGGAGTCTCATTGGCCTCCAGCTCCAAGGTAGACAGTGCTACTCACACCGGTGTCCTCCTGCGGGGATCTGCCAGCATCCTTCTGTGTAAAGTCAGGACAGGCCAGGTTATGTTTTGCAAAATCACCACAACATCCCTGTGATTTAAAACGAGGAAGTTTGCTTCCTTTCCCTTTTGTGCTCTATTTCCAATGTAGCTCAGTGGGCTTTGCCCCACAAATCCTCAGGTGCTCAAGCTGACAAAGGCATCACTGGCCTACAGCTGATCACATAAAACACAGGAATCTCTCCATCACAGCCACAAGGAAAAGCTGAGCTGAGAGTCACGCATTGGCTGTTTTATCCTTCATCCTAGAAAGGGCACACTTCTCTTCCCTCCAGTACCCAGAACCAGTCACATGGCCCTGCCTAATTGCAAGGGCCTGGGAAGTGGGATCAGATAGATGGACTATTTCTTTAGCACTATCGTCTCTTATAAAGTTTGTTGGTCTTTAAAATGGGTTGCAAACTTTGCAACAATAAAGTCTACTTTGTTCAAAGGACATAAGAAAACATGCTTTACAGTAGGGTTTTCTTTGTGTGCAGTTTTGCTTTTAGTAGACAAGGGTCTTGTAATACTGGCAGTTGTCTTCTTACAGGAGGTTGGAAACATTCCAAGTGAATGTATCAAAAAGACCAAAATTCAAGATGACTGTCATTTCCACGTCCCCCACTTCTAAGCAATCCTGGCTCCCATTTTGCCAGGAGAAACAGTCTTGGGCAAGGAAGTCATGCTGTGAGCCACAGGACCTCCTGCATTCAGCTGACTAGCTCAGGAAGCCAATGTGGTAGGCCTTGCGGAATCACTTTTCACCAAGAGAAGACTCAGAGTTTATCATATTCACTCTCATTTGATTCTTAGCTGGTGATAATATGAAACAGTTTGTCAATTATAAAAGCAAGAGATACCAATACAAGCAAAAGCAATGCACAGTTACTATAGAGCAATAGGAGTCTTGAGTAATAGGAAACTCTGAGCAACCAGGGCAGAGGGGCACAGAAAAGACACGCAGCAGAGGGGTGCACAGCTAGAGTGGGTGGACCATGCAACCAGCCCAGGGTACTGAATCTCTGTAAGGACTGCCCCGTGAGGACTGAGCATGGCTCCACTTCAGCTGTTTTTCTAAGTTTCTTTGATCAGTTGCACCTCTTTGTACTCTCCTCTGAAAATAGAATCTTTGGCCTTAATACAAAATAAACACCTATGTCCTATCCTCAGATAATTGGTAAGAAACTGATCTGAGGGCCCCACTGTTCTCAACATGTCCCAGTGCTTGCTCTAGAGTTCTCAAGCATTTAGCCACAGTCATTGAACCAGCAGGCATTCTCCTTGACAACATGATTAAACTCAGTCAAATTCTGGAGCCCCTCAAGCTCTCTCTATCAATGTCTTCCTCCCCATCCCCCACCCTGCTCCTATTGCCTGTCACTCTTGGAGCATTTCAGTAGAATATCCAGACCACTGGATGTCCCTTCTTCTATTGTTGGGATGCAGCTGCTGACACCATCTCAGTGTTGGGTAAGTACTGGCTTCATTATTAGCGGGGGCAACTTCTTCATGATTTGTCCTAGTAGAGAGCTGATTGGAACTGTTCAGGAAACCTCTAAAACCAGATAGGGTCTGATATGGTTTGGCTGTGTCCCCACCCAAATCTCATCTTGAGTTCTAATCCCCATAATCCCCACATGTGGTGGGAGGGACCTAGTAAGAGCTAATTGAATCATGGGGCAGTTCCCCCCATGCTGTTCTCGTGATAGTGAGTGCTCACAAGATCTGAGGGTTTTATAAGCATCTGGCATTTCCCCTGCTGGCACTCATTCTCTCTCCTGCTGCCTTGTGAGAAGGGGTGCCTTACCCCGTGATTGTAAGTTTCCTGAGGCCTCCCCAGCCATGAGGAACTGTGAGTCAATTAAACCTCATTTCTTTATAAATTACCCAGTCTTGGGTATTTCCTTATAGAAATGTGACAACAGACTAAGACAGGGTCTTACACCCAGGCCCCCCTCTGCCAGCCAGTGAGGAGGCAACTAATTTTAGGAATGCCTCCTCAGCCCAGGCTGGGTTATCTATCAGCCCTCTGGGGCTTCCTTCCCCAGCTACTTCACAGGGAACTGTTTATTCATTTTGGTATGAGGTGTCTTCTTGCTGATATATCTGGCCCTGAACTGTGGCACCCCAAGGATCTGTTCTGCACTGAGAGTTTCCTCCGCTGTCTTCCGTCCATGGCACAAACAGAAGGCATTCCTAGGACATACACAGCACTTGACAGGTCAACACCCTTGCTTCTATTCTCTTCCAGAAATTCACTGCTATTTCTGATGGCTGGGTTATAAACTCTTTCTGATCTGTTCCAATAAAATCTATTCTGGTCCAGAGATTTATGGAGCCCTTGGCCTCAATGGTTCTGTACATCCTCTGAGATATGTAAGTTTTTGTGAAAATGCACCTGTGTGGATATTTAACTTGATGAAATGGTCTAGAGCTTCCATATATTCTCAAAGGGGTGGATGAACAAAACAAGTCAGAAAAGTTGTGCTCATCATAGGATTCGTGCTGATGCAGAGGGCACCAAAGTGCTTGAAACCTCTCGTGAGCGCTAACAGCCCACAGCAAACGTGTAGGCAAGCTGGAGGTTCCTCTGGTCCCTTTTCCCACCACAGGGAAGTAACAGCCATTTTGTTCTTGGTCCTCTCTCTTTGCCCTTAATGGTTGAGTTGGCCATGTGTGGGCCTCAGCAGTCAAACTGAGGTGTATTTTTGTCTTGCCAATAGGAGCTGCCATCCTGGGTAAGCTGTGACTTTGGCTCCAGCTAGAAAGGAAGAAACTAGCAGGGAGAGAACAAATCCTGACAACACACTAGCCTAAGCTCTGGCTACCTGTAGTTTGCCACCCATCTGTTACCTGCCCTCAGAAGCAGCCCTGAAGGGAGCCCTTGCTTCTTGATCTTGGGCTTATACGGTGAACCTGTGGTGAGAAGCCCAGAGCCAAGCAGCCTAGTTGTTCTGCCCTACAAACCAGGTGTGTGGTTAAAGAGAAAGCACCTTGAAAAGACAGGAATGGGCCAAGGCTGAAGCCTGAAGTCCCCTGGTGTCCTGGCCTTGCTTTTCAGGTCTGGGCAGGGTGAGGAGAACTGGGCACACAGGATCACGATGAGCAGGGAAGACGGTGGAGAACGAGTGCGCGTACTCTGGCCTCTTCCACAGGCTATCAGTGTGGTCGGGCGCCTGACTGCTTCACGTACTGAAACCCAGGAAAACAGAAGACAACAGAGGAAGGAAGTAGGCCACCCTCCTGTTGGATGAATGGCCTTGAGCTATGAACCACCTTTGTGTGTTTATTCTCTTCACTCTGACCCTACATGGACTATGAAAAATAAAAATAGCTATCGTCCATGGAGTAGTCACTCTATGCCAGGCACTGTGCTATGTGCACATAAGCCCATTTCATCCTCTTAACTATACTATGGCATAGGTTCTTTGCATACGTGAATTTTTAAATTAAAATACATGTCACATACCATACAATTTACCATTTTAAATATATGATTCAGTAGCTTTTAGTACATTTACAAGGTCACGCAACGATTACCATTATCTAATTCCAGAACATTTTTTATTACTCCCAAAAGAAAGCCTGTACTTAGTAGTAGTGACTCCCTATTTCGGCCTACCCCAGACCCTGGCAACCACTACTACTTTCTGTCTCTGCAAATTTTCCTATAATGGACATTTCATATCAATGGGATTATAGAGTATGCAGTCTTTTGTGACTGGCCTCTTTCACTTAGCATAATGTTTTAAAGGCTTGTTCATGTGGAGCAGGTATCAGTACTTCATTCCTTTTTATTCCTGAATAACAATTGTATGGATAGGACACGTTTGATTTATGCAGTCATCAACTGATGAACATTTGGATTGTTTCCAGTTTTGGACTCTTATGAACAATGCTGCTATGAACGTTTGTGTACTTGGTTTTCATGTAGACATGTTTTTCTTTTCTTTTCTTTTTCTTTTTTTTTTTTTTTTTTTTTTTGAGGGCTCCCACTATTCTCAGAACTGATAAGAATGATGTTTAAATTTTTTGTAAAAAAACAATGTAGATGGGCCAGGCGTGGTGGCTCACGCCTGTAATCCCAGCACTTTGGAAGGCTGAGGCGGGCAGATCACGAGGTCAGGAGATCCAGACCATCCTGGCTAACATGGTGAAACCCCATCTCTAATAAAAATACAAAAAAAAATAGCCGGGCATGGTGGCGGGTGCCTGTAGTCCCAGCTACTCGGGAGGCTGAGGCAGGAGAATGGCGTGAAACCAGGAGGCGGAGATTGCAGTGAGCCGAGATTGTACCACTGCACTCCAGCCGTCTCAAAAAAAAAAAAAAAAAGTGGATTTTTTTTTCTTCCTTAAAATTTTTTTTATTATACTTTAAGTTCTGGGTTACATGTACAGAATGGGCAGCTTTGTTACACAGTTACACACGTGCCATGTTGGTTAGCTGCACCCATCAACCCGTCACCTACATTAGGTATTTCTCCTAATGCTATCCCTCTCCTAGCCCCCCACCCGCCGACAGGCCTTGGTGTGTGATGCTCCCCTCCCTGTGTACATGTGTTCTCATTGTTCAGCTCCTACTTATGAGTGATAACGTGCGGTATTTGGTTTTCTGATCCTGTGATAGTTCGATAGTTTCCAGCTTCATCCATGTCCCTTCAAAGGACATGAACTCATCCTTTTTTATGACTGCATAGTATTGCATGGTGTATATGTGCCACATTTTCTTTATCCAGTCTATCATTGATGGACATTTAGGTTGGTTCCAAGTCTTTGCTATTGTGAATAGTGATGCAATAAACATACGTGTGCATGTGTCTTTATCGTAGAATGATTTATAATCCTTGGGTATATGCCCAGTAATGGGAGTGCTGAGTCAAACGGTATTTCTAGTTCCAGATCCTTGAGGAACCACCACACTGTCTTCTGAAGTGGTTGAACTCATTGACACTCCCACCAGCAGTGTAAAAGCGTTCGTATTTTTCTACAACCTCTCCAGCATCTGTTGTTTCCTGACTTTTTAATGATCGCCATTCTAACTGGCAGGAGATAGTATCTCATTGTGGTTTTGATATGCATTTCTCTAATGACCCGTGTTGATGAGCATTTTTTCATATGTCTGTTGGTTGCATAAATGTCTTGTTTTGAGAAGTGTCTGTTCATATCCTTTGCCCATTTTTTGATGGGGTGGGTTGTTTTTTTCTTGTAAATTTGTTTAAGTTATTTGTAGATTCTAGATATTAGCCCTTTGTCAGATGGATAGATTGCAAAAATTTTCTCCCATTCTGTAGGTTACCTGTTCACTCTGATGATAGTTTCTTTTGCTGTGCAGAAGCTCTTTAGTTTAATTAGATCCCATTTGTCAATTTTGGCTTTTGTTGCCATTGCTTTTGGTGTTTTTGACATGAAGTCCTTGCCCATGCCTATGTCCTGAATGGTATTGCCCAGGTTTTCTTCTAGGATTTTTATGGCCCTAGGTCTTATGTTTAAGTCTTTGATCCATCTTGAGTTGATTTTTGTATAAGGTGTAAGGAAGTTTCAGTTTTCTGCATATGGCTATCCAGTTTTTTCCAACACCTTTTATTAAATAGGGAATCTTTTCCCCGTTGCTTGTGTGTGTCAGGTTTGTCAAAGATCAGATGGTTGTAGATGTGTGGTGTTATTTCTGAGGCCTCTGTTCTGTTCCATTGGTCTATATATCCGTTTTGGTAGTAGTACCATGCTGTTTTGGTTGCTCTAGCCTTGTAGTATAGTTTGAAGTCAGGTAGTGTGATGCCTCCAGCTTTGTTCTTCTTGCCCAGGATTGTCTTGGTTATGCGGGCTCTTTTTTGGTTCCATATGAAGTTTAAAGTAGTTTTTTTCCAGTTCTGTGAAGAAAGTCAGTGGTTGGTTGATGGGGATAGCATTGAATCTATAAATTACTTTGGGCAGTATGGCCATTTTCATGATATTGATTCTGCTGATCCATGAGCATGGAATGATTTTCCATTTGTTTGTGTCCTCTCTTATTTCCTTGAGCAGTGGTTTGTAGTTCTCCTTGAAGAGGTCCTTCACTTCTCTTGTAAGTTGGATTCCTAGGTATTTTATTCTCTTAGTAGCAATCGTGAATGGGAGTTCACTCATGATTTGGCTCTCTGTCTGTAATTAGTGCATAGGAATGCTTGTAATTTTGCACATTGATTTTGTATCCTGAGACTTTGCTGAACTTGCTTATCAGCTTAAGGAGATTTTGGGTTGAAACGATGGGGTTTTCTAAACATACAATCATGTCATCTGCAAACAGAGACAATTTGACATCCTCTCTTCCTATTTGAATACCCTTTATTGCTTTATATATATCTTGCCTGATTGCCCTGGCCAGAACTTCCAATGCTATGTTGAGTAGGTGTGGTGAGAGGGCATCCCTGTCTTGTGCCAGTTTTCAAAGGGAATGCTTCCAGTTTTTGCCCATTCAGTATAATGGCTGTGGGTCTGTCATAAATAGCTCTTATTATTTTGAGATACATCCCATCAATACCTAGTTTATTGAGAGTTTTTAGCATGAAGGGCTGTTACATTTTATCAAATACCTTTTCTGTATCTATTGAGATAATCATGTGGTTTTTGTCATTGGTTCTGTTTATGTGATGAATTACATTAATTGATTTGCATATGTTGAACCAGACTTGCATCCCAGGGATGAAGCCAACTTGATAGTGATGGATAGATAAACTTTTTGATGTGCTGCTGGATTTAGTTTGCCAGTCTTTTATTGAGGATTTTCACATCGATGTTCAACAGGGATATTGGCCTGAAATTTTCTTTTTTTGTTGTATCTCTGCCAGGTTTTGGTATCAGGATGATGCTGGCTTCATAAAATGAGTTAGGGAGGAGTCCCTCTTTTTCTATTGATTGGAATCCTTTCAGAAGGAATGGTACCAGCTCTTCTTTGTACCTCTGGTAGAATTTGGCTGTGAATCCATCTGGCCCTGGACTTTTTTTGGTTGTTAGGCTATTAATAACTGCCTCAATTTCAGAACTTGTTTTTGGTTTATTCAGGGATTCGACTTCTTCCTGGCTTAGACGTGGGGGGTGTATGTGTCCAGAAATTTATCTATTTCTTCTAGATTTTCTAGTTTATTTGCATAGAGGTGCTTATAGATGGTAGTTTGTATTTCTGTGGGATCAGGGATGATATTCCCTATATCACTTTTTATTGTGTGTATTTCATTCTATTCTATTTGGGTCTTAGATCTTTTCTTCTTTATTGGTCTGGCTAGCAGACTGTCTATTTTGTTGACTTTTTTCAAAAAGCAGGTCCTGGATTTATTGATTTTTTTTTTTTGAAGGGTTTTTCATGTCTCTATCTCCTTCAGTTCTGCTCTGATCTAAGTTATTTCATGTCTTCTGCTAGCTTTTGAATTTGTTTGCTGTTGCTTCTCTAGTTGTTTTCATTTTGATGTTAGGGTGTCAATTTTAGATCTTTCCTCCTTTCTCTTGTGGGCATTTAGTGCTATAAATGTCCCTCTAAACACTGCTTTAAATGCATCCCACAGATTCTGGTACATTGTGTCTTCAATTTTATTGGTTTCAAAGAACATCTTTATTTCTGCCTTCATTTCATTATTTACCCAGTAGTCATTCAGGAGCAGGTTGTTCAGTTTCCATGTAGCTGTGCGATTTTGAATGAGTTTCTTAATCCTGAGTTCTAATTTGATTACTCTTGTGGTCTGAGAGAGTGTTTGTTATGATTTCCATTCTTCTGCATTTGCTGATGAGTGTTTTACTTCCAATTATGTGGCCAATTTTAGAATAAGTGTGATGAGGTGCTGAGAAGAATGTATTATTCTGTTTGTTTGGGGTGGAGAGTTCTGTAGATGTCTGTTAGGTCTGCTTGGGCCAGAGCTGAGTTCAAGTCCTGAATATCCTTGCTAATTTTCTGGCTTGTTGATCTGTCTAATATTGACAGTTGGGTGTCAAAGTCTCCCACTATTATTGTGTGGGAGTCCAACTCTCTTTGTAGGTCTCTAAGAACTTTATGAATCTGGGTGCTCCTGTATAGGGTGCATATATATTTAAAATAGTTAACTTTTCTCATTGTATTGATCCCTTTACTATTACGTAATGCCCTTCTTTGTCTCTTTTGATCTTTGTTGGTTTAAAGTCTGTTTCTTATTGCAACTCCTGTTTTTTTTTTTTCTTTCCATTTGCTTGGTAAATATTCCTCCATCCCTTTATTTTGAGCCTATGTGTGTCTTTGCATGTGAGATGGGTCTCCTGAATACAGCACACTGATGGGTCTTGACTCTATCCAATTTGCCAGTCTGTGTCTTTTAATTGGGGCATTTAGCCTGTTTACATTTAAGGTTAATATTGTTATGTGTGAATTTGATTCTGTCATTTTGATGCTAGCTGGTTGTTTTGCCCATTAGTTAATGCAGTTTCTTCATAATGTTGATGTTCTTTACAATTTGGTATGTTTTTGCAGTGGCTGGTACTGATTGTTCCTTTCCATGTTTAGTGCTTCCTTCAGGAGCTCTTGTAAGGCATGTCTGGTGGTGACAAAATCTCTCAGCATTTGTTTGTCTGTAAAGGACTTTATTTCTCCTTCACTTATGAAGCTTAGTTTGGCTGGATATGAAATTCTGGGTTGAAAATTCTTTTCTTTGAGAACATTGAATATTGGCCCTCACTCTTCTGGCTTGTAGGATTTCTGCAGAGAGATCTGCTGTTAGTCTGATGGGCTTCCCTTTGTGGGTAACCTGACCTTTCTCTCTGGCTGCCCTTAACATTTTTTCCTTCATTTCAACCTTGGTGAATCTGACAATTATGTGTCTTGGGGTCGCTCTTCTCAAGGAGTATCTTTGTGGTGTTCTCTGTATTTCCTGAATTTGAATGTTGGCCTGTCTTGCTAGCTTGGGGAAGTTCTCCTGGATAATATCCTGAAGAATGTTTTCCAACTTGGTTCCATTCTCCCTGTCACTTTCAGATACACCAGTCAAATGTACATTTGGTCTTTTCACATAGTCTCATATTTCTTGGAGGCTTTGTTCGTTCCTTTTTATTCTTTTTTCTCTAATCTTTTCTTCGCTCTTTATTTCATTAAGTTGATCTTCACTCACTTTTATCCTTTCTTCTGCTTGATCGATTTGGCTGTTGATACTTGTGTATTCTTCACGAAGTTATTGTGCTGTGTTTTTCAGCTCCATCAGGTCATTTATGTTCTTCTCTACATTGGTTATTCTAGTTAGCAATTCAACTAACCTTTCTTCAAGGTTCTTAGCTTCCTTGCATTGGGTTAGAACATGCTCCTTTAGCTTGGAGGAGTTTGTTATTACCCACCTTCTGAAGCCTACTTCTGTCAGTTCATCACACTCATTCTCCATCCAGTTTTGTTCCCTTGCTGGCAGGGAGTTGTGAGCCTTTGGAGGAGGAGAGGCATTCTGGTTTTTGGAATTTTTAGGCTTTTTGCACTGATTTTTCCCCATCTTTGTGGATTTATCTACCTTTGGTCTTTGATGTTGGTGACCTTTGGATGGGGTCTTTCAGTGGATGTGCTAGTCCTTTCTGTTTGTTTCTTTTCCTTCTAACAGTCAGGCCCCTCTGCTGCCAGTCTGCTGGAGTTTGCTGGAGGTCCACTCCCCATCCTGCTTGCCTGGGTATCATCAGCGGAGGCTGCAAAGCAGCAAAGATTGCTGACTGTTCTTTCCTCTGGAAGCTTCAACCCAGAGGGGCACCTGCCCAATGCCAGCCAGAGCTCTCCTGTACGAGGGGTCTCCCAGTTAGTATACACGGGGGTCAGGGACCCACTTGAGGAGGCAGTCTGACCCTTAGCAGAGCTCGAATGCTGTGCTGGGAGGTCTGCTTCTCTCTTCAGAGACTTCAGGCAGGGACGTTTAAGTCTGCTATAAGCCCCTGACTGGGGCTGCTGCCTTTTTCACAGAGATGTCCTGTCTAGAGAGGAGAAATCTGGCAGACTGGCCATAGCAGCCTTGCTGAGCTGCAGTGGGCTCCACCCAGTTTGAACTTCCCAGCAGCTTTGTTTACACTGTAACCTTAAAAACTACCTACTCAAGCCTTAGCAATGGTGGACACCCCTCCTTGCACCAAGCTCAAAAGTCCCAGGTGAATCTCAGATTGCTGCTGTGCTGGCAGTGAGAATTTCAAGCCAGTGGATCTTAGTTTCCTGGGTTCCATGGGGGTGGGACCCGCTGAGGTGCAGACCACTTGGCTCCCTGGCTTCAGCACCCCTTTCCAGGGGAGTGAATAGTTCTGTCTCACTGGCATTCCAGGCGCCACTGGGGTATAGAAAAAAAAAAAAGAGGCTGGGCATGGTGGCTCACGCCTGTGATCCCAGCACTTTGGGAGGCTGATGCGGGTGGATCTCCTGAGGTCAGGAGTTGAAAACGAGCCTGGCCAACATGGCAAAACCCTGTCTCTACTAAAAATACAAAAATTAGCCAGGTGTGGTGGTGGGCACCTGTATTCCCAGCTACTTGGGAGGCTGAGGCAGGAGAATTGCTTGAACCCGGGAGGCAGAGGTTGTAGTGAGCTGAGATCGTGCCATTGTACTCCAGCCTGGGAGACAAGAGCAAGACTCCATCTCAAAAAAAAAAAAGAGCTCCTGCAGCTAGTTCGGTGTCTGCCCAGTTGGCCACCCAGTTTTGTGCTTAAAACCCAGGGCCCTGGTAGTGTAAACACTGGAGGGGATCTCCTGGTTTGTGGGTTGTGAAGACTGTGGGACAGGTGCGGTATCTGTGCCGGAGTTCCTCAGGCTCAGACCCTCATGGCTTCCCTTGGGTAGAAGAGAAAATTCCCCAACCCCTTCTGCTTCCAAGGTGAGGTGACACCTCACCCTGCTTTGGCTCACCTTCCATGGGCTGCACCCACTGTCCAACCAGTCCCTATGAGATGGACTGGGTACCTCAGTTGGAAATGCAGAAATCACCTGCCTTCTGTTGTCGATCTGGCTGGGAGCTGCAGACTGGAGCTGTTCCTATTTGGCCATCTTGAATCTGCCCTCAACCATCTTTAAGTCTTTTTACTTTCTTGAGTATACACCTAGGAATTGAATTGCTTGGTCATATGGTTACTCTACATTTAACCTTTTGCAGAATTGCCAGACAGTTTTCCAAAGCAAGTACACCATTTTACACTTCCACCAGAAATGCACGAGGGCTCCAATTTCTCCACGTCCTCACCAACACTTGTAATTATCTGTCTTTTTGATTATGGCCTTCCTAGTGGGTGTGAAGTGATATCTCATTGTGGTTTTAATTTGCATCTACCTAATGGAAGTACCTATTTGCTATGGACTAAATTGTTTACCCCACCCCACCCCCACCAAATTCATATGTTGAAGCCATAACCCACCCCCAACCCCCCCACCCCCCAGCCCCCCACCCCCCACTGCCGTGTGATTGTATTTGCAAATAGGGCCTTTGGGAGGTAATTAAGGTACAAGGAAGTCATAAAGATGGAGTCCTGATACAAAAGAATTAGTGTCTGTGTGGAAGACACCAGAGAGCTTGCCGACCCTTTCCATTTTATTATTCTAATTAAGGAATGGAATAATTATCTCCATTTTATAAATAAAGACTCCCACGCTCACAGAGCCATCCCTCACCCTTGTCTGATGCCAACGTCTGGACCATTTCTTCTTATGCCACACTGCCTGTGGGTTCCAGAATGTGGGAGGGACATATGTGCGGCCTGCCAGCTGACCAAAATCACAGATGGCACTGTGCTGAGACCTAGTTCTTAGAGACCTAGTGAATAAGGGGCAGAAACTTGCCAAGAAGGAGAAATAAGCAAATGTCTGAATCCCCAAGTTGCTTTCCGTGCCCCTGGCTTATGCCAGCTACAGATGCAAAGATTAATAAAAGGGGCCCAAGGTCTTGTACACTGGTAATTCTCAAAGTATCCTGTGCAGCCTGTTCAATGCTGGTATTCCCAATCTTCCTAATACAAATTCTAAGGTAACCACCTCTATGACCAAAGGATCAATGTCCATCTCACATGTACCTACATTAGGCAATCTCTGTAAAACCAGACCAAACAACCTGCAATAAAAAGTGTGCTTAGAAATATGAATCACAGTCAAGAATGATCTCTTGGCCATTTTCAGGCATCTACAGTTTGCTTGCGGCAAGGAGTCCCTTTTAATTTTCTAGATGAGGCAGTTCAAGAAGCATAAATGAGAGGACAGATTTCTGGACTCCCTGGTGCCCACTTCACAAACCCATCTCAACTGAGTGGAAGGCTGTCAGTATGGGCCACACTCCAGAAAATGCTCTGTCCTTTGAACTAAAACTGCAGCCTTTCCCAAAGACACTTTCAACCCCATTCCAGGCTTACATAATTTAATCCTGCTTACCTTACAGTGTGAGGATGTTGGGACCGTTTTCTTTCTGGGAAGGGAGATAAAGCTTGAAACTATGCCATGTTAGGATTCTCCCACCGAGCCAAAGTTCACTCTACCAAGCCTTCTCTTAAGCCACCTGGATTTTAAGAGATGTCAGTCATTTTCATTAAAACAAAATTGTCTTGCTGCCATTTCCTTTTTTTCCCTCCCTACTTTTTCTGTCCTTTGATATTTAGAGATTAACATGCATGTTCTCTCAAATTACAAGGTTAACGGGTGCTGCTAGAGAATACTTAGAAAACCAGAAAAGCAAATGTTAAAAAATTATCTACCCAGGATAAGCACTTTTTTTTTTTTTTTTTTGAGACACGGTCTCACTCTGTTACCCAAGCTGGAGTGTAGCCTTAAATTCAGCTCAAGCGGTCCTCCTGCCTCCGCCTCCCAAGTAGCTAGAACTCCTGGAGTGAGCTACTGCACTTGGCCCGTAACCACTACTAACACTACTATTTTTGTTTACATTCATCCTTTTTTTCCCCACACATATATGTATTTTTATAAAACAAACGGATCACACTGGTTTGTGACCTGCTGTTTTGTCACTTGGCATAAATGCTGCCCCACTTGTTCAGAAAGCATGTGCCAGCGTATCCTTCTAATAGCAGATGTAAGAGTATATCTCCAGCCTCCTTTAGCACTATTATCCTTCCTTTTTTGTTCTTTGCCAATTTAAAAGCAATAAATTGTTGGTTTTTGTTTGTTTTCTTGAGAGGGAGTCTCACTCTTTTGCTCAGGCTGGAGTGCAATGGCATAATCTCGGCTCACTGCAACCTCCACCTCCCGGGTTCAAGCAGTTCTTCTGCCTTGGCCTCCCGAGTAGCTGGGACTACAGGCGTGAGCCACCACATCCAGCTAATTTTGGTATTCTTAGTAGAGAAGGGGTTTCACCATGTTGGCCAGACTGATCTCGAACTCCTGACCTCAAGTGGTTTGCCCACCTTGGCCTCCCAAAGTGTTGGGATTACAGGCATGAGCCACCGCGCCCTGCCAAATTGTTGTTTTAATTTGCGTTGCTTTGATTACTAGTGAGGTTAAACATTTATTTTCATGTTAATCACTTCCTTTGAATTTCACCTTTCTTTCATATTAGTCATATATAAAGCAGTCAGCTAAGTTGTATCCCCTTTCTGCTGCAAATTTGATGATAAATTGATGGGTAGAAGTTGGAACCAGCAGAGGGAACAGGGCCGTTCACAGTTCTGCAGAATGGTCATGTTGTTTCCTTGTCTTTTACATTGTAATGTTACCAAACATTACAAAAAGAATACATGCTCATTTTAAGAAAAAAAAATCAAATATTTCAAAAGGTGTATGAATATTATGAAAGCTCACCTCAACACTCTACTTCCCTCACTCACCAGTTTCTATTCCTTGATGTCACCATTTTTAGCCTCCTCCTGCTACCTCCTTACTGTCTTCACAGGACTTGCTGCACTGGCCACAGATTTGGAGGAGCAATCAGGAGAAAGGGTTAGGGATTTGAAAAGGAATAGCTTCTTCATACAAAGCTCCCGGGGCTTGCTGCAGAGTGGTCACTGGGAAGGGAAGCAGGAGAGAGAAACCACACCAGGTGTTTGTCTGGAATCAAATGGGCAGGTGAACAGAGAGTCAGCTAAGATTACCCTGTCTGCCTCAGTTCCAGTCCGTATGAAAAATGGCAGGCTGTTTATTGCAGTACATGAGCAGTGTCCTTTGTTAAGTCCTGTCCCTTGAGTGTAACCTGTTTGGTTTACAAAGTGGAAAAGAAAACCTAAGAAAAGGTTTGCTTTTCCAGCATGAACGCTTCTCCTCACTTGGCAGGTCCTTGTGGAGCCCTGTACCCACCTTTATCCATCTTGCTTCCAGACAGTGGTTTGAAATAACATCCATTGCCTGCAGAGTCATGCCCAGTTCTGACTAAAGGAATGTCATCAATGTCATGCTTAAAGCAGATGCCAAGACTTGAGTAGAATTTGTGGTGTGCGAAAGGGGATCTACTCTTTGTTATCAGGAAATCTTTTGGAGGAAAAATGATCTAATTGTTCAAATTCTTAGTGTTAAGAAAATGGCTGTTATGCAGGAGAGAGCCCATCACCAAACTGATCTAAAGCCTTTGGGAAAAAAAATTATTTTTACTCTCCTCTTTGAGAGATGCATATGGAATGAGATAGGTCATTTTAGAACCAGTGGGTTACCAGCCTCCTGTTAACTAAAAGACATATGAGGTGGAGATATTCCTCCTTTTCTTGTGAAATTCTGCCTTTTATTCTTTTCAGCTCTAAAAACTGATCACCTATCCTGCTTCTTCTTGCATCATTTTCCATAGGAAATCCTTTTCTAACATGCAAACTGTTCAAAAAACAAAATTTTGTGTTGAAAAAGCTTTGTCTTAGACCTACTCCAAAAGGGCTTTGCCAAGCCATATCCATTCCAAAAGAGCAAGCTTCATTTTCTGGACCCAGAGGACAGACTTATATGGCAAGGCTCTAGGTGATGGTGGAAATAATGGGATGTGTATGGGGGAAAGAGAGGGCTGTTGTATTAGTTCTCTAACCCTATGTAACAAGTTACCCCAAAACTTGTCACCTTAAAATAACAAAAATTTATTATTTGACACAGTTTCTGAGGGTCAGGTATCCAGGGGCGTTGGAGCAGGTATCCAGTTGATCTGGGTGGTTTCTGGCTCAAGGTGTCTCATGGCTTGGCTGGAGCTGAAGGATCTGCTTCCTTGTGGTTTTTGGCAGGAGGTCGGGGCCTCCATAATCTCACCATAGGGTCCTGCCATAAACTTTCTCAGTATCCTCCCAATATAGCTTCTCCCAAACTAAGTGATCCAACAGAACAAATACCAAGACAAAACCAGTCTTTTTATAACCTGTTCTTAGAAGTGACTTCCCATTACTTCTGCCATATTCTGTTGATAAGAAGCAAATCAACCCACACTTGAGAGGAAAATTAAGCTCTACCTTTTGAAGGGAGGAGTATAAAATAATTTATGGAAAAAATTTTAAAACGTCTACATAGGCCAGGTGCGGTGGCTTATACCTGTAATCCCAGCACTTTGGGAGGCTGAGGTGGGCAGATCACGAGGTCAGGAGTTCGAGACCAGCCTGGCCAACATGGTGAAACCTCGTCTCTACTAAAAATACAAAAAATTAGCCCGGCATGGTGGCAGGTGCCTGTAATCCCAGCTACACGGGAGGCTGAGGCAGGAGAATCATTTGAACCCGGGAGATGGAGGTTGCAGCGAGCCGAGACTGTGCCACTGCACTCCAGCCTGGGCGACAGAGTGAGACTCTGACTAAAACAAAACAAAACAAAACAAAACCCAACTACATATATGATACAAGTTACCTATACCTAGTCTCCAGTCTGCTCTTTGGTGTACAGTAGAGGTCAGCAAAGAACCAGAGAGTAAATATTTTAGGCATTGTGGGCCAGATTCTCTGTTGCAACTATTTAACCGTGCCATTGTGCTGCAAGATAGCCATAGGCACTCCATAAGCAAATGAGTGTGGCTTTGTTCAGGAACACTTTATTTACACAGTCAGCAGGCTGGATTTGGCCCAGGAACAGTTGTTTGGCCCTGGTCTTATAGCTACAGAGGTTAGTGGAAGTCTAACATACGCAGTGACTTTGGTTCCTTGCTATTACAGTCTTCACAGAAATTCATCTAAGTTGTCATGGCTCTCTGATCTGCCACCATTATATGTCGCTGTACCTCAAAATTCAGTGGTGAGATAACAGGAAGACAGAAAAGCAAATCTGAGAGATTTAAGAAACAGTCCTTATCTTTGGAAATAAGAATGTAAAGGAGAGCTGGCTTGGTCCAACAGGGGGTAAGACAGTGTCTTTATTCCACTGAATCACTAAGGTTGAGATAAGGCAAGAAGTCTGAGAGGAGATGTTCTCTCAACAATTGGAACTGTTGGTCTAGACTACAGCAGTGGGATTTTGAATCAACATGTGAATTAGGGGATCCATCTTCATAAGGCTCCTACAGCTCCAAAGAACCATGAGTTCACCAAAAGAGTGAGTGTACAGGGGGAAATCGAGACTTGTGCATATCAGAGAGCAGGGTAGATGTTAGAAGCTTCCCAGAGAGAGGTAGAGAATATATAGGGGACAATGAAACTTCAGAGCTAGATGCGACCTTACACTGTGGGATGGAGGATGAGGGATGGGGGTAACCCCTCAGTTTGCAATATTCATAAATAAACTTCAAGTGATTATTTTTGGTTAGCATAGGGTTACAACACGCAAGTTCTTAGGACTAATATTCCCCTCCTTGTTCCTGAGGTCTGATTTTGCAAATACTGTATTAACTTCTCAGGGCTGTTTATATTACTTATTATATGATCGAGTCAAGAAGAGATGGGGCTAGGAATTCCACTTTCCTTCACATGAATTCACTTGCAATGGAAATTTAAAGTTGTATAAAGTAGAAAATTTCCTGCCTAAATAACATTAACACAGCTGATACATCCCACCATTTAAAAAGTTACGTTTTATTTTTCTCAGCCAAAACCACAGCTACTGGTCACTTCTAAGTTCAATTTAAAGATCAAATCTTATCCCTTTGAGATGCGCTTTGGAAGTGAACAACAGTCTGCTGATAAATTATTTCTCAGAGCGTTTTGTTCTTGCTTTCACGCTACCATATGGCCTACCAGACCATATCCATGTCTGGATAACTGGGCATGATGTCAACCCTCCTTTGTTTTGTAAAGCTTTTCTCCACCTTATTCTGAATCTAAACAAATAAAAAAGTAAAAAATTAAATTTTATTGCTGCAGCTTTGCTTGCAAGAAATATGCAACTTCCTCTGAAATGATTTCATTGAATTTAAACTCATTTCTATAAATTCTGAGGTATAAAGTGATGTGAGAACAATGTTTTCTCTATTTAATGTGATCATACCTGGGAACAGTACCAAGACTTGGAACTTAAGACCTCTAGCTTCTCACCTTGTGATGGAGAGTGTGTAAGTTAAATGCCAAGAGGAAGCCAGGTTGTAGAAATCTGATCCAGTTAGACACCCCACACCTCCAGACATGCAGGCCAGGAACTCAATGAGTACAGAAAACTACCATTAACCTGAGCTGAATTTCTCTCTGTCGGGTAACGAGCCAACAACCCCAGTCTTTCCAAAAACATGTGTGAACTATTTCAGTTTTACTAATAACTTTATTTAAATAAGACACAGGAACTTCTATACTGAAAAAATACAAAACAAAAGCCACACATTTCCTTGTGTAAAGCCATATTATATGGTAACTCAAATACTGTTCAGCGCAATGGCTAGAATTAAACAGTACAATTATATACAAAATTTAAACAATTTCTGACAAATTTCTACAGCTGGATGTAGGATACATTTGAGCTCAACAACTTCTGGGAAATTTACATGGCAAAGCGTAAGCTTTAACACATTTGGTTCAAAACTTTAATATATGCTAAGAACAAATGTACAACACAATTAATATTTAGTATCTCATGAGAAAATAAAAGCACATCACTATAAATATCGTACATGAGATTTCATCACCAAAAAAGCATATTCAGTCCATTTTTCTGAAATTGATATTGATACTATTGCATTTTATTTGGACAAAAGCAGAGTGTAAGATCAACATATTATGTAATGCTAAACCAGACATCAGAAGTCAAATGGAGCTCATATTTATCTTACGGAACTAGTAATTTTCCCCCTTTAACCATAATCTACAAAATATAGTATTTTCATCAAGGCCTGAGATTATTAGGGTTAAAGGTATCTGCTGCTGAAAAGATTGTTTTAAAAGGTTCCCCTGTGAAAATGACGAAAGTAAACTGAGTCCTTTTTTCCATGACAGTCTCCTACAATATAACACTGACTAATTTAAAGGAGCCAGAATGCACCTTCAGGAGAAAATATTACGACAAACTTTGGTGGAAAGAAGAGAATTGAGATCATGACAAAATAATGCACAGAATACACACACACACACACACACACACACACACAAACATATACATATATATATCATTTCTTAAAAAAAAAAATCAATGGTGTTGCTTTCTTCTCTATCACTCATCCTTCTTCAACCTTCTTAGAAAATAAAAGAAAAACCCAGGAATGAATGAAAGGAACTGAAACGTTCCTTTAACTGTAGGCACCTGGTTCCCCTAATTCTTAAGAAAATTGTGCCATACACTTTAGGCGCAGATGAAACAACTCTAGGTTTTATTGAACTGAAAGTAGTGGAATACAAAAACTTAGCTTTTGGATACTCTTTGTACTGAAGAAAACAATGAAAGTTAGGCTCTCCCATTGACCAATCAGGAATGCCTGGGGCTCTCTTCACACTTTGTGGAGAACTTGTGTCAAAAGTCTGCAAGTTCAAGGCTATTTTCTTGAGTTTATGCTCTACCTCACAGGTTGCAAATTTCAAAACTACTCATGATTATGCATTATGAGAGGCTTAAATGAGATAGCTTCAAACTATTGCTCTTGTAAGTCACCAAAAAAACCTGCTTATGTTGCATCAATTCTGAGACCCAAGTATTCTATGTAAATGAAGATCATGCACCTAAACTGCTTGAGGAAGACAATAACAAAAAGTATGTCACTTTTTCACCTGCAAAATAAAGAATTTCCAAGGGAGAAACTAAATATAAATATGTCTTTAGATAAAATGGTAACAGTTATGACCCTGATGGCTAACATAAACAAAAAAATCTCAACCATTCCGTCAAACACTTCACTTATTTTGAAATTAACTCTAGACATTCTTGTCTTTAAATTTCATCACACACAATGTGGAATGTTTATGTACAGTCCAGTACTGAACACTTTATTTGCAACATTGTCACAGTCCTTTACTGAGCAACACCTGAACTTTTAAAAAAGCCACATGTACACATGTTGAAACAGTGAATGCAACAGTTGTTTTACTTGTAACCACATGACAAAGTGATGTCAAACACCACAGATTTTGCTGGTTCTCCTCATGTTCACCCATGTCCAGGATTATCATTCTCCTAGGATTGAATGCACTTCTTATTCTAAGAATGTGGAATGTAATGAGGAAAGGGAAATGCATAAAATAAGGAAAGGCAAAAGAGTGATGTTCCCTCTTTAGCTTTTTAGCTGTGAAATATTTAATATCCCAATATGATATACATTCCAAGTTACCTGAGTTTAGACTTCAACTGAAGTACCTGAAGCTAGGCCATAGGGTGGGCACTGTGCAACTGTTGTGGCCATTTTTTTTTTTTTTTTTTTGCATTGTATGTATTACAGAAGTTAGAAACAAACACCTGGATCAATTGTAAACATAATCCTGAATTACAGTATTTTCCATAGGACAAAACACAGCAAGACATTTTCTATTTAGACAGGCAACTTTTTGATATAGAGCTTATTTATACTGAAGAATCTGGAACAAAACACAGGACACAGTACTAATCTGTCAAATATACTATGAAATGCATAGTCTCCACTTAAAATGCTGAATGACACACACGTTTTGCAAGCATTACTGCTTTCCACAAAAACTGCTGAATAGGAGTTCCGTCCCTGCCAAGATCAGTGTTTAAGAGATACTTTATGATGCTGATAAGTATTATTGGTGGTGGTGGTGTTCAGAAAGTTTGTCACTCATGCAGATGTCTGAAATCTTGTTCCGAATCCATGGAACATAGGGTGGAGGCCAGCTCCCCCTTTTTTAGATGATCACATAGTTCTGAGCAGAGATGTGGTCCTCACCCTGCAGTTCCTGCAGGAGCTGCTGCTGCTGGGATGGCTGCTGGACAGAGGCCTCCATGGAGCCCGCTGTGCTGGTGTCATCAGAAAGAGACGTAAAGGAAACCCGGGATGAGAGCTGCTCAACGGTCAGAGTTGCCAAAGCTGAGCTCTGGCCAGAGTTAGGGGAGTTCTTGAGCATAAGGTCAGAAGCAGGTAAGAGGGGGCCTAGAAGTTTTACAGGACAGAAAGCTGATCCGGTTGGGATGAAATTAACCTTGTTTTTGTCAGGACATGAAAAGAGAGGGGCCGAGATAGGCTGACGAGACCTAAAACCATAAAACAAAATTAGATTTATAATCATGAACACAGAAAAAGTTAAGCATTTTCTGAATTAACTGGAGTTCTCTAAAACAGCTAAAATGTAAATGGCAGGAGATGGGTTAAGTGTATACAGAGGGGTAAACATCTTCCATAGCACAAGTCAGCTGGCAGACTATTCATGCACACAGCACTGAAGTGGTATTTGAGACAAAAGGATTTTCAAAAGAACCAGGAAGGCAAATATTTAGAGATCATTAGTTTGCTTTTAATTATTTAGGAAGGTGGAAAAGTCTTCTACATTATAATTGAAGATTATGCAAAGTTAGAATGACCTTTTCTGTTAAGAAAAAGTATACCAGAGGCAGGGGGCATTCGTCCATCACGTATTTAAACACTTTCTCCTTTTTTCTTTCTAGATAGACTTCCGCTAGCACAGATGGGGGGTGGAGTGGGGAGGGGAGTTTCAGTGGTCTCTCAAAAAGCCAGTCAATTCAACAGAGGTTGGGTCCACAAGCCCTTCCTCTCCTCCCGTTCCCAGGAGCTAAGCCATCAGCTCCTGCAAGATGGGTCCTTCTATGTTGCAAGAGCACTGCACCCTCCACTAGGCACCTGCACTGGAACAAAGGCATGAGGGCATCCAAGAACCACAGTCTTCTTCTGAGCTACTCTGCCCAGTGTTTACAGCAAGAACCTCTTTTTCTAATTTCATTTCTAACTTACACATATTAAAATTTCATGAAGATAACAAACCCCTTGTGAACAGAAAGTCTGAATAAGTAAGCTAGATGAGGCTACAGGGAAGGAGACTAATCTTCTGGCTTGTGGAGTACACTGTCTTTAAGCTAGTCACACACGGATATTAACTTTGCTCCTAAAGTCTCTTTGTTACCATCTAAACTAAGAGTTCCTGAAATGACAATTCTTAATGATTAAAAATAGATTTTTCAGGTAGTAAGAATAAGTTTCCACGTGTCTTTGTACTGGCTTATACATTTCCAACATACAGACTCCAGTTCTCCTTCAGTAAGATCTCTCTTGCCTATTCAATTCTCTTTACATAATTTGCTCTTGAAACACATTATCAGCTGGATAGAGTAGTTGATTCATATGTAATCAACTGGTCTCAGTAAAAAGCTTTACAGCTTTGCAGATCCCAGCTGACAAAAAAGACATTACTTACGCCATTTCCTCAAAGACCTTCACTCGCTCACATCCCTCTGGGGGCTCCCGTTTGAACATGTAGCTGTTGTTTGGTTTGGGAGATGAAGCATACTTGGGTAACGGTGAGCTACTCCCACTGTCTGTAAATTTAAAGCAGTTATATTAACTAGTGATTGAAAGCTCTTTTAAATTTGATTTCCAAACAAACAGCCTTTTGCACAATTTATCCACTACTGCCCCTATGCTTTGACCAGTCTCCTTTATTGCAAAGCTATTTCTTATACCCTGTGTAGCACATTTCTTCTAAATAAAAACTGCAATGCAACAGTCATCTGCCACACCATAGAACATAAAAAGGACATTTTGGTCCAGAAAACTGCATTTTGAATACAACAGAGCTGTAATCCTGAAAACAAATATGTTATTTATTACGTATTTCAAGAATGCAAATGATGGGGCAATGTGCTTAAGTCACACAGAAGAATAAAACAGATTATAATGATACAGGGTTCTCTACATGCCTTCTCACTGCCCAACCAATTTAACGAAAATGAATAATGTTCATTACAAAAGTTCTTAGCAGAAATGTTATTTTTGCTAAATATCATGAATAACACGTACGCAGGGGAAAAAAACAAGTTTATAAAATGTCTCTTTCTACCTACCCAACATAAAAAACAATTTGCTCAGAATTTTACCTTTAAAATGTTTATAATAAAAGGGCTTTTTCAGCAGAATTTGTATTTTTGCTACTAGAAGACATGCAAAATCTCCAAACATCTCTACCTAACACGTTTTCCTCATATTTTTGGCCAAAAAGAAAATGGTCTATTCATGAAAAGCCATAAAACCCATATGCAATTTCTCCCTTTCCTACCTGGCAAGAGATTTTGGAAATTCAAATCCACTAAAATGTGTCATTATTTTTATAAGAGGCCAAGTTGTAAAGTCAGTGACATGTTTGTATACAATAGTCCTATTTAAACAAATTCTGACTTAATGCAAACCTATCCCCACTGCTAAAATACTAAGCACATGATCTATTGAAATGTATTATTTTCATCTATTGGGAAGATAGCAACAGTATCATAATTATGTTCATCACAATTTTGATAAGTTGCTTTAGTTTAGAATATAGAACACAGTCCAATATTTAAAATCTGACTAATAAGAATGTTTTATCATCATTAATGAAGTTATAACACATGCTTAGGAAGAAGACCCTTGATGCACACTAATGCTTGTTAGAGTCTTGTGAATGCAGATTTATGCTTATATTTGAACATGGCTATAACTTTGGCTGGGAAACCACTGTCTGCAAAATAATAACGTTATACTATTGGGAAAGCTAGAAAACCACACAGTTTCTCTATCATTATTATGTATGATCCTACAGAGTAGGCACCAAAGAGCCTCTTGGAAAAAATTAAGTCTTAGAATGAAATTTGGTTTCTTCATATACCATTCAGATTTGAGAATTTTCTTAAGTTTAATATTTATCCTACATCTTGCATGAACAAATGGGAGGAAGGAGGAGGAATAGGATTGTCTCAGGTTGATACAAAGCATAATTAGCCTGATTGGAGGTCTGAATTTGCTGCCCTATTTAAGCTAGGCTAGACAAGACTGGTCCATGAATAAAAACAAACAAACAAACAAAAAACCAAACATCTGATGAGAATAAGGCCTCAAATTTGGTGTAATATAAAAAATATGGCTTGACCTTACCTTACTATGCAAACAGCAACAAACCAGGCAAAGGAAATATATGAGATCAAAAATACAAGTAAGTAGGGAGGATGGACATCCCATTCTTCATGATGTGCATATTTCACACTACATACGTGTATCAAAACATCTCATGTACCCTATAAATATATACACCTATGTATCCACAGAAATTTTTAAAATAAAAATAAAAAAATACAAGTAGATATGGCATGAGATGCCTCCATGGAGATTACTGCTGGACATAACTTAGCCTACACGGCACAAGCAGCATCAGCCTGATACCATTAGCATCAGCTTGATACCATTAGCAGTCATGTCAGTAGTTAAGGATCCACTCTATTATCACGTAAGAAAAGTCATCTTGGCCACAGTCTTCTGTGTTCTTTTTCTTACTACATCATCAGGCCTATCACATTCTTTCAGTATTTTACTGATGGTTTCAAAGGACTTTCTCATAACTGAAGGCTAGATGTGAGTTGGCTAATCTATCTGCAAAACTGATTATCTTCCTGTTAACAATCTAGAATAAGTAATTTTTCTTCTTAAAATATTTCTAATTTCAGAGGCTGTAAGTGCATCTTTTAACAGAGTTTTACCCTCTTAAACATTATTCTGCTTTTTTTGGGGGTATTAATGTTAAGTAAACAAATATACTGCTATCCTAGACAGGCAGGGTTTATATCTTTTCAATAAAAATTTTTTTTAATTGAATATGTATTTAATGTTAGATGGTCTGGAAAGGCAAAGCTTGTAAGAAAAAAATTTTGAGACTATAAACAAATATTTGCTAAATCTGGAGTTTTTTCTTCAGGTTAAGTATGCAATCAGAGAGACTGTAAATAGGGGTCAGGGAATGGAGACATCTAGTCTGTGGCTTTAGCTCTTGTTGTATAGTTCTATGTTACCTGGAGTACAATCATCTCTCTGGATTTCTATATAATTAAAGGAATTGCCATTCATGAACTCTAAAATTCTGTGATTTTTCTTTAATAGTTCTAACATACAAAGAAGACATATTTTACATATATATTTTTTCTTGCCTTACAAAGCAGCACGCTTTAAAAACAACCCATATGACCAACCTATGCTACTCATTCCAGACTTGAATGTACAAACTATTACTATTCATTTAAAACTCTGTGTTGAATTTAATAGCCACATTTCAATAACAACATTATAAATATAAATATGCCTGCTCAGGAGATTCAAGATGAGAAGTCTCATGGTAATCTTAATTGAGTCTCTCTTGTTTACCAGTAATGGTAAGTTTTCTCATTCTGGTATTCCGGAGAATAATATAGGATCATAACTAGAAATACAGTTGAGATTAGGTTAAATGTTACTTTATGACTTTTAACATCATAGCTAATGTCAATAAAATTAAATGCAGTGAATATAGTTATTCACATCTTTCTGTATTCACAAGTCTCATTTTTATATATTTATAACAATCACTCAACTCTGAAAATCAAGAATATGGAAAAATGTGATTGCTGTTTTAAAACAGATCACACATATGCATCTGTACCATATTTACCATTAAAATACGAGTAGCTTCTGAAATACTTTTAAACATATGATAATAAATTAGAGTTTGGAAAAATTAGAGAAGTTATTCAAGTTTGGAATTTCATATAGAAACAATATTCATTAAACTACATGTACTTGTATAGCTTGAGTATTCTGAAATTCTTCTGATTTTTATTATATCTGGTATATTGTGGGGCCCACACTTCTTGTATAAAAAATTATACATTTGAGCATACCATTGAACTTCAGCCTGGGTGACAGTGAGACCCTGTCTCAAAAATATATATATCACATATATAAAGGTTGATTCATTTATGCAGGTAGTATGTAAAATCTCTGCCATGGTTCTATTCTAGCCCTAAGTCTATAGATGGGTTTTATCTCTATCACATTACTTTATTAAATTAAGTAAAATTGATTCTAAAACAAGCAATAATAGAATAGTGGTTCTTAACCAGAGTTTTCTTTCACATTAGACTTATCAGATGTTTTAAAAAGATCAATGTCTAGACCTCATTCCTGAAATATTCTGATTTAATTAGTCTGGGGAGGAGCCAAGCACTGCCTTGGGGTAGGGAGGTGGGGGGTAAAGCTCCCACGTGCACCTGAAGCACAGCCATATCTGAAAACCAATCATGAAATGGTTAAGAACATTGATTTGGAGTGAGGCCACCTGACTTCTTCCTAGGCCTAGGTGCATGGCATAGGGTAAGTCTGATCCCTCTGTTTTTTTATCTATAAAATAGAAAATACCACTGACATGATAGCTGTGAAAAATATATGTAAAAGGATTAGGATAAGCGCTGGGCGAGGTGGCTTACGCCTGTAACCACAACATTTTAGGGAGGCTGAGGCGGGAGGATCACTTGAGGCCAGGAGTTCGAGACCACCTGGCCAACATGGGGAAACCCTCTCTACAAAAAAAAAAAAAAAACCCCAAAACCAAAAAACAAACAAAAAAAGGATTAGGATAGTGCCTGAAACACAGTAAGCGCTGAATATTATTATTATAGTAAAAAGTAACACATCATTTCTAATTTGAAAATTAAAAATGATGAACCATTCAAAAATTAAGTGCCTATTCTGCTCCCTCTTGACAGAAGAGAGTAAAGGAAATGTTTTCAATAGATTTGTGTACTCTACTCCGGTACATACAGATACAATTTTATTTCTGAGAGAGAAGCAGAATAATATCTGGAGTACCAGGTTGTCCAGGTTTATAACTGCCTGACATGAACTCTGTCAGTTCATGATGGCATCCTTTAGTGTAAAGAGATCTATCATCCTGAAATTAAAATCAATGCTTAAAGCATGCAGATTCTATAGACTACTATGCAAAGAAAATACTTTCATAGTATATGCAGCAATAAGCAGTAGAATGTAATTCTTATTCTATCTTTCCCAGGTAGTTAACTGACTAGGAAAGTGAGTACACTGTTCAACCAACACTTTACTCAATGACATACTAAAGCATAAAATTGGCCAAGAGAATTAAATTAGAAATATGATTGACTGAATAGTACTTAAAATTACTACTCTAGTGTTAAAATATACTTATTTTGCTTCAGGAAATGAAATTATCAACTATAATGGGGTTTGAAGGCCTAATGAAATCAGCAGAAACACACAATTGTGTATCATTTCTTGGCAATGAACTTTAAGAATCAGGTTGTATTACCAATTGTATTAAAAAGCCTGTATTTTCAGTTAACTCCAAGACCAACTTGGAAACTTAGAAGTAAGGAGAACATTTGGCTTTTACAAAGAGCCTCTAAGGTTTTTCTAAAATTCAAAGTTAACACCTTGTGAGAATACTAAAGAATTGTAATGAACCAAGACATCAGCTATATGTAAGATCTCCTTTAGATCAGCATTCAGCAAAGAGTACAGGGGAAAAATGACATCAGAACCTTTTATTACTTACATTTATAAACTTTGTTTCAAATCAGATTGATTTTTTAATAACCGGGACTCAACTTACATTCCAAGGCCCATTAATTATATATTTATTATATGTAGGAGGTATTTTATATTTTGTAATCACTTCTCATTCCATAAGTATGAATTAAATTGATGCCAACTTACAAATTAAGCCAAAAAGTTACTCTTTTGTTTTTGTGTAGTCAAAATAAGTACAGTGCTTCTTCCACAACATAATCTTGATATGCAGAACAACAGTGCTAATCATTATTGTTGATATGCTAACTACTCACTCTAAATCTGATATGACAATTAAAAATGAAAACAACTCACTTTTAATCTGATATGACAGTTAAAACTGAAAAGTGTCCTCAAAGCAATTTATAGACTAAAATAATGATTGTAAATCTTAATGGTAAAACTAAACAAAATAAATTGGATTGCACAAAATATTTTGTATCTTGCGCAAAAGTAGGTATCTCAAGAAAATCACTGTAATACAATCTTAATTTTTATATTGTCAAGTTTATTAAATGGCAAAATTTCCAGGAACATCAGTTTTTAAAAAAACAAAAAACAGAACATATTGTTCATGTTAAACTGCTCCTAAGGTATCCTACAATTGTGGTCTCCCAATAAGAGAGGCATGAAACAATCTGCTGACGTGTGGGGAAAAAAAATCAGTGCATTATACATATTTACCTTTTATCTTTAAAAACAAGTAAACTTTACTAACATTTAGGGAAAAAAGAACATTGGAACTTCTAATAAAAATTTCACTACAATTTTAAATATTCACTTAAATATTTACTAAGCATTTACTATGTTCAAAAGAGAAGGCAAAGCAAAATGCTATCAATGTTGTCAGTGCAACATTAGATAAAATTTAGCATTTCCTCTTTTTAAAAAAATTCTTGCTAAAGGAAAATGGTATTATAATGTCTTTAGGCAGAAACCAACATGGAATTTTAATCATTATAGTCACCTTAAAGTCTGTTCCATCTCCAATATTTACTACCTTATTAATGATGGTAATCGTTTCCACATCTCCCATGCTGGAACTTCATAAGAACTTTGCTGTTATCCTGATCTCCTCCTCCTCCCTCACCTCATACATCTAATTGGCCACCAAATGCTGTTGACTCTTCTTCAGCCCCTTTCCTCCAGTTCCTCTGACCTTGCTATGTCTCCTCATCTTTGCCCTATACCTGTGGTCTCCCAGTTAAGAGGCATGAAACAATCTGCTGACATGTAGGAAAAAATAGAGCAATTAAATATATTTATTTCTACATTTATACACACTTTTAATCTTTTAAAACAGGTAAACTTTAACAGTTTGTAGAATGAATTATATACATATATCACCTAGAAATATATAAACTTTTATTAGGGGTACAGATTCAAAATTGCTGACAAGGGTGTGGAATAAATCAAGTTTGAAAATCACAAGACTAGACTATTAACATGGCTACTTATCTTGCCCTCCTACTGCCTCTACTTCTGTGTCAACGTGAGTTATAGTTCTTAAATGTGAAGCTGGTCCTATCCTTTAGCTGACAAAAGATCTTTCCTTGGCTTTTCTTTCTCTTAGCAAAGCTTACAAGGACTCTTATGAAATAGTGGCCTTTTTTTTTTTTTTTTTTTTTTAAGACGGAGTCTCGCACTGTCGCCCAGGCTGGAGTGCAGTGGTGTGATCTCGGTTCATGCCATTCTCCTGCCTCAGCCTCCCGAGTAGCTGGGACTACAGGTGCCCGCCACCACGCCCGGCTCATTTTTTGTATTTTTAGTAGAGACGGGGTTTCACCGTGTTAGCCAGGATGGTCTCGATTTCCTGACCTCGTTATCCGCCTGCCTTGGCCTCCCAAAGTGCTGGGATTACAGGCGTGAGCCACCGCGCCCGGCCTAAATAGTGGACTTTCTAAATCTCCAGTCTCACTGTTTTCTTCTCTCCACCATTCACCCCTATACCCCAACCGTTCAATTTCTTACTGTTCTGTACACACCGGGCCCTTTCACAGCTGAATGCCCATATAAAGACTATTCCTTCTGTAAAGGCAGCAAGATGTAATCAGGTTCCTACAAAATATCTTTGTTGGCATGTAGACGCCATGGAAATTAGCTAGGTTACTTAATTTCTCTAAGCCTCAGATTCTGGCACCTTTAATAATGACAATGTCACCTACCTAAAGGACTGTGGTAATATTGGAAATAATAAAATCACCTGAACACATTTAATCATCATAACAATTCTATGAGGCAGCTATCCCCAATTTATAGGTGAGGAGATACAGATCGATTGAGTAGCTTGTCCAAGGGCACATAATTAAGTGGCAGAGCAGGGCTTCAACCTGGCTGCCCCAGAGTCAATGTTGATTATTGTTATGCTATCTGTTTCACTAAGTTTGGGTCTATCTCAACTCCAGTGTCTTTATTAGAGATGTGAGGAGCTGACTAGATGATCAAGTTCCTTCCAATCTAATATTCTGTTTCTAATTAAAGGCTTATGGCTCAGGCAAGAGCTTCACTGGGTCTGCCTTCTGTCAGTGTCACAAGGAGATAGTGTAAGGAGTGGTCCCTATGAGTTGATACTTCTTCTCAGAGGAACACAAAAGATAATGGGGGAGGAAAACTCCAACAGATTCCCTTTTCCTTGAACCTAGGTGACACCCTATTATTTTCCACCCAGTTACTATCAGAGTTTACTGGTTACCAGCATGACCAACAGCAAGAAGGGGAAGATGAGACAGTTTTAGCAGTTACTTCCTTTCCCCTTATTTCTACAGCAAATTTGAACTTCATGGCCTCTTTCCCACCAAAAGCCTATCACTAAATTTAGCATAATCTTAGTTTAATTATTCTTGGTTTTTATTTTTATGAAGAGTATCACACACTCTTCATAAACATTAAAAGCCTAACATAAAATTTAACAATTCAAAGAAAACACATTTTCAACATAGCTATAAAAATATATCCATTAAAAAATGGGCATATCATGAACAAAGGTCTTAATACTCAAAAAAATCTCCATTAAGCACTACACCATGCTAGGCACTAGTTTATTCACTGAGAGTAAAGCACTGACCAAAATATGGTCATTTACTCTTGTTGGAGCTAACATCATGGTAAATAGACAAACAATTAAGTGAAATATATATGCAGGTATGTTAAAAATTTTTGATTTGCTTATATTCTAAACTGAGCAATAATGGCTAAAACTGAGTTGTATATTTAAGTAGTTTTGAATTATGAATAATAACTCATAGCTATCACAGTATCTGCCATTGTTAAAATTGTTAACATTTTCAGAAAGAAGGGACAATAGCATTTACTGGATACTTATTTTGTGCTGTTAGACACTGGAATGTATGTATCTTAAGATGCTTTCTTGAAAGACAGGTAAAATGACCTTAGGGACATGAATTCTAGAATAGATCAATTTTAACCTATAGACTAACTCCTTTGTTGGAATAATATCTTTATATGCTGTAATTTTACCACCAAAAGGTCCTTCTAGGATAATAAGCGCCCTAGAACCATATAAAGAGAATATTTTGATAAACGCATCCAGATTCAAAAGCAGTGATTTTTCAAGGTGTGGTAGCTCTAAGTAGTATACCCATCATATCTGCTTTTACAATATAAACCCCCAAAAGAAAAGTGCCATAAAATCTTGGCTGATTTATCTAAAAAATAGAGGGTTAAAGCATAGTAAGGGCATAGGTCAAAAAAAGGTCAAGAAATAGAGCCCTAGAGATAAATACAAGTATGTTAAAATATACGTATAAAGGAATAGGAAGATGCCAAAAGCAGTCTGTTTCAAAAGTCTGCCTAGGGTCAACCCTAGACCCTGAAAAGACAAAATTAATACTTTTGATTTTTTTCTCCTAAGACCAAGGGAGGCTCAGTCCTAACACTAAAAGTTTAGCAATACGAATATTTATGAGTTAAATCACAGAATGAGTTAAATAGGCTTACATGCATTGGCTTGGGAAACTCTATCCACATAGTGTACACTGTTCCTTCAGGAAAATATAGCTTAAATTACAAGTAATCAATTTAGGGACTCTTGGAATACAACTCTACTCAGTAGTTGGCCTGAATCAAACGATTCCATTTATTTCATGATTACAATAATCAATGTTTCCACAATATCCTGCAAAATTGCAGAATTTTATAACAACTGCATAAGTGAACTGTGCCAAAGATCAATGATAAGTAGCTGACTGAAGTCTACATTTTGTGGCTTAACCAGCACCAGTTTGGCTACCATCAAGCAACGCTGGCAGAGCTGCTTAAGAAACTAATATTCCGACACTGCCATCTGTATTATATAAATGGCTATTTTTGTTCCTTGAACTTTATTTTGGGTATGATAATGTGGAAGAATGTAAGCTACCTCTTAGGGTACATTCTGATGATGTCAAGATGAGTGCTCTCATTCTGGATCTCTGAATTCTCCACACAGAGAAGAGCAGTAGTAGTTCCTATGGCTATTAGTTAGCCTGGAAACTTTACACATGTGACCAGTGTGACCAAGTTCCCTTCAGTCTTTAGGTCACTGGAAAAATCTAGTAAAAAATCAAAACGAAACGCCAAAAACCCATTCACTTGAAACAAGTCTCTCAATAGCTGAAACTTTCTTGACAGAGTGTTTTTGTCCTGGCATTACAATCCATACAGGCAAAGAAAAAAACCAATGTGCGATGCACATTGATAATACAAAATTATTTTATAGGTCTCAAATTATACATAATTCATAGCGAATAGATGTTAGGAACACACAAAAATGATGTTAGCAAAGTCAGAAAAAGAATACGTATATAAAATGAATACTAGAAAAATAATCAGCTCACCAGCACATCCCTCATTAGGGCAGCTATTCACTGCAGCTATCCCTCTCCCCTCCATGTCTATCCAGGCTCCTACAGATGTCTGAACTAGTTACTCTACCACAGAACAAATCTCTCCACAGCAACTGCAGAACATGTAGGTACTCCAAATCAAATCAATCCTAGTTGACTTCAAAATTATATAATTAATTCTGTTTTCATAATGATGAAAAGCTCTAGGAAAGCTATACAGCTTCCTTTTATGTCTTTAATAAAAAAACACCAATTTATGATTTATTGTAGAAAACATACATTATAGGAAAGAATTAGTATCTTTTTTTTGAGATGGACTCTTGCTCTGTTGCCCAGGCTGGAATGCAGTGACGTGATCTCGGCTTGCTGCAACCTCCACCTCCCAAGTTCAAGTGATCCTCTTGTCTCAGCCTCCTAATTAGCTGAGACTGCAGCTGCATGCCACCATACCTGGCTAACTTTTTGTATTTTTAGTAGAGATGGGGTTTCACTATGTTGGCCAGGCTGGTCTTTAACTCCTGACCTCAAGTGAGCTGCCCGCCTTGACCTCCCAAAATGCTGGGATCACAGAAATAATTAGTATATTTAAAAATAGCAAAACCCAGAGTTTGGGCCTTACATAAAGAAGAAATGAGTCAGAAACTAGCCTACAGTTTGAATGACATATATTAGTTCCAGAAATTGTAAAATTTCTGGACAACTCCCTCCTTTACACTTTTAGTATTCTAAACATCACTGTATAATAGTGTATTTATAATAGTGTATTATTTGTTTACATTCCTAATTACTCCCTACTACACTATAAATTCCTTAAAGACAGATATCACATATTATTCATCTCTATTTCTCCACTCTCCAGTACAATATCTGACATACAATAAATGCTCAATAAGTGTTCCTTAAATAAACTAGAAGTATAACCTCAGTTGAAATACATAAACCTCAACTCCCAATTCTAACACACCCATGTGTGCATAGTTACATATATAAAAGGGATAGGTGCTATTTTAATTTTCTCTTTATAAAGATGGTATTTGATTTGAGAACTAGAAACCTTGTATTGCATAACAGAGAGCTACACAGTTTTCCAGGGAGTAGTAACATCAACTTGATCTTAATCACAAAGTAATGCCTCTCAGCTAAATATGGTAGATATTATGAAACTGATGTCATGGGGCTTTAATTCTCAAACTGAGGTGATCTTGTAGAAAACAGAGAAATGTCTTAAATAATTCTGAAACCCATTCTATATAACTTCTAAAGAGATTTTAAAAAAATCACTATTAAGCAACATTCATCACCACTAATTGTTTGCCATGTGCCAATAAGTTGTGCTAAGCATTTTGCTGTATCTCATGTAACCTCAATGATATGAGGAAGGTATTATTACCCTATTTTACTAAGAAATATTTTTTAACTATTAGGAAAAAAACCTTAGCTTTAGAGATGATCTGAACCAATGTTCTCATTTTACATATTAAAAAAACAAGAGGATGAATATAAAGAAATTAGTGTTATGCAGGCAGATATCTGGTATGTAGGAACAAAAGGGCACAGAGGAAAATATACCAACAAAGGCAAACTTAGGAAAAGGTCTAATCTGTCTAAGAAATGGTCAGAATTCATCTTATTAGATAATTGACACAAACTAGGCTAGGGAAGGAGGTTTTGACTAAGCTGTGTATTAAATAATTGATATTTTTTTCCTGAAAGGATTAGGGAAACTAACAGGTGATAATAAAGGTGACTATTTTTATAGCAGCAGCTACCATTCATTAAATCTTTGAGAATTAATGCAGGTTTTATGTCCAAAACTTCCCAGGATTCAAATGCATTCCTATGGTCCCAAAGCCAGTGCTACTCTTAACTTCTATGTTACAATGTCTCCTGCAAAAGACCCTGGCAGGAGAGTGACATGATTATACTTTCTCATAATAAAATTGATTATACATATTTAGGAAAAAGAGCTATTATATATTAAAGAACATGCACTGTTTGAAACTTATGATGTAAGTGAAGACCTGTGAACTACAGAAACCACTATTCACTGGGAGGCCCTGAAGGCAATCTCACAACCAGTTAACCAAAATGGAACTCATTTACCATCCTCTCAATACATTTTCTTTTTGGTTCAGCATCTCTCAATTATCCACAGTATTAAAGAAAACAGAACTCCAGACTTAACTGTCTAGCTGTACTGCCACCATTATTTCTACTTTTCATTTTTACCCCAGTTACAAGTGTTAAGTAGCAAAAGTGGCCAACCTGAACTGTACTTAATAACAAAGAATATGAGTTTGGAATGAAGACAGACTGGTTTCTCCATTTACCACCTACACAACCTAAAACAAGTTACTATTATTTATCATTTCCATTTACCTTCAAAACAAACACTCCTACTGGAAGCAAGATGTTTTATTGTGAAACATCCACATTAAAAGGTTGTGAGGAAGTGATTAAAGGTGTTTATTCTCACAGGATGCTTCAGTGAAATGAAAATTTCCTAGTCTGACATTTTAAGAAATGGAGACTTCCCACATGAAGCCAAAGACACCTGGTACTATATTCAATATATCCTTAATGAAGGAAGGGGGTCCACAAGGCCTTCAGTAATGAAAGAGTCAACAAGAAAGGGGAGAACTGTTAAGATCTACCCACATAGAAAAGCAGAGGACAAAGTCCAAAGTAGCTTCCATTTAATATCTTAGAAGAGTTAGGTATAATGATAAGTAAAAGAAGTCAGACACAAAGAATATATACCACATTATTCAATTTCTATGAAGTCTAGTAACAGGGGAAATTAAATTATAGTGATGGAAGTCAGCAAAGTGGTTACTTTCAAGTGGAGAGAGGAAGGATACTATTTGGGAAGAGGCGCAAGGGAGCCTTGTGGGATAATAAAAATCTTCTATATCTATACTTGATGTAGGTAGTGGTTTCAGGAGCACACACATATGTAAAAATTCATTTGGCTGAGCACTTATGATCTGGGCATTTTACTTACAACAATACATCAATCATAGGGGATGGGGTCAATTCAGAACAAGGACCATAAAACTCCTGCAAGATTTTATAAACTGTCTAACTTTTTATAGTTTTACAATTTTGTTGCCATTGACCTATTTCTCTATGGTGACAAGCAGTAAATTTGTTATAAACATAAGTTCAGTGTTTCTTTGTAAGTAGCTAGGAAGGAAGAAGCTGGGCAGTCTATATGGCCTTCTGTAGCTAGGTCTTAGGGGGCTAGAAACAGAAAGAACCCAGGAAGTGTTGGTGTACACAAGTAGACACAAGGATAGAAGAACATGGAGAGACAGTTGGGCTTGATAGGAAATAAGAATCCCAGATGTTCTCAACAGTTAATAATTTATCTACATACTGTAATAAAATCCCTGATGTCCTGTAGATACTCACTAAGCTTTATAAACTTGGTTAAAAATACACTCACTTTTTCCAACAGAATTTTTAGAAATTATTTCCTCGCAAATCAATCTGATTATAAAATCTAACTTTAAGCTTGATTTTACCATGGTAAAGCTAACTTTACCATAACCATCATCCGCTCTGGACAATACCAAGGAAAAGACCTATGCATTATATGAAGTTGTACACACTCCATTTTATGGCTTTTATTAGCTGTTAGAACCATGCGCTGTGCTTCTCTGACACATTTATGGAAGATGTTTGTTAGAGTCACAAAAAAGGGGGTATGTGAAACCAATGAACAAAGAAACCTAGATTAACCAATCTTTGACAATGTCACCATTGAACAAAAGAAAAAAAAAAAGATGTAATGGTCTAAGACAAGGTATAATGAGCAAGGCCCATAACAAACCCTCTAAGTGGACAATTCCATTCTTACCTTTATCACGATCATAGAGCAAATCTTCTGTTGAGCAAGGGCTACCATCCTGGGATTCCGGGGGACAAAAAGGGGAGACACAGGGTGAATGACTGCTGCAGCTACTGCTGCGCTCCTGGACAGAAGGAGTCTGAGTGTCAATGCTGCGAGTACTACTGCTCCGGTAATGAGCAGGAAGTGGAGCTCTTCGACCATCTGGTATGTCCAACGGCTGTAAGAGGAATACCATTAAACATCCAAATGCTGGTGCATATATTCATCTACATAGAAAGCACATAGTATTTCCCTTGATTTCATATTCCACCACTACTGACCCAGTTTATTCTTCAAAGGCTAAAGACCAAGCTTGTGTCTTAAGCTAATTTCTGCGTATGTTACCTTTATTGAACTAAACATTTCTTTTAAATCAAATTGTTTGCCTTAAAAATTCCATAGCTCACTGTATGTACCTGTAGGTCAGCACATCCCACAAAACTCTTCAAGGACAGCGGGAGTCCTGTGCCTGGCACTACTCCTGGCACATGGCAGATATTCAGTAAACATTTGCTGAAAGAATTAACAAAGCTAAAAAAAAAATCACTTTGACTTGCTTGTAAGAAAAAGTGAAATCTCATATTCCTCATATTCACAGGTACAGATTTTTCTGTTTGTTCATTCCTTCCTAGTTTAATTTTTAGAGGTTATGAACAGAACCATAGTTTCTATTTCCTTTGCAAATTATCCAAAATTTCTAATAAAGAGGTTTATTCTATTAGTACTCAATAGAGTTTATTAATGTAACTCAAAAGAATTCTAATATTAGAAGAATTTGGATATCAAATTCTACTAACTCAGTATCCAACTAAGTAGGACTACTCATAATCTTCCTTAGTTTGAATACTTTGTTCTCAGTAGCAAAAAGAAGGAAAAAAAGGAAACCATCATCATAGAGCCACATATTTTGGTCTTGAGGGTACCTCAGAGCTCACTGGTCCATTGTTTTGTTTTCACAAATGAGGAACCTATAGTTCAGTGGCACAGCTAATTAAGTGGCATCAGAGATTCTGCTGCAGTGGACTCTTTCTACTTTACTACTCTGCTTCTGTAAAAATAGATCTTACTCCATATTCTTCATTTGTGTGCTAACAAAGTGAGGTTAACAAGTAAAATTCTCTATATTAAGTTATATAATTGAAAATATTTGTTGTTATTAAACACACAGGACTGCAGTGCTAGGGAAAAGAACCAATATGCTGTTAATTTATTTATAATTTATTTTCACTATTTATTGTGTCTACTGCTCTTACTCTGATCATTGTCATTTCAGAGATTTTAGAAAAACTGTCAAGAGGGGAAATGAAGGAAGGTAAAATCAGGTGAAATTCAAAATGTATCAATATTTTCTATACCAAACAAGTGAAGGCCGAAATCTGAAACTATGCAAATGAAAACTTCATTTAGAGTTCTGCCCCTGCTGCCCTTGGAGTAGAGAAGAAACAGAGAGGCCGAGGGCTTTACTTGCACTGCTAGCATGACATACTCACCATACAGAGAGGAGCCCATGTCCTCCCTGTGAGCCCTCGGCACCCCACCTTTCACCCGGTGGGGCTCCCGGCTCAGGCCAGCAGCACAGCTGCCCCACCCCCTGGCTGAACATCCCAGTAGCAACGGATCTGTGTTTCTGCAGTGGAGCTCCCAGAGGCAACCGAAAGCCCCTCTGCCACTGCCACTGCAGTGGTACTGCCCTTGCTACCCTTGTACTAGGAAAGGAGCAAAGACCCAGAGTGCTTTAACCACACCTCCAGCAAGCTGCCACGGCCCTAAGAAGAGGTCAGTCTGTCTCCCCCAGGATCCCCCCAGCTTGAGCCCACAACGCAGCTGTCCTACTCAAAGCCAATCACACCGACTGGCAGCAGTTCTGCTATTTCTCTGGGGTGGACCCCAGAGACAAGGGAAAGGCCCTCTGCCATAGCCACTGCCAAGGTCCCTTCCCCTGCTGCCTCCAAGCTGGGAGAGAACATAAAGCCTTAGCTCACCCCAGGGCTGCAGCCTGGGAGTGCCAAGCCAAGATCTGCAGCCAGCACTTGAGTAGGAGAGGAGCCCACACTTTCAGAGCACTGACAGGGAGCGCAGCTGCAATAGTGAGGAAATACAGAAGAGCCACGTGGCTGAGCAAGAGCTTACCTACTGGCCATTACGCTTAAGAGGCATCAAACTTCAATCAGAGTGCAAACTTCAATACTGAAAATACTTAGTTAATAAACCCTCCTGTGAAACTAAGGACAATAAGTCAGCTACAAATAAAAACCTTGTACAATGCCTCAGACTCTAAAAACATCCCGAAAAGTCAACCGACTGTACAAATTATACCATGGTTGAAGGAACATCAGCCCACACAGGTGAGAAAGAACCAGTGCAAGAACTCTGGCAACTCAGAAAGCCACAGCGTCTTCTTTCCTCCCACTGACCACATTAGTTACCCAACAAAGGTTCTTAAACAGGTTGGAATGGCTGAAATGACAGAAAGAATTCATAATATAGAAATGAAGGTCATCAAGATTCAGAAGAAAGCAAAAACCCAATCCAAGGAATCTAATGATTACCATAAAATAATACAGGAGCTGATTGATGAAATGGCCATTGTAAGAAGGAACCAAACTGATCAGAGAGTTGAAAAACACACTATGAGACTTTCATAATGCAATCCCAAATATTAATAGCAGAATAGACCAAGCTGAGGAAAGAATCTCAGAGCTTGAAGACTGGTTCTCTGAACTAAGACGAAATTTTTTTTTTCTTTTCTGAGATGGAGTTTTGCTCTTGTTGCCAGGATGGAGTGCAATGGCACAATCTCGGCTCACTGCAACCTCCGCCTCCTGGGTTCAAGAGATTCTCCTGCCTCAGCCTCCTGAGTAGCTGGGATTATAGGTGCCCACCACGATGACCGGCTAATGTTTTGTATTTTTAGTAGAGATGGGGTTTCACCACGTTGGCCAGGTTGGTCTTGAACTTCTGACCTCAGGTGATCCTGCCTTGGCCTCCCAAAGTGCTAGGATTATAGGCATGAGCCACCGTGC
This sequence comes from Homo sapiens, assembly GCF_000001405.40. Taxonomy (NCBI): domain Eukaryota; kingdom Metazoa; phylum Chordata; class Mammalia; order Primates; family Hominidae; genus Homo; species Homo sapiens. The sequence goes on along the minus strand of NC_000007.14, from coordinate 8,068,075 downwards.
CTAGCCAAAATTTTTTTTAAAAAGAATAAAAAAGAATGAACAAAGCCTCTGAGAAATACTATGTAAAGAGACTAAATCCACGATGCACTGGCATCCCTAAAAATGATGAGGAGAAAGCAAGCAACTTAGAAACCAGATTTCAGGATACCGTCCATGAAAACTTCCCCACCCACACTAAAGAGGCCAACATTCAAATTCAGGAAATGCAGAGAACCCCTGCAAAATACTACACAAGAGGACCATTCCCAAGATACATAATCATCAGATTCTCCAAGGTTGGAATGAAAGAAAAAATGTTAAAGGCAGCTGGAGAGAATAGGCAGGTCACCCACCTACAAAGGGAACCCCATGAGGCCAACAGAAGACCTTTCAGCAGAAATCTGGCAAGCCAAAAGAGATTGGAGCCTATTCCAAGCGAGAAGTGGCTATCTAGTCAAACTAAGCTACATAAGCACAGGACAAATAAGATCCTTTTCAGACAAGCAAATGGTAAGAGAATTCATTACTACCAGACCTGCCTTACAAGAGGTCCTGAAAGGACTGCTAAATCTGGAAAGGAAAGAACGTTATCAGCCACTACAAAAACACAATTAAGTACACAGAACAGTGACACTATAAAGCAACTACACAATTAAGTCTGCAAAGTAACCAGCTAACAACACAATGAAGGATCATGTACATATCAATATTAACCTTGAATGTAAATGGATTAAATGTCCTAATTAAAAGGTGCAAACTGGCAAGCTGCATAAAGAAGCAAGACTAAACAGTAGGCGTCTTTAAGAGACCAGGCTCACATGCAAAGACACCCATGCGGTCAAAATAAAGGGATGGAGAAAAATCTACCAACCAAATGGAACACTGAAAAAAAGCAAGATTGCTATTCTAATTTCAGACAAAACAGACTTTATACCAACAAATATCAAAAAAGACAAGGTCAGTATATAATGGTAAAGGATTCAATGCAACAGGAAGACCTAACTATCCTAAATATATATGCACCCAACACAGGGGCACCCAGATTCATAAAACAAGTTCTCAGAGACCTACAAAGAGACTTCGATGTCCATAAAATAATAGTGGGAGACTTCAACACCCGACTGCCAGTATTAGCCAGATCACTGAGGTAGAAAATTAATGGAGATGTTCAGGACCTGAACTCAACACTTGACCAAATGAACTGAATAGACATCTACAGAACTCTTCAACCCAAAACAATAGAATATACATTCTTCTCATTACCACATGGCACATAATATAAAAACAACCACACGAATGGACATAAAACAATCCTCTACAAATTCAAAAAAACTGAAATCATGCCAACCACACTCTTGGACCACAGTACAATAAAAATTGAAATCAATACTAAGAAAATTGCTGAAAACCATATAATTACATGGAAATTAAACAACCTGCTCCTGAATGGCATTTGCGTAAACCATGAAATTAAGGCAGAAATCAAGAAATTCTTTGAAACTATGGGACTAAAGATACAACATACTAGATTCTATGGGACACAGCTAAAGCAGTGTTAAGAGGGAAATTTACAAGCTCTAAAGGTCCACATAAAAATCCGATCTCAGATAACAAACTAACATCACATATAGAGGGACTAGAGAAACAAGAGCAAACTAACTCCAAAGCTAGCAGAAGACAAGAAATAACAAAAATAAAATCAGAGCTGACCTGAAAGAAACTGAGATGCAAAAAACCATAAAAGATTAACGAATCCCTGCATTAATTCTTTGAAAGAATGAGAGAGACTGCTAGCTAGACTAATAAAGAAAAAAAGATCCAAATAAACAAAATCAGAAATGACAAAGGGGACAGTACCACTGACTCCACAGAAATATTAAAAAACCCTCAGAGACTACTATGAACACCTCTGTGCATACAAGCTAGAAAATACAGAAAAAAACAGGTAAATTCCTGGAAACATACAAACTCCCAAGACTGAACCAGGAAGAGAGAATCCCTGAATGGAACAATAATGGTTCTGAAATTGAGTCAGTAATAAAAAGCCTACCAACCAGAAAGAGCCCTGAACCACATGGATCCACAGCCAAATTCTACTAGCTGTATAAAGAAGAGCTAGTACCATTCCTACTGAAACTATTCAAAAAAATTGAGGGGGAGGGACTTCTCCTTAACTAATTCTATAAGGATAACATCATCCTGATACTAAAACTTGGCAGAGACATGACGATGACAACAAAAACTTCAGGTGAATATCCTTGATAAAAATAGATGCAAAAATCCTCAACAAAATACTAGCAAACCAAATCCAGCAGCAGATCAAAAAGTGAATCCACCATGACTAAGCAGACTTTATCCCTGGGATGCAATGTTGGTTCAACATATGCATATCAATAAATGTGATTCATCAAATAGAACTAAAAACGGAAACCACATAATTATCTTAATAGATACAGAAAGGGCTTTCAATAAAATCCAACATCCCTTCATGTTAAAAACCTCCAACAAACTAGGCACTGAAGGAACATACTTCAAGATAAGAAGAGCCATCCAAGAAAAACCCACAGCCAACGTCATACTGAATGGGCAAAAACTGGAAGCATTCCCTTGAAAACTGTAATGAAACAAGAATGCCCTCTCACCACTCCTGTTCAACATAGTACTGGAAGTCCTGGCTGGAGCAATGAGGCAAGAGAAAGAAATAAAAGACAGCCACAAATAGGAAGAGTAAAGGCACATGATCCCTGGTTTTAGACAATATGATTCTATACCTAGAAAATCCCATAGTCTCTACCCAAAAGCTCCTTGATCTGATAAACAACTTCAGCAAAGTTTTAAGAAACAAAACATACAAAAATCAGTAGTGTTTCTATATACTAACAATATCGAAGCTGAGAGACAAATACAGAACACAATCACATTCACAATAGCTTAGGAATACAGCTATCCAAGGAAGGGAAAGATCTCTAGAATGAGAATTACAAACCACTGCTCAATGAAATTAGAAATGACAGTATCAGATAGAAAAACATTCCATGCTCATGAATAGGAAGTATAAATATTGTTAAAATGGCCACACTGGCCAGGCGCGGTGGCTCACGCTCATAATCCCAGCACTTTAGGGGGGCCGAGGTGGGCAGATCACGCGGTCAGGAGATCGAGACCATCCTGGCCAACACAGTGAAACCCCGTCTCTACTAAAATACAAAAAAAACCAAAAAATTCGCTGGGCATGGTGGCACACGCTTGTAGTGCCAGCTGCTCGGGAGGCTGTGGCAGGGGAATCATTGGAACCTGGGAAGTGGAGGTTGCAGTGAGCCGAGACCATGCCACTGCACTTCAGCCTGGCGACAGAGCAGCAAGACTCTGTCTCCAAAAAAATAAAAATAAAATAAAAAGCCATACTGTCCAAAGCAATTTCCAGATTCAATGCTGTTCCCATCAAACTTCCAATGATGTTCCTCACAGAATCAGAAAAATCTATTTTAAAATTCATATAGAACCAAAAAGGAGCTTGAACAGCCAAGGTAGTCCTAGGCAAGAAGAACACAGCTAGAGGCATCACATGACCTGACTTCATACTATATTACAAGGACATAGTAACCAAAACATGGTACTGGTACAAAAGCAGACATATAGACCAATGGAACAGAAGAGAGAGCCCAGAAATAATACTGCACACCTGTAACCATCTGTTCTTTGACAAAGTCGAGAAAAATAAGCAATGGGGAAAGTACTCCCTATTCAATAAATGGCACTGGGATAATTCGCTAGCTATATGCAGAAGACTGAAACTGGATACCTTCCTCACACCATATACAAAAATAAATTCAAGATGGATCAAAGACTTAAATATAAAACCTGAAACTATAAAAACACCAGAAGATAACCCAGGAATTACCATTCTGGACACAGGACCTGGCAAAGATTTCATAATAAAGATGCCAAAAGCAACTGCAACAAAAACAAAAATTGACAAATGGGACCTAATTAAACTAAAGAGCTTCTGCACAACAATAGGTTTCAACAACAGAGTACACAGACAACCTACATAATGGGAGAAAATGTTTGCAAACTATGCATCTGACAAAGGTCTAATATCCAGAATCTAAGAAATGAAAACAAATGAACAAGCAAAAACCAAAGAATCCCATTAAAAAGTGGGCAAATGGCCAGGTATGATGTCTCATGCCTGTAATTATAATCCTAGCACTTTGGGAGGCCCAGGCAAGAGGATTCTTGAGCTCTGGAGTTTGAGGCAAGCCTGGGCAAATTAGCAAGACCTTGTGTGTACTAAAATTAAAAAAAAAATCAGCTGGCTGTGGTGGGACAGGACTGTAGTCCCAGCTACTCAGGAGGCTGAGGTGGAAGGATCATTTGGGCCTGAGGGATTGAGGCCACAGTAAGCCATGACTGTGCCGCTATACTCCAGCCTGGGCAATGGAGCAAGACCCTGTCTCAAAAAAAAAAAAAAAAAAAAAGGAAGAAAAGTGGTAGGCAAATCACACGCACAGACACTTTTCAAAAGAAGGATATACACGTGGCCAACAAGCATATGAAAAAATGCTCCACATTACAAAAATGCAAGTCAAAACCACAATGAGATACCATCTCACATCAGTTAGAACGGTTATTAAAAAGTCAAAAAACAGGCTGGGTGCGGTGGCTCACACCTGTAATCCTAGCACTTTGGGAGGCTGAGGTGGGTGGATTGCCTGAGCTCAGGAGTTCAAGACCAGCCTGGCCAACATGATGAAACCCTGTCTCTACTAGAAAAAAAAAATACAAAAAGTTAGTCGGGCATGGCAGCATGCACCTGAAGTCCCAGCCATTTGGGAGGCTGAGGCAGGAGAATCGCTTGGACCTGGGAGGCAGAAGTTGCAGTAAGCCAAGATCACGCCATTGCACTCCAACCTGGGCAACAGAGCGAGACTCCGTTAACAAAAACAAAACAAAAAAGTCAAAAAAACAGATGTTGGCAAGTTTGTGGAGAAAAGGGAATGCTTATACACTGCTGGTGGGAATGTAAGTAAGTTTAGCCACTGTGGAAAGCACTGTGGTGATTTCTCAACTCAAAGCAGAATTACCATTCAACTCAGCAATCCCATTATTGAGTATATACCCAAAGAAATATAAATTGCTCTACCATAAAGACACATGCACGCATATGTTCATGACAGTACTGTTTACAATAACAAACATACAGAATCAACCTAAATGCCCATCAGTGGTAGACTGGATAAAGAAAATGTGGTACATATATACCATGGAATACTATGCAGCCATAAAAAGAGTAAGACCATGTCCTTTGCAGCAACATGGATGGTGCTAAAGGCCATTATCCTAAGTAAACTAACACAGGAACAGAAAACCAAATACTATACATATTGTCACTTACAAATGAAAACTAAACATTGAGTACATACAGATACAAAGAAGGGAACAACAGATATCAGGGCCTACTTGAGGGTTAGAAGATGGGAGTAGGGTGAGGATTGAAAAACTACCTTATCAGGTAGTATGCTTATTACCTGGGTGGTGAAATAATCTGTACACCAAATTCCAGTGACATACAACTTACCTATGTAAGAAACCTGCACGTGTACCCTTGAACCTAAAAGTTAAAAACTTCATTTGTCTACAGTATGCTGCTAAACAAAAACTATACCAACTTCACAGCAATAACTATTCTACTCTAAAGATAATTTTTAATTATCTATCAGTTTGTTTGATAAACAGAAAAAGTGAACAAATTGTCTGGTTAACTATGTTGGAATACTGACATAGTTAACCAGACAATTTTCCTTTTTTGGCTACTGGCCAGTTCATGGTGATATTTTAATTAAAACTTTGAGGTACACTTAATCATAAATCTAAAACTTCTAAAAATTATAAGTTTGTAGGTTATCCCAGAATGATTCTGATATGGCTACAATTGAAGTATGGCTTATTAAAAGCAGAGGTACCTTACCAAGTTTTTTATTTTAGTATAGTTTTGCTTTTTGAGGATGTTTTTAAGGAATCAGCAAATATGTGAATTATCTCATCCTCTAAAAATTAGATCCAAAGTTTACATCTTTACATGACTGTTCTTAAACTTCACTTAATGCATAAAAAAAACACTTTAATGGGCTGGGCGCAGTGGCTCATGCCTGTAATCCAAGCACGTTGGGAGGCCGAGGTGGGCGGATCACTTGAGGTGAGGAGTTCGAGACCAGCCTGGTCAACATGGTAAAACCCTGTCTCCACTAAAAATACAAAAATTAGCTGGGCATGGTGGTGTGTGCCTGTAATCCCAGCTACTCAGGAGGCTGAGGCGGGAGAACCACTTGAACCTGGGAGGAGGAGGTTACAGTGAGCCGAGATGGTGCCACTGCACTCCAGCCTAGGCAACAGAACGAGACCCTGTCTCAAAAAAAAAAAAAAAAAAAAAAAAAAAGAGTTCAATGGTAAACAGAGATGCCATGATGTCCAAAGAGTTCCTTGATGTTGTAATATATATAAAATTATAAACTTAACATGAAATGTTGAAGGAGAGTCAAATAGTACAACCTTTTGGGAGGGTAATTCTGGCAATATTCATCAAGATTTTAAATGTACAAATGCTATGACCTAGCAATTTCACTGCCAATTTTAAAATGGGGCAAAAGATCTAAATAAATATTTCTCCAATGAGGATATACAAATGACCACTAAAGGCTGGGTGCAGTGGCTCACGCCTGTAATCCCAGCACTTTGGGAGGCCGAGGTGGACGGATCACGAGGTCAGGAGATCCAGACCATCCTGGCTAACATGGCAAAACCCCGTCTCTACTAAAAATACAAAAAAATTAGCCGGGTGTGGTGGCGGGCACCTGTAGTCCCAGCTACTCGGGAGGCTGAGGCAGGAGAATGGCGTGAACCCAGGAGGCAGAGCTTGCAGTGAGCCGAGATCACGCCACTGCACTCCAGCCTGGGTGAAAGAGCGAGACTCCACCTCAAAAAAAAAAAAAAAAGATCACTAGCACATGAAAAGATGCTTAACATCTTCAGCCATTACGAAATGCAAATTAACACCACAATGATATATCACTTCACATCCACTAAGATTGCTATAATTAAAAAAGGACAGATAATTACAAGTGTTGGTGAGGATGCAGAGAAACTGGAATTCTTATACACTGGTAGGAATATACAACAATGCAGACACTTTGGAAAAGAGTCTGGCAGTTCCTCAAAAAGTTAAACATAGAGTTACCATGTTAGCATTTCCAACCCTAGGTATATACCCAAGAGAAATGCAAACAGTATGTTCACACAAAACCTTGTATACAAATGTTTATAGAAGCATTATTCACAATAGCCAAAAACTAAAACAATCCAAATTTCCATTAATTGATGACTGAATAAATAAAATCCATATAACTGATTAATATTTGGCCATAAAAAGGAAGTCACTGATAACAGGCTAAACGTGGGTGAACCTTAAAAACACTATGCTAAGTTAAAAAAAATCCAGTTAAGAAGGCCACGTTGTATGATTCCATTGATATGAAACATCTAGAACAACCAGCAAAAAATCCATCAACAGATTAGTGACCGCCTAGGGCCAAGAGTATTACAGGGAAATGAGAGACCACTGTGAAAGGATAAAATGTTTCTTTTTGGGGTGATGAAAATGCTGTAAAATTGATTGTGGTGACAGTTGTATAACTCTGAATCTGTTAAAAACCACTGAATTGTACACTAAATGAGTAAACTGGATGGTATGTGAATTATATCTTAACAAAGCTGTTACCAAGAAAGTACTTTTCAGACAGTTCGTTATATCAGAGAAAAAAAGGATTCAAATATCCCATGTAACCTTACCTTGGATACTTCTTCCTTCCCATTATTTTCTTTAATGAATACCTTTTCTAATTCAGGACTTATTCCTTCTACATTGCAGGGCACACGCGAAACAGATGATTTTGGCACTGATATATTTGACAGTGGCATAGGAACTGACCTTGATCCAGTAGCCTATGAGATAAGATAAAGGTGGTATCAAATTATTTGTGGTCAAAGCAATCAAGAACTAAAGAGTATGGTAAATATTAAAATTGAAACTCAATGAACGGAGTTATTTCTGACCTTTCAAATACAATAAAATTCAGGTGCACATATAGAAATTTAGGTTCTGAAGTAAGAAAGTAAAATGAAAATTACATAGTCAAAATAATCCTTTCAAATCCCTTTATGTAAGTATAAAGGTATACCTGTATAATGTATATACTTGTTCAGTAGAATGGCAGAATCTTCTGCATTATTTACATTGTTTTCCTTTTTCTATTTCACGGGAACAGCATAGTTGAAGTCACGTAACTTAAATGTATCATGTAAGTCTACTGTATAGCTCTGTATGAGTATGTTTACAAGATGTTTGTTTTCTGTATGGTGACAATTACGTTCTAGTATTTGGCATTTCCATCTTGTCAACTATTTCAGAAAATCTGTTGGATTATTAAGTAATGTGGCAACAGTATTATGCTAAGTTCAACAACTCACTTAACAATTTAAAGCCTGTTTTCAAAAGTCCTTGGCAGGAGTTCTCAAAAATTAACTACCACTAATAGTTGTTAAGGAAAAAGTGTAAGACAAGCCTTTTGATACTTAAGGATTTATACAACAAGAAAGAAATAAGAAAAATAAAGATTAATAAGGTAAAAATTAAAACAAATGACCTCTATCTTACACTGAATCCAGTTGACATACATGATCTGTGATAAGGTAGACTGCTAATCATTGGTTAGCACACTAATAATATTTCCCATACAATGGTGTATTCTTGCCAACTGTGAGTTGCTGCTCATCAGTGTCTTTTGTCTCTTATTGATGCATGAACTTTTCTCATATTGAGGTTTTAACTCTTTTTCATATATTACTATCAGTATTTTTTCAAATACTGTTGACCCTCGAACAACATGGGTTTGACCTGTGTGGGTCGACTTACATACAGATTTTCTTCCACCTCTGCCACCCTGAGACAGCAAAACCAACCTCTCCTCTTTTTTCTCTTCCTCAGCCTACTCAAAGTGAACACAATGGGGAGGAAGACCTTTATGATGATTCACTTCCACTTAATGAACACTGAACATATTTTTTCTTCCTTATGCTTTTATTAATGACCATTTCTTTTCTCTAGGTTACTTTATTAAAGAATATAGTATATAATACATGAAACATACAAAATATGTTAAGTGACTATTTTACGTTATCGGCAAGGCTTCTGTGCAACAGTACGCTGTTAGTAGGTTAAGTTTTTGGGAACCCAAAAGTTATAAACAAATTTTCAACTGCATGAGGGTCAATGCCCCAACCCCCATTGTTGTTGAAGAGTTAACTGTATTTTATCAAATAGGTAATCAACTTTTATCAAATATTTTTCTTTCTGGATTTTTACAGTTTTTCACATTTAAATACTTAACCTATCATGATTTACTTTTGTGTATGGTGTAAAGTCTCAGTATTATTTCCCCCACACAGTAATCCAATTGCCCCACCATTTCTTTATGGATTCTGTATTTGATTTCCTGGAGCTACTATCTGATAATCCCTAGGCAGAGTGCCACTTAATTGCTATAATTTTATATTACATTTTCATATCTTGTAGGAAAAGTCTTTTCAAATTTTCTTTTCTATTAATGGGCCCTGCTTTTTCATTGGCCTTTGAAGACAGTTTTTCAAGTAATAAAAACAAGTCCTTTTAAATTTGCACTGGAATGCAAAACAATTTGTACATTAATTTCAGGTAAATTGCTATTTGAAAAATACTGAATCTTCCCATCTATTAATGTGTTAAGACTTCCCATTTATGTGTCTTATATTTCATGTTCTCAAAGATGTATAGTTTACATATTTCTTTTAAGTTTGATTCCAGGCATTTTGTATTTTTCATCATATTTTGAAACATTACTAATATAAGAGGAAACTGAATTTGGGTATGTTTATACTTTATCTAGTCATCTAGTTTCAGTTTTCCCCTTTTCATTATGGAAAATTCCAATCATAAACATAATTCAACAGAGTAACACAATAAACCCCCAGGTACACATAATCCAGCTTCAAAAATTATCAACATTTACCAATTTGTTTCATGTGAACACGTTTTTTTGGTTTTTGGAATATTTTAAAGTACATTCTAGACTTCATATTCCACCTACAAATATTCCAGTATGTATAGCAAAGGATAATAATTTTTAAGAATAACCACATGGTAAAAATTCAATGTAAATTTGAACAATTGTGTAAGCATTCTTTGTTCAGTCAAGTGATCTAGTGTAAGCGCACTGGACTCCTAGAGAAAAACTGCCTGAAACAAACAATATGTTAATTGTATCAGATTAAGAAGAAAAAGGAAGGCATATAAGAATTTTCACTTCAAATGCCTCAGACTTGCCAGTTTGTTTTACAGCTTTAATGAGGTATAATCAGCATACAATAAAATTCTCCCATTTTAAGTATGCAGTTTGTTGAGCTTTGTTAGTATAGTCACTTTTAGAACCCTCTATCATCCAAAAAATTTCCCTAGGGCCTCTCTGTGGTCAATCCGCATCCCTAAAACTTTGTTTCGATAATGTTGCCTTTTTGAGAATTTAATATAACAAATCATACAGTATGTAGCCTTTTGCTCCTGATTTCTTTCACTTAGCATGATGTTTTTGAGATTCAACCATGTTATTCCCTGTATCAGTAGTTCCTTCCATTTTACTGCCTACAGTATTGCATGGATGCATGGATACATGAAGTGTTTATCCACTCACAACTTGACGGATGTTTGTCTATTTCCTTTTTTTTTTTAGTATTATGAATAACGCCTCTGAGAAGATTCATGTACAAGTGTTTGTGTGGACATATGCTTTTATTTCTCATGGATTGATATCAAAGGGCGAAAATTCTAGGTTGAACGGTCAGCATATGTTTAACTTCTTAAGAAAATGACAAAATGTTTGCCAAAGTAGTTGTACCTTTTTGTGTTCCCACCAGCAATGTGTGGCTGTTCTGGTTGTTCCACATCCTCATCAACACTTGGTATTGTCAGTATTTTTCATTTTAGCTATCCTATCATTAGTTTTAATAGTCTAGTTAATTCACTTTGATTTTCTAAATATATAATATCATATGTAAGTAGTGATAATTCTTTATCTTACTGCCCTGTTTCTAGAACATCTAAATCACTAGCAAATAATATCAATAATTATAGACATCCTTGACTTTTTAACAATTATGCTACTAATATTTTATTGTTAGGATCTTACTGTATTTGCAGTTAGTCACATTATGAAATATCCTATTTTTAGTTTAGTAAGAGGTTATTTATTCTTTTAATCACAAGATACTGAGTTTTTATCAAGTGTAATTCAGCATCTAAAAAATCAACTGTCTTTTCTACTTTGGTTTTCTGATGCAATGAACTAAATTAACATATTTCCCAATGTTGAATCATCCTTATCTTTGTGAAACAAACCCTAATTGGGGTTTGTTTTGATATACTGCTTGGGTTTCTTCTGTTACACTACTATTTTGTTCCATGGGATATGTTAGTATTTACTTCTAGGGGAAAATAAAAATGTTAATCCTCAATTTCTTCATATGTAAAATAGGGATAAGATACATAGAGACACAGAGAAAGATGGGTAAAGGAACTGTTAGGAAGATTAAATGAGATAATGTGCATAGTTGCTCAATAAATGAAGGAAGTAAAGATTTCAATCCAGGTCAGTATCATCCTTGACACCACCATCCTCTGTTTTATCTGTTATTAAGAGAAGGCTAACCATTGAGATGGATTCTCGCTCTGTCACCCAGGCTGGAGTGCAGTGGCATGATTTCAGCTCACTGCAACCTCTGCCTCCCGGGTTCAAGTGAGTCTCCTGCCTCAGTCTCCGAATAGCTGGGATTACAGGAACCCACCACCAGTCTGGCTAATTTTTTTGTATTTTTAGTAGAGATGGGGTTTCACTATGTTGGCCAGGCTGGTTTCGAACTCCTGACCTCAAGTGATCCACCTGCCTTGGCCTCCCAAAGTGCTAGGATTACAGGAGTGAGCCACTGCCCCTGGCTGGTTTTTGTTTTTTTTTTTTTTTGAGACGGAGTCTCGCTCTGTCGCCCAGGCTGAAGTGCAGCGGCGCGATCTTGGCTCACTGCAAGCTCCGCCTCCCGGGTTCATACCATTCTGCTGCCTCAGCCTCCCGAGTAGCTGGGACTACAGGCGCCCGGCACGACGCCCGGCTAATTTTTTTTGTGTTTTTTCAGTAGAGACACGGTTTCACCCTGTTAGCCAGGATGGTCTTGATCTCCTGACCTCGTGATCCGCCCGCCTCGGCCTCCCAAAGTGCTGGGATTACAGGCGTGAGCCACCAAGGCCGGCCGCCCGGCTGCTTTCTAACAATCTTTTTATAACAATTTAACAAACTAGTAATTTAGTAGAGCTAAATATTTATGGGTTTTTTTAAATGCTGAAATGATGAATTCCCTTCCTTAATGAACTAAAAGTAATTATTCAAATCTGGACAAGAAGTTAGCCTACCTGAGTGTGACTGATTGTTATATGGTTGCCATGAAGAGGTGACTGGCGATCTTTCTCCTTACTGTGACGACTACTCTGTTTACTGCGTTGTAGTTGCTGCCTCAGTTTGGCGATCTGCTTTGGGGACAGGGAAAGAGAAGTAAGAAGAGAATAAAAGTGAATACCAAATTTTTATATTTATTTCTTCAGTTTTGGGGTACTGATTAAAACATTTTCAAGTTTCTAAGAAGAGACAATATTTCACCACCATGATTTACTCTTGCAAGTTTTTGGGATTATTAAAAATGAGAAGTAAATATATGCTACAAATGCTTCACTTCTACAAATTTGAATAGTGTTATTGGTAAATATGCTAACTACATTTCCCCAGATTATTTCAGATTTTACCTTTGTAACACCAGAAATATCCTTTTTGAAAACCTTTTATAAGATGAAAAATAATATTTCAAATGCCTACTGATTAAAGTTAAACCTGATCTCTAAACATATGCACCACATTAGTTTCTAAGTTCCTGTCCTACATAAACAAAATGGATCTGGTTTACCAATTACTAAACACTTTAAAATTGTAAATCCCATGGTGTTGTGGAGAATCAAAGCTATTTAGTAACTTATTAATATTTAATATATTACTATATATATTACTCTGTAATCATAAAACCTTTAAAAACAAATATAATTTAGGGTATATTCTCCTAAAAGGAAGGGCCACACTTCCCTCGTTTCACAGAAAAGTCATTACTATAATATGACCTGGAATTCATTAAACTACTTACATATTTTAGGTGATGTAAAAGGAAACCATTAACAAATTGGGGGTAGTCATTTAATATTGGTATTATTTTCCTTGTAGAAAAGAGGATGTTAATCAATTAATAATTATTCCCTGAACATCTACAATGAGCCCAGAGAGATACAACAAAGATATAATGTATTCCAAAATTATCTAAATATTTACCTTGAATAACCATGGCAATAGAAAATTAGTATTAAAGCCTATAAATGCTCAAGGGTAAAAGTATATAGGTCGCTGAGAAAACTAATGTTTACCTGTGGTTAATAGAAGAGAAAACAATATAGAAGAAAATAAAGCACCCAAACAAGGAAGAATTTATATCCTTTCTTTTATGGTGAGATCTTTAGATCCTTTTAAGTTTTTTAAAGCTCTATGTAGCTTATGGATCTCTCATAAAATGTGCTTGCAAAAGATACACAAATAAGATTATGTGAATATTTGTGTGCCTTCCTCTCTATTGAACTGACATAATTTTCTTGCAGAGAACATTAATTTTTACAAGAAAATGAATCAAAATTTGTAGGTAATCAATATAACTCAAGACAGATAATTCTCTATGATAAAAAAGAAATAGGATTTCAAATTGTACAATTCATTTAATCAGGACAGAGGTATAAAAGCAAAACTGCAAAGAGCTTATATGAAAGAGCTCAGAATGCCTAGAGATTAATAATATAATCTGTACTTACTCATTTAAAAAAATATTTAAACATAAAATCTTAAAATTGATAAATATTAGTCAATCTATTTTTTCAAGGCCTCTGAGATGTCAAAATAAGCCAGAAAATTTTGTTCTAAGCCAACTTAACAAACCCCTGAAGACAAAAAGCCTACATTATGCTACAAACCTTACTTCACTTAGATTACCAACCTAAATAATATAATCCTATAGCTTTTCACATGTACTGTGAATTCCAAAGACAGACCTTCTTTGGAATATAACATAGTTATGCTCTTGTTTACAATCCCGTGGGAATTAGGGTAAAAGTCCATCTTTCTAAATGTATATTATATACTTGGCATATTTCAAATTCTAGTCAAGAAGTATGTGAGATGCCTAATTTAAACTTGAAACGGGTCCCAACTACACTAGCTCCAAGGTTTTAAAACATTAGTTAGGGAATAAGTCAGCTGGGTGCAGTGGCTCACACCTGTAATCCCAGCACTCTGGGAGGCTGAGGCAGGTGGATCAGCAGTTGAAGACCAGCCTGGCCAACATGGCGAAACCCCATCTCTGCTAAAAAAAAAAAAAAAAATACAAAAATTAGCCAGACGTGGTGGTGTGGGCCTGTAATCCCAGCTACTTGGGAGGCTGAGGCAAAAGAATTGCTTGAACCTGGAGGGGGAGGTTGCAGTGAGCCAAGATCCCACCACTGCACTCCAACCTGGGCGACAGTGCGAGACTGTCTCAAAACAAACAAACAAACAAAAAAAAAAACGAAAACAAAAAAAAACAAAACAAAACCATGAAAAGGTAGGAAATAAGTAAGTGATCCTGGGTCACAAGGAATAAATAATAACTATAGAGAGAGTAATAAGCATAGTCACCAAGAGAAGATTAAAGCATTTATGCAATTAAATGAAGAAAAAACAGAAACTGGCCTTACTTAACATCTGAGAACCAGAAACACATTTTTTGAAAACTTAGTAACATCATCTGTTTACTTGCTATTTTTGTCCTGATTATTTCCCCCACTACTGTTAACATTTGCATAAATAAATAAATAAATAAATAAATAAATAAATAATACAAAACCAAAACCCTTATCCTCAAAAGACTGGTTGTGCACTTTTGCCTCAAGGACTGAAGAAGACAGAAATCTTTCTCAGAATGAATTCTATTCCACCATAGAGCAGGGAAATGGGAAATCTTAACTTAAAGGACTAAGGGATGGCAGTGAGAAAGGAAGCAGGATTTGGGGGCTTTGGGAAGAAAAAAAGAGAAGGAGCAAGCCTAAAACCAGGAAAAATGTTATAGATTATCACTAGCAAGAGACCTGGTGTCCTCAGTTCATCCTTCTTATCCACAGGTACCACTGCACCGCGATACAAGCACAACCATCAGAGGTAGCTGGAAAGTGAAGTAATTCTTATTTCTAATGTTAGGACAATGTGGGAAGTATGCCACTCCTGCCCCAAGGCAGACTGCTGAACAATATTTGCTACAGAAAGACCACCCATTACACACAGTAGTTAAGGTCTCTCTATCCCACTACTATATGTTGGTTTATAACCAAGATTCCACAGAACAGTGTTTCAGTGGGACAAATATATCCTGGGTGTGAGACATCTAACTGATAACTAAACTTTTAAGCCATAACCAACTCAAAACTAGGAAATTAATTTTGGAAGTCAGCTCCCCACAACTTAAGAACAACCTTTTGAAAAAAGAAAATTCAATCCATAAACTGTAATAATTTGTATTCAATAGTTAGAAACTCTGAATATTTAAAGATAACCTGCCCTAGGGTGCCATCTTTGGTTTGCGGTTTGAGTGCTGAGCAAGCATTAAGGCACCAGACTGAGGGGTAAATCCAGGCTAGACCAAGCTCTACTCAGCAAGCTGTAGCCTTAGCAGAATACTCAGGCTACCTGAAAGAAGCCTTTTCCTTCACTGAAAGACACTGCCCTTTAAAAAAAAAAATCTTATGCTAATGGGGCTACATCTACTTAAGAGGGGGTGCTTTTATCTAATTCACACAAAGGTGACCTATAGGGTAGTACCTGCCCAGGACAAGGTGACTAAAGCTAAAATCCTTTTTAACAGGAACCAAAAGTAATAGCTATAATTCTTTTCATCTTTGAAAAAGAAGACAGAGATACCATTAGAATAAAAAGGCACATCATAAACTGGGAAAATATATTTACAACACATATATCCACCAAAGAATTCATATCCACAATATGTAAAGAACACCTACAAAGCAGTAAGAAAAAGTCTAATAGTAGGCAAAAGACTTGAACAGGTACTTAGCCAAAGAGAATATCCAAATGGTCAATATGCATAAAAAAGGTGCTCAACATCATTCTAATGAGGGAAATATAAATTAACACCCATCATAAGGTCTAAACTTAACTTAAAAGATGACAAAACCAAATGATGACTAAGACGTGAAACAACTGGAACTCTCCTTCCACTGCTGGGGGTGAAGGGTGTTCTTTTATTTTAACATAGTAGCCTTCACCACATAAGATTTTCTGGGGGAAGTGCTTATATCCTCAATACTAAGTCACTCAAGGTAACAGCTGAAGAGCAGAAAGCAGTAACCTGACTCAAAAGAGGCAAAAATTCTTAATTCAGTTACCTGGATGCAGAAATGAATGACATGCCCAAGGCTGTAATTAGGTTCTAAGGTTCTTAGTAGGAAATAGTACTAACAGAAGAGGAAATCATGCTGATTATTCAAGAGGGCTGGGGAGCTATGCTTCCTGCCTTGCATGGCAAAGAGGAATGAGCTACCGGAAAATAGAAGACCTCTGCAAATACACAACTATGATGTCTATTTCTGCTAATGACATTTCTAACAACGGACATTAGAACACACCCTCTTTATGTAAAGGGATATTCCTATAATAGAAATTTATGCTTTGCCAAATGCCAGTAATACAATTTTAAACAAATTATAATTCAACATGCTGAAAATGCTCTGATGATGCACATTCTGCCTAATAACATATTCTTTCCAGCAATTATTAAGAGTAATTATAGGCCAGTTTGATGACTGTGTCAATTAACAATAAAAAAGCATCATTAAAATTTGCCTATCTAATTATTTACTGAGTACTAGCATTGTAGAAGGCACTCTGCTACTTGCTTTTATATGAATTATCTCATTTATTTTTCAACAAAAGCACATGAGATAGGTACTATTATTATTATTTTAAAGGTGAAGAAATACAGGTAGAAAGGTTAAAAAAATATATTGCTAAAAGTCACATTGTTAAGTGGTAAACAAGTGTTTGGACTCAGTAAGTGGAATTCCACATTCTGCTCTCTTCATCACCATTCTATACTGACTGAAGAATGAAGTTAACAACTCACAAGGAGATAAATCTTACAAAAATTACAGACAAATGGGAATGGAAAAGGTGACAAAGGCTGAACTGAGATAACTCCTTCCCTAAAACAATCACTGAAGATATTAACTCAAGTACTTTTTCTGAAAATATAGTTTGAAAAATCATGAATCTCAAGCTGTTAATCTCTTCTTTATAAAATGGGAAATATACGACAAACTTTAATGTTTATAAAGATCACATGTCCCAAAAGAAAGGTCTATAGTCTAGTTAAAAGTAAATTTTATATATTATATCCCTCTACATATAAATTTTATATATTATATCCCTCAACAAAAATCTCAAACTTCTAAAAATAAAAATTTTAAACTTCTGCCTTCCTATAAATATGAATAATCACTGTTGTTTTCCTGTTTTTCTTTAAAGTGTCAGTAAGCAAACCCTGATGAACAAACTGCTCTTCATTCAACACATGCACACAAACATGCACAAAGAAAATACATACGTGCAAGCACAATACATATACACAGGGAGGGTCATCTGTAAGCACATCTACCCCTATACATCCATCCACAAACAGACATGCTTGCCTACATGCAGACTTCACATAAACCCACTGATCCCGGAATAGACAGAGATTCCACACACCACGCACCCCCGAACCCCCAGATTCACCTCTACAGATACAGCTAGCTTTGGAAGAATTTTTATACATATAAGTTTTAATATAGAAATGTATTTACAACTATTAATAAACCATATTTGTCAAGAGACATTTTAATACCAGACTAAAATTTAAAAACACTGTTCACAAATCCATCTGATGCCTCAAATTTATACTGCAGATGAGAAAAACTCAAAAACAAAGTACCTTCCCAATGTGAAACAGCTAATAAATGGCAAATCCAGTTCTACAGCTTTCATTTGTAACCTCTATTACCTAGCGATGCTACTGAATACTGTGTGAATGTTCAACTGTAAATAACTACCAATAAATAACTATTGGCTCATAATTTCAACCAACCACTGCATAACTTCCTTTCTTGATGCTGGAGATATTACAAGCCGTGAAACTGAAATAATAATGAACAAAAATTTAATGAAGCGATTAAATGACTGTATATTAACTTACTGGTAAGTTTCTATATTTTTTGATAAACAATTTATGTGACCTTCAAAACTGTTCCTATTGGGTCTGGTTTTTAAAAGATAATGAAAGCATTATAAAACATATTTACGATTCAATTTAATTTAGACAGAGACTTTACTGGATAAATAATATATGTATTTTTAAAAGGTTTATAACATAATTCCTTTGATTTCAAAGAGATAATATAAAATATTCAGACTATTATCTTGTAGGTCCAGAAAAACCATTACTGCAATTGTTCTTCCCTAATATCATTACAAATATGTACTGAAAATACCAAGAATGAACAGAATGTTAGGGCAGACTGTACCCTCTCAGTAAAACTATAGTTTTATTAAAGGGAAGTCTTACTTTAAAAAGGAGACCCTATCAATAATACTCATTAAACACTTTTGACTGGAAGCAAGAAACATCCCTAATCATTTATTTTACTCCTTCAGATGGTTCCATCTAAAAAAAATATAACGTACTAATGAGAGGGCTTGCTGGTGAAATAATGAAGCAACATGTGATTTTATTCTTCTTTCCACTGAGTGCCTTAAAGAATAGTAAATCTATCTTTTTCAATTTTTGTTTATAAAAACCAGAATAGTAAAAACAAAAACAAAAAAAGAAAACAACAATATAACAGTTCTACTTACGTTCCCTCTGGGACAAAGGGTAAATGTGCTTACTGCTTATTGTAAAAGCAGTGGATTACCCAAGCTCAGTGTTCCTCTTCCATAATATGATCTACTGTATGTACAGGATCCATCTGAGTCTTCCTCATTTCCCCATGGGACTTGGGGTCCAGGAGAATTGACATAAATTTGATGTTCTTGACACTTGCTGTGCTGTGAATAATAAAGTCACCTGTCTCTAAATCAGGAGTCTTATACCTTCTGCTAGCATCTATGAAAGAGTAACAGGTTACCTTATGAGGTTCCAAGTAGGATAAAATCAAATCTAATACCTAAGACAGTATACTTCCTGCTTTACCTCAAATGAAAAGAGAGGAGTTTTAATGGAACAACTTGGAAAGACTCATGTATGTTCCCCATAATTAAGGGGACTGGTATTTGACTCACACTCCACACTCTGAAAAGAGTGCGGTAGGATGATATAGATTTACTGCTGCATTAGAATAAATCTAAACTCCCTGTATTAAACAGACCCCCCCACCTCCCCAAAAAAATTGGTGAGAGTTTCTCAGGAGCCATTTGGGAAATCTGAGTGTGTGAACCATCATGAAGGGTTGTTTTAGGTCCTTCTTAAGAGGGCCACCAAGAAGAGGAAATAGAGCTCAGCAGCTGAGAAGCTGAAGGTTATTTCTAGAATTTTAGAGGCTAAGAGAGAGTAAGAGATACACTAACCCAGAAATAACTGTAGGTAAGAGATGTGCAGAACAGGGGATCTCCAAAGACCCATGAAAATGTAAGAGAAAGTCAACTTTAAAAATCTGTTAAGCCCAGAAAAAGTAAAACTCTCTTATGACAGTAGCAGTCAAGTAGGAACATTTCTATTCCATTTCCTTTTCCCTCATTTTTCCAAGCTCCAACTCCACAGAGGTCAGAAATAGAGACTGTTGAGTTAGGGAAAAAATGAGCAAGAAAGAGAAAAGAAGCCCCTGGGATCCCTTCACCCATGATAAGTCACCCAGCAGCAGTACACTCTGGGAGAAGGGAAGTAGCTGTAAACATAAAAAGAGATGTAAGCTTTGATTATCATAAGAGATAAGAAAGCATTTACTCACTTAAAGGGAACACAGGAGTTTAGGAGTGACCAGATTCTAATTTTCTATCATGGGCAGAAGAACTTCTGTCACTGAATAAGGATAGTGGGAGCTAATTTAAAGTCCTTTTGTGATTATCACTTAAAAGTCTTAGTTGTGTTGTCTAATATGTAATTAAGCTCTTAAGCTCTTTAAGAAGTAGACTGTATCTAAAGTTTCTTCTGAAATTGTAGATGCTTTACACAATACTGAGCATACAATCTTACTCATTTGATGTTAATGCACATGTTGACACTATATAAACTAATGCAGTGTCACCAAAGGCTGATAATGAATGCTAAAAAGTTATCTTCAGCATGTACTTGTCTTTGTTTTTACCTCAACTAAATGGGTGCAAATTAACGGTTGTAAAAAGTGGTAAGTATTCATTAAATCCTTATTTCCTTAGCAGACATCTTAAACCCTACTTAATGCTTTATACATTAATTTAAAATTATTGTGTTATTTCAGCAGGGAAACACAAATCTAACCAATGGAAAAGTATACGCGTACAATTGTTTAGAAATTAAACAAGTGTATAATCTAAATAAAGGCTGGGTTAGCAAATCTCTAGTAAATACAATGCACTGGAGGAAAATCAATCTTTTCATAAAGGGAAATGATGTTTCACTTGGATTCATTTCCTTAACATGGTCACAACTTCATTGTATACGAGCATTAACTGTGATTTCTAATAAATGCATTGATAACCTGGTTGTCATTTCTTTGTAAGTAATATGCTTTTCCCTAATTGCTAGAATGTGTGTGTACGTGTGTATTATTGATCTACAGTTCCTTTATGCTATACTTAGAGGTGGTTTTTTTTTTCCCCCTCTCTGTTTCTCCTCATTGAAACTGGTAACTTTTTCAATCTGAAGACACACATCCATCTCCAAATCTAACAAATTTTCAACCTTGGGAAATTTCTCTTCCCTGGCACTATTCTTACATTCTGGAGTTCCTAACTCAGTTATCTCTGTCAACAAAAAAAGTCAAACTCTGTATTTGAAGGTATTTATTCTGAGCCAAATATGAGTGACCATGGCCCATGTCACAGCCCTGAGGAGAACATGTGGCCAAGGTGGTTGGGGCACAGCTTGGTTTTATACATTTTATGGAGACATGAGGCATCAATCAAATACATTTGAGATATACATTGGTTCAGTCCAGAAAGGCAGGACAACTCGAGACAGGGGCTTCTGGGTTATAGGTAGATTTAAAAATTTTCCGATTGGCAAATGGCTGAGTTATTATCAATAGAAAGGAATGTCTGAATTCCGATAAGAAGTTATGGAAACCAAACTTTTATCATGCAGAAGAAGCCTCCAGATAGCAGGCTTCAGAGAGAATAGACTGTAAATGTTTCTTATCAAACTTAAGGTCTGTGTTGATGTTAAATGCTGGTCAGTTTTTCCCAAATTCCAAAAGGGAGGAGGGCATAAAGAGGCATGTCCACCCCTGCTTCCCATAATGGCCTGAACCAGTCTTTCAGGTTAACTTTCAGTTCCTGGACGAGAGGAGGGAGTCCACTCAGATGGTTGAGGGAGGGCTCTGAATTTTATTTTTGGTTTATATCTTCCATGTCTCTTCTCTTTCATGTTTTAAACCTCTTTACCTCTTTGTTCTATGTTCTACGTGACTTGATTCATCCTAACTTTCAATTCCCAGCTGATAGTTCTGATTCATGAATTCTCTCTTCCGTTATGCCAACTTGACTTTAATCCATCCAACAGTTTATTTAATTTTATCAAATTTTGTTACAAGATTTGCAAGTGGCCCCTTTTCATTCCACCTGTTCTTATTTACTTCTATTCTCATAGTGAATTATGACTTCATTTGAACATCTTAAACATTTATAAGGTTTTTTTTTTTTGGAATTGTGGTTCTTACTCTCATTTCCTCAGATGTAAATGAGGCTACTTAATATGTCCGATATCTCTTATGGCAACATGTTTCCTAAGATATTTGTTTGCAGGTTCATCTTATGTGGAAGTTTTATCCTCTGCGAACTCCTGCCTGCTGTGTGGTTGCATGGTTACTCACACCTCTGGAGTTACACAGCTCCAGAGTAGGTCTAACATAAAGAAGACTGGAACTTTGGTCCCTCATAAGTAGAGCTCTAATTCAGGTGCCACATCTACATATATTATAGGGTTACATTCCTATTTTTGCATAACTGCCTCATTGGGTCACAGGAAAATACCAACAGTGTCAGGTGGAATTATTTCGGGTATAGTATTTCAGGTATAGTTGCACTGCCTAAAACACGGTCCCAGTTCCCTACTTTTATACAGAGAGCCCAGTTCCAATCTCCTGCCATTTGCAGAATACTTTTGGTTCTCTTTCCCGTGAAGATTACCTAGGTTTCTGTACAATAGGTCCTTTCATCATATTGTTCATTGAAAACAACCAATTCCAGCTGGGGCCACTGTGTGGAGTTTGCAATCTCTCCCCACGTCTGCATGGCTTTTTTCTGGGTACTCTGGTTTCCTCCCACATCCCAAATATGTTGCCGTATCTAAATGGTCCCAGTCTGAGCGAGTGTGGGTGCATCTGTAAGTGTGCCTTGTGAAGGAATGGCATCCTGTCCAGGGTTGGTTCTCATCCTGTGCACTAACCTTCCAGGATACACTGCAGCCACTCATGACCCTACACTGGAACCGTTGGGTAAATAATATTTTTATTACTCTTTCTTAAATTTACCTCCAGCTCACAGTTGTTTCAGTGTTTAATATTACAAGTTTTTTGGTCTTTATCTAGAAGTCTGGTGATGTTTTTATAACCAGAAATATGCCATAAGGACTTAATTCTTGTTTCTGTCCATTAGCCTACGGTAAAAGTGGTTTCATTATACATCATTTCCTTTAAAGTCATAGTTTCCAAGAATCTACTGACAACATTAAGTGAGGACTTACTGTAAGCATCAACATCCACTCATCACCAAGACTTTTTTTTCTATTTCTATGGTCTGTTGAGATTTTTCTTGTCATAAATGTAGATAAAATGTATTTACTTATGATTAAATTTTTTCACATTGCATTCTTACAGGTTTGGAGCAAAGTAGAGGCAAATTATATACAAGTGCTTTTACTGACATTTTAATCAGAAATCCTGAAGCAAATTATCTGATAGAGAGAGTATACATGTGAATTATGAAGAACAGATGTGCCGGGCACAGTGGCCCACACCTGTAATTTTAGCACTTTGAGAGGCAGAGGCTGGATGATTGCTTGAGCCCAGGAGATTGAGACCAGCCTGGGCAACATGCCGAAAAATTGTCTCTACAAAAAATACAAAAATTAGCCAGGTGTGGTGGCATATGCCTATAGTCCCAGATACTCAGCACACTGAGAGGTAGAAGGATCACTTGAACCCAGGAGGTCGAGGCCGCAGTGAGCCGACATCACACCACTTCACTCCAGCCTGGTGACAGGGCAAGACCCTGTCTCAAAAGAAAAAAAAAAAAAAAGTACAAAAAGGAATGGATATAATACTGTTTAATTCGATCCTATGTCAAGGAAGATGATGATACATTATTTCAAAAAGCACTGAACTTTAGTGGTGTGTAACTTTTAAAAATATTTAGTGCCTTGGCCAGGCACGGTGGCTCATGTCTGTAATCCCAGCACTTTGGGAGGCTGACGCAGGTGGATCGCGAGGTCAGGAAATCAAGACTATCCTGGCTAACATGGTGAAACCCTGTCTCTACTAAAAATATAAAAAAATTAGCCAGGCATGGTGGCAGGCGCCTGTAGTCCCAGCTACTCGGGAGGCTGAGGCAGGAGAATGGTGTGAACCCGGGAGGCGGAGCTTGCAGTGAGCGGAGATCGCGCCACTGCACTCCAGCCTGGGTGACAGAGCGAGACTCCATCTCAAAAAAAAAAAAAAAAATTTAGTGCTTCAACAATAGTTTTGATTTTTCATGACTTTCTCACATTATAATTCTTGACATCTATTACAACTATTCTTCCTATTTTCATGTTCGGTCTTCACCCATGTACTCTCATTTTTATAGCCTGTTATACAGAATTTAGTATCTTCATGAAATATCATGAAAATCACATTAGTCTTTTATACCTATTCCCTTTTTTCAGTTTTATTGAAGTATAATTTACATTCCATTAACTTCATCCATTTTAATAGTAAAATTCATAAGGTTTTAATCAATTTGCAGATTTATACAACAAGAATCACAATCCAATTTTAGGACTTTTTCATCACCCCCCAAATTTCCCTTCATTCTATTTATTGTCAATCATCAGTTTTCTGGTCACAGGCAACCATAATAGGCATTTTTTCCTTTCTATAGATTTGCCTTTTCTGCAATTTTGATAAAACTATAATCATATAACATGTAGTCTTACTCATCTGACTTTACTTAGCAAGGATTGGCAAGCTATGTTCTGCTGGCCATATCTAGCCTGTCATATGTTTTTGCAAATAAACTTTTACTGGAACATAGTCAAACCTACTCTATACTGCCTATGGCTGCTTTTTTTTTTTTTACCACAGCATTGTTGAATGAAGGCATACTTTTAAGATATTGCAGGTTTGATTCCAGACCACCACAAGAAATAAAAAATATAGCAATGAAGTGAGTCACATGAACTTTTTGGTTTCCCAGTGCAAATAAAAGTTATGTTTATATTATACTGTAGTCTAGTAAGTGTGCAATAGTAGTGTCTAAAAACAATATACATACCTTAATTTTAAAATACTTTATTGCTAAAAAATGCTAATGATCATCTGAGTCTTCAGCAAGTTACAATCTTTTTTATGGTGAAGCTCTTGTCTCGTAGATGTTAGCTGACTGATCAGGATGGCGGTTGCTGAAGGCAGAGGCAGTTGTGGTAATTTCTTAAAATAACAGTGAAGTTTGCCAAATTGACTGACTTTTCCTTTCATACCAGATTTCTTTGTAGCATGTGATGCTGTTTGATAGCATTTTACTCGCAGGACTTCTTTTAAAATTGGAGTCAATCCTCTCAAACCCTGCCACTCTTTATCAACTAGGTTTATGTAATATTCTAAATCTTTTGTTATCATTTCAACAATGTTCACAGCTTCTTCATCAGGAGTACATTCCTACTTAAGAAACCACTTACTTTGCTCATCCGTAAGAAGCAATTCCTCATTCATGCAAATTTGATCACCAGATTGCAGCAAATCAGTCACATCTTCAGGTTCCACTTCTATTTTTCAAAGAGACAGGGTCTTGCTATGTTGCCCTGGTCTCAAACTCCTGGGCTTAAGTGATCTCAGCCTCAAAGTGTTGGGATTATAGGCATGAGCCACTGCACCCAGCCCATGTTCCACTTCTAATTCTAGTTCTCTTGCTATTTCCACCACATCTGCAGTGACTTCCTCCACTCTAGTCTTGAACCCCTCAAAGTCATCCATTAAGGGTGGAATCAAGTTCTTCCAAGCTCCTGTTAATGATATTTTGAAATCCTCCAATGAATCACAAATGTTCTTAATGGCATCTAGAATGGTGAATCCTTTCCAGAAGGTTTTCAATTTACTCTGCCCAGATTCATCAAAGGAATCATTATCTATGGTACCTGTAAGCCTTACAAAATGTACTTCTTAAATAATAAGAATTGAAGATTGAAATTACTCCTTGATTCACGGACTGCAGAATGGATGTTGTGTTAGCAGGCATGAAAACATTAATTTTTTTTATATCCCCATCGGAGCTTTTGGGTGACCAGGCAAATTGTCAATAAGCAGTAATATTTTGAAAAGAATCTTTTCCTTTTTTGAGCAGTATGTCCCCATAGTGGGCTTAAAATATTCAGTAAACCATGTTGTAAATAGATGTGCTATATCATCCAGGCTTTGTTCTTCCACTTTATAAAGTACAAGCACAATAGACATAGCATAATTTTTAAGATCCCCAGGATTTTCAGAATGGCAAATGAGCACTGGCTTAAATCATCAGCTGCAGCTGCGTGTGGTGGCTCATACTTGTGATTCCAGCACTTTGGGAGGCTGAGGCGGGAGGACTGCTTGAGCCCAGGAGTTCGAGACCAGTCTGGGCAACATAATGAGACCTTGTCTCTACAAAAATAAAAAACAATTAGCTGGGTGTGGTGGTGTATGCCTGTAGTACCAGCTACTTGGGATACTCAGGTAGGAAGACTGCTTGAGCCCAGCTGCAGCTGCAGTGAGCTACGATCATGCCACTGTACTCCAGCCTGGGTGACAGAGCAAGACCTTGTCTCGAAAAAAAGAAAAAAAGCAAGCTCCTAACAAGAGAGTCAGCCTGTCCTTTAAAGCTTTGAAGCCAGGCATCATCAACTTCTCTCCAGCTATGAAAGTCCTAGACAACATCTTATTCCACAGTACAGCTGTTTTGTCTATAATGAAAACCTGTTAGTGTAGCCACTTTCATCAATGATCTCAGCTAGGTATTCCAGTTCACTTGCTGCAGTTTCTACATCACCACTTAGTACTTCTTCACCTTGCACTTTATAGATATGGCTTCTTTCCTTAAACCTCAGAACCAATGTCTGCTGGCTTCAAACTTTACTTCTGCAGCTTCCTCTTCTCTCTCAGCTGTCACAGAATTGAAGAGAATTAGGGCCCTTCTCTGATTAAGCTTTGGCTTAAGGGAATGTTGTGGCTGGTTTGATCTTTTATCTAGTCCACTCAAATTTTCTCCGTGTCAGCAATAATGCTGTTTTGCTTTGTTATCATTCTTGTGTTTGTTTGAGTAGAATTTTTATTTCCTTCAAGACCTTTCCCTTTGCATCCACAGCTTGGTTATTTGGGTGCAAGAGACCTAGTTTTTGGTCTGTACTGGCTTTTTACTTGCCTTCCTCACTAAGCTTAATCATTCCTAGCTTTTGACTGAATGTGAGAGAGGTATGACTCTCTCATTCATTTGAACACTTAAGAGGTCACTGTAGGAGTATTAGTTGGCCTATTTCACTATTATTGTGTCTCAGGAAATAAGGAAGCCCAAGGAGAGGAAAATGATAGTTGATGAAGCAAAGCACATGCATACATTTACGGATTAAGTTTGAATGATGCTGCGATAAACATTTGTGTATAAGTCTCAATGTAGACATGTGTTTTCATTTTTCTTGTACAGACTTTTAAGAATGAAATTGTTGGGTTGTATGCTAAATTTCTGTTTACCTTTTTGAGAAACTAGCAAAGTGTTTTCCAAAGTGGATGTACCACTTTATATTCCTAAAAATGTCTGAGAGTTCCAGGTCCTCCAAATCCTAACCAATGCTTGCAATTAATCCGTCTTTTAAATAGTCATTGGTGTGTGTGTGTGTGTGTGTGTGTGTGTGTGTGTGTTAATTATATCTCACTATGGTTTTTAAGTTTTTTTTTGAGTCAGGGTCTTGCTCTGCCACCCAGGCTGGAGTGCAGTGGCATGATCATAGATAGTCCACTGCAGTCTCAAACTCCTGGACTTAAGCAATCCACCTGTCTCAACATCCTGAGTAACTCGGACCACAGGCACACACCACCATGCCCAGCTAACTTCTGTATTTTTTGTAGAGATGAACTCTTACTATGTTGCTCAGGCTGGTCTTGAACTCATGAGCTCAAAAGATCCTTCCATCTCAGCCTCCCTAAGTGCTGGGATTATAGTTGTGGGCCATCACACCTCCCTCATTGTGGTTTTAATTTTCATTTCCCTAATGACTAATGAATGATGTTGAACACCTTTTCATGTGGTCATCTGCCATTCATACATTCTCTTTGATGAAATACTTTTTTATTATTTATTTTTATATAGATTTAGGGGGTAAAGTGCAGTTCTGTTACATGGATATATTGTGTAGGGAAGCCTGGGCTTCTTCTTTTTTTTTTTTTTTTTGAGACAGAGTCTTGCTCTGTCACCCGGGCTGGAGTGCAGTGGCATGATCTCGGCTCACTGCAACCTCTGCCTCCTGGGTGCAAGTGGTTCTCCTGCCTCAACCGCCCAAGTAACTGGGATTACAGGAGCCCGCTACCATGCCAAGCTAATTTTTGTATTTTTAGTAGAGACGGGGTTTCACCACGTTGGCCAGGCTGGTCTCAAACCTCTGACCTCAAGTGATCCACCCCGCGTGGCCTCCCAAAGTGCTGGAATTACAGGCGTGGGCCACTGCGCCCGGCTGAAGTCTGGGCTTTTAGTGGAACCATCACCTAAATATTGTAACCATTAGGTAATTTTTCATCCCTCACCCCACTCCAACCCTTCCAAGTCTCCAATGTCTATTATTCTACTCTCTATGTCCATGTATACATATTTTTAAGCTCCCACTTATGAGTAAGAATATGTAATATTTGACTGCTTCTGAGTTATTTCATTTAAGATAATGCCCTCCAGTTCTATCCATGTTGCTACAAAAGACATGATTTCATTCTTCTTTATGAATTAATAGTATTCCGTGGTGTGTGTATATACATATATATACACACACACAGACACACATTTTCTTTATCTGATCAGCCATTGACACTTAATTCCTTATCTTTGCTACCGTGAACTTAATTCCTTATCTTTGCTACCGTGAATAGTGTTGTAATAAACATGTGAGTGGAGGTGTCTCCGATATAATTTCCTTTCTTTTGGGTAGATACCCAGTAGTAGGACTACTGGATTAAATGGCAGTTCTATTTTTAGTTCTGTGAGAAATCTCCATATTTTTGCATAG
The DNA here is from genome assembly GCF_000001405.40 of Homo sapiens. Taxonomy (NCBI): domain Eukaryota; kingdom Metazoa; phylum Chordata; class Mammalia; order Primates; family Hominidae; genus Homo; species Homo sapiens. The sequence continues at coordinate 8,039,173 of NC_000007.14, read as the reverse complement.
AGGTTGTAGTAATTTACATTCTCACTAATGGTGTATAAGCATTCCCTTTTCCTCACCAACAACTATTTTTTTTTGACTTTTTAATAGTCATTCTGACTGGTATAAGGTGCTATCTCATTTTGATTTTATTTTGCATTTCTCTGATAATTAGTGATACTGAGCATTTTTCATCTCCTTGTTGGCTATATGCATGTTTTCTTTTGAAAAATGTTTGTTCATGTCCTTTATCCACTTTTTAACAGGGTTACGTATTTTTTTTCTTGTTGCATTGTTTGACTTCCTTGTAGATTCTGTGCATTAGTCCTTTGTCAGATATATAGTTTGCAAATATTTTCTTGCATTCTGTAGGTAGTCTATTTTCTCTGTTATTTATTTTGCTACATAGAGGCTTTTTAGTTTAATTAACTCCCATGTGCCTATTTTTGTTGCATTTGCTTTTGAGATCTTACTCATAAATTTTTTGCTTAGGCCAATGTTCAAGTTTGTCCTAGGTTTTCTAGGTTTGTCCTAGGTTTCCTCCAAAATGTTTATAGGTTCAGGTCTTACATTTAAGTCTCTAATCCATCTTGAGTTAATTTTTGTATATGATAAGAGATATAGGTTCAGTTTCATTCTTCTACATATGGCTACACAATTTTCCCAGGACCATTTATTCAAAAGAGTGTACTTTCCCCAGCATATGTTTTGTCAACTTTGTCAAAAATCAGTTGACTTTATTTCTGGGTTCTCTATTTTGTTCCACTGATTTATGTTTTTGCTATCCTACCAGTAGCATTCTGTTTTGGGTACAATAGCCTTGTAGTATAATTTGAAGGCAGGTAATGTGATGCAATAAACTTTTCTTCTTTTTTTGCTTAAGACTGCTTTCACCATTTGGGCTTTTTTCAATATGAATTTTCAGATTATTTTTTCTAATTCCATGAAAAATGACCTTGGTATTTTGATAGGAATTATACTGAATATGTAGGTGGCAATTTTAACCATATTAATTTAAGCTCTTACAATCCAAGAGCTTAGAATGTTTGTCCATTTGCTTTTGTCATCAGTGACTTCATTGGTGTTCTGTTCCATGCACTAATGAGAAGAATGTATATTCTATGGCTGCTGTGAATATTCTGTAAATTTCTACCAGGTCCATTTGATCTAGAGTCCAATTTAAGTCCAGTGTTTCTTTGCTGACTTTCTGTCTTGATGACCCATTTAGTGCTGTCAGTGGGGGGCTGAAGTCCCCTATCCACTATTATTGTATTACTATCTGTTTTCTTAAGTATAGCAGTATCTGCTTTATGAATCTGGGTGGCCTAGTATTGGGTGCATATATATTTAGAATTGCTATATCTTCTTGTTGAATTGATCCCTTTATCATTATATAATGACCTTATCTTTTTTTCCCTGTTGATTTAAAATCTGTTTTATCTGATGTAAGTATGACTACTCCTGCTCACGTTTTCTTTCCATTTGCAAGGAATGTCTTTTTCCACCCCTTTACCTTGAGTCTTTACGTGTCTTTAGCAGTTAGGTGGATTTCTTGTAAGCAAGATATGATTAGATCCTGCTTTTTAATCAATTCTGCCAAGCTGTATCTTTTAAGTGGAGCATTTAACCCATTTATGTTCAGAATTAATATTGGTATGTGAGGTTTTGTTCCTATCATAATGTTAACTTACCTAGTTGCTTTGTAGTCTCAGTTGTGGAACTGTTTTATAAGATCTGTGAGTTTTATCCTTTCATGTGTTTTTATGATGGTGAGTGTCAACCTTTCATTTCCATGTTTAGAAATCCCTTGAGCATTTCTTGTAGGACCAGTCTAGTGGTGATGAATTCCTTTGGCATTCACGTGTCTGGGAAATACTATTTCCCCTTCACTTACCGAGCTGAGTTTACCAGCATACAAAATTCGTGGCTGACAGTTTTCTTTTTCTTTTAAGAAGTCTGAAATTAGGCACCCAACCTCTTCTGGCTTATAGAGTTTCTGCTGAGCATTCTGCTGTAAGTCTGTTGGGGTTTCCTTTACAGGAGATTAGATGCTTTTCTCTTGCTGATTTTAGGATTCCTTTCCTTCACACTGACTTTGTCTGAAGACTATTTTGGTCGAGTCATCTTGCAATATATCTTTTGGATTTCCTTGAGCCTCTTCTATTTCAACATCTAAATCTCTAGTAAGATGAGAGAATTATTCCTCAATTATCTCCTCACATAGGTTTTCCAAACTTTTTTCTTTTTCTTCTCCCTCAGGAAGAAACCTTCTCCCTATGACAAGGTTTGGAGGTTTTACATAATCTCATACTTCTCAAAGGCTTTATTTTTCAAAATTCTGTTTTCTTTTTCTAGCTGGATTAACTTGCAGGACCTGTCTTCATGCTCTGACATTCTTTCTTCTCATTGGTTTAGTCTACTTGTTAAAACTTTCAACTCTATTTTGTAATTCATTCAATGAATTTTTCATTTCTAAAAGTTCTGGTGGATTTAAAAAAGTATCTCCTAATAAACTGTTCATTTATATCTTAAATTGTTTTTCTGATTTCTTTGTATTGTTTTTGAACTTTCTCTTGGGTATCATTGAACTTTAGTATCAATATTCTGAATTCTTTATCTGGTATTTAAAAGATTTCATTTTCATTAGGATCTATTGCTGGAGAGTTAGTATGATCCTTTGGAGGTGTTGTAATACTCTGTTTTTTCATACTTCCAGAATTGTCTCTCTAGTTCCTTCTCATCTGGATAAACTCTCTCTTCTTATTTTTGAATTTACTTTTGTTTGGACATGATTTTTTTTCCATCTTAAGGATGAGACTATAATATATGTTGTGTATGGCCTTTTGGCTTTTATTCTGGGTGCTTTCCACTGAAAGCAAAGTTTCTATGAGTTACTTGGTTTCAGACATGCTTTGTGTGATGGCTTCTCAAATACTAGTTGTAGAAGTGATGTACTGGGCATGTGAACAAACTCACTGCCTCTTGGGCCAGGATGGTGGAGGTCTCAGGAAGTTTATCTCATTCCCCAGAACTGTGCACTTGTGTTAGCAGATTTTGTATTGGGTTGTGCAATTTAACCTACAGACCAATAGGTGGTGCTTATGTGTAAAGGCCAGCTACAGCAGAAGCAGATGGGTATATGCTTGATCTTTGTTTACTGGAAGGATCTCTCTGTTGCTTCAAATTGGCCAGACTGTGTAATGCACAGTAGCCTGAGATCTCTGCTCAGCCCCTGATGGGGACAAAGCTGGGTAGAGCTAAACCACCAAGCCTGCTCTTCAATACTCCAATGGTGGACACAATCACTAGCCCTGAAGCGGGTGGTGAGAGGAGCTCCTGGTAGAATGTGACAAGCTCTCTATGTGGGGGAGGGAACTGCCTCAGCTCCATACCTAGGCAGGCAGGAACATGATTTGCTTCCCTGTCACACCCCTGTTAGGCACTTGGGACACTCTGACGGGACAGACAACACTGTCTATATCCACACTGCAGTGTAGCCAAGAGCTGTGAAATCTGCCCATCTCACAGCTTACTGCCAAACTATCTTTGGTGTAGAACCTGTCTTCAGCCTAAAACATACATCTTTGTGGTTCTCCTGATTTCTGTTGCAGGAACATAACAACTCCACATATAAGGGGGAGGTGCCCCACCTTTCACACAAGCCTGGGCCCAGCTTGAATAAATTCTTATTTTTTAGATTATCAGTGCGGACACAGCCATACCTAATTGCCCTAGAATGGCTGTCTTGTGATACGCCTGTACCAACCTCCCATAGGAGCAGCCATGGCTGTGTTCGCAGCAGTGGACAAGCTGCAGAGGAGAGATATCCCTTCTCCACATCTGTGCTTAAGCACTGAGGCCACCTGGCTGCTGGGATGGAACCCTGTTCCTCCCTTGAAGAGCCAAGCACAGTGCCCACATCTGCACTGGAAGTAGCAGTCACTCTCAGCCAAGTGGGGAGTTCTCGGGCAAAGGACAGCACACACTTTTGTGCACTGCACTTTCCCTTCCCTTAGGAGCAGCACTCCCTGAGGGAGAGACCACTGAGAATCCTGCAGCTCCCCTGGGTCCAGCCAGCACTATGTGGCTGCTACAATCTGAGTGAGTGCCAGGGAATGTCTGTATGGGATCCAGTGATGTCGAGACACAAGGGCAGGACCTGAGGTTCCTTGGGCAGGACTCAGTCCTTCAACAGGCATGTCCCAAATATATTGGGCCTGCCATCACAGCTCGGGTCCACAGGGAGGGTAAGCAACCCAGCATGAGCTGGTAGTCTGGTGTAATGCCCTCAGTAAGTCCCCAAATCACCACCCACACCAGTGTTTGGGTTCATAAGGGCAGAGGAACTCTTGAATACCAGCAGTTTGCTGCGAGGGGAAGGGGAGCCCAAAACACTTCCACCTATCCTTTCAACAAAATAGCAAGTCCCTTGGGCTTCCTAGCTAATCTCTGCCAGCCTCTTTTTCCTTCTTTTTCTGTGTCCTAGCTTCTTCCTGTGAGTTCTCCACTGGACTCCAGCACTCTCCCCTTGATATTCTATTCAAGTTATGATTATTCACCTGTAACTATGGTTCTTCTTTCTGAGAAGTGGTGTCTGATGTCTCTTGTCAGCCATCCTCTTCTCTGATGAAATACTTCAAGTGTCTTACCAATTTTTAAAGTAGATTATTTATCTTCTTATTGATTTGTAAGAATTCTTTATATATTCTACATAGAAGCCCTTTATCAAATACATGATTTGCTAATATTTCTTCAAGTCTGTGGCTTGTCTTTTTATTCTCTTAGTGGTGTATTTTGAAGTATAAGTGTTAATTTTATTGAAGATCCAATTATCTTTTTTTCTTTTAGGGCTTTTACTCTTGAGATTGTATCTAAGAATGTCTAATTAATATATTCTAGAAGTTTTAGAATTTTAGAGGTTACATTTAGGATTATGATTCACTGAAAGCTGATTTTTCTCTATGGTGAGAGCTAGGACTTAAGGGTATTTTGTACATACAAATATTCAATTATTATAGCACCAATTGTTGAAAAGACTGTCTTTTTCAATTAAATTGTGTTGGCTTCTTTGGCTAAAATAAACTGACCACAAATATAAGGGTTTATTTCTAGATTCACAAATTTTGTTCCATTTACCTATAAATCTTTATGTGTGCCAATACTATACTAACTATATTAATGTAGGTTCACAGGAAACATTGAAATAGTGTAATATAATTCTACCAAATTTTTCGTTTTCAAGATTATTCGGACTTTTCTAGATCCTTTGTATTTCCATACACACTTTAGGATTAGCTTGTCAATTCCTAGTAAAAAACAAACCAAAAAACAAAAGCCCTGGTATTTTCATAGAAATTGCATTGAATCTATATATCAATTTGAGAATTACCATCTTACTATTGATTCTTCCAATCCATGAACAAGTTAAGTCTTTCCATTTATTTAATTTCCATTATTTAAATCCTTATAAATTTCATCCAGTAATATTTTCAGTGTATAAATTCTGGAGTGGTCTCTTAAATTATTTCTAAACACTTTAATCTTTTTTGATGCAACTGTGAATAAATTGTTTTCTTATTTTTTAATTATTCATAGCTACTACCCAGAAATATAATTGATCTCTGTATGTTGATCTCATATCATGTAACCTTGGTAAACTTATTAGTTATAATAATATATTTGTACATTCCATAGGAGTTTTTACATATAGGATTATGTCTTCGGTGAATAAAGGAAGTTGCACTGCTTCCTTTACAATCCGAATGTCTTTTTGTTTTCTTGCCTGACTGCACTGGCTAGAATCTCCTGTACAGTAATGAATAAAAGTGGTGACAAGATGACAGTGGACATCCTTGCCTTGTTCCTTAGGAGAAAAGCATTCTGTTTTATCATTTAATATGAGTAATCTGTAGGTTTTTCATAAATGCAGTTTATCAGATGAAGAAAGTTTTCTTCTGTTCCCAGTTTGTTGATTTTTTTTTTTAATCATGAATGACTGTTGAATATTGTCAAATGTTTCATCTGACTCTACTTAGGTGATTATGTAATTTATGTCCTTTATTCTATTAATATAATTCATGCCATTAACTAATTTTCTGATGTTAAACCATCATTGCATTCCTTGGACAAATCCCACTTACTCAGGGTATATAATCCCTCTTATTTATTGCTGGATTTGGTTTGCTCATATTTTATTAATAATTTTATATTTATATTCAAGATGGATATTCATCTTGTTTTATTTTCTTGAGATGTCTTTGCCTGACTTTGAAAGGACAGTACTTATGACCTGAAAAAATAAATTGGAGAGTGTTCCCTCCTTTTCTATTTTTTAGAAGAAGAGTTTGTAAATAATTAACATTACTTTTTCCTTAAATATTTGATCGAATTCATCAAATGTGACCCCGGGATAGTCTCTGTGGGAAGAATTTAAATTATTTATTCAGCTTCTTTACTTTTTATAAGTTTCTTCACATTTTCTATTTGTTCCTAAGTCAGCTTTGGCACTTTATACCTTTCTACTAATTTGTGTCTTTTAGGAATTTGTCCATTTCATCTCAGTTTTCTACGTTGATGGCATAAAGTTGTTCATAATATTGTTTCATAATATTTTTTAAGTTTGTACAGTTGGTAGTAATGTCACCTCTTTCACTTCTGAAGTTGGTAATTTGGGTCTGCTTTTTTTCTAGTCAGTGTAGCTAAATGTTTTTCAACTTTAGTGATCTCTGCAAACTTTTAGTTACACTGATTTTTCTCTAGTACTTTTCTGTTTCATTGGTTTTGCTTATTCTTTATTTTCTCATTCCTTTGCTTGTTTTTGCTCTGATTTGCTTTTCTTTTTCCAGTTTCTTAAGATGGAAACTTATGTAATTAATGAGAAGTTTTTCTCTGTTTCTGATATGTGGATTTAAAAGTATAAATTTTCCTTGAAGCACTGCTTTAGCTGCATACATAAATTCTAAGTTGAGTTTTCATTTTCACTCAATTGAAAATATTAAAAAATATCCTTGGGTTATTAGAAAAGTGTTCCTTAATTGTCAAATATTTGGGATTTTCTAAGATTTCTTTCTGCTATTCTGCAGTGACTGGGTGTTTTCCATCTATGCATGTCAGTTAGGTCAAGTTGATTGATAATATTGTTAAAGTCTTCTATCACCTTGCTGATTCTCTAATTGGTTTCTCAATAATGGGATGCTGAAATCTCTAATTACTGTCATATAATTATAATTTCTCATTTTACATTTTTTGCTTAATGTATTTTTGAAATGCAGATGTTAGATGCATATATCCTTATGATTGTTTTAAGTTCCTTTTGCACTAACCTTTTTATTATTATGAAACTTTCCTATTTCTCTTCAGTTATCTTTATTGTATTAAAGTCTACATTGCCTGATATTAACATATCTATTCCAGCTCTCTTATTGTTACTGTTTTATCTTTTCCCATCTTTTTGCTTTCAGTCTGTTTGTTTTTTTAAAAATATTTATTTAAAAAAATTTTTTAATTATTGTGGGTACATAGTAGGTATATGTATTTATGGGACACATGAGATATTTTGGCACAGGCATGCAATGCATAATAATCACATGAGAGTAAACTGGGTATCTATCCCCTAGAGCATTTATTCTTTATGTTACTAACAACCCAATTATACCCTTTTAGTACTTTTAAACGAATAATGAATTATTACTGACTATAGTCCCACTGTTGTACTATCAAATACTAGGTCTTACTCATTCTTTCCAACTTTTTCCCCCATTAACCATTCCCACCTCCCCATGGCTCCCCACCCAACACTTTCCAGCCTGTAAGTAACCATCCTTCTATCCTCTAGTTCCACGAGTTCTATTGTTTTGATTTTTATATCCCACAAATGACTGAGAACATGCAATGTTTGTCTTTCTGTGCCTGGCTTATTTCACTTAACGTAATGACATCCATGTTGTTGGATGGAACTGGACGTCATTATGATAGGATCTCATTCTTTTCGTGGCTGAATAGTACTGCTTTGTCTATAAGTACCACATTTTCTTTATCCATTCATCTGTTGACGGACACTTAGGCTGCTTCCAAATCTTGGCTATTGTGAACACTGCTGCAACAAACATAGGAGTGCAGATATCTCTTCAATATCCTGATTTTCTTTCCTTTGGGTATATACCCAGCAGTAGGATTGCTGGATCATATGGTAGCTCTATTTTCAAGATTTTAAAGAAACCTCCAAACTGTTCTCCATAGTGGTTGTACTAATTTACATCCCCATCAACAGTGTACAGAGGGTTCCCATTTCTCCACATTCTCAATAGCATCTGTTATTGCCTGACTTTTGGATAAAAGTCATCTTAACTGGGGTGAGATGATACCTCATTGCAGTTTTGATCTGCATTTCTCTAATAATCAATGATGCTGAGCACCTTTTCGTATGCCTGTTTTCCACGTCTATGTCTTCTTTTGAGAAATGTCTAATCAAATATTTTGCCCATTTTAAAAATCATACTATTAGGTTTATTAATATGGAGTTCTTTGAGCTCCTTATATATTCTGTTTGTTAATCCCTTGTTAGGTGGGTAGTTTGCAAATATTTTCTCCCATTCTGTGGGATGTCTCTTCACACTGTTGATTGTTTGCTGTGCAGAAGCTTTCTAACTTGATGTCATCCCATTTTTCCATTTTTGCTTTGATGGCCTGTGCTTGTGTGGTATTAGTCAAGAAATGTTTGCCCTGACCAATGTCCTGGAGAATTTCCCCAATGGTTTCTTGTAGTAGTTTCATAGTTTGAGGTCTCAGATTTAAGTCTTTAATCCATCTTGATTTTATTTTTGTATAAGGTGAAAAAAAGGAGTCAGGTTTCTTTCTCTGCATAGGCATATCCAGTTTCCCCAGCACCATGGATTGAAGTCTTTTTCCCAATGTGTGTTCTTAGCACCTTTGTCAAAAATGAGCTCATTTTAGGTGTGTGAATTTGTTTCTGGATTCTCTGTTCTGTTCCATTGGTCTACGGGTCTGTTTTTATGCCAGTGCCATGCTGTTTTGGTTACTATAGCTCTTCAGTAGAATTTAAAGTCAGGTCATGTCATTCCTCCGGTTTTGTTCTTTTCGCTTAGGACAGCTTTGGCTATTCTGGGTCTTTTGTCATTCCATACAAATTTTAGTTTTTTTCATTTCTGTGAAGAATTTCATTGGTATTTTGATAGGAATTGCATTGAATCTAAGATTGCTTTGGGTAGAATAGACATTTTAACAATATTGATTCTTCAAATTAATGAACATGAAGTATCCTTCCATTTTTTGGTGTCCTCTTCAATTTCTTTCATCAGTGTTTCATACTTTTCATTGTAGAGATCTTTCACTTCTTTGAATAATTCCAAGGTATTTAATTTTATTTGTGTCTATTGTAAATGGGATGACTTTTTATTTCTTTTTCTATTGTTCACTTTTAGAATATAGAAACACTACTGATTTTTGTATGTTGACTTTGTGTTCTGCAACTTAACTGAATTTATCAGTTTTAATAGCTTTTTGATGGAGTCTGGGTTTTTCCAGATATAAGATTATATCATCTACAAACAAGGATAATTTGACTTCTTCCTTTCCAATTCAAATACCCTTTATTTCTTTCTCTTTTATGATTACTCCAGCTAAGACTTCCAGTACTATGTTGAATAACACTGGTGAAAGTGAACATCCTTCTTTTCTTTTTCCCTATTCAGCACAATAATAGCTGTGGGATATATAGCTTTTATTATGTTGAGGTATATTCCTTCTACAGCCAGTTTTTTCGAGGGTTTTTGACATGAAGAGATGCTGAACTTTATCAAATGTTTTTTCAGCATCAATTGAAATGATCATATGGCTTTTCTTCATTTTGTTGATATGATGCATCACATTGATTTGAGTTTGTTGAACCATCTTTGCATCCCTGGGATAAATCCCACTTGGACAGGATGAATGATCTTTTTAAAGTATTGCTGAATTTGGTTTGCTAGTTATTTTGTTGAGGATTTTTGCATCCATATTCATCAGATAAATTGCCCTATTGTTTTTACTTTTCTGATGTGTCTTTGTCTGGTTTTGGTAGCAGGGTAATACTAGTCTTGTAGAATGAGTTTGAAAGTATTCCATCTCCCTCCATTTTTTGGAAAAGCTTTAGTAGGATTGGTACTAGGTGTTCTTTAAATGTTTGGTAGAATTCAGCGGTGAAGCCATTGGGTCCCAGGCTTTTCTTTACTGGAAGACTTTTTAGTATGGGTTCAATCTCTACTTGTTATTGGCCCATTTGGGCTTTGGATTTCTTCATGATTCTGTCTTGGTAGGTTATATGTATCTGAGAATTTATTCATTTCTTATAGATATTCCAATTTATTGGCATATAGTTGTTCAAAGTAGCCACTAATGATCTTTTGAATTTCTGTGGTATCGGCTGTAAAGTCTTCTTTTTCACCTCTAATTTATTTGGGTATTCTTTTTTTTTCTTGGTTACCTTGGCTACAGGTTTGTCAATTTTATCTTTTCAAAAAACTAACTTTTAATTTCAGTCATCTTTTGTAGTGTTGTCTTCATTTCAAATCCATTTTATTTCAGCTCTGATCTTTATTATTTCTTTTCTTATACTAATTTTCAGTTTGGTTTGCTCTTGCTTTTGCTGCTTTTTAAGATGCATTGTTAGGTTATTTATTTGAAGTTTTTCTTCTTTTTTGATGTAGGCACTTACAGCTATAAATTTCCCTCTTAGTGCTGCTTTTGCTGTATCCCATAGATTTTGGTATGTTGTGCTTCCATTATCATTTGTTTCAAGAAGTTTTTCAATTTCCTTCTTCATTTCTTCATTGACTCATTGGTCATTTAGGAGCATATTGTTTAACTTCCATGTGCTTGTATGGTTTCCAAAATTCCCCTTGTTATTGATTTGTAGTTTTATTCCACTGTGGTCAGAGAGGATTCCTGATATTATTTCAATTTTTCTGAATGTTTTAAGACATGTTTTGTGACCTAATATGTGGTCTGTCTTTGAGAATGATCCATGTGCTGAGGAGGAAAATTTGTATTCTGAGGCTGTTGGATGAAATGTTCTGTAAATATCTATTAGGTCCATTTGTTCTACAGTGCAGATTAAGCCCAATGTTTCCTTGCTGATTTTCTGTCTAGGAGATCTGTCTAATACTGAAAGTAGGGTGTTGAAGTCTCCAGCTATTATTGTATTGGGGTCTATCTTCCTCTTTAGCTCTAATAATATTTGCTTTATACACCTGGGTGCTCCAGTACATATATACTTACAATCATTACATCCTCTTGTTGAATTGACCCTTTTATCATTATACAATGACCCTGTCTTTTCTTACAGTTTTTGTCTCCAAATCTATTTTGCCTGACATAAGCATAGCAACTCCTGCTCTTTTTTGGTTTCCACTGGCATGGAATATCTTTCCATCCTTTTAGTTTAAGTCTATGTTTATCTTTATAGGTGAAGTGTGTTTCTTGTAGGCAATAGATCATTGGGTCTCTTTTTTTTTTTTCATCCATTCAGCCACTCGTTGTCTTTTGTTTGGAGAGTTTAGTCCATTTACATTCCATTTTATTATGGATAAGTAGGAACTTACTCCTGCCATTTTATTATTTGTTTTCTGGTTTTCTCTTCCTTCCTTCTTTCTACCCTTCTTGTCTTCCTTTTGGTGATTTTTTTGTGGTGGTATGCCTTCTTCCTTTTATTTTTGAGATAGGGTTTCACTCTGTTACCCAGGCAGGAGTACAGTGGTGCGATCTTGGCTCACTGCAACCTCCACCTCCCAGGCTCAAGCGATTCTTGCGCCTCAGCCTCCCCAGTAGCTGGGACTACAGGTGTGTGCCACGACAACCAGCTAATTTTTGTATTTTTAGTAGAGACAGAGTTTCACCATGTTGGCCAGGCTGGTCTCAAACTCCTGACCTCAAGGGATCTGCCCGCCTTGGCTTCCCAAGGTGCTGGGATTACAGGCGTGAGTTTCCTCAACATAGCTACTTTGAATTCTTTGTCTGAAAGGTTATATATCTCTGTTTCTCTAGGATTAGTCCCTGGTGCCTGGTTCATTTGGTGAGGTCATGTTTTCCTGGATGGTGCTAATTATCGTAGATGTTCCTCAGTGTCTGGGCATTGAAGAGTTAGGTATTTATTGTAGTCTTCACAGTCTGGGCTTGTTTGTGCCTGTCCTTCTTGGGAAGGCTTTCCAGGTATTCAAAGAGACTTGGGCCCCAAGCCCAATAACACTGTGTTTTTTTCAGATTTGTAGAGTTATACCTACCATCTTGGAGGTCTTGAAAAAGATCTGGGAGAATTCTCTTGATTACCAGACAAAGACTGTTATTCTTTTCCCTTACTTTCTCCTCAGCAAACAGGGGGTGTCTGTCTGTCTTGTCTGTCTCTCTCTTTAAAGCTTGCCAATAAAAAGTTCTGACTGCTGGAATGGTTGATTCTCCTCTGGCTAAGGTTGGTCCAAACGTTCCCTCCATGCACAGGCACTGGCTGAGGCCAGCATGGCTTTATTCTTCACTGTGATATGGCAGTACTGAGTTCAGTGTAAAGTTCCCCAGTCGCTGTGCTCTTCTTCCCCAAAGTGCACAGATTCTGTGCTCCGCACAACTGCTGCCAGGGAATGGAGGGGTAACATCAGCAATTCAAGACTCTCTCTCCTGGCCTACTCAATGCCTCTTTTGGTGCTATGAACTTAAAACTCGGTACTGTGGTTGCTCACTTGATTTTGGGTTCTTGTGAATGGTGTTTTTCCCTGTGCAGATAGTTGTTAAAATTTAGTACTCCATTGGGGGTGGGAGGGATGAATGCTGTAGGCTTCTATTTTTGTGTCACAACTTTTTTTGTTTACCTATTCTTCCTTTCCTGCTTTGTGATATTTTTTAGTATGCCATTTTAATTCCTCTGGTGTTTGTTTTTTTTCTTTTACATTTTTGGAGTTATCTTCTTAGTAACTTAGCAACTGCTCTAGGGATTATAATGTGTCTTAATTTATCACAATCTATATCACAATAATACTTAATATCAGTCAAATAGAAACTATAATTTATGTCCTTTTCCTAACTCCTTTGTGCTATTATCATATATATATTTCATGTACCTGCTATAAATCCAACCAAACAATGTTGAAAACTCCTTTATATTTACCACATATTTACTATTCCCAGCATTCTTCAATTCTTCCTATGGATACAAACTAATATACAGTGTTACTTCCTTTCAGCCTGAAGATTTGCTTTAATATTTCTTATAAGACAGTCTGACAGGGAGAAATTCTCTCAAGTTTTATCTGGGAATGCCATTTTTTCACCTTCACTTTGGAAGACTAGTTTTGCTGGATATAGAATACCTGGTTGACAGTTTTTTGGTTTTTTTTCTTTCAGCACTTTGAATGCATCAGGCCTTATGGTCCCCATCGCTTCTGATTTTAAAGTCAGCTGTTAAAGTTATTAGTGGTCCCCTACATGTGATGACCCATTTTCTTCTTTTTATGGCTCTCTTTGTGTTTTCCTAGTTGTGGTTAGTTAAGCTTCATGAATCTGTAGATTGTTTTTCATCAAATCTGGAAAGTTCTCTGTTAGTATTTCTTTGATTCTTTTTCTCTGCTCTGTCTCTTTTCTCCTATGAGGCTTTTTCAACTTTAATTTTTTTTTCCTCTCTGTTCTTCAGAGTATATAAATTCTATTGACTTATCTTCTAATTCATTGATTCTTCTGCCATCGCAAATCTGTTGTCAAACCCATCTAACATTTTTATATTTAGTTATTGCCCTTTTTAACTCTAGAATTTTGTTTCCTTCTTTTTTAGAATGACTAACTCTTTGTGAAAATTCTTTTATTATTTTTTATTTTTTTTGGGATGGAGTCTCGCTCTGTCACCCAGGCTGCAGTGCAGTGGCGCGATCTTGGCTCACTGCAAGCTCTGCCTCCCTGGTTTTATTTCCAGTAGCCCACTTGAATTTCATCTGCACCTATTCCTAGGCTCTCCTGGCCAAGAACACATCGGTGGCCTGAGCCCACTCTGTTCTCTGATGTGCATGTCCACAGCCTCCACTCAACCTGGGATATGTGGGGAATTTATCAAACTCCCACTACTGTCTTACCTCTCAAAACTTTCTATTAAACTCAACTAGTTCATGAGCCTACTGCTGGCCCCAAATTGGACTACAGTCTTAGACTAATAAAGCTGTTGGCCCTCTCTGTTTACTTGCCACAAAGATCACTATTTTAACCTACAATTCTCCATAGCAAGTGATTTCTCTGCAAAAGTGGAAGCAAAGCTGCTGGTTTTCATCCTGACTGAAATGCTATGCGACAGAGCTAGGGACAAGGAAAAGGAGAAAAGGAGTAGCACCAGATCACGAATTTGTGCTATTCTTACCCTATGTTCATTAGTTTTCATGAATAAAGCTTCTCAGTTTGTTTGGTAAAGTACTCAAACAGTTGTTTTGACAGTTTTGTCCAGCTTTAATGGTTGCCTTCTGTGGAAAACAATCAAATGTTCTCACTGAATCAGTCATTCCTTTTTAAGAGTGTATGTCATATATTACTGAAATCCAGTTATAGTTAAATTATAAATCCAACACAACAGTATTAAAAACTCTTTCATATTTATCCACATATTTACTATTCCCAGCACTCTTCAATTCTTCCTACGGATTCAAATTAATATCTGGCGTTACTTCCTTTCAGCCTAAATCTCGTTGATAACTCTAAGACTGTATTCAACTCTGAGATAAAAATACAAGTTCACTTTTTTGTTATTCATATGCTATACATAGACATGTAGTTATAGTAAGCCAGAGATATTAGACTTAGCTTCATTTATTTTTTGTTGTTGCTGGAGAAAACTGATTTTTTTTGCATACATGTATGGTAGGCAGAAGGAGCTGAGTAGGTCTCTACATCCATACTATAAAGAAGCTGCTAAAATGTAATACAATCATAAGTAAAATCATGCTAATAAACTATATCTATGCAGTCCAGACACCACAGTATATGAGGGACACTGATAACCTATAGTACATAAAAATTATACAAAGAGGCCTGGAAACTGGTATATGAAAAAAAATTTGAGAGAAATGTAGATGTTTACTCTGGAGGAAAAAAATGACTTACTGCTAGCCTTTAAAAGACTTAGACTTACTCAATATTGATCCAGAGGGCAAAGTCAAAACTAAGTTATCTAATTCTAAGTTCAATACATAAGAGAACAGATTTAAAAACTTGAAACAATTAAACCAATTAAACTGGCTCTTTTTGTAAAGTAGTGAGTTTCCATCACTAAGAATGATCATGGCCTGGTGTGGTGGTTCATGCCTGTAATCTCAGCACTTTGGGAGGCCGAGGTGGGCAGATCGCTTAAGGTCAGGAGTTCGAGACTAGCCTGGCCAATATGGCAAAACCCCATCTCTACTAAAAATACAAAAATTAGCTGGACATGGTGGCACATATCTGTAATCCCAGCTACTCGGGTGGCTGAGGCAGGAGAATCGCTTGAACCTGGGAGGTGGAAGCTGCAGTGAGCCAAGACTGTGCCACTGTCCTCCAGCCTGGGTGACAGAGTGAGATTCCACCTCAAAAAAAAAAAAAAAAAAAAAAAAAAAAGAATAACAGAGATTAGATGACCATCTTTTTAAGGAGTATTTATTTAGGAGATTGGCTGGATGACCTTTCAATTCTAAAGTTTCTGTAATTTGTAAAAAGAAATAGAAAAGAATTTAGATGGATAAAAGTATCAGGAAAAATAATCCAAAATATACATAAAGATATGACACCTCAGGTTATTCATAATAAATAAGGAAACGGGTCATAGAAACTAAGTTTCTGAGAAGCATGGATTACTGTTGGGTTCCAAAGGGCAACAATATGCTGGATATCATTAAAAAGCTATTAGATCACGCCTGTAATTCCAGCACTTTGGGAGGCCAAGGCGGGCGGATCACGAGGTCAGGAGATTGAGACCATCCTGGCTAACACAGTGAAACCGTGTATCTACTAAAAATACAAAAAATTAGCCAGGTGTGGTGGTGGGTGCCTGTACTCCCAGCTACTCGGGAGGCTGAGGCAGGAGAATGGCGTGAACCTGGGAGGTGGAGCTTGCAGTAAGCCAAGATTGCGCCACCGCATTCCAGCCTGGGCAACAGAGCGAGACTCCGTCTCAAATAAAAAAGCTATTAGAAACAGAAAACACTATCCTACCATTGTACAAAGCTATAACCTATAGCTCTGGTTGCTACAACTTAAAAACAAGCAAGCTGAAGAGAGAACAAAAGATAACTAAAATGAACAAGATAGAGAGTATTACATAAAATTAGACTTCACTCTGGAAAGGTTAAAGCTGACTGAGTGCATAACAAATATTTATAAAAGACGCAAAATACACAAATAGGGTAAATTTAGACTTGTTCACCAAAATGTAGAATGCAGCCTACCAAACTAGAATCTGTCCTAACCTTACAAAAACCTGCCTAGAATTTATTCTAACCTTACCCTAGAATTTGTCCTAACCTTACTGAAAGAGGTAAGGTTAGGATAAATTTTAAAAGTGTCATTACATTCAGGAAATACTAAGGTAATCTACTAGGACCAAAACAGGTTACAGACGGAAAACAGAAATAACTTACCTCTTTTAGTTGATCAGCACTCCCCCATGACGCAGAACGCTGATGTGACCTCTTTTCTGCACCCTCTTCTGCCCAACAGCTAGGTGTCTTTAAAAAATATATATATAAATAAAATAAGAAATTTTATCTCTACTTCCTAATCTCAAGCAACTGAAACATATTTAAAATTCTTAGCACTTACCAGTTAGAGAGCTATACTAAAATCCTTTAAACGCTAAGAGTTTTGTGACCCCGTGAAATGTTTAAAATATTCTGCCATATTCTGAATTATATATGCTCAAAGATGTCTCTGAGTCACCTTACTTAAAAATTTGATATCTTCACATCAATAACATAAATAACTTAATTATAAAATTCAAAGGGAATAGTAAAGATATGTGTATTGGTGTTTTTAAAGAGAATAGCCAAACTAAATATGAAATGGTATTTCCACTAAATTCAATAGAGGTAAAATGAACAAAAGTATCTCAAAAGCAATAGTATTAAGAATGACCTACATTTCAAATATTTAGCTAGAGGGCTGATTGTACTACTTTTTCTGTGCTTGGGGAAGAGTAAGTATTAGTATCTTTTTTGAAAAATATCAGGCATCTTTATATAAAACACATAAAGTTATTATAAAAGTGAAAAAGATTAAAAACAGTAAAATATAAGCTAAATAAACAGAATATAAACTAAAGTAATACATCTTCTAAAAAACCTGAACCATATGTCAGAAAACAGAATCATTTTTATCTAAAATATCATTTTCAGTTATTTAGCCATTAATAGATACTATCCTCAAATGTAACACAAATCACTAAATCCGAAATAATGCCATACAGTGGTTAAGACCATTTAATAGTTGTATTAAAAAATTAAACAATAGGCTGAGCATGGTGGCTCACACCTGTAATCCCAGCACTTTGGGAGGCCAAGGCGGGTGGATCACCTGAGGTCAGGAGTCCGAGACCAGCCTGACCAACATGGTGAAACCCCGCCTCTAAAAAATTAGCTGGGCCTGGTGGCGAGCACCTGTAATCTCAGCTACTCAGGAGGCTGAGACAGGAGAATCACTTGAACCCGGGAGGCAGAGGCTGCAGTGAGCCAAGATTGTGTCATTGCACTCCAGCCTGGGCGACGAGAGTGAAACTCTGTCTCAAAAAAAAAATAATAATTAAACAATATTAAAATATCATCTTTAATACATGAGAAGACTTGCGTAATGTAAATCAGAAAGGGTCAAAACCACTACTTAAAGGGCAATGATTGTCACAGTAACTATATACAGCTTTAAAAATTATTTTTCAATACATGCTGAAAAAGGTATCATTTATATTAAGGCCATACTTGTGACTACATAATATGTAAGTTCTTATGAAGAAGTCATCAGTTCTATTTTACAGTTCAAAATGCTTGTGGAAAACTTTTAAAATAATCACCACGTCTTAAAAGCAATGATATTCAAAAAAACCGTTAACAACTGAATGCTAGCTGAATAAACACAAAAATAAACTGCTTGAGCAGTTCACTAGTAAAAAGAAGTTTTTAAGTCAATTGACAGAGTAAAATACTTTATTCAATCAGCAAGACCACGGATAAGAGGTATCAATATATTAAATAAGTTGCTTATAAAAAACTATTACTTATTAGAATTTCCTATGTTCCGTCCTAGATAAGATGACGTACTCTGAAAATAATTCAACCCTCCAAATCATTGTATCCTTAATAATGAATTTATTCCAAAATTATTCAATTGTTTAGTCACTTTTATTTTGATAATTTATATAACTTAATGGTTTTACCTGTCTAGCAACTGAGCATTACTCTTATCAAAATGAAAAGATTAAGAATCATAATCTTTATAACTCAAAGTATATTCACAGAAAATGAGTCAAATTTTTAGCATTTTCCACAATTATTCAAAATCAACATTTATAATATGAATTACATTCATTTTGTACAGCCCTTTTTCAAAGGACATTTACATATACTGTATCTCCAACTTACAGATAAATTAATAGCCACAAAAATTCTGCAACTGCTTCAACACTGGCAAGCACGCCAACAGCAAAAGGAACTAAATCTGAGTTCTCTTATCTCACAGATTATCTTCTTTCTTCCTATTATCCTTTTCTTAAAAATGAATATGAAAACTTATTCAGTTATTTCAGAGTGTGTTATTTACACAAAAGAATTACCTACAAAAGAAATCAAGTTAGTAGTATATGTATAGTTATGTGCTGCATAACAATGTTTTGGTCAATGATGGATGGTATACCTAACAGTGGTCCCATAAAATTATAATGAAGCTGAAAAATTCCTATTACCTAGTGATGTCTTGATGATCCTGATCTTGTGTGGGCCTAGGCTAATGTGTATGTTTGTCTTAGCTTTAAAAAAAAGTCTAAAAAGGAAATAAATAAACAAATAAATAAATAAAAGCTTACAGAATAAGAATAGTTTGTTATGGTTGTAAAATATGTTTGTGTTTTAAGCTAAGTGTTATTATGAAAGGCTCAAAAAGCTAAACAAAATTAAGTTTATGAAGTAAAAATGTTATGGTAAGCTAAGGTTAACATTACTGAAGAAAGAAAAGTATTTGTTATAAACTTAGTGTAACCTAAATGTGCAGTGCTTAGAAAGTCTACAGTAGTTTACGGTAATACCCTAAGCCTTCACATTCACTCACCGCTCACTGACCCAATTGGAGCAGGTTCCAGTCCTGCAAACTCCATTCCATGGTACATGCCCTATACAGGTGTATCATTTTCTACCTTTATGTATTATATTTTTACTGTGCCTTTTCTATGTTTATATATACAAATATCACTACGTTACAGTTGCCTACAGTCTGCATTACGGTAACATGCTGTACAGTTTTGTAGCCTAAGAGCAACGGGCTATGCCACATAGCCTCAGTGTGTAGTAGGCTACACCATCTAGGTTTGTGTAAGTACACTCTATGATGTTCGCACAGCGATGAATGCCTAACGATGCATTTCTCAAAACATATCCCCCTCATGAAGTGACAGTGACTGTAGTTTAAAAAAAAGAAAAACGACTGAAAGAGTTCTCTCAATCATGTAACTATAGAATGCATATAATTTAAGGTCATCATAGTATTAACTTTCCAAAAATATCCCCCAAAGAGTAGTTTTAATTCCATCAATTTAAAATAAACAGTATAAAAAAATTCTCATCTACAAATATATTCTATAGATTGAATTGTCCAATACAACAGCTACTAGCCACATGTGCCTATTTAGATTTAAATTAATGAGGACCTAATAAAACTAAACTTCCTTAGTCACACTTAGCACATTTTAAAAGCTCAATAACCACATGTGGCTACCGGCTGTCATATAGGACAACACAAATATAGAACATTTCCAATACTAAAGAAAGTTCAATTGGAGGGCAGTGTTCTATACACTGATCACTGATTTTTAATGAGTTATTTTAGCCAAAACAAAACCAAAAGATGGCTACCAAAATCAAATCTATTTAAAGCTGATGATTAAGAAGTCACAGAAGTGACTAATTTGAATCCAATTTATTAAACCTGTGTATTTGAGAAATGTTTTACCATTTCAATCAGGAAAATAACACAAAGTAGCAAAAGTTCTTTCCTTTCATATCAGCAAGCAGCCCCTTCCAACTGGTCTGTTATTCTGTCCATTAATCTAGACTAGAATTTTTTAAATAGTGCTACATATAACCATGCCTTTGGTGTTAAAAGGAGTAGACAAAAAGGGTTCCACAGTTAAATAAATTTAGGAAAAACTGTAATATCATACCATCATTTAAAAGAAATGAAACTTCTGTACACTTGAACAATGCAGAACTAAAACCTATCTGTAAGACTATTAACAAAAAAGGTAGTTGGAAAAAAAAAGCCTCTATGTAAAAAGGATACCTATAGGTAGAAGGGGTCCTTTTCTATTCTCACTCCCTGGAAGTCTCCAAAGTCCAGACTATGAAATTTCTTTCCAACCTCTAGGGCCATCCTCCCAGCTCCAACCTGTGTGAGAACCACTTTTTCTCTAAGTAAAATACAAAGGGAATAATCCCACTGCACAGGACTAAAGAGGCTTCAAAATGAATACCATTAGAAAAATTATTTTTGGCTAGATCAACCAAAAAGCTTAAATACTGGGTGCTTTTGTTATGTATATCTTTATTCACTAACTAGAAAGGGCCAATATGCTTTTTAGTTTTATCAACTTCAAACCAGCTCAAACTAACTCCTAGCAAAAAACATGCTTTGTCAATGTGCAAAAGTCTAAAGCCACTTAAAAAAAATCCATCAACAAAAACATAACAAAATTCTTTAATCTTATTTAAATATTAAAAAATCTATTTTATGTGGTTCATCACTGGTCTTAAAATTTATTGTAGTTTATAAATCAATTATAGAAATATGAGTACTGACTGCTAATTATTTTATAGTACTTATAGCAATGATAAACCTAGCAAGAAATGAGATGTAATTAGCTGAAAAATCAATGATACCTATATTAAGAATTAATTATGACCACAGACTAATCTTAAATTATAAAAAAGTTTAGAATAGGTAATGACAAACCATTATTTACAAATATTTGTTTTTGTTTACAAAAATTTGTTTTTGACTAATAAAACAATTTTTAACTTCTTTTAAAACTTCTTTAAATATTATTTTGAAAAGTCTATCCTGATGAAGTATTACAAAGCAGCACAAAAGATTGTGGTTCTAGTGTAATTATCCTTTGCCTTTCTGGGAAGAGTGGTAACCAGATATAGTAAATAGCTGCTCTGATTAGCAAAGAGTGTAGAAAAAGGCAGAATTCAGCTCAAACAAAACACTGTGGAAGTTAAGACTGCATTTTTATTTTATGTAAAGTCGGAAGGTTTTTTTTTAAGCTTTAGGAATTCAGCAATAGCAGCACTTACATATTCAAATTTTTTATCAAGCTCCAACTCTATGCTAAGTTTTGTGCTCATTATGTTAGACCAGTTTCAAAGTGCAGTCCCCAAATGAGCAGCAGCATCATCACATGTTAGAAAAGCAAATTCTCAGGCTCAACCTCAGACTACTAGATCTGGAACTCTTAGATAAGGCCCAGAAATATACTTCTTATTTTTTAAGCAACCTTTTCAGATTATTCTGATGGATTCTAAAGTTTGAAAACCAGTGTTAGACTAAAAAATTGAAATCAATAAGATACGGAATCTGCACTCAAGGTGTCATGTTGACCATATACCCACTCATTTTTCTTGCTAGCTTTGAACATGTTATTGTTTTAAAATCTCTTACATCTGACAGAAAATCAGCAACACAGGTGATTACTACATATGGCCAAAAATATTTTTCACACCATTCTAAAAAACACCCACTGAAGTCATAAAAATAGTGCTAAGATGATGGCATGAATATCACCAATAGGATAACTAAGTAATGGAGGAGGGAGTAGCTTTCCTAAGAATGTAAATACGCTCTCCTGCACATGAACCTATAGATTTGAAGTACCATTTCTTATTTGTAAGACAGCAAACACACAATAACTACCTCTGACTGAATGAATCCTGACCTACCAGAAATTGTTTATTGAATTTCACAGCCCTCACATGCTCTGGGGTCACTTGTGTCATTTCTATGCCATTTCCTACCAGTCCAGACCTAATGTTCATAATTGTATAATCAATAGTTGATACTAGTAATAAAGACTTTTCCTGTCCACTTAATTCCATATTATTATATTTAAACCCGGTAACAGTAAAATACTATTGATTCTAATCAAAGGCAACTAATAAGTATCAGTGTCTGTTATGTCATAGATACTGTGCTAGAAGCTTAACATGGATTGTTTCATATAATCCTCATTGCAATAGGCTATGTTGACAATAATAGTTGTCCCCCAAAAGCTGTTAGAATTCCAATAGCATGGAAAAGTTTTCCCTTAGTTTATACTGGTTCCTAACAATATGGTATCTCCCATATCAATCATTCATTTATTCATTCATTTATACAAAACAGTATACCTTAAGAGGCATACTGCTTTCTCATACCATACCGTAAACTATGACCTAATTTTAAACTATAACTCTATGATCTTAATTGGTTTTTTTTGTTTGTTTTTGAGATGGAGTCTCGCTCTGTCGTCCAGGCTGGAGTGCAGTGGTGCGATCTCGGCTCGCTGCAAGCTCCACCTCCCGGGTTCACGCCATTCTCCTGCCTCAGCCTCCCGAGTAGTTGGGACTACAGGCGCCCACCACCACACCCGGCTAATTTTTTGTATTTTTAGTAGAGACGGGGTTTCACCATGTTAGCCAGGATGATCTTGATCTCCTGACCTCATGATCTGCCCACCTCGGTCTCCCAAAGTGCTGGGATTACAGGCGTAAGCCACCGCGCCCGGGCGATCTTAACTGTTAAGGCATAATGTCTCTAACGTAAAAATGTCTTTCTCAGTAAATTCTGTTTAATATTATCACAGGAATTTTTCATAGAAAATTGATACAAGATATAACAGGTTGAGAACCAATGTATAAGTCAATGTACAAAACCAACACAGGTCAGGGGACCAGAGTAAGAGTGTTATTCCAAATAAATACAACCTATTTCACAATTTTACCTAGAGTGTGCTTAGGGGCAAAGGCATGAGAAAGCAATGAAGAAAAACAGGTTAATTTTGTTTCCAGCTAAATGTTTCTCGTAAAGGGAAGAAAACTGAGTATCAGGGTAACGGGGGTATGGGAAAGGCCTTTCGCTGTATACTTTCTACTTTTGAAACAAATGAACACATAACGTATTAAAATTAATAAGTAGAATTTTGACTTTGGTAATTTTAGAGATGGTATTTGAAACTAATGAATAAAATGTTAAATATTTTAGTTATGGGTTAAAATCTTTCATTAATATAACTGAGTATATTCCTTTAGCAACCAAAGAAATTACTCCCTAAACCAGGAACATGACTAATTTGGTGTGAACTATTCAACTCTAGGATTCTACAATCCTCTGTCTCATAATTAGATGATGGCTGAGAGAAAAAGTAAAGGTGATCTCAACAGCCAGTCAGGGGCCAGCTCCATAAAAAATAATTTAGACCCCTAGAATGCAATCTAAGAGGCAAAAACAGTCAAATCTTCAGTCTTGCTTCCATTTCATGAAGAAGTCCCCCAGCCCCTAAAATGTTTCAGCAACTGCTGTTTCTTAAATATATTTCAAAAGCAAGCCCTTTGACAAGGGCACAGGAAACTCAGACAGCTGTATAAAGTGTGACTTTTGGTCAGGAAATGAATTTCTGATCAGAGTGATAAAACTGAAAGTTATTTTTTATATCAGTAAGTATTTGAGGTGCATCATCTGTTCCTTTGACTAAAGTCCTCCCTAACCAAGCTCCTTTCAGGAATGGAGGAAAAGGCTAGGTACTTTAAATATGACGTCAACAGAAAAGAATATATATGTTTTAGTTCAGAGTTAGTTAACTTTATTGAATGTTGCCTAAAGCCAAATGCTAACTACTTAGTCTGGATCTGTTTCTTAAAAACAAATAAAAACAAATAGATTTCTAGGGAAAGATGCTGACATAGAGGCAGGATCATAAAACTCCATAGACTGAAGTCTAATGAGATTAAGAGAAACTGCTTTATGTGCTTTTGGCATGTCTCATGTTTCACAGTTTAACTTTTAAAAATTAATTTAAAACAATAAAATACCAAATATAATAATACCATCACCTGGAGAAAGGGAAGTATCAGTATATGTAATTTTATTTAAGATCTAACCATCCCATCTCTCACCTCTCAGAGAATACAAGTTTTGAAATCTCTCCCTGATATCAACCAAGAGACCAAGTGCCATGGAAGAAATTAAGAAAATTTTCTAAAGTGCTACAATCCAAAAACATACTAGGCTAGTAAGTAAGTTACTTAGGTAAAATCCTTTCAGACCCAAGTGACAGAATTCAGATGATATTTATACTGTGTTATGCTAGAGCACAGAGGAAGGAAATCTTGCAAAACCTGTTTATGAAGCAAGTGTAAAAATACTCTAAGGCTCATGAAAAAAAATTAAGAACTCATTGCTGAATAATAAACAAATATAGAATTAACAAACATATTCACTGATGAAATGGCATTTTCCACATAAATTATTATTCCTGATTAAAACAAGAAAAACCATTAGTAAAATAAGCATGTGTACTCTACGTATAACAAACACACATGCTTCACAGCAAATGTCAGTATACCTTGTCCAGTGAGTAAACTAGATACATTACCATTAGAGTCAAGAAAGAGGCCAAGGCAGCCGGGTACAGTGGCTCACATCTGTCATCTCAGCACTTTGGGAGGCCGAGATGGGTGGATCACCTGAGGTCCACCTGAGGAATTTGAGACCAGCCTGACCAACATGGTGAAACCCCGTCTCTACTAAAAAATTAAAAAATTAGCTGGGCATGGTGGCGGGCGCCTGTAATTCCAGCTACTCGGGAGGCTAAGGCAGGAGAATCACTTGAACCTAGAAGGTGGAGGCTGCAGTGAGCCAAGACAGTGCCATTGCACTCCAGCCTGGGCGACAGAGCAAGACTCCGTCTCAAAAAAAAAAAAAAAAGTCAAGGCCTTCAGTACCATAACTGTTAGTTTACATGGTTCTCGGAGTGGCAACAAATGCAATTCCAAAAGAGGACACATACCAAGAAATAAATAACGAAAAGGATGTAGAATTACTATTTGGATGATCGTACAGCCGAAAAACCAAAGAAAATTACCTAAAAATTACTAGAAACAAGAAAAGTCAAGTTGAAGATGTCCTGTATGTAAATTAGATATTAAATATCCTAATTACAACAGCAACCAAAAAAGACAAAATATTTAGATATAAGTTTAACAAGAAATGTGTTGTTCCAATAAGAAGTTGTAAAATATTCTGAAGGGCAAACATAATACTTGAATGAATAAAAAGATATACCCCTTTCTTGGATAAGATTCAATATGGTAACAATTCCCCTGAATTCATATTTAATTGTAATATAAAACATTTTGAGGAATTGTACAAATTATAAAATTAACTGAGAAAAATAAATACGCAAGACTAGCCATACAAATTATTAAAATGAATTACTAAGCAATACAAATTAAAATCATTCAGTATTAAAAAAGATATTAATGGTATATAGTATAGCATAGAGAAGCCAGAAAGAGATCCAAATAAGAATGGAAATTTATGATATAACAATATCTCAAATCAGCAGGGAAAAGATAAACTCTTTATCAACTGTTAGTCACTTTGAAAAATAAATAAAGCTGGATATCACCTCATGCCTTCCATCAAAATAAACTCCAGAAATATCAAAGACACAAATATGTAAAAAGAAACATAAAACTATTAAAAGAAAATATAGTTTAAATGAAATTTTTTAACTTGGAGTGGAAAAAATCTTTCCCAATTATGGCATAATGCAAAAAGCCACAAGGCACAGACCACTGTGATAAATACAGCAGCCAGAAATAAACCCTAGCATATACGGTAAATTGATTTTTGATAAGGGTGTCGAGGCCATTCAATGGGAAAAGGACAGCCTTTTCAACAACTGGTGCTGGGAGAACTGGATATTCACATCCAAAAGAACGAAGTTGGACTCTTACCTTATACAAAAATGGACTCAAATGGATCAAAGACATAAACTTAAAGGCTAAAATTCTTAGAAGAAAATAAGAAGAAAGCTTCCTGACACTGGATTTGGCAAGGATTTCTTGAATATGCCAACAAAAGTACAGTCAACAAATGGAAAAATAGATAAACTGGACTTTATCAAAATTAAAAACTAGTACACTATCAAAAGAATAAAAAGGCAACCTGGCCAGGCGTGGTGGCTCACGCCTGTAATCCCAGTACTTTGGGAGGCTGAGGCGGGTGGATCACAAGGTCAGGAGATCAAGACCATCCTGGCTAACACGGTGAAACCCCGTCTCTACTAAAAAATACAAAAAATTAGCCGGGCATGGTGGCAGGCGCCTGTAGTCCCAGCTACTCGGGAGGCTGAGGCAGGAGAATGGCATGAACCCAGGAGGTGGAGCTTGCAGTGAGCCGAGATCACACCACTGCACTCCAGCCTGGGTGACAGAGCAAGACTCCATCTCAAAAAAAAAAAAAAAAAAAAAAAAAAAAAAGAATAAAAAGGCAACCCACAGAATGGGAGAAAATATTTGCAAACCATGTATCTGATAAGAGATTTATATCCAGTATATATAAAGAACTCCTAAAACTCAACAACAAAAAACCCAATTCAAAAATAGACAAAGGACTTGAATAGACATTTCTCCAAAAAAGAAATACAGATGGCCAAAAAGCAGATGAAGTGATGCTCAGCATCATTAATCATTTAGGAAATACAAATCGAAAATCAAAGTAAGATACCAGGTTGACTATTATGTTTTAAAAAAGGAAAAAAGAAAATATTGGCAAAGATGTAGAAAAACTGGACCCCTGGCTGGGCACGGTGACTCATGCCTGTAATCCTAGCACTTTGGAAGGCCGAGGCAAGCGGATCACAAGGTCGAGAGATTGAGACCATCCTGGCTAACACAGTGAAACCCCGTCTCTACTAAAAATACAAAAAATTAGCTGGGCGTGGTGGCGTGTGCCTGCAGTGCCAGCTGCTGGGGAGGCTGAGGCAGGAGAATGGCGTGAACCCGGGAGGCAGAGCTTGCAGTGAGCCAAGATAGTGCCACTGCATTCCTGCCTGGGCGACACAGCGAGACTCCATCTCAAAAAACAAACAAAAAAACAAAAAACAACAACAACAACAACAAGAAAAAACAACTGGACCCCTGTGCGTTGCTAATGTGAGTATAAAATACTACAGCCATAGTGGAAGACAGTACATCAGTTCATCAAAAATTTAAACACAGAATTACCCTATGATCTAGCAGTTCTACTTCTGGAAATATATACAAAAGAACTGAAAGCCGAGACTCGAAAAGATACCCACACACTAATGTTGCTAGCAGCATTATTTGCAACTGTCAAAAAGCAGAAACAACCTAAATGTCCACCCATAGACGAATGGATAAAGAAAATGTGGTATGTATATCTAATGGAATATTATTCTGCTTTAAAAAGGAAGGAAATTTTGACACACAGCTACAATGTCAAATCCTGAAATCATTATACTAAGTAAAATAAACCAGACAAAAAAGGAAAATACTGTATGATTTTCTTATATGAGGTTCCTAGAGTATATTCACAGAGACAGAAAATAGAATGATGGCTACCAGAGGCTGGCGTGTGGTGGGGAGGATGGAGAGCTAGTATTTAATAAACACAGAGTTTCAGCTGGAAAAAGTAAAAAAGTATTAGACATGGATGGAGATAATGGTTGTACAATAATGTGAATGCACTTAATGCTATGGAACTGTACATTTAAAAAATGGTTAATTCATTTTCACTCATGGTAAATTTCATTATTTTTTTTTGTGTGGGAGGAGACAGAGTCTCACTCTGTTGCCCAGGCTGGAATGTAGTCACATGATCTCGGCTCACTGCAACCTCCACCTCCCGGGTTCAAGCGATTCTCTTGCCTCAGCCTCCTGAGTAGCTGAGATTACAAGCACAGGCTACCATGCCTCCCTAGCATGTTATATATATTTTACCACAACTTAAAAAATAGAAAAAAAAAATGAGGTAGGGATTTATATGTTATAAGGAGAGATGCCCATGATCCATCAAATGGAAAAAGCAAGTCAGTAATATGATATAAAGTATGATTCCATCTCTGTGTGTATATGTCTAAACAATATATTTCTATAGGTACAGAAAATTTCTCAAAATATGTGTCCCCCAAAAACCTGTTAATAATACTTTTTTTAAGTAGTAGGCCTAGGGAGTTAGTGGCTACTATTCATGTCCTTCTATATTATGGATTATTTTGCCATCAAATATATGATGGATTATTTTACCATCAAAAAGCATTATTTTTAAAACAAAATCAGATAAAACCCAAAAATACATAACCTGAAATATTTACTTCTTTTAATTTAGCTGAATTAAAAACATTCTGGGATAATTATAGAATGTCTATAAATATATCACTAAGCATCCCTGCAAGAACTGAGAAGCACAGAGATTTTATAAGATATTATGACAGGATGCTGACCTTGGCAGGGAGCAGATTCCTAAAGTGGAAATTCGATGTTTAGGCAAGTGACTTTTTTCTTTTACAAGTTATATATAAAAAGCATTAAATCCATCATTTTATTAGAATATAAATCTAATCAAAAGCATTTTAAATCCTCATTTAAAAAGAAGAAAGAAGCAAGAAGGCAGTGGTGGTTTCTCTTGTTAAGACTGAATACATTCACTTGCAGAAAGCTTGTTAATGAAAATTAGCTCTGTAGATTAACACCATCATGTCTTCTAGTTTAATAGACATTTCAAAAGAGGTGACATTTTGAGACTGAGGTAGCCTGTTCCAGGGGCTGTTTTGGATGGACTACTCATACAAAGAAAATCGCATCTAACTGTATCAGAAAAAGTTTAAGGCCTATAAAACTCAAATAAAGGTATAACAGGAAAATAAACCATTAAAGATACAATTTTTAAATGTTTAAATAAGATTAAGAAAACAAGTTAATTAAGCAAATGGCAAAACTCTAAGAAAAAAAAAAACCACTTCCAGTGCTCAGGTTTTTTTTTTTCATTCTATTTTGATACTGATTTTACGTCCACACTGAATCTTTTGAAAAGCTTTTAATTAATAAAAATAACATACTATGCTCTGAAAGGCCTACAAAAATTTGTTTAAAAGGGTTATACTTTGCATATTAGTAAAGACTAGATTATAGGATAGTAACTACACAATCTCCAAATCCAAATGACTTAAAACTGCAAAAGTTAATTTCTTGCTCATACTACATGTATGGGTCATTAAGAAGGCTATGCTTGTCACTGTCAGTGACCCAGATGGACAGAGTAGGAATGAACAGTTACTTCCCTGTCAGAGAGAATGCACCAGTTCTTTAAAGCATCTTCCCAAATCAAGTCTCATGGCCACACTTAACTTCAAGTGGGCAGAGAAGTAGAATCCTATCATGTGCCCAGGAGAGAGAATGCCAATATTTATGAATAGCTCTAATCATTACTATACCTGGGAAGTTGTAGGAAATACCTCTGATTATTGCTGTATATATTATTTTTATTACTTGACCACTTTACAAAGAATATATATTACTTTCGCATTTAAAAACACATTCAAACACAGAATTTAAAATTTGTCCAGAGACTACACCTCAGACTATGGGGTGAAGACTGAGGAAACATTACTGTTTTATTATAGTAACCTTAATTGCAAGTTCAATTTTAAGAGTTGGTAATACATTTTTTGTTTTAAAAAGGTTGTATCTGCAAGGCTACAGTAATAAAATATTAAATTTCACAAATGGATTTTAGTTTTTCTTTCTACAAGGCTAAACAGATGACTCTAAATAACCAGCAGTGATCCATTTCTTCAGAGGCCTTAAAAATGTAAAGCTGTATCTTATAATCCTCAGAATAAACGTGTGAATGTGCAAATCGGGTATTACTAACTTCAATTTACAGAAAAGAAAGCTTAAGACTGGGTCACAAAGCAGTTAAGTCAGTGGGTCATGAATTTTTTTTTAACATTTTACTAATAAAAATTTCAAACAGAACAGTTAAAAAAAAAACTGTTCAGTGAAGGCCCATAAAGCCAATACTGAGCTTCTCTAAATAACATTTTGCTCTATTTACTCCACCAGCTATCTATCTAGGTATCCACCCATCAATTCATCTTATTTTTTATTCATTTCAAAGTTGCAGACAGCAGTATACTTCATCTCTAAACATCTGAGTTCAGTATTTGTTTTCTGTTCATATTCTGTATTTTTAAAGTTAAAGTTATACAGCAAAATGCACAAGTGTACACTTGGGTAAGTTCCGATAAATGAATTCGCCAACATAACCCAAACTTCTATTAAGACATATAACACTGGCCAGGCATGGTGGCTCATGCCTGTAATCCCAACACTCTGGGAGGTCAAGTCTAGTGGATCACTTGAGGCAAGGAGTTCAAGACCAGCCTCTCTACTGGTGAAACTCCACCTCTACTAAAAATACAAAAATTAGCTGGACGTGATGGCAGGGGCCTGTAGTCCCAGCTAATTCCCAGCTACTTGGGAGGCTGAGGCATGAGAATTGCTTGAATCTGAGGGGCAGAGGTTGAAGTGAGCCAAGATCACATCACCGCACTCCAGCCTGGGCAACAGAACAAGACCCTGTCTCAAAAAAAAAAAAAAAAGATATACAACATTTAACTTACAGAAATAGAGAGTAGAATAGTGGTTATCAGAGGCTAGGAGTCCTTGGGAGATGCTGGTCAAAGGACACAAAATTTCAGTTACAAGAAACAACTTCAAGTGATCTACTATACATCATAATGACTACAGTAAAATATATGGTATACTTGAAAATTGCTAAGAGAGTAGATTTTAAGTGTTCTCACCACACATAAAAAAATGAGGTAACGCATATGTTAAATAGATTGATGTAATCATTTCAAATGTGTGTGTGTCTACCATGCTGTACACCATTAATATATAAATAATTTTTACTTAATTAAAATTAACTACTTTTTTAATTAACATTTTCATTATCCCAGAAAGTTCCCTCAGTGGGCCTTGATTTGAATACATGATCTGGTTCCAAAGTCTACAATCTTTTCACAACATTATGCTACTTCTTTTTAATATGTAAACATACTAAACAATATTAATTTTTTTATGTCAAGCTCTCAATAATTAAGGTAGTTGAAACAGAAATATAAAAGGAAGAACACCCTCAAGACACCCTCCACCAAGGCCAAACAGCCCAGGTGTTTAATGTCTGTAGCAAGCTGAGTATACCACCTTCCTTCCACCAATGTCCACTACATAATTCCACTACATAAATAAAACAAGTTCTTCCCACCCTAAGAGTTCAACAGTTAATCCAGGAGAAACGGATGTCGCCATAAAAAGTATCTCATATGTTCATCTCTTGTATCTTCAATTAAACTAATAAATGGTTAGGGAAGGACCATTTCTTATGCTTGTGAGGCAAGAAGTAGGTTAGTAGTTAGTGGTTGCCATAAAAGGCAATAGACAGCTGAAGAAAAAAAAGGAAACGCTTTAGAATCAGCCAGGTCTGGGTTCACTGTCCTCACGCTTAATACGTACTACGTACATATTACATAACGATGTACTACGTACGTAGTACATATTACATAACGATGTAATATGTATGTAGTACATATTAATGTACAGCTATGTAATGATGTACAAATTACTTAACTTCTCTAAGCCTCAGGTTCCTCATCTGTAAAATGAGCCCTATATTTTACCTTCTTTTCAATGTCAAACTTCTCAAATAAATGACCTACATCCAGATAGATGCAAGCCAGACAAGCCCTTATCCTGGACCTCAAAATTCAGGAGAAATTCCTCTGGCCTTCTAGCAGCCATGCCCCTCCCCATGGGATAAGAGACCTTGGGAGCAAAGAGCATGGACGTTATGAGCCCATGCCTGGCTGTAGAATATACTCCAGGTAATCTAAAACCAGGAATTTCCTGAACAAACAGCAGTAGGCTTGGCTTCTAAGGTCTGCAGACCCATTCCCTGGTTCTTGCTTTTTGAGGATGGCACTTGAATGTGAGAACTGGTGGGTCCAAGTGTATGTGTAAAGCCAGCTTAAAGTACAGAATAGATTGTAGGGTAGGAAGAGAATGGGACTTAGGCTCAGACGAGGTGGGCCTAATGGGCCTGGTGGGCCTGCCCCATGTGGACATATACCGGCATGTAACTCTGAAGAATCTGAGAATTCTTAGTTTAAACCTCATCTTCCAGGTCCATATGAAGATTATTTGTCATTGGGTAGTGGGGGGAGGACAAAATGTATTTTACTCAATAATTTGTTCATTTAACTTACGTACATATAGTATATTGGTCTTTATATTTGCTGCAGACCCTGCAAATGTTACAAGCGGGCATGTCTACATATACTACTACTAACTTAAATGTGTATATAGTATTTGCCAAATTTACCTTCAATATTATCATACTTAATCACACAGTAATATTATGGGTTAGGTTTTATTAACCCCACTGCACAGATAAAAAATCAGACATGTGTAAGAAACATATCCAGCGTTCTTTCCTTCTATCTCCACATCACTCTCTTAACTCTCAAATAGTAGGGTCTCCTACTCTGGCATTATCTCCAATACTGCACTCTCCAAGACAATGTGCCTCTGATCCCTAAATGTGGTCCTTAATCACCATGACCTCTCTTTAGCATCTGATACTGTCAACAATTTTTTCCTTTCTTAGAATAGCTTTCTCCTCTGACTTCTAAGGCTTCACTATTCCAGTTTTTCACTTAGCCTTTCGCTCTTTCTCTGGCTTCTCTTCTTTTTCAGAATTTTTGTGAAGAGCGAATAAGATAATATTTCTGGGCCAGGAGTGGTGGCGCATGCCTGTAATCTCAGCACTTTGGGAGGCTAAGACAGGTGGGTCACCTTTGGTCAGGAGTTCGAGACCAGCTTGACTAACATGGTGAAACCCCATCTCTACTAAATACAAAAACTTGGCTGGGCATGGTGGCAGGCACCTGTAATCCCAGCTACTCAGGAAGCTGAGGCAGGAGAATCACTTGAACCTGGGAGGCGGAGGGTGCAGTGAGCTGAGATCACACCATTGCACTCCAGCCTGGGCAACAAGACAGAAACTCCTGTCTCAAAAAAAACAAAACAAACAAACAAAAAAAAAACTAGATAATGTTTCCCTCTCGATAGTGTCAGCACATAGCATTCATTTCATATGTTGGTTTGGTAATCTAAAAAGAATAGCTACCATTTTTTAGTGCAGTGTCACAGCACTAGGTACATACATACATATGTATGTTTGTATTATCCTATAATCCCAGTTCAGTAATAATAAAAATGGAGCTTATATTGGTTAACAGATTAGCCTGTGTTAGAAATCTGGCTCCAACACTTTCTAGCTCTATGCTCCTAAATAAATCATTTAAGTTCCCTGAGTGACTGCTTTTCCATCTGTGTAATGTTGCAATGGTCTTTTGAGAATTAAATGAAACAGGTTATAAAACAAACAGTACACGGTACACAGTTAATAAATATTAACTCCCTCCTCCTCTTGCTGCTTTCAGATGAATATATTAGTTTTTTTCTTGTGTGTGTGCACCCTTCCAAAAACTAAGTCCTCCATCACTTGACCTTCTTCTTTCATACTCTATAAGTACATTTTTTTAAATTTTTTTCTTTTTAAAATTATTTTTAAATTTTATTTTCTATACCTACATTTTATCATATTTGTGAATCTAACTCCTCTAGAAGGATGGTTCTGAATTAATTATCTGTGTCCAGATCTCTAACTGTCCAGGCCCACACCTCTAAGTTTTGCTAGTTATTTCTATTTGGAAATTCCACTGCCTGCCATATTAAACTTATCCTCTTCCTCACTAAATGAAGAATGGAAATCAAAAGAGTAGAGCAGCATAAAACATTACAAGGACAGAACTGATGAGACAGATGATAAAGAAGAAGCCAATTTCACAGTTGCAAGCTTGCCTGAGAAAATGACAAAACCTGAGAAGCAGAGTTTTACAGATCATGTCCAAAACTCTCTCTCTTTTCCTCAGTCTTCGGACATGAAACTCTAATTATTCTATTTCCCTAACCTACAAAGCCCAAAATGTTCTCTTTCCTTTGAATGCCCTCACATTTACATACTCCATTCATCTAACGTCGAATTATACACTGTCTTCTTTTACCAATTTTTATAAATGTGTATCTCATCTACCTAACTGTGCTGCAGGTTTTTTAAAACCAATGACTATCTCTTATATTTTTAGTATTCTTCTTTATGCCAATAAATGCTGATTGACTACTGTTATGAAGATATGGTCAAGAACTCAGATAATCATGAATAAAGATGTTTTCAGATTTTTTTTCTGATGTGGAGGAAAAGCTTTTCAAATCAAAAGCTTGGAGATCCTTCCAAAAACAGGGAAAATGAGACAGTTAATTTCTATTTCCCTCTGAAGGCTTTTAGTCTTGGTTTTAAACAGAAAAAAATAAATTCTCCAACATAGATTTCATTAGGCATTTGTTACTACTTTATAAATTATTTTCAAGAACGGTGCAAACTCTTCTTAAAAAATTATATTTTCTAAAATGGTTACCAGTCATTTTAATTTGTATTGGAAAGCAATTCTTAAAATTACAACGTGTCTACAACCATGTAATATAGACTGATGTGCTATTTAAGTATTAAAGAATTTCAAAACTTCTAAAAGCCAGATGACAAAAAACAATTACTGCAAAGTTTATTTAAAACAATGGATTTTTCCTTTCTTCCTTGGTTGGATGTATTTCAAATTTGGGGAAATTTGATTATATTACATTTTCTTTACTGTGATCAAAACAGAAGAAGTGCAGGGTAATAAGCTGATTTTGATTTCCTGATTTTACCTGAGTAGCTTTGTCTTTCATGCATGAAGGGTAGTGAACATGAGGATCCCGTGGCCACTGTCCTGTGAGGTAAGGTCCTGTTATTGTATCCAAAGAGGAGGTTCGCCTTATTGTACTAGAGGTCCGAACTTGCTGAGATTTTGCCTTGTCCGCTACAGAAAGTGAAAAAAAAGATTAGTCATTAGTGAATAAAATAAAATTTAAAGTTATCTAACTTCATAGTTTGTAGAATGTCATCCTGTCAATTTTTCCTGTGATATATATATTTACACTAATAGCCCTGTTGTATGATCAGATGAAATGTATGAACCATGTCCCAAGGAAAATACATTCATGTTAAATCTCACATACATTTCCAGGGCTCCCACAGACCCTATGAAGCCTATCCATTTTATATAAATCTGCATATCATCTCATTGCCATTATTTTAATTAAGACTCCCATTCATGTCTCACCTGAACTGCCAGTTTTCTAACTGCTATCCCTGTATCCATTTCAACTAAATTTTACAGTGTCATACCCAAATAGAAAACATTTCCATGGTTAGTCATTGTCTTTAATTTAAAGCCTATATTATTTAGTATGACATAATAAGCTTTCACGATTTGGGTGCCATATACCTCAATGCCTAATATCTTACTACTCCATAATCCCATGCTAAGCGTCACATGAATGGCCTGTGTTTTTCCAAAGGTAAAATACATTCTTTCTGCCTCTGTACATTCTACTTCCTGAGCCTAGAACTCTCTTTCTTGTTTACTTGACAAACTCATTTATCTTCAAGACCAGTTCAGATGTCACACTGCCTCTGTGAAAGTTTCCCTAATGCCCTTTCCTCTCGCCTTCCTTCTAAGATATACTTGCCTGTCTCTGCTTTCATGGCACCCTAAGCCTGTTTCTCTCTCCCATCACAACATAAGTTTAAACCCTACAGACTAAATAGGAACCAACATTCAATACTCACTTAATGAATTTATTCAGAGCTATACAAAAATAACATGTATAAATAACTTTATATTTTAATTCAACTTCCTCATTCACAGACGAAGAATTTGAGTCCTAGAGGAATACTGAACAAGAGATGCAAACAAGGGACAGAGGTAAAAAGAACCCAAAATCTACAGACATTATACACAGTTCAATCAATCTGCCATAACAAACTATGATACTTCTCCTTCCCATAGGGGTATCACAAGAATCTCTGTTAAAAATTAATCACACTGAACACCAAATCTACACAGATAACTATAGAGGATTCTCCATATATCTATCCTAAATAATTTACTACTAATGTGCATTCTGTGATAGAATCCAACAGATTTACAGGTTCCCAAGGCTAACTCTTTTCAGAGTCATATCTCACATCAAACAAAATGCCTTCCTCTTTACAGGGGGTGAAGAAACATTTATTATTGAATGCTGTCCTTCACCTTCCTGAAATCAGAATACATAGTTTACCAGAAAAACAGAAGAAAATGCATGTTATCATATTAGGCAGATAATAGCTTAGAACTGCAGTTTTTATTTTTTCCTTTGACCCAAGAATTGATAGAAAAGATCTGAAAATTACCAGATTTCCTCTTTATCTGTATTACTTTAGCTCTAATTGTATTATACTGAAGGCAGAGAATCTAATGGAACCCATTTCTACTCATTGGAATTACCTGAAATTTTCCCTGTGACCAAAAGCATGGTCATTTTTTATAAACGTTTCATGAATTACAGAGAAGATATTTTGTTTTCAGAATATATAGTTCCTTGTCTTATATATCAATTGAATTAAATTATAGAATATAGGAATAATTATCAGTTTTATCTGTTACAGACTTAGAAGAGTACTCTAAAAGCTTTAAACTACTATTGAGTTCTAAAAATTCTCTTTATTTTTTGCACATTTTTGACCTTTATATTTTAGTTCTATATTATTTAGCACATATAGATTCCTTTTTTTTCCTTTTTTTAAAAGTATACTTTAAGTTCTAGGGTACATGTGCACAATGTGCAGATTTGTTACATAGGTATACATGTGCCATGTTGGTTTGCTGCACCCATTAACTTGTCATTTACATTAGGGATTTCTCCTAATGCTATCCCTCTCCCAGCTCCCCACCCTATGAGAGGCCCTGGTGTGTGATGTTCCCCTTCCTGTGTCCAAGTGTTCTCATTGTTCAATTCCCACCTATGAGTGAGGACATGCAGTGTTTGGTCCTTGCGATAATTTGCTCAGAATGATGGTTTCCAGCTTCATCCACATCCTTGCAAAGGTCATGAACTCATTCTTTTTTATGGCTGCATAGTATTCCATGGTGTATATATGCCACATTTTCTTAATCCAGTCTATCACTGATGGACATTTGGGTTGGTTCCAAGTCTTTGCTATTGTGAATAGTGCCGCAATAAACATACGTGTGCATGTGTCTTTATAGTAGCATGATTTATAATCCTTTGGGTATACACCCAGTAATGGGATCGCTGGGTCAAATGGTATTTTTAGTTCTACATCCTTGAGGAATCACCACTGTCTTCCACAATAGTTGAACTAGTTTACACTCAAACCAACAGTGTAAAAGCATTCTTGTTTCTCCACATCCTCTCCAGCATCTGTTGTTTTCTGACTTTTTAATGATTGCCATTCTAACTGGTGTGAGATAGTATCTCATTGTGGTTTTGATTTGCAGCCAGAAGAGAGTGGGGGCCGATATTCAACATTCTTAAAGAAAAGAACTTTCAACCCAGAATTTCATATCCAGCCAAACTAAGCTTCATAAGTGAAGGAGAAATAAAATTCTTTACAGATAAGCAAATGTTGAGAGATGTTGTCACCACCAGGCCTGCCTTACAAGAGCTCCTGAAGGAAGCATTAAACATGGAAAGGAACAACTGGTACCAG
Source organism: Homo sapiens (assembly GCF_000001405.40). Taxonomy (NCBI): domain Eukaryota; kingdom Metazoa; phylum Chordata; class Mammalia; order Primates; family Hominidae; genus Homo; species Homo sapiens. Next base: position 8,001,169 of record NC_000007.14, on the reverse strand, counting down.
CCACTGCAAAAATATGCCAAATTGTAAAGACCACCGATGCTAGGAAGAAACTGCATCAAATAACAGGCAAAATAACCAGCTATCATCATAATGTCAGGATCAAATTCACACATAACAATATTAACCTTAAATGTAAATGGGCTAAATGCCCCAATTAAAAGACACAGACTGGCAAACTGGATTAAGATTCAAGACCCATTAGTGTGCTGTATTCAGGAGACCCATCTCACATGCAGAGACACACATAGGCTCAAAATAAAGGGATGGAGGAAGATATACCAAGCAAATGGAAAGCAAAAAAAAGCAGGGATTGCAATCCTAGTCTCTGATAAAACAGACTTTAAACCAACAAAGATCAAAAGAGACAAAGAAGGCCATTACATAATGGTAAAGGGTACATATAGATTCTTGACATCAACATTACAGCTTATATGCATCATATTATAATTTGTCCCATTAATTATTTTTGAAATTTTATGATACTGAATATTATGACCCCCTTCTGCTTTCTTTCTGTTAATTTACATGGTATGCCCATCCTAAAAGATTTTTTTATGTGTATCATAAAACAAAGTATGTTTTTATACTTTTTGAAAAAAACATTGTAGCGAGCCTTCTGGTTGTAAAAGGTGAGCTTATCCCACTTATATTTATTGTTATAAGAAATTTGGTTTAATTTGTCATGTAATTTTTTCCTATTTTGGAATGTTCCTTGCTAATTGCTTTCTGTTTTATTGTTTGTTTCTTCTCCCTTTATCTTTACCTCCTCCCCACATCATAGGTAACTCTGAAGATACATAAACTGTTTCTAGTTCTATTAATACTACTAGAAGTTATTTATATTAACTTTTTGAATATTTTTCCTGGTTATAAAGGCAATACCTACTAATTTTAGCAACACTGGGAAACAGAAAATTAACATCTCCCATTATCTGATTTATAGTAATTTGTTTAAAATTTTAAAGTTTACTTTAAATTCCTTCCACTGCGAAGAAACACAAGACAACAAACTGTTGAGAGGCAAAGCCGACATTTATCAGTTGACCTCTAAATTTAAAAGGCCTATATAAAGGTCAGCTATAACCAGATAAGGAAACGCCATTCTAAGTGAATAACTTGAGCCTCTACTTAAATTGCTCCAAACAATTTGAAACGCTGTATGTAGTCCATTTAATTATTAAAACTCCTTTTAGTTTAGTAAATAAACAATAGGAACCATTTTAATGGTTTTTTTGAAGGGGTGGTGTTTATTTTATTTGTGTTTTCTACAGACGGTCTAGTTCTGTCACCCAGGGCTAGAGGACAGTGGCATGATCACAGCTCACTGCAGCCTCAAACTCCCAGACTTAAGTGATCCTCCTGCCTCAGTCTCTTGAGTAGCTGGGACCACAGGTGTGCATCACCACACCCAGCTAATTTTTTAAATTTATAGAGATGAGGCCTCACTATGTTGACCAGGCTGGTCTCAAACTCCTGGGCTCAAGCGATCCTCCCACCTTGGCCTCCCAAAATACTAGGAATACAGGTATAAGCCACCACTCCCAGCCTTGTTCTTTTTAGACACAGGGTATTGCTCTGTCACCTGCCCAGGCTGGAGTGTACCGGCGTGATCGTAGCTCACTGCAGCCTGGAACTCCTGGGCTCAAGCTATCCTCCCACGTCAGCTCTACAGTAGTTAGGACTATAGGTGTGCACCACCACATCTGGCTAATTTTTAAATTTTTTATGGGGATGGGGTCTCGCTGTGTTGCTCAAGATGGTTTCAAACTCCTGGCCTCAAGCAATCCTTTCCCCTTAGGCTCCCAAAGCACTGAGATTACAGGCATGAGTCACAATACTCAGCCCATTTTAATGTTTTATAATGAGTTAAATATATAAACAATCTATAAATGAGTCCCTTGGTCTGTATAATAATATTCTAATCTATACTTTTACTTATTTACTCTATATTTACTTAATTTTTCTTTTATTATATTTTTAATCATTGAATCTTTATCTATCTCTTTAAAAAGATCACATGCTCTACACTTAGTGTTCACTTTCTATAACTACTCTGTCAGAACTATGGTCTTCAAATTATTTTTACTAAGTGTCCCTATTGGTAAATATATAGGCATGCAGTAATGTGTAGCTGCTTATTTATGAACTGGATATCTATGATATTGCTAATATTTTATATATTATAAAACAGAAAAATAGAAATGTATATGTAGAAAATAAAAAATAAAAATACAGAAATTATATTTTCTTTCTGTATCTCAAAAAATAAATTTTGGGGGGCAACAACCTATTCAACAACCTATTTAGAGACATTAAAAGCTTGACTATACACTCTAGAAAATATCCTGCTGCAAAAAAGTCAACCAATTCTTTGAAATCTGTAATTAGCAGCTAAACTTTTAGATCTAATAAATTTAAACATGTAGTCAGCTCCTTCAAAAGGTCAGTAGCTATTAATAAATTAAGTTCTGGCCATGGCAATAAGAACCTTAAAACCTAAATACAAAACACTCTAAGGTAGAATGCTTAGGAACACTAGAAAGTAAGAAAGACAAAGTACACTATAGCTTCTTTGGAAAAAGACCCAACCACGCAAACAAGGCATTTTGCATGCAAATAAAAGTTAAAAGTAGTTACAATAAAAGCTACCTCCTGAGCCTGCACGGTGGCTCACACCTGTAATCCCAGCACTCTGGGAGGCCGAGGTGGGTGGATGACCTGAGGTCAGGAGATTGAGACCAGCTTGGCCAAAATGGCGAAACCCTGTCTCTACTAAAAGTACAAAAATTAGCTGGGCGTGGTGGAGGGCGCCTGTAATCCCAGCTACTCAGGAGGCTGAGGCAGGTGAATTGCTTGACCCGAAAGGCGGAGGTTTCAGTGAGCCAAGATCACGCCACTGCACTCCAGCCTGGGTGACAAGAGCGAGACTCCGTCTCAAAAGCAAAACAAAACGAAACAAAACAAAAAACAACAACAACAAAAAAAAAAAAAAACAAAAAAAACTACCTCCTCAAAAATGTAAGTCTGAAAAAAACAAAGTAGGTTCTCTTACAAAATGAAAGTGCCAGAGTAAAATTAAATCAGACTGCTCTAATATATGTTAAATGTAGATTTTAATAATTTAATTTCATTAAATAATTTAACCCTAAGTCTGAAAATTTTTATAAACTAGCTATAATATTCTACAGCTACTTTATTTATTTATTTATTTATTTATTTATTTATTTATTTATTTATTTATTTGAGACAGAGTCTCACTCTGTCACCCAGGCTGGAGTACAGTGGTATGATCTCGGCTCACTGTAACCTCTGCCTCCCAGGTTCAAGTAATTCTCATGTCTCAGGCTCCCGAGTAGCTGGATTACAAGTATGAACCAACATGTCTGGCTAATTTTTGTATTTTTTGTAGAGACAGGGTTTCACTATGTTGGCCAGGCTGGTCTTGAATTCCTGACCTCAGGTGATCTGCCTGCCTCGGCCTCCCAAACTGCTGGGATTACAGGTGTGAGCCACCATGCCCAGCCTCTATAGCTACTTTATAAAACCTTTATTTTAACAGGTAGTCAGTGAGTTTTTCATGATGTTTAACTTCACTTATTCATATTAATTCAATCTTCATTGAAATCAAAATACCAAATTCATCAAGATCAGACTGAATACAAGACATTAAGTTGCTTTTCTTAAACTTCAAAATATCTGGAAATGATATAGTTCTTAATCTACCTGAGATCAAAAATAGCCATAAATAAATACAGGTGTGGAATTTTCCTGCTATTGGTTCACTAAGGCTAAGCATAAATTTCCTAAAGCTCAATTTTATTAGTAGAAATTTACTTCATTAATTCTGTAATGAGAATACCTTGAAAGCTATAGTTTTTAATGTATTATCACTACTAACATTAAGTAATTTTCTCCTTGCCTTGCAGTTATAGACAATGATTTTCAAAATAAATTTAAAAAAAAAGGTAACAAAATAACTGAGAATACAAGATATGGAAAGGTGACTGGTATGTTTTTCTACCCAATCTAATGTACATTAATATTTATCATCCAATAGAATTATTACTAGATTTAGTTTTCCTAAGTTAGCATAATCTAAGCACTTCAACAGCCATTAATAGTCTTCCTCCTTGACATATAAAATGATGAAACATTAGCCAAATACATAGGCCACGTAAAATAAAATCACCAAATTCAAATGAACTTCAGATAAGTGACAGGAAGGACACAAGTTGTGAATATGCTATCTGAAATAAAACCAAAGAGCAAAACTGAAGCTCTCTCAGTGTGGGTAGAATCTGAAATACTCATCAACCAAACCTGGAACCCTACCACAGAAGCAATCTAGAAAACATGCAGAAATGACCATATGGCTGCCCTGCAGAATCTGGAAAGAAACCAATCAAGAAGCTGACAAGAGAAACAAACATGCTTCTGACCAAATGAGGCCTGACAAAACTCTGTAACCTGAGGTCCATCAGGAAAAACAAACAAACCAAAAAATGCAGTCAGGCAGCTATTTGGGCATGATTCTCTAGGTTACAGCTCACCCAATAAACTTATGTCAAATGACACATAAGACATTTAGAAGGAGGCCTTCAGTCTATTTTCAAAGAAAACTCAAGGGAGTATCTTTGCATCAAGGTTGAAAAGAAAACTTCACTAATATGGCTACAAGAAGCCTGGTAACAAGCACTGAAAAAGTACACAACAAATTAAGATGGAGCTCTGATATTTGGAATACTTTTTTTTTTTAATTACATATATGGCAAAAGATTTTTTTAAGTTCGTTTTTTTGGGAGGTGGCAGAATGATAGTCCTTTAACGAACTTTAGCAAAGTAGTAATTAGTAGAAGGAGATTCATCAGCCTTACAAATTTCAAATGAATTCTGTTAATGAAATTCCAAACATCTAAAATCCACTATGACTAATGAGTTCATATACTAAAGAAGTAATCACAAAGTATTAGCAACTACAAAAACAACTAAAATAACTGACCAAAGGTGGAAAGTCATATTGTAAGCAAAAGGAACACAAATATTCCTACTCAGAAAACAATATTTCACAAAATTCTGTGAATTTAACTTCCAGTTAAAGCACCACAGCTTGGAAAATTTTTTATGAAATGAGACAGGCTCACTATTACATCTCAATTTATAAAGAAAAACTGTTTTTAACAAGAGCACAACAACAAAGGTTATAAAATAGGCTCTCTTTTTTTCATTTTTATTTTTTTTAATTGAACTTAAAATTTATTTTATTTTTTTTATTATACTTTAAGTTCTAGGGTATATGTGCACAACGTGCAGGTTTGTTACATATGTATACATGTGCCATGTTGGTGTGCTGCACCCATTAACTCGTCATTTACATTAGTTATATCTCCTAATGCTATCCCTCCCCACTCTCCCCACCCCACGACAGGCCCTGGTGTGTGATGTTCCCCTTCCTGTGTCCAGGTGTTCTCACTGTTCAATTCCCACCTATGAGTGAGAACATGCGGTGTTTGGTTTTTTGTCCTTGCAATAGTTTGCCGAGAATGATGGTTTCCAGCTTCATCCATGTCCTTACAAAGGACATGAACTCATCCTTTTTTATGGCTGCATAGTATTCCATGGTGTATATGTGCCACATTTTCTTAATCCAGTCTATCATTGATGGACATTTGGGTTGCTCTGTCACCCAGACTAGAGTGCAGTGGCACGATCTCGGCTCACTGCAGCCTTGATCTCCCAGGCTCAGATGATCCTCCTGCCTTAGCTTCCCGAGTATTTGGGGCTACAGGCACATGCTACCACGCCCAGCTAATTTTTGTATTTTTTGTAGAGGACGGGGTTTTGCCATATTGCCCAGGACGGTCTGGAACTCCTGGGCTCAAATGATTTGCCTACCTCAGCCTCCTAAAGTGCTAACTAATATTACTGGTCAAACACCTTGATAATTAAAGTAGGGAATAATTTCCTCAATATAATGACACATAGGAAAAAGCATTTTCCCTCAAAATTTGCTTTTTATTTAATAAGAAATAAAGGCAACAAATAGAAAAATATTCACTCTTCTAGTAGAGGATACTACTAAAATTTTTCACTTGCTTTTACTTGGGATTGATGTCCATACATACAGAAATACACAGACATACACAAAACACAAACACATACACTCACATGCTCTCCCTATTTGTCCACGTAACAGTTTCACTTCAAACACTGATACACAAACACAAACACTGTTAGTGTATTAAGTGAAACCATTACCTGGACAAATATGGAGAGTGTGTGAGTGTGTGTGTGTTTGTGTGTATCTCTATGTATATCTATGTAATATATGTAGCATTTTCTGTCCATTAAATAGAGTAATAAGTCAATATTCAAGACTGTTCCTTATATAGAAGTTTTGTCAATGTATTCCAACAATATGAAGATGCTGGCAGAATAGATTTTAACGACAGACAGACAGCAAGGAAGAAAGGTGCTACACTTGAATGTCCCCTCCAAAACTCATCTTGGAATTTAATTGCCACTCTGATGGTATTAAGAGTTGGGACCAATAAGAGGCAATTAGGCCATGAGGGCTCTGCCTTCATGAATGCATTAATGCTATTACAAGAGCAGGTTGTTATTAGAGCTAGGTCAACCCTCTTTTGCTCTCTTGCCTTTCTACCTCTGTCATGGGATGACATAGCATGAAGGCCCTCACCAAATGCTAGTACCTTGATACTGTACTTCCCACTCTCCAGAATTGTGAACAATGAATTTCTTTTTTGTGAAAGTGGCAAAGTAAAATTAAATCAGACTGCTCTAATATGTAAGTTAAATTTAGATTTTAATAGTTTAAATTCATTAAATAATTTAACCCTGAGTCTGAAAATTTTATAAACTAGCTATAATATTCTATAGCTACTTTATTTATTTATTTGAGACAGAGTCTCACTCTGTCACCCAGGCTGGAGTGCAGTGGTGTGATCTCAGCTCACTGTAACCTCTGCCTCCCAGATTCAAGTGATTCTCATGTCTCAGCCTCCCAAGTAGCTGGGATTACAAGCATGAACCAACATGTCTGGCTAATTTTTGTATTTTTTGTAGAGACAGGGTTTCACTATGTTGGCCATGCTGGTCTGTGACACTGTTATAGCAATACGAAACAGATTAAGACAATAGCCAAACAAAAGATTCAAGGACAATACAGATGGTTCCACATTTATGATATTTCAACTTAGAATTTTTTGACTTTATGATGTGTTTATCAGGATATAAACCCATCATACCTAAGTCAAGAAGCATTTGGACTTATGATAGTTTGACTCACAATTTTTTGACTTTACAATGGGTTTACTGGGGTATTAAATGCATATTTGACTTAAAATATTTTCTTTTTTTTTTTCAGGATGTAACCCCCATTGTAAGTCAAGGAGTATTGGCATCTACAACATAATAAAGTCACAAAATATCTCCACAAAACACCAAATATAAATGAGTTGGGAGAAAGCATAAAAAAGTATTGGGCCATAGTGGTATCAGCATCTGTGTGAGAGACAGCAAAGGAATGTACCCAGGCTTCTGATGGTCCAGAGAACACAATTCACTAATGGGTAAATGTAAAGGGCCAATCTAGAATAGTAGCCAAACTGGGAGGGGATTCCACACAATCTGATTTGCAAGTGAAAGCAAGAGGACATCAACTCAATAAAGTCTGAGATACTAGAGCAATATGGCTATGCTCAAATCTAACAAAAAAGAACTGCTTCCAACATGGAATCCAACAGTAAAGAGAAATTACTGAGAGTCTAATCAAAATTGAGCAGACAGAAGCAAAGAAAAGAGAAGGTTGAGAAAAAGTTGGACAACGGAGTCAGGAAGAGAGCAGAATCGAGAATTTTTTTAGAAGTCATTTTACAAAAACAAGAAGAGTGGGAGCACTAGAGCCTTGAAGACAGAAATGGTATCATGAACTATCCACCCTATTTAAAAGTACAAAAAAAATCATTTTACTTAAAAAAAATGAACAACAGAAAATAGCAGATTCTTCCTAAAGTTATTGTAAGGGAATAAAAGCATACAAAGAATAAAAGATGTCCCTATGAATAATGAAAGCATGCCAGAAAGACATGCTCACATAAGATGAAAACTGTGACCTAATATTTCAAAGTAAGCTAAAAATCCTTTTTTAAATGACAACAGTGATGAAAAACCTCATTACTTAAAAAATACTCGGAAATGATGTGTTTGACAGCAAGGAAGATATGAAAATAGAGGTGATCAAACTCAGGAAAAACTTAGAAAAGATATCAAAACTTATTTTAGGGATGAAGACTAAGTTACAAGAAACACAAGAATGAATAAACACAATGGATAATGCCTTAACAGAAATAGGAAATGGTAAGAAAAAAACTACAGAATTAAAAAAATGAGGAGACAAGATTTCAAGAGAAAGTAATATGTAACATAGGCAAAGAAGGTCCAACATGTGTGTGTAACAGGAGTCCCTCAAGAAATGACCAAAGGAACAAAACAAAAAATACTAAAAACTATAATTTTTAAAACTCTCCTAAAATAAAAGATAACTTGAAAGGACATACGGAAAGGACATACTTATATCTGGGGAAAATAATCAACATATCAAATATATCTGATAAAGCTAAAGTGACCTTCAAGTATAAAGGCTACAGATTAAAAAAGCTATATCTGAGTTCTTGCTACATAACTAGCAAGAACTTACGGAATATTGTTCCTATGAGTCTTTCCTGAAAATCTATTAGAGAATGCTCTTCAATCAAAAGCCTGGAAAGGAATTAACATAAGAACTGGTGGAAGGTGTGAGTCATTGAGCCAGCACCTTTGAAGGAGAAGAGAGCAGCAGTATGTTCAGTATCTCTATGGGCAAGTCTTCCACCACTAAATGAAATAAATGACCATAGAAGGATAGTAAAATTACATTGTTTCCCTCTCAACACATTTGAATTTAAGACTATAAATTTCCAGAATGTCTGATAACTAAATGTGAGTTATTAAATTCCTTCTAGAGCCAGATATATATATATATGAGAGAGAGAGAGAGAGAGAGAAACAGACAGAAAGAAAGAAAGAAAGAAAGAAAGAAAGAAAGAAAGAAAGAAAGAAAGAAAGAAAAAATAAATTCTAATATTCCTCCAACGTCATTGAATTGGCTAGCCTTAGAGAGGTAAGTTTTCTCCCTAAGTAACCTAGTAAAGAAATCAGCTCCTGCTCAATCTAGAGGAGAAAGTAACTGAAATTGGAGGATTCACACTAAAACCATCAATAGGTTTTTGCCTATTCTCTCCCTCCAAGCCTGACACTCACAAAGTTCCAAGTGCATCCTATGGAAGTCTATAGCAAGAACCAGGAAAGCATTAAGAAATAGTAGTTCCTTTTATGGAGAAAGATATTTACCATGAGAAATGATGGGATAATGGACTGAGGGGGTTGAAGAAGAGCCATGTAGAAAAGATAGAAGCCTTGAGGAAGATCTTCTCCTTGCAATGGGGTAAATCTAGAAGGGCCTCTTACAGAACAAAGAGAATAACCAGGCTCCTTCCACACTACCTTACCAACTACTGGACATGTCAGTAAAGAACAAAGCATCCCTAAAATTATTTTCAAGGCCAAGAAAAAGCTGATTATGGCTATTAATATTATGGAATCTCTACAAAAGGACAATCAAATTATGCCATGTAAAATGTATTTAGATAGGTGTATGCCTATAATTCCTCTAATTCTGAAAAGTAACATCCTTCCTTGGAAAATTATCTGCATTCTTATTTCCTATTTGAATAAAGAACAGCTAAATATAATACAGAAAACACAACAGTCTCCTAGACAAGTGAATAGCCCTTCTCATGATATCTAAACTGAAAAGTAGAATTCCTAATCCAAATATATTTTAACATACAATTTATAAACAAAAGATTCACACACTTAAACACTTTGCTTATGTAATAACTACAAATTAGCTCGTAACTGTCTAGCAATAGGGTGAAGAGTTAAATCCATGGTTAAATGTAGAAGAGATGAAGGGGAAAGGCCTAGGAAAAAGAGTAACTATTTAACCTGAGTAAGGTATGATTTCCAGCCAAGCTAATCTACTGCTGCAAAGCAAATGATAAATAGAAATCTGTACTGAAATATGTCTGGATACCACTGATTTGCTCAATGCAAAATAATGTAGTAAATTAAATATAGCTCACAAGCTGTATTCTCCCCACCCCCACAATGTGTCCCCAAATCCAGCAATGGTGAATATGTTGTTTACTAGGAAACACAACTAGCTACACTTTTCTAGAGTAAACCCAGAATAAACAGACTCAACAGAATGAAGGCTTCAGAAATACGGAAACACAGACGTTAATTCTAGCATTTACTTTCATATATATTGACACCAAAGAATCAAATATGTAGCTGTAAAGCAGTAGCTTATCCAAAATTGAGTGCTTCATAAAGTCGGAAAGGCCAAAAGCAGCAGAAAATATCCTGAAGGAAAATGTCTTACAGAAATCACACTTTTGTAGAGGCCACGAGTAAAACACAACACAGTAAAACACCAGTCTATGTCTGCATACACAGAACACCTTTCACCTCAACAATTCTACAAATATTGTGCATAAAAGATTGCCAGGAAGTTTTGCCAAGGATTGAGAGCAACTGAAGAAATAAAACAACCAGCAGCATAAACAAGTGTAGGGCAAAGTGTCATAACATATTGGAGGATAGCATTATGCTTTATTTTCTAAAATAGCCACAAAACTGGGCATTATTATCTTTGTCAAAAAGAGTCAATTGATATTACCGATTGAACTGTGCTTCAGTCAAAATGGCACTGTCCAGGCGATACAGACTACAGTCACAAAGTTTTAGTGTTTACTGTATTTAATTTTTTTCTCCTCAACAAACAAAGAGCACTGTTCACCCTAAGTGCCCAAGAAATGAGTGAATTAATCTCAGATGATAGTTTTAGATACAGCCTGAATCATTAACAATACCTAGAATAGCTGGGGCATTTGGAATACAAAACTGAATAATACCTCCAGATGTACTGGACTCATCTCAAAGTAGGAGGAAAACAAAACCACACCAAGCCAGATAGCTCCAGTGGATTTTTTCTCTCCTTTCTCTCTCCCTTCACTTCTGATTACATTTTTAAAATCCTTTCTATGTGTTTAGTATTAACAGGTGACAAGAACTGAACTACGCATGTTCGGAGCATTATAAGTAATGTAGCTCACTTATTTCTCATGGAGATCACACACTTGTATCTGTCTCTCTTTTCACCTATATCTCAGCTATTTTACTTTCACTTTAGAATGAGACAGGAGAGGAAAAAAACTAACAATCAAAATATGTTTACCTTGCACTTAAATGATTAATGCAAGACTTATCTACCAGGAGGTATGTTCCTAAAAGGCAAGAATGTTGTCATATTTTCATTTATCTGACACCTAGTATATCTACTTACAAAACAGTTGTTAAACTTGTGGCTATCACAAGTGGTCTCCTTAGCCTTTACTATGAAATAAATATTCAAAAATTTAAAATCGCCTGGCATGTATTCTAGACCTCTTTACCAAAGCAGACTTTTGGGAAGAGCCTCAAGTAGAATAGCTCCATATTTCTCGTTAATATTCTTTATGTGAGGCTCATCTAAAATCACTGTGAATAAAGTACAAGACAGTGAAAAAAACAACTTGAATTCAGGTCCAATTGTCATTCTATTTTCCTCATTTATATAAAAGACCATGATTTCTATGCTCTGACATTTTACAAACACAAAAATAGAACAGGTTGATGGAGTGTCTCTTGCATTGACAGATGCACTGCCAACACAAATTAACCATACTTGCCAATGTGACAGATTAGATAAGGAAAGAGAGGAACTCCCAAGGTTAATTTTCAAGGTGGCTCCAATAGCATCAGCTAGTGGACTACCTTCTTCAAACTCTAAAGTACAGTAAGGGTGGTAATGCTAGCCGCTACAATTTAAAATTATAGCTTTATTTTTATAAAAAATTAGTGCCTTATCACAATAAAAGCCCAATATGTATTTTCTGACTGACAGATTGCTTTTTACTTGATCATTTAGGGATTCAGACTTCATTCATCTCATGGCTCTACCATTCCATTAGGACCTTGGTCAGAGTCCTTTACTAGATTCTCTGCATCCAGTTGGCAGATGAGGGAAAAGAAAGAATGAGGAGGACCACATAAGAATTTTTAAGTTGAACAAGGATGAAAGTGTTCTTTATCATTTAGCCTTATCTAACTGCAGCAGAGGTCAGCAAAGAAAAAAATACAGAACTGCAAAGGGGGCCAGAAATTACAGCCTAGAAGTAGGCACAAGAGGGAGAGAAAAGAGGATTAGGTGAACATATAGGAGTCTACTATAGAAGACTTTTTGTATTATTAATAACTCTATTTGTCTAAATTACTCTTGGAGACAGTCTGTCCAAATTTTAAAGTGACTCTCATTGCATAAGCATCATCATCTGTCACCATAAATAAGATAATCTAACTTAATCACCTACCTTACTCTCCACATTAGGTTCTTAATGACATTTGGTTATTTTCAAAAGTCGTATCTACCCCTAAAAGACAGATTCACTCCAAGAGTATTCTAAATGAAATTCTCCGAAGACATTAAAAAAAAGTACTTCAAAAAGACTAGAAAACATATATAATTCCTCAATGTGACCTCTTTGAATAGGCTTTTAGAGGAGTGCACTGTTTTCCTTAAAGGATGGTCAGGACTCCCATAACTTATTCGAAAGTTCTTAAGATTTGTCAAAGCAAGGTGGTATGTAATTTCACACTGATGATACTAAGTATCTACTAATAACAATACACCTGATAGTAAAAAACAAAACAAAACAAAACAAAACAAAAAACTCTGCTCATCAGCATTAAAACACGTAACACTAGTTGAACTTTCTGGATCCTTTTAACATAGACTTAACCACAAAAACCTTATTGTAAACTGTAAACTCTTATCAACAGAGACTCCAGTGCTGCCTTAGTTCTAGGTTTTGGGATTTGGGGCCATATGGAGATGAAAGACTATATTCTCATATTCCAAACATCATCTTACTGAAAGACTACTACTTACTCTCCCCAAAAAGCATTATGTCCGTCACTCCCATCTCATCTCCAAGAAGACTCCCATTATCTTGGTACTGTTGTTCTCAATTTAATATCATGAGGAAAATAATCTAATTGAACTAATTCATACAAAGATAGTGAGTTTCAAGGATATCTTTTCAGAGATACGCATTTTAAAAAATAAAATGGTGGCTCACTCCTGCAACCCCAGCTCTTTTAAAGGCCAAAGCGGAAGGATAACTTGAGGCCAGAACAGCCTGAACAACACAGTGGAACCCCATTTCTAAAAAAAATAAAAAATAAAAAATAAATTAGCCAGACATGGCGGCATGCACCTGTAGTCCTAGCTACTCGGGAGGCTCAAGTGGAAGGATCGCTTGAGCCCAGGAGTCTGGGGTTACAGTGAACTATGATTATGCCATTACACTCCAGTCTGGGCAACAGAGCGAGACTCTGTCAATCATCAATCAATAAATGACTGTCAACTCAAAAGGATCTCTAAGTAGTAAAATGTCAGGCAATTTGTTAGAGTGAAATAGAAACATTCAAGTAGAGAAATACATTTGGTGGGCAATGAGATCCTGAACAGTCCAGAATTCCTGCCCTCAAGAAACTGACATTTCAGATGAGATGACAAGTGTCTTAAATAGTGACAGTACGATGTAAAGGTGTAAATACAGTGCTTTGAATATTCAAAGAAAGCCACACTTCTCTTTACCTGGAAACGTCAGGAATATTTTGCAGAGAAGCATGATATTGGAAAGCTGTTTGCAAAGAACGGCTAGGGTTTTCAGGCAAAAATCATGTATATTAGAGGCACAAGTATTCCTGACAGGAAAAATATACCCAAAGAAAGTGAGTTCAGTTTGGCAGGAACACAAGGTACACAGTGGAGGATAGTGAGATGAGTCTTTTACCCCTAATTCACCAAGGAACCAACAGAAATCTTTCATTAAAATCAGTTTTTGTGGGGTTTTTTTGTTTTGTTTTTAAAGAAAGACTGTACTTATAGCAGTATAATGATTACATTAAAGATGCAAGACAACTGGCATGGGAAAAGACTTAAGAGGTGACAATTCCAAAAGTCCAAGCAAGAAGTAATAATTAGGACATGGAAAGAATGCAAAAAAACCCCACCATGTTCAGTAGATAATTCTGAGAAGGTAAGACAAGATATAGTGACCAGAAGGATGGGAGAAATGAGTGAGGAGAAAAAGTCAAAGATTATGCTAGTAGGAAGTAAGAACTCAATCCAATGACACTCTAGGTCTGAATATCTCTTAACCATAAAGGCTGGAACCATCATGCCAATAAGTGAAGAAACCAACTCCATTTCTGTACCAAGTCTCTGAGTGTAAATTTAAATCATTCAATACTCTTACCTTCATAACTATGCTTCTAATCATATATTACATATGAATCTTTAAAACACATGACTCAAACTTGCAATTATATAGAGTAAAATTTGTTGAATTTTATTAGTTTTATTCTCAGTAACACAGAAAAATACACTAGGTCACTTTTTCTTTTTTTTCTTTTTTGAGTCAGAGTCTCGCTCTGTCGCCCAGGCTGGAGTGCAGTGGTGTGATCTCGGCTCACTGCAAGCGCCGCCTAGCAGGTTCATGCCATTCTCCTGCCTCAGCCTCCTGAGTAGCTGGGACTACAGGTGCCTGCCACCCCCCCCTCCCCCTGCTCCCGGCTAATTTTTTGTATTTTTAGTAGAGACAGGGTTTCACCGTGTTAGCCAGGATAGTCTTCATCTCCTGACCTCATGATCCGCCTGCCTCAGCCTCCCAGAGTGCTGGGATTACAGGCAGGAGCCACTGTGCCTGGCCACACTAGGTCACTTTTTCAAAGCATGTAAATTGAATACGAATTCCTGTACTAAGAGAGTATGATATATTCTATTTTGTGAAAAAGAGATTGAATACACTTTAAAACTTTTTATACAGACAGTAACAGGATCAAGAAGAAGATAAAAACCATGAGCAAAATATCCAAAGACAGTTATAATGATACTTTAAAAAATTCAGATTTGTAAACTTGTAGAATGTGTAAGGATCATGTCTGTTTTAACTTGCCATACACAGGTACCAACTATAAAAATACTCATTTCCAGCCAATAGAAATGCAGTAATTATACTTTTCAATGCTTGTTTCAAGTTTGAATTTAAATACCAACATAATCTTCCACTCAAAAATTATAAAGCCAACCCCAGCAGAGAAAATTGATACATTTGTTAAGAAAATTAAACTGCAGATAACAGGATTGCCATTCTAAAACTATATTATATGATTCAGAAGAAAGGATTTATATCTAAACGGATTGATTTTTCTCCAAACCCACACACAACAAACTTACACCTTACCAAATAACTCTGAGGTAAACAGTTCAGTCAAGGTGTTCAGCATTGAATAAATGCTTCCGAGAAGGAAATATAACACTATAAATAGTAAACTTCCCCTGAATCACAAGGAAGACATTCAGGAATATGTCTAGTTGGGTGTTCACTGGTTTTTTTTTAACTTAAAGTTCCAGGATAGATGTGCAGGACGTGCAGGTTTGTTACACAGGTAAATGTGTGCCCATCATTGGTTTTATCTTATACGAAGTGAGCAAATCCTAAGTCACTATCCCTCAGTATATTAAAATTACCTAAAGTATTATGAAAAAGTGATCATGAACCTCTACTCTGTATGGAGAAAATGTCAGGAGCCAGGGATTATCCAGTGATTGCTGAAAAAGGAATGTGAACTTTAGGGTGCGCATGCTATTACTCTCTTTCTCTTTCTCCCTCTCTCTCTCCCTCCTTCCTTCCCTCCCTCTCTCATACACATACATACACACATTTCCCTGGGTCCTTAAGTATATACGAAAACAACAAATTAAAATCAGCCTGTAGAAATATACAAATATACACAAAATCATAATCTACAGCACTAACCATATTTGTAGTCTAATTATGCTTACTTACTGCTCTGTCCCCCTGACAGTGACAAGAGTAGAATGTTTTGTGAAAGTTTTTCTTGGAAGAAGGACAGAAATATGAGGCTGGTTAGGAATAATTTCCTAGGGAACTATAACTAAAGTAATACTTTTTTAAATAAGGACAAAATATTCCAGAAAAAGTCTTGGGATATTTATCCAATATAAGCATATCTTTTCACAGAAATGTGAGAAAATCATTAGCATATATGAGTTCTTTCCCTTTTAGGGGTTATTTGAATACCACATTCCTCAGAATTGTAAAACTCAGACAGAAAGGGAATGGAAAAGATGTATTCATGTTCATTTATAATAGTTTCTTAGGATATTAATTTTGCTAAATCTCAGTAGAACATTTTATTCAGCAATGAGAAATTACACTATTCAGTTAATATGTTTTTACAACCTCAGATGAACCTCAACCTTGTGTAACTGACTTCCTAAAAAGTTTGCGTAAATAACATTTTGTAAATTGGGTCATTTTACCTGCACATAAGTTAGATATTGCGTAGAGCAAATAACCACCTCAAAATCTGCTTTACAGTTTAAAGTTTTTACATTACGATGAAGTTCAAATTAATATATAATTCACATTCTCCTTACTTGGAGCTCAGTATTACCACAGTCTTTAGGAGGGACTATAAAAACATCAGAATTTTTAACTTGAAGAGCCCACCAAATTTTGGGCATGGATGGTTTAGTTTCTCTAAGTATAACAGATTCAGGGTCAGCACTGGTGGCTCTGTAATACCAGCAGTTTGGGAGCCCAAGGTGAGAGGATTCCTTGAGCCCAGGAGTTCAAGACCAGTCTGGGTAACATAGGGAGACCACGTCTCTATAAAAATTAAAAAATTAGCCAGGTGTGGTGGCACATGCCTGTGGTCCTGGATACTCCAGAGGCTAAAATGGGAGGATTGCTGGAGCCCAGGAAGCTGAGGCTGCAGTGAGCCATGATTGCGCCACTGCAATCAGCCTGGGTGACAGAGTGAGACCCTGTCTCAAAAAAAACAAACAAAAATTCAGAAGCTGAGTCCATGGAGCCTCACTAAATCAAAATTCACTTAATAGAACTTTAAATGTAACTTAGAAACTCATTCTGTGGAAATCTATCTTCCATCTTTTAATATGTGGACTATGCTGACATCACCCATCTTTATCCCACCTATCTCTACCAGCAAGAGCACCCAGCTCCTTTTATTTTGTGTGAAAGTCTAAATCAGTGTTTTTCCACCACTACCACTGAATAACAGGCCTTAAATGAAGATAAAAACCATCAGTTACCTAAACTATTAGGCATTTTTACAAAATGGGCAACACAAATATAATCTATTAGTTTTAACCTTTGTCAGATATTCACAGGACTTGCATGCACTAACAATCATTGTTCATGTAGCTGGGTTCAAATCACAGATTTGAACATATATAGCTAAACAGAAATCTCTATATAAACCCTATGTAAGGATTTAAAAAATATTTACTGCAAGGCTGGCTTTCTAAACACCAGAAACCATAGTAGATGCTGGAATACTAAAAATGACATGCTATTATTTGGTGAAGCACAGATATCCACCAAAATTACCTTGAATACAGAGTTATAAAAACATCAAGATAAATGAAAAATCATAACTAAACTATCAAAGCCTCTAGAATCACTACATTAACTATGGAATAATACAGTGGGTCAAATAATCAAAGATTCAGCTACTGCACTATACATTTATTTTATATTTTGAGGCACTTAATTCAATAATAGAATAATATTTTAAAATGAACAAAACAAATATTAATTATAATTCATTTCATTACTTTTCCTATACCTCCCTATTTCCTAAAATTCCTACATACAATTTTATACAGTTTCTTACATGGTTATAGTCAGAGGCCGTAAGATTTTCTTCAGTGTTCTATATGCCCATAAAAAAGAAAATCCACAAAATATGATTCATTTAACATTGTTTGCTTTACCAAGAAGTTAACTACAACACGTACTTCATTAAACAGGAATATCCGCATAAAGACATTATTTTTTGACCACATGTTTAATACAAAGTACAACGGGGCAAGTGTCCTAAAGACTAGCTAACATAACTGAATAGTAATATTAAAGGCTATAATTCTAATATTTTTTATAATTTGGCATTATTTTATACAAATGAAGATACTCATAGCACATGATCAAGCACTATAACTCCTAGACAGACAATGTTCACAGCAGCAGTTTCAGCAGCAAAAACAAAACTAAATAAAACTCAAATGTACATCAACAGAAGAATAAGTATTCATATAATACAATACAGCAATAAAAATGAAAGTCACAAAAGTAAACAAACATTATGCCATTTATACAAAATTGAGAAACATACAAAATTAACATTTCATTTAGAGATACCTATGTACAAAGCAAATGACAAACACAAATTTCCAAATAATTACTTGAGAGGGAGAGGGTTCTTAGGGGACTTCTAAAGTATAGGCAATATTCTAGATCTTAAGCTGGCTGATGAGTATACAGATATTCATATTTATTATCCCTTTGCCTTTATAAACACGTTTATGTATTTTTGTAGCATAAATACTTCATTTTAAAAGAAGAGTAAAAATGTGAAAGACTTCAAAAATGAAGACTACCATTTATGTATAACAATAACATTAGTGTAAAAAAGTATACAAAGAAAATGTTGAGTTCTTTCAGTGCCCTATATAATCAGTATTAATAATCTAAAGGGTGATAATCCTAGTATGAAAAAAATAACAAGCTCTGACACAAAATCTGAACACCTGCTTTCCTGGCACTCTAAGTTAGACAAGGGTGAATATGTTAGCCACTCAATTCTGCCTCTTCATCTTTCATCTGTACTTAGATTTTTCTTTATCTTTGGATTTTTCTTTGGATTTCTGCTTCAGTCTCTTTTTACTCCTTTCTCTTTCATAAAGATGTCTGGTATTTGGATTTGTGACTATTACTATAATGGCCATTCCTCTCTTGCGATCAGCTACGACTTCAGTTCTGAGTTCGGTCTCTCTTTTTACTCTTTCATTTCTCCCAACAGCTTTCTTCTTCTTCGTAGTGACCAAACTCCAAACTTTCTCATACTTATCTGGATTAATATTTTTGATTGGTATGTAGTCTTCATCTTCTTTTACTTCAGAGCAGTGATGGGTTTTCTTCTTGTGATTTTTACTTGTGTGTGAGTGACTTGACTTGGAGTCTTCTGCCTGCTCATCTAGTACAACATTATATTTTGCCTCCTATTTGGGCTTACTTTATCTTTCAGAACCAAATTAGATGGTTTATCCTGTTCCTTTGTATACTCCTTTAAATCACTCTTGGTGTATTTCCCACTTTTTCCTTCCATTTAACCTTTGTAACAGACTGGCTAAAATCCATGTTTTCTTCTGTCATCTATAAGTATATTGTCCATTTTGAAGAAGGCTTTCTCATAATCTTCTTCCTTTTCAAATTCAATAAAAGCATACATCTGTAATCCCAGCACTTTGGGAGGCCAGGGCAAGTGAATCACCTGAGGTCAGGAATTCGAGACCAGCCTGGCCAATATGGCAAAACCCTGTCTTTACTAAAAATACAAAAATTAGCCAGGTGTGGTGGCACACGCCTGTAGTCCCAGCTACTTGGGAGGCTAAGGGAGGAGAATCACTTGAACCCAGGAGGCAGAGGCTGCAGTGAGCCGAGATCGTGCCACTGCACTCCAGCTTAAGCAACAGAGTGAGACTCCATCTCAACAAAAAAAGAAAGAAAGAAAGAGAGACAGAAAGAAAGAGAGAAAGAGGGAGAGAGAAAGAAAGAAAGAAAGAAAAAAAGAGAAAGAAAGAAAGAAAGAAATAACAGAGGATTTCTCCTGTCTTCCAGTCCCAGATAACTTCACAACTTCTTATTGGCCCAAATCTAGAGAGTATTATATCCAGATCCTCATCTGTGGTCACTGGATTCAATTTGCATACACAGATTTTTCCGGAGGTTTAATATCTGCATCAGGTAGGTCTCCCACCATCTCTAAAAGTAAAGCCTGAGTTTTAGCTTCTTTTTCTGCCTTTATTTCTTCTACTTCTTCGGCTGACCTTCGTTTGAAATGATCAATTTCTTCATTTGTGTCAACTCTACCACTCTTTAATTGTTCCCTTGTAGGTTCTGGTGATTGATCAGGGATTAATAAATCAGGAATGTCATCAAAATGGACCATCTAAAATCACTATATAATTTATCCTGATATCCTGATATGGTACAAAGTCCTTGTCAACAAAGGTCTCATTTATTTTCTTAATTATGTCAATGCCTTCTGTCACCTCACCAAATACTGTATGGTACCATCAAGGTAATCTAGATTTTCTCCTGTAGTGATAAGAAACTGAGATCCATGTTGATCACTGTCATTATTCACCATGGACATTGTGCCCTTCTTCTTGTGCTTAATTCTTGGGACGTTTTCTGTCTCAAAAAAGCTTGCTTGATCACCATACAATCCTAGGCCAAAAATAGACTCTCCTCCATGACCAGTCCCTGTAGGATCAACAGTTTGTATGATAAAATACCTTTGTATACTGTGAATAAGGCAATAACTGTAATATTTTATTTTGTAATATCTCAAGAAATTAAAGCAGGCGAGTACCTTCTAGATGCTTGGCACTGCCATCACAAATGCCATTAAACTGTGGTACCTGCTCTCAAAAAGTTCACAGTTGCAAGGCTGCTGCTCAGTGTGCAAATTGACAACCACATTGCCCACAGTAGTCTCCAGTAGAACCGCCATGGCACCCACTTCTCCTCAGCTATAAGCCCTGGTGAGGTCACTAATATTCTTTAAGGCAAAAACTAAAAGTCAATAGAAACTGAAAATAGGTAAAGTCTGATTATAAGAAAGAAAAATAGGGCCAGGTCCAGTGGCTCACACCTATAATCCCAGCATTTTGGGAGGCCAAGGCAGGTGGATCACTTGAGGCCAGGAGTTCGAAACCCCATCTCTACTAAAAATACAAAAAATTAGCCAGGTGTGCTGGCACACTCCCATGGTCCCAGCTATTTGGGAGGCTGAGGCAGGAGGCAGAGGTTACAGTGAGCCAAGATTGTGCCACTGTGCTTCAGCCTGGGTGACACAGCGAGACACTGCCAGAAAGAAAGACAGAAAGACAGAAAGATAAAGAAAAAATAAAAGAAGAGAAAGAAAAATGGGTCACTGCATTCAACCAAAGTTTCAGGTAAATGGTGACATAACACATGAAAAGTTTGTCACTTCCCATTCTAGCTCAGCAATAGCAGATATTTAGACAAAGCCAATTCCTCCTTATCTCAACAGCCTCACAAGGCATCACTGCCCAAGATTACTACACAGTATTATTACTACATATTACTACATTACTACACAAGAAGCCACATTCAACAATACAGTTCAGACTTCTGCACTAATGTATATGTATGCATAGAAAGAAAGGGCCAGTGACATCATCCTAGGCTAAACTATAGTATAATATTATAATAGGTAAAGGCAGCAAGATACGTTAGATGTAAGTATGTTATAGAAACCATAGGATGAACCAATTAATATTTCAAGCTTCATCTAATGAAAGAAAAATACACATAAACAGAGTGGCAACTTCAAAACAGAACACCAGAAAAAGCTCAAGCTAACTTAGAAATAAACAATTCATATATAAAATCTAAAACTCAGTGACAATAGCATATTTCTGAACAAGGATAACTCATTTAAAATCTGCTAAGAATTTGACCCACTATTTGTTACCTAAAAAGATAAAAAGTGAGCAAATGCAATTCCCTGAATGCGTTTTTTTTACAAACTAAGAGGTCACTCTGGCATGTAAAGTATTAATAGACCTTTGAAATACACTTTTTAAGCTCTATGATCGAAATATTGCAGAATACTGTAGCTTTTTTCAAAAATCTAATCTCTGAGCACAGTCTAAATCCTCACTTTTGCAATACTAATGAAACTGCATTTAGCAATGTTTGCCAACACCAGTTTAGTTAAGTCCTAGACACTTAAATGATCTGACATAAAGCAGGAAGAGGACTGTTGATTGATTCTTTTAAGGTCAATGTGTCAGAGTAACTCCAAGAATACTTTAGAAGAAATAAAATGACACTTACAAAACTTCGAAAGATATTATAAATACATTTTGTTTATAATTAGCTAATATAAACCAATCTATATTTTACTATGATATTTTTGTACCTTCATAGAAAGATCACTTCACAAGTTTGTATGAGGAATAGTAAAGTTTCCATATGGCTAGACTTGATGTAACCCTGAGCCACTGAGTCCTACTGTTTTTATTATCTTCTAAGATACCAGCATTACACTTCACTAATTCAATGTACAACTGATATATTTAACTAGAAAAGTAAATATAATTACAGAAGAAATGTTATGAGAAACTTTATCCATCACAAAGACTCTATATAATACTTTTGCTCTCCTAACAATAAACACAATTTCTAATGTTACTTATAAAAGAAAATCGTTTCCACATTAACTACTATGCAGAACTTATAGTAAGCACAAATGACATTGAAAAAATGCCAAAACACCCCAGAAGAAATTATTAAAATAGAGATTAAAATTTATTTTCTATATTACATCAACAAACCTAAAAGAAGTGAAAGAGCCAAGTACATATAAATAATTTTTTTAAGGTAGTGTGCATTGCTTTGCCATGACAGTGTTGTATAAAAAGATACTATGTTAAATGTTGCTAAAATATCAAAGGATGATAAATGTAGAGAATCATAATTATGGGGCTGAAGGTAGCCTTATAATACATTACAAATGGGCAGATTTTTTAAAGTTTACATTGCCAAATATGAATACACAAAAAAGAGACCTTATTCTACCCAGATTTTGAAATTTCATGTGAAAGGAAGTTTTTAAAAATAAAATGCTAAATTCTGTCTAAACAAAGTGATAGGTCCTTTAGGGACCAAAGGGAAGGCCCAATGATGGCATAATTACTGGGGATACTTACAGCTATTTTAAGTTCCATGCACCCTAGCGTCTAGTCCCATTTAGCTTTCTCTTCTTCCCTCACCGCCCCAAAGCTATATTTAGCCTTTCTATGACTTAACTGTATAAGCAGTGGGATAATACATTGTGCATACTTTCCTGCCCCATAACTAACTGGGTTCCAACAACAACTTTCAGCTATCTTGAAGTCAGGACTTAGAGCATTACAAGAGCCCTGTGCATGCTGCCTGACCTTGGGCAAATTACTTAACTTCCCAGGACCTCATTTCCTCATCTGTGAAAAGAGGTTAATAAAAGTACCTTATATTGGATTCTACCAAAGATTATTAGTTGGCATAAAGGCTCAATAAATAAAAATTTTAAGAATCATCTAGTCTAATAAACTTTCTTTTCCTTTAAATAGCTCAATCTTTTCCCTACCCAACCAAAATCTTAAAAAGTCTATCCCCTTCATTTTAAAGACACAGAAGATAAGATGCAGAGTTAGTGGCTTGTCATAAGACAAATGTCAAAACTGAAAAGAGAACTCAGGTTTCTTGACTCCAAATCTAGTATTTCCCAGGATACATTTATGCCTCTACGACATGTCTATGGAACCATTTGGAAAATAATTGCTTTGGCCTTTCATTTGATAATTAGTTCTAGAGAAAACAGCCCGGTTATACTATCAAGGACCAGTTCAGTCAAACATGCTTTGCTCCACCTTCATCAGAAAAACAGGAAATAATCCCAAAAGCAAATTTATAGAATCAGTTATAGCACAAGTCTAGTCAGTCAATACTCATTCAGTCTTATTCTCAATATCATCTATAGTAATCAATTTTATGTATATGTTATCAATAAGTTATTAATAAAGCTAATCAAGCCACAAGGAGTTCGTTTATGTCTTGTTCACTGTGCTTAACAATCAAGTGTGTAATGACGTTAGAAAATGTTTCATCAGAAAGCTAATTTTTTAGTAATGTAAAAGTTAAAATTAGCTATACGGACTATTCACAAAAGTTTTCTTTATGGCTACAGAGAATAAATAAGGAATTATTACTGTCAGTAGTTAATAAGTATTTGATCTTCAGTAACACTAGACAGGAAGTTGTAGCAGTTTTCACCTTTTCATTACGAAACACATCTAGATGGTTGGTGGATTTCTTAACTTTTTTTTTTTTTTTGAGACAACACCCCACTCTAGCACCCAGGCTGGAGTGCAGTAGGGTGATTTCAGCTCACTGTAACCTCTGCCGCCTGGGCTCAAGTGATCCTCCTTGAGGATCACTCAGGAGGATCCTGAGTAGCTGGACTACAGGAGTGTCCCACCATGCCCAGGCTAATTTTTATATTTTGCGCAGAGGCAAGGTCTTGTCATGTTGCTCAGGTTGGTCTTGAAATCCTGAACTCAAGCCATCTGCCTGCCTCAGCTTCCCAAAGTGCTGGGATTACAGGTGTGAGCCACCATGCCCAGCAGGATTTCTTAACAATTCTAATAACCTGGTAGACAATTTTGGACACTGACCTTGCCACACAACCGTGGGTTACTAGTTTTCCTTTCCTTTCTTTTATTTCCTTTTTCCTTTCTCCTTTCCTTTTTCCTTTCCTTTTTTTTTTTTTTTTTTTGAGATGGAGTTTCACTCTTGTTGCCCAAGCTGGAGTGCAATGGCATGATCTCAGCTCACTGCAACCTCCACCTCCCAGGTTCAAGCAACTTTCGTGTCTCAGCCTCCCGAGTAACTGGGATTATAGAGGTGTACCACCATGCCCGGCTAATTTCTGTATTTTTAGTAGAGACAGGGTTTCACCATGTTGGCCAAGCTGGTCTCAAACTCCTGATCTCAAGTAATCTGCCCACCACAGCCTCCCAAAGTGCTGGGATTACAGGCATGAGCCACTGCGCCCAGCCCACTAGCTTCTTTAAATCATCATTCTTTTTGGTGAGCCATCATTAAGGTATACGATGGTGGACTTCATTAAGTTATATACGTACACTGTTCAACCCACAAATTGCAGATTCTTGGAAGCCTGTTGTCTTTTGGGAGGGCTGAATCAACCTAGTGCCAGTTGCTGGGACAATCACTTGAGACCAGTCTCTGTTTAGTGATTCCTGAAGCTTCCATCAGTTTAGCACCATATGTAATTAACTTTTAACATTTATGAAGAGAGAAAAGGGGAGAAAAGCACTTATATTCACTACAAAGTGATTCGAGGACAGTACCGATTCTGAATACACACAAGAAAGCCCAGATACAATCATGTTCCTATCTTCAGAAACAAGAATTTCTCTCTCTATCTCAGAAACAAGGATTTCTCTCTCTCACACACACATTCTCTCTGTCTCTTTCTCCTTATATGCAAGAAAGAAATGGAGAAAAATGGCCAATCCATCTATATTTTATTTTAGTTACATTCAACAAACTAGGTCTCACATTTTTAGACATTCTGAAAATGTCAGACCATACCCCAGCACAGCGTAATAGTGCCATGGAAACAAAAGAAAACCAATTCCTTTGTCATTCTTTTAGCTTAGAAATCACAGCTGATCATCAACATTAGAGTCTTTTTGAGTTAGGAGCAACAGCATAGTCTTATGGAATGAACACTGGATCTGGAATGAGAAGATCCACATCCTAAATCCTTGCTGAATCAAAGTATACATTGCTTGGTATATAGTTAGCACACAAATATATGTTTTCTTCTTTCCTACCTAAAACTAGAGACACAGCATAGTATAGGGGAAGTCACTGAGGTATTCATGAACTTGGTATGTGCCTTAGTAACATTCACTTGGAATAAACAACACTGCTTAAAGGTATCTGCCATGTTTGTTCATGCTACAATGAAATACTTTTCCACAATTTGTTCGTAAGTAAAATCCTTAGATTTTTCAGAATTACTGCTAATCCATTATAATTTGTCTTTCAGAATAAGCACAAAAATTCTTCCAGAATAGCCAAATGATGAGTCAACTTATGGTCACTTTCAAGGGTCCAAATGAAGAGCAGAGGGAAATACAGGTAGTATCTGCCTTCCATCAGTTCCCTAGGCTTTCTATATCAATATATGAGTACTTGTGTTCCCTTTCCTCCACTTACTTTTGGCAGAAACCAGAAGTTAGATATTTTCAACCTCTCGTTAAAATAATTAAACAGTATGTAGCACAAAAAGAGTGTCAGTGATTTAGCTTCTTAGACACTTAATAAAAGAATAAATTATATACTGAAGACAAAAAGCAGTGCCAGACACAGACTAGGACAGGGGCTGCCAGAAAGTCTATCTTAGTGGTGTCTGGAAATGTTAAGTTCTGGAGAAAAGACCAAACTAAAATTAAGAAGAACTAAGTCATTAGACTATACTCTTTGGCAGATTATTAACTACCTGTGAACATTTTAATAAAACAGACTTTTAGAATTTTTTAAAATTTCAGACTAAGGAAAACCCTCTCCGACTAGCCATTTGTTGAACACTGTCATTTATTTCCATTCCACTCACTGCTGTGGAGCCCAGTTACTCCCTTATTTTCTTATTCACATGTAGTCTGACTTATCACAAGTAAAACAAAAATCACAAGGACGCCATTATCCTTCAACATTTCCCCAAAGTACAAATCCTAATTTGCATTAAGTCCTTACAGAAACGTACACGGCAGTCCTTCTGTAAAAAGTACTGTAATTAATAAAATGATTTCCAGTTCGATATATACACACAGAACTTTACATACAGTTAAAAACTGATTAAGATGATTTACACATGCTAGGTATTCAATATTCAATACGCTTACAATAACAGTTATTTGAGAGGAATATAATCTTTGAACATAAGACAATAGATTTTGATTAAATAACTATAAATTCATTTATCTATTTTGCTATTCACTGATTGATCTAGAAATTTTAGGCACCATGAGATAACTGATGGAAAAAAATAGTTCTGTAAATAATGAACACTGCTGCTCTCTAGCATAGTTTTCTGAGAATGAAAACCTTTCCCAAAAGTCAGTATGTGAAACCTGTCTCTTTAGAAAAAGCTAAAACATTAATGTAGAAGAAAGCTTTGAAACAAGTATCTATAAGCACTCAAGGAAAATTAATTAATTTTAAAATGGAAAGGGAGGATCTTAATTTTCAAGAATAGCCTGAGAATAAAACTTTATAGAAAGAGAATATCTGAGTATCTCTTTTAAAAGAGAAAAAGTTATTAAAATTTTTTGTATTCCATTGAGCACAGTATAAAAATGACTTAAAAAGATAAATTTAAGGAAAAGAGAAAAACTGAAAGCAAATGAATGAACACAGGCAAACATATATTACATGGAGTTAACATTATATTTGCATTATCTTTTAGAATAGAATCATAACTTCTTTATGTATAAAACAATGAGGCTCTCAAGATACTCATGAAAAAGTCTAATCAAATTTCACTCTAGAGTTAGCAATCTGGTAGAGTATTAGGCCTAAATAAACCTGATATGTTAAATCAGGAACTAACATATGCTATTTTTCAAAACAGGAGCTATATAAATTACAAGCTCTTCCATGTTTTTGTTATCAGATTTGGTACACTTAAAAATAAGCTGTATTCTCCATCCAGAGTATTCTAAATATGACTGTTTTTACATCTTTTAGAACTTATAATTAATCCTAATGATCTATCTTTACAAAACACACACACACACACACACACACACACGCACACAAAGATTTGCATTTCCTACTTACTATCTTGGACAGTAAAACTGTATTTGTTCTATGTTTAAATCCATGGGTTCTGGTCTGTGAGGTTTCAAAAAGAAGCAACTTTACTATATTTTCTTTTGGTTGTTACTAATGATTTTAGCTTAAAGATCATTAATTTTAACACTAACATCCTGCTTTTTCTCATTTGAGTTGCTCTATTTATCTCAAAGGTAGACTTTATGTATTACCATTACAAAAAAATAACTATTTGCATAATACTTTATGATTTTACGTCTATTACAAACACATCACAGGGAGCCTGAGGATTCATTCAGCAGCCTGTCATTCACCACTGCAATACCCTTCAGAACCAAACAAGAGGGAGGATGACATTTTACTAATGGCAGAAGTACAGGAATGAATGTAAATAACAAACCTTGAAGTTTTAAAAATACAAAAGAAAAAAAACAAGCAAAAAGAGGATGATGCATGAGCACAAACAAAACAGTTTCAATTTGTAAAACTCCATGTCTGCTATATATACAGCAAGGTATTTGGCAATTTACGTATTTCTATTATGGTAACCATTTAAATTATTTAAAACTATACTACAAAAATAAAGGAAATTATCATTTTTTCCTGGGTTGTATAAATTAATATTATAATAATATTAAAATTGACTATTCCTATTTATAGAATTCAGCTTTTCCTCAGCCTTGTGAAACAATCTGAATATCAATTCTCTATTACTCTAGCCTTAGCCCTACAAATATTCACATTAAGAATGCTTAAGACGCAGATAATGATATAATTTATTTAGAAATTGAGTGGTTTCATAATTTTTTGGTAAAAGAATCATAAAAACATTTTTAAGCTTCCATATTTTCTCCTATAATCATCACTCCAGATGAAATGCATGAAACACTGAATGCTCAGTTATGTCACCTTTAGTCGAAATGCCCATAGCCCTTGCAGCTTTTCATAAACAATATGCCTTTATACTATATACCTACCCCTTGAGCCATCAACTACTTAATGCTTTCAAGTGTAGTTTCAAACGCAGTTTTAACACCCTCTTGCGCGCACACACACACACACACACATACACTGAAGTGTGCAGAAAAAGGAGGAGGTGGAGAGCAGAGGAAGAAATGGAGCACGTTGTTGTTTTTCATTCATGCAGTATAGTGATGTCAGTGTCTGCAGCAGCAGTGGCAGCGGCAGGAACCTTGACCAGTGGAGGCTAAAATCCACTCAAGTCAGAACCTTACAGCATTCAAAAGAAATTGAGAAGATAATCATTCGAAAAATTAAATCAACTGTTCAGATCATGGATTTTAAATGGCTAAGGAAACAGAACAGTTTAGTAGGACAGTTTTAATTTGGGTAGTGGGGGTAAAAGGCGGGACATGGAGAAGTAACATAGGAGTAATATAATCACGGAACTGGGGGCACAGAAGCCCGCATTCAAAAATCACTGCAATGTAAGAAACTGACAAAACCACCTGGTGTTTAAAACAGCAGAAAAACATCTTTAGCAAAGAAAGCCCTTGCATTCCCAACACAAGCTCTCTGACACTGCAAATCTGTCTGCTGCACAACCAGACTCAGAAAAGTGTTTTCATCATGATTGCATTAAAATCGCATTAAACTCGTATGTGCCACACTACAACAAAGAGAATAGTTTAAGCCAGATCACAAATTTTATTAAAACTGCTTGATGATGGAGCATGTAATTCCTAGGCCATTAAGCCTTTTGAAGGATGCAGAAAAACAAGTTGTACTATTATCCGTTGTAAGATGTTAGTGTTTATATACAAAAGGGGAGGAGGTACTAGATGGCCATTATGTTGTTGCAGCAATTGCCGAAACTTCTCTTACTCACACCCACCAGACCCTCTGTACACAATCTGCAATGCTTATTTTATGCCTCTTAGTCCCTACAAGAAAATCCCAAAACTCAATTTGTGCACTGTTGAAGCGAAATCACTAAAAAATTTATGTAACTGTTTTCTGTTCGTTCTGTTACTTCTCATTTCATACAGTTCTAGAAAATGTGCAAAGGAGTTGCATATGGCATTAATCTGTTAGAAAATGGTGGCCTTTTCTATAAAATACAGCCAAAGATGTGTGTTCAGTTGTGGTCATTATTAGGGCGATCACGTTGTTTTCATTCATTCATTCAGGATTTGCTGGAGGATGTCAGTTTCTGCAGCAGCTGGCTTGACCTGGGGGAGGAGTGCAGGAGCATATTCCTCCCAATGCATACAGATTACAGGATGTATTTCTTGCTGCTCATGTACTCATCCCACTGCACTACATCCTACACTGGTTCACCATCAAGTGGTCAGAAAACAAGTGCGTTAGCAACATGCTAATTACGGGTCTGAAATATTAAAACAAAAACACCAAGACTGCAATGTATCATAATGCAGACAACCACTTTCTCCAACTCTAACACCTTCATCAAGAAAGCTCCATTAAAAAAAAAAATTCCACATACCACATAAACAATGTACAGACTTTGACAGTGTTTCCCTTCCAAGCAGAGATTTTTCCACCCAGTATGATCTGTTCCCTCCACAATGCAGCAGCAGCATCTGTAGCTCTAGTTCGGTATCTAACAATATTAGCTATTCCACTCTCCCTTATGAGCTTTAAGTCCCTGTTTTGGCTAATCTTCCTTTTCTCCCCCAGGGCTCAACTAAATCATGCACTGTGTCCCTAGACATAAACAAAACCAAAGCAAAACAGAAAACACTAAGGGAAACCCACAGCATCCACCAGCTCACCATTACCTTTGACACCTAACAAAAAAAGAAACTTGAGATCCTTGAACAGCTCAACTGAACTGTTAAGTGTACTTAAAAATGGAAGGAAAAAAACGAACACGTTCCACAAATAAGTTTTCAGAAATTTACCATGAAAATCTCCGGTAGAGCACAAACTGTTTCCAGTGCAGGAGTGCTCTGATGCATGAATATATAAAGGGGAGGGGGAGAAAGAGAGGGAGAGAGAGAGGCGGGGTGGCGGGGGGCTGGGGGAGAGGGAGAGAGGGAGGACTGAGGGAAAAAACCGTATACACTTCAATTGTACATTCAAAACTGTCCCCTCTAGCAGATATCATTACATCCAGCCGATATCCTTACATCGAAACTAATGCCACCAACCCTCTAAAAAATAAAATACTATCCCGGTAGTTACAGGCACGTTAGGAACTTTGCAGAAAAGCACAAAGAGACGGTAGAGATTACAACCGCCACCTTATCCGCTGCTGAAGAGTTTGTGTGCGTGTTAAGTGTTTCGCCCAGCTTCTCCTTCCCCGGCTACAAACGGCAAACACACGAATGAGCTAGCCAGCTCTTAAACTGAAAAACCTCTCGAAGCAGGCGAGTGATGGAAGAGAGACTCTGAGGGGCGGCATGAGGGTCAAATAAAAGTCGCTTTTCAGTTCGCTCCTCCAAGCCCCACAGCGACCGCAGGGGGGTGAGATTCCCAAAGCCACTTTCACACCTTCGATAATGCACTAGCAAAGAGAAGCCCGAAGAGGCTGAAGTTTCCACGGAGGGCACCGTCGGGGAGACGCAGCCCGGGAGGACGGGAGGGTTGGGCTCGCTACCTCTGCACACGGGCGAGCCGGGGCTCCGTCTCTCAGGTGAGCTGCTCCTCCGGTGGCTCTCTGGGGACCGTCTCGGGCGGCCCTTGGCCCGCGGCGCCTGCTCGGCCGGGGCTGCGGCCGCCGGCGGCGTCGGGCTGGACGGGCTGGGGCCGCGGGCCGCGCCGGGCCCCGGGAGGCTGCCCAGCGAGGCGGCGGCAGCGGCGACGGGCGGACGCGTGGGACTGTGCTGGCTGCCCCGCAAGAGCTGGTAGGGCACCGTGGCGCGGATGGGCTGCAGCAGCCGGCCGGCTCCCGCAGCCGGGGCGCAGCCCACGCCGCCGCCGCCGCCCGCACCGTTCCCGCTCCCGGCGGCGGCGACGGCGGGCGGGGACCCCGCGGCGCTGCGCCTCATCCTCTGCGACGGGGGATGAGGGGTCTGAGAGGAACTGGAGGAGGAGGAGGAGGAGGCAGTGGACATGGTGGCTCTGCGGGCCCTGGACGCCGCCGGCCGACACGGAGGCGCGGGGCGGGAGGCGCGCGAGCGTGTGGGAGCCGGCGCGATAGTGCGTGCGAGTGTGTAAGGGGGAGGGGCGGGGGTATCGCTGTGGGGGAGGAGTCTCGGGGCTCCCCCTCCCCAACGCACACCCCCGCCGCCTCGGCGAGGGGGGAGGGGAAGGCTGCGAAAACAAACGTCCAACGGCCGCAACCGCCCGGCTGGGCTCGGTGTGGCGGTCACGGCCGGGGCCGCAAGGAGCCCGGAGCCGCCGCCGCCACCGCTCCAGGCATCGTGCTGACAGGGCAACGGCCCGGATCACGCAGCCCCGAGGGCCGCTCGCAGCCTTCTCCTCAGCCCTCGCAGGGCTGCACGCACGGGAGAACCCGGCAGCTGCAAGGAGGGCCGGGACCCCTGCTTCTGGGGACCAGGGTAGAGAGAAAGGGCCTCGAGGTGCTGGCGCTCCTCGGAGTCCGCGCCACCGCAAACGCCGCCGCCGCCGCCGCCGCTTCTACCCACTCCTCACTCCGAATGGCAACTAATTCGCCCCAGCCGCACCCCGCCCCCGGCACCGCCTCCCAGCGCCCAGGACCCGGCAGCTGCCGCAGCGAGCATTTCCATTGGCTTAGGCGCTCCCCACTAGAACTCGAGTGATTGGTTCTGGAATAGGAGTGAGAGAAGCAGTGTCCAATGACAATGGTGCCTCCTACTTTGAAGGCGGGGCGTGAGGGGTGGCAGCGTGAGGTGGGGGCTGTGCGCGCAGGGAGGAGCGTAAAAGTTGACAGCCTTGAGGTAAGTGCGAGACTAGGAAAGTGGGACTGTGTGTGTCCTGCGCGTGTCCCGACACCCCCAGACACGCAAACGCCCCGCTAGGCAGGTTGCAGGGGCTCCACCCTCCTGGGCCGTCTGTATGACTTGAGACACAGGACACATGAGGCAAACTTTAATTTGCAAGTACACCTGCATCCGGTGGGATGTTTTAGTTAGAACCAGAAGACTGGATCTCTTTTAGTAAGCTGAGTTTTCGTGACCAGTAGCCTTATTAATCAAAAGAACTTCTGGTGATCAGGAGAAATGTCTGGAACCTGCACTGAACAAAGTAAAATACTCTTACAGCCTAACATTTGTAGTTATGCAGTGAAAAGAGATTATCAAGTTCTATGTTCCAAGACAATAACACTGAATAGCAGGGGTCAACAAGGAATTTTATGTCATTACACCATCAGTTAGATATATTAATGAAGGGCGCCCCTGGCTTTTCCGAAGCAGATAGCTTCTTGGGAGGAATAAATACCAGATGTAATGTAATAATCCATTGTGGTAAATTTGTTTTTTATTCTGTAATGAAACTGAAAGCGTACAAAGATTTTGGATGACTATCAAAAACATAAATTTACCCCACAGTAAACCAAGGTTTTAAACCTTAATCGGGAGCAATTAATGTAAGGATCTTCATCAGATAACTTTCATTAATTTTCAAGAGGTTAAAAGAGAAGCACAATGTCAAATTGGTCTGCTCGTGGTGTCTGCCCACACTGACAAGCTTCCTCTGATTTCAGGCACTATATGCAGGGGTCACTTTCACGTACAGGAGCCATCCTTCTTTTCTTCCTTGTGTGTTCAGACGAGAAAGCATACTAGGTTCAGTAAAAAAATTGATGAAACTCAATAAAAATACAAAAATTTCATGCAGTACTTCATCCAAGTAAAACTAGTGATAGTTCCTCAGTTTACCACATATTATAATAAGAGCTAACATTTATTCACCATGTGCCAGCCGCTATTCTAAGAACATTATGTGTGTTAATTCATTCAGTCCTCATATAATCCACAAGGTAGATACTATTATTATCCTTACTGTGGTCTCAGTTGTGGCATAAATAAGCTGTCTTGCCTGAGATCACATAGTTAGTATATGGGGAGCTAAAAATTTCACCCAGACAGACTGGCTCAAGAGTCTGAGGAAGCACTCTGCTATAGTACCTGGCAGCTCAAAGCTGTGGGGTACATAATCTGTAGAGTATTCACAATGGCCCACAAATCTCATCTGTGAGATAAGTTCCCATCAGTTCAAAGGAAATTTTACAAATGAAGACAGACCACTACTTTTTTTTTGTTTTCCAGAATAACATATATTTTAATTATGAATAAAAACTTTACTCTTTCAAATTTTATATAAATGGCCTATCTCATTAATTTAAAAACTGCATTATTTTGTGTGTAAAAAGAATGATAAATGATTTCTTTTCAGTGACTTTTCTCAGAATAGCAAGAACAAAAAATCTGACAGATTAAAAATATGTAAAGCTGGCTAGGTGCGGTGGCTCACGCCTGTAATCCCAGCTCCTTGGGAGGCCAAGGCAGACGGATCACTTGAGCTCAGGATTTTGAAACCAGTCTGGGCAACATGGCAAAACCCCATCTCTACTAAAAATGTAAAAATACTAGCTGGACGCGGTTAGGGAGGCTGAGGTGGGAGGATCACCTGAGCCCAAAAGGCCGGGAGATCAAGGCTGCAGTGAGCCTTGATCACACCACTGCACTCCAGCTTGGGTGACAGAATGACACCCTGTCTCAAAAAAAAAAAAAAAAAAAAAAAAAAGAAGAAGAAGAAGAAAAAAAGTTAAGATTTTTCTTTTACATGCTGGTAAATTTCTGAGTTGTTGCTTTGATTACAGCATAGTTGCATTATAGAAATGTCATCTCTAGCTACTCCTAAATATATTTATGGAACAACTTCAACACATTAGGTTACAATAATTCTAAATTTATTCTAGGTCACAATCACAATGATCAATACCTAATTTGGATCTAAAGCAACATACCTAGTCATATTTTAAGGACTTTCTGTGTTTGTTCAAATCTACCACAGCTGACTTAGACATCTAAAGCAAATCTAAATAACTCACACAGAGAAACAGAGAATTAGTATGATCTTAAAATACTATTTTCAGTTACTAGTAAGTCATTATGACCAATCTAGAAGCTCAGTCGTTTCTCTTTGCTATAGAAACCTTGGTTGTCTCTTAAACCTTTATTCTCACGACGTAAGTACTGATCTTCATATTTAAGGAATACAGGCTTCAAACAAATCAAAGGTGGCCTAAAATAAATTAAACTCAGTGCCTGCTTTCAAATGTCCATTTGTTGAGTTCTTGATAATATTTTATTCTTATTGAGGACAAAGTAAGCTCCAAGGATATATAGAAGCTTTAAGAAAATGTTCTTAGTAAATTGGAAACCCCCTAGAATGAGATGTGGATTGCTAGGCTAGAAGAGCGTTGTTATGCTACTATGCTAGCTATGGGGTAGTTAGGCCTAGTGCCGATTTTCCATACTGGTTGAATGTAAGTGTAACAATCTCTGAAAATCTTATATAAGACTTAATGTTAACAATGACCTCTTACTATGTTGTCCTGTGTAAAGAAGACAAAATTGAAGGCACAATTTGGTGGCATGAGAAATACTTCTGTATCAGTAGCCCCATGCCATGGCTATCTGTGGGACGAGGATCTGCCATTAGCTAATCTGAGGTAGAATTCTGTTCTACTTTCTTCTTAGTGCAAATATGGTAATAGACTACATTTTAGGTTAAATTAAAACTTGGAATCATTGGTTACATGCGATTTATATGCAGCCCTATGTGGAGAGATCATAAGATGAAGAAGCCACAGAGCCCACAGAGCTACCAAAACCTTCCTCTTCTAGCTCCATCTGGGTTTGCCTGGCTGAGCATCCAAGGCCCATCCAAATCTGAGAGGCAGTCCAGGCTGTCAGTATTTGCAATGAGGTCATGGCTGGGAGAGAACACTAAACAGATCTGCACTGATGTTCATCTTAAGCTGATTAAACTCTCTTGTAGATTGATTCCTAATAGCAACAACAACAAAAAAGCCTTGACTGAATTTTTGTCCCTGGCAGATGCTTAAATTAAACTCCTTACTGCTTGTGACAGCCTACGTGCACCTTTGCACTAGGTGTTCCCTCTGCCTGAAAGGTTCTTGCCCAGATATCCACATGGCTTGCTCACTCATTTCCATCAGGTCTTTACTCAAATGTCACCACCTTTATGATGAGAGCTTTCCTGAACACTTTTTTAAAAATTGTAAGCACCCCTCGGCTTTTCCTGCTCTTTATCCTACTCTTTTTGCAGAGTACTTATCAGCAACCAAACCATAATATATTATAATTATTTTTTGTTTTGTCTGTCTAGAATAGAACAGCCATGAAGTGAAGACTTTTTATCAGTTTTATAACTGCTGAATCTCTACAACAGTGCTTAGTATATGGTAGATGATCAATAAATATTTGTTTAATGTTGTTAAGAGTGGCAAATTTTAGCCAGTGTTTATCTTATGAACTAAAACTTGTGCTTTTCCTCAGGAAAAAAAATCTAACAGGTGTATCTCTGCTACAAAAGCCTAGTCGCAGAGTAGAAAAATATCTGATGTGGCTACTGTAAACCACACAGATATTTGTATTGAAGCTGCCATTCAAAAAGATAGAATACCTTGCATTATGGTTGTTAGACCTACTGGCTCCTGGAGGCTCATCAGAGGATGAAAATGGAAAATGGGGGCCAGGCATATTCCCAACTACTGGCAAGGCTGAGGCAGAGGACCGCTTGAGCCCAGTAGTTTGAGGTTACAGTGAGCTATGATTGTGCCACTGCACTACAGCCTGGGTGACAGAGTGGGAACCTATCTCCAAAAGAAGGAAAATAGAATTGGCAATGGAGAAAAGGCATTGAAAAAAAAAGGACAACTGAAATAAACAGAGAAAACTGAAGAGGATCACTTAAGGAGTGACATCTGCTGATTGGTATTTAGTTCTATCTCACTATTAAGAAGAGCTATTCTCAAGAGACCTGTGTAAAGGAACTGAAAATAAATGATAATTAAGTAGACGAGACTATTATATGTAAATAATGAAAACTTTGTTTCTAAAAGAAGTTCAGAAGAAGCAATAGTAATAGATATTTTATTTTTAACTGGTAAGGTCATCCAGAATAAGTGTACAGTTATTTCTCAAAAATAGAAAACAGTAATGAAAACCACTGGTTTTTCAGATTTTCATCGCCATAGCAGCTCCAATTGCCAACTATGATGCCAGTGGCACCTCCAATGCATCTTAAGCTGATGCATAATACTCTCACCATGTAACTAAAAGACTATATTGTATAAAGTCAGCACATTCACAGGTAAAACTTGGGGGCCAAAGGACTATAAATATTCTCTTTCTATGGTGTGACATTCTATTTGTTTTAGTCCCAAATAGAGTGTTCATAATACCTGAAAGCAATAGTAGTCCTATGAAGGGAATATGTTTGATTATCATAATGTTATTTTTTTTTATTGAGAGTTGAAAGTCATTAAAGTATGTCATAGGTTTCTTCCTATGTGGCCAAATCTTATTTTTTGCCACACGAGTAAGTGTGTTGAGGGACTGTTGTTAGGGTGCCGTCAATTCATCAGCAGTGCTGGACTAGAGAAGTTTCTTTTTATTATTTTAAACTTTTTGAAACACAATTTTCAGAGTGCCCTACTCAGCATCTTATTGAAAAGGTCCATATTAATGCCCCTAATAAGGCTAAATGCGGGCTTAGTAGCAACAATACTAGCATCAAGCCATAGCAACTCCTTGTCAGGTTACTTATTGAATGTTTTTGAAGTGTCAGACACTGTTTTACACTCAGTAGGGTTTACCTGTTCTCACACTTTGGTAAAGAGGAGTAAAAAGATATGCCGACAAAGCTAAAGCCATATCTACAGATTTGCCTTATATAAAAAGGATGTAAATAGAGTATTATTGAAGTGAGGGAAAGGAAAGCTCACTTGAGAAAAGGCTTCAGGAAGAAGAGTATGAAGAAGTCATGTAGGTAGGAATGCACAAAACCAGGCAGAAGATGATTGAACAGTTTGCCTTTGGCTGATGGTTAATGGAAGATAAGTCTTAGCCTGTTGATGACGGGTCATGACGGCCCTTGGTTGCCAGGTAAGGTTTGCACTTTATTGGATATGCAGTGAGGAGCTGTTGAAGATTCTTGAATGGGTGGAGAGAACATGAGTGGAGCTGTGCTTTATGAAGATTAATGCAAGAATAGCTTAAAGCATTGAATTAGAGATTGATGGTTGGAAGACGATGTAGAAGGTTTAGAGGATACTCCACATTAGTTTAGGTGGCATGAGTCAGGGGAATGACAAAGGACATGGAGAGTGAAATAAGGTGAAAGTCATGCTCCTTCTCAGCTGATGATCATGTGGACTTTGAAAAGAGAACGCCAGACAGTTCTGAAGATTCAAGCTTGGATGCCTGAGAAGATAGTCATGGCTTTAACACAAACAAGGCAGCTAAGGGAAGGAGGAGGTTTGGTGAAAAGATAATGAGTTCAGCTATAAATAAAATAACCAGAGAATATCCAAATAGAGACAGCTTTTAAACGACAGTGAAGTTGAGAAGACAAGAGATATAGATTTGGGGGCTATCCATGTCCATATGGTAGCTGAAGCCATGGTCACAAAGGAGAAAAGCATAGAAATGAAAAGAAGGTGAAAAACAAAATTGTGAAAATTTATACGTGAGTCATGGAGGGATAAGTAAAAAACAAAACAAAACAACAACAACAAAAAAAAAATGAAAGAAAACAATACTAGAAAAGAAGGCAGGGCAGAAGTACTCCTTAAAATAGAGTTCAGGGTCTCAGAAAATAAGTTTGGTAGCTGCTTCGTGGGTCATCTGACAAACTAATATCCCTCTTCTCTGAGAACCAATCCTCCCCCAACACATAGAGGGTTTGGGCCTGACAGCTATGTATGTCCCAAATAACCTTGCCCCTCTGGCCATGGTTGATTTCACCCGAGTTCAACAACTGACTAAAGCTGGGCCAATTAAATTTTCTCCTTTGGGAATCTGAAATTAAGAAATAAAATATTTTTCTATAAAGAATTGTGCATAGAGTGGCCATTTTCTGTCATGGGCACAGAGAAGCAGAGGAAACCTGCCTTCTGAGAGAAAAGAATGAAGTGACTTACAGAAAGAAGGAGAAATCACACCAGGTGACCAGAAAGAGGGAGAGAGTCTGAGAGGAAGTTCACTTTCCCATGATGATTATTTTGTTTCTTATGCATTTTATTCAATCCTCCAAAACCACCCCAACTCCAGACCCATTCCTGCTGATACATCTCCACTACAGTCCCACCATCAAATCTATGATTTTTTCAACATTTGGATCAATTTCTTTTTCCTTTCTGTACAGGTAATACATGTTCTCCTTTCCTATCGAAAGCCATCTCCTCCACTTCTGATTTAAATTCTGACCCTCTTGTCTCTCAGGGACTTCATTTCTGCAGTTATTATCTCCATCTTCTTCATCATCAAATTATTGATTTTTCCCAGTAATGTTTGAACATGCTGTTATGCCAACATTTACTTTAAAAGGCAAAACAAAGATTCTTCTGCCATCCCTTTCCATCTATGGTCCAAATTCTTTGATCTTGTCACAGCAACAGTTCTTGACAGAGATGTCTACATGTTACTTCTGATATCCTATTTAATCCTATTAATCTACTATTTTCCTGTTTAGTCTATTCCAATCTGGCTTCATGCCACTGAAAACTGCTAATCAATATCAACTGCCTCCATATTGCCAGACCCAGTGGATATTTCTGGGACCTCTTCCTTTTCCAGCTTTTAGCAGTTTTCCACATTGCTGGTCAGGCTCAGTTCTTTAAAAAAATCTCTTCTATAGGAGTCTGGGACACTGTACTCACCTGTTCTGTTTCCTACTTCTCTAACCACTACTGCTCAGTGCTCTTCAGGTTCTTCCTCCTCTAGTTCCCTCTAAAAATTGGCCTCTATTCTCTGCTTGCTTCTGTATAAACTCACCTTCTTGGTAATCTTAGACATTCCCATGGCTTTAAATACTGCAAAATGCTGGCAACTCCTAAATGAAACTCTCCAGCCCAGACATTTCCTCCAAGATTCATATTTGTATATTCAGTTGCCTGCTTGATACGTCAAGTACCCATGAATACTTGAAGTGAATGTGTCTAAAATGGGCCTAAAATCTTAATTTCCATATTCCTGCTTTCTCTTAACCTCTGAGAAAATTGTCCCCATTTTTTCCCCATTTCAGCAAATGGTTTCACCATCTATCCAGTTATTCCAAACAATTAACCTAGACAATATTTTTGATTTCTCATTTTTCTCCCCACCATCGCCCCCTCCAACCCAGCAGCTAGTCCTCTCATTTGTTTTTAATAAATGGATGTCTAATCCATCCACTTCTATCTCTTCTGCTATTACATTAAGTCAAACTACTGTCATCTCTTACCTAATCTATTGCTGCAGCTACTCAACTTGCCTCCCAGCTTCTACTCTTGCCTTCTTTAATTTAGTTTCTACTTATTAGTCAGGGTAAACTTGGAAATATGTTGAGCCACATTTCCTGCTTAAAAATGTTCAGTGTCGGGTGGGCGCGGTGGCTCACGCCTGTAATCCCAGCATTTTGGGAGGCCAAGGCAGGTGGATCACAAGGTCAAGAGATCGAGACCATCCTGGCCAACATGGTGAAACCCCGTCTCTACTAAAAATACAAAAATTAGTTGGGCATGGTGGCACGTGCCTATAGTCCAGCTACTCGGGAGGCTGAGGCAGGAGAATCGCTTGAACCAGGGAGGTGGAGGTTGCAGTGAGCCGAGATCATGCCACTGCCCTCCAGCCTGGCAACAGATTGAGACTTCATCTCAAAAAAAAAAAAAGGTTTGGTGTCTTCCAATAACTTTGCAATGAAATCCAAATTCCTTAAAATAGCTTAAAAGGCCTGACCTGGCCTGACTACTTTTGCTCTACTCTTCTCCTCCCCTTTTCAGTTCCAGCCACAATGCCTCCTTTCACTTCCCCTGAAACGCTCCTGCATGGCCTGCATACAGGTGTCTCCTCAGCCTAAATCACTTCTACCTCCCTGCTCCTCAATTCCCTTGAAATGCCATGTCTTAGAATGTCCTTCCTGAGTCCTCACCCATCACTAATAACCTATAATAATCTATCATTAAGTCAGTTTTTTCCATCTATTTTGCTCATTAAATGTTGTCAATACACATTTGTTTACCTCCTAATGGCAAGTCTTTCCTACTAGATTGTAAAGTCTCTAGAGGCAGCGACCTTGTTTGTCTCTTCTGTTCACTACTTGATCACTTAACACCTATGTAGTTCCTAGGATATACCACGTGTTCAATAATTACTTGTTATAACTTTACTTGTTGCTGATGGCTTCATCATTCATTATTCCAGTCCTTGTACAGTCCTACTATACTTTCTGTGGGAGAGTTTCCTATAGTCTTGTACTCAGATCCCTTTTGTCATGTCAATAATTTGAGTAGGTTTCTGCTGTTATATCAAATGACCACTAATTGATGCAGCTTTTAAAAGGACAAGGTGATCAGCAATGTCACATGCTGCTGAATGGGAAAGCAGGTTAAGAGCTAAGCAAAAAGCACTGGATCTCATCACTGATCATCTTCAAGCCAATAGTGTCCATAAAATATGGCCCAATCGAAGCCAGATTACAACTAAGTTAGCAAGATGGGTACGAAGGTAGATGCATCAATGCAGAATATTCCTTTTAAGAGTGTAACAATTAAAATAAGGCATGATATAAAATGGGATCTTGGGGTTGAGCAGAGCCAAAGAAAGTACATGTTAGTCTAGTT
This sequence comes from Homo sapiens, assembly GCF_000001405.40. Lineage (NCBI taxonomy): Eukaryota > Metazoa > Chordata > Mammalia > Primates > Hominidae > Homo > Homo sapiens. The sequence continues at coordinate 7,959,625 of NC_000007.14, read as the reverse complement.
TAAAAGAAAAGACAGGCCAGGTGCGGTGGCTCACGCCTGTAATCCCAACACTTTGGGGGGGCAAGGCGGGCAGATCATCTGAGGTCGGGAGTTTGAGACCAGCCTGACCAACATGGAGAAACCCGATCTCTACTAAAAATACAAAAGTAGCCGGGCGTGGTGGCCCATGCTGTAATCCCAGCTACTTGGGAGGCTGAGTCAGGAGAATCACTTGAACCCGGGAGGCGGAGATTGTGGTTAGCCAAGATCACACCATTGGACTCTGTCTCAAAAAAAAAGAAAAAAGAAAAGAGAAAATATTCCTATCGATATACCCATAAGCCAAAGAAGCCGAAGGAGAAAAACATCAAGAAGCGTTTGAATGGGGAGGAAGATTAATAGATTTAGTTTCCATTAGCATTAAAGGATTTGATCAAGAGCACAACATTGACAAAAAGGCACAATGTTTCCCCTTCTACTACAGGAAGGAAGGAGGATAAGAGGTCAAAAGTAAGACAGAGTTTTGGATCGAGCAAAGGGAGGTTGAGTGTGGCCACTTCAGAAGGTAGCAAAGTCATCTACAAACCAATTGTCAAGGAGAAGATCAGAATCTCTTGAAAGACTTTTCTGAACCATACTTCCAACCCTTCATTCCATCCCTTACCTCCCTGCCCAAGACTTGTTTTCCACTACCACCATAGCAGACACTCACTGCTACAAAAGGCCACAGTGGCTGATGAAGTGTGCCTTACTTCTTAGATGGCGCTATGGTTTGAATGTTTGTCCTTTCCAAAACTCACGTTGAACTTTTTTTTCTTTCTTTCTGCCCCCACCCCCTCATGTTGAAATTTAATTGTCATTGTAATAGTATTAAGAGGTGGCACCTTTAAGTGGTGATTAGGTAATGAGGACTCTGCCCTTATGAATGGATTATTGGCATTATCATGGGAGTGGGTTCACTATTGCAGGTGGGGGTTCACCCCCCTTATTCATTCTCTCTCTCTCTCTCTTTCTTTTTGCTCTTCCAGCATGTGACACCTTCTGCCATGAGATGATGCTACAAGAAGAACCTCACCGACTGCTGGCACCTTGATACTGGACTTCACAGCCTCCAGAATTGTGAGCCAGTAAGTTTCTGTTCATTATAAATTACCCAGTCTGTGGTATCATTATAAATTACCCAGCCCATGGTATTCTGTTACAGCAGCACAAAACAAATTAATACAGGTAGGGTGGAGTAGAAAACAGTGCAATCAGTGGAGAGCAAGATAGTCAGAAGTGAATATAGGGTTGAAGAGCTCTGGCATCATGAGGAATACGAAAAGGAAACAAAACTGTATTTTCCACATGTGTCAGATCATCAGGCATATCTGGGTCCCTTGCTAAAAACACAGATTTCAGTCCCCTTTCCTGGAGAGTCTAATTCAGCTGGTCTGCTGGTGGGAGGGTTAGGACTGTATAATTTTTAACAAGTTCCTCAGGTGATCTTTATGATCAGGCAAATTTGCGCAACAGTAGATATGAAATAAATGAAAGTTTACCAAGTATAATTTCAGGCCCAAAATATTATCTCCATTTTCAGCCAAATACATAGAAACATTGATACCTGACATCAATTCATGGAAATTACCAAAAGAAAACACCTTTTAAAATTCTACCTGTAGAATTTTTTTTAAAAAATCTAAGAGGTCTACTCATTTTACATGATTGGTATCTAATTCTATGGTTCCAAATAATCTACAGTGGTGTTTAAATATATAAGACTAGGTTATAGATTTTTTTTATTATAGCAAATTTCATTGAGGAAAAGGGAAATGGACCTGACTAGCTAACAGTTATTATGTATAATATAATAATGAGTCAGATATTTTAAAGCCTGTTCTGCTTCTGGTTTGCTTAGCTCCCAGATTAATAAACTAACATAGTAAAATATAAGAATGCAACTTGATCTTATCCATTCCTAACATATTTAAACAAAATCTTGAGCACACTAGCAGTACAGCAGCTGAGAATAGATACGGGTCCTTGAAAAATTTATTTCCATTTCCTCCTAGAAAAAGTGATTTGTATTGATACACAATAGTCGCAGCCCAAACTGCTTTCTGGGAACACAAAGCCCCTCTAATTTGTACCAGTTTTTCTCCATTCTAGTTGATCCTGACCATCAGGTATAAATTAGTGCTAAATCAATATTAGCCGATACTTCCCCAGGTGTGGGAAGTGAGGAAACCTGATCACATGAACAAACACAACCCTTCCTGGCTACATTTAAAATAAGGTGGTTATTATTATACCATGCGGGAAAAAGAATTTTTTTGTTGTTTGTTTTTTAATCAATCTTATGCCATCTCAATTTGTATTAACTTGATATAGTGATATCAGTCATCAGTTAGAATCCATTTTTAGTTATAGATTCCCTATCAACCTTCACACTTTTTTTCATTCTTTCATGGGGCCTCCTCTTCCCCTTCCAACTTCTTCTCACCCCCAGCCATGCCATGTATCTTGCCCCACACCCTTTTTCATTTCTAGCACTACTTACTTAAGTGGTTGAGTGGAGGAGCCCAGGGGAGCAGGTTTACATACCTGCTTTAATTGCTCACCTTGGGCGGAGCAGTGTCCTAAATAAACTTTAGTTTTGCCACAGCATCATTACTCAACAAAGTATTTTCACAAGTGTCACTTAATAATACAAAAATAAATAAGGCACTTAAACTTGTTATTGAGGAAAGAAGCTTTAGCTGCCCACTTTCCGTACTCAGGGTCCAATCTTGCTTCACTTGTTCTTAGAAAACTCTTCAGGAGTTTTCTTTAAAGAAAATCAGTTAGAGCATAAGTGCTGTGAGCCAGGTCTAAGTAGCTTTACCCTTGAAAGGATTAGTTCCTTTGTTAATTATCAATAACAAGGAATTTTGTCATTTTTCTCAATACCTTCCAGTCGTAACTATTCATAGTGTAACTATGTACTCAATGGTTTCATAAATATCAAAACATATATGTGTAGTACTTAGTCACAGATGGGAAGAGAAACAAATGTTCCAAATTCCAAGGAAATGATGTGACTCTGCATGATTTTTTCCCAATTTCCTGGGTTTTATAGAAACTTCACAGAACTTTTAAAAGCGCTTTCAGATCTATGACTTTTTTGTATCACCACAACAATTCTGTGACGTTAGAACATGTATGCTGTCTCCATTTGACAGATGGGGAAATGGAGGCCCACAACCTTGGCTGGGGTCACAGATAGCACATGAGAGACTAGAAGTAGAAGCCAGGTCTTCTGATTCCTTCACTATAAAAATTGGGTGACTTTTTTCCCCAGTGTTTTTTCTTCACTATAAAAATTCCCTCTGTAGCAAGAGCCAGGGATGTAATTGAGAGGCATGGTTCTTTTCCACGTTGGTCTCTGAAAGACCTGTGAGCTAATAGTATATGCAAGAGAGGACACTTACTGGCTAAGAGATTGATTACCTACATTCAAGGCAACCCGATGATGCACCCTGATAAGAGAAGGGCCTGTCTAAAGGTCCTAATTTGTTTTAAATATCCAGAGTTCCTGATAGGAAGGCAGGGTGTGGTAATTATATATCTAACTTTTGGCTAATTGTCTCCATATCCTCACCTTCACAGATGTCTTTCAAACATTGATAATTACAGCTTTCAGACCCAAAGCCTACAAATTCATAATCCATACAGATGACATACTAAAATCTACTCAAACTTGTAAGTCTGAAGACAATTTCAGCACTATTGGACTTACATTAGGAGAAAACTGCTTAAAAAGAGGTACCCTTTATTTCTATGTCATAGCTATACTTTACCACATAGATGTGTCATGGTTTCACCTTGATCTAGGGAAGTGCACATAAATTCATTTGCCTCTAAATGTAATCAAAATTAACAAAACAAGTAACAAAAAAGAAAGAGTGTATGGATAACACCATAGAAGTAAAACTGACTCAAATTAATGAAAGCAACTTGAAACAATGAAGGAGCTGCTTCTAAGTAAGATAAAGAATCAGAACCAAGAAATAAGTACAGCACAGAAAAGCAGTCATCCTTGTCATGATGGCCTACAAGTACAACCCGAGTTATTTACTTATATCATAGAACTTACATCATAAGTTCTTTTTAAGAATTCAAGCCAAGCATTGTGGCTCACACCTGTAATCCCAACAACTTGGGAGGCTGAGGCAGGAGGGATCGCTTGAGACAAGAAGTTTGAGACCAGCCTGGGCAACATATTAAGATCCTGTGTCTAAAAAAATAATTTAAAAATCTGCCAAGCATGGTGGTGCATGGCTATAGTCCCAGCTATTTGGGAGCCTGAGGCAGAATGATCACTTGAGTCCAGGAGTTTGAGGCTGCAATGAGCTATGATAGTGCCACTGCACTCCAGCCTGAGTGAGATCCCATGTCTGCAAAAAAACAAAATGAAAAGAAAGAAAGAAAGAAAGAAAGAAAGAAAGAAAGAAAGAAAGAAAGAAAGAAAGAAAAGAAAGAAAGAAAAAGAGAAGTTAAGAGAGAAAGAAAGAAATTAAAATAAGAATCCAGCAAGTTCTTGCTATAGTGGCATCAACATAACAATAAATAAGGTGTACTCTTACAACTTACACCACAATCTCTATCACCACCCAGAGCAATTATAATAAATCCTGCCTAATTTGGGGTCCCACAATTTAATAAAGAATTATGAATGTAGACGCTAGAAAAAGTCAAATGATTTAGCTTTATTTAGTTTGCAGAAGAAGTTCAAGAAGGGGTTAGTCATGGCCTTCAGGTATATTTAGTGCCATAGATATTGGTGTTTGGGGATTTTTCGTCATAGAAAGAATGTAAGGAAATTAGTTAAAGATTTAAGAGGAACAGGGTAAATAAAAGCATATGTTCAGCATTCACACTGCTATGCACTCTATGTATTTTATCTCATGGAATCTTCCCAGATACCCTGCAAGACTGATAGAAACCAAGAATGAGGAGGTAGAAAAGTCAAGGTCAAAGTCAAAGGTCAAAGTCCTTTACCTGGTATTTGGTCTTAGGGTCTGTTTACTTCCAGAGTCTGTGCTACAGGACCAAGTCACTGTAATGCTACATTGGGCAGTGTTATGAAATCTTCTGCTCTCATTAAATTCAAGAATAGTTTCTAGAGACATATATCTAGGATAGTGATATAGTCCTATCTGAAAAATAGAAAAATGGACTATATTCCTCTGAGGCCACCTTCAGCCCTGCAATTTTAGATTAAAATTGAGATCAATAGAGCTTTAGTCCAAGGCTTTTACTGGGCACATTTTTTTAATCATTAAAGATCTGAGGCCTATAGCATGAGTAAGACTTTAGCTATTTATATTTAAAGTTTCCTCCACCTACTTAAATATCCAACATTAAGAAATTAGTCTAATAGAGTATATCCATATAATGGAATTTTGTGTTATTGTTAGAATTATGTGGAAGAAATTTTAATGACATAACAAAATGCCAATGATATATTATCAAGTGAATTTGAAAAACCAGAAAAACCAAACTCAACTGTAAAGTATGTTTCTAATTGAATATAAATATATATTTACATATGCATATATAAAAACAACCAAGAGAACACATGCCAAAACATTAATAGTGGTTCCCTGTGGTTACTGGGATAAAGGGTGACTTATTTTCATCTCTGGGCTTCTTTACATTTTTCTAAACTGAACATGTCTACATATATTACTAGAAAGAATGCTTTGCACATACCACACATGTAAAATAATTTTCTGCAAAGGTTTTAAAATTGAGAATAGAATAACATTGTATTAGGAATGGAATTTTGTATAGAGTGAGGAAAAATTTATTAAATAGCATAGAGCCCATTGTTAGCAGCAAACTGTCACTCTGTCCAACACTAGAAATAAAATTAGCTTTTCTTATAATTTCTTTCTTTTTTTGAGATAGGGTCTCACTCTGTTGCCCATGCTGGAGTGCAGTGTCACAATCATGGCTCATTTCAACCTCTCTCTCTCAGGCTCAGGTGACCCTCCCACCCCAGCCACCTGAGTAGCTGGGACAACAGGCATGCACCACCACACACCTGGCTAACTTTTGTATTTTTTGTAGAGCTGGAATTTTGCCATGTTGCCCAAGCTGGCCTTGAACTCCCGACCTCAGGCAATCCTCCTGACTCAGCCTCCCAAAGTGCTGGGATTACAGGTGTGAGCCACCACATCTGGCCATAATTTCTTATTATGCTAAACTATCATATACAACTACCAGAATTCTTTTAGCTCTTGCCTAAAACCCTCTACTCAGAAGGCACACAGAAGACACACAGCTAAGCACATGATACTATGTGTATAAAATGAAGATAATAATCATACCTGGCTCATGGGGTTCTTAAATCTTAAGATGTAAATAAAATAATACTTTTAAAGCTAGGCCTAGCTCAGTGCCTGGAACATAGTAAGCACTCAATAAATGTTATCTTGGTAGTTATGTTCTTATTGTTAGCTAAAGAACAGAAAAATTCTGCAAAAAAAATGGTTGTTGATCTAAGAATTTCCTATCAGCCACCTGGCACACATACTTCATTTTAAAATAGTCTTGTAGTTAATGTAGATGGCATCTAAAGGAATCTTTGACACATTGTAATTATATAGCTCATTTCATTCTCCATACTTATCAAGGTTTTCTTTATTTATTTATTTATTTTCAAGGTTTTAATGAGTAATGAAAACAGCAAATGAAGCCATAATATAATTCAATTTTTTAAAATCATTTTTCCTATGTTTATATTACCAAAAATGTTTGCAATATCAATAAAATGTTAGAACTTTGTAATTACAATGTTATTTGAATTTTTATTTTTATGTAATTATTTATTGGATTTGTCTCTCTGAAGATAATTTTTTATTTTTATTTGTGATTAAAAGCAGCTTTGAATTTAGCTATGTCCTTTACTATAATGCAAAGAAAAAGCACATCTACGTTCTTTGCAAATATCATTGTCCATTTGGACATGCGCGCGCGCGCACACACACACACACACACACACACACACACACACACACAGACTTGTCTCAATATATTTTATTTTCTATTTTTTTGAGACAGAGTCTCACTCTGTCACCTAGGCTGAAATGCGTTGGCATGATCTTTGCTCATTGCCATTTCCGCCTCCCAGGCTCAGGTGATCCTCCCATCTCAGCCTCCCTAGTAGCTGGGACCACAGATGCACACCACCATACTTGGCTAATTTTTTGTATTTTGGGTAGAGATGGGGTTTTACTATGTCGCCCAGGCTGATCTCAAACTCCTTAGCTCAAGTGATCTGTCTGCCTTGGCCTTCCAAAGTGTTAGGATTACAGGCATGAGCCACAGCACCTGACCTCAACATACTAAATCTACGTTTGGTGAAATTGGAATGGCTAAATGTCCCACGTTTTTTAAGGGAAATCATCTTAGTAGGGGGTCACATTGCTTGCTGAGGACACATTAACCTGATGATTTCAAAGAATATGGTTTGGGTCTGGCATCACATTTCAAGATCAAAAATACAAACCTCAGTTACCTAGTAAGTGTAAGATCTACAATTATAACTGATAAGAAAGTGGTTCAGAAATATGAGTAGGATTTTAAACATTTAAACTTGGACTTGTCTCCCACTCTAAGAAAAGAACTGTTTTTATGGGGGGAGCAAAAAAACCCAGATGACTTAATGGCAAATGTTTTCCTAAACTGCAGAATAAGGGTGTCTTCTGCCAAAAGTAGTCATTTCAGAAATGCTGTTAGGGACTATACCTCACATATCAACTCTGCTCCTTTGTATCTCATTCTTAGACCATCTTCTCAGAAGCCCTTGTATGTTTCCCTCTAGGACCATTCCTAATTAATGCCTTCTGTATTCCACCTCCTTTAAGGCTAGTCAAGCTTTTTCTGCTTTTTCAGGAAAAAGTTTGTTCTGGGTTATGTCAAGCCTTGCCCAGCCTCATTGATATGGTTTGGATCTGTGTCCCCACCAAATCTCATGTCAAACTGTAAATGTCAGAGGTGAGGCCTGGTGGGAGGTGATTGGATAAGGGGGCAATTTCTCATGGTTTAACACCATTCCCCTTGGTGCTGTCATTGTGATAGCGAAGTCTCATAATATTTGGTTGTTTAGAAGTGTGTGGCAGCTGGGCACAGTGGCTCACGCCTGTAATCCCAGGACTTTGGGAGACCAAGGTGGGCGGATCACCTGAGGTCAGGAAATCGAGACCAGCCTGGCCAACATGGTGAAGCCCCATCTCTACTAAAAATTAGCTGGGCGTAGTGGCGAGTGCCTGTAATCCCAGCTACTCAGAAGGCTGAGACAGGAGAATCTCTTAAATCTGGGAGGCAGAGGTTGCAGTGAGCCAAGATCGTCCCATTGCACTCCAGCCTGGGCAACAAGAGCAAAACTCCATCTCAAAAAAAAAAAAAAAAAAGTGTGTGGCACCTCCCCGCTATCTCTCTTTTCCTTCTGCTCTGGCCATGTGAAGTGCTTGCTTGCCCTTTGCTTTCTGCCATGATTGTAAGTTTCCTGAGGCCTCTCCAGAAGCTGAGCAGATGCCAGCATCATGCTTCCTGTACAGCCTGTGAAACTGTGAGCCAATTAAACCTCTTTTCTTTATAAATTACCCGATCTTCAGTTCTTTATAGCAATGCAAGAATGGACTAATACACTCATCTAGCTTGTTTTCCAGCTAACAGGTTTATTTTTGGCCCAAGGAAGCAGGACACTGGGGAAGAGGGGGAGGAGCTCAGAGGTGGCTCAATAAACCATAATCATTTAGTACATAGCTGGGTAAACTGATTCCACCGATGATGATAGGGTCCCATACTTTCTTGCGTAAGCTCAGTGTGATTCTTTAACTTAATCAAAATTTCACATTTTAAACATTTATTTTATGTTTCTTTCTGTTTCTATCACATGCTTTACAGATAATCCACTTTAAAGCAAGAAAACAAGATAATTCAAGGTAAAAATTCAAAGGGGAAAGGATGGGAGTCTATGAAAAGTTGTTGCCTTACCTTCTCCCACTTAGAGCTAATTTATATTTGACCAAGTAGCGGTTCCATGTATATATTCCAGGTAGCAGATTACTCTTGTGGATAAATAGGGGATATCTCTTTCTCTTCCCTAGGGAAAAATGTATGACTCTAAATTTGGAAACCAGACAGGATCTGCTAATACGGGGCAGAATGTTAAAAAGAGGATGAATTTTGATTTCAGAAAATTTAGAAGAAAATGGATTTCTCAGGCAACTGAAAGAACATATTTGGATCTGTTAAGATGAAAGGAGACTTCAAGAGAACTGGACTTTGTGTTGGACAGGCTGTCTGTGACAGGGAAAAAACCCCTTCTGAATGATTAGGGATGAATCAGTTAACTTGCTTGAGTTTCACATTCTTCATCTGTAAAATCTGGTGATTAGACTGGCCCAGCAAAAGATATAATGGGCAAAAGATATAATACACATAAATTGGAATGAATCTGCATTTTCCAAGCCTGATGACTTTATTAAAACTGAATTAAGTCACTAACTGGCAGCCTGAAGATGAAAGGAAAGAACTCAGTCATGCTTCTTAAGGTAAAAGGGCAGTCTAACTGAGAATTTTGTTATCTCTGAGGACAAATTACAAGGAGATAAAGACACTCAAGATCACATGGAAGGCTTCTGCTCCCACTTAGAGACTGCAATGTAAGGTATGGAAACAGAATATTCTCTATAGAAACATACATATTAAAATATGAACATTTTTGTTCTTATTTCAATCCAAAAATAAATAAATGAATTAAATGTCAAAGATATCCATTCTAATTTGGAACTTCTCTGTTCATAACCTATTATGCAGTGGGCGCTAAAAATCTGTTCATGGTATATGACTGAATATTGTCTATGAAATGTGTAGGTGTTAAACAAATGCCACGGTTTATTTATTATAAGAAACTTTTTTACATTTTAACATCTCTGAAATGTGGATAACACTTTATTTTATTTTACTTTATTTATTTTCGAGATGGAGTTTCGCTCTTGTTGCCCAGGCTGGAGTGCAACGGCAAGATCTTGGCTCACTGCAACCTCCGCCTCCCCGATTCAAGCGATTCTCCTGCCTCAGCCTCTCCAGTAGCTGGGATTACAGGCCCCTGCCACCACGCCTGGCTAATTTTTGTATTTTTAGTAGAGATGGGGTTTTTACCATGTTGGCCAGGCTGGTCTCGAACTCCTGACCTCAGGTGATCCACCTGCCTCAGCCTCCCAAAGTGCTGGAATTACAAGTGTGAGCCACTGCGCCCGGCCCTGAAACGTGGATAAAATTTTAAATGAATGGCTTGTTGTTGTTTAATTGGCAGCATCTTTTTTCTTGGCATCACTTAAAATAATGGCACAATTTATGATGGTGTCTTAGATTTGATGAAGTATTTAATCAAATCATGAGGTATTTGATGAACTGTCTTCAATAGGGACATCATAGATGTTTTAATATTTGTGAATTATCTTAGGATAAACTGGAAAATGCTAAAGAAACATTCATTAGAACGTCTGGTCTTGAGAGCAAAAAGGAAAAGCATTGTCAGGAGGAAGTTCTTGGGTAAAGACAGTGAGTTTAATGACATCCATAGTGACTTAGGCTGGCATCTAACTCAGCTATGTCTTTCCTGCCTCACTCCCAAACCTCATAAAGCTGGGTCTAGTCAGTTTCAGTCCCTTGGTATTGTAGAATTCAATGACACACTGCAACCCCTGGAAAAGATTCATTTACCTTAATAATGTCCATAATAACAGATATAATACATTTTCTAGGCATTATATTTATCCAAGGTTTGACTGTAAAAGGTCTTGTACTTTTAAAAAACCTATAGCCTCATAAGATTCATCTAAAGTAAATGCATTTTTTAAAACCTAACTAAAGCATTTTTGTCACCCTATTTATATCAGCCCAAAACAGCATCAGTTCTTCAATAAGGGCTTCAGAGATCTTAAGTTAAAGGACAGAGTAGTCAATTAGTTAGTACTATGGAAGATTTAAACCCAAAACTTACTGTTTTAAAAAGATGAATATATATACACACACATATCATATATAGGTATGTAGATAAGGCTTGGAAGGGTGTGTCAAAAGTTGTTACTTTGGAATGAAAAGTATCTGAGTTTGTTTTTTCCTCTTCTGTGTTTCTAAATTTTGCCGTAGTAAGCATGTATTGCATTTGCAGTAATTTTAAAAAGCAGTAAGTATGATAGCATTTACCCCTCCCCCCCATTTTTACGGTTAAACAGTGGGTACTGTAAGGTACAGCTGGCATAGTTAAGGATGTATCTTCAAAGATGCATTGGCTTCGTTTTTTTCCTAGAAAGTCACAGGCACCATCCAGTCCAGCCACAAAGCTGAATTTAGAGTTAGCCGTACATGAGACAGTGGGGGCCCGCAAGCTAATATATAAGAAATAATTCTTCCCTCCCTATTGATAGACATGGTAACTTCTAAACATTTCTGTGTGTGGACAATATATGCATACACTTGCAATTTGCCTTCTCTGGCCAGGCCACAGAAGAGGGCAATTCACTTAAGTGCATAATTTTATTTTTCTTCTTTGTTTTGCATACAAATATACATAACAGTTTTATTTATAATACCCCTGAACTGGAAAGAAGCCAAATGTCCATCAATATGTGAATGTATAAACAAATTGTGTACTATCCATATAATAAAATACTACTCAGCAATAAAAAGGAATGGACTACTTGTACAGGTAGCAACAAAATGCATAATTTTCTTGACCTGGGTTTTCTTCAGATTGCTGGAGCTGAAGAGTCTTTTATTTATTTGATGTCACTTCAGTTTGTTAAAGGATAAAACCCTTTTAGTACAGGCTTTTCTCCTACCATAACCACATTTATGCCAAGTTTAAAATATTGGTAAGCCTATTTGAAAATCAGTTGTAGAATAAATAAAATGTCCTCTTTTGCTTAGCTATTAACATAATTTTAGGCTGCTGTGCCTCCTTTACCACCATGTATTTGGTAGAAAATTATATTTCTGCTTTTTATATTATTCATAAATAAAAGTCAGTATTTTTCGGTTCTTTGCTTCTTCAAATCATGTTATTAACATTTAATGAAATATAGCTCTTTCTTCTTTTATCTTAGGTGTATAATCTCATCAACTTTGCAGGAAAAACAGATACCCTTAGGGTCTGAATTGGTGTTTGAATAGATAAGCTCACTTTTAGTCCATGCCTAATAATATTACCTTATTGTTTAGGAAGAGATAGCAAGCTATTTCTTAAAATTTGTATATACTCTTTCTGTCATCGTGTAACAACTGAATTATCCTACTGATAATAGGATTCATATAAAACTGTGGATGATGTCTAGCTACTCTATTTTTGCCAAAAGGAGAACACAGATAAACATTATGCCATGGCCAGCATTTCAGTGACTTTAGGAACTTATATGCAGTTAGTGCCTCTTCACATACTGCTCAGAAAGCATGTTCTCCAGTGATTTCAGAGGGAGGACAAGAGGGACTCCAAAGGAGAATTTATGGGATGTTTGTGAAATTTGTGGCAATAGAGCATCTCTAAGTCTCAGTTTGCTCCCTGGTGAAAGAAAGATGGTAATTCCTTCCTCACGGGATGGTTGGAACTACTAAATGGGATGATGCAATTAGACAAAAACAGTTTGTGAAGCACTATGTTGGTATTATTATTATTGCATAAATACGAACAATGAGCACAGTAGGCCAGACCTTATTAAATTCAGTACTTTAGATGGTGTATAAGCACACACAGTAGCCAGGGAGTAGGCTCTGGAGAGGGGTACAGACGGGACAGGCTGAACACTATTAACCCTGGAATTACAAAACCCACTGCCAGAATTTCCCGGTTTGCCGTACCATTCATGTTCATTCAAGGTAAAGGGCACACTCTGCCTCTCTCATAGCAAAGGAATTCCTCCTCTGGCAAAGATGCTGATGTCACTGATGTCACACAATTTAGTATCAGTAAACATAGGCATAGTAATGGAAAGGAGGAGGTTAGCATTCTCTTGAGGGAGTTCAAGGAAGCTTTTCCAACTGGGAAGTGAGGTTGGTGGGGAAATATGACTTAAACAGCTAATGGGCATTAACTAAATACACCACAACAAAGCCTTCCCAGATAAAATATAGATGAACTATCCCTGTCTCCACATGCACACCTAACACCTGTTAACATAGCAATTGTGCACCCCAAGTAAGAGAGTTAAAGATAACTGATTAGATGATTCCATTGTCCTGGGTAGGAAGATACCTGGTAGCTGAAAAGCTCCGCTCTATTTTCTGTTAGCAGAGATTCTACTACCATTATCTTCTTGTTTTGCAGCGACGGAGACAAAGAAGATTTTCCTGAGCAGTGTCAGTAACAAAGAAATGAAGCAAATTATTAAGAAACTGATGGGCATTCATTGAAGAGCAACAAATATGATTCATAAGTCTGAAGGGACAGCCTTCAGAGAGAAGATGAAAGAGACAAGTCTCTCAGCATGACCATGTGGCTCTAACGGGACTGGCTCATGGGCAACAAGTACTTGAAGGGTGTAAATAGTGGGGACAGAGAGAAATTATTTAGTGTGCAAGGGGACAGCAGGAGGAGTGATGGTAAATGAAAGTCAAAACAAAGATGATTTAGGCAGCTGAACGAGTCACAGGCCCTAATGGAGAGATCTATTATAGGCTGTACAGCCTTGGGAAGGGTGGAAACCCCATCACTTGTGCCATTTACAGTTGGAAAAGCCATTAAAAAGTAGATCAGCCTGTTGGAGAGGGAAAAAACACCGCAGGTCCTCAGAGAATCAGTGGGATGACTTAATAGGTCTTTTCCATCTCAAATTACTGTGATGTAGTTTGTACGCATGGGGACCTGAGGTTCTAGAATAATTTTTCCAGCATTTGGGCTTCTTTACTATTACTACAAGGCCTCAGTGAAGAAATGATAACGGGTCATGGAATGCAGTTTCTGCATTGTAAGTGGAAGCCCACAGTGTACTGATGCTTTAGTATGAAGGCAGGACTGACTATGGTAAGTTTCACATTGTGATGTCAGTGTAAATAAATAAAAACACAATACCAATTAAGTCCCAAAACAACATACATATATTGACTGAGACCAAAGGCAGAGGGAAAGGACCTTTGTCACAGTTAGATGGTGGCTGAATAAATGAAAATTCAAGTAGTTTATTCTCTCATCTAGAAAAATACATGTCTAAATACTTAAAAGTCTATCTTTACAAAAAAAAAATAAGAAAAAAAATGGCCTTAAAACTATCAAGAAATATTTACTGTGTAGGAACTTTAGGACCCACATTTTGAATGTGTGCTGTATTTCTGTGCACAGCTGCAGTTGTAATTAGCAACTGACACATTCCGAAACCATGGTGGCCCAGAGGAGCACATATGTGCACAGGCTGTGCCAACCTGGGGCAATAACTGCAACTGAAAGGAACGGGCACAGCTTGGTCAGATGGAAACTGGGGCAGGCAGAGAAGGGCTGGTGTTACTGTGATTACTAGAAGGAGCACAGCTGTGACCATCTCAACCCTTCTCAGCCAGAGGATGACACGGAAGCAGGGGACAAAAATGGTAAGAGGGTGACAGGAGGGAGAGGCAGCAAGAAAGAAAGCAAAAGAATCCAGAGAGGGAAACCCACAGATGCAAGCTCTTTGCAGGTGGAGTATATCACAGATCCTGATAAAAATATTGTATGTGGTTGAGCACAAGTGAAACTTGGCGTTCTAGAAGACTGAAGTTTGCAACAAAAATTCAGGGTTTGACCTACACCTGACAGATATAGGTCAACCCTCATCCTGCTGCTCTCAGCAGCTGTAGCCAATAGGAGACAGTGCTGCCCAGCATGCCGGTTTAAGCTGCTGCTAATAGAGGGAAATCAACGTAACCCCATATTTCCTGCCTCTGCAGTCCTCACTTGTCTATACATGGCCAACTCAGGCGCAGGCAGAGCTGCTGGCTTGCTGTAACTGCTGGATGACTGATAAGTGGAATCTGGTGCTAGCATATATATTCCCACCTCATCTAGCTAAAAAATCTTTTGTAAAGCCTTTTAAGGGAGGACCATTAAAATTCAATTTTCCCTCATTAACCTAAATGCTTTCTTAAATTCATATAACCAGAAGAGACGTACTAATTCTTCACACCAACAGAACTTTAGAGATGTTTAGAGAGAGGAAATTCCGTGACAGAGGCCTATTTTTGAAAGGATACAGCAAAGGTTAAGTGACTTATCCCATGTTACTTAGAGGTGATAGTTAAGGCAGAAAGCGAACTGAGGGAGTGGTCTGAGATAAGTGAGGAAATTATGAAATTAAATCTGAAGAAAGAACATCATCACCAAATCACATTGGGTTAAATATCTATTGGAAATCCCAATTCAGTAACACACATTCCTTTATCCTACATGTTCAGACTAGTGTTAAAAGTGACTTCAGATATTTCCTATGCTCATGTTTTTTAAAAAAAAGTCCAACCATTCTCCTCAATGAACATGACATTAAATCAAGCTAAGTCCAGTCACATGGTCTCAACTTTACTCACTAAAGCTAGCAGGCAAGGGCCTAGTGAGTTGAATTAGAGGTTTAATTAGAAGAACAAGCAATAAATGCTAAATGTTCTGTTGCAACTGTGTAACTTTCTGTGGGATTTTATGCCTTGTATCTTTTTTCCTGAATTCCAGACCAACGGGGCTGCACTAGAACCCCAGAAGCAGAGAATTCCATAACTCAGACTCTTTGATTCAGATATTTTTCTTTTCATCACCTTGAGAGAGCAAATAAATCCCCCAAACTACTTTTCCCACCTCTCAAGCTTCTAGAGGATATTCTTGACTGGAATTTGTCCATGTTCTTAAATAACAGGTTACTTCACGTTCTTTGTGTTTAAATAAATGTAATTAGGCCTGTTTTTAAAAACTATGGAAAATATTAAAAAGAAAATTAAAATCATCTATAAACTTACCACTTAGTGGCAGCCACATGAACATTTTTGTGTTTCCTTATTTCTACACATATGTATACTTTCCAAAATTTGTCATAAATGTTTTAAAGGTGCTTCATATATTGCCAAATTGCCCTCCAGAAAAGTTAAATCAATTTATAATCCATTTTCAGTGAATGGTGTAATTTTAAAAGCCAGCTTTAAATTTGAGTTGAAAAATGATGCCTCACAGCTGTCTTTATTTTCTTCTATCTCCCTCAATCCTAAAGTTGACCATTTCTTTCCTATGGTTATGGCCAATTACAGTGGACATCGTGTTTCACTCCTCAACAACAATGTAGTTTCTGGAATTGACCCCAGCTCTCGGAATGAGTCCTGATTACTATTGAACCAAGCATAGTAATCCAATCTCTTTGGCTAGTGAAAGGTTCAAAATCAAAACATAGCATTCCTGTGACAAGAGATTTAATCCAGGTTGGTCCTAATCTGAGTCAATAAGGCTGAGAAGAAGCACTTGTATTTTGTTGCTAGAAAAGAGATTCTACGGCCTGGTGTGGTGGTTCACACCTGTAATCCCAGCACTTTGGGAGGCCGAGGTGGGTGGATCATTTGAGGTCAGGAGTTTGAGACCAGCCTGCCTCTACCAAAAACACAAAAATTAGCCGAGTGTGGTCGCGGGTGCCTGTAGTTCCAGCTACTCGGGAGGCTGAGGCAGGAGAATCGCTTGAACCCAGGAGGTAGAGGTTGCAGTGAGCCAAGAAAAAAAAAAAAAAAAAGAGAGAGAGAGAGGTTCCACTTCTCCTCTGATGAATGTGAACAGGAAAGCGTATTGTCCCCACGTGCTGCTGGGTGTTATCTTGTGAACCTCAGAGAAGTCAACCTGACTTTCTGGTTACATGCAAAAATATATTATTTCCTTAGTGTTTAGGTTAGTTTGATTTGGGCTTCCAATTTTTACAGTGAGAAGCTGTCAGAACCCTTTCTCTTTATGGGATTTTTGGAGTTTTTTATTTGGTTTTTGCCAATTCCTATTAGGCATTATCAGTGTTTTTATTGTTGATGTGGTAAGAACTCTATTGAGGGTGTAATCTTGTTGTCTATTTATTATGACTATGTCTCCAAGTTTATCACTTGTTCATTATTTGCTATGTAGTCTTATTTAATTCAGAGAAGAATATAGTCTTAATGTAATTAAATATACCAGTATTTTTCTTTGTGATATATTCCATTGCTTTTACTGTTATTCATTCACTAATAGGTGTGTGTGTGTGTGTGTGTCTGTGCGTAGCAACCACAGGGTTCCAGGCTATAATACACAAGCGAGCCAAAAAAGATACAGTCCCTGTCTTATATCCTAGTTTATATCCTAGTGGGGGGACCGAGGGTAAGGCAAACATTAAACTGAAAAGCCACCCAAATAAGTGTGAGCTGCCAGTGGACAGATCCTACAAAGAGAAGGTACACAATATATGAGAGCTCTAATAGGAAAATTAGGACTAACTAAGGAAATCAGGGGAAGCTTCCCTGGGGAAACGGTGATTGAACTATGAATGATGAAAAGGAGTCAGGTAGCTGGGTAAGGGCATTACAGGTAGTAGGAACTATAGGTGCAAAGGTCCTGCTCAGGAACAAGCACAGGAAATAAGAGGGATAAAAGAAAGTAAACGCCACCGGATCCTGAGAGGGTCTTGGTATAAGATGAAGCTGGAAAGGCTGAGAGGTTGGGGGATGGAGCTGGGAGAAGCTGACTATGCAGGGTTAATAAGTCCGTGTTAAAGAGTGCTGCCTCCTTCCTAAAATCCATGGTGTCATCTTTGACAACCATATTACCTTTACCCCCAACATCCAATTCTATCAAACCCCCAAATCCTATTACTTTTGCTTTCTACATATCTCTTTAATCTATCCACTTTAATCTGTCCATTTCTCTTCATATTTACCAACACTGCTTTAGTCCATTCTATCATCATTTCTGCTTGCACTAATGGAACAGCCTCCTCATTGATCTATTTGCTCCTACTCTTGCCCCAGTTTAATCCATTCCATGGTAATGAGAATTCAATCCTGACATTGATAGCATTTGATGACATAAGATAACATTAGAAGATCTAATGTGCAACAGGAGGGCTCCATGAAATAATATTGTATTGTACTTGAGATTTTCCCTAAAAGAGTAGATTTCAGGTGCCACACACAAAAAACAAGTAATTATGTGAGATAATGGATGTGAATTTGCTTGACTATAGTAACCTTTTTACTTTCTATATGTATATCGAAACATCATGTTGTACACCTTAAATATATACAGTAAAATTTTTAAAATAAGAAATGCAAGAAAATAAACTTGTTAACAAAAAAGAAGGAAAACACTGACAAAGAACCAGTTTGGATTTTTGTTAGTTTGTTTTTTGAGAGGAGAGGGTATGCAGCGGGCAGTTTATGAGCTCAATTGTGGACCCGTTGAGTTTGAAATGCTCTTGGGATGTCCTGGAGAAGAAGCCAGGTAGGAGGTGAATGCTAGGTGGATATCTTCTGCTTTCCCACATAGAGCCACTCTCCACCCTTCTCTATTCTGCTGTATCCAGAGAGACTGACCTGTATGAAATGAATCAACATCCCATGTAACCTTAGCACCTGGTTCCCGTGTTCTCTGTCTTCTAGTTAGGTTCAGCCAATGGGAGGTAGAAGCAGAAGACTGAAGGCAGAGCGTGGAGGCTGATTATTTATTCCATATTATCTCCATACTGCATTCTCTCTTCCCCTTCCTTCTCCTGCCCCTCTTCCCCACCTTTTCCTACTTGTACCACTCCTTTGCCACCTCCTCCTCTCTCTCACTCTCATTCAGTAATCATTTCCACCTGCTTCCTTGTTTAGGCCTAAAGCAGTAATGTTCCCTGAGATACTGTACCATTATCCTTTGTTGCCTTCCCTAAACCCTCTGTAAATGATCTCTTAACTAAAGTCTTCTTAATTACCCATTTTGAATGTGCCATACATTTCCTGCATGGATCCTGACTAATACTGAAAAGTTGGAAATGGTTAGGCTGGAGTTTGAGAGTCACCTGACAGGAGGTGGTAACTACAGCCATAGGCATGATGAGAATCCTTGGAAGACAGTGGAGAGAAGGGATGGGCCCAGAGAAACTCAAACATATAATGGTCCCCAGAGGAGGATAATCCTGCAAAGTCACTGGAGAAGTAGTGGCCAAACTGGTAAGAGAAAAATTAGGGAAGTGTTATGAAAGCCAAAGGAAGCAAAGGGAATAAAAAAAGCGTTTGCAGTCAAGACTATCAACTGGTGCTGCAGTCATTGGATTTAGTGACTTAAATGACATCCGGAATCTGTTACATATTTTCTGTGTTCCCTTGTAGTTTATAATGCTTTTAATTTTTTATATTTCTTTAACTTATCTAGAATTTATTTCAGAATACAGTTTAAGGTGAAAATTTATCCTTCTTTAGCCATTATTCCAACATCATTTACTAAATAATTCATCACTTTCTCTGTTACAATTACTTCATCATATACTGTTTTTAAAAGTACAAAGAGATGCCTAAGCACTTTCTATTCGATGTTTAAGAGCTTCCTATTTAACTATCATTGTGGAAAGGGTTGTCACTTTCATACATTTCAATATCGTTTTGAGCAAGTCTAACTTCTTATTTCTTAATTTTCAGAATTATATTATTAATAGTCTATTTATTCTTCCAGATGAGCCTTAGAAACATTTTATCAATTAAAAAAATCCACTGGGATTTTGTTTGGGATTGTTTTAATCCTACAAATTAAATTGGGAAGAGTTTAACTTCATTATATTTAGCCAGAAACTTCACACACACACACACACACACACACACACACACACACATCTACTTATCATCAAGTCTTTTTTTAGCTCTAAGAAGAGAATAAGAAGCATATTTTGTGAAGGTCATTTCCAAATATTTTATATTTACATTCTTCTGTCTGATTTTTCTTAGACATTCTTTGTTATTCTTTCTCTGACATGGTTTTGATATAACAGTAATAATGTCTGTGGTGGAAAACTAGGAGAAATTAAGAAAATAAATTAAATAAATCCTAACATCAACTCCCAGATCCCAACATTGTTAACTTTCCGTTGTACCTACTAAACACTTTTTTTTTTTCCTGAGACAGAGTCTCAGTCTGTTGCCCAGGCTGCAGTGCAGTGGCACAATCATAGTTAACTGCAGCCTTGACCTCCCAGCCTCAAGCAATCCTCCCACCTCGACCTCCCAAGATGCTGGGATTATAGGCGTCACTTTTAATACTCTTATCTATGTGTATTTTTACATGTTCCTTATACAAATGAGATACAATGTTGTTCTATAATCTTCTTCTTTCACCTGCTCTACCAGGAATATCCTTCCTATCAGTACGTACATTTCTAACACATCATCTGTCATTGCTGCATGCTCTTCCATTGTATAGACGCACCTTAATTTATTTAAACAGTCTCTTATGTGACCTTTGCTGTTTCCCAATTTCCAGCGTGAAATAATGCTGTGATAAACCTCTCTTACCTCCTCAACCCCAAAGATCTTTGGAATTTTATTTTTATTAAATATTAAATATATACAAAAATATTTATAAAATGAATGTTTAAGTGTTTTTAAAAACTATACAGTGATCACTTTTGTAGCCACTATCCTAAGAAACACCACATCTAATCCTCTATGCGTCCCTCTCCAATCTCATCCTTCTTTGCTCATCATTCCCTTTATTTTGTTTGTATTTTACCACATGCATATTTTTCCATGAAAGGGCCATATATGCCAAGTGGCCCCCAAATGCCAAAGGAGCCGAGAAACCAAAGAAGGAGGCAAATAAATCCAGCTTGTCAGTATTGGCTGATTTATTAAGAGAACTTACAAACAGAAGCGTGGTCTTGGGTGGCCACAAGACAAGCAGATCTTCGCATTGTTAATCCTCAGAACCACAGCTTTATACCACAGGGAAAAGGTATACGTGCTCCAGCAAGACAATGAAAGGCAACCCTCCAGAACAGGTGAGAATGCTATGTGCGTCACAGCCTATAATTTGTGCGATAACATCAAGGTTGCTTTGATCTAAAAGTAGGAGTACATGTTTTTACACTAAGGACAGTAACTAAAACAGAAATCAGGAGGCATTCATGGGACTGGGGCTAATCAGAAGTCAACATGGTTGATTAGCATCCAAGATGGAGTCACTTTTGTCTCCATACGCACATATGCCTGAACATATATAATATGTGATTTTGCATGGTTTCAAACTATATAAATTGAAATTTTACTGCATAGATCGTTCGGTGACTTGCTTTTTCCACTCAATGTATTCCTGAGATGCATCCATGTTGTTGCCCATAGCTACAGTGTATCCATTTTTACTGTTATATAGTATTCAATTATATGAATATACCATATTTTAAATCTATTCTCCTGTTAATGAATAGATTTTGCTATTACAAGTAATGCTACTATGAACATCCTTGTACCTGTATCACAGTACATTGCGTATAAGAATTTCTCTTGGCCAAATATCAAAAGCGAAATTACTGGATCAAAGGCATGCACATTTTCAACCTTTTAGATAATGGCAAATTTTCTTCCAAAATGGTTGAAAAAATTTACAGTCTCATTAACAGTGTATAAGAACTCAGTGGTTCCACATCTTTTCTCATTCTTGTTATTTGACATTTTAAAACTTTTGTCAAACTAATGGGATTGAAATAATATGCCATTGTGGTTTTAATTTGCATTTCCCTGATTACAAATGAAGTTGAGCATATTTTCGTATGTTTGTTCACCATTTGTGTTTTCTCTTCAGTGACAGGCCCATTTAAATCCTTTTCCCATTTAAAATAAATTAGGCTGTATTTTTTTTATGGGCTTACAGTTTTTATGTAGTCTGGATGCTAATTCTTTGACACAAAGGTATAGCAAATCCCCTCTCCCAGTTTGTGGCTCATCTTTTTCTCTCTTTAGGTATCTCTTTATGTACAGAAGATCTTAACTTTAATGTGGTTGACTTTAATAATTTCCTTTACTATCTGCGCTTTTCAATTTAGCTTCAGAAACCCTTCCCTTCCTTTAATTGAAAAGGGCATTCTCTTATATTATCCTTCAAAAGTTTTAAAGCTCTACCTAAAGTTAAGTCTTTAATCCATCTAGAATAGATTTTTTGGCATGTGGTGTGAGATAGGGGTTCAAATTGAGTTTTCCTATAGGAATAACCAGTTGTTTCAGCATCACCTATTTAAAGCCTATGCTTTCCCAGCTGATTTTCAGCTCTGATCAGCCAGCTCTGATACATTTGACAAGCAACCTGCCAAGTTCCACTATCCACTCTTCAACCCGTCCTCCTTCAAAAAAAAAAAAAAAAAAACCTCGAAAAGAAAAACAAAACAAAACAAAACCAAAAACCCCACTTTGTTGGGATTTGAGTGTAATTGAATTAAATATATGGGCCAATTACAACAAAAGTGAAAACTTTACAATATTGAATCTTCCTATCCATAAACATAGTATTTCTTTCTACTTATTTAAACGTCCTTTAATTTCTGTCAATAATTTTATGATTTTTTTGTGTACAGATCTTATACATATTTTGTTAAATTTATCCCTAGGTATTTAATATGTTTATAGTATTGTAAATGTTACCTGTTTTTATTTGTGGCTATAAATAAATTCATTTTTAAATTATTAACATTATAAGTAGCAATTTTGCTAAAAAGGCTTAATTCTAATTTGTATGCAGATTCTTTTGTATTTTCTATGCAAAAAAAATCATCATCTGCGAATGATGACTATGTAACTTTTCTGCCTATCTAATCCTTACAAATTGTATATAAATTTTGTATCATCTTTCTAGTACCTGACTAAAGTTTTTTGTGGGTGATATTCAGAAGCTTATTATTTGTATTGGGTATCATTCACGGTGCTTTTGTTTCTTGACTGTGGATTCATATTTCTATGGGAATTCTTTGAAGCCTAGATTGAAGGGAGTTCATTTAAAGAGGATTTGCATTTGTTTCTGCCAGATGCCCATGGGTACTACTGAAGGAGGGCCACTTTAAACTAAATTCTCAGCTTGAAGTTTTTCCAGACCACCCAGGTAGTAAAACTCAGGCAGCAAAACTCACACATAAGGGTTGGCTTGTACTTATAAACTTTCGGGGAGATTTTCCTTCTTGTTTACCCAGTGCCAAGTTTTAAGATAAGCAAATTTTCTTGTTGTCTGCTGTGGGGGCAATTTTGTTTCTGGTATACCCTTTCGAGCTTTATGTAGGATGTTGTCTTTTAGACTACCTTCTTTGGGCTGGACCTAGGCTTTGTGACCTATTGTCCACATCTCACAAGGCTGTGAAAACTGGAGCTCAAGATCCCCTGGATCTGTCAAAACTGCTCAGTACAGAAGCCAGCATTAGAGCCTCTGTCATCTTGCTAGGGCCTTGCTTTGAGTTGTTTTGGCCTTACTTTATTACCAGTTCATTGATGCATTTTAAAACATATTTCTATATTTTATTCATTGTTTTTAATTATTCTCAATAGGAGGGTTGGTAAGAGTATCCAGTTTGCCAATGGTCTTCCATCCACCCCACTTCAGCTACCCATTCTCATACCCTAGAACTTTTCATTTCCAAGATCTGTTTCACCTCCTAAATTTCAAATATCTACCCTATGGCCAACATCTCCTGTCCTTGAGTTCCTTTAATTTATCAGTTCTATGTTAAGAGTTATTCAACCCCATTAGGACTGCCAACCCATTCATCCTCATATGTTCATGTTCACTGTCCACCTTCTCAAATTCATCTTAAAATTATTATTATTATTATTATTATTTGAGACAGGGTCTTGCTCTGTCACCCAGGTTGGAGTGCAGTGGCACAGTTACAGCTCACTGCAGCCTCAACTTCCTGGGCTCAAGTGATCCTCCTGCCTGTAGCCTCATGAGTAGCTGAGACTATAGATGTGCACCACCACACCTGGCTAAGTTTTTTATTTTTTGTAGAGATGAGGTCTCACTATGTTTCCCAAGCTGGTCTCGAACTTCTGAGCACAAGTGATTCTCCCACCTCCCAAAGTGCTGGGATTACAAACCTGAGCCACCACGCCTAAACTTAAATTCATTTTTATCCAGATTAGAATCTATGCAGGGTAACTGTGTTGCAAAATGCAATGTGCCTTCTGCAATTGTGCCATGCTGTGGTACTGATCCTGTGTTCCATCATCATAATCACTCCCTTGCACACACCTTCCATGTCCTTATTCCTTTCCCCTTCTAATATTTAATCTGGCAACAACTACTGATTAAACCTACATCTACCCACCTACTCTGTACCTAGTTCTGGAAGGTAACAAGCAACTATGCTGACTGATTTCCTTCGAAATGTATGTGGCTTCAGTATGCTCAGCAATCCTACTCTATTTCTCTATCAGTTCATTCTACCACCTTTCAAAGCAACTGATTCACACCTTCCTCTCTGCAAATCCCTAGCCTTCCCCGAGCGACTCCTTTCTCAATTGGTGGATTCCCTTCTATTCTACTGGGGACAATAGAATCCAACAGTGGAGAGCTTTCTCATTCACCCACCACCAAATCCACTAAACTCCTTGAATCTGTAGTACTGTATATTCTTAGCTTTCCTTCTTGTAACTTTGATGAACTGTCAAAAAAGTGACAAATGCAAAAGTGAAAAACGCTTGAGTGCATGGATCCCACTTTTCCCCTCTACCTATCATTATATATAACTCCCTGTCATTCTGTTTGTCTTTTTGGTCTGAGAATGAGCACATGCTGTCAGATTTTTTTTTTCTTAAAAAACAAAACAGGAGACTTCTGCTTCTGGGAAGATGTAATAGACATACTTTCCCCTATTCCTCCAGCTAAATCAAATGAAAACCTCTTGGCATTACATATAAAAGAAATATTGAAACATTGAAAGGTGGAGAGAAGAAGGCAGACCAGATGGGGGATTTGGAACCTGAGGAACAACATAGTAATAGTTCTCTGTGCTTTTTGTTTGTTTGCCTCATATATCCCAGGCTTTGAGCTGAATAAGCTGGTAAGCCACAATAAGCCACAAACACCAACAGGCAGAAACCAAAAAAAAAAAAAAAAAAAAAAGCCTCAACAAAAGCAAGATCTGTCAAGCCAAAGAACCAGGAAAGGGTCAGCCTAGTAAAACAGAAAACTTTTAGACAATAACCACTCCTAAAATGACAAAAAAAAAAAAAAACTGTGGCCCTATTCCCATCTATGCTAAACAAGTCCTACTAGGAAGCCTAGACTGTAACCCTCTGCTAGGCTACATTGAGGTCCTCCCAACATGCTGTCCAAGGTGCTGTGAAAGAATGCTGAGTAGGGAGCACCAGGCAGTAATGACACACACTTTCCTCCACCATCCCCCTCCCCAGTACCAGTAGAGACCACATAGGGAGTTTGGACTTCCACTCCCACCCCTAACTGGGGTGCCATTAGAGGAGGCCTGGTGGAGCTTCAGGGTTTTCACCATGACCCAGTGGAAATGAGGCCACCTCTTCACCCTGGTATCAGTGGAGGCCTCATGTAGAGGAGTTATGAGGCACTTCTACCCCTCCCTGCCAGGAGGGTATCTGTGGAGGCCCAGTGGGAAGAGGAATTCCCGCCCTGCCCAGCAGTAATGGGGAGCTGTCAAAGAGCATGGACTTTGCCTGCCTGGGTCATCTTGGCAACCTTAGTGCCTGGACACTGCCTGGCATATGATAGGGGCTAGTTGCACAGTGTTGCTCCAATCACTCATTCCTTCTGTACATCAATTTCCTCCTCAGAGGAAAATGAGAATGAACATAATAGTGTCTACCTATAGGTTGTTGTGTGGAGTAACTGAATTTATACGTGTAAAGCTCCAAGTGTCCAACACATGAAGTGTCAGCCATTGCTGCTGCTGGTGTTGTCATTTATTCATTCCTCACTGGTTTACATGCCACTTAAATCTAACTTGTGTCACATCCCATGACTTTTGTAGTGTCCTCATTCTTATTTTCTATATATTCTGTAACTGCAATCATATTTCCCTCTTTATGCCCAAGAGATATGGAGAAGTATATTTTTTTATTTTCAAGTGGGTGGGAAATTTTTGTTGAAATGTTTTGTTCTGATTTGTACTTTTATTTGTAGTTTTATTATTCTGTGGTCAGAGAATATGTCTGTGCACTTCATATTTTAAGAGATTTATTGATGTTTTCTTTATAGTCTAGTATATAAGCTATTTAAAAAAATAATTTCTTCAATTAAAATAATTTCTCCCTTTTTCCTCATTGTGAAGGCTTTTATGCTAGGGATATATCTTATAAACATACTTTCCAACACACCAAACTAGACAGTTAAATGAAATAAAAGCTTCAATCATGTTGAGTTAAAATGCTTTATTCCTATTCAATTTGCAGTAAGCACAGATTGCGAAGTTCCCCAGAGGGAGAGAAATGGGAGTAGGTACACTCAGCCTGCAGGTATGATTTGTTATTGTTCTTCTGCCTCTTTTCTCCCTCTAGTTTTCTTCTTGCAAAGAATTCTTTTAATTCCTAATTGTAGCAAATTGTAATTTCCAAAAGTAGTCACAGCAATATTTCTGGTCTCACATGCTCTTCGAGGATCTTGCTACTTCCCATCAAGAAGTGGCGTCTATCCCCTTGTACTAGGGTGGACCTTTATGATTGCCTCAACAAAAAAGGAATAGAGTGGAAGTCATGCTGTGTGACTTCCAAGATGGGTCAACTAGCAGACATGTGAATGAGCCTTCAAATAATCCCAGCCCTCAGCCTTGGAGCGAAGACCAGGGCCAAGCCAGCGCTACAGTGCCCTGTGCGAAATCTGTAATGCACAGACTCAGTGAGCATACTAAATGGTTGTGTTACATCATTGAGTTATGGGGTAATTTATGACTCAGCTACAGTAGCCAGGTCACTAAGGACACCA
Organism: Homo sapiens; assembly: GCF_000001405.40. Classification (NCBI taxonomy): domain Eukaryota; kingdom Metazoa; phylum Chordata; class Mammalia; order Primates; family Hominidae; genus Homo; species Homo sapiens. Next base: position 7,932,702 of record NC_000007.14, on the reverse strand, counting down.
ACTTATCAGAAGATTTCATGTAGAAGGAGGGTGTTATAATGAGAAAACATTAGACTAGGACCTGAGAGACTTGGGTTGTAACTGGATTAGCTCATAACTGGCTATGGGTCCTTGACTAAATCATGTAACCTTTCTGGGTCTTGATATCCACATCTGTCAAAGAAGGTATCTGAACTTTTTAGTCTTCTTCAACTTCTACCATTAAATATCTCAATATAGAATATTTAATATTGTAAATGTTCTTAAATTGGAAATATTCTGTTTCTTAAGATGCTGAATACCTATTTTTCATCAATGCTAGTCTTGATTTTACAGGGCAATCTTATTTCTGTCGTTTCCACATTATTGGAAATAATTTTCCAAAATATTGGTAGTAGAGAATAGAATCATTTTTATCAGCCCAAATTTAGCTCAAAATAAGTTAGAAAGCTGGGTAGGCATTTGATGGAGAACAGAGGGTTCCCCAGTCTCAGTTCATGGTAATACATTAACCACTACTCTGATTTTTACATTGTTCAGTGATTTCTGCCCACTATTTTGGGTGTTCTTTGTTAGTTACCATGTAACAAGCTGCCAGAATAAGTTTACTGAGATTTTACCGTCTCTGTCTAGATCTAGCAGTTGGAGAATTTTAAGTATACTTTCCAAAGCTAAATCTGCTACAGGATAAGCAAGGCTGGTTTCTCATCAGTTGCAATTCTCTGAAAGTTGCATTGTTAGGAGGATTCAGCTATTATTCCACATACTGTATTCCAGAAGCAGCTACAGCAAGTGCTTAATACATGCTTTCCAACACACAATACTCCAAGGTCCCTAGAGTGGGATGACTTGGTACAGCTGCCCCAGGTCAATATTCAGGGGACCTAGCTGTTCTGGCAGCTTGTCAGTGACTCAAGGAGCACCAGCTGTTGCCTGTAACGTGCTTGTACCACCCTTGCCGACAACAGTCTTAACCTGCTTTCCCTTCCTGGACTCACCAGAATCAGTGAGTCTCTATTCCCTTTGTATCATAATGCTCCCCAACACAGAACAAAATTAGCAGGCTACTCTCTGATAGGAATTATGTGCTCCCTGAGAAGCAGTTCTTATTTCCTAAATCTGTTTATGATAGTTGTATTTTATTATAATAATGATGTGATTTCATTAAATATTATATAAATCAATAAAATGTGAAGGCAAAAGAGCTGTTTCTATGAAAACAAGTTGAAAGCATCACAAAGTGTGAGTAATACAGCTGCAAAAAGATTGTGGAAAAAAATCTAGAAGGATGCTGTGCTCAGATTTCTTCCCATTTCTCTATAAGCTCTCACTCTCCTTTAAAGAAATCCATACTTTAAATCTTAGTTAATATGTAGGAGTTGTGCTTTATTCAAGAGTGATGTTCTGTGATGTCCTGTGCTCAAAGAAAAGGCCTTGCTGGCCAGGTCTGGTTACTCAGGCCTGTAATTCCAGCACTTTGGGAGGCTGAAGCAAGAGAATCACTTAATCCCAGGAGTTTGAGGCCAGTCTGGGCAATATAATGAGCCTCATCTCTACAAAAAATTTTAAAAATTAGTCAGATGTGGTGGCATGTGCCTGTAGTCCCAGCTACTTGGGGGGCTAAGTGGGAGGGTCGCTTGAGCCCTGGAGGTCGAGGCTGCAGAGAACTATGATCACACCACTGCACTCCAGCCTGGGTGACAGAGCGAGACCCTGTCCCTGTCTCAATTAAAAAAAAAAAAAAAGAAAGAAAGAAAAGAAAAGGCCTTGCCCCTATGTCAAAGGATTGGAAAACTGATGACATATACATTTTTTTTTTTTCAGTTAAAATGTTTGTGGAAAATCGCATTTTTTGACTTGTTGCTTTAACCTACTTTTTAACAGACCAACTCCTGGTCCCACTCCTGAGGGATAAGTTGGCTTGGACTATACATAAATTTGGCTCATCTCTATTTGCTGTTTCACCGCAACAAATAAAGAGCTGCAGGGATGGCCCTTTCTTGCAGCCAAGCTACACACTGCCTCTTTGTGACTTTGTTTCCATATTGAGCTTACTCTTGACATGAGCTTTGACTTCATCTCCCCAACCCATTCCCCCATTCACCTCTCAAATTAATTCTAAAGGAATGTGATTTATTCCAGGTTCCACAAACCTCACTGGGATAGCTCCATATAAGCTCATTTACCTTGGGAATTCTCCGCTATCTACCCAAATCTAGGAAAGATCCTCTGCTTCTTGCTCCAAGCAATCATGTAGTACAGCACCTGGTACCTTTCCTTCCTTGATTCAAACAATATGTATTGGACACCTACCATGTGTCAGGCTCAGCACCAGGTACTGGGTATGTAGTGGTGACTACAATAGGCTAATTTCTATTGTCAACAACAGCTATAAGTGTATTATCGACAGAAGAGCAAAGTCTTTTTCTCTTTTTTGTTGATAAATTGGTAAACTGACTAGAGAGAATTTCCATCGCACTTTTGCCTTGGGAAACAAATTCTTTATTTGGTTTATGTGCTTATGCATGCATTTATATACATATGTACTTATTTGGGTTTCCTGGGGGAAATTAAATGGGCAAGGGCACGTAATATTTTAGCTTAATCCAGAGATTGGCGATCTTTTTTTTATAAAGAGCCAGAGAGTAAACATTTTTGTTTTGTGGGCCATAGGTCTCTATCACAACTATTAAACTATGCCCTTGTAGCACAAAAGCAGTCATAAACAATACATAATTGAATGAGGGTGGCTGTCTTCTAATTTTCCTTACAAAAATAGACAGGAGCTCTAGTTTGTACACCCCTAGAATCTATCGAAATACCTCAATGGCTCCCCCACTTGCAATTAAACTTGCTCAAGTCCCTCCCCTAAATAAAAATCAAAGAAGCCCACATCACCGCAAAAAGTTGTTTTGTACTCACCAGCTCTCTTTCTCCACTGCTCATTTACCTTCAACTCTAGATAGTCCGACCTCTGCGCTCACCACCTACTAAAATTGTCCTTATCAAGGTCACCGACGATCTCCATGTTGCTAAATCCCTCAGAGACTCCAGTCTTCTCTTTCTTACTCAATCTCTACACAGCTTTCAACACAGCCAGCCACTCACTCCTCCTTCTGGAAATACTCTCCACTCATCTTCTGAAACCTTTCAAGACTGATTTCCTTCCTTCAGCAGGAATACTTGTCAATCATCAAAGGCTCCTTCTCCTCTTCACAAACTACATGATGGAGTTGCTCAGGACTCTGTCCTGGGTTCTATTGCTTCTCTCCCTAGGGGACTTCATCTACTCTATAGCTTTAAATGATATCTTTATGCTGGAAACTCACAAATTTACTTTTTCAGCCCAGATCATTCCCCCATTTCCTTACTCATATATCCAATTGCCCACTTGATATTGCAAGTCTCTCAGATAGATGTCTTAAATGTAAAGTGCTGAGCAAATATGATTGAATAAATACATACATGAGTTTACCTGGTTTCCCAAGCAGAAACCAGAGCCTAATCATTAACTCCTCCCTTTGGCATTCTTTCGCATTACCAAAACGTAAGCCTTCTGTTTCCTAATCATCTCCTGGATATTTCCCTGGCTCTCTATACCTAATTCTTAGGCTGGTATAGCAGCATCTGTTGCTAAAATACTGAAATATGTCCATATTTGTTTTAAAGAACTGCTGGCCTAAGCTCCTGTTGTGCTGGCTCCACCTCTGGGGTCCACGTGCCCCATCCAGCCTGGTCTAGCAGACACCTGAAGACTCTGCTCTAGTGCTAAGGCTTGCATCCATTCTGATGGATCAATGTTTATGCCAAAATAGCTAAGTATTTTAATATTATCCCTGCCTAATACCACAGTGACTAAAATATTCTAGCACTAGGAAATTATCTTTCACCCAGATTCCTGGAAAAGCTATCTGATATAGTTTGGATGTTTGTCCCCCCCAAATCTCATGCTGAAATGTGATCTCCAATGTTGAAGGTGGGTGTAGTGAAAGGTGTTTGGGTCATGGGAGTAGATCCCTTATGAATGGCTTTATGCTGTCCTCACCATAACAGGTGAGTTCTCACTCTATGAGTTCACACGGGATTTGGCTGTTTAAAAGAGCCTAGCACCTCCTCCTTCTCTCTCTTGCTCCGTCTCTCACTATGTGATATGCCGGCTTCCCCCTTGCCTTCCACCATGATTGTAAGCTTCCTGTGGCTTCACAAGAAGCTGAACAGATGCTGGCACCATGCCTGTATAGCCTGCAGAACTGTGAGCCAAATAAACCTCGTTTCTTTATTAATTACCCAGTCTCAGGCATTCGTTTATAGCAATGAAACAGACAAATACACCATCCAACTTGTTTCCCTACCTCCTGACTTATTCATCTCCAGACTCTGCATAGCAGCCAGGGTGATTTGTCTAAAATGCAAATTGATGACATCTTTCCCCTATTTAAAATCTTTAAACATGCGTAACTCTCAAGATAAAGCCATAGCTCCTTAATAAGGTTCCCCAGACTTTCATGATCTGACTCCTTCTCATTCTTCAAATCTCACCTCCTCAGAGGTATCATCCTGATCCCATTTAAAGTAAGTTCTTGTTATTGTCTCTTAGCAACTTGTTTGTTTTCTTCATTGCATTCATTACAATTTGACATTATTATTGTGATTATTTTTATCTGTTTCCCCAACTAAACAATAAGCTCCCTGAGAGAAAATACCATGTCTATCTTGCACACTGATATTTCCCTAGCTCCTGAATATGGTTAAGTGAATAAATCTGGACCCCTGAATACTGTCTAGCTTCATCTCTTGCTATATTTTTTCTTGGGATTTATGGTTTAGCTATATGCAGTCAACATGTATTCAACAATTATTTGATAATGACTATTCTCGGTTCCCTAAACATTCCACATAGAATACTACCCTCTGCCTGGAATAATTCTGTTTAACCCTCATGCCCTTTCACATGGCAAACTCCTGCTTACCTTCAGGTATCAACACTGTCCTTGCACCTGGACGCCTTGCTTGTTCTTCCATGATAAAATCTTTATACTATAATTTAAATGTCTGTTTCTCTTTCTGCTTTTCTTACCAGATGGTAAGGCAATGGCAATTAAGTCACTACTATGTTTGTCATTTTTCATTGTTGCCTCTGAAGCATCTTGCTCAGTGCCTGACACTCAATAAATAGTATTTAGCAGACAAATTCAATCCTAAAGCAGACATCCCAAAGTTCCGAGAGGGGACCAGTGAACTCATATCCATTGGGGTGGCAAGATTTTTTTTATTTGTAAGTGGCTACAAAGAAAAAGGTGTTTTTGTTCTTGTTTTTTCCCCTAAGAATACATTTTCCTTTAGCTGTTTGCTTCTGCAATACGAAGTGACTCCACCTGCAACTTATTGTTTGGCTTTAAGGGCAGAAACTTGTTCATAAATTGCTAAATTTACTTATAGCCTAAGTGAAAAGTGCAAAGTGTAGATGACAAAAAAGATCTATGATGAGAATGGGTTTTGTAATGTCCCAAAAGGACACAACATGATAGCAAGATCCCTTCCTTAAAATAATTTTTTTAAAATGTATTCATTATGAATTCATGTAATTTAGTTAAAAACAGAACCTCTTTCCTGTACTCATTAATGGCAGTTTTATGGTTTCATTCTGCCGGGCACATAAATATGTTATAATATAAACAAGTCAATGGTGTAATGAATCATTTCAGTCTTATTGTGCATATGTTTTTACTACAAATCTTGGGGAAAAAAGCTATTCACGCTCTGCATTTTTAAATTATGCTAATGTGATTAGTCATTATGGTCCTACTTATTCTTTATGATGGATGCAAGATGTTTAAGCCTCGCATAGTACTTGTGAGGGGCCTGATTAATGCTTGAGACCCAATCAAGAAGCTGTTGATGAAGTTCAAATAACATATTAAAAAGTTATATACAACAGAAGAGTTGATTCTTGCTCATATAAGATTACATAAACTAATAAAATAAGTGTAAATTGTATTAATGTACATTTTTATTCTTCCACAAACATTTTAGCTGCTACCATAACCACGTAATGTATTTTGCCAGGATCTGTCCAGGCCACTGTTTTTGAAACGAAAGTGTAAAAATGACAGAGAAAGCTGCTATTAATGTTAAATATAAAAATGCACACACATCCACACCAGCAAACAAGTGTTTTCAAAACCTAGACTTCAAAACAGTTCACCCATTCTTGCATTTTGATGTTGTCATGATCAAGCAAAATGAAAAACAGAAAAGACATATTTTGGTTGGTTATTATGCTGCCATATCAGATTGTTCCCGTTATTGTCTTGCATAAATCCCAAGCTCAGAAGGAGAAGTGGCGAGCCAGAAGAAGAATATGGATATGTGTGTGAAAAGAGCAAAAGAACAATTTTAGAATTTTAAATGAGTCCAAAAATTGAAGACCTGATTAACAATCTGAGAAATAAATTTCAGGAGAAATAAATGTAATATATACTTTATATTCAGTGTTTTTAAAACTTTTTAAGAAGTAGAACCCAAAGAAATCTTATGAATAATCACAATCCATATACGATGGTGTGTAAGGCCGTTCTCGTGTTGAAATAAAGAAATACCGGAGGCGGGGTTATTTATAAAGAAAAGAGACGTAATTAGCTCATGATTCTGCAAACTGTACAGGAGGCATTGTGATGGCACCTGCCTGGCTTCTGAGGGGGGCCTCAGGGAGCTTTTACTCAAAGCAGAAGGCAAATTGGGAGCAGGCATGTCACATGGTGAAAGCAGGAGCAGAGAGGGAATGGGCCCAGAAAGAACACACTCACTACCACGCAGACAGCACCAAGCCATGAGGGATGTGCCCCCATGACCCAAACAGCTCCCACCAGGCCCCACCTCCAACATTGGGGATTATATTTCAACATGAGATTTGGGCAGCAACAAATATCCAAACTATTAATATATCAGATAGACTATGAGAAATAAATAAGAATATTTCATAAACATTTCATTAGTTTAAATTTATCATATTTATGCATATCAATGAATTGGAAAAGTAAGACTGTTTTGATATTTCTGTGATTTCTTACTAGTTGCATAGTATTGAGATTTTCTTGACAACAAAAATAAGCTGTTGGAAATGGTAAAAATATGAGTTTTTAAACAAGTTGCCTTGTAATATCAGGACACTATTCCATTTATAAGTAATGAGAGGGAACTTCATTTGTTCTGAGAGCCACATTCTAGGTTAGTCTGAGACGAGTTGGCATGTTGTTGGTCTCTATTGTAATAATATTCAGTACATGGCAGGCTTGAATGTGCCTGTTTTAAAAATAGCATTTTGTGGCCAGGTGCAGTGGCCCATGCCTATAATCCCAGCACTTTGGGAGACTGAGGTGGGCGGATCACCTGAGGTCAGGAGTTTGAGACCAGCCTGATCAACATGGAGAAACCCCATCTCTACTAAAAATACAAAATCAGCCAGGCGTGGTGTGGTGGTGCATGCCTGTAACTCCAGCTACTCAGGAGGCTGAGGTTGTGGTGAGCCGAGATCACACCATTGTACTCCAGCCTGGGTGGGCAACGAGAGCGAAACTCCATCTCAAAAAAACAAATAAATAAATCAATAAAAATAAATAGCATTTTTAATAGATAAAAAATTAGCAAAATTCCAATCAAATGTTTCTTGACCCATGATTCTCCTCAGGGACACAATAGGGTGGGGCAGGGTAAGAACACTGTTCTGGTTGGTTCTCTCCAAGCTGTAGTCTTCTCCACTACACAGGCAGGATTTTAACAACCTATCTGCTAGCCTTCCCTGCATGCCACCCCCCATACTGCCCTGCTGTAGACATAAATGATGTATTCCTTTTGCAGTGTTCTTTATTTCAGTTAGTGGTATCACAACCTTAGGAGCTGCAAACCCCTTCAACTTTTCCTTTTCCTCACTCCTAACATTTAATATCTCCCAAAGATCTACTCATATCATCTCCAAACTATCTATGGAATCTGATCTCTCATCTCCCCTTTGTCCCTGCTGCAACTGCCTCCTGACTGCTACCTGCAGACTTCAGCCTCATCCTATCCCTCCCTGCCAGAGCTTCTGTTCTGAGACACACATTTGATTGGATCATTCTCTTGTTTTAAAGCTGGTAACACTGTCTTGCACCTAACTGGTTAAAGTTAAACCCCTCAGCAACTACAAAAGGCCCTCAATAGCCTAACCCCACCAACCTCCAAACTCCTCTCCTGCTGACTCCTTCAACCCAGGCAACTCTGAACTTATCACACTGCATGCACCTTATCCTTTGCATCTGTCTTCTTTGTGCCTGAAGAACTACTCATCCTCCAGGACCCAACTCAAACACTACCCCTTTTTCAATGCATTTATTGATTTTCCCAGGCAAAGCAAGTTGTGATTCTTGAACTTCATTTGTATTACATATCCTTGTAGCATCTGCTCCAATGTTTTGACTGCAATCATCCTCTTGTATGTCTCTCTTTTCTCCCAAATACTATGAACTTTTAGAGTGCAGGTATTGTATCTCATCCATCTTTTTAATCCCAAGCATGTACCATCATGCTTGATATGTGCCTGAAACATGGTATACTTTCAGTGCATATTTTTCAACTCTTTATTACAGCATTTCATGTGGAGTTTGTTCTTGATTCTCAGAGTAATACACAAACAGAAACCACAATGGCATCCTGTAGGCTGCCTGTTGCAAAGAGCACACGGTAAATTGTCAGTTTCTTTCCTCCTTACTCTAATTTCTCCATTACATTGGGCATTTAAATCCTTTATCTTCCTCTGAGTTCATTAACATATTTCAGAATTGAATTTTGAAACATCTCTTCTTTATGGTGTTTTCTTTCCAAAATTTACTTATCCTGTCCCCTCTCAGGTTATATGAAACTTTCCTGGTGTTTAGAACCTCAAACGGAACTAATTTCTCTTCCTAATTTCAGGTCAGATTTTGGGGAATGTGCTCAGTTATCATGCTCCAAGATAGAGATTCCCTTTCATTGTTTTTTTCCTACTACATTCTATCCTTCCCCAAAGAGGTCGTATTGAAGTGATTTGCAAATCTTAGGTCCTCTGCCCCCATAGTCCTTGAACCCTGAAAATGCTAAAGTAAAGCTGGAATTTTAATTATTTTTGTGTATTAATGCTACATGCTACATTCAATAAAAATCAGGAGTAAATTTTTACTGAATCATGGGATAGATTCAATCAAAATCTATCCCATGATATTATTACTTCTTTACAAACTCAGTTACTTATTATTCCTGACCATTTGGATATTTTACAGATTTTATCATTTATTTGCTCCATGATTTTACTTGAAGAGAATTTAATAACACTTACTAGGATGATTGTCCTTCCTCATCCATTCAACCATTCCCACCCCTTTTCAAGGCATAACATTTCCTATTTCCAATCCTCCTCGGGTTTGTAAAAAAAAAAAAAAAAAAAAAAAATCGCTTGGCAATGGTTCACTAAGAATTGCAATTTAATCCTTTGGAATAACAGGCTTTTCATCTGTGCTCCCTGCAATGATCCGACGATCTGCCACACAATCAGTTCCTTAGAAAAGAACAATGCAACTCAAAAGAAAAGAAAGTGCTGGCAACATGGTAAAGAACATGAGGCCTGTTATAAAATTTGTAAATATAAATTAACCTTGGGAGTAAATGGCATCAAAATATGAATTATTGCTCCTTTTCAAAAGAAGAATTAGGACATTTTTGGCAGCAAATGCAAATGAACCTGAGTGTCTGTGCTTTTGATCCGGACTGTGTAAACACAGGCTCATAACTAGGTAGTTTCGTGTTTATATTGGTGGAGTCTCTAAAGTTATGCTTACCGACCCAGGAACAATGCAACACTCAAGAAAGAGCAAACACAACCTTAATTCTTACCTCCCATGGCCCTTGACCTAAGGAGTGTTTATCTAAGTTGTTTTGCATCTTGTATTTTAGGGAGCTGGTTATTATTAAAAAATACAGATACAGTCCTATATATCTAAAATGCTACACACACATTTATTTAAATGGGATTAGTCTGTTATAAAATATCCCCCTTTTAAGGCAATTATAGGCCATCAACAATCTGCATAGCAATTTATCACCTCGTTTTCAGTCATTATCACTGTTAGTCAACCATGTGTTCCACAGCCTAAACATCACTGAGAGTTCACTGGGATTAGTTAGGTGTTTTAAGAGTCATTATCATCACCATTATTACTACAAATCACACCATTTATTTAGCACCAACAATCTGCTGAAGAAAGCAGGTTGGCACAATTTACAGTGGATAAGAAATAGATGCCACCTACAAAAGGAACATGGGAGTGAGCTCCAGCAAGAATGAGTGAGGGAAGATGACTTAGCACCATCTTTAGGAAAGTGTGTGGGGATTAGATACTTTCATATCCGGAATGCGGTCTCCTGGAAAGACAAACACTTTGTAAAAATCCTTATGTTTCTCCAGTGGCCTGATCAATAGAGAACTAAGAGAAGTGACCAGAAGACATATTTAAAATGACAGAATTTAGAAAAACTGCTCATGTCTATGGTACAACATGACTTTTTTTCTGCAAAGCCAATTGAGACTATGGCTCTCTCAAGTCAGTCTGAGCCTAAAGTTGGTGTCTGAGTCCCCTTCTCTACCAGCACAGGCTATTATGTAACATCCAGAGGAGTGAGCCAACTAGTCAACCAAAGCAGGGTACAGAGAGGTTGGCAATCTGAACTCAGCCAACAGATTACCACATAATAAAAAGGATGCATTGCCTTCTGATCATTACAAGAAATTTAAGGCTCTACTCTGCCTCATTTGGAACCTACTAGAAGCCAACTCAAATACTCCTTTTTCTTTCTATAAAATGTAAACATTAAAAGTCAAGTGACTTTAACGTGATTATAAACTTTAACTTGGAAACTAAGTTTTTAAGGACAGAGCAGAGAAAGTTTTTATTTTTTATTTTTTGGGGCTTTCATAGAATTGGCCAAAACTTTGAACAAAGCTTAAGGGTGAAAGGAGCCATTTGGCGAAAATGTCTGAGTTCCTGCTTTATATTTTTATTTAAGGACTGTGAAAATTTGGAGTAAAGCAATAGTTCATATCAATAAAAGTTTAATTTATTTTATGTTTATTGAGAAGGAATTAAGTCCAAAATCATCTAAAATTTGGTGGCTAGTGACATCTGAATAATTAATGAAATTAGTTTTCATGAAAATCACATATTTTCTTTATATGAGATGTGATATGATTTTTGACATTTTAAAAGAGCTGTAGGATAAATAATCTATTATTATTGGGGTCAGATTTGTACACATGATAAATATTTGACCTTTTATATATCTGTAGGACTTCTGGTTACAATACTTAATAAAGGTTAAGGGCACTTAAATTTTGACAAGCCCAGATCTTCTATAATGTCTGAAGATTCACAGTACCTTCATTTTACCCCAATTAGCATCCGTACACATAAATATAACTGAGGAAAAAAGAAAAATTTTCCACCTATTTCAGTTTGGTGTTCTGAGTCTGAGATAAGTGCATATTATAGAAAATGACTGCAGGAGAAAATAAAAAACAGTGGCTGAGAGGATATAGAGTCCAGGAATTCTTAAGTATCTGGGAAGATTTTAAAAGTAAATACAAAAAAGAAATTTTGGTGGGCTTTTCCAGAAAGCAAAGTAAGCCAATACATTTTATTACGTATTTATGGTTTTTGAAAATTTTTGTTTTCTACGAACCTACACCAGCTAGAAAAATAATTGCCAACTCTTCCCACAATGACTGATGCCGTTTGTGATGTTGCTACTGGCAGAAAGATTTTCTCAGAAGACTGAAAAAAAATAAAATATAAATATTGTGGTTTTTTATTGTCTTTATGAAAAACTATATTTTTGGCCCTTGGACCTGAGAGATAATTTACATAGCCAATTACAAAAGCTCTCACAGAATGACTGCACACCTGCATTGGGTGAAACCGAAAGAAAAACTCTCTTGTTCAGTAAAGCACCATATGCAAATTGGGGGAATAAAAGGAGCACAACAGCTGGCATGAAAAGAATAGTTTACAGATTCTTAGGGAGCACTGGTCTGGAGGCATTCAGAAGCGTCATCAGGCTGGCAAAAGTGCACTATGCAACTAGGGTAACCTTCAGTATGAAAAAAAAAACAGCTTTTAAAGAAACAGGTAAATGTTATTATGATCAAAGTCCAAAACTCATTGGCATTGATAACCGAGCATTGAGCAAAATGGAAACAGCCGTTAACAAATTCATTAAGAGCCTCTTTACATTCCCACCATCAATTGAAAACATATGTTTAATCTGTACTCTCTTTAATTTATTTCAATTATTATTGGTAGAAAAAAGGTAACCTGCTTGAATATCATAAAGATATGTCAATGACATACTTCTTGTATTTCCAGGTCAGGTTGTGCACACCTTCAGTCAACATTTATATAAAATGACAGCAACCTTTGAAGGCCTAGTTCTTCCTTGAGCAAAGAAGTGATTATTCATCACAAAGGGACAGCTAAGAGGATCTTAGAGGCAATGTTGCCTATGGAAAGAGCTCTTGACCATTCGTAAGTTCAACTCACTCATCTATTAAACGGGGCTAATAATACCTGTCCTGCACATTTGCACTGTGAACATCAAACCAAATCATAACAGGTGAAAGCATTTTGTGATGTGTAAGATGACAAATAAGTGTAAGGAATTGTGATTCATAAGTGAATTCAATAATAGCTATTCTTAGTTTATAGAAATGACAGAAGTCTCAAGTCCCCAAAGAGTTTAATGCAATTATAATTATTTGATCCTTATACTTATTTTGATTAATAATAATATTCAGCAAGAAAGCTGAATTTCCTTTTCAGGCCACCCTCTGCCAGTATTTAAGCTTGCTTTTTATGTGTTTGTGAAACTCACTGAACTCAGCCAAGATTTTAACAGGGAAGTCCCAATGTTGATTAAAATGGCCTATTTTGGCACTTATGTCCTAAATCTAATCGCCAATGACAAGATAAAACGAAACAAACAAAACCAATGTCTCATTCCATGCAATCCCAGAACCCTAAGCTGTTCTCATTCTTGGTCAACTGACCAAAAGACTACCATTTTAGGCAAGAAATTACACAGATCATTGCTCTTCTATGTAAACCTTATAATAACACATTCATAATACACTGGGAAGCAACATCAAAAATATTCAAGGTTCAACTGTGCTTACAGAGTACATTTTGTTATTGTAGCTTTTATTTTTTTCTTTCTAGAGAAATTTACAATTGAGTATCTGGTCATGAAGTTCCTAAAAGCTGTTAGCCATGCAAGTAAGCTTTGAGGTTAGAGGTGGATAAGCCCAGAATAGAACTTCTTTGCCTCAAGTTTTACATGCTTATCATTTGGTAACTAATTTTGCTTTATGTGTGTAGGTGAGTGTGTGTGTGTGTGTGTATGTGTGCATGTGTGTGTATGTGTTGTCTTTTCCTTTTGAGGGAAGAGGCCCAAGAATTGGTGGGCCTTTTTACAATCAATCTGGATAATAATAATAACCATGTACAATGCTTTCTCCCCCTTTCTGTGGCCACTAGTCTTCAAGTCTTGGGAGTCCCTGACCCCCATTCTGTGTTGTCTTTATGTAAACAGGTTTTCTCACTTTGCAAGCTTAAGGCAAAAGGCCTGGCTGGGCCACTTTAGAGACAATTTTTTCATTTGTAAAATAAGCACTCTTGAGTTAAGGCTTTCAAGGCCCCCTTCAGCTCTGAAACACTCATGGCTTGTTAAGCAACACCTCCAAAGATGACCCAATGTCTTCAGTGTATGAGCTTAATAAACTTGCTCATGAAATTTGAGACCTACTTCCAGCATCTATCACAAAGTTTTCCTATCTTCTTTATTGAGTTTTCATTTCTATTTCTACAATTGACAACCATCTAACAACAACAAAAAAAGCCACAACTAAAATAAAATTTTTGCAAAAGGACATTCAATAAGTCAATCTTATTGGAGCTAATTGTCTACTCTGTGGGAATGAATATGGAGTATTTTTACTGTGAGCAGTTACACTTCAAATGACAAATATTTACTGAGATGATCACTGGAATATCTATTGGTGTCAGAGCAGCAATGCTAATTATTAGCTGGCCACTTAAGCTGGCTAGTATCTACTCTAAACTGTTACTAACTGGCCTAGAATGAACTTCAGTTCCCCTATCTGCAAAGTGAGAACTGGGCCACCGATATAGCTCTTGAAAAGTATTTGTAATCATTTTAAGTCTCAGAGGGTGAATGACCACCTGGGAACATCTGAGATTTTGGGGGACGCATTTACTTTTGGGGCCATTAGAGAAATCATTTAGTACTGCAGCAATGATTTAGTTCTGTTGCCCCAAGGGCCCCAAAGAGTTAATGCACTTCCCATAAAGCTCCTGCCTTCTCTGTAAATCGACAAATTTATCAGATGGTGCTTTTGACAAATCAATTTGCTTGACACAGGTGGGCATTTTACTGCCAACATCTATTATAGAGAGAGTACATTGACTCTTCTTGGCTCATAAAGGAATCAGGGGCCAAACCCCAACAGGCATCTACACAGCACTCTGCATCACAGAGTAGTTTGAAATTATTTATGAAACAGAGTTGTTAACTGCTGGGACCTTTTGCTGCCATTATTGTAGTCTCCGATCTTTAGAAGAACAATGCCAAATGGTGGTGGCAGTTACTTGAGAGAGTTGTGATTTTAACATTTCATTATTAATGATAGCTATAGGATGTGAGCACCTATCCACCACCTGTTCTTACACCTCCTTCCATCTGGATTCAGACAAAGAGGGACATTAAAGAAGGTGAATCCTACCTATGTTCTGGATCTGTTCTTCTTGTCTCCTTAAGCAGCATTTTGATCAAATATTACTACTCCCTCCTGAGTCATCAATTTTTTTTGCTACATTTTTCTTCTAAGCCATGTGAAAAACTCCAATCTTAAATAAATCATGTTCTACCTGGATTTTACGGCCTTCTTTGCTCTCTCCATCTCTTTCTTTCCTTTCTTTGCTATGTCTGGGAAAGAGAAGTTCATACTTAACTGTCTTGGCTCCATCACTCATTCACTCCATGGCCCCTGTAGCCTTCTCTGAATGTGGGTCTATCTGTTTTGTTTATTTTATTTTTGAGACAGAGTCTGGCTCTATTGCCCAGGCTGTAGTGCAGTGGTGTGATCTCGGCTCACTGCAGGCTGTTCTTCCTGGGTTCAAGAGATTCTCCAGACAGCCTCCCGAGTAGCTGGAGTTACAGGCAGCCCCCACTACGCCTGGCTAATTTTTTGTATTCTTAGTAGAGACAAGGTTTCACCATGTTGACCAGACTGGTCTCGAACTCCTGACCTCAAGCGATCTGCCCACCTTGGCCTCCCAAAGTGCTGGGATTAAAGGCATGAGCCACCGTGCCCAGCCTGAATATGGTCACTATTTATGACAGCCTAGGTCCTCCACATTTTCAAGAACCTATAAAATGTTTGAAAAAAAATGTTTAGAAAAACATTTTAGAAAAATTAAAAATTGACTGACTCAAATACAGAAGAAAATAGAACATTTTAATTTGTAATAATTTCAAAGGGAAAAAGGTTAATCTCCTAAATTTTTATGACATAAATTTAATATGGAGTTTGGTGCATTTTAATGTTTGCTGTAATATGTGGTTGGATCCTCAGAAACCACTGTGTTCAGGATCTAGAAGAGTTTTAAATGACCCTGATAAGAGATCTAATTGCCAAATCCAGTGGGCGATTTTTAATCCTTATTAAAAAATGAAGCAGCATTGGATAATGTTGACCATGCCCTCCTTTCTCCTCCCTTGGTTTCTGTCATATCACCATCTCCTAGTTTTTAACCAACTTCTTTGAGTACTCCTGCTCAGTCTACTCTGGGGTTTTCTTCTACACCCGGAATTCCATCTTGGTTGTCTTTTCTTGTTAAATGTTTTCCTTGACAATCTCATCCACATCCAGGTTCCATGCCCATTTATATTCTAAGCTCCATCACCGTCTGCACTGGCAGTTCAACTTCAACGGCCCCTGAAAGTCTGCTCCTCCTTTCATAGATCCTGAGTAAATGGCACACTATTAATTCAATGGCTCAATCCAGAAATTTGGGAGTCATCTTACATTCTTTTTTTTCCCCTCTCATCTTATAGTCAATCAATCACCAATTCCTGTCAATTCGATTCCTGCAATCTCTTACATCTGTCCACTTCTCTTCATCTATTAACAGCACAACTCTGGGCCAAGCATGGTGGCTCACATCTGTAATTCTAGCACTCTGGAAGGTCAAGGCAGGAGGATTGCTTGAGCTCAGGAGTTCAAGACCAGCCTGAGCAACACAGCAAGATATCATCTCTCCAAAAAAATAAAAAAATTAGCCAAGTGCAGTGGCATGCACCTGAAGTCCCAGCTACTTAAGTGGCTGACGCAGGAGGACTGCTTGAGCCCAGGAGATCAAGGCTACAGAGAACTTTAATCATGCCAATGCACTCCAGCATGGGTGGCAGAAAGAGATCCTGTCTCAAAAACAAAAAAATTCACAACTCTGATTTTGTCATACCCATGCTTAATCTCTTCAGTGGCTCTCAATGACCCTGGAATGAAGTCCAAAATCTGACCCTGACCCTCTCCATGAGCTGGCTGCTGCCTCCTTTCCAGTCTCATTTCCACCCATTCTTCCATTAGAGAGTACTTCTTTGAATCTCCAGATCATTTCCACAGCACACCACCACCTGCCACCATTACATTGTCTTTGCACTATGGGCCTCATCTTCTGCAATTCCCCATCACACTTTTAATTACTTGTTTAATGTCCATTTTCCCCAGTAAAAAGAGTGCTTAATATTTGTTGGGTACTTTCTATGTGCCAGGAAGTTTCACACATATTATCTCATTTTAATCACAACAGTAACTATGAGGTAGGTTCTATTATTACTCCAATTTTAAAGATAAGGAAACCGAAGCATTGAGAAATTGAAGGCCACACAGCTAGTATGGAGTAAATTAAAACTAAAACCCAGGCAGTCTACATCCAGGGCCCATATCCTATCCACAATTAATATTGCTTCAGTGGCCAGGCGCCGTGGCTCATGCCTTTAATCCCAGCACTTTGGGAGGCTGAGGCGGGCAGATCACCTGAGGTCGGGAGTTTGAGACCAGCCTGACCAACATGGAGAAACCTCGTCTCTACTAAAAATACAAAATTAGCCGGGCATGGTGGCGCATGCCTGTAATCCCAGCTACTCGGGAGGGTGAGGCAGGAGAATCACTTGAACCCAGGAGGCAGAGGTTGTGGTGAGCCAAGATCACACCATTGCACTCCAGCCTGGGCAACAAGAGCGAAACTCTGTCTCTGAAACAAACAAACAAACAAACAAAATATATATATATATATATATATATATATATATATATATATATATATATATATATATGTAGCTTCAGTGAAACAGTAAGGTCTACAAGGGGAAGGGCTGAATCTTGTGTCTCCAGAGCCTAACACAGGATTGGCACAGAATGGGGGCCAACATGAAATTGCTGAAATAATAAATACAATTCAATTCTTAGATTGGCATATAGGGTCCTCCACAATCTTACCCTGACCTACCTCTCCAGCCTCATATCCCGGTACATCTGTCCCTCCTTCCCCATGCCCTATCTTCTAGCCATATATGCAGTTCCAAGAATAGGCCATAGTGGTTCACACCTCTGACTTTTGTATACTCATAATTCACTCACTCCATGTGTTCACTCACTCACTTATTATTCATTCATTTGCTAAACACCTACTGAATGCCAGGCAGACAGAAAAGTCCTGTGATAGATAGATGCTATAGGAACACAGAATAGGGATATTAAGGGGTTTGGACTAAGGAGTCAAGAACATCTCCCAGGAGAATTAACATTAAAAGTGAATTTCATTTCCCTAGCATGTGCATATCTGCATGGCAAGCCCTTATTCATCTTTTGGACTTCACTCAAATGTCTCTTCCAGGGCTCTCTCCAAGGCAGAACTTGCAGACATTGTATTGCATGTGACCTCCCCCATCACCCCATCAGATTACGAGATCCTCTTAGCCTCTTGGTGCGTATCATGTCAGTACAGTGGGTTCCTGGCACAGAAGAGGTACCCAATAAAGAACTGATGAATGACCAAATAAAATAACGGTCCTTTTTTGTGACAATACTCCATTTTAACTCATTGTAAATATCTTTGCACTTACCTGAAACCATGGAATTGGGGCTTCTGTTCATTTACAGAATAGATATATTTTTAACATATAAATGAGAGAGATTAGGGAACACCTAGCACCACTATATCATTTTATTTTAGACGTGGATATATAAATTATGTAAAATAGCAATGTAAACATACACACACACACACTCACATACTTTTGTCAATTTAGTGACTAATAACTTGAAGAAATAAGAATTCCCACTATAAGGCATATTCTCCTGAAAGCTTTGGGCACTATGGAGAATACTACATGACAGAATGCTAGTATACTTTCTGAAAGACAAGATGATCCTAATGATTTCCTCATCAATGAAAAAGGACTTTTTCATTATTAGAAATGAGCCCCAAAGGTTAGGCTGCTAATGTGTTTTTGTATACGTGTGCAAATAAATGCCATAAATAACACTTTGGACTAACATCAAAGCACACTTCTGTCTCACTGCTCTTCTTTTTGGGGTGGACATTTGAAGAGGTTCTTTGAAAATTATAACGAGATACAAACTTACTCCAGTGTCCCCTTCTCTACTAATACATGAAGGGCAGCTGTGACTGGCTTTCAGTGGACCAAAGCTCTTACAGGAGTTGCTTAGGGAGAAGCCTCACATTCTGCAATCCTGTTTCTATTTGAATGTGGAAACCTGAGCTACCTCTCCCTCCATTCTCTCCTGCCCTCCCCAACTCTCTCCCTCTAGACAGGTTTCTAATCTGTCCAGTGAGTAGCTGGAACTACAGCAGGAGTCAGTAAACTTTTTTGGTAAAGGTCAAGATAGTAAATATTTTCAGCTTTGGACCACATGGTCTGTGTTGCAACTATTTAACTCTGTTATTATAGTGCGAAAGCAGCCACACAGAATATGTAAACAACGGGTACGGCTGTTTCTCAATAAAAATGGGCATGCCTATTTTCCAATAAAATTTTATTTATGAAAACAGGTGGTGGGCCAGATTTGGCCAGTAGATCATAGTTACAGACTCCTGGACTAGAAATATTCTAGGATCCCTGTTAGCTTTTCTCTGCCTTAGTATTCAATTTTCATGAGTCTGTGAGAGTTCACAATTGGGAGACAGCTGGAAAAAAAGAGAAGCATACTTTGAAGAATCATTGGCTGTGTGAAATTACTATATTTGACTTATCTTTTCACTTGGAGTCTTTTAACTTTGTAGCATAATGCCCCTATTATATTTAGCAATTAGAGTGCCATCACAAAGTAAAATGTAAAACCATTATTCCTTGAAAAGAGAAAAGGCTTGTGGTATGAAATGATGCATGCGAGGAGTGTGGGTGATAATTTACTCATATAATCATTTCTATTTCTGTTCTATGGCAAGTATTTCTGGAGATGGCTCAGATGGCAAGGAGATCTTTAAGACGTGCATGCCATAATTAACCTTTTTATGTGTTCTGATAGAAATATCAATAGTTTTTCCTCCTTTAGCACTTTTAACTTTACTTATGGTGTATAGAGATGATTTGAAGAATAATCATTATAAGGGAAAAAACGCCTTTATATCTTGGGTTTAAAATAAAACATGTATATTCTTCCTATTATTTTTACTTTATGGATAAGTTCTAGACACTGAACATCTGCATTTCTTTTTGCCTCCTTGCAAAGGAGGAGCTAGCCCAGCCAATGATTCTGTAGAATGTAGATCCACGATGTACGAAGTGTAGTCCCTGGACTAGCAGCATCAGTATTTGCATCAGCATCTACTAGAAACTTGTTAAAAATGCAAATTCTCCAGTGCCATCCCAGACCTACTAATTAAGAAACTCTAGGAGTGGGCCCAGCAGTCTGTTTTAGCAAGCTCTCCAGGTGATTCTAATGCCTGCTAGAGTTTAAGAACCACTGGTATAGCTTAGATTATTACCTTACAGAAGCACAAGTTAAAGGGAAGACCTGGCCTCATATAATCAGCAGAATGACCTTAGAGCCTGGACATTCAGAAGGCACAGAATACAGGCGATAAGCCTATAACTACATTACAAGAAGAAAAAGGACCTGAGAAAGAAAAACAAAGGGAAGAAGGGAGACATAGAACTTGAATGAGTAGGAGGAACTGGAAAACTCCAGGGTTCCATTTGCAGCTGTGGCTACAATCCTCCATGATTTGATGGGTGAGGACTGTGCTAGGTGAAGGGAAACAGAAATGAAGAGAACAGTCTCTCCATCCGCAAAGAATTCACAGTATTAGAGTGGAAAAAGAAAAAAATGGCTCCCTTGAGAATTTACAATAGACCTAATATTTTAAGTCAAAGGAGGCTGGGCGCAGTGTCTCATTCCTGTAACCACAGCACTTTGGGAGGCCAAGACAGGAGAATCATTTGAGCCTAGAGGAGTTCTGGACCAGCCTGGGCAACAGGGCAGAACAATGTCTCTACAAAAAATAAAAAAATTAGCTGGGCTTAGTGGTGTGTGCCTGTGGTACCAGCTGCTTGGGAGGCTGAGGTGGGAGGATGGCTTGAGTCCAGGAGGTTGAGGTCACAGTAAGCCATCATGTCGTCACTGCACTCCAGCCTGGGTGACAGAGTGAGACCCTGACTCAAAAGAAAAAAGGATCAAAAGAGAGAGGTTGGACATCAGGAGACATAGAGACAAGATGAAGAGAACAAAGAAAATAGAAGATATGAGGATAAACAGAGTATTAAAAAATTTTATTTGTACTAGAACATAGAACATTTAGGAAATTTGTTCTTTTAATTCCTCCAATTACTAAAAGGTGAGCTCTGCTTTGATTTGGAGATAAAAATCCCTGACTCATTGCTTCACTGGACAGAACCACAGGAGAATTGCAACCAAAAGCCTTTCATTTCCTTACGATGCTTATCGCCAGCAAATAGCTATAGTAACACACTGACATAAACCATTAAGCTATGTATGGGTCGGTGCTATTTAAAGAATGTTTGCTTCCCCACCCAACCCCATTCTTATGTTGAAATCCTAACCCACAATGTGATGGTATCAGGAGACATGGCCTTTGAGAGGTGATTAGGCCATGAGGTAAGAGCCCTCATGAAGGGGATTAGTGTCCTTATGAATAAGAGACCCCAGATAATTCATTTGCCCCTTCCACCATGTAAGGGTGAGAATGCAGCTATCTATAAACCAGGGAACAGGCCCTCACCAGACACTGAATCTGCTGGTGCCTTGATGTTGGCCTTCCCAGCCTCCAGAACTGTAAGAAATAAATTTCTGTCGTTTATGGTATTCTGTTATAGCAGCCTTAATGAACTAGAAAAATAAAAAAGAAAACAAAACAAAACAGGAACATGTTCTTATGGTAACACAACCTGGTCATTTTTCAAGTCCTGCCACAGAGTATCAATCTTGGAGCCTCATCATAAAATCATTTTTGGGTGCCTAAGGAGAATGTTATAGGTGAGACAGTGCTATTAAAAAAATAACACCAAATCAAAGATCATAGAGTTTTCTGGAAGATTTTTAGAAGTCATCTTTTCAAAACAGCCTCCAATGTTTTAAAAAATGACTTCACTATTTTAGTAATATATATATATATATATTTTTAAAATTCAAACAATACAGAAAAGCACAAAGAAAGAAGTAAATTACTTCCCAAAGTAAAGATTACTAACATTTGGTGAATAGAATCCATAAATACAAATAGAAAGCTAGACAATTAGGAGCAGTTTCAGAGAGAGAGATTGTATGGTACATGCTATTTTTTAAAACAAAATTTTTATTTTTGAATAATTTTAGGTTTATGGAAAGGTTGCAAAGATAATACAGAGCGTTCTAGAGCTCTCAACCAACTTCCTCTATTGCTAACATCTTACATTACTATGGTACATTTGTTACAACTAAGAAACCAACACTGGTACATTACTATTAACTAAATTCCAGGCTCTTTTTAAATTTCACCAGTTTTTCTACTAATGTCCTCTTTCTGTCCCAAGATCCACATTGCATTTAGTTGTCAGGTATTCTATTAGGACTCTCCAAAGAGACAGAACCAATAGGGTAAATGGGTATATGCAGAGACAGAGAGACAGGAGTTAATTCTAAACCTAAGAGTCATGTGACTATTAGGCATTCCATTTTAGAATAAATTGGAAATAGAGTTACAGCCAGAGCAGCACAAGTAGCTAAGAAAGCTCAGAACACCAAAGTGCCAGTTCAACCCAGGGAAACAACAAATGTCAACAAACAACTGAAACCTACTGCTTCTGTGAAACAGTACAGATGGAAATGTTGGCTCCAAAGGGTCCTTCTCCCATACCTGAGGATGCCTCCGTGAAAGAAGAGAACATCTGCCGAGCTTTTTCTGATGCTTTGCTCTACAAAATTGAGGATATTGATAACAAAGATTGGAATAACCCTCAGCTCTGCAGTGACTATTTAAGGGTATCTATCAGTACCTCAGGCAGCTGGAGATTTTGCAGTTCATAAACCCACATGTCTTAGGTGGATGAGATGTAAATGGACATAAGCATACCATCCTGGTAGACTGGTTGGTGCAAATCCACTCCAAGTTTAGGCTTCTTCAGGAGACTCTGTATGTGTGTGTTGCCATTATGGATTGATCTTTACTGGTTCAGCCAGTTTCCCAGAGGAAGCTTCAACTAGTTTGGATTACTGCTCTGCTCTTGGCTTCCAAGTATGAGGAGATGTTTTCTCCAAATACTGAAGGCTTTGTTTACATCACAGACAATGCTTATACTAGTTTCCAAATCCAAGAAATGGAAACTAATTTTGAAAGAACTGAAATTTGAGGTGGGTGGACCCTTGCCACTACACTTCTTAAGGCAAGCATCAAAAGCCGGGAAGGCTGATGTTGAACAGCACACTTTAGCCAAATATTTGATGGAGCTGACTCTCATTGACTACGATATGATGCATTATCATCCTTCTAAGGCAGCAACAGCTGCTTCCTGCTTGTCTCAGAAGGTTCTGGGCCAAGGAAAATGGAACTTAAAGCAGCAGTGTTATACAGGATACACACAGAATGAAGTATTGGAAGTCATGCAGCACGTGGCCAAAAATGTGCTGAAAGTAAATGAAAACTTAACTAAATTCATCGCCATCAAGAATAAGTATGCAAGCAACAAATTCCTGAAGATCAGCATGATCCCTCAGCTGAACTCAAAAGCCATCAAAGACCTTGCCTTCCCTCTGATGGGAGGGTCCTAGGCTGCAGTGGCCCCTGGGAATGTGTGCTTCATTTTTGCACTTTTTCTTACTGGGTTAGAACTCTTAATTTTATACATAGTTCTCTGGTCTGTTTCATGAAAACTCTTCTCAGACCAATTTTCTAAATATATATCGAGGAAAAATTAAGCTATTGGTTTTTCTTAAGGTAAAAAAAAAAAAAAACAACAATATACCAATTTATCCTACTAGAGAGATCCTAAAAGAGATTTATTATAAGGAATTGGCTCATGCAATTATGGAGGCCAAGAAATCCCAAGATCTGCAGTTGGCAAGCTGGAGACCCAGGGAAGGTGACATGTATTTCCAATCTGAAACTTAGCAGGCTGGAGACTAAAAAAACAGCCAATGTTTCAGTTTCAAGTCCAAAAGCCAGAAAGAAACTGGTGTCCCATCTCAAAGCAGTCAGGCAGGAGGAGTTCCCCCTTACGGAGTCTTTTTGTTTTATTCATGTTGTCTTCAAAGGATAGGATGAGGCCCACCCATATTATGGAAGGCAGTTTGCTTTACTCAGTCTGCCTATTCAAGCATTAACCTCATCAAAAAACACTGTCACAGACACAGAAGATTAACGTTTAACCAAATATCTGGGCACCCCGTGGCCTAGCTAAACTGACACATAAAATTAACCATCCCAAGTATACATACTATTTTCAATCTATTATGTTAATATAATATCTGACTTGCCAGATCATGCCGTGTCACCCTTCACTTTAAATGTGCAAGCAGATAGCTCTTTAGATGCCCTATACTTCTGTCCCCACCAGTTCAGCTGGAAGTTTTCCATGATTCAATTTGGGTGTTTGAACCCAAACTTTTTTTAATTATATAATTTAAATAAATGTTAAGAAAACTGACAAAATATAAATGCAAAAAGAACAAATTTTTGTTTCCATACAAACTAGATTGAGTATGTTAGAAAGACTGGATAAATATAGGGTGATTAAAAATTTGCTTTCGGGGTGGGTGCAGTGGCTCATGCCTATAATCCCAGCATTTTGGGAGGCCAAGGCAGGAGGATTGCTTGAGCCCAGAAGTTTGAGACCAGCCTGGGCAACACAGCGAGAATCCTTCTCAATTTTTTTTTTTTTTAGTTTGCTTTCAAAATAGCTGTGAGCATGATGCATGACACATAGGGGGTTGGGGGAATCTAGGAGGATTCTACACTCAGTTCCTTTCCAAGTGTCTTGTTTCATTTTTTAAAAATTGAAAACTGATAATCTTAGAGAGTGGTAGGTAATTCATGCAAAAAAGATGGTGAGGGGGAATTCCAATCAGGGGACCACTCTCAAAGAAAAGATCTTGGCCCCAAATTAAAAGATTGGCAAATGGCAAATGACTATATATAATTCATGTTAAATATGCCATTGGGGAATGTATTACTCTGTTTTCACACTGCTAATAAAGACATAGCCAAGACTGGGTAATTTACAAAGGAAAGAGGTTTAATTGACTCACAGTTCCACATGACTGGGAAGGCCTCACAATCATGGCGGCAGGCAAAGGAAGAGCTAAGTCATGTCTTACATGGCAGCAGGCAAGAAAGCTTGTGCAGGGGAACTCCCATTTATAAAACCATCAGATCTCATGAGACTTATTCACTACCATGAGAACAGTATGAGGGAACAGCTCCCATGATTCAATTATCTCCACCTGGCCCCGCCCTTGAAACATGGGGTTTATTACAATTCAAGGTGAGATTTGGGTGGGGGACACAGCCAAACCATATCAGGGAAGATGAAAAAGTGCTGGAGATGGAAAGTGGTGATGATTGCACAACAATGTGAATGTAAGTAATCCCATGGAACTGTATACTTTGAAATGGTTAAAATGGTTAAAATGGTAAATTGTGTGTTACACATATATTATCACAATAAAAATACGCAAAGTAACTGTGTATTTTTTCAGATTCCTTGTTTCAACAAATACTTTTTTATTAATGAAAATTGTTGCATTCTATAAACAGGCTTATTCTGTATTAAGTTTATTTTTTATTTTAGTTTAATAGGAGAAAAGGACACCAACATGAAGCTGAACGAATTTCAGGTAAATGATTCCCTTTTGAGATTTTAAGAGATTTTAATTCTCTAACATTGCTCTAAATGTAATAGGACAGATGTGAAAACCTGTAAGAAGTTAGAGCAGTGGTTCTCAATCCATGGCAGTGCCAATTCCCTAGGGTGCATCTAGAAATGCATGGACATGTTTTTGGTTGTCACAATTATGAGGATCCTGGCATTCTCCAGAGATGTCAAACATCTTATTATGTACCTGACAGACCTGACATCAAAACATACCCAACCGAAATGTCAATAGCTCCCCCAGTGACTCTGGGGAAGAGTCAATGTATGTTTTATTTTTATTTTTTCTAATAAAATCCAATCTAGGATTCAAAAGTTTATTAGAATAAAAATATATGTACATTACAGTTATTTCACATAATTCACAGATTTTACCACCATTCATTTTTAAATGATTTTAAAGTTCATACTGTAAATATATGCACATCTATAAACAAATCTTAAATTACAAAATTTGCAACGTATCTATTAGATATTGAATATGAAAATTTAGGATTGGCAACTGATAGTTATATCCTACTGCACTTACTATTTCTATGACATTTTAGA
Source organism: Homo sapiens (assembly GCF_000001405.40). Taxonomy (NCBI): domain Eukaryota; kingdom Metazoa; phylum Chordata; class Mammalia; order Primates; family Hominidae; genus Homo; species Homo sapiens. Next base: position 7,906,647 of record NC_000007.14, on the reverse strand, counting down.
GGGGGAAAAGATTAATTCATTTTAAATGAAAAATATATTTCACAAATTTGTGTATCACCCTGTGTGTGCAGGAGCTATGCTGGTCTTCTCTGTATCATTCCAATTTTAGTATATCTGCTGCAAAACCAATCAACATATTTTAAAAATTATATTTCAATTTTTTACAATATCTGACAACCTCCTTATGAAATTTGATAAAAGAGACATCATTTCACTTTCTTCCTCCTCTCTCCCTCTTCCAAATGCATTTTATTGGTTATATTATTCTTCATAACATCTGGGGTTTTAACATTTACATCTTGTTCTGAAACCGTAATTCAAACCACTGTTTACTCTTCATTTCTATTTTAAATAATTTGGTGTTCATCATCTAACTTCTCTGTGCCTGGCTTCTCCATTTTTATACTCTTTGATTCGTCTACTTAGTTGCCTAGATTTTATTATACAAAAGTTTTAAATTTACTTATTTTTATTCTATAAAAGGCTCATGGATTCTTATTTCTTTACATTCTTTAATGCTTACTATCCATCTGTTGCATTTATCCTTAGGAGGATAATTTGGGCTTAAAATTTTAAAGCCATTCACTGTCTTCCTCATAACTTTGTAGATACTGCTGCATTGTCTTTGGCTTGGAAGATGGTGTGGAGACATCTGGGGTCAATCTTATTTTCTCTTTCATAAGTGACTTGTTTTTTGCTAGTATACCCATACTACTATTATTTTTAAAGCATTTCCCTTTATTATCTCAAATGTAATATATTTGATACCTATACAAGATTAAATATAAAATATGTAAATTATAATCAAAATAAGATTTCAGCTTTTAAATAATTACTCAACTGAAGAACTAAAAGAATCCCCAATAGCACTGCATCTACCTGTGGATTCCTCCTCTGTCCCATGTGCCTCTTCGCCCCCTGAGGCAGCAACTTTCCTGTATGGTTATCCTTCCTTTCAATATCCATATGGTTTTGTCATGTAAGTATGTATTCCTAAAAAATATACAATATTATTTCATTTTGCTTATTTTTAAGTTATACAGAAATGGTATAATACCATATATTGTCTTTTGGAACTTTTTTCATTCAACTTACTATTTAAATTTTTACAGACTCATGTTGCATTGTGTTACTATAGAGTACTCACTTTTAATAGCATTACTGATACATAATTTAAATCATCAAGTTCACCTGTTTCAAGTATCTATTTTAATGGCTTTCAGTGTATATACAGAGTTGTGTATTCATCACCATCTTCTACCTTCAGAGTATTTTCATCACCCCCAAAAGAAATCTTGTGCCAATTGGCAGTCATTCCCAGTATCCCTCTCCCCTCCTTCCCTATCCCCTGGCCTGACTTTCTGTCTTTATTGATTTGCCTCTTTTAGGCATTTCATATAAATGGAATCATTCAATATGTGATTTTCTTTCATTTAAAATAACATTTTGAGGTTCTTCCATGCTGCAGCATGTATCAGTACAATCATGCATCACTTAAGAACAAGGATATGTTCTGAGAAATAAATTGTTAGGCAATTTCATTGTTGTGCAAACATCACAGAGTATACTTACAAAAACCTAGATGGTATAGCCTACTACACATGTAGGCTATATGGTATAGCCTATTTGCTCCTAGGCTACAAACCTGTATAGCATATTACTGTACTGAATATTGTAGGCAACTGTAACACAATGGTAAGTATTTGTGTATCTAAACATAGAAAAGGTACAGTAAAAGTATGGTACTATAATCCTCCCGGACCACTGTTGTATATGTGGTCCATTGTGACAGAAACGTCACTATGTAGCACATGACTGTACTTCATTAGTTTTTATTGCTGAATATGATTCTACTGTATGGCTACACCACATATTGCTTATCCATTCATCAAAAACATTCATTTTTACTACTGTATAATATTCCACCAAGTAAATATTCTACAATTTATTTAGTCTCCTGTCAAAGGATGGAGATTTCAGTCATTTCCAGTTATTTTTTCTTTTGTGAATTGTGCTGCTCTGAACAAGTTCCTAGGTAACCATGGGTAATAGTTTCTCTAGGATATATATCTAGGAGTAAGTTACATTCATTCTCAAATTTATTGGATAAGGCCAAATTGTTTTCTGAAGCAATTATACAAGTTTACCTTCCCGACAAAGGTATATAAGAGATCTTGTTAACCCCCATCCTTTCCAACACTTGACATTGTCCAATTTCTTAATTTTTGCCAATTCTGGGTATAAAAATGGTGCTTCACTTCAGTTTTAATTTGTATTTCCTTTATTACTGATGAGAATGAGCATCCTTTTATATACTGTCCATTCACTTTTCTCCTTTGATATGCCTGTTACCGTGTTTTGATCATTTTCTATTGGTTTTTCTCAACTGATGTGTACATTTTTGTTGTAACTATAAACTTTACCTTTTTTATATTACATTTTAAAACTGTCCATGACCACTGTTTAGAAAAGCAGTTGGGGAATGCACCTTCATTTTACACTGAAGGTTGCATCTCCCTAGTTTGCAAACTGTTCACTGGAATATAGTCTCTTTCTTCCACATTCCTTTTCAGAGAACTCTTGTGCAGGGGCTGTATCTCATATACAATGGTGAGAGAAGACTGCATGTTACAGACTAATACTTATAATTTCTATGAAGTTTAGAAAAATGCAAAACGTTGCAATTAGTATAGGTTGTTTAGCAATGTACATCTCTGTAGCAGAATTTTATAGAAAGTCATGGCGATTAGAAGTATCAGTGTAATGTAGGGGTTACTTCTGGGAAGGGAAGGGGAAGTGGTATCAGGGGAGTGGGATCAGGTATATGCAGGGGGATACAATGGTATCTTTAATATTTTATTCCTTAAACTGGATGATGCACATATGAGTGTTGGTTATATTTCTCTTTCTATATTTTCTGTCTTTTTTTTTTGAGATACAGTCTCACTGTCACCCAGACTGGAGTGCAGTGGCACGATCTCGGCTCACTGCAACCTCCACCTCCCAGGTTCAAGCGATTCTCCTGCCTCAGCTTTCTGAGTGGCTGGGATTACAGGTATGTGCCATCATGCCCGGCTAATTTTTGTATTTTCAGTAGAGACAGGGTTCACCATGCTGGCCAGGCTGATCTTGAACTTCTGACCTCAGATGAACTGACCGCCTTGGCCTCCCAAAGCGCTGGGATTACAGGCAGGAGCTACCATGCCCAGCCTGTATTTTCATTTAGCCAACATGTTGTCTAACATTTTTCTGAAGGGCAGAGATCATTGTCAACTCTTGTCTATCACTCCCACATCCAGTCAGTCACTCTACAAATTTTGCCTCTTAAGTAGTCCCTGGGACTGTCCCCTCCACTCCATCCCTACCGCCCCTTAGTGTGGGCCTTCATCATCTTTACTTGGACTATAGCAACCACCTCCTACCTCCAGCCTGAGCCCCTTCAAATCCAGCCTCTAGACTACTACTGAAGTGGTCTAACTAAAATGCAAACTGTCACCGTCACATATCTCCCCACTTAAAACCTTTCAACAGCTTGCCGCTGCCTGGAGAACAAGGTACAAGTTCCTTTAGTATGGAACATCAGGCCCTTTGTGATCTGGTCCCTGCTTTTCTCCCCAGTCTTGTCTGTCACCACTTCCTGCCCTGCATTTTAAGTTGCAATGACACTGGACTACTTACAGTTCTCCCACAGAGTAACCACCTCCTCCTGGTTTGTGCAGGACTCTTCTGGTCTTAGCACTGACAGTCCTGCATCCTGGGAGCCCCTCAGTCCCAGGCAGACTGGGATAGTCATGGTATTGAACCTGAAAGTCCTGCATCCTATGAAACCCTCAGTACCAAGCAAACTGGGAGAACAGTTTCCCAGTCTCTGTGCTGTTTCTGCAGATGTCTCAGCAACTCAGTATGTCTCCCTGACCTCCTGCTTCCTACTTATTCTGAAACTATTACCCAAAGCAAACAGCAAACAAAATATAAAATAAAACATAACAAACACAAAAATAGGCAACTAATTTCTGTATATGGGTTTTAGGCCTGACACCTTACTAAGTTAATTACTATCACGTTAGTTTTAGATTCTTTGTGATTTTCTTTGTATATTATCATATTATCTGCAAATATTTATGGGTTTGTTTGTTCCTTTCTTTCTTTCTTTTTTTTAAAGCAAACTTGGCATAGAAGAATTATTTGCACCTTTCTAATCATTATGCCTTTATTTATTTTCCTCATGTTATTATCTGGCTAGAAGCTTCGGTTTTAATTGTGATTAAAAACATGATAGTGAGCAAACGTATCCCATTTGTGATTTTACATGGAATGTTTTTAGATTTTCATCAAGAATGATGTTTACTGAGGTTTTGGCTGATAACATCATTCATGTAAAGAGAATTCTCTTTTACTCATACTTTGCTAAGACTTTTTATACTAAATCAGTGGTTAACTTTATCCAAAGTTTTTCTGTTCCTATTGAGATTATATATGGGTTTCCCCTTTTAATCTATTATGTAAATCACAATTCTAGATTTCTAAATGTTAAACTACCCTTGCATTCCTGGGATAAAGCCAAGTTGGTCATGATAAATACACCTTTTTTTGTCTTTAACTCCACTGTATTCCATTTGGTATAATTTATTTAGGGTCTTGAGTGAGATTGGCCTATAATTTATTTTTTTAAACTGTATTTGTCTATTTTTGGTGTCCAGGTTATATGGAATGATTTAGAGAGTATTTGTTCTTTTCCATTTTGCTGTATAAGTTTGTAAAAGATAGAAATTAACTCTTGAATGCTTAGTAATTCCACCTGTAAAATTAAATGGTTTGGTCTTTCCTGTAGGAAATTTTGAACTACTAATTCAGTTGCTTTACTAGTTATAGAATCGGCCGGGAGTGGTGGCTCATGCCTGTAATCCCAGCACTTTGGGAGGCCGAGGCGGGTGGACCATGAGGTCAGGAGTTTGAGACCAGCCTTATCAACGTGGTAAAACCCTGTCTCTACTAAAAATAAAAAATTAGCTGGGCGTGGTGGCATGCATCTGCAATCCCAACTACTCAGGAGGCTGAGGCAGGAGAATCGCTTGAACCCAGGAGGTGGAGGTTGCAGTGAGCTGAGATTGCGCCACTGCACTCCTGCCTGGGTGACAGAGCGAGACTCTGTCTTAAAAAAAAAAAAAAAAGTTATAGAATCATTAAAGTTTCTTAATTCCTAATTCAGCTTTGGTAAATTCTATTTTTCTAAAGATTATTTCACTTCACCTTCAATTTATTGGCTTAACATTGCCCATCGTATTTTCTTTTCAATCTGTGCTATAGCTATATTTATATTCTCTCTTAATCCTTACATTATGTGTACTCTTTTCTCAGTCTTAGCAAAAGATTGTCTATTTTATGAGTCTTTTCAAAAAGCTAAATTTTATCTTCATAATTTTTTCTTTTGTAATATCATTTTCAACTTAGGGGATTCTGCTTCCTTTTTATTTTTTTTATTCTTTTCCAAATACTTATGATGGTGCTTAGTTCATTTTCAGACTTCTTTCTTTCTAATGTATGTATTTATGGTTGATAGACTGCCCTCAAAAATACTGGTTTTGACATGTTACATTTTCATTACAATTTGGCTTTAAGTATTTTTAAAAATTCATTATGATTTCTTAATTGAGCAATGAATAATTAAGTATTCTATTTCCAAAGATGTGAGGACTGTAAAAATATAATTTTGCTATTGACTTTTACCTTAACTGAATTTTTGTCAAAAATATAATCTTTCTTTTTATTTTATTTTTTCTGAGATGGAGTCTCGCTCTTTTTGCCCAGACTGGAGTGCAGTGGTGCGATCTCAGCTCACTGCAACCTCCACCTCCCAAGTTCAAGAGATTCTCCTGCCTCAGCCTCCCGAGTAGCTGGGATTACAGGCATATGCTACCATACCCGGCTAATTTTTGTATTTTTAGTAGAGACAGGGTTTCATCATGTTGGCCAGACTGGTCTTGAACTTCTGACCTCAAGTGATCCACCCGCCTCAGCCTCCCAAAGTGCTGGGATTACAGGCGTGAGCCACTGTGCCCAGCCCCAAAATACCATCTTCCTAAGGAATAACCTTTAGTGTTTGATACAGTTTGGCTGTGTTCCCATCCAAATCTCATCTTGAACTGTAGCTCCTATAATTCCTACATGTCATGGGAGGGACCCAGTGGGAGATAATTGAATCATGGAGGCAGGTTGTTCCTGTGCTTTTCTCATGATAGTGAATAAGTCTCACAAGATCTGATGGTTTTATAAAGGCAGTTCCCCTGCACACATCCTCTTGACTGCTGCCATGTGAGACATGCCTTTGCTCCTCCTTCGCCTTCTGCCATGATTGTGAGGCCTCCCCAGCCACGTGGAACTGCAAGTCCATGAAACCTCTTTTTCTTTATAGAATACTCAGTCTCAGGTATGTCTTTATTAGCAGCATGAGAACAGACTATTAATACAGTGTGAGTCTACCGATGGTAAATTCTCCATTTTTGTTTAACGGCAAATGCCTTTTACTCTCATGATTGATAGATAATAGCTATTTGCTCTCAACACTTTATTATTCCACTGCTTTCTGTTTTCTGGTATCACTGTTGAGCACTCTGCTGCCAATGAAATGATCATTTCTTGGTATGTGATGTGTCTTTACTCTCTGGCTCTTTTAAACATTTTTGCCTTGTTTCTCTAGAGAGCCACCACTATGCCAGCTATTGGTTTTCTTTTTCGTCTTGCTTGGGAATACTGTCCTTTATGAAACTGGGGATTCACAGCTTTCAGCATTTCTGAACACTTCTCCTTGATTAATTTTATTATCACTTCTTGGTTGACTTAATTCTTTTCTTCTGCGACTCTGATTTGACTTATGTTAGACCTTCTTATTTTATCCTCAACATTTTAAATTATTCTAACTTCTTCTGGCCCTTTTTCTTTCAAGATTATATTCTGGTTAATTTATTCACTTCAACCTACAAATTCATTAATTCTCTTTTCATCTGTGGCTAGTCTGCTTTTTAACATGTCTTGTGTTTTCTTTCAATGTTTACGTATTTTATGTAGACATTCCATTGTGTTATTTGTAAGAATTGCCTGATTATTCCTGATAATTTTCTGTTGTTTGCTCACTATTTTGATCCTATATTTTACTTTTTAAGTACTTCATAAACAGCATTTCTATGTCTAACAGTTCTAATATAGATGGCTTATTTCCTCTTGTCGCTTCATGTCTTTGGTTGTGAACTAATACTTATCTGATTATACATTGTGGGAATCTGATGAAATATCCGTAAGATTCTTTCCTATGGTGATTTGGTGTGTTTCTGCAAGTAGGTGGGAGGACTACTAACCTGGGGCCATTTACTACTCTTTGAGGGACCTGGGTTAATGCAAAATCTCAGATTCAGTTCCTTTTCCTTGCTGTTGACCCCAAGCTCAGTATCCCGGTTGCAATTTACAGTGCTTCTATTGGCATTTCCCCTCAATATAATCACAGTTTCTCTCCCTTGCTTCTTGCTCAGGACATTTATCTGCTCATGGCTCTAAGCTCCAACATTGTCTCAATTTGTTCCTTTTTATTTTTTGGAGGGGAGGAGAGGTTGGACTTACAGATGGTTTTACCCACTTCCAGGAAGTCCAGCAGCAAACCAGAATGTTTTATTTCGGATATAATTGGTTTCGAGTACAGAGTGTCTTGTCTGCCATTGCTGCTGTAAGTGAAAGTGCTATTCTTCATCTGTGAAATTCAAGAAATAAAATAAATGTGCTGACCATTCTGCCTGTTTTCTCAGCACATTATCATTTAAAGGGTCAAGTATCTACAATTATTTTTGTATTTTCAATTTAAAAATAAGTACTGGGGCCCAAATAGGCTAAGTGACTCACTCATTTCATAACAAAGGAAGACTGGAAACCATGTTTTATGTCCAATCCGGTAGTTTTTGCAACAAATCCTTCTAATAATCTTTAGACCTGATTTTAAAAGACATGTTATGTTAAATTCCATCTGTAATATTTTAAGTTATGACAAGGTCTACAATTTTATTTTTAAGTCTATGCATTCCCAAATCTAGATACATATATCCATGTACAATCATATACATACATAAACTCAAGCCTATATATAAACTATTATAATTTAATATATAGATAAGTATGACTATAAAGAAGATACCTTGAAAGCACTAAGGGAAACTACAGAATCCTAACCTTCTCTTTTTCTACGAAGCATAGCCTTTAAGATCAAAATAATTGTACACAACACAGAACATTTGTTTTCAATTATGCACAAGAGCAAATAACTTCTGGTAAAGATTATGAGGACCTGGATTAGCTATACACTATGTCTCAAGTAGTCTTTTAAATAATCTCTGCATTGAATTAACTCATGGGTTAGAATTATAAATTACACAAATACGTCAATGAAAAGGAAAAGTGAGATTTCTTGTGGGCAGTATTCATCAGCAGTTCTCTAGGAAATCTGTCAACATACACAGTCACTAACATAGCACAAAGTTAATATAGTTCAGGGAGAACAAGGGGGAAAACTAGAGGCAATCAGTAAAGCAGTCATTTCAATTTAGAGAATCTTGCTATCAGAGAACCTGAGAGGAAAAGATTACAAACACACCGTTGGATATGCCAGCACTCCATGAAGTTATACATAGCCACTAGTAGCGACCTTGGGTTTTCTTAAATACTATCTGGTAATTTCTATTTTATTAGCTTTGCTTAGATATATTTTATTTTGGTTATTTATTTTAACAGGCAAAAATTATATAAATTTATCATGTACAATATAATGTCCTGAAATACATATATACTGCGAATTGGCTACATGGAGCTAATTAACATATGTATTACCTTACATACTTAACATTTTTTTGTGGTGAGAACACTTAAACTTTACAGCTTAAGTCTAGGAAACGTATTTTTAAAGTAATTGGGTTTATGTCCTAAAGTTAATTTTAGATGTTTTGAGGGTTGAGGGTGGAGACAGATGTTTCTTAAAGTTCTTTTCAGGTGACTTGGCCATATACACCCCTTCTTAAAATTCTCCAAGAATGTTTCAGTGTCTTTGTTATTTCCATGTTAACATGCAAGGGAAGATAATGTAGTTACTTTTTTTTCTCCTTTGATTTTCTCTCCTGTTCAGTTTTCATTCTCCATCCCTTTCAGCTCAGCCTCTACTCGTAAAAAACTTCCAGCATGTAGCTCCACTTCTCAAAAGCAGATATTGTTTTAGTCTAATGTAACATTAGTTTGAATATAGTTGTGCTTAAGCATTTGTGAACCTTTAACAAATCTGTCTTTCGGAGATTATTACAGCATGGTCCACATATGCTACTACTCTTGAAAACCACTAACAGATGAAGCTGTTTAGGAATTTTATGGGCGAGGGTCGAAGTGAGCGTTGAGTGGCAGAACCTGTGTCACCCTGTGAAGTGTGGAAGACACTAAGATATGTCAATCTCGGTGGAGGGTAACATGGAAGAGGGTGGTTTCAACAAGTCAAGCCTGTACAATGGCATTCACAAATCAACTTCTAATTTTCCAATAAATGATTATACACTCAAGATATTGCTCAGGACCTTTGTTTTTTCTAACTTTTAGCTTTTATATGATAATGTGTCACATTATACACAATGAATAATTAAATTACTTATATTACATATACCTGTAAATCTACTATACAATTTAAAAGTGAAATTATTGATATATTTCATAGACCCTAGGTGATCTCTGAAATTTTCAACAAACCCACCCCCTAGGAGACTACTCACTGTTTGTGGGTGTGAATGGATACCTGAACATGTTTGCCCCTCTGCAGGGTCGTAAAATATGCATCATCAACTTAAACACCCTCTGTACTCCACAGTGCCTTGCATTGCTATTATGTTTTAATAACAATGACAGTTTTACTTAATAGGGAAATTGGCCAATTCTGAGTGATTTGACAATAAGAGAAGTTGGTGTTTAATAACACAATAGATTGTTTCTTTTTTTTTTTGAGACAGAGTTTCGCTCTTGTCACCCAGGCTGGAGTGCAGTGGCGCTATCTCGGCTCACTGCAACCTCCGCCTCCCGGGTTCAAGTGATTCTCCTGCCTCAGCCTCCCGAGTAACTGGCAATACAGGTGCACAGCACCATGCCCCGCTAATTTTTTGTATTTTTAGTAGAGATGAGGTTTCACCATGTTGGCCAGGCTGATCTCGAACTCCTGACCTCAGGTGATCCACCCGCTTCGGCCTCGCAAAGTGTTAGGATTACAGGTGTGAGCCACCGCGCCCGGCCTTTTTTTTTTTTTTTTTTTTTCTGAGATGGAGTCTTGTTCTGTCTCCCAGGCTGGAGTGCAGTGGCACAATCTTGGCTCACTGCAACCTCTTCTTCCCAGGTTCAACAGATTTTCCTGCCTCAGCCCCCAGGTAGTTGGGACTACAGGTGCACACCACCATGCCCGGCTGATTTGTGTGTGTGTGTGTGTGTGTGTGTGTGTGTGTGTTTGGAAGAGACAGGGTTTCACCATGTTGGCCAAGCTGGTCTCGAACTCCTGACCTCAGGTGATCTGCTCACCTTGGCCTCCCAAAGTGCTGGGATTATAGGCATGAGCCACCGTGCCTGGCCCACAGTAGATTGTTTCTAATTGCTTGAAAAAATGTCCTTCAGAAAAGTCTCCTGACACAGAGTCACAAGTTAGGGCAGGGAGCGAGGCTTGTTAGACCTGGAGCCCAGTGGGAGGCAGCAGGTGACAGCTGGCATTTTCTCAGGAGAGACAGTTTACTCATTATTTTAGTGTTTGTGCTAGTGAACGCCTTCAAAGTGAAAGTTAATTTCCCTTTTGGATTACTTAGGATATTATTTTTAATGCTGAGGTTTTCCACATCCTTGGACAGATTTTTTTCCCAGAATGAGCATTTTTTTTTTTTAGTTATGTGGTTATTTCCAACAACACGTAAAAAATCAATCTGGGGGAGATTTTGTCATTTCCCATGATTTCCTTGTAGACATTCTTAATGACAGTCTTTGAAGAAAGAAAAACACAAAAGCATTTAGTGTTATGGATTAAAATGAAAGTTCAGTATTTTACTGGGTGGCGGGGGGTGGGTGGTAAAGAGAGGAGCGAAGCTCTCCTTAAAACATACAAAGGATGAAATTCCACCTACTCTGTCTAAGAATTCCAAACAATTAAAACGCGAAGTTTGAATAAGAATAAGCTTCAGGATATTAAGACCATTCTGGACCTGTCTAAAGTCATGCCTGTTTATTTTGCATCTGTCATCTCAAATATGGTCTGTTAGAGAATCGCAGGGACAAAAGCCCTTTCTTAATCTATCCAGCTGCCTCCCACCCCTGCCAGAGCATCTCTGGGCTGTGCCTAGGGTAAGAGAGGCAAGCCAGAGGAGCATGAAATCAACCACAGTTTCTGCTTCCTTTTCTCACTGCTCCCCCCAACTCCAGCTCCAATGCCATCAAGACCTCCAATTCTGACTGGCTGGAGCTGCTTCTAATGCCTGTCCATGTCCCTCTCTGCCAGCTATGCACACGGGGCAGCCTCTAGAGAGGAGCACGGTACAAACCAAGAAACACTCAATGTCAACTTCCTCAGAACTAAACTTTTAGGTAACTTTCCAAGCAGGCAACATTTTGGGGAATTTTGCTGTCACTTCCTTTGGAAGGGCTTCCTAGGATAGGTTTTAATGTGCTTACAAGAAGCTGTGTTTAAGAGAGTATGAAGTTATTAGATTACTCCAGTAGATAAAATGTACTATAAGCATGACAATACGCTGTGAAAAAAATCTCATATTTCTACTTTAATACTATGTAATGTTATGACAGAGTGAGTTCTTTGAACTAGTTGAATCTTGAATTATAAGGCAGACTGAATTCAGAGCAGATACAGAAGATGTAGGGATTTTAAAAGTGGCAGGGAATTTCCTCTTTGATTAGGTTTAGTGGTATCACCTTTTTTAGACTTTCTGTATGTTTCAAGTTAGATGAGAGAATAACAACTTTAGGAAAGCAAATATATCTTTAGTCTTGGAATGGCAAATAGGCTTCTTTCCCCTTTTGAATTGAAAACCAGTGGGCAAAGATCATTGTTATTAGAGAGAAATGAAAGGCTTACTAGAAATGTACCCACAGAGCTTCAATTGGACAAGCCCTAGAAAGTTCTATATACAAGTTAGGATCTACTTAAGCCCAGGGAAATATTGGGTTTGGATTACAGTGACTGAGAATGGCTGAATGTTAGTGAGGCATTTAACTACACCTAGACACATGAATGTCTTTAGCTTGAGCTCTATATTGTGTCTTTTAATTACACAGAATGTTCCTTTATGTTTGTATTTATGTGCTTAAATGAAGTTCTATTTTATTGGAGAAAATAATTGTGCTTTGGCTCTGTTGATACATGCCTATAGGAAATCCTAACCAGAACGATCTCACCTAGACCCTAGCATCCACCTCACAGAACCCAAATTGTGTGGTTCTGTCAAATGATATAAGACACGGGACTCAAATAAACACTTTAGGGAACATTTATTAGGACACTCACTTAAAAGACATTTACTGAGCGTCTCTCCATTTATTTTACTGGATACCAAAGGCCAGTACCAGAGATGTAAGAATTCCTTACCATATTTAAGAAATGAAAAGGGATGGATAAATCTGGACAAAGAGTTTTATCCCTGGTTCTAAAGGAAACTAACTTAAATTCCAGGGAATTTCAGAGAGTGTATGTTTTTCTATTTTTCTTCCTCAATATATATCATCTCCAACCTCACCCTGCCTTAGAATAAAGGAGATAAGGTGGAAAGAAAAAAATGAGCCAAATATCCAAAAGTGAAATAAACATTTGAACACAATCATGCAAAGGCCAGGGAACCAGAAACTGTTTCCTTACAAAGGATGGACGATGACTAGTTATGGCACTAACTGGGTACTGAGGTTTGCAGAAAGGGCCATAGTGGGTGCTTATTGACAGGAGAGCCTTAGCCTAGCATTTCATGACTTTTGTGCTTTCCGCTTTATCATCAGACAATTCCCTTCCTATAGTTTAGAGAAAAAAAAGCTGATATATGATAAAATGAATCCTACAACGAATTGGGGGAAGAGGCAAATTTAGTTGATTTGAAGGAAAATGATATTTCAGTAGAGATGAAAATACATATTCAATTATGTTTTTGCGAGGATGGCTAAAAGGTAATGAGACTTTCAGTCAAATATTTGGGACCAGCAACAATTAAGTCAAATGTGGGGAGGCTTTGTCCCAGTCACATCTAAGCAAGAAGAAATTCGTTATGGAATTTGGTACAGTGTCAGAGAAGACAAAAATCCAATGCTTAGCTATGAATATTTCTAAAATTATCCAGTGACTCTTCCTATATTTGAATTAATAACAGTTCCCTAGGCCAAAATGTAGTCTGGACTATGTGCTTTCTAGCAAATACAGTAGTTGCTAGTAGTTGTTACAATGATTTTTAAACCACAACTATCAATATAAGAGTGGCTGCTGTATTCTGTGAGCCATCTGTTTCACAGCCAGATGAAGTCATAGATGTAAAATGCAGCTATGAGTTATATTATTGTATCTCCATAATGTTAGCATCTCACATATATTTTAAAACCTAGGAAAAGTGTCGAAAAGATAGGGTACAGAAAGAATTACATGTCCCCTCTTCCAACCCCCAACTACAGATTTAGTGACTCAAAGAAATCTTAACTAAATAGTACAGTTATTTTCAGATAAGATATTTAAAAAGCAGACACAGTTACTCTCAAAAGTGATCTAGTGTCCATGTCTACTTCATCCTTTATAAAAAGCAAGTATTCTCTGAACATCTCATTCATGAACAGAGAGAATGAAAGTGAATTCACTGGGATGAATAGTGACTTTAACAACAGCTAAAGGGATGCATCTAACGAAAACACCCAGCAGGACTTTGAAAATTCACTCACTGCCAGGCATGGTGGCTCATGCCTATAATCCTAGCACTTTGGGAGGTTGAGGTGGATCACTTGAGCCCAGGAGTTCAAGACCAGCCTAGGGAACATAGTCAGACCCTGTCTCTATAAAAAATAAAAGAAACTACCTGGGCGTGGTGTCATGCGCCTGCAATCCCAGCTACTCAGGAGGTAGGAGGATCACTTGAGCCCAGGAGGTTGAGGCTGCAGTGAGACATGATGGAGCCACTGCACTCCAGCCTGAGTGACAGAGCAAGACCCTGTCTCAGAAAAAAAAAAAAAAAAATCACTCACCATTCATATTCTACAGAACTGTATCATCTCATTTTAGGAAACAGTACTTCTCACCTTCTCTGAAAAATATCCCTTGCTCCACCTTCTTCCTTAGGCTACAAAAGTATTTCTCAATTTTTTTTCATTACTCTTCTCCAAAAAAGAAAAAAGAATTTAATTTAAATACTCTCTTATGAGAGAATTAAATACTAAGGGAAAAGATTTGTTGGGTAGGGATGAGCCTTGGAGGGCCACAAACCATTTAATATTTAAGATATTTTTGGTCTCCCCAAAACCAGTCTTCCCATTGAGAATACTTGGGTTACAGTGACTTGACCCTTGTTCCTCCATCATATACTCTATTCCTTCTAAATTGTAGGAGGTTATTGCTAAATAATAAGCACTCAGGAAAGGCCTGTGGATGGTCAGCCAAGAGATTCGAGGAGAGGATGACCCTGAACCAGTGCCACAGCACCCTCCTAGACTTCTCATTATGTTAGTATACACAACTCCTATTTGTTTAAACATTCCAGATATAGTCAAATTAAAATTAGGTTAGGAATAGAGTTTTGCAAAACTGTTTTTTACTGTGGTATAATATATATAACAAAATTTGCCATTTTAACCATTTTTAAGTGTACAGTTCAGTGGCATTAATTACATTCACAATGTTGTGCAACCATTACCACTATTTCCAAAATTTTTCATCTCCCCAAACGGAAACTGTACCCATTAAGTAATAACTGCCATCCCTCCCACTAAAGTCCTTGGTAATTTATAATCAAATTACCATCTTTATGAGTACACATAGAGATGCAAATTCTAGATATTTCATATAAGTTGAATAACACAATATTTGTCCTTTTATGTCTGGCTTATTTCACTTAGAATAACGTTTTAAAGATTCATCCATGTTGTAGCATGTATTATAACTTTATTCCTTTTTTGTGGCTGAATAATATTCCATTGTATAAACATTTCACATTTTATTTAGCCATTCATCAACTGATATCAGGACAAGGGTTATTTCTACTTTTGGCAATAATAGGGTTTTAAAAGATAAGTAATATATGTAAAGCATTTAGAACAGTGCTTGGTACCTAAGAACTCAGCAAATGTAAGCTAAAAAAACTATTATTACTATTGCTAAATACCAACCCACCACATCCACTTTGTCAACTGTCCTTCATTTCAAGGGGAAATGAAGTAGTATGCGGATACACTGAAAGTGTCATGAAGACCTACCATACAATTTGGAGCAAATGATATGTTCATAGGTCTGTGGCCATCTGTGGTGCAGGTATAATGGATACAACCCCACTTATATCCGTCTGCCCATCCATCCATCCAGATTTTATTGAGTACCTCCTATGGGAAAAATACTATGCTTCAAACCTAAGCTGAAGTGACACATAATTAAATTGTTAAATGACAAAGAAGAAAAGGGGCAGCACTTAACCATTTCTAATGATGATGAAATAGTTCTACAATCAATCGTGAGCTTCAAAACTTTGATTATAAGAGGTGCATCTCTGGGAGAGGATCTGCTTTAGGGGAAGGAGCATATACTAAAGAACACATTTAAACAGGGAGTGGGAAAGAGGTGGGGAGGAGGGAAGGTAATCCCCCTCTAGTGACAGTGGTGATAACACATCTTACTTCGGCATTGAAGACCTTTGACACTAACATAGGCGGTCAATCATTTGAGATCCAACAACTCCAATAATGTTTGGAAGTCAGATATTCATTGAGCACCTGCTGTGTGCAATGTGTTTTATTACATAAAATCATAATCAGCTTGCCCTTACATATCTTACAATGTACTTAGAGAGTTAAGATTCATCACACAATATTGTGAGAAAACAAGTGGAAGAAACAGTGGGAAAATCCGAATGCCAGAGCCAGAGGGGCTCTGAGATGACATGTGTCGGCCATTCCTGGAGAACACATTCATGAGGGGGCTGAAAACGGAGCTGCAGTGAGCGTTAGTATGTGTGCAGGCAGGATATAAGACCAAAAGAGGGAGCAATACCATCAACAGAGGAGTGACATGGCACCAGAAAGGAGATAAGGAATGAGTAGGTGTAAAAGAGGTTGGCTTGACTGGGCCCTGTGGGAAATAAGGTTCAATAGTGAGAATGGGGCCAAAAAGGAGACATGTACTCAATAGTTCATTATTTCCAGGCTAGTGACGAGAATATGGCTTCATGTCTAGGTGCTGCAGCTTTGCATTCTGTTTTATCACCACCACCCCTGTCCATTTGTCCATTCTTTCTATATCTTGTTGCATTATAAATCACACACTCCAGGCAAGGTAATTAAAAAAATAATAAACTAGCCCCAACAAATTTTCTTGGATGCTCTGAATAACCAGTGCTTGGCCTCTGAATCACCTCCTTCCCTGACTTTCATTTAAACTGGCTCACTTACTTGGCATTTCATGATGATCAAACCTGTCTTTGGTGGTCAACTTGATACTGTTACTGCTACCTGTAATATTAGACTCTAGAATGAAAAGTGCTAAGGATACAGAACTTGTCTTTTGTGTATTATGTTTTGTCATGCTTAGGGTACATTTTCTGGCACTCTGTATTTAACAAGCATAAGAAAGCACACCCAGGCTGAAGGATATCACATTTGCTGTACTTCAACACAACAAAAGCAGCAAGCCCAGTGGTCTCGCCCCCTAGAGTGGTTAGAAATTTCACTGGGAAATGAGGCCCTTATCACAATCCACATAAAAAAGAAATCATGCCTCAGGTGTATCTCTACATATACTAGAAAAGCCCCAATGGAAACAAGCCTGAATGGAAATAACCTACACCCAGAAGACAACTGGTTTGCTTAAAGGGGGTTTAATTCCTACAACCACTCTCTGATAGTTAAATATTGCCAAGCGTAGAAACTTAAGAGTTGCTTAAAATTACTCAAGTGGGAAACCTAAGGTGGGTATAGAGAGTTTCAGCAGGTAGTCTTTCAATTTGGAAAAGAAGAAACTATTGACCCCTGACACTAATTTAATCTAGCATTTTAGTCAAAAGGCCGGGCGCGGTGGCTCACGCCTGTAATCCCAGCACTTTGGGAGGCCGAGGCGGGCGGATCACGAGGTCAGGAAATCGAGACCATCCTGGCTAACACGGTGAAACCCCCGTCTCTACTACAAATACAAAAAAAATTTACCTGGCCATGGTGGCGGGCGCCTGTAGTCCCAGCTACTCGGGAGGCTGAGGCAGGAGCATGGCGTGAACCCGGGAGGCGGAGCTTGCAGTGAGCCGAGATTGCGCCACTGCACTCCAGCCTGGGTGCCAGTGCAAGACTCCGTCTCAAGAAAAAAAAAAGAATTTGTTTTTAAGTTCTGGAGGCTATTTTTGCTGAAACTCTTTCTAATGAAAAATTGTATGACTTCTTGATGTTACAAAGTATTTGCAACTTGTTATTTAGGTAACAGAAATGAGAATTTTGTTAACCAACAACAGGGTTTCTTCTCCTCCTCCTCCTCCCCCTCCCCCTCCCCTCCCCCTCCCCCTCCTCCTCCTCCTCCTCCTTCTTCTTCTTGGCTAAATCAAAGTTTTAAGAGATTGGCTACTATTCCCCATTTATTGAAAATGATGTATTGCATACCTGCACTTGCATCTTGGGAGAGAAGGGGACCCATGAAGAGGTTGCAATAACTAATGTGGTAACCACACTAGTTAGAAATTCAGTTAACTAATAGTGCACAAAATCATTATAATCCATTACAGAAATTAAAAAGTTAAATTCAGTCAGTAAACTGGCTATCAAATAAATGGACCAGTTAAAGAATATTTTAGAACCTGTTTTGATTGCATGAAAAATCGAAATTGTGGTTTTCCTTTCTCAAATAATTGTTATTTTTCCTCAAAAGCAAAATGAGCTTATCTTTCAATATGGGCCATCACCAAAAGGGTTAACATTTCCAAATCCTTCAGTAAGGTTAGATTACATAAAAACAAAATGCTACAGCCCATTAAAAAATCAGGTATTCCATTTTATGGTACATATTTAAATCTATTCAAGTCCATGCTTTGAAAAGAGCCATGTAACTTAATTGGCATTAAATAATGTTAATTTAATAGAAGGAGGAAGAAAGGTCTTCCCAGGTAGATATTAAAATAAGCCAAAAAAATAGGCTAGGCACGGTGGCTCACGCCTGTAATCCCAGCACTTTGGGAGGCCGAGGTGGGTGGATCACTTGTCAGGAGTCTGAGACCACCTTGGCCAACTTGGGGAAAGCCCGTCTATGCTAAAAACACACACAAAAAATTAGCTGGGCGCGGTGGCTCACACCTGTAATCCCAGCACTTTGGGAGGCTGAGGTGGGAGAATCACTTGAACCTGGGAAGCAGAGGTTGCAGTAAGCTGAGATTGCACCACTGAACTCTTGCCTGGTCTACAGAGTAAGTGAGACTCCGTTTCAAAAAAATAAAATAAAATAAAAAATAAAGTAAACCAAAAAATAAAACTGAAGTTATAATACATAGATCCAGCCAGCCATGGTGGCTCAATGCCTATAATCCTAGTACTTTGGGAGGCTAAAGCAGGAGGATTGCTTAAAGCCAGGAGTTCATGACCAGCCTGGGCAATAAAGTGAGATCCCATCTCTACAAAAATTAAAATATTAGCCAGGCATGGTGGCAGGTGCCTATAGTCTCAGCCACTGGGGAAGCTGAGGTAGGAGGATCACTTGAGCCCAGGAATTTGGAGTCTGCAGTGAGCTATTATCACACCACTGCACTCCAGCCTGGGAGCAACAGAGCAAGACCCTGTGTCTAAAATAATAATATTAATACATAGATTCATAGTAACTTACATCCCAAAAATTTAATCTGAAGACTTAACACTGTCTGAAAGATTATAATAAATATAAAATGTCTTTATTGTATTAATGCTGATACAGGTCACCAAACAAAAGGGGTAGAAATTTAAAAAGCTAATTTATTTAGAATACAAGATATGTTTGGGAGCATTAAAGAAATGTAGCATATTCTAATAGGGATATCTGAAAGGTTTCCTTAAAGGCTTCCAACACAGACACAAGGGCAACATCTAATAGTCTAATATAGATGGCATATAAACTCATGTATTTCCTTGAATCAATAGTGACTCAATCATTCACCTACTGGACAAATTTTACCGAGCACACGCTGTATGTCAGGCATCATGTTAAGCACAGAAGTCTATATGTTGGTATCAATTCAGAGTTATGAATCAGACAGGGAACAAACAATTACAATACTATGGATCAAGAACCTTCAAAGAGGGGAGCACAGGTTAGCACAAAAACATGGAAAGAGATCAGTGCAGCTCAGCAAAAATAAAGGAAGACTCCTAGAGGAGATGATACAGAAAAAAAAAGTCTTGTAATAGGATTTAGCTGGGTGAAGAAGGGAAGGTCAGGGCATTCCAGGGAAAGGAAATAGAATATAAGGATAATCAAAGAAATTATGGCATGTTAAATGGCGCAGGGCATTGCTCAATAGGGCAAGAACACAGAATATATGAATTGCAATATCATTTGCGGAGGCTGGAGAGGCAGGTGGGGGGCCCTTGTTTGCCTTAAAATGCCTCAATTTTCCAGAGACACCACAGAAGCCCTGAGGAATTTATCTGTATTTCTTAATATATTTCATCTGGCTTTAGAGTAGAGGATGGATGGGAGGGAGGCTTAACTGGATGTAGGGAGATCAGTTGGGTGAAATGATAAAGACCGGGACTGAAGCAGGAGTAGTAGTAGGTCTGGAGTACATATTTGACAGACAAATCTTTTAGATGTATAATTAACAAAAGTTTATCATCAATTGAGTATGGAGGTAAGAAAGAAGAATGGATAGATTCTTAGATTTCTTGCTTGGGTAATCCAGGGCCTCAAATAATATGGTCAAGACTATGAAACATGGAGGGAAGGATGGCTGTCAGTAGTAACCCAGCAAAATAGGTGTTTCTTTCTCCTAAAATCTATGTACTGGTTGATGGATGATACTTGGACTAGGCTAGGTTACGTGTTTATCACCTTGTGGTATAGAAATGGCCATAAGTATCACAGCTCCCAACAGGACTACATAAAGTGGTGCAGAATTCCTCAAAGGAAAGTGGGCAGAGGGGAGAGAGATGAAAAAGAGTGTAGAGCAAATAAAAATAGCAGCTACTGTGATCTGTTATAGAAGCTGAGAACAAGGGTCAAGGGAGATATTTGATAGCAAATTATGTATATGGATATGGAACTTGAGAGAGTTCTGGGCTGAAGATTGATTATGCAGATAAGACATGGATATGATTATGTAGGCAAAAGAAAAGGTAGAGAAGAGAGGCAGAGGCAGAATTCTGAAGAACACCAAAATTTTACAAGTAGAAGTGAAAACAAGTCCCCAAAGGTCTAAAATGGAATGGTTACAGAGATGGAAGGAACACCAGAAAAGGTGTCATAGACATCAAGGGTGGAAGACAATTTCAAGAGAGTAGGATTAATCAATAGTGATTAATTGCCTCAAAGAGAGATAGCCTGGGCATGGTGGCTAATGCCTGTAATCCCAGCACTTTGGGAGGCCAAGGCGAGTCGATCACCGGCGGTCAGGAGCTCGAGACCAGCCTGACCAACATGGTGAAAACCCGTCTCTACTAAATACAAAAAAAAAAAAAAATTAGCCAGGTGTGGTGGCACATGCCTGTAATCCTAACTACTTGGGAGGCTGAGGCAGAAGAATCGCTTGAACCTGGGAGGTGGAGATTGCAGTGAGCTGAGATTGTGCGATTGTGCCATTGCCCTCCAGCCTGGGGGACAGAGTGAAACTTCACCTCAAAAAAAAAAAAGAGAGATAAAGGCATTTGGCAGGCTTTAGAGGTGGGCCGAGTATAAACCAGTTCAGGGGAGGTTCTAATGAGGGACGCAAAATCAGATTGCAGAAGTTGACAATGAATAAAAAGTAAGAAACTGGAGGCACAAATATAGACCACTCTCTCAAGAAGCTCGACTCTAAAGAGAAAGAAAAAAGAGTTGATAGTTGGAGTTAGACAGGAAAGCGCTAAACATGTTTGTATGACGAAGGGATAGAACTGGCTGAGTAGGAAATGTAGGACAGCGATGTAGGAGAGTACTGAAACAAAGGTGCACTACTGCTCCTGGAAAAACCTTTTTTTAAAAAAAAACAAGGTCATTAAAAATACTCAAATGTGCTTGGAGGCAAGCAAATGAAAAAGGAAAACATTTTTCAAGGACAGGTCAGATCGGACTAATAAATTCTGGGACAGGAATACACACTACCATAACCAAGAACACACAAGGGAAACTTGGCAGCTAGATAAAACCTCGGACCAACATACACTGTATTGTCTAGAATCAGCTCTTACTCATCATGAAGACATACGTAGTCATTATGGGCAGAGGAAAACACAACCTGAGAAACATGGAAAATACCCAAAACAGATAAAAGGCACAATTTGTAGAGGCCTGGTGAGCTAAGCATTATTTTCAACTGCACAAACACAGTTCTTCCCAAGGCTGGAGAAATGACAAAAGTTTTTAAATTCTATTCCTTTGCTTTTGGGAAATCTCCTGTATAAATAACTTAATGATTGATTTCATTGGTTCACTCATTCATTCAACAAATCCTGACTGAGGATTTATCATGTGCTAAGCACAAGCCCAGTCAGAGCACTGATTGTTAAGTGAAATAGGGGATGGGGGTTAATCTTTGAAAAAGTGCATTCAATTTACCTATGATCTTTGTAATAGAAAACACAAACTATAACCTGTCAGAAATCTTGGCTGGTGGAATATATAGAGGATACAGTGAAAAAACACTGCAGGTCACATTAGTTTTAAAAGCAGGACAGACATTGGCCCAAGGACTGAAGCATTTCTCTTTAGAAGGGATTCAATATGAACATAAAATATGTAGATTCCTTCCTCCTCCTTGAAGTTCAATTTCTAATTTCAGGATATGGAATAGGCAAAACATGGAAGAAATATCCAATTAATTTGTGGAGCTATAGACCTGTATTTTTTTTCTCTAACCTACTGACCATCTGTTCTTTAAGTTTCTTACCGGGATCATTCCATTCTCTAAATCATCTTCATTTCTTCTACATCTTTAGGGTTGCCTACATCTTTAGGGTTAGGAAACTCAAACAGCTACCTGAGGTAGAAACTTCCAGATTTGCTTTACAGACAGTAGCTAAGTTTCCTGCAAAAAGAAGAGGAAAGTTTAGTGTTCCTGTTTTAAGCTGTGTTAATTGATGGCTACAACTGGTATAGTGTGAGATAGAAGACTACATACAGTCTAGTCTGTTCCAGGCTCAAAAATATGTGTGGATAAACACAAATTCTCCTGAAGATCCAAAAGAAGGATGAGGGGAGAAGCCTACAGGAAGAGAATGAGTATTTAGGTTTCATCTTATACCAACTGCCTGTGTGCGTTTCGGCATCCATTTATTTATTTATTTTTGTCCTGAGAAGGCCTATTCAAATGACTAAGTTAACAATATCACACACAACATGTTAGCGTACAATGTACCCTGTAGGTGTAAAAATTCAGCTTTGTTTTGCCCTTGTTCTTGAACAAAAGCTTCTTCTTTGCTAGCCTCCCGAATGTTCCCAGCCATTATGTAGAAATACATTCATTTTAAAACAAAATTAATTATGTACCTTTTGAAAAAATTAAAAGAAAAACCATACACATAAACACACATATGCACAATGACGTTGACATTACCCTGTTCCTTCTCCAATGTGCCTCAGAGTTATAGCCAACACCTGTGGCCACACAAGGGGCAGATTTGGCAGCTGTAGAACCCAGATGTCAGACACTGGATTGTACATCCCTGGCAGCAGTCCTAAGTTGGAACCTGTCTCCTTAACTGACCTCTGAAATGCTCTGTTGTCTGACTCCCTTTCTGGCCTGGGTAGTGACTTGCAAGCTCTCTGTTGGGGCTGGGCAACTGACGGTTTGTTCTGGATGCAATTATCCTTTGCTTTAGCTTTGATTGTAAGACATTTATTTATTTATTTATTTTTTGTAAGGGTGAAAATTGGGATTGGGTAAATTCTTGACAAGGAATTATATTCAAGTTTCTTGCAAAGACTAAATAAGTTGTTTTTTGTTTTGATTGTGTCTTTCCCAAAGGAAACTGAATGAGATCCACTCATCAAATTTACCTTTTAGCATGCAGTGAGCTTTCGCTAATGAGAAGTAAAATTATGAGATTCTTGGGCACTTTTCCCCTCCAAAAGAAGATTGGTTTCCTTTTATTGCTGCTTCTTCTTTTCTTCTTCTTCTTCCTCTTCTTCTTCTTCCTCTTCCTCTTTTTCTCCTTCTCCTCCTTCTCCTTCTTCCTTCTTCCTTTCTTCTTCTTCCTCTT
This sequence comes from Homo sapiens, assembly GCF_000001405.40. Lineage (NCBI taxonomy): Eukaryota > Metazoa > Chordata > Mammalia > Primates > Hominidae > Homo > Homo sapiens. The sequence continues at coordinate 7,883,034 of NC_000007.14, read as the reverse complement.
CTTTCTTCTTCTTTCTTCTTCCTCCTTCTCCTCCTCCTTCTTCTTCTTCCTCTTATTGCTTCCTTCTCCTTCTCCCTTTCTTTTTTTTTGGCAGGGTCTCACTCTGTCAACCAGGCTGGAGTGGCACAATCACGGCTCACTGTATCACTGCAGCCTCGACCTCCCCAGGCTCAGATGATCTCCAACCTCAGCCTCCAGAGTAGCTGGGATTGCAACTACTAAGCCCAGCTAACTTTTTTGTAGAGACGGGGTTTCACCATGCTGCCCAGGCTGACTTCTACTGCTTCTTAAAACTACCTCTTAATGTTGAAAATGAAATCCATCTTTCTGTAGAAGATTAAGGAGGTACAATTTTATTTTTGCTATTACTAAAAAAAAAAGTCCCACCTTTTATAGAGAAGAGCTCTTTGTATCATGAGTTGTCCTGATTATTTAAAGAGGAAATAATGACATTACAATCTCATTTCCATACCATTTGCTGAAGAATGACATTATTTATAAGATGCAACCATCTTTGGAATAAGGTAGGAAAAGGCCAGGTATCTATGAGGCCTCCACTTACAATGCAACACTGTTAGCCCTACAAAGGAAGGTCTGTGGTATATATAGTTATTTGTGGCAAGCTAAGGAGATACATGCCTGACATTAACAGGAAGATAAATTTTGAGGAAACCATAGAATATACTATCGTATCCAACATAAAATGGTATTCATCTGCACCATGTAAAATGTTCCAAATTTTATCGACTTTCATAAAAATGTAAATATGTCTCTTGGATAGCACTGATTAAGACTTGGAAAAAGATTGAAGATTCCTGAGTTCATACTAATATAAATAATTGATAAATAAATTGGGGAAAAGAGACAAATCTCTCATGCAGAAGAATTCCAAATAATTTATGTGATAGTTGCCTTTCAAGGAGGTGGAGTTTAATTACCCACTCGTTGAGTGTGGGCTGTGCTTTGTGATTTAATTCCAAAGAGTATAGAAAGGTTGGGGGGAATAACTTTTGCAGTGGAGAAACCTGAGAAGCACTACTTTGGCCAGGTATTCAAAGTCAGCATCATCAGTAATAAGTCATGTCTATAGCTTATACTACTCTCAATACGATATAATCTCACTGAAGGGGGTATCACCTTTTTAATATTTCTCCAAAAACCGATATCCCTAGTCTAACCATGTGAAAACATCAGATAAACCCCACTTGAGAAATATTCTACAAAATACTTAACCAGTACTCCTCAAAACTGTCAAGGTCATCAAAAATAAAAAGTCTGAGAAACTGTTGAAGCCAAGAGGTGCCTAAGGAGATATGACGACTAAATAAATGTAATGTGCTATCCCAGGTAGGCTGCTGAAGGAGAAAAAGGACATTAGAGGAAAACTATGAAATCTGAACGGGGTGTGCAGTGTAGTTAATTGCAATGTACCGGTGTTGATTCCTCGGTTGTGACAAATGTACTGCAGTTACGTGACATGTCAACAACAGGGGAAACTAAGTGAGGGGTATGTGGGAACTCTCTGTAGTACCTTCATAATTTTTCTGTGAATCTAAAACTATTCCAAAATAAAAAGTTTATTTAAATTTTTAAAAGACTGACATATTGTCACATCGACTGAAACAGAGTTCCCTGCGTCAATCAATACCTCTTTCTCTCTTTCCCACACACGCCTATCTGCCAAACCATATGGCAAAAAGAGTCCTTTTCCTGAAACATAAGAATACTTAATCCTTCAAGCCACTGTAGTATGAATGGAATTGGACTTATTCTGAAAGTTTTAGATTTCCCAATAATACCTAGGTCATGCCCTCAGTAATATGGGACAAATGCTCAAAAGAGAATGTCAATAAACCTGTATTTCCCAAAAACTTTAAAAGATAAACCATCCTTCAACTGCATTTCCAATAAACTTATATTTTGTGTGAGTTATTGACATAATTAATAAGATAACGCACTAATCTCTGAAAGAAACATATTCTTTGCTAGATTACTGAGGGCAGTGTTCACTTATTGATCAATTGTTACCATGGGAGGCACAGAGGTAGTCTGATGTACTACGGTTTCAGAACATGAGTGAGATTCTTTCCTTGCTTCTCCTTATCTGTCATTTAGAATTATGAGAAATGAAATCTCTGGGAATTTTAGAAGAATTTTTTCATACTGTTTTGAATTTACCATTTTTCTTTAAGAGAAGAAAAAAATAAGTGTTGACGTCAATGAATATTTACCTTAAAAAACTATTACGGATTTGATTTGCAATTGTTAATAAAAATTGTGGCTTTGTTAACATTTTAATGGTACAATTTTAAAAGTTCAGTTGATCAAAATTTAATTAGCCAGGATAATAAATTGGTCAGAATCGCCTCTCTCATTCTGTTTTTAGGAAAGAATGCAAATGTCTTTAAAGAAAGCTTGGGAAAAAAATACATGCAAGTTCTTGAATATATTTTAGGGCTAAAAATAAGATTCAAGGCTGGGCACAGTGGCTCATGCCTGTAATCCCAGCAATTTGGGAGGCCTAGGCGGGTGGATCATCTCAGGAGTTCGAGACCAGCCTAGTCAACATGGTGAAGCCCTGTATCTACTAAAAAAAAAAAAAAAAAAAATTAGGCATGGTGGCAGGCACCTGTAATCGCAGCTACTTGGGAGGCTGAGGCAAGAGAATCGCTTGAACCCAGGAGGAGGAGGTTGCAGTGAGCCGAGATCATGCCATTGCATTCCAGCCTGGGTGACAAGAGCAAAACTCTGTCACAAATAAATAAATAAGATTCAGTAAAATCACCTGCACATTCCATATCTATAGTACTTTGCAACAATAACATATATTAGGAAAAAGACTGTAATAACGAGAAAAAGAAAAAAATGTTCACTATGGAATTCTTAGTTAAGGCAGAACAGTCAACTAACATATTTTAGGAATATTTCTCATAGTAAGGTATTTAATATGGAAAAAAATAACTGGGAAGGAGGGGGATCTACAGTTAACGTAGGTAGCTGTTTTATTTATGTTACTCTTCAAGAAGTTCAATTAATATGTATTTTGCATTTCATTATAGTATTGTGTGTGTATGGTCAATAACGAGAATTATAACAATCCCTTTCCCAGAATACCGATGATGTGCAAGGCTTTAGGCTGCCAGGCATTTGACATACACCACCTATAACTTAACACAACGCTACAAGTTATGAACAATTAGTGTTTCACAATTGAGAGAACTGAGGGCACCAGAAGTTAGGGGACTGATTGAAAGCCCCACAGCTTATAAAGGAGGGAGCCATTACAAACTCTGTCTGGCTGCCTCAATTGCCTGAACTCTCTCCCACCATATCATACAGCTTTGTTATCATATATTATAATTACTAACACTATTAAAGTAGGCATTTATTTATCACTAAGTGATTTAAGTCATTTAGTCTTTCTAGGCTTCAATTTTATCTTGGGTAAAATGAAGTTGACGTATTGATTTCTAATGTTTCATAGAAATATTAATTTATATACAGAATAAAAAATTAAATGGTAATTTTCACAATATTTTTGTTTAAAGAAGAAGATCATTAACATTGGCCCTTACTAAATGTTGTGATGATGGTATCAATCTAGAAATGCTCATGTCATCTCTCTCAAATCCCTCCAGTCCTGTTAAGCCAGGACTAGGGATCTTACCATTTTTAATGTTATTCCTTAAAACTTACATGTAAGAGGAAATCGTATATTTTTCCCAGCACTATACAAACTATATACTTAAACTTTTTGGCTCCTAAAGAATTAACAACTTGCATTCAGATATAAATAATGCAATCAAACCCATTTTTCTGGATCTGAAAATAATCAAAAATTTTATTTTAATTCACATTTATTTAAATATAACATTTTTTATAGACACATGAAGGTACTTATGAACATTTATAACATGGTAGGCACAAATATAGATGAAATGTTTAGGTATTTTCGACAAAATTTCACACAAAATTAGACAAACTGACTATGTGCTTGCATTTAATTTCAAGGGTACATTAACACAGATATTTGAAAAGGATGTTCTTTTACAAAACTACTACAAAATGTTCACGTTTGCATCAGTAATAAGTCATATTTCCTAGACTGATGCTTTGTAAGAACTATGTAAAGATCTAATTTAATCATTAACACCATATGGTAACATTATATGTAAATGAAGCATATTTTTGTCAATAGAAATGTTCCTCTAACTTTTAAATAACATAGCATTTGTATTAAAACCATGCCACATTTATTAAACAAACATGCATAATACTTTAAAACTGGAATAATTCATGTACCTTTATGCACAGTGTTTAGTTTCACTATGGCACTCTATCTTTGTGAAAAAATATACTTAAAACTTGGCACAGAGTTAACAAATCATATTGCTGGTAATCAAAATAAATGTGATTTCAATTTCCCATGACATAGAAAATTCTCTATCACAATTTACCTCTTCCCTTTACAGTTTATTGACCAATGGCAGTTCTGTTTTCATTAAAGTAAGTAATGGATATTCAAGAACTAAAAGTCATATCTAGGTGTTCTGCCTATACTCTAATTGGAAATGAGTTGATTTCAGTTTTTCCAGCAGTAAAACATTTCCATCTCTATTGTGGCCAACAAATTTCTAAATAAGGGTGTTATCAGCAATAATATGTATCATCATGAGATGTTTTTCTTCAGGAGGCAGAGGGGTTGAAAGGAAATGTGGATCTCTTCATAAACTGGGAACATATGTGGTAAGGAGAGCAAATGGCAACCGAGGCAGAAGCAGGGAAAGTTCTTTGGAAAGCTGGTCAGAGAGCACACTGAAGTAGCAAAAAGGCAGAGAACAAAGGTGGGAACACAACGATTATTCACGATGGAAAGGGCTGCCATGGGTTTCAGAAAACCGAAATGGGCCACTCCAGAAAGAGCACGCAGAGCAGGTCTAGCATCCTTGTATCAGCAAACTAGCACTGCTGTTTAGGACAAGTTTTAAATTTCCACATCAATGCATCTGAAGAAATTAAGCTAACTGGCAACTTTTTTTCTGAATTCATTCATAAACACTGTGGAAGAAAAAAATGCAGGAATAACACCAATTCAACTTCCTACAAACCAGAGAGGAGACTTCACACCCACTTCTTGCTCAGACTTCGGAGCTGTAGTGACTGAAAAATGCCACAATTCTTTTTCACAGTTCTTCTAAGATAAATTTGAGGTGTTATATTTTGAGAGACCATCTGAAGGAATCGAGTCCTTTCCTAAAACCTTCATAGCCTAATTTGTATATTTATTATATGGGAGAAAGGAAGTAGAACTTAAGTTCAATTTGTATACAAATGTACCTTTTTCTTAAAAATAGAGTAGTGAACATAATGCTATTTTCTTTGCTTTATGATCCTTGCTGAGGACCTTAAACAGTGAAACGGCAAAGAACATCAAACAGGTTAGATAAAATAGGCGAACATATTTTAAAGCTGTTAAGGTGCAAACAGACATAAAGGTTATGAATCACAGAGCACTGAATTTTCAAGAGTGAAATCATACCAAAACCGTGATAAGTTTTCGCTGCCATCATAGGAGAGTAAGTGGTCGGGAAGGTCAGTGATGGTGCCCTGTACTGCCAGCACATGCGGGGCCAGGGTGAACGGCACATCGCTCAGGAGCTCGGCCATTAATGAGCTGTTCTCCAGAGTCTGGCCTGCCTTATTTTCCATCTCAGGGTCTGATACAGTCACACTGGATGAATTTTCTTTGTTGGTCTAAAAATACATACATTTAAAACATTTAGGCCTTGTGAACTTTGAGGTTGAATAACGGTAAATGTGGCATTAATACATCAAAATGATTGAGCAATGTGGGCTATATAAATATTCCCAGATTTGAACGCAGCTCTTTACTTTACTTTAGAATTACATTCATCCAAATCTCTGTTAGGCTTTAAAATGAATCCTAAACTTTAACTCAGACTGACCACCCACAGACCCCTTAAACACAAACTGGCCTTCTTGTTATTTCCCTTGCTCAGATAATGTCTGCAAATTCTGTCTCCGCTTTTCCAAATCCTATGTACGTTTTCAGGCTCTGCTAAATTCTCAGCTGCCCTATAAAATCTTGTATCAATGGAGTACAAAGTGATCTTGCCTATTTCAGAATGCTTATGGGGCAAATTGCCTAAGATGTTATTTGGTGTTGCCTATATGTGTCCTTGCAAATTGCTGTTCCATATGCAAATATATCTTATCTCCAACTAGACTATAGGGTCCTTGAAGGCAAGCAGTCTATCTGGCATATCTTTGTATTTTCAACCTTGCACACTTTACTATTTGACAGTAATATATATGTACTCATAATTTATCTCTAATGTATACCATGAGTACTGATTGTCTGATTGTCATTGGAACTAACCTGTTATGTCATAAAAGTTACGCAATTTTTTAAAAAAGGATATATCTTGTTCAATTTCTTTACAATTAATATGTCTTGCAAATCACCTAAATATCAATCAATAGAAGAATGGATAATAAACTGAAATTTATTTACAGCAATGAAGATGAATGGCCTGCCACTACAAGCACCTGGAACCTAACTCAAACCAGCCTGGGCAAAAAAATGACTCCCCCCTTGACCCTCAATCTCAGGCAGAATGAAACTCCCAAGTCTTTACAGAGGCCTACTAGCTCCTTCGCCATCTGGCTCCAGGTGTGCTTCTGCCCTCATCTCCAGCTCGTGTGCCCTGGCCTATTCCTCTTCAATCCCACTGTCTCCTTGCTAGTGCTCCTTGCAAGTGCTTGCTCGTGCACACCGAGCCTGCTTCTGCCTCAGGGCCTTTGCTTTCCATTCCCTCAGACCAGGACGCTCTTCTCCCAGACATACACAGGGCTACTTCCCTTATCTCCTTCCAAGCGCTAGCCCAGATGCCATCTCAATGAGGCCTTTTCTCACTTATATAAAACTTACTTTTACGTGGTTTTTGTTTGTTATTTTTTTGAGACAGAGTCTCGCTCTGTCACCCAGGCTGGGGCGCAGTGCGTGATCCTGGCTCACTGTATCCTCCCTGTCTCAGCCTCCCAAGTAGCTAGGACTATAGGAGCATGCCACCATGCTTGGCTAATTTTTGTATTTTTTTGTACAGACAGGATTTCACTATGTTGCCCAAGCTGGTTTTGAACTCCTGGACTCAAGCGATCTGCCTGCCTCCCAAAATGCTGGGATTACAGGCATGAGCCACTGCACCCAGCCAAGAAGCTTTTGTAGCTCATGTTCACTGCTGTATTCCACATGCCTAGATCAGTGCCTACTGCTCAATAAAGATTTATTGGGCTTTTTGTGGTTGGCAGGCTATTAATTACTGCCTCAATTTCACAACTTGTTATTGGTCTATTCAGGGATTCGACTTCTTCCTGCTTTAGTGTTGGAAGGGTGTATGTGTCCAGGAATTTATCCATTTCTTCTAGATTTTCTAGCTTATTTGCATAGAGGTGTTTATAGTATTCTCTGATGGTAGTTTGTATTTCTGTGGGATCAGTGGTGATATCCTCTTTATCATTTTTTATTGTGTCTATTTGATTCTTCTCTCTTTTCATCTTTACTAGTCTGGTTAATGGTCCATCTATTTTGTTAATCTTTCAAAAAACCAGCTCCTGGATTCATTGATTTTTTTGAAGGGTTTTTCATGTCTCTATCTCCTTCGCTTCTGCTCTGATCTTAGTTATTTCTTGCCTTCTGCTAGCTTATGAATTTGTTTGCTCTTGCTTCTCTAGTTCTTTTAATTGTTATGTTAGATGTCGATTTTAGATCTTTCCTGCTTTCTCCCGTGGGCATTTAGTGCTATAAATTTCCCTCTACACACTGCTTTAGCTGTGTCCCAGAGATTCTGGTACGTTGTGTCTTTGGTTATAAATGCTAATGGTTATAAATGCTGACAAATTCTTAGACTGTAAGTCTAAAGGAGAAGAATAATTTTCTGGGCCGGGCACGGTGGCTCACGCCTGTAATCCCAGCACTTTGGGAGGTTAAGGTGGGCAGATCACCTGAGGTCGGGAGTTCGAGACCAGCCTGACCAACATGGAGAAACCCCGTCTGTACTAAAAATACAAAATACTTCATAAGGGTGTAACTTGCTAAATTTTTACAAACTGAATACACATGAGCAACCAGCGCCCAGATCAGGAAATAGAAAAGACCAGCCCCCAGAAGCCCTCCTGGTGTTCTCTTGCAGTCACAATCAACCCCCGTCCTGTCAATCACTATCCTTATTTCTAACAACACAGAATTGGTTTTACCTGGTTTTGTTTTTTAATTAATTAATTTATTTATGTATTATTTTGAGACAGAGTTTTGCTCTTGTCACCCAGGCTGGAATGTCCAGCTACTTTTTGTATTTTTAGTAGAAACAGGGTTTCACCATGTTGGCTAGGCTGGTCTCGAACTCTTGAGCTCAGGTGATCCACCCTCCTCAGCCTCCCAAAGTGCTGGGATTACAGGCGTGAGCCACTGTGCCCGGCCTGATTTTGTATTTTAAATGAATGCAATCATACAGTATGAACTCTTGCTTCTGGCTTCTTTTACTCAACATTATGTGGATGAGATTCATCTAAATTGTTGCATGTTAGATGAAAAAAATCTTGAAGAACATATTGTTGGAAAGGTGATATATTCTGACTGATGTTTTAAAATAATCACCCTGGTTGCTGGGTTGACAGCAGATAGTAGAGGTGGGGTGGCCGGGGAAAGAAGTGGGAAGATAGCTGGGAATGACAGATTACTTATGAAGTCGATTAGAGCAGGGATAGCAAAGGTGAGATAAAATGGTTGGATTTTGGATAGACTTTAAGGGTAAAAGGAACACAATTTGCTGATGGAATGGACGGTGGGGATATGAGAACAAGAGCACAGTTAAGGATAAAGCCAAAGCTCTTGGCCTGAGCGATGAGACACATGGAATCACCAATTATAGGGATGGGAAAGAGTACCAGAGAGCAGGAATGGGTGGGAAGATCAAGAGTTGGGTTTTGGAAGTTTCAGTGCCTAGCGGACATCAGGTGGAGCTGTTAGTAGGCAGGGGGATATAATTTGAATCTGCAGCTGGACGAGATCTGGTGGAGAAAGTGGAGAGAAAATTAGAACAGACAGTATTTTCTAGGTGTTACGATGTAAATGAAGAAACATATATGGGCCAGTAGTTAAAAAGGGATGTGTAGTCAAGAAAAGTTTCTTTTGATTTTTGTTTTTCAAGTTGGGAGAAATAATGACAATTTATAAGCTAATAAGAAACAGCTCATAAGAAAGGAAAAAATCCATAGAGAATTTATAGAGAAGGAACTCGTCACAAAGCATCTCCAATACCTAAAACAGAGGCCATCAAGAAATATTTTTTAGTGGATGACCTCGAATTAGTAAAGTTAAAAAGCACATGCCTATAAGAGTGGTCTTATAATTTCATGTGAAAATAACACCAGAGTACTGTTTTAGGACTGCAACTAACAAATGTAATCATACTCTATTATGATAAAGCTTGTTATAAAGATGTACATCTGCAGTGGGCAGATCCTGTCTCCTGAAATCTAATTGGGACTCACCATGCTAATTATCCTCGGGTCAGCCAAGAGTGCAGGTATGAGTAATGACACCACCATTCTATTCTCTTTAAAGGGCTTCTCTATACACTGGTTTATATAGAAAAACTGAAAGGGAAGCAACGTTTGGGTGCACCATAAAACCTCAAGATTCCATATGCACCGGGGCTTTGATCACCTGTGAGCAGGAGAACAAAGTGGTTAGGAGCACAGATTCCAGAACCACGCTGCTTGGTATAAATCCCAGGTCTCTTGTTTATTAATAAGCAAATGGCCTTGGGCAAAATATTTAACTTCTCCGTGCCTCAGTTTCCTTAGCTGTATTATGAGATTGATAACAGTTAGCTATTTCATAGGATTGTTAAATGCAAGGATTAAATAAAGTTATATTTATAAGTAAGCAGAACAGTGCTCGGCACAGGTTAAAGTAAGTGAATAAATAACATTTTAGAAATGCCAGATCCCATTTGGGTTTAGATGAAGTTTAGAATCCATTCATCTCTTTTGACACTCACTGGTAGTTCAAATAATACCTTTCCCTCTCCTTTTATTTCTTGCTTTCTCTCTTAATCTCATGTGTAAATGTTCCCTAGATCTGGTAGTCTCATCCCACTCAAACTTTCTTTTCTTTTTTGGTTGTGTATAGAATGTTCTAGAGTTTCATTAGCGAAATCATCTCCTTTTTTAAACAAAAGCATTCCTGACATCCCACATTCTGCACTAAAGTGGAGGTATAGGCATACATTCTTTTATTGCACTTTGCTTTACGGTACTTCATAGATACTCCATTTTTTACAAATTGAAGGTTTGTGGCAACCCTGCATCAAGTAAGTCTACTGGAGTCATTTATCCAGCAGCATGTGCTCACTTTGTGTGTCTATGTCACATTATTATAATTCCCACAATATTTCAAATTTTTTCGTTATTCTATCTGCTTTGGTGAGGCATGATCAGTGATCTTTGATGCTATTATTGTATTTGTTTTGCAGTGCCACGAACCATGCCCATGTAAGATGACAAATTTAACTGATAAATGTTGTGTGTGTTCTGATTGTTCCACCAACTAGTTGGCCATTCCCCTATCTGCCTCTCCTCAGACTTCCCTGAGACAGCTCAGTATACTTTTAATTAAGACATGTACATTTGTTTAGACATACTGCTATTGCACACTTAATAGATGACAATATAGTGTAAGCATAACTTTTATATGTAGTGGGAAACAAAAAAATTTATGTGGCTCACTTTAATGCAATTTTCACTTTACTGCAGTGATGTAGAACTGAACCCGAAATATCTTCGAGGTATGCCTGTACATTACCTGTAGCATTTTGCTTTCTAAACACACAACTTCTTTTTTTTTTTATTTTTTATTTTTTATTTTTTTATGGCTGAGTAGAGCAGACTTTACTGATGGGACATGAAGGCCCCCTCCTCTTTCGGAGGTCTGCATGGAACTGCGGAGGGGAGATTCTTGATGTGGTGGGAGACTGAGTGTGGCAAGGACTCCCCAGCAGCTGAGGTTCTCTCTCTTCCTCTTGAAACACGCAGTGCCTAAGGCTTAACTCTCCAGCAGCAATATTTATTCCTCATATTTTTATTAATCCTCTTTTTTTTTTTTGACAATTCTCTGTTATTTGTGAGAACGTAATTCCTTGAGGACAAGAATGTATCAAACTATATCTAGTACAGTAAAAAAATTGGGACATGCTTTCTCATTCAAGTTATCCTGATAAAACTGCCATCTGACCTGAAGGGGGTTGCTTTACCCATTTGAGCCTCAACCCACTATTATGTAAAATGAGTGAAGAGGGACAAAAGATGAAGATGATGAAGACAACTAGGATGACAATGATGACAAGACAGCAACTAGCATATACGGAACACTGTGTCAGGCTGTATCTAAGCTGTTTAAATGTATTTGCTCATTTAAGTCTTACAACAGCCTTGTAAGGGTATGTGCTCCTATTAGTCCCGTATTAAAGACAAGAGGAAACTGAGGCACAGAGAGGTTAAGGAAGTTGTCCCAGATTACACAGCTTGTCAGTGGTGAAACTGATAATCAAACCCAATGACCATTAAAGCTCTATATTCCAAGATCCTGCACATTTCAGACATGCTTTGGATAGAATGATTGACTGAATGAACAGTGCTTCAACAATTTTAGGGTACAGCATTAGAAAATATAACAGTTATTAAAGTAGCATATCTTGGCTTAATTTAGGAAGAAAAAAGATGCTAATATTTTGTACCTTAAAGAAGAAAGGACTGAGAAAATCATTAAGGTGACAGATCTTACAGACAGGCTGAAGAAGGATGGAAAAGCAACTCTAGTTTAAGATATATTTATCCCTGGAAATGAATCTACCAGCAGTCTGGATAAGACCATGGGAAAAACACCGTGGACAGTGAAAAATTGTCTGTGAGTTGATAATTATTGAAACAGACATGAAGGTAAGTGGGAATGCACTATAGTATTCTTTCCACCTTTGTATAAGCTTGAAAATTTTTCATAATTAAGTTTTTAAAAATTAGTTTAACAATACGATGGGCAAAGTGTTCCACCAAATGCCTCCTAGGATGATGTGAATTTCAGCTGTGCTGTAAGTATTACTCCAGCATCTATCTCTTAACTGTTGGCTATAGTGCAACATTACAGTCTCCAAGGAGGCTGCCTGCCCTCTTGGCAGCAGGGTGAGTGCCATGATGCAGCTGCTGTTGGCATGCTGAGAGCTGGAAGGGGAGAAATATAAGCCAAAACAAGAGTAAGTCACAAAGAAAATGTGAGTCAAAATTCAAGGACCCTACAGCCTATAAACCTGATCACTAAGTCTGGCAGCCAATGGAAGCAGTGGTGGGGGCTGGGGGTTTAAACAGGTGCATGAGTTCCCCTCCAAAAAAGCAGCTTTCTCTTAGACACAAAGTCTTGTGATTTTTTTCATTTGCATAATAAAATGGGTCTTTAATGGGAAGAATTAGTATGTTAACCACAATAGAGCAAGAAGAAAAGACTCAATTAACCTTTTGGTTAATAGCCAAATTTCAGAAAATTAATTCAAATACTAAGTTCATAAAGCGTATTTGTTATTTTTGTGATGAATCCTGTTCACAGAAATGCTATCATAATGTTTCTGAGTATAGTTTCTTCATAAACCTAGCTTTAATACTTCTTTTTCAAATTATTAGCGGTTGCCCTTACCTAGTTTAAATATGAGCATACCGTGTCAGATTTTTTTAATCTTACAAAGAAAGTTAATATTCTTATTTATATCATTACAACAAATAAAGTTTGCTGTTATAAGCTGTTTTCATATGTTTGTATAAAAACTATTTCTTGTTCATCAGTTAACCTGTTAAAAAATTGACTGGCCAAATTTATTTTCATTCCTTACATTCTATTATCTTTATTTCAAGTAATTCAAAGAGGTTTACAGGCACTGTTCCTCCCTTTCTTGCAGAGGGGTGTAAAAATTCATGAGGTTCAATCTTAAAAATCTTCTCAGAGCTTAGGAAAAAACACACTCCAAGAATACAAGGCATATAACACTTTTCAGCAAAGGGTTGGAAAAATGAAGTCACTTCCCCAGAGCAACAGAAGGTTAGTGGCATCCTTGTGAACCTCGCTCTTGGGTGTTTGAAAGCAAGGAAATTCAGGTTTAAGAACAGACAACTACATTTTTCCTGGCACAAAATTCCAGTAACCACCATGAAGTCTATTAGGAGGCGCCAACTTTGCAGACGCACTAACAATTGGAGACCTCATCTACTTAGCTATATCCAACTAAATTATGAATATTTTATTAATATGAAAGTCATCTATATTTGGCTTCTTTTAAAACCTCCTGCTTTTTTCTGCAACCTATGCCTCAGACAGAGATAAAGTAGTATGCTATAAAAGCAAAATATTGATGCATTAAAATTTAGAAACCAGCCTTAACTAAAACAGCAATAGAACCTATTAAAAGAACATGAAACCAGGTATAAAACACTCTTCCAACACATTCAATTTACATGCAAAGAAGGTAGCTGTATCAAGCATATTTCTAGAAAACAAGTTACAAAAAGAAGAGGTAATATCAAGCTCTGGCTGTCTATGCCTTTAAATTCTAATGTCTATAAATAAAAGACGTGCTTCTTTGAACAATAGCCTGAACAAGCAACACTGTCACTTTATCTCCCTAGATAACTATCCATTCTATTCTGGCTTCAGCTGGTATCTGCTTGCATTACTGTGGGGTGAGGTGGAGGGGCAAATCTGAGTTAGAAGCATCAGGGGACAGAGGTTAGGAGAAGGTGATATAAGCTATGGCACAGTTAAGGCAGTACTCAAGCTTTTTATTTTTTATAAGAAGCTGGTCACTAATAAATGTCTGTCTAGCTATTAAATGCCTGAGAGTTGGTGTCCTGCACCTATGTAATTCCTAAGCAATAGTCTCCTTTCACTTGGGAGAAATCATATTGCAACGGCAAAGATTGTTTCCTCTTTTTCTCCAAGTTCCCAGTACCCAGAACAGCACCTATATATACAAAGTGCTCATTAAATGTTTTTGAATGGCACTAGATCTGGTCCCCTTCTTTTTCAGATACTCTAGGCACTCAGACTTGATTTTAAAATTGAAAGGTTAGGTCAAAGAAAGAAATAAAAACCCAGGATATGTTGTCACTGATACAGAAATTAGGGGGGAGAAGCTGAATTCACAGAAGATTTCTATCTCCATGTGGCCTAGGTGTTAGTTTTGCCTAGAAGTGAGGGCTCCAGTTCAAGAACGCTGTATTTCAGTAGCAAACTAAGAGGCTAGGTTAGAAGGCAGATTATTTTCTCTGTTCCTTTCCTAGTCTCTGACATCATTTTGGTTTACCTTCTGGCTCATGATTTTTTTTTTTTCAGTATTTTTTCCATTTTCTCTTCTTTCTCTTTCCTTCAATATTTCTACCTGCTTGTGCTCCGTGGTTCTCCAATCTTTCTTTTAAAAAGAAAAAAATGTTCTCCCGACTTCCTCTTTTCAGAACTCCAGCTGAACGTACATACAAGTGCAGAAGGGGAAGTAAGCAGGCTGTTACTTGCTTCTGTAATCTGTTCCATGTATTCTTGGAAAAGTGGTTTGTCTGAAGCTGGAAAAATCTTCTCTACTAGCCAACTAGAGTGGGGGCGCGGTGGAAAGAGGAAAGAGAAGCACTTCAGGAAAGGAACCAGGCAAGAAATAGTGCGTTAAATGCAGGATCCTATTTAATACTGGTTTTGAAAACACAAAAGGCTGTTTCAGTGATTTTTTAAAAATTGTTTTAAAGTTGCTTTATAGAAATTCATAAACTCCAACCGTAAGCTGTCCAGGCAGCTCATATTTTCCCAGTAGGCCTTCCCGCCTCATGATTCTCAGCACACATTTCCCCTTTCTCTTCTCTCCTCTAGCCCTATATCACCAGCTTCCTCCTCGCTGCTGGCAGGTGGGCCAGCCTCCTACTTCACAGAGAAAACAGCAACCACCGAGTGAGGATCTCCTCTATCTGCTCTACCCCCCAACAAATGTATCTGCATTTGTATCCAACCCCTTCCCCAGAGCTTCCAGGGCTGCAGATCCACCCAGTGCAAACTCTTCAAGGACATGGCTTCATCAATTAGGGGGAGTCTCCTAATTGCTAATCTTTCCTAGAAGCAATTAACCATTTTTTAAAATTCGACTCAACTCTATATTGCCTATTGGAATATCACCTTCCTAACTCCCATACTATCTTTCTATGTTTTTTTCACAGCGAGGCTGAGACCATTGTTGGCACACACTGTCTGCCATGCCTCCCTCACCCACTGCAACCTGCCTCCTGCCTGCACCCCTCTACTGAGTCTGCTTTCACAAAGGTTACTAATAATCACTCTCTTGCTAAATTCAGAAAATGTTTGGAAGTGCTAATCTGAAATGACCACTTTGTAGCACTTACTGCTACTGACTCTGAATTTTTAGTTCTTGGCTTCGGTACACTTGTTAGTTTTGTTTTCTACATGTCTAGCTGCTTATTCTTTTTGTCTATTTCTCAAGTGATGGTGTTCTTTAGGGTTCCATTTCTGTTCCTTTACTCTTCCTAATCTCAACACACTTCTTCGGATGAGCTTATCTGATATGGAGCATGCCTACTGCTCCACTCTTCCACTCCCCCAAAAGTAATATGTATGTAGATACATGCACATATACCAATCTCAAACTCGGATTTCTCTCTAGAGTTCCTGATCCATATGTTCAACTCCTATTATACATTTCCTTTTGCATATTCCACAGGACATCTTACACTCAACATGTTTTAAACCTGGCTCTTAGCTTAGTCCCTTCCTTACCTTAACCTTACCTCAAACTTAATGCTCTTCCAATCTTCCAATATTTTCTCTATCAGTGAAGAGAACCTATATAGTTGCCCAGCACAGAAACCTGTATCATCTTTGACGTTTCCCTCCCTCTCACTTCCTCCATGCAATAAATCACTGAGTCCTATTGACTTTTCTGCTTTTAATATCTCCCCTAATTCATCCATTTCTCTTCAGGTTCATGTCATTCTCTTCATTCAGGATACTAAGGTCTTCTTCCTGGAATGCTGCAAGAGTTTCCCATGTACAGCTTTACTACCCTACACTACACTCTCCCTACCACTTGTAGCATATAAAACACATTCTCTTCCTTGCTTAACATTCCTCAATGCCTTTGAAAAAAGACCAAACTCCTTATCACGACACACAAGCATGACCTGGCCTTGCTTACCCCTCCAATTTCTTGTACTCTTATTCCTAAACTCTTTACTGCATCCATACCAAGCTATCCGCTGTTAACCAAACCTTTTCATGGTGCCTACTGCTTTCCACTCCCTCAAAAGTAGACATGTATGTAGATTCATGCATGTGTGTGTACACACACTTTCTCTTTAGTTCTGAGCCTTGGCTCATTGAATTACTTAAACCTAAGTTAAGACATCCTCTCTTCTACTCCCTTCATCTTGCCTATTTCAATTTGCCCTTCCAGGTCACACAAGCCTCTTTTAGAAAGACTTCCCCAACTAACTCCCCAAACGTGGGCCAAGTAACCATCCCTGTGTTCCCTTAACAGCTTATGCATACTTCCCTCACAGCACACATCACACTCGACTAGAATTCCCTGTCACCCCCACAAACCTACGGGCTGTTCAAAGCCAGGGACTACAGCTTTCATTCCCATTTCCTTCCCAGCCAGCACAATGTGGGGCTCATAACAGATAATCAATACATGTTTACTGAATGACTGAATAATCTAAATCTCTTCATAAATTTTATATTCACATTTCTTCTAAATAAGTTAGGAATTAGGATGTTGGCCCTCAATTCCTGCATTTGTTTCTTTGTTTTTCTAAGATTTTACCAAACCCATTTTGCCCGTTATCACCAACATGATAAACTATGGATGGTATTAAATGCAGAGATAAACTGGTTTGTGACTCCAGCTACATCCATTTCCTCAAGCATGAGATAAGTTATTCCTTGACTTGCCAAATGAACAGCTTTACAAATACATCTCCTAAAGGAAGTTTAATGGGGTCCTGCCACAATGTAGATGAAATTGTTGGGGAAAGATTTTTCCTACAGACCCATCTTCTCACTGAGCTAGCCTCATCTACTCCAAAGTCCCCTCATCTACTCCAAAGTCCCCTTAACCAACCTGCCTTACACAACTCTTCTCTCCCAGGAATCAGTGTTTCTCTCCAGCTACATGGTATAATCTGGAGGGGCTGTGGTGTAGCCTATGCTTGGGGACAATGGACATGAACAGCAACAGGGTGGCAGGACTAGGTAGGTACTGAAAAGGAAGGAGAGCCTCAGAGATGAGAGCTGCAAAGGAGGGTAGGCAAGGGGATGGGCAGGTGAATTCCATTTATTTAATTGCTGTTCACCTCTGTTAGAGGAAAAGCCTCATATCTACTTCTCTGGTTTCCATAAACAGGGATTTTTTTCTGTAAGGAACTCTGGCCTTCTCCTCCACCCCTTATTCCTCCCCAAGGAGGTAGGCTGAGTTACCTAGTTGGTGGGTCTATATTGTTTTTAGTCACAACACTTATGACACTAAACACATGGGCTTTTTCCTCATACCAACCAATTCTCCAACTCCCCGAATAACAACCGAGTGTTCTACAATTCAATTCAATTCCAACGCTAACTTCCTGGAGGTAGCCCAAACCCCACAGGTTCAGGGATCAGTCTCACAAGGCTGCGCCCATTTCAGATGCCAATCACAAATTCAGGTCACAGGTACTTTTGACTGACGAGCTATAAAGTCAAGGATTCCCACAACCCCCTCCTCCAGGTTGATAATTTGCTAGAGCAGCTTACAAAACCCAGAAAAACAATTTTCTTCACACTATTGGCTTATTACAGAGGATACCCTCATGAACAGTCAAACAGAAGAGATGCATAGGGCAAGATCAGGGGAAGGAGTTTGGGGCTCCCACACCCCTTCCGGGACCTCGCCCTTCTAGCACCTCAATGTGTTCACCAATCCAGAAACTCTTGGAACCCACTATTTAGAGGTTTTTATGGAGGTTTTATTACATAGGCATAAAAATCATTGGCCACTGGTGATTAACTCAATCTCTAGCTCTTCTTCCTTCCCAGAGGTTAAGGAGTGGGTCTGATGGTTCCAACCCTCTAATTACATGGTTGGTTCCTCTGGCAAATGGTCCTTCATTCTGATGCCATCTAGAAACCACCAAGAGCCATCTCATTAGTACAGTGGGTCCTCAGATAACATTGTTTTTATTCAATGTTACAACATGGATAAGAAAAAAAACTCAATTCTTCAAGACGCCACTGTGTGTGTGTGTGTGTGTGTGTGTGTGTGTGTGTGTGTGTGTGTGTGTAGTTTTCATGTTCTCCTCATGTCTAGCTGGGTTTTCTTCAGGTACCCTGGTTTCCTCACACATCCCCAAGCTGTGCATGTTAGAAGAACTGGCGTGTCTGCGTTGTCCCCATCTGCTTGAGTGTGGGTGTGTATGAGTGTGCCCTGTGATGGGATGGTGCCCTGTCCAGCTCTGGGTACCCCCTCACACCCTGAGCTGCTGGGATATGCTCTGGCAAGTCCAAATTCAAATAACTGGGTGAGTAATGTTCTTACTTGTCTTTATTAATATTTCTAAATGTAGAGCTCACATTTATTTCAGTGTTTACTATTAGAAGTGTTTTGATCTTTATTTAGAAGTTTGGTGATTTTTTGTGACCACAAATATACCATAGCAACTTAACTCTTATTTCTATCAATCAACCTACAGTAAAACTGGTTTTGTTATATGTTGTTTTGCTTAAAGTTGTAGCTTCCAAGAACCTATCGAGGATGTCAATAGAGGGTTTACTGCATAAAATCGGGCATGGTTGAAAGGAACTTGTTATGGATAACAAAAGATGCTCCTCTCACCCCTATTACTCAGGAAATTCAAAGTGTTCTAGAAGCTCAGTGTCAGGAACCAGAGACAAAGACCAGATATATATTTCTTCTTATCACAGTGGATGACAGGCGTAAGCCTGTATTTCTAGGTGGGCTAAGCTAAACCCTAATATCCTAAGGCCCAGGGAGAGTCTCTTTCTCCTTATCTCTCTACTTGGACTGGGGAAAAAAAGTGGCCAAAGGGAGAGTCTGTTGTGGTGCCTTAAACTTCCCCACAGATGTAGACATGGGACAGTGGGAGTGCACAAGTCCATCTTAGCTATTACACTATCCACCCACAGCTTTATGTATCTTGTTTCTCTGTTTGGTGGCTCTTTGATCTTATTTCTCCATTGGCTCTTGATGCAAGAAGGAAAAAGAGTGCCCTTTATTAGTACTTAAGACCCCCACCAACTTCTACTGCCCATTTACATAAAAAAGGCACATTAACCACACCAAAACAAAACAAAACACAAAACAAAAACCGAAGTAAAGCAAATGTTAAATGATCTGGAAATTTAAAATATAACAAACTAAGGGTTTAAAACATGTGCATGCCCCATAGTACTATACGAAACAACATACTGGTACAATTTTATCAAAGTTTCATGATAACTCAGTTAGATCTAAGAGATCAGAAAAGTTCTCATCAGAACCTTGGAAAAATAACAAATAACATTTGTATGGTGCTCTATACAGTTTTCAAAGTAGTTTCACATGTATTTAATTTGAACCTCACAACTCACTAAATTTGACAGGGAAGCTATTATTTCATTCTAATCTTCTGAGGCTCAGAGGTTAGTGACTATCACACCACCACTAACTGGCAGAGACTTACACTTTGGGTCTTCTGACTTAAAATCCAATGCTCCCTGTCCCATACTCCAAGTCAATGACAGTCACATATAGACTATAAAACAAGTATGTATCCCCTGTGTCCAGATCGTAACAATGTCGATGCCACCTACATAAGCAATCTCTAACAAGGTAATCCAACTTGGCCAAGCTGATTTCTTTTTTTTTACATTAAATCAGCAATATTTCAATTTTATGTACTATAGTATAATTTCACAAAAAAATGTTTTACTGAAGTTTACCTAGACATTATCATAATTTTCTTTATGAGTCTAAGCAAACTGAATTGGTTAAAGCCTTCCGGTAAATTTCCATCAAGCGAAATAATTTTAAAGGTTACTTGTCTGTAGTTTTTTTGTTTTTTGTTTTGTTTTTAGGTCTCAAGTTTAGCAATTTCTTTATGGACAAGTGTCATCTGGATTGGAAAGTGAAGGTCCAAAAATAAAGACTGTGCCGCTATAGAAACTGAGTTTAAACTAACAGTTAAACTAAGCATCTTATTACTAGGTTAAATCTACCAAGCTGGTTACAACATGTAGTAGCTTAGAAAACTACAGCATCTAACCACAACCAAGGCTGCAAAACAGTTAAGACTTTTGTGCACGAATTCTTCAAGCTTATTATGTATACCACAGGTCTGAAGAACTTGATATCCCTTGTTAGTCACACTGGATTCTATTAATACTTAACTTCCCATTTATATAGCCTTATTTATTGTAAGTATCTATTCAACTTCTTCAGAATGTAATGCAACAAGATCATATTTTTTCCAGATAATTTAAAAGGAAAACAATGAGAAATGATCTTGCCCATCTCCTCAGCATTGCTGAACATTAATTTCACTGAAGGGAATAATACTCATTTCAGTGAAACATAAAGTACTTCAATCATCTACATATACAATAAGAAAGAAAATGGAACACTTTCCATTTTAAACCTGGTAAGAAAATATAAATATATTATACTAATTTGTTTTTATATAAATAAATTGACATCACTTATATGATATCGACTGAATGCAAATAAATGGCATAAGATACAGTCAAAAATACAAGAAGAAAGTAAATCTAAAAATATTAAGTACCAGCTGCATGTTGGATTTTTTGGTGTGTGCTTTGATAGAATGAACATTTGCCATTCTCATAACCTAAGTATGATATATATTTTTAAGAACAAATAATTAAATGTTATGACAAACAACAATGAATACAGTTATTTCATGTTAAGGCTGTTGTCTGAGCACAAAAACTAATCTGTTCTGCTGCTCTTAATATATGCTGAAAATGTATGCTTTGCCACTGTTTCTACAATTATTATACAAAAACATAAATATCTAATACTTAGTATGTACTTAGAATTGCTCATGTTCACCCTATGTATAAACATCTCTCTAATCTCAAAAAGTAAATAATTCTTCAAGAAATGGGAAAATATTGGAGAAGAAAAGCCTTATTTTCTGTGTAATTTGAATTTGATATATAGAGTAATCCACATACTTGGAAACACTATAGTTGGTGAATACACAACTGTGTGTTTTCATATACAGATGAAAGTAAGGAAATGTGTCATACCAAACTGAGTACAGAAATTATGAGGGTAGACTAATTAAATTCCAATGGGCGTATGAGTGATAGTGTTACTCACACTTGCTGCACCTAACCCAGAACTCCACTAGAAAAACAATGTTTGGCAAACTGAAGAGGTGAGCAGAAAGCTGTGTCACTTGACCTTGGCTCTCACTTGCAAAAGGTTATATTTCAAAATAGAAGATGGGGTTGGAAAAGTAAACACAGCTGTGTTTTCTCCACCCCAGTATGAGGATGAAGTGGCCATTCAGAATGGCAGGAGGCTGAGTCCCTTCTTGGTGCACACTCAGAGCTATTATTTCATTTCATGGCTAACTCAGGACAGTAGTTTGTTATTGTGGTAAAATATACAAAAATAAAATTTACCATCTTAACCATTTTTAAGTGTACAATTCAGTGGCCTAAGTAAATTCACAGTGTTGTGCAACCATCACTACTCTCCATCTCTAGAATCCTAAACAGAAACTCTATACCCATTAAACAACTCCCCATCCCTCCTCTCCCCAAGCCCTGGGTAAGCTTTTTGTAAACACTTTTTGTCTCTATATATTTGCCTATTATAGGCACCTTATATAAATGGAACCATACAATGTATATCCTTTTGTGTCTGGTCATTTTACTTAATAAAATGTTTTCAAGGTCCATATATGTTGTAGCATATATCAGAATTTCATTCCTTTTTAAGGCTGAATAAGATTTCATTGTATGTATATGCCACATTTTGTTTATTCATTTATCTACTAATGGACATTTGGTTGTTTCCATCTTTTGTCTAATGTAGGACAATTATTATTATTATTATTTTTTTTGTTATTTTTTTTTTTTTTGAGATGGAGTCTCGCTTTGTCGCCCAGGCTGGAGTGCAGTGGTGCAATCTTGGCTCACTGCAAGCTCCGCCTCCTGGGTTCGCGCCATTCTCCTGCCTCAGCCTCCCGAGTAACTGGGACTACAGGTGCCCGCCACCATGCCTGCTAATTTTTTTTTTTTTTTTTTTTTTGTATTTTTAGTAGACACAGGGTTTCACAGTGTTAGCCAGGATGGTCTCTATCTCCTGACCCCGTGATCCACCTGCCTCGGCCTCCCAAAGTGCTGAGATTACAAGCATAAGCCACCACGCTCGGCCAGGACAATATTTTTAAGTAAAAGGTGGAAAAGTTGAGAAACAAGTCTAACAGATTCATTAGGATTTGATGAATATAGGAATACAGAATATTTAAGTAGATGGAAGACAATTAGCAAGGGCCCGAAGTGAGAGAAACACAAACCATGGTTCCTGCTTATTTTGAATTATAAACTTATTTGGGTAAGATAAATTTGTACATTTTTATAATACACTCTTTGCTTGTCTTTAAAAATCATAATTAAAGTAAATCTGTTCAATTTAATATTTTATAAATTAAAATCTGAATATAATTGACACTATTTCAATCTTGTTTGAAACAGCTCCATAATCCCTAAGACCTTTCACACACACTGGAACTCTACACTACAATACTTTTCTGTGGTTATTATAAGGGTACAAGATGTCCTTACCCGCTCTTGGAGAAAGTCTACCCAATAAAATAGAGTAAATAATACCAAGAAGTGATTAAAAATGAGAAGCCACAATGGTGTCTAAAAATCATAAGAGGAAAATTTAAAGTTCACATAGCTTAATAAATTTCAAAAATTATAATGCTTCAACAAAGTAACAAACTTTACATAAGCAACCTGGAATTTCTTAAAGGAAAATACAGTCTAGTGAAAAAATGCTTTCAGATCAACAACAGAAAAGTTGATTAATGGATAATCAATTCTTAAGGTCATCTTTTTCCAGGATTCCTAGCATTTTTGGGAAAAAGGTAATTATCAGAATATATTCTGTTACTTGTACGTCAAGTTGAAAATTAATCTGCAAGACTTAGTAGAAAGAGCACTGGTCTCAAGTCTCAATGACCCCTGCCTCTACCTAAACCGTGTGACCTTAAGCGAATCATTTAACCTTTCTGGGTTTCAATTTACTCCTCTGAAACATGAGATAATTGAACCAGATGATCCAGCTCTCAAATGCCATGCTTCCAAGTAGACTTAGACCACAAATCTGCAATAGTAAAAATTCTTAAGGAAATAGTACTTAAATCAATATAAATGGTAACAATAGAAAGAAAGTAATTACTGAAAAGATACTCGTAATTCAGAAAGATATTCCAAAGGTTATGTGAAGGACTCATATAATGGAAGAATACCTAACTTCACACTGTTCTTGATTATGGTAAGAAACATAAACACTTAGGAGTCAAATAAGAAAAATACAGATAAGTGCCAATCTTCTCATAAGCACGGCCTAAAAATAATCTTTATAATTATTAAGAAGTCAGAATGTATTTTCTTAGGCTAATGAGTTCACAATAGAGACAAAAATCCTATATGCTTCTAACACACAGATGTAGAAAAATTATTATAATATATGCCTTGAAATCAGGAAAACAATAAATTAGATTAAATTAAAATTTATCCTGAATGCTAGTGCTTGAAAAGGCAATTTAGTTTGGAGGAGCTGAACTCTGGCAAAGGAACTTAGGAACACTTTCAAGATTGCTGGCCTCAGTTTGCTGGGGGGTATTTTCATTAGAAATATCTCTAGGAAATACATGAGTTGTGTTCTTTAAAATTTTTTGTTTTACTCCCATAAACAGCAAGGTGATAAAGTAAAATTTTCCTGAGATTAGTGGCAAAATCTGGAAAGAGAAGGGCATTAAGAAAGATGTACATGTATGAAAGAAAGCCATTAGCTAGAGGTGGAAATGACTGGTTACAAGAAGTGAAAGTGTGAGCATAATCCGTCTGCTAACTGTCAGAAATGGAAAACCGGATGTTATAGGGAAGAACCTCACACACTTCCTTCCTGGCCACCATGTGACTTTTCCATGGGTCAGGCTGGTTTTTCTGATGGCCGAACTAGGGAAGAGAAAAGCCTGGAATGACTGAGAGGAAGAAGCAACATCACACAGCTCTCTAGGACCCAGATGATTACGTATTTCACCAAAGTTTCTAGGTAGTCAACTTTTAAAACCCAGTACCAGATTTTCCTTTAGCCTTCTAGAAATCATTGCTATGGTTTCAACTGCCAAAGTGACCTAAAAGTGAACAGCTATAATTTCCCAAAGTGTTTTTAAGTGTATAGAAACTATGCTTACAGCCCAACAGAGCTTTTGTTTTTCCCTCCTCTGCCCTCTTTGCAGGTGAGTTGATAATCAGAATTCTCTGAAGAAACTAAATAATTTATGGTTCACTCCTGAGGGTAAAAATAAGGTGGTTTAAAATACGAGCCCTGATACATACTAATAAATAAATTATATTAGCTGTTACTGATTTTCGTTTCATTAACTTTACATCAAATCGGTCTTAAGCTTCCGATAGTGTGCCTATTTCTACTACCACCGTTATCAGTTCACACTGAATGAGCACTTACTTGCCAGTCACTGTTTTAAGCTCTCTACCTGAGTCTAATTTAATTTTTCCTTTATGAGGTAGGTACTATTTTAATCTCCACTTAACAGATGGGGAATACTGAAGTACAGAGAAGTCACACCGTCTAACTCTGGAGTCATAAGCTTAACCACTATTTCATGCTGCTTCCCAAATCCAACAGAGTATAAGGACATTTCACTTCATGCCTTTTAAAATGCAAAGCTATTGTTTCTAGAGACCAAAGATTATCTTCTCTTTCAGAAAGGGTTATAGATTCTTTTCTAATGATCATACTTATGTTTTCTCCCAAAACAAACAAACAAAGCAGATGGAATCTGGAGGACACCATTTTTTTGGAGGGGGAAAAACATTGTTGGCTGTTGTATTATGTGTCATTTTTATATCCAGCTCGATATGCTAATTCTATGTGGATCTTAGACACCCTGAAATTACAGGCTGTTTGGACTATTTTAATCCCTAAAAGCACTGTTGTGATCCCTGAATAATACATTTTAAAAATAACTGTTTACCTTACCTAAATGTATTCCAGTGAAATTTAAGAACTCAAAGTCACAACAGAGTGTCCTGTGTTCATGAGGACGACTCTTCCTGAGACAAGTCCTCTGTGGTCAGTTGTCCAGTAACAGGGACTGACTGCATTCAACTGCCCACATTCTCTAGCCCATAGCACTTGGCAAGCAATGGCAAGAAAGTGCCAGATGGTTGGGACCTAGGCTGCAATCTGTTCTCAGGAAATGAAAATATACCTTGCCTTTAACAGGCTGAAACACATGATCTGGGCCCACTTAACATGATTCCTGAACCAATTATGCTAAGAGATTATATCAGAGGCTAGAAAAGAGAATGAGAACATTTCCGGGACTGAATATAGTTGTAAACTCCCGGGTGGACCCTTAACTGTGGAAGAAAAGGGGAAGTACATCATCAGCATTTATGCCCAAAATAGTGCAAAAAAGAGTGGTGCTTTCATGCTCAAAGAGTACAGTTGATTTTTTAAAAGACCCGTGTGTATATTTTACTTCCTATTTATTTAATTGCTTTGAACTAAAACCTAAACAAAAACCGAATAATGTGATATAGTCCAAAATACAATTTTATGGTGGTTGCTTGAAAAATTATTGAAAATACCTGGGATCATCAACTATAAAAAGTAAAGCAAATCACAAGTTGAAAAATTTTTTAAATTCTGAGTAGACGATCAGTGAGAAGGAAACATAAAAACTATTCTGACTTGCACAAAAATGTGCCCAACTGATGCTATTCCTTCAGTTTTCCTTTTATACCCAAAAGTTAATTTGTTTTTGAAAAGAGACCTGTATGGTCAATATATGTAAAGTATATGCTTTTCTGTAGCATGAGCTTTGTATTGTCCCCTAGTATGGCTTACTTGAGTTTAGGGAAGCTCAATTAATGTAATATATCACATCAATAGAATAAAAAATTAAAACCACATGACCATCTCATACGGTCAACTCAATAGGCTCAGAAAAAAACATATGAAAAATATCCAATACCCTTTCATAAAAAGAAAAAAAACACACCCAATGATACGGTTTGGCGGTGTCGCCATCCAAAATCTCATCTTGAATTGTAATCTCCACAATCCCCATATGTTGCGGGAGGGACCTGGTGGGAGGTAATTGAATCATTGGGGTGGTTTTCCCCATGCTGTTCTTGTGATAGTGAGTAAGTTCTCACAAGATCTGAGGGTTTTATAAGCATCTGGCATTTCCCCTGCTGGCACTCATTCTCTCTCTTGCTGCCTTGTGAGGAGGTGCCTTCTACCATGACTGTAAGTTTCCTGAGGCCCTCCCAGCCATGCAGATCTGTGAGTCAATTAAACCTCTTTTCTTTATTAATTACGCAGTCTCGGGTATTTCCTTATAACAATGTGAGAACAAACTAATACAATAAATTGGTATTGAAGTAGTGGGGCATAGCTTAAGATACCTGATAATGTGGAAGCAACTTTGGAATTGGGTAATGGGCAGAGGTTGGAACAGTTTGGAGGACTCAGAAGAAGACTAGAAGACGTAGTAAAGTCTGGAACTTCCTAGAGACTTGTTGAATGGCTTTGACCAAAATGCTGATGGTGATATGGACAATGAAGTCCAGGGTGAGTGGTCTCAGGTGGAGATAAGAAACTTGATGGGAACTGGAGTAAAGGTCATTCCTGCTATGCTTTAGCAAAGAGACTGGCAGCATTTTGTCCTTGCCCTAGAGATCTGTGGAACTTCGAACTTGAGAGACGATGTAGGGTATCTGGCGGAAGATATTTCTAAGCAGCAAAGCATTCAAGAGGTGGCAGAGCATAAAGTTTGAAAAATATGCATCCAGATGATACAGTAGAAAATAAAAACCCATTTTCTGGAGAAAAATTCAAACCCTCTGCAGAAACTTGCATAAGTAATGAGAAGCCAAATGCAAATACCCAACAATGAGGAAAATGTCTTCAGGGCATGTCAGAGAGCTTCGCACCAGCTCCTCCCACCACAGGCCTGGAGGCCTAGGAGGAAAAGACGGTTTCCTGGGCTGGGTCTAGGGCCCCCCCTGCTGTGTGCAGCCTTGGGATTTGGTGCCCTGTATCCTAGCCACTCCGACTATGGCTAAAAGGGGCCAAGGTACAACTCAGGCCGTTCCTTCAGAGGGTGCAAGCCCCAAGCCTTGGCAGCTTCCAGGTGGTGTTGGTCTTGGGGCATGCAGAAGACAAGAATTAATGTCTGGGAACCTTTGCCTAGATTTCAAAGGATGTATGGAAACTCCTGGATGTCCAGACAGAAGTTTGCTGCAGGGGTGGAGCCCTCATGGAGAACCTCTGCTAGGGCAGTGCAGAAGGGAAATGTGGGGTTGGAGCCCTCATGCAGAGTCCACACTGGGGCACTGTCTAGTGGAG
This sequence comes from Homo sapiens, assembly GCF_000001405.40. Taxonomy (NCBI): domain Eukaryota; kingdom Metazoa; phylum Chordata; class Mammalia; order Primates; family Hominidae; genus Homo; species Homo sapiens. The sequence goes on along the minus strand of NC_000007.14, from coordinate 7,855,237 downwards.
TTGTGAGAAGAGAACCACGATCCTCCAGACCCCAAAATGGTAGATTCACTGACAGCTTGCACCATGCACCTGGAAAAGCTGCAGACACTCAATGCCAGCCTTGAAAGCAGCTGGGAGGGGCTGTACCCTGCAAAGCCACAGAGGCAGAACTGCCCAAGGCCTCAGGAGCCCACCTTTTGCATCAGCATAACCTGGATATGAGACATGGAGTCAAAGCAGAGTATTTTGGAACTCTAAGGTTTAATGACTGCCTTACTGGATTTCAAACTTGCATGGGGCCTGTAGCCCCTTTGTTTTGGCCCATTTCTCCCATGTGGGACAAGTATATCTACCCAATGCCTGTACCCCCATTGTATCTAGGAAGCAACTAACCTGCTTTGATTTTACAGGCTCATAGGCAGAAGGGATTTGCCTTGCTTTAGATTAGACTTTGGACTTGGATTTTTGGGTTAATGCTGGAATAATGCTGGGTTAAGACTTTTGGGGACTGTTGGGAGGATATGATTGTGTTTTGAAATGTGAGGACATGAGATCTGGGAGCGGCCAGGGGTGGGATGGTATGGTTTGGCTCTGTGTCCCCACCCAAATCTCATCTTGAATTGTAACCCCCATAACATCCAAGTGTTGTGGGAAGGACACAGTGGGAGGTAATTGAATCATGGGGGTGGTTTCCCCCATGTTGTTAACGTGATAGTGAGTTCTCACAAGATCTGATGGTTTTATATGCGTCCGGCATTTCCCTTGCTGGTACTCATTCTCTCTTCTGCTGCCTCATAAAGAGGTATCTTCTGCCATGATTGTAAGTTTTCTGAGGCCTCCTCAGCTACGTGGAACTGTGAGTCAATTAAATCTCTTATCTTTTTTTTTTTTTTTTTTTTTTTTGAGATGGAGCTTTGCTCTTGTTGCCCAGGCTGGAGTGCAATGGTGCCATCTTGGCTCACCACAACCTCTGCCTCCCGGGTTAAAGCAATTCTCCTGACTCAGCCTCCTGAGTAGCTGGGATTACAGGCATGCACCACCACACCCAGCTAATTCTGTATTTTTAGTAGAGACAGGGTTTCTCCATGTTGGTCAGGCTGATCTCAAACTTCCAGCCTCAGGGGATCTGCTTGCCTTGGCCTCCCAAAGTGCTGGGATTACAGGTGTGAGCCATGGCACCTGGCTAAACCTCTTTTCTTTATAAATTGTCCAATCTCAGGTATTTCCTTATGGCAACGTGAGAACGGACTAATACACCCAACAAAGAAAGAATAGAAGGGCTCTTCAGCAACCTGATAAAGTGTGTCTATAGAAAACCAAAGCTGACAACATTATTAATGGTGAAAGACTAGATGCTTTTCCCCTAAGACCAGGAACAAGACAAGGTATCCATTCTTGCTACTTCTATTCAACATTGTACCAGAGGTTCTAGTCAGGGCAATTAAGCAAGATCTCGATGACAATAATAATAGTTATCTAAATTAGGAAGGAAGAAGGAAAACTATCTCTATGTACAGATGATATGATTTTCTATGTAGAAAATCCTAAGGAATTCATTAAAATACTATTGGAACAAATAAGTTCAGCAGGTTGCAGAGTACAAGATCAATATACAAAAATCAGTTGTATTTCTATATACTTGGAATGAACAATCCAAATATGAAATTAAGATAATTTCATTTACAATACTATCAAAAATAATAACATGATTAGGAATAAATTTAATGAAAGAAGTACAAAACTCATACCCTGAAAACTACAAAGGATAATAGAAAAAAATTAAGACCTAAATAAATGGAAAAAAAAAATCCCACGCTCATGTATCAGAAGACAGTATTGTTAAGATGGCAATACTCTTCAAATTGCGCTACAAAATCAATGCAATCCTTATCAGAATCCCAACTGATTTCATTGTAAAAAAGTGGATCCTAAAATCCATATGGAATTGCCAGGAATCCAGAATTGCCAAAACAATCTTGAAAACGAACAAAGTTGGAGGACTCACTCTCTGATTTCAAAATTTTAGGCAATATTAGTCATGAGACTGTGGTATTGACATAAGCAGAGAGATATAGATCAATGAAATCGATTAAATGTCCTGTGTGATATTATGATATACATATATACTGGTTTTCGTCCACAGTTTCTGGCTCATAACTCCCACAGCATTTGTTATATAATGTCGGGGTGCTTTAGGCCTCAGAAAAAAACTCTCTCTTTCTGACCTTCTCCTGCCCTCTTTTCATGGCCCAAGGCAGGACTCTACTCTGAATGTTGGGCTATACGACCCTCATTCCAGAGAGGGTCCTGCCTCATATCCTGAAGAAAGAAATGCTGCACAGAGAGGCGAGAAGAATGTGAACAAACAGGTCTTGCTGGGTTTCCCCACTCAGTTTATTAATATTAGATCATATCCATTTTGTCCAGTCACATTTCTACATAGTTGTCAATTGTCTATCCAAGGATGTCTGCATAAAAGCCTAGGAGGACAGGGTTCGGGGGGCTTCTACAGAGCTGAATATGTGGAGGCTGACAGGAAGGAACTCATTTACGTGTTGGAAGGTTAGCACGTGCCAGCTCCACAGGAACAGAGTTCCTGTGCTCATGACCCTTCCAGACCTTACCCCGTGTATCTCTTCATCTGGCTGCTTATTTGTATCCTTTAAAATATCCTTTGTAATAATCAGTAAACATGTTTCCCTGAGTTCTGTGAGCCACTCTAGTAAAGTAGTCAAACCCAAAGAGAGGGTTGTGGGAACCCCAACTTAAAGCTGGTCTGTCAGAAGATCCAGGGGCCTGGACTTGTGACTGTTGTCTGAGGTGTGGGGCAATCTTGGGGATTGAGCCCACAATCTGTGGGATCTGACACTATCTCGAAAAAGATGAAGTAAAATTGAACTGGAGGACACCCAGCAGGTGTCTTCTACAGAACTAATTGCCTGCTTGCTGGTAGAGTGATATCCCCACATATTTTGAGGTCACAGAAATCTTCTGTGTTGGCTGCTGTTATGTTGATGTGAGAGTAGAGGAAAAACAGTTTGAGTTTTTCCAAACATCCAGAAATAAAGCCACGTATCTGCGGTCAGCTGATTTTTGATAAGGGTGCCAAGACCATTCAATGTGGAAAGAATAGTCTTTTTAACAAATATTGCTGGGACAACTGGATAGTCACAGCAAAATAATGAAACTGGACCCTTATCTCAAACCATATACAAAAATTAACTCAAAGTTGATCAAAAGCCTATAAAAGCTAACATATAAAACTCTTAGAAGAAAACATAAGGGTAAATCTTCAGGGCCTCACATTTTGAAATGGATTCATACATATGACACCACAAGCATGAGCAACAAAAGAAAAAATAGATAAGACCTCATCAAAAATATAAACTTCTATGCTTCAAAGGACATTATCAAAAAGTAAAATGGCAACCCACAGAATGAGAGGAAATATTTAAAAAGTATATATTTGATAAAGGACTTGCATCTAGAATATATTTTTTAGAAACCTCAACAACTCAAAAGACAATGAATTAAAAAGAATAAGCGAAGGATATGAGTAGACATTTCTCCAAAGCAGATATACAAAAGCCCAATAAGCATATTACTAGTCACCAAGGAAATGCAAATCAAAACCACAATGAAATACCAGTTCTCACCCAGCAGGATGGTTATAATCAAGAAGTCAGATAATAACAACTTCTGGTCAGGATGTGGAGAAACTGGAACACTCCCACACTTCTGGTGGGAGTGCAAATGGTGCAGCTACTTCAGAAAATGTTCTGGCAGCTTCTCAAAAGGTTAAACAGAGTTACATAAGACCCAGTAATTCTACTCCTAGGTATGTATCAAAAAAATTGAAAACAGGCATTCAAACAAATACTTGTACATAAATGTTCAGAATAGTATTATTTACAATAGTCAAAAGGTGAAAACAACTCAAATATTCATAGACTGATGAATAGATAAACAAAATGTGGTATAGCCACGCAATGGAATATTATACAACAATAAAAGGAATGAGAAGGAATGGAGTACTGCTTCAACAAGGATGACCCTTGAAAACGTTACACTAACTGAAAGAAGCCAGTCACAAAAGACCACATATTATATTATTCCATTTGTATGAACCAGTCAGAATAGGTAAATCTATAAGAGACAGAATAGATTAGTTGTGAAAATTTCACTTTTACTTCCAACATATCAAAGCTACATGTTCAAGTAAAAATATATATACTGGTCATAAGTTAGGTTTTATATATCTTTGAACACTTAATTAGACTCATAAAAGAAGTATTTCATTTTTTCCCCAAATATTTTTGGATATCATAAATCCACATTCATTTTAAAATTTATTGCAACCCATCTATAATATTTAGATGAACTTAAAAGAAATGTATATTCTACTTATAAGGTGCTTAAAAATCACTAATACACCTTTGTAAGACCCCCAAATCCTTCACTTCATTTTATCGTTAGCATTATTCTAGTAATAATTGTCCTCAGATATATGAATTAATTGAAAAATATCAAGCTCTTCCATCACATTAAGATATATGTTTCTTAAAAAATTACCTTCATGTTTAATAATTGTCAAAACATGGAATTACTTATATTGTTTTGACTGATTATATACCAGAAATAATTAAAATAATAAGTCAGAAGAAATTTTATAACACTTGGCCTTATGGTCATGGTAAATATACATATATTTTAAATTAACTTATATCAGTTTTCTTTGTTGCCAAGAAATATGATATTGTGATCAATAAAAGACATTCAAGATAAAAGATACAATTCTTTGGGGGGAAGTAGATGGAAATCTGAGTTCAAGGAGAAAAAGGAACGATGCAAAATTTCTGAATTGAGAAAGAGCTTAGCTTGTTCATGTATTTTTTAAATGGATGATGTAATGTATCAAATTGCTGTGGGATCTCAATTCCATTGGATATATTATTAAATATGTTTGAAAGAATGATGTAAGAGTTTCATATTTAAATATCAATATTTGTAATTTGTAAAAAATTCTTATCTTTGTAACTATTAAAGTTATAAAGGAAAAGTTTTATGATAGCTTAAAAATGTCATGGGGATAGATAGTTTTTAAAACTTCTTTTAAGAATAATTGCTCTAGGATTTATATACAAAATTGTATCTTCACAATTACTAGCTATTGCCAAATTGGTCTCTAGAGTAGTTGTACAGACTTATACTGGGCATGAAGGTTTTCCTTTTCCCTACAACATCATCAAAAATGGGTGTTTTCAGACTTTTTAATCTTTGCCAATCTGAATGTGAAAAGGCATCATATTTTAATTTGCCTTTGCTCCACAGTTCTATCTAAAACTCCTTGCTTCCCACTGAGCATATCCTCCTAACTCTTAAAAGTCTCAGCTTAAAACCACTCAGAGAGGCCTGCTCTGTCCACTCCATCTTAAAGTATGTGACCCCATTCACCCCATTCTCTACACTGCTGTTTCAATCCACAGATTATTTCATTTGCTGTACTTACCATGGTCTGATGTAATTTTATTTGTTTGCCTATTTTTATTTTAGTTTAGTTTTTGGTCTGAATCTCCTACTAAATGGTAAACTCCATGAGGCAGGGTCCCTGTCCACTCTGTTGTATGTGCAGTATATGAGAGAATACCTGGTATACAGTAGACACTCAATAAATACTGTTGAATGACCATCGCAGGGTTGGGTCATAGAGTGGTTTCATCCTCTATCCTTCCTTCAGAAGACCTCCCAGAATTCACTAGACCACAGTACCTGTCTTGCTCTTGGCCACACTCCTTAGCTTTACACTGGGTAAACTTCTATGTGCATAACCCTACAACTACTTTTATAGTGAACTGTGTTGAACTGCAGGACACAACATAAATATAGTAGTTAACAGCTCCCCATTTGTGTGACCTTAGAAAAGCTACCTTATGTTTCTGTACCTCAGTCACTTTTTATTCTCAAACACAAGAAAAGCAACTGTGGGAAGTGTTATAAGGAGGAGCAGCACGCAATGAAAAGAAATGGGATGGGCAGTCAAAATGGGAATAAGTGAATCTATTTGTAAGATGTGAGGATTGAATGAGATAATGTTGGCAAAGATCCTCAATACAGAATGCAGAATGCAGTAAGTAATCAATAAATGTTAGTCACTATTACCTCACTCTCTACAATGAAATTTGAACATGTCCATCAAGTCCATCATACTCAGCATTATCCCAAATTTCAACATAAGGGAAATATTTCATTCCAAGAAGTGCACGTAATATAAAATCGAACCATAACTTACATAACAGGTAGAACAATAATACTTTAAGAATGTGGCATATAGAGTTTTTCAAAGAACAAGAGAAATTGTATTGTTATCCTTGCAAATTGAGAAAGTAGTTTAAATAAAGTTGGCAGTAAAATATGAAAAAATTGCCAGCATATGGATAGCTTAAAAAATTCTTTCCTTCAAAAATACTGATAATTGACCTAATAATCCTAAAAGCAGACTTGACTTTCTGGTTGTCTTTTCCTTTAAGTTTGATGACTGAATAATAATTATAATTTTTATAATTATTTACTGGCTTTCAAACCCCTGTGTCACCTTCCAGGCAAGATTTCATAAATCTCTCCCTTTCCCTTCCTTTAACAATGCTCAGAAAAATAACTTTTTCAAGCAAACATTTCAATAATAGTAAGCTTGATTTGGCATATCCTCTATTGTCATTTTTGAGAACACCATAAGTGTTATTTGACTCTACCCTCCTTGGTGGAAGTACTATCTTTGGTATCGAGTATAATTTTAACCAAACTGTGAACACTTTAGACACCAGATCAACTGTTGATATAGAAAGTGAAGACTTCCTGCAGGAAACCAACCAACACTCGTGTAACTTCAGCCCAATTACCAATTTCACAGCAATGTATCAAAAATTGCTAAAATGTGTTTTCTTTCTGAAAACATTAATCATGTGTCATTTTATTTTGAGATGGCAAACTAAAACACAGATTGGCCATAATATATATCTTGAAACATTTAGTAGTACAACAGAGTCTGTTAAAATCAGTTATTTGAGGGAAAAATGAAACAGAGACTAGTAAATTGAAACAGGTTATACTGTAGTTGATTAATAATGTTAACAATGGTTAAAAATTATCATTTTTCAAAATACTATGCCAGGTAATACATCATTAGTTCAAAGGAGCTTCTACAGGTATCTTTCAACAATTCACTTCTTTATTTAATAAGTTTAAAAATTCCTCATTGGCTTAATTCATATTGGTTCGATACATCAAAAGATGACTGTCAACTAAAAATATCTTAAGAATTTTGTAGCTACATGTAGAAAAAACCAAGTGGCTTTGAGAAATTTGGCCAAATGGGTATAGATAATGGTTTCGGTTTTTGCAGTTAAAAAATGTGCATCCTGGGTGCCTCATGCCTGTAATCCCAGCATTTTGACAGGCTGAGGCAGAAGAATTGCTTTGAGCCAGGAGTTCAAAACCAGCCTGGGCAACATAGCAAGGCTTCATTTAGATTTGAGTCCCTATAATGTGCCCGGCACCAGAGTCGGGAAGAGTCATGATGCTGCCTTGGTGAGAATTACAGTCCAGTGTGGAACTTGGGCAAAACACTAGGAAACCAACTGTGGGAAGTGTTATAAGGGGGAGTAACATGCAATGAAATGAGATGGGATGGGCAGTAGGGATGAAGAGGGAAAAAGACAACTCATTTTGACTGCACATTCAGAGAAACGCTCACTGGGGAGGGGAGGTTTCAACTGAAATCTGGAGGAAAGGAGACAATGTCATAAAGAATGGGACCTGAAGCTAATTCAGGTAGCCAGGGTAACTGAGCATGTGGCCTCTCTAATGAAATGGTGATGACAATACTGTCATTCCTATCTCACAGAGATCCAGTGAGAATATATATATATATACACAAAGCTATGTAAACTGTGAAGCATCAGCTAGAGTGAAAACCATCTTGGTTTGCTCAGAACTAAACGGCTTCCTGGAATGCAGAACTTTCAATGCTAAAACTGGACAGTCCCAGGCAAACCATGTTCATTGGTCACCCTAAGCTGTATCACTTTAAAACAATTATTATGATCAAATATATATATATATATATATATATATATATATATATATATATATATATATTTTTTTTTTTTTTTTTTGCATTGCTGTCTTTTTTTTTTTTTTTTTTTTATTATACTCTAAGTTTTAGGGTACATGTGCATATTGTGCAGGTTAGTTACATATGTATACATGTGCCATGCTGGTGCGCTGCACCCACTAATGTGTCATCTAGCATTAGGTATATCTCCCAATGCTATCCCTACCCCCTCCCCCGACCCCACCACAGTCCCCAGAGTGTGATATTCCCCTTCCTGTGTCCATGTGATCTCATTGTTCAATTCCCACCTATGAGTGAGAATATGCGGTGGATCAAATATATTTTTAAAATAGAATGAAAAGTCTTTTAAGTAAACTTATGTGACTCAATTTCCATACTTCCATGTTAAAATATTTGAAATTCTGGAAGAGTTATTATTGAAAAGTATTGGTTTCGACAATCTAACTCTCAGTACACATCAAGTTTTAAAATCCAATTCAATGTTATAATAGCAGTATTTGGAATAGCCATCAAAACATATCAAAATTTTACCATGATTTTGAAAATCCAATTAAAAAATATTACTACTCAGCTGAGCTTTTTAAGATAGTATCATCTGTTTACATTTATTTTATACATGTGATATTTTATGAACATTGTATTTGTAATGAAAGTATCTCCAGCTATTAGTGTTGTATGAATTGTAATATCTCTTGCAGGTAATAATTACAAATTTTTACGTATCTATGGAAAATAAGATGTCACTATGACCAGATTTGACCAAAAACTGTTAGTTCAGTGGTAGAGGATTTCTAGGGAACAGGAGAAGACTAAAGATATTTTAAAGAAAAGAATAAATACTTGATCTTTACCTTTTCTTTGAGATAAAATGGACACTATGAGATATTATGGAATATCATGCTATATATTCTTTACACGTGTCATTGAAATCTGCACAACTACCTTACAGATAAATAGTATTAACCCCAATTTACAGATAGGAAGGTGAGACACAGACACATTAAATAAATGGCCCAAGGTCACAGTTCATACATCACGCAGCACTACTCGACACTGTTCTTAAGAACTGAATTCTGGATTACTTTACTATGATTGAGTAAATCTCTCACTCAAAGATAGACTGTTCTCACAATACTAGCAAAGAGAGTGTTAAAGCTTAGCAAGAGAAAATAAATAGTTGCCTAGTATTAACAATTTACCAAGGAAATACATAGCCTGGAGGCCTTATTCTTACTGGCATCATTTCCCAGTTATATGCTAACATGATAGCTGTTATTGGAAGATACCCAATAAAAATTTGTAATTTATGACATATTTGTATTACAAGTGTGCAAGGAAATTTGAAAACTCTACTACGGTATTAACTAGATCTATTTAAAAAATATTTCTGCTGCCATAACGGTTCTGTATGTAAGGTTTTCATAGGGAAAACCATCGCCATTTTAAGAATAGCTAATAACTGATATTTCAAATTTATGAAACAAACAAAAAGGAACATTTACCTACAGTATAGAGAGACTCTTTGCTTTAAAGAGTTCAGTGAAAAATTCTGAAGAATAGACATTTCCTCTTATAATAAAAGTGTCAGAGTCACAAAAAGCTAGTTTCACTGAGAAGGGCACTAGTCTTAACATTTAAAAGAAATTTCTAGTCTCAAGCTTTACTACTATACTAAAATGCTATGTGACCTAAAGCAAGTCACTTAAATTCTCTAAATTCTATGAGGTTTCCTGAAGTCTAAAATGACAGGGTTAGAAGAGAAGATCTTGATCCCTATAGAGCAGCTTGTTAAATAGAAATTAATAAGAACTACATATGTAATTTAAAATTTCCCAGTAGCCACAGTAAAAAAGGAAAAGGAAATAGCTAAAATTAATTTTAATAATATATTTTATTTAACCCAATATATCTAAAACGTCAGTCCAAAACATAATTGGTATAAAAAATTATTAATGAAAATTTTAAATTCATTTTATGACACTAAGACTTTGAAATCCAGTTCATATTTTACACTTACAGCAAGTTTCAATTCAGACTACCCACATTACAAATGTTCAATAGCCACATGTGACTGTGGCTACCATATTGGACAGTGCAGCCCTAGAAGTCTATTATGTAATAATTTATGTAAATTTTTTTACGTAAAAAAGATTTACCTTGGGTGGGGATTCTTTTGTACTAAACAGAAATTATCTATGTCTTTTCTACTGTTTTAAAGTATAAATTGTAAAAAGATAAGTTCTTAATGCAAACTAAAAATCTTTTTAGAAGCATAAAGGCTGTAAACAGTAAATTAAGGGGTCCCTAATATTTTATGTGAATGTGTTTAACATATTAGATGGATCACTAGCATCTTACATGGCACTGGAGGGTAGGGATGAGAAACCTGTGGATGGTAGATGCCTAAGAAAAAATGTACTTACTTAATGAATCAGCCTTGTGTTCTTAGAGTCTAACTTTATTTCTTACAGTCTAACTTTGAACTAAAATGGAAAAAAGATAAGAAAAATGAATCCAGATAATCATGTGTTAGGTGAAGTCATACAAAAGAAGAGCTGTCATTTTGATCTTAACATCAATGAATGCCAATTCCAACACAGTGATGTTGGGGAAGATACTACCAACGCCAGTCACTGCTATAAAATGCACCTGGGCTCCTTTAAGAGGACCTACTAACAATACAAAATAAAAGTTAATAGCAGAGGCATAACTAGGTAGGACACTTTAAAACAACCAGGACCTATGTGATAGTATTTAAACATTTAGCTCCACCTTGAAAGGAGAAATGGTAAGTCTGCGGCAAAGAGGCTGTTGAAAGCAAAAAGAAAAAAAAAATTCTGGACTGTGTCAGAATTTGTGCCCTCATGTCAACCAGTTTCCACTCTGAGATTCAGATTAAGGTTCTGCAATAATCACATCTGCAAGTGACGGCATACAGGGTATGTGGGAAATGCTGTGCCAGCCTCTTGTTAAGAGAAAGAAGAGGCGACCAGAGTGGTCCTCAAAATAATTTTGGCATACATTTTTATTTAGTCAGGTAGAAGGCGGCTATGAATTTAGGATAAGTATTCAGGCATTACGCAAAAGCATTCCTTCATTCCCACTGGCAAGCCAGAAAGGAACACTTTGTCATAAACCAAGAATTAGTATCTCACTCAGTTTACTCTTGCAAGCAAATGTCAATTTTAAACATATAGCATGGCAGGCAAGGGTGCAGGGGCCAGGGTGTGGGGGTTCCCTGTTAGTTTTTGCAATTATGGGAAGGAATGGCTTTAGGGGATTACAGAACTGACATTACTTGGCCTGGGGCATGTTAGTTGTTCTGTCAGTTTGGTAAATTCTGGAAGTATAATTTTTCCTGGATGGAAAGGATTTTATCTAAGAATCACAAAGTGATAAGGAATCCTCACTGCAGAAAACATAGCAACTCTTTTGTTACAACTCTTTTTTACTGGGTCTTAAGTTTATTTCCAGCCTACTAGGTCCATATTCACGAACAAGTTTGAACTCTATCCAAATAAACAGCACAATAAAATGTTAGGTAATAATAAATAAGACAACTATAGGTAGTATACTTCATCTCCTTTCATATATTATGTGCGTGTTAGAATACGAATATTATTCTTCATTGCCAATCCACTCAAAGACTAGTTCAAATAAACAGGGAGGTACACAAAGCTCTCTAAGCAATCGGAAGAACAGTACTCTAAGTTCTAACAATCTTTCACTTTAAAACAGGTTTACTATTCTTCACAGGAGAATCTACCAGTCTTTAGCAATCATTTTAGTTCTAGAACCACCCAATGAGCAACTGATTCAGCCAAGAAAGAGGTTCAACTTCGCAGTGAATCTCAGAATAGACAAACATGGGCCCTGATAGGGACACCTACATGCTAAAGCAATTGACCTTTCACAAACTTTGCAGTCAAATGCTCAACTTTAAAAAGCAGTGAACTTAAAATGGCATCTTCTGCTTTTCTTTCTTAAAGTGGCAGAGAGACTTTACTTATTTTCTGCAAAATCCACTCACTAACTAGATTCTTAAATTTGTATGTCCAGAAAAATCTCTCTTTGAAGGGCTAAGAGTACTGGATGAACCATCTCAAAAAGAACCATATTATTTAAGAAATGGCAAGAGTATCCACTTGGCCCACAGCGTCCCCCTTCACAGTCACAGGACAGACCCTACTGGGTTTTGTAACTACCTTTGTCCCCTATAGACTGAGAGGTCTGGGAGGGCATGGACACTGTCTACCTTTTTAACAATAACTGTATTCTGTCTTCCTCCCTGAGTACCATGGCTGGCATATCACAGGTGCTTAAATATTTATTGAATGGGGTGAAAAAGAATTTTCTCAGGATAGGCTAAAAGAAACAAGGATGGATCACCAGTGACCAATATTCTGAAGAATACATATTGAGTAAGGGATGTACTCTTTATTTTAATAATAGCTTTCTTCAGATAATAAGCTTTCTTAGTGAAATACCCATATTAGTTTTTTTTTTTTTTAAAAAAAGGTAACTTAATTTGCCTTGCCACATTTTACTCAATACCATCAGGGAACTGCCCACAGGTTATCAGAAAATACAGTAATATTTCTCTTTTAGACCTTAATAAGTCATTCTAAAATTTGACAGATCACAATCACAAGTTGGAAATAAGACATCTTAAGACCTTGTGTCATATTGGTAATGCCAAATCAGGTTTTAAAGCTGTCTAGGTCTCGGTTGTGCTTATCAAAATAAGGTCCACGTTTTGGATTAGAAATACAACAACAAAAAATAAACGATGATAAAAACCATTATGTGTAGAAATTTCTAATTTGCAAAGCATTTCCACAATCATTTGCTTTTAATAATATCATCCCTGCGCAGAAGGCAGAGTTATCCTCATTTTACAGAGAAAGAACTGGGGCTCACAGAACTAAGCCACTCAGTGTCACGTAATAATAAATGAACAGTTGGGAATTTCAAGCTTGAAATGAGGACAAAGATGTTGCTGAAAGTATCAAAAATGATTGGTTTATAAAACATAAACTTTAGTTTGCTGTTATTGCTTACCTAACATACCCGACAGAGACACTGTACAGAAATTACATTGTTTACTGCCTGGTGTCATTGTCCAATGTTGTCATCATTATTTTTGTTTCATACAGGGCCATGGAGAAAAGTGTATGGCATCCCATATCAGATGATAGGTTTTTAAATTAGATCTTTTATTCATTTATAATGCAAGCTGACATGAATTATTATGGAGTGCAAAGACAATTGGAAACAAAATATAGGAGGTATGTCTCTTTATAGCAAGCTAAAATCTGGTTGGATATAAAGAGAGAGATGTATCTCATTACTCTTCAAATTAGAGCGGAACTATTCTGGAATGTTCCAAATGGGGATATTTTCGAATTCTTTCTTTGATATTGTCTTTTCTAAGCTGCTTGCATGCCAGCTTTCCCAGTGATCCAGTGAATGTATATTAAAATATATTTTCGTATGCAATTGTACAAAAATGTGATAATTTGTGAGCCAGGTGTGGTGGTTCACACCTGTAATCCTAGCACTTTGGGAGGCCAAGGTGGGAGGATCACTTGAGCCCAGGAGTTGAAGACCTGCCTGAGCAACATAAGGAGAACCCAACTCTACAAAAAATACAAAAATTAGCCGAGTGTGGAGGTGTGTGCCTGTGGTCCCAGTGTACTTGGGAGGCTGAGGTGGGAGGATCGCTTGAGCCTGAAATCTGAGCCATGATCGTGCCATTGCACTCCAGCCTTGGCGACAGAGCAACACCTGGCCTCAAAAAAAAAAAAAAAAAAGATCACTTGTTATATTGACAGTTCGTAGCTATAATTCCTTGCATTCTTCAGTGGAACCACATCTTCGGGAGTCACTAAAGTACCCACAAGTACACATTAGCTTTAAATAGTACTGTTTACCCGACTCATAATACTCCTTTTGCAGAGAAGGGAGTAAGAGTGTATACATGCACACGAAGTAATTTGGGAATGTAAAATAAAATATTAGAATGTTATATGTTTAATCCCTGTCTCCTCTTCCCAATCCCAACCCTGGCACAGGTACACTGAAACACAACTAAAAGGCTCTAAGGTTCCTATTGGCAGGAAAATAGCAACCAGCTGTCTTAGCCTTTAGGTTTTTGACATAAGAAAAGAAGGTACCCAACTCCTAACCTGCTGGCTTCTGACAAGTGCAGACTGCTAAGCCAGGCTATGATGGAGTACAACTCCTCCAAGCTTCACAACAACTGTAGAACGTCAATTCAGAATATTGCTAACTTCTAGCTTTTTTGCCAAACTTTATTAGGAACTTTCCTTGATGATCATCTAAAACTAGTGCTTTTTAACCTTCTGTGAAGAACCTTTGATAAAACATCTGGAGACTTTCCCCAGGATAATGCTGCTGCTATTGCCACTGTCAATAATAATGATGATGACAATAATAACAAAAATAAAAAGAGCTACCATTAATTGAGTGCACACTATATACAATAAATTGTGCTAAGTGCTGTTCAAGTAGTCGGGGATCCTCTGAATCAATCCTCCTTCCTCCCATAGTCCCCCAGTCTACAACAGTTCTCTCTACTGCTTCTTTTATTGGCTTGGCAATGCCAACATTCACGTAGCTACGTGAACCTAAATGCACGCTACAATCACTCAGGGAGCTCTTTTAAAATATAAATTCCCGAGAAACCACACCCAGAGATCCTGATTTAATTGGTCTGGGGTGGGGCCGGGGCATCAATATTCTATGAAAGTCCCTCAGATTATTCTGATGTGCAGTCGGGGTTGAAGACCACGAGCATATACAACCCATCCAACACTTCATCCTCTCAGTTCCATGTCCTCCAAAATCCTTTTCTTTCAACCGAGCTGGGTATTCCCATGATCATCTTAGACCCTGACACTAACAACTACACTAACCCCAGAACCCTATTTACCTAACAATCTGCCTCACATACTCTGGAAGCTACACTCTGCCAATTTTGTGACCTGCCCTGCCCCCCAAAATGGGGGGTCCATTTTTGCACTGTCTAGGTCACCATCATGTCTATTCTTTCTTCATCCAGCTTGAATTCTCTGTTTCATCATTGTATACACCCCAATTCCATTGCCTGTTTGTTCCGACCATGTTTTCAGCTAGCAAAACCTCAACCTCAGTTAAGCCCAATTTTCTGCCAACTGCAAACCTGCAGGCACTTGAGCAGCTGGATATGAGTTGGAGGAAAGCACAGAATCATGATGACTAGTTTCATTTTAAATTTATGGTCATAAATCTCTAGATGTGATCTTCATCTTCCCACAAACAAACCTACCAACCTACATGCAACTGTAACATATATTCTTCCCCAATCCCCATTAAACTTGTCAACTTGACCCTAAGGCCAAACCACTCATTTGTAGATTGCATTGCTTCTTAAGAACTTTGTTCTTGAAACTACCTTCTCTTCTTCCTTATTATGACTTTTCCCCCTCTCTCCCGGATCATTCCTATTAGCATTCGAACATGCTATTGTAAGTCCTATTTACAAAGAAACCCTTTTACTCCTGTCTCCCTCCAACCTACTGTTCTATTGCTCTGCTCTCGTGTACAGCAAGAGTAAAAAGGCTCAAAAAAAAGTGTTCATCTGGCCGGGTTTGGTGGCCGAGGCAAGAGAAGGGCTTGAGCCCCGGAGTTCAAGATCCGTCTGGGCAACATAGGGGGACCCTATGTGTACAAATAATTTTTTTTTAAATTAGCCTGGCATGATGGCATGTGTCTGTGGTCCCAGCTTGGGGGAGGCTGAGGCAGGAGGACTGGCAGAGCCCAGGAGATTGAGGCAGCAGTGAGCCATGATTATGCACCTGCCTTCCAGAACGGGTGATGACAGAGCAAGACCCAGTCTCAAAAAACAAAAAAAGTGCCCACCCTTGCTGTTTCCATACTTCCTTACTCCATCCCCACTGTGTAATTTATTTCATTTATTAAACAATGACGAGATACTATAATATGTGTAAGGCATAAAGAATAAAATACAACAATCAGCTGTGTTTCACCACCCAATTTAAGGAACAGAACATTACCAGGAACTCTGGAGTCTGCTCTCACTCCCATCTATTCCTTTTCCTCCCCTGCTAGAAAGTAAATGCTAATCTGAATTTTGCGTTTATTCTTGTTTTGCTCTTCTTTATAGCTACATGACAAATATATAGATCAATATATCTATATATTTCTCTCTAAATAATATATCGGATAGCTTTGCATGTTTTGAATTTCATAATTGTATTTATTCTTCTGTGGTTTGCTTTATTCTCTTAAAACTATGTTAAGATTCATCCATACTGCTATGTGAAGCAGTTTTAAATCTATTTTCATATCCTTAAGAGTATTTCATTTGTGAATAAACATTATTTATTTATTCATTCTGTGGATGATGGATATTTGTGTTGTTTCTAGCTTCTTCTACCATGAATAGCACTGTGATCATTCTTGTATGTCTATCAGTGTACAAGAGTTCATCCAGAGCATATGACCAGGAATGAACTTGCTGGATCATGAAAGAATCACGTATTTAATGAAGAAATGCCAGATTATTGCTAAAAGTGGTTTTACTAATTGTATTAGTTGACTGGATAATGTTGATTGTAAGATAATAATCTTTTACCATTTATTGATATTTGCTCTATGGTCCTGTATGCTTCTTATTTTCATAAATCTTCCATGCATCCTTGAGAAGAATGTCTCTTCCATACGTGTATGGTCAATATCAACCTTATTAACTCTGTTGCTCAAATCATGTATTCCCTCACTAATTTTTACTCTCTATTTCAGAGGTCAACAAACTATACCCTGTGGACTCAATCTGTTTAGCCTGTTGTTGTATGGCCCAATGAGCTAAGTATGGTGCAAAGAGGAATACACAAAACAGACTATATGCGCCCTGCAAGGCCTAAAATATTTATCTGGCCTCTCTTTCAGAAAATGTTTGCTGATCCCTGGTTTATTCAATAAATCAATTACTAAAAGAAGTAGATTCCAACCTCCAATTCTGATGACATTTTTTCTTTTTATCCTTGTGTTTCTGTCCATTTTTTACTTTATATAATTTTAGTCTGTTATTGGGGGCATACAACATTAGAAGTGTCATATTTTCCTGGTGAAATGAATCTTTTACCATTATCTTGTGACCCTCTATCTCTGGTAACACCTTTTGCCTTAAAGTTCATTCCACCTATATTTGTAGTTATGTCACCCTATTTCTCAAAACCTTTACGTACCCTTATGTAGGGTTTTCACGTAAACCACAGTACTGTATTTAGATTTTTAAAGCTAGTCTATCTTTTGAATTTAATCTAATAAACTGTGCTTTTTAACAGGAAAATTTAATTTACATATAGTATAGTAACTGATATATTCACATTTGTTCTATCATCTTGTTATGCTTCGTCTCCCTTTCTTTTTCTCTTCTTTTTTTAACTGCTTTTGGGTTGACTAACTTTTTTTGTTCCTTTTTAAATCTCCACTAGTTTAGAGTTATACTATTTCTTTTCTTTAGTGAATACCCTAGAAATGTTAACATGCATACTTAGTCAGTGGCTTTTGTTTTTGTTTTAACCAACTTCCTACATAAAGCAAGGACTTTAGAATGCTTTCACTCTAATCACTTCTCTACGGAGTTGTTGGCTATAAGCCATTACATTATTGTTTCACCAATCAATTTTAGTTTAGATTTATTCTCATATAAACCACTTTCTTAGTTCGTCATTCCCTCTTGTAGGTCACATCTTCCATCTGGGATCATTTTCCTTCAGCCTGACGTACATCACTTAGAATTTCCTTTAGAGAGAGTCTCTTGCTGCATATTCACTCAGGTTTTATATATCTGAAAAAAATTATTTTGCCCTTAATCTTCAAATTTTTGCTGAACATGGACTTCTAGATTGAGTTATATTTTCTCACCACTTTGAAGATATTATTTGACTGCCTTTGGATCCAGTGCTGTTACTGACAAATCAGCTTTAGTTCTGTTAATTCCTTTAAGGCAGTCTTTTAAGGTCATTTTGTTTGTCTTTGGTGTTATACTGAGTCACTATTATATGTCTAATGTGGATTTCTTTCATTTATTCTTCTTTGTGTTTGGGGGGCTTTCTAAATCTGAAGACAGATTTTTTTTTTTTAATAGTTTTGGAAAATTCCTAGCTCCTAATTTTCATATATTGTCCCTGCCCCATTCCCTGACCTTGTCTCTCCATTAAGATGGATGTTAGACACACCTCTTCATTATATCCTTCATGCTACTATTATGCATTTCTATGTCTCTCTGTGTTACATTCTGAGTAATCCTTCAGATCTGTTTTCTAGCCTATAAAATCTCTCTTTGCTTATGTCTAATATACTCTTTAACCTATGCATTGAATAACTGTTTTTAATTTCTAATGTTCTATTTTTTCCCAAATACACTTAATTTTTAATTCTCATGATCATTATAATATTTTAAGTTTGCCTTTTATTTATTTAAATATAGTAAACATATTTAGTTTGTGTTATATGAGATATACCAATATCTGAGACCTTTGCAGATCTGACTCTGTAACCTGTTTTTGCTAACTCTCACTTGGCCTTGAGACACACCTATCTTGATACATAGTAAATTTCTAAACTTCAAAGGTATAAAAAATAAATTATAGCATGAAACAGAAAAGATAAAACATATTCCCTACTAATGAAGAAAAATCAGGTTGGCCAGAAAACCATAGAGTGATCATTTTGAGCAAACCAAAGATTATAACATAAGACTTTTATAGCTAGTAAAATTACTGTTCCTTTGTAAAGACCATAGAAAACCACTTTTAAATATCCAAGAGCTTAAGAATATACTGAAGACATTTATAAAGTAATATGTAAACACGTTTACCACTAAAATTAAGAAATTCAGAAAGGTTAAATTATTGTACACAAATTGACAGTAAGCATTAAAAGCTGTTAAATATGGAAGTCGGTATAATTATTGTAGCTAAGAAAACCTATTAAGTACAGTTAATACAATTAATTAAATGGAATCTTTAAGACTATATTAATAAAGACCATAAAATAGCAAGACCGTGGATGATTAAATTTCTCATGTTACAGGAAGAAAGCAAAAGATATAATTGTTTGATTTGATAAAAAGGCAAAATTTAGATTAGAGAATGTTTTCAGTGAATGTAAAAATATCCACTTATGTAAATAAAAATAACATCATCTTCCAAACCAATTGAGAAGAAAACAAGCAAATAAAGCAAGATATTACTCATAACTAAATGGAACTAAAAACTAAATAGACTACAAACTAAATGGAAACAAAACCTCAGAAAACCTAAAATAAGATAACTGATGTAAGATCATACACATATCAGCTATTTCAGTAAATGTAATTGTTTTAAATCCCTTTATTAACTGACAAATAATCTCCACTGCTACTTAAAGGCCTTTTATCATGATGTTTATCATGTTAGCATACTATTGTGTTTTCTTCATAGCACTTACTACTATTAGAATTATTTTATTTATTGTACAATTTCCCACACTAGAAAATAAACTTCCCAAGAAAGGACCACGGCTGTCCTGCTCACTTCTATATATTGCTAAGAGCTAAAAAAAAAAAAAAAAAAAAAAAAAAAAAAAAAAAAAAGTGCTGTTTCAATGAGTGAATGAATGAATGAAAATCACAGAGCAAGATTTTTTTTTAAAGCAAAAAAAAAAAAAAGAAAGCAGAAGTTACAATGAAAATGTCATATAAAAGTGACAGCAAAATGCTTTTAGAATACATAAAGACATTTTTGCTGTTGATAAAAGATAAAACCTATAATGGAATTTAAGTCACAAATCTTGCTTCAAATAACAAGATCAAGATACACACAAAACAATAAAAAAGCAGAAATACAGACAGAAAATGATAGAATTACAATGATGAGTGACTAATATACTTCTCATAGTCTTTGACAGATTAAGTGAATAAAACATAATAGGATCAATGATATGGTTTGGCTCTGTGTTTCCACCCAAATCTCA
Organism: Homo sapiens; assembly: GCF_000001405.40. Taxonomy (NCBI): domain Eukaryota; kingdom Metazoa; phylum Chordata; class Mammalia; order Primates; family Hominidae; genus Homo; species Homo sapiens. Next base: position 7,835,082 of record NC_000007.14, on the reverse strand, counting down.
CCTCGAACTGTAAACCCCATCTATTGAGAGAAGTGATTAGATCACGGGGGCAGTCTCCCCCATGCTGTTCTTGTGATAGTGAGTTCTCAAGAGATCTGATTTTTTTAAAATGTGTGGCTTCCTTTGCTTTCTCTCTCTCTTCTGCTTCACAGTGGGAAGACATGCCTTACTTCCCCTTCGCCTTCTGCCCTGATTGTAAGTGTCCTGAAAAATAATTGGTAGTATCTCCCTGAATTACAAGCTCACTGTCTGCTATGGACTAATTGTGTATCTCTTCCTCTACCCTACACACCCCCACCCATACGTTCAATTCATATGTTGAAGCCCTAACTGCCGATGTGATGGTATTTGAAGATCAGGTGTTTAGGGAGATAATTAGGGTAAGAGAAATTCATAAGGGTAGGGCCCTCATGATGGGATTTGTGGCTTTATAGGAAGAAGAGGGAGAGAGTTCTTTCTCTGCCTGTGAAGACACAGCAAGAAGGTGGCCATCTGCAAGCCATGAAGGGGTTCTTCATCAGGAACCGAATTGGCCAGAATCTTGATCTTAGACTTACCAGCCTCCAGAACCATGAGAAAAATAAATGTCTGTTGTTTAAGTCACCCAGTCTATGGTATTTTGTTACAGCAGCCTGAGCAGACTGAGACAGTGTCCAATGACATGGTGGAGTGCAGTCTAAAAATATAAAAAGCCTGGGAAATAGGATAGGAAATTTATGGATGACAGATCATATCAGGTTATCTAGAAATGTTAGGGATAGGCCAGGCATGGTGGCTCATGCCTATAATCTCAGCACTTTGGGAGGCTGAGGCGGGTGGATCACCTGAGATCAGGAGTTCGAGACCAGCCTGGCCAACATGGTGAAACCCCGCCTCTAATAAAAAATACAAAATTTATCCAGGCGTGGTGGTGGGTGCCTGTAATCCCAGCTACTCAGGAAGCTGAGGCAGGAGAATCACTTGACCCCAGAGGCAGAGTTTGCAGTGAGCTGAGATCACGCCATTGCACTCCAGCCTGGGTGACAGAGCAAGACTCCGTCTCAAAAAAAAAAAAAAAAAAAAAAAAGAAAAGAAAAAGAAAGAAATGTTAGGGATACTTGGGTAGATCTCCACATTCTTGAGACTGATGACATGATAGGTTACCCACGGAATCTCCTTGGAAACCAGTGCTTGACAGAATAAGATGGGAAGCAGACTTTTGTAAGATTAGATAGGAGAATACTGTTCCTCTCTGGCATCTTCATTTCAAGTATTTCAAATAAAACCTGAAAAAGTAACCACCATGTTCTGGCTGCTATTCCATGATTAAAGACATACATAGAACTATGGTTTTGTATATTTAGCATATATGTGTAGTTTTTCTAATTCGTTTTTCACAGTGTAAAGGTTAATAGGCTCCAGTAACTATATTTCCTATCCTGCCATCTTTGCCTATTTGTGTAAATGTGCCATAGTATGGTAATTACCAAGAGTTATTCTCTGAAATCTGCCCGCTTCCTGACAACCTATTTTAATTGAAGGTACTTACCTCTTTCTTCCCAGTCATGTTGACCACCTGCACTCTGTAGAGTACTTACTACAGTCTGCAGACAGAAGCACCTTTCTTATGTCTACAGCTTGTTCTAAATTCCTAAAAGTTAACAACTGTACTTTGCCCATCTCTGAATCCCCCTCGGTGGTCACATGTCAGGATAGTTGCCGATATCAAGAAATACTAACACCACAGTATGCCTCATGTGTGTAGTAACTCTCTTTTTCACTCCCAATGCCAACAGTCCAGAGATGACTCTGGTCTTAATTTCCACAACGTTGCTGAGTGTATCTGTTCTCCTGTAGTCTGTTCCACTGCAGTTCATCTGGCATGGTGAGGCCTGCCCGATTTCACAGCCCAGCTCTAGTCTATCACTCTCCATCAAAACCACGCAGTGCCTCCACAGTGTCAGCTGAATTAAGTAAAAAGTTTCCTGCCAAACTTTCAGGGCCCTCCACACTGTGGTCCCAAGCTGCCTTTCCAGTCTCATCTCCTATCCCTTCCTTTGCAAGATAACTACAACTCTAGCAAGACAAATCACTCTTTTCTGAACCTATGTTCTAGTAGATCCAATCCTCTGCTCAGACAAACACTTTCCCTCATTTCCATCAAACGTTCCCCCCTGTCTATGAAAAGCTGACCGACCCATTAGGTCCTATCTCAAATGCAACTACGAAGAAGCTTCTCCTGATGTTTCCAATCAATGTGATCACCACCTCCACTGAATCCCACCTGCACTCTGTAGAATACTTACTACAGCTTGCAGACAGAAGCACCTTTCTTATGTCAACAGTTTGTTCTAAAATCCTAGAAGTTAACAACTGTACTTTGGCCATCTCTGGATCCCCCTTCGTGGTAGCATGGTACATTATGCAAAGCAGAGTTCAATGATCATCACTGAAGAGCACTGTTAAAGAGTAGCTGTCTTAAAAGAGGCCGTTACTAAACTCACCATTAAAAGCCAAAAACGTTCCCCTTTCACTTAGGAGATTAGTGGAGACAAATGGCTATAACACTATCTTCTGGGTCTCCTCATTTTTCTTCCTACTTTTCCGTATAAGTAGAAGTTACATTGTAGTGATTAAAAGCACCCTGTAAAAATGGTTTCACCAGGCCATATCTGGGAAGAGAGGATCAGTCCTCTTTAGTGAGTAAGGAGGATATAAGATGACATGTTTGAATTGAAGACAGAAAGGAAATGGAATTTTCAAGGGAAAAAAAAATTCCAAAAGAAAAACCTGTTTCACAAAATGCAGTCTGTGGAAAATATTTCCACTGAATGTCAAGATTAAGAAAAACCAATAAAACCTTTGAAACTAGAACCATGTGAGAGGACTTGTAGGCTCAATGGCAAAATACAATGCTATGGTATGAAGAACATAAAATCTTTCTCAAGTAACTGCAAAAGCAATTCTTCAATATTCAGGAGCCTCCATGGCCCCAAAATATGCTTAGCACAAATTGCTTATTACACAGATAGACAGAGTCAACATTCAAAGGGCCAGCGTTTTTCAAAAGAAGTTTTACCAGGGCTGTAATTAGTTGTTCAGGCAAAAACTGCATACACATCTAATTGCACACACAATTGGCTAATTGTATCTTCAAAATAAAGGGTAAAGGGTTAATTGTATCCACATCTGGCCACAAAGAAAGAAGTTGTCCTTTGAAAATATGACACTACATTTAGAAGAAAATTTGCATTAAACAACCATCCCTATTACTAATAATAATTATAATAATACCACATGCTTATAAATTAATACCTTTCATCGTGATCCTGAAAACACTTTACAAACATTAATTAATCTCACAATACTCCCACGAGGTATGAAAGGCAATTATCCCAACGGTGTCAATGAAGAAATACAGCAAAGTTAGGTAATTGTCAAAAAGCCACAAAGGGAATCAGGGCTCCCAGTTCCGGGCTCTCAACGCTGACTCAAGTCACCAGGGAGGTTCAATGGGGAGCTTGGTTCACGTAATCAACAAAAAAGAGCCTAAAAACAACACAAAACTAAGTAATCCAATTTCAGAAGAGTAAAAAGTGGCCTGTGATTTAGAGGCCACTTTGACTTCTTTCATTGACTTCTTTCATTGAAAGGTACCCAGAAAGACAGGCTCCAGAATGGAGCTAACAAATAGAACTTCTTTGTTCCTTAGTTTGATTTTATGATCAAGTATTTCAGATAATTTTTTAAGAGTACAGAGAATTGATATGATGCATCACCAATGAATGGTACTTCCAAAAATATATAACAAGAATAAATTTCTGTAAGATATAGATACTTAGAATATCCTGGCGACAGCAACTTTTAAGATAAGGACATGCTGAACACAAAAATATGGGTTAGAGGCTAAAACAGAGTAAAACTAATGTCACCTTAACTGTAACTCTTGAGGATTTACATCAAATTAATAGTCAGGAGAATCCAATTAATACTAGCCAAGAATATCTAACTTCATACAAATAATTTTCCTTATAAATGCATAAGTATATCATTAGTATTTGTTGTAATATTATCTTCTTTAAGAATCAGAGAAATACAAGCATTGATTTTTATCAATAAAATACATATTTTAAGGACTGGTATATTTTTTATAATTAAAAAATATTCTTGTAGCCACATGAGGAAATGTTTGGGTGATTGGCTTATTCATAAAAACTAATAACAAATTTTTCTATGCAGATACTTAAAAAGATGGGAAGATATAAACAGGCTTCAATTTACATTCACTTCACTTATCCAGTACTGAAAGATACAAGATCGGCAAGTAAAGATTCATAGAACTTAGTCTATGTGTTTATTTATATTGACTCAAAACCCTACTGTATCTCTTCTTACAAAGGTTCTGAGGCAATATCTGACATTAGAATAAAGAAAACCATTGAAATAGAAAGTCTGGGACAAGGAAAATGAACCAAAACATGCTGAAGGTAAGAATCAGTATGACTGTGGTTTCCACACTTTGAAGTTGGCTCACAGTTTTTGGGCACCCAGAGCAAAGAAGAAAAACACGCATGTTAAAAGAAAGAAAAGAAACGAAAAAGGGAAAAGAAAGAGAAAGATACAAAAGAGAGAAACCAAAACATATAATTTTTTACCTAATAGAGGTAAAAAATCAATATAGTATGAACGTGCTTCAAGCAGAGAATGAACTTCTGATGGGAGAACCTGGAAAGGCTCCAGGGCAAACAGTCACATTCTAGGCTGGAAATGAAGGGCAGGGCTAACCTCCAGAGCAGCTGCTACAAAAAAGGTATTCCACACTCAATCTTTAGCAAGCAGACAGAGAGCCGTGTGATTACAACGCATGTTTAGGAAATGGCAAGTTGATTCCAGCACAACGTACAAGGTAGACACAGTCCTAGCAGGGGCTTGGCCAGACCTGCAGGTCCACTGGCAAATGCCTCTTAAGGAACAAATAACATAGTAGATTTTTGAGGGAGAGGTGGGAAAATAATATAACTTTTCTTTTTTAAAGTAGAAAACTCTAGTGCTGTGTAAAGAATAGACCAGAAAGGCAAAAGTCAGAAGGAAGAAGGTTTGTCGGAAGACTCTGTAGTAAATCCAATGAGGGAAGATAAGGGCCTGATCTCTGGTCCTGGCACAGGAAAGGTAAAGGAGAGGACAGGTAGGAGACTCTCTGACAGCTCCTAGTGAATATAATTAAATGTGAGGAAAGAGATGAGTCAGTCACACATGACTTGAGGGTGCCTTGCCTCTTAATCCTATGTGACCAAGGAGATCCAGAAGCTGATACTACATGCTTTTTCTAATGTTTTACTAGGTTTGGTGACAACAAAATTAACATATACCTTTGTGTCATAATATTTTCCATCAAGGAAAGTATACAAAATTGTTTTGTAAAATGCTCGTTCATTACATTTAAAATCATGTCAGAATATGAAACGTATGTTTCTTTAAAATAAAAATATAAAGTGCTATTTCAGCCAGATTCATTATATGAGACCTAAAGCACTGTGGCTATAGTTCTAGCTCAGGTTTCAGCACATTCCTTTTTTTGTCCATTTATATTTACGAAAAGGAAAATGGGCTTTAACTTTTTATCCAGGGATTTATATGATTTGCACTAAGTGTCTTATTATCTACCTCCCACATTGCCAGGGATAACACAAAACTATGATCAAAGTAGATGCTTAAAAATTACATGCTGAATGAATAAATTCAAGAATTAAAGTCAAACAGAAATCACCTGTTCCCCAAACTTGTAGAGAGTTATTGCTCTTAGCACTGGACTAGCTGTTCAGTGCAGGTATGCAAGTGATTGCTGCTGCTCATTCAGTAACAATTTAAAATGTTCATCAGGAAAGATCTATTTCCTAAATAATTTATCCTTATCACCAAATTTGTTGTTATGAAAAATTGCTAGACGCCCTATACAAGGCCAAGTCCTTATTAATGCCAGTGGTAAGAACTGCTAGAAAAAGAACATTGACAAGAAAATGTTTGGGAGCTATTACAACACACTTACATTTCCTTAGACAGTGACATGACTATATGATCAATATTATATAGACATGTTATCCCTTATAATAGTGTTCCATGTTTGCATTTTGAGGAAAACCACTGATTTTTATCTACCTTAATTTAAGATAATATTATTGTCAATGACCTCCTAACCACATACAAAATAGAGTTCAAACTTTTGAATTTGACATTCAAAGACCTAGAAGACCTGGGCCAGTCGATTTTCTTGTCGTAATTCCCTCTGATCTGTTCAGTAATTCCTAAGTAGTGGGGAGAGTACCACTGGTTGTACAAGCATTGAGGAGGAGGAGGAGGAGCACTGGGAAGCTGGAGTTCAGGAGAGCTTCAAAGGCAAAAAGGAGAAGGAAAAATGAAACGCAAGGTTGTGTGCAAGACAGGTCAAGAGCTATCCCCTTTCTTTTTCTGGATCAAAGCCTTTACAGGCAGCCCCTTAGCCCCTGCACAAACTAGCATGCGTGTGTACACACAGAAGTCAGCAGGGATGGGGTCCCTATGGGTTGATATAGCCGCAAGAAGCTCGGGACCAGGGGCTCTGAGAAGAAGCATGAGTCAGAGCTGTATTCCCCAATTTTGATTCAGTGACTTGGCTTAAGTGTTTGGACTGAACCCAACAAATCAGAATTTGAGTTTGTGCCACAGATTAGGTATGTGACCTGAGTATGTCAAACTTTCACCTTTCTGAGCATCAGTTTTCTCAACTCCTCAAATAGGGAGAGCTATATGATATATGTGCATGCACTGTACTCCACACAGTCTCTAACCACAGTAGAACAACAAATAATAGCTTTTATTATTATTACTGAATGCCGGATCTCATTCATCCATTTTAACCAACCAGCGACTATCAAACATCCAAAAACCCTGGCCAGGTTGTAAATTCAAATGAATTCTGTGAAGATATTTTGAAATTGATGAAAGGTTTTCATAAGTATTTTCACAAACAAGATGGTAGTGGTGAATGACAAAGAGTCTCTTTCATTCCACAACTTTTTAAACATTACCCAATAACCTGACATATTCAAAAGAAGAAAAAGACTTTGAAAATGGTCTTATAGTGGCTTCTTGAATAATTGTTTGCCAAACAAAAGTCATCTATAACATTTTGGTTAAAAACTGATTCTATGAACAACCTATAAGAAGAGGGGTTAAACATATTTATATATTTCCAACTTCATGTACATGTGAATTGGAGTTTTTGCTGCTGGTAGTAATTTTCATTAAAAGGCAGAATTGTCTTATTGGAGGTAGAACTTCATCTTTGTCTTAAACCACATGCCATTAAGCCATATATCCCTTTACTACTGACTGATCACAAAATGTTCCATTTTGCCCACTGAAGAACTTAATTTGTTTACTATTAAATAATGAACTAGAAGTTATATCTTACTATTACTTCTAGTTCATTATGCATTTAAAATTTTTAGTATCACTGTATTTTCTCAAAAGTTATCTTTAGTTGGTAAGTAAAATCAGCTTTACGTATATGATATTGGCATAAAATTTCCTCTTCAAATATATGTATTAAAACATGAGTCAATTTTAAAACTGTGGATAAATAATATTTTAAAATACTAAAAATATTTTAAAGAATATATCAGAGATATAGTACGATAAATATCCTAAAATAATAGGTGGCACAAGTTGAATACAGGAGGACTGCCCTCTGCTATTCTCGTTTGCCTGCCAAATCTACTAATCTACCTTTTGCAGACCTTCGTTGGCCACTGCAGCCACAGCAATTACTCTTTGTATCTGGAATTTTTCCTATAGAATTTAGTCTACACTACGTGATTTTATTTTTACTACATGATTAACACAAAATCATATGCTATAATATTCCATTATTTAAATTTTCATGTGATACACACACACACACACACACACACACACACATATATATATATATATATATATATATCCTGGACTGTGAGACTGATAAAACACTTCAGGGGAAAAAGAATTAATCCATCTTCTTTGGCACTGAGCACAGCACTATGCAAATGGGGCATACTATAAATATTTTCTGAATAGTCTTATAATTCCTTATAATTCATTAAAGTAACTGCATCTTATGGAATGTTCTCTAAATATTAATGAAAATAAACTAAATTTTAGTTCTAATTATTTTGAATTGAATGATCCATAAAGGCAAAATTTGAATTGTTATAAGATTAGTAGTTGTGTATTGGTGGACGTTTCTTCTTCTTCTTTAATTACAGGTAAGTATGGTGATGGGGTGGCAATGTGCCTAGCTAACATTTCTGAGCCTTCCTTGCTGATAGATATAGTCAATGAGATGTAAATGAAAGCTGTTATATGGGGCTTTCAGAAAATTACTTAAAGGGGGGTGGGTTTTACCCTAGTCCCCTCCTGCTATGGTTGAAGATGCAGTGACCATCTTGTAATCTAGAGGCAATCTGATATATAAAAATCACACATCTAATAAACAGCATGGGTAGACCAGCTATCCAGGTGAAAAATCAAGAACCATTTTTCTATTCACCAATTGAGGCGAAAGAAATAACAAATGGTGGGAAGTGAGTGGCTAACGCACAGGACCAGTTTAACAGGATGGAATTTACCTAAAGTTTTATCAAGTGGACAGTTGATCCACTCAGGCACTCAAACATTTCTCAAGTGCTTGTCATTTGTGAGACTTAGTACTAGATACTAGAGAATCGAAATAATGATGATTGTGTCCTATCTTCAAAAATTAAAGGTGGTGATGCAGAAAGAGAAAAAGTTGAGGAAACTGTTAGTATCATGGAGCCACTATTATCAGCCCTCAATTGCCTAACGTGAGACATTTCTAGATAAAGAAAAACAAACCCCTGTTTTGTTAAGGCCACCAGTTCAGGAATATCAATTACTTTCAGCCAAATGCAATTTCTGATTCATCCATGTACATACAGTCAGCCCTCTGTATCCTTAGGTTCAATATCCATGGATTCAACCAACTACTGATCAAAATTATTAGAAAAAAACCAATACAACAATAAAGTATAACTTTAAAAACACTACATCATAACAACTATTTATATAGCGTTTACATTATATTAACTTTTACAAGTAATCTAAAGATGACTTATAGTATAGGAAAGGATGTGTGTAAGTTATATGCATATACTGTGCCCATTTTATACCTGAGACTTGAGCACCCTCAGATTTTAGTATCTGCAGAGGTCATGGAACCAATCCCCTATATACTGAGGGACAATTATACACGTTATAGGCACAATCTAGGGAATCCTATTTGAGTGGTGATTAAAAGGTCCTCAGCTTTTTCACAAACACCTTTTTCCTTGGTACTGTAAAGTGCATATTTGTTATAAAATATATCATGCCAATATTATTCATTCTTTGGAAATAGGGTGATATGGTTTGGCTGTGTTCCCACTCAAATCTCATCTTGAATTCCCACATGTTGTGGGAAGAGGCAGGTCTTTCCCATGCTGTTCTCATGATAGTGAATAAGTCTCATGAGATCTGATGGTTTTAAAAATGGGAATTTCCCTGCACAAGCTCTTTCTCTTTGCCTGCTGCCATCCATGTAAGATGTGACTTGCTCCTCCTTGCCTTCCACCATGATTGTGAGGCCTTCCCAACCATGCAGAACTGTAAGTCCTAAAACCTCTTTCTTTTGTAAAATGCCCAGTCTCAGGTATGTTTTTATCAGCAGCATGAAAATGGACTAATACAGATGGATTTAAAGTTTCTGTAAAAATAAAAATGCTATCTGAGAAGAGTTACACTTTAACGTATCAATATAATTGACTATCTCGTTGTGAATGGACTTATTAATTAACTTCAGTGATGGGTAGGCCCTGAGGGGATGGAACACAAGATATTAATAGAAAAGTTTTCCTGTAGGAAGATTACACTCCCCCCTGCGCCCACCTCCTATCCACTCTATTCCCATCTCTAAGATATTGACAGGCAGCCTTAGAGGTCAAGGATATAAAAACTGAAAGGAGAGCTACAAACCTGAATGGAAAGTGTGCCAAAGGCAAACTTACACCTCTGTTACATAATGCTACCCATGACCACCCCTCTATATGGGCCTACTTTATTTATTCTACAAAAACAAAAAAACAAAACCCAGTTAACTAATAAACAGCATAGGTGGACTAGCTATCCTGGTGAAAAATCAAGAGCCATTTTTCTATTCACCAATTGATGTGAAAGAGAGACAAATGGTGGTAAGTGAGCGGCTAATACACAGGACCAGTTTAACAGGATGAAATTTACCTAAAGTTTTACCAAGTGGAAAGCTGATCCACTCAGGCACTCAAACATTTCTCAAGTGCTTGTTATTTGTGGGTTAGTACTAGATAGTAGAGATTCAAAATGATGATGATAGTGTCCTATCTTCAAAAATCTTCCAAACTTCTACTGGTGATTGTCATGTAAATAAACCATGACAAAACACTGTGAAGCATGTGGTACCACAAGTGGATACAAAAGCTCAAGTAGGATAGCAGAATTCATTCTAAGGATGATGAAGAGTGGTCAGAGAAAGCCTCACACAGGGAATGATACCTAAACAGGATTTTCCAGGATGATAGGATTTTGCTATGGAGATGAAAGAGGATATGCATTGCAGTCAGAGGGAAAAATGAACAAAACCTGATGATATGAATGTTTTATGTATGACAAATATTTGTTATTGCTGTAGCATTGAGCACTGAGGAAGAAGTAAAAGAAGGGGGAATTAATTAGAACACAGATCAGGGAGGGTGCTGGATGCCATGCTAATCAACTTGGATTTTATCTGATAAGTAGTTACTGAAGGTGAGCCGGGGTACTTGGAATGGAGTGAGGCTGGAGGAAGGAATATCACCTGGGAAGCCTTAGTAATAATCCAGATGACAAAGGATGAGGACATGCAAGTTACAAGTGGTTCCTCTCTGATTCTGTGGAGCGGAGGGCAAGGTGGGAGGTGCGGGAGGGAAAGGAAAGGAAGGTTAAAAATCATTCAGCTGATGGTAATGTTTGTTGTTTGGAATAGTCACTTTTTATCCACTTGCCCTCAACATTGTTTATAAGGCACCCAGGAAATGCACGTTCTCTATGAATTCACTCTTTCAAAGGTTTTTGTCTGGGATTATACTGCTAGGCATTTAATACTAAATGAACCAAAAATAAAGAGATGTGAGAAGGAGAAGCTGAAGCTTTTTGCTGTAGGTGTCTTCTTAGCTTTACGAATCAATATTATCACTTTACAAGGAAGCATTTTTCACCTAAAGGGAATGGAGAGGGGATGCATTAGATTTCTCATATTGAAATCTGTCTTTAAATCATCCTTATTACCATCTTTAAACATATTATTGTGAAAATTATCCAGAAATATATACGCTAATATGTTTTTCAAAAATAAAAAAGAAAGCATTTTCTCTTTTTTAAAAAATGAAAAGTAGGTAAGATGTGAATAGAGCCTGCCCAATTCCCAATTCCTATCTCCCAAAAGACATGTGGACAAATGAGAAAGCATACCTGAGGCACTTTGGGCTTCAAAAAAATTGGGCAAACGGAGTGCAGGAGGGCCAAACATCACATTTGCCAGACTTGGGAATTCTTTGAGTTAATAAGAGGGCTGAGTTATGGCGGGGGTTGCCAGATCAAATATAGATAACTTTTTTTGGTCTAAGTATAACCCAAATATTGCACAAGACAAACATACTAAAAAATTATTTATTGTTTATCTGAAACACAAATTTAACTGGGCATCCAGTAATTTTATTTGCTAAATCTGGCAATCATAGTTAAGGGAAAAAAGTTGGCTGAATTAATGACCTATTTATCTTTTTGGGGGTGACATTTTGGCTTCCTTTATGTAATAAGGAGTGTTATTAACTACATATTAGGGGATTATGAAGCACAACAATATAAAAGTGTGAGCTTAAATGACTAATTATAAAAACTTTCCCAACAACATTGGGATCTCATCTCTTAAGTACTGTGCTCTGTATAAAACATCAAGGGAGGAGCACTCCTAATCAATAAAACAGAATATTAAAACCTTAAAGAAAGAATAAATAATGTTCATTGACACATATTAGCACTATAACCTCACAGACAAGTATTCTGAAAAGCAAACAGCCCATAAAAATATAGAGGCATGAAAATTTTTCTAAACACATGTCACCTAAAAAAAACTTGTTAACAAAGCATATTTTCATTATAAATGACAGAGAAGACAACCAAAAAAAAAAAGTTTTTCGTCTTCATAGAAGTCTTACTAATATGTCTTCAATTGATTGCTAGAAAAAGAGAATGACAGGGGCATCTCTGGAATCCAAGCAAGGTAGGAAGCCGAACTGTTCAAATCTAGGAATTTTTCTGTATTTACACTAAAGCGTTATGGCTATTTCTGATGCATTTTAAGCTTACTTTTATTACTTCCAGAACCCTTTCCTCATTAAGGCACAGATATAAACTGAGAGCTACTTACAGGGCAGATACCAAGTGGTCTGTGTGCTGGTGGGATATAGACCTCCACCTTGCATGCATATCAGCTGAAGAAAAAGAGCCCTTATTCATCAAATTTAAAAAGCGCTCTCTCATTTCATGCTAATTGTATGGTCCTTTGCATGATATACAAAAGATTGCCCAAGATGAAAGGCATGAAAAACAAAACGACCAGGCTCGGGTTGTTTTTTTTTGGAACAAGATTAACTTACTACCTTTTCAGAGAAACTAGATGACTAATTCAAATATTACATTTATCTTCACAGACTGACCTTACAGATTTCATTATTATCAGCATTTACCCAACTGCCTCTCTCTTTTTCATACAGTGTGACTTCACTGTACTATTCTCAGTGCGCCCAAACCCTTTAAGTTTTTGTCAAACAATACATACATCAAAAATTTTAAATAAAGTACACAAGCTTTTCACAGGTAAATAGCTAAACCCCCCTGGAAAAGAGAGGCTGATTATTAATAAATGCTTGCTTTCCAGTTCCTACCATATGTAGGTTTTGCTTTGGCTGATATCATACAAAAGCACATCAACAACTCATTTTTGTTTACTAATAAGTAATATTAATGTAATATTACAGTAATATGTAATAATATAATAAGTGATAGATTATTACTCAAGGGTTGTAAATAAGATGGTCAGCCATGGTAATTTATGACATAATTTATGGGATATAGTAAAACATGAATTGGGTCTCTGAAAACCAATTTAGATTTATGTTACCATAAACATCAACTGAATACTAACAACCACATAAAAGCCATCAGGGGAAGAGGCAGAAAGGAGAGAAACAGTAGGTACAGTTCACTCATTTGGCTGCACAACCGCAAAGCAGTACTTAGCCTTCCGTATCTATCGATTGCTATTAGTCAACTGAATCAGGACTGGCAATTTCAAAGAACAGCTGCTTCAACCTGGAGCCCTTGAAGAGACCAAAGAATAATTGGGCTTCTCAGATTTCCAAAGAATTGACTGTTCAGAGGTTAAAAACCAAATCATATAAGCTTTTAATATCTGATATTTACTGTACATATTAAGAATTTTTAAATCTATTAGACTGGCATTGTCCAATAAATCAGTGAGGTGAAACACATATAATTTTAAATTTTTTGATAGCCACATTAAGAAAGTTAAACAGGTGAAATTAATTTTAATATTCTTTTTTAAATCCAATATATCAAAAACATTATCATGGCAACATGTAACTAATATAAAATATTCAGATATTTTACAATCCTTTTTTTCATACTAAGTCTTTGAATCCCAGCATGTATTTTACATCTGAATACAGACTAGTCACATTTCAAGTGCTCAATAGCCACAAGCGGCAAGTGGTGACTGCATTAGGCAGTGTGCTTAAAATTTCACAAACTTGGGGGTGGGGGGAAAGCTTTGTTTTAATTACTACCTAATGTTTTCCTGCGAGTCAGATCTCAAGCCACTAGTGAGGTTACTTGTTCTTTTGTGTTCATGAACACAGTAAGCTACAAAATACCAGAAAGCTATACCACTAAAAACAGGAATTGAATCCTAAAAAAGTCACGCTTAATTTTCATTAATAACTAGTACTTAACATATTAAACTACTGTTTTCCTGGTTACTTTTCAGATTCTGCAACAAACTTCAGGAGTTTCAGTTTTTCTCTGAGGATCTAATTATCAGCCAAATCACCCAACATTCAGTGAAATATTCACATCTTTACTATTTGCTAAATATTTGAATAAAATAATATTTCAAAGTAATAAACTATGCAATTCCTAAATCCAAACTGGCTTATGACTAATTGGTAGGAATTGTACATTTTCCTCATGAGAAGAGTTTGAAAAAAAATCAAGAAAAGAATAACTAAAAGCAAATGAGTACCAAAATACACTAAATTCCAGGCTAACAAGCTCTTTGGCCCTTATGAAACTACAAAAGACAGCTTAAAGTCTCGCATGCTAAACTGACACCTGACAGGCCATTTTGAGGAGCTGAAGCATAGATGATCATTAGCAAAACATAAGTGACAGAGAGGTGCCAGTATTCAATCCTCAAATCTGAATATTCAAAATTTAAAAGACATAATATTTTAAAATAAATGTTACTTTTTGTTTCTCATTTATTGTTAGAAAATTTTAATTTCAACTTGAATTGTGAACTGACTGATACTGCCAGGCAATGCATGTAGAAACCAAAAAGTCAGTGGACTTATAGATGCTATAATCAATACCTAAAAAGATCTTGAGATACAAGCTGAGTATTCATCTTAATCACTTCTAATGAGATTAGGTAATTAAGTTAAATACGTCAGAAAATGAAACATTCTCATATTACTATGCTTTAGTCTATAATTTATCTATAATTTAATCAATAATTCTCATACTCTCCTGTATCACCATCTTTCTGTATTAGTAACTCCTTAACCCTTAACTGAATTGAGGAAAAGCAGTGGTTAAAACTGATTCATTTGGTTAATTAATGTTTAGCCCTGTGATGCCCTAAAATTTGCCTGAGTGACAACTACCTCTAAAAGACATAGTTGTAGCCTTCAACCCCAAAGTTAGTCATGGTCAATTGTTTTGCTTGATCTTGATATGATGAGTCTTAGAACTTAACACAATTTTTTTAACCACAAATCTTTGGCAGAGTAATAACCCATACATTTTCAGATATGGAGAACAGAGTTTAACAGAGCCTCATCCAAAATAGGTGTATAAGAAATATTTGGTGAAATAAATGGGATGGTCTGCTATTTCAACAGTGTACCCGGATGAGAAGTTAGAGAACTGTATTAATAATTTATTAACCAAACTGAACAGGTTTTAGTTAGGCAATGATAAAAATGCAAATGCAGATTTACTCATCAGATATTCTGGTGACAAAATCACCTTTTTCAGAATGTGAACCCATTTTTCTTTCAGAGCAAAACTAAAACTATTTTTGTTGAAAGCACGAAACACCGGTTTTGGTTCTCCATGTCAACAGGCGTGGAAAAAACAAGTAATATACACGTAGCTTTATCCAACTCAAAATGGCCCTCCTCTTTCAGATCTGATTCAGTGGCCCTTTTGTGTATGTGTGATTTCTGCAGGCTCCCAGCGTGTGTATAGCATAGCATACCTAAAGAGACCCTGCAGAAATCACATTTATGCAGCTCTCAAGAATCTTATATTCTTCTAGTAATTACCTACAACTTACCAGATACAGCGTAATATAAACAACTGCTGAATGTTATTTGATACATCAAAAATGGGGGCTTAAAATTTTGAGAAGTAATATATTCATGGTTTGAAGAAAATCTTCAGATGCTTGTCATTTACTTATTTTGTCAAATTCCTAATTTTTGTGCAAGAAGGTCCTGTACTATGGGGCTAAAAATCATACACAAATTTACCCTTAGGAATCACTGCTTAAAAATAAGAGGAGAGGGCCGGGCAAGGTGGTTCATGCCTGTAATCCCAGCACTTTGGGAGGCTGAGGTGGGTGGATCACCTGGGGTCAGGAGTTCGAGACCAGCCTAGCCAACATGGTGAAAACCCGTCTCTACTAAAAATACAAAAATTAGCTGGGTGTTGTGGCATGCATCTGCAATCCCAGCTACTTGGGAGGCTGAGGCAGGAGAATCGCTTGGACCTGGGAGGTGGAGACTGCAGTGAGCAGAGACTGTGCTATGGCATTCTAGCCTGGGCAACAGAGCAAGACTCCGTCTCAAAAAAACAGAGGAAAAACTATGGGCAACATAGCAAAACCCTGTCTCTACAAAAAATACAAAAATTAGCATGTTTTCTTTATCCAGCCTTTCACTGATGGGCATGGAGGTTGATTCCATGTCTTTGCTATTGTGAATAGTGCTACAATGAACATAAGTGTGCACGTGTCTTTATAATAGAATGATTTATATTCCTTTGGGTATATACAGTAAAGGTATTGCTGGGTCAAATGGTATTTCTGTCTTTAGGTCTTTGAGGAATCACCACTGTCTTTCACAATGGTTGAACTAATTTACACTCCCACCAACAGTATATAAGCATTCTCTTTTCTCCTTAACCTTGCCAGCATCTGTTATTTTTTGACTTTTTATTAATAGCCATTCTGACTGATGTGAGACGGTATCTCATTGTGGTTTTGATTTGCATTTCACTGATGATCAGTGATGTTGAGCTTTTTTTCATATGATTGTTGGACAGGTGTATGTCTTTTGCAAAGTGTCTGTTCACGTGGTACACATAAACCATGGAATACTATGTAGCCATAAAAAAGAACAAGACCATATCCTTTGCAGGGACATGGATGGAGCTGGAGGCCTTTATCCTTAGCAAACTAATGCAGGAACAGAAAACCAAGTACAGCATGTACTCACTTATAAGAGGGTGTTAAAATGATGAGAACACAGACACATAGAGGGGAACAACTGGGTCTTATCAGAGGGTGGAAGGTGGGAGGAGGGAGAGAAGCAGAAAAAATAACTAAGTACTACTAGGCTTAATACATGGGTGAAATAATCTGTATGGCAAACCCCCATGACACATGTTTACCTATGTAACAAACCTGCACATCCTGTGCATGTACCTCTGAACCTGAAAGTTTAAAAAGAAAATTAGCTGAGCCTGGTGTCACATGCCTATAGTCCCAGTGACTCGAGAGGCTGAGGTGAGAAGATCACATGAGCCCAGAAGGTGCAGGTTGCAGTAAGCTGACATCATGCCACTGCACTCCAGCCCAGGTGACAGAGTGAGACCTTGTCTCAAAGAAAAGGGGGTGGGGGGAACATACTGAAACATCTAAAAGGTAAAAAGTACCATTGAAAATGTGTCTTTAGTCAGGAACGGATGCAAAAACGGATGAGATACAGAAAAGAAAATCCAAAATACAACCAAGTTTTGAGGAAAGTCATAATACATAACAAATAAAAAATCAATGTGGCAGGTTAAATTGGACAAGAGAGGCAAGAGTCACTTTAGGATTTGAGAATTAGAATCATCATTCAGCTGGTATCATGGGAATTATTAAACATAACCTGAAAAACTAACAGAAACTGTTAAGAACCTGGTGAGAATAATTCACTTCGGAGAGATGAAGTAATGTTTCAAATATATTCCCATTACTCTAGCACCGAAAGGTAAGGAGGTTATCCAAAGTTAGAGCTTTTCATGGTTAAGAGTAATACTTAGATAACAAGTTCTTCTGTCTTTTGTCTAGTCTGACTGTTCCTGCACACATCAAACATTAAATATTTATTGAGTGGCTGATGCATGCCACGCACAGGGAACAATGATGAGTCAACCCGAATCCCCACTTCATGGCACTCCTGGTCAGATGTACAAGGTGTTAAGGGACCAGAGGGGAGACTAAATGGCATTGAAGATGAAAGATATTTGAGCAGGGGTTTGAAGGATGAACAGGAATTTGCTCAGTGAACACAAGACGTATGGGATAAAGTTCTTCAGAGAAGTGACAGAAATTGCACAAACTTCAAGAGAAAGGAATATACTCAAGAAATGGTAAGAAACTCTGTATGGTGACACAGAACAGACCTGAACGTTTACACAGAGGAGCAGGACCAGACCACGAAGGACCATATATGCACAGTAGACACAAATTACTGGATTTTATCCTACAGGCAGCTGAAGAGCCTCTGATGCCATCAAGTAAGGCAACTACATGGTCAGATTTGTGGGTGAATGGATTGAATGAAAGTAGGACTGGGCATTAAGGGCTATTACAAAAACTCTTTGTAATAATCCATGTGAAAGATAAGGCCAGAACCACTGTAGTTGCAGTGGGGAGGTAGAGGAAAGGACAGATAAGCAAGGTAGCCAGAGGAGGTAGAAATAAAGTGATTGGTGATCAATTGGGTTGAGAATGAAAGAGGAAGAAGTCAAAGATAATTCCCAGGCTTCTGACTTGAGAAGATACACCTCCATGCCAACTCATTCTATCAGCTTTCCTTTTGGACTTTGGCTCACTCAGATTGGTCACTGCTGCTTTGCCACATTCTCTTTGTCCCAAAGAATGTCCTTGAATGCTACCGACACTGGTGGCATATATCCCAAGGCAGTCATTCCCACCTCTGAGTGGCGGTGATAAGAGAGAAGCACCACTTCTTCCTCTCCCGGCCTCATCTCTACAGCCTTCAGCAACTAACAGCAGCAATCTTTTATAGAACACTCAGTTTAGTTCTGCACACAAATCATTGAAGTCAATATATAGTTATTGTGGACCTCACAGGAGAAGGCACTACGGAAAAGAGAAGCAAAGTGAAACAGCAGGTTTCTGCAGCGTTATTTATATAGTGGAGACAGGAAAACAACACGATGCAAAGCATAGGTTTTGTGGTTAGTCAGGCGCAAGTCTCAATTCCGGTTCCATTAATGTTACTGTTTTTTTTGTGACCTTGGGAAATGGGTATTGTTGAGCCTTGGTTTCCTCCTCTATAAGATATATAGATAATATTGCCTACCTCGTCTGTAAAAATTAATGAGTTAATACATGTAAAGGTCCTACCAGCATTGTGCTTAGCTTATCCAAGATTTTTTTTTAAATTAATGTCCTTCTTTATTTCTTGTCCCACTATGACTACTCAAAGACTTCGTGGCCCTAAATAGAATCCAGGCATCACTAATGAATGCTTCTCTCTATTTGTCCTCCCCCACCTCCACTGATATCTATTGTTGGACAAATGAACCTTCTAAAAGCAAAATAGGTTGATATCTATGTCAGAGACCTCTTGTAGCCTACCCAATATTCATCCTTCCTTTCATCTTTAATAGAATCCTGATTTTTCTGGGGGTAGTAGCAAAGTACCAAGCTAAAGTAGGCTCCTTACCAGGCTCCCGTGCCACTAGGGGTGGCCATATGTTATAATATGGCCAGTAAAACTGTTAGAGATTTTTTGAAAAGTTTCTGGACACAGTTTTATTCTCCCTTTGCTGTCTTCCTCCTTCCTGCTTCCTGGAAAATAGATATGATGGCTGGAGCTGCAATAGCTAACTTGCAACTATGAGGAACTATAGGACTTTGGTCTTAACATTCCTGAGCTCCTGAATCAATACTTTAACTACCTTCTATGAGACTTCTTGTCACATGAGAAAAATTAAGCCCCAAATTAAACCCCTGCCTTTTACTGTAACTCTCAATTGAGCATAATTCCTAAATGATTTAATCAATTCTACTCTACTCTGGCATGATTTTTAAGGCATTAACCATAATTTCCTTCCAATCTAAAAAGAAACTAATACTTACTGAGTATCTAGTATACATCAGATACTGTGTATATAGACATACAAATAAATATTACATATTGACTCACCAAATTCTTATAGTAACCCTGTACAATAAGTGGTAAAGCCAAGATCTGAGCTACAAGTCTGTCTGATACAGTTCACATTCTTACAGCTATCCATACTACAGCAAGGGTTATGAAAATCTGCCACTGTGAGGAACCATCACTCCCGAGACAATCTTTCTCTCTAAGTTAGAAAGGCACTTGTCCTACATCCTCTATACTGATATCAAAAATCCAACTGGTAAGCCATCTAAAAAGCATATCTAGGATTGAAAGTGTATACAGAAGGGAGACCATGAAGTGGCTGATGTGACAAGTAGTGAGACTTGCAAGATGCCTGCGGTACACCCTGCCCGAAAGCAGCTTGGCAAGGTTGATGACCTGGAAAGGAGGCTCCTTTCACCTGCATCTTCAAATCAATAAGGACCCTGAAGAAATCACATCGCACTGGAGGTAAGTGTGTAGCTGACTGCCATACTCCACCTGAGGCATGGGAGAGACAGGTTAAGGAAGGTACTCAATGTCACACACGTTCTCGCAGTCAAACCCCTATGTATGATTTTATCAGAGATTTGAAAGAGGAGCAAAAGATGATTAAAATTAGAGGTTATGTATACCACTTACAACCTATTAAAATAAAAAGTACACTCTAAATATAAATATATTTTGTAGAAGTATTACATAAATATACTTACATATAGGAATATATTTTAACCCTTTCCTCTACAAAATGAATGAGGCAACTAAAAAGACTCACAATAAATTTAAAAATTACGTCCAGGAAAAATATAGAACAGGAGCATCAGGTGAGAGGAAAATAAAGCAAGCAGATGCATATCTCATAAGGTCTTAAATAGTTACTAAAACTGAACTGTAAATTTAGGTCTGAGCTTCCCCCTAGCCAATGGAAAATGGGAAAAAACAAAGTTAGGCACAAAATTTACAATGGCCATGAGAAAAAGAGACTATTACCACCTCAAGAAAAACAAAATATTTTGTTAGTATAAAAGCAATATGACAGTGGCTCACGCCTGTAATCCCAGCACTTCAGGAGGCTGAGGCAGGCGGATCACAAAGTCAAGAGATCAAGACCATCCTGGCCAACATGGTGAAAATACATCTCTACTAAAAATACAAAAAAATTAGCTGGGCGTGGTGTTGGGTGCCTGTAGTCCCAGCTACTTGGGAGGCTGAAGCAGGAGAATCGCTTGAACCTGGGAGGCGGAAGTTGCAGTGAGCCGAGATCACGCCACTGTGCTCCAGCCTGGCAACAGAGCGAGACTCCGTCTCAAAAAAAAAAAATAAATAAAAAGCAATATGAAATTAGAATACCTAAGTAGGACTTCACATGGGAAACTATCTAATGTAGTTGACAATGCCTTAGTAACACCTCCATAATAAATATCAGTAAATTCCACACAGCAGTTTCTCACCAAGTTATTCAATCAAACTGAACAACAGTACAAGGAAGGCAATCTGTGCAGGACTAAGGCAATGAGGTAGAAATATACAGCTCTCCGATGGGTTGGTTTGAGCTAGTCATAAATGCCAGAATATCTCGATGAACAAATAAACAGCATGTTCTTCAAACTATTTTCCAAGAGAAACCATCTTAAAAAGTAGGGTTATACAACCATTTACCAACTTCTCAGCTAAAAAGTTGTGAGAAAGTTTTCATATGCTTTTTTTTAATGTAAATGGTACTTCAGTACACTATCACTGTGCTCTTACGTGTAGCATACACCAATCTTTTCTCCCTCTGCAAGTGGCATAAAAAGGCAGAAAAAGGGGCTGGGCGCAGTCACTCATGCCTGTAATCCCAGCACTTTGGGAGGCCAAGGCAGGCGGATCATGAGGTCAGGAGTTCGAGACCAGCCTGGCCGATACGGTGAAACCCTGTCTCTACTAAAAAATACAAAAATTAGCCAGGCGTGGTGTCGCATGCCTGTAGTCCCAGCTACTTGGGAGGTTGAGGCAGGAGAATCGCCTGAACTCAGGAGGTGGAGGTTGCAGTGAGCCAAGGTTGTCCAGCCTGGGCGACAGAGCGAGACTCCATCTAAAAACAACAACAACAACAACAAAGAAACCTGGCACATAGTAAGGAATGGGGCTGGCTACGCCTGGAGAAAAATGGAAAATCTACGTAAATTGTACTAAGCTAAAGTATAATTTTTTTTCTATGTATTCATGCTGGTGCACTCATGTAGGCATGTTCATAAGAAGACTCCTCAGTAGGTACAAAGTGGAATATTCAGATAATGTCAGTTAGACCAGGTGCATACCTACATGTTACTTTTCCACTGCCTGAAGATTCAGATGAAATTTATCCTTCAAGAAGGAATCTCTAGTGGTCGGAAGACATCATAAAAATGGCTGCACTTAAGCTCTCTATATAGTCTCAAGAAGTTGTAATGGTAATATAAACCAAAGGAGGACAAAATAAGGACCATTTGCCACTAATTAAAAAACAGAATTTGAAAAAAAAAAAAAAGATGGCTGTGTGAAATAGGGAACAGTTGTTCTCCCAACATGGACCTCTCACCCTGCTGATTTTGTGGTTTTTAAAGCTATAAAAGTAGAAACTGGAAACAATGACAACAAGGTGACTACCAAAGTATAAACAGAATATTATATATCGTTTTTTAAATAATAATATCTCAATTGAAGACATAAAACTAGATTTGATAAACAAAAAGCTAGTATTTCCACATTTTGATTCCTCCTTCTAAATATATATAATTAACACATGTGTATCTCCACAAACTGCAGTAACAATGTTCCAGTTCTTAGATTCTAATTGCAATCAATTGTGATCAATCAACAGATGTGTTGGGCACTTAAAGTTACATAACTTTAACAAACAAAGATTGCTAAAGTTAAATAAATATCATTGTGGTCATTTTAAGCTACCTAACTTCATCCAGCAGAGGTACAAAAGCAGCAGGTTAGCGGGTTTCTGGCAGGGAATAATTGGTGCTGAGCAACAGACTGTGTACATGAGCAGAAACATTGCATAAAACTCACATTACTGGCTTACCCACACCATATGTGCAGTTTGGATGGAAACAGGGTTGCTCTCATACACCTCACATGGTTTGGACTCACTGGCTAGGGTGAATGAACATTATGTTTCAGTGTGCTAGTTAACCCCAATGCAAGCCAGAAGAAAGCACCAGAATTATGACCTTTCAATTATAATTTTTCCAGCAAAGGTGAAGTTAGGATACAGATGTTGTGGTAACAAAAATGTACAAATTTGAAGTTACGAAAAAGACCTTCACAAACTTTGAGAAGCAGGCTGTAAGTTTATCTTGGCAGTGTTCTGGGTAAACAACCTGTGCTAATCTTACTGTAAAATAAGTCAAGATTACCTATAGACTAAAAGAAATAACAACGTATTTTTAATTGTTCTCTACCAGTGACCAAATTTATCATTTCCCAAGACAAACACTCTTAGGAAGAGCAAGAATCTTTGAAGTAATTTTTGAAGTCTGACAATTTACCTGCAAGGACCATTGAATTTTCCCCACCCAACAGGCCATAAAGCTTGATTAATCAATGCCTAAAATCTCTTCATTAAGCAGCAGATTCGCATCTCCCTTTCTCCCCTATCAAAGCATTATTTTAAAGGTTGGCATTTTGTGGCAAAACCCCAGTTCGCTTTCCAAAGAGGTAAACAGTCATGACTTCTGGGCAGGGAGGGCGCTCAAACATTGCACCTAATTCATCGACTTCATGGACTAAGAATTGAAGTTGAAGAAATCTCAGCAACATATCCTAGATCATACTTA
The DNA here is from genome assembly GCF_000001405.40 of Homo sapiens. NCBI lineage: Eukaryota > Metazoa > Chordata > Mammalia > Primates > Hominidae > Homo > Homo sapiens. The sequence continues at coordinate 7,811,501 of NC_000007.14, read as the reverse complement.
GTGAGCTAAGGAGTCCAACAAAAGTGCACTTTCTATTTTGTTATATGACCCAGCAATTCAGATGAAAATAAAGGTTGGAGAAATGCATTCTACAAAATCTTCTTACCAAAAGGTATGCTGCATAAGAGGATAAACACATCAAAGAATTAAATTTATCTGTTCAAATGACACAGTGCAATAATCTAACTATGCTTCATATCCAAAGAAATCAGAAATTAGAAAGGGTTTTATATTAGGAAAAACAAAGAATGAACAAAAATCCTGGCAAGTCTTTGATAAAATTATGTTCTCATCAGCTAATTATCATAAAGCTAGAAATTCATATCTTTAAATTAGGAGTCTCAGCATCATAGATAAAAAGAAAGAAGCGAGATGTTTAGACAAATATGTGTCCAAGCCAGTAACCCATACACTTTTGCGGGGGAAAATATGCCTTTATAAGTGATTCAATGACATTGACAGGTTGATTAATGAGAAAAGTTTGGGCCATGTGATTTCCAAAGAGATAGGAAGAATAACCTCCCAAATCACCTCACTCTTCTCCCTGCTGGAAAGGTCCCTGGGTGTCAGGGGACAGATGTTTTGACAAATTGTGGTCAGATGTGGTACTCTGTGATCAACTAATTAAGAGACCTTAAACCTAAATGAGTCAAGGGAGCAAAGTGCCAACATATCTCCTTCATGATCATTCTCAACAGACCGACTGTTTCACTATTTTACTATCACACAAAATAGTTCTTGCAAAAACTATCCTTGAGTGAATACGTTGTTTCCTCATCACCAACATTACTATCATTTAAAATATAAGATACATTCATTATAGACAAATTGGAAGATCAGAACACTGGAAAGAATGATTTAACCTATGTAGCTATCATCCCAAATGCAAGTACTCTTAATGTTTTTATGTATTACATCATCTTTTTCTGCATAGTTTTTATATAGCAGCAATCATACTGTATATACAATTTTGTATATTGCATTTTTAACTAAAATTATAAAATTAAGTACTATATCTGTATATTTTATTGAAAACTCATCATCAGTGTCATTTATAAAAACTGAAAAATATTGCACTGACTGAATATGCCATCTTTTTTAGCATACAACTTGTGGATTTAAAAGACTATTTTCTTAGAACAGAATCCTAAAAGTGGAATTACTGTCAAAGTATATTAACATCTTTATGGCTCTTAATACCTATTGCCAAAATGCTCTCCAAGAATAGTTGTACCAATTTAAACTGCCTTCAATAGCAATATCCATTATATTTGTATTTTGACTATGAATATCTTGTGTGAGTAAAGAGTTTCATAATCATCTTTGTAACCCCCCGATGCTTTAAATTAATATACTTATTATATACCATTTTGTACTAAAAAATTCTTAAAACTGAAATCCTGGCATCCACTAGAAGAACTGTTGCTATTTTTGAAATTGTTCTTGAAAATCTCCCCCTCCAGTCTCCTTTTTTCTATACTTTGAGTCCCCAATTCCTTTCTACACAAAACCCAGTTTTTAATGCAGTAATCTTATTCCATTCTTTGAGGAGTAGTAACCAAAGTCTGTATCACATGGGATTCACAAATCTCAAGGATATTTTCATTCATTTCAATAACTATCTGAAATAAAAGCAACAAGGAAACGCGTCCCTACAGAATCTGAAGGCTCCTATAGCTCTATGAAAGACATAATGGATGTATGAAAACACATCAGAAGAAGAGTGAACATGTTTTATTAAAATGTGCATCTCATACTTTTTTCAGAAAATCAAATTTTAGGCTGAGGGAAGGGAGTGGGTAGGGAAAGGGAAGATGCTGATCAAAAGGGACAAAGTCTCAGTAAGACAGGAAGAATAAGCTTTAGTAATCTAATGCACAGAATGGTGACTTTAATAAATAACAATACACTGTATACTCAAAATTGCTAAAAGAGATTTTAAATGTTTTTACCATGAAAAAAGATAAGCACGTAAGGGGATAGATTTGTTAATTAGCCTGATTTAATCATTTCACATTGTAAGCATGTGTCAAAACATCACACCGTACCCCATAAATACATGCAATTATTACTTGTCCATTAAAAATAAAAGTTTTTAAAAAGAAATGAACAAAAGAATCAACTTTTCCCTAAATTACTGAACTATGAATTCTATAATGCAGCTTCATATACAATGCAGCTTCCATACCTAGCTCAAAAGAACTCAAGCTTTTGTTTACAATTGTACAATATTCCAAAGTGACCGCTGTGTACTAAATTGAGAAGTGTGTTTGAAATTACCTGAATAAACAAAGTCCCTTAAATCCTTCCTTTACCTACTAGAAATATCATGCCCCTAACAATTTTAGCAAAACAGTTTTTATTGTTATTGCTACTACCTTAATTACTATTTCTGCTACTCTATTAAATTTGCTAGTACAAATTGGCCATAAGATTGTTTTACCTCTTCATTAAGAAATTTATATTAAATATGCAATAAGTTACTTTGGTAACAGAAGTTGGGGGAAGGTGTTAGTGCCAGTTTCTTAATATAAATAATTTTTGTGTCTTCTGTCAGTATAACCACAGGAGTATCTCAATACCACCAGCTGATAATAATCTTTATAAATCCTACTTTGCAGCTCTACCATCTGTTAGTTATTATTTTATATGTGTCTCCATATGCATATGTGAATTCGTTATCACTCAAGACAAATACACAAATGGAATTATGGTTTTGTGGGGAGCATTTTATTGGCTTGTTTTTGTATTTTATTATCTTTAAGCCACTAAGTAAATAAAAATAAGTAAATAAAAATATCCCTCAGTCTTTGAGATCAAAAATAAGTTCAAATTTTTAAAAAACTGCAGTTACAAATACAAGAAATTTAAGTTCAACCAACACTTAAAATAAACAACCTAAAAATATCTGCTAAAACTAGATTAAAATTCAGTCACCAAAATTAGACATAGTTATATTAAAAACTAAAACTAACATTCTCGATTCCCAAAATACACCTTAAAGCCAAAAAGAACAGGTCCGCTGGTAAATTATTAGCTAATACGGTTCCAGTTTTCACAATATAAAACACTTTCCAAGACTACAAATTGAAAAAGAATGACGACTTGCTTACATGTAATGTTTATTCTCTTAAGAGATGAGTCATAATGGCAAAAACTCAAAACTGGGCCCCTACAGGTTTATCTCCCTGAGCTGTAAGTTACAGGCTCCAAGACTAGTAGAACACAGTAGAAGTAGATGCAACATCATTACAACTCACTATCAAAATTTACCCAGAAGGGCAAGAAGGAAAAAAGAAGAATGAAAAGGATGTGTCTAATCCTTTAATTGGATAATTAGGTTGAATTGTAACTCTTCCCTCAAATATCAGAGTCTAATGACATTAATTTTAATAAGCCCAAACATGGATTTATACACATTCACTCTCTCCATACCAAAAACATGGTGAACTTTGTTAAAAGTTACAAATGACTCTTAAAACACAGAGTAATGCACAACTTAGTAAAAATCACATTTTGATGATTAGATAGTTCAGTGACGTGTCTCCTAAAGTTACCCTATTTTAGGTGATAATATCTTAGGATGATACATAGGAAACTATGATGTAGATGCAGTATTAATTAATTTATTATTGAGAGAAACCTGAAACTACCTAAACAGGGAGGTGAAGAAGAGACAAACACTACTTCAGGAAGTACTGAAAACTTTCGATTTTTCTGGAGTGAATGCTAAATTATCATCACTTTCATGAACTGCAAAGTCTCTCAAATTACTTAATACAAATACGCTGTTTTCCATAGACAATCATTCGTGTAAATGCGCTAAAATATCCCATAATCTAGCTCTGTAAAAACTAACCTATTTGATGCCCAAACCAGATCTTTTTTAAATTCTATTCCATCTAGATGTTAGAATTTCCATAAGGTCGAGAGATGTACTTGAATGGAGAACACAGTTTTGAAATATACTTGGGCTATGACGTGTAATGAAAAATATCACAGACACTTAACAAATATTTTAACTGTCATTAAAATTACAATGTAGCATAGGCCACGCTACATTCATTTCATTTTTTAACCCCTTATTACCAGCCATTGAGATTCACGTGTGTAAAGCAATTTCACATTAGGATTTGCTTCTGTATTTCTAAAATGTTCTTAATGAAGAATTTCATTTCCCAGGAACTTCTTAATCATAAAAAATTAATCATACAAGTAGACAAAATTATTCATAGTTTAAAGCTCATCTAATGCATGATGCCTTTTTTGACTCCCCCAGACAATATCCTTCTTCCATCGAAATCTCACAGCTACCTTTGTAGTTATGACGCGTAAGGAACTTATTTTATTTCACTTTACAGTACAGTGATTTGCTAAATTTTCCACAAATAGATGGAGAATTCCTGCATCAGTAAGTCAGAGTCACTGGGTCTTAGGTATCTTTGTATCCTCCCTACCACCATGTCTAACACAATCCCTTGAAACTAAGAGGCAATCTATATGTTTATCTGAACTTGCCAAAAGAAACCTCTTTCGGTATACTAAAAGCCACCTTCTCCAAAGGTTCTTAGAAAACTGAGCTATATTTTGGCAACTACAAATGTTATTTTTAAGCTTTATGGAACCCATGCTAATTTACTAATTATGTTCTCGTTATAGAGAATATTTCAACATTGCTTAGTCATTAAAAATTAAAATAATTAGAGGCTTTCCAGTTAGCAAATAGTTATGATTTCTTAATCAGATGTATATATATATTTAAAGCTAACTGAATTTATTAAACTTTTCCCTGCTAATGTAGTAAGAGTGCCAAAAATAATGTAAATTAACAGATTTTTAAATGGATAACTCCAAAGAAATGCAAGAAAATTTTTTTATGGTGAGAAAAGATACAACTGTCTGTTTATTATGTAAAGTAGAAAACAGAATTTAATAAAGATAAGTGGATTATTTATTTTTCATTTATCTACCCAGAAATCATTGACAGGGCATTTATGTTACATCACATATGTCTAACAGTGTGATAGTTGCTGAGGTCATAAAGCTAATTAAGCTATAGCCCCTGCCTTTCAAAAACCTGCACTATAGTGAACTCATAAAAGACAATCTAAGCATTAAGAGGACATTGGGGTTGTCTCTGGCTGGGGGAGCAGAGAAAAGGGTTCACAAAGGAAGTGACATTAGAACAGGGTTCAAGGTTTCAGCTGCATTGTGCAGGTTTCAAGGGATTTTAGAGGGGGGAAGTAAAAAAAAAAAAACCCTGCTGTTCTTTTTTAGAAAGAGATTTGGGGAAGAAACTGCTCATCTAATAATAGTCTAGTGAACAGATGAGGACCTAGTTGGTGTAGGAGAAACCACATTTGGAAGATATTTGATAGGCAGAAACATTAGGCCTTGGTTATAGATTTAATGAGGGAGTGAGAAGAAGGAGTCAAAATGACATTTAGGCCTTTAACCTGGCAGATGGACAAAGACATTAAATAAAATCTAGATGATCAGTTAGCAAGTACTTATTGGGTAACTTCTGTGTACCAGACACTATTCTAGACATACAAAGTTTGTTTTCATTCTAGTCAGGAGAAGCAGATAGCAAATGAATAATCCGACATAGTGATTAAGTGTAATGGAGAAAATAAGACAGAGTTATGTGACAGTGACTGGGGGAAGGACACATTAGCTGAGGTAGTCATGAAAAGTGACACTTGAATGATAAGGAGGAAGCCAAGTGAAGCTCTGGTTTAAAAAATGACTAGCAAATACAAAGCCTGAGATAGGAAAGGGCTTAACATCATCAAGAGACAGAACGGCAGGTGGCTGGTGGATGGGGATGGGGAGAAAAATGAGATTAGAGAGAGTATGGAGTTCCTTGTAGCCCACTGCAAGGAGCTTAGCATTTATTCTAGTTACAGTAGATAGAGCTTTTAAGCCAAGGAGTGATGTGATCTGACATATTTCTGTCTGCTATGTGGAGAATGGGCTGGAGGAGAAAGAATGGGGCCCTAGTAAAAGGGGTGGCTTAGACTGTTCTAACAGTGATGACGTTGAGCAGCAGTCACATTCCGGATATAGAGGGCAAGATGGCAGGACTTGCTGATAGACTGGATGTGCAGTGTGAGGGAAAGACAGGAGCCAAGGGTACCTCAGGGGGAATTGGTTCTAAATCACTATATAGATATAGGGTGGTGATATTAAACAGGAATGATTAAAACTTGGGCACAGAGAGGCTCCAGGGTGGTGGGGCCAGGTATCAATAGTTCTTCTATGGGTTAAGGAAAGGCTGAACTGTGTAGAAATTTGTAAGTGAAATGTTACATAGGCAGTTGGGTACAGAGTCTAGAACTCAGGGGAGAGGTCTAGGTAGAGACATATTTTAGGAGTCATCAACTTCTACACAGAATTTAAATCGAGGAGGCTGGATAAGACTCATTTTTGACTATATCTAGGTAGTATATGAAGGGTAGCGAGCGTTCAGCAGTGTTTTCACTTTTGTTTTGTTTTGTTTTGTTTTGTTTTGTTTTCTTGAGAAGGAGTTCCGCTCTGTCGCCCAGGCTGGAGTGCAGTGGTGTGATCTCGGCTCACTGCAACCCCCGCCTCCCAGGTTCAAGCAATTCTCCTGCCTCAGCCTCCCAAGCAGCTGGGACTACAGGCGCAGGCCACCGTGCCCAGCTAATTTTTTGTATTTTTAGTAGAGACAGGGTTTCACCATGTTAGCCAGAATGGTCTTGATCTCCTGACCTCATGATCCGGCTGCCTCAGCCTCCCAAAGTGTTGGGATTACAGGCGTGAGCCACCGCACCCGGCCTCATTTTTGTATTTTATTTTATTTTTGGAGATGGAGTCTCGCTCTCTTGCTCAGGCTAGGGTGCAGTGGCACAATCTTGGCTCACTGCAACCTCCGCCTCCCAGTTTCAAGCAGTTCTCCTGCCTCAGCCTCCTGAGTAGCTGGGATTACAGGCGCACGGCGCCAAGCCCGGCTAATTTTTTGTATTTTAGTAGAGATGGGGTTTCATCATGTTGCCCAGGCTGGTCTTGAACTCCGGAGCTCAGGCAATCCACCCACCTTGACTTCCCAAAGTGCTGGGATTACAGGTGTGAGCCACCACGCCCAGTCTCATTTTTGTATTTTAAAGGGGAGGAATAACAAATCCCATGTTAGATGCTTACTGTCAAGGTAAATTACTATTTGGCTTTTCTGTGGCAAAACATATATAGCCTCTAGAAGTATTTTATTGTTTTCCTCTTGCATTGCGATTTAACCCTGTGGTCTCATTTATAGTCTCCCACTCCACTTTTCTTTTTTTCTACATTAGTGAGCTGTCTGATAGCAAACACTGTCCTCTCATTGCCCAGCCGGTACTTGCATAGAAGGCACTTTTGAAACATCTGTTACTGCATGAGTATGTACATCCAGCCTTAATGATTAACAACTGACTATATTAATAGAGAGACTAGAAAGTAGCACAATAATGAGCTTGTTTGAAAGCTCTGTGGATTGTAATCTTAAAAGCATCTTTCCTTAAGAATTAGTCTTGGAATTCTTTCTATCAATGAATCAACTTTGAAAAATAGTCAAGTTCTGCAGACATTTCCAATGAATCACATAACTAAGTGCTATGGTCTGAATGCTTTGTGTCCCTCCAAAATTCGTATGTTGAAACCTAATCCCCAAGGCGACTGTATTAGGGGGTGGGAGGGGAGAGCCTGCATTAATGGGATTAGTGCCCTTATAAGGGGCTGAAGAGACTAGAGTTCTCCCTTTATCATGTGAGGACACAGCCAGAGTGCAAACCAAAAAAAAAAAGGGCCCTCACCAGACACAAATCTGCCAGCACCTTGACCTTGGCCTTTCCAGCCTCCAGAACTAAAGAAATAAATTTCTGTTGTTCATAAGGTATCCAATTTATGGTATTTTGCTGTAGCAGCCCATATAAAAGAAGACACTAAGCAACGAAACTCAAGTAATTGTGGATGATTTTTGAACCATCCTGGTGGTTATCTCCCAAATCCCAAACATATCAACTTTTATTTCCTATCAGAGATGCTACTTATGGCCAGCACTCACTAAATGTTTCTGCTGCCCAGGCTGGGAGCCTTGAATTCCCGGGCTCAAGCAATTCTCCCACCTCAGCCTTCTGAGTAGCTGGGACTACAGGCATGTGCCACCACACTCAGCTAATTTTTAAATTTTTTGTAGAGATGAGTCTCTCAATGTTGCCCAGGCCGGTCTCAAACTCCTAGCCTCAAGCAATCCTCTTTCCTTGGCCTCCCAAAGCACAGGGACCACAGGTATGGGCCACTACGCCCAGCCTCACCAAATGTTTGAATAAATGAAAGAGATCAAGTTGCTTCAACATATAAGATGGACATTTTTCTATGTCCTTGTGTCCTATTTTCACCATTATATATTCAGCTCCATGCACAGTATCTTGAGTACGGTCAGTGTAATAAATACTTGTTGCATGCATAAGTGAAAGAATGAATGCACAGTTTCATGAGAAAGATGATTTTCTTCCTCCTCATGAATTTACTTCCTATATCACATCTTTAAATAAGATGTTTTAAATAGGATGATTTTTCCTTGATTGCAAAATATTTGTTCACGGTGAAAAATATAAATATAAAAAATAAAAATATCTCTTAAAAGTATATTAGTCTCTACTTATTACTCATGATTGTACTGACTTATTCATTTAACAAATCTTTTCAACTACCTACTGTGGGCTAGGCATTAGGGAACCATGGTGAATCACACTGGCCAGGTCTCTGACCTCCCTCTAGTTGTATGCAGCAATACCCTCATATGCTACAACTAGAATACAGGTAGAGGTGTGTCACTACGTAGAAAGTTTCACATTTCAAGATAATCCTTCCACCCTAGTACTTAACATTCCCCTTAAGTCTTAAAGATGATTATTTTGGTGATTAAATAATGTTAGTATATTTCTATATAGTTTTCAAAAGTATCCTAACTACATTTTCATGTAAACTCTTAGAGAGCAAATAGTTTTCTCATGTGAAAAAGAATAAATACCCTAGTTTTTCTACAGAATACTTTCAAGGAGTGTACTTTGATGCTGGAACTAGTAAGGCAACGGGATTTTGAATGGATTTTTTTTTTTTTTTTTGAGACGGAGTCTCGCTCTGTCGCCAGGCAGGAGCGCAGAGGCGCGATCTAGGCTCACTGCAACCTCCACCTCCGGGGTTCAAGCGAGTCTCCTGCCTCAGCCTCCCAAGTAGCTGGGATGACAGGCACATGCCACCATGCCCAGCTAATTTTTATATTTTTAGTAGAGATGGGGTTTCACCATGTTGGCCAGGATGGTCTTGATCTCTTGACCTCGTGATCTACCCGCCTAGGCCTCCCAAAGTGCTGGGATTACAGGCGTGAGCCACTGTGCCCGGCTGAATGGATTATTTTTAAGCCTTTCTCTACAAGTTAATATACTGCCTATTTATTGAAATATATTAGTACATAATCACTCAATTAAAAATAGTTTAAATGTTTTAACTTAAGGACTTGATTTCTGTTTTGTTTTGTTTTTAACAGAAAGTTTTCATTTCTAGCACTAAAGGAGTTTAGCACTTGGGAAGGCACTCCCTGTACTGCTCTCCACTGACTTTCAGCAGACCACTTGTTTCCCTGTATTCAGGCACCTATGGCATAGCAAGAGCAGAAGTTACTATTTATCCTCGGAGGCATAAGTAATCATAGTGACTTGTTCAGTTTCACCGAAAAGGACTTACTCTGTTTCACTTACCTCCAAAGGTTGGTTGGCCTCTATGTCCGAAGTTTTGCCTCTTGCTGTCATTCTTTGCTCATCTGTTGTATCTCCTATGAAGTAAAATATATGTCTATTTTTAAAACTTGACCATATTACTGAGGCCAAACTACTTGCTATTTGTTTGAAGTATCTTTTGTTATTATATGTTTCACATCATGGAAGAAACCACTATTTCCCTTGTTTCAAAGTAAACAAGCTAACTTTTTAAGAACAGTAATTATAAACAGGTCTCATATATCATTCATAAATACATACACACACAACCTAAATGTATCCTGTTTTATCTAGATTTACTCTGGAAAAATCAAATAAATTCATATTTTATAAATCAAGTCATATTTCAAACAAACTTGGAAAGCTTATGACTTAAGGCAAATTATGTTGAAATAAAAACTCTTTTATGATATGGATAACTGTCCTCCAAGTTAGTTTTTCATAAGGCTTACTCTTTGTAAGCGTTTGTGGATTTGCCTTGGAGTAGATGTGTATGTTTATATGTAATAATTAACCAGATGACAGATAATCCTTACAGCAGGAAAGAATAATGAACAAATGCATAAACTAGCCTTCACTTAATACTTTGATTCCTAAGGCTAGTGCCTGACTGGGTTACATTACTAAATGAAGTTGGTGAGTAGGCTGGCTTGAAGGACACAGGATAGACACAAACACACTTGGGTAAGTATAAGCAGAATTTCATAATTGGCCCATTTTAATTTATTAATTATCACTAATGGTTTGTGATTAACACATGATAGAGACTACCTATTAGCCTACTTCTTTGAAGCATAATCAGACGCTAATTTAGCCATTTGTAAATTGCTTTTTCTATAAAATTGGGCAATCTTAGGAATGTCCACAGCAGGGAAGATTACCAAAGAAATGGATGATGGCTTAGCTGACACTAATGGTTAGAAATTTGTTAATGTAAGGAAAAGTCATGAGTCTTGACTGGAGATAAAGTATGAAAATCTTGTCTAAGCTTAATTTCTCCATATGCAACACAAAAGTTTAGTTTACTCATGGCTATAATCAAGGAAAAGTCTCATGAAAATTGTGAAGGATTTAATATAAGCCTGTTGATAAGAATGATACATTAGACTTTGGGGACTCAGGGGAAAGGGTGGGAGAGGGTGAGGGATAAAAGACTATACTTTGGGTATAGTGTACACCGCTCAGGTGATGGGTGCACCAAAATCTCAGAAATCACCACTAAAGAACTTACTCATGTACCAAACACCATCTGTTCCCCCAAAACCTATTGCAATAAAAAAAAAGTGATTAAAGTAATAAAAAATATTTATAAGCCTGTTAAATTATAAAATCATGAAACAAGAACTAAATTGGTAGCTTATATATTTAAGATAAATTAACCCACAAAATGTTTACAATGCATATTCCACCCTATTACTTTGTTCTCTGTTTTGTGCAACATTATTATTGTTGGGCAGGGCCCAGCACACAATAGGTGTTCAATAAACATTAGATGAATAAATTAGTGAACTTCTCTTTGTAGTTGATGGTAAAACTGTGACAAGGCCAGGCATGGTGGCTCACACCTGTAATCCCACCACTTTGGGAGGCCAAGGTGGGTGGATCACTTGAGGTCAGGAGATCGAGACCAGCCAGACCAACATGGTGAAACTCCGTCTCTACTAAAAACACAAAATTAGCTGGACATGGTGGCACATGCCTGTAATCCCAGCTACTCAGGAGGCTGAGGCAGGAGAATCACTTGAACCCAGGAGGCGGAGGTTGCAGTGAGCCGAGAACGCGCCATTGCACTCCAGCCTGGGGAACAACAGCGAAACTCCATCTCAGATAAAAACAGTGACAAGATAAGACTTTATGATACATAATAAAAATTATATTTGAGCATACGTGTTTGTAAAAACATATTTGTGAGGCAAAAGAAATCCCCTATGTCTGAAAGTGAGGGATAAGAGAACCTCCAATTTACACTGGAAAAACCAATGCATGAGGAGTTTGGTTTGCTTAGCTACAGGCATGAGACCACAGGAACCTGAGTGGACAAGGTGATACAAATGTCTGTACAACAAGGTCAACGTTGTGTTTAACAATGCACATGCACGATGTTTCTAAGAAAATACGTATAACGCACTATAAAAAGTCCTTTACTCGAAGAAATATTATTTATCTTTTAAAAAGATTACTATTCCATCCATCACACAAACACTATATTTGGTTAAAATCATGCAGCACAAAGTCCTTCCTTCGCCATTTTCTGATTTCGAGGTGTGTATCTACACAAAACTTTCTCCCTGCTGCTTGAAAAACCAGAAAGGTTATCAGCCAGCGTTCTTAACTTCACACAACACATCTGCCTGGAAGCAATTGCAGAATCACTGTTTACTGAAATGCCATGTCTGGCGATGACTCAGATAGGACAATAAATGATTACAAGGAAAATTGCCATCTGCAAGATTGTTTCTCTGTAAACAAAGGCATAAAAATGAAAGCTGAATAAACAACAAACAGAAAAGAATGGGTCACAATGAAATACAATTTTTGAAGTTTTTTTTCCACCCCTTGAAGAATTATTTTATTATGGTAAAAATTCAGTTATTTTCTATATTTTCTCTAATCCATATAAAAGTTAAATACTATAAAAATAAATAAGCAAAAATGGGTATGAGAAATATGAAATAAGGTACTTAAGTTTTCAAATATCAGTTAACTCTAATTTATATCTTGGATAGATAAAAAAATTTCATTTGCAACTCAGACATTTCAACAAAAACAAAAACACTGACAATTTCATAATACCTTACCTTTCATATAGGCTTTTAAAAAACATCAGATTTGATTACTGTTGGGCAAGCACAGTAAGATAACTCTGCCCACCCCCAATTTACAGGAGAGTGAAACCTAAGGGGCAGAGGCACTCAGTGACCTGCCCAAGGTCTCCCACATAGAAAGCAGTCACAATGGGAGCAGAACCCAGTCTCTTGACATCTCTGGGGACTCTGTGGTCTGGTGAACGGTTCCAATGCATGAGGGCCAAGGTGGGAGGAAACTAGACTCTGAGTTAGGGAACAGGGTGTGAAGAGAGGAGCCAAGGGCTCTGATAGGGAGCTCTGAAGGCAGGATCTTGTGCCTTCTGGTCCTGCAGACAGTTTTCATTACTCCTTTTTGCTTCTATAGGCCCCATAGATTATCTGTTTTCTTCCCTTTTCAATGGTGACATCAAATACTTCTGACTGATGCAAGACTTTATTCTTCCTTCTGCTCCTTCAAAGCAAATACACAGTTCCCTTCATATTTTTCAGGAAGTTTTTAAGGCTGGAAACAATTTTACAAGATGTAAAAATTATCCTTATAGTACAGCCATGCGATTTTCTTTGTTTCAAATGTAGTTTTTATTTAGAGTGAGTAAATGATAAAGGCTACATATACATACTAATGAAGCTCTTTCAGAACTTAAAGGACTGATGTGAAACTCATCTATATTTTAGACGAGGGGTTGGCAAATTTTTTTTGTAAAGGGTCAGATAGTAAACATTTTAGTCTTTGCAGGTCATAAGGTCTCTGTCACAACTTCACAACTCTACCATTGTAGTCACAAGCAGTCATAGAAAATATGTAACCTAATGTGTGTGGCTGTGTTCCAATAAAATTTTGTTTACAAAAACAAGTGGCAGCCTGTAGTTTTCCAGTCTGTATTAGAGAAATATATGTCTTCCATCATTTCCGGGATAAAAAGTTGAATGATGGCCAGGCACGGTGGCTCACGCCTATAATCCCAGCACTTTGGGAGGCTCAGGCAGGTGGATCACTTGAGGTCTGGAATTCAAGACCAGCCTGGCCAACATGGTGAAACCATCTCTAACAAAAATACAAAAATTAGCTGGGGGTGGTGGCATGTGCCTGTAACCCTAGCTACTGGGGAGGCTGAGGCAGGAGATTTGCTTGAACCTGGGAGGCAGAGGTTGCAGTCAGCCAAGATCACACCACTGCACTCCAGCCTGGGCAACAGAGTGAGACCTCGTCTCAAAAAAAAAAAAAAATGTTGGATGATGTTTTAGCTATATAAGGATGTGAGAAAGGAATGGTCATTAGAGTATCATCATGATCCCATTCTACTGGGTGAGGATGGTTGAGGGGAGAAATAATGCTGAAGAGTGAGCACTATGTATAAAGGAAATTGGACAGGACAGAAATTTCCAGTGATGGGAGAAGAACCAAATACCTACTTAGGTCACCCAGAGGAGGCTTGTCTGAAGGGGTTGGTGGTAGGTGGGTGATGGGGCAGACACTTGGTTCCCACTCCTTAATGTAACCATAATAGGTTCATTGTTCATGCATGTGGTAAGTCAATACACTGAGTGGTATGATTTGGATGTGTGTCCCCTCCAAAACTCATGTTGAAATGTAACCTCGAATGTTGCAGGTGGGCCTGCTGGGAGGTGTTTGGGTCATGGGGACAGATCCCTCATGAAGTACCCTCCCTGTGGTAATGAGTTCTCACTCTATTAGTCCATGTGAGAGGTGGTTGTTTAAGAGTCTGGCATTTCTCTTGCTTCCACTCTTGCCATGTGACATGCTGGTTTCCCTTCACCTTCTGCCATGATTGTAAGCTTCCTGGGGCCCTGACCAGAAGCAGTTGCCAGCATCATGCTTCCTGTAGAGCCTGCAGAACCCTGAGGCAAAATAAACCTCTTTTCTTTATAAATTACCCTTCTCAGGTATTCCTTTATAGCAACATAAACAGACTAATACACTGAGACACTGGGCTGCAGCAGAAAAAGAACTTTAATCTTAGGGCCACCAAATGAGGAGACATGAAGAAAGCTCAAATCTTTTCCCCAGAGGAGTTTGGGGGTAGGGTTTTTAAGGGTTTTGGAGTGGGCCAAAGTGTGGAGACCACTGATTGGTTGAAAATTGTGGGGTGAAGTCATGGGGCAGGGAGATGAAGAAACGGTATTCTCTTGCTGATTTGGTTCCTCTGTGGGGGTCTTTAAACTGGTTGGTGTTAGTTGTTCCACTAGAATCCAGGATCTGCTTAAGTAATTCTTCACCAAGAGCTTATGATTCTAGTGTCAGGGACACTATCTTGAACGAAAACCAGAATCCTATCTATAGGAACAATGGGGATACAAATGGTCAGTATCTGGTGTTACATAAATTTTGGTTACAAAGAAATGGGTCGGCCGGGCACGGTGGCTCACGCCTGTAATCCCAACACTTTGGGAGGCCGAGGCAGGCGGATCACCTGAGGTTGGGAGTTCGAAACCAGCCTGTCCAACATGGAGAAACTCCGTCTCTAATAAAAATGCAAAATTAGCCGGGTGCGGTAGGGCACGCCTGTAATCCCAGCTACTCGGGAGGCTGAAGCAGGAGAATCACTTGAACCTGGGAGGCGGAGGTTGTGGTGAGCCGAGATTATGCCATTGCACTCCAGCCTGGGCAAGAAGAGCGAAACTCCATCTCAAAAAAAAAAAAAAAAAAAAAAAAGAAAGAAAATAGAAATGGGTCAAAGTACAGCCAGAAGAATGCTTAAGTATATCTATATATTTCTGTTCAGAATTCCTGTTAACCCTGTGAGGTCACTTGCCTTATGCTTCCTTCAACATGGAGGAAATTCCATTAACATTCACTCCAGGCCTCTCTCCACTCTCCTGTCCACTGGTTGTTGCATTTGGGAGGACTTGGCCACAAGTGGTTCTGTCCCCTTGTCAGAGGCCTTTGAACCAGTGACTCTATCTTGAATAGGATCTGGATAAAATGAGGCTTAGACCTGCTGGGCCACATCCCCAGGAGGTTAGACATTCTTAGTCACAGGATGGGATATGAGGTCACAAGATAAACATCACAAACACCCTGCTGATAAATGAAGATGCAGTAAAGAAGGAAGCCAAAACCAAAATGGTGATGAAAGTGGCCTCTGGTCATCCTCAATGTTCATTATATGCCAATTATAATGTATTGGCCTGCTAAACAATACTCCCACCAACGTCATGACTGTTTACACAACATCCAGAAGTTACCCTATAAGGTCTAAAAGGAAGAGAAACCCTCAGCTCTGGGAAATCCCTGCCCCTTTCCTTAAAAACTCATGAATAACCCATCCTTGTTTAGCATATAATCAATAAATAACCATAAAAATAGCCAACCAGCAGCCCTCGCAGCTGCTCTGCCTGTGGGGCAGCCATTCTTTTACTCCTTTACTTGCTTAATAAAGTTTCTTTCTTCACTCTGTGGACTCACCCCAAATTCTTTCTTGCAGGAGATCTAAGAACCCTCCCCAAGATCAGGATTCCTTTCCAGTAACTTCTCCTTCCCTCTCTCTTAAGAATCAAGGAACACAGGCAGCATGTTGCTGTCTGCTCTGATCCTCCACAGAAACATCCTCCCACTTGGGGAAAAGCCTGACCAGCTCAGCATATTCTGTAACTGAGTGGAACTAGCTGACAAAAAAGCCAAGCTCTGTAAAATATTTGGAGAGGTTTATTCGGATCCAATGTGTGTGTCCATGACCCAGGAAACAGTCTCAGGAGGTCCTGAGAAAGTGTGCCTGAGACGGTCAGGTTACAGTTTGGTTTTATATATTTTAGAGAGAAAGAAATTACAGGCAAAGACATAAGTCAATACATGTAAGGTATATATTGGTTCAGCCTAAAAAGTTGGGATATCTCAAAGTAGGGGTTCTTACAAGTCATAGTTGGATTCAAAGATTTTCTGATTGGCAGTTGGTTGAAGGAGTTCAGCTTTGTCTAAAGACTAGAAGTAAATGCTTGAGTTAAGAAAAAGGGCATTGTGGAAGCCAAGGTTCTTGTTAAGTAGATGACGCCTTCAGGTAACAGCCCTATAGAGAATATCCTAAGCGTCTCTCTTCAGACCTTAAAGGTGTCAGCCTTTCATTTCATCTCTCCTAGATCTGGGAAAGATCTAGAAAGGGAAGGAGATTCTCTACGGATGTAATCTCCCCCACAAAAGACAGCTTTGCAGGGCCATTTCAACGTATGTCAAGGAAATATATTCTAGGGTAAAATATTTTTATTTCCTTCAGGGTCTGCTATCTGTCATGAGGTCCTATACCAGTGTCAGGTTGCAATTTGGTATCTTACTGCTACAAAGAGTCTGTTTTGTCAGTCTTATAATCTCTCTTTTAACATTAATGCTAGTCAGTTGCTCCTAAACTCCAAAAGGGAGGGGGTATACCAAGATCTCTCCTGTCATAATGGGGAATTCAGTTTTTGAGGCCCAGAGGGGGTCCGTTCAGTCTGTTGTGGGGGTTTAGGATCTTACTTTTGGTTTACACACTCAACCTAATTCTGGGATTCCGATTAGGACGCCCTTTTGCTCCCTGTTATAAGCCACATTCTTCAACACCAGCTTTATAGGCAATAAAGATGAGAGTTTGGTCTCCATCTGTTCCTTTTTCCTCCCCTCAATTGGCCAGATCTCATCTGGGGAAGAGGGCTGTTATTATTGGCATGCCCTTGAGCCCAACAAGACTGGAAATGGGCTGTTGTGGACTGGGTTGGAGCCTGTCTGCATGCAAAGGGCTGTGAATACAGAAAACTGTTTTTCTTTTTCTTTTCTTTAATTAAAGATGATTTATCTAGAACTCTGTATCTGAGAATGCAATCTATGAAACACTGGTTCCAAGGGGTTCACATGGAAAAAAATATTTCTATGGTCAAAAATATGAGAAAAACCTTCAGAATGCAAGTTCTCTTCCAGTTGATTTCCTAATGCACTTTAGCATCTAAGAAATTCTGCAGTGATGAAACTTAAAAAAAAATTTTTTTTCGAAGTGTATTTGACTGTGGAGCCATTTTATTCATCTGACACCTATTAAACATCTTGCAGAGCTTCATTAACACACCATGGGAAATGCTGATATAACATTTCTAAAGTTAAATTTGGTTATAAAATATATTCTTTTCATCTGACTCTTCGGAAGACTCTCTATATGGCCAAATTTATTTGCTTTTGGACATTCATTTTAGACAATGCTAACCCACACTTTTTTCCTTTCAATGTTTTTTCATGGCTGCCTTTTAATTCATGACTCCCTGTTAATGCATTTGGGGCAGACTAGCAGTATGTGACTGCATTCTGCTACACGATTCTGATTCCAGAATAGTTGATAATCTATAAAGAAGAAAAAGATAGCCAGGCACCTTGAAGACACAGGAGAAAGCCCCAGTACTTAAAAATATCTCCCCCACAAATTCCACCAATTAGAGATTCATTAGGGTTAATGAGCTCGCTTTTAAAATGCAAATACCCTCTGGGAGTGTTTGCCTATTAGTCATTCACCAAGTGAAGTAGTGGAAAGAACAGGGGAATGGCCACACCATTAACTCCTTTTCATTCTTCAGTCACACTCATTATTCTAGGCAGCCTGGCACTGTGGAAAGAGAATGGATTTGAAATCTGACAGAACTCTACCCAAATCCTCTACCAAATCTATGACCTTGTACAAGTTACTTCTCAGTGCCTCAATTTCCTCATCTGAAAAATGGGAATAATGATACATACTAAGGCTGTTATAAAGATTAAATGGGAAAACATATTAGACACTAATTGCAGAGAAGGATGGGAAGCCGGGGTAAGGTCTTGGTTTCGACTGCTATTCTGTCTTTGCGTGTAGCAATTAGCGACACGCTCGTTCAGCATCAGAGAATCTATGGACTGAAAGTGTGTGTCCTCCCCGATCCCTGCAAAATTCGTATATTGAAACCTAATCCCCAGTGTGTTGGTAGTAAGAGGTGGAGCCTTTGGGAGGTCATGAGGTCATGAGGATGGAGCCCTCACGAGTGATTAGTGCCCTTAGAAGGGGTTGAAGAGAGCTGGGCTGTCCCCTTCTGCCATGTGAAAATGAAGCAAGAAGATGCCTTCTACGAACCAAAAAGTGCGCCCTCACCAGACTCCAAACCTGCCAGCATCTTGATCTTGGACTTCTCAACTTCCAGAACTGCGAGAAATAAATTTCTGTTGTTTGTAAGCCACGCGGTTTATGGTATTTTGTTATAGCAGTCCAAACAAACTAAGACAGAGAGGATGGGAGGGGAAGGCCCGTACATGTAATCTTATTAAATGCTCTGGCAGCATTGTGAGGTAGGCTTTATTGCATTCATGTAACAGAGGCAGACCTGGTACTAAAACCCAAGTCTGTTGAAAATGACAAATTATTCCATAATATCATGGTGCTTCCCATTACTTATCAAAGCTTGAGTTAAGTTAACCAATTCAGTTTTAAACACATTACATTTAAATCTCTTCCAATTCAGTTTAGTTTCCCCTCCTACTTTTTCTAATTCTGTCCATTTAATCCCTGTCTGTTTTCCACCATAATGAAGAAAAGAGGAATAGAGAGAAAACAAAAGTACTAATTGGTTAAGACATGGCTTGCCCAGGAGCCTGGTCAGGATTCTGTTGACAACTGTTATAACCTCAAAGGAAAATGAGCCAAGAACAGGAACAGCTAAGCCATAGAGGAAGGAATGCAGTTAGCAAACAAATATAGGAAAGGGTACAAGCTGACTGTGAATTAAAGAAAAGCAAATTAAAATGGCACAGAGCATGTAATAAATTAGCATACCAAAATTATTAACACCCGAAATTGGCAAAGGAAAGAATTGGCACATGCAAAGTGAATGCTCAATAAACATCTGTTGATTTGACTGTAGGTGGGAGAAGGACAGTAAGAAAGAAAATGCTGCATACACACTCACTAAGAGCTAATAAAAAGAATTACAAACGATTGCTAAAATATAAAGAAAGTTTCAAACTAAGAGTTCACCAGAACAGGTAGTCTACGTTAAAATATATTAGTGTGAATTTTCATACATATTTCTATACAACTTTTAGGCACCATGTTAGATTTTAAATGTGATTGCTGTTCGAATCATACAGCTCAAAAACATGCTTACTACTTTAAAAGCATTGGGCCACACTGAATAGTTAAGCATGCTTAATCTGGAAAGTAAGAACACCAACAAATCTAAATGAGGTCATATCCACCGGTCAGTCCTACCGGTCTGCTCTTAATTAACTTGTCTTGGGCTTCACTGATGTCCTTAGTTCTCAGTCTTGTTACTTTGTAGCTATGGGGTAATAATTTTTCTGGAAGATCTTGACGGAACCCCAAAACATCAATTTAGCCGTTTAACACTTTGTTAAAAACAATTCTTACTTCCAGGCTGGAAGACTAGAAACTGAAAAGGCCAAATTAATTTTGTATATGTACATTTGTACAATACTGTATTATGCTGTACAAATCTGCATCTTGAAAGATTTTGTGTTGTTGCTGCTGTTAATATCTTTCCCATGTCAGAGTAAATTTACATACTGCTGGAAGTATAAGTTGGGTCAACCATTCCTCAGCCTGAATCCCAAAATACTGCCAATAGAAAGCTCTACAAAGGGCTGTTCTCAGCATTCCACTGACAACAGGCTCTACAGGCTCTGCTGAGAACAAACAGGACTGCCATAAAAAAATATTTTTGGTGTGTACAGCTTAAAGCCTAAATATGTAAATAGAAAATAAAATATGCTCCAGCTGGGCACAGTGACTCTTGCCTGTAATCCCAGCACTTTGGGAGGCTGAGGCGGGTGCATCACCTGAGGTGGGGAGTTCGAGACCAGCCTGGCCAACATGGTGAAACCCCATGTCTACTAAAAATACAAAAATTAGAGGTGTGGTGGTGTGGGCCTCTGGTCCCAGCTACTTGGGGGCTGAGACAGGAGGAGTGCTTGAGCCCGGGAGGCGGAGGTTGCAGTGAGCCAAGATCGCACCATTGCACCCCAGCCTGGACAGCAGAGCAAGCAAGATTCTGTATCAAAAAAACAAAAAATGAAAAACAGTCACTTGCAAATCACAGATCATGTAATAATCAGAAGCCAAGAACACATGTTAGAGATAGCACAATGTGATAACTAGATGAAGACAGAGTTCAGTTTCAGAATGCAGAAGCTGGTTGGTTTTATTAAAGATGTCACACATGTCATTCAGCTATACAAGATGAACGTGAGAAATTACTGCCTTAATTAGGATCACAATTTGCTATGCCATACTTAAAGTGTTCGTATCAGGAAAGAGATTTGGTCCCTTTAAGAACTCAGGTAAGCCTAAACACTACAAGGCCAGAGGGAGGAAGTTCTAACCTGTTCACTGGCCCACTGATCAGAAGCAGACACAGCAATAGTGAATCACCATTAGGAGCCTGAGAAGAAGGGCCTGAATGGGCCTGAATCCAAGTTTAGGGTTATGAACTCAGGGCTGCCCTCCTTTACTACATTTATGAGACTTTTAGTTGGGCTACAATACGCAGACAGAATAAAGTGAAAATCATAGGCTGGCATGGGATGGATGTGCCCCCCAAAAGCAAGGTGCTATTAGTAGCAGGGAACAGAGTTTTCATCCGCATAAACACAGATAAATCCTGGGATGTCTAGTTACCAGTAGGGCAATGCATCTCACATTCCGGTGTACACAAGAATCCCCTGGGGTGCAAATTCCTGAGTCTCACAAGAGAGTCTGACTTGAAAAGTCTGGTGAAAGGCCTAAGAATCAAAATATCCCAGATATTCTAATGCAAGTGGTACATGGACAACACTTTGAGAAACACTGAAGCAGACAGAGAGCCTTAAACAATGGACAGACTATTATCTGCCTACTTTTTACAGTCACTATCGCCTCCTTCCCTTCATCAATTCCGCCCACATTCTAATACGTAAAAAATAAATAACTCTGTAAGAAGATTGGGGCTCACTAAGTAAATGTTCCCAAAGGAACCGAAAGCAGAGTCTCAAAGAAATATCTGAACATACACCCATGTTCACAGTAGCACCATGCACGATGGCCAATGGTGGAAGCAACCCTAGTCTTCACTGACAGATGAATGAATTAAAAAAATGTAGTATAAACATACAGTAGAATATTATTTAGCTTTAAGGGGAAATTGATACATGCTACAACATGGATGAAACTTGAAGACATTGCTAAGTAAAATAAGCCAGTCACAAGACAAATACTGTATGATGCTACTTATATGACATACCTAAAGTAGTCACATTCATACAGACAGAAAACAGAATGGTGGTTTCCAGGGTCTGTGGGGAGGGGAGAAGGGGTATTTTGTTTAACGAGTACAGAGTTTCAGTTTTAGTTCTAGAGATCTGTTGTACAACAATGAGAATGTACTTACCACAAATAAACTATATACTCAAAAATAGTTTAAGATGGCAAATATTACATTGGTTTTATTACTAGTAATTAAAAAATTAAAGAAATAAGATGTTTTTCTCTATTTAAAACAATAAATTGGTACTTTTTCAATTTTAGTTTTGTTCTAACAATTGTTTTCATACAGATGTTATAATAAGTCTCTACTCCATATTCACATTGTTATTTTAATAAATAGGTATTTAAAGGGAAAAGGAAAGTCATGCGAGGGAAATGTGTTTTTTTTCTCTCAGCCATAGAATTGGTTACGGCTCAATAAAAAGCCTTACTACCTGGCTACAAGAAATAGTTTGACCACCTGCCCAGCTACTATGCCTTGCAGCAAAAAAATAATAACCAGTGTCAGAGGAACACACTTTGACCACTTTGTACTAGTACAATAATGTTGTTTTTGTTGATATATATCTGCAAGTTTGCTTGTATGTATATCACCAGTACTGACAATGTTAGTGATACTGCATATCAATATGCTTGACTCTAAAAAAATGTAAACTGCTAGTTACAAAAATAGAAATTTTTAAGTAAATGAAGAAATTTAAAATATAAAGTATTAGGCAACAGATGAAGCACAGTTACAGATTATGGAGAATTTCAGGGCGAATATGTGTAACCTTTAATGATCTAGAGCAAAATACCTAGATTTCCTCTGAAGATGGGACATTTTTCAATCTTCTTAAGTCTTGATGTCACTAGAATGGGAAGAAGAGGTTGCTGAAAATGAAATTCAAGTGTTTGGTGGGGAGAGGTTTGATATCAACAAATATTCTAAGTCCCCACCCCCACCAACTCCCCAACCCCTTTACCTGACTGCTGGCTTTGCTTCCTGCAGAAATCACAGAAAATCTGAGGAGTTGAGAGAAGGAAAAGGAGAGTCACCAGGTAGGAAGCAGTGGACAAATCAGACACTGAGAGCCTGCTACTGGTAGATCCTAATCTAACAGCTTGAAAACTCTGACCTCAGGAATTCCAAAATAGGATGATACTATAAAATCAGAAATATAGAAAGGTATAAAAGCAAGAGCTCATTAAGAAAGAAGAAGCACTGGGTGACAGTGAGCAAGTGGCACGGCTAAATAGTATGAGAATAAATAGTATGAGAACCTGCTTGATTACAGAGTAAAATGTGATGATAGAGAAGGGACCACTCTTAGCCTAAAATATTCCCCAACCCAGATTTCAACCAGCTAACAATATGTACTCAATCTTCATGCTTCAGCTTCAACACAACTACCTCAAGACTACCCCAATAAAACGCATGTCTGCTTTACAAGTCATACGTTCTCCTTCTTCTCCAAACCACTTCACACATATGCAATCACTTAATTACACGCACTACCTTGTTTAATAGTTGTTGTTCCCACCAGACTATCAGTTCCATGAGGACAATAATGTGTTTATTTGCCACAGTATTCTCAGCATCTGGTAAAGTGACTGGCACCAAGTAGGCTCTGACTAAACGGCTGTTTCCCGACTGGTGCATTGCGGCAAACATGGTATGATCAAGAGAGGGTGGCAATAGTCTCAGAAAAATTTAAGTTTCTGATGAAGCTATAGGTTAGGTGAAGGAAATTTAAGATGATACACTTTGGTAATAGGAAATAAGCTTATTAATAGCACTTTGACCTGGGTGAAAGGCAGAAGCTGAACAAAAGGCTTAAGGAGAGATCTACAATCATAACCCTAATGTGAAATTTGGATGGGATTTCTACAATAAGGACAGGGTAGCTCAGCTATAAGATACTTGGAAATACTTCCCAGAAGTTTGCAAGGGTAGAAGAAACAGGGCAAGGAGTCAATAGTGCCTTTGAAGCTGCATTAGGAAAACTGATAGGTCTCTGGTATTCTGTAGACAAGACAATATGGGAGAAAGGAGAAAGAAAAGAGATTTTACTGGGTTCTGCATAGTTACAATGGAGTTTGAGGTAAATAACATGAAATATAAAAGTTGGCTGAGACTCCAAAGGAGTTTTGATAAAGTAATTTTATTTATCATATTGTATTCAATGCTGTATTTTAAAGGTTGCTAATATGTATTTGATTAATTTTAAACACCTATATTTTCAAAGCAGTACTATACTAGAAACACATGGCAGCAAACTTGCAATATATTTTTTAATTCCTCTAAAAACAACAGTACTGTTTCAAAAAATCTGGAGTCATTTCAGTTTGTAAAGAAGGAATCACTAATATCAAGACTGGTTAAAGAGTAAAAACATTTACTCCTTTAAAGTTATGAAAATCATATATGGTTTATATACTTTAAACCTGTATTTCTAATTACCAACAAATTCCACAGTACTGCTTGGTTTCATAAATTAGATATTCTTGAAATTAGACCTACTTCATTAAATCCCCATCATATATTTATATCATCATGACTCAGTGTTTTCAAATAAGTTCAGCAGTTTTCTAGGGGGCAGGTTTAGTGAAATTAGAATTCAACTGGACACGTGCCTTATTGCAAAACAGATTTTAAAAATTCTAATCTCTAATAAGTTGTTTTAAGGCTTGGAGGACTAGCATGGAATAAAAGAGAAACATATTAACTAACCAGCTGTTTTACGCAAAGTTGTCTAAGAGTAGCGGCTTCACTCAAATCAACTTGTCTCAGTCAAATCCCTTCTCTTCTCCCACTCCCATGCTTTAACCACATCCGGACTTAAAGTGAGGCAAACCTTCCTCCTCCTATGGCTGTCAGGTTCTCTCTTCACTCTGTGAGAAAGCACATCAATCCCAGTGAGAGCAAGGCATCTGGAAACCAGAGCACAGTGGCAACAGGGAGAGCCTTTCAATCTAAGGCAAGAGCAAAGTATTTCTCTTCTGCACTAAACTGATAATAAATTCAGTGGGCAATAATCCAAATTATAATAACAGTAAAGACTACAGTTATTATGTAAAAAATATTTCTCTGAACAAGGCTTACGGGGGGTGGGAGGGAATTCTGAATGTTTACTCTTCTGTAAACCATCAGCTGATCTGTACACTACGCATCTACCTCCCCATCTCATAGCAAAATTAGTAAATGATGATGGTTGACATTTTCAGTAATGTAACGAACAGGAGCTGTGCACCACCTGATAGACTGCAATGAAAAGAACACATAATTATTGTGATATTCCTAGCAAAAATTCCTGAATCATAACCTGCATCTAATTGCAAAACATGTCAGACAAACTCAAATTGAGGGATATTTTACAAAATAATTAGCTTGTGATTTTCAAAAATGTCTAGATATTGAAGGTCATGGAAACACTGAGGAACCATTCAAGATGGAGGGAAATTAAAGAGACATCCCGAGTAAATGCAACATGTGATTCTAGACTGGATCCTTTTGCTGTAAAGGACATCACTGGGACAAAACGTAAATGTAGGAGATGCCCTTGCTTTTATGAAATGCACACTCAGGTATTGGAAAGTAATGAGACATCATATTGTCAATTTACTCTCAAAAGATTCCAAAAAAACAAAAAGCACTTTGTACTGTTTTTGTGACCTTTTAAGTTTGAAATTATTTCAAAATAAAAAATAAATGAGAGGAGTAGTTAGGATGATTAGAATACATGAATATGATATACAGATAGGTACACAGATAAATATATTGATAGATACATCTCACAAGTTCCTTTAACCCACCAACTAAAATGGAACTAATCCTTTACCCCTTTCACCTTCTCCTCCTAGGTACTCTTTGTGTCAAGGAAGAAAAAGCATCACCAATTGCCCTGCTTCCTCTTCCTCCCTCACTCCCCACATCATGTCAGTCAGCTAGCTGGCTCTTTTGTATGCTGGCCTCCACGTTCAGCTTTCTAAAGCCACTGACTCTACTCAAGTTTAGGCTACCATGATTTCTGTGATTTCCACAAGCGGCCACGCAATCAATCTCCCTTCCTCTACTTGTTCTCCTTCCTTCAATCCATTCTCCTACTCTTTCTTAACACAGACCTGGCCTTTGCCCCATCCCACAATTATTTTATGGCCCCTATTGTGCTTAGGATAAAGGTCAAATTCCTTTTCATGGCTTGTAAGTCCAGGATGATCGGTCCCCTGACTAACTCTCTCATCCCTTTTCATCCCTTCGGTTCCAACTCTACACTCCAATCATAAAACAACTTTCAGATCCTCAAATCTGCTTCCGTTCAGGTGTGCTACTCTGTGTGTCTTGAACATTCTTCCCCATTCCATGTCACCTCTTTCCACTGAACACACAATCAATATTGAAGAAATATTCAATGAGTAAATGAATGATTGACTTCTTAAAAGTCTTACTGCATTTCTCCCAAACCACTGTTCAGAAAGTTTTCATTCTATCACAACTTTTTACCATACCCAGATTCACTTCTTATACAAAATTCTATGCCTACTTGATTTATTGGTGTCTTTTTCTCTTAACCCGCTAAAATCTGAAGGACTGATACCAGATTCTTTAGACACTTGGAAATGACCATACAGGAAAAGTTCTCCACAAATACTACACATGCCACGAAATCTCCAACACAGTTCAGACAATTAGGGAACCTTTCTAAGAAGGAAGGACACGGTGAAACCCCGTCTCTACTAAAAATACAAAAAATTAGCCGGGCGAGGTGGCGGGCGCCTGTAGTCCCAGCTACTCGGGAGGCTGAGGCAGGAGAATGGCGTGAACCCCAGGGGGCGGAGCCTGCAGCGAGCCGAGATCGCGCCACTGCACTCCAGCCTGGGCGACACAGCAAGACTCCGTCTCAAAAAAAAAAAAAAAAAAAAAAAGAAGGAAGGGCAGAAGCTAATGTAAAACATATTCAGATGATATGGTAATATGTAACTGGGTTGGTCTTGTTTATTTTCTGATATAGCACTTTTCCTCAAAAGATTTTAAGTAGGCCGGGCACGGTGGCTCACGCCTGTAATCCCAGCACTCTGGGACGCCGAGGAGGGCGGATCACGAGGTCAGAAGATCGAGACCATCCTGGCTAACACAGTGAAACCTCATCTCTACTTAAAAAAAAAAAAAATACAAAAAATTAGCCGGGCATGGTGGCAGGTGCCTGTAGCCCCAGCTACTCGGGAGGCTGAGGCAGGAGAAGGGCGTGAACCCGGGAGGCGGAGCTTGCAGTGAGCCAAGGTAGCACCACTGCACTCCAGCCTGGGTGACAGAGCAAGACTCTGTCTCAAAAAAAAAAAAAAAACAGAGATTTTAAGTAGAAAATTTTAAGTCATGGAAATCACAATTTCCTTGAAAATTTCATGAAAGGGGACAAACTCCTTATAATAAGCTCTTTCCAATAACTTTATTAAGTAGGAATGATTTTGCTGATTTAATAAGTGAAGCAAATAACAAAAGAGAGTTTAAAAAGTTCCCAGTGTCACAAAACTCCTAAATAGCAGAGCCATATTTAAACTAAAGTCTGTCTACAGTCAAGATCCACACTTCTTCTAATACAATTATAAAAGGAAACAATTCACTCAAAATTTTCTTCATAAGCAATATCCACCTTCAGAATGGCATACTATCAGTTTGCCATAGGCAAACTGGATCCATTTATCATCTTTAATTTCTTCCTTAATTCTTTAATTTCTTCTTCATCTTTAATTTCATCTCCTTTTGGTGAATGTACTGAATTAGAGTAGACAGCATACCGTGTCAGTCTTTGGTCTTATTTTGCTTAACCAGAAGTACAGTATACTGATCATTTTATAACATTGTACAAAACAAACTGCATTACCGCGTATAACAGGGTGCCTATGAAAACAGTTTTTTGTTGTTAGTTTTTAAGTATTCTGCTGGTGTAATTGTTTCTGGCTTTGGTGCTTTGTTTCTACTTTCTTTTAAGGACTTAGAACCAGTTTTACGCCTCTCTAATGAAAGCACATCAGTTTACCTCTATAATTCCCAATAGTTCGTTTTTAAGCTACAAATCTTGGTAGTTAAGACCTGGAAGCAGCCTTTGAGATTATTTTGGCTAGTGCCCTTCATCCTCATTTCCAAACCCATTTTATAAGTGAAATCTGAATACAGTGTCCTGATTGTCCATTCTGATTCTCACTTCCCAGCCTCGTAGCTCAGCAAACACCCAAAGACACAAACCGTGCAGCATCTGAATTTCTCTTTTAGAAAAAAAAAAAAAAACAACTTCTATTCTATTCTACAAAAGATAGGATTCTCAAGTTGTCATATTCCAATTCTACAGTCATGAGAAATAATTAATTCCTTTGATTTTGATAAGAGAAAAAATGTATTTTAATAACCAACAGCCCTGGCTTACAGACTATTCTGAGGAAGTTACAACTATCTGTAATTGATCTGACCTAGTTTCATTTTACAAACTTAGACAAGATGGGTGCAACCAGCCTGTCTCTTACAAGGATTAAATGAGACCCTAGATAGTCTCTTCCTAAAAATCAGCAAAACCACCATCTCAAAAGAAGACAGTTAATCTCTAGATCAGACTTTGCCAGTGAGTATGTAGGTCCACATAACAGATTATACACTAGGTTGGGCACGATGCCTCATGCCTGTAATCCCAGTGCTTTGGGAGGCTGAGGGAGGCAGATTACCTGAAGTCAGGCGTTCAAGACCAGCCTGGCCAACATGGCAAAACCCTGTCTGTATAAAAAATACAAAAAATATTAGCTGGGTGTGGTGGCGTGCATCTGTAGTCCCAGCTATTTGGGAGGCTGAGGCAGGAGAATCGCTCGAACTCAGAGGTTGCAGTGAGTCAAGATCACGCCACTGCACTCCAACCTGGGTGACAGAAAGAGACTCCGTCTCAAAAAAAAAAAAAAAAAAAAGAGAGAGGTTATACACAAGACATTCTGCTATTGTTTCGGCTTGTAGGCACAGACGGTCAATAACGTGGATTAACTAGGATTAAAGTATTATTTTCTGATTACATTTGTGGTTCAAGTTTACAGGTACTTAAAACTATCTTTAGGATTAAACAAAAAAATAACCCTACAATTTAAAATGAATAAAAAAGAAAATAAAAAAAATTTTAAAAATTGAAAGTAAACTGATAAAAAATTATTTTATTATCTATGCAATAGCATGTAGACACACGACTTAGACACATTTTCTTATCTCTGAGGAAAAAGATGAGATAAGACAACCCCTGACACAAATACTGGTATCTTACATGCACGCATGTATGAAGGCATTCAGATGAATACATGCTGTAAGAAGGAAGAGAATCACTAAAGTGATCCAAAAGAACAGAAAAGTATATGAGAATACGTGAGAAAAAAATCCGAGAGGAAAACTGAAAGATTTTTATTTTTTCCCTTATTTATCCTAAAGTTTATTTTCCATTAGTATTTAAAAAAATTATTCCCAAGCTATTGTATTCTTAAAAAAACAAAACAGAGAAGCAAAATAGAGAACAGATAATAAAAAGAGAAGTTTTTAAAAATAAGAGAATGGAAAAAGTATAGAGTAGTATAATGGGTAAATAATGTGGTTTTCGTAACTACTTTTCCTAACGTAATGATAGATTATTTTTACATTCTACAACTTCATTAGTTTTATGTTTAACTTTGTGACTTGCTGCTTCATTCAAAATACAAAGCTAGAGAAAATAGTTGAGAACTGATAAAAATGAGTACCTCAATGCATTAAAAGAACAGATCAGAATTCTACATTTCTATTTTTTAATTTTTTCAAGGTTACCATTTTTCTATTTCTTTATTCTACATATTAATTTCTCCCTCTCTGAAATTATAAATTAAATGTTCACAGACCCAAAAGTATTATAAGGGAAAAACTGTTAACATTAATAAGAGCTTGCTAAAAAGGATGAATACAAAATTAATATAGAAGATACAATAGCTTTCACATAACGAAATTATAATGGAAACAAAATATCTCATTCCCAGTAGTCACAAAATATAAAATATTCACAAATAAAATTTTTAAATTTTAAGAATAAAGCTATCAAACTTTACTGCAACAATAAACCTATAAAACTTTACTGAAATGCATTTCATAAAAAATAATTAAATAAATGGAGAATCATTTCTGGATAGGATTATAAACATATAAATATGACATTTTTTTCCACATTAATGTAAAGAAAATGCCAGCAATGCAATTTCATAAGATCTCCAGTGATTTTTCCAGAATGCAGCAGTATATTTTAAATTTCCACTAAAAAAAAAAGAAAGAGGAGCAAGAATAACCAGATTATTTTTGAAAAAGAATAAGGTCGGGAGGGGAAGCTGCGCCCTATGTACTATTAAATTGTTTTTAGTATAAATTCATTAAAACAAAAATGAACTGGAAAGAAGGCAGATCAAAGACACAGAAAACTCAGCTTCTAGGATTCTAAGATATAAAAGAATTTAGTTCATCCAGTTCATGTAAACAAAATGTTATTGAATGTTTATGTGTCAGGTACTGTGCCAGCAGGAAAGTAAACAGGTATAAGCTTTCTAGAAGGCAATTTGGCAATATGTATCAAGAACTTTTGAAGAATGTATAAGCTTTTAGCTGGTAAATCCACTTCCAGGATTTATTCTAAGGAATGATCAGAAATTTCTTCAAGTATTTACAGAAAGATGTTTATTATAGTGTTATTTCTAATAGTGAAAACCTGGCAAAAATGATGGGTAATTAATAAGTTAATTAATTATCCCTACAATGGAATATTACATAGGAATTAACATTATGTTTTAAAACATATTAATGCATAAACACACAATATAATATCATATAACAGTGAGAATAACAAACTACAAGTGCATGGAACAATATGGATGAATCTCACAAACATCATAATCTTTAGTGAAAGAAGTGAGACACAGAAAAGGTACACACTATATGATTCTATTTACATACATTTCATATATGTAAAACAATCTGTGCTGTTAGAAGTCAGGATTGCTTTGGAAGTTGGATGAAGTGACTGAAAGGAGTGGGTTGGGAGGAGATTCTAGGATTCTGCAATTTCTTTTCCTTGATTTGGACGCTAACGACATTTTGTGAAAGGTTATCAAACTTATCGTTTGTGCATGTTTCTGCATGTATGCTATTCATCAATAGAAAGTTTTTAAAAATTAATGACTTGGAAAAAGAAAGTCCCTAATATTAAAGTAGGAAAAAAATCAAGCTATAAAATATCTGTGCATAAAATACAGTTCCAGTTTTGTAAATAAAAGAATAGCATAGGAAAATTGCTAGAAGGAAAGGAGGTCACTGGGAGCACAGTCTGTGGGGGTAGTTGGGAGGGACAGAGGAGCCAGCAGGAAATGGGGAAATACCCCTATGGTCTCTCATAGGAATTGTTTATGAGGAGAGCTTAGTTTGAAGAAGAGAGATGGGGGTGGTTAGAGGATGTGTGTAGTAAATGGCAATGGTTGTTAAGACAGGAACACTGGAACCTGTTTAAGTTCTGAAAGCAAAGAGTCAACAGAGAGGGAAATGTACAGGAAATATACAGAAAAAGAACAATAATGCCCCTTGGCAGGCCAGTCAGTGTATAAACAAATAAGCAAACTCAGAAAAGGGACCAGCAAGTTTTGACTACTGTATGTACACAAAGCAGTTCTTGTTTGTAGAGCTTGGCAAATTAATATATTAAGAAACTTGGGCCGGGCACAGTGGCTTATGTCTGTTATCCTGACACTCTG
The DNA here is from genome assembly GCF_000001405.40 of Homo sapiens. NCBI lineage: Eukaryota > Metazoa > Chordata > Mammalia > Primates > Hominidae > Homo > Homo sapiens. The sequence continues at coordinate 7,779,902 of NC_000007.14, read as the reverse complement.
GGAGGCAGAGGCTGGCGGATCGCTTGAGTTCAAGAGTTTGAGACCAGCCTGGGCAACATGGTAAAATCCCGTCTCTACAAAAATACAAAAATTAGCCAGGTGTGGTGGTGTGCACCTGTAGTCCCAGCTATTCTAGAGGCTGAGGTGGGAAGATCCCTTGAGCACAGGAGGTGGAGGTTGCAGTGAGCTGAGATTGTGCCACTGCACTTCAGCCTGGATGGCAGAGTGAGACCCTGTCTCAAAAATAAATAAATAAAGTAAAATAAAGGAAATAAAGGAAAAGAAAATGAAGAGGAAAAAAACGGGGCTGGGCATGGTGGCTCATGCCTGTAATTTCAGTACTTTAAAGTGGAAGGATGGTCTTAGTACTTTGGGAAAACAAAGTGGGAGGATCACTTAAGGCCAAGATTTCGAGACCAGACTGGGGAACATAGTGAGACTCCATCTGTAGAAACTTTTTTTGTTGTTAATTAGCTGGATGTGGTGATGAACACCTGTAGTCCCAGCTACTTGGGGAGGCTGAAAAGGGAGGACTGCTTGAGCCCAGGAAGTCAGCTATGATTGTAGTACTGCACTCTAGCCTGGGTGACAGAGCTAGACTATCTCTTTTTAAAAAAAAGATTTTTCTTCCTGTTTATATCAATTTTTATGTTTTCATGAGGCCTTCACATCATCCTATTATCTGGATTAGGTTAATTCTTTAAAAATTTGAGCCAGAGGATAACCTATCTCTCACTTCAAAATACTTCAGAGGAAAATAAAGACCAGGGCAAATGAAACCTAGGTGAAGTACAGAAATATAGAGATAGAAATGGTGGCAAGTAGCATTTCTACCATATGATAGCTGTGTGACCTTAGGCAAATTATTTAACCTCACTGTGCCTGAGTTTCCCTATCTGAAAAATGATGAAGATAATAATAGACTGATAAGAGGTTTACATGAGATCATCCATATAAAATGCTTAGCCTAACGTGTGGCACAGAGGAAACCCTTAATAAGTATAAATTGCTATTAGCATTTATTCTTATTTTTATTTAGAAGTGGAATTTCTAAGATGTCTTCAAACCTAGAAACACCAAAACAAAACAAAAAAGAACACAATAGGTAACGAAGCAGCAGCCCCTAATTCACAATAAATAATCTCAACAAAGAATATGCTCTCAACTTTTTCTTTTGAAAAACATTAGGCTGAGTGTGGTGGCTCACACCTAAAATCCCAGCACTTTGGGAGGCCAAGGTAGGAGGATCACTTGAGGCCATGAATTTGAAACTACTTTGGGCAACAGAGCGAGACCTCATCTCTACAAAAATATAAAAAATCAGCCAATTGTGGTGGCACACGCCTGTAGCCCTAGCTGCTCAGGAGGCTAAGATTGGATGATCACAGAAGGTTGAAACTGCATTGAGCTGTGATCGCACCCCTGCACTCCAGCATGGGTGACAAGACCTGCCTTTAAAAAAAAAAGAAAAGAAAGAAAGAAAAAAAAGAAAAACTTTAAATCTACAGAAAATTTGAAAGAACAGTACCATGAACACTCTAGACTGTTCACCTTTACCTATATTCATCAGTTGTTAAACTTTGCCATATTTACGCTCTCTCTCTGTCTCTCTCTCTCTCTCTCTCTCACACACACACACACACACACACACACACACACACACACACACACACACAAAACCAGTTTTGGAGAAGCCAAGATGACGGCTGGTTGGCTCACTGTGTAGAAGAGCATACTCCACCTATTTGTCATATGTACAAAAAGCCTTTTTCAGAGAACCTAATATTGCATAAGACATACAATGTCATAATATTAAAGTTGCAATAATTGTGATGATCAATAGAGAGTAACACTGATAGCGAATAAGAAGATATTTTTCTGCAATGCCCCACTTGGGAAGGATAAACAGTCTCAGAGTTTTATGTTCAGGCCTTTTAATAAGGGGAGAGCAAAGGCTTTCACTAGCAGGCAAGGAAGCCTAACACAGCTAGATCAGGGTTAGAGTTAGATATGTTACTGAATGAAGTTACTGGTAAAGGATTTCCAGAAATAGCCCTGTGTACATGGGTATTTCCCCCTTAACTATATTGAAAAGGAGCTTTTAAATAAAGGTTCCCCACTCCCTTTTACAAATTTTAAACATCCAGACTATCACGAGTATCTGGAAGTAGATCAGAAAATCAAAAGGATGCTAAATATTTTGTCTCAAAGAATTACATATGTGAACATTTACTCTACAGATATTAGACTGAACAACATAAATTTTTTTCTAGGTTAAAAAGCCAAATACTGGCAATTACATATATATATATATATATATATATATATTTGCTCATGTATGAAATGACATAAATATAAGAATATTAACTGTAGTTTTTCTTTTTTTTTTTTTTTTTTGAGATGGAGTCTCACACTGTCTCCCAGGCTGGAGTGCGGTGGTTCAATCTCAGCTCACTGCAACCACCACCTCCCGGGTTCAGGCGATTCTCCTGCCTCATCCTCCCGAGTAGCTGGGATTACAGGCACCCACCACCACGCCCAGCTAATTTTTTGTATTTTTAGTAGAGATAGGGTTTCACCATGTTGGCCAGGCTGGTCTTGAACTCCTGGCCTTGTGATTTGCCCGCCTCAGCCACCCAAAGTACTGGGATTACAGGGATGAGCCGCCACGCCCAGCCTGTAGTATTGTTTTTACAAGCGGAAGTCTGGAAATGATCTAAATGGCTAGACAGGAGATCAGTAAATAAAGTATGGTACAGTCATATAATACAATACTAACTGTCAAAAGAAAAAATTAAAAAGCTGCATACCACCTTGAAAATGTCTTAAGATACATTGTTATGTGAAAAAAGTATGGCGCAAAACGAGTTGGTATAGTAAGCTACCTTTTGCATACAAGCATGGAGGAGGGTAAAAAGATACACCTGCATTTGCTCGTGTAGACATAAACTCTGAAAGAATACATAAAAGATGAACAGTAGTAGTTTACTTTTGGAGGAGGAAGAACTGTGTGGATCGATGACAGATGTTGGAGGAAGGCTTTTCAGTGTATTACTTTTCATATATTTTTTAGCCATTTATATGTATTATCTAGTCAAAACGAATTTAAGATTTTGAACATTTAGATAGGGTGATCAGAAATTGGAAAATGATTCTTCCTGTGCCTTCTGTCTACAACAATACAATGTTAAATTGTAATCATCTCTATGAAATTTAGTTTCAAGTGTTTGCAGAGTAACCGTTATTATAGATTTAATTATAAAGATTGATTATTTTTTGGCATGCTGTCTTTGTTTCACATTAGAGAATACAATATCTAAAAGGCCTTTTCAAAAGAAACTTTTTGTGATACAGATTCTTTAGTCATATAATTGCAAAAACAACACTGAAAATTCCTGTGTGCCCGTCACCTAGTTTTCCCCATGGTTTACTATCCCTAAACCTGGCTACCACTAATCTGCTCTCTATCTGTATAACCCTGTCACTTGAGAATACTATATAAATGGATTTACAAAGTATGCAATATTTTGAGATTAGCGTTTAACAATTACTTTTTGCACTCTCATTCCCCATATTGATTGCATTTTCATATTTTTATTTCTTTTCTAGAGATGGGGTCTTGCCATGTTGCCCAAGCTGCTTTCGAATTCCTGGGCTCAACTGATCATTCTGCCTTAGCCTCTCAAGTAGCTGGAACTACAAGTGCATACCACTGTGCCTGGTTCCATATGTCTTGTTTTGTTTTGTTTTTTAAGTCAGGTTTATTGAGGGATAATTTACATACTATAAAACTCACCCTTTTCAGTGTGCAGTTCTATGATTTTTTAAAATAGTTTTGTTTTGGTATAGTGTATAACAAATTACACATTTTCAAGTATCAAATTTGATGAGTTTATATATATTTGTGAAGGCATCATCACAACCTACATAACGATCCATCACCCCTGAAAAGTTTCCTTGTATTACTTTGTAATCCATTTTTCCAACATTATACACTCATTCCCAGGCAACCACTTTGCTATCCATTACTATAGGTTCACATTTTCTAGATTTTTATTTAAATGGAATCACATAGTATATTTTTTCATTTCTCCTGAGTAAATACCTAGAAGTAGAATAGCTGCATCATATAGTAGGTATATGTTTACCTCCTTTACAAACAGCCAAACTTCCAAAATGACTGTAACATTTTATATTCCCACCAGCAATATGTGCAATTCCAATTTCTCCATATCCTCATCAACATTTGGTATGGTCAGTCTTTGTAATTTTAGCCTTTCTAGTGGGTGTAGTAGTGTATTAGTCCATTCTCATGCTGCTATGAAGAAATACCTGAGACTGGGTAATTTATAGAGGTTTAATTGACTCACAGTTCTGCATGGCTGGGGAGGGCTTGAAACTTACAATCATGGCGGAAGGCACCTCTTCAAAGGGTGGCAGGAAAGAGAATGAGAGACAGCAGGGAAAATGCCAGACACTTATAAAACCATCAAATCTCATGAGAACTCACTCACTATCATGAGAACAGCATGGTGGAAACTGCCCCCATGATTCAATTACCTCCCACTGGGTCCCTCCCAGGACACATATGATTATGGGGATTACAGTTCAAGATGAGATTTGGGTAGAGACACAGCCAAACCATATCAAGTAGTATCTCATTGCAGTATTAATTTACATTTCCCTAATAACTACCGATGCTGAGCATCTTTTCATGTGCTTATTTGAACAGACAGAAGCCATACTGAAATGGACCAAAAGAAAGCATGAATGGTGAAGAAAGAATGAGCTCAAATCAGTCTTTGGAAAATTTTGGCAGTGAAAATGGAAGAAACACATATGACAGTGAACTTAAAGAGGGTTTCTTGGCTATGAGGAAGGACCGGTAGAGGAGATTAAAAGAACAAGAGAAAGACATGAAATAATTGATGAAGAAAGGTTAGAGAAGAAATGGGATGAGAATGTGATAAGGATACAGGTTACCTTTGCGAGGAAGAGACAGAAAGTGAGATGGAAATTAAGTGAAGAAATACATTTTGAGATGGTGGCCAGGGAAACTCAAGGGCTTTGCTCAACCTTCCTGGCAAAATTGGGGAAGAACTTATCTACTGAGACTAAAATAGAAGGAACTGGGCCTGGGGCTTGAGAAGGATGACAAGAGTTGAAATTGGTGTTATGAGAAAGCAGTGGGTTGGGAATCAAACAGAGATAAGTAGTGGGATTATCAAACAGCTTTAAGAGCACTCACAAAGAATCTATGTTAGTAAAATTTAATATTTCTTGTATTCTCTTTCCTTGGTTGTCAAGAGTTCCCAAAAAAAGGACATAAATGGGTCAAACAGTTCCATAACTATACTACCTCACAACACTTTCACATTCTCAAGCTCTCTCTCTTTCTTTTTTGAGACTTACAACTTGTTTGGTATGTAGAACAGGTTCCACTCTATACATGAAGAAACAGAAAGTGAGGGAATGGCTTTCCCACAACGCTAGGCTAGCTGGAACTTTAATCCAGATTTTTTGATTCTGATTCTAGTAATTAGCATGTCCCATAATTCTATTGCTGCATCCTGCTGCTATCTACCTTCAATGCTCTTCATTATTGTTCTGACCTTAAAAACTGCCTCAGTTTCTTAATTGTTACTCTACCTTTCTAATCCACCCCACACTCTGCTCCATTCTTTCCTAAACAACATTGCTCATGTTCTACAGAAGCAGAAGTCTGTCGAGAAGTCAGAGTAGCATCTAAGCCTGAGAAGCTGCTCAGAGAAAGGGGAAGAAGATTTTGGTGCACCTGAGGACTCAGTTTGCAAACAGAAAAAGCACCAGCTATCAAGCTGCAGCCATGGTTTGCCATTTAGAATGGATGGCCTGATTCTCAGTGTTTTCTTAGGGTCTGTGGTGAGGAGAGACAAAAGAAATCAGTAGAGAGCCGCCATCAGTGAGCCAGAGAGAAACAGCAGCCAGGGTTCTTCTCTAAACCAACCAATCTAATATAGACTCGTCCTCCTTATAATACCTCCCAGGGCAGGGCTGCAAGGCTGGAAATGGTAAGAGCATTTGGGCTGTAACTCCTCACTCACCTCCTCCCTTCAACCAGCCTTCCAAATTCCCCTAACTGAAATAAAGCCTAAGAGTCTCCTCCAGAAAATCAACATATAAAAATGTTTTAAAGCAAACCTGAAACTGGCACCTTTACTTTGCTTAGGATGAAAAGTTTGGTTTCTAGTGTGTTGGGCAATCTGTATAAAAAGTTATAAAGGTTAAGTGTCTAGTACAAATAAATCTTGGTTATTTGTGAACACAATAGGTTCCTGTTTGGTTTTGTTATTGTGTTTTTTTTTAGAAATTAAGCTCCCTCTGACCTTGAAAGTCATTTTGCTACTGTAGACTGTGATGCAAATTAAGGCATTTCTATTCTTATTTCAAAGTCTGCTGCATAAAGTAAGTGTATGCTCTTCAAAGTAAATTGACAGCCTAATGTTGCACATTTAGCTACATCAACACTTCAACAGCTTATTTCATTATTATTTGACTAACTCATTTTAAAATTTATCAAGAAAAGTATAATTTTCTCCTCTCATGGTTTCTGGTCTTAAAAAGCTAATACCCTAACAGTTTTTAAAGATCCCCTAATGTTGCAACTTGTGTACAAAGCAGGTCTAAAAAGCAGCCTCACAACTTTATTATAAAAGTAGGTCACTTTTTAAAATGCATTAAAGTTAATGTAAATATAACTGTGCAATTCTTTATTTTAAGCTTTGTTTTGAAGGCAAATCTCTCACAAACTAAATCATCTTTAAAACCTGTAGTTTTTAGTTTGCACTTGTTACAAAAACAAGCAATTATTCTATAGCAGAGCATCTCATGTTTCCTAGAGCTAAATGATATCCTGAAGTAGCAAAAATCTTGTGGACCAGAATGATAGCAGTATTTCTCCTTTGAACCATTAAAGAAAAAAATGAATAAATTTAAGGGGAAACCCCTCTTTAAAAAAAAATAAAAAAGGCTTCTTGTGTTATATCTAATCCACTTTCACACAGTTTTTCTTAATTACACTACAGCTGTCTGGTAAGGCACAACTGACCACTTCCATCATGAAAACAAACTGTACCCTACCATCTAAAGTTCTCGATTAAAAAGCAAATGTTTTTGTGAGCCCAGAGAAAACGGGCGCAGCTGCTCCATTTCACGAGGCAGGCACCTCTACTCCATTCATCTGTGAAGAATGGCAATGACTGTAAATTGTTCTTCCTGATCGGTTCCACAATAAAAACAAACCACACTACTTTCAATTTTTCAAAGCCAATTTTTTCAAGCCTCCAGTACACTGGAAACAAGAGTTGTGTTCTTCTGATTCATGGCCTTTGATTTCTACATAAACATCCCTGTATGCATGTAAAAACAGGTCCCTGCAGGATACTCAGAGACTGTATATATTAACTTACCAGATGTACCAGAAGATAGAAATGCCATCCGCCTACCTTTCAAAGCAAGATACTATTTAACAGCTTAAACTGCCTGTGACTAAAGAATGACTGCAAAGAACATACCGTATGTGGAGAGGCATTAGTTAGTTCATGAGAAAACTTCAGCATATTCACAAAAAGTACAACAAACGGTTTTCAACTTGTGTTTTAAGGCTCTCCATTAAAATCCATAGTAAGGAATTAAGGTCAAGAAACACATCTGCATTTTGCAACTAAAACACAAAGGTTTAGCTATTACTGGAAATCTAATAATAGCTAAAATGATTGACACAAGTTTGTTAAGAAACTTCTAAATATTCCCAGTTAATTTACAATGCTCAAACAGTAATCACAATTTAATCTTGAGGTCTCCAAAGTATTTTTTTTTAATCAAACACACACTTGTCAATTTCAAAATGTTAGAGCATGCTTCTGCCATATTTATGTAAATCATATATATATAGATATATATACCTACAAGCATGGAGCACTATACTAATATCTAATGCACATTTTTAAACATATACAAAAATAGTTGTTAAGAATAGGATAAAATTGCTTATAAATAGAAGTTTTAAGACTTTGCACACCTCCTATGGGTAACCTTGCACAGCTCCTGAGGCACCAGCCCCTCCACTCTCACCCCCACCCATGGAGACCCTAAGTGGGCCATAGCTAATGTGAGGCCAAACCATGCCCTCAGTGGCTTTGGATGAATTATTTGATTGCTCTAATTTCTATCCCTGCCCTTAAGAAGATTGTTTGTAGAAACATAAGAATATAATCTAGTTTAGAACAGCTTTTAATTCTGACTCATCACTGGAGGGTTGCAATGGAATTCAAATGTGATAAAACATTATGGAGATTTAAAGTACAAGAAAATGTTCAGATCTGTGAACCCCCAACTTCAGTGGCAAAACTGCTAGCAGCCAATGATTATTCTCTCACACCTGACAGCAATCAAAATCACCTCAATCAGCAAAGAGGTTTATACTGAAAATAACATCCTGTGGCTGCCGCAGCGATGGCACCCCCTAACCATCAGCTTTGCCATATAGCTCCAATATATTGATATTTTACCTTTCCAAACTGTCTCATTTACAACCTCATTCCTTCCAAAAACCCTAGCTATATGTGATTTCAGGCAAAGGAAGTTCTCAACAAGTGATGAGACTTTATTTTAATTAAGCCCTGTCAATAATGCAATGTAATACATAGTTATTGGGTATATACAACTTAGGCTGGTTTTGCTAGAAGCTGTCAATACAATTATCCTTGTCCTCAAAGCGTTCCAAGAAAAAAAAAAAAACTAACAAAAACCTCCATCTAACAAAAATTTACCTCATATTTGCCCTCTTTCTTTCTGCCATTTGTTCTCAGGCTCCTTTACAGGGTCCTCTTCCTCCACCTCCTGTGTTACTCTCTAGGGTTGCTCTCTTCTCACTCCATCTCTAGGGGATCTTATCCAAGACTAACTCAAGATACACCAAGACATCTTTAATTACCAAAGCCATTTCTAAATAACGAATATTTTTCTTAAGTTATACATCATATGCCCCATACTTTCAACTGCTTACCTGATTTCTCCAACTAGATGTCCAAGAGCAGTTCACCTCAACACTTCCAGACGATCGTGAACTCATGATCGTCTCCATAAAACCTGCTCCTCATTTTTTTTATTATACTTTAAGTTTTAGGGTACATGTGCACCTCCTCATTCTGTACTTTCTCAATTCACAAGAATCATCATTCTTTCAACTCTCATAATCACTGAATGTCAAATTGTAATTAATCCTACCTCCTAGATGCCTTTCAAACTTGTCTCCTCTCCATCACCATCACCTTAATTCGACACCCTCCTAACTGGTCTTTTCTCTCTAATTTCTGCCTTCCCTGACTCACCCCTCAACATCACAGCCAATGTTCCTACATACTCAGACCATCTACCTCTCTTGCTTAAACAAGGGGAAGCAAGCAGTATCTTGAGAACAGTGGTGTTTTTATGCCAACGGGGATTGGGAAATGTTTATAAGATGGAAGGAAAGGGACTGTGGTAAGAAAGGAATGAGAGTCAATGATAAACAGAGCAAGGTCCCAGAGCATTAGGCAGGCTAGGCAGGCTCCAGAGCCCTGGAGGAGGGGATGGCTTCATAGATGCACTTGCCTCTGGGGGAGAAAGAAAGACGGTAAGGATGAATGTGATGAAGGTAAGTTTGAATACGGAGGGGAGGCAAGCCGAGGGAGTATGTGCCAGATATTATCTATTTCCTTAGAAATATGAGAAGGGAGGTAAATTATTACTTTAAAATGAGGGGATAAGTAGGGCTGACTGCCTGAGAACAGCGGTTCCAGTTTGGAACAGTCACTACTAATAATGAAGAAAGCAGCTGATTAGAAATAAGTCTGAAAGAATAAAAAAGGGAAAGAAAAGTCATCCTGAGCACTGAGCTGAGGCTGGAAATCATAAATCTGTACCAGAGACAATCAGCACAGTGAGAGGAAAGTTGGTTGCAAAGGTGGTGAGCAGGAGAAGCGGGAAGAGTGTGATCATGGTGCTGATGGGCTATAAATCACCAACAGCTCTCAATGCCTACTTTTATCCATTTAGCTCAATTTCCCCAGGGCCAGTGCAATTTAGTCCCTCTTCCTCTCCTAGAATGTGTGTTCCAACCATAATGAACATACTGTACCATTTCCAGAACATGCCACACTATCAGGACTCCGTCGTAGGACATGCTGCTTCCTCTACATAAATGCACTTCCCCCTACTCCCCTCTCCTTCCCTCTGTCTTCCTTCACTCCAAAAAGAAACATTCCACAATAAATTTGATTGGCCTGGGTAGGCAGCCCACCAAACCAATAAGCTGGGTACACAGCAAGCACTCGACGAGCATTTCACTGGGGAAGGAATCATATGATATGCAGCAAACGCCCATCCTGTCAGTGGGGGAGGCTCTCTAAGGCGCATGAAGAAAAGGGGATAATGGGTATCATCAAGCATCCCCTCCACCCCATCATGTTTAATAAACTTGTATATCATTCCTCAGGTCCTTGTTTCCCTAATCTAAATTCAAAACATAATCCTCTAAAGTTCTCCAAAACTTAAAAAAAAGAACATTAAAGGGCAATTATTTTTGAGATTTTTATGGAAGTTAAAGCTACTTAGTCTCCCTAATTGACAGAAGCAGATTTATTGAGTTTTCACTGAGAGCTCCTATCTCTACAACTATTTCCCTAACCATGTTACCCTAAAAGACAAATGAGTATCTGGAGCTCAGCTTGACTGGTATGCCCAAATGTGCAAATTGCAGCCAAACAAAAGCTAAATTTCTGGACAGATGAATGAAAAGGGACATCTGGTCTTGGTGTTTCTGCTCCTCCTTTCTTGATTCAGACTTCAGAAATTCACAATGCACTGGTCCTTTTAGTCACCACTCATTCTAGCCCCCTCCTTTTAATCATCTCCATCTAATACCACAGAGAGCTATAGGTATTAATTAGTTGCTCACTCATTAATTCAGCAAACAGCTACTGACTTAATTAATATGTTATAGACACTGGAAAACATACAAAGATGAATAACATAAGACGCTTACTGTCTGGGGAAGAAGAGAAAGTACAAAATTATTACATATAATATAGTAAAGTGCGATAATATACTATGCATTCATTTATTTATTTATTCAACAAATACGAAATATCTAATATATACCAGGCACTACTTTCAGTGCTGAGGATTCAGCAGTGAAACAAGTAGGAGGAAAAAAAATAACACTTGTCTTCAAGGAGTTTAATTGATAAACACATGAGCGAATAAAATGAAGCACGACATTGAAGGCAGCAATTCCTCCAGAGCAGGAGGAGTTTTCAGGCCTCCTCAGAGAAGCTGATGGCAGTTTAATCTCGGAGGATGAGCAGAAATGCATAGGCAGAAGAAGAAAGTGATCCAGGAACATGGTCCGAGGAAGCAAACAGCCTAGACATGTAAGAGAACAGTGTGTGGAGTTCAGAACGGCAGAAATACTTGCTCCAGTAAGAAGTCTGAAGTGGGACAAGTAAGCCCAAATAACCTTCTGTTAGACTGCAGTTAAGAAATGAGGAAATCCCTCTCAAAACACACATTTGGCAAAATTATGCTTGTTCTCTTTTTATGGGAAGAATGAAGGCTGCTTTTCTGTTTCCATTTTTTTCCAGAGGTACAGAAAAATAAAATTTTTAGGCAATGAGTTTGACTAAATTTTCATTTTAAATTTGATAAATCTGCCAGGGTATTGGGCATATAAAAACAAATCATAATATTAATTAATTAAAAAGTAAGCAAACACAAGAACCCAAACAAATAAATTTCCAGGTTCCTATGGGCTAGAAATTTTAAAAAGAAGCCTTTCTAAGATAGGAAAGTCATGAATAAGAAAAAAAAGTCATAATAGAAAAACCAGTATGTTCATGTTCACATTCAGAGTATGACATGTGCTACACAAATTAATATTTACATATCTGAAAGACAGCTAATTCCTAGAATGAAGAAGCAAGAAAGCATATACAGTATTTAAGGATATAAGGCAGTAGAACACAGAGGTGAAGAGCCAGCTTGCTTGGGATCTCATCTCAGCCTTGCCTCTCACTAGCTTTGTAACCTCGGGCAAGTTGCTTAGGCTCAGCTTCTTTATATGTAATACAGAGTTATAATAATGGTATCTACCTCAAAGAATTATTTTGAGGCTTAAACTCATAAATATAAACAAGGCTCTTCAAACCAGTACCTGGCCCCTAACTGTTACTGTTGTGAGTGGTAACGGTTATTGTTGCTATTATGATCCAGAGCTGGCACTTTACTACAAAATCCATATTAAACTACTGATGATCTCGTGAAAAAATATTTATCCTTTTATTAAATTGTGTAAAAATGCTGCTTTCCAGCTACTATTACTCTGGAATTGAAACCTAAAATAAACATGCTTAGCAACGCACATTGTTTAATCCTACTTTTGTTTAAGAGCTTAATTTCTGGCTGGGCGCGGTGGCTCACGCCTGTAATCTCAGCACTTTGGGAGACCGAGGCAGGCGGATCATGAGGTCAGGAGATCGAGACCATCCTGGCTAACATGGTGAAACCCCGTCTCTACTAAAAATACAAAAAATTAGCCGGGTGTGGTGGCAGGTGCCTGTTAGTCCCAGCTACTCAGGAGGCTGAGGCAGGAGAATGGCGTGAACCCGGGAGGCGGAGCTTGCAGTGAGGCGAGATTGTGCCACTGCACTCCAGCCTGGGTGACAGAGTGAGAGTCCGTCTCAAAAAAAAAAAAAAGAGCTTAATTTCTTGAAATGCTCACTATTCACAATAAACAGTAATGATCATCTCTGAAGCAATACACTCATGCCATCTTTTTTTTGGGTGAAAGGACCTTAAAAGACAGAACTTGAAACTGTTGCTTATATTATACCTGTCTAGAGGATTTATGAAAGCAGAATAGGCAAGAATGCCTATAGAATCCACCAAAATATAAATTCCACCAGACAGTAAGTTTCCATAAAGGCAAGGATTTTTGCTGAGTTCACCAATGTGCAGTCAGTATCTGGATCTGTGCCTGGAACATGGCAGGATCTTAATATTTCAAAATAAATGAATAATATGGTTTAAAATGAATTGTCCAAATCTTAGATAAACAAGTACACATTTGTAGGAAATTACATATATATTTAAATGAAAAAATGAATACTAGGTAAGTTTTTAAAACAATCACAGGTTTGAACTTTAAATGAAGTGCTATCTTCAACATTAACCAGCTCACAATATAAGAAGGAAAAAAATTAAACACTTTGGAGAAACTGTAGATTGCCTAAAGAGGGCTGTAAGTTTTAAACCAAAGCAGCACCTGTATGATTGAGAAGAAGAAATTCAACAAGAAGCAGTTATGAATATATAAATTATAAGGCTTTGGGAGTTCTTTTATTATGTGAGTAACAGCAAGTATTTTCTGGACTTGCAGCTGGTATACTATTTCTAAACTACACGAGGACCTATTTTATTCACTACGGAGTTTGAAACCTGAGGCAATATCAGTTTATTAATCAGATGAACTTCAATTTTAAACAGTAGAAGTTTTATTTCCTAATATAAACTGTGGATCTGCAAAAAGAAGTAATAAATAGCATGTCATTGGGCATGCCTGGAATAAGCAATAACTTGTAGTAAAATATATTTTTAAAAATTGATTAACTACACATGTACTCTGGGAGAAAAACAGACAAGTAAATTTTGCTGCTATTGACAAGGCTGCTCTATTATAATCTTATGTGTTAGCACAATCACTGTTAACATTAAAAGAAGGAAACTGCTACATTTCGGTTCTATCTGCCATATCTGGATTCTAACAGAAGATCCATCCCAAACAAATGACCAGAAGGCTAATTCTGATTACAATTCTTATTCCACTATTACAACGATATGTAACTGAGGAGAACTGTTCTACCATTTGTTATATATACAAGGACTACTTTGTTGACTAAGAAATTAATAAGTATTCAAAAAAAACTCAGATACTAAATAGAGGGAAAAAATTATTTCCAAAATTTTGAGTAGAACATTCTATTTATAAAACCAGATAGATATATGCTTACTAAACAAGCCTGTAGGAATCCCAGTTTCCCCTCTTGCTTAGCATACTGTATCCCCAGTGCCTAACAGAGAGTTTGAAGCTCAATAAATATTGACTGAACATATTAATGATTTCTCAGTCAACAAAAGTATTGCTCATAACAAGAATGTGAGCTTCTTAAGGCCAAAGACCACACCTCATTCATAACCCTCAGGGCAGGCCTACCTCAATCCCTGACACAGAGACAAAACTCAAGAAATGACTAATGGGTCAGTAAAAGTATACAAAGTCAATGACCTAAACAGTTTCAATTTTAAAAAGCAAATTTTAGAATTGTAATATTAAGCTACCAAAATTATTAAATTTGTTTAATATGATAAATTTACTTTTCATAAAATTTTAAATAAGAGTAGCCAAAAATCAAAATTTAATCAGAATTAGAACTTTTTACAAGTCATCAATGGTTTCTGAAGCTATGGTATGATTGATTAAATATTATTGTTTTTAAGCACTGGAGTACTGCACTCGAAGCCAAAGGAGTATTTTGAAAGAAAGATCTCAAGGCGAGGTTAAAAATTTGGCTACTGGAAGAAAAAGGACAGACACAGAAGAGACAGATACATAGAGTAAACTGATGAGAGGCAAGATATGAGTGAAGGAACTTGAGATTTTTGATCAGTGAGATGTTGTCCTCACTGACATAAGTAGAAAGCTATATATTTGTCAGATTTGGGAAGGGAAGACTAAAAACAGGACTTCAAGAATTTAAGTGTGTCAACACTTAAAGACAACAAGACAATACCTGATTTTCTATGTCCTTTAAAAAAAAAAAAAGAATGATATTAAGAATAGAGCAGAGCAGAGGTGTCACCAGTAGTAGGCAGTGACAGCTGAAGTACAAACATGATCAGAGCTAAGATACAGCAGGTACATACAGGGAAGGAAGTGCTTCAAAAGAAACAGCAGGCCAGTTTTGGAGATCAGAAGTAAAGCAGTCAAAGAAATTCTAGAAGCCAAGATCAAAAAGGGTGCTTAGAGAAAGGGCAGGGTACCTTGCCAAGACATAAGAATGGTTCTTGAGTATATGCACTGAATCACATATTGTAAACAAGGGGCAGAGTAATTGGACCAGTATAGACAACATTAAAAATATGACCTCATTGTTAAAACACACTGCTTCCAATCAATTCCGGCACTGTTACCTAATGGAGTTCCTCATACAGTCCAAACTTACCTCAAGTGATCCAGCTCCCATCACTGCCTTAAGATGTTATTTCACTATCTGCATAATTGGCCTAGGTATTGAGAACTGCCTATGAACAAGTTCACACTACTCTCACCTTCCACAGTCTCAGCTTCATCTAAACAAATTTGTCTTCCAACAAGTTGCTTATATCCACTGTATAACTTCATATTGCCTTACTACTTAACCGAAGCAAAGATATTTTATTTTTTAAAATTATTTTTATTACATTAAATTCTCCCCTATTCTAAGAACTGCAGCTTCTATTCTTTCAGCACTCAATATATTGATAGCTATGGGTCTGGACATTCTTAAGTTGATATAAGACAAATGTGGTCTTAACACTGACATTTGTAAGAGATTTCTGCTTCCCTGCTTTATTGTAATGAGCTTGCAAGATGACCCCCCAGATGGCAACAGCTCTGTGACTGCCGTATCACACCGCAACCTCATATCTGCTTTGCTGTCTGATAGCACCTGACTCCCTTTCACTACTACTAAGCATTGTCTCTCATTAAATATCTATTTCAGATTATTTGCTCTTACATGTATTAGCTTGCATTTTCTTAGGCTGAATCTCACTATTTCCTGTGATATTTCTAAACCTTTTTGGTATCTTCTTTTCTACTGCTATTTGAGATGCTTCCCAATTTACTATCATTTCTAAAACTAGTTGACATACTTCATTTCCAATTTTAGATTTTTAATGAAAATGCAAAGGAAAACCAGATAATGTATCTTCCTAGAGGCTGTATTATTTCATCTCAGAATGAATTTAAGTAAAAGCTGTAAATCATTATGCTATTAAGTCAAGTAAACCTGAACTGTTTACTTATTACATAAATCACTCTACTATTTTTGTAACTAATTTTGCAGTTTTAGTAGAGATGGGGTTTCTCCATGTTGGTCAGGCTGGTCTCAAACTCCTGACCTCAGGTGATCTGCCAGCCTCAGCCTCCCAAAGTGCTGGGATTACAGGCGTAAGCCACCACGCCCGGCCTAAATTTCAATCTTAAATATATTTAAATTTTTAAAATTCAAACGTCTTTGTTACTCCAATGACTGGAAAAATGTCATTGGCTTTGCATGTTCTCATTTATAAATGAGAGCTAAACATTGAGCACACATGGACATAAACACAGGAATGACAGACACTGTGGTCTACTGGGGGTGGAGGAGGGAGGAGAATGTGGGCTGAAGAACCACTTATTGAGTACTAGGGTCACTACCCAGGTGATGGGATCCATACCCCAAACCTTAGCATTATGCAATAGTCCCATATAACAAACTTGCGCATGCACCCCTTGTATCTAAAATACAGGCTAAAATTTAATTGAAGAAAAATTAATAAAGAAATAATTTTAAAATGTCATTGGCTTTAATTAAATAAAAAGCACTTCAATTAAATATCAATTATCCATATTTAATATTTTAAATACTACCTATGTTTATGACAGTAATATACATTTTTCCCTACTAGGCTGTTTATAACTTGTATCCTATGCTCAAAACATTTAAAAATATAATTTGGCTAGAGAATTTCAGGATATTTATTTCCTAAATACTAGGTTTCCATAAACATAAAACTCCTGTTTTATATCATTGTTTATTTAATATCACTCTGATATTCTCTATTTTCGTTTAAGAGTGCCGGCTTAAAAGCATTTAAAACAATCAAACCTGCTAAAATTAATGTTATTCAATGCATTTTAAATTAAATCCATTAAATCTTACATATATGTAATGTGCTTTCAACTCATGAAGCCTTCGACGAAAACAAATTCTAATCCAGCCCAGGAAAGTGAAGAGTTAAGTGTGCAATTTAGGAAAGAAATATGGCAAGTCCATATATGTGACTCAGTCTTCGAGTGATGTTTATATCACTCTAAGACAGGGAATCCTGTCTCTGTCTGCACTATATTATGATCCTTGTCATCGCCTGCCCTGGAGCAGTTGCATATGCATCTACTTCTCCCACTAAGCAAGTCTCTCTTGAAGGGCAGAAGCAAACGAAACCTTTGTAATTTCCATGAGGCATCCCATAGCAATTTGCACAAAGCAGTCACACAATCAATGTTAAGTTATCAGAAGAGCAAAGTTCTTGACTTTGCCTTAACACACAAGACCCACGAAAAATGAAAGGAAAAGTAACTTACACACATGGGGTGGGGTTAGTGGTAGTGGTGGTAAGAATGTTAGCAAGAAACCTCGAATGAAAATATTAAAATGTGTTGTGACTTAATCAGTCACTGATGTACTTAAACAAGAGTCAAGATTTTTTTTTAAGTAACTTTTCATACTTCCCAAGTTAGAAGCTGGGGAAGCTTCATTATTTTGTTTGAAAGTTCTCCGAATTAGACACACCCATATGACACAGCCAATGTAAATAATTTGTTCTCCTGGTGTTGCCACTGCTGAACAATGATGAACGGATCAACAGTACAGATATTCCCCAAGGAAGAGTGACCTACTGTGTAAAAAATACATCCCGAAACAAGGAACTGTATTTAGGATAGGTTTCTACTTTCTGAATTCTGGCACGCCCTTAGTCCCTAACTGCCTATGAATCAGTCTCCTGAAAAACCTGCAACTGATCTTTCAAAAGCAATGCAATTCAATTAAACAAACATTTATTGAGCGCCCACTGTATAAAAAAGCACAAGAATGGAAACTGAGGGAAAAGGGCCTGCAAAGGAGACGGATAAGAAGCAACGTTCAGAATAGAAAGAAAAGATACAGAAGAGAGGGGTGTATGGAATACAAAAGAGGAACTGGTCAACATTCTCAGATGTCACAAGGGGGGAGAGCTGAGATTCTAGAAGAAAAGGTATCAAAATTCTTACTAAGTAAATGCAAACAATTGGGATCAATAAATAATAAGATGAGTGTCTTTCCATGTAAAGAATGATTCTGCCTTATAAATCTATTCCCCAATAATAAGTTCTAGTTCTATTAATGTCACTACTAACCTCCCTACCATCCAAACTTGAGATTTCTTCCTTTTCCTTTTAATAAGAAATGTGATCCGTTACCAAGTCCTATTACTCGCACCCACAAAATTTGTGTACTGCACAAGGATGTGAAAAGGAGAGGAGCATTGAAACCAAAGACATATCTTTAATAATTTTCCAGCAGATGGCAGTCAAGTGTCTTATTCTAATAAACATATTACAACAATTTTCTAACAGATGGAAGTAAAATGTCTTAAAGAAGTGGTACTTTTTTTTTTTTAGTTAGGTCTCACTTTTATCACCCAGGATGGAGTACAGTGACACGATCACAGCTCACTGTATCCTTGACCTCCTGGACTCTGGTGAGTCTCCTAAATCAGCCTCCCGAGTAGCTGGGACCACAGGCACATACCACCATATTGGCTAATTTTTTGTATATTTTGTAGAGACAGGGTTTTACCGTGTTGTCTGAGCTGAACTTGAATTCCTGGGCTCAAGCAATCTGCCCACCTTGGCCTCCCAAAGTACTAGGATTACAGGCGTCAGCCACCGTGCCCAGCTGGGGTGACCTTTTCATAATTCACAAAATGCACTAAGCAGGTCAGTGGTGGTCCTGCCCACAGTATTTCCTATCTATTTTCCAGCCTTCATTCTGGCTGCAGCTACCACAGATCTGATTCACATAGTATCTTGCAATAGCTTCCAAAATGATCCCCTAATTTCTCCATACTTCAGTCCATCCCACAAGCATTTGAAAAAATTCCCAAAAGTGCTGTTTTGCTAGTAAAACTTTTCAAAAAATCTTCAGTGGTACTGTTATTTTCTTCAATCTCACATTCAAGGCCCTTCATAGCATGTCCTTAACCTTCTCTTTTAGTCTATTCTTTCACTGTGCCCAGGAGGTGCCCTACTCCTAGCTGAACCTAATTACTCTCTACCTTACATATGTCCTGTCCTTCCCTGCCTTGCTATCTTTGTTCATGTCATTTCCTCTGCCTTGAATGCTATCCAAACTCAGTCTTCCTGCCATAAGTGCTAAATTACATTCAGTAGTATATTCTGGGGAGAGGTTTTTGGATGACTTAATATTGTCTTCAGCAAGCATCTAAAGAAAAATCCCCTCACTTTGGCTTTGGTTGGTATTCCAGTTATCTATTGGTGTATAATAAACTACTTATAACTCAAGACAATTATTATTATTATTATTATTATTATTATTATTATTATTATTTTGTATTTTTTTGTATTTTTAGTAGAGACAGGGTTTCACCGTGTTAGCCAGGATGGTTATTTGTATTATATCTCACAGCTCTGTGAGTCAAAAATTCGGGCAGAGCTTGAGCATTTCTTCTGTTCTGTGTAGTGATGTTAGAGGTTGCTCTAGGGTACTGGTAGTCAGAAAACAGTTGAAGGACAACTTCACTCACATTTGGTAGAATGGCTAGAAAGTTGGGTTCAGCTGGGAACGTCAACCAGATCATCTATACACATGCCTCTACAGCATGATGGCCTCAAGCTGGTTGGACTTCTTAAATGGTGGCTCCGGGCTCCAAGAGCAAGTGTTCCAGAAAACAAAGCAGAAGTCACATGGCCTTTTGCAACTGACCCTTGTAAGCCAGGGTCTCTTTGGCCATATTCTATTGACTGAGGCAGTCATCAGCTCGTCTAGATTCAAGAGGAGGGGGCGTCGACACAACTTTTCAATGGGAGAGTGTCAAAGAATATGCAGCCATGTTTTAACACTGCCTAAGTTAGGGAAGAAGGGGGATAATATGGCAGACTGTCTCCCAGAAAGTCTGAGCCACTTCTCTTACTGTTCCCTGAATATGTCATGGTCTTATACTTTTTCCCCTCGTATATCTTTCCTCTGCCTGGAAAGCATCTCCATTCCTCCTTCTTCCCTACAAGCATGTCTAATTGTCATACACCTTTAAGGTCTTCATCCCTAAAGGACCAGCTTAAATTTCCCTTCCTCCAAGACTCCTTCCTAGATCCTTTCAGTCAGTTTTAATCTCGTTTCAGGTTCCCTGGTACTTTTTTCTTCATGATAGTACTTTTCCCATTTACAATTTTACATTAGATTTTCATTTATGTACGAAGCAAAAAAGAGAGAAAGGCAAAAAGAAAAATAGAATGCTGTAAGCCCCGTGGCCTTGTAAATTCTCAGTCAAGTTTAAAGAGGGCGCAAAATGCTCGATGTAACCGGACTCTTATGGAATCAAGTAGAGGGCCTGAGTCCTCTGTCCAGGCTGATGCCGGATGAAGGTGACCCAGCACATGTAGACAACATACTTTAAAATATATTATTTATATGTTTATTCTAAATTAATAGCAGTTGTAATTCCTGTAGAGTCCAGGAAAGATAAACAAACTTGGGGAGAAGGAAGGTTTAGTGTCCTGTGTCCTGCTTAATGATAGTTTCTAACACTACATACACTTTTGTCCTCAAAAATGTTGCAAATGGAAGTTTCTCATGTCAGAGTAAAATCCATATCCGGCATAATCTACTGAAGAGATATACTAATGGGCCTGTGAGGTAACACAAACAACAAAAGCCAGTAATTCAAGCTATCCAGTTTAAATAACCATGTAAGAAGTGCAATTTTGAGCTAGAAAAGATCTAGTTCAATCTTATGATGAAAAATCTGAGGCCCACAGAATTTGACTAGTCCCCAAAGAACTCATTTTCTGTATAAAAACAAACACAACAAAACCAAAGCTACAAAGATCCGTGAAGCAAGATATGTACAAAAACTTGTGTGGCAGTATTGTCTCTAACAGGGTGGGGAGAGAGAGAGTGTCCACAAATGCCCACCACTCGGAGAAAGGATAAACTGTGGTACCTTCATACAAAGAAACATTACGCAGGAGTCAAAATTAATGAACTAGAGCTACAAACATCAACATGTATAAATCTGAAAAATGCAACATTGAATAAGAAGGTAAATTGCAGAATACAAAGAAAATGACAAGACTTATATAAAATGTTTAAATAAGTAAAACGGTACTTTAAATAGGTTGGAACTACACACCATATATGGTAAAAGTATAAGAAAATGGCATGGGAATGAATGGCTTCTTCAATGGAGGCTGAAGGTGCAGAGGCAGCTTCCACAGTATCCACCCACTATGTTTTCTTTCTAAAGCTGGATGGTAGGTATGTGGATGTTGGTTGTATTATACTTTATAACTTTTATAAAGCTTAATTATTATATAAAAAAATTTAAAGATAAAAAGATGGGTAAAAACAGCTTTTACACTTTCTTAAGATCTTCGCTATAAAAATTCAGCATAAACAGAGGGAAATAAAGATTAGGCAGTCTACATAGGGAATGATTCAAGACCACTGGGATAGGCTACGTGAGAAAAAGGGAAAGCAAAGACGACTCTAGTTCTCAAAATAAGGTAAGAAAAACAAACCAAAAATCCAGCCAAGGCCAAACGCGGTGGCTCATGCCCGTAACCATAGCACACTGGGAGGCTTGGCAGAACGACTGCTTGAGCCCAGGAGTTCAAGACCAGCCTGGTCAACATAGGGAGAACCCTGTCTCTAATTAAAAATAATAATAATAATGTAAAAATAATTTTAAAAAAACCCAAACAAGCAAGCACATTTTAAAAATCTTAAATAAACCACATCCCAGATTCCTCCCTCTACTTTTGCATTTCTGTTTTATGAGTGACCCCTACCCCAAAACTTCCACTCTAGACAAACCATAAGAAGATAGGATCAAACACAACACAACACAGAACCCTGCTGCGGCCTCTGGAATGGTGGCGGGAGTGGAACCAACAGCATAACTAAGACTTAGTGGGCATATATTACGTACCAGGCATTGAAAGCTTTGAGCTTTTTCTGCATTCTCTGCATTCTCTACTTAATCCACACAACATCCCTAAACGTGGGAATTGCTACCATGTTCATTTCAGAGAAGCTAAAGAAATTGTCAAGTCCCCACAGCTAGCAAGTGGTTGAACAGGAGTCTAGCCAGATCCAGATAATAATCAACATGGCTTTCTGTTTATCTAAAATGAGAATGACCAAATATCTGTAAACTAACTCTTCAAAAAAGTTACCTCATTTACATCTGGCTCCAAAGCATGTTTAATTAGATTAAAGTAGCTTTACTTTGGTAGCTTAAGTATTTCTCCTTCTGCAACACAGCACAAAGAACTTTACTTTATAGATCACTCTCTTAAAAAAAACACCTGTACTACGTTCACATGGTTGTCAAGGTTTAAAAATGAATACAAATAATAACAGAAGCAATTCCAAGGGGAATGTTTCTTTTGAGAGAGAGGATTAGACGGAAACATTCTAAAAAATGAGAAAAGGAAAGCCATCTGGAATAATTTTATTTTCTCACATCTTGGATACCTCATAGTGTGAAAAAATGTGAAAATAAAGGATCAGGGAGTCTTGAAGTTGAAGAGTCTCAACATCTCAGAATCCAAGATGACACCTTGAATACATAATATAATTGATAGTTGCTTATGAATGGATACTCTCTCTGGATTTTTCTCCTTTTACTAACAACTAACACATTTACATCATTCATCTGTTAATAAAAGTAGTAACTCATGTCTCAAAGAAAGGCAAAATCCCATTCATTTAAAACAAAGAAGGAGCATATTAGTTTACCACAAAACAGATCAATGTGTAGCTATTCTGTCAAACTGGTACTTCCCTCTCAGGCAAGCAGGTACCACACACTGTAGCAGTGCCAAAGACTCCCAGGAAAACTCAGCAACATCAAAGCCTGAGGTCTTCAACCCTGGCTGCCCAGTAGAATCACCCAGACTTTAAGGAATTCTGAGCAGACTGTAACTCTACATATGATTGGTAAAACAGTATAAGTGTCTAGCAGATTACGTAAGGGAATATTTTCTTGATCATGGGGGAGGCAAAGATTACTTGCACAGCAGAAAGTGCTAACCAAACGGGAAACAGATTGAGAAACTTAACGCTAAAATTAAAAACTTTTTAACAAGAGACATCTAGTAAAAAGCAACCCATGATGTGGGAGACAATAGTGACCAGCACATTCATGAAAGAACAGAGTAAGGGGCTTGGAGCTGCTGTAGCCATCTTGCCACCAGAAAGGGGCGGCTGGTCTAAGATGAGGCTTTCACACAAAGAATAAGATCCTGGGCCATCTTTGGAACCTTAAATCAAGATATGCCCAAAGTGAGTCCAACCCATGGACTGTTTGGTTATATGTGTCAACAGATGCCCTTTTTCATTTAAGCCAGGATAAGCTAGATTTTCTGTCACTTTCTTCATAAATAATTGCAAACAATACTCAGTTCAGAACCACTCACACTTTAATTCTCAACTCTCTGAGCACATTAACAAGCTCTTTTTTGGTCAATTCACCAGGTGTAAATCCACATGTCCTCAAGTCTGATTTCATGATAACTCCAAACTGGGGTGGTTACTTGCCTGATCTTCCACAGAAAAGGCTATCTTCATTTTCCAACAACCGTCTTTACCCTTTGGGGTCCAACTTCACACTATGCCTAGTTTTAGCATTTACTCTGATATCACTTCATAGTCCTTTCTTTCTGATTAAGTCTCCCTATTTCTTGAGTCCCCCGCTCCCAGGGCTCAAAGCTCTAACAAACACTACTTATTCCAAGCAATGTGGTTTACTTGTTTACTCATTTGTTCATGTAAAACATTTATTTAGTGATAAGTGTGTGTCAGTCCATATATTTATAACCATCACCATATCTTGTATAAGAATCCCTTGAGATTTCAAATAATCATTAAAACTTCTAAAATTCTACCTTCTTAACTTTTATGTTTAAATGGCTCATGGGAGTCTGCCTTGCACTAGTGGCACTGGGATGCTAACATTACATACGTACTTAGCCAGCATGTTTTTGGTAGTCATTGCTTAATTTTAAAAATGGTTTCTTAACTTGTAACCACTCGGATTTTTTTTAATCTTAAATTTTTCTGCAAAACTCTCCTTGACTTTTAATGCACTTGGAAACCATTTTGGAGTGTCTTTGCCAATACAAAAGCCTTTTCTTTAAGCCTGGCATAGGCTGGACTGTAGTGAGTGGCATAAAGAGGAAGCAGAGAGATTTTTCTCCTTTTTGCACACTGATTTTTTAAAAAGTGCCACCAGATGTGAAAGAGAAAATTTAGACTCTGAATTCTGAAATTCAATCTAGCAAGAAAGAGGCAACAAATTCTTAAGACACAGTATACTTCAGCTATCTGCCATAACACCATTTCCTCTTGTAAATGAGCTCTTGATTAGAGAAAGTCTGCATCATTTTTTACTACAGTTAACAAG
Organism: Homo sapiens; assembly: GCF_000001405.40. Classification (NCBI taxonomy): domain Eukaryota; kingdom Metazoa; phylum Chordata; class Mammalia; order Primates; family Hominidae; genus Homo; species Homo sapiens. Next base: position 7,755,335 of record NC_000007.14, on the reverse strand, counting down.
GTTTATATTACTTCAGTGAGTGCTATTGGGAAGGAAAAATGGGGTGTCTTTAAAAGGAACTGGTGGTGGTAAAATAAATGAGACACTAAACAAGACCTTAAATTTTGTACGTGGAAAGTCTCTGCTTTACTAAATAACATTTCTGATGGATTTTTTAAAGAATAAAATATTTGTGTCTAATCCCCATATTAAAATAGCAGTGAGAAAACAGATCAAGGCAGGCATTCGATGTGGAGTGAAGACTTGGAATTTGGTTTTGAGATAGATTTGAAGCCACCGAAGGGTTGTGAACAAAGGAGTGACATGATCTCACTTACACTTAAATTAAAAAGAATCACCCCAGCAGCTGTATGAAAAAAGACTATAAAAACAGAAGAGAATATTATACTGCTAATAACTAAATGAAATAAATCTGTAAGTTGCTGCGAAAAGATGTGCAATCATACGGTTAAGTTGAAAAGCTAAGATGCAGAGTATGATCTCGTTTGTGGAAAAAAATATGTATATACACAGACACACCACATGTACACATACTGCAGTGATGTCCTTTGGATTTTAGAAAATTTACAGCTGAAAAAAATAAATCCACAAACCCAAGTTGTTTTAAATATACTTAGAAGTTTTCCAATAATGAAATTATTCATTTAAAATGTAAACTGAATTAAAATTAAACCTTGGTGAAATGAAAATTTAAAAATCAGTATATTTGTTACACTTCAAGTTCTCCATAGCTACATGTGGCTGGTTAGTGCACACCACCCTACTGAACAAAGCAGATCTGAACAACTGTAAAACATACATAAGGAAAGCTACCCATTTGATGCGGGATTAATAACCAGTATATATAAGGAGTTCAAACAACTCTGTAGGAAATAAAACTAATAATCCGATTAAAAAATGGGCAAACAATTTGATTAGACATTTCTCAAAAGAAGACATGCAAATGGCAAGCAGGCACATAAAAAGGTACTCAACATCACTGATCACCAGAGAAATGCAACAAAAATTACAATAAGATATCATGTCACCTGAGTTAAAATGGCTTATATTCACAAGACAGGCAATTACAAATGCTAGAGAGGATGTGGAGAAAAGGGAACCCCTGTACACTGTTTTTTTTGTTTTGCTTTGTTTTTTTTCTTTCTTTTTTGAGACGGAGTCTTGCTCTTGTCACCCAGGCTGGAGTGCAATGGCGCAATCTTGGCTCACTGCAACCTCCGCCTCCCAGGTTCAAGCGATTCTCCTGCCCCAGCCTCCTGAGTAGCTGTGATTACAGGCGCCCGCCACCACGCTCAGCTAATTTTTTGTATTTTTAGTAGAGACAGGGTTTCACCATGTTGGTCAGGCTGGTCTCGAACTCCCGACCTCAGGTGATCCACCCGTCTCGGCCTCCCAAAATGCTGGGATTACAGGAATGAGCCACCACACCGGGCCCGTACACTGTTGGTGGGAATGTGAATTAGTACAACCACTATGGAGAACCGTTTGGAGGTACCTCAAAAAACTAAAAATAGAGCTACCATATGATCCAGCAATCTGACCGCTGGGTATATACCCAAAGGAAAGAAAATCAGTATATTGAAGAGATATCTGCACTCCCATGTTTGTTACAGCGCTGTTCACAAGAGCCAAGATGTGGAAGCAACCTAAGCACCCCAACAACAGATGAACGGATAGAGAAAACGTGGTATTTATACACAATGGAGTATGATTCAGCCACAAGAAAGAATGACACCCAGTTATTTGTGACTACATGGATAGAACTGGAAGTCATTATGTTAAGTGAAATAAGCCAGGCATAGAAAGACAAACATCACATGCTCTCACTTATTCGTGGGATCTCAAAATCAAAACAATTGAACTTATGGAAATAGAGAGTAGAAGAATGGTTACCAGAGGCAAGGAAGAGTAGTGGGGAGTTGGGGGGATTGATGGGGATGGTTAATGGGTGCCAAAAATAATAGAATCAATATGACCAAATATTTGACAACACAAGAGTGACTATAGTGAACAATAATTTAATTGTAAATTTTAAAATAACTAAAGAGTTATTGAATTGTTCGTAACACAAAGGATAAATGCTTGAGAGGATGGATACCTCATTTTCTGTGATGTGATTATTACACAATGTATGCCTGTATCAAAACATCTCATGTACTCCATAAATATATACACCTACTATGTAACCACAAAAATTAAAATAAATAAAAAGATGATGTGACAACAATTTTAAAAAATACATAAAGAAGGTCAAGTATTTTCTTTTTGGGCTTACAAATGAGAGTGGAGGAGGGGTCTTTTACTTCTCACTTTATGCCTTCTGGAATATGTATGCTACATAATAAATATATTTTTTCATGTTTAAAACCATTAACTACAGACCAGGGTGGATCCAGGTTGTAGGGTAACTGAATCTTATGCAACTTTTCTAGACCTTTTAAAGAAAAAGAATACAAAATTATGAATACAAAATTAGAAGAGAAAGTGGAAGTATATTTAGAACAGAAAAATTACAAATTTTAAATAGCTGAAAATAAACATCATGAAATTCAGAAAAATACCATCTTATTTTTATTTATCCAACAAACCTCTATAATGCTTTTTTCTAAAATTTTTGATTATACATATTTTGACAAATGACAATTTTATAACACAATTTTCCACATACGAAATTAAAAAATAATTTGGCATCTCTTCTAATTATGCTATAAAAAGAATTTTTAGAAATATGTGTTAAGGAAAGATTCTTTTCAGTTCACAACTCATGTCGGGTTTTTAGGATCACTGTAAAATTTGGGAAAACTTTCATAAAATTTTTTTCTTTTATGAGTTGCAAAATTTCAGGGTATTTCAAAGTTTCATATGTGGCAACTAATATATATACTCTTTGACCTGAAGATACTCATTAATTATAAAGCTCATTATAGTTACATATTATGACATTTTATGTTGTCTTTCTCGATACGTATTTTGTGGTTAAATCAAGAGAAACTTAAGTGTTTCCCCAGTGTATTCATATGATTCACTCTTTTTTATTAACTAAGTTTTCAAGTAGTCTATCAAGCCTATTTATTATCTCTATTAGAAACTTTTCTTTTCAATGCATTACTGCTTTTGTTATAATCTATTTTTTTACAACATGCTTTTTGATATCAAATAATTTCTACTTATTTCATCATTCATCTTTGTTGCTTTAGTTTTATGTTCCATTATCTAAATTATCTCAGTTCTTTAAAAAATAAGTGCAAAAATGAGAAAATAATGAACCCTATGTACCTAAATTAGGAGTCTATAATTTCTCCCTTGTCTTATTGAAATGTTTCAAAATATCTTTCAAACTATAGTTTAAAGTTGTATATTCTCAACTCAATTTCCCTTTAGCCAGATCTGATAAATGCCTGTGATCATTCCAAAGCAATCCTGTGTGAGGAAATGTGATAGAAGGACCGTCAGAGTAGAAAAGAGATAGCAGTCTTAACTAATTATGCTTAAATACCTTTAAATTCCTCAAATTTTGCAAAACCATATGATCACGTGAACACATTGCTAGAGGTCCTCGCAGAGCCTTGGAGGAGGTCTGTGCAAGTCAGAGGTCCTGAAACCTAAATCCCAGTAAATTTACTCCTGGTAAATTTGCCTCTGATTACAGGTAAACAGGGCAGTTACAAGATCCAACTGAAGCCAAAGGTCCTTGGCTCAAGCCCAGGAGGAGCTGGGTGTTTGTCCCCACCTGTCCCTCCACCCTCATATACAACATTCAATATCAGGGTGACATATGCTTATAGGAAGTGTTAGTGCAAAGTCTAATTTAGTTTCCCTGACTTTTCCACATTGCAAAGCTAGAATTGCTTACATTCCTCATTTCTGCCAAAATTGAGATTCACACAGGTTGAAATCTTAGTTAACCAAAAATCTCTAACTTATCAGAAATTTCTTCAGTTTCAGTTTCACCAATCCATTGTTTGCATTGGCACATCTAGTCTCTCTCTCTCTACAATTCTTGAAACTTTAACTTTAGCCCTATTTTAACATACCAACTCTAAAAGTTTTATTTGCCCCACACATTCATTAAAATTATCTCTCATTTATAAAATATGGGCTAAAATCATGATACATATAATTGGGGAGAGATATAGTCAACGACAGAGCTCAATACTGTACTTCATAATCTGAAGTAATGTAACTAGTGGTATAACACAGAAAACAATAATGACAGCATTATATTCACATTGCTCAGCTATATACACAAAGAGAAGCCTGCATAATATCAAATGGATAAATAAAGTAGAAGTCTCAACTGGCTTTTAACACAGTTAAAGCTGGTTTTCAGTTTCTCTTTACAATTCATCTTGTATTTTTAATATAGGGAATTTCAAAGTATTATGGGGGTCATTACTTCTTATTAAATACTTTATTGACACTGTTTGCTATCTCTATTTACCCTTTCCTACTTTTAAATCCAGCAATAGGATTAGAACAATTATTGCTTTCACCAAATTCTGAAACATCTGAAAAATACATACAGTTAAGAGCACTCTGCAGCCAAACTGACTGGGTTTATATCTCAGCTCCGCCATGTTCTAGCTGTGTGATTTTGAGCAAGTTACTTAACCTCTCTGTGCCTCATTTATCTTATTTGTAAAATGGGGATAAAATAATGCCTACCTCATAAGTATACTGGTGAGGATTACATGAATTCATGTTTGTAACTACTTAGAACAGTGCCTTACACACAGTAGTGTTGTATATGTGTTTGTTAAATATAAGAAAAATATGAAACCGTGTATAATATAAAATGGGCCGTCATTAAAGAAGCTATAATCAAGAAATCAGGTAGTTATTCTAATTGGAGTGGAGTTTTATTATTTTCCATCAAGTATTGTACATTTCAAACTGCCAAAGACAATTAGTTCAAATTTAAAAGCACAAACACATTTCTGGGCCAAATAAACAATTTGTACATTATCAATACCATATCTATCTCTGATAATGAGGAAGTCAAAGACTGACAAGCAGCTTAGTAGAGCCTGACAGATGTGAAATGGACTCTAGCTGGGCAGTTTTAAGGAATTTATTTAATTTTTTGGAAACTCCGTTTCCAGATTTGGGCAAATGGGTATAAATACTACCTAGACTTCTTAAGATATTAGTTAAAATTACATTATATAAGACATATATAAAGAGCTAATATGTAGTAGAAGATACTTAATGCATAGAAGTTATTATAATTGCAATTGACCATAATTCTATTTTGCTAATATTCCTCCTTACATTATAGACCACTGCTTCTCACCATTCTAGCAGTATAATTAAGAATATTTATCTTCCCTATTCACTTTTGTTAAGATGTCAAACATAATCAATGTCTGACCTTGTCTTGGACTGAGACTGAATAACATTGGTGAAAGAGATCCTTCATGGATATTTATGAATGCAAATGTGACACATAACGTCCTTTCATTAGTAGTTACTTACATTATTAAAAGTTTTACAGAACTTAGATAAACTATCCTGGAAAATAATACTCTTATCTTAGACGTTTTCTGTGTAATAAATGTTTCAATTTATAGCACCTTTTATGAGAACATACAAAAATCTCAATATATGCTATTTTATAAATCTTTTCATCATATCTACATATTAGATCACAGCAAATATCAACGCCCAGTTTTATTTTAGAAAAATATGAGAGTAAAGATTCATGACTTGCCCTCCTAAGCATGCCAAGAGGGGAATTCACATAATTTCTCACTTTTCTGAAGGAAGCCTTTGCCACCAGTACTGAGAACACTATAAAATTAAGTACTGGAAGCTAAAATTGCTAAATATTCTATAAGCCATGAAAAAAACGCTTACCCACTCCCATTCCTGGAAAAGGCATTAACTAATGTTCCTCAAATATTTTTCCTTGGATTAGGCAGAAACAGTTCAAACCCACAGAAGACACATAGCTTTCACGTGGAATACGGGCTATTAAAGTGTGCACTGCTGGAAAGTAATTAAACCATACTGTACTCTCACTGAGGTGAGATTATAAAAACCTAGAAAAGAGTCCTTCAAGGAAAATGTGTCAAAACCATTTAAATTAATTTAGCACATCAAATTTCACTCTATTTATTGTGGAATTGTTGCAGTTATTTTAACATTAAAAAGAAGTAACTGATAAATTGAATTTGTTATGGAATCCCCCACAAACCTGTCCTCAAATCTATTATAAAACACCAATACCAAGTATGGAAAGGCTCATGCTAGAAAGTTTAAAAACATTATCAAGGGAAATTTTTTTTAAGCAAATACAGAAATCAATGCAAAGCAATCACACTGATCTGGGCGAAGAAGAGCCCAGAGTAAAAGAAAATCATGTGTAATAGGATATCTCTAGCACAGCCAGAAAAGGAGGGATAAAAGAGGGAATTAGGAGTGTGAGAAGTTTGGCAGTTCTTAGATTTACTGATGACCCTGCCTGGCTGATAGAGCTAAATCCTAAAGTATCCTTCTGATAAATATTACATTATTTTCCCCAAATTTTTGCTCCTAAAAATAAAAGAATTTTTTAAATTTTTATATATACAAATATATAAATATACACATATACTTATATGTCTATAAATGTACTACTCATCCCCAAAGAACAACATGATAGGTTGTATTTTAACAGGAATGAAGGTAATAGATGGGAATTTGGTAAATGTGTAAATCGGCATTATGATTATATTATTAATATTAATGTGCCACCACAGGAAAATGTTGATAACCTTGCTGTAAATGTAAATCTAAGCCAAAAATAAGTCCTTCCTCACTTGATCCCCTCAAAAAATTACAGCAGCTCTAACAATGAGACATTGATTAATTTATATTCCAATCTGGAAATGGTTATCTAGTTCTGTGGCAGAAGTAGATTTCAAAATATCACTGTTAGTCTACCATATGTCTAGAAATCTTTATTTTATAAATGCATATTGAATTCATATGTTATAATTTATGGAATATAATTTGGTTTAAGGAATTATTATATTATAATTTTATGACATAAACAATTACATAACAAAAAGTAAATAATAAAACATATAACTTTATAAAATAAAACATATAGGCCGGGCACGGTGGCTCACGCCTGTAATCCCAGGACTTTGGGAGGCCGAGGCGGGCGGATCATGATGTCAAGAGATCAAGACCATCCTGGCCAACATGGTGAAACCCCGTCTCTACTGAAAATACAAAAAAAAAAAAAATTAGCTGGGCGTGGTGGCAGGCCCCTGTAGTCCCAGCTACTCAGGAGGCTGAGGCAGGAGAATCGTTTGAACCCAGGAGGCGGAGGTTGCAGTGAGCCGAGATCACGCCACTGTAAACAAAACAAAACAAGAAACATATATAATCATAAAACATATACTTTATTAGATGATTATGCATTGTTTTCCTACTTTTTTGGCTCAGAAATGGCACATCATCTAATAATTCAATGATTTAGATTTAATTTCTATACATTTTCCCCAAAATACAGGCAAAACTTTCTTTTCCTCTAAGGAAAATTATTTGTTAAACTGAAAATAATGAAGACTAAGTTTTCCATTAAATGGAGAAATAAGGCAACCTAGCAGGTAACAATGAAGATTTCCCATTTCCTGAAACCCTGACCTAGTGGACTCAATGCTAGAGATGAAAGGACCAAAAACCTCCATGTTTGTTCTGTTTTGAGTTACTCCTCTGGCAGCCTTCTCGGCAGTTTCAATTGCCTAAAAGGCTTATTATTTCTTGGAAAAAATATACTTCATAATTACTAAGTGTCATGATAACCTAAGATTTGACGCTTTCTGACTGTCACTGTAATGGAAAGAGAGCCATCCTCTACTACTCTGTGACCTTGACCAAGTCACTGCATATCTTTGAGTCTTGGTTTTCCTCATCCATGAACCAAGATGGAAACATTTGCCCTGCCTTGTTCTAGGGATTTCTGAAAGGACCAAATAAAGTAGCACGTATGAAATGCTCTATGATATAGCAAGTGTTAAACAAATGAGGTGCCATTAATAGTTGCAAGAATAATACTGATTACCTAATTAAATTAAATATACTTAACTGTAGTGGGGCCTTTTGAAACTCTCTCGTTTAAACAATTTCTGTTCTCCTGTAGCAACTCCAAAACAATACTAGGATTTATTCCTTCCCTATTATTTAGGTAAAAGTCTTCATGGCCTAATGGCTAAAGTATCTCATTACTATTTCTCACCATGCACTCGAAGGCAACTTTGCCTACTTAACAATAAACATCATTTCTAATTAGATATATGAAGTGCCTAAAATAAACATGGCAATAACTTCCAATAACAGTTCACACACATACACACAGACACACACACACACACACACACACACACACACAAACATGCACTCCACTTAAAAGAAATATAAACATTTTTTTAAAATCTCTTAAATCTATAGGGCCTTAATACCAGAAGATAGCAATAAGAAACAGGATTGTATGTGTAAACTGTGTCAAAGCCAATAATAAGGCATTCTCAAGTTGTGTTTGAAATTCTTTAAATAAGGTGGCCTTTTTAGCGAATTAAGATAAAGGTGTGAAACATCTGAGGGACAGGGCATTTGGCTGGCATTCTGCCACATTCTGCACCAGATAATTTCAGTTGCTGCTATTTGTCTCATATGTTTTTTATTCTTCCTCTAGGGAAGTCAAAGCCTTTTCACTTGCAGGCCAATTTTACTGTAGCTCTGGTAACTACTTTACAAGGTGATAAGCATTCACAAGAGGCTTTTATTAGGCCAGTAGCTAAGGCAAAAACTACATGCACATATTTAAGCAACGTGTGTGAAATGAAAGACTTTAAACGTATGTGAGTTCCAAGTTAGCACACGAAAACTGCTTATCTAATGAAAAGGCTGGGGATAAGAGAAAGGAGCATTTTTAAATAGTCTAAAATGCAATTATAAAATTGTATATTTTCTTTGCCTTCAACTCAACATATCAGGTTGTTTAATTAACTATATCATTTTCTGCATTTGCTAACCCATTGCTCTATTTTGCCCATTTGCCCCAAGTGCTTCCCTCTATCATTTTCCCAACTGATGTTGCAAAGTGAGAACAGTACACTGTGCTTTTACCATGTTTCTTCTACTCAGCTCCACACACAGTGCACCAAAGAAGGAAACAGTACAAACTCTACGGTGCATGCAAACCACGAGAGCAACTAAGCATTCAAACACGAGAATATTAATCAAGACGCAAGGTTTAACAGTACTATGCTAATGGGAGAGGAAAAGAAGACCTTCAGAAAGGCACCAATTGGCTGAGTGTGGTGCCACATGCCTGTAGTCCTAGCTACTCAGGGGGCTGAGGTGGGAGGATCTCTTGAGCCCAGAAGTTTGAGGGTGCAGTGAGCCATGAGAAGGTAAGTCTCGGTCCCAGACAGACTTGGATAAGGAAAGAGAAAAGAAACAGCCCAGGAAAAGACAAGAATAAGGAATCAATGTAAACTTTCAGGGCCCAGAGAGACTGAGCAAAGAGCTCCAATGAGGGGGAATGGAAAGAAAATGTGGGGAAACAGGCCATTTGTCATCGTACTAGACTACTTTTTACAGACCACGAAGTAAAATATACTCAGTGATATTCAAGTCTCCTTCTATGATCTGCAAGTTAATATCATAAATCTAATAAAATAAACTCTCCTTGGTTTATAAAGACAGTGATTTTCCTGACAACTCAGCTTTCCCTGACCTGTTCGCTAGACTATAAGCTTACTGAGAATGGCTTCCATCTTATATTTATTCCCAAAAGTTGGTCACAGTGTCTAGTACATTAGCAGATACCAAAATAAATGCTTCCTGAATTCTACAGCACAGAGCCAAGGGGTAAGAAATGGATTTGGCCAGCACAGAGGCCTTTCTCAGCTTATCAATGATAGGCACACCCCGTAAGGAGTTCAGAGTTTCCCAAAATAAAGTCGTGATATAATTAGAAATCAGAGAGAAGCAACAGTAGAATCTCAAAAAGAAAGTACAGCTGACCCTTGAACAACACAGGTTTGAACTGCAGGTGTACACTATACGTGTATTTTCTTCCCCCTCTGCCACTCCTGAGACAGCAAGGCCAACCTCCCCTCTTCCTCCTCCTCTTCACCCTACTCACAGCGAAGACAACAAGAATGAAGACCTTTATGATGATCCACTTCCACTTAATGAATAGTAAGAATAGTTCCTCTTCTCTATGTTTTTCTTAATAACATCTTTTTTTCTCTAGCTTGCTTTATGGTAAGAATATAGTATATAAAACATATATAAAGTATGTGCTAATAGACTGTTTACGTTATCAGTAAGACTTCCAGTCAACAGTAGGCTATTAGTAGTTTAAGCTTTGGGGGAGTCAAAACTTATACACAGATTTCCGACTGTGCACAGGGGTCAGTGCCCCTAACTCCCATGTTGTAAGGGTCAACTGTATTATGAAAAGACAACCTACAGAATGGGAAAAAATATTTGCAAATCATATATATCTGGTAATAGGCTTGTATCTAGACTATATAAAGAACTCTTAGAATTCAATAATAAAAAGACAAATAATATGACTTAAAAATAAACAAAATATCTGAATAGACATTTATCCAGTGAAGATATAAATGGCCAATAAGCACACGAAAACATCATTAGCCATCAGGTCAATGTAAATCAAAACCACAATGAACTACTATATCACACTCACTAGGATGACTATAATAAAAAAAAAAAAAAAACAGTAACAATTAGTGTTACCAGGACGTGGAGAAATGAGAACCCTTGTACACAGCTGGTTGGGACTATGAAATGGAGCAAATCCCTTTGAAAAATTGTCTGGCAATTCCTCGAATGGTTAAACATAGGACTGCCATATAACCTAGCAATTCTACTCCTAGGTATACACTCAATGAAATGAAAATACATGTCTACACAAAAGCCTGTACACAAATGTTCACAGCAGCATTATTCATTATATCCAAAAAGCAAAAACAACATAAATGTCCATCAATCAGTGAATAGATAAATAAAATGTGGGATAGCCGTACAATGGGATATTATTCAACAATAAAAATGAATGAAGTAATGATATCTGCTCCAACATAGAGAGGTCTTGAAAACAAAAAAGAAGCCAGTCACAAAAACCTACCTATTTTAAAATTTCATTTATATGAAACACCCAGAACAGGCAAATCTATAGAGATAGAAAGTAGATTCCTGAGTGACTAGGGTTAGGGGAAAGAGGATTTGGGGGAAATAGTGAGTAACTGCTAATGGATACAGAGGTTTCTTTTGGGGTGATGAAAATGTTCTAAAATTAACTATGGTAATGGTTATACAATTGTGTGGATATGTTAAAAGCCATTGAATCGTACACTTTACGTTAATGTTATGGTATATTAATTATATCTCAATAAAGATTTTATTTTAAAAATAGTTTCTCTGGGGTGATGGAAAAGCTTTAGAAATAGACAGTGGTGATGGTTTCACAACATCATAAATATAATTAACGCTACTAAATTGTACACTTGTAAATGGTTACAATGGAAAATTTTGTTATATATATTTTAAAACAATATTTTTTTAAAAGTGCAGAATGGAAAATATATATGTATATGTATAATATATATTATACATATACATATACACATATATGTATATTAGCTTACTTTCCCCTGCTTTAATAATGAATAGATTCTTTCTCCAATAGACTCACTTTGTCCAGAGTAGGAAAATCTCACATCTAAAACGTGTTATAAGTCCAAACATACATAAGGGGAAAGTATTAACATGATTTTGGAAAATTTATTGAAATAAATCAATCAGTTAAAAAAATCTGTAAAAGATATCAAAACATCTTTAAACACTACTGAACATTCTGTTTTCAATGTTATAATTTATAAATTTTGTATCTGTAGTTCTTTAACCTGCCTTAATACTGTTTTTGACAAATGATGTTTGTTAATTGTTTTGCTATTTCACGTTGTGAGGAAATTAATTGACTGTTACAATTCAGGTTTTAACAAATTGCATTTCTACTATCCCTTGCTAATTATGCTGTGCTTAGATTTTGCATAACAATTCACACTACATTTTATCCCCTACTTTAATTTTAAAGCAACTTACTTGTAAGTATGTAAATGTATATAAATTTCATCCTGCACCACCAGACCAAAACTGATTGTGTTGTTTCTAAACCAATTTTAGATACATACTTACACAGAAATTCACATTCATGTGAATAAACTAAAAGTAACATTTAAATACACACCACCTTCTTCAGATTTCAACAGGAATGTAAACACATATATACACAGAGACCAAACAAAAACAACCTAGTGCATGGAGTGTAAAACGCACGTGCTTTACAATAAATATTTCTATACAAATCTTTTCTAATACACTGAAAATTATTACCTTAACATGATGATATTTTGAACATACAGCACTTTGATGGGGTTAGTTTAAAGCAAGTCTATTATGACAGAAAGAATAGTAAATATTCTATCACAGTGCCATTTTATACAAAATAAAGCATCAATATCAGAAACTGGAAAAATTAAAATGTCAAGCAATAGTAACTTTCTCATCAATCAAGCTGATTTTAGAGAAATAAATACAGAATTTCAAATGTTTGATTATTCATATTTATTTTATTCTTAGTTGGCAATCATGAAGAATCACTTGAAAATTATGGTTCTTTTCGGCTTATTACTAAACAGCATTCATCCTTTAATCCTTCTAGAAATTGTCCTGACCCTTTTCACAAGATGGCGCCGAAAGCGAAGAAGGAAGCTCCTGCCCCTCCTACAGCTGAAGCCAAAGTGAAGGCTTCGAAGGCCAAGAAGGCAGTGTTGAAAGGTGTCCACAACCACAAAAAAAGAAAAAGAAAAAAAGAAAGATCTGCCCGTCACCCACCTTCCAGCAGCCCAAGACACTGCGACTCCGGAGGCAGCCCAGATATCCTCGGAAGAGCGCCCCCAGGAGAAACAAGCTTAACCACTACACTATCAAATTTCCGCTGACCACTGAGTCGGCCATGAAGAAGACAGAAGACAACAGCACGCTTGTGTTCACTGTGGATGTTAAAGCCAACAAGCACCAGATCAAACAGGCTGTGAAGAAGCTCTGTGACATCGATGTGGCCAAGGTCAACACCTGATTCGGCCTGATGGAGAGAAGGCATATATTCAACTGCCTCCTGATTACGATGCTTTGGATGTTGCCAAACTTTCATCATATCAACAAGCGTTTACTAAACATCTATGATGTACCAAGCCCTGTGCTGTACAATGGAACTGTCTCACATCAGTATTCATTTAAAAATAGTATTTATGAAAATTTTTCAGAGGCAGTTGGTAAGAAATATTTTTTCAACACTATAACTATAAAACGATTGATTTTATTACGCTAAAAATAAAAATATTTTTTGTTTAGTAGTAAAAAATGACTTTATTTTTTCATTTTACAAAGGTGTTCTATTTTTAATAAGTTGACTTAAAGCCTTTTACTTAAGTTTTACAAGGATGAAGAAATGCAGGTTTTTCTCTGCTCTTATCATACTAATTGTAGTTAACTGAAAAGTCTACAGTTGTTTTTAGCAAATCAGTGGTTTAAGTTTGTTTAAGTTATTGTTGGTTCAATAAGCAGGGAGGACCTCAACTGTCATTCTAATCATGTTTCAACTAATTACATTACAGTGTTTTTTTATTATTTTTATTATTATTATTATTATTATTATTATTATTATTATTTTGAGACGTTGTCTCGCTCTGTAGCCCAGGCTGGAGTGCAGTGATGTGATCTCGGCTCACTGCAAACTCCGCCTCCTGGGTTCACGCCATTCTCCTGCCTCAGCCTCCCGGGTGGCTGGGACTACGACTACAGGCGCACGCCACCACGCCCAGCTAATTTTTTGTATTTTCAGTAGAGATGGGGTTTCACTGTGTTAGCCAGGATGGTCTGGATCTCCTGACCTCGTGATCCTCCCGCCTCAGCCTCCCAAAGTGCTGGGATTACAGGCGTGAGCCACCGCGCCAGGCCACAGTCTTTTTTTTTTTGAGACTATTTTTTCCTTGCTCTTTAAAGGAATCCAAAGTTCTCCTAGTAAGTTGAGCACCTAGAGAAACTTTATAAAGACTTACTCCCTGAATTACTGCCACATCATACAAAATAGAAGCTTTATAACCTGAAGAAGTTTATGTAACTGCACAACTGCTCACTGCCATGCTATTAGCTACGTTAATGGTTTTGTCAAATAAATGGAATGTAAAATTTTAAAAAAAGTCTAAAAGTCAGGCTTTGCAAGAATTTAAAGAAAAAATGAATTCCTAATTTCAACATTAACAGAAGAAAACTTTAAACTTATTCCCACAAAGGGCAGACATGAATTCTCACAATACATCCTTGGAGGTGACTGCAAACATTATATAGGTTTGGACCCAAATACTGGAATTCTTTACTCATTAAAATTTGCAATTGATAAAACAGATTTGGGTTAAAAGAGAAAAGGAGAAAGGAAGAAACAAAGAAAAGCCAGTTTTCAAATTGTCTTCAATTCTGGTATCTACATGTCAAGACATAAACAGATGCTGGATAAGGTCCAAAGAAACTAAAGTGATCACAAAATCATTGATTGCTGTATGAGGTAAATTACAACCGAGGGTTATGACTTCTCAGTAGGGAAAGGGCAATGCAAAAGGCAGATTAAAAGAGTATATAGTGTTACGAACAGTATGAAGGGTGTGTCCTACTTGAATTTGTTCACTAAATTTCAAAATTCTAGAAGAAAAGCAATACCAACTTATACTTGAAATAATTTAGGGCAAATAAAAGAATGTTTTAAGAGTTGATAGAAAACTTGTCAATCTTACCATAAAAAGTAGCATAAAGCTAAAATTATAACAGTTTGAAGAAGGATTTAGTTGTTTTTTAAGGATTTATAGACAAAGTAATCTTGCAATTCCATTTGGGTGGGGAGAGAAAACAGATAACTTTTTTTAAGGTTATCGCAAAGGATAGACGTGATTGCTCACAATACATCCTTGGAGGTGCTTGTAAACATTTTATAGGTTTGGACCCAAATACTGA